>NC_000003.12:98705574-101205574 GCF_000001405.40 Homo sapiens
GTTCTTGGGATTCTAATTCTAGAATCTGAATTTCTCTTTCTCCTGCTTGCAAGAGAAGACAAATATAGTACTCAGAAAAAGAGACAGTCTCGGGGGAAATTTAATGGAAAAGAAGGAGGTGGAGGAAGAGGAAGAAGTGAAAGGAAAGAGAAAGGGCTCAAAGAAGAATGAAATTTAAGTGCATGTGTGTCTATAAGGGAGAAACTCTTTTCTCTAAAAAAGAAGTTCTTGGCTGGAGATGATTCCATCCTCCAGGGGATATTTAGCAATGTCTGGAGATATTTTTGGTTGTGACAACCAGAAGGAAGGCACTACTGGCATCTAGTGGGTCAATTGCTACAGGGCAAGAATGCTGCTAAACATCCTACAATGCACGGGACAGCCCTTCATAACAAAGATCTAGCCCAAAGTGTCAATAGTGCCAAGGTTGAGAAATCCTGACCTAAAGAATGTATCATTAATAATGGACTAATAGACATCAGAAAAAATGTATAGAATGAGGATTGAGGACACAGCCTCCCTATCTGTCCTTAAATCATACCATATATAGAGTGATGCTAAAAAAATGATTTTCAAGGGTCTAAAATGGTAGTGTTAGCATATAAATAGAATGCTAAAAGAACATCAGCAAAAAGCAGGAAATAGGTGTCAATTTTTTATTTAGCTGCCCATGTCTCAGATAAAGTACTTGATGTAGAAAATAACAATACTTTTCTCCAAGGTTTTCCAATGTTAGGACAAAGGGAAGTATCCCAATTTACCCAGAATCTGTAAGACACTGTCAAATTGGAATTGAATCAGCAATTAGGACAGGTGAACTTTGCCTTATGAACATTAGAATCAGCCAATTTATTCACTCAACAAGCATATTCTTTCATGCCAGGATTCTTGAGGAAACTGGGGATGCAAAGATGAACATGATACACTGAAGGTACAAAAAATATAATTATTTATTGAAGATGAGCATTGTGTCATGGGAGCACAGCAAAGGAAAGACTCATTCTGCTTGAAGGTGTCTCAGAATAGGTAAAATTCTACCCGGCCCTTGAAAGATGAGTAGTAAATAACCCATCAGCGACAGGGCAAGATAAGGACAATCCTGGCCAAGGCTGCAGAGAGTGCAAATCATGGAGGCTTTAAAGAGGGGTAGACCTTGACATTTGAGCAACTCATCTTTGTGGCTAGATTTCATGGAGAAAAGAAAGAAGTGATTGTGTATCAGATGTCAAGAAAAAGACTACCATAATGCCTACATGTCATCCTCTCAAGTCAAACAGCATATACATTCTCCCCCATGCCCATCATTGTCCTCTCCCAACTCAGAGGCTTAGACCACATGTCCCCCTCTCTCTGCCTATTCAAGGTCCCTGCAAATATCCCTCAGACCAAAGAGATGCTTCCGTGCTTGCACTACGCATAGTTTATGTCATTTAACATTCATTTGTAACTCTGTTAGGGTGGCTGCATCTCCTGAGTATAAATTGTATCCTTGCCCATCTATGTCATGAACTTTCCAAAAGATGGACCAGATATATATGGCTTGAAGCTCCCAAGGACATATTGCCACATCCCTGGCAATCATATTATAGACTAAATGTTGGTGAGTTAATATTATAAGAACACTGTTGGTGTCGACAAAATGGAAAAGGAAACTTAAGTCTGAAACAATGTGGTGCTCTGCTGAAGTGTTATTTCAAAAAGAAAAAGAAATCATTCTTCTAGAAGTGGGATTAGTAAAGCTTACGTATTTAGTACCTGACACAAACTGGACACTCAATAAATATTTGTCCCATAAGTAAAATATCAAATTTTATTGCCCAAGTTGAGTTGATGTTAATGGTTAGATTGCTTACTCTACAGGTCATCTCACTCTTCATATCAGCAATCTATTCCTGTGTTGCTGCTTTCAACCCACAAAGGCAATAATCAATTGCCCTGATACTCTCTTACATTCCCCAAAATGTATGAACACATGAACCTACTGCTAAGCCTCCAATAGGTTTTACCTCAGTTACCAATAGAAAATAGGTAACAAGGCCGGGTGAGATGGATCACGCCTGTAATCCCAGGACTTCAGGAGGCCGAGGCTGGCAGATCACCTGAGGTCGGGAGTTTGAGACCAGCCTGACCAACAAGGAGAAACCCCGTCTCTACTAAAAATACAAAATTAGCCAGGCGTGGTAGTGCATGCCTGTAATCCCAGCTACTCGGGAGGCTGAGACAGGAGTATCACTTGAACCCGGGAAGTAGAAGTTGCCATGAGCCGAGATAGCACCAGCCGAGATCACACTCCAGCCTGGGCAACAAGAGTGAAACTCCGTCTCCAAAAAAAAAGGAAAATAGATAACAGATAGTGTATTGAAATACATAAAGTCCCTATCACAGTTTGTGACATATTGTAGGTGCTCAATGAAAGGTGGCTATTATAACTTATCTTGTTACTATGGAACCCGATGGTCACAATTCTCCCAAACGTGTGTGTGCGTGTGTGTGTCTTACACACCTACCCAGAAAGGGCAATTATGCAGTCAGCGATCATCTGCTCAGTACATGTTCTTTAGAAAATCTTTTGACACTTCCCCCTAGAATCATTTCACTAATCAGTGCCATTATTTAATATTGCCATAATCCCTTGTCCCTTATTTCAATGATAGTATTTTTCTCTTTGTCCAGAGATTTCCTGTTCAGACTTGATTGCTGTTTTGTACTGCAGTTATTCTGTACTTGTATAACAGAATCAACCTGCAAAATATAAGTAATATCATATTTTCAGAACCAGCCATTAAACACTGATTAAATAATAAAACTTATATTTTTCTTATCATTAAAAAACACATGGGGCTAGGCATGGTGGCTCATGCCTGTAATCCCAGCACTTTGGGTGGCTGAGGTGGGAGCAATCCCTTGAGTCCAGGAATTCGAGACCAGCCTGGGCAACAGAACCCCATCTCTAAAAAAAGAAAAAAAATCGTATAAAAAATAAAAAGTAAAAAAAGAAAAAATTACTAAACAAAGAAACAAACAAAATATGGTAGCACATATTGTAATGCCAAAGGTTCTTGCCTTAGCCACGCCAAAGAATTAGTGTGGCGGCTGCCCGCGGAGAGTGATGGAGACACGGACCAAGAGAAAAAAAGCTGTAGGCTTTATTGAGCAGAGTGACAGTACAAAGCTTCCACAGTGTGGAAGGGGTCCCCAGCGGGTAGCCAGAGTTAGATTATGCAATTGCCTTTTAAACTCTTTAAAGCGGGAAATACGTGCCTGCAGAGGGAAGATGTTGCCAGAGCAGAAACAAAGGCAGTAAATTATTTTGTGACATGTTTTAGATTTTGAGGAAAACTGGAATTGCAACTTAGGTTTTATCTACTTTATGACCTTGCAGCGGCATGGCAAAGGAGACAGGATCTCACAGGACTTTACAAAGCATGTTTACAAGGAATTGGAATTAGGAGCATAGATAAGGTCCAGCAGAAAATGGGCATTTAACGTTCCTTTTAGTTTTAGGGGAGGGGGAAGAGAGAGAGGGAGAGAGGACACAGGGAAACTTACAGCAAAATTTTTGCTGTTTATAGGTTTCTTGGGGAAGAAAACACATGCACAAATCCTGGTGTTAGGAATATTTTAAGCATATATCTTCAATATTATTCATCCAGGACCGAAATAAGTCCTGATGCAGGAAATGAGTGAGTTTCACAGCTTTCTGAGCCCCTACTTGACCCAGGAAGCCAAGCTGGAACGTCCTCTCAATATTATAGATATCTATACTAGTCATGCAAAAATAAATAGGTGGATGGGTTTCTTTGCTTTGAACTGAGAAATACTATGGTTAAAAAGCTTCAAGTGTTAATAACCTTACTTGCTTTCATTATACACAGTACTATCTAGGCCTTCAGTGGTGAGATAATCTGGTAACTGGTCACAGGCTATAAATCCTAAGGCCAAGGAAATAACAATTTACTGCAGGCTACCAGATCAGACAAAAAAAAAAAAAAAAGAACAAACAAACAAACAAAAACACTTAACAGGGAACGTGTCATACTCTAGGACCCAGCTAGTACCAAGGCCAGCAGAAATTTGGGTGTAGTCCTGGCTAACCCCAAAGCCCATGATACTTCTCTTATTCTTGCCTCCCACTGCCTCTGGAAGGCAGAATGCAGTGTGTGAATGACTCCTGAAACCCACTCTTCTCACTCAATATTGGGAACCTAATTTGTTATTCTATCAGGACTATGCAAGGAGGTAAGGCTTCAAAGAATCAGTCCAAAAACAAATTTCCAACATCTCCTATACATATGCAGATAATTGAAGACTAGAAGGTAGGCAGTTTGTTGCACATCTATAAATAACGTTGACCCTGGTCAACCATTTTCCACAGACAACTCTTTTGGTGCTGACTTCAAGTAGTGGTTTTGTGTAGTCCCATGTTGGTTTCTGGATAGTTCAAGATGAGATGGACAATTTTACAGTTAAGGAGGTAGGGGCAGCGGGGGGTGGATATCACTGTCTTCCTCCTTCCTCAGGGCTTGTCAGACCAGTTGGAAGGGGATGAACTTGTCAGTTGCTGGAAGCAATTTTCAGGCCCTGTGGACTGTAGAAAGGGTTTTAATCAATCTGGTATTTCCTAGTCCTGACTCTCCTCGGCCAAACTTGGCCCAGCTAACTTCCTCACTTCCCTAGGGGCTTCCCTTTCTTAAGGAGATAACTCTCTTTTGACTTAGCCAAGGCTAGGCTCAGGTGTGGGGAAGGAAGTCTTTAAATAATTTGTACTTTAATTAAAGGAGGAAGTAAAAAAGAAAAAAAGAAAACAAAACAAAACAAAAAACAAGAAAGAGGAAAAGCCAGCTGTTTTCTGCAAACCTTTGACACAACAGCTGTGCACTCTTCTCCTGCTCCAGTAGAAACTGGCTTCCTCCCCAACCCTGAATGTTGCTTTTCTAGTCTCCTTAGTTTATCCCAATGGCTGTGACCTTGCCACTATCATTTCACCTGTAAGTAAGATTCTGAGATATGTTAAGTGAGCTCAGAGACAGCTTGTTCAGTTCTTCACTCGGCTATGATCAAAGCTATACGTTTCACATAATAGCCATAATAGATAACACTTTATAAATACAACCTCGTTTAATCCTCAAAGTTACCCAATGAGGAAGATTGTATTATTATCCTCATTTCACAGGTGATGAAAGTGAGATGTAGGTCCTATGTCCGAGTCACCTAACTTCAAAACCTATTCCATAAATCAGAGGATCACAAAAAGTCTTCACATCAGAAGGGTGCTTGGTCAAAAACATAGATTTCTAGGCAGCCAACTCAGAGATTCTGACTGAGTAAATGTGGAGTGAAGCCCAGTAATCTGTTTTTTAACAAATGTCTCTGTTGAAGCAAGAGTTTAAATCTTTACAATGCTACTCTATAATTTTGTATATTCTGCTTGGCACAGCCCTTTCTCAATTCTTAGTTCTAATTAATCACTCCTTCCACTGGATTCCTGTTCTCATGCCTGGTGCAGCAGGAACCGCATTGTGTTAAAATCAGCTCT
Source organism: Homo sapiens (assembly GCF_000001405.40). Classification (NCBI taxonomy): domain Eukaryota; kingdom Metazoa; phylum Chordata; class Mammalia; order Primates; family Hominidae; genus Homo; species Homo sapiens. The sequence goes on from NC_000003.12 coordinate 98,711,111, forward strand.
CTTTTTCCTTTTTTTTTTTTTTTTAGACAGAGTCTCTCTGTTGCCCAGGCTGGAGTGCAGTGGCACGATCTCTGCCCACTGCAATCCCTGCCTCCAGGTTCAAGTGATTCTCGTGCCTCAGCCTCCCAAAAAGCTGGAACTACAGGCGTCTGCCACCATGCCCGGCTAATTTTTGTATTTTTAGCAGAGACAGGGTTTCACCATGTTGGTCAGGCTGGTGTCGAACACTTGACCTCAAGCAATCCACCCACCTCAGCCTCCTAAAGTGTTGGGATTAAAGGTGTGAGCCACCATGCGCGGCCAAAATGAGCTCTTTTTATGTCTGTCTCCCTGACTAGATGGGGAGCTACTTGATGTCCAGGATCCTGTTTCTTCTTTCTTTCTTTTTCCTGGGTTGCTCATTCCATTAATCTTTACGTAGCTGGGTTCTCCTCATCATTTAGACCTCAACTTGAAAGTTCCCTCCTCAGAGAAGTCTGTTCTGATAACGCAATCAAGAAGCCCTCCAGTCATTCTCTGTCATATCCCATTTCCTCATCTAGTGTAAAGCACAGCAGATGCTCAACTGCAACTGGATTACCCAAATGCAGCTTAAATACATTCTTAGGACACCAAAAACAGAGGCATCAAAAGAACTTTTTTTAAGTTAAAAAGTGGTTATTTTTAAACTACAGAAAAAGTCATTTGAAAATTATCAGGATCTTGCTGGTCTCCCACTTACATTATGGACTAGTATTATTTTTATATAGAATTACATATTGAGTATGGACTCTATAACATTTTTGAACTTTGAGTCTCTAAAGGTTTTAATCTGGCACTCTGCATAGTACCTGCTTATCAATATCTTTGTTTTCCAAAACATATTGAAAATATGTTGGATGGGTATCATTATCCAGTCTTACCTCGAAGAGGTTAAAAAACAGAAGCACAAAAAAGAACAGAAAAAACATTGAACTGATTTTTTATTTTATTTTTTGAGATGGAGTCTTGCTCTGTCTCCTAGGCTGGAGTGCAGTAGGGCAATCTCAGCTCACCGCAAGCTCCACCTCCCAGGTTCACACCATTCTCCTGCCTCAGCCTCCCCAACAGCTGGGACTACAGGCACACGCTGCCACGCCTGGCTAATTTTTTGTATTTTTAGTAGAGATGGGGTTTCACCGTGTTAGCCAGGATGGTCTTGATCTCCTGACCTTGTGATCCGCCAGCCTTGGCCTTCCAAAGTGCTGGGATTACAGGCGTGAGCCACCGCACCCGTCCCGAACTGATTTTTTGGAATCCTTCCTGAATTTGAGCATTTTACTGGGAATAGAATATTAGACTAATAAATTGAGCATTGAACAATGCCCAAAGAGTATGTTCTTTCCTTGCAAAAAGCCTCTTGAGCATTAAAGAATCTACTCTCCAGAGGTTTAATTTGGGCAAGACCCTCACCACGATGAGTTCACTTCATTTTTCTTACTCATGAAATATGGGAACCAAACTAGATAACCTGTAAGATGTGGACCACCTAAGCATTAGACAATTCTACCTTGAGACGTTAAAAAAAAAAAAAGTGCGTGACTCAAGATTTTTTACCAGAAACTCTTCTTCCCCTGATTAAGGTGACTCATCATTCTATCAAAGAAAGAAATGATCTGGCATTATTTATACTCCTCAGGGTCCCACTTGTTATTCTGCTGGGGCTTGAGTTTGTCTCATATGAGACTAGTCTTTGATTTTCTGCATTCTTTAGGATAAATTTAGATGGCACTGGGCTCCATATCCACAGCCGCCAGCATGGTCCAAGCCATTGTCATCTCTTGCCTCAGGTCCTGCAGTAGTCTCCAGACTGGCTTTTCTGCTTCCACTCTTGCATCATTGTAATTCTTTCTCCAAGTAGACCTCAGAGTGATTTTTTAAAAAATATGTCAGATTCAATCACTCCTTGCGTAAAATATTTTATTTACTTCCTTTCGCATTTAGAATCAAATCCCAATTCCTTACCCTTGCCTTCGAGGCCCTGCGTGATGAACGATCTAGCTCCTACCTCCTCTTTGGCTTCCTTGCCCATTACGCTCCCCTCGTATGATATGCTCCAGCCAGACCGATCTGCTGGTTCTTCCCTGCACATGCCAGGCTCATTCATACTATTATAAATAAAGTTTCAGTGCCGCAAAAGAAATAGCGCTCGAATATAAAATTTTCTTTTTAATTCTCAGCAAGACAACGTACTTCTATAGAAGGGTGCACCCTTACAGATGGAGCAATCGTGAGCGCACACTTGGACAAGGGAGGGGAAGGGGTTCTTATCCCTGAGGCACGTGGTCCCTGCTGCTGTATGGTTCCCCTATTGGCTTGGGTTAGACTGCACAGGCTAAACTAATTCCAATTGGCTAATTTAAAGAGAGTGACAGGGTGAGTGGTTTGGCGGGAAAAATGGTTACAGGGCAGAGCAGGAAATCAGAGTAAGCCAGGGTGGAGAATGAGCAGGTAATCAGAATGAGTCAGGGTGGAGCAGGTAATGGAAAAAGGTTGCTTTACGAGGAAGTTAAGTTTAACAGTAGAAGGCAAAGAACTGAACATACTGACATATTGATTCTTTGAAGAGAAATTTAGAACTCATACCTAACAGTACTTGGAGAGTGTGCATGAGCCATTCCCTCCGCCTGAATTGCTCTGCATAGCAGGTCCAGCTGTTGAATTTATGTTTTAAAATGTGCTCAGGATTTGTTTAAATCAGGTATAGTAAGGCAGCAGTCATGGAAATGACTGTCATGAAGAAAGAAGTTTTTACACTTGCAGGTTCCTAGAAACACGAGGTAAGCCACGAAGGCCCACAAAGGAAAGCACCAGGGTCAGTCCGGAGGCAGAGGGAGCAGAAGGAAAATGTGGCAAGACCCTTTATTGCGTTTTGCAACAAAAGGAATAAGGTCAAGGTAGGGCAAGCAGCTTAGAATTGTCTAGTTTTAATAATGTCAGTGGGCTCTGGAGGTGTAGTGGCCGTCCTGAGTTGCCTGGTACCTGGCCCCAAGATGATTAGAGCAGGGGAATATCGGGCAGGAGAGTAAGAGTCCTATAGAGGAGGTTGGGGAAGTGTGGACTCCAGTTTGAGTAGTTTGCATATGAAAAGCATGCTCCCTGTATCTCTAAGAATTAGCTCTTCCTGAGAAGAGCTATCCCTCCCCAGTTACCAAGTCCCCAGTTGCCAGCACATCAAACACACACACAAAAATAAGAAAATATAGTGAATATAGTTTAGTCCTATAAACTCCATTATAGGTAATTGAAATACAGGTGCAGACTTCTGGAAACCATCACCTTCTAACTGGAAGAGGGCCTGGACAGGAACACCTCTTCTTTTCCCATTGTCTTGGACTTCATAAAGTTTAACTTGATATTCTTCCCTAGACTGGGAAATGACAAATCAAATGTTATTGCTTTTCTCAGTTTTTATTTTTATTTATTTAGTGACAGTGTCACTTGCCAATCTCCCCAGTTTTTAATAAAGAAATCCTTGTAAATATGTTGTCCTTTACCAATATTCTCAATAAATTTGGGCAAGGATGTGACACCAAATGAAACTATTGTTTTCAGATGTAAATGTAGGCAGAAGTCCTGTAAATTCTTTAAAGAGAAGCAATGTGAGAAGAGAAAAGCATGTCACTATCATCTCTGAATAGCTGTCCCTTTCTAGAATCTGAACTAGGCCATCAAACTGTATTAACTCATCTGAATTCAAAATAAGGATGAGATGAAGGGGCTAGAAAAGAAAATGAAGGAGTGAGAGGCCTAAGAAGATTGTGAGGGTATTTAGGGGAATATGGTTCAAAAAGGAGAACAGCTCTCTTTTCCATAAAAGGGAAGAAAGTATGTTAAATAATCTTTTGCTGCAGTCTCCATTAATTTGTTGTTGCCATTGACCCATTTTCCTATCTCTTAGTTGAATTTTTGCAATAGCAAAAGAACCAGCTTATCAATATATATTGAGAGTTTAGTATAATACTTGAAAATTTTGATATCACAGAATCTTAGAGTTGTAGAAATTGTAGGAATTAGAGAATTACTCATTTACCTATGCAGGAATTAATTCTGAAAGATAGTTATATAGTTAATACAGGTGATGTATTCTATTGCTGGACCCTTCATGGTATTAATTGTAAGGGATAAAAACATAGCCCTTTCATGATATAGTTTGATTCAAAGATAAAATTGAGAAAGATTTTTTCCCCATGTTTTACTCAAGAGAAAAAAATGAATCCAAAATTTTGTCTAATAGGGTCTCTCACCTGAAAATCACATCAGTAATTTTCATTCATAATTAGTTCTCAAAGCCAGCATTTTGGTAAGAGCATAAAGAGTCTGTGGTTGATTTCTGATGAGAGGTTTGTCAGGATTCTGTGCTGCCAGTTGTGTATGCAAGATACTTTTCAGGCTGTAAGAAGGGGAAGAATATCATGATTGACTTTAACATTGAATGTACTTGAATATACTACCTGTAAATATACTAAATGACATATTTTATTATTATTCCAGGTTTGGATAATTTAGCAGCTCATTTACCTCATGATGTATCCAGATCCTTTCTGTCTGTCTTCCTCAGATGCTGGCTTCATCCTCAGGTCCTTGACTGTTTCAAGGTAGATGCCACATCTTCAGGCATCACATCCTCGCCCACCGATATCTCACAGCTGGAAGAGAAGAGAGTGCAGCCACATCCCTCATTTATTTATTTTTATTTTTATTTTTTTATTTTTGAGACACGGCCTGTGTTGCCCAGGCTGGAATGCAGTGGTGCAATCTCGGCTCACTGTAGCCTCAACCTCCCAGGCTCAGGTGATCCTCCCATCTCAGCCTCCCAAGTGGCTGGGACTACAGACGCATGTCAACATGCCTGGCTAATTTTTGTATTTTTTGTAGAGATGCGGTTTCGTCATGTTGCCCAGGCTGGTCTCAGACACCTGGGCTCAAGTGCTCTTCCAGGCTCAGCCTCACAAAGTGCTGGGATTATAGGTGTGAGCCACTGCACTCAGCTTCATTTATCTTTTTAAGAGATAAGAAAAACTTTTCCAAAGCCTTTCCTCCCCTATGTCATCAGCAAGAATTGTGCCACACGTCCATCGTAACCAATGTCCATTGTCTTAACCAATGACAAAGGCAATGGTTGTCATGATTGGCTCAAACCAATCCTGATTTACACCCTTGGGGCGGGAGAAAAGCCCAGCCTCCTTTAAAGTTTACGGCCCACTGATCATGAAAATACTTGGGCTCCTATTAACACAAGTGAAGAGGAAAATGGACATAAAGTAGATACCCCACAAAGAAGGCAGTGTGTTTTGACAGTGAGTGGTGCACAGAGAAGGGTTTATATTGTCCTCAAAAAATTAAGGAAATCCTTATTAATCACAATTTCTTTCAAATATGGAGATAAAAGTTATTTCTGTCATTTCCACTTAGGCTTGGGTATTTTTCTGTATAGAAGTAAAATAAGTCTAATTTCTCATTACTGTGTCAATATCCAAGCACTATATATCTATATCTATCAAAAGATATAGATATATAGATATTTTGAGATAGGGTCTTGCTATGTTGCCCAGGCTGGAGTGCAGTGGCGGGATCTTGGCTCACTGCAACCTCCATCTCCAGGGTTCAAGCAATTCTCATGCCTGAGCCTCCTGTTAGCTGGGACAACAGGTGCATGCCACCACGCCCAGCTAGTTTATGTTTTTTTTGGTTATTTATTCATTTATTTATTTATTTATTTATTTATTTATTTATTTATTTATTTATTTTATGAGACGGAGTCTCTGTCACCCAGGCTGGAGTGCAGTGGCGTGATCTCAGCTCATCGCAACCTCTGCCTCCGGGGTTCAGGCCATTCTCCTGCCTCAGCCTCCCGAGTGGCTGGGACTACAGGCGCCCGCCACCACGCCCAGCTACTTTTTTGTATTTTTAGTAGAGGTGGGGTTTCACCAAGTTAGCCAGGATGGTCTTGATCTCTTGACCTCATGATCTGCCCACCTCAGCCTCCCAAAGTGCTGGGATTACAGGCGTGAGCCACCGCGCCTGGCCTAATTTATGTATTTTTTGTAGAGACAGGGTTTCGCTATGTTGGCCAGGCTGGTCTCAAACTCCTGGCCTCAAGAGATCCACCAGCCTAGGCCTCCCAAAGTGTTGGGATTACAGGTGTGAGCCATGGTGCCTGGCTGAAGCACAATATTTAAATATTGGTCCTCCTTGACCCCCAGCCCTTTTCCTCCCAATCTCCTCAGCCCTTCCTCATGGTTTCCAAATTCATCACTATGTCTGCTCCTGGCATAACCCTCATCTCTTCAACTCCCAACTGATGACATGAAACTCAGCTTTCAAGGCTTAGCTCTGGAAAGCCTTTCCAAAGTCCCTATGGCAGTAAGTACTCCATGTTCTGTTTGTAGTCCTCTCTAGTTCCTCCTCCATGCCCACACTTCTTGAACTCTTTATGCCAGTCAGTGTGCCAAAAACGTTATCAATAACCTTATTTAGTCTTCACTAGAACCCTATGGTACAGATATTAATTTTCTTAGCTTCATAAGTGACAAAATTGAGGTAAACACAGATGAGTAATTTGCTTAGGTCATAAGGTTTATAAATCGTGGGGCCAAGATTCAAAGCCAAATCATAAGACTCCAGAGTCCTGGCTCATTAGTACCACACTGTACAGCTTCAGCATGTTCTTACCCATATCCCCAGAGTTATCCTTGCCCTAAGTCTGGCTCTGTGTATCAGTATGTCTGGTGCATAGGGAATGCTTCATGAATGTTTGTCAAGTGAATGAATGATTCATGGTTATTCTCTATACTCTTCCATATAACACCATTAATCAATGTCCTCCTGAAAATATGCCCAGAAAACACTACCCCAAGTTTTTTGTTGGTTTCTTTTTTTTTTTTTTTTTTTGAGATGGAGTCTCGCTCTGTTGCCCAGGCCAGAGTGCAGTAGCATGATATCAGCTCACTGCAACCTCTGCCTCCTGGATTCAAGTGATTCTCCTACCTCAGCCTCCCGAGTAGCTGGGATTACAGGCACGCACCACCACACCCCACTAATTTTTGTATTTTTAGTAGAGACTGGGGTCTCACCATGTTGGACAAGCTGGTCTCGAACTACTGACCTCAAATGATCCGCCCACCTCGGCCTTCCAAAGTGCTAGGATTATAGACGTGAGCCACCATGCTCGGCACCCTCAAGAGTTTTTTGATAGAACAAAATAAATAGCATATGTAGAAAAATAATTCCTCCCTCCACCCACAAAGATGTCTACATCCTAATACCCAGAAACTGTGAATACGTCACCTTACACAGCAAAAGGAATTTTGCAGATGTGATTAAGTGAAGAATCTTGAGATGGGAAGATGATCCTGGATGATCTGGATGGGCCCAATGTAATCACAAAGTCCTGAGAAAAAGGAAGCAGGACAGACAGTCAGAAAAGGAGATCTGATGACAAAAAGGAAGCAGGACAGACAGTCAGAGAAGGAGATCTGATGAGGGAAGCAGGGCCTGCAGTCAGAGAACTCTTTCTCTAAAGACACCGTGCTGCCGACCTTGAAGGTGGACAAAGGGGTCAAGAGCCAAGGGATGCAGGTAGCCTTTAGAAGCTGAAGAAGGCAGGGAAAAAATTGCCCCCAAGGGCCTCCAGAAGGGAACATAGCCTTTCTGACACGTTGATTTCAGACATCTGACCTCCAGGACTAAAAGAAAAATTAATTTGTGTTGTTTTAAACCACTGAGTTTGTGATACTTTGTTACAGCAGCAGCAGAAGGAAAATACAGTATAGATACTTTCTTTTTTGACTTGGTTATGATGTTTCTATTTATAACTCTGTTTATGAGTATAGTCCTCTTGATACTGGGTACACTGAATTTTCAGACCTCAAATAGATTCTTCTGAAAATATAAATTCTCTCCATGTTCATTTTGCTTTTCTCATTTCAAGTCACTTAGTTGGCATCTGTCTCTTCATGTTGCCAAATTCCTCTGGACTGTTACCACCATCATTGTCCCTGTTGTTTGCTCTCACTGATGCTGTCTTTTTTTTTTTAGACCCAGTTTCACTCTTGTCACCCAGGTTGTAGTGCAGTGGTGCCATCTCGGCTCACTTCAACCTCCGCCTCCCAGGTTCAAGCAATTCTCCTGCCTCAGCCTCCTGAGTAGCTGGGATTACAGGCGCTCACCACCACCACTCCTAGCTAATCTTTTGTATTTTTTGTAGAGACAAGGTTTCATCATGTTGGCCAGGCTGGTCTCCAACTCCTGACCTCAGGTGATCCACCCACCTCAGCCTCTCAAAGTGCAGGCATTACAGGCATGAGCCAACGCGCCCAGCCTGATGCTGTCTTAAAAGGAGTTTGCCATCAGGCACGGTGCCTCACGTCTATAATCCTAGCACTCTGGAAGGCTGAGGCAGGATGATCGCTTGAGCTCAGGAATTCAAGAACAGCCTGGGCAACATAGTGAGACCTCATCTCTACCTTTTTTTTTTTTTTAATTAGCTGGGCATGGTGGCGCATGCCTGTAGCCCCAGCTACTCAGGTGGCTGAGGCAGGAGGATCACTTGAGCCTTGGAGGTTGAGGCTGCAGAAAGAAAAAAGGAATTTGCCTACCTACATTAAAGCAGTGGCCTTGAGGCCGCATCATGAAGTCCAGCATTATAATACTGGTCACAGATGCGGTCACAACTTTTTAATATCTAAATTTCTAAAACATCTGTCTATGAGATTAAAAAAAGAGAGTGATAACAAGTCAAATAAAGCATTTCATCCTCAAAGTATTTTGGATTCTGATGATCAGTGATAGATGGAGGCTTTGGGCTTCAAGTTAATAGACTGTTGCACTGAGGACATGAAATATTTATTACTGTATTTAGTTTTGTCTATCTCCTTATAACTTTGCATTTTCTAAATAACCTAGGCTTGTTATTCATCCTGTGAAACAGAGATATTATCTGCCTCACAATCTTCCAATAATTATTTTAACTTTTAAGTTGGTATATTTAATCCTTTAAACTATGATTTTTAAAGTGTGGCCCCTGGACTGGCAGCATCAGCAACTTCTGGGAGCCTGTTAACAGTACAAAGTCTCATATCACACTTTAATCCTACAGAATCAGAAACCCTAGGCAGGCATCAGTGATCCATGCTATGGCTTTGAGCTATGTTAGGTGGTATGAATCAGAGTGTCCGAGCACTGAAGATTTTTTTGGAAAGCCATTTCACATCTCAGTGGCTGAGAATCCTGAGATAGAATCGTTCTTCTGGCAAATCTTGGGTACATGCATGCTTTATTTAAAGCAAAGATAAGGCAATACTAGTAAAGAAAAATTAAGAAAAAAAGAGACAATTATATTCTGCATAAAGCACATCACCAATTCCATCTTTCCTGATGTACCTAGGAGGTTGTGTCCTTTTTTCTATTAATGCTGTTTATGTCTAATAGTTGCAATATGCTGAAATAGTATTAGTCTACATATCTGCTATGGTCTGAATGTTTGTGTTTCCCCCAAACATGTTGTACCTAGTCCTCAATGCAATAGTGTTAAGAGGTGGGGTTAGGAGGTGATTAGGTCATGAAGGAAGAGCCTTATAAGAGATTAATTCCCTTATCAAAGAGGCATCAGAGAGCTGGTTGGCCCCTTGCACCAGGGGAGGACAAAGAAGTTGTCATCTATGAGAAAGCAAGCCTTCTCCAGACACTAAATCTGCCAGCACCCTGATCTTGGACTTAACGGCTTCCAGAACTATAAGAAATAAATGTTTTTTGTTTACAAGCTACCCAGTTTATGGTATTTTGTTATAGCAGCTTGAATGAACAATGTCTGCAAGCATCATCAAGATAGGGAACCTGTCTGTTCACCACTGTATTCTCTGAACCTAGCTCAATGCATGACAAGTATGAATCTCAGTAAATATTTTTAGTCTCAATGACTATTTTCCTCATATCACCTCCCAAGGCAGAAACTCCATCTAGAACTGTGTATGTCCAGTGCCTACAATGCCACTGTGCTGGACACATAGGTTCTCATGAAATATGTAAAGCAATAAATTAATGAAGGTGTGATACACATATCAAATATCATTCCAATATTCAGTTCACATTCTGATGTACTATCAAGTTGTGCTGGAAATAAGTAGACATAGGTTGATGCCAAAGGAATTTCTGTTGCACTAAGACTTTGATTGTAAAAGTATTTAATGCTAGAGAATTTACATTGCACAAGCTGCTTCTATAGAAATGAGAAAAGCCAGCAGACAAAATAATAGAAAATTATTTCAGACATTTATCCAGATTTGGACCAGAATCTATTTTATTATGCATGAACTAAAACATAAATACTTATATAATAAAATATTAGAAAATGCTGGCCGGCTGCGGTGACTAATGCCTGTAATCCCAGCACTTTGGGAGGCCGAGGTGGGTAGATCACTTGAAGTCAGGAGTTCAAGATCAGCTTGGCCAATATGGTGAAACCCCATCTCTACTAAAAATACAAAAATTAGCCAGGCATGGTGGCATGCACCTGTAATCCCAGCTATTCAGGAGGCTGAGGCAGAAGAATGTCTAGAACCCAGGAGGTGGAGGTTCCGGTGATCCGAGATCACGCCACTGCATTCCAACCTGGGCGACAGAGCGAGACTCTGTCAAAAAAAAAAAAAAAAAAAAAAAAAAAAAAAAAAAAAAAAGGAAATGCTGATAGATGTATGGTTTCAAAAATACAGTGATGATTTTATATTAAACCTGTCACTGCAAGTTTGCCAAGCAATTTTCTTCTAAATATATTTCTAGAGCTGGGTGCAGTGGCTCACACCCATAATCCCAGTACTTTGTGAAGCCAGCTTGGGAGGATTGCTTGAGGCCAGATATCTAAGGCCAGCTTGAGCAACATAGCAAGACTCCCTGTCTACAAAAAAAAAAATAAAATAAATAAATAAGTAAAGATAGATAGATAGATAGACAGACAGACACACAGATAGATAGATATGCCGTGTGTGGTAGTATTATCCCTTAGTCCTAGATAGTCAGGAGGCTGAGACAGGAGGATTGAGCCCAGGAGTTGAGCTTGCAATGAATAACTGTGCCATTGACTCCAGCCCTGTCTCTAAAATAAATTAATAGATTGATAAATAAATTCCTAATGAAATAAAGTGACTTTCATCTTTAACCCTTTATAGTCACAGTTGATTTTATCAAAGATCCCAGCTGTTGGTCCTCCAACTGGATATATACAGACCCAAATCTACAGCAATTGGTTTTTTTATTGTTGTTTTAATTTGTTTTGGGAGATAGAGATAGGAGATTATGATAGAATACTGAATAAAAAAGTCTTTGACACAAAAACAAGCTTGTTTAGATCTGTTTAACATTTAAGGAAAGTTAAACAGCTTTCCTTTTTGCTGTTTTTACCTGGTTCTTTAATATGCTAATATGTACTGAATATGGCCTGGAGGCAGGGGTGTGGGAGGCGAGGTTAGTACTCAATCTTGTTTGCGAGATATCCTTTGTTCTTAGAACTCAGATTAGCATCTCCCAGCACGATACAATTTGGAAAAGGCTACTCAATTCCTAAAGTACTGAATCTTTTCCGAAATAACATTTACAAAGAAGGGAAAACTGTAAGGTCTGGGCTGCTGCATCAGACAGCTGTTTACTTAATAGGCCATTCCCAGATCTTTCTTTTTAAGGATAGTAAGAAAAGCACAATTTTTACAAGGAAAAAAATGGAAATGTAATGACAAACTTGAAATTTAGTCTTAAAGTTAAAAAAAAAGTAATGACATGAATTAGTTACTTGTTATCAATATTTCATCAAACCTCAGAAAGTTGAGAATTAAATTATATCTGTTCTCCTCAGTTAAAATTTTTATTTTTATGTCAGAGTCAATTGAGAGGGTTCCTAAAAGAGCACTGGATCCCCCGCTTCTGTCAGGTGAGTTTGTGTGTCTTTGCTTTGGACCCACGGAGACCTGGGTTTGCCTCTGGTTCTGTCCTTGACTGTTTCTGCTCTCATCATATTACCTCAGTAATATCTAACTACTAGATTTGTTGCTATTAGATATGATAATGAATGCAAAATCCCCTCTCCCCTCTTTTTTTTTTGAGATGGAGTCTTGCTCTGTTGGCAGGCTGGAGTGCTGTGGTGCGCTCTCAGCTCACTGCAACCTCCGACTCCCTGGTTCAAGCGATTCTCCTGCCTCAGCCTCCCAAGTAGCTTGGATTACAGGCACACGCCACCACGCCCAGGTAATTTTTGTATTTTTAGTAGAGATGAGGTTTCACCCTGTTGGCCAGGATGGTCTTGAACTCCTGACCTCGTGATCCGCCTGCCTCGGCCTCCCAAATTGCTGGGATTACAGGCGCGAGCCACTGTGCTCGGTCTTTTTTTTTTTTTCCCCCTGCTTCATCTGACTTCTTGTCTGTTGAGGGCTTTCATATATTTGGGGTGGCCATATTTTGCCTTGTGTTGATAGATGACTGTTAAACAGGAATTACTCTTAAATCTCTTTATGTTCCCACATATATCCCTGCTGTAAATATTTATCACTCCTCCATCTCAAGAAGGTAACAGAGCTTTGGTGTTCTGTTGGCTCAGTGATTTTTTGGTTACAGAATAAAAACTAAAAGTCACCAGATATCCAGAAGACAACTCAACTTGTGTTTCTTTTGTTTAGAAATCTTAGACTGATTGAGTCAGAGAAGCAGGAGTCCACTGTTGTGCTTCATGTTAGGGGAATGAGCGTGGCGAGGTGGAAGAGGCAGGTTATTCTACAGAGAAAGAGAAAAGAAACCTAAGGAGAGAAAGAGTTTGGGCGACTAGCCCAAGACTGAGAAGTAGAATGGTGAGTTGTGGATCCCTGGGATAGCATCGCACAGATCCCAGCTCTAGGTGACCTCCCACAGGGAATGCGAATGAACACTATGGGAGGGGAAGCACAAGTGAAACAGAGATAAAGCGATCAACAAGATGACCTCTGAAGACTCTTTCTGGACACCATTAAATATTAGACTGTAAGCAGCCAGGCATGGTGGCTCACACCTGTGATCCCATTACATTGGGAGGCCAAGCGGAGGATCACTTGAAGCCATGAGTTGGAGCAGCAGCCTGGGCGACATAGTGAGACTTTGTCTCTACAAAAAATAAATAGCCGGTGTGGTGGTGCGCACCTGTAATCTGAGCTATTCAGGAGGCTGAGGTGGAAGGATCACTTGAGCCCAGGATTTGGAGGCTATAGTCAGCTATGATTGTGTTATTCATTATACTCGAGCCTGGGTGACAGAGCAAGACCCTGTCTCTAAAAATTTTATAAAATAAAAATAAAAAATTTGCTCTCTCTCGAGGGTGGGAGAGAGAGAGAGAGAGAGCGAGCGAGCACCTCTAGAGAGAGCAAGCAATAATTTCTTTTTATTTTCCTGCTGGTAAACTGTACTCCTAGCACCTAGAACTATAGTGCCTGGCAAATAGTAGGCACTAAGTAAAGATGTATTTAATGATTGAATATGAAGTATGTTAATGACATGAAGGAGGAAAGTTCAAGTAAGATGAGAAAAAGGAGAGGTCAGGATGACTGAGGTTTCATAAGTGGGAGAAAAAGCATTATCACCAATAAAAATGTAAGTTAAATGGCTGGCTGAGCTGGAAGCCTAAAGAGTTTAGCTTTACATTGGGAACTGATAAACACATGTTAAACTGAATGTTCAGCAGGCAATTGGAGATACAAGACTAAGACTTAAGAAAGTAGTCAGAGCTAGGAATAGAAGACTCGCTAGTCCCTCAATGGAAGTTGGGTAATGAATCCTTGAGAGATCTCAGATACAGAGTAAGTGTTGGAGGTAGGCGGTACTGAACTGGAAGGGACATGCACCTTTTCTGAAGTGATGTTCAAATGAACCTGTGAATAATCCTGGGGTTAAGTAAAATTTAGGAACAACTTCCAAATCTTTAGTATTGGTGTGTTACTGTTTTTCAGCCTGTGGATTAGAGTTTTGTCTGAGACATTGTCAGTAAGCAGGACTCTTCACTATCAAGGGCCCAGGAAGATTCAAAATATTCAACTTTGTAATCTATAGCCAGTAAAATCTTTTATCGCTTATACAAAATATTGTGGGTCCAAAGTCCAGGACCCATTTGATTTTGTTAAAATGCATTAATTTATTATGTGATAAGCAGAGACATACAATTAAATTCTGCTTACATCCTTCCCTTTCTCCAAAGAGCACAAATTATATGTGTTCTTTTTTAGTCCTTAGGTAAGGATTCATAAGACCCTTCATTTTTGGGGATAATAAAAAATTATAATGATGATTGAAGTTATCAGTATTTACCACTTTTGAAGCATTGCAGATAGCTGTTTGGATGGTCAGTATATCACCATATGGTTAACATACTCGTCACAAGTAACAGTCACTGCCATTAATGAACAGGATTTGGAAAACTTTTGCTAACATGGCACTTTTGAGTACAAAAAGTAAATTAAAAGGTTTACAAGAAGATATAGTAAAAACAAACAAAAACTGTAGTAAAACAGATTAGTAGTCAAAATCACTGGGAAAAAATCGCCAATTTAAATCTTTCTTTATACTTCTATTTCAGATGTTCACAAGTCTTAGTTTGTGTTACTACAGCAAAGTACCATAGATTTTGCGTGGCTTGGAAACTGTGGATATTCATTTTTTAGTTCCAGAGGCTGGAAGTCTGAGATCATGGCTGAGCTCTGCTGAAGATCCTCTTCCAGGCTGCAGACTGCCATCTTCTTGTCGCATCCTCACACGATAGAAGGAGTTTGAGAGAGATCTTTGGGGCCCTTTTTATAAGGGCATTATTCTCATTCATGAGTGCTCCACCCTCATGACCTAATTACCTCCCAAAGGGCCCACTTCCTAATACCATCATGGGAACGAATGAAAGGTTAGGATTTCAATGTATGAATTTTTGGGGAACGCATTCAGTTCATCGCAAGATGTTCCCTGTATGTATGGCTCTTTAATTATTAATGCTGTTTCTCTTGTATTCATAATGTTCTGTAGTATAATAAACAGTTCCCCATAAGAAGCAGAAATGAAGAACTGAAGTACTGGTTTTGCATGCTCCTAGGGAGCTGCTAAACATATTTTTCCTATGAGCCTGATGCCATTAGTTACTGCTTCTGCCACTACAGTTACCTTAAAAATTGGATTCATCCCCGAAGAGTGAGTGAAAGAGATCATTGACTCAGCTAGGAGGAATGATGCCTGTGGTCCTGAAGAAAGTTTTCAGTAATCTACATTCTACATATCCCTGAAGAAAACATCATGGTGTTTGAGAACCAGAACTGAAACAATGGGAACTGGAAATGACTGCAATTCCATTTCAGTTGACAGCTTAATACTCATTCACAAAAGGCTAATTAAGGCTTCACAGGATTCACATTAAATTTATTATGGCTATAAATGTTTTCCTGGAATGTCACATTGTAGAATAATAGGTATTAATTTTTCTTATTTCTTGAACAGAAAGGCACTATGTCCCCGTTTTGACACATATTAGCTCTAGATCCTTGAACAAATTATGAAACTTCTCTGAGTCTTCAATTCTTCATCTGGAAAATGGGGATAATGATAGCCCTCAGGGTTGATGTGTGTAATAAACAATATAATCTATAGAAAATCTCCTAGCATCTAGAGGGATATAGCAAATATGAACTCACATGTGAGGTTTTTTTTTTTTTTTTTTCTATTCTCTTGGTGTCACTCCGTTTACTTCCAGGTGTAATGATCAAAAGCTGAGAGAGGGCCCCCAGTGTGCATGTGTGGCAATTTCTTGTGTATTCCCCAGCACGAAATTTGTATCCTATTAGTGTCTCAGCTTGACAAGCCACTCTAAGTATCCTTATGATGATGAGAGAATCATAAGTTTGGGGGTAGATGAGTTCTTTTAATTCTGAGGATGAGAATAAATAGCCAAAGTACTGTAACTATCAAGATCCTAATGATAATTGCGCACACACCCCTTTACAATATCAGCTGTTGTCACTTCTCAGAAAAATAATTGATCTCCCTTCCCCAACAAGTAAAAGTCAATTTGATGTCTCTAAGCAATTGCATGTAAAACTTTCTAAGTGTTAAATGTTTTGAAAAAAATTTTTTCAGCTACAAAGTCAATAGGTGCTTATTGTGAAAATCAAGCATTTGGAAATATTTTTACAAACATTCACATGAAGTTGCTTTAAGTCCAGCTCTGTAAACCCCCCAAAACGAGACAAAGGTGTAAGCTAAAAAGGTTAAGCATAACTAATGAATTAAGTGTATACCTAAAGTAAAGCTATTTGTAATACTTTGACAGAATTATTAGTTTTGAGACTCTGAAGCAGAAATGAGGAGAAAAGCTCCACAGACATATGGGGTGAGATACCTCCCTCCTCTCCTGAAAGGGGGGCCCATCAACTCGTACAGTAGTTCAGGCTTCTAGTCCTTCCCATAATCAAATAAGAGCTCTGAGGAAGCTGCCTTGCCCCAAGTTGCCATTATTTTGTAGATTGCCCCCACACAACTCCAGGAAGAGCTCCCACCATCTCTGAGTCTGTATTGGCAACCGCTCAGCAATTGGAAGTTTTCCTCCCGTGTTGACCAAGGTAGCTAGGAGTCAACTAAGAGAGCTCTTTTCCACCCCCTACATTGCTACATTGCTTGTTGACTTGAGGCCAAAATGTCTTCTAAGGAGAAAAGTTAAGGAACTTTAATTAGGGTCTTGAAATTCAAACCCTAAACAACCTTGTAAATTTGATACCAATCACCAAATTGCTCTCTAAAAAGGAAGTAGCACTTTACAATTCCATAAACAGTTTTCTGACACCTTTTAACAAAATTGTATCGCATTCATTTTTTTTAGTTTCAGCCAATCTTATTTCTCATTATTTTTTTAAAGTAGTATTATTATAAAAGGACACAAATTTTTGCACATGGTTGTAAACTATTTGTTCTTTCTTTTCTTTTCTTTTTGTTTTTGAGGCAGAATCTCACTTTGTCGCCCAGGCTGGAGTGCAGTGGCACGATCTCGGCTCACTGCAACCCCTGCCTCCCAGGTTCAAGCAATTCTCTTGCCTCAGCCTCCCTAGTACCTGGGATTACAGGTGCCCGCCATCATGCCTGGCTAATTTTCGTATTTTTAGTAGAGACGGGGTTTCGCCATGTTGGCCAGGCTGGTCTGGAACTCCTGACCTCAGGGGATCTGCCCGCCTTAGCCTCCCAAAGTGCTGGGATTACAGGCGTGAGCCACTGCACCTGGCCCTTGTATTTATTGTACGAATTGCTTGTTTATGGCTTGTGTTCTATTTTAAAATAGGGTTTTTTTTTGGTACTGATCCATAGGCATTTTTTTTAACATATTCTGGATATTCTCCCTTTAAAAAAAATACATTGCAATTATTTTCTGTCAGTTGCCCTATTTACGGTTTCCACTGTACAGATGTTCTACATGTTCAGGAGTTTGGGATGAACTTATCGCCAGTCACACCATCCCACCTCCCCTCACCTTCCAGCCTGTGGTAAAAGAGACTGAGCAATGAAGACCCCTGAAACTTTGACAAAACTGGTAGAATATGAGGATGTCATCATTTATGAAGCTGCAAATAAGCTTCCTGGTAGACTTGACTTCCTTTTCTGTACAATCACAATACTGGAAAAATCATCACAATGGATATTTACATATGCAAAAATGTAGCTGAGACTCTAGTCTGAAATAGAGATTTTGGAGAAGTATGACTCTGCTTAATGCAACTAAACTGCTTTTTGCTAATGTGATACATTTTCTACACTGTGGACAGTCATAGCTGTAAGTCAGGATTTATACTGCTTAGGCACTGTGGGTTTTTTTTTTTTTTTTTTTTTTTTTGAGATGGAATCTCGCTTGTAGCCCAGGCTGGAGTGCAGTGACAGGATCTCGGCTCACTGCAGCCTCTGCCTCCCAGGCTCAAGCAATTCTTCTTCCTCAGCCTCCTGAGTAGCTGGGATTACAGGCGTGCGCCACCACACCCAGCTAATTTTTGTATTTTTAGTAGAGCCGGGGTTTCATCGTGTTGGTTAGGCTGGTCTCTAACTCCTGACCTCATGATCCAACCACCTCGGCCTCCCAAAGTGCTGGGATTACAGGCGTGAGCCACCGCGCCCGACCTACTGTGGCTTATTATTTTTGAGATGCACATGTTCTTTAAATAATTGCTTATAGGAGATAAAACTCCAAGACAGCCAGAAGACTGCACTGGCAGGATTTTCTCCTTGAGTTGGAGGAAGGATTGTATGTAAAAACGATTAGCTTGGTCAAGCTCAGTCATGAGCTAGATGGTGTTTAAAATTGAACTCAATGTTCTCTGACCAATGTGTCAAATTAAAAAAAAAAAAAATTGAACTCGACCTTGAAAACTGTTTTTAAAAAGAAACCTTTTGAACATCATGTACTGTAAAAGAAAAAAAAATTTAAAGTTTTAAAAATTATTCTAAGAGGATGTTGTAAGAAAGTGGCCTCATGTCACTTTATAGGTATCTCCAGTCCTGGGGTTCACTTACTATGATCTGATCTGATTGTCTTGCTGAGAGCACACCCTTATGAGTAGGTCTCTCCTACAAGGAGTAGACATTCTTGCCATCAGTCATGGCAGAAAAGGCTGTACTTGGCACAGAACAGGAGAATTTAGAAGGCAGGCCCTACAATGGGGATGAGGAGGAAATACTTTGGTCTATTCTAGACTGCACATTTAGTGCTGAATGGCCTCCCATGGTAATGTGGGGAACCTGGCCTCTACCTGTCACTGGTGCGCAGAGGCGACAGTCTATGAAACAATAGCATTTATTTTAAAGAGACTGCACCACCATAATAAAAAAAACAAACCTAGTAAAACAGGGCCAGCCCTATATGTACACTGCCTGAAAATTATAATTTTAGGGGCCTTTGAAAGACCTTGCATGTCCCAAGAGTCCTCTCCTTCTTTGTGGCTTTTCCCCTCCCAGCTTATTAGAAGAAATCTTCTACCAAAAGGCCAAATTAAATATACATATATTGGGAGGGTATTTTCTCCAAAACAATGACCAAAAACACTAACCCAGAGAGGACTAAAAACTTTTAATTCCATCACCCTACTTAAGCCTTTGTCAGTTTCCACAGGAATATAAAATATTTATATAATAGCAATCATGTGCCCATACAATAATATATCTTGAATTTTTAAAAATTAATGTTACACTGATCAAAAGCCCCTCCCATCACAGAGAGTTACATAGCAGTGATATCTCAGAAAGAACAATGATTTTGGCCTCAGGTGCTTTCCTTTGAGTCACAGCTCCAATGTAGGCAGCACAGCCCTAGACCACCTGACTCTGTTCCTTCCTTTCTACCATGACTGGCTTGCAGGGTGAGTGAGAGGAACAGATACAATGCATGGTGGGTGGCTGACTCATGGTGGGCAATGACTGGTAGTTAATATTTTTAGCGTTATTTTTAAAGTCAACATTTTACTTCCTGAATTGATGGTTTTGGGGGCAAGCACTGTGCCAAGCCTTCTTTACAACAGAGACTGTTTTAATCCTAATCACCCTTCAAGACTAGCTGTATTATCTCACTTTACACCTGACAAAAAATGAAGCCCACTGTGGTAATGCCACTTGCCCAAAGTCACACAGCAGGTCAGCAGAAGAGGTAGCTTTTGAACTAGGTTGGGGTCAACAGTAGTCACTACTGGCCACTACCAAATATGAAATACAAACGTCACCTCAGAACAGCAGATAGCCTCTCTCCTTAGCACACTGCTTTGCAGATTCAAGAAGTCCAGAAGGCCAGAGTGGATGAGGTGAAATACAGTTTTAGTTTTTAAGATCATGAACAAGGGGTCAGTGAAGAACCCAGGAGAAATTAAAAGAGCAAAGTAAACCTCAACACCAATTAGTTCAGATAGACAAATTCCCTAAAACTCTTTCACTATCCTGATGTCTCAAGAGCCACGTTTAAAATTACAAAATCTGTGTGGGTTATGTCAAAGGCAATCTGTAGAAAGGGCAAAGAATATGAATTATCTGAACCCATTGAGTTTTTTGTTTGTTTGTTTGTTTGTTTGTTTGTTTTGAGACAGAGGCTCGCTGTGTCGCCCAAGCTGGAGTGCAGTGGCGCCATCTCAGCTCACTGGGTTCAAGCGATTCTTCTGCCCCAGCTTCCTGAGTAGCTGAGATTACAGGCGCGCACCACCATGCCCGGCTAATTTTTGTATTTTTAGGAGAGACGGGGCTTCACCACGTTGGTCAGGCTGATCTGGAACTCCGGACCTCGTGATCCGCCCGCCTCGGCCTTCGAAAGTGCTGGGATTACAGGTGTGAGCCACGGCGCCCGGCCATTTTTTTTTTAAAGTAAGGTTGGGAAAACAACAAATGATACCTCCTAGGGCTGTTATTACAATTAAGACAAATACCAGAGCACTTTGGCAGGTGGAGGCGAGCGGATCATTTGAGGTCAGGAGTTCGAAACCAGCCTGGCCAACATAATGAAACCTCATCTCTACTAAAAATACAAAAATTAGCTGGGAGTGGTAATCCCAGCCTGTAATCCCAGCTACTCGGGAGGCTGAGGCAGGAGAGTCGCTTGAGCCTGGGAGGCAGAGGTTGCAGTGAGCCAAGATCATGCCCCTGTACCCCAGCCTGGGTGACAAAGCAAGATTCTGTCTCAAAAAAAAAAAAAAAAAAAAGGACAAATACCAGAAAGCCCATCACAGATGAAGGACTTTGTTCCAGTTCGTGACACATTGCCAACTTTGAATTACATCCAAGTCCGTGGGTCTTCTCTCTGGGGTCAATTGATGGCACGTGATTACACTGCTCAGGGCCCAAAGGTTGGAGCTATGACTTGAATGTTTCTAGACAAGGAATTATTTGACAAACACACTTTAAAAAGTATTCAGAGCCATCCAAGTAAGAGGACATTAATAACGTAGGGTTTTGCCTATGGAGAGAAAAGAAAACGCAAACAGCACGTTCCACCTTCGTTCTCCCTAAAGTAATTTATCTCCTTCAAAAGATAAAAAGTACGAACACATTTGCCCTTGAAGGGCAGAGCCCCGGAATTCAGGAGCTCTCTGAACACTCCTCCCCTTCTGATAGGGACCAAACCTTCTGCTGAGCCTTGTGTCACAGTCAGTCCGCGGCGCCACAAGCCTCAGTGTTTACTTCTGCCGCCTGCCAGCCGGGCGGGGAAGGGGAGTACCCGGCCACCCCTCACTTTAGCTCCTGCAGCTTTCCAAACAAACCAGGGCGGGATGGGAGTGTCTTCTTGGCTGTGGAAATCGATCCTCCTACCTTGTCCTGAAGCCACCCGCCGCCTTTCCTCGTCCCTCCCTTCGCGGTGATTTTCCGGTCCCGGCGCCCGGCGAGGGCGCGCGGCTGGTGTCCGCCCCGCCCGAAAGGTAGGGGTTCGGCTGTGCTCCCGCCTGGTCCCCAACGCCTCACCCTCCGGGAGACCCGCAGCCTCCCACCACTTTGCACCTTCCTCCTCGAATTTGGGGGCGGCCACCGTGCAACTGGCGCCAGCCGCGGAGCAGGAGGAGCTTCCCGCGACTCCGGAGGCGCTCGGCGCAGTCGCCCGGGATTGGGGCTGGCGGGAGCCTGAGACTCCGGGCAGGGCTGCTCCCTCCTCTGCTCCCCCGCCAGATCCGCGGGGAAGGAATCGTGCCCGCGCCGCCCCTGGCCCGCGCCACCTTCCTTTGGTTTCTGCCGGCCTCGGGCTTCTGCGGCCCGATGTGGCAGGCGCCGCGAGAGAGGCAGCAGCCGGCTGGAGCAGCGGCCCCTCAGGTCTCGGAGCCCGGTGCGCCTCTGCGGTCGTCGCTCCTGGGCCTCGGCGGGTCACTCTTGCCGGCCGGCTTCGCTGCGGGTTTGCACTGCCCGGGTGAGGGAAATTGGGGGTGCGGGAAGACCGGTCTGGGCCGGGGTCCGGGCGGCCTGGGGTCTGTGCTGCCCCGACCCTCCGGCTTTGCAGCCTCTGAGGCTCAGGGTTGGGGGTGGGGACACGGAGCGCTGTTTGCCCCTCCACATATCCTGCCAGCACCAAGGAGGTGGCGTGCGGAGGCGTAAAGGGACCATGGGCGCTGGGACCCGCGAGCCAGCCGGCGTGCGCCGCAGCCACCGCCGAGAGGGCACCCGGGGATCCTGGAGCCCCAGTGAAGGGCGGGAGGGACGCGCAGCCTCGCGGGTAAGCCCAGGAGCCGTGGGGGCCGAGAGAATCTGCTCTGGGACCCTCTTTTGTCGAATCGCCGGCGAGGTTGTGCAATTGGGAAGCCAAGAGGAGTGTCCAGCTCCTCGTTCACTATTGTTTTCTTGTAAAAGGGTCTGTACGCGAGGAGGGTTGAGGGGTCTGGAAGGTTCTGGTCTCTTACCGTATAAAGTTTTTCGAGAAACCCTTTTTCCCTCCACAATGGAACTAGACCTAACAAAACAAGCTCCGAGGCAGTTTAGGAGAAAGGAGGACGGTGAGTAAATTGCAGTGTTTGGGCTGCTGTTAATTTTCAAGATAAGGGAGAAGCAACTTGTCATTTTGAGGCCGCCGGCTCCGGAGATCCCGGCAATCTCAAGCCTCTTTCTTGTGTGCTGTTATTTTGGCTTAAAAGAAAACCTATAAAAAGCGACGCCCAGAAACCAAAAACAAACCCAAAGCACCTTCTTTTAGGATTTTTCAGTAGCGAGGGTTGGCGGGGACAGTGGGGAGGAGCAGGAGGGGGAGAAGAGGTTGCTGTTGAAAGGTAATGTTTAAAAACAGTGTGTGGGGGTAGGGATGAAAATAACGTGGTGACTGCTAGTGTATCAGAAATCACACCGAGTCTAAAGTCGTAAGTCCCATTTGCCTTACGAGGACCAGCTGGGTGCTGTGAGTAGGTGGATAGTTAAGGAAACTGTAGATCTGCTGAAAGCTCCTCGTGGTCTGTGGTCTCGTGTCCACGCTGACCTTTGAACCTCGTAACTCTTCGGGTCTCCAGCGGCCACCTCTTTTAGGCTAGCCCGAATGTTTGACTTTCCGGTCCTCAATCTTCCTCACCTAGCTGCAGACCATAAAACTGTCTTTTTATTTACAGGGAGATGTTAAATATTTGGGAACATCTGCTCAGGCTGCCAGGTTATTTTCCGTTTGAAAGCATGCCGATTTGACATTTGCAAGTTGGTTTATGTTGCTTCCTTTTTGTTTCACTAAGAACGCTTTTCATACCAAGATCTGCGAAAAACGATGCCCTTAGACTGTTATTTAGTTTATTGTCTCTGAGTAAGGCCAAATTCCACAGAGGGTCTTTGGATAATGGCAACTTTGCTTATAAGAAGATAATTTTTCTAGAAAGTGTTGCATTGGTCTGGTTTCCTAAGCTGTTCTTGTGGTCATGTAGACTGGGAGGGGAGATCTTCATTCCTTGTGATGTCGCTTTCCTTGAATTGTATTTTTACTATAGTTCCACAATGTCTCAGTCCCAGATTGCACCATATGTTGTTTACATGGTGCAGTAAAATGGGACTGCAATTTTGACTACATTTCAGTAGATTTGTTGGAGATAGTTTGTTCTTATGCCCTATATCAATAATAATAATAAAAAACCTTTGAGGCTCAAGAATAGACAGTATTGACAGAATAATACCATTAAGAGACATACCATTTAAAAACATTAGTCTGTCTCCTGTGAAATTGTAAATCGTAGGTGTTCTCATTCAGTGGCAGACGACTGGATTTCACAGCAGTTTTCTTCTGTTGGAGACATTTCTGTGTTCCACATCATGTGGAACCTTATGGGAGAAGACGTGAGTAATGCCATGTTTCCCGCATTTCCCTGATAAGCATCATCTGCTAACCATGCAGACTGCCAGATGGCTTCCATGGAAATTGTGCTTCCATCCAGGAGTGGTGACCAGAGATCTGTTTAGTATGCATTTTAGGTGATGCTTATTGAGAAGGTGAAGGAAGCATGGAACTCCTATTTGGCACCCACTCTGATTTTTGGTGTGTTCTCATATGCTATTTTATTTAATCTTCCTGACAAAACTCCTGCAAGAAAGGAATTTTTAGCCCCATTTTATAGCTTAAAAAACCAAGATTGCCTTAGGTTGAGTTGCAGTGGCTCACATAAAGGTTTGACTCTACCTCTGCCTACACCATCCCAGGAATCCTCTGCAGTATACATTCTGCACAAATTCTTCCATTTCCTGTGCATATCTTTCTCCTTTGCCTGGCATATCCTCCATTTATATATACCTTGGTCTGAATATGCCTTTCTAGTTATCCCCAGGCTGGGCTTTTTGAATAGGTGGTCTGCGTACTTTGCCTTCCTTGTGACAGCTTTAGACTTTCACCAGCCAGGAACCTTCTATCTTCTGCACATCTCTGATGTGTCACTTAGGTGATCAGGGTCTGGCGAAATCTAGGAGTTTATGCTGTCTTCAATGGGCATATTCCAAAAGTTCTTTCCTTTCTGAATACATTTTCACTGAAGCTCCTACTCAAGCTATATGTTACCTGGAAGAGGTTTTCCCAGGGTTACATCCCCACCCTCACAGTTGAAATGAAACATTCTCTCCTGTCTGTCCCAACTGTGATGGATAATAGCACACATCACACATCACAGTTTCCAATTTAACCCTTAGGGGTTAAAATGGATTTTGATTTGGAGTGAGCTTGATGCATGGAATAGAATGTATACATTGGATATTATAGTGTTTTGGTAGGAAATTTTATTTACAATTCCATATCAGGATGTCAGAAACACAATTCCCTCACCATTGTGGGATAGCTGGAGTTCTTTCCCCTGATGGTGACACCTCAGCACTGAATCAGCTGCAGTGTCTCAGACTTGGTCAGGAACTTGACTGTCGTATAATCAGGCTAAGAAGTGCTGAGATTCTGGCAGTGAGGTTATGAAAGTAAAAGATAACAGGATCAGTAAGACCTGGTTTTCTTCCTTGTGCCCATGTTTGTTTTTCTTGGAGAGCTTTTGGTCATCTAGGAGGATTGTCCAGTTTACCTTTTTACTGCCACAAACTTTTGTATCTGACCAGGGGCCTTCCTCTTCCTGCACCATTGAGATAGAGGGAAAGGAAAGCACCTAGCCCTTAGGAGATTTTCTTAAAAACATTGGAAAGCTGAGTGAAAAGTTATCTTCTCCCCCATTCTCTCTTTCCCCTTCTTATATGCTTAGCCTAAGACAAAGTATACAGATAGCATCATTGCATACTTTGCAATGTATTTAGTGCTAGGCTTTGAAAGATGGTTTAAACATTGATTTACTTTTTATTTGGTTGGGAATGGAAAGATCTTTAGGACATGATGAGAACAAGGCCCCCAGAAGAGGAGACGGCAAGGAAGCTGGAGATTCCTCCAGAGGTGGGAGGGTTATTCTCACCTTCCACAGGTTGTGGAAGCAGGCCTGGAGTTGTTATGGCTGTGGGTCAGAGTCACTATGCTGAAAGATGGGGGCAACAAGGGAGCAGAAAGTGTTTTTTTCAGTGGACTTTGGGTGATATTCCATGTGGTCATCCATGAGATGGGACTTCCCTAATGGTCAACCAACATTCACTGAATGTCCACCATGTAACAAGAGATGTTCTTGTGGGTGGGGTTGGGAGCGTGCCGTGTTGGACACAGCAAAGCCCCTGCTCTTACAGAGCTTATGTTTTATGGGGGGCAGAGTCAAAAAATGAGTTACAAATACATGAGGCATGAGTGAATTTGGGTCGTTTGAGAAACAGAAGGTGCAGTGTGAGAAGAGAGTGGTTAAGACAATATGTAGTTAAAGAAGAGTGCAAAAGACGGAGTGGGAGGAGATGTAGTCAGTAAGATAGGAAGGCAGATTTTGTGGAGTTTGAATCGTATTCTAGTTAGAATTGGCATGCCTGGAGATTTTTGATGAGAGCCTAATTCAGTCTTCACCCAGTCATGATAGGCTTTCCTGTCTCTTCTTTTTCTTTCTTTTTGAGGTGGAGTCTTGCTCTGTCACCCAGGCTGGAGTGCAGTGGCTCGATCTCCGCTCACTAAAACCTCTGCCTCCTGAATTTAAGTGATTCTCCTGTCTCAGCCTCCCAAGTAGCTGGGATTACAGGCATGCACCACCACACCTGGCTATTTTCTGTATTTTTTTTGTAGAGATGGGGTTTCGCCATGTTGGCCAAGCTGGTCTTGAACTCCTGAATTCAGGTGATCCGCCCACTTCGGCCTCCTAAAGTGTTGGGATTACAGGCGTGAGCCACCACACGCGGCCCCTTCCTGTCTCTCTGTCTCTCTTTCTCTCTCTCACACACATAAACACACAAATTTCTACCCTTAGTTGCCTTTTTTTCTTTCTACTAATTTACCATAACTGATTTCCCCTCTCTTTTCCCTAGGGCAGAGCACAGGAATATCACAAAGACAGGCAGAGCTCAGAGACGCCTATACAGTATTCCTTTTATCCTCTTGTCCTTTGATTTCAAGATGTCTCATCATCACCACTCTATTAGTATCTAGGGAGACTTGGCACAATTTTTAGATAGAAAATTATTTTTGAGATTCTTTGGCCCATTGTTAACTCACATACTTAACTAACATACAAAACAACTAAATTATGGCTTTTCTGATTAACACAGTGGCATAAAACCTGAAACCTCAGGAGACCTATCTCACATTCAATGATATCCAAAGGCTGAAAGTAAAGGGATGGAGAAAAGTCTGGCAAGCAAATGGAAAACAGAAAAAAGCAGGGGTTGCTATTCTAATTTTAGACAAAACAGACTTTAAACCAACAAAAACCACAAAAGACAAAGATAGTGATATGGTTTGGATCTGTGCCCCCACCCAAATCTCATATTCAATTGTAATCCTCAGTGTTGGAGGTGGGGCCTGATGGGAGGTGATTGGATATGGGGGGCAGTTTCTAATCGTTTAACACCATCCCCCTGGGTGCTGTTCTTCTGATACTGAGTGAGTTCTTACAAGATCTGGTTGTTTAGCCTCCCCCCGCCCTCCCCCCACCCCCGCCTTTCCTCCTACTCCAATTATGTAAGATGTGCCTGCTTCCCCTTCACCTTTTGCCAGGAGACTTCTGTGAGTTTCCTGAGGCCTCCCAGTCATGCTTTCCGTACAGCCTGAAGAACCGTGAGCCAATTAAACCTCTTTGCTTTTTATATTACCTAGTCTCAGGTATTTCTTTCTTTCTTTTTTTTTTGGATAGGGTCTCACTCTGTTGAACAAGCTGAAATGCAGTGGCACAATCATTCTTCACTGCAGCCTCAGCCTCATGGGCACAAGCAATCTTACCATCTCAGCCTCCTAGGTAGCTGGGACTGCAGATACACACCGCCACACCCGGCTGATTTTTTAAAAAATTATTTGTAGAGACGGGGTCTCACTGAGTTGCCCAGTCTAGTCTTGAACTTCTGGGCTCAAGCAATCCTCCTGCCTCGGCCTCCCAAAGTGTCGGGATTACAGGCATAAGCCACTGTGCCCAAACTCAGGTATTTCTTTATAGCAGTGTGAGAATGAACTAATACAGATGGGCAATACATAATGATAAAGGGTTCAATTCAACAGGAAGACCTAACTATCCAAAATATATATGCAGCCAACACAGGAGCACCCAGATTCACAAGGTAAGACCTATGAAGAGACTTAGATTTCCACACAATAACAGTGGGAGACTTTAACACCCCACTGGCAGTATTAGACAGATAATCAAGGCCAAAAACTAACAAAGATATTCAGGACCTGAACTTGACAGAATGTACCTAATAGACATCTACAGAACTCTCCACCACAAAATGACAGAATATACATTCTTCTCATCTGCACATGGCACATACTCTAAAACCAACCACACAAATGGATATAAAACAATCCTCAGCAAATTCAAAAAAACCAAAATCATACCAACCACACTCTTAGACCACAATGCAATAAAAATAGAAATCAATACTAAGAAAATAACTCAAAACCATACAATTATATGAAAATTAAAGAACTTGCTCCTGAATGACTTTTTGGAAAACAGTGAAATTAAGGCAGAAATCAGTTCTCTGAAACTAATCAGAACAAAGATACAGTATACCAGATCTCTGGGACACAGCTAAAGCACTGCTAAGAGGGAAGTTTATAGTGCCAAATGCCTACATCAAAAATTCAAAAAGATCCCAAATTAACAACCTAACATCACATCTAGAGAAACTAGAGGAACAAGAGCTAACCAAGCCTAAAGCTAGCAGAAGATGAGAAATAACCAGTAGTAGACTTGACTTGAAGGAAATTGAGACAGAAAACAAACAAACAAAAAAAAAACCCCAAAAAAACCCATGCAAAATGCCATATAAACACAGACCTCTTGTCTTTGAGCTGATTCTATGAAATCACCTTTCCCATACCATTAGATTTTAGTCTTAAGAGGTATCAGCCTGTTGCTTCTGACCTCTTAGTGGGGTTTTCAGCTTAGGAAATATTCCATTACAAATATTTAGGCAGGAAACCTAGAAGGAAGTCTCAAATGCTTTTATTAAAATCTTATGCAACTTTAATATGTAAGAGTCCTTAATGTATTAAGGGGTGGAGGAAGCAGATATAGGGAATGTGTACATTTTCTATGGTTAGCATAGGGCCAAAGAATAAAAGGAGATTGTAGATTTTATTTTTTTAATTCTGTCTTTTTTGTGGATAACTCATTGCATTTAAAAACTGTAAGATGGGTTAAGCAGTTGCATTTAGATGAGAGCAGTGAGGTGATAGATAATCCAGGCATTCAAATAGGGTACAAATGAATTTTTCAACTACATTTTAGAACAGCAATTAAATGTAATTTATAATCTTATTTAATTGATAGGTTGTGGTAATTAAAGGAGCTTTCTGTTGTAAGTGATCTTGTGAGATAAAGGACATTGCTGTCAAAATATTTTTAATATTTAAAGCCAATATTTCAGGTAGATGTCGAAGTGATTTAGCTAATTATTATTCTTTTATCCCAGATATGCTACAATTAAATGATAAATAATTGGATTTTTTGATAAACGGGATGTAAGGAGATATGTGTGTTTTCTGATCACCAAGTAACTATAAATATTTTGCACACACTGAATTTTTTGGAGGGCAAATCTGGCTCTCTTATTGCAAAACACTTTTTTTTTTTTTTTTTTTTTTACAAATTTGATGTGTATGGTTCTTCTGCTTTAGTCATAGAATAAAAAATCATATTCTTACAAAAATCTTATATTCAAGCTCTCTATGACCATCAATGATTTTCATTATTTTTTTTCTGCTTAAAAATCCAGAGAATTTCTCTCACTGATTTTTGAGGTTTTCTGCCATCTTATGTTGCTAACTTTCTTTTTATTGTCCTGTTTGACGCTGTAGCCACGCAGGTCTCCTAGTGCTTCAGCTCAGGCTGTTCTTTGACACTCAGTGCCATTCTCCTTCTCCTCCACACTCTCCCATCTAAGCCAGATTATAACGTGTTCAGTTTCCAGCTTCATAACTTATCACTGCATGACTCCGAACAAATAGCCTAACTTCTCTGAGCCTTACTTTCCTTATCTATAAATTTGAAATAATATCCACATCACAGTAATTGTGATAATGAAAAAAACACATACAAATATTTGAGCATAGTTTCTGCCAAATATCAAATATTTAATCAGTGTTATCTGCCACTATTACTATTATAACTCTGTTTTTATAGCTATTATGACAATTCTATTCTTCCTCAATTAGTTAAAAATTGACTTTCCCCAGAAACCCTTTCTGATTGTTCTTATATACCTCTAATTTTTTCTCAGATCTGTTTCCTCTTAGCACCTGGCTTCCCTTTGGACTATGTTAATCTACCTATGTTATTATATTTCTTTCATCATTCTTCAGCGAACAGCAACAAATACTTTGCATCTATCATATGCCAAGTACTCTGCTATTATAAAGGGATCCATGGGCATATAGTAGAGGGATTCAGTGTGTGTGTGTGTGTGTGTGTGTGTGTGTGTGCATGCATGTATGTACATATGCTTTCAAGTGGAGTTAGGGAGAGAAAATCTGTAGGTTGAATAGAGCTATGAATTTTTCAGAATAAACTAGGCTTAAGGAGCAAAAACCGTTCTCTCCGAATGTTCTTGAAATCTGAGATTTTTTTTTTTTATGGTTCAAAACATAGAAACACTGTAGTTATCTCTGATCTTGAAACAGCTTTACATATGCTTTCTTGGACTCCTATGTCATCATCCAGATGCAGGGTAGAGATAGAAAGGGAAGTCCTCCTTGAAGAACAGAATCCTAACAGATTATTCCAATTTATATTGGGGAGTGGGAATGTTGTGGGAGGGGAATTGGGGGGCAGGGTGAGAGGAGAGGGAGAACATTCCGGGCAGCAGGAACAGTATGACCAAAGGCGCTGAGACATGAAACTGCCAAGAAGGATTGAGAAGTGCACAAAGTTTGGTGTTACTAGAGTCAAGCATTTCAGGAGATGAGTCAAGAGTCAAGCATTTCAGGAGATAAGGCAGGACAGGCCGTAGGAGCCAGCTGGATCAGACTTAGAGGCCTATGGCTTATATATTTATATCTCTCTATAAGGCACTTAGGGAGGTAGGTCTATATAAACAATTTATAACAGGTAAATTCTACATGTTGCTTCTAAATTTGGACTTGGGGCTTACAATATGGCATGTAATACATTCCTTCCAATTGCTGTTGTCACCAGAATATGATGAAAACATTAGTTAAGTTAATATATAATTGATATTTAGCACTCTCACTTTTAATAACTTGAGTGAAGGATAGAAATGTGAAGTGTCATTTGTGACTTTTGAGGTGGGGGATTCTGTATGAAGTTTGATAGTAGAGATGGGATTTGACGGGATTGAGACATCCAATGAGAAGAGTCAAGAGGATCACTACAAATGTGTGGCCTCGAACCTTTCAGTACCTTCTTCATATATTTTACACAGTAGAAAGCCAAGTGCTTTCTATTCACAGCTTCATTTTACACAATTATGTGTATGACAATGTACAAATACATTTTCATCAATATTTGGTTTGTATTTCTTTGTTGGCATTGCAATTAAGTTTTGACTTCCTTCCCCTCTCCACTCCTTTGATTTGATATATCAATGTGTTATTCATAGCTTATGCAATACCTGATGTTAATATTTAGCTCTAAAAAATTTTACATTTTTACTCCAAAAATATGTTTTCTAAGTTTGAGTGTTGTCCAGTAGATTTTAACTCTGTCTTTTTGTGGTGTTTCCTCTTCCTTGGAAATTAAGCATTAGGACCCAAAACACCCTAACCGCAAGAGCTTAAAATTCCCAGAGAAGAATTAGATGTGAAAGAAACAACTCTATAACTTACTTGAACTTTAATTAGCCTGAAAGTGGAATGTCAGGGAGAGGTCTGCAAGGAGGCTAGGAAAACAGAGCAAAGCAGAATATCAGCATATTTGCAGCACTGTGCAGGGGAGATCATACCCTTATTGAGGGGTCCATGCTTACCAAACAACTTTTTAATTATCACTCATGGATTTGCCTATAGAAGTTGCCAATCTACTGATTCAAATATACAGACTTCTTGGCCCTTATATTTTTCTTTTTCTTTCTTTCTTTTTTTTTTTTTTTCTTTTTGAGATGGAGTTTTGCTCTTGTTGCCCAGGCAAGAGTGCAGTGGCGCAATCTTGGCTTACAGCAACCTCCGCCTCCTGGGTTAAGCGATTCTCCTGCCTCAGCCTTCCAAGTAGCTGGGATACCAGGCATGTACCACCACACCTGGCTAATTTTTTTGTATTTTTAGTAGAGACGGGGTTTGTCCATGTTGGTCAGGCTGGTCTCAAACTCCCGACCTCAGGTGATCTGCCCGACTCAGCCTCCCAAAGTGCTGGGATTACAGGCATAAGCCACCATGCCAGGCTCTTTTTTTTTTTTTTTTTTTTTTTTCTGAGACAAGGTCTTGCTCTGTCGCCCAGGCTGGAATATCGTGGTGCAATCTTGGCTCACTGCAACCTCTGCTTCCCAGCTCAAGCGATCCTCCAGCCTTAGCCTCTGGAGTAGCTAGGAACACAGATGTGAGCCACTATGCCTGGCTCATTTTTGTGTGTGTGTGTGTATTTTTCCTGGAGATGGGGTTTCACCATGTTGCCCAGGCTGTTCTCCAACTCCTGAGCTCAGAGCGATCCATCAACCTTGGCCTCGCAAAGTGCTAGGATTACAGGCGTGAGCCACTGTGCCTGGCCCAATTTTTTTTTTTTATTTAAATGAATTACTTCAGCATTTCCAGTTATAAAGCAGCCTCTTAAGAATTCTGCTTCTCAGGTGAACAGACAACTCAAGTGTCTGAACCCGCAGGGCTGAGCTGCCAACTCCTGGCTGTGTAACTCCTCCCAGATAATGCCCCTCCCTGAGGTCCTAGCTGGGCTTCCAAGACCCCTATTTCTTGGATAGCTCCATCTTCTCTAATGTTTTGTAAAGTTTTTATGGAAATATATCAGACATACAGAGGAGTGCACAAAGCATATAAGTATAGTTCAATAAATTTCCTTACAGTGAATGCACCCAGGCAAGCTGCCTCCAGATGAAGAAATAGGACAATACAGGCCCTCCAGAAGGGTACCATGTGTTCCCACCCAGTCACTATTACTACTCACATGTAACCACTACTCTGACTTTTGCCACCATAGATTAATTCTTTCCTGTTTCTCTTTCACATTAATTAGCGCCTGGTATTCTGAATGACCTAGGATATTAGGATCCGTCTGGCTGAGGGTGAGCCTTGGGCACCCCAACGAGGGTGTAATTGGTTCAGTTGT
Source organism: Homo sapiens (assembly GCF_000001405.40). Classification (NCBI taxonomy): domain Eukaryota; kingdom Metazoa; phylum Chordata; class Mammalia; order Primates; family Hominidae; genus Homo; species Homo sapiens. The sequence continues at coordinate 98,743,894 of NC_000003.12, forward strand.
GCCCCCCTCCCCCCCCCGCTCCAAGAGATATTTAGAAGTCCTAATCCCCAGTACCTCAGATTGTGACCTTATTTGGAAATAGAGTCATGGCAGATGTAATTAGTTAAGATGAGGTCACACTGGAGTAGGGTGGGTCCCTAATGCAATATGATTAGTGTCCAGGTGAAGACAGAAACACGGGAAAACACCACGTGAAGACAGAGAATTGTAGTGATGCATCCACAAGCCAAGGAATGCCCAAGATTGGTGGCAGAGCCAAAGCTAGGAAGAGGCAAGGAAAGATTCCTCTCTACAGTTTTCAGAGGGAGCATGGCCCTGCTAACACCTTGATTTCAGACTTCTGGCCTCCAGAACTGTGAGACAGTAAATATCGGTTGTTCTAAGCTACCCAGTATGTGGCACTTTGTTTCAGCAGTCCTAGGCACTAATACAGAGGTTCTGCCATGGTACTGATCCCTCTTCTCTGCATCCCCTGAGTACACTTGGTTCTTGGTCTTGAAGATGGTCCAACTGAGTAGTGGCTACACCCTGTCCAAGCTGTGGCTCTCTAAACTGACTCAAAAACTGCCTCTCTTGCTTCTGCTTACTCCCTGTCTGTGATGTGCCCTGGGGGCAGACAAGTTTCATTATCATTATATTGGTTTTTCTTCATTTCTTGACTCTGCTCTTTACTACACTTTGAGATTGAGCCAGTTTGCTTCCTGACATGCTCCAGGTTGAGCCTTGCAGACCTGCCCTTCTGCACCTTGCCTGGGTCTCTGCTGAAGTGTTCTTATTCATCCTCCTAGACCAGATTGGGGCCACACCTCTGGTGTCCAGTTTTTCCCAGTTCCTTTGGCCCCAAAAATATCTTTGATAGGAAAAAAAAAAATCAGCTCACTTTATTTTTTAAATGAAATCCTGATTTTCCAAATAGTGTGGCATGTTGTAAATAAAGGCTTCATTATGCTGAACTTTGGCATGTCAAAGATTCCTTCTTCTTTGATAAAATAGAAAAGCCCTCAGTTTAAAAAGCAGCCCAACAATTAGACTTTGGTTAGTAATAGGGAACCATGCAGAGCATACTAGACATGGGATGTTCCTTACTCATTGAAAGATCGTCTTTAAACTGCCTTACAACTTTTTTTTTTTTAAATTTTATTTATTTATTTATTTTTTGAGATGGAGTCTTGCTCTGTCACCCAGGCTGGGGTGTAGTGGTGTGATCTCAGCTCACTGCAACCTCTGCCTCTGGGTTTCAAGCGATTCTCCTGCCTCAGCCTCCTGAGTAGCTGGGATTACAGGCACTTGCCATCAAGCCTAGCTAATTTTTGTATTTTTAGTAGAGACGGGGTTTCACCATGTTGGTCAGGTTGGTCTCAAACTCCTGACCTCAGGTGATCCACCCCCCTTGACCTCCCAAAGTCCTAGGATTACAGGCGTGAGCCACTGCGCCTGTGAACTTATCTGTTTTTTATTTTGGGCTGAGTTTCTGGTGTTAGGGGAATCACAAGGACAGTACTGTTGTGAAGTCCCCAGAGTGACTCTCTAGGCTCAGGCCAGTTCCTGTGTTCTTGCTTTGGGACCTAGGGACTCTGCTGGTGGCATTTCTTTTAAATCCTCTTAGCACAGACTGTCCTTTGGTCTTTAATGTCCTCAGCCTAGAGTGGATGTACATTCTTCAACTGTCCCTTTCTTTTCTGTTCAGAAGCAGTGGAATATTGCTAGCAACTATGGGAAAGTCTTCAAGACATTTTTAAAAATCACCAACTTTCAGAAGTTTAGGTAATCCTAGTTTTGGTTTCTGGTCTATTTGACATTCTTAATTCTCTTGTTAAGCCTCTTTCAGCTTCTAGCTCCTGTTGTTTATACTGGGAAGTATTTTGCCCTTGGAGGAGGGAGTTTTAGGCTAATTATATATTATATATAATGCACATTTTATGTAATTGAAAAAATATAAAACAGTACACTTTGTAGTTCAGAGGTCAGGGATAGAGCAAGGGGTTATGTGTATGTTATGTTTTATTGTCTGTGTTTAAATGTGTGACTACATGGGCTTGCCTTTAGTACATCCATACTCTCTCGGCTCAGACAGTCCTTACACCCTGAGATTTCATGGCATGTGATAGATGGGTATAATTATCTGTGATGGATGGTTGGATGGATAGATGGATGAGATAGGTTGGTTGGATAGATGGATGGATGAGATGGGCTGAGATGGATGGATACATGGATATATGGATAGATGAACAAATGATAGGGCTGCTCCATCTGCTTGGTCGGTTTTCTCACTAAACTATTATGCTAGTGATATGAATTTCAGTTGATTTCAGGGGTGCCTCCTGAAGCTTGGAAGCGTTTTCCTAAGCCCAGGAGGATTTCTTAAGCTTCAGAGATCTAGAACTGATAACTCCTTAGCTTGGCTATGGAATGTACTAAAATATTGTTCTAGTAGGTTGTGAAAGTGAGGCCAAACAGACTCCATTGTAACCCTCAGTGTACTGGGGTGACGTTTTTCATTGGGAGCCCAGATTTTTTTTTTTAATTTACCTTCTTGGGGATTGCGTACACTTCTGTAGAAGATACTTTTCTTCTCCCCTCTGCCCCAGAAGAGAAATGCCCTTTGAATTTTGTATTGTATTTTCTAGACTGGGTTGTTTTATAATGTGAATAATGTCGTCAGTAAATAGTTATCCATCTTTTGAAAGATCTACCTTTTAATGTTTTCTCAGATTCTTCTTTATAGAAAATAACGTTAACAGTGAAAGAATTCCATACATGAGTCTTCACATTTTTGTCAGTGAAAACAAAATTATTTTTTTAATTTTTAAAAATTATGCAATATTATTTATTTTATTTTAATTTCCTTATTGTTACATATTATATGTATGTATTTTGGGGGCACATGTTATAGTTTGATACATTCATATAATCACATCAGGATAATTAGGATATTTGAGTCTTCACATATTTGTTAACTAGATTTCAGTTTACACTTGATAATAAACCTTGTTACAATGTCTTTGAGGTAACATTTGCCGTTCATGTAAGTAGATCATTGTTTATAGTCACATCATTTATAAGTCTAACCACTTCAAGACTAAAGACCAGGCTCGTTCATGCTCTGTTTAATAGTCCCCTTTATCAGACATTGTCTATGGTATGTGGTAGGCACTTCACAGTCCCTTGATTCTAAAAACAATGTGGTAACCTTCCTGTAAGGTTGTGCCTTGGATTATTTTCTGGCCAGAACACAGAACAAAGCATTCCAGAGAAACCTTGGTTTGTTTATCTACTTTCTTCAATGCGCTCATTTTTTCAGCCCCGTCAGTATGGTTATCAGGAAGAGAAATTGGTTATAAGAAGACTATTTTCTGCATCTACTTTCTCTTCAATATGTTTTGTTTTCAACAGCGTTATTATAGATTCACATAAACTGGAAATCTTTTTCTGTTTTATTTCCTTTTTCAGAGATTCATAGTGTTTTAAATATCTAGGTATCTTCGGATGACTTGAGCTACCAAAGGTTTATGTTACATGACTTAAACTACCAAAAACATGTTTATGTTTTAGAAAAAAATTCTATTTAAAAATGAAACGACAATTCTAAAGTATTTCTAGCAATTTGTACGATTCACTAGCTTAGTAAACTGTTTTTACCAGATTGGCAAAAAGTGATTTGGCTCCAAAATGACATTTAGATAATCAAGTCTCTGAAAACAACCTAATTTCTACTCCAAGGAATGTACAAATTTGTGATGTATTTGTTTGATAGAATAGAGCATTTAAAAAGAATGAACCAGATCTTTAGGCACCATATGGATAGACCTAAAAATTAAAAATATAGAGTGATAAACACAAATTTCAGAATATTATGTATTTGCTATTCAAATGTTAACACTGAAAACAATATCATATACTCTATAATGTTTATGAATATGTATGTGTGGGTATGTGTTTTTGTGTGTATATATAAAAAGGGGACTGACTATGTATCAAATCCATGATACTGGGAGGAGAGGAATGGGGGTAGGGAAGGGACCATAAATCTAGTTTAAAAATATCTTTCAGAAGAGATGGTTATTTTTGGTAATGAGCTCATGGGCATTTATTAAATTAACATTTGGACCTCTATTAATGTTTTTGTGATAAATATGCATAATATTTCCTAATGAAATAGATCACAACTAGGAGCCATACATTTATCAAGATTCTGGGAATGAGACTGAAGCTATTGTTAGGCACACCTAATATTTCATGATGTCATTCTGTGCAAATTGAAAATTAACAGAATGAATTTTGAACATGAGGAAAGCTTCAAGTTGATCTCACTCTTGGGAAGCTTACAGGTTGGGAATAAGGACCCTGGCAGCAAACTGCCTAAGAGCAAACCAGCCTTGATACCTTTTAGCTTAAGACCTTGGGCAAGTCATTTAACTTCTCTAGGTCTCAGTCTCCTTTTCTGTAGAGTCAGAATAGTAGTGCACATCTCCATCTCAGTGCTATTGTGGGGATTATATGAGTTTGTGCCTGTGAAACCTGGAATGTAGTAAGTGTGCAAAAAAGATTAGCTATTATTTTCTTTTCTTATTTGTATTTATTTATTTTTTTGAGACAGAGTCTTGCTCTTTCTCCCACGCTGGAGTGCAGTGGTGAGATCTCAGCTCACTGCAACCTCCGCCTCCGGGTTTAAGCGTTTCTCTTGCCTCAGCCTCCCTAGTAGCTGGAATTACAGGCGCCTGCCACCATGCCTGGCTAATTTTTTGTATTTTTCGTAGAGACGGGGTTTTGCCATGTTGGCCAGGCTGGTCTCGAACTCCTGACCTCAGGTGATCTGCCCGCCTTGGCCTCCCAAAGTGCTGGGATTACAGGTGTGAGCCACCGCGCCTGGCCTGCGCTATTATTATTTTCATCACTGCCCCTGCTATCTGCAGCCTCGGTTCTTTGAGTGTACCATTTTCATTCTCACCTCAGAATCTTTGCAAATGCTTCTTCCTCTGCCTGGAATGTTCTTTCTTTCTACCCTGTTTTATCTGATTAACTCCTCTTCATCCTTCAGAGACACTTCCTGTCCTTCCCTATCTGGATCAGTCCCTAGTCACCCTACAATTGGAACTTGATGATTACTTGTGAACTACTTGTTAATTTCTGCCTTTCTTGATGAACTGTAAACTGTTTTTCTTCTTCGCTGCTGTATCTCCAAAGCCTAAAACAGTGTCCAGCACAGAGTAGTCAGTGAGAAATTCTTTATTGAAGAAATCAACAAAGTTACCCTAGAAAGTGAAAACATTCAGAGTTAAATTTAGCAAGAAATGATTTTGAAATTCACTTTGCCTTAAGGATCAATCCACTGGTTTTAGGAAATAAATCTAGGATTGTTTCATTTCATAAAAAAATCTATCATATGTATTGATTTATTTGTAATAATAAATTATAAGTTGCCCTAAATTAAGATTCACCTCATATTTGTAACTTAGCTCTAGGAAATCATCTGATTGATAGTGGTATATGTGTTGTCACATTTTCATTTGCTGTGGAGAGCAGGACAGTTTCAACACGGGAATTTTAAGGTTTGGTATATGCTCATCTGATTGTTCACCCTTAAGCTAACTCATTTCTTTCTTTTAAAAATAGCAGAAAAGGTAAGGGAAAAAAATCAGATTGGAGAGGATATTTCCTAAGGGCCAGAATAATCCAGGCTTATTCAGAATAAATTGGCATAATAAGTATTTGAAAACAGAACTTTCAAATATCAGATGAAATGTTATTTATAACTTTTAAGCAAACTAAAACAGTAAACTCTTTGGAAGGGGGACTTTTAGAATCAGGAAAGACAGAAACTTGTTCCCCCTTAGTTGTAGTTTTATTTACCCTGGGAGAAAAACATAAGAATGCTTTCAAGTGTAAGGAAGGGCTGTGTATTCAGATATCAGCATACTGCTCCAAGAAAGACATCAGAGAGTTTTGAACTGATTGAAAGCCCAAATCTATTGGATCAGTTGAGGAGCAGAGCAAAATATGACCAAGCAATAAACGAGTACCTTCAAAGCTTTTAAGAAATTCTTATAGTTTGTATAGGTGGTTGGGAGGTGAAATTCCAGGGCTAGGAATATAATGTAAAGCCCTACAATGAAAAAGAAGACTGCAAATTGTGGCCTTAGGGGACTTTCCCTGCCCCGTTCAGAGACACATGATTTTTTTTTAACAGAAATCCCTGGAAAAATTACTTTAGAGCCATGTTTTCTTGCATTCTGCATTTTCATTAATGGTAGTATACTGAAATCACAAATTCATTCATTCTTTTCTTCATCAGAGCACATTTACTTAGTTTTAAGTACTTTCCAAGCTCAGAATAAGGTCACCATTCTTCTATGGAAGTGAAACATCTCTTCTTTAGAATTGTGCAAAATTAATTACTGGTTGGGGTATGACCTTGGGGGTATAGGATATAACATGTTTTTGGACATTTGAATGTGTGGACTCACAAAACTCTGCTAATAACCACTTAACCTATTTATTAATCATCTGCCTCAAAATCAGGGCTGAAGACTTTTGAAATAATGTAGTTAGAAGACTCTGTACAGTGACCATACTTTGGGAAACCCTGGTTTAAGTAACATTCGAATGTTCCTGTTCACCCTAAATTCTTGCCACTCAAAGCAGGGGCTTCAGACTAGCAGCACTGGCATTCTTTTTTTTTTTTTTGCATGATTTGGGAGCTTGCTGGAAATGCAGATAACCAGGCCCTGCCCTAGACATGCTGAATCAGAATGAGCAACTTAACAGGATGCTCAGGTGATGCCAATGGCTATTAAAGTTTGTTAAGCACTGCTCTGCCCACTCCTGCCAAATGGACTTTAGAACATACTAGTAATGTGTGACCCACTTTCCAAGAATGCATCCTGTATTAGGCAGTCCAAATATTAGCAAGGTCTTCCTAGTACTGAGCTCAAACTTAACTCCTTGAATTTTGCATTCACTGGCCTTGGCATAACTGCTTGGTAGCCATCAGAACCAAGTAAAATCCTCTTCATGAAGGACCTTCAAGCCTGTGACTAGGCTGTCTTGTTTCCTTCCTTGATTTAAGCTTCCCCAGGTGTAACTAAATCCCTGTTTCCCCCAGTATGACAGTGCTTGAGGTTTCTTTACCAACTTATCCAGACTAAATAATCTTTTTTTTTTTTTTTGAGATGGAGTCTCGCTCTGTTGCCCAGGCTGAAATTCAGTGACATGATCTTGGCTCACTGGAGCCTCTGCCTCCCAGGTTCAAGGAATTCTCCCTGCCTCAGCCTCCCGAGTAGTTGGGATTACAGGTGTGAGCCACTGCGCTCGTCCCAGACTGAATAATCTTAAAGGACCCTTCCAACTTTAAAATTGTGATGGATTCTTTAGTAATAAGTAATAGTGGATAGAAGATGATGGAAACTCAGGAACTATACTTTCTATACATTTAAGGAGAGAATAATCCTGAGGCACAAATATATCATGATCCATAATTTCTTTAGGTTCAAAATTCTGTCTCATGGTGAAGACTTCTCTAATAGTAGGCATTAAACAGCACTCCTTTGCTTTTCTCTTGATTTCTAAATGGGTTTGCTACTTAACACTTCAAAAGTGAAATGTATATAGAGATATATGAAAATAAGCACTTTCAGTTTCTTTGAAAATTGAAACATTTATGTACTTAAAAAAATTCTCTGTAATCTACAATTCAGCACATCAGCTGATTTTGTTTTTCTTTAATGCCTTTCAGTACAGTACATTCTCATTTAATGTCATTAATAGGTTTTTGGAAACTACAACCTTAAGCAAAACATTTTTGTTCATTGTCATTTTATTATTGATGAAAAAAATTGGTTTTGATGTACCTTACTTTGCTGAAAGTCATAGTTTCCAAGAACTTATGAACAATAAGTGAGGATTTACTATAAGGTGTTACATATGCATATGTCTAACAAATGGAAATAATCTTCATGTAGTCAACTTTTAAAAACTTTCTTTGGTAAAATCTATTTTTTATGTTACTATATGATTTTCATAATCAAGCATAATTATTTCCCTGTTTAAGGGCATTAGAGTTCATAAATGGCCTATGAAATAAAATATTTGCCAATTTTAAGGTATTTGTTTTCTAAGAATTTTTTAAAATAAATATATTCTAACAGAGACCATAGCAGCAGAAAAACCCCACCTTCATCCTCTTAAGGTCCCAGCTGGGTCCAAGAATTAAATTGACATAAGTTAGATTAACAGGAGAAAAGCATGCACATTAATTTTACAAGTTTTATGTGGCATGGGAGCCCTCATAAAGAAGTAAAGACGCAAAGAAGCAGTTAGAGCCAGTTACGGGCATGGCTCATTTTATTGTATTTCATAGATATTGTGCTTTTTACACATTGAAGGTTTGTGGCCACCCTTTGTCCAATAAGCCTATTGGTACCATTTTCCCACAGTATGTACTCACTTCTTACCATTGTGTTACATCTTGGTAATCTTAATATTTCAGATTTTTTCATTATTATTATATCTGTTATGGTGATCTATGATCACTGATCTTTTTATAAAATATATATTTTTTTCTTTCTTTTTAAATTTTATTTATTTATTTTATTTTTTTGAGACGGAGTCTTGCTGTGTTGCCCAGGCTGGAGCGCAGTGACGCCATCTTGGCTCACTGCAACCTCCGCCTCCTGGGTTCATGCCATTCTCCTGCCTCAGCCTCGCGAGTAGCTGGGACTACAGGCACCCGCCACCATGCCTGGCTAATTTTTTGTATTTTTAGTAGAGACGGGGTTTCACCGTGTTAGCCAGGATGGTCTCGATCTCCTGACCTCGTGATCTGCCCGCCTCGGCCTCCCAAAGTGCTGGGATTACAGGCGTGAGCCACCGCGCCCAGCTGATCACTGATCTTTGATGTTACTATTGTAATTGTTTTGGGACACCACAAACTACACCACTATAAGACAGTCAGCGTAATCTATAAATGTTTATGTGTTCTGAATGGACCACCGACCAGTTTTTTCCCTGTTTTTCTTCCTCCCCTTGGGCTTCCGTATTCTCTGAGACACAACAATATTGAAATTAGTCCAATTAATAATCCTCCAATAGCCTCTAAGTATTCAAGTGAAAGGATGAGTTGTATATCTCTCACTTTAAATCAAACGCTAGTAATGATTAAGCTTAGTGAGGAAAGCCTGTTGAAAGCCAATACAGACCAGAAACTATGCCTCTTGAGATAGTTAACCAAGTTGTGAATGCATAGGAAAAGTTCTTATTACAAGTGCTTCTCCAGTGAATACACAAATGGTAAAGTGAAAGCCTTATTGCTGATATATAGAGAGTATTAGTGGTCTGAATAGAACATCAAACAAGCCACAAAATTTTCTTGAGCCAAAGCCTGATCCCAAACAAGGCTCTAACTCTTTTCCATGAAGACTAAGGGAACCTGCAGAAGAAAAGTTGTAAGTCATGAGGTTTAAGGAAAGAAACTCTCCATAACACAAAAGTGCAAGGTGAAGAAGCAAGTGTTAAAGAAGAGGCTGCAACAAGTTATCCAGATCTAGCTAAGATAAATGATGAAGGTGGCTACACTGAACAGTAGATTTTCATTGTAGACAGACAGTCTTCTAGTGGAAGAAGATGGCTTCTGGGACTTTTATAGCTAGAGAGAAGTCAATGCCTGGCTTCAAAGCTTCAAAGGGCTGGCTCACCCTCTTGTTAGGGGCTAATGCAGCTGTTGACTTTTAAGTTGAAGCCAGTACTCATTTACCATTCCGAAAATCCTACAACCCTTACAAATTATGCTAAATCAGCCAAGTGCGGTAGCTTACGCCTGTAATCCCAGCATTTGGGAGGCCAAGGCAGGAGGATCACTTGAGCACAGGAGTTTGAGGCCAGCCTGGGAATCATAGGGAGAACCCATCTATTAAAAAATAATTGTCCTAAATCTACTCATCCTGTGTGCTATAAAGGAACAGCATGGTTTACTGAATAGTTTAAGCCAGTTATTGAGACCTGCTGCTTAGAAGAAAAAGATTGTTTTCAAAATATTATTGCTCTACAGTGCACCTAATTACCCAAGAGCTCTGGTGGTGTTGTATGAGGAGTTTAATGTTGTTTTCATGCCTGCTAAAACAACGTCTATTCTGCAGTCTCTGAATCAAGGAATAATTTCAACATTCAAGTCTTATTATTTAAGAAATATAGTTTGTAAAGCTCTAGGTGTCACATAGATAGTGTGTCTAGGGGTCACATAGATAGTGACCCCTCTGATGGATGTGGGTAAAGTAAATTCAAAGCCTTCTGGAAAGAATTCACCATTCTATATGCCATTAAGAACGTTTGTGATTTATGGGAGGTCAAAATATCCACTTTAACAGAAGTTTGGAAGAAGTTGATTACAACTCTCAGGGATGACTTTGAGGGCTTCCAGATTGTAGTGGAGGAAGAAACTGCAGATTGATGGGAATAGCAAGAGAACTAGAATTAGCAGTAGAGCCTGAAGAAGTGACTGAATTGTTACAAACTCATAATAAAACTTTAATGAATGAGGATTGCTTCTTATGCAGGAGCAAAGAAAGTGATTCCTTGAGATGAAATCAGCTCCTAGTGAGAATGCTCTGAACTTTGTTGAAATGACAACAAAGGGTTAGGAATAGTAGATAAATTTAGTTGATAAAACAGTGGCAGGGTTCGAGAGGATTGACTGTAATTTTGAAAGAAGTTCTGTGGCTAAAATGCTATCAAAGAGCATTACATGGTACGGAGAAATATTTTGTGAAGGGAAATGTCAGTTGACACAGCAAACGTCATTGTTTTATTTTAAGACATTGTCACAGCCACCCCAACCTTTAGCAACCACCAGCCTGATAAGTTAGTAGCCATAAGCACTGAGTCAAGATCATCCACTAGCAAAAAGATTATAACTCAGTGAAGGCTCATATGATCAATCATTAGCATTTTTAGCAGTAAAATATTTTAAAATTAAGATATGCACATTGGTTTTTAGACACAATGCTATTACTGCACACTTATAGACTGTTGTATAAACATAACTTACATCCATTGGGAAACTGAAAAATTTGTGACTTGCTTTATTGTGATATTTGCTTTATTGCAGTGGTGTGGAACTGAACATGCAATATCTCTTCAGTGTGTCTGAATTTATTTTTTATTTATTTGTTTATTTTTTTTGAGACGGAGTCTCGCTCTGTCGCCCAGCCTGGAGTGCAGTGGCACAATCTCGGTTCACTGCAACCTCCACCTCCCGGTTCAAGCGATTCTCCTGCCTCAGCTTCCTGGGTAGCTGGGACTACAGGTGCCTGCCACCGCGCCTGACTGATTTTTTGTCTTTTTAGTAGAGACTGGGTTTCACCATGTTAGCCAGGATGGTCTTGATCTCCTGACCTCGTGATCCACCTGCCTCAGCCTCCCACAGTGCTGGGATTACAGGTGTGAGCCACCGCGCCCGGCCTGAACTTATATACTAGATTGAACATAATAAACTGTGAAAATGCAGCTAAATTGTGTGGGGAGGCTTAAAAGATAAGAGTTATTTCAACAAGCTCTGTCTCAACATCTTGTCTTTGAAGATAAGGATGTTGCCATTTTTTCTAGTATAAAGAGGGTATCTTCCATGTGGGAATTTCATTTTCTGCTTTTAAGAAACAGCACAAGGGTTAATGAGATATTCATGCAGCTGCTATTTTTCAAGTGCCTTTAACTTAAATAGGCAAAATACCGGAATATTAATACCATAATAATGGACTTAAAATACTCCATAAACCATGCTGTTCTTTTATAGCACACAGGCAGAGTAGATTTAGCATAATTGTTTTTAACGTCCTAAAGAGCATGCATTTTGTGTGTGCGTGTCTGTGTGTGTGTGTTAGTCTTGTGTAAAAATAGCTGTAGCAAGAGAGGTTTGAGATTTTTTTCATTTTTTTTTTTTTAGAAAGTAGCCCACGGCACATTTTTAAACTAGTTGTTCTAATACTTCACCCACACTTCTTTTTCCCTCACTTTCTTCTAGATATTTTTATTCTTCTTGATCTCCTCCTCATTCTCCTCTCTCCTTCTGTCCCTTCCTCTTCTAATGATTTTCAGAGAAATAGATACTTCTCTCACCTCACCTCTGCATTTCAAAATAAAGCTGCGTGTATGTGTGGAGAGAAGCTGGAAAAGAAGACAGATGGTTCTTTCATTACCAGGTTACTTGGGATTAATTGAGCTGGGTATGTTATTATTTTTAAGGAGACTGAGCTGGGTCCTTTGGAAAGCCAGTTCTGAAAGGCAGGCAATAATGTAATATGTACTGTTGGATTTTTTGTTTTGTTTTTGTGTTTGGTAATTTCATCATCCTGGAAAACATTTTTTAGGAGATCAGAAGTGAGTTTACTAAAATGGCGTTTTCCTTAAAGTTTTAAAAATGACTTTACATTTTTCTGGGGCAGCTGAACCATTCTTAGAAACATACTATCTTTATGTTTTATTTCAGCATTTGCAAGTGAGGAAGCAGCACAACCCTGGGTTTTAGATAATTTCTAACAGAGAGGCCCCAGCAATTCAGCAGGCAGCGTCCTGAGTCTTTGGCAGCCTGGTCCCTCTTTCGCAAATTCTCCACCTTTGCGAACAGAGGGTCTTTAGGACACAGATTCTTAAAAGTGCAGGTAAGCAAAGGCAACACCACCATTGTCTCAAATTGCTTAAATGTAAACTTGAGCACTTGTAATGTTCTTATACAATGCTTCTCTTGTGGGTGATGTTAAAATCCCCTCTTCTATGAATACAGGTGCCTGCTATTTTTTTCTCTTACTAGTTTTGCAGCCTGGGGGCCTATAAGACTGCTAATGTAACCCATGACCCTTCAGCATATCCCACAGTTGAGCTATGAGAGTCTTAAATATTATTTTTATTCTCAGTTGAATGGGCCTTCTTTGGGACTCTTCTTAACCAATACATAAGTGAGGAGTAAGAAAACTCTTAAAATTAGAACATTATATGCATCACAAATATTATAGAAATTCTACTGTTAACCAGCTTTATATTGGGCAAGAGGGTTTCCCTCTTTGGGCCTTGTTTTCTCAATAGAATTAATTCCAGTTCTCTGTCTTTAAGTGCAACAATTAATGATAGTTTCATTAAAGTACCTTCTAATTTTTTAGGCTGATTTTTCTTACTTTTTTTGGAATCCTATGCACAGATTTCAGACATCAATGTATAACTTTATTCTGAAAAAAGATCTAGAGTTCAGATGTCTACCAGGAATGAACTACATGTTTTACCCATGAATATATGCAGGCACTCAATGATTTATTAAGGTTCATCAGAGAATGATTATTCTAGCAAATTTGTTTGGAGATCTTTTTGGGAAAGACACTTATTGACTGATAACATTATGCTTTAGTAGTGCTGGCCAATATGGACACTCATAATGGTCTTGTGATTTAGTCCTAGGGAACCTCTTAAGCTCTTGCTTGTTCCTATTGAGATTGCTCATGAGGGTTTCAAAGTCCTTCCCCAGCGTGGTCCTTAGCCACTGGACTTGCAGAACTCTTGAGGACCTGAATCAAGGCTGGAGGTAGGGCTGGATCCTCAGGTTTTACTGCCAGCAACACCTCAATTTAGTGGAATCTGGACTGTAATCATCTTGGTGATTTGTAAAGCTGTTTTTCTTGTCAATCTTTACCATTTCTGGCATCAAAAAGATGGAAGTATTTTGAGAGTCTTTGTGATGCTCCTGGACTCTAGTACGTGCTTGGGTTCAAGTCCCAGCTCTGTCACTTTTGATTTGGGTATCCCGGGGGAAGTTATAACTTCTCTGTGCTTTGGTGTCTTTATCTGTATGATAGGGATGACGATAAAGCCTTTCGTAAAGGTTGGTTTTGAGGATTAAAATAAGTCTATGTCTAAAGCATTTAAAACTGTTCTATCACATAAGCGTTTAGTTAATTTTAACTGCTTTTTTTTCTTTTTTTTTTTTGAGACGGAGTCTTGCTCTGTTGCCCAGGCTGGAGTGCAGTGGCACGATTTTGGCTCACTGCAACCTCTGCCTCCCGGGTTCAAGCAATTCTCCTGCCTCAGCTTCCCAAGTAGCTTGGGACTACAGGCGTGCACCACCACGTCTAGCTAATTTTTGTATTATTTAGTAGAGCGGGGTTTCACTATATGTTGGCCAGGCTGGTCTCGAGCTCCTGACCTCTAGTGACCCACCTGCCTTGGCCTCCCAAAGTGCTGGGATTACAGGCTTGAGCCACCGTGCCCGGTCCTAATTTTAACTTTTTATTGGCACCTGTCATACAGTGTTTATTCTTCTGTCCTTATTCTCTAGCCTAGGGTGAGAAAAATTCCAGTCTTTATCCTTACCTTGTTAAACATTGCTAGAGTCACCATGGTATTTGCTTCAACACCTAGGACACAATATCTGAATCCTTCTCAACATTATAATGGATCCAAATGAGAATGAAACCTATTTCATGAAACCTATTTGCCAACTCAGATTGTTTATAGAGTTCTTGATTTTTATTTGCTTGCTTCAAAACATAAATTTGAAATGTTGTTTACAAATCTGAGTTTTTTGTTTGTTTTTACTAAATTTCAGAGCAGTTTTATTATGAAAAGCATAAAAAAGATATGGTTTCTATAGCCAGAAATAGGGTCTAATTCTAAGATGAGTTTTGCCAGTGAATTAATACTATTTTGAATGCCTTTCACTTTATATTCAAAAGCAGATGAGTAAAGCTTCCTGTCACAGATACTTTAAGATGTTAAAATGATTGTGCAGCAATAATAGCACAGTAATGGAAACTTAATTTTTCGAGGCTGTTATTAGCACAAAGTCATGAGTTCTTTAGCATCTCTACCAGGACATTAGGAAGCTAAGTTTTTAGGGAGGGCTTGGTGCATGGGAAGCTGATACTTCACTAATTTTAAAAGAAGAATTGAAACAAGATTAGGAGAGTCTTTACCATGTGCCAGTTACTTACCTAAGTATTTTATATTTACTACTTGTAATAGCTCTATTAGGAAGTATTATTATTTCTTATTTTACAGCCAAGGAAGCTGAAGTGTAAAAAGATTAGGCAAATTCCCAGGGTGATACAACTCATCAGAAGAAGAGCTGAGACTCAAACTCAGGGGGTCTGATTGTCAAGCAAACAATCTTAACACCTAATTATGCTACTACCTACAAAGAATAAATTGCCAATGAATTATTAAGACCAAATCATGGAAGTCTTAAATACCAGGCAAAGTGACAAGATGAGAGCTGCACTTCGAGGATTTTATGCCAAGTACAGCGTGTGGGCTGGTTTAAAGGGAAGAAAGATTAGAGATCATTGCTAGTAGCTAAGGTGAGAAGTAATGAGAACATGGGTTTAGGAAACAGGATTAAGATAACAGCTTGAAAACACCTGTATTTAGGTGGACAGAGGAAGAAGAGGAAATCTAGAAACACAGGCAGAGAAGTAGAGGAGGGAGGCCGTGTAGTGCTACCCAAGGGGAGATTCTGGAACTGAAAACCGTAGAGATCAGAGAGGATTGGAACAAAAACAAAGACGAGTGGGTTTGGAGATAGTAATTTATTTATTCATTTATTGACTTTTTTACTCATGAAATAAGTAAATATTATTGTGCACCCATAATGTGACAGGAATTGTGCTGGAGGGGAACCCGTGTAAAATGTTCTTCTTTATTACCAACTTTGCTACTTATTAGCAAGATAGCCTTTGACAAGTTTTTTTTTTTTAAACTTTTCAAAATCCTGGCTGCCTCTTCTGTAGTATGATACGTAAGTCCTCACTGTGTCTAAATGCCCCCAACTCTTGCGGTCTTCCCAGCTCTAAGATCTGTAATTCTTGGGTTCAAGTTGTAAATTGCAATAATTGGAAATGTTGTAAATATGTGGCCAATGATTCAGTTGGCACTTAGGTGAATCAGAAGGAGATGCAAGATAAGGTGTGTGTCCTATAGCTGTAATGTGAATGGAGGAATCCTACATATTTTCCCTCAAAAATACTGGTAGTATCATACTGACACTAATAGTAGATGGAAGGATGAGACTGAAAATAATACAGGAAAGACAGTGTCCAGGGAATTAAAAACAAAAAACAAAAAACAAAAAACCCCACAAACATTCCCTAGAGTGGTGAGGGAAATTTTTCTCAAAGCCACTTATTTTCAAAGGGAATCTGACTAGTTTCTTCAGAGAAACTTCTGTTGATTGAAAACTTTCAAAGGTCAAGCCCTAAAGACTCTTAAAAGATGTAGCATAAAACTTAGAATGAGCTGCCAGTTCCCCTCAAAAACTGTTTTCTGTGAAGCCCTGATCTTCTCGGCTGGATACAATTCCTTTTTTCTCTGACCTTCTCCAGCAGTGCTTCTCAAACACACAGATCACATGGGGTTTGCCAAAATCCACTTGACTCAGTGGATCAAAGGTTGGAGCTGAGACTCTGCAGCTCTACCAACTTCCCAGGTGATGCCAGTACTGCTGGTCCATGGACCACACTTTGAATAACAGAGGTGTAAAATAGTTTGCTTTAATTCTCGTAGCAGATAATGGAAATAATTTTGAAACAGTGTAACAGCTCCTTCACCAGACTGTGAGCTCTATTCTCCATATCCTAAAGTCGAGTACGTACACATTATGAAATTCTTGATATTAATAGATAAGAGATTCTTACCTCGGTCAGTGATTTGTATTATTCAATAGCAGTAATAATTTGAACTGGTATAGGTAGGGCTTTTTTTTAAACTGAGATAAGCACCAGCATGCAATATAACTGAGATAGGCACCACAATGCAATATAAAGTTTTCATATAAAGTTAAACGTGTTTACCATATGGCCCATGAAAACGTATATCCACCCAAGAAGTTGCACTTGAATGTTTAATGCAGTTTTATTTACAATAACCAAAAATTGCAAAGAAACCAAATGTGTATTGCCTGATAAATAACTTGTGAACTGATAAATTAATTGTGGTATGACCATACAATGGGATGCTATTTAGCAACAAAAAGGAATGAACTCCTGGTACAAGCAACAACTTGAGCATTTTTTTAAAAAGTATTATGTTAATTGACAGAAGTCAGAAATAAGATATATATTATATGATTCAATTTATATGAAATTTTAGAAAAGCAAAACTATAGTGATAGCAGATCAGGCTGCTAGGGGCCAGGAAGTGGGAAGAAGGAAGTGACTACAAAGAGGAACAAAGGAACTTTTGAGGTTGATGACAATGTTTAGAATCATGACTTCAGTGGTTGTTACCTGATACACTTAAAAGTGGCGAATTTTAGTGTATAAAAATTTTATCCCCAGCTACTCAGGAGGCTGAGGCAGGAGGATTACTTGAGCCCAGAAGTTAGAGACCAGGCTGGACAGTATAGTGAGACCCTGTCTCAAAAAAAGGAAAAAAATGAATAAAGGCAATTTTAAAAATTACACACAGGCTGGGCATGGTGGCTGATGCCTGTAATCCCAGCACTTTGGGAGGCCGAGGTGGGTGGATCACTTGAGGTTAGGAGTTCGAGACCAGCCTGGCCAACATGGCAAAACCCCATCTCTATTAAAAATACAAAGAATTAGCCAGGCATGGTGGCACGTGCCTATAGTCCCAGCTACTTGGGAGGCTGAAGCAGGAGAAATTGCTTGAACCCGGGTGGTGGAGGTTGCAGTGAGCCAAGATTGCATCACTACACTTCAGCCTGGGCAACAGAGCAAGACTCCATCTCAAAAAAAAAAAAAAAAAGTAGCCACAGTCATCAACCTGTTAACAACATCTAATGCTTCTTGGAAGCTGATATCTTATTAGCAGGATGTTAATAAGAGAATACAGGGACAATTTTTACTTTAAGAGAATAAATGGGCATGGAAAGAAAATGTGAATAAACAGTAGGAACAAAAGAAGTTCCCTAAAAGCTTACTTGTGTACTTGCAATGGACCTGAGTCTGAAGAGAGAGCTCTTGAAAACAGGAACTCCAGTTCTTCTATTTTTAGCATCCCATATAGTTGCTATTAGCTGAATGATTTTAGTGTGTCCTGTTGTGCTATTAAAGAAGAAAATTCTGCTGAGAAGTCATTTCTCTCCTTTTTATATTCTTTGCAGTGAGCACACCCCACTTTCAGGAGAGGATCTGGTCATCTGCTTTGGCAGAAGGCTTATCTTTAATTAAGTGAAAAGATCTGTCTACATGTGCTAAGGACAGTGAAAGCACTGGTGAAAGCACTGGCTTTGTTGAAAAGCTGAAAGAGAAGGGTGTTTGTGCATATGCATGTCGGAACCAGCTTCATATCATTGTATTAGCAGAAGAGTTGGGGGAGGAGAGGGAAAGAAAGTTAATTATACGTGTTCCCTTTCTGCAATGCAGAAAGAAAATAGTTATATTCTTAGAAATCAGTCAAAATGTATACAGCTGATCTAATTTGTTGACACTACACAACTCAATATTTTTGGAGGGGGGCATAAATCAGATTTTCTGTTAATTTACTCAGCAATGTCAGAGTTTTTTTCTTAACTTGTATTAAATAGCATTAGTTTATAACTTCAGATTAAATTTAGCCTTTTCGTTGTAATATTGTATGTTTAAAAAATCTATATGTGCTGTTTTTTATTTCTTTAATTATGGTCTATTGAGAATTTCGTCATCCTTCTAGCAGAAAATCCCATCAACCAGACTACTGATTCCTTAGGATTTCTCTCTTTAATTATGAGATTAATAGCTTTTCATATTATAATGTTTCTAAAGAAGTGTGTTTGATAAATGCATAATTTAATGTGTATCATCCCCTTGTTTTATTTTTAAAAGATATTATTAAATGATTATTTAACAGTTCATACTCTTAAAAATATGGTTATTATAGTTTTCTATAAGCCACAATTTCAAAGTGTGGGCTTTGAAATCAGATCTCAGTTTGAATTCTGGCCAGTGCTCTGGGTATTAAACATATCTAGCATGGGGATGAAAATATCCGTGATTTCATCCTTATGTGAAAAAGGGCTTAGTACTGTGCTGGCCATTTAGTAAGTGGTTAATAAACTGTGCTATCATTTACATGATCATCGCTGCCAGAGGTTGTAGATCCTTGGGATATGAATGAAGCTGATCTCACGCATTTGGACTACCTAATTAGTAATAAGGACCAAACCTAAAAGAGAGGTAGTAAATGAATTGAGGAGGACTGAGGCCTTTCCATTCATCACTGTGGAGTCCTGTACATTAAGGCTCAGGTCATATGGAGATGGCTGGGTCTGTGAGGCTTAGGCTTAGGGGACCTATGAGGCTGGACCAAAAAAAATCTAGACATTAATGCATGGCTAGAGTTGGAGGTTCTGTTGTAGATTTGCTCATGTAGGCATGTGACTGCAGATTATAATCACAAATTGAGTAATAAGTACAAAGAGGAAGGAAGGCAGGATGTGAAATCTGTTGGCCATGTTCCACACAGTCTGGAGTGTATGTCAGTGTGAGCTGAAGACCAGCAGAGACTAGGATGGATGACGGCCTGTCCAGGGGCTGAATGGACACAGGTGTCAGCAGGGCCACCTGGTAAAGGTATGGAGGTGAGCCATGAACAAGGTTACCTGCTTAAGGGGAAGGTTGTGGCTTAAATCTAGATGCTGCTGAGATATTAGACATTAGGTGCCCACAGGCTGTGTGGAGGTAGAAGGGGGATGTGCTTCTCTTATTTGCACAAAGATGTGAGTTACTGAGGAGTATTATTGAACAGCAGCATGTTGGGTTTGAGAAGAGACCTAGTAGTAGAAAGAGTAGTATGTCTGCCACTGAGGAAGCAGGGAACAGAAGGGTGCCTCACCCCAGGGCAGATGGGGACATGGTTTAGGATCCTAGTGACTAAAAAAAAAAAAAAAAAAATGGAAGTTTGGCTGCAGAGCTGCTAGGGTGACTAGGAAAGAGAAGAATGCAGACGTTGGAAAAGTGTGGTATAGTTTAAGCACCCAGCAGCAGGAACCCAGGTCCAGTGGATGAGATGACCAGGATCACTACTGGATCCACAGGAACCTGACCCAACTGTTAAGCTGCTAGTCGAGGGCTCCTCAGACTCTCTTTCTGTGGGTCAGAATCAGTCCCAGTGCCTGGGGTGGCTGGGCTTGCAGATGGGCATTAGGAAGCACCTGCTTCCAGACTGAAACAGAACTGGGGATGGAGGAGACAGGGAGGTGAGGTTTGTGTGTGCTCAGCATCCGGAATAGAGAACGCCAAGGGTCTTTCTTCCTTGGTGTTGCATATTGACTGAGATACCCACCGGGTTTTTCTATTAGGTTGGTTTTAAATGACAAAAACCACAATTACTTTTGCACTAACCTAATGCTTGATAAGTAGAACAATGTTTCTAGAATTATTGCTGAACATGCTTTTTTCTAGCTGGTTGGAAAAGCAAGCTCCCTTTGGTTTGAGAAAGCATTAGGGGAGTCTAAAAAAAAACCTGACATTTTTTTCAAGTGTTTCTCCGTAGAGTTTGTTTTTATAAACAATGCTAGCATGGTTGGGAGGAGCAGAACTGGGAACAGGGTTGGGAGTAACAGGCTTTTATTTCAGCTGAGTTTGAATCAAAAGTATTATAAGCTTTACCTCCATTTCATCAATTACTAGAATTGATATTGCTTAAGGAGCTTGCAGGATTGCTTAAGTTGGAGAAATGTTCAGTAATGTTTAGTCTGGTAGCAAAAGGAGGGGCCTGTGCTCACTTGTGAAAGCTCACATCTAGGGGGAGGTAGTATAACGCATGGCCTGTGGCCTGATAGAGACAGATTTGAGTCCTCGTTCTGCTACTTGTCAGCTCAACAAAGTCGTTGCTTCTCCCAGAGTTTTGGTTTCCTCCTCTACAAAATAGGAATTGTAAGTCTACCACTTCTTTTGCAAGGTGGTTGTCAGGATGTCATGAGGTAATACACCAAAAGCAATTATCACATGCCTTGGCACAGGCTAAGCACTCATACATCTTAATGCTTCTAATCAGTTGTTATTCATTGAGCATTTACCACGTGCTAGGCATTTAGGGTAAAAAAAAATAATACAAAGCATCTAGTTATGGGATCTGTATCTGTTACAGTCTCTGTATTTCAGAAATTCTTCCATGGTTCTATTGTATTTCTTAGAGCAGTGATTCTCAAAATTTTAGTGTGCATAAGAATCAAATTGGTGGATGCTGTTTAAATGCACATTCCTGAGCCCCAGAGATTCAGATTAAGTAGAGGCTCAGGAGTGTGCATGTTAACAAGTCCCCGCCTGGTGCAGACTCTTGAGCCTGCCCTAGAGTCACCTCCTTTCACCAATATCTGAATTTACCCTTCTAGACTTCAAGATACCAATGGAACACCATTAGGAATTTTCAGATTAGAATTATCTCTTTTAGATTTGCCTTGTGCTTTTTATCTTGAGAGACAGGATAACACCAGGAATGGAACTCTGAGAAAGAAATGATTGAACCATAAATCTATTTCTGTCTTCCTTAAACTGTGTGACCTCAGACAACTCAACCTTATAAACCTTCAGTTTTCCTCATTCATCAAGAAGACAACACCTGCACACCCATCTAACAAGCTTATTTTGAGCCTTAAATGGAGGGATGGACATATAAAAGATTTTTTATGAACTTTGATGCTCCACACAAAATATGCTTTTACTATTAAAGCAAAGTGAAACATTTGTCAAGATTGAGTTTAATTTGGCATATATAGGTTACTTATACATTGGGTTACATATCTTAGTTGGAGAATATGTGAACATTTGTCCTCTGCCAGTGAGTCCTTCTTTCCCTTGCCATCCTCTACCCACATTTTTGTAAAGGATGTTTTAGGGACCCTGATTTTAGGAGCATCTGCAGCCACAAAGCTGGCATTGGTCCTGTTTAATGTCAAGATCTTGAAAACTCTTTTTTTTGGTAATCAAAGCTATATTAAAGGGCCTTATGTCTTTTTAAAAGCAGATAACCTCTTAAATTCTGTTTTTTTCTTTGAATGTTTTTGCTCAAAGCAAAATGCCCTTCCACTTATACAATATAATTAGATAATTGGTTTATTTGTGGAAGCTTTTTCCTGTGAGCAAGCAGAGGAACCATGTTTATCACAAGGATATCCTGGCTGGCCCGTGTCCTTTGCAACTTGAATACTGAAGCTGTGAATTGTACATGAAATACGATAGTGCCTTAACTTCCTAAATGTTTTTCAGGTGGCGTGTGCAGTAGCTGTTCAAGAGTGGGTTCGTTTTATTGTTTGAAAACAGAGCATTCTCTCACACTTCTTTGTTTTTAATTAGACCACATATTAGTGAATGAAAAACAACAAAACAATAACACAAGTCTCGCTTACCCATACCTCCGTGTTCTGTAGAATAATACATAAATTGCCCAAAGAGTATGTTTTGGAGAATACATAGGAATTTTGACTTGTAAATACTGACTTCTTTCCCTAGACCTTCATATACTGTCTTAGATGTAAATACATTAAAAAATTTTGCTGATACTGGTAAGTTTTATCCTTGTTGGATCTTTGCATAAATGTCATTCTTTTTTTTTTTTTTTTTTTTTTTTTTTTTTTTGGGAAAGGGAGTCTCACTCTGTCGCCCAGGCTGGAGTGCAGTGGCGTGATCTCGGCTCACTGCAACCTCTGCCTCTTGGGTTCAAGCAATTCTCTGCCTTAGCCTCCTGAATGGGTGGGATTGCAGGTGCCTGCCATCACGCCCGGCTAATTTTTTTGCATTTTTAGTAGAGACGGTGTTTCACCATCTTGGCCAGGTTGGTATTGAACTCCTGACCTCGTGATCCACCTGCCTCAGCCTCCCAAAGTGCTGGGATTACAGGCATGAGCCACTGCGCCCAGCCAAATGAAGTTATTCTTAGTGGAGCCTTAAATGTTTGATTTGAGCATTTAATAAGATGTTCCTCACTATTTTGGCCCATGGTAAACTGCCTTCCAGGACCATCTAATAACCCAAAGAGGTAGATGGTGTGTTCTCACTTGTAAACACATGAGGACCCTCAGGTCAGAAGAGGTAGACTGATTTACCTTAGGGTCCCCACACCATATGTAGAGTTAGGCTGTGAATCTTGTCTTCTGATTTCCAACCAGTGTTGACTCTTCACAGGGATTATGTATACCTAATTAGAAGTATGTGTGAACTAAAGTTTGCTCATTAACTTGCTTATTTATTTGCTTTCTCCTGACATAGTTTTCATTTCTAACTAATTTAGAATAGTGGCATGTGGGGGTGGTGACTGCATTAATAGCAGCAAGAACCAACAGCTGACAGCAAGGGAGGAGTGAAAAGCAACTCAACCAGATAATCATGCCAGTTTAGGACTGCTTAGCAAATAGCCCCACACACCCATTAGCTGCAGAGGGTTTCAACTGTAAGAAAGCCCAGAACAATTATATTTGTTGAGCTGACCCCATATTATCAAGAAAAGTTTAAATTATGTTTAGTATATTCTACTTATGAAGGCAAAGGGAGTGGTTTATTTTAAGATTTCCATTTGAACATATTTACCATTAAAAAGAAGGCAATGCCATATTATTTGGAAATTTATTCAACCAGACTCCCAGGTTCTATACTGCATCGCCATGATTGAGGTTAATAGGCATGGATAGGAGTGAAAGGAGTGGCACATGCAGTTGTTTAGACGAACTAGAAACTTGATAAGGGAGACAGAGAAGCAGTGTACCTGTTTAAAGTCACAGGCGTTGAAATAGGTCTATTATGGAACCATATGTTAAATTTGTCTTTTACATTTAATTACATAAGACAATGGAAACTTTTCCTTTTTTCCTTTGAAGCAAAAGAGAAAACCAAACATGTTTTATAGGTTTTTAAAATATATTCTATAAAGGCTTTTTTTGCATTTACATTTTAGAGAGGATTGTGTCAAGGTTTTTGTCTGTCTGCAAATGTGTAATGAATAATATTGTCAATTTAATACAAAACAAGCAAGTAGCTGAATATACCTGAACTGTGATGTGGAAAAATCAAATAGGTGGATCTAAAAGTATATAAAAATTGAGGATGAGGGAAATGTTTTTTCAGTAGCTTTTTTCCTCAGTTAAAAATTAGAAAATGACTTGTAAAAATTATAATGTATAACATTTTAACATCATTTCAAGCACTGAAGAAATGAAATATTCACAGTTTAAGGCATCTATTCACTTTCTACTGAGAGAGAAAATAGATAGGTTTTAATGTTTGTGAAAAAAGTTTTGGATATGGAATAGATGTGTAAAATTTTATTCTGAAGGAATTATTTCTTTCTTACCTACCATGAGAAAGTAGTAGGGGGAGGCCCCTACCTTTGAGACCGTGGAACTGTTTATTGGCCTAAACATACATTATGTTGTGCTTATTGATAAAAGGAGAGACAGAAAAAACATTATCTTTCTGCACGTTTAGTGAGTATTTCCAAAATTACATGCCCACATCATTTTTTTCTATAGTTCCTTTTGTATATTTTTTCCAATAATGCTTATATTTGAGCCATTGTGAAAATCCATTTGTATAACAACCTGGCCTTTGCTTTGGACTTCATTCCTTGTGTTTCAGGTGAGCCAGCCATGAGAGGGTATCTTGTGGCCATATTCCTGAGTGCTGTCTTCCTCTATTATGTACTGCATTGCATATTATGGGGAACGAATGTCTATTGGTAAGTTTCATTTTGTTATTTAAAAATAACTCTCAACCTAGTCTTTCACACAAATCCACAAATTATAGTAGAGGGTCCTATGAAAAAAACTTGTACCATTTTGAATATTTTCTTGCTTTCCATTGTAAATTGGGGTTTTACCATTCCAGTATCCTATAGATTGTATCTCGAACAATTTAAAAGTTGACAAGCAACACCTACTTTCTATTGACTTCCCAGGGAAGCCATGGTGTTAACCATCTTTGGGTTATAACATTCTTTCTTTATGCTATAGATCATCTCCTTGAGTTAATGGCGTAATTACTGGGCTCAGTGGTACTTTTGGAACCTAAAATGCTTGCTTAAGAGATTATTGATAAAATACAGATATTACATATGGTTTCCTTTGTTTAAATATATTTGGTGAACGATGATATATGTATCTTCTGAAATAGCTTTGACTTGAAATACCACATATAAAACTTTGAAGAGGCACAGATAGTTTTACTGAAGAGAAAGCCTCTGTAATAGGGATTTTAACCTTCTCATTGTCAGTCCTTTGGCTAGGAAAAAAGTTTTGATGACCTTTAAATCCCAAGCGGGTGGCAGTACATAATTATGCTAAAATAAATCACATAACTTCCTGTCTTAGACAAAGAGTCAGTATTTTTTGCCAGTGTTTCATAGTACATCTTAGATCATGTTTCTAACTTGTGCTTACTTGATGAAAAAAAGCTGATGCTTCTGCATTTGATTTCATTACTGGTTGATTGAAAAATAATTGTAATGCTTTTCATGGAAGGACGTTAGGCAAATGGCCACTGGAAAAAACCCAATGCCAGGTGGATAGTTTTGGCCCTAAAGTTTTAGGCTTTGGACCCAAATATCGGGCTAGAGAATTTTGAAGTCTGATTATGTACTAAATGAGGACTACATCAAGGGGATCTATCCCTACATCTTTGCCACATTCTCTGTCCTACCCTTAGTAGTAGAAGACAAAAATAGAAGAGAAAGCAAAAAGCTTACTAGATTGCTACTTTCCTACAAATCCTATTGTTGGTCACAGGGAAAATGATAAAGAAGGTGATGAAAAGGATCTAAATCAGCAGTCTTTTGTCATCAGGGTTGAAGTGACCATGTCACTCCTCAGCTAACACATTACTATAGTCACAGCAAGTACCTTGGGATATTAGCTCAGACAGTTGTTTGTGCAATGAACTTGCTTCCTTAAAAATGATTTAAGACATATAATTGTGTTTTTCTTTTAAAAAGTCACCCAAAGGTTGTCTTCACAATATCCTAAAACTGTTTTCTATGTTTTAATGACTTTAGAAATCAAATAATATCTTCATGTTATCCTCCAAATATAATTGAGATTTTTTGGTCTAGTGTGCTGGTCCACCATATTTATGTATCTTCCTTATGTATAAATCAAGGAGTCCTTGCCATTGTGGTATTCACAAAAGATGTTTTCCTGCGTAAGGAGTTTACTAGCCTCACAGTTCAGAAACCTAGCAATTCTAACTATGGGGATTTTGTACCCACAAAAATGGAAAATTGTGTCTGTCCATGAAGGGTTTAGGGTATTTCCTTCATTTTGAATTCTGCTGATTATAGAAGAAAATTGATTAGTTTTTAAATATGAATTCTTCACATAACTGATGATCATTAATAAGTTTTTGTATTAAGCTGTTTTCCTCTTTCCCAGCTAAGTCTGGATCCTGCCATCCACCACCCCTTTCATTTATTTTCCTTGTTGTGCTCTGTCATGTTTCACAATACCCTTTTAAATTGTGGAGACAAGTACTCCATTCAGGAGCACACAAGGGCCTAACTTATGCCAAGAATAGAGAAGAGTTAGAAATGACTCTCAATAGTGTGATTTGTAGAGTCCCCCGGATCCCAAGGCAAGGGTCTATGGAACCTGTTCAGGTCAGGTGTTTCTGTGGTGTTCGCTGCCGGTGTGCGTCAGCAGATGTGGCAGGAGGAGGTAAATAGCCACGTGCCCTTGGGGTGAGTTTCGGTTTCTCCAGCTTTCAGGGACTTCTAAAAAGTGAGCCTGGTTGCAGCTTCTACAATGCAGTAATCCTGGCCCTTCTCTGAAGGTCCTTTGAATCATTGCTCTTGGAATCACTTCTGGGTTGCTCATCACCTCAGCTTTTCCACCCTCCCTTTCCTTACATCCATGAATCTCAGGTGTGTGTAGGGCTTGGAGAAGGTACTGGCAGACCTCAAGAGGTGCAGGGAGTATTTTTGTTTGCTGCCACAGAACCTCTCAGTGGTGGCATGAATGAGTTCCCAGGGCATTTGCTTCCCTTTGGGCAGGGTGCCCGATTCTGGTTTCTGACTGACATTATTTTTGTCTCATAGGGTGGCACCTGTGGAAATGAAACGGAGAAATAAGATCCAGCCTTGTTTATCAAAGCCAGCTTTTGCCTCTCTGCTGAGGTAAAAATATACCAGAAAAACCTGTGGCATACAAAATATTCTAAATGTGCTTGTAATCATTTTCCACACTTGTTTATTTTTTTAATGCAAATCTTAGCAGTATAAAGTGGACACCCCATATTTAAGGAAGAGCTTGAATATCCTGTCTCTTTTTGTGCTTTTAGTCAGAGCTCTGCATATATTTTAAGAAAAGGCATTGAGGAACTCAATCAAACCAGTATTCTTTTCACACAGGTGAGGCTAGAGAGGTCTATTTGTGTTTGATTATAAAAAAGCGAATTGTTCTTTAGGGTTTTATTTTTCCCCCTTGTTGCTCTCATGTTATTTTCCACCCTTATTAATTTGTGGCTTCTCCTTCCTTGCCTCTAGGTTAAACTTTTTGAGTAGAAATTTTCCCTTTTATTAACTTTTAATGAACTACATAGAATGCAAATAATGATTAATCTACATAAAATGTCAATGATTGTTGATTGTGGCTCTTGGGCTTTGTAAAGAATTTACTCTTCTATTCACATATGTTCTTTTCCTCCATCACTTTGACTTTGACAGATTGCTGGTCAAAATGCTCTAGATAACAAGAAATAAAAATCTGTTCAAGGCATGTTTAATTGGGTAAAACAGGCACAATCTGTTCAGCATTTTTTCTATGAAGCATTAAAAATTCATTTTTTTTCCTATTGTCTTTTATTACTGCACCTTGTTATTACTGTTTTTTAACTCTTTGGGGCTACAGATCCCTTTACAATCAATCAACTCTCTGGAAAACTGCAAATACATAAGACTTTTTCGTATATGATTCCAAGTTTGCTATGGCTGCCTGTAGCCTTTCCAGGGGTGTGCGTCCAGTGAGGACCACTGCAAAACTGGAATAGTGTTTTAAACTTTTTTGAACATGACTCAGGAAGAAATACATTTTACTTGGGATCTAGTGCAAACACATATTTATATAATAAGAAAAAAAAAGAATTTTTACCTTTACTACTCCAGATGTACTGTGTTCTGTTCCATTCACTTTTTAAAAAGATGCCGATCGTGACTCACAAAATTGATTTTCTGAGCCACATACGGGTTGCAGACCACAGGTTAAAATGCTACTCTAGAATTAAGGTACTCCATAACTTTAGTGAAAAAAGATATCCTTTCCTTTCTGAGAAAACCCAAAAGGGTTAAAGTATTTATGCAAGATTATTCAGCAATATGTAAGTCTACAGTGTAAGCGACAGGTAGATTTATGTTTATCATGTGGACAGTATTCTCTGAGGGCAGTCCCCTAGAGTGTACTTGAGGCCACTTTCTCAGAAACAGAAAAGCCAGCAGCAATTTGGAGAAGCTCTTCTGGGAAACCTGGAGCTTTTATCTTCAGTGTTATAAAGAGAACATCTTCCCTTATAATTAGGCTTGGGTGTGGATTTCAGCTGTCATTTATGGGATAGTGACCCCAGACTTGTCATAGCTGATACAACTTCACATATATGGTACTTTTAAATTTAGAAATAGCTTAGCATCAGCACTTTTATAATATTACTTTGTTTTTTCCTATATATGGCTATTATTTTATCACTTGCTCTTCGTTTGTTTTTAAGTTTTGTTTTTACTTCCTGAGTTGTAACATAATTTTCATCTTAGTGGCTGCAAAGTGTTTTCATTTCAGTTGTGTAGTTCCATTAAGTACCCCATTCTATGCAATATTTCAGCACGGTTTAAAGTTATTTTTAAAAATTAAAAAAAATTATACATTTTTGTATAGCCAGTATAATGATATGGATTATATGCTGTAGTTACTTTTAGTTTTGATTTTAAAAGCTTGCAAATATAGTAGGTATTTGGCAAAATCATTCTTTATCCTTTCCTTCCAGGTTTCATCAGTTTCACCCTTTTCTGTGTGCGGCTGATTTTAGAAAGATTGCTTCCTTGTATGGTAGCGATAAGTTTGATTTGCCCTATGGGATGAGAACATCAGGTCAGTAGTAGTATTCTTACCTGGTTCTGTTAAATTTGAGTGGTGTTTGATGAGAATGGCATGTTAATATAATTTTAAGGGCTTTTATTCTTTCTGCTTCCTAATGATTTCCAATGGATATGATTTTGGGATGGAATGAAATGAATTACATTTTAAAATATAAATTATCACTCCTTTTGAGGCAGTATAGAACCAAAGGATAACAGGGGTAGATTTGTTGTTGTTGAGAAACTACTTTTTACATTTGCTCTGCCGCCATGTGATCCATGTAAGTTCTGGTGCCTTACTTTATTCTAATTTAGAATTAGCAGGAAAACCTGAGGGTTAGCTTCCTTCCTAGCTTCCCATGGCTTCTTTTTACCTGTGAGTTTTATCTCATCAGCGATTCTTATCTCCTTAAGCAGTCTTTTAATTTAACCAGTGGATATTTTATTTTTGTTAAGTTTAGAGATAATTATTCCATCTTCTAATGATAAAACACTTTCCCTTCTGCTTGTTGATAAGTGATTGGCCCTATATAGCATTAAGTTCTAGATTTTTGAGGGATCATAAAAGCCCAAGGTGACAAGCCTTCAACATTGTGAGTCATATTTTGCTTATTCAACTGATCCTGTGAGGGTGGGGGTTGTATTTTTTTGTTTTATTTTTTATTTTAAAACTATTTTGCAGAGAATTTGAGAATTTAATTGGGTTAAACTTACTATTTCTATTCTAACATCAATTTCAGAATCGTGCTATTTTAAAATTATATGATTGTTTTTCAGATTAAATGTGTTGTTTTTTGGGGAGGTTTTGGAAAGTGTCTTTAGAGCATTTACGATTTTGAATGGGCCTGCTGAAGTAGTGCTGGCTAATTGCAGTTGTATCATTAATTTTTCACAGAATAAATCAATGTGGCCATGCTGGTTGGAAATGGGTTTGTGTGGGAGGGAGTAAGGTGGTTTACTAAGTACTAAAAAGACATGATTATCCTTTTATTCATAACACTCCATTTGTTTTCTAGCGGAATATTTTCGACTTGCTCTTTCAAAACTGCAGAGTTGTGATCTCTTTGATGAGTTTGACAAGTGAGTTTATTTCCTTGCTTCTAGTCTGGCTTTTAGCTTCAGCTAAGCTGGTTCAAAATATGTACCCCAAGAAATGTAAGATGTATTTACTCAGGAAAATTTCATAGCGTTTGTGCATAACCAAAATTTCTAGTAGTAATTTGACACTTAAATACCTATAAAATTAATTTAGACGCTGCATAACTGGTTGGCTCAAAAGTTTGCAGAATCTTGATGATGATCAACACTGGTCCCAAATCAGGACATTTTTAACCTACATTCATTTTTTTCTAAGTTGTTCCTACTTAAGAATTAGTTCACCCCCTGCTAATCAGCTCATGGCTTCCCTTTATAGGCTGTTTCCCATACTTTTCCATGCATCCTCCAAACTACTGATGAGATTCTTTCTGTCTCACTTGTTAAGGAGATTATTAGATTTTGGAAGCAGCTCTCTTCTTTTTTAATCAGAATTACATTTGAAGGACAAATATACTTGCTTTGATGTTTTCTGACTACAAAAGTAATTTAGTTTTTAGACAATTTTGTCATTAAATAACCCCATATAAATTGAATTGCCAAAAATAGACTTCTTCACTGTTGGGCTTATTTTACAGAGGTAGGTTTATTTCACAAAGTTTCAAGCCACACTTTAGAATTTGGCCAGGGTGCCAGTGTGATAATATGGGTAGTCTACAGATGTAAGGCCTCCATTAAAAAGGAAAATGGCAGAACTTACCCTCTTGCCCAAGAGAATAGGAGTGCTATTTTTTGGGTGCAGAGAGTGAGGGTAGTGGATAGAGGTCTGAAAGTGTAGACAGAGTTTGCCATAAGAGCAGCGTTAGATTTTGTCCAGGTTTATCTCATTTTTCTCTGTTGGAGACCAAGATGCTTGACGTGAAGTGTGTATTTGTGTAATGTGTATTGGTTCATTTCAGTTTTTTATAACTTCAAACTATGCCATCAACCTAATCAATTTTAATTTTGATTGCATATCAATAGCAACCATAAATTTTTTCAACCCCCAAATTTATGTAGCTCTGATTTGTAGAATATTGTTTTTTGCAGACCTTTCACATATGTGCTTTATGTTGATTCTCTCTAATTCTGTAAGTTTCTGGAGAAACTGAGGCTAGGCACACAGTTTGTTACACTTGGTAAATGCCAGACCCAGGATGTGAACCTAGATAGTTCAACTCCAGTGCCTGGATGTCTGAGTTAAGAGTAATAAAGGTGGCCGGGTGCTGTGGCTGATGCCTGCAATCCCCCAGCACTTTGGGAAGCTGAGGCGGGCAGATCGTGAGGTCGGAGTTCGAGACCAGCCTGGCCAACATAGTGAAACCCAGTCTCTACTAAAAATACAAAAATTAGCCTGGCATGATGGCGCATGCCTGTAGTCCCAGCTACTTGGGAGGCTGAGGCAGGAGAATTGCTTGAACCAGGGAGGCGGAGGTTGCAGTGAGCCGAGATCCACCACTGTACTCCAGCTTGGGCGACAGAGCAAGACTTCGTCTCAAAAAAAAAAAAAAAAGATAATTGTGAGTCCTTGCAGCAATTATCTGCAAATATTTGTAAAGATGCTTGACTCCATACATGCAAGCTACTGTCAGGATTCTGGAGGCTATATGACTAGAAGTTTTGTTCTTGACTAATTTTTATCTAAGAACTAGACTGTGCTTTATTTAGTTGCTTTCATAACCCCTTGTCCCACAGGTGTTCATCTGTTTGTGTATGCCTCCATCAGGCTAATTTTTCTCTTCTTGCTGCCTTGGTCTTGCTGTTTCCTGCCCCTTTCCTCCTGTCACCAGAATCTCCCCACTCCCCACCATCATGCTAAGTTCATTTCTTAGCATTACCTTTCTTGGGAGAGAAGTAGAGTGTAGCTGGTGAGGAGGGATTGAAAATCATGCTGACTGCAGGAGTCCTTTAGTCTGAAGTTGCCAAGAGTCTGAAGTGAAGTAAATGTATAGTCAGAGACTCTAGATAAAGAATGAATGGCAAATAACCCTGTAGGATCCCCACAGAGGGAGCACAGTGACACATGTTTTGTAACATCACAGATGTTCAGTTAGCATTGCTGAGTTGTGTGTTCGACCTGGGCAAACCTTATCGAGTATTTCAAAAATAGATAAGAATATATTTATGACACTATTATCTTCTATTTGCATAGCACTTTTCAGAGGGGTTCACATGTAGTATTAAATTTTGCCTATATTTTAAGTGAGTCATTCTACCTTTATCATGTGCCCAATGTACAACACATAGGAAAAAACCAACCAGGCTGTGCCTGAGCAATACATTTTTAGTAAACTCCAGAAAGGCAGAATGGACTGAATTGCCTGAATGCTGCCTCTGAGTCAACTTAGTTCCTCAAGTGACCTTATGTAGTTCTCATTTCTCTTCTCAGCCTGGGAATAAAGCTCTAGAAGAAAGATGTCTGAGAACAGTCTTTCTTTCTCAGGCAGAGAATTTAGACTGCCTTTGGCAGGAGAGTCCTCCCTGAGCCCCTGGCTTGTGAATTTGTGAGCTGGGCCCACACGTCCAAGGAGGAAGGTATTGATATTTAGGCTGGCTTGTCCTTCATCATGGGTCTGTAGGTCAGAGAGGAGGAGCTGAGGTAGAAGGGATTACTTTCAAGTTACTTTCCTCCTTTTTCTGCTTTCTTTACTGATATTTATATAATTGCTGGCCTTGCTCTCTGCTCATTTTTTCCTACCTGTGCTCTAGAAGGTGCTCGACGTAGTTTGAGTTATAACAGCTAAGCACATTATTTTCCTTGCTTTTTATTCTCCTTCCATCCTCTTTGTCCCTTCTAGAAAGGGTCAGATGTTGTTGGTGCTGTTGTTTCAAATCTGAATCCTTTAAGATTCTACCAGATATAAGTTGTAGTTTTGTCAGATATCTCGTCCAGCATGTATGATGCCCTCAGTTGGGATAGATTCCACTGTGAATGGGAAAACTCAAAATATCAGTTGTGATTGTAAGAAGGAAGTTCTCCATTTGTCCAGTTTTCATGTAAATGAACTCTGCAGGTAAACTTGCCAGGGCTGGTTCTGTGAGCATCAGGGACCAAGGCTGCTTCTCTATCTTGACGCCACCATTCCTAAATATACAACTTGTTCCTTCTGGTCTGGTATGATGGCTGGAGTTCCACCGATCACGCCTACCTCCCTGCCAGCCAGGAGGAGGAAAGGGCGAAGGGCATACCCCAACCCTTTAAGACATGCCTTCTTCTTAAGGGCATCTCCCAGAAATCCCATATAACACTTCCTTACCTCCAATGATGTGCTGGAACCAGTTGGTACCAACTTGTGAGAGCTGTATCTCTTTGTATTCAGCTCCATATTTAGTGCCATCAAGGTGAAAGCTTGAAATGGCCAAGGTGAGAGTATTCGTACCATGGGAATTGGCAAACATTACAAATCAGGGCTTTGCCCATTCATACTCCTCCCCCTCCCCCAGAACTGATTGTTAAACATTGACTAGCAACCACTGTTTGCATCCCATTGGATAGGACTCCATCACAAGGCCACCCCTAGCTGGAATGTGGACCGGAAAATGTAGTTTGTATTCCAGGTGACTGTGTGCTCACCTTTAAAAGCAAACATGATTTTAACAGATGAAGGAAACAAGATTATTGGGGAACAAATAGCTGTCTTTACCAATATTCTGCATCATTTCCCTGGTCCCCATCTGTTTTTATGCCTGGTCACTTTCAGGATTCTGAAGTCAAATATCTGACTCTGCTCTCTAACAACTGAGTTCAGTGCATCTTTTTTATCTGCTGCTGCTACTGATTTCTCATGGACACAGGCTCTTCTCTTTATTCTCCAAAGCACAGCCAACATAAGGTGACTAAGTTTAACAAACTTCACTGAAGACTGAGGATTTTTTAAGAGAATTGCATCACAGAAAAGGAATACTAAAAATATGGCCATATTCCAAGGCCCTAATCCTTCCTGGCTGTCCATGTAGCTCCTCAGCACCAGTCTGCCCCCTAGTCCTAAGGATTATTGCTTTCTCCTCAGTGGAAGTACATCCTCACACAGCTAGAAACAGCAGCAACCCTAAATGATCAAATCTCAGCTCCCACTTAAAATGCACAGACAAGCTCCCCATCCCCAACCACCAACATTCCTTCTGAAAGCATGCCAAGTTTTATGAAGAATGCTTTAGTCCTGCAGCACAGGTGGTTATATAGTAACTAGACATAAATATCTTACCTGACTAAAGCACCTGTGTCAAGTCAGTTGCCTGCTAAATGGACAAGGATTTGTAAAAGCTGCCTGGTTGCTCTCTCAAGCAGCATCCATTATGTCAGCATCAGCAAAGCTGGGTTAGATTGACTACCAGCCAGGCCAGGAGCATGTCTTTAGAAAACTTAAAAAAGAATTAGACATTAGTGGTGTATTTATTGAAAAAGAGTCCTAACTCTAAACGGAATATCAATATCTGCCTCCCTACTTTAGACATTCTGCTGTTTTGCAGAGTTTCTTTACATTGCAGGATTTTTAGCAAGGAGAGCTTGAGGATGAGGGGAAGTTGCGATTCTACATCAACAGAGTGAATCATTTGTGGTGAATATGCAGAAGCAGCCCCTGCCTGCTTTCTAGCATCGGCTGTGGTCAGATGTTGGGTAAAGGTATAGAAGTCTCAGTACTTTTGCCAAAGGAAATGGTCTCTTCCATCAGAGAGTAACATACAAGACCTAAGTGATTCCCTTACTTCACAAAAGAGCAAACCGAGATCAGAGAGGTCAGATTACTACACCAAGGTCCTAAGAGGTGCTAAGCGGAGGAGCCAGAACTAGCAACCAGGTCTCCAACTACAGTTCCTTGTGTAGTTTGAGGATCTCCTGGCTGCAAGTAATAGTCTTCACTAGGAGTGATTTAAACTACGTGGACATTTATTATCTCCTGTATTGCGTAGACATGTGGATTCAGGTCTGCATATTTGTGGTTCCAGCTTGCAGTGTGGGGCTGCTTATGGCTGTACAGACTGTGGATTGCACAACTCCAGGGAGTACCGATTCATTCATATAGTTATCTGAATGGTGCTCCCGGACATTGGACTGTGTACAACTTGCACATATGTTTGGAGTGGCCCTGGTTGGGGGATTGAGTTAGTGGCTCAGTGATGTCAAGGCTCCAGGGTAGTTTTTCTGTGGCTGTCTTTTTCTCTGATGTGTAGCTGCTCTAACTTTTTGTTATCACGTGTCAATGTCTAAGCAGAAAGGAAGAAGTGAGTAATGAAGTATCCTGTTCACATGATTCTTTTGGCAGCAGCAAAATCTCTTCCAAAAGCATCTAATAGACTTCCCTAATATCTTATTGCCCAGGGATGGGTCACATGGCTATGTCTAGATGAAACATTGGCAGAGACAATGAGCTCACTATTATAGGCTTAGGAAAGCAGGGATCTGCTAGCAAGGCACATGGGGTAATGGGTGTTGGGAATGTGAGTGGTATGATTTGCCATAGATTGTTACACTGAAGGTAGAGTCATGTATTTTAATGTACATGATGGTATTGAAGGGAAAATGCATGTCAAAAAGCATTTGTAAAATAAAACACATCATAGATCATTTGAAATGGGCAACTCAAGTTTGCTTGCTCTATATTGATTGTGTTTAATGTTTCCCTCTGCATAAGGTAATGACTCTTCCAGCTTTTGCCTGACTTTATGAGAAACACAGCTTTCACCTGGGGGAAGTGTAATCTCTTACTACCACTGCTTTAGCAGCTTTCCAGATTTCCATTAACAGGTTCCAAAACAATTATTTTGTTTTCTGGGTAAGCAGTTTAGAGCATACGCATTTTCCTCCGTGTTTCCAGGGTGGTTGGAGGAGTAAAAAGTAATTCCTTCTCCAAACACAAAGTAGGGAAATAACCTCCATATACTTAATGTAACAACCAAACTGAATTCTAAAATGCACAGCCTGTGAATCAGGAAGTGTTGTAGATGGGAGGATACAGAGATATAAATGATACTATTCTTTCCTCTAGGGACTCACAATTTACTGCAGCTATTTCTACATGAAAGTTATGTTAATTAAATATGTGAAGTTTTACAGTCACCCAAAGGACACTGAAAGTCATTGTTCCACACATAAAAAGGCAGAGGAAGCCAGAATCACAAGCCAAATGGATGAAGTCAAGGAGAGAATGAATCAGTCCTTTCAGAGTATGGGGTACTTGCTAGAGAGTGAGGGAAGCAATGAGTAACGAGGAGTGCGATTCAGACAGCTTATCTGTACCATTCCATACTTCCCAGAGCCATGGTGGTACTATGAATACTAGCTGTAGATAAAGTGTTATTGCCAAAGAGTAGTCCTAGGGATGCCCTCAAAAGAGTTTCTATGTGATTTTCAGAAAAATGCGTAAATCTTTGCAATATCCTTTACCAGGAGGAAAAGTGGACTTTCATTGATAAGGTTTCCTTTCAAAAGCATTGGCATGATTTCCTATAGTAAAGGCCCTTCTCTCTTTCTGTTTGTCCCCTATAAGCTGACAGGAAAAAAAAGTAGAATGAAACTCCTAAAAATATGGTGACGTAGAGCTGCAAAGAATCTTTGGAATGGGCGTTCTAAATGAGGCAATGTCTATGTTATTTCTTCCTGTTTTTTAAAAGTCCTTGAACTGCTGGGACCATAAGTAGGAGAGGCTGAGTATGAGGAATTGCCCTGCAGAAGAGATCTGCCTGAAACCCTAGACCCCTCTTTTTTCTTGGCTTATAGGGTATGTGGGTGGAGGTCCAGGACCTTGAGTCTGAGTGATGACCAGTGATAATGGCACATGTATATGACAGATGGTAGCTACTCTTACCATGATACTCTTTGGGCCACGCATTATCTAGGGCTTGATGACCATCTGTAACTCAGTGTGATAGAGTGGAAACTTCTGTGAACACTAAGGTCTAAGCTATCAGTTCATTGTTGAGCAATGTTATATAACTGACCACGTCTAAGACTGAGCTCAGTCAATCCCATTACTGGGTATATACCCAAAAGATTATAAATCATTATACTATATAGACATTATACTATATAGACTTTATACTACATGCACATGTATGTTTATTGCAGCACTGTTCACAATAGCAAAGACTTGGAACCAACCCAAATGCCCATCAATGATAGATTGAATAAAGAAAATGTGACACATAGACACCATGGAATACTATGCAGCCATAAAAAAGAATGAGTTCATGTCCTTTGCAGGGACATGGATGAAGCTGGAAACTATCATTCTCAGCAAACTAACACAGGAACAGAAAACCAAACACTGCATGTTCTCACTCATAAGTGGGAGGTGAACAATGAGAACACGTGGACACAGGAAGGGGAACATCACACACTGGGGCCTGTCGCAGGGTTGGGGGCTAGGGGAGGGATAGCATTAGGAGAAATACCTAATGTAGATGATGTGTTGATGGGTGCAGCAAACCACCACGGCACTTGTATACTTATGTAACAAACCTGCACGTTCTGCACATGTATCCCAGAACTTAAAGTATAAAAAAAAAAAAAAATAGACTGAGCTGAGTAACCTTTCTGGGGTCAACTTCAGATATTTGGCTTGTTGTTCAGGAGTCTTTTGTAGAGGACAGGGGCTCTGGTGGTATGCTGGTGGCTTGTTGGCCTTTGCCCCTGCATGTTCCATGTAGGTGGAGTCAGGTAGCCCAGTGTCAGACTGGGAACTCCAGGCCAGGATGGATGCAGGAGCCCCTGAGGCACCTGGGCTCAGGGCGAGGCAGCCCCTTTTCTTGACAGAGGATTGGCCTACAGCCTTCATTGAATGGAGAGGATTAGACTAGATACCATCTATAGATATTCCCCCTCTACCCCTATGCAGGTTATCTCATGGGAACAGCTGTTATTTCAATCTTGTCTTAGCCATGCCTTCCCCAGTGCCCAGCCTTGCTTAACATTCCTAGTGGAGATGGAGCCAGCTTTAGGAGGTGTAGCCTCTGATCTGAATTAAACTGACCCTGAGGTTATGGAAAGGGCAAGCAAGCTGGGAGTGTGAGAATCGCCCCCTCCTATAGCATATTCATGGGATGATTTGGGGAGGATAATGGCAATAATACCCTGAGAGGAAAGGGTTTTGAATATTCAGCAGCTCCCATCTCAGCCATACTACATGGCCCCACAGCAGAGAGCCTTTGATAAAGTTGGCTTTCTAGAATAGGGATTGAAATCAAACTTGCTTGTAAAAGCATCTAGAGTTATGTTACTTTCTTATTTAGAAACAGAGAGCCCAGGACCATGAGGCTTCCGCCTGCTGGACAGCAAGGACTTCCAGTAGCTTCTCAGCTGTTTTCCCAGTCACTTTCAGAAGCAAGGCTGCTATAGCTAATTGATGTATGCAAGATGTAATTACAGCCATTGATAGGGAAAATATCAGCAATATGATGCCCTTGGAAGCTCAGAAAAAAGTCAAAAGGCTGTACCATGACTCTCACAATAGCCAGATCTGAATATAAAATCTAGTCTCTTCTGGTGATGGAGAAAAGGAAGTGTCATCCATACAAGATGAATTTACACTCTGAACCCCAGGAGGTCCTGCACGTAGGAAGTGCCTACAATCCAAGTACCATGCTCTTTACTGCCTCTCCTGCTTCCAGCACTGTCCCTGGGGTCATCCAAACCAGTACAGTAACCCAGCTGGCCTCTCTTCTGAAAACATCTCCAACTTCAACAATACTTTGAGATACCATATTGCTGGTATTTCAAAAACTGCTGCCAGCAGGGAGGAGGCCAATGGCGTGTCCATAGATCATGTTCAGCCTCCAAGTGGTCTCATAATCAACAAAGAATCTGAAGTTTACAAGATGCTTCAGGAGAAACAGGAGTTGAATGAACCCCTGAAACAGTCTACCTCTTTCCTGATTTTGCAGGAAATCCTGGAGTCTGAGATAAAAGGGGATCTCAACAACCCTCAGGATTCAGAAGTGTTACTCAGCTCAGTCTATTACTCAGTGGCTGCATCAATTGGAAATGCTCAGAAGGTGCCCATGTGTGACAAATGTGGTCCTGGCATTGTAGGCATGTTTGTAAAGCTGCGGGGACCATCATCCCCTCCCTGAATGTTACGTGTGCACTGATTGTGACACTCACCCGAAAGAGAAGGGCTTTTTTTTTTTTTTTTTCCATCAAATCTACTGTGAAGAGCATGCCCAGGAGCAAGTCACACCACTTGAGGGTACGATGTGGTCATCATGTTCCCCAAGTGATCCAGCAGACCTGCACTGACCACCGTTCTCCAGCCAGCCTCTGCTGCAGCTAGTTCTCTAAATGTTCTGGCCTTGTCTCTTGAAAGTTCTGTACTTATTCCCCCACCCCACAACCCGCTTACCTTGGTTTTATCCCTGCTCATTGAACCTTGAGTCCCTTGTCTTGGTTAACTGACTCACACTGACTGTGTGGTGCCCGCCCACTTTTACAATGAATGGCAAACTGTTTTTGTTCAGTGTCCCCTTGCCGGCAACACTGTGTACCTTCCTCCCCTCAGTTCTTCTCTGCTGCAAATGGACATCAGCCACATTTGAACCAAATCAAATATAATATGTCTGACATTGATTTCATTTTTGCTCCATCTATAGACTCCCAGAAAAAAGAAATAAAAAAAATGCAAAGAAAATTTAAATGAACAAACAGACCCTTCTGGAACCTACTGTGACATGAGATGTGTCCACAAGGCGAGGTTTCAGGCACACACTGAAGGAGCATCTGCTGGACAGCCCTCCCCGCCCCCAAGTCCTTACCAACCTGTGCCACTGGTACTTATTTTTCTTGACTGATTAGGTAGACACTGATTTAGGCATGACTCTTTAATATTTGAGAGCATAGAGCTTCCAATTAAAATATGTTAAAAGTATTTTTTAAATTTTAAACCTTACAATCAGATGAACTGTACTACTCAAAAAAGGTAAATTTAATGAATATAGGAGTGTGTACATCATCTCCTGTTTACCTGACAAAGCCAATGCTTGGCTCTTTTAAACAGTTTCCGAATTCTCACATTCTCCATGTTTCTGGGTTCTACAGTGTTTGTACAGTTTTGCTACTCATTGATTTCCTAAAATCCTTAAGGTCTTGAGTTCATCTGGTCTGCTGATTTCACGGGTCTTAGGGAAACAGTGTTCTCTTTAGACTTTCCATGCCATGAGGGCCCTGGAAGGATAGCCTCAACAACTTTCCCTTCTGTGGTTTTGTTCCCTAGCGGGCAAGGACACAGTCTATTTTGTCATTTCTCCAGGCCTGCCTGGGTGAGGGTAAGAGCTGGGAGAGAGATGGACCAGCAACACGAAGTTCCCCTTTGTGTTCTACTTTAAAGCTGTTTGCCAGGAACACCGCGTGAACTTTTAGTTTGTATTGGTTAAGCTCCAAGGACCAGTCCATGTTTGAGAAATTGAAGTGAGCATGGGCAGGGTACAGAAAACTGCACTTTTCTCACCAGATTCCAAACTGTCCATCTCCACACTTGTGCAGCAGAGAGCCAGAGGTAGAATCTTCGAGGAGTGGGTAATGCTGGCAAAGAATGTAGACCTGCATAATGTAAAACACAAATGCAGAGTCCTATATGGAGGTGTGTTTCACAGTCTCAAGTTCTGGATCCACATGCTAGTTCCACTTTGGAGTATGACTTTAAAATGTTACATAATAGATTTCTGAACCTCTTTCTTCATTTGTATACTGGGAATATCAGGCTTACTTATCTCAATAGGTGGGTATGAGAATCAAATGAGAGAACATGTATGGGCTGATAATAGTTGCTGACAATGATATGCTCTTCCTATAGAATGTTACTCATTGAATCTTGTATCTTTTTAATACAGCTCTAGACTTGTAAGTCGCAGTTGGTTCTTTTTCTACTTGCGCAACAAGTGGAATTTGGCACTGGGTTTCTGACAGTATGCATGGATTCTTGGAATCAGTTTTGTAAAAGATGGCTCAATCTCTCACTTGTCCATCTGTCCAACAGCATACCCTGTAAAAAGTGTGTGGTGGTTGGTAATGGAGGAGTTTTGAAGAATAAGACATTAGGAGAAAAAATCGACTCCTATGATGTAATAATAAGGTAAATATATTTTCTATTTGCTACCCTAGAATTGTTTCAAAAGAATATGGTTTCTTGCCTTAATACAGCTGTGTTTTGACAGGAAGGGGAGATGTTTCCATTTGGTTTTTTTTTTATTGCACAACCTTCTCTCTTGGTTGTTGGCTAGAGTTAGACCTAGATTTCAGGTTACTCATTTAGCAAGTATTTGTTAAGTCTCCTTAGTGTGCTAGCATGCTTCTAGCCACAGGAGAGATAGCAATGGATAAGAACAATGTTTGTGCTCCCTGTGGAGGGAAGAAAATGAGTAATTAAATATATAAAAATAATAAATGCCATACATAATTTAAAAAGGATATAACAGAGAATCTTTGAATGGCTCCTTTGTAATGATTGACCACTTTGAGAAAGAGACATCTAAGCAGGGCCCAAGTGACCACACAGCAACAGCCATATGAAGATTATGGTAGAGCAGTCCAGGCAGAAAGGATGTTTGCTGCAGGGCCTCAGGAGGAGATGATCCTGAGTTTGAGAGGAGTAGCAAAGAAACCCAGTGAAGCTGGAAAGTAGCAGGCAGGGGGAGAGTGGTGGAATTGGAAGCTGAAGCGGTGAGCAAAGATCAGGCTGCATAGGACTTTGTAAGCTAGGATTAGAAACTTGGATTTTAAGTGCAACAGGAAGCTTTTTAAGGGTTTTAAGCAAGAGAACAAAGCAGTCTGGTTATGTCTTAAATATTCTGGCTGTGGCATGGACAATGGAATGTGGGGGACAAGGGTGGAAATGAAGAGGCCAATTAGGTTGCTGTATTCGGGTATAATATGATGGTGGCTTGGGACAGGATTGTTGTAGGAGAGGAAGAGATATGTGGACTGACTGAAGATGTGTTTTAGACATAGAGTTATCGGGATTTGTTGCCGTATTAGATGTGAAGAGTAATGAGAATAAAGAAATCAAGGATGCCTCCTACTCTGTTTTCAGCTTAGGAGATTGGCTGGAGAGTGGTATCATTTATTAAGTTGGGGAAGACTGGTATAGGAGCAGGTTTAGAGGAAAACCATGATATGAACATGTTAGATTTGAGATGCTTGTTAGATTTGCAGTGGGTTTGTCGAGTAGGCAGTTGGATAAACA
This sequence comes from Homo sapiens, assembly GCF_000001405.40. NCBI lineage: Eukaryota > Metazoa > Chordata > Mammalia > Primates > Hominidae > Homo > Homo sapiens. Next base: position 98,786,151 of record NC_000003.12, read on the forward strand.
GGTTAAAATCTTGATGGTGTGTGGCCTATAAGCTGTATTTAAACCATGGACTGGGTGAGATTTCCCAAGGAGAGACTGAGAGAGAGAGAAGAGAGTGAGGACTGAGCCTCAGAGAACTCAAAATTTAGAGGTTGAGCAAAGAAAAAGGAATGTGTAAAAGAGATGAAGAGGATCCACCAGTGAGGTAAGAAGAAAATCGGGAGAAGGTGATCACAGAAGCCAAGAGAGCAAAGTGTTCCAGGACAGAAGGAGTGACCAACTGTATCCCAGTGCTGGTGAGAGGTCATGCAAGATAAGGACAGAGTGGTGACCATTGGACTGGTGACCTGAGGCTCATTGACACTCCCAATAAAAGCAGGCTTAGAGGCGTGATGTGGCAAGAAGCCCGGCTGGACTAGGTCGAAGAGGGAATGCAGAGAATGTACACCTGAATGTACAGATGAAGATGTAGAGAAACCAATGTAGTCCAGGGATTTTGCTTCAAAGAGGAGTTGAGAAATCAGATGGCAGTTAGAGATGGTTATGCAATCAGGGTTTTTTTTTTGTTTGTTTTCTTCTTTTGAAAAGATTGGAGGCACTATAGTACATTGGTTAACTGGTGGAAATGAGAAAGAGATTGGGGTGGTAAAAGAGAGGGGAAGGGGGTTCAGAACACAAGTGTGGTTAATGTTTCATAATGGAAAGGAGAGCCAGGATTGTGGTTACAACTACCAAGAGTCCCTCTGATGTAGTGAGGGGAAAATACGGACCTTTCTATCTCTATTTTTTTAGTGAAAGGTCAAGATAAGGTCATCATCTGGGATAAGTGTGTGTGTGTGTGTGTGTGTGTGTGTGTTAGGAGTAGCTATGAATAGTTTAAAGAATGGCAAAGTTAGCATACTGAGGCAATACATTAGGATGGTTTGGCAGCTTTGGGGGTTTTGTGGGGTTACAAGCTGCCTAGGGTTTCTGCATGGTGAGGTCACCTTATTTTCTGTTTACTATCCATTTTGAGGAAGCTGTGATAATTTACCTACAAAACAATTTTGAAGCAATCACAGGTTTCTCTACCCATAATTGTCTAAATCTGATAATTTAGAGCCACAGGAAACCCTTGCAGGAAAATATCATGGGTACAACATTTTGAAAGTCATCTCAAGTGTTAATAAGTCTGTTCGTCTTATATTACGTAGAGTCAGTAGCAAAGGGCAAAACAGTATTTATCTCTTTGGGGACACTGTTTTGGAAACAAAGCATTTCTTTTTTTATAGCATGGCTTCATAATGTGTGCATAAATAGTGCATGTCCAACCTTGGCTTTCAGCATACACAAACCCAACAGTAGATCCTTTGTGGTTCTTTAGTTTACTCTAGCAATAGACATTCATTTGGTTGTGCTTGAATATAATATAGCAGATTTATATTGTTAACCTTATTTCAGAGTACAACAATTTTGATGGGTCTTTAAACCAACTTAAATGTGATTCTTCTTACCTGTCAGTCACACACATCCATGTGCTACATGACTGTGTGGCTTTGAGCAAGTAATTTTCTCTCCAGGGGTTTGTCCTCCAAGTTCTCTTTCAACTCTGGTATCCTGTGGCTCTGTGTTCCCACTTTTTTAAATTTAGTCTTCAGTTCCCCTGGAGGTAAGACTGAATTATCATTGGCTCCACAATTAATTTTCAAATACAAATGAACATTTCTGCCTTTGATCAACCAACTATTTCATGAAAAGGAATGATCTCCTTGGCCATTATGTGTGAAAGATTGATCTATTGCTTTGTGGCTTCAGAGCACAGGATAAAAGGCTGATGTTTGTCCAACTCTGAAACCTCTGAGAACTGTGATGGGAATGGCAGATACTGCACTTGGTCTACATATCTTGTATGTTTTACTATCCACAGAATGAATAATGGTCCTGTTTTAGGACATGAAGAAGAAGTTGGGAGAAGGACAACCTTCCGACTTTTTTATCCAGAATCTGTTTTTTCAGATCCTATTCACAATGACCCTAATACGACAGTGATTCTCACTGCTTTTAAGCCACATGATTTAAGGTGGCTGTTGGAATTGTTGATGGGTGACAAAATAGTAAGTAGGCAAAATTGTTCTGCCTTCAGATTACCTTTAGTGCTTTTTTTCCTTAAAAAACAGACAGCCACACTGTTCTATTCTCTATATTTTTTACTTTCAGAACACTAATGGTTTTTGGAAGAAACCAGCCTTAAACCTGATTTATAAACCTTATCAAATCCGAATATTAGATCCTTTCATTATCAGAACAGCAGCTTATGAACTGCTTCATTTTCCAAAAGTGTTTCCCAAAAATCAGGTATGTATTTATCTCTGCATGGTTTCAAACTACAGATCTGGCTGAGGTAGGATAGAGGGTCCTGGGAACTCTCAGAAACTGTATGAGAACCACAGCTCATGAGATGATTTCTGAGGGCCATCTCTGAGTTAGTAAAAGTAGTTATCTATGGATATTATCTTTATGTTTTTCATTTATGTTGCAAGGAAATGTAATTTTAAGTTGGGTTTTTTTCCTGCCCTTGTAGGGCCTTCCTGGGGTCTCTTTGTGCATGCCGAAACAATTTATCTTTCATAACTCTGTCTTCAGTGTTCTGCAGTGAGGAGAGTCTGACTGGGTGGGCTGACGGGCAGGCTTGTGCTCAGAGTAGCTGGCCTGGCTTCAGGCCAAGTGCATGGCTTTGCAGGCTAAAAAGAAGTGTCTGAGATGCTCTGATAAAAATATCACAGGAAAGCCAGAGGAAAGGTGAGGAAGGACAATAAAGTAGTCCAGAAACATTTCTGTGGTCAGAGGAAATGTTGGCATTAAATTCTCAAGAAATGGTAGCTACAGCAATATTGAAAGAGTTCTTGAAACTTCAAAATGAAATCTCATTGACTTTCACTCCTGTTTGCCTTCTTTCCCTAGAAAACAATACTCTAGACCCATACAGTGGCAGAGATATTTTTTACTGGAAGCTTGAGTAACTGTATAACATGACACCTTGGTTGAAATGAGTTTTTCACCCCTTTTTAAAGTAGGGAAAAATCCAAAGAAATAAATATACATCATGTATTTTCATGATGTATATTTAGCATGATAAGAATTGTGATTAAGAAATTCAAAAGTGTTATATGCTGAAAACAAATGTTAGTGTTGCACACTGAAATAAAGGAATATTAAAAATCAAAAAGGAAGTCACCAGTCTATTCTCTTCCCTCTACAACCCATGTAACCTCTCAAGCTTTTCTACCTTTTATGTGCTTCCAGACTATTTGCTATGCATTCATAAACACATAATCTTTTTGTTTGTTCAGTATAATTATGATTATACCATAGGTATTGTTGTTATTTTCTTTTTTCTCTTTATTTAACTCTTCCCCTATTTATAGACACTCAGATATATCCAACATTTTCTTCTCTTTAAATAATATAGCAGTACATGTGTTTATAGGGGTTTTCTGCCCATTTGTCGGATTTCTGTAGGATGGACTTCTGGAAGTGGAATGCTCAAGTCAAAAAGCATACATGTTTTAAATTTAAACCTGACTTCCTAGTAATTTTGAGGGTAAAGGACAGCTTCTGAATGTGTGTTTTGTGAGTTTTCACTTCCTATATTCCTAAGTGAAGTATGATCAGGTATATCTCTTGCTTCTTCATTTTAGGTAATATCTTTAATTCCAAAAGCACAGGAAGACCCTGAGCATACTTAGTGATGACATTAGAACTAGCTGTAGCTACATCAAAGTCCCAGTAGGACATGGTGTCCCAGAAATCAAATGCTGTATTTCAAGAGAAGTCAGCCATGTCAGATGCTGTCCAGAGGTTGAATGTAAATAATAAACCCTGGTTTTAGAAACGTGGAGGTCATATTGGTGATATATATTAACAAGAAAGAAGGAAAAAGCCTGCTTGAATTGGGTTGAAGAGAACCTGGGACATGAGCAAGCAGCAACAAATCTTTAGTGGACTTTTTGCTAGAACAAGGATCGTAGAAATGAAGCAATAGTTGGAAGATGATATAGGATCGAAGAAGCGTGTTTTATTTTTGGTCTGTGTATATGCTGAAGGGAATGGTTCAGCAGAAAGAAACACTGATGATGAGGGGAGAAAGTAGTTAAGTACAGAAGTAAAATTGTTGAGAAGTGATATGGGATAAAATATACACTAGTGAAAAGTTGCTGAAGTTACATCTCATCCATTATAAGAGGAATAAGCACTGCAAATGTGAGTAAAGATACAGGTAAGATGGTAGATTTGGAGTTGGGATGATGAAGCCACTCTTTTGACTGCTTTTGTTTCCTTAAAAAAATAAAGATTAACTAGTCAAATTAGGAAGAAGACTAGGGCTGTTGCAGGATACAAAGTTATAAATTCTCATCTTGGAGAGTAGGAATGGAAATTTACTAGTCAAACGTAACTGGATTGCTAGGCAATACTTACTGCCTGTTTGAGAGTTGGGTCATAAATTCAACATTCAACCAGGTAAACGTATTTTTCTCTTGCCCTATTCTGTTGCTGGGGTGTGGGTACAGGGTGACTGCAGTGCTTATTCCTCTTATAAGAGTTTGTCAGGTGGTAATATAGGTTCTGTGGGTGATGGCTGCAGAAGAGCTGGTCTATATAAAGGAATGGTTATAAAGACGGATGAAGGACTCTTAAGATGTGAAGAAAGGAAGTAGAAGACATGAAAAGGGGCAAGGAGAAGGAAAAAGCAATGGGATCAATGAGGCTGAATGACTCCTAGGTTACAATGGTACATAGGATAAAGAAAATTTTATGCTGAAGGCAGTTAATGCTTTCGGACAAGTTTGCCTCCTGGAATTGATTTGGTTGTGCTTCTTCGATTTTTTTTTCTTTTCCTCAAAATCATAGTAAGTCATATGTAATTTCAATGGGAACTATAAGAAACACTTTATTGAAAGTGTTATGTAAAAAGCTTAAGATGTATCTTGTTTTTCGCTTTGAAGGCCATCTCAGTGAGAATTACAATTTCTGAAAGCCAAGACCCTCTTGTCAAATATCTATCACACTGGTTTTCAAGATATATGTAAGATAAGGAAAGAGGATGCTTGGTTTTTCTTTCTAAAAGTATAATGGTGCAGCTGAGATTGTGATATTGCTATGTATGCATTTGGAATATTTATTTTCTAGTCAGATACTGTTACAATTTATCATTGAAGTACTAGATTAGCCTTTCCCTAGAGTTAGTTTAAATGGTGAGTATAAAATATAGCTATTCGAAGGCGAATTTATATGAAGTCTTTTATCATGATTCCATCCGTTTGTGAATGAAGCTGTCCTTATATTTCATACACGTGTTCAAAATTCCCAGGCTTTGCTTTTGCCATAAGGAGCCTGACTCATCATGTTTTTGTGTTTTTTAAAACAATACAGCAACATTCTCTTCCTTAAGCCTCACAGTATTCTTTCATTGGATAGTTGTCCTCTGGGCTAATACCACAGCTATATTTTATTTTAAAGACTTCCTAAGATTTCAATCACAGTTTATATATTTTTTAGAGTTAAGGTATATATGCATACTCTTTGGGGCTTGAGCCTTATAATGAGAGTTTAGTTATTTCTCTCCTTATTAAATGTTTAGAAATCCCTGTTTTATATGATTCAGCCAACCAAATATGCTTTGGTAACAAGTAGCTCCTTTTGCTTAAAAAAGTTTTTTTCATCCCCTCCCCCAGAAACCTAAACACCCAACAACAGGAATTATTGCCATCACATTGGCGTTTTACATATGTCACGAAGTTCACCTAGCTGGTTTTAAATACAACTTTTCTGACCTCAAGAGTCCTTTGCACTACTATGGGAATGCCACCATGTCTTTGATGAATAAGGTAATATACTGTACTTTAGGTAATATACATATGCTTTGGACTAATCTTTGAGGGATGGAAAGCCCATATTTTCTCTTCTCACACTCATTTTACTGAGGGACCACGTTTTGAAGGGTTGAGGGCTTGATGGTGATTACAGGGCTACCAAGGGCTGTAACTAGAACTCATGTCCAGGATCATTTTACTACAGCATGAAATCCCAATTTATGGGCCTCATGGTTATTGCCAAGTGTCATCAAACCCATATAAGTACAGAACCTTACTTTAGATATTATATTTGCACTATTGAAATTCAGGCAACCTGCTGTGTTTGAGATATTACAAATTCACCTTGCATTGCTGTGCTTAATTATTCTCATTTGTTTTTAAGTAGACAAGATGGTGTAGAATATTTTAACCCTACAAGAGAATCTTCATGATCAAAAAGGTTACCAACTTTCATACTGGATCACACTTCTCTTGAATAGGGATTAATAGTGAGGATTTGTATTTTATTTTTTTTAACAATTTTAGTTTAAATTTTTTTTTTTTTTTTGAGAGTCTCACTCTGTCACCCAGGCTGGAGTGCACTGGCATGATCTCGGCTTACTGCAACCTGCACCCCGCAGGTTGAAGTGATTCTCCTGCTTCAGTCTCCCTAGTTTCTGGGATAACAGGCGCCCGCCACCACGACCGGCTAATTTTTTTTTTTTTTTTTTGTATTTTTGTAGAGATGAGTTTTTGCCATGTTGGCCAGGCTGGTCTCGAACTCCTGGCCTCATGTGATCTGCCCGCCTTAGCCTCCCAGAGTGCTGGGATTACAGGCATGGGCCACTGTGCCTGGCTAAGGATTTGTAATTTACTTGACTGGGAAGGAGTTTCCTAGTTTTGTAATTCTAACTTAAATTAGTAGTGCATCACAAGTGATGGGATTAAAATGTTATCTGTATACTTTTAATATTGAAATATTACTTGATAAAAAGTATATGGATATATCTCATGAAATCAGTCCCCTTGAATCACCCCACTATATAAGCTGAGAAAGTGGTATAAATCAGGTTAGATTTAGTATTGTCTTTTGTCCCTCACCCCCACCCTCTGTCCCCACCAGGTAAGACAAGCACTTAAGTATTTCAAGAATGAGGTACCCCAACAGACTTTGGATTAGGCTGATTTCTCCTCCGCCCTAAACTTTCCTGTAGCACTTGTGGTATTTCAAGTGTCATCTAAAGAGCAGAATATTAAAACAACTTCCTCAGGAAGAAAACTTGGATATTCATGTATAGAACAGTAATTTTTAACACATCTTAAACTGAACCAGGCATTATAATAGTTTATCTCCAGGCTGATTTTGTTTGTTTTTAAACTGATTTCTAGGGGCTTCTTCCATTAAAGTGAACAACTCAAAATTTTGGTCTCCAGATTTGTATTGTACCATGATTCGGTCTACCAGGGTTTGATATGAAGGAGTCTTACTTATGTGAGAGTTGAAATGGAAAGAGTGGGCTGTAGGGAAAGCTTTTGCACAAGAACCAGCAAGGAAAGTAATTTAAAAGGCTATCAAAAGTTAAAAGTACATGCAACTCGTTACTTAACATTCGAGTTCTTTATTCGGATTTTTTTAGATATAAAGTACTCCATTGGTGCTGCTAATACTTTGAGATTGGGAAAGAATGATGGTAATTGTATTTTTCTTCTTTAGAACGCGTATCACAATGTGACTGCAGAGCAGCTCTTTTTGAAGGACATTATAGAAAAAAACCTCGTAATCAACTTGACTCAAGATTGACTCTACAGACTCAGAAGATGATGCTAACAGTGTTAGTTTTATTTTTGTACTGCAATTTTTAGTTTAAAATATGTTGGATGCACTCGTCAAATAATTATGTATACTGTCTGTTGCTGCCTGGTGATTCATAACCACCAGCTTAATTTCTGTGAATACTGTATATTTAACTTATGAAAACCAAGAAATGTAAAGATAACAGGAAAATAAGTTTTGATTGCATTGTTTTTAAAATAAGCTAGTTTTCTGAGGTGTTTTCACACGTCTTTTTATAGTTACTTCATCTTAGATTTTTGAAGGGATATGACTTCCTACTAAGGATTTAGTTTACCACAACAATTCTGACTACAATAAGACATTTTGAGGAGGATATTTGGCTACTGTAAACATGGCTGGTGGAAAATCACGATTGTGGCTTGATGTGGCAAGCCGAAACCACTTGGCTCTGGAAATCTAAGTTCATACTGGTTTAATTAAGCTCTCTCCTGACAACCCCCAGAATTAAATGAACCATGATTGTGAAGAGTAATTTGGTACAATGAAGGCAGTGTTTGTTTTTAAGTTAAAGGAAATGGGCTAAACATAAAGTTCTTATTAGATAAGTAAATAACTAAAGAAAGAATACAATTACTAAACTCTGATGGCTTTGTATTATTTTAAAGAAATGAAGTTTAACTTTATACAGTGAAGCTAAGCTAGGCAAGCTCAAGAAGGAAAAAAAAATCTTGAACATTATTTTTTTTTGCCTGACTTACTTATTCATTAAATTTTGAAGGTTTTCCACTTGAAGTAAATTAGGAAAGGTAAAGAAGATAACAGAACAAGTAAACACTTAAGAAAAGTCAAGCTGAGGCCGGGCAGGGTGGCTCACACCTGTAATCCTAACAAACACTTTGGGAGGCCGAGGGAGGCAGCTGGATTGCCTGAACTCAGGAGTTCAAGACCAGCCTGGCCAACATGGTGAAACCTCATCTCTACTAAAATACAAAATAATTAGCTGGGCGTGGTGGTATGCGCTGTAGTCCCAGGTACTCGGGAGGCTGAGGCACGAGAATTGCTTGAGCCCGGGAGGCAGAGGTTGCAGTGAGCCAAGATCGCGCCACTGCACTTCAGCCTGGGTGACAGAGTGAGGCTGTCTTCTAAAAAATATAAAAAGTGAAGTTGGGATTTTTGGATTTAAATGGTACAAAAAGAATATCTCATTTTCCCATGATTAAAGCTAATCTTCAGATGGAAAGCTTGCCTGGCTACCTAGGGTGCACCAGAGAATCTGATCCAATGCAAGCCAGTCAATCCTACAAATGTGGTGAGCTAGTCTTCCTTCCTATATTTTAATAAATGTAACCAAAGGCCATCTGGAGGTAGGGGAATGAGAGGTGAAGAAACAGAAAAATAGAGGTTATAAGGATGGAACTAAAAGTTGTCAGAAGAGGTATGAGCTGAAGAAAGAATTACTCTCTTTTGACCAATAAATACAATTGGGAAACACTGGAAAACCATGGCTTGATTACTGACAACCAACCTGCCTCTCTAAAGAGGGTGTATAAAGGGTGAAATACATTAGATTTGGCTCAGAAACAGAATGCGGTACTTATAAAGCAGAATAAAGGGGAGAACAGTAGTAGTTGATCTAACCCAGATTAGACATGAATACCAGCATATGTTTGCAGAGTCCCACAGTTTTGATTCCTCTTATAACTTTTTGAGGTGCAAAAGGAAGGTACCAGAACTGGAATCACATGTAATCAATCAGTGTGATTTTCCCCTCATACCACACAGCCATAGGCTGCAGTGTGGCTGCTGAAGTTCAATTGATATAAAGTAAATCAGGCTTCAAAAAGAATGGTGCTGTGGGTACACAAGGACATAAAGATGGGAACGATAGACACTGAGGACTGCGGCGGGGGGAGCGAGGGGAGCGGGGAGGGCAAGGGCTGAAAGACTATGTATTGGGTACTATGCTCACAACCTGGATGATGGGATCATTCATACCACAAACCTCAGTATCACACAATATACCCATGTAACAACCTGCACTCTGCACATGTACCCTTAGAATCTAAAATAAAAGTTGAAATTATTTTTTTAAAAAAAGGATGGCGCTGGTCATAGAAAAAGTCAAAGTAAACTAACAGTGTCATTTTCAAATGTTGCTGGAAGCACAATATTGGCCATAAATTAGTGAGGTTAAAATAGAAGAATCTGGCATTTTATAGTATAAGGAAAAGCTACAAACCTCAAGGTTGTTTTATTTAAACCAAATAATCTGAGCAAGACATATATACATTAAAAACAAATGAACACATTAAAATTTCACTATTTTACAATCTAAATTCTAGCAACATATACAAATACTGAGTGACTACAGTACATGCCGAGGTAAGATAAGTACATTCTGGGAGAATATCACTGACGCTCAAACCATTTTTATTTCCAATATGTATTTCAATACATGTTTGTTTCCACTTTTCCCAGTGCCACACACACACACACAAAAACAAAACAAAACAAAAAAAAACAGTCACAAGTTGGATTACATTAGAATTGGTGCCACAGTTGACTTTAAAAGCATTTTAATAACCACCCAACTCTTAGATTTTGCAGTTTAGGGACTTCAAGTTCAGAACCAAAAAGCAGAGAATCGTTTCATGTGACATGATGTTTCTATAGACCTCTTGCTCTCTAGGTGACAATGCAGAGCCAGGGCAAAGGTGTTTAAGCTTTGTCACCTTCCACAGCTTTGTGGCCACATTCATATTTAGATAAGCTCGGACTCTGCTCCCCTCTTCTGGAGATGGGGAGAGGCAAGTGTGTATGTGTTGTCATACTTACTGCATTAATTCTTCACTCGAACCGTTTACATCAGCGAATAAACCCATTGTTCAATGCAAAGTGCAAACAGTGAAACATGAACTTAAATAAACTGGACTAGACCCATCACATCCAACAGGATCTATTTAGATTTACAGCATTTAATAAAGTATAAGTCAGAATTCACAATATCTTAAACTGTGCTGTTTCCTAAGATCAAGTAACAGCCAAGTCAGTGTAATTTTATGAAACCTGTAATGGCCACATTTGTTGTGTCTCCGATGTATTTCTATAATTGCATTAACAGGAAAAAACTTAATCCAATATACCAGTGACTTTGAGTCTTAAATGTTGCAAGCAAAGGATAAAAATTCAAGGGAATTTTGTCAGATATGGTTACTTTCACATTTTCAGTTGTTACTTGATTGTCTCCAAAGCCGTATATGTATCAGACATATAAATGTAGTAAAAAAAAAAAAAAAAAAAATAGAAAACCTCTACTATAAAAACCAATGAACTAAAAAGAAGTATAAAGCAGAAAAACCATTTGAATCAGGCTCAGCTCTTCATCTGGAAAGTAAAGTTTATATAAAAGTAGTAAAAACTAGATATTTTATAAAAATTATTGGTAGTTCAAGGATAGCACAGTGGCAATATGAATCGAGTCTTAAAATATGCATCATTTCAGAAAACACTTGCCCCTCTTAAAAAAAAAAAAACCCAAAACTAAACAACAACAACAAAAACCTCCAGGAAAAAACAATCAGGTATACACAATTAACACAAGAATAGCAAACTTCTTTGGGAAAATGAAATAGTTACCAAAAACATCTCTCTTAAAGCTTCAAACAGGTATATTACTTGAGGAAAAGTATATTCTCTGTGTACTAAGGATGAATTAAAAAATCAACTGGTTTGCTCTCTTCCCACCTGAAAAGGGATGACTGCATTAATATATGTGCTTTCCACATCCATATATGTTTTAATAAAAGTCTACCATCTATGTCTTTTGTTTCAAACATTTTGAAACAAAATATGTATTGATTCTTCAATGAATGAAATCACGCCTCAAAGTTTGGAGAAGGAAAAGCCAGTGAAAATAAGGCCAAAAAACCATACCACAAAAGGACAGGAAGCCTGCAGAAATAAACAGTTCTCTTTCTGAAGCGATGTTTTAGAATACTGATATAATTCATGGAAACAAGAAAACAAATACTGTTCATCTTTATTCAAATTGAGTGAATTCTGGCAACATCATAATCTGGTGGCTCAGGCCAACAGAAGTGACTAGAACTTTATGGAAAAGTACTGTTCAACATTAAATCTACAAACAAAGGTTTATGGAAGAGGGAATGTCAAATTTATGTATTTTTATCATATGGTGAGCTGCTCATGTCGTCTTGACAGTCTGAAGGCTTTAAAAGATGGTTTTACATTGTTAGCTAATAAATTACAGATGATTTCTATTTTGCCATGTCTAAAACTAGCTCTGGGCAGGTATGAACAAGTGGTGACATGGAAGCTGCCAGGAGGTATCAAAAACAAGGCATGAATATTCATTTGCTAGTAAGCTATAATGTCTGTTCCCTAGGTGACATATAGGACTACTCAAACCTCTTACCACACAAAGTGCACGATCACGCAGTCCTGAAAAATACACGTTAGGTTTATATTTTGTGTAACAGTTTATGGAAAACTGAAATGAAAAATTATTTTTTCTGACTAAAAATATAAAATACCTTGAGACTCAAGAAAAATGTATATGTTTGTGAATGTATAAAACCAAAAAGGACAAATTCTGGTTACTTTTTAAAGAGGTAATTTATATTACTTCTGAGTGAATAATTTTGCCTTTCACTGTGATAAATATAAGTGGGTCATGTTTACAGTATTCCCTTAGAAGCCTTCAACTTTTCATAACTCTCCTAGGAAAAATCCCATTGCAAATAAAGTTGGGGGTGGGAGAAGAATCTCCTTTAAAGCTTTCAAATCATAAAGTTGTTCCTGTTTACACATTGAGGAGCATACTTAAAGGACATGAAGGGATCTGAATTCATGAGACTAAGGCAAGCATCACTCATCAGAAATACTCAAACATTTTATAAACACAAGAATGGGGCAAGACACCAAAGGGCCTCAAGTGGAACACGCAAGGATGAGACCAGGCCATATACTGTGAAGCATTAAAGCTCTAAAGAGTGTCACAAAGTGAAAAAGCAATCCCCCTGCTCATTACAAGTCAGAAAATCCCAGCTACAGATCTTAAGATGGATAAGTGGATATGGCTGCAATAAAAACAATGCTTATATCACTAATTATTAAAAAAAATCCAGAAAAGAATATAGGAATAGAAGAGGAAATCATGATAGTACCCATCTTTCACAAACAGACTAGAATTTCAAGCCATTAGGTATTTCAAGAACAGTACCGTGCGTTATTGCCAGTCAGGCTTACAGAGCCATCTCGAGTTCATTAATGTACCTGCAGCATTGGTAATAAATACTCTGTGATTTTTAATTTCTCTGAAGTGCATTATAGGGAGCTTTTTCTGTATTAAAAATAGTGTTCTACAGTAGTATCAAACAGGACATTTGAAATTTAACAGGCGAGCAGTAACTGTGCCACCATAACACCTTAAAGCAAGATGGCAAGATTAGTAGTTTCCTGTACCTCAGTCACCACATTTTCCCCAACCACTTCAGTGACAGTTATGTAATACATTCTATATATTACTACCACTAATAATTAAAAAAAAAAGGCCATGTGCTTTAAAACGATGCTTTGTAAAAAGCAGCATCATCTTCAAAGGATTTCTTTAAAAACATCACATTCCCCATCCCTTCCTGCTCCTGATACTTCTTGTGTGCTCTGTGGCACCTGGTACACCAATTCGTCTGGGGCAGGTAGACCTGGCTTCCCAGCTTTCGGGGTATCATACTGGGCCTGGGCTGAGGAGCAGCTGTCAGTCCTGGAGAGAAGTGTATTGTAAGTTCCCACTAGTGGGGGAGGTTGGTTCCCCGTAGCCTTGAAAGTGGATGTGGAGGGCTGACCAACTGAAGTTGTGGGGTGCCCTGACATGTCCATGATGATTGGGGTTGCATACTCAGGCCCCGTAATTGGGAGTGGTTCAGCATAGGCATGATAAACTTCCTGCCCTGGTGAGTTGTAAGGATCTAGGTCTGCATAGCCTGCTTCTTTTCCTTCTTCTGGTTTAAAGGTAGATCTTTGATGAAGTGTACCAACAATTCCTCCTACCAGTGGCTGAGCATACTCTGTGGATATCACAAAACAACAGAAAAGTCATTTTACTAGTAAAGAGATTGCATAATTTAGGGTGGCAGCTGCAGATTATACTAAAAGCAAACATTCTTTAGGATACTTTTGTTGCCATCAATACTTAATCTGTAAGAACTTTGAAAATTAAAATTAAACATACTGTCTAGTACTTCTCATAGTAATAATATACCAGAAAGTCTCATTCATGTAATTTTGCATATAGAATTTTCACATATGTTCTTTAGATTTACAGACAACATATTTCTTTACTGAATATTTCCTTTCTGAATTATTTTCAGAATATTTCATTGGAAAAGAAACATTCAGTTACTGGAATAAATATTAATCTTGAAAAATAATTTCAGAGATTTTTTTCAAATATTAGGAAATGTTTAAAATAAGTATGTACTAGGCTAAGAGGATAAACACTGTAAGGCTTCTTCTGTCTTTCCCGCTCTCCTCTCAACATCTCGGGTCTCCCCACAAGCCTCAGTTAACATACATAATGCCCAGAGTCTTTAGAAATCAATGTCCCAACTTTACAGACAGAATATCCAAGATACAGAAATGACTCTCTGAAGAGTCACCTTTTAAAAAAGTGGTTCTACCTTTAGGAAACAATTCATTTCTTAAACATGAAAGGGATCAAAGAACTGTAAATCCCAAAGCACTTTATAGCAAGCCTAAGCAGTTTCTCCCTCTGCCTGGTACCAGAAGGCTGCAACATAGTTACCTGCAGAGTCAGCCTGCAGCACTGTGGTGACTTCTCTTGGACTCAGGTGATTAACTTCGCTGCTGCTATAGCGAACTGGGGTTTCCTCATGGTCCACTGCTTTTGCAGGAAGAAACTGCTTCATTCCTTTCCACCAACCTTCATTGTGACGGCAAGCCAAAGAGACCATTAAATAAAAACCTGTATCTCAAACAGTAGTATCAAGAGAAAAATCCTGTTGCATTTAAGCCATTTCTATAACAAATATCTCTACAAACTTGCCTTTATAATCCAACTTTTTTTTTTTTTTTTGCTGTGATAGACTATCCAGCACCAAGCAGTACATGGTAGAAATCTCTATCAAACACATGCAGGCAAATCACTGTTAGTATAGTACAGCCAGATACAGTATCTATTTTAGGGGTGGCCTTAATTACATTTTTCCCAAAAAATATTTTCCAAGATCTACCCTGGGGCACTAGCTGCCCTTTTCTATCCTAGCCACAGCAGTGAACTCTCCTGGCTCCTAAGAGCTGATCCAGTAGTGAGACTGGGAAGTGAGAAACTGGTAGGGGGGCCCCTTTGGTGTCACTTGCAGCAATTCAGAAGATGACAACTCATCATGGGAGACCTCCCGATTCCTAAACTGCTGGACTCCACTTGGTGAATAACCATGGCAGAGGACAAACACACACTGTGTCCTGGAGACCACAGTCTTTTGTTTCTTACTCAGTGTTCACGTGGGCCACAGAAAGCCGGTCTCCTCATGAGAAACAGATACACAGGACAAACTACACAAGTTTTCCAGAAGAAAAAGAACAGAGCTTGTTTTAAGAAATTTGTACTTTTCATTTCATTACTTAGGAATTACAAGAGACTTTGCAGAAGGGTAAAAATGGTGAGAACTGAAGAGTAATGCCATTGTTCTAACAGTGTCGGGGAGTTCACCTGGGCCAGAGAATGACTCTTTTTTCACTACTGCCCCCTGTAGGGGAGCGACATCCCTCTGATAGAAATGAGATGCAAAGACCACGTGAGTTACCTGCCCGGTCCCAGTAAGGTAAGTCATAGGTGCCTTCAGTTTTTTTCTTTCTGGAAAAATACAGAAGAGAAGTTAGCAAACAGAGTAAATTCACTGGTAAGCCTGCTCCCCCTACCCCATGACAGGCCTTGGTATGTGATATTCCCCTTCCTGTGTCCAAGTGTTCTCATTGTTCAATTCCCACCTATGAGTGAGAACATGCGGTGTTTGGTTTTTTGTCCTTGGGACAGTTTGCTGAGAATGATGGTTTCCAGCTTCATCCATGTCACTACAAAGGACAGGAACTCATCATTTTTTATGGCTGCATAGTATTCCATGGTGTATATGTGCCACATTTTCTTAATTCAATCTATCATTCATGGACATTTGGGTTGGTTCCAAGTCTTTGCTATTTTGAATAGTGCTGCAATGAACATACGTGTGCATGTGTCTCTATAGCAGCATGATTTATAATCCTTTGGGTATATACCCAGTAATGGGATGGCTGGGTCAAATGGTATTTCTAGTTCTAGATCCCTGAGGAATCACCACACTGTCTTCCACAATGGTTGAACTAGGTTACAGTCCTACCAACAGTGTAAAAATGTTCCTATTTCTCCACATCCTCTCCAGCACCTGTTGTTTCCTGACTTTTTAATGATCACCATTCTAACTGGTGTGAGATGGTATCTCATTGTGGTTTTGATTTGCATTTCTCTGATGGCCAGTGATGATGAGCATTTTTTCATGTGTTTGTTGGCTGCATAAATGTCTTCTTTTGAGAAGTGTCTGTTCATATCTTTCGCCCACTTGTTGATGGGGTTGTTTTTTTTTCTTGTAAATTTGTTTGAGTTCTTTGTAGATTCTGGATATTAGCCCTTTGTCAGATGAGTAGATTGCAAAAATTTTCTCCCATTCTGTAGGTTGCCTGCTCACTTTGATGGTAGTTTCTTTTGCTGTGCAGAAGCTGTTTAGTTTAATTAGATCCCATTTGTCAATTCTGGCTTTTGTTGCCATTGTTTTTGGTGTTTTAGACATGAAGTCCATGTCTGTGTCCTGAATGGTATTGCCTAGGTTTTCTTCTAGGGTTTTTATGGTTTTAGGTCTAACATTTAAGTCTTTAATCCATCTTGAATTAATTTTTGTATAAGGTGTAAGGAAGGGATCCAGTTTCAGCTTTCTACATATGGCTAGCCAGTTTTCCCAGCACCATTTATTAAATAGGGAATCCTTTCCCCAGTTCTTGTTTTTGTCAGGTTTGTCAAAGATCAGATGGTTGTAGATGTGTGGTATTATTTCTGAGGGCTCTGTTCTGTTCCATTGGTCTATATCTCTGTTTTGGTCCCAGTATCATGCTGTTTTGGTTACTGTAGCCTTGTAGTATAGTTTGAAGTCAGGTAACGTGATGCCTCCAGCTTTGTTCTTTTGGCTTAGGATTGTCTTGGCAATGTGGGCTCTTTTTTGGTTCTATATGAACTTTAAAGTAGTTTTTTCCAATTTTGTGAAGAAAGTCATTGGTAGCTTGATGGGGATGGCATTGATCTATAAATTACCTTGGGCAGTATGGCCATTTTCACGATATTGATTCTTCCTATCCATGAGCATGGAATGTTCTTCCATTTGTTTGCGTCCTCTTTTATTTCATTGAGCAGTGGTTTGTAGTTCTCTTTGAAGAGGTCCTTCACATCCCTTGTAAGTTGGATTCCTAGGTATTTTATTCTCTTTGAAGCAATTGTGAATGGGAGTTCACTCATGATTTGGCTCTCTGTCTGTTATTGGTGTATAAGAATGCTTGTGATTTTTGTACATTGATTTTGTATCCTGAGACTTTGCTGAAGTTGCTTATCAGCTTAAGAAGATTTTGGGCTGAGATGATGGGGTTTTCTAAATATACAATCATGTCATCTGCAAACAGGGAAAATTTGACTTCCTCTTTTCCTAATTGAATACCCTTTATTTCTTTCTCTTGCCTGACTGCCCTGGCCAGAACTTCCAACACTATATTGAATAGGAGTGGTGAGAGAGGGCATCCCTGTCTTGTGCCAGTTTTCAAAGGCAATGCTTCCAGTTTTTGCCCATTCAGTATGATATTGGCTGTGGGTTTGTCATACATAGCTCTTATTATTTTGGGATACGTCCCATCAATACCTAATTTATTGAGAGTTTTTAGCATGAAGGGTTGTTGAATTTTGTCAAAGGCCTTTTCTGCATTTATTGAGATAATCATGTAGTGTTTGTCTTTGGTTCTGTTTATATGCTGGATTACGTTTATTGATTTGCATATGTTGAACCAGCCTGGCATCCCAGGGATGAAGCCCACTTGATCACAGTGGATAAGCTTTTTGACGTGCTGCTGGATTCGGTTTGCCAGTATTTTACTGAGGATTTTTGCATCGATTTTCATCAGGGATATTGGTCTAAAATTCTCTTTTTTTTGTTGTGTCTCTGCCAGGCTTTGGTATCAGGATGATGCTGGCCTCATAAAATGAGTTAGGGAGGATTCCCTCTTTTTCTATTGATTGGAATACTTTCAGAAAGAATGGTACCAGCTCCTCCTTGTACCTCTGGTAGAATTCGGCTATGAATCCGTCTGGTCCTGGACTTTTTTTGGTTGGTAGGCTATTAATTATTGCCTCAATTTCAGAGCCTGTTATTGGTCTATTCAGGGATTCAACTTCTTCCTGGTTTAGTCTTGGGAGGGTGTATGTGTCCAGGAATTTATCCATTTCTTCTAGATTTTCTAGTTTATTTGCATAGAGGTGTTTGTAGTATTCTCTGATGGTAGTTTGTATTTCTGTGGGATCGGTGGTGATATCCCCTTTATCATTTTTTATTGCATCTATTTGATTCTTCTCTCTTTTCTTCTTTATTAGTCTTGCTAGCAGTCTATCAATTTTGTTGATCTTTTCAAAAAACCAGCTCCTGGATTCACTGATTTTTTGAAGGGTTTTTTGTCTCTATCTCCTTCAGTTCTGCTCTGATCTTAGTTATTTCTTGACTTCTGCAGCTTTTCAATGTGTTTGCTCTTGCTTCTCTAGTTCTTTTAATTGTGATGTTAGGGTGTCAATTTTAGAACTTTCCTGCTTTCTCTTGTGGGCATTTAGTGCTATAAATTTCCCTCTACACACTGCTTTGAATGTGTCCCAGAGATTCTGGTATGTTGTGTCTTTGCTCTCATTGGTTTCAAAGAAAATCTTTATTTCTGCCTTCATTTCATTATGTACCCAGTAGTCATTCAGGAGCAGGTTGTTCAGTTTCCATGTAGTTGAGTGGTTTTGAGTGAGTTTCTTAATCCTGAGTTCTTGTTTGATTGAACTGTGGTCTGAGAGACAGTTTGTTATAATTTCTTTTCTGTTACATTTGCTGATGAGTGCTTTACTTTCAACTATGTGGTCAATTAAAAATATGGAACGCTTCATGAATTTGCGTGTCATCCTTGCACAGGGGCCATGCTAATCTTCTCTGTGTCGTTCCAATGTTAGTATATGTGCTGCCGAAGTGAGCACCACAAATGTGGTTTTCATAAAAAGCCCAAGCCATGTGCTTTTCCTACTGGGAAACATTCTCCAGTATAAGACTATATTTTTGATACTAAATGCATCCTCATTTTAAAGCGTAGGTATACTTATTTCATTATTTCAAAGTACAGCATAATAAAAAATTTGTGGAAAAGATAATGAGTGTTGAAGATGTTAATGAAACACTTGAATGGAAAAGAAATAAAAAAAAATACTGATTAAACACCTTTCTCCCTGAAAATGCTCTAATCATCACATGATTTAGAAATAAAAAAATAAATAAATCATCTTTTCTAAATAGAAGTTAGATGCCCTATATTGCTAGGACAACAAATTTATGGCATCAATATTAGCCATAGGTTGTACTATAAAGGATTTTATACACATAAGTGACAAAGCTTCTGGTTACTTATTCATTACGTATAAAGTGCTTAGAATGAGCTCTGGATTCAATAAGCTGCAGCTGTTTTTATTATCATTCTCATCCTCCCTATTTTCCACAGCATATTAATGGTATCTGCTCCTTTACTCCTTGTCATAAAGCCACACTCATCAGTGATTTCAACTACGTTCCTAACAGTAACTTCAATTCTCCAGCTCAGATCGTGTCCTTAACGCCAGGTGTGTGGTCGAATTGCCTCAGGAGTCTGGATGTCCACAGGGTCCTTTCAACACCATCCCAAACTGACCTCAGGCTCTGTCTGACTTCTGCCCTCTCAACAGCGGCACTCCTCAGTCCTCCCCCTCACACCCTGTGCTTTAATAACAGTGAGTTATACTTTATTTATTATGTGTTCAGAGCAGCAGTGGGTAAGAGCACGATCTCTCAAGTCTGGTCCAAAACTCCCCTCTGCCCATGTACTAGGCAATAACTAGGCAGGTTATTTATGCCCATAAACTAGGCAAGTTATTTGCCCATAACTAGGCAAGTTATTTATGTTGTGTCTCATTTTCTCCTTCTGTAAAACGGGGCTTATTATAGTGCCTGCTTCGTAGATTGTTTTGAGGATTAAATTAATTAATTCAGGTATTTAGAATAATTTGCGTAGAGGTGCATGTTGTCAAGACTGGGCATGTGGTGGTAACTGCAGAAGCTTTTGCAGATACACAAAAGCTTGTTACACTATGCATTCCATCTGTGTAGAGATGTGAAACTTTCCTAAATTTTTAAATCACTAAAATAAAATTGAAAATAGAAAATACAGGTATTTGGAATAATTATGTAGAATAGTGACTAAGATTAGCATTCAATTTTCTATAAAAATTAGCTTCTGCTGCTGCGGGCCTCATCACTACTATCACTGTTGTTGCTAAGTTCCTTAAATGCATCATACTCTCTCCTCTTTGGAATTTCCTAAAGTCCTTTCCTTTCCCTATTGTTCTCATACTAATTTGCTGTGTCTCTGCTTAGACAGCCTGTTCATGAAGCTGGGATCCACTAGCTTCCTCCCATGGCATATATTCTATGGCTGGTGTTACAGCTGGGAGTTTTTTTTGCATTGCATCCGTTCCTAATCTGTAAGCTTTGGGGTTCATCACTGGAATCCCCAGCACATGGCTCAATACTTGACATAGGGTAACAGCCAAATATTCAAATACTTGTTGCATGGCTGAACAAATGAAGTCATTTTCATTCTCCACCAAACCTGTCCTTCCTGCTGTGTTATCTCAACTCATGACACCTCTACTGGTCTAACTGCACAAGCCAGAAACCTCAGATTCCTCCTGTATCACTTCTTCCTTACTAGACAACTAGTCATACATCCTGTCAATGCTACTGGGAAACATCTCCACTCCATCTCTTCTCCCTTTCCTAGAATCAGTGTGTTATGTGCCTGCCTGGCCTCAGTGGTTTCCTAACTCATCTTGCTAAGTCTCTCAGCCTCTCTCCTCTTCAATCTACCCTTCAAAACTGCCACCATCTTTGTACAATCATCTGACAATATCACCTCTTTGCTTGACACTCAAGTGACTTTCCATCTATAGAATGAAATCTAAATTTCTCTCTTCCAGAAAAGCCTTTCCTGATCCAGGCCCAGACTGAACCTCTATGGTTATTTCTCAGGACTCTCCCACGCCAAGCGTACATGCGATGACTCACTATTTTGCCTACATTCCATATCTCTGTGCCTTCACTCAAACAATTGGCTCAGGTTGGGCCATTTGCTAGTGCTATGGTCTGAATATTTGCATCTCTCCAAAATTCATATGTTGAAATCCTAACCCCCGTTAGAAAGTGGGGCTTTGGTAAGTGATTAGGTCATGAAGGCAGAGTCCTCATGAATGGGATTGGTGCCCTTACAGGAAAGGCCTGAGAGAGCGTGTTTATCCCTTCCACCATGAGAGGATCGGGCAAGAAGGCACTGTTGATGAATGAGCCAGACGGCAGGCCCTCACTAGTCATAGTATCTGCAGTGTTTTGATCTTGGACTTCTCAGCCTCCAGAACTGTGAGAAATCAATTCTATTATTTATGTCACCCAGGTTATGGTATTTTCTTACAGCATCCCAAACAAAGACATCTACCTTCCTCTATCTAGCCAACTACAATTCCTTTAAGGCAAAGCAAGCCAAACTTGAGGAGTCCCCTTTCCCGAAGAAAAAACTTCAGTTAATTCTCATGGTTCATAACTCATCAAACCACATGATATAGTTCCTTGTTAGTCAACCCTGCTAAACACTTCAGAGAAAGGAATTGTGTCTCATTCTTTAAGTAAATGTAACTATCATGTGTCAGAAATTGTTCATATTAATGTACATATCCCAGTGTATAATGCAGAACTTGATACAAAAAAGGTACTTAGTAACTGATTGTGGAATTGAACTTATTTATTTTTAATGGGAATAAAGGAGAAGCATGAAATTTTCATTTTAATAATTACCTTAACTCTCACTCTCAAACAGGTAAACATTTTCATCTTCTATATTTAGCTTCTACTTCACATTTGGTAGTTTTGGACTCAGGTGAACTAGTTATGTACTAACCTGTTTCTCCAGTGCCAAGCACACACTAATATGAGAATGAGAGTAGTGAGGACCATGACCAGCACAGGGACAAGAACTGCAGCCAGCGCTACATCTGAAGTTACAAAGACAAAAACAGACAAACAAAAGCCATATTAACACCAAAGGCAGAAATCACTAGGGAAAATTAACCACATCATCTTTCAACATTTTTCTACCTCACGGAAATACCATAAACATTATTTGTCAAGACTGGGCATGTGGTGGTAACTGTAGAAGCTTTTGCAGATACACAAAAGCTTGTTACACTATTCATTCCATCTGTGTAGAGATGTGAAATTTTCCTAAATTTTTAAATCACTAAAATAAAATTGAAAGACAAATGAAAAATTGGGAAAATATATTTTCTACATATGAGAAGAGTTACTTTAAATAATTATTATATTGTAGGGCATTACAAGCCAAATCCAAACATTTAAGAGAAAAATCAGCAGAGATTAACTAGTAATACATTAAAAAATACAAGTAACCATTAAATATGTTAACTTCACTAGTAATCAAAGAAATACAAGTTAAACAACCAACACAAAAAAAGTTAAAACAACAAAATACTACTTTTGCTAATCAAAGTGGCAAATATTTAAAACAACAACTAATTGATGAACAGGCTACCAGGAAACAGTTATTTTTTAATGGAAATATAAACTGATGCTATCTCACTGATTGGCATTTTTGGGCAATATGTACAAAAATCTATTGGCAATTCCATTCCTAGAATTTATTCTCAGAAACTAAAAAAAGATGCATCCTTAAAGATGTTCTCCCTGTTTCTGCGTAAGAGTGAAAAATTGGAAATAATCCAAATGCCCAAAAATGAGAGGGAATAAATCATGGTATCCTCCTTACAAGAGAAAATAATCCAGCAATTGAAATGACGTTACATCATAATGGCAAAACATTCATATATATATATATGGGAAGGTAACAATGTGGTGTTAAGAAAGTCAATTGGAAATGTGTGTGTGACCAGGTCAGAAGCCAGCATAATGCTGGAACTGGGAGAGATTTAGGGATCATTTAATCCCCTAATTTCACTCCAGAGATAAGGAATTCTGGGCCCAGATATAGAAAATGATCTGCCTAAGGTCACTTGGGATATTAGTTTCTTCCTTTGTCGCTCAACCCCCTACTTGCCATGAAGATGATAATAGCAGCACCTGCTGATATTTACTGGGGGCTCAGAGCCGGACACTGCAATGAGTCTAACCTGCACCATCTTCTTTATTCCTTAAAACAACTGTATCCAAAAGAGAGAAAGAGGCTGAAGATACAGGAGGGGGAGAGGATAATCAGTAAGATTGGGTCCCTGAGAGGTAGATCGAGGGGAACCAGGGCACAGGTGATATAATCAGCCTTGGGCAACATAAGGAAGCCCCCTTTTCACTGCAGTGAACAGAGGATACAGATAGGTTTGTAGGCTCCACAAAAAGGGAGTTTCACTGGAAGGAAACTCCCTACTTTCTCTGTGAAGTTGGAGCGGTAACTGAGAGTGGGTGAAGATATCTGGGTGAAGGGCTTGAAAATAAGGGGAATATGTAAAATAGCTACAGTTGAGAACAGACAGAAGAGCTACTGCAGCCTTTCAGAAGGTCAGCCAGCTGGTGCCACGGGCCCCACTGAGGGAGGACCTGGAAACTACAGAGGCACAAATCTGACCATGACATAATCTTTTCCATGAAATCACTCTCAGCCTGGCTGTAAAAATGGAGAAGTCCATAAACAGAAATAATGACTTAGACTAGAAAGCACTCAGAATTCACAACGGTAAATGTGCTTTTTCCATAAGATTAGTGAGACAAGAGAAGATAATCAAGTTTAGATGGATGCTGTGTGATTTAATCAGAGGCTTTAAAACATCTTCTTAGGTTCAAAAAATAAATTTATATACTACCATCCCCCTAAAAAAGAGACAGGAGGTCTCTGAGAAGACCAACTCATTCTTTGTTATTCTTTTTGGGCATACAGGGATCCTAATTCTGGAAGGAAATTATTTAAGGACTCTTTTTAGCCTTGAGGGTCTGAGATGCAATCAGATTTTAAGATGAGCAACACTTTTCAGTGACTGATCTCCATCCAGGCATGTGGTCTGGGATTCTGCCTTAGTACATGCCTTCTGACAACTGGTAAGCAGTTAAAAGATGCTGAGATCTCCTGCCTCTGAGAACCCTTGATTCTCTCTAGCTGTACCTGCAGCATGAGAAAGTAATTCATCTTTGTGAAAATACTTCAGAAGATGGGAAAGAACCAACATGGGGAAAGTCAGAGAAAGTTATCTGAATCCAGGCAAACTTTCAAAAAATGAGAATGACTGAAGTTCTATGTGGCACAAATTACTTTGGATGAACGGCTTTCTCTCTCTGCACTTTCCTGAAAACAAGGAAGCTTTTTATGTGACAACTCTGATACTTAGTCTACTATGACACTGACACTTTTTTGAATTCAATTGAAATTTTGTTTTTCAACAACTAGTAAGACTACTATGTTTTATGTATTTTGAGACCTTATTTATCACTGATAACAAAACTTGAAAGTAAATTCTAATAAATTTCTATTTATGATCTTAAAAAATATAATTGCAAACACTTAAAAAGAGACCAAAGTTTTTTTTTATGAATATGTTAACTATGAGTATTTTTTAACAATTACTAGTTTCTACTAAAAGTTCTGTTTTTATTTTCCCCTTTTTGCCATCAAGTTCCCTATCCATCAAATTAATATATTATCAAGGGAAACAAGTTTGTTTCCTGCTATGATTTCAGTTATTTCTAGAAAATATTGTATTTCTAAGCCTGAGAGTCAACATGTTTAGCTGTAAGGAACAATAAATCACAAGAGGAGGCCTGCAACACAGTGGCCTTCTCTAAATATTTAAAGAGCAATTCTACATGGCAGCAGAGACTACAACTTAGATCAATGCAGTCTTTTCCTATGAAAGAAAATAAATTTTTTTTTTTGCTATACTTAAAAACTATAGTTGGAAGAAAATAAACTGAAGGTTTAAAAATGCCCGTGAAAACTTCAGTTAAGAACAAAACAATACTATGTACTAGGCGTTCATTTCCATGTTTGCATACCTTTGGTTACATTTGGAGTTACGGTAGTATTTCTGATATCAGGACTGGCAGTTGTTTGTTCTGTCTGTGCAGGAAATTCATTGCTACTGCGAGGTTGTAGTGGTTGCGTAAATTTTGGGGCACGACCTTTAAAAAAGTTTCAAAAGCTCTTTACTTTTTAATCTGTACCAACTTGATTAACATAAACTTATTTGATAATGCTTTTAATATATTTTTGGAAAGTTGCACCATAAATCCAAGGAATATCAAATTCTCACATTAAAAACAGGCATACCTTTGGCTATTTTTGGAGGGGCTGTAGTGTTTTTGAGGTCATTGCTGTTCCGAGGAGGTGGAGGTTGAGTAAGTTTTGGAGGACGACCTTGAAAAATGGTTTAGAAAAATTTAAACATTTTGTTTTTAAAAATCATAATTAAAAATAGTAATGCTAAATGTCTTCAATATTTCCTAAAGTATTTAATTCTGCAGAATAATTTTAACTCTCAGAGAGAAATATATTGGAAGGATAAATATTATACTCTGCAATAAAGGCACAAATATGCCAGGATTTCTCAGTTTTTAAATAATTAAATCATCTGAAAATAATCTTAGGAAGAAGAATAATGGGGTGGAAAGTGATGTTGAATGCTAAAGCTATAAAGGAGTCATCCACATTTTGATACAGTACTTATTCAATTCATTTAATAGTTATTTATGGAGGGCCAACGATGTGTCAGGCACTGTGGTAGCCTTTGGGCGTACAAAAGTAAACAGTATATTAAAATGTATAATATTGAGATAAATTATTCTTGCTTTAAATGTATTGTTACAATCTTTCATGCTTATGTTAAACAAATATTACAGTACATGACACCTGATTTAAAATTATTAGGATTGAGATTAAATTTGGAAAGTGATCTCATTTACATTATCTTATGAATGATGCTATTTCTTCTTCCACTTATAATTTTGGAAACCATTCTTATAACTAACTTTTTAATAGGGTAACCATTTTTTTTAACATCCCTTTAAGAAGATATTGTAATTAGAGTTTAACCAGAAAGACACTCACATTATTAATTACTCTCTCTGAGAACAGCAAAACCATTTTAAATTGGCAATCCAGTAAAAACATATCTTAAACGAACTGTCTCTTTACCTTTAGGAATAAACTGACATCCGAGCAGCTCCATTTTCATGGCAATTTTCTGCTGCCATTGGGTAGGATTCACTCTAATAAAACGTGCAATAATTGGTGGCAAAAAGTTATTACGCACATCCTGGTGATAATCTTTGTTTCCTTGAAATATCTTTAAAAAAACAACAAAAAATTGGTACTTCAAATCAATAGAGGTCAGGGCTAAATTTCTCCACTTAAACATGTTTTTGTTCTTT
Organism: Homo sapiens; assembly: GCF_000001405.40. Classification (NCBI taxonomy): domain Eukaryota; kingdom Metazoa; phylum Chordata; class Mammalia; order Primates; family Hominidae; genus Homo; species Homo sapiens. Next base: position 98,812,568 of record NC_000003.12, read on the forward strand.
GCTCTAGGCCTTAAATTACATCTGGAAAGTATGATAATAAGGATCAATTTTTAAGAAAATAATCATAATTTGGAAAAATATTAAGATGCTGCACATTTTTATCAAAAGTTTATGAAACAAAAATATTTAATATAGAAATGATTTTAAGATGATTTAAGAACTTAACAAGAGGGCTAACTTGGCATTTGGGTAAAAGGTTTCAAATCCAGTGAGACAATTTATCCTATTAGTAAATCAGTAACTCTAGTCCTGTGGAATTACCAACTATTTAAATATATTAATTTTTATTTTTAAAGTAAAACAAAATTGATCATGCCAAGTCTTAGGGGAAATATTTTGCTTGTGTACTTTTCATAATTTTTCTCTCAACAGGCTGAAGGTGAACATATACTAACAAACATATAACAGATATATACCTCCACCTACTGGATAAACTGCATAAAGACAGTTCTCCTATTATCCCGGTTTTTGTTCCATGCTGCTATTTAAACTAGAAGTGACTTTGAAATGCTATTTTATGCTTAAATTATTAATTATTTTTAGAGATAGAGTCTTGCTCTGTCATCCAAGGAATGCATTGGCGGGATCATAGCACAATACAGCCTAGAACTCCTGGGCTCAAAAGATCCTCCCACCTCAGCCTCCTGAGTAGCTAGGACTACAGAGGCGCATGCCAACATGTGTGGCAATATTTACTTATTTATTTAGAAAAGAGGTCTCGCTTTGTTGCCCAGGCTAGTGTGCAGTGGCGCAATCTTGGCTCACTGCAACCTCTTCCTCCCAAGTTCAAGCAACTCTCCTGCCTCAGCCTCCTGAGTAGCTGGGATTACAGGTGTGCACCAACACGCCCGGCTAATTTTTGCATTTTTAGTAGAGACAGGGTTTTACCATGTTGACCTCAAGGGATCCACCTGCCTCAGCCTCCCAAAGTGCTGAGATTACAGGAATGAGCCACTGCACCTGGTGATTTTTTATTTTTGTAGAAAGGGGTCTTGCTATGCTGTTCAGGCTGGTCTCAAACTCCTGTCCTCAAGTATACTCACACCTAGACCTCCCCCAAAATGCTGGAATTACAGGTGTGAGCTACCACGCCTGGCCTGTGACTAATTTAATGCTTGTAACTAACTAGCAACAAATGCATTATAAAAATAATCCCTAGGTAAAAATATGAGTTTAGGTGAGTCTCATTCCCTTAACTACTTCAAGCAAATAATGATAGTATCTTACAATGGACCAGCACTTAATTATTTATAAAACATTTTAATGTAACTAATTCAGACAACCCTATGAAATAGGAGGGCACAGGAATCTGTAAGTGGATTGCACAGCTAGTCAATGACAGGGCAGCAACTTGACTCTGGGTCTTCCGACTTAAGTATGGACTCCAATAAGCTAAAAAGAGCCCTGTTTGTTCTCTAGGTCAGATCAACTAGGTAGTTTCTAAAGACCATTAATAAGCATATATTGCCTAAAATCAAAGTGATTTTTTTTCTAATCAGCTAAGATGAGATTAAGTAAATGTTTAACTTCTCAATCAAGCTATTTCCAAGTATTGTGGCTCTATTTCTTCTTGGCTAATTCACTTGGCATTAGACTATAAATCTCGAAAGATGTGTTAATATCCTTCATTTCCTAAAAAGTTTGTTTTGCAGTTACAATAACTTCCATACTAGTGAGCTCCCGTGATTTCCTCAGATATTACTCTGAAATAAAATGAAAGGCAATTATTTTCATTCTTACTATATTAGTGGAACAGGGACGATAACAAATCATTACTTTAACACATAAAAACTATCTTTAAGATATTCCTCTATATTGCTGTCTCAATTTTATAAAAACTGAGTAAAAAAGATTTGCTATAGTCAACCTATGAGCATTTACTGAGAATCCTCATGTACAGAGAAGTATGTGAGGTGTCATGAAGAGAAAATGGATATGGTTGCTACAGTTCCCACCCTCAAGAAACTTAAATTTTATTGATTACCACACATAAATATGGCATAATGTTAGAAAGTGATATATTATGAAAACAAATTGTATATATATATATAAATCCCATTTTCTAAAAACAAAACCAAATGCAGTCTCTGCGTACTCATGCACATGTGCAGGCTCAGAAAAGGGGTAAAATGAATACACCAATTACCCTTGGGTTGGAGGTGATGAGGGAGCAGATGGACTTACATGAGCGGGAAAAGACTGTTAATTCATACAATTCAATGTGAAGATTTGCATTTCTGACCATAAGAGTAACGGATTAGACTTATTGTTCAGCCCTATACGTACCTGAGAAACTGGATAACAGGCTGCCTTGGGCAATAATGACGGAAAGAAGGGAAACAAATAAGGTGAACCCTGCTATTTATTGCCCCAGTACTGTCTATAGAAGAGTTTCCAGGCCACAGTGCAGGGAGAGAGATCCCTAACAGAGCCTGCCGGTCTCACTGAGTTGCAGAGACAGAGCTGAGAGTGGGAGGCCAATAAGGTAGCTAGAATTTGTAGGCAGAGATTAGGAGAGAAGAGAGCTATAAAGATAGAGTGAGTGAGAGAGAGAGAGAGAGACACTTCTAGAATATATAAGGAGTTATCCCTTAAATCTTCAGCTGCATGTAAAGAAATGACCTATGGCCAGTAAAAGAAACACTGGAATGAGTCAGCAGGACAAGTCTCACAGCTCCGTAGATCTGGGAATTCCTTACACTGCCAAGAGGTAGAACAGAGAAACCTCATAATACATGGGATGCTGCAGTGAGTACTTAGAACAGTATTGTCTCAGTGGGGGAGAAAAATAAGAAAACTGAAGGCTGTCCAGGTCCTGCCTAATGAAGTTTAAAAGCAAGCCTTGAAAATATCACATTGTTTCCAGTAGCTTAACTACATTCCAGAATAAAGCTCAAAAATACTTAAGGGAATATTAATAACAAAAAACCCCAGCACCAAACAATGTAACACAATGTCTGGCATCCAATAAAAAAAATTCGGGCAGGTAAAATATGATCCATAATATCAATCAACATAAAAAGACCCATATATGACATAGGATAACATTAGCAGATGAGGATATTAAAAGAGCTATTATATATGCTCCATGTTCCAGAGATAGAGAAAAGCATGAGCATGTAAAGACACACTGGAGACATCTTAAAACTCCCAAACTGAACATCTAGAGATAAAAAATACAGTATCAGAGATAAAAATACATTGGATGGGATTAACAGATTAGACATTTCAGAAGAATAGATTAGTGAACTTGAAGACAAAACAGAAAACTTTCAAACTAAAATACAAAGAGAAAAAGACTGAAAAAAATAAAGAACGGAGCATTGGTGAATGGTAAGATACCTTCAAGGGTCATAATATTCATAAAATTAGAATTGGGGAAGGGAAATATTTGAAAAAAAAAGAACTACAATTTTCTAAATTTGATGCAAATCATAACCTACAGATCCAAAAACCTCAAAGAACCCCACGCAAAAAAAAAAGAAGAAAAATATAAAAAAGCCACATCAATCAAACTGCTTAAAACAAATGATAAAAAGAAAACCTTAAAAGGAGCCACAGAAAAAAAGACATATCACATATTGAGGAACAGAAATAATAGCAGAATTCTTGTCAAAAACAATGCAAGCCAGCAAACAGCAGACAACGTATTTCAATTATTGAAAGGAAAAACCAAAAAAAAAAAAAAACCAAAAAACCACTGATCAACCCAGATTTCTACACTTAGAGAAATTACCTTTCAAAAATGAATGCAACATAGAATCTTTTTCAGAAATATCATTTAATGTTTAGAAGTTTTTATAGTATAAGCCTGAACAATTCTTAACATTCCAAAAATTTAGCTATATTCCACAAGCAAAATAAATGTGATACAAATGAATATGGATGTGGCAGGAGTAAAGAGTAGTCAAGTTTAGGGGCATGAGGTAGAAGATATGTATGGAGACAGTATTGTTATTTTCTTTAACAGGGAGAGGCTCACCAAAGATGAAGTTCATGTGACGCCAAGTAGAAGAGAAGAAAGAGGCCTTGAATAAAAGCAGAGGAGTTAAGATGCATATGAAAGATAATGAGCCCCTGGAGGTTTTTGAACAAAGAGATGAGAAAAGTAGTAATTGAAGACTTTTTAGCAAATCATACATGATAAAAAACAAAAATATATAATCAAAATCAAACTCATAGGAAAGTTTGAAAAAATGTCATCATTGTTTCAGTTCTTTTTTTTCCACTTTGAGACAGAGTCTCCCTCTGTCGCCCAGGCTGGATTGCAGTGGAGTGATCACAGCTCACTGCAGCCTCAACCTCCTGGGTTCAGGTGATTCTCCCACCTCAGCCTCCCAAGAAACTGGGACTACAGGCATGCGCCACCATGCCTGGCTAATTTTCTGTATTTTTAGTGGAGATGGCGTGTTGCCATGTTGCCCAGGCTGGTTTCAAACTCCTGAGCTCAAGCAATCCCAAAGTGCTGTGATTACAGGAGTGAGCCATCATGCCCAGCCCCATAGTTTTGGTACTGATGGGAGACATCTATCTTCCTTAGGCACAAGGACTTCTCCATTTAAAGATCAAAGGGATACACATCTGAATAAGACCCATCTCTGCCTGCTCCCCACCCCTTATCATTTCCTCTGGCTCATTCCAGCATCTTCATAAATTGTTGCTAACTAAAACAAAGATTCCATAATTAGATGCTAGAGCAATTCTTCATGTAAGAAAAAACAGAAGTTTCCCAAGATGAAAGTTGGTGAGATGATCTTCAGATGAATTTTCATCTCTAATATCCTATAATTTAATGCACGTTGGTTTTCAGCTTTTTTCTTTTTTTACCTCTTGCCTACAGAGTAGAAATCTGGGAACAAAGGCTCTCCATCATCTGGTGAATTGAAAAAAGCTTCATAAAAATAAGAAATTACAAGGTCCCTTTTAGACTTTCTTAATAAAGTGTCTAAACAATTCAATTAAAAATGCAATGACAAAAATCAGAAAAGTACTCACCGTTACAATCACCAAAAGGAACCTAGAACTACTGAGAATTTTCTAAAGTCAGTAGAGTAAGGCCAATAACACTACCTAAAATAACCACAAGAGGGTAGTATAAGACATTCTAAACTTCTACATCTCTTTTATACAGGAGAGCTCTGTGACTTGGCAACCACCCATTTAAAAAATGTTTTTTAAAAATACCTTGGTAATCATTTTACCTTATCTTGCTCCACACCAGGCTCTCTGTACACAGTCCATTTCTGCCCATCATCACTGTACAGGATTCTGTAGGCAGACACATAGTAATTGTGCTCCACCATGGTGGATCCAGTGGTTATAATGCCTGGGGAATGAAGAGTTGCTTTCATTAATGCACATGGTCTGATTCCCTAAGTTTGTTCAGCATCAAAGTATAAACACTTGAAATGCACAGCTCGAACATTTCTAATTATGGCTCATTTCCATATCCAAGTGCACGTTTTTGTCATAACAATTACTAAATCCTTGGCCTTATTCCCTTGGAGAGAGAGGAAGGATTATGGGTGGGCATTAATTAAGTAAAGAACTATTCTGTTTTGGTGTCTTGTGTTTATAACGTCGTAAAATAGATTTTGACTACTGGGTAAGATGACTTCCTGGGAATGAACAGATTAAAGATGATTATTGGTATTATTTACAGTACCAAAACAAAATAAATATTTTAACAAAATTAAACCAATCCCAACCAATTATTCCGACCATTTGCTAAGTTCCCCTAAATTAAATTTATACTCTCCACATGTGGAAAATTAATGATCTCATCATTTAAAATGGACTCCTTTAACATAAATTTCTCTTAATGACTGTAGGAGACCGTTATTTTAGATGTCTCAAGACCACTTTACTGAAACACTACCTTAAAAAAAGAGTCTCATTACAATGGAAACAAAAAGCTATTACGAATTAAATACTGTGATGGTTAATACTGAGTGTCAACTTGATTGAAGGATGAAAAGTATTGTTCCCAGGTGTGTCTGTGAGGGTGTTGCTAGAGGAGATTAACATTTGAGTCAGTGGACTAGGACACGCAGACCCACCCTCAATCTGGGTCGGCACCATTTAATCTGCATCAGCACGGCCAGAATAAAAACAGGCAGAAGAAAATGTGAAAAGACTAAACTGGCTTAAGTCTCCCAGCCTACATCTTTCTCCCATGCTGGATGCTTCCTGCCCTTGAACATCAGACTCCAAGTTCTTAGCTTTGGGACTTCTGGACCTTTGACCATAGACTAAAAGCTGCACTGTTGGCTTCCCTACTTTTGAGGTTTTGGGACTCGGAATGGCTTCCTTGCTCCTCAGCTTGCAGATGGCCTACTGTGGGACTTCACTTTGTGATCATGTGAGTCGATACACCTTAATAAACTCCCCTTTATATATACATCTGTCCTATCAGTTGTGTCCTTTTAGAGAACCCTGACCAACACAAATAACTCCTTTTCTCTGCCATGTTTCATAAAATGTGTCTCTAGTAATATTAACATCAGTGAAGAAAATATAAAACCATATAATTACAATTTTAATGCCTTAATTTTCTCTGAAAATCTTAGATGTTACTAGTTTTTCAAATAAAATAAGTGTTACAAATTGCTTTAGAAAATTTTTGTCTCTTAACCTGTTATTTTCTTTTCCTTATTCAAATCTATTTGTAACCACTGGTATTCATCAGTGGCAAAAGCAGCCCAAGGCGGTCCAGGTTTTTTCAGCCTGGCTTTTTTGGGTTTCCAACTGTTCTCTTGCCCTGTGTGGTCAGTCCACTCCAGCACAGATGATGCTGTTATTTGAGGATCCGCGATCACACCAGACTCCATCCCCAGTGTTCCATAACATCCTGAAACAAAGAAAAGACTAAATTTGGTTTCCAGGTATAATTTCAAAATGCATGTAGACCTGCTCACTGAAAACTTTCTATTCCATCTTTAATTAACATACACTACACTAATAATACACTGTAACAGAGAAATTTCAAAACTAGGCAAGTGTTTCTTGGGCATATGTCTTTGTGTATCATTAGGAAACCTACAAACATGCTCATTTATAAGCATGACTGTTAGTTTAATGGAGATACATTATCTTCTCCCTGGGACACTCTTCCCAAATAACTGAGTAACTCACTCCTTTACCTCCTTCAGGTTTTTGGCCTATGTTGCATTCTCCCTGAGGTCTTCCCTGGGAGGAAGGCCCTTCCCAACTTCAATCCAGTCCTCCTTATTTTCCTACATCTTTTATCATATTGTAAACAGTACATTATAAACAGAAATTTATTCATTGCTTATCATCAATCTCTCACTACTAGAATGTAAGCTCCAGGAAGGCAGGAGTTTGTTCACTTTACTCTATCACTCGAACCAGAGCAATGCCTGGCACATAAAGAGAAGGCACTCAGTAAGTATTTTCTGTTGAACGAATTGATTACTTCTTCAGACAAGTTCAAAAGTCATCTTTCTTAAGGAACCTTCCTTGCTTACATGACCATTTCTCTATAAATATAAAACTTTCAATTTGCTCTATTCATTATATTATTAGATAACTATCTTACCTCATAGTGTTATTAAGACAACTACGTGAGAAAGTACAATAAATCAGCAACTGACACAGTGCCTAACAGTGTTCAAAAAATATTATATAAATAAAAAATTATAAAGTCCATAAAAGGCTTACCACTTGTCTTAAATGTAAAAAGACTTGTAGATAAGTGTCCCCTGAAAGAGAGAAGGGTTTTTTTTGGTGATACTCACATAACACATGATGCCCCATATTTAGTGAAACATTTTCTTTTGATTTGGTTCCCCCCACCCAATAAAAGAACCAAGAAGACTGTGTGGCTAAAAATTAGACAACTAATATTGTTCCTAGGAAAAAAGTCTCATTTCTAAGCAGGACAACTTCTGAAATCAGCATAAACAGCTTTCTCTACAAGTATCTAGCACCCAGTTTCATATGTGATTGTGCAAAAGTTCTCTATGTAATCTTTAATATGTACTTCTTTTTCATATGTATTTACTCATTGTTTACTGTCAATCTCTCACTACTTTATTTCATGAAATAAATGGATTCTTAACACTTTTCTGTGGCAAATGCTTTCGATGAAAATACACTAAAAGGTCTAATTCTCAGAGAATGAGGCTCAAGTTTTTTCGGATAAACATGAGAAAAGTTGGGTACTAATAGATTTCTTTTTCTTTTTTTTTTTTTTTTTAGGAGAAATCAACATCTCATGGAAGAAGTTTCAGTGTACACTCCTGCCTTTAGTCCAACATACAAACCATTACAAGAGGATGCAATTTATCCCTGTTTTCTTTTTTAAAGTATGAAAGAGAGAATTCACAAACACTAAATCTTTCTAAAGGTATAACATGGTAAAGGAATGAAAGGGTCTGCATAAAATAATCTAGAAAAAAAAAAAAAAAAAGAAGGGAAGGTAGTTGAATCTATACCAGGGATGGGCAAATGACTGCCCATGCATGGCCTGTTTTGTATGGGCCGTGAGTTAAGAATAAAGAGCTATAAATAAAACAAAAAAAGAATAAGCTGCAGCGACATGTGGCCTGTAAAGCCTAAAATATTTATTAGCTGGATCTTTACAGAACAAATCTGCTGAATCCTGTTGTATACCAATCTGGATATGGATGATGCTTGTGTCTTCTGAATGAAAATTGGCCTAGGACCTCTGAAGAAAAGCTGGTTTCAATTAGGCTTAGTGTTGTCTGAAAGACTGAGCAGATCTAAGAGACAAGATTTATAAAAACAGATTGCTAACACTGCATTTCTATTTAATGTTTCAATTTCTCTTGCTTTTGATGCCTACCCTACGTTTTATAAAACAGTAGAACACTATAGTTACCATGAAAATACATCTTCAAAATATTCTCTTAGAATGAAAGGAAGATTCACAATAATGCTTATGATGTAACACTTTATGTCAAACTTAAATTTATATTTAAAGTATTTCAATTATCTTGAATCCCCATGTGCTATAAGGAACACAGTAGTTAAGCCTTTCAATCTGTAAAATAAATAAGGATTTGGCAACAAACTTCTAGACTCTTATGTAGACTTTTTTTTAACACTTAGAAAAGACAGAAGAAACACATTACTCTTCCAAATGACTACATTTTTGAAGAACAATAAGCTAAAGTAGTACAACACCACCTGTACTCTTCAAAATATGCAGACACTGGCTGGGCACGGTGGGTCACGCCTGTAATCCCAGCACTTTCGGTGGCCGAGGCGGGTGGATCACGAGGTCAGGAGTTCGAGAGCAGCCTGGCCAACATGGTGAAACCCCGCCTCTACTAAAAATACAAAAGTTAGCCAGGCGTGGTGCCACACACCTGTAATCCCAGCTACTTGGGAGGCTGAGACCGGAGAATCGCTTGAAACCAGAATACAGAGGTTGCAGTGAGCCGAGATCACGCCACTGCACTCCAGCCTGGGCAATGAGAGCGAAACTCTGTCTCAAACAAAACAAAACAAAAAAACAGACACTGAGCACACTAATGTGAGTGCTTACTGCCTAAATGTTCTTTCATGAACACCATTAACAGTGATACTGCTGAGATCTAGCTAGTTCTTAGCCCAGTGCTACCCAGAATGCTAATTATATATAGCATATATTTTTTAAATTGCATATATACTTACACCACAGATGTGACGTTGTTAGCCAAAGAACTTTCATAATAGGGGATACCTTTACTAATTACAACACTGATTTGGCCGCCCAACGTGTTTGACACTACTCCTGCATGCACACCAGCCATGCACAATGGCGAGGACTTAAGGAAGGGAAAAGAAAAGATTCATTTTTAATTTTCTCTTAATAATTCATAAACAAGACACTCTACTTCCTGAGAAATCAGTTAATCTAGGCAGTTTCTTCATAAACTTCATAAACAAAAATAGATTATTGGTACTGTAACACAACAGTTTTAGCAGAAGAAAAAGAATAAAACACATATGATTAAAAAATGTCTTAAAAAGGCAAAAGATAAGGATATATGATTAACACACCTCTAACTACTCTGGAGTTCTAAAAAAATAGAGTTATATCACAATTTTCAAATAAGTTTATATCTGGCTTACATCTCTATATCCATGAGGAATTGTTCCAGATATCTCAGCAAAAGGAAGCAGACAACCAGCTGGGCAGTACTTACTGAGAAATGAAAACAAGCAAAAGGTTACATAATGCTGTATTTTACAGGGAAAAAAGCAACCCCCCAAAAATATCACAGACACATTTTTCAGTTCAAGGTGAATACCATAATTTCACTACCCTCAAAGACCCACCACTTCTTTTTTTTGACACGGAGTTTCACTCTTGTCGCCCAGGCTGGAGTGCAATGGCACCTTCTTGGCTCACTGCAACATCTGTCTCCTGGGTCTCAGAGATTTTCCTGGCTCAGCCTCCCGAGTAGCTGGGATTACAGGTGCATACCACCACACCTGGCTAATTTTTGTATTTTTAGTAGAGATGGGGTTTCACCATGTTGGCCAGGCTGGTCTCAAACTCCTGACCTCAGGTGATCCGCCCACCTCGGCCTCCCAAACTGCTGGGATTTCAGGTGTGAATGACTGTGCCCGGCCAGGACCACCAGTTCTAAAAAGCCCTTTCAGACTTTCTTCCATCCATATATATATAATATGTCTTTACTCACACATTTGAAACATTTTTTTGTCTTATTACATACTGCCTTGATTATTTTATTTCATAATGAATGGTAGACATGTTTCTACTATAAAACCTACTCATCAAATTTAAGAGCTAAATGATATTCTATTCTGTGGATATGCCATAATACATTTTACCAACCCTCTATTGATCCAATTTAAGCTGTATTAAAAGAGGTGCATTCATTCACGCTGCTACCCATCCACCCAACACATTTATTTGAGTGTCTATTATGCTGTCTGTTGAGTGTAGGGCAGTACTAGGTACTGGGTTTACAAAAGTCAAACAGACAAATATTGCCCCTGTCCTCACTGAGTTTATATTCCAGTGGTAGAAGACATTAAACCAATACTTACACAAATAATTGATTTTGATTCTGCTATGAAGTCATGCTGAAATAACCGCAAGAAATCTAACTTAATACAAGTAACACAATAATTCAGTAAACTTAATGAATTGCCAGGTAGCACCCTAAGTGCTTTAGGTAATCCATATAAGAACTCTATGGAGGAGATGCTAGTGTTGTCCTCATTTTAGGAAACAGGGAAATTAAGGAACTGTATGCCCATTCACACAGTTAGCAGGTAGCAAATGGGGTCTGGAGTCCATGCTCTTATGCAGGACTCTGTACCGCCCCCAGTCAGGGAATGGGGGTGGCAGGATGGGGCTCTTAGGAAGTGAAGCCTCAGCAGTGAGCTAAGGGGTGTCACTAGAACAAGTGGTGGGAAATGCACATTAGTCAGAGGGATGAGCACAGCATGAGGCAGGATGGCCTAGTGTGTGTCCGGAAGTGGGGACGGCAGTGCAAGTAGGTGCCAGAGAGCAAAACTAAGGTTAGTTAGAGAGAAGACTGGACAGACGGGCAGGTAATGCAGGAGCCTTGTGGGCTATGGTGAAGAGTATGGAATATATTTCTAAGTAAAAATAGGAAGCCAGTAAAGGATTTTGGCAGCTTACATACATAATCTGATTAGTATTTTTAAAAAAGATTATTCTGGCTCCTGGGAAGAAAAGAGATAGCAAGGAATCATGAGTGGAGGCTGGGACACCATTAGGCAATAGTACAGCAGCCCCGGACAGGGATAATGGGAGCTTGGATTTGTTGTGGCAGATCATGGAGCTGGAGAGTGGCGCGAGCGCAGCTGACCCTCTGCCAGGGCTGTCTACCATACACTGATGCTAGGGTTACCCCAGCTAACGTCCCCCTCAAATGCTGAAGAGGGCACCCTTCCCACACAGAACCATTCTTGAAGACAAAATTAAGGTTCTTGGGGGGAAGTGGTAGTAAGTTCGGAAAAGTTAGTAAGATGGCTCTTGAAAGATGAGAATGATCTGCCAAGCAGAGGAGGCAAGTGGTTCCTGGTAAAAGCTCTGTGAGCTCAGAGCACTGTAAATAACTCAAGAGTCATTTCAATATGGAGAACATAAGATGAGACTGGAAAAATGGCCTGAGGACTGCTTGTGAAAGAACGAGAAGACCAGGTTAAGGAAATCTGGACAACTGTTTTTTATCATAATAAGTAGTTTCTCAAGATTTTTATGCAGGGAAATGATCAGATATGTATTTTGGAAACAACTTGGCAGCAGTGTGAATGGCAGCCAGCAAACAGAAATAGGAACTCGATTAGAAGTTGTCTAGGCAAGAGACAAAGGCATAAAGAAGAGAAATAGTAGAAATGGTACTTGAGTAACAACACTGCAGAATTCTATAACAGCCAAAACCATGCTCTTTCAATTTTTTGAAAAAAGATAAATACCTTTTCAACTTTTACTAGGAGTTTTGCTAGATTTTGAAAAGCAACTAGTTCTACTTTCAAAGCATATTAAAATGATACTTTCATTTTGCAGATCTAAATGCTACAATAAAAGCAAAATGTAAACATGCAACTAAATGGCTTTATGCTTTAAGTAAGCTCTAATTTATTGAAGTCTCGGAACAATGATATGTATCACACAATATACATTAACCCTAAGAGTATACAGAATGAAAATGAAGAAGTGAATGAAAAGTAACATTTAAGCAAAAAAAAAAAAAAAAGTCACAAATATAATCATACCTGAACTCAGGTTCCAAAAAATTGGATGCAGTGTCCAAACAAGTAATTAGATCTAGAAAAACAAAAATAAAAAACTGATTCCATTAATATACAGGATTACCTTGCTGAAACTCCAAGTGTCTCAGAATCCCAAACTGTACTACTCTAATTTTCAAAAATCTCAATGGCACTGTCAAAGTGGTACTAAAAACTTTGCCAACTTTTGTTAATCACAATTTCTTTCTGATATTAAGTTTCTTGATTTTTGGAGCAATGTCCCCTCAATACTGTTTACTACATCACCTCAGGAAGTCACATACCATATACACACATATATGTATATGTGTATTTATATATATATATATATATATATATATATATATATATTTAGAACATGCATAGATAAGTAAAATTTATAGCTTTAAAGTGGTTTCTGTAAAATACAGCTACCCACACACAGAAATATTTCTTGGTTATTATATAACTAAAAATGACCCTTTGCTGTTTGCACATAAGGAAAATAATGACAAAGAGAGTTAATTTTATGGCTCTAACTATTAATAACTGCTAATTAAAATCTGGTCCAGAGACAGGACTGGTGCATCAGCACCTTCTGGAAATTTAGTAGAAATTCAAATTCTTGAACTCCATCCAGACTTACAGAATCTCTGGCGGTGGTGCCCAAAAATCTGTTTTAACAAGTCCTCTCAGTAATTTCTTAAGCACACGGAAGCTGCAGTAGCATTGCTCTAAAGAAATAAAACTTCTAAAATTTAACATTTTCTGCCTAGAAACCAATACAGCTGAGCAAGAACTAATCTGCCTCTAATTAAGACCAAGTTCATAGGCTATGTAAAAAGTGGCTTTGGTTAAAAAAAAAGCAAAAAAAACAAAACAAAACACACCATTTCAGTGGCTTCCTTCTCTTAGGTTAGACAGCAAAGCCTTCAACACAGCCTACAGAGTCTTGAAGTGCTGGCCTTGTCTTACTCTGCAGTCTTGTGTGTACCTGCCTTGGCTTCTCGCCGCTCCAGTCTTGTTTTGGTCCCCTGGCACAAGCTGCTCTCTCGACTTGTAAGGCTTTCCCACTACTACTTAGCTTAGCTGATTCCTCTCTAAGAGCTCAGCTTCACTGCCACTTCCTCACAGAAGCTGTCCCTCAGCTTCACAAGTCAAATTCCTTTAGCACACAGTAGGCACTTAAGTTTTGTTTGTTTTAATAAACAGATGACTATTCTGTGTTGTCAAACGTAATGTGTTATGTTAATATGTAAGCCTGACTTGTTGGTGTAATTATAGAGTTATAAGCAAAATCACTCTATAAAGCCTAGTCCCCGGACAGAGCCTGAGGCTGTTTGTCCTCACCTTTGTATTTCCAGTAGCAATAACAGCATATGGTATACAGGAGACTTATTTATTGAATCAATGGATGAATAAAAGTTTCTGATCATTAGCATGTTTGGCTAAGTCCAGTTATTTACTAACCTGCAGGGAAGAAAACCTGGAAGAAGACCCCAAGGCAATCACAAAAGTAAGTGATTTTACATATAAACGCTTGATTAAAGAACTGTGTCAAGGGTAGCCAATATACCCTTGATGGAGATAGCTCCTAGCACACTGAACAGTATATAAATATTTGTTAAATTAATGGTTACCACAGCAAGCATATGATAATCGATCATTTTATTCCATAATTCTGAAGAAATTTTGTGTTTACTATTCAACTAAAATGTGTCTTGAACTAGAGCTTAATAACTGTGTTGTACCAGTAAGAAAGGGGTATTTTCAAGGCAAGTGTATAAATTAATAGTTATAAACCACAGGCATTTGAATGACAGTTAAGCTAAATCTGTGCTTTAGGAATTTAATAGGATAGATGCCTAAATAGGGGCTCACTACCACCCAGTTGACCAACCAGAAGAGCAGGCAAATTGAATTACCAGTTCTCTAGTTATTCCTGTCAATCTTTGCCCAGCATCAACAAGAATCAATTTTCCACTTTCTGCTCCACCAAAAAAATTTCCGACTTCTAAGATTAGAAGTTGAATTTCTAAGATTAATAGCCTGGGATGAAAGGTACTGTGTGGTCCAATATGGCACTTAAACCACAAGAAGACTGCCAGCTGGCCCCATTATCTTCCAGCCACATGCCAGAAATCTGGTCAACTATGGATTATTTGATCAGAACAGGGCTTTGGTTGTAAGTGCATGCAGTGCTGAGACTCCAAAACTATGCCATGCAAATGTGCAACTCACTAAAGTTGCTCTCAAATTCCATGGAAGTTCAAAGAGCTCTCAAGGAGAAAAATAAGAATTCAAAATGGACAGCTACAAGGAGAGCCAAGAAGACTGAAGATAAAGAAAGCCTTAAGTACACACTTTGACCTTTACAACTCTACAAAGAAAACAACATCAAATAAAGCAGGCAATTAAGAAGCTTTAAAATGTCTTTCTTAAAAGCTTTTCCCAAGTAAACAGCCTTCCAGAAAATTGTCATTACTACAATGCTCCCAGCTAATAAGAACACAGCCTAGCTCCAGAAAAATCCATCTGCCCCAGAGATTTCTGATAGCAATGTATAAGTCATCATAATCAAAGGAACAGAATTGAAAATCTAGAAATAAACCCTCAAATTTATAGTCAACTGAGTTTCAGCAAGGGTGCCTAGACAATTCAATGGGGGGAAGAATTATCTTTTAGACAAATGATGCTGAGACAACTGGATATCCACCAAACAAACAAATGAATTGGACCCGTACCTCAAACTACATACAAAATAAAGTGGATCTAAACTCAAGAGCTGAAACTATAAAACTTTTAGAAAAAAATATATGAGAATATCACAACTCTGGATTAAGCAGTGATTTCTTAGATAAAACACCAAAAGCACAAGAAAACAAATAAAAATAAATGGAAGTTCATCAAGATTAAAAACTTTTGTACTTCACAGGACACCATTAAGAAAGAGAAAGATGGCACACAGAATGGGAGAAAACATTCACAAATGATATATCAATGAAAACAGATGTATCTAATATCCAGAATAAAGAATATTATTATGTGGCATTAAAAAGACAAAGGAACCAATTTAAAAACAGACAATGGATATGAACAGACATTTCTCCAAAGAAGATATACAAATGGCCAACAGGCACATAAAAAGATGCTCAGCATCATTAGCCATCAGGGAAATGCAAATTAAAATCACAGTGAGACACCACCATACACTCACTAGGATGGCGAAAATAAAAAAGACATAACAAGCACTGGCAAAAATGTGGAGAAACTGGAGTCTTTATGCAGTACTAGTAAAATTGTAAAATGGTGCAACTGTTTTGGAAAATGGTTTGGCAGTTCCTTAAAATATTAAACAAAGAGTTAGCATATGACCCAGAAATCTCACTCCTAGGTATATGCCCAAGAGAATTAAAAACCTATGTCCCCACCAACATTTGTACACAAAAGTTCATCAACTGATGAATGGATAGATAAACAAAATGGGGTGTATATACATACAATGGAATATTATTTGGCCATAAAAAGAAATGAAGTACTGATTCATGCTACAACATTGATAAACTTTGAAAATATGCTAAGTGAAAGAAGCTAGTCACAAAAGACCACATACTATGTGATACATTTATATGAAATGTTTCGAATAGGCAAATCTATAGCAATAAAAAGTAGATTCGTGGTTTCCTAGGATTGTAGGGGGTTAAGAGGAGAGAAATGGGGAATAACTGCTACTAACTAAGGAATTTCCTTTGGGGTGATAAATATGTTCTAAAATTGACTATGGTGATAACTGTACAACTCTAAATACACTGAAAAATCAATGAATTGTATATACAGATATTTTATTATTTAATTTCAACTTTTATTTTAGATACGGGGTACATGTGTAGGTTTGTTACATAGGTATACTGCATGGTGCTGAGGTTTGGGGTACAGACCCCACCACCAAGAGAGTGAACATAGTACCCAACAGGTAGTTTTCCTTTTAACTTTATTTTAGGTTCAAGGGTATATGCGCAGGATTGTTATATAGGTAAACTTGTGTCATGGGGGTTTGCTGTATCTTTTGTCATCTAGGTACTAAGCCTAGTTAGCATCCCACAGTTATTGTTTCTGTTCCTCTCCCTCCTCCCACCCTCCAGTAGGCCTCAGTGTCAATTGTTCCCCTTTATGTGTCCATGTGCTACATTTAACTGCCACTTAAAAGTAAGAACATGTGGTATTTGGTTTTCTCTTCCTGTGAGGTTAATGGCCTCCAGTTCCATCCATGTCCCTGCAAAGGGCATAATCTCATTCTTTTTTATGACTGCATAGTATTCCATAGTGTATATGTACCACATTTTCTTTATCCAGTCTACCATTAATGGACATTTAGGTTGACTCCATGTCTTTGCTATTGTAAATACTGCTGCAATGAACAATATGAGTGCAATTTATATTCCTCTGGGTATATACCCAGTAATGGGGTTACTAGGTCAAATGGTGGCCCTGCTTTTAGCACTCTGAGCAATCACCACTGGTTTCCACAATGGTTGAACTTACACTCCCACCAACAGCGTTTAAGTGTTCCCTTTTCTCCATAACCTCATTAGCATGTTATTTTTTTACTTTTTAATAATAGCCATTCTGACTGGTATGAGATGGTATCTCATTATGGTTTTGATTTGTATTTCTCTAAAGATCGATGATATTGAGCTTTTTTTCTTATGCTTATTGGCCACATATGTGTCTTCTTTGGAAAAGTGTCTGCTCATGTTCTTTACCTGCTTTTTAATGTTTCTTTTTTCTTGTAAACTTGTTTAAGTTCCTTATTGATGTTGGATATCAGACCTTTGCCAGATCCACACTTTGCAAATATTTTCTCCCCATTCTGTAGGTTGTCTGTTTACTCTGTTGATAGTTTCTTTTGCTGTACAGAAGCTCTTAATTTTAATTAGATCCTATTTGTCAATGTTTGCTTTTGCTGTGATTGTTTTTGGTGTCTTCATCATGAAATCTTTGACAGTTCCTATGACAGAATGCTATTGCCTACATTGTCTTCCAGGGTTTTTATAGTTTTGAGATTTACATTTAAGTGTTTAATCTATCTTGAGTTGATTTTTGGATATGATATAAGGAAGGGGTCCAGCTTCAATCTTCTGCATATGGCTAGCCAGTTATCCCAGCACCATTTATTAAATAGGCAGTCCTTTCTACATTGTTTATTTTTGTTAGCTTTGTCGAAGATCAGGTGGTTGCAGATATGTGGCCTTATTTCTGTGCTCTCTACTCTGTTCTATTGGTCTACGCACCTATTTCTGTACCAGTACCATGCTGTTTTGGTTACTGTAGCCCTGCAGTACAGTTTGAAGTCAGGTAATATGACTCCTGCAGCTTTTTTCTTTTTGTTTAAGATTGCCTTGGCTATTTGGGCTCCTTTTTGTTTCCATATGAATTCTAAAGTAGTTTTTTCTAGTTCTGTGAAGAATGTCATTGGAAGTTTGATAACAATTTCATTGAATCTGTAAATCACTTTGGACAGAATGGCCATTTTTATGATAATGACTCCTCCAATTCATGAGCATGGCATGTTTTTCCACTTGTTTGTGTCATCTCTGATTTCTTTGAGCTGTGTTTTGTAATTCCTGTTGTAGAGATCATTCACCTCCCCAGTTAGCTGCATTCCTAGGTATTTTATTCTTTTTGTGGCAATTGTGAATGGGATTGTGTTCTTGATTAGGCTCTTGGCTTGACTGTTTTTGGTGTACAGAAATGCTAGTAATTTTTTTTTTTTTTTGAGATGGAGTCTTGCTCTGTTGCCCAGGCTGGAGTGCAGTGCAGTGGTGTGATCTTGGCTCACTGCAACCTCCGCCTCCCGGGTAGCTGGGATTACAGGCACATGCCACCATGCTGAGCTAATTTTTTTTTTTTTTTTGGTATTTTTAGTAGAGACGAGGTTTCATCATGTCAGCCAGGCTCATTACCAACTCCTGACCTCAAGTGATCCACCCACCTTGGCCTCCAAAGTGCTGGGATTTCAGGCATGAGCTACCGCTCTTGGCCCTTCTCTCTTCTTTATTAATCTAGCTAGTGGCCTATCATTAATTTTTTTCAAAAAACCAACTCCTTGATTTGTTGACCTTTTGAATGTTTTTCTGCGTCTCACTGTCCTTCAGGTTGAGCTCTGATTTTGATTATACATATTCTGCTAGCTTTAAGGTTGGTTTGCTCTTACTTTTCTAGTTCTTTTAGTTGTGATGTTAGGTTAATTTGAGATCTAACTTTTTGATGTGGGCATTTAGTGCTATAAATTTCTCTTGTAACAATGCCTTAGCTGCATCCCGGAGATTCTGGAATGTTGTATCTTTGTTCTCATTTAGTTTCAAAGAACTTCTTGATTTTTGCCTTAATTTCATTATTTACTCCAAAGTTATTCTGGAGCATTTCCATGTAATTGCATGGTTTTGAGCCATTTTTTTTAGTTTTGATTTCTATTTTTATTGCACTGTGGTCTGAGAGTGTGTCTGGTATGGTTTTGGTTCTTTTGCATCTGCTGATTGCTTTATGTCCGATTATGTGGTCATTTTTAGAGTATGTGTCATGTGGCAATCAGAAGAATGTATTTTCTATTGTCTTTGGATGGACAGTTCTGTAGAGGTCTATTAGATACATTTGGTCCAGTGTTGAGTTTAGGTCCTGAATATCTTTGTTAATTTTCTGCTTAGATGATCTGTCTAATACTGTCAGTGGAGTGTTAAAGTCTCCCACTATTATTGTGTGGGAGCCTAAGTCTCTTTTTAGGTTTCTAAGAACTTGCTTTATGAATCTGGGTGCTCCTGTGTTGAGTGCATATATATTTAGAATAGTTAGGTATTCTTGTTGAACTGAATGCTTTACATTATGTAATGCCCTTGTCTTTTTTGAGCTTTGTTCGTTTAAAGTCTGTTTTGTCTGAAATTAGGGTTGCAATGCCTGCATTTTTCTGATTTCCATTTGCTTGTTAGATTTTCCTCCATCCCTTTATTTTGAGCCTATGGATGTCATTGCATGTGAGATGGGTTCCTGAAGACGGCGTATCATTGGGTCTTGCTTTTTTATTCAGCATGCCACTCTATGCCTTTTTAAATAGGGCATTTAGGCTATTTACATTCAAGGGTAGTATTGATATGTGTGCATATGATCCTGTCATTGTGTTGTTAGCTGATTATTATGCTGGCTTGTTTGTGTGGTTCCTTTATAGTGTCACTGGTGTGTGTACTTGAGTGTATTTTCCTAGTGGTGTTTTAATGGTTTTTCTTTTCCATATTTAGTGCTAGCTTCAAGATGTCTTGAAAGGTGGGTCTGGTGGTAATGAACTCGCTTAGCATTTGCTTATCTGACAAGAATCTTATTTCTCCTTTGCTAAGGAAGCTTAGTTTGGCTGGTTATGAAATTCTTGAAGATTTTTTTCCTTTAAGAATGTCAAATATAGGTCCCCAATCTCTTCCAGTTTGCAGGGTTTCAGCTGAGAGGTCTGTTGCTAGCCTGATGGGGTTCCCTTTGTTGGTGATCTGCCCTTTCTCTCTAGCTGCCTTTAACATTCTTTTATTTAGACATTGGAAAATCTGATGATTATGTGTCTTGGGGAGATCTTGTGTAGAATCTTGCAGGGGTTCTCTGTATTTCCTGAATTTTGACTGTTGGCCTCTCTAGCGAGGCTGGGGAAATTTTCATAGATGATATCCTGAAATATGTTTTCCAAGTTGTTTGCTTTCTCCCCATCCAATTCAGGGATATCAGTGATTTGCAGATTTGGCTTCTTTATATAATCCCTTATTTCTTAGAGGTTTTATTCATTCCTTTTCATTCTTTTTTTCTTTACTTTTGTCTGACTCTCTTATTTCAGAGAGCCAGTCTTCAAGTTCCAAGATTCTTTCCTCAGCGTGGTCTATT
Organism: Homo sapiens; assembly: GCF_000001405.40. Taxonomy (NCBI): domain Eukaryota; kingdom Metazoa; phylum Chordata; class Mammalia; order Primates; family Hominidae; genus Homo; species Homo sapiens. The sequence goes on from NC_000003.12 coordinate 98,833,220, forward strand.
CTGCTGTTAATACTTGCAATTGGGTTGTGAAATTCTTGTAGTGTGTTTTTCAGCTCTATCAGGTCAGTTAGATTCTTTTTTGCACTGGCTATTTTATCTGCCAGCTCCTGTATTGTTTTATTGTTAATTCTTAGTTTCCTTGAATTGGGTTTTGCCATTCTCCTGAATCTCGATGCTCTTCATTCCTGTGCATATTCTGAATTCTATTTCTGTCATTTCAGCCAACTCAGCCTGGTTAAGAACCCTCATTGGTGAACTAGTGCAATCGTTAGGAGGACATAAGACACTCTGGCCATTTGAATTGCTGAAGTTCTTGTGTTAGTTCTTTCTCATCTCTCTGTGTGGGTGTTCCTTTAACTGCTGGGCTGCCTCTAATTGAAGTGGTCAGGTGGGGGTACAGTGGTTGTGCTGGAGTCCCAGGTCAGGCAGCCCTGTCCAGTGAGGAGAAGTGAGGACCAGGATCTACATGGAGAACCGTCTGACCACTTTTTGGTGAGATGGGTACTGTGCTTGGGGTTCAGACCAGGCTTCAGTCCCATGGACTCTCCAGAGCCTGGAAACAGCAAAGGTGAGGGCTGCAAGGCAGAAAAGATGGAAACACCACCCTCCCAGTGGGAGCTCTGTCCCAGGTTGCTGCAGAGCTGCTACTGGCTCCAAAGTCCCAGTGAAGGGAGGCTGGAAACCCAAGCCTGGAGGACTTGCCCAGTGAGGAGATATGGGAGTGGAGACCCATGTAAGAAACAGTCTGGCCACTTTTCCATGACTACTCCAGTAAACTAGGGGCCTGCTCTGGTCCCCAGTCACCTCGGATTTTCCAGCACCACTTCCCTGGGTGGGGGAGGCTCCTCTGGCCCTGTGTCGTTCCTGAGTGGGTGGTTGTCCTGCTTTGCTTTTTTCCATTCTCTGTGAGTAGAGTTGTTTTCTTTTTTTTTTTTTTTTTTGTTTTAAATTTTTTTATTGATACATAATAGATGTACCTATTTTGGGGAGTACATATGATAACTTAATACATTCATAGAATTCACAAAGATCAAATCAGTGTAATTGGGATATTCATCACCTTGAATACTTTTCTTTATGCTAAAACATTTGCTTTATTCCCTTCTAGCTATTTCAAAATATACAACAGATTATTGTAAACCATAGTCACCTTACTGATCTATCAAACACCAGGTCTTATTTCTTCTATCAAACTGTATATTTGTACCCATTAATCAACCTCTCTTCATCCCCCCACCTCCTCCCCTTTCAGCCTCCAGTAACCACCAGTCTATTCTCTAACTTCATGAGATTTACGTTTTTAGCTCCCAAATATGAGTGAGAACATGTGATATTTGCTTATCCATGCTTGGCTTATTTCACAACACAGTGACTTCCAGTTCCATGCCTGTTGCTGCAAATGACAGGATCTCATTCTTTTTCATTGCTGAATAATATTCCATTGTGTATACATCACCTTTTCTTTATTCACTCATCCATTGATGGATACTTAGATTGATTCTATATTTTAGCTATTGTGAATAGTGCTGCGATAAAGATGGGAGTGCAGATATCTTTTCCATATATTGAAACTTATAGATGTTATCCTAAAAAGTTAAAAGCCTCCCCTCAGTCTGAACTGCTTTGACATCTGGAACTTCCTTTTTCAAACCCAAAGCTGCCTGTCATAATCCCAACTGATTCCTACTGCTTGTCTTTAAATTTTCCATCCCAATAGGCCACCAGCCCTTCTGCTATAAACTTGCACATTCTTTTTTTTTTTTATTTTTTTGAGACAGAGTTTTGCTCTGTCATCCAGGCTAGAGTGCAATGGCCCTATCTTGGCTCACTGCAACCTCTGCCTCCCAGGTTCAGGCGATTCTCCTGCCTCAGCCTCCCAGGTAGCTGGGATTACAGGCATGTGCCACCACACCTGGGTAATTTTGTATTTTTAGGAGAGATGGGGTTTCACCATGTTGGTCAGGCTGGTCTCGAACTCCTGAACTCAGATGATCTGTCCGCCTCAACTTCCCAAAGTGCTGGGATTACAGGCAGGAGCCACCGCGCCCGGCATACTCGCACATTCTTAAGTCCCTACTCTTTCCTGGCATTCCTCCCTTACCTAGAATGGGTTTCTCATCACCAAAAGCATCCTACCCACTGTTCAAGGTCAAATTCAAATGTCAACTCCTGGGTGTCCCCAGCCAGAAATGATTCCCTTCTCATTTGTTCTTCTAAGATAACTATTTTCTTGCCATTTAATTATTCTTCACTCAGTAAACATCTATTGAGCACCAAATATGTGCCAGGTTCACTTATCCATCCTCTCACTCCGTATGCTATTTTTTTTTCTTCTTTTTTTTTTTTTGAGACAGAGTTTCTTTTTTGTTGCCCAGCCTTGAGTGCAATGGTGCAATCTCGGCTCACTGCAACTTCTGCCTCCCGGATTCAAGCGATTCTCTCGTCTTAGCCTCCCGAGTAGCTGGGACTACAGGCACGTGCCACCATGCCTGGCTAATTTTTGTATTTTTAGTAGAGACAGGGTTTCACCATGTTGGCCAGGCTGGTCTCAAGCTCCTGACCTCAGGTGATTCACCTACCTTGGCCTCCCAAACTGCTGGGATTATAGCGTGAGCCACCACGCCTGGCCACTCCATATGCTACTATAATTATTTGGTGCTTATATGAGGGGAGGAGATGAATTTTTCTTTCTTTCTTTCTTTCTTCCTTCCTTTCTTTCTTTTTTTTTTTTTTTAAGATTTTTAAATTTTTGTTTATTCACATTGAGGAGAATCTAAATTCTTTTGAACTTATGTATAGATTTCACCATTTTATAGTAATAAATCAGTCCTCCTGTGTGTGTGTGTATGTGTGTGTGTATGTAAACCTCACCTTGCAATATTATTATTTTAAATAGCCACTTGCATCTTAAGGAAATTAAGAGGACAAAAGAAAAGCTGCTGTTTTGTATGTATCCACATATTTACCAGCTGCTTCCCTGCCGGCAGGTGCTCTGGTTCTGCACTGCCTGTTGTCCCTTGCCTGAAAATGGTTGCCTCCAATATTTTGCTCAGTTTTCTGATTGTTTACAGTGGCAGAGGAGGGTAGATCTGGTACCAGTTAGTAATTGCCAGAGGTGGAAGTCTGTGGATGAAATTTGTATAACATGGAACGTTAGTTCCACAGTTAATGCTACTCAATTGGAACCCATGGAAATTATTTTTTGGTGAAAAGGGCCCATGCGTTATGAAATTTGAGATCCAGAACAAAATGAAAAGTCTCTCATGTCTACTTCTTTCTACACAGACACCGCAACCATCCGATTTCTCAATCTTTTCCCCACCTTTCCCGCCTTTCTATTCCACAAAGCCGCCATTGTCATCCTGGCCCGTTCTCAATGAGCTGTTGGGCACACCTCCCAGACGGGGCGGCTGGCCGGGCAGAGGGGCTCCTCACTTCCCAGTAGGGGCGGCCGGGCAGAGGCGCCCATCACCTCCCGGACGGGGCGGCTGGCCGGGCGGGGGGGCTGACCCCCCCATCTCCCTCCCGGACGGGGTGGCTGGCCGGGCGGGGGGCCGACACCCCCACCTCCCTCCCGGACGGGGTGGCTGGCCGGGCAGGGGGCCGACCCCCCCACCTCCCTCCCGGACGGGGCGGCTGGCCGGGCGGGGGGCCGACACCCCCACCTCCCTCCCGGAGGGGGCGGCTGGCCGGGCGGGGGGCTGACCCCCCCACCTCCCTCCCGGACGGGGCGGCTGGCCGGGCAGAGGGGCTCCTCACTTCCCAGTAGGGGCGGCCGGGCAGAGGCGCCCCTCACCTCCCGGACGGGGCGGCTGGCCGGGCGGGGGGGCTGACCCCCCCCATCTCCCTCCCGGACGGGGCGGCTGGCCGGGCGGGGGGCCGACACCCCCACCTCCCTCCCAGACGGGGTGGCTGGCCGGGCAGGGGGCCGACCCCCCCACCTCCCTCCCGGACGGGGCGGCTGGCCGGGCGGGGGGCCGACACCCCCACCTCCCTCCCGGACGGGGTGGCTGGCCGGGCAGGGGGCCGACCCCCCCACCTCCCTCCCGGACGGGGCGGCTGGCCGGGCGGGGGGCCGACACCCCCACCTCCCTCCCGGACGGGGCGGCTGGCCGGGCAGAGGGGCTCCTCACTTCCCAGTAGGGGCGGCCGGGCAGAGGCGCCCCTCACCTCCCGGACGGGGTGGCTGGCCGGGCAGGGGGGCTGACACCCCCACCTCCCGGACGGGGCGGCTGGCCGGGCGGGGGGCTGACCCCCCCACCTCCCTCCCGGACGGGGCGGCTGGCCGGGCGGGGGGCCGACCCCCCCACCTCCCTCCCGGATGGGGCAGCTGGCCGGGCAGAGGGGCTCCTCACTTCCCAGTAGGGGCGGCCGGGCAGAGGCGCCCCTCACCTCCCAGACGGGGCGGCTGGCCGGGCGGAGGGCTGACCCCCCCACCTCCCTCCCGGACGGGGCGGCTGGCCGGGCGGGGGGCTGACCCCCCCACCTCCCTCCCGGACGGGGCGGCTGGCCGGGCAGAGGGGCTCCTCACTTCCCAGTAGGGGCGGCCGGGCAGAGGCGCCCCTCACCTCCCAGACGGGGCGGCTGGCCGGGCGGAGGGCTGACCCCCCCACCTCCCTCCCGGACGGGGCGGCTGGCCATGCGGGGGGCTGACCCCCCCACCTCCCTCCCGGATGGGGCGGCTGGCCGGGTGGGGGTGCTGACCCCCCCATCTCCCTCCCGGATGGGGTGGCTGGCCGGGCTGAGGGGCTCCTCACTTCCCAGTAGGGGCGGCCGGGCAGAGGCGCCCCTCACCTCCCGGACGGGGCGGCTGGCCGGGCGGGGGGCTGACCCCCCCACCTCCCTCCCGGACGGCACGGCTGGCCAGGCCGGGGGCTGAACCCCCCACCTCCCTCCCGGATGGGGCGGCTGGTCGGGCGGGGGGCTGACCCCCCCCACCTCCCTCCCGGACGGGGTGGCTGCCGGGCGGAGACGCTCCTCACTTCCCAGATGGGGTGGCTGCCGGGCGGAGAGGCTCCTCACTTCTCAGACGGGGCAGCTGCCGGGCGGAGGGGCTCCTCACTTCTCAGACGGGGCGGTTGCCAGGCAGAGGGTCTCCTCACTTCTCAGACGGGGCGGCCGGGCAGAGACGCTCCTCACCTCCCAGACGGGGTCTCGGCCGGGCAGAGGCGCTCCTCACATCCCAGATGGGGCGGCGGGGCAGAGGCGCTCCCCACATCTCAGACGATGGGCGGCCGGGCAGAGACGCTCCTCACTTCCTAGATGTGATGGCAGCTGGGAAGAGGCGCTCCTCACTTCCTAGATGGGATGGCGGCCGGGCGGAGACGCTCCTCACTTTCCAGACTGGGCAGCCAGGCAGAGGGGCTCCTCACATCCCAGACGATGGGCGGCCAGGCAGAGACACTCTTCACTTCCCAGACGGGGTGGCGGCTGGGCAGAGGCTGCAATCTCGGCACTTTGGGAGGCCAAGGCAGGCGGCTGGGAGGTGTAGGTTGTAGCGAGCCAAGATCACGCCACTGCACTCCAGCCTGGGCACCATTGAGCACTGAGTGAACGAGACTCCGTCTGCAATCCCGGCACCTCGGGAGGCTGAGGTTGGCGGATCACTCGCGGTTAGGGGCTGGAGACCGGCCCGGCCAACACAGCGAAACCCCGTCTCCACCAAAACCAGTCAGGCGTGGCGGCGCGTGCCTGCAATCGCAGGCATTCGGCAGACTGAGGCAGGAGTATCAGGCAGGGAGGTTGCAGTGAGCCGAGATGGCAGCAGTACAGTCCAGCTTCGGCTCCGCATGAGAGGGAGACCGTCGGGAGAGGGAGAGGGAGAGGGAGAGGGAGCCTTGGGATCCTGTTGATCTGTGACCTTACCCCCAACCCTGTGCTCCCTTCTTTCTTTCTTTCTTTTTCTTTCTTTCCTTCCTTCCTTCCTTCTTTCTTTCTTTCTTTCTTTCTTTCCTTTCTTTCTTCCTTCCTTCCTTCCTTCCTTCCTTCTTTCTTTCCTTCTTTCCTTCTCTCTCTCTCTCATTCTTTCTTTCTTCCTCTTTCTTTCTCAGAGTCTTGCTCTGTTGCCCAGGCTGGAATGCAGTCGAGTTGTTTTCTTGATGAATCCGTTTGTGTACCTGGGTGTTCCAGTTGAAGTGCTGTATTTACTTGCCCCTTCTATTTCTTTCCATGAAGGCGGCACACACTAGCTGTTTTTAGTTGGTCACCTTGGCCAACCCCCCTGAATTGTATATTTTAAATAAGGGAATTGTATGGTGTGTGAATTATAACTTAATAAGACTGTTATAAAATAAAAAGAAACTATCATAGAATAACAGTGTCCTTTCATATGTAGCATATCTGTATTGATGGGTGAAATAAAGCCTAGTAAAAGAGCCAGGGCTGGCAGTTCGTTCATTTATTCATTCAGCATATATTTAATAAGCATGTGTTATGACCAGATGTCATTCTAGGCACCAGAGATAAAACAAAGAACAACCAGATAAAAATTCCTTCGTATAGGGAGTATACCTCTGGGTGGGGTGGGGGAGGTAAAAGACAATGTTAGTAAGAAAAAAATACTGTGTTAGAATGTGTATTGTACTTTAGAAAAATAATGAGAACAAGGAAGTTTTAAAAAGTTAGGGAGTTACAATTTTAAGTACAGTGGTCAGATCAGGCATCACTGTGAAGATGACATTTAAGTAAAACTCTTAAAATCGGTGAGGGAGTGAGGTGTTAGGTATTTGAATCTGAGAACAGGCAGCGGGAATCAAAGGCCCTGTTAGGAAATGTGCTCAGCATGTTTGAGGCCACAGTAGACAAGTAAAAGATGAAGTCAGATGAGTAATGGGAAGCTGAATGCTAGAGCATCTTGGAGATAAGGATAGTTGGTAGAGTGAGATGAAACTTTCACTTTAATAAGATCATACTGACCACTGAATTCAGAGTAGATTGAAGGGGGAAAACAGCAAAAACAAAGGTAAGAAATTTATTGCCGTAATTGAGGTAAAAGTTGGAACCTGAAATAGAGTGGTAGTAGTAGAGCTGTTAAGATGTAGTCAGATTCTGGTACATGTACATATATATTCGAAGAATTGGCAGCTGAATATGAAGCTTGAGAAAAAGAGAGGAGTCAAAGATACACTAAAATTTCTGGACTGAGCAACTTAAAAGATGAACTTATTACATGTGAAGTGCTTAGATTATAATAAATACTGAGAAAACACTTATCTTGCTGGATCCACTTTAATATGTCCTATAATACTAGAAAAATCAGTGATATGTTCAAAGTACGGGGCAGTATATAATTTACATTTCTTTTTCCTTGCTCTGTCACCGAGGCTAGAGTGCAGTGGCATGATCCTAGCTCACTGCAGCCTCAAGTTCCTGGTCTCAAGCAATCCTCCACCTCAGCCTCCCAAGTAGCTAAAACTACAGGCATGTGCCACCACACCCAACTAATTTTTTAAATTGTTGGTAAAGATGGGGGTCTCACTACCTTTCTGGTCTGGAACTCCCAGCCTCAAGCAATCCTCCCACGTCAACCTCCCAAACTGTTGAGAAGACATATGTGAGCCCCCATGCCTGTTATTTGCTACGTTTTAAACTGACAGCCTCTGCATAGAATTTTATTCTGGTAATTTTAATCAAACAATACATACAAATGACTGTAACACATTACTGCACGAAGTATCACACATATGGTACACTTCATTTGGGTGTTGTAGATAACAGCGATGGCAGTAGTAAACAGAATGCCCTCAGGGATTCTGCTGAAGCAAACTGGCATTCCCTCTTTTTCTGTATAGCCCCCAAAAGAGCATCTTCAGTGTTGAATATACACTAGTCTTCACAGTAGAGTTTAACCCAAAGGAAGTGTAACCATAGTATCTATAAAAAGAGTTTCTATCCTTCCCCATTACCTGCCTTCCCTAATCCTAGAGGGCTGTCCAGAGCAGGCAGATCTCAGATGGGGCTCTGAAGGCAGGATAATGTGATTGTGAGAAAGAGCAGGAGAGAATACAAATGTGAAGGCAAGCCAATAATCAATAACAGCCTGAGGAACGTCAGGTTTTCTGAAAACACCAACATCAGATTTCCTAAGACAGTTGCAAACTTAGTTAGCTATATTATCTGCCATAACTGATATATACATTTAAAAAAAATAAAGTACAATTAAAAACATTTTCAAGACATAATAACTGCAAAGGCTAGAGAACTTTGTAACTGTTGCATGAAATATTTAAACTTGAAATCTTATGTTGACCCATATATAATACCATGAAAATATATTTTATGTTAACAAATGAATCAAAAAATATCAGCACATTGGTTACTATCATAGAAATATTTTTGATTGACAGTGTTGGCTATTTCTGAGATTGTAGGGTTGCAAAATATATTTATTTAGATTTTCCTTCAATACTGTTTTGTGTTCTTGAATGAATTGAAAAAGACCCTCAGTAGTGTCAGTAGCCATCACTTACCACAATAAGTTGGTATAATGACAACTATATTTGCTGTAAACATTTTTGCACAGTTGAACTCAAGTGCCTATATTTATTCTAACTCAAGAAAGTGGCCAGGCACGGTGGCTCATGCCTGTAATCCCAGCACTTTGGGAGGCCGAGGCAGGCAGATCACGAGGTCAGGAGATCGAGACCATCCTGGCTAACACAGTGAAACCCCGTCTCTACCAAAAAAAATACAAAAAATTAGCCGGGCATGGTGGCGTGTGCCTGTAGTCCCAGCTACTTGGGAGGCTGAGGCAGGAGAATCGCTTGAACCCGAGAGGCGGAGGCTGCAGTGAGCTGAGATCGTGCCACTGTACTACAGCCCGGGTGCCAGAGCAAGACTCCATCTCAAAAAAGAAAGCACAGAAGTACTGTTCCAAAGTTACTGTATTATTTACTAGAAATAAGAAAATATAGGCCGAAACAAGAAAATGTACACCTATTCATTCTTCTCTCTTATGTGATCTAAAATTATTTAAATAACCAATTTCCCAGAGCCTTAAACAATATGTGGTCTTGCTTTCATAGTTCTCATCTTGTCAATAGCCTTGCATCGTAGATATATGAACAGCTACTCTGTTCAAGTGCTAAAGGATGTAGGATAAGCCTGGTCTTCTGCTAAATTCTCCTGACAATATTATTGTGTGGTCCTAAGACTAATTCCTTGCTCCTATTATAGGAATCTGGCATTGATTTTTTAGCATCTGCAATTCTGTTAAGAGAAATTTACATATATAGTATAGTACAACATAATTTATAGTGATTCAGAGCCAATTAACATTTACTAAGTACCAGACACTATACTAGGTATTTTACCTCTTCTCTCCTTTTACATACTGAGAGTGGACACTAAACCTTATGTTTCTCTTAAGAATATAACAATGTCATCTATGAAAGCAGAGTCCACAGTAGAAGCCCAGAAAAAATTTTCTCAGATGAAAATAATTAATGCTTTCCTATGGATGATATAAAGCATAGCTCAGTTGCCTAAGCAATAAACTATGTAGTCAAACACGCTATAAGCTACACATGGTTAACTGGATCAAATCAAACTCCTTATCTAAATCTCCATACACTAAAAAATGAATACAAAACATTAAAATATAGCATAATTATTTTGTGACCTACACAGTATCTAGGAAGCTAATAAATACATTAGTATTTATCAACAGTGAAGGATAGAGCCACTGTACAGCACAGGACAGCACAAACACGTATGTAGTCTCTTCTCAGCACTCCTAATATGCCAAAAAAATTAAAAACATAGAAAACATTAAAATCATTAAGATGCTCTTCAGGTTTATCTAACAGCTTGGAATAAACTCTATCCTGTAATGTGAATTGCCTCTTCAGGTTAACACCATCTTAACAGATTAAGTGTTTAAATTCTCTTTCTCTGCAAAATTGGTAACACTTTGTTCGTCAGCACCTTTGTTCTACAAACTGACACCAAACTACAAATATTCTTCTGCGTGTTAATTATATTATACATACAAACATTATACATACTCATTTGTATGGAAATAAAAGCATATCTAAAGATAGGAATGTAAACTGAAACTTCATTAATAAAATCTTACTAAGTTTAATAGTATCAGAGTTTTAAAATGTTTGCCAGATACAGGAACCAAAATTTGGAACCCAATATAAAAATAACAAATAGGAACCTAGCCAATTGTAGTACTGGAAACAAAACAGATTCTATAAAATTACTGTACGGTTAAGAAGGCAAACAATCTAAGGAATTCACACTCTATTTTCAAAGCCGAAAACATTCCATGCAGGAAAAAAATAACCGGTTACAGAAATTTGGACTCTGCTAGAAAGGAATTATCTAGTCAGCCCTACGTTTCATTTGCAAACTCATATAATCTGATGTAAGAATGAAAAAATGGCAAATATTTGCAAAAATGATGTGGTTAAAAAATGCAGCAAATATTTTTTATACTATTGGTGTTAATTCTAAAAATAATCCATCATATAGCAATGATAATCTTGTTAAATGGGAATATTTTCCAGGCTCAGCTGTTTACAAGTCTTAAGTGCACTGTCATCAGATTCTAAGGGGTGGCAGACAATGAATGAACATGTGTTTATGAGTTCCGATTAGGAACTATATTAATATCTACATTATTTCACATGAAATTTTAAACTATTTACTATTTCTCCCGTCCAAAATAAAGGCAAACTTTATAGACTGAGCACTACAAAATTTCGAGTTGGTGAAATCTAAAGTAGTAAGATTCAGTATTATGTTTTAAGTGACAATTTCATGTTCTCCAAAAAGAATACCAGGATCACCACTTTCCAATCATGCATGCACACACACACACACACACACACACACACCCCAATTATGGTACATATGAATAAATGCTGTCTTGAAGGACTTGAAGCTTTCAATGCAAATGTATATATTTCTTTTGAGTTCACTGTTTTATAACTACAACTTAAAAAATTCGTCACCCAGAACCATTCTACAAATGTCCAGTTCCTCCTAGAAACTGGTCATTGTTGAACAGATTCAAAAACAGAAATTTAGATCATCTATAAAATTCATTTTATTTTTCAATTCCAATGACAACCACTGTTTTTAAATCTACTTTTCAGAATAAAATGTCAGTAGCATTTATTATTATTATTATTATTATTATTATTTTGGGATAGAGTTTCATTCTTGTTGCCCAGGTTGGAGTGCAGTAATGCAGTCTTGGCTCACTGCAACCTTCGCCTCCCGGGTACAAACAAACGATTCTCCTGCCTCAGCCCCCTGAGTAGCTGGGATTACAGGCACCCACCACCACGCCCGGCTAATTTTTTATATTTTTAGTAAAGACAGGTTTTCATCATGTTGGCCAGGCTTGTCTCGAACTACTGACCTCAGATGACCCACCCGCTTCGGCCTCCCAAAGTGCTGGGATTACAAGTGTGAACCACCGCACCTGGCCACATTCATTATTATACTAAATTAAAAGATCCAAGTTACCTGAGTCTGGACCTTACTGTGGTAGGTTCTGCCTCACTCAGTAACACCAGCAGTAACTCAGGAGTTTCTATAGAGCTTCTAAACAGGGGTTGCCAGTATAAAAGTCCAAGATACCACAAAGGTCCACATACACGTTCAAATTTTCAGAAAGTCTGGCCGTGGTAGATGAAAACTGATTAACAGTATTTATTATAGTTCACTGTGTGGCGAATAGACTGTTAGAGAGAATACCTATTATGAGGACTATAGATGTGGTTGTTTGTATAAGGAAGTATTTAGTGGCTGCTTCTGTGGAACAGTTGAAATTTGTTGAGATTATGCTACTTTAGAGTAGAAATTATTAGTCCTCTCATAGTTGTTGGAAGTCTTGATTCATATTTCTATATATCAAATTGCTTGAGGAAATGGGAACTTTTCCTTTCACTATCTTTCAAAAATGAGGTTTATAGGTGAAAATGGAAAGAGATAACTGGTAATGAAAAAAGCTGAAAACTATTGCTCAAAGATCATTAAAAATAGCAGAGGGGGGAAAAAGCTTTATTAAAAATTTAATGAAAACTAGAAATGAAAGTGGAAGAGGACTCCAGGTAGAGAGCCCAAGATACAACCCGGGCATTACTGTAGCTCAGAGCTTTACCCAAGAGGGCTTCCTAATGCTCAAAGACTCTTCCTAGAGCTTAAATTCCACCAAGATAAACTCTAATTCATCGAAATGTTCCCTATAGAAGATATGTCTGACTCTACAGTCTTTACAAACTGGCATAATTCTAGTTACATTTATAACGAGACCTCTTAATTCAATCATCTCTGCTTTGCCTCCTCGGACAGCCTCTTAACGGGCCTCTCTACATTTATTCTTACTTTTATTTGACCCGCTCTTCACAGAGCAGGGAAGACTGCATAAACAAAAACATAAATCCAGTCACACCACTTCTCTGTTCTTAACATCTTCCTTAACAGCTTCCATGCACTCTTAGGAAAAAGCTCCAACCCTTACATTTTCTGTAAGGTTCAGAATAATGAAGCCTACTCTCCCCCAACCCAATCTACTTCAGCTACTCTGCTTTCTTTTCCAGTTCTCCCAGAGCTCTTCTCTACCATCAGGTTTTTGCACCTGCTGTTCCCTTCTGTAGAATGTTTTTCCTTCCTTGTCTGCCTGGAAACTCCAATCCTTCACTTCTCAGCTTAAAAGTGACTTCCTCAGGAAAACTCTGCTTTTTATCAATCTTCCACTCCCCACACACCTCTGGCCCCTATCATTTGGTGATTCTTTCACCATACTTTATTTCATAGTTGCAATGAAGTAATCGTTTAATATCTTTTTCCAACCCTATACTGCAAGTTCCATGAAGGTGTGATTGTGTCTTATCTACTGCTGTTTCCTTGGTGCCAAGTATAGGGCAGGAAATAAGGAATCAAAAGGAATAGATTTTTATAATGGGCTCTTGCACAAGGTAATGAGAATTAGTCTATCTCATGCAAAATGATGACTCTATCAACAACCCATGCTATAACACAAGTCATCTTGAGAGCCTAACAAATGAAGTAGCTGATGAAGCAATATTTTTCACAATCTTTTCATTCCCAAATACTCTAAATCTTCAACTAGACTTCTAGGCTAGGGACATGTAGCTAGGTTCCTTGAAAATATTTATGGAATTCATTGTGGCAGTTAAGTTTCCTGGATAAAAATATACTGAGGACCTCAACCAAAGCCAAGCAACCTTCAAATTAATGAGTCATTATAAGAAATTGTCATCAAAAAGCCACCCAAGAAGAAGTAATAAGAAATTCAACCAGTGTTGTCTTGAATATAGTTCAGGCAATTCATTCTAGTTCAGATAAAACAAATGCTTGATGGATGGGATAAAGACAGGCAAAAAATAATAAGATTTTAGGAGCTGTTAAATGAGATTTCCCAAGATGATTATGACTTTGGAAAGTTTTAGTATCAAGAAATTCCTGATTAAGGTGGTTGTTTCAAAAATCTTTGGAAGCTAAGATTCATCTAAAATAGAATATAGCCATTTGAAATTTGGTACAGGTTTGTAAGCTACACAACATACTGATTCTTTTATCTGAGGTCATAGCCAATTCTTAAGTAAATTTCATGCAGGACATTAAGGTTTCTGTGGGCCAAAAAGCCTCATAATTTAAATATCTAATATGAGAACCTTTTTTTAAAAAAACAGGATACTTATTTTCCAGAAACCTTCAACTTGATAAATAACAGAGAAAAGCAAAAATATGAATCAAAATAAATAATTTAACCTGATATTAAGAAACTTAATGAAAATAAGAAGCAAATTAACTTTATTTTCTATCCTCTCACCTATCAACCCAAGACTTTCAATAAGTAAAACTTAAAGGACGGTAATCCATTATCATCTCACTTGTGTTCTCTACATTACTCTTTTGGTGGTAGGGGTGGGGAACACGTGTATGCATGTGTACAGTGGTAGAAGGGGGGAAACTAACATTGTATGTGTCTGCTATGTCATGAGCCTACAAACAGTACACATGTTTTTATTAGATTCAGTCCTCACAACGAATCCATTCAAAGATACAACTCACAGTGGTGAAATGACTGGCCAGAGGTTAGCCAGCTAGCACGTGGCAGAGGCAGGGATACCAAGAGTCCTTTCCATAACATCACACTGACTAAGTTTTCCTGGTTCTGTCGAAAATATTAATTGTTCATTTGGCATAATGTTTCTAGTTCTTTTCTATTATTTCATCCAAATGAATTTTCCTTCTCATTTACTATGAAAGATTTTGTTAGCCTTCACATCTTGCCCTACTGCTTATAAACTAAGGAAAGGCAGGTTCCTCCACACAGAACAGCTCTCTCCTCTATCACTTTCTATATGAAACTTTCAATAAGACATATCGTGTTTATCTCAAGCCCACCATAGCTGAGGAGGAATCGCTTGCTTTCCCCTATAATTCCCAGTGCCCAGCATTCTCACAACTAGGAGGTTCTTGAGAATCTCCTCATTTATACAATATGAAGTAAAAGCCAATTTAAACTTTTAAATGGTAACTTAATTCAATGCTGAATATCAAAATAATCAACTGTTAAAAATTTAAATGATTGTTTTGATATATTCTTGTACTAGCAACACTTATTAAACTTTCTCATCATGGTACCCCTATATAGCAGGGGGAAATGAACACATCCCACAGCAGCTAAAACACGTGAGAGAGTTCATGCAGGTCTTGCATTTTATCTTAGAGATTCAGGTAAATTTTGGATTTTATTCTATTTGATAATCTTTTGTTTTTAAACTTTTAAGTTTGGGGTACATGTGCAGGTTTGTTCCATAAGTAAGCTTGCGTCATGGGGGCTTGTTTTACAGATTATTTTATCATCCAGGTATTAAGCCTGGTATCCATTAGTTATTTTTCCTGATCCTCTCCCACCTCCCACCCTCCCAAAAGCCCCAGTGTGTGTTGTTCCCCTCTATATGTCCATGTGTTTTCATAATTTAGCTCCTATTTATATGTGAAAACATGCAGTATTTGGTTTTCTGTTCCTGCATTAATTAGTTTGCTAAAGATAAGGGCTTCCAGCTCCATCCATGTCCCTGCAAAGAACATCTCATTCTTTTTCATGGCTGCATAGTATTCCATGGTATACATGTCCAAAACTTTCTTTATCCAGTCTATCACTGATGGGCATTTAAGGTGATTCTAAGTCTTTGCTATTGAATAGCGGTGCAATGAACATACACATGCTTATGTCTTTATGACAGAATAATTTATATTCCTTTGGGTATATATCCAGTAATAGGATTGCTGGGTTGAATGGTATTTCTGTCTTTAGGTCTTTGAGGAATTGCCACACTGTCTTCCACAATGGCTGAACTGACTTACACTCCCACAAACAGTGTATACGGTTTCTTTTTCTCCACAACCTCACCAGCATCTGAATAACCTTGTTTTTAATTTTCCCCCTTTACACCACATTTTCCTCCTAAACATTAGCAATTTAGAAATATCCCATGTTTATTTCATGCTGTCTCAGCACTCCTCAGGTACTCCTGGGGATGTGAGATCTTATTCTTTGAAAATAATGGTAGTATGGTCTTTAACACAGCACTATGAAGTGGTAAACTGTGAATAATAATGTTTTAAATTGATATAAAACATTTCAATAATTTATAAATTTTAAAAATGTTATTATAGGCCGGGTGCAGTAGCTCACACCTGTAATCCCAGCACTTTGGGAGGCCGAGCCAGGCGGATCACCTGGGGTCAGGAGTTCGAGACCAGCCTGGCCAACATGTAGAAACCCCATCTCTACTAAAAATACAAAATTAGCTGGGCATGGTGGCGCATGCCTGTAATCCCAGCTACTCAGGAGGCTGGGACAGGAGAATTGCTTGAACCCGGGAGGTGGAGATTGCGGTGAGCCGAGATCACACCACTGCACTCCAGCCTGGGCAACAAGAGCAAAACTCTGTCTCAAAAAAAAAAAAAAGTTATTATAGCTCGTGTTCCAATCTTATAAAAATAAAAAAAATCAGCATTTCAGCAGTATTTCCTTTACTAAGGAAAGGGAAGTAACGTTTATGTACTTTTATTTTTGGAACTTTGAAACTGAACTCACCTTATTTGTCAAATTTATATATGTGCTATTAATTGTTCAGTCTTTCTGCTCTATTCCAATTTCAGAAAACAGGTACTTAAAAAAAGCATTTTATTTTTGTTGTTAGAAATTACAAACTGTAGGAACCATTGCAAAAGGTGAAAATTACCTTGTTTATCTATAACAGAGTATGAGGCCAAAAATCCGCGTCCAGAAACATGGATTCCACTCATGAACAGCAATGTGATTTCATTGCCTTTTGATTCAATTGAATGGTTCATTTGCAACCCCAGACCACAGTATTTGCCTAGGAATGAAAGAAAAGCAGATTATTTGGGATGACTCTCATGAAGTCAATAATATTTGCAATGTAGATAACAGAAGCAGAATAATATACCAAGCTGGCTGTTAAATTAGTATGGAATAATGACTAAAATGTTTAATGATTACCAATCATATTGCTCTGGAGGAAAAAAATGACAAGTAATGTCTATTCAAATGATTCAAAAGGAAAAGCAGTACATGCATCACTGAACTTATAGAGATTAATTTCCTGTGAAAGACATGTATACTCTTTCAAAACAATAATGAGGGACTAAAAAAAAAATTAACAAAATATTTCATCCAGGCAGGTGGCTCACAAATGAATTGATGATTAATTAGTAGTATTCTTAAAGTGCTTCCCTCAAACCCCTTAGATTCCAGCCTCAGGTCATCCCTCAAGCCTTTTTTTGGACCTACTCAATTTTACTTCTGAGGGTTGTTGGATTTCTAGTTAATCTCTTTAGGTGATCATATCTGATCCCATGGCTTTAACTATGATCTGACAACTCACAAGCTTAACCTTCCATCCACAGCTTTTTCCTTGAATGTCAGATGCATATATAAAACTGTGTGCCTAAATTTCATCCTTTAATGTCTATCACAGAGGTGCCTCATCTTTTGGTCTCCCTGGGCCACAGTGGAAAAAGAATTGTCTTGGGCCACACATAAAATGCATTAACACTAATGACAGCTTTTGGGCACGATCAATCAACCAATAAACAAACAAACATAAATAAATCACAAAAAAATCTCATGTTTTAAGAAAGTTTATAAATTTCTGTTGGGCCGCATTCAAAGCTGTCCTGGGCCGCATGTGGCCTGCAGGCCACAGGTTGGACAAGCTTGGTCTATCAGATATATAAAAAATAACATATCCTCAGTACAGATCTAAGATACTAAGATAAAAAGAAAGAAGAAGAAAAATTAAAGCAAGACACACACTAATAAATAATAAAAACTGATTTTCTTATGTGCTTGGTAACTTGTGTAAGAAAGCCTGAATAAGGACTTCCAAAAATGTTTTAAGCTATGGCAACATCACTTGAATAAGAGTAATGTGGACCTCCAAGGATATCATTTTCAAGGATGATACTTTATCTTATGAGTAGTGAATTCTAAGGAATTGACAAATAAAACAAAACAAAACCTCTCTAGAACTAGTAAAGAAACTTAGCTAAGTCACAGGATCCATATACAAAAATCAACTGCATTTCCATATATGCTAGTGCAATCTGAAATGAAATTTTTAAAACTCCATCCATAATAGCATCAAAAAAGTTAAAAAACTTAGGAATAAAATTGCTTTAAAAAGTTCAAAATCAGCATACCTCAAAATAATAAGAACTATTTATGACAAACCCACAGCCAATATCATACTGAATGGGCAAAAACTGGAAGCATTCCCTTTGAAAACCTGCACAAGACAAGGATGCCCTCTCTCACCACTCCTATTAACATAGTACTGGAAGTTCTGGTCAGGGAAATCAGGCAAGAGAAAGAAATAAAGGGTATTCAAACAGGAAGTGAGGAAGTAAAATTGTCTTTGTTTGCAGATGACATGACTGTATATTTAGAAAACCCCATTGTCTCAGCCCAAAATCTCCTTAAGCTGATAGACAACTTCAGCAAAGTCTCAGGATACAAAATCAACGTGAAAAAATCACAAGCATTCCTATACACCAATAACAGACAGAGAGCCAAATCATGAGAGAACTCCCATTCACAATTGCTACAAAGAGAATAAAATACCTAGGAATACAACTTACAAGGGATGTGAAGGACCTCTTCAAGGAGAACTACAAAGCACTGCTCAAGGAAATAAGAGCGGATACAAATGGAAAAACATTCCATGCTCGTGGATAGGAAGAATCAATATCAGGAAAATGGCCATAATGCCCAAATGTATAGATTCAATGCTATCCCCATCAAGCTACCATTGACTTTCTTCACAGAATTAGAAAAAACTACTTTAAATTTCATATGGAACCAAAAAAGAATCCATGTAGCCAAGACATTCCTAAGCAAAAAGAACAAAGCTGGAGGCATCACGCTACCTGACTTCAAACTATACAAGGCTACAGTAACCCAAACAGCACGGTACTGGTACCAAAACAGGTATGTAGACCAATGGAACAGAACAGAGGCTTCAGAAATAACACTACACAACTACAACCATTTGATCTTTGACAAACCTAACAAAAACAAGCAACGGGGAAAGGGTTCCCTATTTAATAAATGCTGTTGGGAAAACTGGCCAGCTAGCCATATGCAGAAAACTGAAACTGGGCCCCTTCCTTACACCTTATACAAAAATTAACTCAAGATGGATTAAAGACTTAAACGTAAGACCTAAAACCATAAAAAACCTAGAAAACCTAGGCAATACCATTCAGGACATAGGCATGGGCCAAGACTGCATGACTAAAACACCAAAAACAATGGCAACAAAAGCCAAAACTGACAAATGGAATCTAATTAAACAAAAAGGCTGTACCAATTTATTCCCCTTCTCCCCAGCAGTATTGGTGATCAAGAGACTGGTAACTTGTTATTTTCTTGATTAACTTTTCCAATGTGTGTTTACTTGTAAAATTTCCTCTAGTATGTGATCTTTTAATGCTTCTAGGATATTTCTTTTTTTTTTTTTTTTTAAAGGAGTCTCGCTCTGTCACCCAGGCTGGAGTACAGTGGCGTGATCTTGGCTCACTGCAACCTCTGCCTCCCACGTTCAAGCAATTCTCCTGTCTCAGCCTCCCAAGTAGCTGGGATTACAGGCGCACACCAACACGCCAGGCTAATTTTTGTATTTTTATTAGAGACAGGGTTTCACCGTATTTGCCAGGCTGGTCTAGAACTCCTGACCTGTGGTGATCCACCCACCTCGGCCTCCCAAAGTGATGGGATTACAGGCGTGAGCCACCGCACCCAGCCTTCTAGGGTATTTCTTACCAGGATTCCCTGTCAGTTTCATTTTTAACTTCTTTTATGTTACATATATGGCAAAACGGAGATTTTTCTGGGTAAGCCTGAACTAATCAGGTAGGCCCATTAAAAGCACATTGTTTTCTCAGGTTGCAGAATTGGAAATAAGAGAGACACATGCCAGGTGGCCTGGAAGAATGCAAACATCTATGTAGCAACTTGCCTATCAGGGCCATTGCAAGTCACCTCTAGAAAGTTAAAGCAGTCCCTGGCCAACAGTTACCAAGAAAATGGGGACCTCAGTTTTACAACTGCAATGAACTGAATTCTACCAACAACTAGTACACTTGGAAGAGAACTGTGAGCCCCAGATGAGAAACGTATTCCCAGCTAACACCTTAATTTCAGCCTGGTGGGACCCCAAGCAGAGAATTCAGTCATGCCATGCAATGCCTAGACTTCAGATCCATGGGAAGTGAGATGATAAAACTGCGCTGTTTTAAGTTGTAGGCTTGTGATAATTTATTAAGAAGCAAAGTAAAACAGAATACAACCAGGAATTTAGTGTACAGTCCAAGAATATTGTGCTTTTGGATAATTGAATTTGATAGAGGTATGGAGGCGAAGTTAGAATTGATGGCTCAGGACCCAAATTAGCCCACAGGCCTCTTGGTCTGTACAGCTCTGGGCTATACTCTCCTTCAAAAATGTTTAAATTAGGTGTTAAAGTTCTCAAAATCTGGAAACTTAACATAAATTCTGAATTTCCAACTTCTCTTGAAAAATCACAAGGAAAAAAAGGAAATCTAGGCCAGTTTTCTAAGTGGTTGTCCTTAAGTAGCAGCTGTCCCCTTTGAAAAAGAAAGTCACACTCCAGTTTGCCACAGCCCTATCACTCCACAATGCCACCAGTCCTGAAGCTCAGCTATCATTTATCATCATGGCTATGCTGTTATTCTTCATATGCCTAGGCCATTTCACTCCTTTATTTCATCTGTCTAGACCCTGTTGGCAGTGAGCTTGTAGCCACTTGTACAGAGTATAGAGACCTTATGGTCACCATGCCTCTTCTGATGTCCACATCAACCACAGTAGATGAATAACAGCAATAAATTAAGCTCTAGAAGGTGTTAAATGGAAACATTCTGTATTCAAAAGAGGGGAGATAGTGCATCTGACTCTGATAAACCAGAAGTATAATTAATATTGTTACGAAACTTGAGAAATCTTATTTATGTTCTCAATTAAATGGAAGCTCATTCAACTTCCTGAGGTGTGCCACGGAACAATGCTCTCCTTAGGAATCTGCAACTTAGAAGGATGAACCAGAGGGTAGAGAGTTACTTGCTAGAACAAAAGCACATCAGCTCTGCCCACTTTCAGTGGAGGGAAATGAAGCTTGCTTAAAGAGCCTCAGTCCTAATTTACAAACTTATTTACGAACAGGTTTTTTTTTTCTTTTTTTAACTAGTATAGAGCATCTCTAGTCTCAAAAACAAAATTTGGAATTCTCAAAGGAACTCATTTACTGAAACTCTGAATATCCAGGCACTAAGCCAGGCAGGAACTGGGGATTCAGTAATGGAATGAGAGGCAGTGATGCCCTCAGAAAGCTTAGTGTAGTGGGACAAATCAAATGTACAGTTGAATCCTCTAAGGTACAGAAGAGGCCATGATAGCTCCTGAACAATGTTTACCATAGATGCTATCATTAAATAACTCCCATCAGTAGTTTCTTTAAAAAGTCTGGCTTTGAGGACCATTGTCTTATGCTTGGTGGGCCAGAGTGAGGTGGAGATGTACAAATTAACCCCCTGCTTGGAGTGGTTGAGTGTTCTCTTTTTGAATGTCTAAAATGTCTTCCCATAATCATTTCTCTTATACTGTGAATAAGCTGTCCTTTTGGCTGGATTTAGCCTTACTTTTAGCTGCTTCAGCAAAGACTTGCCTGCAGAAGATAATGATAGGAAGGTATAGCTCTAATTTCTTTTTGAACAATTAGACTATTGGGTATATATTTAAAATGGGACATAACAGATATTTACTAGGTTTAAAAGGGATTTAACAATATTACTAAAAATGAATTTGCCTCTCCTTCTAAAATATAGTGGTTTTAGAAAAGTATTTTAAATTATGTTTTTCTACAACATATCATAGTCATTGTACATCTTGATTTTAGAAAAGTGGCTATTTTGGTGTTATTCTTCTTAAGCAGCAGATCTGATATCTGCACATTTTAAAGTGAATAAACGCTGCAAGGGAAAAATGTACCTTGACACTTTGACTCCTACCTCACACAACACAGATAAAAATCAATTCTGGATGGATTGAGGATAATATTAGAAACAAATCCAATAAGGCTTTAAGTGGAAAACTTTGAGAAGAGCTTCACGACCTAGAACTGGGCAAAAATTTCTTAAACAGAATACAAAAAGTACTAACCATAAAATAATTAGTAAACGCAAACTACATAAAATTAACGTTTATTTATCATAAGATACCAGTAAGGGAGTAAAATGGCAGCCCATAGCAATGGAGAAGATACATTTACTACATCTAAAAAGAACCCATTACCCGAATATATACAGAACTCCAACAAATGAATAAGAAAAAGATCTCCCAATAGAGAATATGCATGAAAATGTAAACAGATTTTTTATAAACAAAGATATTTAAATGGATAATAAATGTATGAAAAGAGCACAGTATCATCAGCTATCAAGGAAATACAAAGCAAACTATGTATAACATGCCATCAGTACACACACACCAGAACAGTTAACATGGAGAAAAGCAGAGAATGGTAACTAGAACTCTTATACACTGGTGGTGGGTATAAAATAGTACAGCCACAAAAACATTTGGCAATAACTGCTAAAGCTGAACATATGCAACCCAGTGACCCAGCAATTCCTCTTCTACGTATAGAAATGTGTACTTACGTACATCTTCAACATAAAAAAGTGTCAGTTTTACCACACTCACACAAACATAACATTAAAATTTTAATATTTTTTATGAATTCAAAAGTCAGGAAAAAAATGTAGTTTTAAAACTATGCATTTCTTTGACTGTAAGCATAGTTCCCTCCTCTAAAATCCTTTCAGAACTGTAGCTCAGACAAAAGAGCATATAGGTTTTTACCACTATCTACAATGGTAACCAAACGGTCTTGATAGAAAAATTTATAGCATTCAGATGGGCTGAAATATTCATAAGGTAATATCAAAATTCCCCATCGAAATTTTCCAAGTGGGCTTTCCTTCTCTCTTATGAAACTTCTACTTTAGCAAAGGACTTTAAGAGTTATCTTTTGGAAAACAAGCCAACTCTGTAAAGAGAGCTTCACATTCTATTTCTTAATAAAACATCTTGAAAAGGTAGTGATTCAAGGTCCTAGCTCTTACTAAGTTGACAGATTATTTCAGTATAGCTGGCAGTTTCTCATGCCAAGTATGCTAATACAAAAAGCAATGAGTCATAATAATGTGAAGACTTCAGCAAAACCAGATGTGGTGCCAAGCATCACAGATGAGACATTCATAGAATATCAAGAAATTTCTTTAAAGCTTTTCTGAAAAAATATACTCTTCACTACTTAGGAGATGTCAAAACCTTTTAATATTCACTTAAAAGGCTCACAAACAGGAATTCTTGGATGGGGGCAGGATCTCACAGGAGAGTAAGTTCCCTCCAGTTAAATGCTGAGAAATGGACAGTTGTCAATTCCTCAATAATCTGCCTCAAAACCTCAGAGGAAACATTTAGGATACTGAAAGAACAAAACAAAACAACAAATATATATGCAATCTCTCCCGAACTATGGTCTCTCTCAGAAGAAAAAAAAGAAAAAACTATATTAACAAAGGGGCCTATTATGAGCTACAAAGCTTATAAACCACTGCAAACTGCCAGCCCTATCCACAGAAATACAGAGGTACAATGTTAATCTACTTAAAAATACACAGTATAAAAAGAAAACAAAAAATGGGAATCCCTAAAATTTAGTTTATGAAAACCCTCTCCCCCTATAAAAACAGTGACAGAAGGAAACTACAGCACAACACTCCAAAGTTAATTAAATGTCCTCATACATTTGGGATATGATAAAACATCTTGAAGCATAAATTCAGAAACTAGGGGCAGAAATGGACAAAAAAAGCAGAAAGAAATGAGAGTTGGTTGACCTCAGGAAAGAAATATAAGAAAAAGACAAAAGTATACCAAAAATGAAGAATTAAGACATTATAAAGTGCACAAGGAATTACAGATTCTAACGAAAACATAAGGAATGTTGAAAAGAAGAAAAAAAACAGACTAAAAAGAATATTTAAAAAGTAAAAAGGATCAGTGAGAATGTGGCTGAAATGAAAGGGGATATAAATGGCAAAGAAGATTCAACTGACATATAAGTGTGTCCAGAATTGGTGGGTTCTTGGTCTCACTGACTTCAAGAACGAAGCCGCAGACCCTCGCAGTGAGTGTTACGGTTCTTAAAGGTGGCATGTCCGGAGTTTGTTCTTTCTGATGTTCGGATGTGTTTGGAGTTTCTTCCTTCTGGTGGGTTCGTGGTCTCACTGGCTCAGGAGTGAAGCTGCAGACCTTCGTGGTGAGTGTTACAGCTCTTAAGGCGGCACGTCTGGAGTTGTTCATTCCTCCTGGTGGGTTCGTGGTCTCGCTGGCTTCAGGAGTGAAGCTGCAGACCTTTGCGGTGAGTGTTACAGCTCATAAAGGCAGTGTGGACCCAAAGAGTGAGCAGTAGCAAGATTTATTGCAAAGAGCGAAAGAACAAAGCTTCCACAGTGTGTAAGGGGACCCAAGCTGGGTTGCCACTGCTGGCTCGCCACTGCTGGCTCCGGCAGCCTGCTTTTATTCTCTTATCTGGCCCAACCCACATTCTGCTGATTAGTCCATTTTACAGAGAGCCGACTGGTCCATTTTACAGAGAGCTTATTGGTCCGTTATGACAGGGTGCTGATTGGTGCGTTTACAATCCCTGAGCTAGACACAAAAGTTCTCCACATCCCCACGAGATTAGCTAGACACAGAGTGTCGATTGGTGCATTCACAAACCCTGAGCTAGACGCAGGGTGCTGATTGGTGTGTTTACAAACCTTGAGCTAGATACACAGTGCCGATTGGTGTATTTACAATCCCTTAGCTAGACATAAAGGTTCTCCACGTCCCCACTAGAGTAGCTAGATACAGTCGATTGGTGCATTCACAAACCCTGAGCCACACACAGGGTGCTGATTGGTGTCTTTACAAACCTTGAGCTAGATACAGAGTGCCGACTGGTGTATTTACAATCCCTTAGCTAGACATAAAGGTTCTCCAAGTCCCCACCAGACTCAGGAGCCCAGCTGGCTGCACCCAGTGGATCCCGCACCGGGGCTGCAGGTGGAGCTGCCTGCCAGTCCCGCGCCGTGCGCCCGCACTCCTCAGCCCTTGGGTGGTCAATGGGACTGGGTGCCATGGAGCAGGGGGCGGTGCTCGTCGGGGAGGCTTGGGCCACGCAGCAGCCCACGGTGGGGGGCAGGCTCAGGCATGGCGGGCTGCAGGTCCCGAGCCCTGCCCCACGGGGAGGCAGCTAAGGCCCAGCGAAAAGTCACAGCAGCTGCTGGCCCAGGTGCTAAGCACCTCACTGCCTGGGGCTGGCAGGGCCAGCTGGCCACTCCGAGTGTGGGGCCTGCCGAGCCCACACACACCCAGAACTCGCACTGGCCCGCAAGCGCCGTGTGCAGCCCCAGTTCCCGCCTGCGCCTCTCCCTCCACACCTACCCGCAAGCTGAGGGAGCCGGCTCCGGCCTTGGCCAGCCCAGGAAGGGGCTCCCACAGTGCAGCAGCAGGCTGAAGGGCTCCTCAAGTGCTGCCAAAGTGGGAGCCCAGGCAGAGGAGGTGCCGAGAGCGAGCGAGGCCTGCGAGGGCTGCCAGCACGCTGTCACCTCTCATAAGTATTAAAAATAAATACACAAAGCAATGGAACAAATATTAACATTAAAAAATAGGCATATAGGATTACCTCACACTAAAATGCTTTCGCATAGCAAAGAAAACAATCAACAGAGTGAAGAGACACAGAAAGAGAAAATACCTGCAAACCATGTATCTGGTAAGGGGTTAATACCAAAAACATATGAGGTCAAACAACTCAAAAGCAAGAAAACAAGTAACTTTAAAAATGAAAAAAGACCTAAGTAGGCATTTTTCAGAAAAAGTTTATGAAAACAATCCCCTCCCCTATTATACAAATAGCCAACAGATATATGAAAAAATGTTCTGGGTCCTCCGTTCCAAGATGGCCGAATAGGAACAGCTCCAGTCTATAGCTCCCAGTGTGAGCGACGCAGAAGATGGGTGATTTCTGCATTTCCAACTGAGGTACTGGCATCGCTTCACCTGGGAAGCGCGTGGGGTCGGGGAATTCCCTTTCCTAGCCAAGGGAAGGGGTGACAGATGGCACCTGGAAAATCGGGTCACTTCTGCCCTAATACCGCACTTTTCCAATGGTCTTATAGCAAACGGCACACCAGGAGATTACATCCCACGCCTGGCTCGGAGGGTCCTACGCCAACGGAGGCTCACTCATTGCTAGCACAGCAGTCTGGGATTGAACTGCAAGGCAGCAGGAGGCTGGGGGAGGGGAGCCCACCATTGCTGAGGGTTGAGTAGGTAAACAAAGCGGCCAGGAAGCTCGAACTGGGTGGAGCCCAACGCAGCTCAAGGAGGCCTGCCTGCCTCTGTAGACTCCACCTCTGGGGGCAGGGCATAGCCAAACAAAAGTCAGCAAAAACCTCTACAGACTTAAATGTCCCTGTCTGACAGCTTTGAAGAGAGTAGTGGTTCTCCCAGCATGGAGTCTGAGATCTGAGAACAGACAGACTGCCTCCTCAAGTGGGTCCCTGACCCCCAAGTAGCCTAACTGGGAGGCACCCCCCAGTAGGGGCAGACTGATACCTCACATGGCCGGGTACGCCTCTGAGACGAAGCTTCCAGAGGAATGATCAGGCAGCAACATTTGCTGTTCAGCAATATTCACTGTTCTGCAGCCTCCACTGCTGATACCCAGGCAAACAGGGTCTGGAGTGGACCTCCAGAAAACTCCAACAGACCTCAGCTGAGGGCTATGACTGTTAAAAGGAAAATTAACAAACAGAAAGGACATCCACACCAAAACCCCATCTGTATGTCACCAACATCAAAGACCAAAGGTAGATAAAACCACAAAGATGGGGAAAAAACAGAGCAGAAAATCTGAAAATTCTAAAAATCAGAGCACCTCTCCCCCCACAAAGGAACGCAGCTCCTCGCCAGCAACGGAACAAAGCTGGACGGAGAATGACTTTGACGAGTTGAGAGAAGAAGGCTTCAGACCATCAAACTTCTCTGAGCTAAAGGAAGAAGTTTGAACACAACACAAAGAAGCTAAAAACCTTGAGAAAAGATTAGACGAATGGCTAACTAGAATAACCAGTGTAGAGAAGTCCTTAAATGACCTGATAGAGCTGAAAACCATGGCATGAGAACTACGTGACGAATGCACAAGCTTCAGTAGATAATTCAATCAACTGGAAGAAAGGGTATCGGTGATAGAAGATCAAATGAATGAAATGAAGCCAGAAGAGAAATTTGGAGAAAAAAGACTAAAAAGAAATGAACAAAGCCTCCAAGAAATATGGGACTAGGTGAAAAGACCAAATCTACGTCTGATTGGTGTACCTGAAAGTGATGGGGAGAATGGAACCAAGTTGGAAAACACTCTGCAGGATATTATCCAGGAGAACTTCCCCAACCTAGCAAGGCAGGCCAACACTCAAATTCAGGAAATACAGAGAATGCCACAAAGATACTCCTCGAGAAGAGCAACTTCATGACACATAATTGTCAGATTCACCAAAGTTGAAATGAAGGAAAAAATGATGAGAGCAGCCAGAGAGAAAGGTTGGGTTACCCACGAAGGGAAGCCCATCAGACTAACAGCAGATCTTTCAGGAGAAACTCTACAAGCCAGAAGACAGTAGGGGCCAATATTCAACATTCTTAAAGGAAAGAATTTTCAACCCGGAATTTCATATCCAGCCAAACTAAGCTTCATAAGTGAAGGAGAAATAAAATACTTTACAGACAAGCAAACGCTGACAGATTTTGTCACCACCAGGCCTGCCCTAAAAGAGCTCCTAAAGGAAGCACTAAACATGGAAAGGAACAACCAATACCAGCCACTGCAAAAACATGACAAATTGTAAAGACCATCAATGCTTGGAAGAAACTGCATCAACTAACAAGCAAAATAACCAGCTAACATCACAATGACAGGATCAAATTCACACATAACAATATTAACCTTAAATGTAAATGGGCTAAATGCTCCAATTAAAAGACATAGACTGGCAAATTGGATAAAGAGTCGAGACTCATCAGTGTGCTGTATTCAGGAGACCCATCTCACATGCAGAGACACACATAGGCTCAAAATAAGGAGATGGAGGAAGATCTACCAAGCAAATGGAAAACACAAAAAGGCAGGGGTTGCAATCCTAGTCTCTGATAAAACAGACTTTAAACCAACAAAGATTAAAAGAGACAAAGAAGGCCATTACATAATGGTAAAGGGATCAATTCAACAAGAAGAGCTAACTATCCTAAATATATATGCAGCCAATACAGGAGAACCCAGATTCATAAAGCAAGTCCTTAGAGATCTACAAGGAGACTTAGACTCCCACACAATAATAATGGGAGACTTTTAACACCCCACTGTCAGCATTAGACAGATCAATGAGAAAGAAAGTTAACAGGGATATCCAGGAATTGAACTTAGCTCTGCACCAAGCAGACCTAACACACATCTACAGAACTCTCCACCCCAAATCAACACAATATACGTTCTTCTCAGCACCACATTGCACTTATTCCAAAATTGACCACATAGTTGGAAGTAAAGTACTCCTCAGCAAATGTAAAAGAACAGAAATCATAACAAACTGTCTCTCAGACCACAGTGCAATCAAACTAGAACTCAGGATTAAGAAACTCACTCAAAACCGCTCAACAACGTGGAAACTGAACAACCTGCTCCTGAATGACTACTGGGTACATAACGAAATGAAGGCAGAAATAAATATGTTCTTTGAAACCAACGAGAACAAAGACACAACATACCAGAATCTCTGGGACACATTTAAAGCAGTGTGTAGAGGGAAATTTAAGCACTAAATGCCCACAAGAGAAAGCAGGAAAGATCTAAAATGGACACCCTAACATCACAATTAAAAGAACTAGAGAAGCAAGAGCAAACACATTCAAAAGCTAGCAGAAGGCAAGAAATAACTAAGATCAGAGAAGAACTGAAGGAGATAGGGACACAAAAAAACCTTCAAAAAATCAATGAATCCAGGAGATGGTTTTTTGAAAAGATCAACAAAATTGATAGATTGCTAGCAAGACTAATAAAGAAAAGAGAGAAGAATCAAATAGACGCAATAAAAAATGATAAAGGGGATATCACCACCGATCCCACAGAGATACAAACTACCATCAGAGAATACTACAAACACCTCTACGCAAATAAACAAGAAAATCTAGAAGAAATGGATAAGTTCCTGGACATGCACACCCTCCCAAGACTAAACCAGGAAGAAGTTGAATCCCTGAACAGACCAATAACAGGCTCTGAAATTGAGGCAATAATAGCCTACCAACCAAAAAAAGTCCAGGACCAGACAGATTCACAGCCAAATTCTACCAGAGGTACAAGGAGGAGCTGGTACCATTCTTTCTGAAAGTATTCCAATCAATAGAAAAAGAGGGAATCCTCCCTAACTCTTTTTATGAGGCCAGCATCATCCTGATACCAAAGCCTGGCAGAGACACAACAAAAAAAGAGAATTTTAGACCAATATCCCTGATGAACATCGATGCAAAAATCCTCAATAAAATACTGGCAAACCGAATCCAGCAGCACATCAAAAAGTTTATCCACCACGATCAAGTGGGCTTCATCTCTGGGATGCAAGGCTGGTTGAACATATGCAAATCCATAAACGTAATCCAGCATATAAACAGAACCACATACAAAAACCACATTGATTATCTCAATAGATGCAGAAAAGGGGTTTGACAAAATTCAACAGCCTTTTATCCTAAAAACTCTCAATAAATCATGTATTGATGAGACGTGTCTCAAAATAATAAGAGTTATTTATGACAAACCCACAGCCAATATCACACTGAATGGGCAAAAACTGGAAGCATTCCCTTTGAAAACTGGTGCAAAACAGGGATGCCCTCTCTCACTACTCCTATTTCATATAGTATTGGAAGTTCTGGCCAGGGCAATCAGGCAGGAGAAAGAAATAAAGGGTATTCAGTTAGGAAAAGAGGAAGTCAAATTGTCCCTGTTTGCAGATGACATGATTGTATATTTAGAAAACCCCATCATCTACGCCCAAAATCTTCTTAAGCTGATAAGCAACTTCAGCAAAGTCTCAGGATACAAAATCAATGTACAAAAATCACAGGCATTCTTATATACCAATAACAGACAAACAGAGAGCCAAATCATGAGTGAACTCCCATTCACAACTGCTTCAAAGAGAATAAAATAACTAGGAATCCAACTTACAAGGGATGTGAAGGACCTCTTCAAAGAGAACTACAAACCACTGCTCAACAAAAGAGGTCAACAATTGGAAGAACATTCCAGGCTCATGGAGAGGAAGAATCAATATCATGAAAATGGCCATACTGCCCAAGGTAATTTATAGATTCAATGCCATCCCCATCAAGCTACCAATGACTTTCTTCACAGAATTGGAAAAAACTACTTTAAAGTTCATATGGAACCAAAAAAAAGCTGCATTGCCAAGACAATCCTAAGCCAAAAGAACAAAGCGGGAGGCATCAAGCTACTTGACTTCAAACTATACTACAAGGCTACAGTAACCAAAACAGCATGGTACTGGGACCAAAACAGAGATATAGACCAATGGAACAGAACAGAGCCCTCAGAAATAATACCATACATTTACAACCATCTGATCTTTGACAAACCTGACAAAAACAAGAAATGGGGAAAGGATTCCCTATTTAATAAATGGTGCTGGGAAAACTGGCTAGCCATATGTAGAAAGCTGAAACTGGATCCCTTCCTTACACCTTATACAAAAATTAACTCAAGATGGATTAAAGACTTAAATGTTAGACCTAACACCATAAAAACCCTAGAAGAAAACCTAGGCAATACCATTCAGGACATAGGCATGGACTTCATGTCTAAAACACCAAAAGCAATGGCAACAAAAGCCAAAATTGACAAATGGGATCTAATTAAACTAAAGAGCTTCTGCACAGCAAAAGAAACTACCATCAGAGTGAACAGGCAACCTACAGGATGGGAGAAAATTTTTGCAATCTACTCATCTGACAAAGGGCTAATATTGAGAATCTACAAAGAACTCAAACAAATTTACAAGAAAAAAACAACCCCATCAACAAGTGGGCGAACGATATGAACAGACACTTCTCAAAAGAAGACATTTATGCAGCCAAAAGACACAGAAAAAAATGCTCATCATCACTGGCCATCAGAGAAATGCAAATCAAAACCACAATGAGATACCACCTCACACCAGTTAGAATGGTGATTATTAAAAAGTCAGGAAATAACAGGTGCTGGAGAGGTTGTGGAGAAATAGGAACACTTTTAAATTGTTGGTGGGACTGTAAACTTGTTAAACCATTGTAGAAGACAGTGTGGCAATTCCTCAAGTATCTAGAACTTAAAATACCATTTGATCCAGCCATCCCATTACTGGGTATATACCCAAAGGATTATAAATCATGTTGCTGTAAAGGCACATGCGCATGTATGTTTATTGTGGCACTATTCACAATAGCAAAGACTTGGAACCAACCCAAATGTCCATCAATGATAGACTAGATTAAGAAAATGTGGCACATATACACCATGGAATACTATGCAACCATAAAAAAAGATGAGTTCATGTCCTTTGTAGGGACATGGATGAAGCTGGAAACCATCATTCTCAGCAAACTATCGCAAGAACAAAAAACCAAACAGCGCATGTTCTCACTCATAGGTGGGAATTGAACAATGAGAACACTTGGACACAGGCAGGGGAACATCACACTCTGGGGCCTGTTGTGGGGTGGGTGGAGGGGGGAGAGAAAGCATTAGGAGATATACCTAATGTAAATGACGAGTTAATGGGTGCAGCATACCAACATGGCTCATGCATACATATGTAAAAAACCTGCACACTGTGCACACGTATCCTAGAACTTAAATAATAATAAAAAAAGAAAAAATGTTCTGCACCGTTAAACACCAAGGAAATGAAAATAAAACCACAATGAGATATCACCTCATGCTTCCTAGAATGGCTACTATCAAAAAGACAAAAGTGTTGACAAGAATGTGGAGAAAATGGTACACTTCTACACTATTGGTGGGAATCTAAATTAGTATAGCTGTTATGAAAACCAGTATGGAAGTTCCTCAAAAAATTAAAAATAAAACTACCATATGATCCAGTAATTTTACTACTGGGTATACATATCCAAAGAAAATGAAATCAGTATGTTGAAAAGATACCTACACTCCCATGTTCACTGCTGCATTATTCACAATAGCCAAGATATGGAATCAATCTAAATGTCCATCAGTAGATGAATGGATAAAGGAAATGTGGTATATGAACACAACAGAGTACTATTCAGCCTGTATTAAAAAAAAAAGAAACCCTGACATTTCTAACAACATGGATGAAACTGGAGGATATGATGTTAAGCGAAATAAGCAAGGCATAGAAAGACAAATACTACATGATCCCACTCACATGTAGAATCTAAAAAAGACAAACTCACAGAAGCAGAGAGTAGAACGGGTTGAAGGGGGAGTTGGAGGGATGAGCTGGAGAGATGTTGGTCAAGGGACACAAAAATTTCAGTTACATAGGAGTGATAAGTTAAAAAGAAACACTGTATAACAGTGTATTGTATAGTTAAAAATTGCTAAGAGATTTTTTAAGTGTTCTCACCACAAAAACGTTAAGTACGTGAGGTAATGCATTTATTAGTCTGATTGACCCATTCTACAATGTATACACATATGAAAACATAATGTACAGCATATATACAATTTTCTTTTTTTATATATATATTTTGTATTATACTTTAAGTTCTAGGGTACATGTGCACAACGTGCAGGTGACATATGTATACATGTGACACGCTGGTGTGCTGCACCCATTAACTCGTCATTTACATTAGGTATATCTCCTAATGCTATCCCTCCTCCCTCCCCCCACCCCATGACAGGCACCGGTGTGTGATGTTCCCCTTCCTGTGTCCAACTGTTCTCATTGTTCAATTCCCACCTATGAGTGAGAACATGCGGTGTTCGGTTTTTTGTCCTTGTGATAGTTTGCTGAGAATGATGGTTTCCAGCTTCATCCATGTCCTTACAAAGGACATGAACTCATCATTTTTTATGGCTGCATAGTATTCCATGGTGTATATGTGCCACATTTTCTTAATCCAGTCTATCATTGATGGACATCTGGGTTGGTTCCAAGTCTTTGCTATTGTGAATAGTGCCGCAATAAACAGACGTGTGCATGTGTCTTTATAGCAGCATGATTTATAATCCTTTGGGTATATACCCAGTAATGGGATGGCTGGGTCAAATGGTATTTCTAGTTCTAGATCCCTGAGGAATCGCCACACTGTCTTCCACAATGGTTGAACTAGTTTACACTCCCACCAACAGTGTAAAAGTGTTCCTATTTCTCCACAACCTCTCCAGCACCTGTTATTTCCTGACTTTTTAATGATCACCATTCTAACTGGTGTGAGATGGTATCTCATTGTGGTTTTGATTTGCATTTCTCTGATGGCCAGTGATGATGAGCATTTTTTCATGTGTCTTTTGGCTGCATAAATGTCTTCTTTTGAGAAGTGTCTGTTCATATCATTTGCCCACTTGTTGATGGGGTTGTTTTTTTCTTGTAAATTTGTTTGAGTTCTTTGTAGATTCTCAATATTAGCCCTTTGTCTGATGAGTAGATTGCAAAAATTTTCTCCCATTCTGTAGGTTGCCTGTTCACTCTGATGGTAGTTTCTTTTGCTGTGCAGAAGCTCTTTAGTTTAATTAGATCCCATTTGTCAATTTTGGCTTTTGTTGCCATTGCTTTTGGTGTTTCAGACATGAAGTCCTTGCCCATGCCTATGTCCTGAATGGTACTGCCTAGGTTTTCTTCTAGGGTTTTTATGGTTTTAGGTCTAACATTTAAGTCTTTAATCCATCTTGAATTAGTTTTTGCATAAGGTGTAAGGAAGGGATCCAGTTTCAGCTTTTTACATATGGCTAGCCAGTTTTCCCAGAACCATTTATTAAATAGGGAATCCTTTCCCCATTTCTTGTTTTTGTCAGGTTTGTCAAAGATCAGATGGTTGTAGATGTGTGGTATTATTTCTGAGGGCTCTGTTCTGTTCCATTGGTCTATATCTCTGTTTTGGTCCCAGTACCATGCTGTTTTGGTTACTGTAGCCTTGTAGTATAGTTTGAAGTCAGGTAGCCTGATGCCTCCCGCTTTGTTCTTTTGGCTTAGGATTGACTTGGCAATGCCAGCTCTTTTTTGGTTCCATATGAACTTTAAAGTAGTTTTTTCCAATTCTGTGAAGAAAGTCATTGGTAGCTTGATGGGGATGGCATTGAATCTATAAATTACCTTGGGCAGTATAGCCATTTTCACGATATTGATTCTTCCTATCCATGAGCATGGAATGTTCTTCCATTTGTGTCCTCTTTTATTTCATTGAGCAGTGGTTTGTAGTTCTCCTTGAAGAGGTCCTTCACAGCCCTTGTAAGTTGGATTCCTAGGTATTTTATAAAATATGTACAATTTTCATGTCACTTAAAAAATCATTAAATAAGAAGTATTAAAACTATAATCCAATTCAATTTTCTAGAAATAAAGGAAGACTTGAATTTACATACTGAAAGGGTCCACTGGGTACCAGTGAAAACCTGTAATGATCAACTTCAACACATATCCTTAGAAAACTAATAGACTTTAAAGGTAAAGAAAAAAATCCTCATGGTCACTGTACAAAAACCAAATACCTTATAATGGCAGGAGAGTTCAATTGTCATCAGACTTCTCAAAAAACAATATGAAGTAAGGGAATCATGGAAAAGCATTTTTTTTAACTCAAAGAAATAACATTTGTTTTTGTTGTTTTTTGTTTTTTTTTTTTTGAGACGGAGTCTCGCTCTGTCACCCAGGCTGGAGTGCAGTGGCACAATCTTGGTTCACTGCAAGCTCCGCCTCCCAGGTTCATGCCATTCTCCTGCCTCAGCCTCCTGCATAGCTGGGACTACAGGTGCCTGCCACCGCGCCCGGCTACTTTTTTTGTATTTTCAGTAGAGACGGGGTTTCACCTTGTTAGCCAGGATGGTCTCGATCTCCTGACCTTGTGATCTGCCCACCTCAGCCTCCCAAAGTTCTGGGATTACAGGCGTGAGCCACCGTGCCCGACCAGAAATAACATTTGAATCCAAGATTTAAATACTATCAAGCAGCCCCCTGAAGCCTAAAGGCCATAAAAAATTTACAAAGTAAGCAGTTTTAAACATGCAAAATCTGCAACATAAGCCCTTCTTAAGGAATCAACCTATTCAAAGATGAACTTCATCCAAACAATAGACTAGTGGGAGGACTTGAGGAAAAAGACAGTGATCATTTATTATATTTAATTATAGATCTAGAAAAGTTAGAGATGGGGTTGAAGAATAAGAAGATATGATACATGCTGTGTGTTATGAATGTATATTCTGAGAGTGCTATGATTTGGACATGGTTTGTCCCCATGAAATCTCATGTTGAAATTTATTTATATATTTTTTTAATTTTCAATAGCTTTAGGGGTACAAGTAGTTTTTGTTACACAGATAAATTTTATAGTGGTGAAATCTGAGCTTTTAGTGTACCCATCACCCAAATAGTGTACAGTGTACCCAACAGGTGATTTTTTAATCCCTTACCACCCTCCCCCTTTCTGAGTCTCCGATGTCCATTACAGCATTCTGTATGCTGTTATTTATCCACAAGGTTAGTCCCCCCTTGTGAGAACATATGGTACTTGGTTTTCTGTTCCTGAGTTACTTTACTTAGGATAATGATCCCCAGTTCTATCCAAGGAGCTGCGAAGACATTATTTCATTCTTTTTAAGGGTGAGTAGTATTCCACTGTGTCTATATGTTTACATCATATATATATAACATTTTCTTTATCCACTCATTGGTTTGATGGACTCTTAGGTTGATTCCGTATCTTTTCCATGGTGAATTCTACTATGATAAACATACTAGTGCAGGTATCTTTTTGATATAATGACATATTTTCCTTTGGGCAGATATCAGTAGTGAGACTGCTGAACTGAATGGTAGATCTGTTAGTTCTTTGATAAATTTCCATACTGTTTTCCACAGAGGTTGAACTAATTTACATTCTCACCAACAGTGTATAAGTGTTCCCTGTCTGCGCCAACATCTATTGTTTTTTGACTTCTTAATGGCCATTCTGACTAGGGCAAAGTGGTATCTTACTGCAGTTTTAATTTGCATTTCTGTGATGACTAGTGATGTTGAGCATTTTTCATATGTTTGTTAGTCTTTTGTGTATCTTCTTTTGAGAAATGTCTGTTCATGTTGTTTGTCTACTTTTTAAGGGATTATTTATTTTCTTGCTAATTTCAGTTCCTTGTAGATTACGGACATTAGTCCTTTGTCAGATGTATAGTTTACAAATATTTTCTCCCATTCTGTAGGTTCTCTGTTTACTCTGCAGATTATCTCTTTTGCTGTACAAAGCTTTTCAGTTTGAGTCCCATTTATTTATTTTTGTTGCATTTGCTCTGTCTCTTACTAATAAATTCTCTGCCTACGCCAATATCCAGAATTTTTCCTAGGGCTTCTTCTAAAATTGTTATGGTTTCAGGTCTTACATTTGACCCTTTTCCTGTTTTCAAAAAAAGGTGTGGCTTGCTGCCAGCGCTCATTTAATTTTACATAAACACGTTCTTTGAGGCTGAAGCAAATCTGACTGATAGTCAATGTGAAAATAAAATATAAAAACTGTTCTTGGAGTTATTTCTAAACAGAACTAACATTAGAATTGTCTGAATCATCAGAATAATCTATTTCAGAAAAACTGAATTCATGAAACTAATCCTTGGCCAACAACTTTTCATGAACAATGTTAGCATCATGTGTAGGAATGCTGTTTTCTAAGATTTGACATTTTCAGTGGCTGAGATTTTATTTTGTAAGTGGAAATACCGCTACTAAAAATGGAGTGCTATAAATAGGATAATGTCTTTTGTTTCCAAAGTTGATATACTAGAGCAATGCAAAAATAATAATCATAGGGTGCTATTTTGTGGCAAATTTACTTTGGGGTAAATGATGCAGCCGCAAGTGCCACTGGTGAGTATTCTCAGAGCAAATGGGGAAAGGGTTAAGTCTTTAATCCATCTTGAGTAAATTTTTGTAGACGGTGAGAGATAGGGAACCAGTTTCATTCTTCTGTGTATGGCTATCCAATTTTCCAGCACCACTGAATGAATAGGGTGTCCTTTCCCCCATTGTATGTTTCAGTCTGCTTTGTCAAAGATCAGTTGGTTGTAGTTATTTGGCTTTATATCTGGGTTCTCTATTCTGTTTCATTGGTATATGTGTCTATTTTTATACCAGTTGTCATACTGTGTTGATTACTGTAGCCTTGCAGTATAACTTAAAGATAGCTAATGTGATGCCCCCAGATTTCTTTTGTTTGCTCAGGACTGCTTTTGCTATTCAGGATTTTTGGTTTTATTTGAATTTAGGATTTTCTTTTCTAATTCTGAGAAAAATGGTGTTTTTGGCAGGATATGATGGCACACACCTGTAGTTCCAGCTGCTTGGGAGGCTAAGGCAGGAGGCTGAGGCTGAAGTAAGCCAAGATTGCACAACTGCACTCCAGACTGGGTGACAGAGTAAGATGGAAAGGAAAGGGAAAGGGAAAGGGAAATGGAAGGAAGAAGAGATAGAGAAAGAGAGAGAGAGAGAGAGAGAGAAATAGAGAAAGAAAAAGAGAGAGAAAAAAAGAAAGAAAAAGGAAAAGAAAAGAAAGAAAAAGAAAGAAAGAAAGAAAGAAAGAAAGAAAGAAAGAAAGAAAGAAAGAAAGAAAGAAAGAAAGAAAGAAAGAAAGGTAGGCAGGCATTGGTGGTATTTTGATAGGAACTCTACTGAATCTGTAGATTGTTTTGGGCAGTATGGTCATTTTCACAATATTGATTCTTTTAATTCATGAACATAGGAGGTTTTCTATTTGTTTGTATCATCTATGGTTTCTTTCATCAGTGTTTTGCAGTTCTATGTGTAGAGATCTTTCACCTCTTTGGTTAAGTATATTCCTAGGGTTTTTTTTTTTCCTTTTTTTGCAACAATTGTAAATGGGACTGAGTTCTTGATTTGATTCTGCTTGGTCATTATTGGTATATAGCAGTAGTACTGATGTGTGTATGGTGATTTTGTAACCTGACACTTTACAGATTCATTTATCCAATCTAGGAGATTTTGGAGGAGTCTTTAGAATTTTCAAGGTATAAGATCACATCATCAGCAAACAGAGATAGCTTGATTTCTCTTTTCTAACTTAGATGCCCTTTATTTCTTCTCTTGCCTGACTGTTCTAGCTAGAACTTCCAGTACTACGTTGAATAAAAGTGGCAGAAGTGGGCATTCTTGTCTTGTTCCAGTTCTTAGGAAGAATGCTTTCAGTTTTTCCTCATTCAGTATGTTGGCTGTGAGTTTGTCATATATGGCTTTTATTATTTTAAGGTATGTTCTTTCTGTGCCTAGTTTGTTGAGGAGTTTTATCATGAAGGGATGCTCAATTTTATCAAATGCTTTTTCTTCATCTACTGAAATGATTTTTTTTTGTTTTTAATTATATTTATGTGGTGAATCACATTTGTTGATTTGCATATGTCAAATCATCCTTGCATTCCTGGTATGAAACCCACTTGATGCTGAATTATCTTGTTGATATACTGCTGAATCTGGTTTGCTAGAATTTTGTTGAGGATTTTTGCACCTATGTTCATTAGGAATATTGGTCTGCAGTTTTCCTTGTTTGTTGTGTCTTTTCCTGGCTTTGGTATTAGGGTGATACCGGGTTCATAGAAAGAATTAGGGAGGATTCCCTCTTTCTCCATCTTTTAGAATAGTTTCAGTAGAATTGGCATCAGTTCTTCTTTCCATGTCTGGTAAAATTCAGCTGTGAATCCATCTGGTCCTGGGCATTCGTTGTTGTTGTTGTTGTCATTGGGAGATTTTTTATTACTGATTCAATCTCACTACTTATTACTTGGTCCATTCAGGATTTCTGTTTCTTCCTGATTCAAATTTGTGGGATTGTGTGTTTCTAGGAATTTATCCATTTCCTCTAGACTTTCTAGTTTGTGTGCACAGACATATTCACAGTAG
The DNA here is from genome assembly GCF_000001405.40 of Homo sapiens. Taxonomy (NCBI): domain Eukaryota; kingdom Metazoa; phylum Chordata; class Mammalia; order Primates; family Hominidae; genus Homo; species Homo sapiens. Next base: position 98,872,094 of record NC_000003.12, read on the forward strand.
TCTTAGATCATTTTTTCCAGTGTTCTACACATTCAGAGAAACTTTCTAATAATAAACTACAGAAGTGATCTCTGAAAGTATAGTCTTCATGTTGAAGTTTAACTGCCAGCATGACAGTATTGGAAAGTGGGGCCTAATGGGAGTTGTTTGGGTCATGGGGCCAGATCTCTTATAAATTGATTAATGCCATCTCACGGGAGTGAGTTCTCACTCTAACAGGACTGGATTAGTTACCATGACAGTGGGTTGTTATAAAGCAAGTCAGCCTCCTCGGTCCCCTCTCTCTCTGCACAAGCCCCTTTCCCTTCCAGTTTCCTCCATGAGTTGAAGCAGCACAAAACCTTTATCAGATGAGCTGTCCACTCTTGCACTTTCCAGCCACCAGAATTATGAACCAAATAAACCTCTTTTCTTTATAAAACATCCAGCTTCAGTTATTCTGTCGTAGCCACACTAAACAGAATAAAACTGAGGAAACTGGGTACAGAAGGAAGGGGAAAGAAGTCTAGTTCATTGAATGTTTTATAGGCAATAGGTAGAAAATAAAGAATACCATTAAAAATGGACAAATCGGATAGTAAATGATTAAGACAATAGGGACCACAGGCATTTTAAAAAGTATAAATTGAAAAGCAGCACCTAGAACAAAACTATAAACCTTACCAAACACGAAAAGACACTTAAAAAAAACCAGAAGGACAGAAAACAATGTAGAAAAAATGAACACAACAAATATAATATACATAACTTTGAAAGATATGGAAGAGTTAAAATGTATCAGTTATAAATAAATGCGAATGGATTTAACTTAGACATTAAAAATATTTGCAATTTGGCTCATAAAGACCCAAAAATATGCAATATTCAAGAAAGACACCCAAAACAAAGTGATTCAGAAAGGCTAAAAATAAAGTGATGGGCACAGACAGACACAGCAGGATAATGAAAACAATAAGGAATTAATAGGAGGGTATGTGTGTGATACTGGTGTCAAACAAAGGAGAATTCAAACTAAAAAGTAATATATGATGGGTAGGAAACCTTTAAATGTGAGAAGTCATAATTTAAAATGGAGATATTAGAATTATGAATATCTAGTCGACACAGCACAGCAACTTTATAAAAGCAAAACCTCCAGGAGACAGCAAAGAAAGAGAAAGAACCACACCAAATAGGAGATCAAACAGATAAAATAAGTATATAGAAGACAGAAACAGCAAAATAAAGACAGATTTTTAAATGCATATCAAACTTTTTACAGTAGAGAGTAAACCTTCTCAAGTATATATAGAATATTCACAAAAAAACTGGTCATACATTAGCTTATAAAGTAGAAATTTTACAATGCTCTCTGACTATAATGCAATAGAATTATACATTATTAGCAATAACAAAGAAAGGTCCTTCCAATTAGAAATAAACCTGTTAAACAATTATTGGGTAAAAGAAAAACATAAACCAAAGTTTAAAAATTCCTAAAAAATGATATAATTGACCCATATTAATCAGTGATATCATTCTTAAGGATGTGATCAAAGTAAAATTCATAGGCTTAGATATTTTTATCAATAAAAATGAAAGAAAAAGTGAATTAAATGCCTAGCTAAAACTAGCAGTTAACAAAGTAAAAAAAAAATTTTAAATCATGAAAATAGAGATTAATAATGTAGACAACAGAAAAACAATAGTTCTAATAAATCAAGATTCATTTTTTGGAAAAATTTAACAGAATAGGCATGCCCCTAGCTAATTTAATGAAAAAAGAGGGTGGGAAGCATAAATATGTAAAATAAGAAATGACAGGAGGTAAATAACTATTGGAAAAACACTGAAATAACCATGTTAATAACTGTAAGATTCTATTTTACAGACATCATGGCCAATATATTAGATCACCTAGGTGAATGGGTAATTTACCAGGCAAGTACCGTTTATTACAATTGGACCCATTAGAGGTAGAAAGCTCAAACAGACCAATTTCCTGAGAAGAAACAGAGAACGTCATTAAGGAAGCATCCTATCAAAAACGCACCAGGCTAAAATAGCTTCACAGAGTGAAACCTTCAAAAACTAGATTGTTCAAATTCTCTGTAAATTTTTCCAGAGAACTAAAAAGAAAGGAAAACTTCATATTTCTTTTTATTTGTATGTATAGTATCAATACCTAAGCCTGATAAAGAAAATGCAAAGTAAATTACAAATTAATATCACACCAATATTTATGCAAAAATACTAATAAAATATTAGGAAACATAATCCAATGCCACATTAAAAGAATGTCACATCATAACCAAGAGATACTTATTCCAACAATGCACAGTTATTTCAATATTAGGGAACCCATTAATATAATACACTATACCAATAGATTTAGGTAGAAAAACCATATCATTACCTCCATAGATGCTAAAAAAGCTTTTCAACAAAATTCAATAGTCTTTCTTGATAACAACACTTAATGGAAATCAGTGGATACTTCCTATTATGGACCAGATACTGGTACGCCCCCCAAAATTAATTGCTGTTGAAGTCCCAACTCTTAATATGACTAGAGTTGGAGTTAGGCTCTTTAGAGAGGTAATTAAAATTAAATGGTTTTAGTTTTCCTAAGGTGGGGCGCTGATCCAACAGGATTAGTGTACTTATAAGAAGAGACATAAGAGAACCTGCTGTTTCTCTCTCCTCATCCCTCCAACCTCGTCATGTGAGGACACAGGAAGAAGGTGGCCATCTACAAGCCAGGAAGAGAGCCCTCACCAGAAACTGAATTGCTTGGCATCTTGATGTGGGACTTCTAGCCTCCAAAACTCTGAGAAAGTAAACTGCTGTTTTTTTAAGCCACTCGGTCTATAGATTTTGTTACGGCAACCTGAGCTCAGACACTTTAAATTTCCACTAAGATAAGGAACCCGGAAAGGATGCTCACTCTCTCCACTACTGTTTAACGTAGTCCTGGACTGGAGGTGTTAGCCAATACAATTAGATAAAAGAATCAACCATAGGCATAAGAAATGGAAAAAAAGGAAGTAGAACTATCTCTATCTGCAGATGTGATTGTGTATCTGAAAATCCCTAGAAAGTGAATGATAAAACTAACTGAAATAATTTTAAAAACTCAGTAAAATAGCAGAAAAAAATCAACATACAGAAATACAATCTCACATAATTAGGAACCCGTTACAGGATATAACAGCAAAACAAAAACACCTCCATCTCCATTGCAACAAAGCAGATAAGATGTTAAGGATTAAGTTTAACAAAAAATGTGTAAACCCTACATGAGAAAGAGTTTAAAACAATCCTTAAAGACAACAAAAGTAGATGTGAAGAAAGGAGAAAAAAAAAGAGCTCTTGGTTTTGAACTTAAGATAACTCAACATCATAAAGTTAATTTATAAACAGTATAATGTCAATAAAAACACCAACGAGCTTTTTTGTGGAGTTAGATAAGCTGATACTAAACTTCACATGGATAAACAAACAGGAAGGAAGACCCAGGAAAACACTAAAAATGAACGTTTCTGAAAGGAGACTAAGCCCTATCAGGCATTAACACATACCGTAAAGCCTCTGAAAGCCTTTACAAAACAGTCACATTCTGGTATGTGGATAGATACATCTGTGGAGTGCAACCCAAAGTCCAGAAATAGACCCAAGCACATACAGAACTGCAGTATATGATAAAGGCAGTATTTCAAACCACTGGGACAAAGATAAACTTTTAAATGCATGGTGATGGGGCAAGTGGTTAGTCATATGGAAAACACAATGAGATCTATACTTCATGCCATACAAAAGAAAAAAACCCCGATGTACCAGGGATCTAAATATAAAAAATGAAATCATATAATCCCACTATGAAAAAAATGGGTAAATTTATCTTTAGTTGGGATATAGGAAGAAGCTTTCTAACTAGGACTTAGAATCTAGATGCAATTTAAAAAAAGACTAATGAATCTAACTATAAATACATTTTTAAAAGTTTGCATGGTTGAAAAAAAGTAACATAAACAAAGTCAAAAGACAACTGACAAATTAGGAGAAATTATTTGTAGCATATACCACTATTATGTTTATAGACTAATATCCCTAAAAGATAATGAGAAGTCCTAAAACCTGAGAGAAACAAAGACCAATAAAACTTGACAGATGGGCAAATGGTGTGTGCCTGTCGTCCCAGCTACTCAGGGGGCTGAGGTGAGATGATTGCTTGAGCCCAGGGGTTTGAGGCCAGCCTGAGCAATATAGAAAGACCTGTCTTTAAAAATAAAAAAAAACTTGACAGAAAAACGGGCAAAAGACAGGAAGAGATAAAAAGTAAAAAAAAAAAAAAAAAAAAAAAAAAAAAAGGCCGTCAACATATGGGAAAAAACAGTTCAATTTCACTCATAGTAAGAGAAATGCAAATTACAACTATACTGAGCACTATTTATCATTATCAATTGGCAAAACTTAAAAGATATGACAACACACTTTGTTGGGAAGGCTGTGGAAAACAAGCATTTTTATGCTATGGAAATGCAAACTGGTATAACTTCCAATTTAGCAATGTCTAACAAAGTATATAATTTACCTTTTGACTCAGCAATCACTTCAGGAATCTACACCAAAGACACCTCTAAGAATACAAAAATAGTTTGTAACTGTAAAATATTGAAAGCAACCAATACAACCATTCATAAAAGAGTGATTAAATAAACTATGATACATCCACATGATGGAGTTCTATACTGCTATAAAAAGAATGAGGACTATCCTACAAAATGATGCACAGTGATTTCCAGAAAACACTGATAGGTAGGGAGAAAGCAAAGTACAAAAGAATATTGAAAGAATGTTAAAGTTCGTATAAGAAAGGAGAAAACAGAAAATATAAATGTCATTTGTATAAAGAAGTACGGAAAAGATAAAACAAACACTAATGCAATTGGTTAGCTACAGGGAGTGAGTGGAGATGGGGTTAAAAGGAAAGAAGAAATGCACTGTAAAGGGGAGGAATGTCACTTATCTACCTTTTTGTACAGTTTTAACTTTGAGAATCATGTTAATGTTTAACATATTCAACAAAAGAGAAAGAAAACCAACAAGGATAAAGAAAAAACCTATAATGGAAGATGAACAGAAAGAAATGAACCAAACCATATTTCAAATGAGTAACATAACCACATTGAAGGGCAGGTGGTGGTGGAGTAAGAACCAGCCTAAAGAATTTTTTAATGTAGTATTTAGACTCTAAGTCCTCAGGTACGAATTCTAGGTAGCAGGCTTCTTTCAGTTCGAGTCATGGGTTAGCAATTCTAAAACTATTTTCTGGTTATAGCACTGAACAAGTAAATACATTACAGGTAATGGGAGCAAGATTTCTCACTGTCAGAGAAGTGAGTTAGAAAGAAAAATAGGAAAAGGATAGAATGAACCCTATAATGTTGCATTAGTATTAAAGGTATCAGCATAAACTCATGCTCTTTAATACAGGCAGATAAATATAAAAAGATATAACAGGTACATGTATATACATATGTATATACAAATGTCTATTTACTAAATCTATTTGTTGATAGGCATATGGTAGCTCATTGGTCTAAACCTAGCAACCAGACATTGATTTCTAATACCATTCTCCACTAAAAAGAACCAGGGTTCCCTGAAGAAATGGCTGATTCCAGGGCTGGAGCAGGGCAATCACAAGATAAACCTAGAATATCCTGTGCCAGAATATAAAGAGGTACTCAAATAATGATGAGGACATCACCAAAGGACATAGGAGCTAGCGTGAAGAGGCTCCCACTGGAGATTTGGGACAATCTGAGCACCAAAATAATGACAGGAAAGGGTGATAAGTGATGGCCTAACACAGGAATCCATTGACTTCACACTGATATAAACAAACAAATGGGAGAGAAGGGAAAGATCCTGTTTTTAGTATGAAAAAAAAACCTAATAAATACAGAAGGAATAATGAAATTAGAAAATAATAATTGATTCATACAAGATTAATATGTCCCAAATCTAGTGGGTATAAGTTTGATGAGTAACAGGATATTTCCAACATTTCAAAGAGTCTCCCAATCAGACATGTATTGGTTATGAAGAGCAGCATAGTTACAGTGTAGAAAACTGAGAGACATCACCTTAGCCAAAATATCAAAGTTAATAGCACCAGAAATGGGACAAATCAATCTCATGTGCCATGATATGATACACTGAGAACAGCGCATCTGTGGTATTCTTGCCAAAAGTCTGTCACTGGAATCTAATAATGAGGAAGCATCAGACACACATCCCACGAAATCATTAGCCCATATACTTCAAATGTGAACATCAGAAACACAGAGAGACCAATGAACTCTCTTCTCCTTTAATGCTTGTTTTCTAAAGGGGCACTGAGAAAACATGATATAGGGGGAAAAAAAAAGATTCAGTGACATTATCCCTGAAATCCTGATGCCCACAATGTATTTGTTTCTATCCTGTAATTCTCTGCAGACCTATCTTAACCAGAATGTTAAACGACTATTCTTGAATTATCTTTATTTCTCTGCAATACGTTAAGAAACTTTTCTACCACTAACCATAGGCTGCTACCAAATGGAGGACCAGTGGGTATACGGTAGGTGTGATGGGGGAAGGGTGGGTACAAACTGAAGCCCAACAGGAACCATCATCACTCAGGCCCCTTGACCTTTCTGCAGCTTTCCATTCACCCATGAGGAGAATAGGAAAAAGCAATGGAAATAAGGGAAAGCTGAGATTTATTAAATACCTATTACACACCAAACACTGCAAAGTATTACTTCTTTTAATCTTCAGACCGTACAGAAAGTGACTATGAAGTCTGGGCAGGTTCAACACTTTGTAGAAAAAGGACTCTCAACAAGTAACTCCTGGAGCTTTGACTAGAATTCAGCGAGCAATTTGAAACCTGTGCTCAGAATCTTCCCCACGCCACTCTTCCACTCTACCAACAGTGCCACTATGTATTATCTAAATATATAATTCTCTTGTTTTATTTTAACATAACCACTTTTCTTTATAGGAATTTTCAAAATTACACAAAAGTAGAAAGAAGAGGGTGTAACAATTCCCATCTGCCCATTACTCAGCTTCACTAATGTGCCCTTGTTTCTCCTATCCTTCTCCCTATTTCTGAAATACTTAAACATAAATCCTAGACATTTGAACTTGAGAATGTCTCTAACAAATTAGAACTTAAAAATAATTTTAACATTATTACATCTAAAACAGTCATTCTTTACCATCACTGAATGCCCAATGCTTCAAATTTCTCTGATAATCTTTTTTTCTTTTTTTGAGACGGAGTCTTGCTCTGTCACCCAGGCTGGAGTGCAGTGGCTCGATCTCGGCTCACTGCAAGCTCCGTCTCCCGGGTTCACGCCATTCTCCTCCCTCAGCCTCCCAAGTAGCTGGGACTACAGGCGCCCGCCACCACGCCCGGCTCATTTTTTTGTATTTTCAGTAGAGGCAGGGTTTCACCATGTTAGCCAGGATGGTCTCGATCACCTGACCTCGTGATCCGCCCACCTCGGTCTGATAATCTTAAAAATAATTTCTTTCAGTGGTTAGCTTGAATCAAGATCCAAGCAAAGTCTACATATTATTTTAGGAAGATATGTCACAATGTAGAACAGTTACCTTCCCCCTCCTCCTATTTTTTTAAAATGCTATGTATATGTTGAAGAAACTAGGTCGTTTGTTCTACAGAATTTCTCATATCCTTAATTTAGTCCTTACACTCAGTAGAATGTATTTCTCTATCTCCCTTATCTCCTGTAAAGTGTTAGAGGGGTGACCAAACTGTGGTTCACTTTTCCTCACTGTTGCTTAAAGAATGCTCAGGTGGTACTGTCTGCTCCCTACTGCATCTGCAGGAGACATCTACTATCCAGTTATCTTCTATTAGTGTTAATATCACAGTAAGTTTTTCTACATCCTCAGGCGATTTGTGTTCCTAAAACTTTGTTCAACACCATATATTCATGCAATACGCACGTGGTGCTCAAACCACCAGGTTAATCAAGAAGTGACTGAGAAGCACCAAAGTTTATCAATCAGCAGCCTGGGAGATAGGGCAGGAATTTTTCCTCTGGTAGATAAGAGGCCAAAAAAGTAAAGAAGAGATGAAGGATTTCACTAGAGATGGAGAGGAAGCCAGAGGATGAACATAGTATGGTATTTAAAGAACAGTATATTGGATTCCTATTATAGTTCTGAAGGATATTTTACACACTGGAACCAAAAAATGTTTCTAAATAAACTCACAGAGAATTCCTAATTTTATAATGTTAGTTCACCTAAAAAGCCTTACAAATTTTTCCACCTTTCTTGCTTAAGAAAGGTACTGATGCCTAAATCAAAGGTTTTTAAACGTGACTGCAAGAGATTTTCCCAGGAAGCGTTTAAGATACTGAGGCCTGGGTTCCACCTAATCAATTCTGATTCAACTGGTCTAGGATGGTAACTGGGTTTATGGTATTGTTTACTACTTAGGTGGCTCTAATATGCAGCTATAATTGAGAACCACTGCTCTTAATCAAGAACAACAACAATGGCCACTACCATTTACTAAGCATATATTATATCTTAGGTGCTGTTTACTTTTCTAAGCACGTTACACATACTAGTTCATTCCCTGTATTTTTTACAAGAGAAAAAATGGAGAGGTCAGGTAATCTGGCCAAAGTCACACAGCAAGCTGATGAGAGTTATGCTTTAATCCCAGGAAGTTTGGATCCAAAACCCTTGTTTTTAATCACCATGCTATACTGTCTCCTAAGCATTAATTATACTTGTATTCTTCAATTGCAAATAAAACTATGAAAGGAAAACATTTTTAAAAATGAGATAATTGGCTGGGTGCAGTGGTTTACGCCTGTAATCCCAGCACTTTGGGAGGCTGAGGTGGGTGGATCACCTGAGGCTGGAGTTTGAGACCAGCCTGGCCAACAGCCTGGCCACCATGGTGAAACCGTCTCTACTAAAAATCAAAAAAAAATTAGCCGGCTATGGTGGCGAGCGCCTGTAATCAGGTACTTGGGAGGCCGAGGCAGGAGGATAGCTTGAACCCAGGAGGCGGAGGTTGCAGTGAGCCAAAATTGCGCCATTGCCCTCCAGCCTGGGCTACAAAAGCAAGACTCTGTCTCAAAAAAAAAAACAAAAAAAAAAAAACAGAGAATTAACTTCCTCCTTCTTAGTAGTACAGTGGCATCTTGGGCAAGGGTACCAATATGTGCTTATTAGAAAAGTAAATAAAGTAAACAGACAAGAATCTTCTCTTCCCAAAAGATTCAAATTCAAAATTTTTACACATATTCAATAATTTCCCACATAGCACCTTACACTGCATGGTTATTTAATGTTAATATCAAAAAAATACATCATTGAGACAATGATGTATTTACATGTACATTTACAAAAAAAAGTCCTACCTATTTCAGTTCTGCTGACTCCAATTCCATTATAAATTCTCAAGTAATTAAAGTGACAAGAATCAGAATCTTCAATGTCAAAGTCACCAAATTTGATGCGAACTCTCTCTCCCATCTTTACACGGATCTCCCATTCACAAACAGTGCTGTTGGGATAGGTCTGTGGGTAGTTTATGGATGTAAGGGTTCCACTCTCAGGGCCTAGTACAGTGTGTCCACATCCATCACCTTTAAAAAAAGTGAAAAGAATGATAAATTATTCTCACATATTTTACTTCCTCTATAATGATTTTTTTGTGAAGATTTAAAAATATGCACGACATCAAATATTTTATACCACCCATACTTTCTATTTTATTTTTTTTAATGGACAAATAATTGTACATACTCATGGGGTTCACAGTGATGTTCTGATACATATGATGTATAGTGATCAGATCAGGGCAATTAGCAAATGCATCATCTCAAACATTTATCACTTGTGTTACCTGAAACTACATAATTTTGTTAACTATAGCCATCCTGCAGTGGTAGATTCCTCCTATCTAGCTGTAACTTTGTATCCTTTAACAAATCACAAGACCTGACATTGTTCTTAGTATATCTATTCACAGGAGGCAAGAGAAGACAAGTTAGGTCAAAATAATCAATGGTTACTTATATAATTTATAAGTTCAAGGAGATTTCAATTCTGAACAAATAAAAGTAAATATAAATTAGTAGTCATTAAATATACATATACATGTTATAATAAATCCAATCTTCAAAAGAAGAGCAACTTAATTGTTCAAAAAGTGAATGTAAAATATAGAAATGTGGTCAGCTTCATCTATTTACAAATCATGAACCAAAATATCTGTGAGAAGCTGAATGGAAGCTCTTTTTTTTTTAACTTTTTAAAAATTATACAAGTTCTGGGGTACATGTGCACAATGCGCAGGTTACACAGATATACATGTGCCATGTTGGTTTGCTGTGCCCATCAACCCATCATCTACATTAGGTATTTCTCCTAATGCTATCCCTTCCCCAGCCTCCCAGCCTCTGACAGGCCCCAGTGTGTGATACTCCCTTCCCTGTGTACGTGTGTTCTCATTGTTCAACCCCCACTTATGAGTGAGAACATGTGGTGTTTGGTTTTCTGTCCTTGTGGTAATTTGCTGAGAATGATGGTTTCCAGCTTCATCCATGTCCCTGCAAAGGACATGAACTCATCCTTTTTTATGGCTGCATAGTATTCCATGGTGTATATGTGCCACATTTTCTTTATCCAGTCTATTACTGATGAACACTTGGGTTAGTTCCAAGTCTTTGCTATTGTGAATAGTGCCGCAATAAACATATGTGTGCATGTGTTTTTATAGTAGCATGATTTATGATCCTTTGGGTATATGCCCAGTAATGGGATGGCTGGGTCAAATGGTATTTCTAGTTCTAGATCCTTGAGGAATCGCCACACTGTCTTCCACAATGGTTGAACTAATTTACACTCCCACCAACAGTGTAACAGCATTCCTATTTCTCCACATCCTCTCCAGCATCTGTTGTTTCCTGACTTTTTAATGATTACCATTCTAACTGGCCATGAGATAGTATCTCATTGTGGTTTTGATCTGCATTCTCTAATGACCAGTGATGATGAGCATTTTTTTCATATGTTTGTTGGCTGCATAAATGTCGAGAAGCTGAATATTTCTAAAAACACTATGTACGAAAGATTATGCAGATTACTGACTATTACAGACTACAAGGCACTCCTTCTTGAAATTATTAAAGCAATATTTAATGAAGTTTAATTCTATATTTACTGAAATTTAACTTTTTAGTAGTTCCTCCCGCACACCTTATTTTTTCCCTATAGAATAAGGAGAAGTAAAATTAAAGATTTGAAAAAATGACCTTTATATATTGGCAGCAGCATTATTTGCTCCAGAAATTTATTCAGCAGCTAAATACAGAAACTTAGTTAACAACATGTTTGTAAAAATGAAATATTTGCATTCTTTATCATAAAGTTTGTATTTTGTTTTTACTGAGCACCCAGAAGGAAAAATTAATGTTCATTTAGGAGTTTCAGCAGCTGCTCCAACTGTACTGTTCAGCATTCCATAACAATAAGATTCAAATAAATCTCTTTCTAGTAGGATGATGAATATATGCTTTTAAAATAACAGCATTTTGTCCTTCAAAACAGTTATTTACAAATCACCTTTTGGAACAGTACAGCACTTACACAAAAACTATATTAAAAGTGACACTGCTGAGTTCTAAACTCAATATGGACACAGAGGGCTGTAATAGAACTTTCTACTATGTTGATTATTTTTAAGAACAAATGTAGTGCTAATATTTGCTAGAAAAGATGAAAACTTTCAAAAGCCTATGAATAAGAATTTCATGTAGTTTTTAGTAAGTGGTGGATGCTAAATAAATGTTTATTAATTGAATAAGGAAACTGTACATTAATCTATGAAAAAGTAATTTCAAATTAGTCTCAAAGCTAACTTTAATGATGGAACAACTTTGTACCTAAATTCTTATGATAATACTTAAAAATCGTATCCTTGGCTGATAAAGAAATTTTATTGTTGAATCCATATTAGTATTGCTCCTTAGTCTACTTTTAAAGGTCAGTACTAGAAATCTGGCTTTCTGAACAAGTATCTCTCACACAAAGCTTAGTTTTTAATCAACATTAAATTTTAGCTATCTTCTATACTTGCTTTCATTTCATACACAAGAACTAGGCATAGCAACTCAGTAACACAAAAATATATAAGGGCAGAATGTAATAAACGTGGATTTCTGTGCAATATATCCACTGGTCTTTTGCAAATATAAAATGTAGGATGTTACACAGTCCATAAAAAAAAAAAACCACAAATTTCCCCTGAAACTGGCATGAAAATACCTTGAATATCTCTGCTGGATATCAGCTAAATTAAAAACATAGGGATATAAAAAAATCTACTGTGAAAATAAATGAATTGTAAGATAAATAACTCTTAAACAATCACTAACATTTTTCCTCAGAGGAAAAAACTACCACCCTAAGACAGAGTTCCTAACATTATAAAACTAGTCTGAAATGCCCTTACTACTGAAAAGATGAAAACATTCTTCCTGTAGGTGGTTCAATCTTCATAAAATAACCACTGAATAAACAAAGTAACTCAAAATATAAATGCACGTTCTTTAGTAAATAGAAAACAAAGGCAGCTTTTAAGGTGATTGAAAGTGTAGATGAATTTCAGAAACTCAAGTATTTTCTATTAACAGCTGAATCTACGACTTTGTAGTGGCAGATTGTCACACTTAAGGTATTCCCTGTAGGCTATTATTCAACTTACGGTTGTCATTTAAAAATGATTTTTACAAAGAGTACACGCAGAGTGTTAGGAGTAATTTTTAGGTGTCTTATGCTCATGTTTGATTCTCAATAAATACACGAACATTTACTGCCCTTTCCAACATGAAGGATAATTTCTACAAAAGTTAACAAAAGAAATACTAACTGATGAAAAACAGGACTTTTGCATGCATGCTGATGAAGAAAATAATTACAGAGTTGTCTTTTTTCATAACCTTGTGTAGGGGGAGGGCAGGAACAGTCCACAAGTAACGTGCCAAGAATGTTCTAAAATATGTGATGGAGTTCAGAGCTTCCTCCTCTTGCAAGCAAGATGATATGCACCAGAAACTAAAGTTAACAACAGGTCTCCAATCTACAGCAATGAACAAATTTGAATGCTTTGTATCTCAAAAAATATTTGACAAGTTTAACCTGACTGGATAAATAGCTTAACTAAGCACCTACTGCTATGAAATATATGTTCAGAATACTCCAGTTCAAAAGGGAAGGCTAGACATATACATATTTTTTTTGCTTATTCCAAAAGAAATACCGTTTACATCGTGACCCTATACACTCTCGCATGCACGCTCATGACCCACTAAAGTATTTCATGACCCCCTAATGTGTCCCCAACTGCAATCTGAAAAACACTGTGCTAGGTATGCAAAGGTCTTAACATTGAATTTGCAAATCAAGGAAAGACCTCGTTCTCATTTTCACCCCTAAATTAGAAATGTGTTTCCAGTTTATTTTTACAGTTCTTAAAAGTAAAGCCTATTCCACCAAGATACTTAAAATACGACAAAATATTTAAAAGTAGAACTAAAATTGGGAAAACATTCTTGATCAACCAATTATGTAATACACTTAGAGCAGTGATTCTCAAAAGGTGGGTTGCAGGGCAGAGGAGAAGAGGACCCCACAGAAGCAATTTTACCTCCCATTTGGCAGTGTCTTGAGACAATTTTGGTTGTCACAACTGGAGGGGGAGGGGTGTTATTGGCATCTAGTAGGTAAAGGCCAGAAAAGCTGCTAAAACATCTTATCATGCACAGGAGGTCCCTCAGAACAAAGAATGATCAACCTTAAAAGTGAATAGTGCTGAGGTTAAGTGCTGACTTAGAGTTAAAGCTAGAAAATCTCAGAAAAAAGATCTGGTTTAGCTCTTGGCTGGGTTCCATTTGGCCCAAAGGGTAATGCTGTTCTATTCACTAAGAGACTGGTTTTCCCCCAAAGATCAGCAGTTATACTAAAGAGTTTTATGTTCCGACTTTCCAATTTTTAAAAAAAGTAAAAGGAATGTTTTATTTTTCTTTAACATAAAGAAATGCTTTTTATTAGTCTACAGACCTCAAATGATATATATTTTTTCTGGGTCAGGAGCTCTTAACATTAGGAGGGAAAGGAGCTAACAGTAATCATCTGTGACTGCTATTAATTCTGAGTAGCTTTGTACACTGGGAAGAATAATGATCTGTGACCAGGCTACACCACCTACTATTATTCCTGCTCATAAGGCAGAATTGACAAAAAGAGTAAAACTACTCTTGGAAAAAACAACATTCAGAGCACCAATCCATACATTCTCACCAACTCCAACTTCACTAACTTTCTCCTTCTCCAAACTCCATCAGCACTATCACTGACAGGTTCTCTTTTTCATCTTCCTCCTCGACATGTTCTCCACCAGACTATAACTGATCAAAAAGGGTAGAAGCCTGTTAACCTAATTTTTGAATTTTAATTTTATTTCAGCTAAGAATAAACACTGGAATTTGATCTTAATGATTCTTTGGCTGCACATTTATCTAGGGAATTACTCATAGAACATGTGTTCACTTCCTCTGAAGAGTGTAAGGTCAGATGTGTTAAGCCAGATACAAATTTTGATATTATTACAGGAAAACCCCCCCCCTTTTTTTTTTTTTTTTACTACTTATCCCTAGAAAAAAGAGAAAGAAAATTAAACGTATTTAAATGATAATGAATTATTGCAACAAAGAATGCATGCTTTTTTAGGCTACTCTAATTAAACTCCAAATCAAGTGTGTTTTTTGTTTAAGTATGTGCTTGTGATGCTGATTCCATATGACTTTCCAGCCACCCCCAGATTTTAGCCATATCACTACTGATAAATTGTATTAATTATATTCTTATATATGCATTACTGAATTTTAATAATATGAACATTGTGATTTCCAAAATTATTTCCTTTAACAGCAAATGCAGGATACACTTGCACAAATATGCCAAAAATGGAGAGCAAAGGTTTAAACTTTTCCAGTGAGTTTTCAAGGTTTTTTTTGGTGAACTGGTGAGTCTGACTATACTTGCTCTAAATAACTGTCACTTTGGTCACATAATATATCTGCGAGATCTTAAAATGAGAAAGCATGGAGCTTTTACGAAACAGAAAAGTGTTCAGAAGAGTAAGTTGCAACTGTTAACTAACGTATCTGATTTCATTTGGTTACAATAAAGTTTTTATTATTTGGTACTGTGAATTTTTAGACCAGAAGTACTATATCAACCTTGTAATTGTGAGGTTTGTTAAGTTGCATCACTACAAATCTCAGATAATTCAAATACTACTCTAATTTCACTTAATTTTTTAATGTCCTCTTTAGCCCTGGTAATTTTCCTTGTTCTGAAGTTTTGTCTGAAATTAATACAGTGACTCCAGTCTTCTTTAGTGTTCACAAGGTATATCTTTCTCCATCCCTACAGTTTTTAAATTGTGGTAAAACATATATAACATAAATTTAGTATTTAAAATATATTTCACTTTTTAAAGCAGTTTTAGGTTCATAATAAAACTGAATAGAAAGAACAGATATTTGTCATATATCCCTTGCCCCTACACTTGCATAGCCTCCTTCATTATTAACATTCCTGACTAAACTGATACATTTGTTACAATTGATGAACCTACACTGACACATTGTTATCACCCTGAGTCCACAGTTCATATTAGGGTTCACTCCTGGTGTACATTCTATAGGTCTGGACAAATATATGACATGTACCCACCACTATAGTATCACACAGAGTAGTTTCACTGCCCTAAAAATCCCATGTTCCACCTGCTCATCTCTACCTCCCCCAAAACCCTGGTAACCACTGATCTTTTTCGGGTCTCCCTAGTTTTGCCTTTTCCAGAGCATCAAACAGTTGGAATCACATAGTTGGTAGCCTTTTCGGATTGGCTGCTTTCATTTAGTAGAATGTATTTAAATTTCCTCCATGGTTTTTTGTGGCTTGATAGCTCATTTATTTAATTTTTAAAATACTGCATAAGATGCACATGCATTCAGAGTCCAAAGAGGGTCAATGTGACCATTTTTTTAAAAAGACATTGCCCCCAGCTTCATTCTTTTTAAGCTCAAACTCATCTCTGCATGTGTGATAATCTACAAAACTGAATAACATGAAGGAATGTGAGCTATATATAAATCCTCTTCAACTCCACCATGCACATACTCTACCTAGAATGCAATGGTTATACACACTGGAGTCATACAATCAATTTAAATGTCCTATCTACCACTCACTATGACCTTGAAAAGGTTACTTATTGCTGCTAAATCACAGTTTTGCCAGGGGTAAAATGGGAATATTAACAATTCAAGCTACCAAGGTTAAGATTTAAACGACATACCATACGAAAACAACTGGTGTCAAGGTCCTAAGCCATAACAATGTGCTCAATAAATATTTGTGAGTACTATTATTGTCATAAAAGATCAGAACAGCTTTTGCCCATTGTTTATTGACCCAGTACACTTGGCTACAATCTGGCGAAAGTTAAGAGAACAATGGCACATTATTTTAGGAAATTTAAATTTATAGCATGCTTTAAAGCTTCTAGTGTCTTGTAGAAAGTATAAATTTATGAGAAAGTAATGCTCACTAATCAACCCAATGACCTCTACTGCAGTTCAGTAACTCACTCTCAGGACCACAACCTGGACTTTATTTTTGCCATTATTGGAAACTACTCCCAACTCTGAAATCTTAAAAACTTTAACATCTCGCTCTTCTGGTTACAGTCTCCTGACCTCTCAGCTCTCTTACACCCACTGCATACTTTCTGTGAACTGGATTTCTCTCTTCTCTCTCCATCTGTTAAGCTGATCCTGGCCTCACTTCTTTCTCTACCTAGTCTGGGCCTCACGTCCAATACATTAACTACACTCTTTCTGATATCTTCGCTTTCTAGCCACTGTATTCTTCTTGAGCATATATCTGCCTGGCAAAAGCTCCACCCTAGATCATTAAATAATTTCTCTTTGTCAAAGAGTTGAGCACTATAGAAAGAGAAAAAACTCACAAAACCCAGGAGATGAGTGTCATCAGATAGTAATGGGTTCCAGCCTCAGATGGGCACTCAAAGCCTCTCAGTTTTCTCTTATTTGGTGGTACTCAAAGTCAAGTCAATGTTAGAATCACTTACAGGCTAATTAAAGGTTCTCAGGCTCCTATTTCCACCTCCCTGGATTCTAACAAGTATGTCAGAAAGATGACCTGAAACTTGGAAATAGGGTAAAAAAAAAGTGTGCAGCACATCCTTTAAATGTCATAAAAAGCAAAAGCCACTCAAAGTTATAGGGCAAAATAATTACCACCTGCTATTTAATGCTGATTAAAGGTTGCAGTCTTGGTTACATGTTAACTTACAGATTGTTTGGTAAAGATGCACATAATTTTTCTATAGTTGAAAAAATAACCTATAGGTAAAAGTTTAAGGCTTTGTTGGCCATTAATCAGTTTTGGCCATCTAATGCAGCTATCATATCCTAACATTGCCTATAAACACCTAGCTTCTCAAATACTCTATGGACAGTTTTAACATTTTACTGATTCCCTCATTAATGAATGAGTTGAACAAAATATTTGGTGTGTTTATCTTATATTTGCAAGACAACTGATTTTGCCTTTTTTGCAAATTATAACCTGTAATTGTAGTTCTTCAGTGGGGCCTTGGATCTGCAGTTTTACAAGCTTTAAAACACTAAGGGTAACAACTAAAAACACACAAAACCTCCTTCTACATGGTGTCCCCTCACCACCCCCCATCTACCACCTTTTTCTCACTTTTTCCTTCTTGTACATAGATTTCTTTAGTTGCCTATACTTGATGTCTTCTTTGCCTCCTTTTCTAATGTCAATGCACTGCAATTCACGTTCAAGACTGTTGCGGGTTGAATTGTGTCCCTCAAAAAGACACATGTTCAAGTCCTAATTTTTGGTACCTACAAATGTGACCTTATCTGGAAACTGGATTTTGCAAATGTAATCAAGTTAAAATGAAGTCATTCTGGAGTTAGGGTGGGCCCTAATCCAACAACTGGTGTTTTCTAAGAGGAGGAAAGTTTAGACAGAGATGCAGGGAGAACCACATGTAACCACAGAGGCAGAGACTGGAGTGATATATTAAAAGCCAAGCAATGCTAAGAGTTGCAATCACCAAAAAGCTAGAAAGAGATAAGGATCCTACCTTAGAGTCTTAGGAAAGAGCATGGCCCTCTGCACACCCTGCTGTCAGAATTCTAGCCTCCATAACTGTGAGACAATAAATTTAAGTCAGTTAAGCTTGTGGTACTTTGTTACAGCTGCCCTAGGAAACACACAGATCTACATATCCAATGAAACTCTTCACTAAAGCAGTCAGTTTCTGAGCTGCCAAAAGCCAATGGAGAATTTTCCATCCTTATCTTTTGTTACCTTCTACAGCATCTGGCATTGCTGGCACTTCCTTCTCTTGCTTCCTTCTCCCTTACTTCATATCTCCCCTCCCTCCTTCTTAAATCTCTCCTCCCATGTCTTAATTCCTTTAACCCTCCAACTGCATCTCGCAGACCTTAACTGTATGTAACCTTGTTACTACCAGCTGTTGATGTTGCTATTCTTCAGAGTTCTTTCCCCACTCTGTATTCTATGTGGGCAATCTACTCCTTGACTTCAGTTGTCACTAAATGGAGAAAGCTCCAAAGTCTTCAATCTTATCTATATACATACTAAGCACTTTTGCTCAGAAGTTCCACTTCATTTGAAACTCCACATGTCCTACGCATTCAATGAACAACCTCCACATGTCCAGCAGTGTGCTACTAGGTATTAGGAACAACAGTAAAAATGTCAGACAAGACCCCTGTCCTTACAGAGTTTACAATATAGGGAGTAAGACAAACACAGAGAGTCATTCCAGGGATGATGAGTACTACAGGGAAGTAATGAGTGCTTCAGTGTGAGTGTGAGAATGTGTGTGTGTGTGTGCATGTGTGACAGAGGGAGAGGGAGAAGGAGAGAGGGAGAGGGAGGGAGAGAGAGAGAGAGAGAAAGAAAGAAAAAAGCAAGCAAGCAAGCAAGCAGTTAGCTAGGTAGAAATCCTGGTGAATGAGAGAAGTGGAATGCAGGAAGAGGAAGAAGATTCCAGAAAGAAAAATCTCAATATTAAACTGACTTGGCTCTCTCAAATTTAACTAATCATTATATTTTATACTTTTTATCTCCTTAGCAGTTCTAAATTTAGTCCCTCTGAACAAGTGCAGGCCCTTGCAAAGTTCTCTAATAGGTTTCCCCACTTTCTATCTTTTCTCCCTCTAATCCACTGTCCACACTTCAGCCAGAGTTTCTTAAATACTAACTGGGTCATGTAGGTCCCTTATTTAGAAATCCTTTAACTGTTTTCCACTGATGATACAACGAAGTTCAAATGCTTCAGCCAGGATACAAAGGCTATCATAATCTGGCCCCTGATTCCCTTTCTGGTCTCATCTCTTCACTTTTCCCACAACCTCTTTGTTCCACAGTCCTGAACTATAGGTGACTCCCCACATGCTCCACGCTCTCACCTCTGTGCCACTGCACTTAACATTCCACTCTGCCAAGAATAACGTCCCTCCTCCTTTTATCCACCTAGCAAATACCTACTCAATGTTATTTTCTTTGTGAAACCTTTCTGAAGCTCCTGGTGTTTCTCCCTATTTCCATAATAATATCTTTCTGTACTTAATATGCTTAATTATGCATATTTATGTCAGGTTACCATACCAACCTATAAAATTTGGTTAGAAAGGCAATGCATTCTACTCACCTTTATAAGCATACACACAGAAATAAAACATACAAGGCTCTTAGCACATGCTGTTGAATGAGAAATAAGCCTAAACTAATGTTATGGTAGACAACTAACACATTAGAAAGTACATAGGCTTTGGAGTCCAACAGACTTAGATTCAAATTCTAGACATGCCAGTTTTCAAGATCCTGGACACTTAACTGCCACAAGCTTACATACCCTAACCAGTATACTGGTGAGGATGCAACTACCTCACGGATGAGGATACCACCACCCATCTCCCAAGATAAATGTAAAGGTTCAGTAAGAACTTCTTTAAAATACAGTGGTCTCTTTATAAATGTAACACTCTTTCTCCTAGAAGAGGATGCCTCTGTTTATCTAGTACCCTGCCTTATCCTTCTCTGGAAGGTGCTCTGCAGTTTCCCAACAGTTTTAATATGACCTCATGCCCCCTGGTTATTTGACTGGTCCAAGGGTGGGTACTGAATCACACTGGGTCAATGTGAGGGCCAACTCACCCTTTCCTGGACCTTGTACAATAGGGAAAATACAGAATTTCTCCGTGTTAAAACCGTAAGCCTTCGGGATTGCCAGCAGCCATGATTCCTTCCACAAAGAGAAAGCCAGACTGAAACAAGAGGGAAGAACTAAGCTGAGTCCTTGGTTCCTGAAGTCTAGCTGCATTCCTGCCTTCCCCTCTCAATCCTCCCAATAGTTTCTCCTTCTACCTTAATCAGATATGGATTTCTGTTCTCTATAACCTCAAAAGTCCTAACTAAAACACTCTTCCTCCATGCATGCAAAAGAATGTCCACCTCACATCCAGACCTATAAAGCTGGCTTTTAGGATGCCAAGAGTAGACAGAAACAAAGGTATATCAGGAAAGAAGAGATAAAATGATCTGAGATGGTGGGGATCAAAAAACACTGAAGCACACCAACAGGCAGAAGGCTGAAGAGGCAGAGCAAAGGTCAAAAAGGAGAGCACAGAACTCACATTAAGATTTGGGTGGGCTGGAGACAGTCATGCCTTTCTGCCACATTCCTCTATTGCATGCTCTGACTCCTCTCACTGAGCTGGGGGTGGAACAATAATTGGGGATAAAGGGAAGAGGGATGGAAAAGTGAGTCTTAGTGGAACGGAAACATATAAAAATGGAAATTTTAACTGCAGAGTAAAATGAAACAAAATTTTCTTTGACATATTGATTCATTCATTGAACAAAAATTTACTTGCTACCCAGATTCAATCCCAGCCCTCGTTACAGTCTAAAAAGAAAGATGAGTTACATATTTTAAAATATTTAGAGTAGTAACTGGATGTCAAGTTCAACAAGGCTATTATTTAAATCCAGGTATGTCCAAGTCCAAAGCCTCCAGATTTTCAAAGACCACTGTAGTAAGAAAAAAAAAAAAAAGAAACCAATAATAAAGATAGGCAAAGCTGCTTGGTTTTTCAAACTAAAACAAAAACCAAAACAAACAAAAATCTGACAGTGTAAATGACAGTTTCAGTAAAGCAGAAACAAAACCCTTGCTTTTTTATTGCAAGGGTTAAAAAATAAATTAACAATTTAACAAATATCTGCTGTGTGCCAGTCACTAAGAAAATATACAGCACAAATGTAGATTACCATTTAGAAAGCTCGTCACTGAAAAAAGCAGAGATACAAGGTACCACAAAGCAATGAAAAAAGAGATATGTAAAAGCCAGTGGCATTTTGAGCATGTTTCCAGATATAAAGTAAAAGTGCCATCAAAGTGTAAAGCATGCCAAAACAAAATTCACATTCCCCAATGTAGCAGTGCTCTGATAAAGAGGAAGAGGACAAGGTTTCAGTCAGGAGGAAGTCATACTGTGCAAGGATTAGGAGCAGGGCAGGAGTTCGGCTGTACAAATCAGCTTTACAAAGTGAGATAGTCTGCTAAGCAGTAATCCCCACTTGGGACTTGATTAGCCAGACCTCATTTGTGGCAGATCTAATCACGATGACCACATGACTTAATCTTGTAACTATGAGCTATCCAGAACCAGAGAAAGCAGAGAATGGGGATTATCACATGGGCCCAAGTTTGGGAACTGTCCAAGATCACGGAAAGAGCATTGTTGAGATGATGGATTTGGGGTGCCTGAGTTGAGAAGAGATAACCAAACCTAGTGACAGACAAATGAACCAGGTGAAAGAGGAAGCACCTGAGGCTAATGTCAGGCCTAACATCGCAGATACAAACTCCTCAGTCTGCCCCTCAATGGGAAGTCCTCCACAATACGTTCCAGCCTCCATTTCTCATTACTTTTCTATTACACCAGATTAGTGAAGCTACCTGAATGCTCCCCAGCAACATCCACTGGCAAGAAAAAGGAGACAGGCAACTACGAGAACAAAAACTAGGGGGACTTTTATAATATTGGAGATGCCTATTGAAGTCAGAAGCTGAAAGCATGCAAAGGAGAAAGTGTGCCCAAATTGCTGGCACTGATTTAGGCTGTCACGGTTGTTAAGGATGACCCATCTGAGGGGAGCAGAGCTTTCTAAGAAGTAGGCATGTCTATTTTCAGAATTTCAGCTTGAAGGATTCCTCTCATAGTCAAGGGTGTGCAGCAAAGGAGTCTTCCTCCTGGGAAGAGGTGGGACTGGGAAAGGCTGGGAAGACTGTTAGGCTCTGAGCAAACAGGTAGTAAGGGTCAAGACATGGCTCTGTTCCCGGCTCCTGAACTGACCACTAATTTACGGGGATTAGGCAAAGGACAACAGCATGAAGTGCATGCCGGTGCCAAGGGATGAACCAAATAATGTGCTCAGGGTAGCAGATTAACTCTAGAAATGGGGTTCTTAATTCACATAATTTGAATGACAGACACTATGATAAGTATTAGAAATAAGAAAATGAATAAAACTCTCTCCGCTGGCAGGAATAAATACTTAGAATACAGTGTGGAATGTATTATCCGGAGATGAGTGTGTGGGGACTGTTCGAGAACTCTTCATAAAGGGATGATACCCAAGAAGGGTTTTGAAGGCTGATCGAGAGTTTACCGAGAAGACAAGGAAAGTAAGAGCATTTCAAGTAGAGGAAACTGCATATATGAAGAGGTTAGTATAGGGAACAAGGCAAAATGGCATGAAATTATATCTTAGAAGAATAAAATTAGCTCAGTCTCATATCTGAACTATACAGTGTGAGAAATGCTGGCATTAGATTAAGTCAGAGTGAAAGGGAGGGACCAGACTGTGAAAAAAATTACTTACATGATACGCAAAGGAGTTTGGACGGTATCTTACAGATGATAAAGGGGCTGCTGGCAACACTATGGAAGTCATTAACACAGCTCCAAGAGGAAAATGCCCCAGCATGTGGTACCATGCCTGGCCCACAGTAACCAACCAACGTTTTTCCAATAACTGGGCAGACACAGGGCATGAGTTCAAGAAGCAAACAGTGGAGCATGACCAGAATGAGTTTTGCTACTCATTCTAAAAGGGTGGGCTTTCACACTCCCACTTTCCTGACTCCCCAGGTTATAATCTTATGATCTTACTCTTCAAATATCTGCTGTTCCTTGTGGACAAGAAACCTACCAAACTTCAAAGCTTACCAATCTAAAACCACTTTATCAGTGAGGCGTCTCCTACTTCTCCAGGAGTTGTGAGCTTTTTCTGCCTTATACAACCTTCTTATAACCTTCCTTGATTATTATTATAGTAGGCGTCTCCTGCTTCTCCAGGAGTGGTGAGTTCTCTCTGCCTTACATAACCTTCTGATATCCTTCCTTGGTTATTATTATATATATTCCAACTTGAATTACTTTCTCAAATAGACTGTAGGTTCTCTGAAGACAATAACAATGTTTTACTCTTCTCTGAATGTCTCAGGACTATACTGAGGTACATGCACACTCTCTTGAGAGTTCACAGTTGGTACCCCTTCATACTGATAGTTCTTAATGAGAGAATGATAAAGAGTGCCAATACCTTCTCTTTGATCCCAGGCAATTCAGTTTTGAAGGCAAGGTTGCACACACCCTACTCAACAAAAGCCTTGCAGGGAATTCTGGGCCACTCTCCTTAAAAAGCAGTTGAGGGAACGTGCATCTTGGGATTCTCCCATAATTCAAGCAGCAAATCAAAGTTTTTCTTTCAATTACACACCCATCAGGGTGCACGTTCAGCTGGTGAATGATGTTTTAGTAGCCCTTGGAAATCATGAGTATCTCATCAGCTTCAGTGGGTACTGCACTGGCACTCATTAGATACTAGTTTATTTGAATATCTGTATTTTCTGTCCTCATAGGTTGTACTAATTTAACCCAAATAATGAACTGAAAAATTAGCCTGATATTTGTTTCTAAACTAACATTTTGAACTGAAATACTTTCTCAAAGATTTTTCTCCAGAATGAAGAATTCAATTAAATACAATAACAGCTCTGAACAATACAGTAATTACTTTATAAATACTGAATGTCTTATGATAAAATTTTGCATTTTGAAATTTTTGTTTTACTGTATTTTGTAGGTATGCTTATGTGTGCTAAATTAGCCTATAAGTTAATTTTACATGAACACACTATTAAAATTACAACTACAAAAGATTATGCAGGTATGTGAATATGTAATAGAAAGGAAAGTTAAAAATTATAAGTCGATGGATTAGAAGACAGAAATGTGGATAATCATCTACGTTTTTAGTTTTGAGTAATAATCATTGTTATCCATACAATATTTAAAAATAAATACAAAGTCCTATGGCCGTAAGGTTGTTATAAAGAAAACCGAATCCAGGAGCCACATCAGAAAAATTGCCAAATTGTCTCACTTCATATTTCAACAATCACACTTAGCAAATATCACTATCTTTATGAAGCTTTTCCTCATCCTTCTACTGTTGGGTCATCATTCCATATCCTTCCAAATATATCAAGAAGTGGAAGCAGAAACTGTCTACTTGTATGCATTCAATTAATGTCCAACATTACTACCTGAGCTTCACTTCCCAGTGTCACTTTGCTAAGTGTAGTCCTAAATTTAAATTCTACTCCTATGTAAATCTAGCCCTTTCCCACATACATGATCTATTAACTTTTGGAAATTAATTTGTCATTTTAATTCTACTACTGGTATTTTACTTATGCCAATTCCACCATTTTAAGATATTTTTACATGTTTGTCTTTAAAATGAGGCTCAGATGTTCAAATGGAATTATCAACTATCCCCAGGGAAAATAATATGTTCTTTTTGTTTCTAACACTGAGAAATCTACCTATAATTTACCTGCAATCTTAGAATCAATTTTTCATTTACAAGTTTCAAAAATGTGCTGTTTCAATCTGATCATTCACACGTGTGGATTGTGTGCTGCTTCTAATTTTCATTTTGTAAAATTAATTAGAAATATAGCAGAAAAGGATGCTTTGATTTATTTGCTTCTGAACAAAACTGGATAAGAGCCCCAATGTTTTATCAGACAAAGAAAAGACAATGGAAATTTCTAAATTAACCTAATGTCAATGTGAAAAATAATTACAAATGTTTATTTGCAGAGAGAAATAAGTTTTTATTTTCTGGCAACTCACAAATATTGTTCAAAAATATTTCCCTGCATCACAAGCAAATAAAGGCATTCCTTGACAGAATATAAACTTTTTCACATATTGGTTCCAAATATGTTCAAATAACTGAAACATCCTTTTTAAGAATGAACCTGATTTGTTTCACAGATTAAATTAGCAAAGAAAAACTAATATCTTCACAACATGTTATATATTAATAGGCCCAAACAAATCAGGCTTAATGGTTTTTAAGAATTAATTCCCTGATATTTTACCATGTTCAAATTACATTCTAACCAAGAAAGTAGGCAAGCCTTCCAGGATACAAATGAGGAAGCTGAGCTCCTGATATGAAGTAACCCAAATTCCTACAGTCATAATGGAAACCAGAGACCTAAAATCATAGTAAACCATCAACTTCCAATAAATTTAATACAATAGCAAATATGCTACCAGCATAAGTTTCACCAATTTAATTTTTTTGAGAGGTACATTTTACAGAAAAAAAGTCTTCAATAAAAAAGATTTCGAAGACCAACTTCTTGATATCCAACTTAGAACTCTACACAAATACAAGCCATATGTGAAACATCAACATAATAAATAGAGGTAAACAGAATATATTTATAAATTTATAAGTGAAACAGAACTGGTTAAAATACATCTGTTGTGAAAAGTCGGTAAGTTTTCAAACTAATGATACATTTTATTCGGAGCCAAATAAAAAGAAAGGTCATTGTGAACAGAAAATCTATTGAGGAATAGCTATGTATGACATTAATTGGAATGAAGGTAATATATTCTGCTATTTCAAAATGATGTCAGAAAGAAAAAAGACACTGAAGCACATTTCTACCTCTCCATACTAGATGCATTTCTACCTTCAGTTGTCAAATAAAGAAAAAAAATCTATCAAAGAAACCTTTTTTGCAGTTTAATTTTTATTCTGACTATATGCGAATTACAGAAAATTTAGAAAAGTATAAAGAAATGTCCCACAATTTTACCACCAAAAGACAACAACTGTCAACAGTTTATTTCCTTCCAGTCTTAAGACTTCTTATAGAGTAAAAACTCTACCTTGTAGCTGAACATTACAACATGTACAAATCCCATTAAAAATTCTAAAGGTGTTTTAAACAGACTTCTTTTCAGGTTATGTGAGGGAATATCAGTAGACCCTAAAGAACATCTGTTAGACTGGGAAGACTGGCTTAAAAGGAATTCCACCACGGGCTGCTTTAGGGTCCTTTGAGTAAAAAATTTAATTTTTAAAAATGAGAAAATTCAAATCTCAAATAATTGTGAGTTTTCAGATGATGTATACCTAATTAGCTCTTAATTTATCAACTTAGTAAGATCGAGATTAGTAATAATCATTTATAGCTATTTTAAGCTTTTCCCTTTGCAAAATTCCTGCATACTATCATTTCATTTATATTAAGCTATGAGATAGGTATGCATGCTCACCTTAATGATGTAGAAAACTGAGGTACAAAGAGATTAAATATTAAATGATTTAGCAAAATTTACCCAAGCAATTTAGAAGAACTAAAAAAAAAAAAAGTCTTTTAATTATCAGAATCATTTCTATTTATGTTGATGTTTACATAAGATGACACTGTTAAAGAGAAATGTATTTGTTAAAATGTTCTGGTAAAAAAAAATTATATTAAACCTTAAAAAATGAAGTAATGTTGCTTGTCTGATTAGACTGGCTATTTCTTTTTCTTTTTTTTTTTTTTTTTTTGAGACAGTCTCGCTCTGTCGCCAGGCTGGAGTGCAGTGGCGCGATCGCTGCAACCTCCGCCTCCCGGGTTCAAGCGATTCCCCTGCCTCAGCCTCCTGAGTACCTGGGACTACAGGCATGTGCCACCATGCCCGGCTAATTTTTTGTATTTTAGGAGAGACGGGGTTTCACCATGTTGGTCAGGATGGTCTCGATCTCCTGACCTCGTGATCTGCCCGCCTCAGCCTCCCAAAGTGCTCGGATTACAGGTGTGAGCCACCGCGCCCGGTAGACTGGCCTTTTCTAAAAACAAGGCAATCCCTCATTTGGAAGGTAGACATGTAACTGATTCTATACTGTTCCAAGATTTTTTTTAATAACATGATACAAACACTATCAGATCCAGAAACAAGCAAAGCAGAGTACTCTGCCTATGGAGTAATATGCCCTCCTGCATCAAGGTACCTTATATTCTTTGTGTCTCAATGTCCTTACGTTTGAACTGGGATAACAATAACTATCTCAGCTGATTGTAGTGAAGATTCAAGGAGTTAATAAACCCAAACCACTTAGTCCAGTTGTTCCAGCCACAAAGTAAGCCCTAAGTGTTAGCCATATATAAGCCTGTTTTCCCCCCTACCAGGAGGGAAATACATCTCTACAGTGGAAAGAAGGATTTCACACTTTAATATATTAAATGATGATGATGTTCAGTAATTTTAGAAGACGATCTAACTAAAACCTAAATGCTAAGCATCTAAATTTTGAGTTACTCTATATAGAAACGTGTCTAGATGTAAGGGGTCAGTTTGCCAAATACATTTTTTCCTTATAGTTACAGAGATTATATTTCCACATGCCTGTCAAGGTTCGGCATCTTCTTAATGACAGGCCATGATTCCATACTTCACTGAAAACCATGAGAGCAACATAAAGCTGGGCTTAAAGGCAGAGAACAATTTTCTTTTTAAAAAACTCTCTTCCTAGCAATAAGTAACAATCCAATCCTTATCCTTCCCACTGCAATAAAATGGAAAATGCAATGGAAATATCTTTTCAAAAACTGATGCCAAACTGATTCAAAAAGTGTGGTACACTACGGGAAAACAGTACTAAAGGGGAAAAGAAATCACCCTGCATTCTCCTTCCATTATGATAAGTATTTAATAAACAGTTTTGCCTGTTTCTGGAACAGGTTTTTCAAGGATTGTAGGTGGAAAAAAAAAAAAGTTTTGTCACTTTCTGGAAAGGCTTACCTTTTTAATGTGGAGAGCTTCACTTGGGCAAATTAGCATAGCGTTGGGTCAGACCCAGTGTTTGACCAAGGCAGTCTAGACCACCAGCCTCAATGATGGATTGTAAAGAACATGTTCTGAATCCAAGACTCAGAGATAAGCAGAAACTATTCCATTCGCTTCAGAACCCGGGCTCTTTCACAAAGGATCATAATTACCACCACTTACCTTTAATAGGCTTAAGATGCTATTTAATTAACCTGCCTTCCTACAGTGTCCATCCATCCGTGCAGCTTAACTTTAGGGGTCATTACCTCCAAAGGTTCTTTTTCCTCCCCAAAATTTTCCCCAGAAGGACCTAATATCAACGAGGCTTTCATAGCAGGGTCTCACGTCCCCCTTTCAGAAAAATAAATGGCCTTGCCAAAAAGTAAAGCCGCGCCAACTTGGGGGACAGACGGGCAAGACCTTGCCTTTGCAACTCAACCCCGTGAGTACCCAGCCAGGTCCGGCCACGCACGAAAGCGCACCGCGCCTCCCTGCAGCGTCTGCAGATTTGTTCAGGGGCCAAGAGACCCGCAGCCCCGACGGAGGTTCCCCCGCCGCTCACTCCCCTGGGACCACTCACCTTGCTGGGCTCCAGCGTCCTCGAGCAGCAGGAGCAGGACAAGTAAGAGCAGGAGGAACAGAGGCATGGAGAAGGAGGAGGAGTTGGAGCAGGGAGGGAGGGAGCGGGAGAGGGGGAGCGCGGCCCAGGCGGGGGCGGCGGCCGCGGCCCGGACTTGGGGACACTGCGGGCAGCGCCTGGCTCTCACCACCGCCCGGCTCGCCATCGCGGCGGCCGGCAGTCTGCCTGCATAGTGCGGGTGCCTCGGCAGCCCCGCGCGCCTCTGGCCGCGGCACCCGACCAGGAGACGGCGGCAGCGGCGGGAGAACAAGAGGCAGCCCTCGCCTCACCCCGCGCCGGGACCCTTCCGCCCCTCACCCCGCTTTCACCTACTCCTCCTTCGTCCCTTCCCTCCGCTCCCCGCGCCGAGACCCCAGGCCGGAGCGCAGGGGAGGGGAGGGAAGGAAGCGGAGTCCTCGAGCCGCGGAGGACGGCCGCGGCGGAGCTAAGGAACGTGCCTCCCGCGCCGCGCTCCTCACCAGGGTCGCCGCTCGCCGCGCTCACCCGCGGCTCCGGCTAGCTGGCAGGCAGGCCCGCAGCCAGCTCCCTCGCGCTCCCTCTCGCGCGCGCCGGCCACGCCCCCTAGGCACCGCGGCCAATCCTCGGCCAGCTCTGGTCCGTCTCCTTCCGCGAAACCCAATCAGCATGCTCGCTCCTCGCTCGACCCGCTAGTTCTCCGGCCCATTCCTCGAGCTCCACCGCCCCTTACCTCCCTCTTCCAATCCCCTTCGGCCTTTGGAGGCGTCCCACCCGCCTCCTCCAATCCAGGTCCCGCCCTCCAGCTTCGGATCCCCGCGGCCCCCGCCCGGCCCGGGCGCCTGTTATTGTTGGGCCCTCAGCCCAAACTGATCCCGCAGAGGCGGCAGCCAGCTCGTCAGTGACTTCCGGGACGTCCCCCATCCCGCGCTCCCTGCTCCTCAGGCCCAGCTTGCTCCTTGCTCCTTTCTCCTCGCTCCTCCGACGCACATCAGACCACTGGAAGGGGGTGGGAAACCTGGATCCTGGGTTGTTTTAGCTGGGAGCTGAGTCTAAGGGACTTTTTTTTTTTTTTTAATGGCAGAGCGTGGCTTGTTTTGTTAAAACTGCCGCCAGTTGTTGCAACAGCTCCGAGTTAGAATAATAGATGCAGTGTTCAGTTTTTAATATATGTGTTCCCTGTTTTCTCTGCTCTTTTTATGGCGGGGGGTGGGGGACAAAAAAGTGTAAAACAAGATCCGTGCCGCAAAGGCAATTTAAACCTAACATCCCAACCTTCATGCAGCCATTCTACAAGGAGTTGTTGAGCACCTGCTGTCTATCTACAGAAATCTTGAAATGTGGAACAGAGATGGAAATATAGCATGCAAGTCAGAATGAAGTAAGTGCTAATTAGAGTCACAAGCAGTTTGATGGAGACTGTAAGCCTATGGAACGACAAAAAGAATTTTAGGAAAGAGGAATGCAGAGGTCTACGCAGTGATTTATTTTAGAAGAGAGTGGCCATGTAGGATGTTTTTAACAGCAGTCCCTGAAAGGACAATGGTGTCATTAGCAAATACAAAAAACTGCTAAGGTGGAACAAGTTGTGTGGGAAAGTAAGTTAATTTTGGACGTATTGAATTTGAGATGCCAACTTAGATAATAAGTGAAGCTATGTAACAGGCAGATGGATATTTTAGTCGAAAGCTCAGATTGAGAGCTTTGAAATTATGGCTCTGGGAGTCATACATAGCCATACATGTATACATATACATATGTATACATAGTCATACATAGATGTGATATTCAAAAACATGGAAGGGACTGATATCCTTCAATGAAAGTCTAAGTTGGAAAGGACTTTGGAGGTCGTATGTTTCAACTCCCCTGCATATTTCTTATACAATAATCTCTTTAACCAAATTTATTCAATTAACATTTATTAAATGCCTAAGAAACCCTATTATGCTCTAAGCCATTGTGGGCATTGGGCATAAAAAGTTTACTGAGAAGAACTTACATTCTGGAGGAGGAGGTGACATGTAAACAAACCTATTGTTATTAGTGCCCTGTTAGAGGTGTGGACTGGTGCCACAATACCACAGTGAACGGAGTTCAAAAAAACCCGTCAGTTTGAAATGCCAGTGTCTTGAATAAGAAACTAAAGTGAAAAAGGTGATCTCAGGCCAGAGGCAAAATAGGCTGGGTCACAGGCTCAATAGGGAATGGTGTTGATGGAGCTGGATTGACTACTGCTGACGTAATGGGAGGAACTGGAGACTAGTCTGGAAAAGTTAGGAGGGGCAAGATGTAAGGCAAGCTAAGAGTCAAGATTTTATTTTGTATCACTGGAAAATAACTAAAGGGTTCTAAGAAAGAATGACATTGTCAGTTTTTTTTTTGTTTTTGTTTTTGTTTTTGTTTTTTTTGAGATGGAGTTTTGCTCTTGTTGCCCAGGCTGGAGTGCAATGGCATGATCTCGGCTCACTGCAACCTCTGCCTCCCGGGTTCAAGCGATTCTCCTGCCTCAGTCTCCCTAGTAGCTGGGATTACAGGCATGTGCCACCGCACCCGGCTAATTTTGTATTTTTAGTAGAGCCGGGGTTTCTCCATTGTTGGTCAGGCTGGTCTCGAACTCCCGACCTCAGGTGATCCACCCGCCTCAGCCTCCCAAAGTGCTGGGATAACGGCGTGAGCCATCGCGCCCGGTCATTATCAGGTTTTTATTGTAAAAACCCCAATCAGCCAGTAGGGTGAGGAATACATTGGTGTAAGAGCAAGACTGGAAGCCAGGGAGAGCCAGTCTGCAGTTAAAGGGAGTGATGGTGAGTTTTTAGTGCATTAAAAGTGGGCTTGGGAAGGCGGGACCAACTAGGGGAATATTTTTAAACTTGGTGACTGATTATGTGGAGTGTAAGGAGTTGAGGAAGTCTCCAGGTTTCTGGTAGAAGGTGATGTCTTTCCCACAGTAAGGAGTACAAGAAGGAGAATTGGTTTGGTTGGATAAAGAAGTAGAAGTTAAAAATCATAAATTCAGAATTGAACCTATCAGACATGATGTGCTAATGTGGCAAGCAGTCAGTCATGAAATAAGATTTCTAGTAGTAGTGCCTGAGACAACCTATTTCATGTGGAATCACTCCTTTCATAGGACCATTGAAAGAGAAGCTTGAGGTCACAGATGTGGTGGCAGAGCAAGGTAGTGTGAATCTTAGCCTGGCATTCTATTGACTACATAGAACTGTGGCAGAGGCAGAGAATTCACCTAAGAACTAGCACAGTTATGGAGCATTTCTGGAAGAGGCAAAATTTGGTCTCTAGCAACCCCTACCCCTTTAATATAGCAGGAAAAGATCCCGACTACATACGTGTAAAGCAAGAGGAAGGAGCACTTACATTTCTCATCACTGTTTTACTTACTGTCTAGTGTTTTAAAGTTGTTAAAAGTAGAGACTAGAGAGGTGAAGAGGTTCTGAATTAGGTCACTGGCAGGGAAAAAGAGAGGGAGGTGGGAGCAAGTTGGAGTTATATTTAAAGCAGCAAAATCAGAAGGTCTTAGTGACTGATGCCATTTGACTATTTCTGTGTTATTTTATGCCTCAGCTTCCGGAGTTTCGCTTTGGAAGACAGGGTCTGGAAGTCTGGCTAGAGAACATTTGTGGTGCCCCCTATTGCTTTATGTATATAGAAAATTACAAATATAGCACAGATGTGGGAGAGGATTGATGCTGTTGCACCCATATTCTCTCTTCTGATTATTGTCTCTCTACTTAGTTGCCAAACAATGACAGAAGGCTGCTCTGAAATGATCAAAATTTTCTCCTGGGACCTCACACCAAAGGAATATAATAGGCATTCATTTCTAAGACAATGCGGGTAAAGTGGAATTCTAGTTTATATTACCTTTCTTATTCTCTGCATGCTGCTCTAGACAACTTTGTCATGATCCTTGCTTCTGGGGACTTGGTTTGTTTGGGGAATGACATCTTATGAGGCAGTGGGAGCAATACTTGTCCAGGACCATTTTACCCATGCAACCCAGATGCATAACCCAGGGGCAGAACTGGGGATTCTAATCAAGTCTCAAAGTGGATAGGTTTGGAGAGGGCCATCATTGTAGCACATAGAGGCTCCAAGAAGCTACAGTTCCTCCACAAGGCAAGCCCAGGTTCTGGCTTCTTTTTACAGGGTTTCAAAAGTGTGTATTATTTTATTGTATTTCTGGTTGTTTACTCTACATTAAGATATTTAAAAATAAAAATAGATTCTCAACCTAAATTTTAATTTTTTATCTCTCTTCCTCTTTTTCTCATTCTTTATTTCATGTTTCTTAATCAGTAAAGAATGGAAGAATAGGCCGGGCGCGGTAGCTTACACCTGTAATCCCAGCACTTTGGGAGGCCGAAGCGGGCGGATCACGAGGTCAGGAGATCGAGACCATCCTGGCTAACACAGTGAAACCCTGTCTCTACTAAAAATACAAAAAATTAGCCGGGCATGGTGGCGGGCGCCTGTAGTCCCAGCTACTCGGGAGGCTGAGGCAGGAGAATGGCGTGAACTCGTGAGGCGGAGCTTGCAGTGAGCCGAGATTGCTCCACTGCACTCCAGCCTGGGTGACAGAGCAAGACTCCCTCTCAAAAAAAAAAAAAAAAAAAAAGACCGGGTGCAGTGGCTCATGCCTGTAATCCCAGCACTTTGGGAGGCTGAGGCGGGCAGATCACGAGGTCAGGAGATCGAGACTATCCTGGCTAACACCGTGAAACCCCGTCTCTACTTAAAATACAAAAAATTAGCCGGGTGTGGTGGTGGCGGGTGCCTGTAGTCCCAGCTACTCGGGAGGCCGAGGCAGGAGAATGGCATGAACCCAGGAGGTGGAGCTTGCAGTGAGCCGAGATGCACCACTGCACTCCAGCCTGGGTGACAGAGTGAAACTCCGTCTCATTAAAAAAAAAAAAAAATGGAAGAATGAAGAAAATCAAATTAATCTATAGGGAAAAGGGGAAATATAAAAAGAATAGTTACATTTTACTATTCCTACTTTCAAATGAATCCAAGCTCAGCCAACTGCTAAGGAAATTAGAATGTAGGAAAAGAACCTGGGGGCTGGTGCCTTTGTTTCTGTCTGTGCAGAAACATCTGGGTTTCAATGAAATGGTACCGTAAGAATCATTTGGCACCCATCATTGCTATTAAATGTCTGTTAGCATTAATGAAACAAAAGAGGCTCATTAAAAATGGCATTTATACTGGAAACCTTAGGAGGATGGTATGTAATGAATCATTGGTGAGCTTTATCAGTGACTGTGTATTTTTGGCAGGATAACAGAAAGAGGGAATGAACAAGAATGTACTTTTGTGATCTTCCAGTGGGGTAGGAGAGAAAGAAGATTGTGGCAGTTCTGGGGAAATACTTCAAACATCAAAGACCAGAGCCTTAAGATCTGGTTACTGTTCTCACAGGAGCATTTTCTTTGTCCTGTTGACTGTTTGGGAAAATGTTTACAGCCAACTTTGCTGCTAAATGTCTGAATTCCGCTGAAGACACTTTCTTTCTGTGAACAGAAGTGTTTTGGACACATTTTTCTCTTTATCTTGTATGCTTTTTTCAGTTACTTATTTCAGTCAACTCTCCTAAGTTTATTACTCATATTTTCTTAACACTTATAAACTTTTTAAAAGATATTTGTTATAGCAAATTTAAGGCAAAAGTGCCAGAAATCTAATTTATTATAGAAGGTATTTAATTTCTGCCAGTGGATGATAATGTTAAATATTTCTCTTAAAAGATTAACATTTGTATATATCAGCAACATGACTAACTTTTAGCATTTTCCATTTGCATCTTCATCTACTGCAACCATCTTACTCTCTTTCTCTCTCTCCATCTCTTGCCCCAGTCTCTCTCACACTCTTGGTTTTTCTAGGAACTTTAGGAAATTAACCAATTCATTTTCTTATGGGTCATGACAAGAAGAAGGCTTCAGTCTAGTATTTTATCTCTGATGGAGATTTCAAAGGATTTTAGTAAAAGCATGTGAAAACTGCCTTCCATAACATTATTATCATGCCTAGAAATTAGGAAATTAATTATACATGGATGGTTAACATAGCAGTAAAATGTGAATAGTGACCATGCTAGTATATCTGAGATAATATGATTTAGGTAACCTGCAGGCCTCCCCTGCTATATGCCTGTATCCTTTCCTGTGGGACTTTTGCTGGCAACGCAGTTGAGAATTAGATGTACAGAGTTGAAATGCTCTTTGGATTCTGAGAAATTAAGTTTTGTGAGATAATGGAAACAGCCCTAGATAAGACTCTTGTATACAATTTCTGCTTGAAAGTGCTATATAACCTCCAGCAAGGCTCCTAATCTCTCTAGACCTCAGTTTCCTTGCCCATAACAGAAAATGATGGGATCCTATTCTAAATCTGAAGTTTGATAATACTTCCAAATTTTCTTTATTCACATCTCCCTTTCACCTCACGTCAAATTCTAAGTCTTCAGTTCCCAGATTTCTACCTAATGAGGAGGGAAAAGAACCAAACGCTGATAACTACAGAATTGGTCTCTGGGAAATAATTGTCTTTGCTGAACACCAGTGCACCTTAAAGGGTGTGTTTGATTTGGAAAATAATCCTCAGGTCCCCCAACTGCATCCCAGCAATGTCTTAATGAATGGAGGCTATATGAATAGCCCCAGTTTTATTCTGTGAAAGAAGCGAACAGAACCTTGGACAGGCAGGGTAACCTTTTCAGAGAGGAGATGGGGCCAGGTCAGAGGAAATAAAGCTGGTTAGCAACTTGGCAGGAAGCTGGAGCTTCAGAGATGTAAGAAATATAATTTCCCACTCATTTCAATGCAAAGATGCTTTAAAAATAGGGATATCTAATAAATAATTTCAAGGTGTTTGCTATATATGCTATACTGTAATCTTCCCCTTGCCTTCCTCCCAAACTCTTCATTAAGTTTACTACAATCACAGCCTTGATTGGGGGAGACTTTGGGCACTGTGAGTGGAGGACATGCCTATTTCCACATAAACAAGGGCAGCATCAGCAGGTGGTGAAATGAAAGCATGGATCAAGGATTCAGAGGAAGCAGAAGACTACTATAACTAGAGATTTTGAGAAACTTAAATCTTCACGCCACTCCCCACTCTCTTGACAAGAAACTAGGTTCCCATCCCTATATAAGTCAGGATGTTTGAACCATAGCAAGCTAGAGGATTTGGAATCGTCCAGGCAAGTGACATCTTTCACACTAGGATAAGCAAATAATAATATAATAATTCAAATTTTTATTTTCTAAGAACGAAGAGAATAGAATTGAAATTGGGTGCTCACTTCGGTGGCACATATACTAAAATTGGAACAATACAGAGATGATTAGCATGGCCCCTGCACAAGGATGGCACGCAAATTTGTAAGCATTCCATATTTTTCAAGTCTGCAAAATAACCAGCTACCATCATGATGACAAGATCAAATCCACACATAAAAACACCAACCATAAATGTAAATGGGCTAAATGCCCCAATTAAAAGACACAGAATGGCAAGCTGGATAAAGAACCAAGACCCATCGGTATGTTGTCTTCAAGAGATCCATCTCAGATGCAAAGATACACATAGGCTCAAAATAAAAGGATGGAGGAAAATTTACCAAGCAAATGGAAAACAGAAAAAAGCAGGGGTTGCAATCCTAGTTTCTGACAAAATAGACTTTAAACCAACAAAGATTAAAAAAAAAGACAAAGACATTACATAATGGTAAAGTGTTCAATTCAGCAAGAAGAGCTAACTATCCTGAGTATATATGTACCCAATACAGGAGCACCCAGAATCACAAAGCAAGTTCTTAGAGACCTTCAAAGAGACTTAGACTCCCACACAATAATAGTGGGAGATTTTAACACCCCACTGACAATAGTAGACAGATGATTCAGATAGAAAATTAACAAAGATATTCAGGACCTGAATTCAGTTCTGGGTCAAGTGGACCTGACAGATATCTGCAGAACTCTCCACCTAAAAACAACAGAATATGTATTCTTCTCATTGCCACATGGCACTTACTCTAAAGTTGACCACATCATCAGAAGTAAAACACTCCTCAGCAAATGCAAAAGAACTGAAATCATAAACAGTCTCTCAAACCACCATGCAATCAAATTGGAACTCAAGATTAAGAAATTCACTCAAAACCACACAACTACATGGAAATTGAACAACCTGCTCCTGAATGATTCTTGGGTAAATAATGAAATTAAGGCAGAAAACAAGAAGTTCTTTGAAACTAATGAGAATGAAGAAACAATGAACCAGAATCTCTGGGATACAGTGAAAGCAATGTTAAGAGGAAAATTTACAGCACTAAATGCCCACATCAAAAAGCTAGAAAGATGTCAAGTTAACAAGCTAACATTACAACTGAAGGAACTAGAGAACCAAGAGCAAACAAATCCCAAAGCTAGCAGAAGACAAGAAATAAGCAAGATCAGAACTGAAATGAAGGAGTTAGAGACACAAAAAACACATTAAAAAAAATAAAATCCAGGAGGTGTTTTTGTGAAAAAATTAACAAAATAGATAGACTGCTAGCAAGACTAAGGAAGAAAAGAGAGAAGATTGAAACACAATCGGAAGTGATGAGGGCTATCACCAATGGCCCCACAGAAATACAAACAACCATCAGAGAATACTATCAACACCTCTATACACATAAACTAGAAAATCTAGAAGAAACTGATGAACTTCTGAACACATACCCCCAATCCCATAACTGAACCAGGAAGAATTCAAATCCCTGAATAGACCAATAATGAGTCCTGAAATTGAGGCAGTAATAAATAGCTTACTAACCAAAAAAAGTCCAGAACCAGATGGATTCACTTCATAGGCACGAAGAATTGGTACCATTTGTACTGAAACTATTCCAAAGAATTGAAAAGGAGGGACTCTTCCCTAACTCATTCTATGACATCAGCATTAACCTGATGCCAAAACCTGGCAGTGATAGAACAAAAAAAGAAATCTTCAGGCCAATATCCTTGATAAGAATCAATGCAAAAACC
Organism: Homo sapiens; assembly: GCF_000001405.40. NCBI lineage: Eukaryota > Metazoa > Chordata > Mammalia > Primates > Hominidae > Homo > Homo sapiens. Next base: position 98,910,196 of record NC_000003.12, read on the forward strand.
CTCAATAAAATACTAGCAAACTGAATCCAGCAGCACATCAAAAAGCTTATCCACTATGATCAAATATGGAACCCAAAAAGAGGCCAAATAGCCAAGACAATCCTAAGCAAAAACAAAGCTGGAGGCATCATGCTACCTGGCTGAAAAATATACTACAAGACTACAGTGACAAAACAGCATGGTACTGGTACAAGAACAGACACATAGACCAATGGAAGAGAATAGAGAACCCAGAAATAAGACTGCACGCCTCCAACCAGCTGATCTTCAACAAACTTGACAAAAACAAGCAATAGAGAAAGGATTTTCTATTTAACAAATGGTGCTAGGAGAACTAACTGGCTAACCATATGGAGAAAATTGAAACTGAACCCTTTTCTTACACCATATACAAAAATCAACTCAAGATGGATTAAAGACAATTGTAAAACCCAAAATTATAAAAACCCTAGAAGAAAATCTAGGCAATACCATTTAGGACATAAGCACGGGCAAAGATTTCATAAAGAAAATGCCAAAAGCAATTACAACAAAAGCAAAGATTGACAAATGGGATCTAATTAAACGAAAGAGCTTCTGCACAGCAAAAGAAACTATCATCAGAGTGAACAGACAACCTATAGAATGGGAGAAAATTTTTGCAAACTACCCATCTGACAGATGTCTAATATCCAGCATCGACAAGGTACTTAAATAAATTTACAAGAAAAAAACAAGCTCATTAAAAAGTGGGCAAAGGACATGAACAGACCCTTCTCAAAAGAAGACATGCGACTGGGTGCAGTGGCTCACGCCTGCAATCCCAGCACTTTGGGAGGCCAAGGCGGGCAGATCACGAGGTCAGGAGATCGAGACCATCCTGGCTAACATGGTGAAACCCCGTCTCTACTAAAAAATACAAAAAATTAGCTGGGTGTGGTGGCGGGCACCTGTAGTCCCAGCTACTCGGGAGGCTGAGGCAGGAGAATGGTGTGAACCTGGGAGGTGGAGCTTGCAGCAGTGAGCAGCTGAGATCGCGCCACTGCACTCCAGCCTGGGCAACAGAGTGAGACTCCGTCTCAAAAAAAAAAAAAAAAAGAAAGCTCAACATTACTAATCATTAGAGAAATACAAATCAAAACCATAATGAGATACCATCTTATGCCTGTCAGAACGGTTATCATTAAAAAGTCAAGAAACAACAGATGCTGGCAAGGTTGTGGAGAAAAAGGAACACTTTTACACTGTTGGTGGGAGTGTAAATGAGTTCAACCATTGTGGAAGACAGTGTGGTGATTCCTCAAAGACCTAGAGGCAGAAATATCACTTCACTCAGCAATCTCATTACTGCGTATATATACCCAGAGGAATAGATCATTCTGTTATAAAGATACATGTGTGCATATGTTCATTGCAGCTTTATTCATAATAGCAAAGACTTGTAATCAACCTAAATGTCCATCAATGATAGACTAGATAAAGAAAATGTGGTTACATATGTACCATGGAATACTGTGCAGCCATAAAAAGGAATGAGATCATGTTCTTTGCAGGGACGTGGATGGAGCTGGAAGCCATTATCCTCAGCAAACTAATGCAGGAACAGAAAACCAAATACCACATGTTCTCACTTATAAGTGGGAACTGAATGTTGAGAACACATGAACACATAGTGGGGAACAACACACACTGGGGCCTGTCGGAGGGTGTGGGTGGGAGGAGGGAGAGGGTCAGGAAGAATAGCTAATGGATGCTGCACTTAATACCTAGGTGATGGGACTATCTGTACAGCAAACCACCATGGCACACATTTACCTATGTAACAAACCTGCATATCCTGCACAGGTACCCCTGAACTTAAAATAAAAGTTGGAAAAAAAGATATTTAAAAGGAATGTTTTTAATATTAAAAAATAGAAATTGGGATTTTTTAATGCATAGATCTCTTCTTTTAACCAGCCTTTTTGAATCCTTTAAACTGTAAGATATTTGTTTAATAAGTTAATAGACTAGGAAGCAATATTTTAAATAATAGCAAGCCTTTGGAAACTCACTATTTAGCAGGAATACTTAAGATTTTTAAAACAAAGAAATGTATCATCTTCTTTTTATCACATTCACAGACTAGCTATGTTCGCCTACCTAACACAATAAGATATAAATGAGATGAAGAATATATTATACATTTTCATTTAAACAAAGCTTTTTATTTTTGTCATTCTATTAACCATGGTTTGTGAAATGATAGATTGTGGACTAAGAGAAATAATATATTATTCAGATTAACCTTACTTTCCATGAGCTTCTGCATTAATAATCAGGTTTTAATATAAGTATTACATTTGACTGACATACACTATCATTTTGTTCATAGTTAACATACTGCACAAAAGTGAAGATGTGAGAGATTCTTCTGAAGGATTGATTGCAGACAAAAATAATTCCTAGGAGAGAAACAAAGGAGAATATAATTTCCCTGACTTAGCTATTTTTTCTTTTAATTGTAAAAAACTGTACATGCCTAGTGCTTATACAATTCTGAATTTAAAAGAACGATTTTTAAACCACATATCTGGCATTATTTATTGGTGATCTCTCTAAATCAATGCTTGATTCCAAAGATATGTAGATTCATTTTGTGAATATAATCAGTATATTTGATGCACATTGCTTATCCTACTGCGTTGACCTAAGTGGAGGGTAAGAGCATGGCCTTCATAAAAATCATAAATTACTGAGTCACAAAAAGTCATGTAGTAACAAAATTCATGGATTTCCTTCTTATTTGGGACCTTATTTGGAAGGCACTCAATTATTAACAGCCCCATCTAATGACAAAATCTATTTGTTTAGCTGTTTGATTTGAAATATTAAGCTTTTTCCACCTAAAATCAATTACCAGACAAAAGTTAATTCAGGATTCACTTTAGTCTTTTTGTCGTTTACTATTATTCTCATATTAATAAATAACTAATATTAAGAAAGTACATCATTATTACAACATCAATATATTCACCCATAGTTATATTCACTCTAGATACTGTTAATCATATATGTATGCAATTAATTAAATCACCTACAAAATAGTATGCTCACCAGAAAGCCATGATGAATCAGTCCTCTGATTTTATTTTAATAATAACTACAACACTGTGTATAATTGAAATTCTCTCCAAGTGAACAAACTGACACAATCATTCATGCATTCTTACTGCAGCCATCAATTTAGACAAATTATAGTTATACATGGCCCAGAATGAAATGTTTAACACCATCTGTGCCCTAATGGAGAGAAAATGAAATGAACAAGCCATGTTTGAGTATGTGTTAAAATATTACACTCAAATCCCATCTGTGATCAAATTTTCTCTTCTAAAAGTTATTTCTCAACTTATATATTATATATTATGTATATTATGCATTTAAACAATGTAAGTTCTTCTTTATCAAGATTTTTTTCCTGGTCTTATAATTTTCATAATTGTGGGTCTAATTTCATTCTGTTATGTAAAATAAACCCCACCTTTATTTTTCCAACCCAAATGATACCAGAGGTAGCTAATATTAATGAAAGGTAGAGTGAGTAGCCGCTAAATATCTTCTTTTAAAAATTGCCTTTATGGACTTGATGTAGTTAATAAATGATAAGAAACTATTTTGGAGAATATAATATGAATTGTCACTATGGATATATTGAGAATGTAAAATGTCTTTGGAAAAAAAAGCAAAGCAGCTGAAAATTCTACATCCTGAACAATGAATGTTAATTTTAAAAATCAGGTTTCCAAATTGATTAAAAACAAGCTGCATTAAAATTATTATGGTAAAGTTTTTGGCCTATAGAGTAAAATGAGCTGCTCTACTGAGATGGTAAGTACCAACAGAATCACCTGATGGGGATTTTAAAAGTCCTGATAGCCCCTAATAGCACCTGTGGCCTCCTTGAATAGTGGTGAGAAAAATATTGAGAACCAATTGGTTGGAAGACTTAATTATGGCAACCATGTTGTGTAAATTCATCAGGGACTTTGGCTTTGTCAGATTTACATTAAAAAATTCTATATGTCTGTTTCTGCCAACTAAGCTTTTGTCCATCCCAGGCTACATATCATCCATATTCCTTCTCCTTTGCTGTAGGAATCTAAATGAAACACTTTGATCCATTAATGGAATGTAGCTGACCCAGTGCCCTCTCTGTCACAATGTTGATTCACGGCCACAACGTGCAATGGGCAGCAAGCCAGGCTGCAGATGGTGTCTAAACCCCGGTAACAGGTCATACGTGATGCTTGCTTAATGGGCTCCTCTGTCTTGAGCAAACAGATCACCCATCACAGTGGGTACGGGATTCTCGTTGTAGGAATTAGTTGCACACAATTTCCTCAGCATTCGTCAGAAAGCTGTTGGTGACCCAGATGAGGTGTTCTCTTGTAGCAAATGAAGAATCATATACTCTAATACTGGGTCACCTCCAATGCTCAGCAACCCTGGCCAGAAGAGAAGGAGATGGGGCTTCATGATTAGTGAGTATCAACCTCTGCTGGACATTTCCCCGACATGTATTATTGATGTCTCATGGCATCTCAGTGAGGCGAGTATAATTACTCACAACTATGGGCACACTGATTCAGTGATTAGGCTAGGTCTCACTGGGTTGAGACTCCAAGTCTGTCTAATGTGAGCACATGTGATTTTTTCCACTTGACCACACTGCCTCCATGTTGTTTTGGAAATTTTGCTTGCATCAATCAAAGTTCTTTCCAAAGCTTATTACCAACAGGCAACAAGGTAAATACCTAATAAAAGTGCATTTTTTTGTCATAAAATTGTGATTTGGTACAAATGGCTGTTTTGAAAACGATGTTAGTGAATACTCATTTTATCTCTTGTATTATCTAACATTTCATTTAAAAATTAAAGTCTTGTATATTTTGAAAGACATACAAGCCCAGGTCCTGGAGGTTAGCCGGGGTTGAATTTTGTATTTAGAGAATGTATCAGCATTCCTCAACTTTACCTAATGTAGTCTCCCAAGCCTCAAAGAATCTGAGACATTAATTTCTAGATAATTATGGGGGATTAACCACAAATGTTTATTCCCTCTTCCTGCCCTAAAAATGATGTTAAAGTGACAGAAGAAGAATTTAAAAGGTATGTGTCAATAAGGACAAGAGCTACAGTTTTATAAGTTGAGGGAATATCAGGCAGAAGGGCTAGAATTTGAGAATCAGAGCTGAAAATGAGGCTGGGAAGCAAATAAATGAATGTCTATATATTAAACTTTTTCCATCCCGCTTTCACAATTTCAAAGACCAGCCCATAGTGTGTACTTAAAAAATAAATAGGCTGTTCTGAAATTTCACTGAGATTCTGAAACATCCTGCATGCCAGTACTATTCACACTGCTTAATTTTGGTCTCGAGCCTGCCATGAGTTCCAGTGTGCCAGGCTTGATCAGTGGATACTTCCATCATGTATCCCTGCAGTCTGAAGACCCTATTTGCATTTTAGCAGCTACTTTCTTGGTGGGCAAGAGCATGTATTGACTTGGTGCCAAGCTAGTTGAGAAACAGCAGGCTCATTTTTACTAAGCCAGTTTGTCCACATAAAAACATGAAATTTTCTGAGTAATAATACTAGAATGTCACAACAAAGTGAACTGGGTCCTGATGGCATTTCTTCTCAACCACTGGTGGATCTTAGTATAACCCTTCACTACTGGCAACTTTAGTGGCCACAACATCGTTTTACTTCATGACAGTTGCTAAATTCTGAAGATCAGAGATGTATTAATTTTCCTTGCTTTTGGAACCACATAGATGACTCTGGAATTATAGCTCTCCCTCCCCTGCCACCCCATGAAAATTGGACAAAACCTTCCAATAGCACCCAGTAATTGATAGCTTCTAGAGGAGACAGTATCACCCAAATCTTGTTCACTGTAGGCAGTAGGCTCAATAATTGCTTTGGGTATGGCAAACTAACATCTTCACCTTTTTGTGAATCTACTGTCTCTGCTCTGGAAGCACACAACTGCCCTTCTGGCAGCACACCATCATCTTCAGGGACATAAAATCCAGCCCCAGGCCCCTCAGAGCCACAGAGAGAGCCACAGGGGTCCAGAACTTCTTGTGGAAGATGGTAGGAGACTTTAAAAGAACTTTTTATTGAAAAGACTTTGTTATGAGTTGGTACAATAGTCTCTTTCATAGATACTGAGTATGGAGTTACAGTACGACTGTTATTCCCTATTCCCTAATTTAATTAAATAAACCTTAAGCAATTTTTAAAATGTCTAACATATTGTCTTCAATACTATAGTAGAAAATAAATATGAATAAGTAATGACTCTTCCTTGAAGAAACTTATTAGAGATGATTAGATAAGCATCCAAATATATATAATACAAAGTAGAGTCCAGTGCATACCATGAAATAGGTATAGATGTAATGGATGGAGATATTGCATTTTATTGGAAGGATCTGGAAAGCTTCATAGAGGAGGACATGAAGAATGGACAGGATTTTAGTAAGTTGAAAGTTTAGGACACTATCAAAGAAGCAAATGACATGGACAAAGGCATGAAGGTAGATACATACAAAGTATTGTCTTAGGAGTTACTAGCTACCATGAAAACTATATTAATTTTTTCAGCCCCCAACAGCTGTCAAAATATTATTTAGGTCACTTTGATTCCTCATTTGCATTTTAATTCAACCATCTCTGACCTTTCTGTCAGAGAAACATTTATTTCTCCTTTTAGTTCCAGCAAGGAAGGTAAAACTTGAAGACATTGTAATTTGGGAGTATAATGTAAATGTGAATTTTTTATTTGTATCTACTTTCTGTGAAAGAGTTTGGAATATACTAGGACATCTTTATTTTCCATGGTGACTTAAAAGATGTCTGTTTTAATGATATAAAGATCATAATAACTGCAATCTCTTTGATTATCCTTGCCCACTATATAACATGTAATGGTCCTTAATTGCACTCCTTGTCAAATGAAAAAGTATTATACAAAGGAAGTGATACAGCCTGTGAACTGGTAAGTGTAGGAACTTTGTGAATTGTTCCACAGTGCGGAAGCATCCTTAATGAATCTTTGCTCACTGCTTTATCTGCCTTATTTTGAAAATGCAGTCTATGACTTACTTTTTTCTTTGACTGTGGGATGAAGTGATTACTCTTCTTCAAAGTTACCAAGTAATTAATACCATAGAATTGTTTGCACATAACTCTGAAGAAAAATCCTGAACATATCATCTGAATTATTGACAGATGGGTTTCAGAAAAGAAATTTAATTAAAGGAAAATTTATATAAAATATTAGGTCAATGTGCAGGCACATGGGAGCTGAGACAATGCTAGTCTTGAGACTGCCACATATGCTAATGCACTGTTAAATTCTAGGGAATGGCATTCATGTGATAGTCTAATGGAGGGAATGAAATTTCTGTTGCTGGGTAGTGCACAACCTCCATGGCCATACAAGGCAGCCCTGTCCATTCTTTGGGTTTTCTTTTGTTTTGCTTATTGTGGCTGAAGAGTCTCTTTGCCAAGTTTCCCTGTGTTTGTCTTCTGTCTTTCCTCTGGCTCTTACTTTTCCTAGAGCATGGCAATGGGATTCATTGGCAGCTCTGTTATCTTGGGCTGTCTTCAGCTGTGTCCTTGACTCCCTAGATTACACTGAACACTGGCATTCATATACCCACAGTCTTTGTTAAGAATTAGTAGGGAAAATTTCTCTGTGTTGCCATTTTTTTTTCTTCTGGATGTCAAGGTCTTCCCCTGTCTATGAGTTTTTATTCAGGGAGAATCGTATTTTGTCTTTTCATCCTTGTATTAGGGTGACTATATATTGTCCAATCAGAGACACTTTGAGATATATGGTCATCCTAATATAAAGGCACAAAAAGCAAACGTGATTGTCTCAAAAGGAGCTCTTGCTAATAGCACTGGAATACCAAGTATAAACTGGGACTTTTCTGGGGACTTTGGGTCATCTAATCTCTGACCCTTTTTCTTACAACTGATATGCAGTAGATTTATACCATAAAGGGCAGATACTAGAGTTTTGGAATATTTTCATTCAGTAAGTAAATAGTCATTGTCCTGTTTTCCCCAAGTGTGCCCTCACCACTGTGGCTCCTACTCTACAGATCTCCTTACTGTCTAGCATCTAATCTGGCAACCTGTAGCATGGTTGGAGGATTCTAGGCCCCTGCACAGGGGCTGAGGTTGGCATCTGATAAGGACATGTGCTATACCAGTTACTAAATAATGTTGATATTACCCTAGTCATTTTCTATCTATCTACAAAGCCCCACTTTTCTCTGTAACTTTGTCATTCTATTAAGGTCTAGTCCCAGGACTGTGAAGACACTCAAGCGTTAGTTTGCTGTTTCATTCCTACATACATGTGAGCCATATCCAATTTGCTAGGAGTTATTTGTGTACATATAATAAATACCAAGCTATTTTTTGATGCAAGGAGAAGGTATTTGATTTTGTTATTAACATCACAGAACTGCAGTATGATTAAATTTACTGTAAGCAAGCAGCTTTGAAAAAAGAGCTCTGTCTCTTGTCACAATCTCAGCATTGTAGAAGATTGTTTCTGTCTGTGATTCTACTCCCCTGACTGGAATGTGGAGAAGATGACTAGTTATATAAATAAGATTAGAAAAACTAGAGGAGTGTTTCAAAGAAGCACTAAAACAGATAATGTTTAGATAACTAAAAAGAAGTTAGAAAACTATTGTGTCTTTTGCTTAAAAATCATATACCAAAATATTTTCAGTTATTGGGTCAAATTAAGATCTTCCCAGGAGCAATAGAGGAAAAGAAAAAAAATGAGATGAAACAAAAAACTCCCCTTTTTAGGAGCATTAATTTTAAAAAAGGATGAAATACTCCCCTCCCATAGGGCAAGTGTGAATTGAAGGATGAGCTCTAGATCAAAAGTTGATATTTTCATGGCTTTATATTAATGTGAGATCTGAAATTTTTAAAATGCTAAGAGGCAATTGACAAAAGCTTCTTTGGGAAGTTGGTATCTTTTTTTGTAATGCACAGAACTAAATAAGGGGAAGACAGAAGGTCTAGGGATGTGGTGAAGCTGTGGAAAGAGCATTATAATCTAGAGTCAGGAAGGCCTGGGTTCAAATCCCAATTCTGCCCTTTGGTAACTAATGTCTGTGTAGAATGACTTCCTCATCTTAGAACAACATAAATATTCCTTTCCCTATGAACTTGTTGTCAGCATTTAGCAATTTAATGTAGGCAAAATACCTACTACCAACCCTACTCCATAGTAAACACTTAATAAATCTGCACTTTAGAATCTGGAATATTTTGATGCAAACTGCAGAAACTAAGGAGTAGCCTAAGGCAAAGAGAAAGGAAGGGTCAGTGTGACCTGAAAACTGGATGGGTCTGTATATGTCAAGGTCTGTGGAGTGTGTGGAGAGCTGAAAGAAGAGTACGCAATATAGGAAGCAGAAAGAATGAAGCTAGGGCTTGTTGAAGAGATATCAGCAGCTGATTTCATTTATCAAGTTAAGATCAGAAAGCAACCTGGCTTATACATGATGGCCTTGCTTCTCTGAGACTCAAAAAGAGACTTGTGGCAATTTCTGGACCTAGAATGAAAAGAAAGGCATACTGTTAGAATTATTGTGCCCCGTGGGTCAGTTTATAGCCTTGTTGGGTTTATAGCCTTGAAGTTCATAGACTCCCGGGGGAGCTCTAATTGTGCTTCAGGAGGCTTTTTGAGCCTCCTGAAATTGAGTGCAAAATTTGGTACATATTTGTATTTTCTGGGAACAGGTTCCATTGCTTTTTTCAGATTCAACAAGTTTCTGATTTCTGATTCTTCTGGTTCTGGTAGTTAACTCCCCAGTACTCATTTCATAGCTTGCACATCGTATGTCAGCAATATATTTTTGAGAATTAATATCAGTTTTGGGGGAGCATACTTGATCTAAGGGTAACTCCATGCTCTTTTGCAAAATTTGCTTCAAATTCAGAAAGAATAGATGAATAAACCTGATGTACCCATCACCCAGCTTTTCCCCTTCACCCTTGAGAGAGAAAAGCTGCCCTTCCTCCAAATGCACATGTCTGAGGAAGCATTTGGCCCAGCCTGGAAACCAGCCTACAATATGAGATGAGGAATCTGACACTGTGGGTGTAAGAGCAAAGAGAGGAAAAGAACTAGAATCTTCATGACATTGTTGAGCCACTGGTTCAACAATGTTCTGAAGCCTGGACTATGTCTGGGCTTCCTCTCCTGTGAGCTAATAAATGTTCTTATTTAAATAAGCTTGAATAAGGTTTTATGTCACTTGCAACCAAGCGTATCCGATTAGTCCCCAAAGTTTGAAAGCCAATGGTTTACACTGCATTAAAAAAGAGACATCTTAGCGAATGCTTAAATGAACTGATCAGGGTTTAAAAAGTATTTCAGCATAACTAGATAATATGATGTATTTGTGTACTTTACCTCATCTACAGTACTTAAATAACTAGCTTTTCTCTCTGAGGTAGTTGTAGGAGTGCCCCAAACCCTTTCATAGTGGTAAGAGAATAAAAGAGCACTACCATTTAAAAGAAGGAAGAGTGGGAAAGTTAGAGTGTGTATGTGTGAGGTTTTTAGTTATGCAGTGTATACATTTTATGGAATCACAACAGTTCAGAAAAGCTGAGGCATACAAAAAATGTAATTGAGAGGGTCTCTGTCTCAAGACATCACTGGGGAGGGAGATGTCTGCTTTTAGGTCTTGATCTATGGTGCCACTGGCTAGCCTTTTGATCTAGAAGTGATCCTTCTGTTTTGGTGTTTGCCATTGGTGATTGTAGTGCTCCAGCTGCATTGGCAACGGTATGGTGTGTGGACAACAACCCAACTCATGCTCTACCCCTGCCTCTACCACCTGCAAAGACACAAATCCAAATCCAAACTTTAGTGGTGTACTATCTACCCTGGATCTTACTGACATGCATTCCTTGTCCAGACTGCACAGCCCTAAATAGGCATATCATCTTGCTTTATCTCCAGAGGACTCTCCCGAAACCCCACTCAGAACCCACAGGTACTTTCAAATGCTCTCTATACCACTTTAGGTTATGAACAACTTGGGAGGATGAGGAGGATAATCTGTAGCCCTCTCATGGCTAGATCTGCTGTGCTGCTATCTCTATAGACCCCACTATGACTATGTGAAGGTGCTTCTTCCAACATTTCAGACAGAAAGCTAGGCAAATGTCTACTCTACTCTTGGAACTCAAAGAGAAACCTGGGAGGAATTCTGTGAGTCTGTTCTTGCTACTATACTGTTTGCCTTTTTATCAATCACTCAGGTTACTGCATAGACAGCATAGTATTCTAGTCTGCAGAAGATACAATGCTGGGAGAAATAGCTGAACACAAAATAATAGCCGGAAACACTTGTCTAGTGCTCACTATATCCACTCTTCTATGTGATTTGCATAAATTAGTTCATTTGATTCTTATTTCACAGATGAGGAATGGTGTATTGAGACATCAAGTCACTTGCCCAAGGCCACATAGCAAGGAAATGATAGAGTTAAGTTTTGAGCCCGAGTAGACTGGATCTAAAGTACAAGCTCTTAATCATTATGTATTGAAGGCCTTTAGCATGATCTAATAGAATGGATTCTTTAGATTTCCTAAAACAAGGGATAGAAAATGACAGTGGGAAGGGGGTGACTATTTAGTGGTCTGTATAAAAAAGAACAAGGCTTTTTAGTTGGTCGTAATCTGGATTTGAACAGCAGATAAGTAAGCTGCTCCTAAGAAGGAAGCAGTCTTCTGACCAAAAAAACTATGGTTCAGGAGACAGAAAGTGAATATTTTATCATACTCTAACTACTTTGACCCATAGGACTATGCTGGAATACTTTAAGTCTGGTGTCGGAGTTCATGATGAATTTTGTCAGGCTCAAGAGGTCTAGGACATTTGCCAACATTTTCTTCAGTCCAGTGACCACTTCTCATGACGGGAGACAAAAGCTTGGCAAAGAGGTCATGTAATGCCAGCTTTCAGATATTCCAAGAATCATCATAAGGAAGAGGCATAGATTGTGAGGTTACAGAGTTAATATCTTAAGATCAGAAACAATCATCTAAATACTCAAAGTCTTCAAAATGTTCAAAGACAATAGTCAAGGCTACCTCATTAAGTAGTGAGCTCTCAGGCAATAGAAGGTTCAAGTATTTGAATCACGATTTGTTGAACACCCTATTTGTTGGAAAATTATATCAATTAGAATACCATTCCAACAAGACTGTTTTAAGAATCTTTACAAAGATAGGTTAGGCCCCCCAAAATGTGTCTCACACAGTTGTTAACTAGAAAATACCAAATTAGTATAGGCTTTTCAAAACTCTTATTAGTACATACTGACGGGCAATATTACAAACAAAATATGAAAGAATAATATTTATGATGAAACATATAAACTGCTTAATATGCATTTTGGAAAAATGTTGGAAACTCAATTTCAGATGAATGTTTTCCTGCCACTTTACTGTTTTTGAGTGCTGTCTTTGGGGAAATATTGCAATAAATAAAAGTGGGAAAGTTAAGTGGCTGAGCACCCTGTCAAGATGCCCTGTACAGCAAGTGCACTTGTGATAAGTGCAGAAGGGAGAAAAGGTTAATGTAATCAGAGAAATGCGTTCTGGGTCACCCTAAAGAACATGTCTTGTGAGTCATCTGTGTTCACATTTCTTTGAACTTTGTCTATCCTAACGGAGATGAAGCAATTACATAGACATAATGTCTTACCCTTTTAGTACAATGCATTCCGCATTCCTCAATCCATTCATCATCATCAGTGATATTTGTATTCAATGCTGTCATGCAGAGCTAGCTGCCAACAATTATTAAAAAGAAAGCCATAAGGTCATACATTTAGGAGATAAAGCAAAACCAATTATTACAATGTGTACTATGAAGACATCAATCCATTAAGGGGAAAAATCACTAAGCTCCTCAAAGATACTTTTGCATCAAGGATTATCTTGTATTCAGAGACCTAAAGTAAATGAAGTGATTATCTGTCACTTGTAGTTCCTCCTCTCTGAAATGAAATCCACAATGACTGTAGCATTGCTGCATAGCAACTTCCCTCTCTCTTTTTGCTCACCATTTTACCTATATTCTCACTGGTTAATTTCTCTGGACTTTCCTTATTACCTGCTTTTATCCTTCAAAAGCAAACAATAAAAATATTCTCAGAGGCCAGGTGTGGCAGTTCGTGCCTGTAATCCCAGCACTTTGGGAGGCCATGGTGAGAGGATTATTTGAGCCCAGGAGTTTGAGACTGGCCTGGGAAACATGGCGAAACCCTGTCTCTACAAACAATACAAAAATTAGCTGGGCGTGGTGGCATGTGCCTGTGGTCCCAGCTACTCAGGAAGCTGAGGTGGGAAGATCACCCAGGTCCAGGAGGTGGAGGCTGCAGTGAGCTGAGATCGCACCACTGCACTCCAGCCTGGGTGACAGAGCAAGACCCTGACTCAAAAAACAAAACAAACACAAAAGAAACTTTAAGATTTCATTACTAGAAATATTTGATGTAGCAAGTGTCCTGTCTGCCACAGTGTTAGTACTATTCTTCCCAGCTTCTTAGACAAAGAAAGGGGCTGTTTTAAATATATGTATTTTCTTTTCTCTTTCTTCTCTTTTACATCTCCTTTCTCCCCCTTCCTCCTCCTCCCCTTCTCCTCATGCCCCACTCATCTTCCGCCTTCCTTTCTCTCCTCTTCTCCTTCTTCTTCTCTTCCTACCTGCCCCTCCTCTTCTTTCTCCTTTCCTCTCCTCCTTCTCTTCCTCATCCAACTTCTGCCTCTCCCCACTCCATGATTACCTTCAAAATGAAGTTGTTGATCCGAATCAGTTTTCCGATGCCACTAATAAAATAGCATGTACATAGTGCTTGCTATTTGCAGAGCAGTGTTCTAAAGGCATTACATATATTGACTGATTTAATCTTCTCAACAACCCTAGGAGATAGGCAGTACTGATAAATCCTTTCATAGAAGAAAAACTGAAATATCAAGAAGTTACATAATTTGCCATTTGTCATATGGCTAATGAGGTCTGATATGGTTTGGCTCTGTGTCCCTACCCAAATCTCACCTTGAATTGTAATAATCCCCATGTTTTAAGGGTGGGATCAGGTGGAGATAATTGAATCACGGATGCGGTTTTCCCCCGGCTGTTCTCATGATACTGAGTGAGTTCTCACGAGATCTGATGGTTTTAAAAGGGGCTTTCCTTCACTCGGCTCTCATTCTCTCTGCTGCTGCCTTGTGAAGAGGTGCCTTCTGTGATTGTAAGTTTCCTGAGTCCTCCCTAGCCATGTGGAACTGAGAGTTAATTCAACCTCCTTCTTTTATGAATTTCCCAGTCTCAGGTATTTCTTCATAGCAGCTTGAGAACAGACTAATACAAGGTCTGAGCATAGCACTGTGATTGAAAGGCCATGCCTGAACCATTAATATGCACCACTCCTCTAACTCTAGGGTCTTCCAGAGCAGCGATTTCCTTAGAGGCTAAGGAAGAAGGAAATTAACATATACTGATTGCCTAATTTATCCCAGGCCCTCCCACGTGTTGTATAGCTAGATCTCTGCAACAATACTACAAATCAGGCATTATTATCTCTGCTTCACAAACAAAGTTAAAAACATTGTCCAATGTCACGCTGTGAGCCACAAAAACAGATTTTCATGTAGCTGATTCTGTAAGGTACCCTCTTTGGAACATACTAGAGTATGGCCTGTAACTAGAGATGCAATGAGTAGCCTTTACCTGAGGCCTCATCTTTGGCATTATCTTCATGCTCTGATATTTGTGTCTAAATAACCTCTTGGATACTCTAGAAGACTTGAACTACCTAGTCAAGGCTGCATCTGCCTCCTTTAACCTGGTCTTAAGAATTTATTGTCTGGCCATGGTGGCTCACGCCTGTAATCCCAGCACTTTGGGAGGCCACGGCGGGCAGATCACCTAACGTCAGGAGTTTGAGACCAGCCTGGCCAACATGGGGAAACCCCATCTCTACTAAAAATACAAAAATTAGCTGGGAATGGTGATGTGCATCTATAATCTCAGCTACTCTGGAGGCTGAGGGAGAATTGCTTGAACCCAGGAGGCAGAGGTCACAGTGAGCCGAGATCGCACAAATGCACTCCCACCTGAGCGACATGGCGAGACTCCATCTCAAAAAAAAAGGGAAGAATTTATTTTTTATTTTTATTTTTTTTTTTTAATTTTGAGTCAGGGTCTCATTCTGTCATCTAGGTTGAAGTGGAGTGGTGTGATCATGGCTCACTGCAGCCTTGACCTCCTGAGATCAAGCCGTCTTCCTACCTCAGCCTGCCATGTAGCTGGGACTACAGGGGTACACCACCATGCCTGGATAATTTTTGTATTTTTTGTAGATTTGGGCATGTCCCTGTGTTGGCCGGGCTGGTCTTGAACTCCTCAGCTCTAGCAGTTCTCCCACGTTGGCCTCCCAAAGTGCTGGGATTACAGGTGTGAGCTACTGTGCTAAGCTAATAATTCATTTTTTTAATCTAGAAGACTCACAAGGCCTCATCTGGTCCTGACTCTGATATACACCACAAATTTTTGTCTTTCTTTGTTACCCCAATTCCTAAAATGAGATATTGAGAAGCAATACTTAAAGGAGAACCATATGTATCAAATTCTAAGAATTATTAGATTGAACCACAGGGGACTAATGCTTTTGTGTATTAAATAAGTAAAACAGTATAATTTCATATGGGTCAACATCATTTAAGTTTTATATTCCCCATTTTTATTTCCACTTATGTAAAAATAATTATAGAAAATATACTATTTTTAAGGTAAACATAATCTTATTATCAAGGAAAAATTACCAGGACGTTTTATATAATTTTATTTCTTATATAAGTCATAAGTGTGAATCAAACAGCCCTGGCAGCTAGTGTCTGCCATGCTGCTACATCGTAAAGGACACTTTAAAAAATACAATGAGTTCCATGAAAATAAAAATACAACATATCCAAATATATGGAATGCATGAAATCAGTGCTGAGAGGGAAATTTATAGCACCAAATGCTTACTTTAGAAAATAAAAGTTCTCAAATTAATAATTGAACTTTCTATCTAAAGAAACTGGAAAAACAATAGTTAGATACTCCCCTGACAAGCAGAAGATGGAAGTAATACAAATAAGGACAGAATCAATAATCTTGAAAACAGAAAAACAATAGAGAAAATCAGTGAAGCAAAAAACTGGCTGTAAAGGTCAACAAAATTGATATACTTCTAAAAGACTAAAAACATTTAAAAAGAGAAAATTTAAATTACTCATATTAGGAATGAAACAGGGTGTGTGATTATAGACCTTTTAGACATCATAAGAATAGTAAGTAAATATTACAAACAATTCTACATGTAAACTTGACAGTTTGTTGAAATGAATAAATGCCTCAAAAAGCGCAAACTACCAGAACTCAATATGAAATATATAATCTGAATAACTCCATAACTATTAAAGAATTTGTATTTATAATTTAACCTTCTCCTTCCCCCCAAAAAACCCTCCAGGCACAGACAGTTGCACTGGTGAATGCTTCCAGGCTTTTAAAGGATAACTAATAATAATTCTATAAAACCTCTTCCAGAAAATAGAAGAGAGAACACTTTCCAATTCATTTTATGTGATCAGCACTAATTTGATGCCAAAATCTGGCAAAGGCATTACAAGAAAAAAAGTAAACTATGCAGCAATATTCCACATGAACATATACACAATGCTCAATAAAATATTAGTAAGTTGAATTCAGCCATATGTAAAAGAGTCGTGATCAACAACTGAGTGAGGTTAATTACATGAATGCCAAGTTGATTTAATGTTTAAAAATAAATCAATTTAATTCATTATGTTAGAGACTAAAAGGAAAACCACATGATCATAACAATTGACACAGCAAAAGCATTTGAAAAATTTAATATTCACATTCATGAGTTTTATATTTTAAAAAATTCATTTTCAATATTTATGAGTTTTATAAAAACTCAGCAAACTCAGACTATAAGGGAATATACTTAACCTGATAAAAGGCATCTATAAAAATGGCAAACCTAATTTAATATTTAATTGTGAAATACGAAATGCTTTCCAGAAAAAAAGTAAGAACGTTTAATCTCAACTCTTCTATTCAACAATGTACTAAAAGTTCTAGTTATTGCAATAAGACGAGTAAAAGAAATTAGGCCAATCGAGCCAAGATAGCCAATTAGAAGCAGGTGTGGTCTGTGGCATTCACAGAGAGGAATGATCAAAGAGGAGTGTGAATTCAGCACCTTCAACTGAAATATCCAGGTTCTTGCATTGGGACTGACCAGGCAAACAATCCAACCCACAAAGAACAAAGAAAACTAGGGAGCTGGTGGGACAATGGCCCAACTGGGAGTGGCACCGAGAGGAACCCCCAACCCCAGCCAAGGGAAGTGGTAGGTGATTATGCAACCTGGACTGGGAAACCATGCTTCTCCCATGGACCTTTACAATCCATGGATCAGGAGATTCCCTCATGAGCCCACACCACCAGGGCCTTGGGTCTGATACACAGAGCTGTGTGGAGTCTCGGCAGAGCAGCTGTTCAGGCATAGACAGAGGCCCAGGAGTTTTACATTCTCCCACCCCAGGATTCCTGTCAAGGTGCGAAATCCATCCATACATATACTTAGGAAGGGGGCTAAATCCAGGGAGCCAAGCAGCTTATTTCTGAGGGCCCCACTCCCACGGAACCTCATAAGTTAAGACCCACTGGTTTGGAATCCCAACCTGCCAATGGCAGTGGGTTGGAGTCTGCCTGAGATGGGTCTGAGGTCCTGTGTGGAGGGGTGACCACCATCTCTGCAATTCTGTTGATTTAGCCACTCCAGCCTGCCAGCTATGGAGAATACAGATGATCAGATGAGGATGGGTCCTTTACAACACAGTACAGCTGCCTTGCCAGAGCAAAGCCAGACTGCTTCTTTAAATGGGACCCCAATCCATTCTTTCTTACTGGCAGGACCTCCCTGTGGGGGCTTCAACCATGCCAGCAAGAGTTCTATGGACAGAGCTCTGATCTTTCCCTGGGAGGAAGCCCTCAGGAGGTGGGGCAGCTGCCATTTCTGCAGTTCGGTTCACTTAGTTGTTTCAGTCTGCTGGCTGTGGAGAATACAGATGGTCTGGATGAGGAAGGGTCCACCGCAGTGCAGCACAGCTACCTTTCCAGATTGTGGCCAGACTGCTTTTTTTTTGAGACAGAGTCTCGCTCTGTCACCCAGGCTAGAGTGCGGAGGCGCGATCTCAGCTCACTGCAAGCTCCGCCTCCCGGGTTCACGCCATTCTCCTGCCTCAGCTTTGCGAGTAGCTGGGACTACAGGCGCCTGCCACCGCGCCGGCTAATTTTTTTGGTATTTTTAGTAGAGACAGGGTTTCACCTTGGTCTCGATGTCCTGACCTCGTGATCTGCCCGCCAAGTGGGATCCCGATCCATTCCTCCTCACTGGGCAGGATCTCCTTGCAGGGGCTTCAGCCACTCCAGCCAGGGTTCTACAGATAAAACTCTGATCTCTCCCTGGGATGGAGTTCCTGGGGGAAGGGCTGCCACCATCTCTGTGGTCCTGTTGATTCAGCTGCTCCAGCATGCAGACTGTGGAGAATACAGGCTGTCTGGACAAGGAAGGGTCTCCCAGAGTGCAGCACAACTGCTCTACCAAAAAGCAGTCAGACTGCTTCTTTGGGTAAGTCACTGATTCTGTTCCTCCTGACTGGGTAAGCCCTCCCAATGGGGGTCTCCAGCAACCTCCTGATGCATGTGGGTTGGCAACAGGTCAGAACCGCCCCGGGATGGAACTTCCACAGGAAGGAGCTTGCTACTATCTTTGCTGTTTTAAAGGCTTCACTGGTGATAAGTCCAGGTATGGGAAAAAAACAAGGCAACTGGGATCTGGACCAGACCCCCAGCAAACTTCAGCAGACCTATGATAGAATGGCCTGAGGGTTATTATAAAAGAAAAACAAACACACAAACAAAAAACAACAGCATTAAAAAAAAAACCCACAAGGCCGGGCGCGGTGGCTCACGCCTGTAATCCCAGCACTTTGGGAGGCCGAGGCGGGCGGATCATGAGGTCAGGAGATCGAGACCATCCTGGCTAACACAGTGAAACCCCGTCTCTACTAAAAATACAAAAAATTAGCCGGGCGTGGTGGCGGGCGCCTGTAGTCCCAGCTACTCGGGAGGCTGAGGCAGGAGAATGGCGTGAACCCGGGAGGCGGAGCTTGCAGTGAGCCGAGATCGCGCCACTGCAGTCCAGCCTGGGCGACAGAGCGAGACTCCGTCTCAAAAAAAAAAAAAAAAAAAAAAAAAAAACCCACGAAAACCTTATTCAAATGTTAGCAACCTCAAAGATCGAAGGTAGATAAGCCTACAAAGATGAGAAATAATCAACACAAAAATGCTGAAAACTCAAAAAACCAGAGTGCTTCTTCTCAAAATGATTGCAGCACCTCTCCAGGAAGGGCACAGAACTGGACTGAGGCTGAGATGGCTGAATTGACAGAAGTAAGCTTCAGAAAGTGAGTAATAACAAACTTTGCTAAGCTAAAGGAGCATGTTATAATGTAATGCAAACAAGCTAAGAATCATGATAAAACATTACAGGAGCTGATAGCCAGAATAGCCAGTTAAGAGAGAAACATAACCAACCTGATGGAGCTGAAAAACACAACACAAGAAATTCATAATGCAATCATAAGCATCAATAGCAGAATAGACCAAGCAGAGAAAAGAATCTCAGAGCTTGAAGGTTATCTTTCTGAAATAAGATAGACAGACAAGAATAGAGAAAAAATAATTAAAAGGAATGAACAAAACCTCTGAGAAATATGGGATTACGTAAAGAGACTGAACCTATGGCTGATTGGGATACCTGAAAGAGACAGGGAAAATGAAAACAAGTTGGAAAACATACTTCAGGATATCATCCAAGAGAACTTCCCCAATTTAGCAAGACAGGGCAACATTCAATTTTGGGAAATGCAGAGAACCCCAGTCAGATACTCCATGAGAAGATCAACCCCAAGACACCTAACCATCAGACTCTCCAAGGTTGAAATGAAATAAAAAATATTAAGAACAGCCAGAGAGAAAGGACTGTTCACCTACAAAGGGAAACCCATCATACTAAAAGCAGAACTCTCAGTGGAAACCCTATAAGCCAAAAGGATTGGGAAGCAATATTCAACATTCTTAAAGAAAATAATTTCCAACCCAGAATTTCATATCTGGCTGAACAATAGTTCATAAGCAAAGGAGAAATAAGATTTTTTTCAGACAAGCAAATGCTGAGGGAATTTGTCACCACTGGGCCTGCCTTGCAAGAGCTCTTGAAGAAAGCACTAAATATGGAAAGGAAAAACCATTACCAGCCACTACAAAAACACACTGAAATACATGAGCCAGTGACACTATGAAGCAACCACATAAACAAGTCCTTAAAATAACCACATAACCAAGTCTTTAAAATAACCAGCTAGCATCATGATGACAGGATCAAATTCACACATAACAATACTAAATGTAATGTAAATGGGCTAAATGCCCCAATTAAAAGACACAAAATAGCAAGCTGGATAATGAGCCAAGATGCCATTGGTATTCTGTTTTCAAGAGACCCATCTCACATGCAAAGCACACATATGCTCAAAATAAAGGGATGGAGAAAAATTTACCAAGTAAATGGAAAACAGAGAAAAGCAGGGGTTGCAATACTACCTTCTGACAGAACAGACTTTAAACGAACAAAGATTAAAAGAAGACAAAGAAGGGCATTACATAATGGAAAAGGGTTCAATTCAAGAAGAAGAGCTGACTCTCCTAAACGGACTCAATACAGGAGCACCCAGATTCATAAAGAAAGTTCTTAGAGACCTACAAAGAGACTTAGACTCCAACACCATACTAGTAGGAGAATTTAACACTCCACTGACAATATTAGGTCATTGAGACAGAAAATTAACAAAGGTATTCAGAACCTCAACTCAGCTTTGGATCAAGTGGATGTGATAGATATCTACAGAACTCTCCACATAATGGAGACCATATTGTCCAATGTGAACATATTGGTAACATAATCAGAAGTAAAACATTCCTCAGCAAATGCAAAATAACTGAGATAATAATAAACAGTCTCTCAGACCATCATGCAATCAAATTAGAATTCAAGATTAGGAAATTCTCTAAAACCACACAACTACATGAAAATTGAACAACCTGCTCCTGAGTGATTCTTGGGTAAATAATGAAATTAAGGCAGAAAACAAAAAGTTCTTTGAAACTAATAAGAACAAAGAGACAACATACCAAAATCTTTGGGATGCAACTAAAGCAGTGTTTTTTAATTTAATTTAATTTTATTTTATTTTGTATATTTTTATTATACTTTAAGTTCTAGGGTACATGTGCACAATGTGCAGGTTTGTTACATATGTATACATATGCCATGTTGGTGTGCTGCACCCATTAACCTGTCATTTACATTAGGTATATCTCCTAATGCTATCCCCTCCCTCCCCCATCCCACAACAGGCCCCAGTGTGTGATGTTCCCCTTCCTGTGTCCATGTGTTCTCATTGTTCAATTCCCACCTATGAGTGAGAACATGCGGTGTTTGGTTTTTTGTCCTTGCGATAGTTTGCTGAGAATGATGGTTTCCAGCTTCATCCTTGTCCCTACAAAGGACATGAACGCATCATTTTTTATGGCTGCATAGTATTCCATGATGTATATGTGCCACATTTTCTTAATCCAGTCTATCATTGTTGGACATTTGGGTTGGTTCCAAGTCTTTGCTATTGTGAATAGTGCCGCAATAAACACACGTGTGCATGTGTCTTTATAGAAGCATAATTTATAATCTTTGGGTATATACCCAGTAATGGGATGGCTGGGTCAAATGGTATTTCTAGTTCCAGATCCCTGAGGAATCGCCACACAGTCTTCCACAATGGTTGAATTAGTTTACACTCCCATCAACAGTGTAAAAGTGTTCCTATTTCTCCACATCCTCTCCAGCACCTGTTGTTTCCTGACTTTTTAATGATCACCATTCTAACTGGTGTCAGATGGTATCTCATTGTGGTTTTGATTTGTATTTCTCTGATGGCCAGTGATGATGAGCATTTTTTCATGTGTCTTTTGGCTGCATAAATGTCTTCTTTTGAGAAGTGTCTGTTCATATCCTTCGCCCACTTATTGATGGGGTTGTTTGTTGTTTCTTGTAAATTTGTTTGAGTTCTTTGTAGATTCTGGATATTAGCCCTTTGTCAGATGAGTAGATTGCAAAAATGTTCTCCCATTCTGTAGGTTGCCTGCTCACTCTGATGGTAGTTTCTTTTGCTGTGCAGAAGCTCTTTAGTTTAATTAGATCCCATTTGTCAGTTTTGGCTTTTGTTGCCATTGCTTTTGGTGTTTTAGACATGAAGTCCATGCCTGTGTCCTGAATGGTATTGCCTCGGTTTTCTTCTAGGGTTTTTATGGTTTTAGGTCTAAAATTTAAGTCTTTAATCCATCTTGAATTAATTTTTGTATAAGGTGTAAGGAAGGGATCCAGTTTCAGCTTTCTACTTATGGCTAGCCAGTTTTCCCAGCACCATTTGTTAAACAGGGAATCCTTTCCCCATTTCTTGTTTTTGTCAGGTTTGTCAAAGATCAGATAGTTGTAGATGTGTGGTATTATTTCTGAGGGCTCTGTTCTGTTCCACTGGTCTGTATCTCTGTTTTGGTCCCAGTACCATGCTGTTTTGGTTACTGTAGCCATGTAGTATAGTTTGAAGTCAGGTAGCGTGATGCCTCCAGCTTTGTTCATTTGGCTTAGGATTGACTTGGTAATGTGGGCTCTTTTTTGGTTCCATATGAACTTTAAAGTAGTTTTTTTTCCAGTTCTGCGAAGAAAGTCATTGGTAGCTTGATGGGGATGGCATTGAATCTGTAAATTACCTTGGGCAGTATGGCCATTTTCATGATATTGATTCTTCCTAGCAGTGTTAAGAGGGAAATTTATAGCACTAAGTGCCCACATCAAAAGCTAGAAAGAGGTCTAGTTAACAACCTAACATCACAACTAAATGAGCTAAAAAACCAACAGCAAACAAACCCCAAAGCTAGCAGAAGGCAAGAAATAACCACGATCAGAGATGAACTGAATGAGATAGAGACACAAAAAAATCCCTTCAAAAAATCAACAAATCCTGGAGGTGTTTTTTTGAAAAAATTAATAAAAGAAATTGCCACTAGCTAGACTAATAAAGAAAAAAGAGAGATTATTCAAATAAATACAATCAGAAATGATAAAGGGAATATCACCACTGACCCCACAGAAATAATAACAACCATCAGAGAATACTATAAATACCTCTATGCACAGAAACTAAAAAATCTAAGAGAAATGAATAAATACCAGACACGTACACCCTCCCAAGATTGAGCCGGAAAGAAACTGAATCCCCAAATAGACCAATATTGAGTTCTGAAATTGCGGCAGTAATAAATACCCTACCAACCAAAAAAGCACAGGGCCAGATGGATTCACAGCTGAATTCTACTAGAGGTACAAAGAAAAGCTGGTACCATTTCTACTGAAACTATTCCAAAGAATTGAAAAAGAGGCACTCCTCCCTAACTCATTCTATGAGGCCAGCATCATCCTGATACCAAAACCTGGCAGACATACAACAAAAAAAAGAAAACTTTAGGCCAATATCCTTGATGAACATCGATGCAAAAATCCTCAATAAAATACTGGCAAACCGAATCCAGCAGCACATCAAAAAGCTTATCCACTACGATCAAGTAGGCTTCATTCCTGGGATGCAAGTTTGGTTTAACATATGCAAATCAATAAATGTGATATATCACATAGACTGAACTCAAGACAGAAACCACATGATCATCTCAATAGATGCAGAAAAGGGCTTTGATAAAATGTAACATCCTTTCATGTTAAAAACTCTCAATAAACTAGGTATTAAGGGAACATACCTCAAAATAATAAGATCATATATGACAAACTGAAGGCCAATATCACACTGAATGTGCAAAAGCTGGAAGCATTTCCTTGAAGACTGGCAAAAGACCATGATGCCCTCTCTCACTACTCCTATTCAACATAGTATTGGGAGTTCTGGCCAGGGCAATCAAAGAAGAGAAAGAAATTAAGAAGATTCAAATAGGAAAAGAGGAAGTAAAATTATCTTTGTTTGCAGATGAATTTCATATTTGGCCAAACTAAGCTTCATAAGTAAAGGAGAAATGAAGTCCTTTTCAGACAAGCAAATGCTAAGGGACTTCATTACCACTAGACCTGCCTGATAAGAAGTCCTAAAGGGAGTGCTAAACAGAAATTAAAGAACAATACGTGCCACCACAAAACACCCTTAAGTACATAGCCCATTGGCACTACAAAGGAATTAGGCAATCAAGTCTACATAAAAACCAGCTAACAGCATGATGACAGAATCAAATCCTCACATATCAATATTGACCTTAAGTGTAAATTGGCTAAATGCCTAATTTAAAAGGCATAGAGCGGCAAGTTGAGTAAAGAAGCAAGACCCAACTGTCTGCTGTATTCAAGAGGCTCATCTCACAAGTAACAACACCCATAGACTCAAAGTAAAGGGATGGAGAAAGATCTATCAGGCAAACTGAAAACAAAATAGAGCAGGCATTGCTATTCTTATATCAGATAAAACAGGCTTTAAGCCAACAATGATCAAAAAGGACAAAGAAGAATATTGCAAAAATATAAAGGGTTCAATACAACAAGAAGATTTTACTAGCCTAAATATATACACACCCAATATTAGAGCAATCAGATTTATAAAACAAGTTCTTAGAGATCTACAAAAGGATTTAGACAAACACACAATAATAGTGGGGAATTTCAATACCCCACTGACAGCGTCAGACAGATCATTGAGGCAGAAAACTAACAAAGATATTTGGAACTTAAACTCAACATTGACCAGTTGGACCTGGACATTTACAGAACACTCCACCCAACAACAACAGAATATACATTCTTCTTACCTGCACATGGCACATACTTTAAGATTGACCATATGGTCAGCCATAAAGCAAGTATCAACAAATTAAAAAAAAACACTGAAATCATACCAACTACAGTCTTGGATCACAGCTGAATAAAAATAGAGATCAATACTAAGAAGATCTATTAAAACTATACAATTATTTGGAAGTTAAACAACCTGCTCCTAAATGACTTTTGGGTAAAGAACAAAATTGAGGAAGAAATCAAAACATTTTTGGAAACTAATGAAAATAGACACAATATATCAGACTATTTGGGACACAGATAACACTGTGTTAAGAAGAAAGTTTATAGCTCTAAACATCTACATTAAGAAGTTACAAAGATCTCAAATAAACAACCTGGTATTGCACCTACCAATTTCAGGAACAAGAAAAACAAGAACAAACCAACCCCAAAGCAAGCAGAATATAAGAAATAACAAAAATCAGAGCTGAACTCAATAAAATTGAAATGCAAAAATTTATATAAAAGATCAATAAACCCAAAAGTTGGTTCTTCTAAACATTAAACACGATCGATAGATGGCTAGTTCGATTAATGAAGACAAAAAGAGAGAACACACTCAGAAAAGACAAAAGTGACCATAAAAACAAACCTGCAGAAACACAAAAATATCCTCAGAGACTATTATGAAAACCTCCATGCATACAAACTAGAAAACTTAGAAGAAATAAACTATTGGAAACACACAACCTCCCAAGATTGAACCAGAAAGAAATTAAAATGCTGAACAGGCTGATAACAAGTTCCAAAACTGAATGAGTTATAAAAAGCCTACCAACCAAAAAAAAAAAAGCCCTGGACCAGACAGATTCACAGCTGAATTTTACCTGAGATACAAAAGGAGAGCAGTTAACAATTCTGCTGAAACTATTCCAAAACATCGAGGAAGAGGAGGGACTCCTACCTAACACTTTCTATGATGCTAAAATCATCCTGCTACCAAATCCAGCAAAGACACAATGATAAAAGAAAACTTCAGGCCAATATCCCTGATGAACATAGAAGTAAAAATCCTCAACAAAATACTAGCAAACTGAATCCAGCAGCACATCAAAAAGTTAATTCACTACTATTATGTAGGCTTTAATCCTGGGATGTAAGATTGATTCAACATATGCAAATCAATAAATGTGATGCACCACATAAACAGAACTAAAAACAAAAACCACATGATCATATCACTGGATGCAGAAAAAGCATTTGATAAAATTCAACATCCTTCATGTTAATAACTCTCGGCAAATTGGGCATTGAAGAAATATACCTCAAAGTGGTAAGAGCAGTCTATGACAAACTCACAGCCAACATCACTGAATGGGTGAAATCTGGAAGCATTCTCCCTTGAGAACTGGAACAAAACAAGGATGCCCGCTCTCACCACTCCTGTTCAATATAGCACTGAAAGTCCTAGCAGGAGCAATCAGGCAAGAGAAAGAAAGAAAAGGCATCCAAATACGAAGTGAGGAAGTCAAACTATCACTGATGATAAGATTCTATGCCAAAAACCCCATAGACTTTACCAGAAGGATCCTAGATATGATAAAGAACTTTAGTAAAGTTTCAGGATACAAAAGTCAGTATACAAAAATTAGTAGCATTTCTATATACTAATAACATCCACATTGAGATCCTAATCAAGAATGCAATTCCATTCACAATAGCCACAAAAAGGAGAAAATACCTCAGAATACCTCTAACCAAGGAGGTGAAAAGTCTCTACAACAAGAATTACAAAATGATGCTGACAGAAATCAGGAAATACACAAATGGAAAAACATTCCATGCTCATGGAGAGGAAAAAATCAATATTGTTAAAATGGCCATACTGTCCAAAGCAATTTATAGATTCAGTGCTACTCCCATCAAACTACCAAAACCATTTTAACAGAATTAGAAAAAACTAAAATTCACATGGAACCAAAAAAGAGCCTGAATCACCAAAGCAATCCTAAGCAGAACAAAGCCAAAGACATCACATTATCCAACTTTAAAGTATACTACAGGGCTACAGTAACCAAACTAGCATGGTAGTGGTACAATAACAGACACATAGACCAATTGAACAGGATAGAAAACTCAAATATTAATAAATCCATACACTAAAAACCACATGATCTCTGACAAAGTTAACAACAAATAATGGGGAAAGGACTCCCTATTTAATGAATAGTGCTGGGATAACTGGGTTAACCATATGTATAAGATTGAAACTAGACCTCTTCCTTTCACTATTTACAAAAAGTAACTCAAGATGGAATAAATACTTAAATGTAAAACCTAAAACAATAAAAACTCTAAAAGAAAATCTAGTAAATACCATTCTGGACATCAACCTTGGCAAATAATTTATGATTAAGTCCCCAAAAGCAATTGCAACAAAAACAAAAATTGACAAGTGGGGCCTGATTAAACTAAAGAGCATCTGCACACTAAAAAAAAAAAAAAAAAAAAACTACCAACAGAGTAAATGACCAACAAAATGGGAGAAAATATTCACAAACTATGCATCTAACAAAGGTCTAATATCTAATATAAAGTACTTAAGCAATTCAAGAAACAAAAATGAAATAACTTTATTAAAAATGGGCAAAGAACATGAACAGACACTTCTCAAGACATACATATAATCAATAAATATATGAAAAATGCTAATCATCACTAATTATTAGAGGAATGCAAATCAAAACCACAATGAGACACCATCTTATACCATTTAGAACAGCTATTATCAAAAAGTCATACAACAGATGCTGGCCAGGTTGCAGAAAAATGGGAACACTTATACACTGCTGGTGAGAATATAAATTCGTTCAGCCACTATGGAAATCACTTAGGCAGTTTCTCAAAGAACTGAAAACAGAATTACTGTTTGACCCAGCCATCCCACTACTGGCTATATACCCAAAGGAAAATAAATCATTCTACCAAAAAGACACTTGCACTCATATGTTCATCACAGCACTATTCACAATAGCAAAGACATGGAATCAACTAAGATGCCCATCAATGGTAGACTGGATAAAGAAAATGTGGTACATATATACCACGAAATACTACACAGCCATAAAAAAGAACAAAATCATGTCCTTTGCAGCAACACATATGCAGCTGGAGGCCGTTACGCTAAGTGAACTAACACAGGAACAGAAAACCAAATACTACATGTTTTCACTTATAAGTGAGAGCTAAACATTGAATACATATGAATACAAAGATGTGAATAATAGACACTAGGGACTGCTCGAGAGGGGAAGGTGGGTTGGGGGCACAGGTTGGAAGGCTACCTATCGAGTACTATGCTCACTACTTGGGTGACAAGATCATTTATACACCAAGCTTCAGTAACACGCAATTTACCCATACGACAAACAAACCTGCACGTGTACCCCTGGAACAAGAGGAACAAGAATAAGAAGAACAGGAAGGAGAATGAGAAGGAGAAGAGAAAGAGAAGAAGAGGAGCATTAATTCTA
The DNA here is from genome assembly GCF_000001405.40 of Homo sapiens. NCBI lineage: Eukaryota > Metazoa > Chordata > Mammalia > Primates > Hominidae > Homo > Homo sapiens. The sequence goes on from NC_000003.12 coordinate 98,938,854, forward strand.
AAAGAAAATATTGATAAATTGGATTCCAAACAATTAAAAACTTCTGCTTTGTGAAAGACACCATTAAGAGAATGAAAAGACAAGATACAATCTGGAAGAAAATATTTGCAAATTACATATCTAACATCCAATAATACTCCAAACTCAACAATAAGAAAACAACTCAATTTAAAAATTAACAAAATATGTGAACAGATATTTTAACAAAGATATATAGATGACAAATAACCACAAGAAAAATGTCAGTATCACTAGCCATTAGGATAATCCAAATTAAATCCACAATGGAATCCAGCTACACATATATTAGAAAGACCGCTATTTTTAAAAAACAATAAACAATTTCAAGTGCTGACAAGGATGCAGAACAATTAGAACTTTCATACACATTGCTCAGAATGTCAAATGGCACAGCCACTTTGAAAGAGAGTTTTGCAGTTTCTTAAGAAGTTAAATATATGTTTACTATATGACCTAGGAATCTCACTCCTAGGGATGAGAGAAATGAAAACTTATGTTTATGCAAACACATATGAAAGTAAAAGCTTACATTTACACAAAAAACCTGTACCTCAATGTTTATAGCAGTTGTATTCACAATCACTCCAAATTGGGAAATAACCCAGATGCCTTTAAACAGGTGAATAGATTAACTGAGCTACATCAATACAATGGAATACTACTCAACATAAAAAGGAATGAACTATTGCTGTAACAACATGATGAATCTCAAAGCCATGCTGAGTGAAAATGCCAGTTATAAAATATAACACATTTATGAGTTTACTCATATCACATTCTAGAAAAAGCAAACTATATGGATATAAACACATGAGTGATTGCCAGGATCTAGGGAATGGCATATGGTTTGACTATGAAAGAGAAAGTACAGAGGTTTTTGGTGTGATGGAACTGTTCTGTATCCTGACTGTGGTCCCAATGATGGTCACAAATCTACACATGTGTTAAAACCTATACAACTCCACCTAAAAAGATCAATTTTTCTGTATATAAATTTTAAAATAATTTTTAAATCTTAAAAAATCATTGCAAGTATAAAATTATCACATAAAAATATGGAAGATCTAGTATAAGTTTCTGTAGAAATGTAGATGAAGTTCAGGTTGGTTCCTGTAATTTAGAGATTCTTTACTATAGCCAGTTTTCATATCCATAAATCATTCAAATATAATTTAGAGGTCCTAGAACTAATGCAAATTACCTTGACTTTGGGAAATTCATTAATTTTCTTCAGATTCAGCATCTTCATTTTAAAAATAAGCCATTTTCCTGGTTTACTATTAAAATTACTTTCAGCTCTAATACTATATGACTTCTATGCTCATATAATCTTCGGGCTCAAGCTGTAACTTTCTCTGAGAAAGAGTTTCATAGGATCTCATAAGTAGAAGGTGATTTAACCCAATTCCCTGCAAAATACATAAATCCTTATACACATTCCTGATAGGATGCTGACAGATATAATTGGCCAGATGTGTTTGAGTGATCATGGTCACATCTAAACAAATGGCTACTCTTGGGTTAATCATTACAGATAATAAATGTATATTTAATAGAAATAATTACATTAATATTTAACTTTTGTCATTTTATAGCAATGTATATTCCCACCAATAGTAGTAAGAGCAAAACCTATGGTCTTAAAATCACCATGGTATGCATCCATGTTCATAGCAGCGTTATTCACAATAGCCAAAGAGTGGAAGCAACCTAAGTGTCCATTGACAAATAGATAAACAAAATGTGTTATATACATAAAATGGAATATTACTCAGCCTTAAAAAGGAAGAAAATTCTAATACATGCTATAACATGGATAAACCCAGAGACATTATGCTAAATGAAATAGCCAGAAAAAAGAAAAAATATTGTGTGATTTTACTCATATGAGTTATCTATAGTAGTCAAATTCATAGAGACAGAACAAAGAATAGTGGTTGCCAGGAAGAAGAGGGAGGGGAAATGCAGAGTTGTTGTTTAATGAGCATAGAGTTTTAGTATTACAAAATGATAAAAGTTCTGGAGATTGGTTGCACAACAATGTGAATGTACTTAACACTACTCTACACTTATAAAATGTATTATCTAACCATTTTCGTGTATTTTACCACAACTAAAAACCACTATGGTAAATATTATAGTAATATGTATCTGTGATGGTTAATTTTATGTGTCAACTTGACGGCCAAAGAGTGCTCAGATATTTGGTTAAATCTTACTCTGAGTCTGTCTCTCTTTAAGGCTGTCTGTGGATGAGATTAACATTTGACTCCATGGACTGAATAAAGGAGATGGTCCTCCCCAATGTGGGTGGACCTTATCCAGTCCATTGAAGGCCTGAAAGAACAAAAGACTGAGAAAAAAAGAATTAATTCTCTCCTCCTCCCTGTCTTTGTGCTGGGACATCATAGGTCTTCTCCTGCCTGTACACTTGGACTTGGACTGGAATTTACATCATGGACTCCCTGGGTTCTGAAGTCTTTGGATTGTGGATATTGAGACTTCTCAGCTTCCCTAACTGCATGAGTGAATTATTTATAATAATTATTAAATAATTAATAAGTATCTTCTATTGGTTCTGTTTCTCTGGAGAGCCTTGACTAATAGTATATCTATTTGTTTTCTTTTTTTAAAGGATAACTTCCTTAAAGTGTTGGGGTCATGTTTTGAAGTGTTTGATGCATATTGTCAAGTGTCCGTAGAAACACTATAGCAATTTACATTCCTACAGCAATGTTAAAAAAGAAAGTGCCCGTTTTCTCACACTTTGGCCAGGACTGGGTATTATCATTTGTGGTTGAATTTCAGTAGCCGTTTTTCCCCCTCTTCTTTCCTTAGCTGGACACAAGGCGGCTTGCAATAAAGATTTCTTCTTTGCATCTCTTGTAGCTAGATGTGGCAATATAACCAAGCTTTAGCAATCAGATCTACAAAGAAGTGATCTGTGCAGTTTCTGGAATGTTTTCTCTAAGTGAATGACATGTCCTCTTTCCTCCATATTTGTCTCTGCTACTCAAAATGTAAATGTATCTGATGATCCAACAGCCATTTTGGACCATGGTTTCCACAGAGAGAAAGGACCTAAGTCCATGACACCTGAACCTGTACTATGAACTTTGAACTCTCTGTCCCTAGAATACTGACAGAGAAATATATTTCTAACTTGTTTAATCTACTTGCAGCTAAATTTAGTCTTACTTATACATTATTCTTTTTAGTCTTTATAGTATTGGTGAAAAATAAAATTTTATTTTTGTTACACATAGCTCTCTTGTCATCTGTTTGGAAGTTATAATTTTTGGAGCGTTACTCCTGCTTTTAGCTAAGCAAAGAAGAAAACACATGAAGAGATTTTCCTTCTTTTTATATCTGAGGTGACATATTGCTAGGGTTCTTCTAAATATGAAAGAGTAAATTTGTTAATACCACATTTCTCTTTAATTCAGAGATTGAAAGATAAGGTTGCTCAGATCAACAGATATTTATTGACCTATTCTATTCAATTGATACTTGAATGTCTAGATTTTAATCGAAATGAATTTCAGAGTTAGAGGATTTTAATAATGATAAAAAAAATCAAGGTGTGTCAGATCTTGCTGATTCCTTCAATAAAATAGAAGCAACTGAAATTAGAAACTGGATCTAATATTTCTAGTGAATTTAAGCCTTTTACTTTTTCAGGTGGGGGTAAGGAAGAAGCATAGCGAAACTATGAAATCTCAGTTGTTTTTTTTTTTTTTTTTTTTTTTTTTTTTGAGACGGAGTCTCGCTCTGTCGCCTAGGCTGGAGTGCAGTGGCGCTATCTTGGTTCACTGCAGGCTCCGCTTCCCGGGTTCACGCCATTCTCCTGCCTCAGCCTCCCGAGTAGCTAGGACTACAGGCGCCCGCCACCATGCCCGGCTAATTTTTTGTATTTTTAGTAGAGACGGGGTTTCACTGTGTTAGCCAGGATGGTCTCGATCTCCTGACCTTGTGATCCGCCCGCCTTGGCCTCCCAAAGTGCTGGGATTACAGGCGTGAGCCACTTTCAAACTTTAGTGTGCGTCATAAACATATGAAGAGCTTTTGTTAAAAACAAAGATTGCTGGTTCCCATGTGTCCAGATTTGTTTGGTCACGTTCTCTTCGGACAGACAGAGTGGAAGAATAAACAGTTCTGGTGTACAGCCGGCTCGTTATTTCAGGTGTAGCACTGCCATTTTGTGATAACTCTGCCAAGTCAAGGTTCTAGGCAAAATACTCGAAAGGAAACAGAAATGGCAAGAAGGAGAGTGCACTGCACTTCTTTAAAGTCACCGCTTAGCCTTCTTTTAGGCCCTTGGACTGATTTTCACTAAACAGACTAGTTTCTTTAAATTTAAACTTTTGCTTATTCCCATGGTAGAGGCATCACATAAGACCCAGTCTCTACTTTGGTGCACCAGGCACCTCTCTCCTTTCAGCATTAGAAGGTGAAGCCACATGCCCTCATCTAAATCCCTGAGAGTTCATAATGCAAGTATGTCACAGTGTTCTTGGAGAAAACCTCTATTACAGATATTCTTCTTGGCTACATTTCAGCAACATGAGAATTGCTTTAACTGCTATTCCTGATTCCACCAAACTCCTCACCTGTCTTTATAATAAAATAACTTTGAATTTTAATATATGTGATTAAAAACAAATTTTCAGCTACAGGATCAGTTTATGCATGAAGTTTCATAACTGTTCCGTTTCCTTTCAAGAAGGTATGGCGTATTGTTAATATTTAACTTGGTGTTTATCCATTCTGGTGTTTTATCCTTAATTATCAAGTTGTCTTATTGGTTGTCATTTCTATGAAGTAGAGCTTTTTCCAGATAAAACACATCTGAGTGGAATGTTTTCATCTTCCCATCTCAAACTCTGCAGCTAGGATAATAGCAAAAGGATAGATGAGATATAATCCCAATTTATAGAAGCAATATACCATATGAGTTGGAGATCTTAAATATCCTGTGTAAAAGATAAGGACATAAATTAGGAAGGAGTTTAAAAATTATTTGATTTAGCCACTTTGTTTTACAGATTTTTAAAAAGTCTGAGATTCAGAGAGGTTAGATGACTTGCTCAAGGTCACACAACTAAGCTAGTGACTGAGCTGGTAATAGAAATAGGCCTCCTGGAGCTTTGTAAAGTCAATATTAAGTAAAATGAACTAAATCCTAGCATTTCCAAATGTCTGCAGAGTATTACAATTCCTTTAGGCCTATTTGATGGGAGTTTAACAAAATTTGTAATTCAGACATATTTTGGAAAGGAAAATATTACACTGCAGGAATTAGGTACTGATGTACTTCCAAGCACTTCATTAAAATGTTTGATTTAAATCAAGAAAAACTGATTATTAGTGATGTATTCCTGCTGATTTATGAGAAGCTGTAAGTAAGTAATATAGGGTGAAGGGATGATGATAAAGACACAGGTGAGATAAGTGGCCGACCTGGAATGCAAATATATGTGGTGGTCTATGTGAATATGTTTGGAAAAAGCTTTTTTTTTTTTTTTAAATAACTTTCTCAACATTAAACATTCTCAGGGTCTCAGTGTCTGCGTTTATTGTTCAGACTTTTATTTTTCTTCATTCTATATTGTTTCCACTGTGGTCTTATGACGCATAGGACAAATACTAGCATGATGATTATGATATATTTTCATGACAAATTAGTGTTCTTTCAATTGAATATAATTAATAATAATGAATGCATTTTATTTTATTTTTTTTGAGACATAGTCTCAATGTGTTGCCCAGTCTGGATTACAGTGGTGCAATCTCCGCTCACTGCAACCTTTGCCTTCCAGGTTCAAGTGATTCTCCTGCCTTACCCTCCTGAGTAGCTGGGACTACAGGTTCAAGTGATTCTCCTGCCTCAGCCTCCTGAGTAGCTGGGAATACAGGCATGCGCCACCATGCCCGGCTAATTTTTGTATTTTTAGTAAAGATGCCGTTTCACCATGTTGGCCAGGCTGGTCTTGAACTCCTGATCTCAAGTGATCCACTCACTTTGGCCTCCGAAAGTGCTGGGATTACAGGCATGAGCCACCATGCCTAACAATGAACGCATTTTTAAAAACATTTAAAATATTAATTCTTATTTTTTGAGTGGAGTTACAGAGAATACTCAGGTTGCTAAAACATTGGCTAAAAATTTGGCTTTAAGTAACTAGTTTTTATCTTGACAAGTTTGTGGTTATTCTACTATGTGGCTGAATGAACTCAGGGCAAAAGCAACTAGTCAGTTATGCCAAATTCATTAAATTCAGTTGGCCAACATGCTAGTTTGATTAGATAAAAGCACAATCAAATCAGATGGCAAGAATGAGAAATATTGGTGCTTGATCTGCTCAATGTTTTATTTGTAAGTTTGAACACAACACTGAGAGGGGAACCTCCAAGAGAATGCCAGAAAACCATCTTCTCTGCTCTCATCTTATCTCTTTGCTTGGCTCCATTTGTCTCTGTGCTTTGGAACCATGTGGGTGAGGAAAATTCACTTCCTTCCCTGTCTGTGACTAAGAAAAGAATCAAGCTCATTATCCTTAGTCTGCTCCAAAATTGTGAATCAGATTAGACTATGAAAAATAGCGATAACAGCTATGACTGTTCCAGAAAAGGAATTATATTAAAGCTCATATGTTGTCTTTTTATGTTTGATTCTTTGCCTAGAGAGAAATGATTAATAACTATAAGATCTAACATGTGTTTTATGTTTACTATATATAAGTACTGCTTAATACTACCTAATAGTATACATCACTTATTATTAATGTTTCCATTTTACAGATAAAGTAATAAAGACAGTGAGGTTAAGCTACTTGCTTAAGAATTAAGCAGCTCATAATTGGGCAGAGCTGGATTTAAATGCAAATCTTAATCATTCTGCTCTTCTTCCTCTTAATTAGAGCTCGGTTTAGAAATATTCAAAAAGAAAGCAATCTGTGTGACTCAAAACAAATTACTCATGGCAATTAAAAGCCCATGCAAAATGAGAAATTTAACAGATGCCTTGAGATATTAATCCATCTGGTTGTTTGGAAACAAGAATTGTAATTATAGCTTCCATAAACAACCACCTCAGGCTATCTGAGAAATACATAGATAGAAAACATTTTATGAGATAACCTAGTATATTCTTTGTCTTCAACCCATGTGATGACTAGAATGACAATCTTGAAAGTCATTTGAATTATTGGGATCTTTTTTCAATAAGTATTTATTTGTTAATATTATAAACAGTTTAAATAATTTGAAGATATAGTTCTTATCTTCATGAAATATACTGTTAGGAAAACTAAAATTCCCATTATACATTAGATAAACATGTATAATCACATAATTATATTTTGTTAATTACTGCAATGAGTAATACACACAGCAAACCCTTGCAATCTCCAAACTTTTCTAGGTGTATTTAAATAGGGGTAGAACAACATGGAACAGGCATTAGAAGTTTCATGAAGGAGGTGAGCTTGAGCTAGGAATAAAATGCTGGGTAAAATTTAAGAGGGTGGCGAAGCCAGCATACAAAGTGGGAGGTAGGACCAGGTGGATATGTTCTAAGAGACAGTGAAAAGACCACTGTGGCTAGGACAAAGGAGTTGTAAGAAGTAGCTGAGTGGGTAAAGTTAGGTCATAGGCTTAGGAGTTTGTACTACATTTTATAGTGGTATGGAATTATGAGAAGTTTTAATGAGATGTTGATATAGTTTGAGCATGTGTCCCCACCAAATCTCATGTCAAATTGTAATCCCTAGTGTTGGAGATAGGGCCTGGTGGGAGGTAGCTGGATCGTGGGGGTGGTTTTCTCATGAACGGTTTATCACCATCCCTGTTGGTACTGTTCTTACAACAGTGAGTGAGTTCTCATTAAATTTGGCCATTTAAAAGTGTGTAGCACCTCTCTGCTCTCTCTCTTGCTTCTGCTCCTGCTATGTGAGACACCTGCTCCCTCTTTGCCTTACACCATGATTGGAAGCTTCCTGAGGCCTCCCCAAAAGCAGGAGCTGCTATGGTTCTTGTATAGCCTGCAGAACCATGAGCCAATTAAACCTCTTTTCTTTATAAATTACCCAGTTATTTCTTTATAGCAGTGTGAGAACAGATTAATGCAGATGTTAAAGTGTTTTAGGATGGCAGTAGCAAAGTGATGGAGAATGGACTGGAAAAGGACAATCTCAATTTAGGAGAATGCCTAAGAGTCTGGTGTATAAACCCTGGTATGGAGCAGGAGGTATGAAATAGGATGGATTCTTCTGCCTCCTAACAGGAAGTCAGTTAAGCTAACTAATGCCAGTGCTCTTCCCTGGGGTGGTTGGAATAAGATGGAGCCAGAACAAATGTATCTCAAGAAATAAGAGTTCCAGAGCTCAAAATAAAAAAGTCAAATCCATTCTCAGGTTATAAGGACAAGAAGGAGGCTGAAGAAGGATTGGATTCCTTTGATTAAAGGATTCCTTTGATTAAAGGAATCCAAGTAAAGGCAAGATTTGACCAAGAGTTTAGGAGATAGTATGGGAATGAAGTGAGAAGGTTGTAGGAAGGACCACAGTTTTCCTATAATAAGGGCTAGATTATGTAAAGCTCTTTCTAAGGGATGCCAGTCCCATGGTTTATCAGTTAGTTATTCTGAGCACAGGATGCTTCTGGATTCAGTTAGCTAGTATTTTGTTGAGGATTTTTGAATCTGTGTTCATCAGGGTATCGTTCTGTAGTTTTCCTTTTTTTGTTATGTCGCTTCCTGGTTTTAGTATTAGGGTGATACTGGCTTCATAGAATGATTTAGGGAGGATGGCCTCTTTCTGTATCTTTTAGAATAGTTACAGTAAGATTCATACCAATTCTTCTTTGAATGTCTGATAGAATTCAGCTGTGAATCCATCTGGTCCTGGGCATTTTTTGTTGTTGTTCTTGGCAACTTTTTAATTTCTGTTTCAATCTCACTACTTGTTATTGGTCTGTTCAGAGTTTCTATTTTTCCTGATTTAATCTAGGAGGGTAGTATATTTCCAGAAATTAATCCAACTCCTCAAGGTTTTCACGTTTGTATGTGTGAAGGTATTCATAGTAGCCTTGAATTATCTTTTGTATTTCTGTGGTATCAGTTGTAGTATCTCGAATTTCATTTCTAATTGAGCTTATTTGGATCCTCTCTCATCTTTTCTTGGTTAATCTTGCTAACAGTCTATCAATTTTGTTTATCTTTTCAAAGAACAGTTTTTGATAATTTATCTTTTGTATTTTTTTGTTCAATTCTTTCAATTTTATTTAGTTCTATTATGATCTTTATTTGTTTTATTCTGCTGGGTTTGGGTTTGATTTGTTCTTTTTCCTCTAGTTCCATGAGGTGTGACCTTAGATTGTCTATTTGTGTACTTTTGACTTTTTGATGTAGGTGTTTAATATTGTGACCTTTCCTCTGACTACTGCACTTCCTGTATCCTAGAGATTTTGATAGGTTGTGTAACTATTATAGTTCAGTTACAAGAATTTTAAAATTTCCATCTTGATTTCATTGTTGACCCAGTGATCATTCAGGAGAATGTTATTTAATTTCCATGTATTTGCATGGTTTTGAGGGTTCCTTTTGGAGTTGATTTCCAATTCTATTCCCCTGTGGTCTGAGAGAGTAGTTGATAAAATTTCAATTTTTTTTTTTTTTTTTTGAGACAGAGTCTCACTCTGTCGCCCAGGCTGGAGTGCAGTAGCATGATCTTGGCTCACTGCAACCTCTGCTGCCTGGGTTCAAATGATTCTCCTGCCTCAGCCTCCAGATTAGCTGGGATTATAGGCGCCTGCCACCATGCCAGTCTAATTTTTGTATTTTTAGTAGAGATGCTTTCACCATCTTGGTCAGGCTGGTCTTGATCTCCTGACCTCGTGATCTACCCGCTTCAGCCTCCCAGAGTGCTGGGATTACAGGTGTGAGCCACCATGCCTGGCCTTTCCTTAAGTTTATTGTGACTCATTTTCTGGCTTATCATATGATCTATCTTGGAGAATGTTCCATGTGTTGATGAATAGAATGTATATTCTGCTGTTGTTGGGTAGAATGTTCTGTAAATATCTGTTAAGTCCATTTGTTCTAGGGTGTAGTTTAAATCCATTGTTTCTTTGTTTACTTTCTGTCTTGATGAGCTGGCTAGCACTGTCAGTGGAGTATAGTGGATTATTGAAATTTCCTACTGTTATTGTGTTGCTGTCTATCTCATTTCTTAGGTCTAGTAGTAATTGTTTTATAAATTTAGAAGTTCCAGTGTTAGGGGTGTATATATTTAGGATTGTGATATTTTCCTATAGGACAAGTCCTTATATAATGTCCCTCTTTGTCTTTTTTTTTTTTTTTTTTACTGTTGTTATTTATTTATTTAATTTTTTGAGATGGAGTTTTGTTCTTGTTGCCCAGTCTGGAGTGCAATGGTGCGATCTCGGCTCACTGCAACCTCTGCCTCCTGGGTTAAAGAGATTCTCCTGCCATCAGCCTCCCAAGTAGCTGGGATTACAGGCATGTCTGGCTAATTTTGTATTTTTAGTAAAGACAGGGTTCCACTATGTTGATCAGGCTGGTCTCAAACTCCTGACCTCAGGTGATCCACCTGTCTTGGCCTCCCAAAGTGCTGAGATTACAGGCATGAGCCACTGTGCGTAGCCACTGTTGTTACTTTAAAGTCTGTTTTGTCTGATATAAGAATAGCTACTCCTGCTTGCTTTTGGTTTCCATTTGCATGGAATATCTTTTTTCACCCCTTTACCTTAAGTTTATGTGAGTTCTGATGTGTTAGGTGAGTCTCTTGAAGACAGCAGATACTTGGTTGGTAAATTTTTACCCATTCTGCCATCTGTATCTTTTAATTGGAGCATTTAGGCCATTTACATTCAGCATTAGTATTAACGTAAGTTACTGTTCTATTCATCATGCTAGCCATTGCCTTAATACTTTTTTTTCATTTTATAGGCCCTGTGAGATTTATGCTTTAAGGAGGTTCTATTTTGATGTATTTCAAGGTTTTGTTTTAAGATTTAGAGCTCCTTTTATCATTTCCCATAAGGCTGACTTGGTAGTGCCAAATTCTCTCAGCATTTGTTTGTCTGAAAAAATACTTTGTCTTTCTTCCATTTATGAAGTTTAGTTTTGCTGTATACAAAATTTTTGGCTAACAATTTATTTGTTTCAGGAGGCTGAAGATAGGACCTCAATTCCTTCTGGCTTGTAGGGTTTGTGCTGAAAAATCTGCTGTTAACCTGATAGGTTTTGTTAGTAGGTTACCTGATGCTTTTGTCTCACAGCTCTGAAGATTCTTTCCTTCATCTTGACTTTAGATAACCCAATGACTATGTGCCTAGGTGATGATATTTTTGCAAAGAATTTTCCAGTTGTTCTTTGAGCTTCTTGTATTTGGATATCTAGATCTCCAGCAAGGCCAGGGAAATTTTTCTCAATTTTTTCCCTCAAATAAGCTTTCCAAACTTTTGGATTTCTCTTCTTCCTCAGGAAAATCAGTTATTCTTAGTTTTGGCCATTTAACGTAATTCCAAATTTCTTGGAGGCTTTGTTCATTTTTTTAATTCTTTTTCTTTGTCTTTGTCTGATTGGATTAATTCAAAACCCTTGTCTTCCATTTATGCAGCCAACAAACATATGAAAAAAGCTCATCATAACTGGTCATTAGAGAAATGCAAATTAAAACCACAACGAGATACCATCTCACGCCAGTTAGAATGACAATCATTAACAAGTCAGGAAACAACAGATGCTGGAGAGGAAGTGGAGAAATAGGAACACTTTTACCCTGTTGGTGGGAGTGTAAATTAGGTCAACCATTGTGGAAGACAGTATGGCAATTCCTCAAGGATCTAGAATTAGAAATACCATTTGATCCAGCAATCCCATTACTGGGTATATACCCAAAGGATTATAAATCATTCTACTATAAAGACACATGCACATGTATGTTTATTGCAGCATTATTCATAATAGCAAAGACTTGGAACCAACTCAAATGCCCGTCAATGATAGACTGGATAAAGAAAATGTGGCACATATACACCATGAAATATTATGCAGCCATAAAAAATGAGTTCTTGTTCTTTGCAGGGACATGGATGAAGCTGGAAACCATCATTTTCAGCAAATTAACACAGGAACAGAAAACCAAACACCATATGTTCTCACTCATAAGTGGGAGTTGAACAATGAGAACACATGAACACAGGGAGGGGAACATCACATACCAGGGCCTGTCGGGGGGTCGGGGGTAGGGAGAGGGATAGCATTAGGAGATACTATGTAGATGATGGGTTGATGGGTGCAGCAAACCACCATGGCACATGTATACCTATGTAACAAACCTGCATGTTCTGCACATGTATCCTAGCACTTAAAGTATAATAATAATAATAAAAGCCTTGTCTTCAAACTCTGAACTTCTTTCCACTTGTTCTAGTCTATTGTTGAAACTTTCCAATGGATTTTGTATTTTTCTAAGTGTGTGTTTCATTTCCAGAAGTTATTATTTTTTCTTAAAGATATCTACTTTTCTGGAGAATTTTTCATCCATAACCTGTAATTTTAAAAATTTCTTTAAGTTGCTTTTCACCTTTCTCTGGTATCACCTTGAGTAGATTAATAATCAACCTTCTGAATACTTGGCAATTCAGATATTTGTTCTTGGTTTGAATTCACTGCTGGGGAGCCAGTGTGATCTTTTGGGAGTGTTATAGAATGCTGTTTTGTCATATTACCAGAATTTCTTTTCTAGTTCCTTCTCATTTGGGTAGACTATTTCAGTGGAAAGGTCTGGAACTCAAGGCCTACTGTTCAGTTTCTTTTGTCCCATGGGGTGATCCCTCAGTGTGGTACGCTCCCCCTTTCCCTAGAGATGGGGCTTCCTGAGAGCTGGACTGCAGTGATTGTTAATGCTCTTCTGGGTCTAGCCACCCAGTGGAGCTACCAGGATCCGAGCTGGTGCTAGGGAATGTCTGCAAAGAGTCCTTTGACGTGATCCATCTTCAGGTCTCCCAGCTGTGTAAACTAGTACCTGCTCTGATGGAGGTAGCAGGGGAGTGAAGCAGACTCTGTGAGAATCCTTGGTTGTATATATGTTTAGTGTGCTGGCTCTCTCAAATTCTGGTTATGCTAGCATTGAAGTTGTCACATTGACAGACGCAGGACCTCTGGTTAGCCAGGATGCTGGAGTCAGTGGTATTACCTGTTTTCTCCTTCCTGGGAGCAAGGTTACTCTGTAATGAGTTGCTGTAGTGGCTTGAGTTGATTTGCCTCCAGCCAGGAGTTGGTGCTTTCAAGAGAGCACCAGCTGCAGTAGTAGTAGAGTGATATAAGCTTGCCCTAAGTTGGCCAGGGTAAGTAGTCTCAGGTGATGAGTGAGGCCATAAGCTTCGAAGAGTTTATGTCTTTTGTGTTCAGCTATTAGGGTGAGTAGAGAAATACCATCAGGTGGGGCAGGGTTAGGTGGGTCTGAGCTCAGAGTCTCCTTGCGCAGGGCTTGCTGCAGCCACTGTTGCAGATGGGAGGGTGTTTCTCAGGCCAATGGGGTTATGTTCCAGAAGGGATCATGGCTGCCTCTGCTGTGCCATATAGTTTTCCAGGGAAGTTGGGGATAGCTGGTAGTGAAAGGCCTTACCCAGCTCCCACACAGTTGGCAAGGCTTGTTTCACTCCCACAGTGTCCTGCTAATAGCATCAAGTTTATATCCAGGCAGCCTGCCCCAGGCAGTAAGCTTCCCCGCTGAGAAAGCAAGCATGGCTTTCAGGCCTCACTGCTCCCCATCTGCCCACAATGTTGGTGGTGGCTCTTCTGCTCATATCTGTAGCAGTTCTGATCCACTCCTCAGATTCTGCTCAAGAAAGTTTGTGCCCAGTTGAAATTATTTCAAAGTTCAGTTAGAAGCTTCTTTCACCCTGTGACCCTTCCCTTATTCTGCTGGATGCCTTCCCTGAGGGCCCCTGTGAGATATCATCAGGGGGCTTCCCTGGGCCAAGCTGGAGACTGGGAGTGTCTACAAGGCTCCTCCCACTGTGCTTCTACTTTTATATTTTATGCAGCTCTCTAGATCTGTTTCAGCTCTAGGTAAGGTTAAATCCTTCTCCCATGATCTGGATTTTCAGATTCCCCGGTGACGATACATGTTTGGAGGCAGCTTCACTACTCTCAGACTTTGGGATCTTATAGTTTTTTGTCTGTTTTGCAGAATTTGCTGTGGTGTGCCACTTCTTTCAAGGATTTGTGAATTTTTTCAGTTTTCCTGGTGTAATGGTTAATACTGAATGTCAACTTGATTGGATTGAGGGATACAAAGTATTAATCCTGGGTGTGTCTGTGTGAGTGTTGCCAAAAGAGATTAACATTTGAGTCAGTGGGCTGGAGGAAGGCAGATCCACCCTTAATCTGGTGGGTACAATCTAATCAGCTTTCAGTGAATATAATGCAGGCAGAAAAAAATGAAAAGGACAGACGGATCTAGCCTCCCAGCCTACATCTTTCTCCTGTGCTGGATGCTTCCTACCCTTGAACATCAGACTCCAAGTTCTTCAGTTTTGGGACTCGGACTGGCTCTCCTTGCTCTTCAGCTTGCAGACAGCCTATTGTGGGACCTTGTGATTGTGTAAGTTAATATATAATAAACACCCCTTTACATGTGTAACTTACATTCTATCTATCTATCTATCAATCATCTATCTATCTCCTATTAGTTTTGTCCTTCTAAGAGAACCCTGACTAATATACCTGGAATGTTTCTGAGGTGGTTCTTAAAGCAAAATTTCACGTGTGAGTCTCCACAAGCTGTTCTATCCACCCAAGTGGGAGCTACACATTAGCCCTGTCTCCTATCCACCATCTTCTTACCCCTCAGAAAATTTTTCCTTCAAATCTGAATATTGACCGTGTGCAGAGAAGGACAGGGATAGTCTGCTATTAGATTTTTTCAGTCTACCATGAGGAAATGAATGAGCATAAAAACTAAGATGATAAAACAAAGAGATCCATAAAGGATCAGAATATTTTCTTTAGCAACACTTGGTTAAGCTTTTTAATCAAATCTCCACCAAGGAAGTGGCATTAACATCAGGACCAAGGAAACACATTCAATATTATTTTTAGTTTGTAACATATGTATTTATGTTTATAAATTAATAAAATTATAATCTTAGTATTCTTTTAACACTTTGAGAGATGTGAGATTATGAGCTAAAGCTATTGGATTGTTAACAGGCTTTACTTCAGCAAGTTGAGCAGCCCCTGGCTCATTTGCATCTCGGTTTTTTTCTCATTAATTTGAGCACAAGGAATATTTTAAAAAACATTTTAGAGGCAATCACAGAAACATAATCTAAAATCAAATCATATTTTTTTCTCTATGTAAAAAAGACCAAAACAATATAAATACATCCTAACCAGTCTGTTTTCTCTGGAGGATAAATTTTCTGCTTACAAAATAGCCATACATTCCATCTTGTTCTTATTATAGTTTAAGTCATTTAATGAACTGTGAAAAGAATGTTACATGCCAGTATACCCTGTCCTCATACTAAACAGCTTTGGAGCACACTGCAGTAAATGTCAGTTTGTCATTCCTTGTTTAAAGGCTGATTCTTGTGGTTCCTTTGAGGTATCCAACTACACTTTAATGCCATTAAGTCATTATTTGTGTCCTCTTTTAGAACTGTTGAGTACCTTCAAATGTACATCGGTTTTCAGCATAAACCCTCATATGTTGTAAATTTATAGAATTATATATTTTAAATAAAAATATGAAATTAAATTTATGAATTGTCTGCTCAGTGTGCAAAGCAGCATGACACATTTCAGTTGTGCTGATTTCACTGACCAACTTGTTAGTAAGGTGTGAAGCTGGTGTAAGAATTTTCTAAAATCAAAACAAAACCTCCTGATCTGGATGTGCCTTTCTTGATGGATTAGCTATTTAGGGGAATGGCTCCAAGAAAGCCAGATGGGTAACATGCATGTCCAAGATGACAGAAGTATGTGAATCATTTCTACAAAAGTGGAGCCCGCCCCACTAGTCTTGCAAACATTCAGGGCTGATTTTATATGGGATGAATGAAAACACTTGTGCCTTGCTGGCCCAGAGTGAGAGCTGCAAGTTACAATGCAACATTTGCCACTACAAAGTTTCTTTGTTAGAAATTCTTATTTATTGAACAATTTATCTACACACCCAGAATTGTGTTGGACTCCTGGGGGTGAGTCATATATAGTGATTAGTCAAGATGAGATCTCATAGGAAGTGTCTGTAGACCATTTGGATTTATAGGAATGAGAAAAAATGACCTAGGCGAAAAATTAGTGGAGAATCAAGGAATAGGCAAGGGAGGGTGTCTGCTGGTGAATGAGAGACCCACAGGAGATATTTGGTCTTCTTGTCTTTGTGCTTTTTAAAATCGGTAGAGGGAAATTACTAGTTGCCTCCAACATAAATTCAACCTCTATGAGGAAAATATATTAAGCTGGAAAATCAGTTATTCCCCACCTCCAACAAGACTGAGTGAATTAGTTGGCATCAATAGTGCACACACTTGTCCAGGAGTAAATTTTTGAACTTGTGTGCATCCATCTTGTTTTAATAACTAAAATGAGGGAATGAGTGCCTGAAATACAAACATTATCAACTTAAATTATAGACAAAAAGAAAAAGGAATGTTGAAACACTTCTATATAAATCAGAATCAATGGCACTTTTTCCAATGATTATTTTTTCTAAAATCTTTTAAATTACAAATGTAAATGTTCTGGAAATCACACTGCATTGCCCATCTTTCTTTACTGACTACCTAGAAATGCAAAAGTTTGGAGTTTATGAAAATTCTGTTTTTGATCTAATATCATGTGATGATTTCTCAGAGGGAAATATGATTCTATATTTTTTAAAATAAAAAAGTTAATAAACCCTTTGAAAATTGATCAATGATCAGCAGTTAACTCTGGAAGAGAGACATCCCTTAATGGATCTACAGAACACTGAATAAATAATATATCCTGCAGTGGAAATATTACAATAAAATAGTTCCATATGAAGCATAATTTCATTGTTCAAGAAAATCAGAAAGAAATGGCCTTATGGGGGAGATCAAGGTGTGGCAGATAGCTTTTAATTAATGCAACAAATTTTAATAATATACCTCATTTATAAAGTGTTTTCTATGTAGCAAACATGGTGCTAATATTTCACATGCTGTGTACCAGGCACTGTGCAAAATGCTTCTCATTTTATTATCACAGTGATACTATGAGGTAGGTGCAGTTATTACTATGCCCATTTTGTAGGTGAGTAAACTGAGATTATAAAAGTTTGAGTTACTTACCCAAGGTCATATAGTAATTATTTACAACTATACCTGACTAGCTCCAAAGCATGTGCATAATGCAATGTTATAGAAATTGGAGCAATAAAATCCCTCATTTATAAAAGCAAACAAATATTTAAAGAACATTTATTCAAACTAAGCAAAGCCTTGATTCCATTTCAAGGCTGCTTACAACAAGACTGCTCAACATCATTATTTTTGGGAATCGCATTCCACACAGAATATAGTTATTTATAAGAATTATGGGCGGGGCGCAGTCGCTCATGCCTGTAATGCCAGCACTTTGGGAGGCTGAGGTGGGTGGATCATGAGGTCAGGAGGTAGAGACCATCCTGGCCAACATCGTGAAACCCCGTCTCTACTAAAAATACAAAAATTAGCTGGATGTGGTGGTGCTCGCATGCAGTCCCAGCTACTCAGGAGGCTGAGGCAGGAGAATCGCTTGAACCCAGGAGGCTGAGGTTGCAGTGAGCCGAGATCGGGCCAAGGCACTGCAGCCTGGTGACAGAGGGAGACTCCATCTTAAAGAAACAAACAAACAAAAAAGAATTATGGCTGGGTACAGTGGCTCACACCTGTAATCCCAACACTTTGGGAGGCCAAGATAGGAGGACTGCTTGAGCCCAGAAGTTTGGGAGGAACCTGTGCAAAATAGGGAGACCCCATCTCTACAAAAAATTGAAAAAAAAATTAGCCAAACATGGTGGCTTGCACCTGCAGTCCCAGCTACTTGGGAGGCTGAGGTGGGAGGATTGCTTGATCCGGGAGAATTGCTTTAGCCCAGTACGTGGGGGCTGCAGTGAGCTGTGATCGCACCACTGCACTCCAGCCTGGGTGGCAAACACAAATAAAATAATGTATTGTGCCTCTTTCCTTCTTCCCTTCTTTCTTTTTCTCTTCTTCACACTCATGTTATCATCCTCATCAACAATAAACATTCTTGAGTTCAAGAGTCATTTAGGTGAATATTTTTCTAAAGTTTGAATTCTCCTTACAATGTTCCCATCTAGTGATTATTTCCCATAAAGGAAAATTTCTCCCTGTTGGTTCTGTCACTTCCATTTTTGAACTATTCTGACAATGAGAATGCGTTTCTTATTAATTAATTTTTATATATACTAGTTGACCTTATTGATTGGAAAAAATGTTGTTTCAAAGTAGGAATTATTTTAAATTTAGCTGGACACCACACAAGGACCTAAATGGAACACAGATACCAGATTGGAACAGTTTAGTGAATACCATCATTGCAACAGGAAACAAGTCATATAAAAACGTAGCATAACTTGGAAACAAATTATAGAAGTTAAGCTGCCAGAAGTCAAACAAGCAGTAAATAGCTTAACCTCTCTGAGCCTTCAATTTCTTCATCTGTAAAATCATGAAAAAAATTAATCTAGCAATTAGAGGGCTAATTTGATAAACTAGGAGGTATTATTGGGAACAATCAGATAATATTAAATTAATTATGAAAAGTTGACAAACAGTATGTGTACTCATATTATTTTGCACAAGTAAATTAAAATAAGTTTATAGAAAAAGTTCTGGAAAAACCCACAGTACACCAGAGTGGGTAACACTGATGTCTTTGGTCAGGCGGAGTGCATGGCTCACCCCTACACTAAACAAATATTTATTATGTTTATACAATATGGCTCTTTTGATATGAATGTTCCAACTTTCCACATTAAAGACAGTTCAAAGCAGAAATACTTTTTGAAAGTCAATTAAAAGTAAAACATGCTTTTATTTTGTCTACTCTTGCCAAATTCTGAAAAAGCAGACGAAAATGAGTAAGAGGGCAAACTCATCAAAATTTACAATGAACAAGATGTCAAATACTGAAAATATTCATTTTTTTGGTTAAATAATTACTAAGATTAAATTATAATGTTGACCAACTTGCTTTTACTTATATTGTTTGCAAAATACTATTTGTAGTCAAAGTATGTAAGTTTCTTGTCAAAAGTTGCCTAGTGTTATGTCTTTGAAAGACCTTTTGACCTAAAAGTTTGGAAAGCAAAAATGCTTTTGCTTAGACTCCTTGGAAGAGATAATCATTGTAACTTTGGGAAATATAACAGCCTCCTTAGGGTTGATATCTGGGATCCTTCCCATCAGAGGGATGTTGCACAAAATATGAAGAAGCATTTCATGTTGTTCACATAAATGTTGGGAAGGCTTTTTCTTGATACAATTTGTATCATGCAGAGCCTTCTCTCTCCGTAGGTAAAGAGTGGGGCTCAGGTAAGGGATACTATATAGTGCTACATAGACCTACTCCTTTAGTAGCCTTTGGCTTGAGGGCTGTTTTGCCAGAAGACCTTCCATACTCAATGACATCAATTGTGGGGTGTTTTAAAGACAGTTGTATTAGCTTGCCAGTTAATTTTATTTTGTTAGACGTTTGTTTTTATTTTTATTTTGAAATTTCCAATTTGATCATTTACATTGACAAGATTAACAGTTACTGCCTATAGAATAACTGTTTACTAGCATAATAGATGTAAAAACCAGGCATTTGATGAACCAGTGGTATTGGGAACATTCAGATAAAATCAAGAAAAAAAAAGAGATTTTATTGAGAAGAGACAGGTCTTCTCAGAGGATCAATTGACATTAGGACCATGTAATGAAACTAGAGAACATGAAGTTGTGGTAGAGAGAGAAGTGTATGGGGTGTCAGAATTCCTGAGTTTGAGGCTAGTCTGTCACAATTGTGACCTCAGACAACTCATTTAACTTCCTTGCCCACAAGTTTTCTTATTTCTTAAGTATGGATAATAATAACAGATGGATTCCCTACCCATGGTAGGGTTGACTCTAATAAGATACTTTTCTCCCAGGTGATTGAAGGGAATGCTAGAGGTTGGAGATGTAAGCTAAGTTTATGGAAATGGCTAAGAGACTCTTAAATCTGTGTATCTAATATTCAGTTGTAATTGTTTTTAGCATTGCTGTCACCTTAACCCATTGGTACACTGTGCAATATGCACAAAGGCATTGTGTGAGTGGGGTTAATTTTGTGAAAATCTGACAGATACTATGTCTGAGTTATCTGGTTTGGAATAGGGACAGCATATATAAAACCTCAAGGTGGTCCATAATTTAAAATGGAACGAGGAGCTGGGACCAGATGTAACTGAAAAGCCAGCCACCCCACTCCCCATGCTGCCACTGATAAAAGTGACATTTGTTTCCTTTGTCTCCCCCGTAAGATCTTTATTAGCAGAGACCTTGGCATTTTTTGCACTTCCTGCTTTGTCAATAAAGTATGAAACACATAATATAATTGGCCATTTTCATGGATAAAAACAATTCAGGTATACAACGTGACAGAGGTTCAGTTTGATTTTACATATTTGTCCCAACCTCTATCACTAGAGATAAATCTCAAGTATGCAATTAAAGATTTGTTCACAATTAATATTTCTTGTCACTTGTTGGTACAAACTAATAGGATAGCTATGAGCAACTGAATAAAAATATAGTTGAGATAATACAGTGAATGATGGTTTAGGTGGTTTATTCGGGCAGAAAAACTCTTACTTTGAGAAAAATCCAGATGGGTGTTTTTGTTTAACATTAATTCACATAGTGCTTAATATTGTTTGATATAATTGTTTACTACTTTGATACCATCTAGGCTTCGGTTACTTTTTTTTTTTTGACAGGGGCTTTTGGATGTTGTTTTGCTGAATTTCTCTAAGCAGCGGTTTATAAGAAAAGCTATAAGACTAATGAATATAAACTTCTTCCAGTGATGTGAGCAGATAGAAACTGTGGGAAAGAGACCTATAAAGAATGCAGTGCTGGTTAAATTGAGCCCAGGCTCTCCTCCACCCCCAATACTTATGGCTACAAGAATTCAAGGGACACATAAATGTATTGAAGCAATTCGGCCTAGAATTCTACAATATGCTCAATAAATATTTGTCATCTGCTATATAAAAAGCATATTATTGGGCACTGAGTTTAAAAGCAAATATGAGCAAAATATGGTCCTGTAAATAACCCAGACTCAAAATTATAATCTAGACTCAAAATTTAGTTTATAATGTAGGTATTAAATTAATAATATCATGAACTGCCCTAAGAGAAGCTCAAATAATGAGCTACAAGATTCAGAGGAGGACATGCCATTTCCGGTGGCTTGATCTGGGGACATGAGATTTTAGTTGTGCCTTGAGGTTGGATTGGATTTAATAGCTGAACACAGAAAGGAAGAGAAAGTGGGGGAGAATCTCAATAGAGTGAATGACACTTATTTGCATCTAAAATCTCTCATTGATTTGCTTTTGACCATCACTGTTACTGTATTCATCAATACCCTAGTTACTTCTTACCTGTTCTATGGCAACTGCCTCCTTAACAAGTCTCATCGTCTTGCCTCTTCTGATTTATCCTTGGAAATATATTGCCACATATGTTATTCTACTACTAAAACACATTCAGTAGCTTCTCATTGTATTGATCAAGTCCATTTACAAGGCCCTTCATAACCTGGCCCAATTCTACCAGTGGTGATTTTGTACCCCAGAGAACATTAACAGTGCAACATCTGGAGACATTTTCAGTTGTCACAGCTCAGGGGAGGGTGCTCCCTGCATCCAACAGGAGAGGTCAGGGATGCTGTTAAATATTCTATAAAGCACAGAATAGCCTCCCCTCACAACAAGGAATTATCTGGCCCAAATGTCAATAGTGCTTAGGTTAAGAAACCTTCGTTTATATAGCAATTCAATTGTGTAATTATAACAACAAATACAACAGATTTTGGCAGATACCACTGACTCTTAACAAACATAAAATTTAACTAGTGGCTATATAATCCCATGGGTAAGCAGGAAAATAATCTTTTAGCTATAAGCATTTAGCATGTTCTACATGTTAGCCAATATATTTATACAGGCATGTAGTGCCTGTTTAACCTTGAGTGTTGTTTTAGTGGGTGTTAATTGAGGCAGCTTTTACTAAAGTTGTATTTTCCTGAACAAACTACCTATCTTTCTATTGTTGGACGTTTGCATATCCCTTTGCTGTTCTCCCACCTGGCAAACTTATGCTTATCTTTCAAGCCTCAGCTTAAATATCACATTCAAGCAGAAACTTGCCCCCACTGTTTATGCAATCATTTGGCCTAACCATTTCTTAATACCTCACTTACAATATACTTCACAGAGAATTGTAATTATCTACAATGTATGTTTCTTCTATAGTTAGAGCAAACTCTTTGAAGAAAGGGTTCATGTTTTCATCTTTGCATCCCCGTGACTTATAATAGTATCTGGCACATAAATAAGCAACCAATATATGTTGACTTAGTAAATAAATGGGGAGGGATGAAAAAATGATATGTATCCTAGAGACAGGGAGTAGTCTGTTTTGTATGAAAAAGAAGGCATGAATAAAAGAATAGTAAAAGATCAGACTGCAAAGATATTTGTGAGTTACATTATTGAATGCTTTCAAAGCCTGGACTTAGTAGTTTATTCAGGAGGATTTAAAGAAAATAGAATGTGTTTTTCTATTAAGAGGTGACATAAAGTGACATGGTAGAAACATTAATCTGGTGGAGGTATTAGAAAGTATTTGGTAATTACAAAGCATTTAGTCATTTAATAAAAATGTATATGGGCTTATATAAATATTGTGGTTTTTAGTGCTTTAGAGAGCATGTGAACTCAATCTGGGGTCACTCCCAAGCCTGGAAGAGAATGAGAAGGAGGCAGTAGAATATCATTATAATCATACTACTTGTCCCAGGGGATCCATGTATTCTACTGAAGAGTGGGAGTAGTTCAAAATGGAGAAATGAGGAAACCATGACAAAGAGTCTGGATAATCATTAGAACTGATTAAAGTCAGGCTGCCCTAGATTGAAAAGTGTGTGCCTCTGCTCACAGGTATGCTTTTTTTTTGGTACATTCCATGGTGGGCATTGCTATTTGTATCTAGGTTATCTTAGAAGAATCTGGTAGCTCTTTTTTCTGCCCACTCAACTTTTCCATCTTCCTTTTCATAGCTACAATATTTCCTTTCCTTTGGCAGACTCCTCTCTTCTTTACATGGTCCTGGTATACATATTGATCATTGCATTCCTATCCTCTACCTTCCCAGGCACATAGTTGAATACATGAATCAGGCTGAGCCAGTCGCGGTACCACATCCACTAGAACAGTTATTATTGACAGCAGTGTACATATCAACTAAACAAGGCCAATCAGAATTATTCTCCAGAACCTTACAGTGGGAGGTAGATAGGAATGACTTTCTCATGCTTAGCATGCAACCTGTAAGAATGTGGATCTGAATTGTCAGTGGCCGTCAATTCATGCATGGAGTGAGACTGCAAAGAGTAGAAAATAAAGAAGCCAAATACAAAGAGAAGCAGAGAACAACAGCATCATGGTATTCCTGAGGCCCCTGACTCAGTCCCTGAATCACTGGTCTCTGTGGCTTCTCTTCCAAGTTAATGATCTATCTCAGTGTGCTTCCTAACCAGATGAGTCAACTCATTTCTCTTTTTCTTTCCATTAATTTTTGTTGGGTTGTGGTCATATGCAACCAAAGGAATCTTAACTAATAGAATTACCCCTTACCTAAGGATATAATAATGCGGGGGTGCAGCCATCTAGCAGTAGTCTGGGATCTGAAATATCAGCTTTTATGCTATACAAACATTTCCCTCAGTATTCATTGGTGATGCAAAGTTAGGAATAATCCACCTTGGTTCTCTACCATCTCTAAATTTCCTCTCAAAATCCAGCAAAATTATTAAAAATCTAAAAATGAAAGCTTTAAATTCTAATAGCAAAAGAGTTCAAATCATTAAAATATGAAGAGACTTTTTCTCTTCCTTTATATTACCTCAGCAGTGACTCAGAGTGTGTATACATCCTAATGTAGTCTGCCCATTAGGTCCAGATGAGGCTTCCCTTATTGAGACACTTAACAACCACAAAGATAGGTTTTCTTCCAGTATCCCCACTCCCCAGTAGACAATGATGAACAAAAAGGACAGGATAACAGCAGAACCCACTCTGATTTGGGGAGGGGGAGAAGGGAGACAGCCAGTGGTCATTAGGCTGTGGAAGTTTTGAAATCCAACTGAGTAGACATTGGGAGTAGACTCTGGGTTGAGAGAGCTTCCTTAAATCTTTAGGTTGTGATGCTGTTTATAGGAGGCATCTCTTTGTCTATAGATGTTTGCAGGATGTATCTTTTTTTCTTCTTCAGTGGATCTGAAGTGGATATTGGAAGTACATGCCCTCCTTGGATGCTGAATAGCTTTCTCAGGCCATTCACATGAAAACAGCTTGGAGGTTCGTCTTGCTTTCAATCAAATGCTTTTTTGGTCATGTTCCAGTATTTTTGGCAATGCAATCTATCAAGAGGCTTTTGATCTGTATATCACAAGTAAATTTTACATACCAGTAATCACACTAAAAGCTGCTTTCAAAATAGGATTTTCAGATCTGCTTTATTTCTGTGCTTCTTCATACATGCGCCTTGCTTTTTTGAGGCTATCTTGGGGCTGTTGAGCTTAAATGGGAAGATTATACCCTTAATCTGAATTTGCCTAGAAACACTTGAATGAACTGAAAGTTTTTCTTGGGTATTTGTCACTCAAAGCCTTTTTAGTCCTGTTTCTTACTTTTGAGGTATAGAAGCAGTTGACTTTCCAGATTGAAAGTCCCTGAATTTCTGGTCTTTCCCTACAAATTATCTTCCAATCCGCTTTCCCACGGTCAATTCTTTCTGAGTTTATATAAGAGCCACCAATGCACAGTACTAAAGTTCTATTTTCTACCCTTGTCTCTAAACTCCTGGCTCAATACCCATATGAGCTGACTTCCAAGTCACTGCATATGATGGTTTTGTCAAATATTTCACCACTGAAAAACACATTCTCATTATCATTTCAGCTGCTGATATCAGTTTCCTTGATGCTCATTACCCACTAAGCAAATTCATATGTTTTAGGTTGTTTTTATACCAACACTTCACATTGAGGTACTAGTATTCTTATTAGAATAATTAATGCTAGCTGGCGCAACAGACATTCTGAAATATCAGTGCTTATACAACAAAGCTTTGATCTTGTTTACACTGCATGCTCAGAGGAGTTGGTGGACATGATGATCCATGAAGTTATTCAGGAAACCAGGCTAATGGAGCTACACCCCTGGGAACACCTGGAGTTTGGGGTCCCCCTGGCACAGGAAGAGAAGGATGAAGTTACACACTAATTTCCAACTCCTGGAGTTATAAACAAATATCTTTTCTATTCGTGGTCTATTTGCCTTAACTAGTCACCGGACTGTAACCTAATTGCAAGCGAGGTTGGGAAACACAGGGAGCATATGGAATAGTCGGTGAGTCCTGTCTCTGTCCCAGGAACCTACTGTGGGAATATAAAGATGTAAGAGGAAGACTAAGCATTAGCCAGGAACATCCTGGAAGGAAAGTATCAGGTAGTAATTAGTTATGTTCAACAAACATTTCCAGTTCTTTTCTCCAGCATGCTGTACTTCTCTATTTTCCTGGAGGTGGATTGGTCTTGTGCTTTGGTCATTAGTTACTCTGGGCAATGAAATGTGAACAGAATGAAATGTATTTCTTCCAGGTGGACTCCCTAAGCAATTTGTTGAGTACTATCTTTCCATCTGCCTCAATGACCAGTGGTGTTCCACGATAGAGGTTGCTGCATTAGCCTGGGGACAAAAGTGAGCATGACAGGAAGCAGAAACTCCGCCAAATCACACAGACATGTAGTGAGAATGTGAAATAAATCCCAGTTTCAAGTCTCTGGGATGTGCATGGCTGTTTATCAGCAAAACAGATTTCATTCCACTGTGACTGACATTACATGTTTTTATCTTTGTTTCTTTAATACTAGGGACTCAACAAATGACTGTTGAAGGGATTTTTAAGTGACTACTCTGCTTGTTTTACTACTATTTCCCTTGTGTACCTTGGTATCTCTTATTAGCAATGATGTTCCCAAGCAATATAAACACATTTTCTAATAGTTCCCTGGATAGAATTCAAGCCAGTAGCCATTCACAACCTGGAGCTATAATGAAGAATATGAGCAGGGCCACCCATGGCTTCTCTTAGCCTTACTTTCAAAGCAACATTCTCTCTGCAAGTGAATTTTAGCAGAATGTCCTTCAAATACAAACCCTTTCATTACTTCTCTTTCTTTCTCATTTTCTCTCTCCTTTCCTTCTTGCCTCAATATTATCCTTCCTTCATTTTTTTGGGGAAGAAAATTATTTCTTCATTATGATAACAGCACAATGCATATTAGAGTATTCTTAGGAAATATAAAGTGGCTTGATTTTACATTTGGATTTAATTATAGGTAGAATTATAATGGAAAATTCACTAGGCTTGTATTCAGGAAATCTAGGTTTAAATTCTGTCTCTGCTACTTACTAGCTGCGGAAATTTAGTTAATTTATTCATCTGCAAAATGGGGCTAATAGGTGCTGGGTCTT
The DNA here is from genome assembly GCF_000001405.40 of Homo sapiens. Lineage (NCBI taxonomy): Eukaryota > Metazoa > Chordata > Mammalia > Primates > Hominidae > Homo > Homo sapiens. Next base: position 98,965,739 of record NC_000003.12, read on the forward strand.
CCATAGTGTTGTTATGAAAATAAAAATATAATAAAATATGATGGTTGTAACTCCTCTTTTAATGTCACCATAAACACCAGAGGTACTGTTATCATAGAACATTTTTTTCCATAACTTTTGCTTGTTTTTATTAAGTGCTTTTAAACTTGAGGAAACCCATGAGACAGACTTATCTGATTTCAAACTGTATTGATTCTCTACACTTGTCTGCTCTGTACAGGAGTTTAAGCATAATCATCTAAGAAGAAGCTTGGTTAAGGCAACTTTTTTTTTTTTTTTTGAGATGGAGTTTCGCTCTCGTTGCCCAGGTTGGAGTGCAATGGCGCGATCTCGGCTCACTGCAACCTCCGCCTCCCAGGTTCAAGCAATTCTCCTGCCTCAGCCTCCCAAGTAGCTGGGATTACAGGCATGCACCACCATGCCCGGCTACTGTTGTATTTTTAGTAGAGATGGGGTTTCTCCATGTTGAGACTGGTCTCGAACTCCTGACCTCAGGTGATCCACCCGCCTCGGCCTCCCAAAGTGCTGGGATTACAGGCATCAGCCACTGTGCCTGGCCAAGGCAACATTTTTTAATAACAGCCTTTTACCTGCCAATTTGGGGTAAAAAACATATTGACTGATATTTAAATATGGGATTTACTCAATCCAAAGAGATTTCGGCTTTTGAACTTTATACAGCAACGAAAAGATAAAATGGAAAGATTGAATCTGCAGAAAGTTATGAGAACTCTTTGCAGTTTAAATAGATAACAAGCGAAATTATGTTTACCAATAATTTTGATATTTACTTTCAATTCTTCTGACTAGGGAACTGGCAAAACTTGTAGGTAGGTTGTGCTTGAAAGAACTGTGACTAATAGTTGCTTCCTGTTGCTTTCCTGGTTCTCTTCTCTTTTGTTGTACCATTTTGAATCATCCAATGACTTTTGTGATCCTTGCTGTTGATGACCCACCAGTGTACCAAATGGTTTTTTGTTGTTGTTTTGATTTGGCTCACTTTTTTTTTTTTGCAATTTAAAGGAATTTTCAGTCTTTACAAAGTAATTTTCTCAAACATTTTAAATAGAGTTCTTATGTATGGTTATTTTTAAAGAACTAAGCGTTGCTGTTCTTAATTTCATATAATTCAAGGCAGATAGGTCAGATCACTTCTCTTGCCTCCTCAATCACTCTCAGCTCTTCTATATCTTGTTTTCTGCCAGACAGGTTGACTCATGTGGACCACATCATAAGTTCCCACACCCTTTTCATTCCTACTGAGTTTGCCCAGTTTGCCAATGGGGAGCCCTGGCAGTAGATTGGAGGGAAGGGGAATGAGGCCCCGGCACCCTTGCTGCAAGGTCTCTTCCTGCTGGCTGTGTCTCTCCAACAGAATATTGACTCCCGTAAGGCAGTAGGCATGACTCTGTGGATCCTGTACTATGTCTGCCCCTCTTAATAGCTTAGGTATTAGGCTATTACTAATCCTTGGATGTATGGTTCCCATAATCCACATCTTTGCAAATAGTCTCTTTGTAAATAAACCCTCATGAAATTATTCTATTTTGAACTACACCATCTGTTTTCTCTTGGGATGGTAAGTAATTCAGTGGATGTCTCCGTTTGGATCTGCTCTCCATGTTCCTACTTTCTCTTTTATTGTTGCTGTTGTTGTTGGCACTTTATGGGTATATGATGCCTGCTATGCATGCCCTTTCTGTGTATTTTTTCTATTTAGCATGATGTGTCTTTTTGTTCTCTGCCTTTATGTTCTCCGCCAAATGAGTGCTGTAATTTTCACATCTGTAATGTGTTTCTTTTGTCCTTTTATTTTAAAATAATAAAAAACCTACAAAGAATTAGCAAAGCTAGATTTAAGAGCTTTTTGATTCTGAACAATTTGAGCTAAGTTGTTGGTAAGAAGCCCCATAACTTCAAATACCTTAGTGAATATTTTATACAAGTAAGTAGTTTTCTGTATAACCACAGTAACATTATCAAATCAGGAAATTAAGAAGGATTCACTATTATTACCTAAATCACAAGTATCATTCAACTTTTTGCCAATTATCCCAATAATTTCCTTAAAAATAATTTAGTCCAAGATCACATGTTACAGTCAGCTGTTGTGTTTCTATTGTCTCCTTTATCAGGAACAGTTCCTCAGTCTCTTTTCACTTTCATGACCTGGACTTTTTATCACATTAGTCACCAAATCTGATTTATCTAATGTTTCCTTATTATTAGATTCAAGTTGTGCTTCTCCTAGGGCTGGAATATTACAGTAATGATTTTGTGTTCTTCTCATTGCATCCAATTAGATGGCACATGCTTTCAATTTGTCCCATTACTGATGATGTTAACTTTAATAATTTGTTTAGGTGGTGTCTGCCAGATTTCTCCACTGTACAGTCACTCCTTTCTTCCTTATATTTAATAAGCATTTTGTGAATAGTTGAGCCTATGTAACATTTCATTTCTCATCACACTTACATTTGGTAATTTTAGTATCTGTTGACATTTTTTGGCTGAATTAATTATTACTATGATGGTTGCCCGCTAGTTATCTTCTAATTTTACCATTTCTTCTGCATTTATTAGTTGGCATTCTACTGCAATAATTTATTCCTTCCAATTTACTTTTTTACTTATTTATTCATATCAGTATGGAGGTATAAATTCCTGTTTTATTCAGTAGGTTATTATTCATTCTGAGGCTTGGATTGTCCCAGATTCACCAGTGGGAGCTATTCCAAACTGGCTTTCATAATTGTTTGACCATTTCCTTGATATATTAAATAAAACATTCAGACTCATCTTTAATTTTTCCTGCTCTCACCCTGAAGTTAGCCATTTCTCTGAGGAGCACTGGTTCCTTTTAGTGAAGAATTGTTTTTAGAAATCAAGATCTGGCACCAGTATGCTCTCTGGTTTTGAAGTGTTATTGTATCCAGAGTCTGTCAATGGATAGAGCTAGGTAATATATGTAGGCAAGTGTTTTTTATACATACATACATTCACCAGTACATTAACTATCTATTTTTTCTTGAGGTACAAAATTTTTTTTTTGAGGTACAAAAAGAACTACCTCAAAATTTAGTGCTTAAAACAATGGACATTAATTACTTCGCAGTTTTATCCAGAATTCAGAGGGCATGGTTCTGGCTCCATGACTCTCGTAAAATTTCAGTCAAGATGTGGCCTAAGGCTTGTCTGAGGCTGGGGGATCCACGTTCAAGGTGGCTCACTCACATGTCCGAAGAGTTAGGGCTGGTTATTGGCTAGAGGCCTCATTTCCTCATGTCATTGACCTCTCCATAGAGCTGCTTGAGTATCTCATAAAATGGTGTCTGGTTTCCCCCAGAAGGATAGCCAGGAAGAAGCCAGAATGTCTTTTATGGCCTGGTCTCAAAGTCTCACTTTGTAATTTTCACAGTATACTATTGCTTACACAGGTTGACACTGTTTAGTATGGGAGGTGTCTACACAGAAGTCTGAATACCTTCCGAGGCAAGAAAAACTGGGGACCATTTTAGAGACAGGCTACCACAATATTTATATTTATTTCTTTATCTCTATTTTGATATCATTCTATCTATGCACTTATCTATCAATTGATAAAAACTATGAGTTCATATCAATACCTTGAAATCCAATCCAACACCACAGGATTCATTCCAGTTTTTGCTTTTTTCATGAGAATGAGAAAGCTGGTTCCCATTATGCTCATATACAAGTTGAGTATCTCTTATTCAAAATGCCTGGGACCAGAAGTGTTTCAGATTTCAGATTTTTTTGGATTGTGAAATATTTGCATTATACTTACTAGGTGAGCATCTGAAGTCTGAAAATTCAAAATCTGAAATCCTCTAATGAGCATTTCTTTTGAGCATCATGTTGACACTAAAAACTTCAGAATTTTGGAGCATTTTAGATTTCTTACTTTTGGATTTGGGGTGCTCAACCTGTATTCTTACTTATTTATTTATTTTTTTGAGAAGGAGTCTCGCTCTGTCGCCCAGGCTGGAGTGCAGTGGCACGATCTCGGCTCACTGCAAGCTCCGCCTCCTGGGTTCACACCATTCTCCTGCCTCAGCCTCCCGAGTAGCTGGGACTGCAGGCGCCCGCCACCATGCCCGGCTGATTTTTTGTATTTTTAGTAGAGACGGCGATTCACCGTGTTAGCCAGGATGGTTTCGATCTCCTGACCTCGTGATCCGCCCACCTCAACCTCTCAAAGTGCTGGGATTACAGGCGTGAGCCACCGCACCCGGCCTCAACCTGTGTTCTTAATCTCCTGGTCCTATGCTCAGCTACTGCTACCCCTTCATGGGGACTCTTACCCAGTGGTAGGCCACTGTAGTCTCACTTCTCTCCTACCCCATATGGACTAGTAGCTCACTAAGACCCCACCTAATGGTTTTTGAATTGAGTTATTCAGGAAGGAAGCTAAGTAGGTATGACTGTTTTTTGTTTCGAATTATGGCAATGGGAAGGTTTTATTATACTTAGATTTGGACTAGAGAAACCTCTACCTTTAGTCTAAACTGAAAAATGCTCCTCACATCTATCCAGAGGTCTGAGAACTCTGTCACATTTTCTGTGTAGATGGGTCAGGCACTTACTCCCTTTGTGAACAGTTGCTTATTTAACCTGTCAAGGATATTTTACGTAGGCTACATCTACATCTTCTCACTGCCATTTCCTCCTTTCCCTTCCCTTCATTTTCCTCTCATTTCTTTCCTCTTCACTTCCTACAGCATTCATACACTCCCATTTTTTTAGCTGCCTTTGCATAAAACTTATTACTGAGACTTATTAGCACACTCAAAGACATTGCTTGTTTTCACAGTAGCACCCAAGTTATTAATTGTATGGTGATAAAAAATCAAATCTCCGCCAGGCATGGTGGCTCAGGCCTGTAATCCCAGCACTTTGGGAGGCTAAGGCGGGCAGATCATGAGGTCAGGAGTTCGAGACCAGTCTGGCCAATATGGTGAAACCCTGTCTCTACTAAAAATACAAAAATTAGCCAGGTGTGGTGGTGTGCATCTGTAGTCCCAGCTACTGGGGAGGCTGAGGCAGAAGAATAGCTTGAACCTGGGTGGGACAGAGGTTGCAGTGAGCCGAGATCACGCCAGTGCACTCTAGCCTGGGTGACAGAGTGAGACTCCGTCTCAAAAATAAATAAATAAATAAATAATAATAAAAAATAAATAAAAATCAAATCTCCATTGATGCTTCATTTTAAAAAAGAATACATTAGAATGACCTTTCACATTTTAGCCCTTTATTGCAAATAAAAGTGCTTTGAGAACATGGCAATAGAATTTTTGAAAATGTCACCATTATTTTTAAGTCTCTGTTGAAGAACTTACTAGTGATCTAAGGACTTCGATTTCAGAATAAGAAATTTGAAGAAGTGAGGCAAGATTTCCAACACTAAAAATGATTATCCTAACAATATACCTTCTCTAAATTACATGCCAATGAATCATACAGACTATTATTCTTACTTTGATCCTTTCATCTCCCCAGGAAGTTAGGGTGATTTACTAGATGACACATTTCCTAATGGTTATGAGACAGAGGTTCTTGACATATCAGAGAAGCATAATCATTGATGAGCATGATGTTTAGTCATAATGTCCTCTAACATAAAGAAAGATAATGGGCCTTTTTTTCCAAGATGTGAACTTGGAGATTGGGCTTGGTTGAATCACCCACATAATTGAATGAGGTTTGGGGACTTTGTATATGAGGTTTTTTCCTCTATTCATAGAAATATCAGTTTGTTATACCCTGTCTGTGGAATGATGTATGGCAGGGGTTACAACACACACATGTCAGAGTCAGCGGACTGACACCTCTGAGCTAAAAAATTCTTACATCTCACTTGAGAATAAGATGTAGAGGAAGTCAGTAGAAGGACAGCCCACAGAGTGGGCTCAGCCTACTGAGCATGGGGGAATTCACGTTCAGTAGGTAGCCAGGGAAATAAGGGCAAATTAATACTAAGTACATCTCATGGTCCCTGAGGTTAACGTTACACAAAGCTAATATGTAATGTCAGTTTTGTGCTGTGAAGAATTCACCATGGCTTATAAAATGGCCTACATTTTTTGAGTAAGGCAAATGCCAAATTTTATCTAAAGTAATTCTTTAGAAAAATCATTTCAGCAAATTAGGAAAAGGATGAAGTAAGCAACCATAAAAGATAAACACTTTAAAATGTGATGAGTGGCACTTTATAGGAGCACAGAAAAATTCCGATAACATAGCATGACAAAATTAACCACAGAATAGAATATCGGGAGTTTCCAGATATCACTTTTATTTGGGCTTCTGATTAAGTATATGTACTAAGATTTTTAAGAAATTAAATTAAAAGTGGCTTTTGATCATGGTTCCTTCTGATTTTAAGAAGATAAAAAGCAGCAGTTCTCCAATATGAATTTTGACATAAATTTTCTTCATCTAGTTACCCTAATTTTAGTTTTTCTGGATGCATTATTAAATGTGTTTTGAAGGGCAATGTAAAGAAAACACAAAAGGACCGAATGAGCTATGATCTCACTCTGGGGGAGGGAAGGATTGGAAGGGAATATAAATCCCAGAGGTTCTTTCCCAGGAGTCATCATGGAAATATTAAACACACACACACACACACACACACACAGAGAGAGAGAGAGAGGGAGGTTGGTTTCACTGCACTTTCAACAAGTCCGTCATTCTCTGTTTCCTTGAGTATGTGTTCATTATCTCACTTTTCTTTATAAGAGAACTAAAAGGAACAAAGTTAATGTAATTTCCAAATAAGATCTGCAAATGGTTAACAAAACAAAAATTTTAAAAATACATATTAAAACTGCTCTGTTTATGAAAAGAATCTTTTCTTAACAGGAAAGAAAACTATAATACATAGTTTAGCAGAAGGAAAATTCCATAGGAACAAAATTATTAGCGTTTTTTAACCTTGGAATGACAGTTTGTCATTATCTTTCAAAGTATGAAAACGAAGTTTTCTATTTCCCAGTAAAATTTTTTTTTGTGGCACAAAAATATTATTCGTCATTATAGCAAAGATTTATTGTCTTGTCTCTAGCCTTTGTTACTCCATCTTCTCATAACAGCACCTTCATTTTCCTTAAGATATAATCTTTCACAGTTTATGTGGTATGGCTGGGGTGGACTCTCCTTCCCCCTTGTCTGTGTGACCCGAGCTTGACCAATCAACACATCCAGTTCACTGGTCACAGTGATTGGTTCAGGGATTATCATGTGACCCAATTTAGGCCAATGAGAATTCTTCTGAAACTTAGTTGTACATGTGGGTAATAAGTTTTTCACTGCCATTTTTAGCTGTAGGATGATGAAGGAGGCCTGCAGGTACTGGGAACCACCACGCAGGCAGAACCAGGCTGAAAATAGAGGTAGCAAAGAAGGAAGTGCTGTTAAGGGGAACAAAAAGACTGAGTGCCAAGGGCCATATTTAATTTCTTTCACAGAACAGTTTTTTTTTTTTTTTTTAAGGATTAGGTTGACTTTTTTTTTTTTTTGAGATGGAGTCTCGCTCTGTCGCCCAGGCTGGAGTGCAGTGGCTAGATCTCAGCTCACTGCAAGCTCCGCCTCCTGGGTTCACACCATTCTCCTGCCTCAGCCTCCCGAGTAGCTGGGACTACAGGCGCCCGCCACCACGCCCGGCTAATTTTTTGTATTTTTAGTAGAGATGGGGTTTCACCGTGTTAGCCAGGATGGTCTCGATCTTCTGACCTCGTGATCCACCTGTCTTGGCCTCCCAAAGTTCTGGGATTACAGGCGTGAGCCACCGCGCCCGGCCTAGGTTGACTTTTTTACAAAATAATTAGCAGTTGGCAAATATGGGCTACATGTAATGTCAATATTGATTGTAAAGCAATAAGTAGTCAATTCATACTGAAGTTTTAAACTTTTTTGCCTTAACCTATGTGGATTTTTACAATTTAATTAACTAAAACATTTTAATACTTATTATGGACTAGTCACCATTTTAAACACTTTAGCAAAAGCAGCCCACTTAATCCTCAAAATAATCCCTTGGTATAGAAATTACTGACATCTTTATTTTACCATGGAGAAAGATGAGGCTCAGAGAGGTTATGTAACTTGCCCAAGATCTGGTCAAGAACTGGTTAATTAATAAGAACAGAAATGTATTTCTCACAGTTTTAGAAGCAGGGAAGTCCAAGATCAAGGTGCTGGCATTTGATGAGAGCCTTCTTGCTGTGTCCTCACATGATGAAAGGCAGAAGGCTAATAGAAGGATGAACTCCCCAAGTCAGAGCGTTTTATAAGGGCACCTAATCCCATTCACAAGGAAGGAGCCCTCATGGCCTAATCTTAAAGCACCTGTTTAAGGTTTAGGCTCCACCTTCTAATATTGTCACATTGGCAACACCTGAATTTTGGAGGAAACACATTTAAACCATAGCATCTACCTCTGGAGGTTATTCTGAGGATTTCAAATGGCAGTACCTAAATGGCATGTAGCAAAGTATACTAATTTAACTATTATTATGGATAAATCTTATCCTTTTTGTTATATCTTATGCATTTTTTTGATTTCTATTCCCTTTCTCAATACGTGTGACTATTCTGCTGTCATTAAACCAGTGCTTTTATTATTTTCTCAAAAGTCCATTCTTTTAATTAAGTTCAGCTTTTTAATCATCTCTTATCCTAATTTGTTCTCCCAGTTGTTACAGGCTTTTCTTTTGGAATAACAAATAAAAGGATGGGATACAGAAAAAAATGAAGTCCTTGACCCACCTTTTTCTCTCTGTCTTTAGAGAACTAACCTTTAGGTACCCAGTCATTTCCTGTTCCCATAGAAGTTGAGAGATATTGGTGTCATGTTTGTTCAGCACTTTAAACCATCTTCTTTGGAGAGGGACTGAACTACTAACTATCTGTTAGTGAGTTGCCTCTGATCTCATAATTACAAATAGGAAGCCAGTGTAAATGTTAGCTCAGTTTTCAAGGGCAAAGGCCAAGAATCAATCACATTAAATATAATTTAAAAATTCTGCTAAAAACAAGCAATGAGGAAAGGATTTTCTATTTAACAAATGGTTCTGGGAGAACTGGCTAGCCATATGCAGAAAATTGAAACTGGACCCCTTCCTTACACCTTATACAAAAATTAACTCAAGATGGATTAAAGACTTACATATAAAACCCAAAACTATAAAAACCCTAGAAGAAAATCTAGGCAATACCATTAAGGACATAGGCATGGGCAAAGATATCATGATGACATTGCCAAAAGCAATTGCAATCAAAGCAAAAATTGACAAATGGGTTCTAATTAAACTAAAGAGCTTCTCTGCACAGCAAAAGAAACTATCATCAGAGAGAACAGGCAACCTACAGAGTGGGAGAAGATTTTTGCAATCTATCCATCTGACAAAGGTCTAATATCCAGAATCTACAAGGAACTTAAACAAATTTACAAGAAAAAAAAAACCAACCCCATTAAAAACCAGGCAAAGGACATGAACAGGCACTTCTCAAAAGAAGACATTCATGCTCCCAACAAACATATGAAGAAAAGTTCAACATCACTATCATTAGAGAAATGCAAATTAAAACCACAATGAGATACCATCTCACACCATTCAGAATGGTGATTATTAAAAAGTCAAGAAACCACAGATGCTGGTGAGGCTGTGGAGAAATAGGAACAATTTTACAGGGTTGATGGGAGTGTAAATTAGTTCAACCATTGTGGAAGATGGTGTGGTGATTCCTCAAAGATCTAGAACTTGAAATACCATTTGACCCAGCAATCCCATTACTGGGTATATACCTAAGGGAATAGAAATCATTCTATTACAAAGATACATGGACACATATGTTCACTGCAGGACTATTCACAATAGCAAAGATATGGAATCAACCCAAATGCCCATCAATGATAGACTGGATAAAGAAAATGTGGTACATACACGCCACAGAATACTATGCAGCCATAAAAGGGAATGAGATCATGTTCTTTGCAGGGACATGGATGGAGCTGGAATCCATTATCTTTAGCAAACTAATGCAGGAGCAGAAAACCAAACACCATTTAATCTCACTTATAAGTGGTAACTGAACAATGAGAACACATGGACACAGGGAAGGGAATAGCACACACTGGGGCCTGTTGGGAGGGTGGAATCAGGGGAAGGGGTGCATTAGGAAAAATAGCTAATGCATCTTGGGCTTAATACCTAAGTGATGGGTTGATAGGTGCAGCAAACCACCATGGCACACGTTTACCTATGTAGCAAACTTGCACATCCTGCACGTGTACTCCAGAACTTAAAAAAAAAAATTCTGCTGCTCTGAATGACTAATACGAAGTATTTAACAATATATAATAATACAATACTGTTGGAAAATCTGTGCAGAGGCAAAGCATTATAGATTGTGGTTGTTTAGTTCCTGTGCATTGTGGGTCACAAGCAGCCAAACTAAGTGCTTTGGAATATTTCCCTAAACTCAGTCCAGCGTTGGACACTTTGCACTCACAGACAAAAAACAAAATGGGCTTTTTCCCCTCCCCACCTCTGAGAAAAAGATCTGATCTACTCCAGAAGGAAGGCTTATGGTAATTATAAGTAGTCAATTGAGTACTGAATTATACCCGTTGTTTTAGTCAGCCTGGGCTGCCATAACAAAATACCATAGACTATTGGCTTAAACAAGAACAATTTCTCACAGTTCTGGAGGCTGGATGTCCGAGATCAGGGTGCCCAAGTAGTTGGCTTCTGGTGAGGACCACTTCCTAGCATGCAGATAGTTGCTTTCTTTCTGTGTCCTCACATGGCAGAGATAGAGTGAGCTCTTGTCCCTCTCTCTTCTTATAAGGAAAATAATCTCATCATGTGGGCCTCACCTTCAAGACCTCATCTAAACCTAATTACCTTCCAAAGGCCTCACCTCCAAATATTATCACATTGAGGGGTAGGGGTTCAACATGAGTTTTGGTGGGGGACACAGATATTCAGTTCATAGGACTCACTTTTCTCCTCTTATGATTTTCTTAGAGCAGGAGTGAATATTTATTTAAAAGCTTTAGAGCAGGAATGAAAGGAAGTAAAATACACTTGGAAGAGGACTAAGTGGGTGACTTGAGAGAGTCAAGTGTGTGGTTTGACTTGGGGTTTTATACGTTGGCATTTTTTTTTTTTTTTTTTTTTGAGACGGAGTCTCGCTCTGTCACCCAGGCTGGAGTGCAGTGGCGCGGTCTCGGCTCACTTCAAGCTCCGCCTCCCGGGTTCACCCCATTCTCCTGCCTCAGCCTCCCGACTAGCTGGGACTACAGGCGCCTGCCACCACGCCTGGCTAATTTTTTTTATTTTTTAGTAGAGACGGGGTTTCACAGTGTTAGCCAGGATGGTCTCGATCTCCTGACTCGTGATTCACCCGCCTCGGCCTCCCAAAGTGCTGCGATTACAGGCGTGAGCCACCGCGCCCGGCCAGGGGGTCTTACATCCCTTCTCCCTGATTCTTCTTGTGACTTTCTATGGAAATCAGCTATGGAGATCGATTTGAATATAATTATATTCTACCATAATTGCATATGAACTTAAAAGTTTACTTCCTCTGAACTTTAAATCAAAGTCATTATTAAAATTTCTCAGTTCTAACATTTAATGACCTAACTAGATCTTGGAGTTGGACTGAAGAAAATTGACCTAATATCTTTTTTGTCCTTGAATATTAAATTTAGTATCTTATATTTTCTCATGTAGTGAAGAAATATTAAAAGAAAATACTTTCACTTAAGTGTTTCATCTCATTGCTAACAAGAAATATTATGAAATGAACATCACTCTTTCCTCTGAGGAATTCTCTAGCCATTACTGGAGGCAGGATGTGGTGTTAGATGGACAAACATGACCTCATGATCCCTCTGCTAATGTGAATCTTTGTGAAAAATTAAGCGTATTTTTTAAACAATCGGTTTAAGGTTTAAGTGCATTGAGGTAGATAAAATGGGATCACCACCCTGCCTCAACTTGGCACCAAGTTGTCTTTGAAACCATGAGTCATCCTTCCTCTTACAAAGTGAAAATGCTCTTCAACAACTCATTGCTTAGTGGCTCAGAAATAATTTTGAAAAACTGATGACAATGCCATCAATTATTTTGTGAAGACAACAAACTCCTCTGATTTTTCCAAATTTGAGGGGTCTTTTCTAAGTCTTTGTGGGTTTTTTTAGACCATGATCTGGCATAGGTTTTTTTTTTTTTGGTTGGGGTGTTGTCTTGGTTGTGAGGTTTTAATTGTCATGTACAAGACTCTTGGGTCTCCAGATGCCTTAAAATGGAATCATTAGTGAATTAAAATAATGTAGCTCTCCAGAGTATGATTTGCTTCAGCTTGTTAGGTTGTTCAACTCTTTGAGAAATAAGATGAAGCAGGAGCTTAAGATGAAAACTTTCAATCTGCAGTAATGTGTTTACAGACCTATTGTTTCAATAGAAAGAAAACAGAGGTCAGAGAGAGTTGCTTAACTTAAACAAAAACTAAATACACACACACATAGACACACAAACACACACAAATATACACATCCTATTTTGTTAAGGACAATGAGGAGTTTCAAAATGACTTAATTATTCTCTGTGGGTCAATAAGTTTATTTATTTTACCTATCTCATCTCTCTTTTTTTTGGCAATTGACAGATTACTTCATGGAACCGTGATATAATTTGGATAGTAACAGATTTTATAGATTAATGAAGTAAGTCTGCGGTAAGATGTGAATTACTTTTTATAAAAACAAGTGATCCATGTACCACCAGAAAAATAGACTAGCAGAAGTCATCTAGTAGTATGTATTATACTCGCCAATGTGATAGCCTAAACAAACACAACCTACCCAGAGTGAAGCAGTATTACAGCAAGTCAGTATGTCAGGGCTGTGGTGAAGCTGGGGAGAAATGATATGTGGAGATTCAAAAAGCAAGGTAAATTCTACCATTGTCAAAAATTTATCAGTAGGAGCTCAGGGAAAGGAATCATATCCTGTGAAGTACATTTCCAGGTGTAAGACATGGTCCTACATCCCAGACGGGCTAGACTACTAAGAAGGTAACCAAAGCAAGAACTTAAACAGAGAGTAGAACAGGGATTGAGTTACCAAACAGGTGTCAACTGGGTTTTACCAACAGGGCAGAAGCTCCATTCCACCAGTCAGTCAGTCAGTCAGTCAGTCAGTCAATCAGCAAACATTTTTGTCTATGTGTAAGCCACCAATATATTAGATTCTAGGGCATAAAATAAAATAAGATATAGTTGCTGTCCTTTAATTGCTCACAGTTAGAGACTGGGATACAAGTTCAAGACCTGTCTAGGAGCGAGAGTCACAGGATGATGAATGCTAGAATAGAGAATCAACGTGATTTACATCTTTTCTGCCAAATGTCAGAATTGGTCTTAGAGATGGGGTATAAGAGGTGGAGTCTGCAAATGGGGATCCAGTAATTCTATTTATGGGTAAAGGAAGGTTGTAGAGGTCAGGAAGAGTAAGGGCCTGCCTCTTCTGGAACAGCATATGCAAGAACATAGAGATGGCATTTTCAAGTCTTGGCAGATATTTCCTTGCTCTGAATCCTATCATAGCTTGAAGAGAGCAGGGGAAGGGTTATGAACAGTTGTAGTTCTCTTTTGCTCTCAGCAAACAGGGACTTCACACATTTTAGTTAATCTGAAGATCAAAGAATGTCATGGGAGAAAATATGTTAAAAGCAAAACAATCCTTTTGAAATTGTGGGAAACCATCCGAGGAAAGACAAACATGTTTTTCCTCTATTAGATCATTTCTCTAGAAAGGAAAATCTTGATGATTTACTTACCTTCTAAGTGATTTTTAAATAATTAGTACCCATATGTGATTTCTGTCTCTATTTCATTATGATACTTTCTTGACACCTATTGTTCACATGAATTCTAAGGATGCTGCCAAAACAAATTTGTCACCTTACATGCTATGGGATAAAGTTATAAAACAATGTAACCAATATTAGCAGATTTCCTTATTCCAGTCTTCCAAATTTTGAGTTTGGTTCATTGTTAAGGGGTCTATTAGGAAGCATGCAGTCAACTCTGACCTAGGAATCAGGAAATTGGGTTTCAATCCTGTCTTTCCCTTTCTTGCTGTGTGACATTGGCCAGATCTCTTAATGGGAATTGGTTTCCTCAACTCCAAAATGCTTAGTTCATGCAGATGTTATAAATCTTAAATGAAATGATGAGGACATTAATACCAATATTTCAGGTTGGAATCTACAACCTCTCCAAATGCCATCCCACCTTTCCCTCAGCCTCATTCCCACATGATTCCTCTACATATCCTCCCTCTCAGCAAAACAAGATCACATTTGATTGACCCTGGGCACTCTTGTTTAGAACGTTTCCCTTCTATTTTCATTCAGGAACACTTTTGTTATTTCCCACTACCTAGAAAATAATGAATGAGGATACAAAGTGACTTTTCTCACTTGTTTTCTTGATGAGTCTGGTCCAAGTAGAGAAGCTGGTTACCTTTTTTCTAAAGCATTTGACTTTGGCTTTAGCCAAAATTTAACAGTATGTTTCTCTCTCTTTTTTCCTTAGTTTGGGTAGATCAGAAAGAGTGGTTTTAATAGGGTACTTTACAGTTAGCAACTTACTTGAAGAGCTTCTATGTTAAAATTAGTGCTTCTGTCAGAAATAGATAAAACATTTAAAATGTCTAGAAAGATTTCAGTTTATTTCAAATTATTGAGGGACTAATGGGCTATTCTCCATCAAAGTTCCTCAGGGACATACTGCTCTAATTATATGTATTGATTATTCTATTTTTCTGTATGCTTCTTAAGTAGTAATGATTTTTTCCAGAATATGCCTCTCTTATGTTTAATTGTTAATAAATATGTTACTAACAAAGTAAAATTATTTATTGAGAATCACAATTATGTACCAGATATTTAAAATAATATTAGTATGACTAGCCCCATTATAGAATATTAATCAAAGTTCAGAAAGGCTAAGTAAATTATCCAAGTTCAACCATAAATATTATTTTCCTGTTGGGGTTCAAGCGCAAGTCTACCTGACTCTAAAATGCAAACTTTTTCTATAATACCTTGAGGCAAACTTCAAATTATAACCTCAAAATGCTTGACTTACCTGTTTTAAATGAGGAGATATTTTTGTCTCCTGGGCTTGACACATACTTGGTGCTCAATAAATATAGAATAAGTGAAGAAATGAGTCATACTTATACCCAGAAAGAGCTGTGTGTATATTTTAGAAAGACACTAGAAGCTCTTGGGAGCATGTGGACAGTTGTGGCTGCTCCTGAGCTGACACTAACTGCTCATGACTCCTCTGTGGGAGAAGTAGGTGGTTTCCTAGAGGAAGAAGTTTGGGTAATGAAGCCACAGAGATTTGCTGATACATTTGCTAGGCACGACTTCTGGTCATTTAGAAAGCTATTTTGTGGCTTCATCAATAAGGTATTCCCCAGCTGTGTTACTCCTTCGCATTGTTATCTCTTTCCCTGGAATTGAAGGCTTCCTGGTCTGAGGCAAGGACAATTATTCCCTCACTGTCAACCCTGATCTCTGGCTGCAGTAATGAGTAGAGGAAGTAAGTAATACTGGGGAATCAATTTTTTTTGTATGGCATGGGATATAACTAATCCTTTGATTCTGAAATGTCATTGGTGTGTAAGATTCTCTGAGCATTCTCAGTAATAATGGGTACTACTGTTTGCAGAAATTAACAGATGGAAGCTGAAGTTCTCATTGCCTGGGAGTTATATTTTCTTTCATGAATAGTTTATTATTTTCTGATTATAAAATAATATATAGGTGTTAAAGAATATAATAAAGAGGAAAATTGAAAGAAGAGAAAAATATCATTTACAATTTCACCACATTAAATAAGACCACTATTGCTAACATTTTGGTAGATTTTTCTACTACCGCTGGCATTTTTTGGTAGTTGATATTATATTATACATATAAGTTTTACTTCTTTTTTTTGTCTGTTCACTTAGTATTCTGTGAATACTTTTCTAAGTGATTAAAAATGTAAAAACTCTTCTAAATAATTTTTTACTTGATGTTATAGTTACCCTCAATATTACTGTAAAGGCTCTTAAATATAAATGCATAATGATTATATACAATGTTCTTTTCTATAAATTAGCCATATCTGTCCAAGTCACATACCTTGTTGTTCATAGAACTAAGACTAGAAACAATTTGCTCTTATTAAACTAAAGGAATAAACAAAGTAAATTTTCTTGGTTTAGTGTTTTCACATTCTTGCTGAAGGCTAATATTAAAAATAAAATTGGGATTTTGATTAAAATTAAAATTATGTACTCTTAAAGAAGTGCTTCACTTAGTATATTCAGTCATTTTTTCAAGGTTCCCACACGATCATTCTGTTTTTAATGAGCTGAATGCAAGGAAAGAACAATGCCAGTAGTATTCTCTACTGGGATTTATTTTGCCTGTTAAAGAATACATCACCTTTGTGTCTGTATCAGATGGAATAGAAGCAGATTTTTACTGACAAATGATATAATATTATGGCATCTGCTATAGGTTTGTAGAACTGGGTTATGTTGTGGTTTTAATTATAACAATTTGATCTATAGTTTGAGTATGAACACTGAGATCTCCCCTTCCAAACTTTTCTTGTCATTTTTTACAGATGAAGAAATAAGAATGGAAGCATAATCATTTGTCCGAGGTCACAGAGGGAGATGATTACACAGCTGGAATGTAAGCCTCAGTACTTTACTGAATCCTTGGCTTTGTCCATGGGCCCAGCTACAGGCATAAAGCTTTTCTCTTCCCCAGCAGTGACTTCGAGTACCAGCTTTCAAATTTATTTGACATTGAATCTAAGCTTTGTGACCAGTATGTAGAAGGAGAAGAAGGGGAGGAATTACTTATCCTTTGGCATACATTAGCATGCAAATAAATCCTTTCTCTGCATTGTGGAAGGGTCTGAAATTATCACATATACAATGTATCTTTTATCAATGGCCTTGCATACAAATTTTACTTTGAAGAATCCAGATTTAGAGGTCTTCTCCAAACATTTGCATTGTTTCTTTTTCTTAGGATCAGAACTTCTACCTATTGTCATTTTAAGAAAAAAGATCATGAATTAATTAATTTATTCATTATTTACACCCTTATATTCTTTCCCAAATGTTTTAATGTGGCTTACATTGTATACATGTACACAATAAATATTTATATTTAAATAAGTTATAATCACAGAATGAGAATATTATTACAACCACTCATACTCATTCAAATAGCTTGATTATATCATTGAGCTTTTCTTTTAGTTCTGGGTTTTTTGCTGCCTAGTTTAAATCAGAATGGCATCTGATTTAATTAATGGAAACTGAGTTTATTTGATTGATGGAAACAAGATGATTTCAAGTGTGATGCACTTTTTCTGTACTAACGTTTGAGATACATTTATTACAACTGGCCACTTCATAATGGGCCATAAGCATTGTTTAAAGACAATGGCTACTATTGTTTGAAAGCTAAGGAAAGATCCAATGCTACCAGATGTATATTGGCTGAGAAATGATCAGCTGAAACTACAGGCTGAAATGCTGTATAAGGTAGGCAATAAAATTAGAGAATGTTTGCCGAACCCACTAAGCAGCAAAGAGGACCCAGCTTAGAAGTAATGTAAATTTTAAAGCTCTTTACCAGTGGCAAGCTAATTTGAAATATTAGAAGTTATTATTTGTTTTATGTTTCTCTCTCTAGCAGTATAGTTTTTAACCGGCTTGTAAGAGCTCTTTTGTTAGTAATGATATCAACCCTTCTTCTCTAAATTAGTTGTTTGCTTATTTACAATTTCTGAATTTTTCTCAAACATGACAATGATTCTGATGCAGTGGTTCTCAATCAGGGGTAGTTTTGTACTCCAAGGGACATTTTGGCAATGTCTGGAGACATTTTTGGTTGTCAGAACTAAGAGGACTGTGCTCTGGGCATTTAGTGGTTAGAGGACAAGAGTGCTGCTAAACATCCTATAACGGACAGGGTGTCACCCACAACAAAGAAGTATCCAACTCCAAATGTCAATAATGCTGCAGCCGAAAAACCCTGGTCTAAGGAATCATCATCCTGGTGTATTTTTTTTTTCCAGTAGTTCGGAAGAATGTGAAGAATTCTCCCAGAATTTTTCAAGATATTCCAAGTACCTATTTATTTTATAATCCTTGAAGACTTACTAAGTACCCATAAACTGGTTGAGGAAAGCCAGTTTCAAAATAAATATGAAATCATATTTATTTTTCTCTGATTAATCAAGGTCATCATGTTTTTAGATGCCCTGCAAAGAAAACTGGTCAAAATGTAAGACTGGCCCTCACATTAAATCATCCAAACTAGTAACACTCCTCTAAAGGACTTCCCTCTTGGAACATTCTTGACTTTCACATAATCAGTAGGCAACCTCCTTAGTCAAGGAGTCCTCTCTAACTGGCAAACCTATCATTTGGAAGAATGATCTTTTCTTCCTCCTTGCTGACTTTAGTTTCAGACAGCTAATTACAAGTCCTTGTTCCTCCGTGACCTAGACCTGTGACTTAAGGCAAATTACAATACCTTTTTTTCATGCCTAATTTTATTTAAAGATTTGAAAACTGTATTGCAATATAACTGAAATAAACTAAATTGCACAAAGTATAAAATTTAATATGTTTGGATATATGTATACACTTAAAAAACTTCACCACAATGAAGATAACAAACATATTCATTACCTGCAATGAAGATAAAGAACATATTCATCACCTGCAAAAGCTTCATTTGCCCCTTTGTAATACCTTCCACTTGTCCCTCCCTGCCTCTTCTCCTTGTTCTCAAGCAACCACTCATTTGCTTTCTGTCACTAAAGATTAGTTTGCATTTTAAAAGAATTTTATAAACTGGAAGAGTCACACAAAATGTCTTAGGGAATTTTTTTCACTCAGTATAATTATTTCAAGATGTATTCCTGTTGTTGAGTGTATCAATAGTTCAGTTATTTTGATACTCAGTAGAATTCTGTTGTATGGATAAACCCCAATTTATTTATCCATTCACCTAGTGGTAGACATTAGGATATAATACTTTTTCTTTCATCAAGTTTTTCACTATCTCTTGATGTTTACTTTTGTAAATGACTATTTTTCTGAGTGCACTGAGTGATAACCAAGCAAAACTTTTTGAAAATCTACCCACCAAAAATATTGCTGAAATATAAAGTTTTTGTGAAATTTGACACCTCACTTTGGACCTCAAAGATATTGGATAAACATGAAAATGACTACTTCTAGTATCACAAAAACAATAAAAATAGAAGAAATAATTATACTACTAACTGCCTAAATCATCAGCCATTTTTCTTACATTTTTTAAAGCAATTGGTCTTCTCAGATTCTCAGTTGGAGGGAATGAGATTTCTTCCCACTTGGGAAGTGGGAAGCAGTAGGTAAGATAAAAATCACTCAGGAAGTGTGAAAAGACTTGGCTTAAGTTGGGTAACTGTGCAGCTGAAAATTAGAATAATAAACTGCCTTTTTAACCTGGATGAAATTTTTTTTACGTTTCATATTTCAGCATTCTAGAACTCTTTTGGAGGGCTTCCATCTCTCCAATTTGTTGCTAGTAAAATACAAAAACTCTGCTTCTTGCAAGGTGTTTGATTTGGAAGATATTCATTAACAATTACTCACCAGGAAAAAGGAACACTCTTTTGATCTTAGTAGTTCACCTTTCTTAAGCTGATTTAAGAGCTCCTCATCATGGTGCCCATGAGTGCTACATCAAATAATACATGTCAAAGCCCTAAAATATTAAGCAATTTCTGGTTAATAAGGAGTTTTTGAACAGAAGGAAATCTGTAACACTGTGAGCTTTTCGGTCTGGGAGTTAAGTAGATATAAACAGGACGAGGAAAGAATACACAATAAGCAACTTATCTCGTTAATTTTCCACACATTCCTAGACATTTGTGAGTGGATAACCTGGGCTTTTATTGTCCAACTGTCACTTTCACTGCATCAATTTAAAAATACAGCTGAAGAGCATGTTTTACTTAGAGTTTGTTTTTAAAACTAGCCAGTTAAATTGATCAGTTGTTAGATCTGACTTGATTACATCTAAGATATTCTCACAGGAAACTGGTTATGATAAGAACTTAAATTCTATCATCTGCTTATGGTAACTTAGCACAAGAAGCATTTTTTTTTAAAGGCCCCTTTCTTATCTTTTATTATTCGAAAATGAAAAACATATTTTTCTAGTATTACTGAGAAACACCAAGGGACCCACCCAACTCCCAGGCTACTCACTGTTCTTTCTCTTAATTGCTTTTGCATCATGTCCAAGTCTGAGCATTTGCACTGAACACATGCTTGATAAACTCTGCTGGCTGAAGATGCTTGTCTGCTTTGCATTCCTCAGCCTGTGAAGGATTTTTTTCTGCTTCACATACCTAAAGGGGCAAAGGTCAAATCCCCTCAGCTGCAGATGAGGTCATATTGCTGATCGCCTGCAGCTGATCACAATAAAAACAAGTTCTCCCATGTGATCCATCCTCCCTATTTAGGAGCAGTGATGTCATCTCTAGTGAGACAGGATGAGACATGCAACTTGTTTTAAATTGAACTACATAAATTTTTCTTCTGACTTCACTGCAATCTTTTATTTACATTTTAGCAAAAGGATTAGTTTGGTCATCGTTTCAAACTAAAAAACACCCATAAATGAAATAGAGGGAGATTATATTTTATAAGTAGTCATTCATATTAAGTTGAGCCACATGAAATCGCCATTTTTCTATGTAAAATGATTGGATATTGGCAATTTCATGGTTCATCCTAATACTTCCAAAGCACCTACCTCCTAGAATATTAAACAAGTTCTAGAATCAGGCAGACCTTAGTTTGAATTCCAACTCTGCCATTTACTAGCTGGGTGATCTTAAAACTTTAGGGTAACTTTCAGAACCTCACTTTACTAAATTAAAAAAAATGAATAACATAATATGTACCTCACAGGGTTATAGCTAACACCTGTAAAGTCCTTAGGAAATCATTTGCCTACAGGAGGCACTCAATCCATGGTGTTAGTAACAATAGAATTAATACTGGTAGTGTAGTAACATAGGTCCCTTAGCCAAAGCCCTAGGGTCAGATGTGTTTCAGAGCTCGTAACTTCTCTGATTTTAGAAAAATCAGAAAAGTTATGAGTGGTGCTTATACTACTGTATACTACTGTATACTTATTATATAGTAGTATAATATTATAGTATTATAATATTATACAGTACTATAATATTATAGTATTATATAGTAGTAGATATATTAGATACCATGAGGATATTATGAGTAGTGCTTATACTACTGTACTGTAGTGCTTATACTCAGGACTAGCTACATAATTTACAGGGCTCTGTGGTGGGGGTGGGGAAAGCAAGGCATCTTGTTAAAAAATTATTAAGGATTTCATGATGCCACAGCAGAGCTTTTAGCCAAGTGCAGGGTCATTGTTAAGTGTAGGGCCCTGTGTGACTGCCCTGTTGTTTACATACTGTCTCAATATATACCCACAGTGTTACAGATCTTTTAGAATTTGTCTAGTACATTTTCCAGTTTTCACCAGGAATCTGCCTCCCCACCCCCCACAAAAAGTGAATAAAAAGAAAGGAAAAAGAAAACAAATAAATAAAATATATGTATACCCACAGCAAGGTCTGAGGACAGTATTCAAACACATTAATGCTTCTCTAGGAAAATGTTTGAATATTGACACTAAGTGGAGTACTTGACATGAAAAAATGCTCACCATCACTGGCCATCAGAGAAATGCAAATTAAAAGCACAATGAGATACCATCTCACACCAGTTAGAATGGCAATCATTAAAAAGTCAGGAAACAACAGGTGCTGAAGAGGATGTGGAGAAATAGGAACACTTTTACACTGTTGGTGGGACTGTAAACTAGTTCAACCATTGTAGAAGTCAGTGTGGCGATTCCTCAGGGATCTAGAACTAGAAATACCATTTGACCCAGCCATCCCATTACTGGATATATACCCAAAGGACTATAAATCATGCTGCTATAAAGACACATGCACATGTATGTTTATTGTGGCACTATTCACAATAGCAAAGACTTGGAACTAACCCAAATGTCCAACAATGATAGACTAGATTAAGAAAATGTGGCACATATACACCATGGAATACTATGCAGCCATAAAAATGATGAGTTCATGTCCTTTGTAGGGACATGGATGAAACTGGAAATCATCATTCTCAGTAAACTATCGCAAGAACAAAAAACCAAACACCGCATATTCTCACTCATAGGTGGGAATTGAACAATGAGAACACATGGCCACAGGAAGCGGAACATCACACTCTGGGGACTGTTGTGGGGTGGGGGGAGGGGGGAGGGATAGCATTAGGAGATATACCTAATGCTAAATGACGAGTTAATGGGTGCAGCACACCAGCATGGCACATGTATACATATGTAACTAACCTGCACATTGTGCACATGTACCCTAAAACTTAAAGTATAATAATAAAATAAAAAAAAAACAATTAAAAAAAAAGACTGTAAATATCTTTCTGTCAGTTCAGGTCAGATTTACCACCAAATGCATTTACCACAAACTTAGGAAAACCTTGCAGTTTTCAGAACATTTTGGATCTGGAATTTCAGATAAGGGACTGTAGTGGGGTTTACATTGTGTTTTCCAGGCTAGCCACACATTGGGGGTTTATGTAACAGACCTGAAGGTCAATCTGAGAATATTGAAGCCAAGGGCAATTGGGTTCGAATCCTGTTTTGACACATAGTAGTTGTGAGACTTTAGGCAAGACACTTTGGAGGCAGGGTTATAATGTGGTTCCCTAGGAGCCTTGGCTGAAGGGATGGGAGGGAAATCACAGCCTTCATTTACTGGTGGATGGATGGGCAGCAAGCTTCTAATGACAACAATAAACATAACCAAACAATGCCCACCACCCCAAAAATGCAAACCCAACAATTTGACTTCGTCTTCTACTTTATTTAGAGTTCTGCCTTCACTTACTGTCTTCTGATGCCTCTCATCATGGTGTTAACTGTCATGCTAACATATTTTCTTTACAAATGCGCTCTTAATACAGAATGTGACCAGGGAGTGAAGCTGTGTGATATGGTTTGAATCTATGTCCCTGCCCAAATCTCATGTCGAAATGTAATCCTCAACATTAGAGGTGGGGCCTGGTGGGAGGTGATTGAATCATGGGGGCAGACCCTTCATAAATGGTTTAGCACCATCTCCTTGGTGTTGTTCTTGTGATAGAGTTCTCAGAGAGCTGGTTGTTTAAAAGTGTGTTGCTCCTCCCTCCTGACCCTGCCACTGTTCCCCCCTTGCTAGACACCTTGCTGTCCTTTTGCCTTCTGCTGTGATTGGAAGCTTCCTGAGGCTTCGCCAGAAGCAGAAGCCACTATGCTTCGTGTATTGCCTGCAGACCCATGAGCCAATTAAACCTCTTTTCGTAATAAATTACTCAGTCTCAGGTATTTCTTTATAGCAGTGTGAGAATGAACTAATACACTGTGCCTCCTGTCTAAGCATCCATCCCAGCTCTGTCTTTGGCCAAAATTTGAGTCTGTGGAATAATAATGGGTGCCATTTATTGCAACTTACCATTTTGGTGAACAAAGGGCAGTTCCATCCATGTATAGTAGGGGCTTGGAATCAGGTTTCTTATTGGAATCTATGATGTATTTATCAGAAGCTATATATACTTGTATTATCCTACAATGACTCAATGGAATGATTCCTGAGGCAAGCAGTCTTAATGAAACCAAGTTGATTTTTCTCACAATGCAGAAAGAAATCAGATTAATTTAACCTGTATAATATTTATTATTTTATTAATTATGTAATCTTCTTAGGATATAAAATAAGTGGACAGAATTTTTAAAAGTTTAAGAGGATGGGATTTTAATGGAAAACCGCAAAACACTTGAACAGAAAGAGATGCACAGACATACACTAGAAAAAAATACTATACCTTAATATCCTTACAGATTAAGAAATAAAATAGTTGATAGAATTGTCCTAGTGGAGCATGAGACAATGAAATCATTTCAAGCATGCTGGAGTGAGAAAATTAAGGTCAGAACCTGTATTTCATCCATTTGCATCCTAGAAAATGAGGCTGCCTAAGAAAGCAAGCATGACCAACTCCAATTATTTTTTGCAAGCGGCATGTGCAATTGTGCTATCATTCAATAGAAGTTCAAAGTAGGAAAGTATCTTATTATGGTTGAGAATACACCAAGAAATTTCCAGTGGAAACAACTGGATTGTTAAACTGAATGAAAATATTCAGAAATGAGTGTGTTTACCATAAAGTATCTAAATTCTAGATGCAAAACATCTGAATGTAAGTTATCCATGTAATAAGCAGAAGTGAGTATAAATAATACAATCATTGAGACCGAGAAAGAGGTGGGTTATTTGATAAGAACTGCAGATGACTACTTTCCCCAGGAAAGGTATGCCCTTCAGTAACCACCTACTACCATGTCTACCCTTACTTTTCGGAGGGAATAGCAGACTCTTCATAACTACTAGAGCCCTTTCTTATTTTGTGGGAGGTATGGGATGCCATGACTCCCTTGAAAAATCTGCACTTACCTTTTATGGGAGAAGTCTCATGCTTCACAATGTCTAGAGATTTGGAATTTCTAATTTTTTTTTCATGTTTCACAGTCTTCTTTCCAATCTCTTAATATGGTATTCATTTTACTCTTTAAAATTCCTCCCTTGATTTTACCTGCTATTTGTACAGTACATGTACAAGTTTAAAAATAAGAATAGCCATGCTTATATCGCATGGACTCTGTGCTAGGCACTGTTCTGAATGCTTCACATGTATCTATTCATCTAACCTCACAATGTCTCTAAGAGCCACCTTAATGATTACCATTTCCATCTTAAAAATGAGGAAACTGACTTACAGAGAGGTTAAGCACCTTGCATCACTAATAAGTGGCAGAGCCCTGATTTCGATCCAAGGAGTCTGGTTCCAAAATCTTGCTTAACCACTCATGCTACTGTTCTACCTTAGCAGACTTTCCCTTAGTAGGTTATTTTATTGGTGCCTTTAGTCCTGAATCATTTTATCCCTTCATGTTTGGAAAGTATTCAATTCTTATAACAAACCAGAAATAAATGCCAAAAGCATCTTTGAAATCTTTTGAACTTCTCCTATTTGAGACATTTTTTAGACCTATCATCATGGACTTCACTTTCCCAACAGACTTGGATTTTAACAACTTCAGCACAGTGTTGCTATAACATCAGATACTGGGAAGGCACAATGGGACTCACCCACTTAGATTTCTGTGATGGGGCTTACTTCACACTCTAGACTCCAGAATCTTAAATCTTTTTTTTTGAGGTGGAATTTCGCTCTTCTTGCCCAGGCTAGAGTGCAACGGCACGATCTCCAGAATCTTAATTTTAATGGGCAGTGAGGGTCAATCCAGTCAAATAATTTATTTAACAAATACCTGGAAGGGTTCTTAATCTTAGAACTTTAGGAATACAAAAATTTTTTTTGAGAATCATTGCACTCACATTCTGTATTTAATTACATACAGTTTATTCATATATGACAGTTATCAATTTATTGCCCCTTAGCTCCAAATTTACTCTCCAATATTTGTTCTGTGATAAAGGAAGGAATTATTGTAAGCATCTCCTTTACAGTGAGGATGATGTTCAACATCCTCAGTAGAGGGCACTAGAAGGACATAGGAGGCAAAAGGGGATCTTCTGCTGCTTCCAGTGATTGTAGGGTCAGTTAGTGGTGTGATGATGAAGACAGGGTTGTGCTGTGTCCCAGCCAAAAGCCCAGAATATTTGGCCCCTACACAACCTTGAAGCTCCTGCCTGACCTGGTGATCAATTTCCTGGTCCTTATTGACAGAGACACTAGGAAACACTGCACTCTAGGCCTCTTCTCCTCAGGGTATTTGTTCTTCTTATTACTCCTATGTCTCTAACCACTTTCTGAAGCTCACTTATACTCTCACCATGCCTGGAAGGTTGACTCTGCTTGCCAGCGTGCTGGCCACTGGCTGTATAAAGCGTGAGCCCCAGAGGGTTGTTTCCTGCTTGCTCAGTGACTGCAGAAGATCTGGTCCAGGCAAAGAGGAAACCTCTCTGCTGTCCACTGGGCTGCAATCTTACTTTTTCCAACCCAGACTTGGGGAGAAGTCACACGTTCCAAATTTGGCCTTTCTTTAGTGCTCTCCTCATCCTACGGTAGCATATTTAGCCTTAAAAATATTTTATAGTTACACTTTGACCATAGTTTAATAACTTTGTATATTAAACTTCCCCTGTTTAAATCACTATATGATTTCTGACTCCTGATTGGACCTGAACATCTATATGATAAATATATACAATAAAACAGAGAAGATATTCAATAGATTCTGGTGTCAGACCATTTCCTTTTTACTAGGAGTTTCCAACCCCATAGCTCTTTCTTGATATTCTTCATTTGTTTGTTTCATTCATAGTAGACTTAATTTTTTTGTAGTTAGGTTTACAGAAAAATGAACAGAAAAATGAGCAGAAAATACAGATAATTTCAATAGGACCCTTGCCCTCTCCCTTCAGTTTCCTCTGTTATTAACATCTTTCATTAGTGTGACATATCTGTTAGAATTGATAAGCCAATATTAATGCATTACTGTGAAATAAAGTCTATAGTTTACACCCAGTTGTACATTCTGTGTTTTTTCAAATGTATCTGTCACTGCTGTATCCTACAGAATAGTTTCACTGCCCTAAAAATTTTGTCCCTCCTTCTGACCTCCTGAACCCCTGACAACCACTGATCTTTGTACTATCTTCAGTTTTGCCTTTCCCAGAATGTCATATGGTTATATTGATACGGAATATAGCCTTTTCAGATTGACATCTTTTACTTAGCAATATATGTTTAAGGTTCTTCCATGCATTTTCATGTCTTCACACCTCATTTCTTTTTATTGCTAAATAATTCATCATATCTGGATGTACCACAGTTTATTTTTTTTACTTCCAACTTTTATTTTAGGTTCAGGGGTACATGTGCATGTTTGTTATATAGGTAAATTGCATGTTGTGGGGGTTTGGTATACAGATTATTTCATCACCCATGTAATGAACATAGTACCTGAGTAGTTTTTTGATCCTCTCCCTCCTCCTACCCTCCATCCTCAAGTAGAACCTAGTATCTATTTTTCCCTTCTTTGTGTCCATCTGTGCTCAATGTTTAGCTCCGACTTATAAGACAGAACATGTGATATTTGGTTTTCTGTTCCTGCATTAATTTGCTTAGGATAATGGCTTCCACCTCCATCCATGCTTCCACAAAGGACATGATTTCATTCTTTTTTATGGCTGCATAGTATTCCATGTGCACCGCGGTTTCTTTATCCATTCACCTATTGAAGGACAGCTTGGTTGTTTCCAAGTTTGGGAAATTATGAATAAAACTGCTATAAATATTTATGTGCTTTTTTTGCATAGACAAAAATTTTAAACTTCTTTTGGATAAATACCAAGGAGCATTATTACTGGATCTTGTGGTAAGAATGTTTAGGTTTTAAAGAAATTGCCAAAGTGTCTTACACAGTGACCTGTACCATTTTGCCTGCCTGCCTGCCTTCCTTGCTCCAATTTTCTTTCTTTCTTCTCTGAAGACAACTGTATAATGTGGCACTGCACAATCTCTCTCTAACCAAAGGGTGCAACCCCAGTGTTCTGCTGAAGATGCTCTACCTTCTTTTCTTGTGACATATAGTGACCTCTGCTTGCTGTGACCCTAGAAGGGGCTTTAAAGTTGGTTTGGAAGGAGGATGCTTAGGCCTGCTGTATCACAGGAACATAGATTCTCCTTTTCATTCAGGATTGTGACACTTGCTGTGTAATTCAACTGCAGGATATAGCTTCCCTTCATGAAATCAGCTTCTTAATTGTTGGCAGAATTGGGAACCTTGGAAAATAAAGCCAAAAGGTTATGGAGATATTAAGTGGAAAACAGCTAGACATTTAAAAATATATAGTTCCTGAAGGACACTCCCTGAATGCCTATACATTAGAAGTTCCTGTTGGTTGAGGATGGCTAATAGTCTCCCATAGAAAAGAGCCAATGAGGACTCATCAATATTCCAGAATAAGCTTTGGATTTGGAGGTTTGAGAGAGGAGTGAGTTATGAATATGTAAGGAAAGCTCTTTGCACATGGAACTATTTTATAATTCAGCCTCATGTGTCTCCTAAAGCCTGACAGCTCTCAGTTGACTCTTCTCTGATCTCACAGCTTCCTGCATTCTCCTTCATCCTTCCTCAAAACAATTATGCTCTAGGCATTGAATAGAAAATTCTCTGCTGTTCAACATGCCATAAAATGAGAAGAACTAGGGAGAAGCATTCATTTCTTGCTTATACCACAGAAGAATTAAGATGGAAAAAATGGGCATGAGATTCCATGTTTTTCCTTAGGACAGTATTTCCCTCTGCTGGTGAAAGCCTGTAACTTTTTTATCACCAGTTAATGTAGCTTGAAAAGAAGTAATCAACCAGGATTGTCATTTGAGTCTGTGTTCTGGGGAATCATTTGGTGTTCTCTTGCACATAATGTGTAGTTTTTAGAATCTAACAAAACTGCAGTGGAAATGATGTGTTACCTCTTCTTATTTTTTCACATATTCAATTCTAAAATATCCTTTCCCAAACAATGCTCTGGTGTCTGGGAGAAACTGCATTTATTTCACCAAATGAGCATCTCTCTCTCAGCTTGTGGTTTACTTTCCTCAGAGCCCAATTAATTATAATTTAGAAGGGAACCTCTTTTAATGCTTATCCCTGAAAACTCTCCTCTTTCTCTCCAGAGAATTAATGGTGTAATTGTATTCCATAGAGTTTGGAAATAATAGGTGTCTCACATCAAATTCAGTTGGCATAATAAGATCCTTGTGATTTTTGTAACCTGAAGCTATTCCACAAATTTCTCTCTTCTGAGGAAGGTTAACTCAGACAGTCCTAGAGGAATTGGGCTGTTATAGTGCCTTACCTGGAAGTAGACCACAGGAGATTTCTTAATAGACTCAAAAGAGGATAACTGAGCCCTATAACATGTACACATTTTAACACTAGTGTGATTTTTGCATGGATATTTAGCAAAAAGAAAGAAACAAATGTAAATACAGGGAGAAAAAGGAAATTGGCTTTGGGATTTGACTCACCTCTACATTTTGATGAAGGCAATGGGGTAAATAATTAAAACAATGTATTTATAGATGGCTTTTAGAGTATTACCTGAATGCTGTTGCTACTGCAATGGGCTTAGGTGATGTATTATGAGCATAAATATTTACCTGTATCCTTAACACACTAATAATTATTCCAAGCTTACCTCCTAATTTATTTTGACAGCTTGAATGTCCTCTTTTTGATTCTGTTTTTAACTATGTGTGTTTTTTGAATTGAATATTTACTTTCTCCTAAAACTAATATTATTTTGGGAAGTCTTAAAAACTAATTTTCAAAAAAGGTGAAACTCATGACTGTCAAAGAAATAAAAATGAACAGACGGTAAATATTTTATTCTACTCATTTACCAATGAGGGAACCAGGGAGATGTTACAGCTGGCTCAGAAGAGAATCTGAAGACCAGACACATTTATAAATCAGAAATATTAAAATGAACTTGCAGGTGGGGGCAAAATTGGTTTTTCCACAGGAGGGGAAGGGAAATCAATTGGACTTTTATTGAACAGGATGGAATTTGCATGTCAATAGGCAAGAATTATTTTTGTGTTGTTACCATTTATTTTCAATTTACAGAGTTGCAAACTAGCTTAAAGACAATAAAACAGTTGAATCAGATAATCCTTAAGGTGTCCTTTAAAGTGTAAACTTCCAGTATATTTTTTCTCCTGCAGGAGAAAATAATTTTCTATTTGATCCTCTTTCCTCAATCAGTTTCCTTAGAAAACAGGCAGATGTAAGGCTCTCTCTGCAACTCCTAAGTTTCTAGATTAGATTCTTCTTGTTATTTCTCTCATACATGACACAGTGAAGTTAGATAAGAATTTGGATAGTGCACATGTGAGATGATCCATCGTTAGAAGTCTTCCCCCCGATGAAGTTTTATTTAACTATGTAAAATATCCAATTTTCTTTGTTTCTTAGTTTATATTTATTTTGTTCATTGACTTTTTCTTTCAATTCCATTTAGCAAATATTTTTGAATCACTTATCCAGCGTCAGCTTTAAGAAAATAGAAGTAAGACAAAGCCTCTGTCCTCAAGAAACTTGAATACAACAGATATGAACTTTACTTCATATACTCAGAGATACAAAACATATCAACATGCTTTAGTTTCTTTAAATCAAATATATTCTGAATCTGAGACCCAGCCACCTGTTTAGCAGAAAATTTAATCTCATTCATTACCTGTCTTCCTTGGAATCATATGTAAGTCCCAAGAGTTTTATTGAAAAGCTGATGGGTTTATGAAACTATTAACTCAAGGCTGAGTAGAATAAGAATTAATAACATGGGACTGAATGAACTGGTGAGAGAAGATAATGGTTTTTCTTTGGAATATTGTTAGTTCTTTAATGCTCCATTTTTTGGATATAAGAAACCCCTTTCTTTTTTCTCTTAAACTATCCATAAATTACAATGATTTAGTATATTATACTTTTGTAAACAGAAATGAAACATTTATCTTTTCCCTTTCCTGATCCCTTCAGAATTCCAAAGCTCTTTTTGAATATTCTTATTTTCATGGTAATATAATTATTTACATAAGTTCAATAAGAATCTACCTTTTTTATTTTACCAGGACATAATTGGAAACATTGGTTGTATTAACCAAGGCTTTGACTGGAATGTTATATTTAAGAATAATAGGCATAGAATCAGATATGACCAGACAGATTTAAGGAGTTAAGGTTGACTTTACGGAACCAATGCTTAAAAAGCCCTTCTAGAAAAAATAGCCTGGGAACTAACTTATAGTGTTTGCAGCATTCCATGTGAGTAATGTAGTTTTTATTCAGGCAGGCCTAGGAAACTTAGAGTATTTTGGGGACTTCAAGGAGAGAGGGATTCACCCAAATTGGTAGGTATTGAAGGTAAAATCTGGTGGCAAAGTCTTGGCTTGGTTTCCTAGTCTTGAGAGGATTTTAGAAGTCTAATCTGAGATTCCTTATGAAAAGTTTCAGCAAAGCAAACTTAAAAAGGTCTTTGTGGTCAATTATAGTCTTGCTGCACCTAGGTAAACAATCATGCCAGATCTAATGAGACCAGACTTATTCTGAAGACAAGAATAACCTTACTTTAGTTATCTTTAATCAAAATGAGGGTGATTGTAGTGAGAAATTTTGTATTTTCATGGAAAGCTATAGCATACTTTTCTGAGTGTTCATTGTTTTAGAGCTATTTTTCGCCTCCTGGTAACTCCATTTTACTTTCTACTTTATTATCTATCTGTAAACTAGACTGGAACCTCCTCAACTTTTCTAGTTTCCTCTGAAATCTGGCTACATATCTCCAAATGAACATTTCCAATTTTTCTCCCACACTCCTGACTTTGCATTACTGAGAACTAAAACCTGATTGCCCATGTTCTTCTTGGGACTATCTAAAGAAGCCCTGTATTTGAAGCTAGATGTTTCCATGCTCTGTTCTGAGAAATAACCAAAACTGCAGCACTAATGCATGTATCATCACCAAAGACATTCAAACTGCAAGCCAGGAAATCTGTCAGCTCTCCACTGCCATCCTCACTCCACCATCTAAAAATGCTTTTAACCCAACATAAACTCTTGTCAGCTGGTTATACTCTGGACTCAGAAACTGGGTTTTCAGCTTGCTTCAACCATTAATTTTTGTCTTACTTTGTTTTCCTAGAAACTCTCCTCCTTCAATACCTGACTACTTGCACCATCCAGCAGATATCCTCTACTACCAAGTCTCAACAGATGGTTCAGCTGGTCTTTAATGAACAAAAGGCATTTGTGTAATGGACTCTTATTGCTCAAGAAGAATTTCTTCCTTCCTGAAACATGAGGAGAAACTGACAAAAACTGTCTCCTTGACCAAACCCTAGTCAGTTGCCTATAAGCCCTGTAGGCTGTGACCTTAGTGTCTATCCTTATCAGACACGCATTACACAACCATAGCAACAGTCTTGCTAAGTTGGTTTAACCAGAACCCCTACCCTTGATATCTGATTTAATTTATAATTCCCCTGAGTCCCCGAGGTGACATCCATTCATCCTGGCCAGCTTTCAATAAGAATCCTATTGGATTATTTAGCTAGAAATCACCCCTTACACTTAATGCTTCCTTTTAGTAATTTTGCATCCACTAACCCCGACCTTGCTCGTTGGCTATAAATCCACAAGTTGTCCGTGTTGTGTTTGGAATTGATTACAATTCTATATTGAGGTCTCTTTTCCCATATTGCAATAGTTCCTGATTAAAATCTGCTTTTGCCCATTGATATGGTTTGGTTGTGTACCCACTCAAATCTCATCTTGAATTGTAGCTCCCATGATTCCCATAATTGAATCATGGCAGCAGTTTACCCCATACTGTTCTTGTGGTAGTGAATAAGTCTCATGAGATCTGATGGTTTTATAAGGGGTTTCCACTTTCACTTGATTCTGACTCTCTTTTGTTTGCCGCTATGTAAGACATGCCTTTCACCTTCTGCCATAATTGTGAAGCCTCCCCAGCCACATGGAACTGTGAGTCCGTTAAACCTCATTTTCTTTATATATAAATTACCCAGTCTCAGGTATGTCTTTATCAGCAGCATGAAAATGGACTAATACACTCCTTTAACTGTGTAGCTCTGGTGTTCTTTGATGAGCTAGAAACTGTAAATCTCTGGAAGTCAAATCTTCATTTGAACTGGTTGTTATATATTATTGATTCTCTCAATTATTTAGTTAAATAAAAGTCTTGACATGTTAAATTTGTATTTGCAGTTGTGATTTTTATCCTCTTCTAAAATGTATCCTGTTACAGTCCCACTAATATAGCCCCCATTGAACCTCACATGTTATTTGAAGTCACTTTCCTGACACAGTAGGGATGATGATTTTTGCCAGGGATCTGTAGTTTTTGGGATGCTGCATGATTGTGCAAGTTTTGTAGTACTCAGCTCTAGATGGTGCCATTCACATAGAGCATGGGTAAAACTTTGTAGATAGTAAATACGCCACAACTAGTAAACTCTACTACTGTAGCTCAAAAGCAGCCATACACAATATCTTAACGAATAGGATTGACTGTGTTGCAAAAATATTTTTTTAAATTTTTTATTTGGTTTTGGTTTATAATTTTAAAAATAATTTCAAGTTTTATTTTAGATTCAGAAAGTACATGTACACGTTTGTTACATGGCTATACTGCATGATGCTTAGGTTTGGGGTATGATTGATTCTGTCACCCAGGTAGTGAGCATGGTATGAAATGGTTAGTTTTTCAAACCTTGCCCCCTTTCTCCCACCTCTATTAGTCCCCAGTGTTTATTGTTGCCATCTTTATGTCCATGAGTACCCAATGTTTAGCTCCCACTTATAAGTGAAAACAGGTAGTATTTGGTTTTCTGCTTCTGCATTAATTTACTTAGGATAATGGCCCCCAGCTACATCAATGTTGCTGCAAAGAACACATGTTCATTCCTTTATATGACTGCGTAGCATTCCATGTTGATTCCATATCTTTACTATTGTGAGTAGGGCTGTCATAAACATATGGGTGCACATGTCTTTTTGGTAGAACAACTTATTTTCTTTTGGATATATACTCAGTAATGGGATTGCTGGGTCAACTGGTACTTTTGTTTTAGGTTCTTTGAGAAATCTCTAAAGCACTCTCACAGTGGCTGAACTAATTTATATTCCCACCAACAATATATAGGTGTTTCCTATTCTCTACAACCTTGCCAGCATCTGTTGTTTTTTGACCTTTTAGTAATAACCATTCTGACCAGTGTGAGAGGCTATCTCACTGTGGTTTTGATTTGCATGTCTCTGATGTTAGCTATGTTGATCATTTTTTTCATATGTTTGTTGGCTGCTTGTATGTCTTCCTTTGAGAAATGTCTGTGCATGTATTTCACCCACTTTTTAATGTGGTTGTTTGCTTTTTTTCTTGTTGAATTGTTTAAGTTCCATATAGATTCTGGATATTAGACCTTCATTAGATACAGAGCTTGCAAATATCTTCTCCCATTCTCTGGACTGTTTGTTTACTATGTTGACTATTTCTTTTGCTGTGCAGAAGCTCTTTAGTTTAATTACGTCCCACTTGTCAATTTTTATTTTTGTTGTGATTGCTTTTGAGGACTTAGCCATACACTTCTTCTCAAGGTTGATGTCCAGAATAGTGTTTCCTAGGTTTTCTTCTAGTATTATGACAGGCTGATGGTCCAGTTTTATTTGTCTGCATATGGCTAGCCAGTTATCCCAGCACAATATATTGAATGGGGAATCCTTCCCCATTGCTTATCTTTGTCAACTTCATGAAAGATCAGATGGCTGTGGGTGTGTGGCTTTATTTCTTCTATTCTGTTCCATTAGTCTATGTGTCTCTTTTTGTATCAGTCCTACGCTACTTTGGTTACTGTAGGCTCATGGTATAGTTTGTAGTTGGATAATGTGATGCCTCTGACCTTGTTCCTTTTGCTTAGGATTTCTTTAGTTATTCAAGCTCTTTTTTTGCTTCCATATGAATTTTTGAATAGTTTTTTCTAATTCTGTAAAAAATTACATTGGTCATTTGATAGGAATAGCATTGAATCTGTAGATTGCTTTGGGCAGTATGACGATTTTCATGATATTGATTCTTCTCATCCATGATCATGGAATGTTTTTCCCTTTGTTTGTGTCGTCTATAATTTCTTCTAGCAGTGTTTTGTGGTTCTCCTTGTAGAAATCTTTCACCTCCTTGGTTAGATGTATTCCTTGTTTGTGTGTGTGTGTTTGGTGGCCATTGTTAATGCAATTGCATTCTTGATTTGGCTCTCAGCTGGGATGCTGGTGTATAGAAATGCCACTGATTGTTGTACATAGATTTTGTGTCCTGAAATTTCACTGAAGTTATTTATCAGTTCCAGGAAACTTTTAGCAGAGTTGTTAGGGTTTTCTAGGTATAGGTTCATATCATCAGTAAAGACAGATAGTTTGACTTCTTCTTTCCCTATTTGATGCCTTTTATTTCTTTCTCTTGCCTGACTTCTCTGGCTAGGACTTTTAATATCATGTTGAATAGGAGTGGTGAGAGTGGCGTCCTTGTTGTGTTTCAGTTCTCAAAGCAGATGCTTCCAGTTTTTGCCCATTTAGGGTGATGTTGGCTGTGGGTTTGTGAAAGGTGACTCTTATTGTTTTGAGGTATGTTCCTTTGATGGCTAATTTGTTGAGGGTTTTTATTATGAAAGAATGTTGGATTTTATCAAAACCATTTTCTGCATCTTTCGAGATGCAGAATCATATGGGTTTCGTTTTTAAATCTGTTTATGTTGTGAATCACATTTATTGATTTACATATATTGAATCAACTTTGTGTCCCAGGAATGAAGCTTACTTGATTGTGGTAAATTAACTTTTTGATGTGCTGCTGGATTCAGTTTGCTAGTGTTTTGTTGAGGATTTTCATGTCCATGTTCATCAGGGATATCAGTCTATATAATTTTTTGCTGTTGTGTCTGTCAGGTTTTGGTATCAGGGTGATGCCAGCCTCATAGGATCAGTTAGTGTATTAATCTGTTTTCATGCTGCTGATAAAGACATACCCAAGATGGGGCAATATACAAAAGAAAGAGGTTTAATTGGACTTACAGTTCCACACAGCTAGGGAGGCCTCACAATCATGGCAGAAGGCAAGGAGAAGCAAGTCACATCTAGTGGATGGCAGCAGGCAATAAAAAGAGATTGTGCAGAGAAACTCCCATTTTTTAAAGCCATCAGGTATTGTGAGACCCATTTACTATCACGAGAACAGCATGGAAAAGACCAGCCCCCAAGATTCAGTCATCTCCCACCAGGTCCCTCCCACAATACGTGCGAATTGTGGGAGCTACAAGATGAGATTTGGGTGCGGACACAGAGCCAAACCACATCATTCCACCCCAGCCCCTCCCAAATTTCATATCTTCACATTTCAAAATGAATCATGGCTTCCCAACAGTCCACCAAAGTTTCAACTCATTTCAGCATTAACTCAAAAATCCATGGTCCAAAGTCTTATCTAAGACTGCCCATTCCTACTGCCCATTAGCCTGTAAAATCAAAAGCAAGTTAGTTATGTCCTAGATACAATGGGGGTATAGGCATTGGGTAAATACAGCCATTCCAAATGGGAGAGATTGGCTGAAACAAAGGGGCTACAGGCCCCATGCAAGTCCGAAATCCCGCAGGGCCGTCCAATCTTACAGCTCCAAAAATAATCTCCTTTGACTCCATGTCTCACATCCAGGTCATGCTGATGCAAGAGGTGGGTTCCCAAGGTCTTGGGCAGCTCCACCCCTGTGGCTCTGCAGGGTAGAGCCTCCCTCCTGGCTGCCTTCATGGGCTGGCATTGAATGTCTGCAGCTTTTCCAGGTGTACACTGCAAGCTGTCAGTGGTCCTACCCATTCTGGGGTCTGGAGAACAGTGGCCATATTCTCACAGCTCCACTAGGTGACACCCCAGTAGGGATTCTGTGTGGGGGCTCCTACCCCACATTCCCCTTCTGCACCACCCTAGCAGAGGTGGGTGAGGGCCCCTCCCCTGCAGCAAACTTTTGCCTGGGCATCCAGGTGTTTTCATACATCTTCTGAAATCTAGGCAGCGGTTTCCAAACCCCAGTTCTTGACTTCTGTGCACTTCTGGGCTCAACACAACATGAAAGCTGCCAAGGCTTGAGGCTTGCACCCTCTGAAGCCACAGCACAAGCTTTATGTTGGCCCCTTTCAGCCATGGCTGGAGGAGCCTTATGTTGGCTCCTTAGGATGAGAGGCGCCAAGTCCCTAGGCTGCACACAGCACAGGGACCCTGGGCCCAGCCCACGGAACCACTTTTTTCTCCTAGGCCTCCAGGTCTGTGATGCCAGAAGCTGCTGTGAAGACCTCTGCCATGCCGTGGAGACATTTTCGCCATTGTCTTGGTGATTAACATTTGGTTCCTTGTTATTTATGAAAATTTTTGCAGCTGGCTTGAATTTCTCCTCATAAAATGGGATTTTCTTTTCTATCACGTTGTCAGGCTGCAGATTTTCCTAACTTTTGTGCTTTGCTTTCCTTATAAAACTGAATGCATTTAACAGCAGCCAAGTCACCTCTTGAATGTTTTGCTGCTTGGAAACTGAATGCCTTTAACACCACCCAAGTTACCTCTTGAATGCTTTGCTGCCAGATAACCTAAATCATCTCTCTCAAGTTCAAAGTTCCACAGATCTCTAGGGAAGGGGCAAAATGCCACCTGTCTCTTTGCTAAAACATAACAAGAGCCACCTTTGCTCTAGTTCCCAACAAGTTTCTCATCTACATTTGAGACCACTTCAGCCTAGACCTTATTGTTTATATCACTATCAGGCTTTTGGTCAAAGCCATTCAACAAGTCTCTAGGAAGTTACAAACTTTCCCACATTTTCCTGTGTTCTGAGTCCTCCAAACTGTTCCAACCTTTGCCTGTTACCCAGTTCCAAAGCTGCTCCCACATTTTTGGGTATCTTTTCAGCAATGCCCCACTCTACTGGTACCGATTTACTGTATTAGTCTGTTTTCATGCTGCCAATAAAGACATACCCGAGACTGGGCAATTTACAGAAGAAAGAGGTTTATTGAATTTACAGTTCCATGTGGCTGGGGAGGCCTCACAATCATGATGGAAGTTTAAAGACACATCTCACACGCTGACATACAAGAGAAGAACTTGTGCAGACAAATTCCCATTTTTTAAAAAACCATCAGATTGCATGAGACCCATTCACTATTATGAGAACAGCATGGGAAAGGCCCACACCCATTATCCAATCATCTCCTACTGGGTACCTCCCACAACATGTGGGAATTATGGGAGCTATAAGATGAGATTTGGGAGGGGGCACAGAGCCAAACCATATCAGTTAGGTAGGAGTCTCTCCTTCTAAATTTTTTGGAATAGTTTCAGTAGAATTAGTACCAGTTCTTCCTTGTATTACTGGTAGCATTTGACTGTGAATCCATCTAGTCCAGAACTTTTTTCTGGTTTTTAGCTTTTTTATTACTGGGTAAATTCTGTACATGATACTGGTCTGTTCAAGGTTTCAATTTCTTCCTGATTCAATCTTGGAAAGTTGTGTGTTTCCAGGAATTTACTCATTTTCCTCTAGTTTTTTTAGTTTGTATGCATAAAGGTGTTTCTACTAGTCTCTGAGGATCTTTTGCATTTTTGTGGGATCAGTAGAAATGTAACCTTTGTCATTTCTGATTGTGCTTATCTGATTTACCTCTCTTTTTGTCTTTATTAATCTAGCTAGCAGTCTATAGATCTTGTTCATCATTTTAAAGAGCCAACATTTGGTTTTGTTGAGCTAAAATGTATGGATACTTGGTTCTCAATTTTGCTCAGTTCTGCTCTTAGTTTTTTTTTGTTTTTCTGCTAGCTTTAGGGTTAGTTTGTTTTAGTTTTTCTAATTTTTCTAGGTGTTTTGTTATTTCATTAATTTGAGAAGTTCCTAACTTTAGTACTATCAACTTTCCTCATAACACTGCTTTTGCCATATCCCAGAGATTTTGATATGTTGTGTCTCTGTCTTCATTTATTTCAAAGAACTTTAAAATTCCTGCCTTAATTTTGTTGTTTACCCAAAGATGTTCTTTCAGGAGCAAGTTGTTTAATTTCCATGTAATTGTATGGTTTGGAAATATTTTCTTGGTACTGATTTCTATTTTTATTCCACTGTGGTTCAATAGTATTATTGGTATAATTTCAATTTTTTGAATTTATTGATACTTGCTTAATGGCGAGCATGTGGTTGATCTTTCAGTATGTTCTGTGTGCAGATGAGAAGAATGTGTATTCTGTGGTTGATGGATGAAGTTGTCTGTAGATATCTATTAGGTTAAATTGGTCAACTGTCAAATTTAGTCCAGAATTTCTTTGTGTTCTGCCTTGATGAACTGTCTAATGCTGTCAGTTGGGTGTTGAAATCCTCCTCTATTATTGTTTCATTGTCTATGGCTTTTTGTAGGTCTAGAAGTACTTGTTTTATGAATCTAGGTACTCCAATGTTGGGTGCACATATAATTAGAATTAGAAAATCTTCTTGTTGAATTGAATCCTTTGTCATTATATAGTACCCTTTTTTGTCCATTTTTTCCCTGTTTTTGGCCTAAAGTCTGTTTTATGTGATACAAGAATAGAATCTTTTTCATTTTCTATCTGCATGATAAATCTTTCTCCAATCCTTTACTTTGAGCTTTTGAGTGTCATTACTTGTGAGATGGGTCTCTAGAAGATATCACATAGTTGGGTCTTGCTTCTTTATCCAACTTACTACTGTGTGTCATTTAAGTGGGGGAATTTAGACCCTTGACATTGAAAGCTAATATCTAAATCTGAGGTTTTCATCCTATCATGAAATTGTTAGCTGGTTACTTTGTAGTTTCTACTTTGTGGTTGCTACTGTGTGCTTGCCTTATAGGACCTATGGGCTATGTACTTAAGTGTGTTTTTGTGGTAGCAGGTATTCTTCTTTTGTTTCATGTTTAGAACTCCCTTAAGGATCTCATGTAAGGCTGGTCTAGTGCTAGCAAATTCCCTTAACTTGCCTGTCTGAAAAATATTTTATTTCTCCTTCACTTATGAAGCTTAGTTTACTGGGATATAAAATTCTTGATGGGAATTTCTTTTCTTTTTTTATTTTATTTTATTATTATTATACTTTAAGTTTTAGGGTACATGTGCACAATGTGCAGGTTAGTTACATATGTATACATGTGCCATGCTGGTGTGCTGCACCCATTAACTCGTCATTTAGCATTAGGTATATCTCCTAATGCTATCCCTCCCCGCTCCCCCCACCCCATGACAGGCACCGGTGTGTGATGTTCCCCTTCCTGCATCCATGTGTTCTCATTGTTCAATTCCCACCTATGAGTGAGAATATGCGGTGTTTGGTTTTTTGTTCTTGCGATAGTTTACTGAGATTGATGATTTCCAATTTCATCCATGTCCCTACAAAGGACATGAACTCATCATTTTTTATGGCTGCATAGTATTCCATGGTGTATATGTGCCACATTTTCTTAATCCAGTCTATCATTGTTGGACATTTGGGTTGGTTCCAAGTCTTTGCTATTGTGAATAGTGCCACAATAAACATACGTGTGCATGTGTCTTTATAGCAGCATGATTTATCTTTTCTTTAATAATACTGAAAATAGGTCCTTAATCTCTCTTTGCTAGCAAGGTTTCTACTGAGAAGCCTGTGTTAGCCTGATGGGTTTCCCTTTGTACATGATCTGATCTTTTTCTCTAGCTGATGTTAATATCTTTTTCTTTAGCATTGACCTTGGACAGTCTGGTGACCATATGCCTTGGTGATATTTGTATTATATAGTATCTCCTGCATATTCTCTGGATTTCTTGTATTTGTGTCTACCTCTCTAGCAAGATTAGGAAAATTTATTTGAATTACTCCCTTAAATATGTTTTCCTAGTTGTTTATTTTTTATCTTTCCCTCTCGGGAACGCCAATAACCTCTAGGTTTGGTGGTTTTACATAATCCCATATTTCTTGAAGACTTTGTTCATTTTTAAAATTCTTTTTTTTTGTCTGACTTGGTTAGCTTAAAAGGCTAGTCTTCATGCTCTGAAATTCTTTTTTCTGCTTATTCCAGTCTATTGATAAAACTTCTAACTGTATTTTGAAATTTTTCTAGTGAGTGTTTCAATTTTGGAAGCTCTGGTTGATTTCCTTTATAGATGTTTATCTTTTACTTCATTTCCTGGATTGCTTTAGAAGTTTCTTTGTGTTGATTTCCAACTTTGTCTTGGATCTTGTTAAGCTTCATTGCAATCCATGCTTTAAATTCTTTATCTGTCATTTCTGAATTTTCATTTTGGTTAGGAACCATTGTAGGAGAGCTAGTGTGATCCTTTGGTGGTGTCACTACATTAAGATTTTTCATGGTGCCAGAATTTTTATGCTGGTTCCATATTATTTGAAGATGCTGGAATTTCTAATTTTTGTAATTTTTTGTGGGGGTGGAATTTTTTCTTTTTCTTTCCTTCCCTAAAATATTATTGTTTTTTTTTTTTCATTTGCTTTTCCCTTTCTCCCCCTCTCTAGGGGATGTGACTGTAGAGAATATGCATAGGGTCTTTTGGCTTCAATTCTATAGCCCTATGCACCTCTGTCAGTAGGTTTTATATTGGGCTGTTCAGTTCAACCTGTAAGCTAGTAGATGGCACTTACAGACAAGACTCAGATGTGGCCAGTGTGGCTGGGTATATACTTGATCCTTGTTTACTGGAAGAAACTCTCTGTTGCATCAGCCAATGGGTTGATCTGTGGAATGCTCAGTGGTCCGAGTTCCCTGTTCAGCTCCAGGGAGAGGAGATGGGGGCAATATGGGTTGGCAGGCACAAACACTAGTGCTGGGGGAGAATCCCATGGGTGACCACCAGGTTCCCAGAGGTGTGCCTAGGCATGGAGCTGGGAAACCTCCTCCCTGGCCCCAAGTTATCTGCATGGGGAGGGGAGTCAGCCTAAACTCCTAATGTAAGAGAGTGGAGCTCCAGATGCCTGGAGATTTGCCTGAGCATGGAGCAAAGAGGACCCCACTTCACAACAGTCTTTGTATAGGAAGGACTGGCTGGGTCAGGCTGCTTATTCAGGTGATCAGGTGCTCCAAATGTCTAGTGATCTGCCTGGGTGTAGACAGGAGAGAACCCACCCTACACCAGGATCTTTTTATT
Source organism: Homo sapiens (assembly GCF_000001405.40). Classification (NCBI taxonomy): domain Eukaryota; kingdom Metazoa; phylum Chordata; class Mammalia; order Primates; family Hominidae; genus Homo; species Homo sapiens. Next base: position 99,007,817 of record NC_000003.12, read on the forward strand.
AGCCAGATGCTGTCACAGGGGCTGTTTACCCATGTTCTCATGCCCAGGATTTTGGATGTCCTTCACAATTCTGGTGGATTCCAATTTTCCTTCTTGAATTAAAACTCACAGAGATGATCTTTATGTACTGTCTTGCTATTTACAAGTGTCTGAGGCATGCTAAAAGCTTCTAATCTGTCATCTTTGAAAAAAACTTTATTTACAAAACTTGGTGCCAACCTGCAGGCTGCAGTTTGTCAACTCCTGATATATGCTATAATGTTCTGGCAGTAATCCACCTTGGAAACCTCTAGGAGAATGAGAAGGAAGATTTTTCTATTAGTATCCCTCTCTTCTCTGTTCCCCTACTCACCCTTCAAAAGGCACTTGACTTTTTCTTGCCATCCTCTAGCATAATATTCAGTAAGTCTAGTGTTTGAAAATGAGATACAGGAGGGAAGTTGTTATGAAATTTTGCTTTGGTCCTATAAATGTCCCTGAATAAAAGAACAAGAAGACTAATGACCTTGCTTGAAAATCCAAGGTAAAAAATATAATGAGATCAAAACATTAGTTGATATTTCAGCAATCTATCCTGTCATAGACATAAGACCCATTTTTTATAATCATTTTCTAATGATTTTCTAACTTTTGTGAAACACTTCATAGTTTTCTAAATGCTTTTCAGCATGTACACAAACATAGAAAGCAAAGAAGGAAGAACTAAGTCAGTGGTGTTTTGATCAATGTTTAACAATTGGCTAATAATTTAGGCTAGGTTAGAAGGACTGTATGGTTCCCCCTGGTGTTTTTGGAATGCTTGCCCTGGAGGAAATCTGCCACCATCTAGGAAATCTTACTACCTGGAATCCACCATTCTGAAGAGGACACATGTAAGTTCTTTGGTAGAGCCACTATATTAGGCTGTTCTTGAATTGCTAGAAAGGAATATCCCATTGGTTCATGGCTCTGCAGGCTGACAAGCATGGCACTGCATCTGCTTCTGGTGGGGGCCTCAGGAAGATTCCCATTATAGTGGAAGCTAAGGGGAGCAGGCACATCACATAGGGAGAGTGGGAGCAAGAGAGGAGACTAGGAGGTGCCACACACTTTTAAACCACCAGATATCATGAGAATTCGCTCACTATCATGAGGGCAGCACCAACCCATCCATGAGGGATCTGTCCCCATGACCCAAACACTTCCAATCAGGCCCCACTTCCAACATTGGGAATTACATTTCAATATGAGATTTAGAGGGTACAAACATCCAAATTATATCATTCTGCCCCTGGCCCTTCAAATTTCATGCCCTTCTCATATTGCAAAATACAATCATCTCCTGAAAATGGGCTTTTCTTTTCTACCACATGGATAGGCTGCAAATTTTGCACATGTTTACAGTTTTCTTTTTAACATAAGTTCTAACTTTAAGTCCTTTCTTCACTCCCACATCAACGTGTAGGTTTTTAGAAACAGGTCATACCTTGAACATTTGCTGCTTAGAAATTTCTTCCATCATATATGCGAAGTCATCACTCTTAAGTTCAAGCTTTCATTTATTCCTAGGACATGAACATAATGCAGTCAAGTTTTTTGCTAAGGCATAACAAGGATGACTTTTACTCCAGTTCCCAATAAGTTCCTAATTTCCTTCTGAGACCTCATCTGCCTGGCCTTCATTGTCCATATCACTATCAGCATCTTGATCACAGCCATTTAACCAGTCTCTAAAATAAGTTCTAAACATTTCCTCATCTTCCTGTCTTCTTCTGAGCCCTCCAAACTCTGCCTGTTACCCAGTTTCAAAGTTGCTTTCACAATTTTAGGTATCCTTATAGAAAGATCCCACTCCTTGGTACCAATTTTCTGTATTAGGCCCTTATTGCATTGCTATAAAGGAATACCTAAGGCTGGGTAAATAAAAGAGGTTCAATTGGCTCATAGTTCTGCAGACCATATAAGCGCGGTGCTAGCATCTGCTTCTTGTGAGGGTCTCAGGAATCTTCCAATCATGGCAGAAGGAAAAGGGGGAGCAGGTGTGTCACATGGCAAGAGCAGGAGCAAGAAAGAGAGGGGGAAGATGCCACACACTTTTAAACAACCAGATCTCACATGAATGCACTCACAATCACCAGGACAGCACCAGGCCATGAGGGAGCAGCCTCCATGACTGAAACACCTCTCACTAGGCCCCACCTCCAACATGGAGGATTATACTTTAACATGAGTTTTGGAAGTGATAAACATCCAAACTATATCAGCCATTACCAGCTGCCAGCTATATGAGTGAGCTGTCTTGGATGTCAAGGCTAGTTAATCCTTCAGATAACAGGGATGAGCTGATGTTTGATTGCAAATATATTGGAGGCCCTAAGTGAAAACTACCTAGCTGAACCAATTGTAATTCCTAACCCACATAATTATAAGAAAAATAAAATGGTGGTTGTTTTACAACGCTAATTTTTGAGTAGTCTGTCATATGCCAATGTGAACTATAAGAGAAAGAGAACAATAGTTTTTGAAGAGTCATTTTGCACAGAAAGTGAAGAGGAGAGAAGAGTCAAAAAAATTCTAGGGATTGAATATTTTTTAAAAAAAAATTTTGTCATCCTGGTGAACAGGAAAATGAATTGAAGATGTAAGATGAAGGAGAGAAGTTAATACAGATGGCTTTGAGTATATTATATTTGGGATGTGCCAAAAGTAGTGCATGTGTCCACAAAACAATTTGTACAAGAATATTCACAGAACTTTAATGAGGTTTTCCCAAACTAGAAACATGTTACATATAATATTTATTTTTGCAGGTCAAATAAATATATATAACATAAATATTATATGTAACATGTTCCTTTTATTGAACAAGTAATACATGCACATGAACAAAATTCAAATAGTTCAAATTGGTACATGATGACAGAAATAAGCTTTCCTTCCATTTTGGACCCTTTGTATTCTTTGCCAGAACTAACCACTGTAAAGAGTTTCTTGTGGATCTTTCCAAAAACGTTGTATGCTTATGTAAGCTTATGTAGTTATAAAAGACATATATATATATATATATATATATATATATATGTACACACACAATTTTTACCAAAATATGTTTATTATTTTGGTGTACCTGAGAGACAGCTCCATTTAGATTTGCTTTGGTGTCTTCATGATGTCACAGCTTTTCAATGTATGAATATGCCAATACATTGTAATGTGTGTGTGTATATATACCTATATATTATATTTAACATATTTCTTATCAGTGAGCATTTAGGTTGCTTTTAATTAAAAAATTAAAATGGCAATTAGCATGTGTGTTTATACACATATATACATATGTGTATATATACTAGTGTGTGTATATGAGAGTCTATAACATAACTTTCTGAAAATGGAAGAGCTAGCTCAAAGGGAATATGAGTTTTACATTTTAAAACATAATACCAAATTGCTCCCTAAGGAGATTTTATCAGCTTCAATTCAACTACCTAGTTTCTCACATCTTTACCAATGGCTGTTATCATTGAATAATTGTTTTGCCATTCTGATAGTATAATTTCTTCAATTTTTATTTCCTTAATCATCAGTTAGGTTTAGCACTTTTAATGTGTTTTTGGCCAGTTATATTTCCTTTTCCCTGATTTCACCAATTTTCTTGTTTTTAAAGATTCATGGCCCTTTGTATATTAGGGGGCATTAATTATAATGAATTCAGTTGTTAAATATGTATACTTATCAGGAGAAGAGAATGGGTCAATGGAAGGTACATTCTTGAAGTCTCACCAGAAGGGGACAAGAGAATGAAGCAGTGTGACTATATAGTCAGGGCTCTCTTCTCAATAATTCTGAAGATATTAGGGTTTCTGTTTAATGGGTTTTCTAGCTCTGAAATGAGCCTAAATTGAAATATAATTATGATAAAAATATTCTGTCACATGAATAATAATTAAGTGGTATACATTTCATTTAATGAACAGTGGAAAAATGATGCAAAGCATTCTTAGATTTACAACAAAGCATTAGCTCTTGCTCCTAAAGTAGTGAGTTAGCTTGGCTCTCTGGTGGAAGACTCATCTTAGTCTTAGGTATTCACTTCCATCACTCCATTTCTTAAATAGATTAGCAGAGATGGAATGTTTAAAAATTTAAGCACATTTTGGAGTTTAAAAATCAGATGGTATGTTTGTTTCTCTGACAGGCTTTGCTCCATCAGGTGAGAACTATTCTTTCCCAGGTTGAGATCAGGCTTGTGGAGTACCCCAGAGACTGGAGATTTAATGTTCTCTTACCAATGGTGTTAAAAGTGGGATTTAGTGTTCTATGCTCAAATAAGGACAAAGGGCTGAGAAGCTGTGCTACCAGTAACCCTTACAGAAGTCAGGAAGTATGCATGGGCCGCCCAAGGAACATAGTGAGGTTATGAATTGAATTCTCTTCTCGTCACAAGTGGCTAGTGCCCAGCCAACCATGCAGTCCAGCAAAGAAACATTTTTTCCTCTTTGTACTTGAGTGATTGCAGCTGCCACTGTCATTTTTCACTGACCTCCAGGTGACTAAGTTTTTTACAAAGCTTCTGTGCTATACCAAGCATGACAAAAGACCCCAGCTCATGCTTTCGGAGTCTCCAGGTGCTGCCTCCTATCTCCTTATTTATAGGCTTAGCAGAAATTATAATTTAGACACCATTTGCTAGATGAGTTCAGGGTTGAAATGTCAGCCAGTAACTGAATCACTGGCCATTGGGTGCCAGATGTTTATAATCTACTGTCCTGTGGAAACTTTGTTCTTGACAGAGATCTGGTATTTTAAAAGATACGAGGTTAGTCTCCAGATAAAATCTTCTAGTGATATTCATGTTGCTATCTGTTTTTATACAAATTCTGAGGAAGTAGAAGTGCTCTAATTAGAAAAATGTGCTGCATATCTAAAGATATAAAAATAGCAAAGAGATTAAGATGATGGATCAGAGATATGTCTAAGGGAGGAAAGGATGAGTGGTACAATAAGAAGAGTTATCAATGCTTGTACTGTGTATAGGGTATCTGCTGACCCAGAAGGAAACATTTGAGATTTTTGCTGCATTTCTATAAGTTAAAGTTGGCATGATGCGTATAGTAACATCTCTAGGAATAGATTCAGGTTATGTGTCTTTAATAGTAGAGTCACAAAACTGATGCAGTCTCCTCATATGCCCTAGTAGGTGGCAATTTCAATTTATTGCATTATTAATGATGCTTACTTTGATCATTTGATTGAAGTGGTGTCTGCCATGCTTCTTCACTGTAGCATTACATCCTTTTCCTACATCCTTTTACTTTGTACTTAAAAAGTATTTTGAGGGAAGATACTTTTAAAATCAAATAAATATCTCTTTCTTCATCATATTCAATTTACTCATTTATTTATTTCTTATTTAGGTTCCCTGTTTAATTTAGTGGGTTATAATCTGTTACTATCCTTATACATTTTGATACTCAGATTCTCTCAGAGTTGGCCAGCAGGAGTCCCTTAGAGCTGGCTTCTTTGTCCTTTTTGACACTGTCCATTATTTTTTGAGTACTTCTTGAGTTTCTGCCACAACAACATATTCTAGTTTCATTTTGTGTTTTCCTCAACCTTGAAACCAGCCATTTTCCCAAGAATTCCTGGTTCCTTTACATGAGAATTATATTTAAACACTAAAGTTTGGGTACTAGGTGTGCTCATTGATTTGGAGTGTTGCTGTTTGCAGGTCCTTTCCATTGTCACATATAAATATAGTTACTTCTGCATATTTTTAAAATAAAATTTATTGAAGTATAATTTATATACCATAAGATGCACCCATTTTAAGTAGACAGTTAAATGAGTTTTGATAAATGAAAACAAGCTTGCAACTACCTCCCAAATTAAGATAGAGTACATTTCCATCACCCCAGAAAGCTCATGTTCCTTTCTAGTTATTCCTCTCCAACCCCACCTCAGGCAGATACTGATCTGATTTCTATCACATGAGTTGGTTTTATCAGTTCTAAAGTTTTATAGTAACAGAATCATATGGTATATACTGTTGTGTCTGGCTTTCTTGGCTCAGCATAATGTCAGTGAGATTTATTCACGTTATTGCACTTATCAGTAGTTTATTCCTTCTTATGGATGAATCATATTTAATTGTATGAATAAACCATGATGGGTTTATGTCGTTTTCTGTTGACAAAGTTCTGGGTTGTGTCAAGATTTTGCTATCTTAAGTGAAGTGGCCAGAAATGTATATATACGTGTGTTTTTGTGGGCCAATGTTTTCATTTCTCTTGGCTAAATACCTAAAAGTGGAAGTACTGGTTGTATGAGATGTTAACTTTATGAGAAAGTACCACACTCTTTTCCAAAATGGCATTATCAGTTTATTCATCTACCAGCAATGTATGAATTTCAGTTGCTTCACACTCAGTGAGACTTGGTAATATCAGTCTTTTTTTTTTTTTTTTTTTTTTTTTTTGAGATGAAATCTTGCTCTGTTGCCCAGGCTGGAGTGCAATGGCATGATCTTGGCTCACTGTAACCTCTGCTTCCTGGGTTCAAGTGATTCTCCTGTTTCAGCCTCCCAAGTAGCTGGGATTACAGGAGTGCACCATCATGCCCGGCTAAATTTTTTTGTATTTTTGTAGAGAAGGAGTTTCATGTTGGCCAGGGTGGTCTCAAACTCCTGACCTCAAGTGATTCACCTGCCTCGGCCTCCCAAAGTGCTGGGATTACAGGCATAAGCCACTGCGCCCAGCCAGTAATATCAGTCTTTTAAATTTTAGCTATTTGAATGGGTATGTAGTGGTGTCTTGCTATAGTTTTAATTTTTGTTGTGTTGATAACTAATGATGTGGATAATTTTTTATGTGTTTATCATTAAAATATCTTCTTTTGTTGTGTTCAAACATTTTTGACATGTTAGTGAAGCTGTTTGCTTTTTCTTATTGAATTATAAGAGTGCTTTTATGTTCTGGATGCAAGTCCCTTGTCAGACATATGTATTAAAAACATTTTCTTGGCCGGGCGTGGTGGCTCACGTCTGTAATCCCAGCACTTTGGGAGGCCGAGGCGGGCGGATCACGAGGTCAGATCCAGACCATCCTAGCTAACATGGTGAAACCCCGTCTCTACTAAAAATACAAAAAATTAGCCGGGCGTGGTGGCAGGCGCCTGTAGTCCCAGCTACTCCGGAGGCTGAGGCAGGAGAATGGCGTGAACCTGGGAGGCGGAGCTTGCAGTGAGCCGAGATAGTGCCATTGCAGTCCAGCCTGGCCGACAGAGCAAGACTCTGTCTCAAAACAAACAAAAAAAATTTTCTCCCAATCTCAAGTACCTCATCTTTCAATTTTCTCAATAGAGTCTTTCAAAAAATAAAAATATAAAAATTTGCTGGAGTTGAGCTAATCACTGCTTTCTTATAAGCATCACTTATAAAAGTGGTGCTTTTTGTGTCTAAGAATTTTTGCCAACTGAAAGTCACAATGATTTTTTCTATGTGTTTTTCTAGACATTTTATAGTTTTAGCTTTTGGGTATATATTTATAATGTATTTTGAGGGTTTACTTTTGTGCTGACAAAGAAGAAATTAGATTATATAACGCATTTGAACTTTTATGAAAGCTCTAATAAATATGTGGTATCAAGGAAGATATTATTCTTTGTAAACCAAGGGAAAGTAACTTTGGAATTAAGCCAAGATTGGGTTTCCTTAGCCTTTTGGGTGAAAATATTTTGAGAAAATGCATGTAGGAATCAAATTCTTGAGTCTTCCAGATTTAGTTTTATTCTAAAAATTCGAAGAAGTAAAAATATACTTACCCTGAAATCAGACTGATTACATATTTTTAATAATTTTACAGCCCAAAAAGAATTTTAACTGCACTGGCCCATCCTTTACATAAAGTCCTGGGGAGTGATGTTTTTTCGCTATTTCTTTTTCTATTTTTTGTGGAGGCAAAACTGTTTTATCTCTTTCCTTCTGTTTGCCATTTTAATGATGAATATTAGCCAGGTTGTCTTTCCCACTGTATTAGTCTGTTCTCTCATTGCTATAAAGAAATGCCTCAGACGGGGTAATTATACAGAAAAGAGGTTTAATTGAATCTCAATTCCACAGGCTGTACAGGAAGCATGGTACTGGCATCTGCTTGGCTTCTGGGGAGGCCTCAGAAAGCTTACAGTCATGGCAGAAGGTGAAGGGAGAGCAGACACATCATATGGTGAAAGCAGGAGCAAGAAAGCAAGCGGGGGAGGTGCTACCCACTTTTCAACGACCAGATTTTGTGAGAATTCACTCACTATTGTGAGGACAGCACCAGTAGATGGCATTAAACCCTTAAGGAGAAACTGCCCCCATGGTCCAATCAACTCCCACCAGGCCCCACCTCCAACACTGGGGATTAAAATTCCACATGAGATTTGGGTTGGGACACATATTTAAACTATATTACCCACACATGAATGTTCTTGTCAGGACTATTTCTGTATATATTAAACCAGAGTTTCTCAACCTTGGCGCTTTTGGCATTTTGGGCTGAATAATTGTATTAGTTTGCTAGGGCTGCCATTACCAAATATCACAGACTGGGTGGCTTAAACAACAGGAATAGATTTTCTCAGAGTTCTAGAGGTTTAAAGGTGTCAGCAGGTTTGGTTTCTTCTGAGGCCTCTCTTCTTGGTTTGCAGGTAGTCACCTTCTCATTGTGTGTCCTCACATGTCTTTCCTCTCTGCAAGCACATTTCTGGTGTCTCTGTGTGCAAATTTCCTCTTCTTATAAGGACATCAATGAGATTGGATTAGGACTCCCTCTCTCAAATGACCTCATTTTAACTTAGTCATTTCTTGAAAGGCTCTATCTCCAAATAGAGTCATATTCTGAGGTACAAAAGTTTTTGCTTCAACACATGAATTTTGAGGGGATGCAATTCAGCCTGTAACAATAATTCTTTGTTGCAGGGGCTGTCCCGTGCACTGCAAGATGTTTAGCAGCATCCCTCACCTTCACCCACTGGATAACATTAGCAACCTCCAGTTGTAACAACCAAAAACATCTCTAGACACTGTCAAATATACCTGAGATCAGAGTACTGGAAAAATCACCCTTGGTTGAGAACTGCTGTCTTAGAAAAACTTAAAAGTATTTTGCAGTTTGTTTATTTTCTGTCCCACAGTTTTCACCATGATTATATAAAATCACCCAATAGTTGAGATACATTTTGAACCCAAGATATTACTTGAGCCTGAATCTAAAAACCATATTATCTTTACTAAGCACATTCTTCTCACAACCTAAACATTCAGTGATCAAAAAAGTTTACATGAATTTGGGAACACAAATTACTGGGAGCTTATAAAATGCCAAGTAAAATGTTTTATTAATGTATCTATTTACCCATCTATTATCTTCAGTTCTAATCCAATGACACAGGAGTTTATTCTAGTTTTCTTTCCATATTTGTACTTCCCTTTTTTGACAATGAGAAAACTGGCTCCCTCTTCAAAGTGTGTGTGTGTGTGTGTGTGTGTGTGTGTGTATGTGAAATCTCCTAGGTGTCCAATCTCTCATTGGCACTGTCACCAATGATGCCCCGTCTAGATATGCTTGGCTTCCTCACCCTTGTGCTGGGCTCACCTATATGCTGGGCTCTGATATCCCCTGTTCTGCATGGACACCCTTCTCTCTCTGCCCAAGCTTTACACACCATGCTGAAGGACCCCAGCCTGGAAACCCTCCTCATCCTGCTTGATGATAACCTGAGCTAGGCTGTCTTTCAGCCAAGATGACCTTCTCACCTTACTTGTGCTCTGACACCTCATTCTGGGTCAGTCCTCACATGGACACCCTTGTCACCTCTCTCAAGCTCTGATATTCTGCACAAACAGCCCCTTTAATCCCAACTTGGAACCTGAGCCCCTAGGTCAGCCTGGTTCCCTGCACCTACACAGATGCTTTTTTAATCCTGCTTGGGATCTCATAGCTCCTAATGGGCTGACACCCTGCATGGATGCCCTTTTTGCACACTCAGGTCCACTTTGCTCCCCACTCTCTGGCATGGACACCTACCTTGCTCAGTTCATCAAATATCCTTGGACTCATTATTTTCAGAAAGGGTAAGGAAGAAGATAGAGGCAAAAAAGATTTTTGAAGAAACTTCAAATGGAATAAAGAGGGCTTGATCAGGAGAGACTTTGTTTAAATCAAGGTTTATTATCTTTCTCCCCAGACTAACACTTTCTTCTTTTTCTATCTGTTGTAGCATTCTCATAATCTTAAACTCTGGTGAAAACAGAAAATTATTGTCAGTGAACATCTACTAAATACAGGTTAGAAAATAATTTTTGTGAGAAGTTTTCCAAGCCATGGGAGTTTCTTCCTTATCCTAAGTACCTTGAAATAATTTTCTTTCTTTGGAGTTGTAAAGGCTTGGGATCATATAATGAAAAAGAAACACTTCTTACTAAAATGTCGTAAGAATGCCAACTTCTCCTGTGTCTTTGGCCCCTGGGGTGGGAAGGCAACTTTTCATGTTGAACAAGGATTATATCCTGGCATCACAAATCTGTTTAAACCTTGGAAATCAAACGTACTGATTCCTCTTCCAAAAACTGTCATTAATTCATTGTTTCGTTAGACAGGTCCTGGACTTTGGTTTCTCTTCTGGTAAAGTGAGAACAGTGTCTCCCATTAGCCAAAATAAGCAGAGGTCAGTGAAATAACAATGTAACACCAAGACATGGTGCACTTCTCAGGTGAAAACTTTTATGTAAGTACCAAGTATTGATTTATTTCTAAAATACCATTATCTTTATTAGAAACACTCCAGAGGGCAAAATACTTTCATTGTTTTGGAAATTAAACAAAAGTACAAGCAAATATTGGCTTAAAATGTAACTAACTGGACCATTTTAAAGATAATAATTCATATCACTGACATTCAAAATAAAACAATCATGTAAAATGAATTTTTTGGTTGTTTGTGATGGGAAAGTACAGAGGCTGGCTTTTTGGTCATGGAGTTTAATAAAGTTAATAGAAATTTGTGGATGTTTGGAGAAAGACAGATTGACCAAATTACCCCTGGAATACTTTTATTGTATTTTATCCCATCTATTTTATTCTCTCTTTCATAAAAGAAAATATCAGAGCTTTTAAACTTTGAGTTTACGACCCTTAGATTTTATTATAAACTATCAGTTCTGCCCTTAACAAGCCCCTTGGTCCAATTTCCTCTATATTTTATTGACTAAATGACTTTGGCTGAATTACATTCAGATAAAGTTGTCAATTGTTGTAGTTGGCCTGAGAGGCCAAATGATCAAATTGAAAGCATAAGGTGTCCCAAGTACTGGGTTCATACACAAGGTCTGTGGAATTTTAGTTATTTTCCTCTTTAGGCCTCAGTTTCACTTGTCAAAGGATAAATATGTCAAAATTTATTCATCTCAGGTTGCCTTGTGTGACACTAAATAAATGCAAAAACAAGTTTTGAAATTCTAGAATGCTATGTGGTGGAAGACACTAATCTTTATATTCAGTTTGATATATATTTATATTCTAACATAATCTCCATTTGTTCAGTGAATTTATCTTTACTCCAACATTGATTGTACTTTCCAACTACTTTTCTCTATGCAGTGGAACCACTATTCCTCTAATCACATAGGCTGGAGATTTTATAGAACCATTCTAATTTTCTGTTAATTTTTTCTGATTTCTCCAATTTTTTATCAGGCTTCATTATTTCTTCCTCCATGTTACAGCTCAGCTTTACTGTTTCACTCAATTGTCATTGCTATCAATCTATATTGAACTTGTCTTCTTTAGTAATAAGTCAGGAGACAGTGTAGCAGGAAGCATGTTCAGCATTTTTCCACTTGGGAGCCTTACCTCACAGAAAAGCGCTTAAACACAAAAGAGGCTTTGGCCACATTTTAGCTAAAACTCCTCAGCAGAAAGCAGAATTGGCTTTTATGCCTCATATGCCAAATTCTGTTTTGGTAGAGGTACTTTGAAGGTACCTAAACTTGCACAAAAGGAGAGCATGATATCAAGACGATAGAGGCTACAGACTATACAGAAGAAATATGGGAAAGGAATTGTAATTATAGGTGGGGAAAAGGTTCTCCAAAGAACTGAGATTGTCCTGCTCATGAACAGAGCATAAGATTAGAGTGAGTGATATTTGGAAATCTGGCGTAGGAAACAGTCAGCACCTAGGAAACTCGTTATCAGAAAGCAGAGCCTCAGCCTGTAGGTGGGAACGTAGATCTTTGGAGAGACTGTTAAGAGCCAGTACTGTCACTAGACAAAGGCAAGGAACTGACTGTACAAGAGTTTACAAGGTATTCAGATCCAGCTAATTAGAGATGGGAATCTGGTAGTTGAGCCAAATAAGAAAATAAGTAAGGAGGAAAATAAGTAAGCATCTTAAATGCAAAGTGAATGATGTTCACCTCTACAAATTTGGGTCAAAGCTCATCAAATCCTTTTTATCTGAAGTCAAATTTGTCCTAGGGATTGAGGTGTTGCTGAAGCTAATTCAGCTATGGAGAAAGGAGTCCTCAAGAGGCTTGGAATGAGGCAAGGTTGGCTGACAGTTGCATTGTCAGGAAAAGAAAACTGGCTTTAAAATCAAGACACATGGACCCTAGGCCATTCTCTTACTACCTTGTGACTATGAGCAAGTTACTGACATTTTTTAGCATTAGTTTTGTCATCTATGAAGTGGTGATAATATTGTCTGTGTAATAAGAATATTGTAAGGTTTAAATAAAATGATAGAGTTTTGGGGACTACAATGGGCAATATATTCATTGATATTCTGATTTAAAAAATGACATTTCTACTACGTTCATGAGTAAAGCAAAGAGATTTATAAAACTTTTGAAATTATATGCAAGCCTGGCTGGAGTGCAGTGGCGTGATCCTGGCTCACTGCAACCTTGGCCTCCTGGGTTCAAGTGATTCTCTTGCCTCAGCCTCCCAAGTAGCTGGGATTACAGGCGTGCACCACCATGCCCAACTAATTTTGTATTTTTAGTAGAGATGGGGTTTCACCATGTTAACCAGGCCAGTCTCAAACTCCTGACCTCAGGTGATCTGCTTGCCTTGGCCTCCCAAAGTGCTGGGATTACGGGCGTGAACCACCACGCCTGGCCAGGAGTCACATTCTTAAACAAAATTAGTGTTGTTAATTGTTTTTGGAGCAAATGTGAATAAATCATCTTTTTGTTCAACAAATATTTCTTGAGTATCTATTACATGCCAGGCACTGCTTTAAGTCTTGGCCATGGAGCTAACATTCCGGTTGGGAGAGATGGGCTCCAATGAACATAATGTAATACATTAAAATGAGTTAACTGTTAAGAAAAAAATAAAGCAAGAGAAGTAGAGGGTTGCAATTTTATTTTGTTGAATTGTCTATCTGTATTCCTTTGGATCTCACTGAGTTTCCTTAAAGTTATTATTTTGAACTACTTTTCTGGCATTTTGTATGTTTCTTTATCATTGGGGCCTATTACTGGAGAATTACTGTGTTCTTTTGGAGGCATCATGTTTCCTGGCTTTTTCATGTTTATATGTTTCTAGTTTGATTTCAATGCATCTGGTGAAATAGTCACCTCTTCCAATTTTATGGAGTAGGTTTTGTAGAGAAACATTTATTCATATGAATGGGACTTGGGGGTGTCAGTTAGATGGGGTGCATTGCCTCTGGTTCTAGGTAGATGCAATAGTGTAGTCTCTACCTAAGTTTTTCAGCCATAAGTCACACTAATGACATATGGGAGTTTCTCAGTGGCTTGGGCTGCAAGGGCTTGTGGCAGCAGGCATGTGGCTCTGCTGATGATGGACTCGCCAGGTTTCTTAGGACAGGTGCACATGGTGGGTCAGCTGACTTGGGGTTTGGATCTCTGGGGTTGTGGTCCTGGGGTTATTTCTCTGGCCAGGAGCATGGATGCACAGTTGCTCAGCTGGCCTGGGGGTGTTTCAGTTGTGAGTGGCCTGTGAGGTTGTTTCTTAGACCTGGGATGGGGTGCAAGGTTGCAGATTGCAATTTTAAGTGGAGTAGTTAGGGTAGACTTCATTGGAAAGGAGATACTTTAAACAAGGATTTGTGGAAGTGAGTGAGTAAGCTGTGTGAATACTTGAGGGAAGAGTGATTCAGGCAGAGGGAATAGCCAACGCAAAGGCCTTTAGAGCAGTGTATTCGTCAGGGTGTTCTAGAGGGACAGAACTAATAGGATAGGTGTATATATGAAGGGGAGCTTATAAAGGAGTATTGACACATGTTCACAAAGTGAAGTCCCACAATACGCCATCTGCAAGCTGAGGAGCAAGGAAGCCAGCCTGAGTCCAAAAACCTCAAATGTAGGGAGGCTGATAGTGCAGCCTTCAGTCTGCAGCCAAAGGCCTGAGAGCCCTTGGCACTGGTATAGGCCCAAGAGCCCAAAAGCTGAAGATGTTGGAGTCCGATGTTTGAGGGCAGGAAGCATCCAGCATGGGAGAAAGATGGAGACAAGAAGACTCAGCAAGTCAACTCTTTCCACCCTTTTATGCCTGCTTTATTCTAGCTGTGCTGGCAGCTGATTAGATGGTACCCACCCAGACCGAGGATGGCTCTGCCTCTCCCAGTCCAGTGACTCAGATGTTAATCTCCTTTGGCAATACCCTAATAGACACACACAGGATCAACACTTTGCATCCTTCAATCCAATCAAGTTGACACTCAATATTAACCATCACAAGAAGGTATAAGAAAACTATAGCCTGTGGGCTATATCTGGCCTGTCAACTGTTTTTATCAGTAAAGGTTTATTGTCACACAGCTATGCACATTTGTTTCCCTTTGTGTATGGCTTCTTTTATGCTAAATCAGCAGAGTTGAATAGTTGCAATAGAAACATATTCACAATAGCCAAGATGTGGAAACAACCTAAGTGTCTGTCATGGATCAATGGATAAAAACAACTGTGGTATATATATATATAATGGAATATTATTCAACCTCAAAAAAAACGAGATCCTGCCATCTGTGACCACATGGATGAACCAGGAGGACATTATGCTAAGTGAAATAAGACACGAACAGAAAGACAAATACTACATGATTTCACTTACATGTGGAATCTAAAAAAAAATCAAATTCTTAGAAGCAGAGAGTAGATGATAGTTACCAGGGGCAGGAGTGGGGTGGGGCTGTGTGTTGTTGGGGAGGTGGGGAAATGAGACGACATCGGTTAAAAGGTACAATGTTTCAGTTATGTAGGATGAATAAATTCTAGAGATCCAATGTACAGCATTGGGACTATAGTTAATAATACTGTACTGTATACTTGAAATTTACTAAGAGAGTAGATCTTCAGTGTTCTCACCACAAATGCAGAAAGGTAAATAGGTGGAGATGGATATGTTAATTAGCTTGACAGTAGTAATTAGTGCACTAAGTATATGTATATCAAAACACCATGTTGTACACCTTAAATATATACAGTTTTTATTAAGTAAAATAAAGATGCTTAACTTTCCAAAATGAAAGGATAAAAGGGAAAGGAGAAAGAAGCTTATGGCCTTCAAGGCCTAAAGTATTTACTATCTGAAAAACATTAAAAAATATTTGCCAACTGCTGCTCTAGAGGCCAGTGCTGGAGTGGAATGAAAAAAATAACAAATTCCTACTTTTACTAATTTGTGAGGAAATAACTTTTTTAAAAAAATTATTTATTAATTGGTTCTTATGATGATGAAAGCTTTTCAGCTTATTCAGACTATATCTAGAAAATTACATTATTAATACACAGGTTCATTCTTTAAACAGACAAAATAAGACATTCAACTGTTTTTAATCATCTTTATTTTTTCTAATAGTGACAATTATGCTTTTTTTTTTTTTTACGTTTTGGTTATTAACAAAAGTTTTTCGCATTCAAAGAACATTAAAAAACAAATGGTGAACAGAGTGTGATACCAGACTATGTCCAACAGGTGGCTGTATTTCTCAAAGTTTCAAAACCAGCCCAATTGCCTGTTGCATGCAAATTTCCATCTCAGTTTTCAGCTACCACACATTAATTCTGTGATTCCAGGATAATTAATTCTATAACAGAGGATTAAACAGTGGGGGTGGAAAGTGATAAGTAATCACATAACCAGAGATTATTTTATTGACTTTATTCAGATCAGTACTTCTATTCCTCATTCAACAGATTCAAAATCAATATTTGACCATGTCTTCAGCCTGGTTAGGCCCTCTGTGGTGCCCTCTCAAATTAAATAGGAAGTATATAGTAGAGGTGAGAATTTGTAGTTAAAGATATAGAATAGAGTCCTGTATGTGCCATGTGGTAGCTGAGTGAATTAGGAAGTTATTTGGCCCCTTGCTATGATTTAATCAGTAAAAAGAACTGAATAAGAATTCCTACTGTATCACAAGAGGTTTTCTATAGGATTTTGGGAAAACTCTTTATATCAACATGTTTTATACTAAATATTATTATTTCTATTCACTATCCTTTCTTTCTCTCTCAAATGCTTTTCACATTCTGTTCTACCAGAAATATCAATGGATAGATCTCATCTCACTAACTTTGAATGATCTCTAGATGATTGCATTGGCTTAATTGTTTAAAAGATTTGAAGGCATTCTTATTTCCTGAGCCCTGGCATCTGGACATTTGAAGCCATATCATACCAAATTATTTTCCAAGTATTTTCTCCTGAATATTTCTGTACTTCTGTTTGTCTGCTACAATGTTATTGGCCAACAAGGAATCTGGTTTTACTTAAAATTACTATTTACATTTTTTTGTTCAGGTTAGTGTGTCTTTGTCAGATATTCTCTTTTTAATCCTCATAAAATTATGCTATCCTTAGTCCATTATTTTAATATTGAAAGTTAATGTGCAGAAAATTGAATTCAGCAATTTGTATACTATATATAAGACACTGTGCTAAAAGTTTTAGTATCTACAATTCTAACCTCAGGAAGATTACAACCAAATGTGAAATACAATGAGAAGAGACAAGCCTCTAAGCTACAAGTCAGAAAAATCTACGATTTTCTACTCACTTTGTTACCAGATATCTACTTCTCATATCACTCTCTCTCTGCAGAAAAATTAAGGAGCAGTTAGTGGACTTGAAAAATGTTGGCAGGCTCTCTGTCTACCTCAGATACACACCTGTGCTTCTGGATTTGCCATATCAAGTTGTTTCATTTGACCTGGTCTTTACATGACCCTATAGTCATCAGGATAACAACAGATGTTTAAGGTATCTGTGTGGCTATGTGATAATCCTAGTTCTGTTTTGTCCCCTTTTGTTTTATTTTTATTTGTAATTGATAAATAATCATATATATTTATGGGGTACAATGTGATATTTGGATATATGTGTACATTGTGCAATGATTGTATTAAGCTAATTCACGTGTCCATTTTTTTGGACATTTAAAACCTATTTTTAAAAGTCATTTTGAAATATACAATACATTATTATTAACTGTGGTTATCATGCTGTACAATAGGTCCTAAAACTTATTTCTCCTTACTAAAATTTTGCACCCTTTGACTAACACTTAATCATTCCCCTCCCCTTCCATCACCCCATATCCAGCCTTTGATACCCACCATTTTACTCTCTAGTTTTATAAATTTGGTCTCTTTAGAGTCCACATATAAATTAAACCATGTGTATTTGTCTTTCTGTATCAGGCTTATTTCACATAGCATAATGTCCTCTGGGTTTATCCATGTTGTAGCAAATGACAGGATTTCCTCCATTTTTTAAGGCTGAATGGCATATCATTGTGTATGTATACCATATTTTCTTCACACATTCATCAATTGATGGAGACTTAGACTGATTGCATGTTTTGGCTATTATGAATAATACTGCAATAAACTTGTGAGTGCAGATATCACTTCAACATACTGATTTCAATTCATTGGAATATGTACCCAGAAGTGGGATTCCTCGATAATATGGCAGTTCTATTTTTAGTTTGTTGAGGAGACTTTATGTTGTTTTTCATAATGGCTGTACTAATTTAAAATCCCACCAGCAATGCACCAGAGTTCCTTTTTCTTCCTTGTCTTTTTGATAATAGCCATTCTAACAGGTGTAAGATCTGACAAACCTAATTCTAAATGCCCTTCTAAATCTAGGAAAGCATGTATGGGAGATAGTAATAATGTCTTCTAAGTCAGTCAAATGCTTTATAATTTAGTCAGTTGAGCTCATATTTTGGTATTGTAGGGAGGACATGAGAAGCAGAGCAGGGCAATGTTGGTAAGAAAATATTTGCACTCTATTTGATCCTTTCTTGTAAAACACCATCCATTGCCTAACATTAGATCTTTGCTACTCAACACATCATTAGCACTTTTCCTACAATTGTTGAGGTAATATATCTTTGTTTGAAATGATAAGTTTTCTGTACCCTATTGGAGGCACAGCAAAGATGCAAGTTTTTATTCATACATCTTTCAAAGCACTGGAAATAACCAATTAAAAATTATCGTATGTTGCTAGAAGTGCCAGTTCGAAAGTGGTGGTGTAGAAACAAGCTGGCTCCATTTTCCCCCAGAGAAAACCAAAAACAAATATGCAGCACAGAGATTATCACCAGCAATAGACCAGAACTCAAATATGAGGATAAGACAGTTCCTATGGCCACAGATAAGTGAAAAAACTCTGAGCAGGTGGTGAGAGAATTGAACTTCCATATCTGCAATGCCCCTCTTCCCCAGTCTGTCCAGCACCAAGTGTATGGAAAATTACCCCCCAACTTATGGTTTCTATACTGGAAAAAGTGAGACTGAGGTGAACAATTAGCTTCCCCACCATTTGGGATTCCATGTAGGAGACTTGTCCCTGGCTCAAATCGTGGGAAGCATCAGGAGTGCTGGAAGGGAAAAATATCTCTGAGGAGAGCCAAAGACAAAGAAGGGGAGGTGGGACTACCATTGCCAGCCCTGGAAATTCTGATTTGTAACTCAGCCAAAAAAGGTGCCAAATCAGACTGGCTGTTCAGCAGAACTGTCCTGTAGGAGATTTGTTCCACGGGTACACTGAACATGAACTCCTAGCCACCTTCCCTTGAATTAGGGAGGTCCCAAAGGTGATACAGGGAAATCCCCTTTGGGACCTCTCTAATGCAAGACGGTGGCACTCTGTTTCCTAGAACCAAGGCAAACCTGGGCTTAGGGTGTCATCTCATACCAAAAAGGAAGGAGGGACCTAGTGGACATATTTTAAAAACCTAAATAAGCCAAACAGAGAATATTGGAATAGATAACTAATCTTTCAATGCAAAGACACAAATGTATACCCACAAGAAACAACAGCAAACAGGGAACCATGATCTTCCCAAATGGACAAAGCAAAGAATCAGTGACTAACCCTAACAAGATGGTGATATGTTAACTCTCTGACCAAGAATTCAAAATAGGAGTTTTAAGGAAACTAAGTGATTTCCAAAATAACAGAAAAACAATTCAGAAATTTATTAGAGAAATTTAACAGAGATTGAAATAATACAAGAAAATCGAATAGAAATCTTAGAACTGAGAAATACATTTGCTGAACTGAAAAATTCACTAGACTGTCAAGAGTAAAATGGCTCAAACAGAGGAAAGAATCAATGACCTTGAAAATAAGCTATTAGAAAATACACAGTCATAGGAGAAAGATAGAAAAAAATGAAAAGGAATGCAGATCACTTACACAATATAAAAATTATCCCAAAAGACAAACATCTAAGAATTATTGGTGTTCAAGAGGAAGTTGAGAAAGAGCAAATTGTAGAAAGCTTACTCAAAAAAATGAGAAAAAATATTACCAAACCCTGAGAATGAGATAATTCAGGTATAGGAAGGTCAGAGAATATCAAACATATCTGATCAAATAAGACCACCCAAAGGCATATAATAGATTCTCAAAGGTCAAGAATGAAGAAAGTATCCTAAAAGCAGCAAGATAAAAAGAAGAAAATAACATATAAAGGAGCTTCAATTCATCTGGCAACAGACTCCTTAACAGAAACCATGTAAGCCAGAAGAAAGTGGTCTGACATTTTCAAAGTGCTGAAAGAAAATAACTGTCATCCAATAATACTATATCCAGCAAAGCTATTCTATAAATATGGAGTACTTTATTTCTCAGAGAAACAACAACTGAGAGAATTCATCACCACCAGACCTGTCCTACAACAAACACTGCAATATAATAATAGAAGGGGACTTTAACACCTCACTCTCAGTAATTGACAGTTATGTATAACTAATATAACAAATTTCAGTAACTTCATCTAAAGAAAAAAGTGTGCATAGAGAAAACATTTAAAGGTGTAAAAGTTACTGGTAAAATTAAGTACACAGAAAACGCGGAATACACTAATACTATAATTGTGGTTTGCAATCTATTTATAACTTTAGAATAAAACCCAAATGAAAAATTTATCAAAAACAATAATATTTACAATAACCTGCTAAAAGATAGGCAATATAAAAATATGTAAATGGGGGTAACTAAAAGTCAAAACATGGGGTGATAAAATTAATGTGTAGAGGTTAAAGATTTTTTCTTGGTTTGTTTGTCCCTATTTTTTTTCTGTGTGATCAAAGATAAGTTCTCATCTCTTTGAAATAATGTGTTATCAATAGCAAAGACTTGGAACCAACCCAAATGTCCAACAATGATAGACTGGATTAAGAAAATGTGGCACATATACACCATGGAATACTATGCAGCCATAAAAAATGATGAGTTCATGTCCTTTGTAGGGACATGGATGAAGCTGGAAACCATCATTCTCAGCAAACTCTCGCAAGGACAAAAAACCAAACACCGCATGTTCTCACTCATAGGTGGGAATTGAACAATGAAAACACATGGACACAGGAAGGGGAACATCACACACCCGAGCCTGTTGTGGGGTGGGGGAGGGGGGAGGGATAGCATTAAGAGATATACCTAATGTTAAATGATGAGTTAATGGATGCAGCACACCAACATGGCACATGTATACATATGTAACTAACCTGCATGTTGTGCACATGTACCCTAAAACTTAAAAAGTATAATTAAAAAAATAAAATAAAATAATGTATTATATCTATATTTTTTACCTCATGGTAACCACAATGAGAAAACCTATAACAGATTCACTGAAAATAAGAAGCAATAAATTAAAACATACTGTCAGAGAACATAACCACAATAAATGACAATAAGAAATAAAGGAAGAGGGGACTTACAAAACAACCAGGAAACAAGAAAAAAAATAGCAGTAGTTAGTCCTTACTTGCCAATAATAACAGTGGATGTAAACGGACTCAATTCTTCAATTAAAAGACAAAGATTGGCTGAATGAATAAAGAAACAACACCCAACTATACGCTACAGGAGACCCACTCTACCTACAAAAAAACAATAGACTGAAAGTGATGGGATGCAACTGGAAATCAAAAAAAGAACACGAGTAGCGTACTTATATCAAATAAAACTGTCTACAAATTAAAGATTGTAAAAACTAAAGAAGGTCACTATACAATGATTAAAAAGGTCAAATCAACAAGACAATATAGCATTTTAATGTACGAATGGCCTCAACACTGGAGCTCCCAAGCATATAAAGCAAACAGTAGCAAATTTAGCACCCAGCTCTCAGTAACAGGTCATTCAGAAATAAAATCAATGAAGAAACAATACAGTTAAACTACGCAATAGACCAAATGGGCCTAACTGACACATAGAGAACATTTCACCTAACTATTGCGGAATACACATTTTATTCATCAACACATGGAACATTCTCCAGGATAGACAATATCTTAGGTAACAAAATAAGTCTCAACAAATTCAAAAAAGTAGAGGTCATGTTATCTTTTCTGACTACAATGGGATAAAACTAGAAATCAATAAGAAGAGGAAACTTGAAAAATACACGAGCACATATAAATTAAACAATATGCTCCTGAATGACCCAATGTGTCCGTGAATAAATTAAGAGGGAAATTTGAAAAGCTTCTTTAAATAATTAAAAAAGGAAATTTAACATACAAAAAAAATCCATACAATACAATAAAGGCAGCATTAAGAGGAAATTATTTAGCAATAAATGCCTATACCAAAAAAGTAGAAAGACTTCAAATAAACAACCTTATGATGTACCTCTAATAATTAGAAAATTTAAAAAATCAAAAAAATACAGAAGATCAATGAAATAAAAATTTGGGTTTTTGAAAAGATAGCGAAAATCAACAAACCTTTAGCTAGACTAACAAATAAAAGAGAGAACACCCAAATAAATAAAACCAGATCCATAAAAGAGACATAACAATTGAGACTACAGAAATATAGAGAATTATGAGATACTATTATATATAATTATATACTAACAAATAAAAAAATCCGGAAGAAATGGATAAAATTTCTGGACACACACAATTTACCAAAATTGAATGATAAAGAAACAGAAAACCCAAACAAACTAATAGTGTGTAATGAGATCAAAGCCGTAATAAAAAGTTTCCCTTCAAAGAAAAGCCCAGGACCTGATTGTTTCACTGAAGAATTCTACCAAACATTTAAGGAAGAACTAATACCAATTCTCTTCAAACTCTTCAAAAAAATTGAAGAGGAGGGAATACTTTCAAACTCATCCTATGATGCCAGCATTACCCTGATACCCAAACCAGATAAATACGACAAAAAAATGAAAACTACAGGCCAACATCCCTCATGAACATAGATGAAAGAATTCCCAACAAAATTGTAGAAAACTGAATTTAAGAACACATTTAGAAGAACACTTATCATAATTAAGTGGGATTCATTCCAGGGATGCAAGCATGGTTCAACATACACACATCAAAAAACATGATACATCTCATTAACAGGACCAAGAACAAAATCTATAATTATTTCAATAGATGCTGAAAAAGGATTTGATAAAATTCAACATCGCTTTATGATAAAAACTCTTATCAGGGCTGGGTGCAGTGGCACATGCCTGTAATCCCAGCACATTGGGAGGCCAAAGCAGGTGCATCACTTGAGTTCAAGAGTTTGAGACCAGCCTGGCCAACATGGTGAAACCTGTCTCTACCAAAAATTCAAAAATTAGCCGGACATGGTGGTGGGCACCTGTAATCCCAGCTGCTTGGGAGGCTGAGGCAGGAGAATCGCTTGAAACCAGGAAGCAGAAGTTGCAGTGAGCTGAGATCATGCCACTACACTCCAGCCTGGGTGACAGAATGAGACTCTGTCTCAAAAACAAATAAGCAAACAAACAAACAAGGCACTCTTATCAAACTGGGTAAAAAAGAAACATACCTCAAATTAATAAAGGCCATATATGAAAAACCAATAGCCATAATCATATCAAATGAGGAAAAATTGAAAGTCTTTCCTCTAAGATCTAGAGCAAGACAAAGATGCTCACTTTTACCTCTTTTATTAAAATAATACTGGAAGTCCTGGCCAGAGCAATTAGGCCAGAGAAAGAAATAAAGAACATTAAAACTGGAAAAGAAGAGGTCTCATTTGCAGAAGACATGATCTTATAATTAGAAAAACCTAAAGACCATTAAAAAACTTAGAACTGATAAAAAATTCAGTAAAATTACAAGATACAAAATCAACATACAAAAATCAGTGGCATTTATATATGCCAATAATGAACAATCTGAAAAAGAAATCAAGAAAGCAATCCCACATACAATAGTTACAAAGAATATGAAATACCCAGGAATCAATTTAGCCAAAGAAGTGAAAGGTCTATCAAGGAAACTATGAACTATGAATAAAAAATTGAACAGGACAAAAAAGTAATAGAAAGATATCCTATACTCATGGATTGGAAGAATTGATTTTGTTAAGGTGAAAATTCTAACCAGATTCAAGGTAATCCCTATCAAAATACCAATGATATTCTTCACATAAATAGAAAAAAAAATCCTAAAATGTACATGGAATCAGAGACGACCCCAAATACACAAACGAATCCTGAGCAAAAAGAACAAACCTTAAGGCATCACACTATCTGACTTCAAAATGTGCTACAAAGATACAGTAACCGAATCAGCATGGTACTGGCATAAAAACAGACGCATTGACAAATGGAAGAAAATATAGAACCCAGATATAAATCTACACATTTACAATCAACTCATCTTTCACAAAAACACTAAGAGCTTATAATGAGAAACAGACACCCTCTTAATTAATAGTGTTGGAAAATGGGTTAACATATGCAGAAGAATGAAACTGGACTCCTACCTCTCACCATATAAAAAATCAAATCAAGATGGATTAAAGACTTAAGTAGAAGACCTGAAACTATAAAACTACTAGAAAAAAAACATTGGGGAAATGTTCTAGGACACTGATCTGGGCAAAACAAATGTTTTTAACTTCAAATTTTATTTTAGATATGGAGATACATGTGCAGATTTGTTACATGGGAATATTATGTGATGATGGAGTTTGAAGTACAGATTCTGTCACCCTGGTAATGAACATAGTACCTAATTGGTAGTTTTTTTTTTTTTTTAACCCACTCCCCTTTCTCTAGGGCAAGTTTTTTTGTATAAGATCCCAAAAGCACAGGCAACCCAAACAAAAGTATACAAGTGAGATTACATCAAGCTAAAAAGCTTTTGCCAAAAGGCCTGAATAGACATTTCTCAAAAGAAGACATACAAATGCCAAACAGGTGTCTGAAAAGGTGCTTAACACCATTGATTACCAGAGAAAGGCAAATCAAAACTACAACTGGATAAAATCTCACCCCAGTTAAAATGGCTTATATCCAAAAGACAGGTAATAACACATGCTGTTGATGATGTGGAGAAAAGGGAAGTATATACACTGTTGTTGGGAATGTAAACTAGTGTAACCATTATGGAGAACAGCTTGGAGTTTACTACAGAAACTAAAAATGGAGCTAGCATATGATCCAGGAATCCCACTTCTAGCTATATACACAAATTAAGAGAGTAAAAATAGAGAAAATCCAAATAAACACAATCAGAAATGACAAAGTGGACATTGCCACTGACCCCACAGAAATACAAAAAACCCTCAAAGACTGCCATGAACACCTCTATGTACACAAACTAGAAAACATAGAAGAAATGGATAAATTTCTGGAAATATAAAACCTCCCAAGATTGAACCAGGAAGAAACTGAATACCTGAACAGATCAATAACCCATTCTGAAATTGAATCGGTAATAAAAAGCCTGTAAACTAGAAAAAGCCCTGGATCAGATGGATTCATAACTGAATTCTTCCAGATGTATTATGTAAAGATGACCTGGTACCATTCCTACTGAAACTGTTCCAAAGACTTGAGAAGAAGAGACTCCTACCTAAATCATTAAATGAGGCCAGCATCACCCTGATACCAAAACCTGGCAGGGACACAACAACAACAACAACAAAGAACTTCAGGCCAATATTGCTGATGAACATAGATGCAAAAATTCTCAACAAAATACTAGCAAACTGAATCCAGTGGCACATCGAAATCTACCACGATCAAGTAGGCTTTATTGCTGGTTGGTTTAACATACTCAAGTCAATAAATATGACTCATCACATAAACAGAACTAAATAAAAACCAAATAACTATCTCAATAGATACAGAAAGGCTTTCGGTAAAATCCAACATCGCTTCATGTTAAAAAACCCTCAATAAACTAAGCATTGAAGGAATAATATCTCAAAATAATAAGAGCCATCCATGACAAACCCACAGCCAACAACAAAACTATCAATGGAGTAAACATACAACCTACAGAATGGAGAAAACATTTGCAAGTTATGTATCTGACAAAGGTCTAATATCCAGAATTTATAAGAAACTTACACACATTAAGAAGCAAAAAACAACCCCATTAAAAATTGGCAAAGGACAGGTACAGCAGACACTTCTCAAAAGAAGACATACACGTGGTCAATATGCACATGAAAAACTGCTCAACCTCATGAATCATTACGGAATTGTAAATCAAAACCATAATGAGATACCATCTCATACCTGCCAGAATGGCTATAATTAAAACATCAAAAAATAACAAATGCTGGCAAGGCTGCTGAGAAAAAGGAATTTTTATATACTGCTGGTGGGAATGTAAATTAGTCTAGCCATTGTGAAAGCAGTTTGGCTATTATTCAAATAACATAAGAAATAATTGCCATTGGACCCAGCAATCTCAATATTGGTTATTTACCAATATAAATCATTCTATCATAAAGACACATGCATGTGTATGTTAATTGCAGCACTACTCACAATAGCAAAGACATGGAATTAACCTAGATGACCATGGTAAACTGGATAAAGAAAATGTGTTATATATATGCCATGGAATACTACGCAGCCATAAAACAGAATGAGATCATGTCCTTTGCACTAATATGCATGGAGCTGGAAGCCATTATCCTAAGTCGACTAATGCAGGAACAAAAAAACAAATATTGCATGTTCTCACTTGTAAGTGGGAGCTAAACATTGAGTACAGATAGACACAAAGAAGGTTACAACAGACACCAGTGCCTACTTTAGGGTGGAGTGTGGGAGGAGGGTAAGGACTGACAAACTACCTATGAGGTACTGTGTTTATTGCCTGGGTAACAAAATAATCTGTATACCTAACTCCCATGACATGCAATTTACCTATATGACAAATCTGCCATGTACTCCTAAATCAAAAATAAAAGTTAAAAAAATAAAAAGAAAAGCAAAATGAGCATAATGGTGGCAACAATAGGCCCACTGTTGGGATAATATGTAAAAACAAATAACTAAACAGGTATAATTAGATTGTTTGTAACACAAGGAAAGGATAAATGCTTGAGGTAATGGATACTGCATTTACTCTGATTTGATTATTATGCATTGTATGCCTATATCAAAATATCTCATGTACCTCATAAATTTATACACCTACTATGTACCCACAGAAATTTAAAAAAAATTTAGGGGGAGGAGCCAAGATGGCCGAATAGGAACAGCTCCGGTCTACAGCTCCCAGCGTGAGTGATGCAGACGGGTGATTTCTGCATTGCCAACTGAGGTACCGGGTTCATCTCACTGGGGAGTGCCAGACGGCAGGGGCAGGACAGTGCGTGCAGTGCACAGTGCACGAGCCGAAGCAGGGTGAGGCATTGCCTCACCTGGGAAGCACAAGGGGTCAGGGAATTCACTTTCCTAGTCAAAGAAAGTGGTGACAAATGGCACCTGGAAAATCTGGTCTCTCCCACCCTAATACAGCACTTTTCCAAGGGGCTTAAAAAATGGCACATCAGGAGATTATATCCCCTGCCTGGCTCAGAGGGTTCTATGCCCACAGAGTCTCACTCATTGCTAGCACAGCAGTCAGAGATCAAACTGCAAGGGGGCGGTGAGGCTGGGGGAGGGGTGCCTGCCATTGCCCAGTTAGTTGTTTGATTAGGTAAACAAAGCAGCTGGGAAGCTCGAACTGGGTGGAGCCCACCACAGCTCAAGGAGGCCTGCCTGCCACTGTAGGCTCCACCTCTGGGGGCAGGGCACAGACAAACAAAAAGACAGCAGTAACCTCTGCAGACTTAAATGTCCCTCTCAGACAGGTTTGAAGAGAGTAGTGGTTCTCCCAGCACACAGCTTGAGATCTGAGAATGGGCAGACTGCCTCCTCAAGTGGGTCCCTGACTCCCAAGTAGCCTAACTGGGTGGCACCCCCCAGTAGGGGTGGACTGACACCTCACATGGCCGGGTACTCCACTGAGACAAAACTTCCAGAGGAACGATCAGACAGCAGCATCTGTGGTTCACCAATATCCACTGTTCTGCAGCCATTGCTGCTGATACCCAGGCAAACAGGGTCTGGAGTGGACCTCTAGCAAACTCCAAAAGACCTGCAGCTGAGGGTCCTGACTGTTAGAAGGAAAACTAACAAACAGAAAGGACATCCACAACAAAAACCCATCTGTACGTCACCATCATCAAAGACCAAAAGTAGATAAAACCACAAAGATGGGAAAAAAACAGAGCAGAAAAACTGGAAACTCTAAAAACCGCAGCGCCTCTCCTCCTCCAAAGGAATGCAGCTCCTCACCAGCAATGGAACAAAGCTGGATGGAGAATGACTTTGATGAGTTGAGAGAAGGAGGCTTCAGATGATCAAACTACTCCGAGCTAAAGGAGGAAATTTGAACCAATGGCAAAGAAGTTAAAAGCTTTGAAAAAAAATTAGACGAATGGATAACTAGAATAACCAATGCAGAGAAGTCCTTGAAGGACCTGATGGAGCTGAAAACCAAGGCACAAGAGCTACGTGATGAATGCAGAAGCCTCAGTAGCCGATGCGATCAACTGGAAGAAAGGGTATCAGTGATGGAAGATGAAATGAATGAAATGAAGGGAGAAGAGAAGTTTAGAGAAAAAACAATAAAAAGAAATGAACAAAGCCTCCAAAAAATATGGGACTATGTGAAAAGACCAAATCTACATCTGATTGGTGTACCTGAAAGTGACAGGGAGCATGGAAACAAGTTGGAAAACACTCTGCAGGATATTATCCAGGAGAACTTCCACAATCTAGCAAGGCAGGCCAACATTCAAATTCAGGAAATACAGAGAATGCCACAAAGATACTCCTCGAGAAGAGCAACTCCAAGACACGTAATTGTCAGATTCACCAAAGTTGAAATGAGGGAAAAAAATGTTAAGGGCAGCCAGAGAGAAAGGTCAGGTTACCCACAAAGGGAAGCCCATCAGACTAACAGTGAATCTCTCAGCAGAAACTCTACAAGCCAGAAGAGAGTGTGGACCAATATTCAACATTCTTAAAGAAAAGAATTTTCAACCCAGAATCTCATATCCAGCCAAACTAAGCTTCATAAGTGAAGGAGAAATAAAATCCTTATCAGACAAGCAAATGCTGAGAGATTTTGTCACCACCAGGCCTGCCCTAAAAGAGCTCCTGAAGGAAGCACTGAACATGGAAAGGAAAAACTGGTACCAGCCACTGCAAAAACATGCCAAATTGTGAAGACCATTGATGCTAGGAAGAAACTGCATCAACTAACGAGGAAAATAACCAGCTAACATCATAATGACAGGATCGAATTCACACATAACAATATTAACTTTAAATGTAAATGGGCTAAATGCTCCAATTAAAAGACACAGACTAGCAAATTGGATAAAGAGTCAAGAACAATCAGTGTGCTGTATTCAGGAAACCCATCTCACATGCAGAGACACACATAGGCTCAAAATAAAAAGATGGAGGAAGATCTACCAAGCAAATGGAAAACAAAAAAAGGCAGGGGTTGCAATCCTAGTCTCTGATAAAACAGACTTTAAACCAACAAAGATTAAAAGAGACAAAGAAGGCCATTACATAAAGGTAAAGGGATCAATTCAACAAGAAGAGCTAACTATCCTAAATATATATGCAGCCAATACAGGAGCACCCAGATTCATAAAGCAAGTCCTGAGTGACCTACAAAGAGACTTAGACTCCCACACGATAATAATGGGAGACTTTAACACCCCACTGTCAACATTAGACAGATCAATGAGACAGAAAGTTAACAAGGATACCCAGGAATTGAACTCAGCTCTGCACCAAGCGGACCTAATAGACATCTACAGAACTCTCCACCCCAAATCAACAGAATATACATTCTTTTCAGCACCACACCACACCTATTCCAAAATTGACCACATAGTTGGAAGTAAAGCACTCCTCAGCAAATGTAAAAGAATAGAAATTATAAAAAACTGTCTCAGACCACAGTGCAATCAAACTAGAACTCAGGATTAAGAAACTCACTCAAAACTACTCAACTACATGGAAACTGAACAACCTGCTCCTGAATGACTACTGAGTAAATAATGAAATGAAGGCAGAAATAAAGATGTTCTTTGAAACCAATGAGAAAAAATACACAACATACCAGAATCTCTGGGACACATTCAAAGCAGTGTGTAGAGGGAAATTTATACCACTAAATGCCCACAAGAGAAAGCAGGAAAGATCTAAAATTGACACCCTAACATCACAATTAAAGGAACTAGAAAAGCAAGAGCAAACACATTCAAAAGCTAGCAGAAGGCAAGAAATAACTAAGATCAGAACAGAACTGAAGGAAAGAGAGACACAAAAAACCCTTCAAAAGATTAATGAATCCAGGAGCTGGTTTTTTGAAAAGATCAATAAAGTTGATAGACCACTAGCAAGACTAATAAAGAAGACAGAAGAATCAAATAGATGCAATAAAAAATGACAAAGGGGATCTCACCACCGATCCCACAGAAATACAAACTACCATCAGAGAATGCTACAAACACCTCTATGCAAATAAACAAGAAAATCTAGAAGAAATGGATAAATTCCTTGACACATACATCCTCCCAAGACTAAACCAGGAAGAAGTTGAATCTCTGAATAGACCAATAACAGGCTCTGAAATTGTGGCAATAATCAATAGCTTACCAACCAAAAACAGTCCAGGACCAGATGGATTCACAGCCGAATTCTACCAGAGGTACAAAGAGGAGCTGGTACCATTCCTTCTGAAACTATTCCAATCAATAGAAAAAGAAGGAATCCTCCCTAACTCTTTTTATGAGGCCAACATCATCCTGATACCAAAGCCTGGCAGAGACACAACCAAAAAAGAGAATTTTAGGCCAATATCCTTGGATGAACATTGATGCAAAAATCCTCAGTAAAATACTGGCAAACCGAATCCAGCAGCACATCCAAAAGCTTATCCACCATGATCAAGTGGGCTTCATCCCTGGGATGCAAGGCTGGTTCAATATACGCAAATCAATACATGTAATCCAGCATATAAAGAGAGCCAAAGACAAAAACCACATGATTATCTCAATAGATGCAGAAAAAGCCTTTGACAAAATTCAACAACACTTCGTGCTAAAAACTCTCAATAAATTAGGTATTGATGGGACGTATCTCAAAATAATAAGAGCTATCTACGACAAACCCACAGCCAATATCATACTGAATGCGCAAAAACTGGAAGCATTCCCTTTGAAAATGGGCACAAGACAGGGATGCCCTCTCTCACCACTCCTATTCAACATAGTGTTGGAAGTTCTGGCCAGGGCAATCAGGCAGCAGAAGGAAATAAAGGGTACTCAATTAGGAAAAGAGGAAGTCAAATTGTCCCTGTTGGCAGATGACATGATTGTATATCTAGAAAACCCCATCATTTCAGCCCAAAATCTCCTTAAGCTGATAAGCAACTTCAGCAAAGTCTCAGGATACAAAATCAATGTACAAAAATTACAAGCATTCTTACACACCAATAACAGACAAACAGAGAGCCAAATCATGAGTGAACTCCCATTCACAATTGCTTCAAAGAGAATAAAATACCTTGGAATCCAACTTACAAGGGATGTGAAGGACCTCTTCAAGGAGAACTTCAAACCACTGCTCAATGAAATAAAAGAGGATACAAACAAATGGAAGAACATTCCATGCTTATGGGTAGGAAGAATCAATAGCATGAAAATGGCCATTCTGCCCAAGGTAATTTATAGATTCAATGCCATCCCCATCAAGCTACCAATGACTTTCTTCACAGAATTGGATAAAACTACTTTAAAGTTCACATGGAATCAAAAAAGAGCCCACATCACCAAGTCAATCCTAAGCCAAAAGAACAAAGCTGCAGGCATCATGCTCCTGACTTCAAACTATACTACAAGGCTACAGTAACCAAAACAGCATGGTACTGGGACCAAAACAGAGATATAGACTAATGGTACGGAACAGAGCCCTCAGAAATAATGCCGCATATCTACAACTATCTGATCTTTCACAAACCTGAGAAAAACAAGCAATGGGGAAAGGATTCCCTATTTAATAAATGGTGCTGGGAAAACTGGCTAGCCATATGTAGAAAGCTGAAACTGGATCCCTTCCTTACACCTTATACAAAAATTAATTCAAGATGGATTAAAGACTTAAACGTTAGACCTAAAACCATAAAAACCCTAGAAGAAAACCTAGGCAATACCATTCAGGACATAGGCATGGGACTTCATGTCTAAAACACCAAAAGCTATGGCAACAAAAACCAAAATTGACAAATGGCATATAAGTAAACTAAAGAGCTTCTGCACAGCAAAAGAAACTAACCATCAGAGTGAACAGGCAACCTACAGAACGGGAGAAAATTTCTGCAACCTACTCATCTGACAAAGGGCTAATATCCAGAATCTACAATGAACTCAAACAAATTTACAAGAAAAAAACAAACAACCCCATCCAAAAGTGGGCAAAGGATATAAACAGACACTTCTCAAAAGAAGACATTTATGCAGCCAAAAGACACATGAAAAAATGCTCATCATCACTGGCCACCAGAGAAATGCAAAGCAAAACCACAATGAGATACCATCTCACACCAGTTAGAATGGCGATCATTAAAAATTCAGGAAACAACAGGTGCTGGAGAGGATGTGGAGAAATAGGAACACTTTTACACTGTTGGTGGGACTGTAAACTAATTCATCCATTGTGGAAGTCAGTGTGGCAATTCCTCAGGGATCTAGAACTAGAAATACCATTTGACCCAGCCATCCCATTACTGGGTATATACCCAAAAGGTTACAAATCATGCTGCTACAAAGACACATGCACACGTATGTTTATAGCAGCACTATTCACAATAGCAAAGACTTGGAACCAACCTAAATGTCCAACAACGATAGACTGGATTAAGAATATGTGGCACATATACACCATGGAATACTATGCAGCCATAAAAAATGATGAGTTCATGTCCTTTGTAGGGACATAGATGAAACTGGAAACCATCATTCTCAGCAAACTATCACAAGGACAAAGAACCAAACACCGCATGTTCTCACTCATAGGTGAGAATTGAACAATGAGAACACATGGACACAGGAAGGGGAACATCACACACCGGGGACTGTTGTGGGGTGGGGGGAGGGGGGAGGGATAGCAGTAGAAGATACATCTAATGCTAAATGATGAGTTAATGGGTGCAGCACACCAGCATGGCACATGTATACATATGTACAAACCTGCACGTTGGGCACATGTACCCTATAACTTAAAGTATAATAATAATAAAATTAAAAAAAAAAGTGAAATGGTAAAAAAAAAAAAAAAAAAAAATTTAAAAAGCTTGTACCCAGCAAAAGAAACAATCAACAAAGAGGCAATCTACAGAATGGGAGAAAATATTTGCAAACTCTCCATCTGACAAAAGATTAAAATAAGAATATGCAAGGAGCACAAACAACTTGATATAAAAAAAAATCTGATTGAAAAATGAGTCAAAGACCTGAATAGACATTCCTCAAAAGAAGACATCCGAGGAGAGAATCTCATTAAAGATGGCTGCCTGGAAGCATTTCATGACTGCCTGCTCCACACAGAAGAGCTGGAGTAGTGTACAGACAGTCACACATTGAGCACATTATCCAAGAGAGAATGCTGGAATTCAACAGTGAAATGAGGAACAACACAAAAGAAAAAGGAGGAGAGACAGTCTCCCTGGCCAGGAGTAACTGTCCTGGGGAGGGGTGAGTAATAAACCAGTGGCCCACACCTCTACTGTGTTATGCTATCTCCTGGGGAGATAGCATCTCCAGTAACTCTCCTGGAGAGAGTTACTAGTTACTCCTGGGGAGGGGTGAGTAATAGACTTCTAGTGGCTCACACCCTTACTGTGTTATCATGCTATCCTAGCTGAGGAAGAACGCCTTGACCATCTCAACCCCTGAAACAAACAGGAATCTGCTGGGAGTCCCTGGAATGAAACTGCTGCAGAAGGGAGCTTGTACTAAGACCAATACACTATCTGAGATCTAAGCAGCTTCAACAAGGCAGCATTTTCAATACTAGTCTCTGACAAACTTTACACTCCCGCTTAGAAGTAGGTGAGGCCTGGGTGGCAGCAGACGGTGTCAGGAAGTAAGCACTGCTGGAGTCTGAGACCAGGATTTAAGCAAGGTGTGATTCACCTTTGCAAGTTGATCTCAAACTGGTTGTGGGCTTCTGCAGCTAGACCAGGGAGTGAGACCTGCTGGAACTAGTGTCTGAAAGGAATGTGTATCA
This sequence comes from Homo sapiens, assembly GCF_000001405.40. Lineage (NCBI taxonomy): Eukaryota > Metazoa > Chordata > Mammalia > Primates > Hominidae > Homo > Homo sapiens. The sequence goes on from NC_000003.12 coordinate 99,041,921, forward strand.
GCTACCCATCAGCCCAGGCTGTGGCCATTGAGGGTGGCTCCACCCTCTCTAGTGGTGGATCCTCAGCACGGCTGCTACCCACCTCTCACCTGAGCTATTTGAAGATCACTCTGCCTCTGCTCACAACAGCTGGTGCCTACTGTCACCATTGGGGTTAGGGCCTCCCATGGACACCCATTCACCCCATTGCAGCCACTGCTAACATTAGTGAACACCACTTATGATCCAGAAAATTGTCCCATCATTGCTATTCCCATTGTTCACACCACATCTGATTCTCAGGGTCCCGAGAATCTGTTCACCTGCCAGGTCCATAACTACCATAATGGCATTCAAGAATGCCACCTGGAGGCTGAAGAATCAGCCTGCCAGTAACTGACAATACAGGTGCTAGTGTGCACCATCCTGGGGCACAAAGATAGGTATGCTCAGCCCACTGCTGCCACAATTGTGACCTGCAGACTGGTCAATCTAGCTTCCCAGTCCCAGCACAACTTCACTACAGCCTCCACTAATAACTACATCTAACCCACTGAAAAAAACACAAATACGGCTAATGCTTTTTACAACCAATGAAATCATACAGAGACTATAGTACTGCATTCACCATCACAGCAAAAATACCCTACCCAACTAACACCATAGATATGTCTTCAGATAAAAGTCCTTCCCTACTAATGTAAATTCAAAAATAAGAAGGAGCAACTATTACACCAGATGCACAGATATCAATTTAAGGGCAAAGGAAACATGAAAAAGCAAGGAAATATGATGTTTCCAGAGGAATATATTACAGGCCAGAAGGTAATGCAATGATATAAGAATTCTACATTCAACAAAATTATCCTCCATAAATGAAGAAGAAATAAAGTCATTTCCAGGCAAACAAATGCTGAAGGAATTAGTTACTACTAGACTAGCCATACAAGAAATGCTTAATGAAGAGAGTCCTAAAACTGGCAGCAAAGAATGACATTTATCATCATGAAAACACACAAAAATATAAAACTCACTGGTCATGCAATCATACAAAGGAGAAAGAGAAAGGATTCAAATGGTATTACCACAGAAACCCACCAAACCTAAATGGCAAAGCATAAGAGAAAAAGAAAGAAAAGAAATTATAATAACAAGAGTACAATTAATAATATGACAGGAACAAAGCCTCACATGTCAGTAATAACCTTGAAAATAAATGGATTAAATTCTCCTCTTAAAAGATATAGAATTACTAGAGTTTTAAAAATAATCAAATTACATACTACTTAAAATAAACACTCTTTAGCAGTAAAGACACACATAGACTGAAAGTAAAGGGATGGAAAAAATATTCCATGCAAATTCAAACCAAAAGCATGCAGGAGTAGCTATACTTACAGCAGATTAAACATACTTTAAGAACAATTAAAAAAAGGACAAATAAGTGCACTATACAAGGATAAAGGGATCAATCCTGCAATTGATACATCAATTCTAAATATATATGCACCAAAAACTGGAGCATCCAGATTTATAGAGCAAATATTAGTATATCTAAAGAGAGAGATAGAGTGCAATACAATAATAGTGGGAGGCTTCAACACCTCAGTCTCAGCATTAGACAGATCATCTAGACAGAAAATCAACAAAGATGCTTTGGATATAAACTGAACTTTAGACCAAATGGACCTAACAGACATTTACAGAATACTGTATCCAACAACTGCAGAATATATATTGCCTCCATCAGCACATTGAACATTCTCCAGGATAGACCACACTTTAGGCCACAAAACGAGTCAACCAGTTTTTAAAAATGGAGATAATATCAAGTATCTTCTCTGACCATAATGGAATAACATTAGAAATCAATAGCAAGAGGAACTCTGAAAAATATACAAATACATAGAAATTAAACATGTTCCTGAGTGACCATTGGGTCAATGAAGAAATTAAGATGGGAATATAAACATCTTTGAAATAGATGAAAATGACAATACAACATACCAAAAGCTGTGGCATAAAGTAAAACCAGTGCTACAGGGAATTTTATAGCAATAAATGCCTACATCAAAAAGTATTAATATTACAAAATAACAATCTAACAATGCACAACAGGGAACTAGAAAAACAAGAACAAACCAAACATAAAATTAACAGAAGAAAAGAAATGTTAACAATCAGAGCAGAAATAAATGAAATAGAGGCTAAAAATATAATAAAAAGGAAAAACAAAACAAAAAGTTGGTTCTTCAAAAATGTAAACTAAATTGATAAAGTACTAGCTATAATAACCAAGAAAATAAGAAAGAGGACCCAAATAAACAAAATCAGAAATGAAAAGGGAGACAGACAATTGATACCACAGAAATACAAAAGATCATCAGAGAATATTACCAGCAACTATACAGTGACAAACTGGAAACCTGGAGGAAATGGACAAATTTCTAGAAACATACAACCTATAAAGATTAAAATAGGAGTAAATATCAAACCTGAACAGACTGATAATGACTAGTGAGATTAAATCAGTAATATAAAGTCTGCCAACATAGAAAAGCCCAGGACCAGCTGGATCTGTAGCCATATTTTATCAAACAAAGAAAGAAAAACTAGTATAAATCTTCCTAAAACTATTTCTAAATGTGAAACAGGAGGAAATTCTCTTTAACTCATTCTGTGAGGCCAGCATTATCCTGATTCCAAAACCACACAAAGAATCCACAAAAAAAAAAGAAAGCTGCAGGCCAATATCCCTCACGAACATAGATGCAAAAATATTCAACAAAATACTAGAAAACCAAATCCAATAGCACATCAAAAAGATAATATACCACAATCAAGTGGGATTTATACTAAAAATGCAAGGATGGTTAAACATGCAAATCAATAAAAATGATACATTACGTCAACAGAATAAAGCACAAAACCGTATGATCATCTCAATAGAGGCAGAAAAGGCATTTAATAAAATTCACATTCCTTAATGGTAGAAATTATCTTTAAACTAAGCATAGAAGGAATATTCTATGTTGGGAGACTTTTCATTACTGATTCAATCTCACTACTCATTATTAGTCTGTTCAGGTTTTATATTTATTTCTAATTTAATCTCTAATCAAAATAACAAAGTCTATATATGGTACACCCACAGCTAACATTATAATGAGAAAAAGTTGAAAGCATTTACTTTAAGAACTAGAACACGATAAGGATGCCCAATTTTACCACTCTTATTCAACATAGTACTGGAAGTGCTAGCCAGATCAATCAGGCAAGAGAAAGAAATAAACAGCATTGGAAAAGAGAAACTAAAATTATCCTCATTTGCTGATGATATAATTTTATATCTAGAAAAACCTAAAGACTTTACCAAAAAACCCTCTTGGATTTGATAAATGAATTCAGTAAAGTTGCAGGATAGAAAATCAATGTACAACAATCAATAGCATTTCCATGCACCAATAACAATCTGGCTAAGAAAAACTTAAGAAGGCAATTCCATTTATCATATCTACAAAAAGTAAAATGCCTAGAAATAAATTTAACACAGGAAGTGAAAGATATCTACAGGAAAAACTACAAAACACTTATGAAAGAAATTAAAGGTGACCCAAACTAATGGAAAAGCATCTCACGCTAATGGATCTGAAGAGTTAATTTTGTAAATATGACCATACTGCCCAAAGCAATCTAAAGATTCAGTGCAATTTCTATCAAAATACCTAGCTCACTTTTTTTTTACATAATTAGAAAAGAACTCTAAAATTCACATGGAACGAAAAAAGAACCTGAAGAGCCAAAGCAACTCTGAGCAACAAAAACAAAGCTGGAGATATCGCATTATCTGATTTAGAATTATATTACAAGGCTATCGTAACCAAAATAAGATGGTACTTGTATAAAAATAGACATATATATCAATGGAACACAATAGAGAACCCAGAAATAAAGCCACATGTTTACAGCAAACTAATCTTTCACAAAGCCAACAAGTACATACTTTGGGAAATGGACACCTTCCTGAATAAATGGTGCTGGGAAAAGTGAATAGCCATATGCAGAAGAATGAAACTGGACCCATATCTCTCACCATATACAAAAATCAATGAAAGGTGGATTAAAGACTTAAAAGTAAGATCTAAAAATAAACAAAGACTAGAAGACAACCTAGGGAAAACTCTTGTGGACATTTGTCTGGGCAAAGTATTTATGGTTAAGACCACAAAAGATAACAAAAACAAATGTAGATAAATGAGATTTAATTAAACTAAAAAGCTTCTGCCCAGCTAAAAAAGATCAACAGAGAGAACAGATAACCTGAGAAATGGGGGGAAATATCTGCAAACTATTCATCTGCAGGGGACTAATATTTAGAGTATACAAGGAACTCAAGCAACTCAACAACGAAACCCCCCGAATAATCCCATTAAGATGTGGGCAAATGATATGAATAGACATTTTTCAAAAGAAGACATACAAATGGTCAACAGATAAATGGAAAAGAAAAACAACTCAACATCACTAATCATCAGAGAAATGCAAATCAAAACAACCTTGAGATATCATCTTACCCCAGTCAGAATGGCTGTTATTACAAACTCAGAAATAACAGATTATGGTGAGGATGTAGAGCAAAGGAAACTCTTATACACTGTTGGTGGGAATGTACAGCCTTTATGAAAAAAGCATGGATATTTCTTAAAGAACTAAAAATAGAACTAGCATTCAATCAGCAATCTCACTACTGGTTATCTTCCCAAAGGAAATAAGTCAATACATCAAAAAGATATCTGCACTTGTATATTTATCATAGCACTTTTCACATTATGAAACACAAAGATATGGATGAATTAATAAAGAAAATGTGGCATATATGCACAATAGAATACTGTTCAGCCATAAAAGAGTGAAATTATATCTTTTGCAGCAACATGGATGGAACTGGAGTTCATTATCTTAAGTGAAACTAGACACAAAAAGGCAAATTTCACATGCACTCACTCATAAGGGGGTGCCAAAAAATGTGCTCATGTAGACATTGAGAATGGAATGATAGATAATGGAGACTTGGCAGGTTAGTGGGTGGGAGGAAGGAGGATGATGAGCAACTGATTAATGAGTACAATGTACATTATCAGGTGATGGATACCCTATAAGCACTGACTTGACCACTACTCTACGCATGTAAGTAAATTGCACATGTAACCCATAAATTTTGACAAATAAAAAGAAAAAAGATACACAAATGGCCAATAAGTACATGAAAAAATTCTCAACACTATTAATCATCAGAGAAATGCAAATCAATACCACAATGGGATATCATGTCATCCCAGTTAAAATCACTTTTATAAAAAAGACAGAAAATAACAGATGCTGGCGAGGATGTGGAGAAAGAGGAAACATTGTTCACTGTTAGTGGAAATGTAAACTAGTACAACCACTATGGAGAATAGTATGGAGGTTCCTCAAAAAAATGACAAATGGAATTCCCATATGATCCAGCAATTTCACTACTGGGTATAAATCCCAAAGAAAGGAAATCAATGTACCCAAGAGGTATCTGTACATTGGTAACTATCAGAAGCTAGAAAAGGTAGGGGGAAGGGAAAATGAAGAGAGACTGATTAATGGGTACAAATATAAAGTTTAATACAAGAAATAAGACCTAGATTTGATATATCAGTAGAGTGACAGTAGTTTACAATAATCTAATGTATATTTCAAAATAGATAGAAGAGAATAATTCAAATGTTTCTATCATAAAGAAAACACAAACATTTAAGGTGATGAATCTCCCAATTATGCTGATTTTATCTTTACAAGTTATATAAATGTATCAAATTATCAAATATATGTAAATATATTAAATTATCACACATACTTCCCAAATATACACATCTATTATATATTAATAAAAATAAAAAATTAAAATATCACACGTTAATTATGACATATAGGTAAATTGGCCACTTTTTCAGAACAAAAAGGAAATAACCCACTTGGTATTTTCAAAAGTATTTAAGGATATTTGTGACCTTTTTTGCCACTCCTTTCTGTGAGGTTTTTATAGGAGTTTTGATTTTGAAAAAATTTGGCAAACACATTTAGTTATAAGTTAGCCTACTCATTTTTGGCTGACTTAAAGGGGATGGAAATGGCATTAAAATGTATTATAGGACAGCTGAAAATTTGGGGATCCAAAATCTTAATTTTATTTTATTGTTCACAGAGCCAAATGAAATTGGAAAAAAAAGAGAGCAGTTTACTCTTTATTATGCCCAAGAGAACATGTGATATTAGTCTGGGGATAATCTCATGTGTCTTAATTAAACAAATATTATATGAATATGCATTGGAGGCTTTGACTCAATTCTGATCGTACATGCTTAGCCCAATTTTAGTTATATCCTCACGATATTCTAGATGTTGCAACCACTATCAGTTTCCCAACTAAACAACAGATTCCATATGGACACATCAGTTTTGTAGAGTTCACATCACCAGTTTTTATTTTACAAACTTAATCTCTTTTAATTAATTTTAAGTATCAACATCATGTGCTGAAGGCTACTCATACACCAATTTGAAGACTAGCTTATAAAAAGTCTGAAATATTTATATATTAAATTATCAGAAGTTTTCATAAGGTTAATAAGTTAGATTTGCTTTTATGGAGTGTTGTTCAGCAAATTGTGTATACCAATTGCCAATATCTCTTACTTTATGTTTCATCTGTGCACTCTCATGTATTAGGTCTCAAATATTGTCAATCCTACAAAACAACCATGGTAGAGATAGGGGAGGTGACTTAGTCAAGAGCACATGGGTTTTAGGCTTGTTACCCCAAATTGGCATTGGGGTCAAAAGGACATCAGTCCAGAAGTGGAGAGGAGAGACTTGGTTATGACTTTTATTAGCATGTGACAATACATGAATGTCTTAGCCTCTGGATATCTATTTCCTCAGCTCCAAAATGAGAAGCTTAGATTTAGAAAACTTTTGAAGTCTTTTCCAACCCTGACATTTGCTTCATTCTCTGTTCCTCTATTAAGACAGGCTGCAGACAGGTCAGGATAACATCACTGTCTCCTCTCTTGCTCAACTGACTTATCTTACCCTTGTCTGGCCATTTCTCTTTTCTTCTTAAAATCCAAGCTTAAGAAATCATAGCTGATGTTCTGGAGAAGCTGGATCCTATAAAGGAAGGCATTGGAGTTGACTTTTTCCTAGTCAGTCAAGCTGTTTGTTCCCTCCACCAATACCACAAAATCGTCTTTCTGTTTCCACTTCCAGATTTTTGCTTTGACACATGGGCAGTGAAGAAAACTGCTCCCAAGGCACCTGCAAATTTTATTTCCTTTGGCCACTTTCAACAGGTGTGGTCCTGGTAAGAAACAGGAAGGAATTGACAAGCTGGTCTCTGGAGGACATGGACTAGGCAGCTTCTTCTACCTCCAGCAGCCAGACCTTACTGGACAGGCTCTGTTGAAGACTCTGCTGAAGACTCTCTGAAGATTAGGGGTTATGACACACTCTTGCCTTTGGGAATTGGGACATTCTTCTTTTCTAAGTAATTGCTCTTTCTTTCTTGCACTGCAGGGCTTGTTTAAATAGTTCAACATTGTGTCCACAGTAATTACATGTTCCATTTGGTTTTTCCCTCTTATGTCTTTGGTTCTATGTTTTTGCTAGAACAATCTGTAAGGCCCTTTAGAGTCTGATATTACTTTTAATGAAAGGAATTGTGGACTTTGTAGAGAAAGGAAAGGGAAAAAAGAAAAGAGGAGAGAAGAGAAAATGAGCCACTTTTACTTCCTTCTCAGGTACTCTCCCTATTTTGGAGATTTTTACATAAATGACACATTAGTGGTGGTAGGGAGTGTAAAAAGAGACACCCAATTCCCTCTCAAATCCAATAAAAATACGTGTATGTGTCCAAACAGCCATAGATAGTCAGAGGGTACTCAAAATATATCCCAGAGAATCAGGCTCAAAACCAGTTAACTAAAATGAAATAATTTTAAGATTGAGCAACGGGGACACACACACCAAGGTGATGTAGAGAGATGTAGGAGAGATGTAGACAGAATTTTGAGGAAGATGTCTTTTTTATCTCAGGGCCTTTTAATCTAGGCAGTATTGACGTTTAATGTTAGATAATCCTTTGATGGTGGGGAGGGCGTGCCCTGTACATTAGAAGATGTCTAGCAGCAACCCTGGCCTTTACCCACTAGATAGCTATAGAACTTCCCACTGTTCCAGTTGTGGCAACAAAAAATGTCTCCAGACATTGACAAATGTCCACTATGGGACATGATTTTTTATGGTTGAGACTACTGCTCTATCTTAAATAAATCTTGGTTTTACACTACTCTATTATATTTGACGGAATGGTCTCTACTATAGAGAAGCAAGTTGACCCACCCAAAATCAATTTGACAAAAGCCAATTTTACCAAAAACCCATTTCCCAAAATATCAAATATTGAACGACTAATTCATCGAACAACACATTTACTCAATTCATAAAAAGTTGTTTTAATAAATATTCTTCCCGAACATATTTAAATGAATTACCAGTTAGAATATGTTAATACATATTCATAAGAAATTTATACTCAAATATTTCAATATTTAAAAATGATAGCATTAAATTTTTTTTTTTGTCAAATGAGTAAAACTGGAAAACATAGCAAATTGTTTTTCAATGAATTGGTTTTCAGAGAAGTAATGTCAGGGAAATGATTTAGAGTCCTACCATACCTGTGTCCATGGTAGCCAGAGTGATGTCTCTCCTTGAAAGGCACTCCAATGACCATGATGGTAACTCAGTAGACATATTAAGAAGATGTGTCTCTTGAGAAGGATGAAACCACAGGCATGTTGGTGTCATTTCTCTTTGTGGCAAAGAAAACTGAAGATATCTCATCTTGAGTTCATGTTTTATACATCAGTTCACAAAGCAAATGTATGTATCAGAAGCATTTTTTGAGTTAATATTATGGGTCCTCTGGCTACATTAAAATAGTAACTTGGCCTTTAAACAGAAGGAACAGATAGTAACTTCTCAGGTGGAACTCTGCTTGGTTAGCTCTCTTCATTGACATAATCCTTATCATTTGTCTGTATTCATTCTAAGAGCAGCATGTATAGATCTGGGCAAGAGAAGCAATACTGTGGTACACCTACTGCATTTCAATTAACGTATGAACATTCTATTTGGAAAGCTTATGGAGGCAGGGGAAGTACAGTTATGAAGATGTAGGAAGGAAAATAGAGTTATCCTAACACTTTAATTGCCCTGAAATATTCCTAAAATCTTACTATTAGACTGACTCCTTTGGGTTAAATACTAAGATTGGGAGGAGCAGGTGGGGGAAATCATAGTCTCTGAAAAGATAAAAATGTTACTTAGAAAGAAAGGGTACTGGAAGTGTCACAAAATGGAAGTTCTCTTTAAATTCAAATAAGGCTTAAGGTGATCAGATTACCTGGCTGTCATCTTAGAGCACATTTTCACAGGGGTAATAGAGCATGGGAGGTAGACCCATTTGAGTGAAGGCTGGTGGGAAACACGAGGAGCATGAACTACAGTTTTAAAGGTCTTTAGATGGGTTACTGGAAGTTGGAGATGTCTGCCAGCAGGAATGGGTGGTGGAGGTGGGAAGGGAGAGAAGATTTCAAGTGAAAGTATTAAAAATAGATGGAGGCCGAATCATTCCTCAGGATTTTTATTTTTCATTTGTAAAACTAGGTTTATCCTGGTTGGGAAAACTCAGGAAAGATGTTTTTGGATACTTGGAAGTTTGTTTATTTTATTACTTAACAGCATGTTACAGGTTTAGAACTACCAGAGCAAATATGCTGTTGATTTACCATCCATTCCAGACATGATCATTGATCATGGTACTTTTTTACTGATAAGCTTAGAGTTGGCTTCAGAATCCACCCCATCACATTACTTTTAGCAGTCACTATCGAATGACTAGGGTTAGCACATTAGTTTGAAAAGCTCATTTATCTCTGCTTGGTTGGAGGCCAAGAGGTATACCTATTATTACTCATGAGGTATCCCTTAAGAAATCTCTGCTTTGTAGTGCTCACAAAATTTCTGCCAAACCCAGGTTTTTTTTTCCTTTGTTAGTGCCACCTTTTGGCAATACACTTTGGAGTACGCTTGGCTGGAGATTAACTAGCTTAAAAGCATTTCTCTGATATAGCACATTATTTCACTTTTTCATAGTACTTTGAAAAATTTTTTATTTGAAGGTAGAGAACTAAGCACTCAATAAATACTTATTCATTTGATTTGCTCCAATGCCTTACATCATCGCCAATGATAAATGATATTCAGAAAGTACAGTTCTGTACAACTCAGTCCTCATTTTAATGAAAGATTCTAATCTTTTGCATTTAGAGGGAAGTCAGGAAGTTCATCTTTAGTGGTGAGATGTAGAATCTAATGCCACATAATTATTCTTATGCAGCTGGTCTACGATGCTATATTATTTAATTATGTTTGGCTTTACAAAGGCCAGATTTTTTAGGTACTTGGAAAAAGAGCCCTTATCAGCTTCAGTTTCATTGAAATCTCTCTTTCAGAATAAAATGTGTAACTTTAGCCAAAATAGATAGACTCATACCTTGCTTATAATTATTTCCATGTTTCCCCAACTGTCTTAGAAATTTTTCTGTAAACATGTCATCTGTAGTTGCCTAATTTTGAAATTTTTGAAAGTCAATACCTTCTTCATTACATGCATACATTTATTGCATATACACATACATGAAATATTTAAATATTTTCATCCAGGAGCAGTGGCTCACACCTGTAATTCCACTGCTTTGGAAGGCGGAGGCAGGAAGGTTGCTTGAGGCCAGGAGTTTGAGACCAGCCTGGCCAATGTAGCAAGACCCACGTCTCTAGAAATTTTTTTTTTTTTTTTAAATAGCTAGATGTGGTGGTGGGTACCTGTAGTCCCAGCTGCTTGGGAGGCTAAGGCAGAAGGATTACTTGAGCCCAGGAGTTTGTGGCTGCAGTGAAGTATGACTGTGCCACTGCACTCCAGATTGGGTGACAGCACAAGACTCTGTCTCAAAATAAATAAATAAATATTTTCAACTTCTTCAGATATGTAAATGATGTTCCCATTAGGCTGATGTCTGCCACTGCATCACCATCTGTCTGTTTATTTGTTTATGTGAGCAACATGTATTGAACCTCTAGTGAGAGCCGGAAATGGGGATGGGGATAATAAAAAGATGACACTGAGAGCCTGTGGCATTTCTCCTTTGTTGGTAGCTGCAGAACCAACATCAGCACTCTTTCATTACAGTAACAGGCTAGTCCTCATCTTTTAGTTTAGGGACCACTGAATTAGTTTTTAATCTAAATCTATATTCTCTTAGGATAGTCTTATATTCCATTCTGTAAGTCATATTATTAATATTAATATTAAGCTCTTTGTCAACTAAAGTCTTTATATTCTCATAAGAATTGCTGTTAAACCAGATTCCTTTCATGAACTTGTATAATTGATTCTTTTATTCTAAGTACAGTTTACTTCATCATCACATAACTTCATGTCATATTTTCAAGCCCAGAGAGAATGTTTTGAATTTCTGTCGTGCTGTTATAGATCTCCAAAATATTGGTCTCCTAAGGATTTATAAGCATGCTTTTGTCCTTACATGAATCACTGATAAACATAAGGAACAGGACAAGGCCAGACACAAGCCCAGAAGCATTTTATTTATTCAGTCAGGCACAAATCCCCCTAACTCTGCCAACACCTAGCTTATGTTTCTTCATTTATAAGTTTTTTTTTTGAAAGATTTTGTCAAATGTTTCAAGACATTCTTCCTTATCTACAAATTTCATTCCTCAAAATTATAAATAAAATTACTTTGGAATAACTTTAGCTCGGAATTGGGGATAGGTCATTTTCAGTTCGTAATATGGAGCAAAACATGATAGGTATCTAAGAAAGAGAAAGCAGTCATTGTGTCTTAGGATAGATAGGAGATGAAGAAACAGGAAAAAGTGACACAAAAGAGGAAACAATGGACATAATTAAAGCAATAGATAATAAAAGCCCAATCAAAGTATGGGGAGTAAAAATGAAAAAATTCTGATGCTTATTGAAAGAAAATATCAATAGAATTTCTGGACTTTGTTGGGGAATCAATAAAGATTTGAGTACTCAAAAGGAGGAACTTTGCAGGGGCATCTAATATTTCCAGGTTGGGTAAAGAAATAATTTAAGTAGTTTTCGTTGAAATATTTGTAACATTACATATCATGTAACACTTAATATAGAACAAGAGACATGATTATCAATGTCAATTCCATGTAAATTATAAAGACGTAGATGACTCTTTCATTCATAGTACATCAATTTATACTCTTCCCCTAAGCCTTCCCCCACTCCCATCACTTTCAGCTCTCCAAATGTCTGAAACAAAGGAGTCTACAACTCAAAATGTATAGTAATTGAAGGTTGGAGCAAGAGGTTGAGATTAGAAAATGTTGGAAATCATACAGGAAAAAAAATGGAGGCCTGAAAATCATCATTTTAGTTAAGGCAGTAGAGGAACAAGAGGACTGAAACATAGATTAATTGATTAGTGAGGAAGGAGAAACAAAATATAATGCAAGCAAAGCCAAGGCAATAGTGTTTGGTAAAAGAAAACGGTCAAACCTGTAAAATGTTACCCAAATGAGGTATTCAGACTTGTTTGGAATGACATTATAGGTAACTTTATGTTGTTATAATAAATTTGAGAGGGTCAGTAACATGTTACCCAATGGTTTGTAAAAACGAAGTGTACTAGAGAGATGGCTGGATTGATAGGAGGAATAGCTGTGTTCAACTGCTTGTATACTTTATTTTCAGATGGGGGAGATCTGAGAATGTTTGAAGGCAAGAAGGAGAGAGGCTGGTTTAGAGACGGAGGCTGAAACTGCTAAAGAATTTTTCTTTAATTTAATGTTAATTGCAGGGAAAAAAACATTTGTGGAGATGAGAACACTTGAGATTAAAAGAACAAGAGGAAATCTTATCTTTAGGACAGAGGACAGAGGCCTCTTTCTCTGAGACTGGGTGGTAATGAAAGTATGTAAACAAGGGTAGCTGAGCAAGATAATGTCAGAGAACTTAGAGTGGTCACTTCCAGGACTACTAAAGAGTAGTTCCACTAATTTGAAGTATTGGCTTTCCAATACTCACTTGCTCATCTGCTTGTGAACCTTTATTTGGGACTTTGCTGGTTCATCCTCTATATGACGGTGAACACCCTTAATGTCCCCTTCTCCAAACCTTTGAAAATTCCATTGCAAACAGGTATAAATGGGGAACACAGGCAGGGTCCCATTTACTGAGGCCCATTTACTTTAGCTGTAAATATGGAGTGATTTAAGAGGCATTAGGAAAGCTTCCTGACTTCAAGCATTTGTTTTACCAATGTAATAGAGAACTTGAAATTCCACCTTTAAAAATTTATATTTTGTTTTACTAAGTGTCTTTTGAAAATAAAACCTTTCTTGAGGTTTTGTTCTTTTAAGGTGGCTACAGTTGTTTTTATTTTAATAAATATTTACGTAGGATTGTATTTCTCTTAGAGTTTCTGCTTCCTTCATTTCTTCCTTCCTGTTATTTTTCTTCCATCCTCTCTTCCTTCCTTCTTTCTTTTCTTCCTTCTTTCTTTCCTTCTCATCTTTGTTTCTTCCACAAATAATGAACCTTTACGATGTGCCAAGTATTATCTAAAGCTGGGGATACCAGGATGAATGTGACTCCTCAAATATCTCATCATTTAAAGAGGCACATGTATATCAATTCAACGATAGCATAGTGAAATAACTAGTACCATGGAGATGTGTTGGTCAGTGCACCCAACTCAGGAGATTTCCTAGAGGGTAAGAAAGAAGGACGATGTCACTTGGAATATGCAATACTACTTAAAGCAGGGTGGCTTGGGAGGGGGACGCTGGCAGGTGACCCCCAGCAGTGAGAGGATAGTTATCAGAAGGTAGTAAAACACTGGCGCCACAGAGGGTGCCTATGTCTGTCCTGAACACAGGAACTTTGAGTAATAGCAAGGCAGGCCATAAACCACAATGCCTAATTCTTGAGCTTCAATGTTTTTATTGACTACCAATGAGCAATTAGCACACAACACTATGTGAATCCAACCTAGGGTTAAAATAAAGTGTTTCAATAAATTATATCTCTACTTTCAGACAATAGTGTCATAAATTTGCCAAGCTGATTTTGGAAGCCAGAATAGTCCACATAAATCCATTTTAACTGGGAAGGTTTAGATCTAATCTCAATTAATAATGAACTTCAAACGGGATGTTGTCTTTCCTCCAGCAGTTAACCAAATAAATGTAGATCATTTATATTTTGACTTATCCCTAAGGTTCTCATTGTTGACACTGGAATTATTGTCAGTGGCAAAACACGAAAGGGGAAAGGGAAGAAGAGAACTTGGAAAATGAATTTAAATCCAACTTTTTCGTACTAAACACTTCCCTTCTGTTCAATTTTGTTATTATTTTCACAGAGCTATTAAATGTTGCGTTTGGAGTAAATGTCATTAAAAATCCAGAGGCAAATTAGAAAAATAACATCTGAGTTTAATAAGAAAATATGTGCTTTAGAACTGTATGAGCTGGTGGAAAGAGAGTTCTCTGTACCACACCCCCACACATGCTCCTAGCGCACGCATTTTCCCAGCCCTTCTTCTTAACAAGATTTTCCGACAAAATACCTAGTGACAATGCATTTAACCAATGAAAGAAAATTATCTAGCTGGCTTAGAATTTTATTAGCTGCAATAGTTATGAAGAAACAACACTTTATTTTCCCAAAAATGTCCTGTTGGGACATGACGCAAACCATCCTTCAAATTTGTGATTTGAGAAATTGCACATGGTATTTAGCCGTTGCATTCTTTCTAACTGTCAGCAATGTGCCAGCCAATATTCACATTATAGAACTGGAATACACTAATCTTAGAGATGTTTTAAGGGAAAAATTTTTGTCCCAAATCCACATTAACCTATAGTTAGAAATGATTTTAGGTTGTTTCCAGGTGATTACTAGAATGTTCAGATGGCCTGATTAATAATAAAAATTAGCTCAGGAAATTGTTGATGATTCTTCTTTGAACATATTGATCTGAGTGTGCCATTCATTGCCATGGGTTTAGAAATATCTAAGATACTTATTTTCTGTTACATCATAGCTTGATCTGGAACTCACTTTAGTAATGATTCTATCTAATAGTTTTAATTCTTTCTTCAGATCAAGGATTTTCATAAACTCTTGGTGAAGTAGGGAAAAGGGATGACTACTGATCAGTCACATCACCTATTACACTACAGTCAATCCCATGTAAAATCCAGAGGCAAATTAGAAAAATCACATCTGAGTTTATTAAGGAAATATTTGTTTAGAACTGTACAAGCAGGTGGAAAGAGAATTCTTTGTACTGCAAATCCCATTCACAGATCCCCACTCACTCCCCTCATCCCCATTCCAACCCTTCCCCTTAATTCTCCAACAGGATATCTAGTGAAAAGCACTTAACCGATGAGAGACAACTGTCTCACTGGCTCCATGAGTGAGTCTAATGTCAGGAGAGCTGGAGGGCTAGTGCAGAAGGGCATGAACACGGTTTGAAAAACCCCCTGTCCTCACCACACACCAGCAGCCCCTCATGTAGCTGAGAATCACTGATGTATAGACACCTTCATAACACTAATTAATCCTGAGCCTAAATAAAAGAAGCTCACATGAGAGACATTTATGCACTTCAGTAAAATTACTACTGAAAACATTTTGCACTGTAGCATAATGTTTCTTAAGAAAATCATTTGGATACTTTCTTCTTAGATTTCAGTTCCTGGAAAATTTATCTTCCCTAATCAAAGAAACACAAAAATTAAGAATATTAATAACAAAATAACTGAAGAAAATAGCATGAAGTGTGGCCAAAGTTCATTGAAGGTGGAGACCAATCATGTTTATGATTTGCTTTGTGTCTTGGCTCTCAGAAAGCTCAGATTTTTATTTCATATTAATTTGCAGCACTTACCTTTCTTTCAGGTTGCTGCTAAGAATGATCAGTATTGATTGCTCCCATTATTTGACACTTAAGCTGCTGTTTTTCATTTAATGTTACTTTATATGTCTTTGATTTTAAGTTGTCTCAAATAATTTCTGATACAAAAGAACAATAAATAATACAATAAAAAATAAAACTGCTCTATTTGTTCCATTTGAGACTGCTCAAGCCTCAACTTTCTTTTCTGATACTTCTTTTTCATTACTCATACCTAATTATTCATGTGTTCTTTCGATTCTTTCTTAAGATGTCTCTTTCCTGGCTTTTATCCTCACCATTTTCTTTTTCTCTCACTTTCTCTCTTTCTTTCTTCTGCCCCATTCCTTCCTTCCTTCCTTCTTTCCTCCCTCCCTCCCTCTCCTTCCTTCCTTCCTTCCTTCCGCTCTTTCTCCCTTTCTTTCTTTCATCCTTTGATCTCCTCTTTTCTTTCTCTGTTTTTTTTTTTTGTTGTTGTTGTTTTTTTTTTGTTTTTTTTTTTGAGACAGGGCTTTCTTCTGTTGCCCAGGCTACAATGTTTGGCATAATTATGGCTGACTGCAGCCTTGACCTTCTTGGATCAAGTAATCCTCCCTCCTCAGCCTCCTGATCAGCTGCAACCACAGGCGTGTAGCACCATTCCTGACTAGTTCTTTTTTTTTTTTTATACTTTAAATTTTAGGGTACATGTGCACAATGTGCAGGTTAGTTACATATGTATACATGTGCCATGCTGGTGTGCTGCACCCATTAACAAGTCATTTAGCATTAGGTATATCCCCTAATGCTATCCCTCCCCCTCCCCCACCCCGCAACAGTCCCCAGAGTGTGATGTTCCCCTTCCTGTGTCCATGTGTTCTCATTGTTCAATTCCCACCTATGAGTGAGAATATGCGGTGTTTGGTTTTTTGTTCTTGTGATAGTTTACTGAGAATGATGATTTCCAGTTTCATCCATGTCCCTACAAAGGACATGAACTCATCCTTTTTTATGGCTGCATAGTATTCCATGGTGTATATGTGCCACATTTTCTTGATCCAGTCTATCATTGTTGGACATTTGGGTTGGTTCCAAGTCTTTGCTATTGTGAATAGTGCCACAATAAACATACATGTGCATGTGTCTTTATAGCAGCATGATTTATAGTCCTTTGGGTATATACCCAGTAATGGGATGGCTGGGTCAAGTGGTATTTCTAGTTCTAGATCCCTGAGGAATCGCCACACTGACTTCCACAAGGGTTGAACTGGTTTACAGTCTCACCAACAGTGTAAAAGTGTTCCTATTTCTCCACATCCTCTCCAGCACCTGTTGTTTCCTGACTTTTTAATGATTGCCATTCTAACTGGTGTGAGATGGTATCTCATTGTGCTTTTGATTTGCATTTCTCTGATGGCCAGTGATGGTGAGCATTTTTTCATATGTTTTTCGGCTGCATAAATGTCTTCTTTTGAGAAGTGTCTGTTCATGTCCTTCCCCCACTTTTTGGTGGGGTTGTTTGTTTTTTTCTTGTAAATTTGTTTGAGTTCATTGTAGATTCTGGATATTAGCCCTTTGTCAGATGAGTAGGTTGTGAAAATTTTCTCCCATTTTGTAGGTTGCCTGTTCACTCTGATGGTAGTTTCTTTTGCTGTGCAGAAGCTCATTAGTTTAATTAGATCCCATTTGTCAATTTTGGCTTTTGTTGCCATTGCTTTTGGTGTTTTAGACATGAAGTCCTTGCCCATGTGTATGTCCTGAATGGTAATGCCTAGGTTTTCTTCTAGGGTTTTTATGGTTTTAGTCTAACATTTAAGTCTTTAATTCATCTTGAATTAATTTTTGTATAAAGTGTAAGGAAGGGATCCAGTTTCAGCTTTCTACATATGGCTAGCCAGTTTTCCCAGCACCATTTATTAAATAGGGAATCCTTTCCCCATTGCTTGTTTTTCTCAGGTTTGTCAAAGATCAGATAGTTGTAGATATGTGGCATTATTTCTGAGGGCTCTGTTCCATTCCATTGAGCTATATCTCTGTTTTGGTCCCAGTACCATGCTATTTTGGTTACTGTAGCCTTGTAGTATAGTTTGAAGTCAGGTAGCATGATGCCTTCAGCTTTGTTCTTTTGGCTTAGGATTGACTTGGTGATGCGGGCTCTTTTTTGGTTCCATATGAACTTTAAAGTAGTTTTTTCCAACTCTGGGAAGAAAGTCATTGGTAGCTTGGTGGGGATGGTATTGAATCTGTAAATTACCTTGGGCAGTATGGCCATTTTCACAATATTGATTCTTCCTACCCATGAGCATGGAATGTTCTTCCATTTGTTTGTATCCTCTTTTATTTCCTTGAGCAGTGGTTTGTAGTTCTCCTTGAAGAGGTCCTTCACATCCCTTGTAAGTTGGATTCCAAGGTATTTTATTCTCTTTGAAGCAATTGTGAATGGGAGTTCACTCATGATTTGGCTCTCTGTTTGTCTGTTATTGGTGTATAAGAATGCTTGTGATTTTTGTACATTGATTTTGTATCCTGAGACTTTGCTGAAGTTGCTTATCAGCTTAAGGAGATTTTGGGCTGCCACAATGGGGTTTTCTAGATATACAATCATGTCGTCTGCAAACAGGGACAATTTGACTTCCTCTTTTCCTAGTTGAATACCCTTTATTTCCTTCTCCTGCCTAATTGCCCTGACCAGAACTTCCAACACTATGTTGAATAGGAGTGGTGAGAGAGGGCATCCCTGTCTTGTGCCTGTTTTCAAAGGGAATGCTTCCAGTTTTTGCCCATTCAGTATGCTATTGGCTGTGGGTTTGTCATAGATAGCTCTTATTATTTTGAGTTACATCCCATCAATACCTAATTTATTGAGAGTTTTTAGCATGAAGGGTTGTTGAATTTTGTCAAAGGCCTTTTCTGCATCTATTGAGATAATCATGTGGTTTTTGTCTTTGGTTCTGTTTACATGCTGGATTACATTTATTGATTTGCATGTATTGAACCAGCCTTGCATCCCAGGGATGAAGCCCACTTGATCATGGTGGATAAGCTTTTTGATGTGCTGCTGGATTCGGTTTGCCAGTATTTTACTGAGGATTTTTACATCGATGTTCATCAGGGATATTGGTCTAAAATTCTCTTTTTTGGTTGTGTCTCTGCCAGGCTTTGGTATCAGGATGATGCTGGCCTCATAAAAAGAGTTAGGGAGGATTCCCTCTTTTTCTATTGATTGGAATAGTTTCAGAAGGAATGGTACCAATTCCTCCTTCTACCTCTGGTAGAATTCGACTGTGAATCCCTCTGGTCCTGGACTTTTTTTGGTTGGTAAGCTATTGATTATTGCCACAATTTCAGATCCTGTTATTGGTTTATTCAGAGATTCAACTTCTTCCTGGTTTAGTCTTGGGAGGGTGTATGTGTCGAGGAATTTATCCATTTCTTCTAGATTTTCTAGTTTATTTGGGTAGAGGTGTTTGTAGTATTCTCTGATGGTAGTTCGTACTTCTGTGGAATCAGTGGTGATATCCCCTTTATCATTTTTTATTGTATCTATTTGATTCTTCTCTCTTTTCTTCTTTATTAGTCTTGCTAGCAGTCTATCAATTTTGTTGATCCTTTCATAAAACCAGCTCCTGGATTCACCGATTTTTTGAAGGGTTTTTTGTGTCTCTATTTCCTTCAGTTCTGCTCTGATCTTAGTTATTTCTTGCCTTCTGCTAGCTTTTGAATGTGTTTGCTCTTGCCTTTCTAGTTCTTTTAATTGTGATGTTAGGGTGTCAATTTTGGATCTTTCCTGCTTTCTCTTGTGGGCATTTAGTGCTATAAATTTCCCTCTACACACTGCTTTGAATGTGTCCCAGAGATTCTGGCATGTTGTGTCTTTGTTCTCGTTGGTTTCAAAGAACGTCTTTATTTCTGCCTTCATTTTGTTATGTACCCAGTAGTCATTCAGGAGCAGGTTGTTCAGCTTCCATGTAGTTGAGTGGTTTTGAGTGAGTTTCTTAATCCTGAGTTCTAGTTTGATTGCACTGTGGTCTGAGAGACAGTTTGTTATAATTTCTGTTCTTTTACATTTGCTGAGGAGAGCTTTACTTCCATGTATGTGGTCAATTTTGGAATAGGTGTGGTGTGGTGCTGAAAAAAATGTATGTTCTGTTGATTTGAGGTGGAGAGTTCTGTAGATGTCTGTTAGGTCTGCATGGAGCAGAGCTGAGTTCAATTCCTGGGTATCCTTGTTAACTTTCTCTTTCATTGATCTGTCTAATGTTGACAGTGGGGTGTTAAAGTCTCCCAATATTAATGTGTGGGAGTCTAAGTCTCTTTGTAGGTCACTCAGGACTTTCTTTATGAATCTGGGTGCTCCTGCATTGGGTGCATATATATTTAGGATAGTTAGCTCTTCTTGTTGAATTGATCCCTTTACCATTATGTAATGGCCTTCTTTGTCTCTTTTGATCTTTGTTGGTTTAAAGTCTGTTTTATCAGAGACTAGGATTGCAACCCCTGCCTTTTTTTGTTTTCCATTTGCTTGGTAGATCTTCCTCCATCCTTTTATTTTGAGCCTATGTGTGCCTCTGCATCTGAGATGGGTTTCCTGAATACAGCACACTGATGGGTCTTGACTCTTTATCCAATTTGCCAGTCTGTGTCTTTTAATTGGAGCATTTAGTCCATTTACATTTAAAGTTAATACTGTTATGTGTGAATTCGATCCTGTCATTATGATGTTAGCTGGTTATTTTGCTCATTAGTTGATGCAGTTTCTTCCTAGCATCAATGGTCTTTACAATTTGGCATGTTTTTGCAGTGGCTGGTACCGGTTGTTCCTTTCCATGTTTAGTGCTTCCTTCAGGAGCTCTTTTAGGGCAGGCCTGGTGGTGACAAAATCTCTCAGCATTTGCTTGTCTGTAAAGGATTTTATTTCTCCTTCACTTATGAAGCTTAGTTTGGCTGGATATGAAATTCTGGGTTGAAAATTCTTTTCTTCAAGAATGTTGAATATTGGCCCCCACTCTCGTCTGGCTTGTAGAGTTTCTGCCAAGAGATCTGCTGTTAGTCTGATGGGCTTCCCTTTGTGGGTAACCCGACCTTTCTCTCTGGCTGCCCTTAACATTTTTTCCTTCATTTCAACTTTGGTGAATCTGACAATTATGTGTCTTGGAGTTGCTCTTCTTGAGGAGTATCTTTGTGGCGTTCTCTGTATTTCCTGAATCTGAATGTTGGTCTGCCTTGCTAGATTGGGGAAGTTCTCCTGGATAATATCCTGCAGCGTGTTTTCCAACTTGGATCCATTCTTCCCGTCACTTTCAGGTACACCAATCAGACATAGATTTGGTGTTTTCACATAGTCCCATATTTCTTGGAGGCTTTGTCATTTCTTTTTATTTTTTTTTTCTCTAAACCTCCCTTCTCACTTCATTTCATTCAGTTCATCTTGCATCACTGATACCCTTTCTTCCAGTTGATCACATCGGCTCCTGAGGCTTCTGCATTCTTCACGTAGTTCTCGAGCCTTGGCTTTCAGCTCCATCAGTTCCTTTAAGCACTTCTCTGTATTGGTTATCCTAGTTATAAATTCGTCTAAATTTTTTTCGAAGTTTTTAACTTCTTTTCCTTTAATTTGAATCTCCTCCAGTAGCTTGGGGTAGTTTGATCGTCTGAAGCTTTCTTCTCTCAACTCGTCAAAGTCATTCTCTGTCCAGCTTTGTTCCGTTGCTGGTGAGGAACTGCGTTCCTTTGGAGGAGGAGAGGCGCTGTGGTTTTTAGAGTTTCCAGTTTTTCTGCTCTGTTTTTTTCCCATCTTTGTGGTTTTATCTACTTTTTGTCTTTGATGATGGTGATGTACAGATGAGTTTTTGGTGTGGATGTCCTTTCTGTTGTTAGTTTTCCTTCTAACAGACAGGACCCTCAGCTGCATGTCTTTTGGAGTTTGCTAGAGGTCCACTCCAGACCCTGTTTGCCTTGGTACCAGCAGCGGTGGCTGTAGAACAGTGGATTTTCATGAACTGCGAATGCTGCTGTCTGATCATTCCTCTGGAAGTTTTGTCTTGGAGGAGTACCTGGCCGTGTGAGGTGTCAGTCTGCCCCTACTGGGGGGTGTCTCCCAGTTGGGCTGCTGGGGGGTCAGGGGTCAGGGACCCACTTGAGGAGGCAGTCTGCCCATTCTCAGATCTCCAGCCATGTGCTGGGAGAGCCACTGCTCTCTTCAATTTTGTCAGACAGGGACATTTAAGTCTGCAGAGGTTACTGCTGTCTTTTTGTTTGTCTGTGCCCTGCCCCCAGAGGTGGAGCCTACAGATGTGGGCAGGCCTCCTTGAGCATGGTGGGCTCCACCCTGTTCAAGTTTCCTGGCTGCTTTGTTTACCTAAGCAAGCCTGGGCAATGGTGGGCGCCCCTCCCCCAGCCTCGCTGCCACCTTGCAGTTTGATCTCAGACTGCTGTGCTAGCAATCAGCGAGACTCTGTGGGCTTAGGACCCTCCAAGCCATGTGTGGGATATAATCTCCTGGTGTGCCGTTTTTTAAGCCCGTCGGAAAAGCGCAGTATTAGGGTGGGAGTGACCCTATTTTCCAGGTGCCATCTGTCACCCCTTTCTTTGACTAGAAAAGGGAACTGCCTGACCCCTTGTGCTTCCCCAGTGAGGCAATGCATTGCCCTGCTTTGGCTCGCTCACAGTGCACTGCACCCCCTGTCCTGCACCCACTGTCTGGCACTCCCTAGTGAGATGAACCCGGTACCTCAGATGGAAATGCAGAAATCACCCATCTTCTGTGTCGCTCACACTGGGAGCTGTAGACTGGAGCTGTTCCTATTCGGCCATCTTTGTTCCATAGTTCTTTTATTTTTTTGTAGGGATGTGTTTCATTATGTTGCCCAGACTGTGTTGAACTCTTGGCCTCAATTAATCCTCCCACCTTAGCCTCCCAAAGTGCTAGGATTACAGGCATGAGCCACCATGCCCCGCACTCTCACCATTTTCACTTACAACATTCTAGTCCAAACTTTCCTCATTATTGAATTATTGAAGCTTTCCTAACTGGTGTTTTCCTACCTGACTTCTTTTCTTGTCAATTTTTCTTGTCTCTCTCTTGTGCATAAATGGGTATTGGTCACCAGAGTGTTCCAAATGGTATGTAGTTATGATTTCATGGTGATCAAGATAGACATGAAAGACAGACATTAAATGAATAATACTATAAATGTGATGAGCACTGCAACAGAATGTACAGGGTGCACCTCTGATCTCATGTGGGATTTCTCACCTTAGCACTATTGACATTTTGTACTGGATAGTTCTATGTTGTGGGGACCGTGCTGTGAACATTGTTCACAGATGACTAGCAGCACTCTGGCCTTTGCTTTCTACATGCTAGAAGTACTCTTCAGAGCACTCATCAGTTGTGACAAACAAAAGTTTCTTGGGGTGCCAAATTGTCCCTCAGCTGGGAATCACTGTTTAGTCTAGGTAAGTTGGGGCTGAGTTTAGCATGGAAACATTCAACCTGTGAATAGGCCATTTGAATAGAGAGCTGAAGGATGAATTGGACTTCCTCAACATTAGGGTTGTGGAAGGAAGGGGGTAGGAGTCTTTGGGAGCTAGGATGGGTCTCAGTGTTCTTGGAAGGGAGCCCAGTACCTGCAAGATCCTGACCGGGAATGAACCTGGGGTCTTCCAAGAACTTAAAGAAGGCCAATATGAATGAATACATGGAATCTGCTAAGAGATTGGTTACTATCCTGCTGGGAAGTGTAGACCATGCTCAGAACCAAGAGCAGTGGGAAACACTGAATGATTTTTGCAAGAAAATGACAAGATATTGAATTCAACCAGGGTAATGGCAAGAATTGGGATAAAGGGGAAGAATGAGCCAACAACAATATCTTTGGTGAATGAGGGTAGGGCCTGGCAGGTTTGTTGATGACAGCAACGATGAATGTTGAGGGTTACAGCTAATTGGCTGATTGCATAAGCCTCAGAAGCAAGGTATGTGTGCATATATGCATTGTCTATCTATATATTTTAATAAGGGGTCAATTTTGAGTAATGGAAGACCATTGTAGGATAACACCAGTTATCCCTCCTAACCTTGAAATTCAAAAGGAGGGGAGGTGGGAGTGTAGCAGAAACTACAGCCTCCACTGGAGAGGATTGCAGAGGATGCATTCTTAGAGGAGATAAGGGAAGAGAGGCAACATATGTTCAAAAGGCTGAGGATTTGAGGGAGTTTTCTCTTCATTGAAACTCCTGAGGATACTGCTGAAGGCAGGGAAAAGGGGTAGAGTCAGAGTTAGAGGGTAAAGAGGTTCAGATTGTTTGAGGGATGACAGTTTAGATGTCTGGGGATTCTCTTCCTTTGGCAAATAAGAAGGGAGGGAAGGCTGGGGGTGTGGTCCATGGTGGATTAGCTCTGAGCATCTTACAAGGAATAGTGGGCACTTGGATCTAACAGGGAGACCTAGAGATTTTAGTATCTTGAAATAAATCTTCCCAAACTGCCACTTTTATAATGTTACTCTCTATCCTCTTTCTCCTGCTCTCATCCTGAAACCTGACAAACAGTCAGGATCAGGATCTTCTTCTTTGCCTGGGCTTATTGTTATCATGCCTTGTTCTCTGTCTTTCCTCCATACCCCCAGTCTGGCTTTTCTTCTTTAAATCCTACCCATTTTTAAAAGCCTCACACATATCCTGCCTCTTTCATGGCATCTTCCCAGGCCACTGTGCCCACAAATGTTACCTACTCTTCTTAATTGGCAATTAATTCAAAACTGCCTTGGGGGCTTGTTTTGTACTGATATATAACTCACATATTAAATTTTCACGGGTATAAATTGGTTGTTTCTAAAGTTAAATAGCAAATTCATTGAAAGCTGATCAGATTCTGTGCCTCTTATTATACCCTAAAAGTCCTAAAATGATATTTGACACACAAAAGTTATTTAACTGTTTAATTAATGCATTTGTTAAAATAGATATCACTTTCCCAGAAAAATGCAGGGGAGTGTTGGTGTCAGTGTTATGTGGCATGTGGACTCAGAGTGTGAATCTGCCTGTGCATCCACCATATTGCTTATCTTACAGAAAACACATTGTCCTCTCTCAGATGACTCGATATAGGTTGGCAACTTCAAGACTTTAACGTTAGCAGCAGGGAGGCAAGAGCAGCTCTATGCATCGATGGAGTGGTCACGAAAGCAAGGAAGGCCCTGACCCAGCCAGACCATGTGAGGGGGGACTATAAGTACACTGGGACCAGGGGAAGAAGCAAGAGGGTAAGATATATTAAAAGGAGGTGACTATTATTCAACAAATTGCCCCAGGTTTGTGTTCTAAAGTTTAAATTGTGAACTGCTGCAAGAAATATTTCAGAGAGAGTGAGCAAATTTTCAGTTATCGGTGAACAGATTTTTACTTGATGTAGTCACAATGAGGAAATACACATTCTCAAATTGACTTTTCCAGACCTTTAGGTGAACACAATGGGTGTGAGGAAAAGGGAGTTTGATCTCAGCAAAGAAAGGAAGAATGGAGGTGTGTGAATATTTGCTTGACCACTTCAGATGTTCTCAAACAAAAATGTAGTTTTAACTGTATTATAAAATGACAACAGGTTTGTAAACTATCTTTCCCATGAATACAGATGATGGTAGATCAATTTTCCCACCCTGTCTTTGGTTGCTCTTTAGCAGTTGAAAGAATTTTCCATCTCCCTCTGGGTTGAGGATGGGGGCAGTAGAGCTGTAAACCAGGCAGAAACACTTTAACAATCGTCTCACTGATGCCAAGCATGATGGGAGGGTTATTTCATCATCTTTCCATGTTACCTTTCTATTATTCCAGCTCCTGTTCATTTTCACCTTTAAAAATAACATTGATGTGTGCTGAGTCCCTCAGCAAACCTGAAACTGAGAACCTGCTGTGTTTAGACTTCAAGTTAGTTTTCCAGGTCTTATTGCCTCACCTGGGTTCTGGAGTCATAATCCAAATCTAAACCTATGTTCAGCTCAGAAATTACTACCAATTTGGAATAGGTAATGCAGTGTATCAACTGTGCCTTTTATTTTCTGATGCTTTGACACCCTGGAGACTTGCTGACCCTGGAGTGGTTGTTCCTCCCAGGGCTAGCTAATTCCTGGAGATAGCAAAAAACTCTTCTTCTAGCATGCCTTTCATATGCATAACTGCCCAATATGGGTTGAGGAATCCATAGTCCAAACCTTACCATCTCCCTTATAGGGGCTTTCACACTTCAGGCCACTATCCACCTGCCCTAATCACCCAAGGGTCAGGTAGCAGACAGCTGATCTGCACCAGACCCTTCTGAAATCATTCAAACTAGCCAATCCTAAATCTGTTTACCCCAGCTCACCTGTTTTTTCCCACAGAAACCACAATAAAGGTTCTTGCCCACATTTTCCTCTTGCTCCTCTGCCTCCTGACTGACACTGTGCTTCCCTGTGTTGTCCCCACATGGTGTGGCATGCCTTCTTCTCTTGGGATCTGTGAGTAAATGTGATGGTTAATATTGAGCGTCAACTTGATTGGATTGAAGGATGCAAAGTATTGTTCCGAAGTGTGTCTGTGAGGTGTTGCCAAAGGAGGTTAACATTTGAGTCAGTGGACTGGGAGAGGCAGACCCACCCTCAATCTGAGTGGGCACCATCCTAGCTGCCAGCACAGCTAGGATAAAAGCAGGTGGAGGAACATGCAAAGACTAGACCGGCTTAGTCTTCTGGGCTACATCTTTCTCCCCTGCTGGAGGCTTCCTGCCCTCAAACATCAGACTCCAAGTTCTTCAGCTTTTGGGCACTTGAACCTTCGACCACAGACTGAACGCTGCACCATCAGCTTTCCTACTTTTGAGGTTTTGGGACTTGGACTGTCTTCCTTGCTCCTCAGCTTGCAGATGGCCTATTGTGGGACTTCACCTTGTGATCATGTGAGTCAAGACTCCTTAATAAGCTCCCCTTTATATATACATCTATCCTATTAGTTCTGTCCCTCTAGAGAACCCTAATACAGTAACAAACTGTCTTTTCAGTGACAACCATTTCCTGAGGCCATATCATACCTGAAAAATAATAAAACCTATATTTTAAAACGTGCAGTTATGATATTGATCCCACCTTTGTTATAACCTTATAAACAATGTGCCTATCAATATCAGTTGACCCATTATCTCTGGATTATATTCATCTTTCTTGGGCCACACATATTCATATTCCCAAACCTTCACTGTATAAGCAAGTCAGAGATAACCCAGATGAATGTTTTATTATAATTTACATGAAGTTTAGTTCACTATATAGATGACTTTGACAAGTTCTTTATAAGTAGATTATAAGGTCTTTGGGGGAGGGGCAATGACTATACTTTGTGTGTGTTTGTGTGTGTACGAAAAAGAAACGTGATAACTTATTTGGCATTTCTGGCAGGGAGTGAAGCTAGTTGAATATCTCTTATCTGAAATGACTGGCACTTGAAGTGTTTTGGATTTTGGATTTTTTGGGGGTATCTTGGAGGTGAAACCCAAGTATAAAGATGAAATGTATTTATGTTTCATATACACATTATATGCTTAAGCTGAAAGTAATTTTATACAATATTTTAAATAATTTTGAAACAAAGTTTGTGTACATTGAACATCAGAAAGCACAAGTGTCACTATATAAGGAACCCATGTGGACAATCTGTGGTTGTTTGGTTTCACCCTCATTCTCGACTCCGAATTTATATGCTACTGATAAGCAATCCTTTTATTGTGCTTATTCACACATAAGTACTTAACAGTAAAGCAAGGCTTATGCTTCATTGCTATCATGTCATCTATAGGCATGTTTTCTACAGTGTTGTCATTTTCATCATCAGTATTATGATTGCCTTAATTCAGAACCATTTTAGCTATTACACCTTTGGTCAATAAATAAACAACTGGAGCCTCATTATCAATGTTACAAATTTATTCAATATCTACTTCTTCCAGTTTACTGATGGAAGGTATATTTTTGCATAAGCAAGGAGGTCAGACACCATTTTTTTCTCACTTGACATATGGAATCCTTGAAAGTCACCACCTTGTTCAGCATCATCACTGGACATAGTTGCAAGCCAGAGATTGTCCCAGGCATGCACAAATTGTCTTTAGTCAACTGTATAGCAAGTATTGGCAACAGCTTATACAGCATATTTTATGCAAAATGTCTTTTGAAAACATTCCACACCCTCCGTTTACTGCTGCTAGCATGCTACTCAAGAAAGAATAAATGCTACATTTATTCTTCATTCATCTAAAGATACCCTGGTCACATGGCTGAATTAATAAAATCACATTTGGGGCAAAGTACATGGAATAAAAAATGTTTTTGATGAGAATTTCAGCTGAAGGTTGAGCAGAACTGTTGTCAAAAAATAACAAAATCTTGCAGTCATCATCCAGTTCCATTTCACTACAATGAACACAAGCTGCTGGTACAAAATATTTGTGACACCAATCAGAAAAGATGTCCCTGTTGATCCATGCCTTTTTGATAGCATAGTAATGGACTGCTAAGAAATTAACTCCTTGAAATCAGTGTGGACACAGGTTTTTGGCTATCACAGCAAGTTTATACTTACGCGTGTCTGCTGTGTTAGCACAGCCCAGCACAGTTATCGTGTCTTTGGCATCCTTAATTCCTGCACAGGCTTTCTCATCAGCTGTAGTCAGTGTCTATCTGGGGCAATAACACCAAAACAGTGATGTTTCATCAGCGTTCTATATTTACCCTGGCATCCGATTTTCATCAGTGATGACCTTGGCAAACCTGTCAATGGAATTTGTTGCTTCTTGATCAGCAGATGCTTTATCACCACAAATCTTTAAACATTTGATATTGTGTCTCTTCTTACATTTCTGCAACCTTCCTGTCGAATATTCAAAGTTCCCTTCAATTTTCAGTCCATCATGATAAATCTTTGCTCTTTTCATCGTCAGCATACCATTAAGTGGCATGTGTTCACTGCAACACTGACAGATCTGGTCTCTCAATACTTGACTGAGATCTTTATTTTTAACATTAGGTAGTGTTTTTCTATTTTTCATTAACTTTTGTTCATCACTTTCAGCATAGAACTTCCACAGTGTATCCTTCTGTTTCCTTAGGTCTTACATCACAGAGAATAAGCAAAAAAGAAAACAAGCAAACGTACAATTATAGTGAGTAATGTACATAGTTATTGGCTTCATGTGGGACATTGTGGGGAACCTGCCATCGGTGCATCCTGCCTGCACATGTGCCATTTTATTACCTCTTGTGGGTGTGCTTGTGTGTGGGACTCTGGGCCTGTGCCAAAATACAGCAGAAGGAGAATAAAAAGGTCTTTTTTCTTTTGGGGATGCTGAATAACTTAACTGTGCGCCTGCATTTTGACTGCGACCCATCGCATGAGATTAGATGTGGAATTTTCCACTTGTGGTGTCACACTGACACTCGCAAAGTTTCAGATTTTTAAGCATTTAAGATTTTGGGGTTTTGAATTTGGAATGCTCAACCTGTATATATTTTTGGCCAAATAGCACTGACCTTCCACCTGAAAAGTTTATTTTCAAGTGAGTGGGCGGCTTTGGGAGGGATACACATAAAGTGCAAACAGAAGATAGAGATACTTGTTTAATAAATGAGAGAAAAAAGTTCAGCCCTGCCATCACTTAGATCATCTTTCAAACCATATCCTGCATTTCTGTTATTTCTGTTGTTAGTTGTAGTGGTAAGAACCTTGTAGGTCCCTGAGATAAGCCTCTTGCTGAATGTTTTTCCTTGTGCTTTATATGTAGAACCTCTATGTCCTGGTCTTCTCTGTGACTAAAAAAGAAGTTACATTAACTTTTAATCACTGCTTTGATAATAGGATCACATAACCCCAAGTATACTCCAATTATTTGTGAAGTTCCCCAACGGTTATCTCTCAGTTAAAAGTGGCATATTATTGTTTTTCTCCTGCTGGCTTCTACTGGCCCATGTCTCACATCTATAAAATCCACAGAGAAGCATTGTGACTGGCTCAGCTGAGAGTGCTCATGATCAGAACTCCTATGGGGATGACAGTGGTGCTATTTCCAGATGCTCTCCTGGTTGCCAGCCCTGAGTCAAAGCTAGGTTCCATTGAGAGGCAGACAGAGTCACCTATTCCCTGCCTACCACTTTTCCACAGGGCCTGAATTCTACAGAACCTCCTGTGAAAAATTTGGATTTTGGGCTTCATCACTCTAACCATGGAGGCTCATATCCATTTCAAGGAGCCAGAGGGTCATAAGTGCCATACCACCTACTCCTCATCCCTCTCTCCTTCAACTCTAACCCATCCCTCTCCCCACTACATACCAAAATTTACTCCAAATGCAACACTGTCTGTGACAAAGCAGTTTTTAAAATATTGGAGTCCTGGTCTTTCCACACACCTCTATTTTACCAGGGAGTCTTTGCTTTACCTTTATATGAGAGGCCCTTTGAGTTGGTTTCCCCAGAAGGAAGATCTACTCCAATTCAAGACTGCACCATTTGCAATGAGTGTACAGTGTAATGCTTTTAAATTGCAGTTTTTGTTTTTTCTACTCTCTTCATCAAATTTTTAGAGATCTTAGGGCTACTTTAAAGCTGAAGGGCAAGAACATCTTTCTCTTCAATCGTCTTTGCAATGATACAGCAGTTTGCAACCCCAGCTTCACATTAGAATCACTTGGCGGTGAGGGAGGTTTAAATATATTGGTGACAGGGGTCCACCTAAGGCAAATTAAATCAAATCTGTGAGGGTGGGGCTCAGGCATTTTCCTTCCTTCCCTCCCTCCCTCCCTCCCTTCCTTCCTTCTTTCTTTCTTTTTCTTTTTTTTCTTTCTTTTCCTTTTTGAGACCAAGTCTCACTGTGTTGTCCAGGCTGGAGTGCAGTGGTGCAATCTCAGCTCACTGCAATCTCCACCTCCTAGGTTCAAGCAATTCTTGTGCCTCAGCGTCCTGAGTAGCTGTGATTACAGGTCTATGTCACTAGGCCCGGCTAATTTTTGTGTTTTTAATAGAGATAGAGTTTTGCCATGTTGGCCAGGCTGCTCTTGAACTCCTGACCTCAAGTGATTTGCCTCCCTCAGCCTCAGAAAGTGCTGGGATTATAGGGATCAGCCACTGCTCCAGGCCATATTTTTTAATGCTCCAAAATGATTTTATTAATAATAAACAACCAGAGTTAAGAACCACTGTTGTAAATACTTGGCCTTGGGCTGAGAAACTCCAATTTGTTACAGACAGGGGCACATCTAATCTTTATCTTTTTTTTTTTTTAATTATACTTTTTTAGAGTACATGTGCACAACGTGCAGGTTTGTTACATACGTATACATGTGCCATGTTGGTGTGTTGCACCCATTAACTTGTCATTTAACATTAGGTATATCTCCTAATGCTATCCCTCCCCGACAACAGGCCCTGGTGTGTGATGTTTCCCTTCCTGTGTCCATGTGTTCTCACTGTTCAATTCCCACCTGTGAGTGAGAACATGCGGTGTTTGGTTTTTTGTCCTTGCGATAGTTTGCTGAGAATGATGGTTTCCAGCTTCATCCATGTCCCTACAAAGGACATGAACTCGTCATTTTTTATGGCTGCATAGTATTCCATGGTGTATATGTGCCACATTTTCTTAATCCAGTCTATCATTGTTGATGATGGTGATGTACAGATGGGGTTTTGGTGTGGATGTCCTTTCTGTTCATTAGTTTTCATTCTAACAGTCAGGACCCTCAGCTGCAGGTCTGTTGGAGTTTGCTGGAGGTCCACTCCAGAACCTGTTTGTATGGGTATCAGCAGCGGAGGCTACAGAACAGTGGATATTGGTGAACAGCAAATGTTGCTGCCTGATCGTTCCTCTGGAAGTTTTGTCTCAGAGGAGTACCCAGCCGTGTGAGGTGTCAGTCTGTCCCTACTGGAGGGTGCCTCCCAGTTAGGCTACACGGGGGTCAGGGACACACTTGAGGAGGCAGTCTGTCCGTTCTCAGATCTCCAGCTGCATGCTGGGAGAACCACTACTCTCTTCAAAGCTGTCAGACAGGGACATTTAAGTCTGCAGAGGATTCTGCTGCCTTTTGTTTGGCTATGCCCTGCCCCTACAGGTGGAGTCTACAGAGGCAGCCAGGCCTCCTTGAGCTGCGGTGGGCTCCACCCAGTTCGAGCTTCCTGAGCAGCTTTGTTTACCTACTCAAGCCTTGGCAATGGTGGGCACCCCTCCCCCAGCCTCGCTGCCACCTTGCAGTTTGATCTCAGAGTGCTGTGCTAGCAATGAGCGAGGCTCTGTGGGCACAGGACCCTCTGAGCCATGCGTGGGATATAATCTCCTGGTGTGCCGTTCGCTAAGACCATTGGAAAAGCGCACTATTAGGGTGGGAGTGACCCAATTTTCCAGGTGCCATCTGTCACCCCTTTCTTTGACTAGGAAAGGGAATTCCCTGACCCCTTGCACTTCCCGGGTGAGGCAATGCCTTGCCCTGCTTTGGCTCACTCTCCGTGCGCTGCACCCACTGTCCTGCACCCACTTTCTGACACTCCCCAGTGAGATGAACCCAGTACCTCAGTTGGAAATGCAGAAATCACCTGTCTTCTGTGTCGCTCACTCTGGGAGCTATAGACTGGAGCTGTTCCTATTCAGCCATCTTGGCTCCACCCTCTACTCTTTATCTTATGTGAGACCAGGAATCATCACATTTTTCCTTGTTGGATATGAAAAGTTTAACTCAACTGATCATTGCCAATTGCTATTCCCTGTAATGTGTGCTAATTCTTGAAAGTTTTGGGCTTGTTAGTCCAGTAATCTAGAGGTTTGTCTTCTATGCATTTTGCTGCTATTGGAGACATTATCTCCACCTGGGCTTCTGGTTATAACACCTTGGTTTTCCATAGGTGTGCTTAATAAAGGATCAACACATCTGTTTTATTTCCAAATCTCCTGAAAGTAGTTATCTCTTTGAACTGGTTAAGTGTATATACTCGAAATAAATTACATATCATTTTAGAACAAGGGTTTAATAAGCTTAAAACAAAAACCCATTTGATTCTGTATTTACTAACACTGAATTATTGTTAAATACTTTTTAATATAGTTTTGTTTTTCTCATCCTTAGAAAGATTAGCTTGCTTTGAGTATCCTGCTCAAACTGGGTTATGTACCACTCTCACATGGTTTTCAAATTTTGAGAGCGCCACTAGAGGTCGAAACTCCTGAAGTCTTTTATCCTCCTAACAACAATTTAAAACAACGATTTAATCCTCCTAACAATGATTTAATCCTCCTAACAACGATTTAATACTTTCATAGAAAAGGCATCTGTTTGGTTTTTCAGTTTCTTAGTACTTTGTTCCTATCTGATTTCAGTTGGAGAAAGCAGAAAACCATTAAGAAAAGTTATATGGCTTTTGACATTGGTAAAGTAGTTATTGTTTCCCCTCTGATGGAAAATCATCTTTATTTGCGTATATCTCTGAGTTCTTGCTCCTCCTCATCTGGCATTTGCTATGCATTTATATGAATTGGCACACTTGTCAGTCAGATCTAACCTAGAGGTGTAGGTGGACACTGCCTCCTGCTTAAAGCCTTAATTACAAAAGTCTCAGTTTACTAGAATACCATAATTAGACAAAATTTCGAAGTATTTAATGATATATTTCAATTACAAAGTAGTTTCTCCATAGCCCAACAGAAATAAACTTTTTTAAAAAGCATGCTGTATCATAATAAAAGTTTCTTAATTCTGTCATATGTGCAATATATAAAAATTTCTTTCTTTCCATTCTTTGGATCGGCTTGTAATGTTTAATAATGCTTTCAATGATATGATCTAGAAATTAATTAGCTGTTTATAAAAGTTAACTTAATTGACAAAGAACATTTCAAGCATTTTCCATGTTATTGTATCATTAAGGATTGGTAAATGTCCGTATTGGTAATGGAATGTTGTTCAGTGCCTACAGAAGAAAAGTATATCTTTCAAGAAAGCATAAAAAGGCACCATTGTAATTAGACATGCAAGGAAGAGAAATATAAAGTCTTAATACAAGGAATTAGTGTTACCCATTATCCTTTCACATAATGAATAAAATAATTTTTACCTTGTGAATTAATATCTTTACTCATTAGAATATGATAATTTTTTACATATTACAAAAGTAGAAATGAAACAAAGGCTATTACTGATTACCTACTACACATACTATATCATTCATTTTTACTTGCATCTTTCCTATTCAGTTGTCTGAGCTATTGACTTCCATAAAAAAAGATCAGATGAGTCACATGGTCAATGTAATTGAGCTCAAAACTACTGTTGTGCATATTGTTTTAAATAAGTTATAAGTTAATTGTCATAAAAATTTGTGCCTTCCAACAATTTCAGGGTGCAACTCACTTTGAATTTGCACTAAGAGGGGCAGCCTCTTATAATTTCACGAAGTCCTTAGCAGTCATGATACAACCTCATTTTATGAATTGTGTTCTTTATATTTTTTAGTCAAACATCTACACATGCTTTTAAGAATTGTTTCTGAGGATATACTATATGTAAAACTAGATGCTCTATGGAGATGAAGATAAGTGAAACAAAATTACACAAAATAAGTAGATATGTTCTGGTATGAGGAATGAGACAAGTCTACTTTTAATGGCAATGTAAGGGAAATATGTCAAATACAATAAGAAAAAATACAGAAAAGCTCATAGTTTATTAAAGGAAGGAGAAATATCTGGTTTGGAGACTAAGGCAAATATAATAGAAGAAGTGATACTTCATTCATTCATACATTCATTCACTTGAAAAATACAGGCAATGAGTATTAGCATAAGATACAGGGAGTTGGGCAGGAAGGACAGATTTTTGACAGTATTGGGGGAGGCCTTCGAAGGAAAATGAATGATGTGAACTGCTCCTGAATTATCATTAATCTAAATGATGTATACTTTTCTGTGGATCAAGAAGTAAAGATAAGGTTTAAATAACAGGTTTGAGGTCTGATTTAGGAAGGTCTTGAATTTCAGAACAAAGAGCTTAAATTTCATTTAGAGTTTGATGGAAACTCATTGTAGATTATTGTGGGTGTGAGATTAATTTGAAATGTGGAGGTAGACTAAAATAAAGGAGACCTATGAAGGTGTGGAGGCTGTTGTAGAAGTAAGGTGAGAATTATGAGAAGCCTAACAAAGATGTTGAGAATGAGAACAGCACGGAGGGAGTATACATGGGAAGCATATAAAGTAACGAAATTGCCTCCCACAGGTTACACATGAAAACCATTCTCCTATTTTGTAGTCACACTTCCAAGGGTATACATACATGCATATTATGTATAATATGACCACATATACCTAACAATGTTAAAGAATAAAGTGTTGCATATATGTACACTTTTCATTTAACCAAGTTATTATTTGTTAAATATTTTATTTTTTAGTAAAAATATTATTTTTTAATAAAAATTATATAAAATGCGTTAGATACTTTACGTCATAGATTTTTAAACAGTTTTTTAATGATGGTTCAGAGCTACTCAACTAATTTTTACTGAATGACTATTCTTAATGTTTTTCTTTATTTTTTTAGGCAGAGTCTCACTCTGTCACCCAGGCTGGAATGCAATGGTGTGGTCTCAGCTCACTGCAACCACCGCCTCCCAGGTTCAAGCAACTCTCATGCCTCAGCCACCTGAGTAGCTGAGATTACAAGCGTGCACCACCACACCCAGCTAATTTTTGTATTTTTAGTAGAGACGGGGTTTCGGCATGTTGGCCAGGCTAGTCTCAAACTCCAGGCCTCAAGCAATCTGCCCGCCTCAGTCTCCCAAAGTGCTGGGATAACAGGCATAAGCCACTGTGCCCAGCCAGAGTGACTACCTTTTAAAGTCAGGTTTACTGATGTATAATTTATATACGATAAAATTCATCTTATAAAATGTATAATTTCATTAGTTTTGACAAATGTATATATTTACATAACTACCACCACAATCAACATTTAGAACATTTAATAATCCCCCAAATTTCTTCATGCATATATTTTTAAATCAATTTCCTCCCCTTATTCTCTTGACAATCACTACTGTGATTCACATTTTTGTTCTCTTCCCCTCAGTAATTTGTTCTTTTAAATTGCTCATTAGTGTTCCATTATTTAGATTGACTACAATTTATTTATCTATTCACCAGGGTTGCTTCTAGTTTGTATGTATTATGAATAGAGCTGCTATGAACATTCAAGTGCAAGTTTGTGGGTGGACAAACATTGTAATTTCTCTTGAGTAGTTACCTAATGAGTGGAACTGTTGGGTTGTATGGTGAGTATATATTTAATTTTATAAGAAAATACTGAACTGTTTTCCAAAGTGGCTGTGCCATTTTAAATTTCCATCAGTAAAGTGTGAGAGTTAGTTGCTCCACATCCTTGATAGTACTTTGTACTGTTAGTCTATTTCAGTCATTTTAGTAAGTGTATAATGATATTTTTTGGTTTTAGTTTATATTTCCCAAATGACTATATTATATTGAGCAACTTTTCATGTTCTTACTGACCATCTGTATACTTTCTTTGGTGAAGTGTCTGTTCAAGTACTTTTCTCACTTATTATTGGGCTATTTGTTGTAAGATACATATCTATTCTGGATACAAGTTCTTTAGCATATATGTATTTTGCAAATATTTTCTCCCAGACTATAATTTGTTTTTTCATTTTCTTAATAATGAATTTTGAAGAATATCTTTTTCAAAATAAATGAATACACAAAAGTGCAAACATTTAGTGATAAGCAGATAATTAAAATAGGTTGCTGTGATGGAGGACAAATGAGTGGCCACATTAGATTGGATGGTTAATGTAGGCCTCTCTGTTGAAATGACATTTTTAAACTTAGGTGTGAATCAGGGGAAAGAGTATTCCAGTTAATAGTAACAGAAGGCCCTAAGATGGCATGATGGTTAATTTTAGGTGTCAACTTGTCTGGGTTAAGGGATACTTATAGAGCTGGTAAACTTATTTCTGGATGTGTCTGTGAGGGTGATTCTGTAGGAGACTGACATATGAGTAAATGGTCTGAGTGGGGAAGACACACCCTCCCAAGGTGAGGCAGCTTCCAGTTGGCTGAGGGTCTGGATTGAACAAAAAGGCAGAGGAAAGGCAAATATTTTCTCACCTAGAGCTGAGACACCCTTCTTCTTCTGCCCTTGGATGTGAGAACACCAGGTATCTAGCCTTTGGACTCTGGGACTTGCATCAGCAGTCCCTTGGGTTCTCAGGCCTTCAACTTCAGACTGAGATTTATACCTGGACTTCCCTGTTTCTGAGACTTTCAAACTTAGACTGAGCCAGGCCACCAAGTTCCCTGGTTCTCCAGCTTGCAGATGGCCTATCATAGAAATTTTCAGCCTCCATAATTCCATAGGGCAATTCCCCCCAATAAATGTCTTCTCATCTATCTATCTATCTATCTATCTATCTATCTATCTATCTATCTATCATCTATCTAATCTATCCAACCATGCATCCTATTGGTCTGTCTCTTTGAAGAACCCTAATATAGATTTGTACAAGCTTAACATGTTTGAGGTGCAGTAAAAAGATGAGTGTAGCTGAAGCATAGTTGTCAAGGGAAGACTGGTAGAGGGTGATGCTGGAAAGGAAGCTAGGGGCTTGATAATATAGGACTTATTGTCCTAGACCAATAAGAGTTTTAAGTTTTATTTTAATTATGATGAAATAACACTGAAGAGTTTAAAGCAGGGATTTACATGATCATATATATATATATATAATATACACACATGATATGTATATCTTAAAGCATATATATACACATACATATACATACATAATATATACACATGTATGTGTATATATATCTTAAGAAAGCATATATATACATGTATATATACATATACATGTAAACATATACACATACATGTATATGTATCTATATCTTAAGATATATATATATATCTTCCAATTTATATTAGAAATAACCAAAAGGTATTTAGTAATCAATCTAACAAAATATTTGCAAGATTCTTATGGAAAATACTTCAAAATATATATATGCATATAAATACATATGCATACGTATATACATATATACATATGCATACATATATACATATATACATACACATACATATATACATATATATACATCTCTCTCTCTCTCTCTCTCTCTCTCTCTCTCTCTCAAGAAAGCATGGTGGTTCCTATGTGGGAAATGGATCAGAGAAGACCAAGAATAGAAGCTGGAAATCTAATGAGGAAATTCTTAGAGTAGTCTAGGTGAGTGATGACGACAACTTGGCCTATAATGGCCAAGATTGTACACTTTTTCATTTTGAAGGTAGAATCAATAGATTTTTTGTTAATTATCAATGCGAGGTCAGAAAAATATGAGAATTAAGAGTAACTCCTGGGTTTTTTACTTTAAAGCTGGTGGATGCTGATATCACTTTCTGAGATCATAGAGTGGGAAAAATTAAATTATATGCCTATTTGACATCTAAAAAAGATGTCAGTTAGGCAATTGGATACACAACTCAGGAGTCTTGAGAAGTAATTAGCATTGGAGATTTAAATTTTGGAATTTAGGCATACAGGTGAGACTGGAGGGCCAATATGTGACCAAAGTATGGGACCAGTACACGGTCCTTGAGACTCTAGTGCTTAAAGGATTACCAGAGAAGGAGAAGCTAGCAAAGAATAAAGAGAAGGAAAGCCATTGCTCTAATCATCAGTTATCCAATTATCATATTGGACTCCAATGTTGTGATGCTCTCAGAAGCTATTGTAACATAAAAAGGAATTTTCATCCCTTTGTGTCTTTGGCAACTGATTTTAGACAGCTACACTTTTCTCTGACTGCTATTCCTCATTCAAGATGTTAGTATTTAATTTGCTGCTTATAATTTACACTGTATCAATAGATTAAATATGTCTCCTTGTTGAAATAGAGTGAAAAAGCTTAATTAGACAAAGATGCCCACTATTTACCACTTCTATTCCACATTGTGCAATGGATTCCAGTTAGTGTAATAATACACGAAAATAAATAAAGGAAGAACTATGTAAAAACTCATAAGACTTGGAAAGGCAGTAGTACAACTACTAGTATTTGCAAATACTGCTATTGAGTCTAACAATGTGTTAATTATGTGGTGTATTCTATTTAGATACTTGTATCTATCTAAATAGATATTGTATCAATCTAAGTATTTGCATCTATCTAAATAGAATATACCACATAATTACATATTGTTAGACTCAGTAGCAGAATTTAAGAGTATTGGACATAGAGAAACATACAAATGGAAATATATTTTAAAATATAGAATTAATTTATATTAGAAATAAAAAGATATTTAGTAATACATCTAACAAAATATTTGCAAGACTCTTATGGAAAATACTTCAAAATATGTAAAGACATCAGTCCTCCTCAAAGTGGTTTATAGGTCCCATGTAATTCTACTCAAAACTCAACTAATTGTTTTGAGAAAGTTGATTAGCTAGTTCTAAAATATATAAGGGGGAGATGCCCAGTATAGCCAAGCCTTTCCTACAGAAATAGAGTAGGTGGGGAGATCTGTGCTACTAGACATTAATATTTATTGTAAAGGTATAGGAATTAAGATAGTATATTATTGAGCAAGGATGAACATATTGACTTGAACAGACTAGCAAACCCAGAAACAGATCCAGTGCATATGAAAAATTGATGTATGGTAGAGGTGACATTATATATCATTGGGTAAATGATGAAATATTACATATGGAAAAAAATGAAACTGGATTATTTTCTCACACAAAGCACAAAATTCAATTTGTGAGGGATTAAAAAAGTTGGATATGAAATGCAAAACTTTAAATTGTTTAGAAGTATAAGAAAATGTCTTTATAGCATTGGTATAGGAAAAGATTTCTTGCATGTGATACAAAACTACTAGCAACACCAAATAGAAGAAGAAAACATTGAAATTATTTAAGAACTTCTGTGCATCAGGAGGCACAGCAAAAATATGGGCCATAAAGACAGCAAAAATATGGGCCATAAACTTGGAGAACAAACTTGTAGCATATGACATGTAAAACACTGCAAGGCCAAGAAATTGGTATTACACAACTTCAAGGTGGACAACTGCATTCTATTCGAAGTAAATGGCAGCCTCTGGATTTGAGAATGTACTTCTTGAAATTGTACAACATGGCGACATTGTCTAAAATATATAAAGAACTCTTAACAAATAACAAAAAGACAACCAAATAGAACAAATGCAACAGACTTGAACAAATATTACACAAAAGAGCAAATGCAAATGGTCTATACATATCATAACAAGATGCTCATGCTCATTAGTAATTAGGAAAATATAAATTATAGTCACGAAAATATTAATTTATACTGGTCCCATTGGCAAATTTAAGCAGACTGATAGTACTAAGAGTTGGTAAGGATACAGATCAGTTGGATTATCAACTACTGCAGGAATGAAAATTGACATAATCATTTTGAAAAATAACTTGTTATTATCCAGTACAGGTGGATGTGCTCATTCTACAACCAGCATCTCTACATATATATACTAAGCTGTAGAGTCATTCTTGAATATATAGCTCATGGGACACATATTTGGAAACAAATATTCATTGCAATAGAATGGATAGATTGTAGTATAGACTCAGCGGTGGAAAAAATAGATAACTTATATTTATATGCAGTAAAAATGAAAGAATCCTAAAAACATAATGTTAGGGGGAAGTCAAGAGGACCTCATATCGTTTGCTGCCATTTAAAAAAGTAAAATAACACGAAAAACCCTACAAAATGTGTTTTACATATATATATGTATGTGGTAAAACGATTAAAAATAAAATAAATGTCAGGATAATGATTAGCTTTAGCAGGCGTGGGGAGGTCAGGCCAGGCGATGAAATCAGAAGGTGCCCAGAGGTGGTTTCAGCTATATTAGGACAGTTCTAGTTCTTAATTCAGACAGACAGTTAACACGGAATTGTCCTGTAATTGTTTAACTTTCTAATTATATCTATTTGCATGATTTTAAAATTAGATAATAAAAGCTTAGGCCAGGTGTGGTGGCTCATGCCTATAATCCCAGCACTTTGGGAGTCCGAGGTGGGCTGCTCCAACAAGTGCCATTAACATTCATGTTGGTAGTATGTGATAGTAAAATGCTACCACTACTGTCACTACTACTGTTACTACTGCCACCACTGTCTAACGTAGACAGGGCACACCATAGGCTGGGTAGAAGCACAAGTGCATTTATGCCTAATAGCTCACCTAACTTTCACAACAACCTTATCAGGTAAGTGCTTTATATTATCCTTATTTTCCTGATAAGAACATTTAGGCATGAAGAAGTTAAGTAACTTGACCAGGGTTATACAGATAGTAGGAGATGGAGCTAGGCTATATGTTAGATAATCTGGCTCCAGAGCAAATTTAAGCAAATTTAAACACTCCACGGGGTAGAGCTCAGTGGTAGAGCATTTGACTGCAAATTTAAACACTGTGTTACCCATCACATTAATAAGGTTGATTTCATTTTCTTGAAGTGACAGCATCATTTAAAAAGCCAATGAATGTGCCAGACTCTTCTACTTCATTGGGATTGGCCTGTCCTAAAACAGGAGTATGTGTATGTATACATATGCATATATGTCTCTGTATAAATGTATATAGCTTATTTTCAAACAAAGGAGACCAAGAGTTTGAGCTATTGAGGAATGAGGGTCTTACTAAATGTAAAGCTCTAACATGAGAGACTTTTGTCTAGCCGTCTTACACCCATCCACTAGACTTGTCTGTGTCCAAGAGGGAAGCAGTGACTACAGGAATCATACTTTTGCGGTTCATAAAATTTTTGGACTATGGAAATACAGCAAATATTATACTGTATATGTCTATTGATTGAATTTCAGCTGTTTGACTTTCAAACCTTTTTCAGGAATATGTCATTTAGGAAAGTGGGGGCATTTCTATAAAAAAATGTAAAAATCTCTGAGTCCCATGCAATTGAATAAAAATACCATAATTTACAGGACAATATGAAAAGTCTCTTGAGTAGAAGAATCCGGTAAATGTATGAATCTAACAAATAACTAAGCCTAAAAATTTCTTTGCATTTGAAAAGTAAAAGATATAATGCACATACTCTTCTCTGGGGCATGGAAATGCATGTTTTCCTAAAATTCTCCTGCAGAATTTCATATGAGTTGGCTCCGCAAAGGGTAAAATAATCTATTTTCTTTCCTTGTCTGTGGTGCGTTAGTAATCCACAATAAAATACATTCAGCCTCAGGGCAGAAATGATCTTCTGAACTTTCCAAACCTCTCCAGAGATTTGGCTGAAGTAACAGCCTGTCACAGAAAAGAAAGGTATTCTTCTCATTTGAGAGGAATTTAAATTTCATTTTTTAAAAAATGGGTCCTACTTAAACAGTCTGTGGTCTGAGTTTTTTCCTTGTGGTACATGCTGCTCTTAAAAATGGCTCAATTTTATTATATGTAAAAAACAATTGTCCAAGGAAAATAGTAAATATATTCTAATTGTGCACTTGTGGAATCATTCCATCGGAAAAAATTATGCAAAACCCTGGGACAGGTATCCAAAAACAGCTGGAAGTCCAAAGCAATGGGGAAGGCATTCAGCCTGGATATTTTGTCTGCAGAATCTGAACTTCTTTAATTTTATTCCTTCTAAATTTTGTTAGAGTCATCTCTGTTTTCTCTAACCTTTCCTTGGAGAAATTACTGTTTAAAATTTGGTTAAAAGTTACTTTCATAAGCCTGCTCTTGTAGAGTCTTGAGTAATTGACACGGAAAAATTCTTTTTGCTCACTTACCTAGACATTTGCCCAGTACTCTACTTCAGTTCTTCTTAATCTTTATAGGGCTGTAAACTTCTTCGAAAACATGAAGAACGCTGTGATTCATCTCCCCAGGAAATTTTTTATAGGTGCATGTAATATAAAGTCTATTGTGTGCTTCAAATTAGGCTTCTATTTCTACACAGAGTGCTGAGTTGAGAAATGGATTGTGAGTCTATAGTAGGTTTGTGGTTTCTGTATCCGCAGCCCTCCTTCTCTCTCTCTTTCCCTTTTTTTTTTCTTCTGGCATTTCCTGGATGTGCTGGTCTTCAATTTATTGTCTCTCAGATCCACACTCATCCCTCTTTGCACTGCTTTGTGCTTTTATAGCTGGACTCCATACAGTTTTTTCTTTGCCAGCTGGCTCCACGTTAAGCTTTATCAATAGAGGAGGCTGGAGAGACACTTTAAAACATAGCAGAAGAAGGGGCTTCTTTTTCTACTTCTAGTGTGCTTTATCTTTTCTTCTCACTGCATGGTTGACAGTAGTGTTTGGGAGGCCCTGTGGCACTCATTCTGCAGTGAAT
This sequence comes from Homo sapiens, assembly GCF_000001405.40. Taxonomy (NCBI): domain Eukaryota; kingdom Metazoa; phylum Chordata; class Mammalia; order Primates; family Hominidae; genus Homo; species Homo sapiens. The sequence goes on from NC_000003.12 coordinate 99,085,436, forward strand.
TTTTCTGTCCCCCAACAGATAGCTTCCTGCAGACCATGTCCAGTCTGCTGGCACCCCAGCAAACTTCTGCTTCCTCTAGCGGACCACAGCTACACACTCTTCCACAAGGTCTGACTTACAGCCTTGGGTGTCTGGAGTCCTTCTGTGGGTTTTTAGTTTGCTCCTTTAATGCTCTCCCTCTGTCCTAGATATAGCAGTTTAGCATTTGTTCATTCTGCATTCTTTAGAGTCCTCTTTATCCCTTCCAGTGATCACCATTTATTAGCTAATAATTCATTACATTAAAATTTCCCTGTTCAAATTACTAGTGTAGTTTCCATCTTCTCACTGAACTGTGGCATTTAATTTTGTCAATTGCTATTTTGAATCATTATCATTTGGGTTACTAGTATCACAAATCTCCCCCATCCCCATGGTCTTCAAAAATAAACTTTGGGAGCAGTTCGTGACAGGTATTGATATCTAATTTCCTTCTGCTTTGAGGTACCTAGAAGAATTCCCTTGAAGTTAGGCATACCACTGGAAACGTTTCATGTCATTTCCACATGGAAACAGTCAATGGCTAGTGCTCAACTCTTCAACCTACTCTCCAAGCACCTATCTTTCTACTCAGTTGGTTGTTAACTAATCTCTACTAAGTTAATTACCAATGTCTAAAGCATAGCCAGCTATTGTCCAAGATAATTCTAAGGAAGAAGAAATGTTAGACAATAAAAAGTTTGGGGTCAAATTAATTGATGAATACTGTGTTAAACAGTTTTATTTTTCCTCTGCAGAGATTCTGAATGTGTTCAGTATGCTCATATGTAATGTCAGTCTTGAAGAAGGGGGTACTTTTTCTAGTTTTTTGACTATGGAGCCTATAATTGCTGGGGCAGGTGAAATGTTAAGAGGAAATTGGGTCCTAGCAATTGAATGCCTCTACAGGAAAATGACATGCACCACTTCTGTTCACCGCTTACCTTCTAGGGAATCTTTCCAGGCACCTTGAAGGAGAGGGGAACTGATTGTCTATGAACAGTAGCAATGCCTGCCCCAAACTACTGTCAAATTAATTAAAACAACAATAACAGTGGCAGCAGCAACCAAAAATGGATTTATTGAGATATTTGTAGCCTAAGGAGATTGTTCAACAATAAAAAAGTCATTGATATTAAAATGAAGTGGCTGATAATTTTATTGACTCTGTTAAGTGTTTGTGTGGTCTATATATAGAGTGCCCCAATAGACATGCATTACTATGCTCTTGATTATGTCAGGGGAGGAGGCCATGTAAGAAAATTAAATGCTTTACTTCAGAAAATTACCAGTGAAAGAGATTAAATTCTTTATGTTTATATTGAGATGAATGCATATTACTGTTCCTTAGCTATTGGATAATGTCTGAAAACCTTAAAAATTAATGATAGGTAGGTGTTTTAAATGTTTTATATCAGGACATCCAATGTTCAGAATAGACCTCAATTTCTTTCAGTTTGTCATATTTTATGTAACTTCTATCCTTCACATTTCCATCTTTGCATTAGAACCATGTTTTTGCATTAATGATAAGTACCTTGAACATATAGTACTGGTGTTCAGGGCCTGAAATAGAGGGCAATTGAAGGGATCTTGGAAACTGGAATTCCAGTTCTAGTTAATAAAAGTATAATATTGGTCAAATTCTTTAACTTTTCTGGGCCTTCTTTTTCACCTACAAAAATAGTGAATTTGAAATAAATGATCTTTATGATCCCACAGTTTTTAATAAATATACTTTACAATTTCAATCTATATTCTCTGTAGAAATGATTTTATAACCAATGTGATAGTTCACATTTTATGTGACTCATTTGATTCAAATATTTAATGAGTAATTACCATATTCTTCTGCCAACTATAGGGCTCTGCATATAAAGTAGATAAAAGAACTAGATCTGCAGCATTAACAAGCTCAAGACTAGTACTAAGCTTCAGGAGACTTTGCTAAGTAAGTGGGTTCTAGCAGAACAGACCATAATCATGCCAAAACATCTATTTTCTGTTGAGATGTGTCATCGGCTACTAACGATACATATGTATCATTACACAAATATGTATACATGATACAAATATATATCATTGGCTACTAATGATACATATTTATAGAGAGCTGGGAATATTCTATTTAGGTCACTGGGATGATTGGTAGCTTTTGCTTTCAACAACCTGCATGAAAGTCCACAGTTGATATCACATCTGAGCAAAAAGAAATAAAATTGTGAGTCTTTAAACTGGCAGCAAGTTGCCATGAGAAATTATCAACCGATTTTCAATAATAAAAAAAATTGTCAGAATTCATAATTAAACACTTGCAAAATGAGTTTCCAGAGACACAGGACTAAGAAATTTATTATGGTAATGAGATGGCAGTTGTTTATCAATAATTGCTAATGAAAGAAAATGTTCATGTTTCAACTTTTAAACTAGTCAATCATTGTAATTGTATAACTGACCCAGCTGATAAAAAGGAAATTACTCTGAAGATTAAAAATAATTCTCTGACTTGGCAGAATTGAAAATGTTGGGTTTGGGAGTCGGGGTAGGAGCATTTTCCCAGGGAAGTAATTGTGAAATACTTCGGATTTGTTTTTATGAAGGAATATGGAGGAAGCTGCTGCACTCTTATTTCTAAGGAACCTTCACAACATGCAGAGGGTGGGATTCATGTCATCATTTGTTTCTCATCAAATCTGTTTCACTTAACCTTCTGTGTTAGGTAAAAGGTATTTGCAAAACACTGCCTAAAAAGAGAGGCTTGCCTACTCTACCCCTATATTTTCTCCCTCCTGGAGAAGATAAAGGCAGACTGTAGAGAAGGCTTGGAAGTGATTGCTTCAAACAAGAGCACGTAATGGTAGATATAGAACAGAATTCAGGTGAGCACCAAGTTCTTACACGTGGAGCAGATTTGCCTCACATCTGTGCAGGGAGAGCAATTCTTGTTAACCACCTTAGGGTTAACCTTCTTCTACTCCTTCCATTAACTCAGCTTAGGTCATTATCTCTATGTATTAAGAATCTGTGCACATGATACACACACTTCACAGGTGTTACATAAAAGAAAACAGAGACTTAGTCTCAACTCCATCACATATTTATTAATTCATGCAGCAAATATTTATTGAAGTCTAATATGTACTAGACACCAGGCCATGTGCTGGGGATATTATGCTAAACAGGACAGACACAGAAAAACAGTTAACAAGGGGGAGGGAGTCAAACTCAAACCCAGTAAATAGATAAGGAAAATAATTACAAATGTTGATAATATCAACAAACAAAGTAAGATGCTGAGCTAGAAAACAATAGAGAGAGGAACAATGGTTTGGGGTAGAAACATCAGGAAAGCTTATCTATGGAGGTGACATTTTAGGTCATGTGTTAGCTGAAATTTCAGGGATGAGGGGCTAATCATGGGAATACTGTGTGGAAGAGTGAGTCAGGTAGAGGAAGGAATATGTAAAAACACCTTTCAAGGTAGGAAAGATCTTGGCGAGTTGTTGAAGCTGAAACAGGACAGTGTAGCTGGAGCACTATGAGCAAGGGGAAAGCATGACAGAGAATGGTAAGACTGGAGCAGGATGTGAGGGTGCTGGGGGTATCCTATAGGGCCTCGTAGATTCTTCTCTTGCATTGTATTTAAATGCAACAGGAAACCATTGAGGGCTTTTAAGATGGAGTTTAACATAATACGACTTCTGTTTTAAATTTATTATTTCTTCTATCTGGGGAATGGACTGGAAGGAGACACAAATGGAGAAGTGTAGAGCTGCTGTGTCAACCAGATTGAAGATTATGTTGGCCTGGAGTAGGAGCGAGGAAGTGGAGATTAATAGAGGTGGATAGATACTTGTTAGGCAAAAGACTTTATCATACATATGAAAAGAGACATGAAGACTGCATTGTGAAGTATAGATGCATAACTCTTGCATATCAAACAATAATAATGATAACTTATAGATCATGTGATCTAATCCTTCCATTTTACAGATATGTCTAAAATCCAAAGGGGAAGAAGGACTAGTTAGTGGGACAATCAATATCAAAATAGCTTTTCTGATTTCCTCATTGATGCTTTTCCCTTATACAAGAATAAAATTATGGAATATTTACCATTTTATTGGGTATATTTTAAAATTCTAAAAATGAATGTGGTTGTAGAATCAGGTAAAATCTGATGATATCTATTTGTCCTATTATTTTACAAAGATGACTGGTTGAAGATAAAAACGACTTAATTAACTTGTTTTTTTGGAGAGGAGGGACCAGCCTTAGAAATATTTAGACAATTTAGAGCAGCATACTGTACCCTAAGCTTAACTTCTGGATTATCAAGAAAAACAAGTCCATGTACTTACTGCCAACTTATTTTCAACAAAGTTGCCAAGAAGATCTGTTGGAAAAGGATACTCACTTTAGTAAATAGTGCTGGGGAAACTGGACATCCACATGCAAAAGAATAAAACTAGATTCCCATCTTTCACCATATGCAAAAATCAACTCTAAATGGATTAAAGACTTAAATGTAAGTCCTGAAACTATGAGATTACTAAAAGAAAACATTGGTGAAACATTGCAGGACATTGGTCTAAATGAAGAATTTTTAGGTTAGACCTCAAAAGCACAGGCAACAAAATTAAAAGTAGACAAGAGGGATTATATTAAAGTAAAAGATGTCTGCACAGCAAAGGAAACAACAGAGTAAAGAGACAACTTACAGAATGGGAGAAAATATTCACAAATTATGCATCTGACAAGGGGTTAATATTCAGAACGTATAAGAAACTCAAACAACTCAACAGCAAAAAGCCAAATTATTTGATTTAAAAATAGGCAAAATATCTGAAAAGTCATTTCTCAAAAGAAGACATAGAAATGACACCAGGTGTATGGAAATATGTTCAACATCACTCATCTCAGAGAGATGCAAATAAAATCCTCAATGAGGTATATAACCTTGTTGCAGTTAGAATGGCTATTATCAAAAAGACAAAAAAAAAAACAAAAACCCAAATGCTGATGAGGATATGGAAAAAGGGAAACTCATACACTGTCGGTGGGAATGTAAATATGGATGACAGTACGAAAGTTACTCAAGAAATTAAAAATAGAATCACCATATGATCCAACAATCCCATTACTAGGTATATATCCAATGGAAATGAAATCAATATGTTGAAGAGATAGCTGCATCACCATGTTTATTACAGCACTAGTCATAATAGCCAAGATATGAAAACAACCTAAATGTCCATCAATGAATAAATGGACTAGAAAATGTGATATATACATGCAATGGAATACTATTGAGCCATAAAAAGAATGAAATGCTGGCATTTGCAACAATGTAGATGAGCCTATAGGACATGATATTAAGTGAAATAAGCCAAGCACAGGACAAAATAGGCATGATATCACTCATGTGTAGAATCTTAAACAGTTAATCTCAGAAGTAGAAAGTAGAATGGTGGTTACCAGAGGCTAGGAAGGAAACAGAGGAGAGGGGATGAAGAGGAGTTGGATAAGGGGTATGAAAATATCGTTAGAAGGAATAAGCTGTGGCATTTGATAATACAGTAGGGAAATTATAGTTAATGATAATTTGTATATTTCAAAATAACTGGAATATGAATATAGTAATGTTCCTAAAACAAAGAAAAGATAAATGTTTGAAGTGATGTGTATCCCAGTTACTCTGACTTGATCATTACACATTGTATACAGGAACCAAAATATCATATGTACCCCCCATATATGTACAACTCTATATAAATACAAAATAAAAATAAGGAAACACAAATAAATGAAGAAAAGAATATTTAGTGGGCTAAATCTGCAGATCTTTAGCCTTTTGCAATGTAGTATCTAAATCAGCAGCATGTATGAATAGTCAGAGAGAGAGGTGAGACAGAAAGGACCACCTCCCTTATTGAAGTCTATCTGTCTTTGCCTTCTCCCTCCTTCTATTAACTAAAGTTAGGCCAGATTAATGAACTATCAGCAAGTCGAAGAAACAGTTGAGGTGGCAATAGTAGATACAGTGGAATCTTCATGGAATCTTGAGGGGAAAGCCAGCCTTCTTTCTGGGCTAACTAGCTAAATCGATGTAGTTTTGGTCTTGTAGATTGTCCTCATTCTTCAGATATAATCATCTGCCTTCACTCACCTGAAAAACTGTCTTAAGTTTTCAGAGTACAAACATCTATAGTTGTCATATATATATATATATATATATATATATATATATATATATATATATATATTTTTTTTTTTTTTTTTTTAGTCTACCAGTGTCTCTGCTTGCTTTACCCCTACTCCAATATCCTGCTTTCCATAAATGCCTGATTTAATTGAACTGGTCTTTAACTCAGAATGAGAGTAGATTCAGTAAGGTATAAATTGTCCCTGTCATTAAAAACAATGAATTGGACAAATGGCATATTGCCAAAGTGAAAAGGAAAGGAAAAACAATGAAACAAAAAATTGAACCCTGAATCATTTATGATTCTGTGATTTGGCTGTGATATTTGCTGTCAATAGACCTTTTTTCTTGTCAACCACCTTATTTGTCATTTTCAGAAATTGTAAATCTACAATTAGCTGCTTTCTATTCAACTTTAGAAAAATAATGCAAATATACTGGCACAATCATAGAGGAAAATTAATATTTAAGTTGGACAAGCTCAAATTTCTAGGTAACTTACACCTTTAATATTCCTACTTTCTTCTTTTCTTATCCTTCCCCCCGCACATTATTTCTTATGCAATAAATGAGTTCAGATAGATAAAAAACTATGAGGAGGTGCACTAGGTAAAGAAAATACAGATTAAAAATAATCCCTTTCTATTAACCTGAAGTAGGCTTATATAAATTTATTACCACATCTCAGATAAGTCTTTCAGGTTTAGTGTATACCTCTTGATTAAATAAATTAGATGCATTTAATTTGTCTCAATTCACATTAAGTTCAAGGGAAGATCAATTAAATTTCTCTACTTTTTAATTTAAAAGAGACATGGTGGTAGTACTTGTAGATTAATGCTCTTATAAATTAAATTTTATCTCTATTTTTATACCTACCAGAAAGAGTATAATGTTCTAGCATATTGACAAAGCTTGAGCTAAAACATTCAGGCAATTTATAATAACTTAAAACTAAGGCTGTGGAAGAGTCTAGTTCTAGGAAATATTTTTAGAGGTGACTCAATGACAAAGCTTATAACTAGTAGAGGCTTTGTCTTAATTGAAGTGAGATAGATAACTGTAGAATTTATGTGAAAACTTGGTGTGAATTGGTTTATTAGGCATTTTAATATCCTGGCTAAGAGGCATTATGTAGTTGGGAAACTAGTGAAAAAAGGAGAAACTTAACTGCATTTGCAATGATTTATTCCTTTGAAAAAACAAACTAAAGCCAAACTGAAGCAAATAAGGTCAAATATTATGTCTATTTTATCTCTCTGGTGGGTCTTATAATTTTTTTGTTTAAAATATTTCATTATTAAAAATTATAAGAATAGGATTGTTGAAAACTGGATATCCACATGCAGAAGAATGAAACTAGACTCCTATCTCTTGTCATACACAAAAATCAAATCAAAATGGATTAAAGATTGAAATCTAAGACATTATAATTTTTAAAAACTTTTGGGGATGCATACTGAAATATGTTGAGATGAAATTACATGATATCTAGAATTCTTTGCAATACTTTAGCATTAATAAGAAAATAAAAGCATTAAAAGGATGAATAAAACAAGTGTGGCACAGTCTTGACATTTGAATCCAGATGATAGATTTACATACATATAAATATTTTAATTTAATTTAATTTATTTATTTATTGTAGAGACAGAATCTTGCTATAGTGCCCAGACTGTTCTTGAACTCCTGGCCTTAAGGGATCATCTCTCCTTGGCCTCCCAAAGTGCTGGGATTACAGGTGTGAGTCACCACACCTGATTCATATACATATTTTTAAATCAAGGAGAATACATTATCTTAAAGCTGTTGGGTCGAGACTCCTTAGGTGAACACAAAAAGGAATTAATGACAGATTAACTAAGGAGATTAATTAACAAACATTCCTTTCTACCAATTTTAAGTTCCTAAAAGTTTCAGTTTATTTTGCTTATGTCAAATGTTCAAAAAGTTTGGTTGCCCCATTTTTTTATGAGCACGTACTAATAGTAGTGACAGGTTAAATCCCCAGGAAATTTCAGTTATTTGTGTTATCCCCATGGGTTTATTGTTTAGTTCTTTAATAATTGCTTAAGTCGTTCCCCCAACCTTACATCACTTACCTGTGCTCTTCAAATGAAGACTTTGACCATGGAGGTGACCTTACAGCCATTTACTAGAGGGTAAAAAAAAATAAGTAGGAAGGGCAGTTAACAGGCATTAAATGAGGAACATTCTGAAAAGCATATTTGAAGTCCCAAGAATATGAGGACATTCTCAGCAGGGTAGAATCCTACGACTACTGAATATTTACCACGTCAACTCTTATGACTAATTAGGTAGTTCAAATTTATTTATCAGAGCTCATCCAAATAACCATTCTTTTTTCCTTGTGTGATATTTTCTTGTTTTCTCCTGAAAACACTTCACATAAGAAGTCACTGTGATACGAAGTTAGCTTAGTTCTTGGAATTTTTGTTTAGAAACTATTTGCACATAAATTAAAAGACCCGTTCATTTGGAAATTAGCACACGACTTTTATCCTGCCTCGAAGGCAGGATAAACCCTTTATTGTGTTTCCTTAACTTTTCCTATGTTCTGTAGATTTTGGACAGTGTTGTGTTGTATCCTGTGTTGCTGTTTCTGTTTTGGTTAACCAGACTCTGTTCAGGATTCAGGACTTTTAGCGCCCATCCCAGTTCATGTTAAATCAATTATGGAAGAACAGGGTAGAAGTGAAAGCATTTTTACCCAAAAGGCCCTGCTAAAGCTGTTAGATTCAATTAAGTACAAATTCTATCTTCAGGATTAGAGTTTTATAGTCCAAGTCAAAACTCGAGTTCCTGTGTTCTTCCTTATACCCATATACATTCTTCCACTGAGGTTATGTGTCCCCGCCATGCTGTCTAGCCCTAAAACGGCATACCCATTTGCACCCCTCTGTCTGAGAAGCTTATTACACTCACTAGTTGCATTTGGATTAACTTTGAATGCTTCTTTTTTTGGGGGGCAGGGATGGCATTTTTTTGTTGGTTATTACAGGAGGGTTTGGAGTTTTGGGTTTTATTTTCATACTAGGGTTGGGTTGCTGAGCCGGGAATCAAATTAAAACTGGCACGTCTCTGTGGTTTCATTTGCTTTTCTTCCTGCCATGGGATAAGCTGGCACTGAAGTCTTGTTTTGAAACCCTGAAATTCAAGCCTTAGAAAAATCATTGCCAATAGTGTAAGTTGAAATGCTTGGTTTGAATTTCCACTGGATTGTGGGGACCCAAATAGAAAGGTTGAATTAGAGTTTGTTTCAGCAGCCAGTAGAATATCTTCTTCAGGTAGATTTGTTAAGAAATTTGGACATCATCTTACAAAATATTTGGAGGTTAAACTTGCACCAGCCCTTCCTCTACTGTGTATAGTATAGCATCCTGTTTATGGGAGAAAAGAATATATGAGTGAAGGCCAAAAAAGAGAAAGCATGGCTGTTGTGTTTTGTAAAAGTGTTTGGGGTATTTTATAGAAGGCAGAGAGAAAATTGGGCAGCTGAATTTGTTCAATGTAAGACACGGGGAGAAAAATGGATGAAGATTTTTAGAGGCATTTTTGTTGTATATTATGAGTAAAATTCTCTTTGGAAATGCTTTGAGAATCTTAATTAGAGATTTAAATTGCTTTTACATTCCTTTTTTGTTTTTTGAAGGCTGGGTCTTCTTTAAAGAAGGAGTACTCGAGGACTCTGTGAATTGAAAACGAACATCTGTTTGAACCTGTTTTTGTGTAAGTGGTGATTTCATGTAACATCCTAGTTTCATATTCAGAGTTTTAAATATCTTTTTTCATTAGTTTTTTTAATATTAGATCTTGAAATTGGAAATATTTTAATCCCCATCAATGTAACAGGAGATTTAATTATCTCTCTTCATTAGCTCTTATCCAATATTAGATTTTGTAATTGAAAATATTTCCAATATGTTCTTGATTAATAGAGAGTTCGGAATATCTAATGCTCATTGTAATTGCAGTCTAGTGGACTACTTATATGCAAAAATGAAGAAGAGGTAAGAGACAGTGTATGGACACTTGCGGACATGAGACTATTAGTATTCCTTTTCCCTTTTTCCTTGGCAATGCTATATATCAGAAATATTTAAAAAATAGTCACAGACTATGAAATGTAGAAGAGAAAATACAATGAGGAGAGTGCTACTGCATCTATCATGTGAAGATGATAATCAACTATATTGTTCAAAATGCCTAAGTTCAACTGGAAGAATGCAGTGGAAATACAGTTGATGTGCTTTTAAAGATTCCTTTTCAGATAAATTCCCTCTAAGTTCAGTATTTACAATTGGGTCCAGGTATGAATTTGAGAGGAAGAAAATGGATTTTGGTAATTTTCTATGGATTAGCGGTTTTTCTTGGCCTTGAACAGATTTATCAAGCTCCACAGAAGCACAGGTGTTACAGTTTATAAGTGTAATAAAGGCCAAGTTTTTTCCTCAAAAACAAAACAAAACAAACCCCACTCAGTTTATTTACTAGATGATAAAAATCAAATTGAAAACCTTTTCATGAATGGTGGTCTTCATGTGTAATGTGAAGTTTCTGCTTAGAGCTCTTCAGCCTATATATCCTTCATTATAATCTCTTATGAGGTATATTCAAAGCTATATAGGCCAAAAGGGACGATTAATAGGAGTGTGAGCCTTGAACCAATTACATGTCAAATGATTTAACAAGGAGCGATTCCAGCAAAATCTCAAAAGATGATTTAGGGAAGATAGAAGACATATACCATCATGTGCCAAGTCTGAGAAGCACAAATGTTTAAAATCCCCAATCTGTACTTAATTTCATTAAATTTCACTGGTTATTCCTGTTTGAACTTAATGTACTTTCTAGTCCTACTTCCATACAAAGTGTGGAATTGCTGGTTTACTCAAGACTGGCTGTTTGGTTAGTAGCTTTAGGAAGAAAAGAGCTTAACTGGGCATTGGAGAATGTGATTATTTTATTTGGGAAGAAATTAAGTTAAATATATCACTTAAATATGATTAAAATATGTTTTTAATCAATACATTATAAAAACTATAATGTTTAAAAGTGCAATGAAGGAAGAAAGTTTCTGCTTATTTAGGCATTAGTGTAGTCTTGCTTTCCACATTAGTCCTTGGAGAGGAAGTGGGAAAGGAGTGGAAGTCACATTAATCACTCCTAGAGCAAGAGTCTCTGTCTAGGCCCAATTTAAATTTTGCTCTTGGTAGATACGATTACAGCCAAACTGGTGAATTTTTAGGTGAATTCAGGCTTTAATGCACTTGAGAATCAAAATATTTCTGAGATGTATTAGGCTGAAATAAAACCATGAATAAGCAAGTAAATCCCCTCTTCCAAGAATGGAGGGGACCATCAAGCTCAGGACAGGTCTCATCCTCAATTCCAGAAAAGAGTATGCCTCAACTCTTACCTACAGATGGGAATCTGTCCAACCATGAAAAATCTCTAAGGGAAAGAATTGTGTTTTATTCTTCAATGAACAAAAATGATACCATTATAGGGGTTTTCCCTTTAAAAGCCTGAATTCCTCCTACTTTAGCAGAATTCACAGATAGCTGGTCATTCATCCTGTATGATTCTGAGACAAAATACAAATAAGAACATAGAAGCTGTTGACATTTTTATAAATGAACTGGCAAAACTGAATTAAGAACATTTTTCAGGTTTTAAACCCTAATTTTCTCCCAAGTGATATGTAATTTTACTTGGAAAACTGTCAGAAATACACGAACCAACCCACTGATTAGTCTCTGCTACTAAACCTCTCAGAGCTAGTTGAGGATTAAATAAGCCATTAAATTAAAAAGTGCTTGAGAACCTCAAAGTTCTATTTGAATGTGAAAGATTATTTCAGTGGCTCTGATCCTACTAAGCAGTCTCATTTTAGGCAATGATATGGTTTGGCTGTGTCCCCACCCAAATCGCATTTTGAATTCCCACGTGTTGCGGGAGAGACCCAGTGGGAGGTAATTGCATCATGGGGTCAGGTCTTTCCCATGCTGTGTTCATGACAGTGAGTACGTATTTTGAGATTTGATGGTTATGATAAGGGGGAGTTTTCCTGCACAAGCTCTTTGCTTGCTGACATCTATGTAAGTAAGATGTGATGCTCCTCCTTGCCTTCCACCATGATTGTGAGGCTTCCCCAGCTGTGTGGAACTGAAGTCCAATTTAACCTGTTCCTCTAGTAAATTGCTGAGTCTTGGATATGTCTTTATCAGCAGTGTGAAAATGGACTAATACAGTAAATTAGTAGCAGTAGAGTGGGGTGCTGCTGAAAAGATACCTGAAAACATGGAAGTGACTTTGGAACTGGGTAACAGGCAGAGGTTGGAACAGTTTGGAGGGCTCAGAAAAAGACCAAAAAATGTGGGAAAGTTTGGAACTTCCTAGAGACTTGTTGAATGGCTTTGACAAAACCTGATAGCAATATGGACAATAAAGTCTGGGCTCAGGTGGCCTCAGATGGAGATGAGGAACTTGTTGGGGACCGCAGCAAAGGTGACTTTTGTTATGTTTTAGCAAAGAGAGTGACAGCATTTTGCCCCTGACCTAGAGATTTGTGGAATTTTGAACTTGAGAGAGATGATTTAGGGTACCTGGTGGAAGAAATTTCTAAGCAGCAAAGTATTCAAGAAGTGACTTGGGCGCTGTTAAAGGTCTTCAGTTTTATCAGGAAAGCAGGGCATAAAAGTTTGAAATTCTTCAGCCTGACAATGTGATAGAAAATAAAAACCCATTTTCTGAGGAGAAATTCTAGCTGGCTGCTGCAGAAATTTGCATGAGTAATGAGGATCCTAATGTTAATCCCCATGACAATGGGCAAAATGTCTCCAGGGCATGTCAGAGGTCTTCACAGAAGCCCCTCCCATCAGAAGTCTGGAGGCTCAGGAGAAAATGGTTTAGTGGTCCTGGTCCAGGGATCCCTGTGCTGTGTGCAGTCCAGGGACTTGGTGCCCAGCATCCCAGCCACTCTAGCCATGACTAAAAGGAGCCAAGGTACAGCTTAGGCTGTTGCTTCAGAGGGTGGAAGCCTCAAGCCTTGGCAGCTTCCACGTGGTGTTGAGCCTGCACAGAAGTCAAGAATTGAGGTTTGGGTACCTCCACCTAGATGTCAGAAGACGTATGGAAACACCTGGATGCCCAGGCAAAAGTTTGCTGCAGGGTTGGGGACTCATGGAGAACCTCTGGTAGTGCAGAAGGGAAATGTGGGGTCAGAGGCCCTACACAGAGTCCCTACTGGAGCACCACCTAGTGGAGCTGTGAAAAGAGGGCCACCGTCCTCCAGACCACAAAATGGTAGATCCACTGACAGCTTGTACTGTGCACCTGGAAAAGCCATATACACTCAACACAGTCTGTGAAAGCAGCCAGAAAAGGGTTTATATCTTGCAAAGCCACAGGGGCTGAGCTGCCCAAGACCATGGGAACCCACCTCTTGCATCAGCATGACCTGGATTTGAGACATGAAGTCAAAGGAGATCATTTTGGAACTTTAAGATTTGCCTGCCCCCCCTGGATTTCAGACTTGCATGGGGCCTGTTGCCCCTTTGTTTTGGCCAATGTCTCCAGTTTTGAATGGCTGTTTTATCCAATGCCTATACCCCTATTGTATCTAAGAAGTAACTAAGTTGCTTTTGATATTACAGGCTTATAGGCAGAAAGGACTTGCCTTGTCTCTGGTGAGACTTTGGACTGTGGACTTTCGAGTTAATGTTGAAATGAGTTAAGACTTTGGGGGACTGTTGGGAAGGCATGCTTGGTTTTGAAATGTGAGGACATGAGATTTGGGAGTGGCCAGGGGTGGAATGATTTGGTTTGGCTGTGTCCCCACCTGTATCTCATCTTGAATTCCCACATGTTGTGGGAAGGACCCAATGGGAGGTAACTGAATCATGGGGGCACGTCTTTCCCATGCTGTTCTTGTGATAGTGAGTAACTCTCATGAGATCTGATGGAATTATAAGGGGGAGTTTTTCTGCACAAGCTCTTTGCTTGCAGCCATCCACGTAAGACGTGACTTGCTCCTCCTTGCCTTCTGCCACAATTGTGAGGCCTTCCTAGCCATGTGGAACTGTAATTAAACCTCTTTCTTTTGTAAATTGCCCAGTATCGGATATGTCTTTTTTTTTTTTTGCAAGATGGGATCTTGTTCTGTTGCCAAGGCTGGAGTGCAGTGGCATGATCTCGGCTCACTGCAACCTCTGCCTCCCAGGTTCAAGTGATTCTTCTGTCTCAGCCTCCCGAGTAGCTGGAACTACAGGCATGTGCCACCACACCTGGCTAATTTTTTTTTTTTTTTTTTTTTTTAGTAGAGACAGTGTTTCACCATATTGGCCAATCTGGTTTTGAACTCCTGACCTTGTAATCCAACCACCTTGGCCTCCCAAAATGCTGGGATTACAGGTGTGAGCCACTGTGCCTGGCTTGGATATGTCTTTATCAGCAGAGTGAAAACGGACTAATACAGGCAGCCATTAAACCTCACTGAATTTCAGCAGCTTCATAAGAAAATGAGGAGGTTTGGATTAAATAATCTTTAAGGCTGCTTCTGGTTCTAGCATTCTTGATCACAAGGTATTTGCTTTTCAGTTAATTCAAGTTGTTCTTAAGAAAAATGAATATATTATCCCAAAGGTAGATATCCCTGAAATTGTGTCTTATAGCCACTGATTTGAGATATTTTCTCTTTTTAGTCAGTAGGTCTTTATTTCTTTTTAAAAATAATGTTTCTTCTCTTCTAACCTGGTCTACCCTTTAGGGCAGACCTTAGGAGTCTTATTCACCTTGTACCAAACTTTTTTGGTAAAGAAGTTCTAATTATACACCTAATATAATCAGAAGGATCTAGTGTAATATATTGCCCACAACATCCAGAATTTTTACATTCTATGTTGGTTTGAAAGATTGGTTTTTGCTAAGTATTTTCCAACATCTCACTGCTCTTAATTGAACCCTGAAGGCTTTTCTTGGCAACTGATTTCAGCCCTCACTGTCTGGGAAGGCCCTGATGTGGGCAGAAGCAGTGTTCTATTAGGAGCCTTCATTTCAGGTTACCCCTGATTTTCCTCTCAAGGCTCTGCTTAGTCAAAAAGAGACCATCTCCTGCAGCTTGATTGATGCCCTAGATGGATTTTCCAAGACAGAGATTGCTGGTGCCTAGGGTTTAAAACAAATCCCACAGTGGGTGCCAGGGAATGTGGTTTTGGGACCAAGATTCTGCATTCACATCTCCCTGTTCCTTGTGGAGTCATTTCTTTTCCTGTTTAGTGTATGAAAGAACTTGGCCAACAAAATTAAGCAAATTAATGATTGATGGTATTTTTCCTCTATTGAAATTCATTACTATTTCTTCAGATTTGCAAGTAGATGGTTTGAAAATTCTTCAAAGGTCTGAATGGCGACAAAGTTTAGCTCCTGCTGTCTTTGTGCTTCTCTCTCATTGGGCCAGAAGTAGCTTTTTAAAAATGAAAGCAAGTTTACAGAAAGATGAGCAGGCTTTACTTTGTATATTTGCTTATATAGAACCATGTTATGGACTAATTAATTTTGATTGTGTTGCTGGCTAAATATCAGAACATGGCCTAGGTTATCATAAAAAATAAAATGATCTCAGAACCTTTTATTGGCATGAATAGTGTGTGATGTCTGCTTGGAATAGTCAGGCTTCTCTGGAGATACAGAACCAGTAGGATATTGATACAGAATCGACAGGGTATCTCATTATATATATTACAAAATATTGGTTCATGTGATTATGGAGGCTGAGAAGTTCTACAATCTGTGATCTGTAAGCTGGAGCCCCGGGAAAGACAGTGGTGTAGTTGGAAGGCCTGAGAAATGGGGAGTTTTTGGTACAGATTCCAATGTGAGCCTGAAGACCTGAGAACAAGGAGAGTTGAAGGCAGGAGAAGATTAATGTCCCAGCTCAAGTAGTCAGGCAGTGTCAGCAAATTCTCACTTCCACTTTTTGTTCTCTTCAGGCCCTTAACAGATTGGATGCTACCCACTACATTGGGAAGGGCAATCTGCTTTATTTAATCTACTTATTCCAACACTAATCTCTTCCAGAAATACCCTCAGGCACACTCAGAAATACTGTTTAATCGAGTATCTGGGCATCCTGTGTTTCAGTAAGGGTAACACATACAATTAACTATCACACTGGTAAAATGATTTCAGATTTCATCAGGAGAAATCCTGTCATTAACAAATAATAGTGTCAACAATTATTTGTTGAAGAAATTGGAGTTCTTTGGGTTCTCCATCACAATTAAGTTGGTCTACATCCTATCAGGTGACATGACTGTGGCTATATGATTAGTTTACTAGGTAAGGCTTCTAGCTCATGGATACCTGGGCCTCTGCCTGCTTGTCCTCTGTTGCCCAATGCTGTTACCCGGTGCTGGCTGCAATATAAAATAGTTTAAACTTTTTAAAAAAGAAATCCCAAAATATATATAGATGATCAACATTTTAATAAAAACAACACACTTGTAGAAAGTTGGAAATTAGAAGAGCAGAGGAAAATTATGCCTATTCCTACTACCTATTAACAACCAATACTAACAGTTTGTATATTTCCACCCAGTCTTTTTCCTGTACATTTTGAATTATGATTGTGACCGTATTGTGCATAAAATTTTATATTTGCCTTTTCTCATTTAGTAAAATAATTGAAGCATCTGTTCATGTTGTATAACCTCTTTATAAGCATAATTGAAATTTTAAATAATAACTACTTAACAGTGTATAATATGGAATTTGCATATTAATAAACATTTTTTTATTTCAGTTGTTCACACATACTCATTACTATGTTTTACACATCTTTATAGTATAAATATATTTTCTAAAATTTTTTTAGGCGAGACACTTAGAATTTCACTGATTCTTGAAGTTATCATTGAGCAATAAAACCAAAAAGAACCTCAGAAATTATCTTATCACTTTACAAATAAAATGTATGAGTGCTAGGGGCACTATGGAAGAATTTTAAGAGTGTATTTTTCTTTCTTTTGTTTCTGATTTGAGATTATTGCACTCGTGCACTAAAAGAAGTGGAGGAGGGGAGTTGAGTAGTCCTTGAAGTCACAAAAGACACTCCCAGGTGACTGTCTTTGGCTCCCATTCACTCTGACAACCACACAGAAAACTGTTGATGTATCTAGTCAGCATTGTTATAAGCTACTTTTGGTTATCAGCACTTTCATCCCCTATGCCTTGAGGTTTCAACGGGGCATGATGCTCTCTCAGATATTTTTCACCTCTCTACCCCTTGAAACAAAGATTCTACCTTGTATAAGTTACTGAGTCAGAGCAGGAGCAAGGACCACATGTCTTTATTCCTAATCCAGTGATGGAGCTTTATGGGCAAATTGGGAATATTGCTCTGGTATTTATTTGTCTGGCCAGAAAAACTAATTTTTTTTTTTCAGTTTTAAAGCCACTGATTTGTTCTGTTTTTAGTTTTCATTATCTTCCTGATTATGATGAAGAGCTTCCAAAATGAAAATTGAGGCTAGTATTGGAAATTTATCTATCCATCACCCCTCTCTTCTTTGCTTTCTTGCTTGTCAGTCTCCTTTGATTGTTCTTTCTCTCTAAACATTTGTTCTTCCTCTCTGAAGCAATCTTTTTTTTTTGTCAGCAATGATTGATTCTCAGGTGGAAAATTGCTGCTCCACTTTTTTCTGGGTTTTGGGTGACATAGTAAATAAAAGGGAGGTGGGAAAATTCTCAATTTAAATTGGAACTAGATGGCTTACATTTGAATCTGAGCTCTGGTAGTTATGTGTGACTTTGGACAATTTACTTAAACTGTTTGTGCCTCAGTTTCCTTATCTGTAAAATTCCTCTAATATTATAACTTCCTTCATTGAATTGTTTGAGGATTAAATAAGATGTTATAGGTAAATCATAATATGGTGCATAGAAAGCACATAATACATTTTTTATTATTTATTCCATTAATAAGAAATTAATTCAGCTATAGACTTCAGTTTTAAAGTGTGGGTATACCCTGAATGTTTAAAGCTGGTCAGTCCTTCCTACTTACGGTTTAGTTGAATTATGTCAAACAATATATTTAAATATTTTAAGCACTTCAATGTGCCAGCTGTGGAACTGAGGGCCATCCTTGTAGTATCTTCTCTAGTCCTGAAAACAATCTTACTATGTGGACCAATTATTCTTAGTGTATATATGAGGGAAATGAATCTTAAAGAGGTTACATACCTGTCTAAGGCCATTCTCATAGCTAAGGGGTGCGAGAATGGAATTTCTAAGTAGAATTTGGGCCATACCTCTTCTCAAATAGCCTACAGTGGTTATAATTCAGGATAAATCATTTTTACTGGGATGTGAGAAGGAAGGTAGAATGAAAAGTTAGAAATCTTGAAAAATTAATTCTGAACACCTTGAGTTTCTAAGAATTGAGAGAGAAGTCTTTTCACTTCCAATAACAAACTGCCCATTTTGCAGTTGTGACTAGGATTATAAGGTTGCCTACATGCCATGTGCCACCAAAGTCATCTTTTCCACAGCAAATTTCCATAGGGTGATGTTATGGGGGTTATGTTTAGTATCTCTGGGAAATTTAAAAGGATAAGTAATTTTAAATAACAATGAGTAATAATAATTGGACTGGAAATGTAAAAATTAACTGCAGACATAGGCATTATGCAAATACATACTTTTGTTTCCCTAATAATTCTCAAATACGTTTTTAATTTTTAAGAGCATTAGCATTTTCCCTGTAGTTAAATTAAAAATTTTCTGCTTTTAAGCAGATTCCATTTTCATATTCTTGATCTGGCTTTCTTCTATCATACCTCCAGTAAACTGACAATCTACTTATATATTTCTAGAAACTAGAGACAAAACTTCTTAATATTGCTTTTGCTCCTTATTAAGGACAAGACTGGCAAAATTTGTATGTTTCTCTCTCATGTCCTTTTACCACTGTCATTCTTCTCCTTGTCCTGTTGTCCTGTGCACATCTCCCCACTTCCCTGGATAAGAGCATAGGTAAAGGTAAAATGAGAGCTGGTCAGAACTTAGTGGCCTTTGGGTCAATATATTGCTCAACCCATATTCTTTTACTTCTGTATCAAATGAGCTGAGGGAAATCCTAAAGATGACACAAGGAGCTTCCATGGCTACAGAGCCTCCATATTCAAGTTCAAGGTAAGAATTAATTAATGTTAAACTGATATAATGCCTTGGGTTTAAGGATTTTTTCCCTAAAGGGTTGGACTAGGTCATTGGTTCCTAACTTGAAGGCCCCAGACTTCCTCCCTACCAGATATTTGCAAAGAATAAGGACTGTTATTGACAGTATGTTAAAAAAAAAACTCAGAAATCATACATTCAACAAAAGACAACTAAAAATTCAAGTTTCTTTGTTTTATATTCAAAGCATCAACATAATGTTTGTGTTAGCATGGGTCCTAATCAATAGCTCTGATTAGAAGCTTTATTTTTATAAGTTAAAGGTGTGAAAATAATTATTAATACACAAAGTTTGCTTGATGGACACTCTCATAGCTTAAACTACCACCTATAGTTTCATGCTCATAAACATTGTACTCTTAAGATCAATCTCTCTGTCAGTTCCCAAACCAAATATCCAACTACCCAACAAATCGAATCAACCCCCATATGTTATATTGTTCCTTTGAACTGAACTCTTATTTTTCCTCTTACTTCCTGACCCTTCCTCTGGCTTCCCTACTTTCATTAACCCATCACCCTCTTGTCAGGTCCCAAGCAGGGCATTATGGAATCACCCTTAGTTTTTCATCTCCCCCTTTCTCAAACGCAACCATATAATTCTGTCACTTTATTTTATTTCAGAAATATGTCCTATTTATGTTTCTCCAAGTTCATGTTCATGCCACATCCTTGGCCTAGGTCCTCCACTCATAGTTGATAGTATAGTTGGTAATGTTGAAAGTAAGCCCTAAATTCTGTTCCTGACTCCTGGCTCTTCCCTGTGAAGTGTGCTCAACCCATGTTCACCACAGATCTTATCGTGGTACTTTTATTTATAAAATCTCTTCCATATTACTCAAAGAGCAAATCCAAAGTCCTTAGCAAGGATACAAGGTCTTTAGATATATAGCCTCAATCTAATAAACTGCTCTTTTCCTGTGGCTTCTGATCCATACCTTGTATTCCACACTCACTGAAAGATCTATACCCACTCTCATGTCTGTATTAGCTTCCTTAGCTGGCACTGCTCCCCTCTACCTAATTTGTCTTATTAACTTCTACTTTTTTTTTTTAAGACCCAACTGATTATCATCTATCTTTAGCTTTTCCTTCAGCCATGATTCCTCATTTCTTTTCATTGTACTCTCACTATATCATTCTATTCATGTATTCATCCATTTAATAATCCATTGGTTGATATGTCTATCCATTCATTTGTCCATATATTCATCCCTCTAGTCATCCACCCAAATATTTGTTGACTTTCCACTATGTGTTCTAGTAACTGATGATACAGCAGAGAATAATACAAAGTACTTAACCTCATGATTTTTATACATTCTAGTGTGAAATAAATAATAAGCAAATAAATGTTAAAATAATATTACTTCAGGTAGTAATCAGTGCCATTAATAAAAATAAAGCAGTTTAAGAATATAGAGGGTAGCAGAAGTTGGGGAGTGTTACTATAACAAAATAACACAGACTGTAATTTATAAAGAACAGAAATGTATTGCCCACAGTCCTAGAGGCTGGAAAGTCCAAGATTAAGACATTGGCAGGTTTGGTTTTCCAGTGAGACCTACTCACTGCTTCCAAGAGGGAACCTTGTTGATGCATCCTCTGGGAGGAGAGGAATGCTGTGGCACACATGGCAGAAAGCAGAAGGGCAAGCTAGCCAAATGCTGCTGGAAACCTCTTTTATAAGGGCATTAATTCCATTCATGAGGGAGGACCTCTCATGACCTAATCACTTGTCAAAGGCCCTCCCTCTTAACACTATCACATTGGCAACACCTGAATTTTGGAGGGAACACATTCAAACCACAGCAGGGAGGCTGGCTGCATTAAATCAAGAGGTCAGGGATGGTCTTTCTAAGGAAGTGATAATTGAGCTGAATTAAGAGCAGTAGCCATGCTGGTAAACTTCAAATGGATTGGATTTGGGCAATGAGGGAAACAGGAATGAATGATGAAGTCTAGGCTGGAGACATGGGCAGCTGAGTGAACAGTGGCACCATTTCCTGAGATGAAGCAGATTGAAAGGGCGTAAGATAGAGGATAATATGTTTATTGTACAGTTATTTAATTACAGATTTACATCTCACATTAGTTTGTGCATTCCTTGCAGAGTTGTGACATGTTTTCTTTATTTTTGGACTAAATAATAGTGGCAAAATATTTAAAAATAAGTAGGGGAGAACTATGGGGGGAGGAGGCTCATAAAAAGGCCACTACATGGCAAAAACATGTAGGACAATTTTACTACTTTATTTCTAGAGTCATTTCTAGCTCTACAATTGTGTGGTCTTAAGTCTTAAAATTTCAAGATAAATTACCCAGTCATTGAAAATCAGGTACTTATTACCAACAGGTATTCAGAATACTATTCCTCATATACAAAAATATTGCCTTGTTCTCTAGAAGTTTTCAACTTAAAATAGCATCCTCAATATTGATCAGAAGAGCAAATTGGAATACAAATTAATAAAATAGCAAAAAAATTCTTAAATATGGTTAATATTAGAGAGGTCTTGAAGCAATACTATAAGCTCAATGCCATATTTTTATGACATCTTTTTGATTACTCACATGATCTATCTCTCTTTCAAACATGGATCACACTTGTGGATCATTTATCATGTTCTAAGGAGGCAACACATAATCATAGGAATAACAGAGGGAATGGAAAATAGAGCCTAGTGCCTCTTCTACCACTTACATTGGGAAATCAATTTGAGATTTCCAAACCTCATTTTCACTGACTAAGAAATAGGGATAATCATACAGGCCCTAAACATTTCATAGGGTTATAGTGGCCCTTAGCCAAGTGACTTTGTGGACTTAAAAGTTGTTCATAAATTGTAACGCTTTGCTCATAGTCAAAGTAATCCCTTTTGCTTGTAAAATATTTGGCATTTCCAAGCACTGCAAAAGCCTCAAAGACATAATCACTATTCCCAAAGAGCTTACCCTGTAGTAGGAGTAATATTAGCATACCCAAGGAACTGTATATCAAGACATAAGAGAGATGCAAAGCAAGATGCAGGAAGTGATACAATTAGTGTCATTTCTCATTGTAATTATTGCTGTACTAATTTATTTCCCATAGAGGTAATAAATTCCTGAATGGTAGAGACCATGTCTTGTCTAATATTATTATATTCCCATTATTGGCAGAAGTTAAGAGCTCAATAAAGATTAGTTATATCAATGAGCCCAAATAAGGAAGCTGGGCTGAGGAACCATTATCACTACATATATAATCTTTTGGTTTATATATATGGTTCCCTTGTTCCCCCTGTGTCTCCTTGCTTTTGGACTTTGGAATGTCCACTTTATGGAACTAAATTAGTTTTCTTGGGCTGTACTCCTTATTCTGGATGTCAGCTTACCCTCCTATAAATATTTCCAAAGACATTCCCAAAAGATATGCCCACCTCAATTTTCCTAAGAGAAGTATATTTCCCATAGATGTTTTAGCAAAGTTAGTTCAACTTCTTGAAGTTTGTGGAAAAGATGGTTTAGAGTTATAATTATTCTTATTCACTGATCTTAGTACATCTTACAATAGCTTATTATAGATATATTAGTAATTGCTTATACTAAAATTCCCCAACACCCCAGAGGAGTCATCAAGAGACATGCTCCCAGGTTATATCCTGACACCTCCAACTTAATCTGGTTAACTGTAGTAAGATTGTTACAGATGCAGGAAACAGCTGCAAAATGACATACTTTGCCCGGAAACTTGGTTTCTATGGTTTTAAGCCAAACTTGCTATCTCTTCTGAATACACACTTTTGTGCAATGATGTCTTTCCCACGTGCATTCCAAATACATGTGCCAATTTTTAAGTATGACTCAGCATGAGTATTGAACTTGCCTGTCTTCACAGAACACATGGCTCAGTCTCATGACAGGTTATACAATACAGAAAGGAATTATTTGATCATTTATGTTATGTCATAATTGTTTCATGGCCATTTAAGATCATGGTGCCCAGAGATATGCCATCAAATAAGTATAACTAGCTGGATGTTTTTGGTTCACGTGAGTTTTGTTGTTGGGTCATGCTGATTTGTGCAAAAAAACAAAAATCATGATGTATTTGGGAAAATTTCCTCTTTCAGAAGTCAGGAGGTCAGGATTCTGGTTCTATCTTTTCCACTAATTAATTTGATAACCTTGGAAAAACTATTTTACCTTTTAAAATCCACTATTATTACTGCTTAATAGAATTTCACTGAGTTTATAATGGTTCTTTCTAGCCAGAACATTCTTTACTGCTAATCACTTTTGGCATTAAATTACATTAGCCTGATTAATTACTTAGCTTAGGAAAAGCAGTGTTTAATAAAATTTTGAATAGCAGAAGGCAGATTATTTGGTGATGTAAATAAAAAGAATGCATTTGTATGTATCAGAAGCAGTCTAAGACTAGAAATTCTAATATATAGAATAATTCCAATAAGAACAATTCTAATTAGTTGTCCCTTAACTAAGAAACTAAGGGACTTGTTACCCTACCTAACACATTGTCAAGTGAGACTTGCTATTGTTCCAGAATTGGAAACAGGGATCCAGAATTAGAAGCAGAAGGACACATAGAATCCCCATGTTCTAATAAGGTTACTTAATGAGTACTATTGGGGCCAGACCTTTTCAGGTCTTATTAAAAGATGACCAAGTTGGCTGTTTTACTTCAAACATCACTGTATCCTGACTACCTATCTATATGAGCAGAAACTATACAGACTACAGAAATTTGAGAATAATTGGAGTCTAAGCAGAGATAACTGAAACACTTTTACTTCCTCTACAGAAGCGATAGATAGTGGTTCCTTGAGGAATCACTTCCTTCCCTGAGTCAAGAGATCCAAAGGAGCCAATCCTAGAGATTAGAGGAGACAGCCACTGGCATCTCATTCTCTGTGGGATGTATGCCCAGGTGGATAACTTGCTGAGCTGCTCTCTGTGTGGAATTAAGCAAAAGAAAAGGAACTGGAGAAATATGGCATAAATGAGGGAGGGGATAAAAATGGAGCAGGGGTACACCTCACTCCCCCTGTCATGGCAGGATGGATGCAATACTCATAGGCAAAGTATCTTCCAGGCAAAGGCAACCTAGAAGCAAGAGGCTGTGGGTTGAATGAGTATAGGAAGACACTTATGGAGATTGACAATGTCAATCTAGACCAAATATCCTCAGGCAGAAATTTTAGTTAGAAGACCCAACAAGGGTCATCTAAAGATCCCACTTATGTGTCCATTCGAGGGCCATCATATCAAGATCATCTCACAGAGAGGACTGCTGTAGCTATAGATAAGTAAGAAACGTTTGCTTCCAATCTTTCGTTTCTCCTGTCTGCTTCCCACATGCCACAAGAGAAGGGGACTCAGCAAGGGAACAAAGATGAGTTAATGGAGCACTCCATGCCCCTTCCTTATTCCATATTCTTCAGGCCACAGCTAACTTGAACTAGAGGAAGCGTGGATAAAAGACTAAAGTTTGAAATGACAAATTGGATCGAACTTTTTGATAACTGGAAGTGGCTGGAAAACTATGGAAATTGACTGAGATTTTACAAAGAGGTGGTAAATGAACAGCCCTCCTGGCATAGTGAAAGTCGTTTAAAAAAAAAGCCGAAAACCATTTTATTTCTGTATTCCACTGAATCCAGAATGTTCAACAATCTGGCAGCCAAATTATAATATTCTAATGCTTTGATTCAGAATTTTAAATGTAGGAATCCCGGCTTTGCTTCATATGGTGTTGTTTCTGTCACTATTGAGTGGATATGTGGCTACTTCTAGCTTAGTGTCCAGAATGTGTGGAAATTCATGAAACACTAGGGTCTACAAAAAGGAAAGAACATTGGGTTAATGTTACAAATTATTTACAGAAAATATCTGTACATTTTTTATTGGGAGACAGTTCTCCATGAATACTTTTATATTTTTGTATAGCTCAGGTTTCAATAGCAAATATGTGCTGGAAAGTAGAAATGGTGCATTGCTCCAGAAAGATTTAGAGACTCATCTCTCCAGAGCCACTTGCTTACGTTCCATGGTCAAGCCCTTCCCCTCCATTTCCCAGATGTATTAGTCTGTTCTCACACTGCTATGAAGAAATACCCAAGAGAAGGTAATTTACAAATAAAATAGGTTTAATCGACTCACAGTTCTGCATGGCTGGGGAAGCCTCAGAAAAGTTACAATCATGGCAGAAGGCACCTTTTCACAGGGTGGCAGGAGAGAGAATGAATGCCAGCAGGGGAAATGCCAGACACTTAAAAAACCATCACATCTCCTGAGAACTCACTCACTATCACGAGAACAGCATGGGGGAAACTGTCCCCAAGATTCAAATACCTTCCACTGGTCCCTCCCATGACATGTGGGGATTATGGCATTGCAATTCAAGATGAGATTTGAGTGTGCACACAAAGCTAAAAAAAATATAATCAGAGAAAATTTGGTTGCATTTCAGGGTAAATGTTTCTCTCTCTATGGAGAGGAGGAGGGGCACATGTCCCACGCTATGTAAGTTCTGAGTCATAATTTCAGGTTTCTTCTCCTGTTATACAAACCCCATTGCATGCCCAAATGAATAACTCGTCCTTATGCTGGTAGCAGAAGTGGAGCTAAAATGCTTCTGGTGGGGAAACTGGAGCTAAAATGCTCTATGAGAGCATGTTTTCTGTTAGTATTTATGGCATACACTACATATACATACATATAGACATATACTACATATATATGTGTGTAACATATGTTAATTTTTGTAAATAACAATAAAATAAAGGTATTAAATATTATGATGTTAAACAACTTTATTCTACTCATGTTTATAAAAATTCACATATACAACAAAATAGTCAGTTTTAAGCCCAGAAACTAGTATAAAGCATTTAATATTTTATTTTTACTGTATTATTAAATTTTACAAATTGTTTTGGTAATACTAATAGTTTAACTTGTTTGAAGAATTAAAGTACTTGGTTTGTATTTCTTGGGATGGCCCTAACACATTTGAACAACATTCATTCCGTTAGAAAAATACACTGTAAAGATCTATTATCAAGAAAGAAATTTCGTAAGTATTGAGTGCTATAGATTTTACAGTTAAGGTCTAAACTTGGTGCATATTTTGAATTTTGACCCAGCTGGGTATATCTTTAAGGGTCAGTAGGAAAAATTGTTTTAATGAAGATCTGTTGAGGTTCCCGACAGCAACCTTGGCTGGATGAGCTGGGTTGCTTTAGGTCAATGGCCACATTCCTTACTTTCCTGCCAAATGTAGCACAGAGAGAGGGAGTTGAGGTATGAAACAATAGGAATTAGTGAGGAGGGATGATTTTGAGTGTAGAACATCACAGTACCACTTTTCCTGTCCTCCTGCCTTGCTCCAGGGCAATTGCCCTGGGTCCTTAGCAAGAAGGAGACAAAAATGAAATAGTAGATCTAATCAGATGGAAGATTTCATCTTTTGTGCTGAAGTAGAAGAGATAACACAAAGTAGTATATTTTGTGATCAAGTTGAAGATGGTTCAACAAACAATGAGCTCCTACTGTGGGTAAGGTACTGTGCTAGGCACTCAGGTCTACAAGATGGATAAGATGGAGTTCAAAACTGTGTCTGTGTGTCAGGGGGTGAGAGGGTTGTTGAAAACCAGAAAAAGGATTCCAATGTAAAGTAGTAAGTACAGGGATAGAGAAGCAAAAACTCAGGCATGGGAAACAGTATGGTGTCCAAGGAGAACCACAGCAATTAAATAACAGTAGAACGGCAGTCCTTAATCTTGGCTGCATAGTAGAATCATCTCATGAACTTTTAAAAAATGCCCATGACCAGGCCTGACCCAAGAGAAATCAAATCTGAATTTCCGGAGGTGGGGTCCAGGCACTGGTAATTTTTTAAAGCTTCCCAGGTGATTCTCATTGCATTCCAGTTGAAACCCACTGTAATGGTCATTGAGGGTGAATAAGTATTTGAAAATGCTATGTGAACTACAAAGCCCCACTCCGCTGCCAGACTGAGAGCCCTTTAACATAGAGATCATGTCTTATTTGTCTTTATATCTCCACACTTACCAATATAGGATCTGTCACATAGAAGAAGCATGGTATATATCTGCTGAATGGGTGAATGAATGAATAAATCAACAATGCGAATAAACACATATTGAAGTCTTGAAACAGCATTTAAACAGAAAAAAAAATGATTAAAGGGAAAATATGCACTTACGGTTTATATTCAAACAGAAAGTTTAGACAGGCATATAAACTTATGGACTGATTCAAATTAAGTTGATTTATTGCAACTTTCAAACATAATGTGAATGAACCTTAAAAATATATACAGAAATATGTCCCTGCTTTTGAGTGCTCCAGCTGAGAACATGGCTTGGTGAACAGACAATTTAAACAACAACAGATCCCAGAAAAAAAATTCAATATTTGAAATCAGAACACAGTGGAAATCTTGGAAAGTAATCATGTTTTATTTGGAGCCTCCCATTTTTATTTTGAGCCTCCCATTTTAATTTTTTAGATGGCCTGGTTTTGAATAAAATCACATACACGTGTGTGTGTGTGTGTGTGTGTGTATACATAATTGATGTGTGGATTCAGACATTATGGAAATGTTCAGATAAAATTAATCTGTAATCCAGAAGTGATTAATGAGTTTTAAATTTAAGAAAAAAGTTGCTTGCTTTTTCAACGGATGAGGAAAGGCAAAGAACTAAAAATACATTGTATTTTCACTCTGCACTTTGCAATTTCTAAGGAAATATCATAAGAAATTGTGTCCTCATTATTGATGTCAAAGAAAAGCTAACCTTTTTGTGCTTTTGCTGCAAGTTGACTTTGTAGCTAACTGGTCACCATTCTGCCCCTGATACATACTCATTTATCAGTATCACTTCCAAGGAAGGAGTTAGTGTATGCTTCCATCAAATGCCTGAGGAGTGCATGTGGGCAAGAAAGAGAAACCATGTTAAGGGAAAAAAGAGACTCCCGTAGAAAGAGCACCTCAGGGAAGTACTGATCATGAGAATAAAGTTTTCATAGTTCAGAATTAAACAGGTATCGAGATCTAATTAGAACTCTCTTCTAGGAACACAGGGATAATTCATGTGTGCCTTAGAAATGTAACACAAAGCTGGAAATAATATTATTTTGAGTGGTATCTCATATAGGGAGATCTTTTAGAAAATAAAGGCGTGTGATGAGCAAACAGAAGGTAGGAGTACGGCACCAAATTAGCGGCCAGGGATACAGAGCAGCACACCTGGGGTCCTCTTGTCTAGGTAGGGGAATGGCAGTATGGAGCAAACCCAAGCACTCAAGGAAAATAGGCAGCAAGTAGGAGGACTGCCTCTGCACTGGCATGTTCACTATGTCTGCCCCTGATCACTTCACTAAATTTCTTTCTACATACACTTTTAATTATTTCAATCTCTCTGTTAAATTTCTTTGATAAATTTCTGAATTGATTCTTTGTGTTTTCCTAAAGTTTGTTCAGCTTCCTTAAAACAACTATTTTGAATTTTTTGTCTGGGAGATAACACATCTCCATCACTTTAGGGTTGGTCTCTGGCACTTTATTTTGTTCATTTAGTGAGATCATATTTCCCTGAATGTTCTTAATGCTCCTTGCACAGATGCTTGTGGATGTGCCACAATGTCTGTATATCGAGGGATTAGGTACTTAATTTAGTCTTGAAAGTCTTGCTTTGTGCCTGTCCTTTTTCAGAGGGCCTTTCAGGGATTCTAAGCAGACTGACCACTATGTTCCCTGAGCCTGTGACCACTGCACCTCTCTCAGCACTAGGGGACAGTCTAAGACCAGGCTTGCTGAGAGTATCAGGAGGACTCTGAGGCTGATATGGCTTTTGGGGCCAGATGGACCTAGGGAAGACCCAAGGAGGATACTAGAGCTGTGTAGAAATGGTCGCCAGGGACCTGAGTACAGGAAACTGTTCTGGTGACCCAGAGAGGTGTGCCTCCCCGCAAGTTTCTGCACCGGTAGGATATTTTCCTGACTGGAGCCAGAGGGGCTGGAGCTAAGATGGTCCTTGCTTGGGATCTGTTGTGGAATATAGGCTGGAGAACCCAGTCTCATTGGCTCAGAGGGGTGTATGTCTCCCAAGAATTCCCTGCATAGATGGAATAGTTTCCTGACTGCAGCGAGGTGCGCTGGAGCTAACAGTCGGCCTCTCAGAATCTGCTGTGTGGCAGAGGCTGGAGAGCCTGGTCTGATTTGCTCAGAGGAGCACATGTCTTCTAGCAAAACTGGATAGTTCCCTGAGGCTAAGGGAAGGGCCAGAGCCGAAACGGAGTCCCCTTGGGATCTGCTGTGGGACAGAGATTGGTGAGCCCATTAGGGAGACTCAGACTGCCAGGCTGTGAGATATGGTCAAGTCTCCCTCTGGGTCCTTACAAAAGCAGCTCTGAACTGGAAACTCAATGAAGTGGGGACTGGAGCAGATCCATGGAAGGCAACTTTCAGAAGCATGGTCGAGACCATTGTCAGTGGGCAGATGAGCCTCTCTACCAAGGCACTAGTGTGAGGGAATTCCTCTGGACTCCTTGGCAAATGGTTTTGGTTGCAGGCTCATAAACTAATGGAAATGTGGCCAACCGGCTTAGAAGACTGGGCTGTTTTTGAGCTGGAACTCAGGAACAGATTCAGTGGATTAGACACCTGGGTGTTGGTCTACACTCTCAAAATGACCCTTCAAGGTCTGGCCTTGGGCTCCAATGGGGCTTCACAAACTCCCACATCAATCCTGAGGCTCCTCAGAGAAACTTTTGACTGTGGATGGGTACAAATTCTTGTTGTGGTGGTGGGATATAAGTGGGTTACCTTCTATTTTACCATCTTAGTGATGTCCTCTTTCTACATGCACTTAATGACACTTAAATGATAGCAGCTGAGACCATTTTTCAAGAGCTGCTATTTAATGCGGTAAGAACTTATGCTACATTTCTGGGTTGGAGTCTACTGGCCCGTGCAAGCTAATCTGAAGATGATTAGCAACTCATTTGACAAGGTAGGTTAGAACTGAAATGAATGAGTTAACTATTGTCCCTTAGCCTTGTTTATATCCTCATCATATCCCATCAGTATTATTATAATCATCCTCTACCCAGTCTCCCTGATCCCAGTCTACCTGCATAATCATCTTCTTAAAATGTAAATCTAATAATATTGCTCCTTAACATCACTGCGTAGAAAATCTACAATGTGTTTTATCACCATAGAGTAAATCCCCAAAATCTAAATATGGTATAATAAGGCAATTGCCACCAGTTACTTTTCCAGCTTCTTTGTTAGGTACCTCTCCCACCCCCATCATCTTTCGCTAATTACAGAAACATTCCCACTCTCCAATGAACATTCCTTACTCTTCCATGCCTCCATTCCTTGGCTTTTACTGTTTTCTATGTCGAGAACACTCAACCTCCAAATTGCTGAAATTCCATGCATCCTTCAAGAATAGGTTCAAATCCTACTTTTGAGTAGGTTTTCCCAAACTTTCAGGCTAAGCTTTATTTGAGAACTTTGTTCACTTTTTCTTTCTGATCATTATAGAACACTAAAAATGTGAATTACCTATTCATGTTTGTCTCCTTCATAAAACCATGAGCTCATTAGAGCCAAGGGATCAATCTGATTTGTCTTGTTATTCTCAGTTCTTAGTACTCAGCATGGTATCCAAGACATAGTACATTCTCAAATATTTTTGTTGAATGAATAAATGAATATATATTGTATTATATAGGATTAGGTTTGAATCTATAGAAACTCTATGACTCAGCAAGATAGAAGAATTTTTCTTTTTCCTCATATAAAGGATATTTAGAGACAGGCAATCTAAGGCTGTATATTGGCTCAATGTTGGCATCAGTGTCACAAGAGAAACTCTGCTACCCATCTTCTGTAGACTGAATTATGTGCTCAGAGTCCTAACCCCCCGATGTGACTATATCTGGAGATAGAAACTTTGTGGAGGCAGTTAAATTAGGTCATAAGGGTGAGGTCATGCCATGAACTAAATGTCTGTCCCCACTACCCCATTTGTATGTTGAAAGTCTAATTCTTAATGTGATAATATTTAGAGACAGGACCTTTGGGAGGTAATTAGTTATGAGAGTAGAACCCTATGTGAATGGGTTTAATGCCTTTATACAAAGAGACAGGAAAGAGTTTGCTTCCCCTACTCTCGTTAGGAAACCAGGAAGAGGGCCCTAAACAGACATTGGATCTGCCAGTATCTTGCTCCTGAACTTCCAGCCTCCAGAACTGTGAGAAATAATTTTATGTTGTTTAAACCATCTACTCTATGGTATCTTGTTATAATAGCTCAAACTGACCAAGATAGGCCCTGATATGCTAAGATTAGTTTATTGTTTTTATCAGAAGAGAGGCATCAGAAAACCCTCTCTTACCCATCTCTGCCCTGAATTCTTGAGTTCACAAAGAAAAAGACATGGGCAAACAGTGTGGTAGCAGATGCCTACAAGCCAGGAAGAGATGCCTCACCAGAAACCAACCATGCTGACACCTGATCTCAGACTTTGAGCCTCCAGGACTGTGAGAAAATAAATATCTGTTGTTTAAGCCACCCTGTCTGTGGCATTTTATTAAGGCAGCCTGAGCTAAAACATTAGTTTTAACTTCAAGATCTCCTTCTGGTCTAAAATGGCTGCTGGAGTATCGGTGATTACATCTGAGTTTTGGGCAATAGGAAGGAAGAAGGAGGAGAAGGAAAAAGGGTGAGAAGTTCCCTCTCTTAACTGAGTCAGTGCTCCTTCAAAATTTCTCAGATATTCACTTAAGTACCTTGTTCACCCCTGGCTTCAAGGAAACCTGGAAAATGTACTGTGTAAGCTGGATACATTGCCAGGCATACAATCAAGCTTCTGTTTGTGAGGAAGGTGGGGAAAAAGGCTATTAGGTCAGCACTTAGTAGTTCTGGTCAGAAATGTCTTCATGACCCCCCACCCCCCTACCCCCCACAGTTGTGGCTTTTGGATGGAAAGTCTGTGTCCTGGCTCTATAGAGTGGTCCCCTACACTGCACTGAATTTGTAAAAAGGGTGTCATTTGGGTAACATAGGCAAAGATCTAGACAAAAATGTTGAAGTACAGGATGTTTTGAATGCTACTATCATTTGATTAAAGAGTTGGATAGTACAATATTTTATAACATTCCTGGAAAGAGTTTTGAGGGGATGTTCATGTTCTCTTTTTCTCCCGGCAAGGAAAATCTGAATTAAATATTCCTATAAAATTGAGAGCCTATTCTGGACCTATCACTTCAGAAGAGTTGGTTATGCTACACTAATCAGATTTAATCCACCTTACTTGGAGATCAGCGTTCTATAGCCCAATTTGATTTACTTAATCAAATTGGAGGGGAGAAGGAATGAATATTAGGAGAGGACCACACTGGTTCTGCAGTTTCAGGGGAAATCAATCTTAAGAACTGAAGAGGTGGAGGATGGACATCTGCACTCCAATATTCTCCTGTAGTAGTGTCTTGGGTTTGAGCCCACAAAACTGTGACCAAACAATTGGGAGATTCTTGAAATGCTGTCACTATCCTGAAATTTCTAATTAACCACAAATATTCTGAGTGCTTTCTATGTTTAAACTGGCATGGCTAACCATCACTTTTTAGGGTGATCTGAATGGGTTTGAATTGAGTAACTCATTTTCCTGGTATTCCCAGCTGGCTTACTGTCATTTCATTATGCTTGTAGCAATACCACAGTTATTTAATAAATTCAATTCCACATGTTGCCCAATTGAATTTCGGGGTCTCATAATGGTCCTATGACTAGCTTCTGCTGTTTTTTACATTGCCATCTGAATGGGAAAAGGAAATAATATCCATCAATGCCTGTTTTGTATCATATCTAGGTTGAAGACCCTTCTGCCTGTCACATTGACTGATATTTCCTCACTAGAAACCTTATTTTATAGAATTGGCATCTTCTTTTAGAATGTGATTACCTGGAGATTAAAGAACGTTGCCCAAAGTAATCCAAAGTGTTAGTGGTTGTGATCATTAATTTTATGTGTCAACTTGACTGCTCTAAGAGATACCCAGATAGCTGGTAAAAAATTACTTCTGAGCATGACTGTGAGGGTGTTTCCAAGAGAGATTAGTCTTTGTATTAGTAGACTGAGTAAAGAAGGTCAGTCTCACCCACGCAGGTAGGCATCATGCAATCCACTGAAGGCCCAAATAGAACAAAATGGCAGAACAAAGGCAAATGCTCTTTCTCCTTTAGCACGGACATTCATCATCTTCTCTCATTAGACATTGGTGCTTCTGGTTTTCAGGATTTTGAACTCAGACTAAGACTTGTATCAGTGACTTTCTTGTGCTCAGGCC
The DNA here is from genome assembly GCF_000001405.40 of Homo sapiens. Taxonomy (NCBI): domain Eukaryota; kingdom Metazoa; phylum Chordata; class Mammalia; order Primates; family Hominidae; genus Homo; species Homo sapiens. Next base: position 99,119,320 of record NC_000003.12, read on the forward strand.
TCAGCCTTGGACTGAAACTACAGCATCAGCTCTCCTGGGGTTTCAGCTTGCAGATGGCAGGTCATGGGACTTCTCGGCCCCCATAACTGTGTGAGCCAATCCCTCAAAATAAGCCTCTTTTTACCTATCTCTATATATCCTTTTGATTCTATTTCTCTGGAGAACCCTGGCTAACACAGTGGCTGAGCAGAGGTTGTGACTCATACTATTCATCCATCTACCACATGTCAACATTTAGACTAAAAGGTAATATTTATTGAAAATTAACTGTGTGGAAGGCTCTGTGTTCTCCACTCCATTTCCATCATGCTTTTTTACTCAGTAAAGCCCTCCAAGAGCTCTATTATCCTCCCATTTTGCAAATGAGGAAACATGGAGATGTTTTGTGAGTAGCCCAAGTAGGTGAGCAGTGATTCATACCAGTATTATTTGACTTCCAAGCTTATTTTCTTAATCAAATGCTAACTTCTGTAGCACAGAAAGAGGAAGCATATTGTAATCATTAGGAGGCTGGGCTCTGCAATATGGGTTAAAAGCCTGGCTCGGCCTCTTTCTAGATCTATAACATTGCACAGTTTATTCAAACTGTACATATCAGCATCTTTCTTTACCTGTAAAATTAATATAATTATAGTGCTTACTTCCTATGGTGGGGGTGAATAATAAATGAGAGATAATGTTCCATGGCTTTCCAAGGCATTCTCCAGCATCACTTTCCACAATGACCTGGTGCCCTGACCACAGCCATTTGTTATTTGGAAAGATATAAGCTAAAGTCATTTATGATAAAGAGTTAACAATCAATATTATTGATTGCTATTTAAGCAGAAAGATTTTAAATACTTGATGTTTTAACATGTTTTTTAAGCAACTGAGATTTGCATTTCAAATGAAATTTCAAGTAAGAGCCAAAATGTAATACAGACAAAAACAGCAGTCTAATTAGATGCCTACCAGGTTTTGGGTCTGCTAGTGGTAAGCCAAGGGTAAGTGGGAAGACCAGTGGTGGGGATGAATATGGTGAAATCAGCCTGGACATGCTGGGCTCGTGGTGGATGAGGACATCAGGCAGAGAGACAGCAGGCAGGTGTAGCATGTGACTTGAGCTCAGGACAGACTGCAGATCTGAAGAGACAAGTACGGAAGTTGTCCGTGTTGGGTAGTTGCAGAAGTCAGGTGTTTGGAATGATTATGCAGAGTGGAGAAAGGGCCAGGGACAGAACCTTGAGGGAAATACCCCTACTAAAGGACTAGTTAGAAGAAGACGAACACGTGTAAGAGTCTAAGAAGAAAAGTCATGAAGGGGAGGCAATCATAGGGAAGGGAGCCACAGAAGCTGCTCCAGAGGTGCAAATCATGTTCTCCCTGTCGTCATGTTAGGGAACACACAATTCAAGTCAGTTCCCTTGAAAAACTCCCAAACTATTGGCTACAGCTGACCAGAGGCCAGAACTTGACAGAAGATGCAAGCTGAGACAATCAGATTCCCTCTTCTTGATGGATGTAACTGTAAAGGGAGACTCCAGTTCTTTTACTGAGTTTTGGAACTGGAAGCCATGTAAATCAGGACAGGGTCAGGGCAGCCATGCAGTGCAAAAGCAGAGAAAATCTGTTTCCAGACAGACGACTGAAACTGATCTGAGAAGTTATGACAGATTCAACGGGCATAGGGTGCTTAACAAAAGAAACAAATTTCAGGTTATCATTTTTGGTTCCAGTCCTTCAAAGGTCCAGAGAGATCGCTACTTCTGGGTTCTATTCCTTGAACTACCTCGAGTGGTTTGGATTACCAGCAGCTGGTAACCTTGCACTGAGGCATAAATCAAGAAAAAAAAGAGCGCTTCAAGGAGATTGTAGTTAATAGTATCTAGTGCTGCAACATGGTTAAGGAGACAGACTGAAGTATATATCCATCCATTTGGTGTACAAACAAGAGTATATTCAGAATTTTGGTGGTGGCAAAGATTTATGGGTAGTTGGAAGAATGAAATTGAAGTCACATGGCTCTTCAGCAGAGAAGAGTGAGGGATAGAAAGATGCAAAGCTGCAGATTTTAGGTGCAGGGTTTTCTTAAAATTAAAAATAAATAACATTCCCTGGGTGTAAAGAGCCAGTAGAAAAGGAGTCTTTGCTGAAGCAATGGTTTGCAAAGTAGAAGGTATGGGGTGCTGTGTACTCTGTGAGGTAAAAAATGATTTGCAAGGGTGCAGGAAGAGATATCAGTACTTCAACTTAAATATTTTATCTTTTGTGAATTCTATTTTTATGTAGTTTCATAATATACATAATATGTTATGAAAATGCTACAGTTGTGTAATTTATAAATAAATATACATACACTGAAGGTATATTCTCAAAAATTTTATTGATAGGGCTATATGCAATCAAAAAGTTTGAGGCCACAGTGCTAAAGTATCAAAGATGCAAGATGTTCATCCTCCTAAAAGCCAATAGGCATCACAGAGTCAGCCACATGAAAGCAAATGTTTTGGCAAAGTAAAAATAAAATAGCAGAAACGGGTGTGTCCTAATCTTAAAGATGCTTTACTTTTTTATCCCATTTTCTTTGTGCTTTCTTGAAATTTTTACTTCTTTCTTAATAAGGTGAGCTTTATGAAGCTGGAAACACAGAGGAACTCAATAAGTATTTTTTATTTGATTACCTTTCCAGACCAAAGACTTTTGGTCATGAATGACTGATCGTAGAATACCGAAAACATCAGGTGTGAAATAAAACCTTTCTGTGAAACAAGTGCCAGAAGGATATACTTTGCTGCTTTTTTTTTTTTAATTCAGTGGTCTTTGGATGTCCACTTGACTCACTCCTAATCAGTCCCAGAAAAAAAAGAAAGAAAGGCCTTTGGATTGCTAGTGCTAAGCAACTCAGCTTCTTCCTTTTTTCTTATTTGAAATTGTTGGAAAATAATACAGAAGACAGAAAACATCTTGCTCCAAACATTGAGAAACCTGGGTCTTGCTACAGCTTAATGATAATACTAATATCCATCAGTTGAGTAGCAACAGATTCATCTTGATATGCTGTTCATCTTTAGGCCCCTAGAAGATGGATTTTTCAGCTTATGCAAAAGGGTAGGGTTTTCTCTTTTGCTTTCCAGTTGGAGTGAGAGTGGGAGTATTTCATTTAAAAAGTCTAGAGACAGAGATTTTTGGCATAATTCTATGTATGAAAAGTGTAACTAATTGGCAAGGGAAAGGCCTGTCTTATAGATGCTCTTCTATGAAGGTAAAGCCAGGATCCTGGGAAGGAGTGGGATGGAGAGAAGTGATCAAGAGAACTGGACTGAGAGTGGAAAGCACAGATGAAAAACCAGAGCCTCGGTAAACTGCTAGGTGATTATCTGAAGCGGGTTCTCAATTAATGGTGAGTCATTGGGAAAAGGTTAGAAATAAAGTTTAGTATGATTTTTTAATATTCTATATATGTGAATGACTATATAACATGAATCTCTTTCTTGTCAGAAACCTCCTGGGGGTTATGTCATAACAAGAGATTATATTTAAATAAACTACCAGGTTGTCTTCTGGTTGCAGTATTTGCTTATTATTGATTTTCATGGTTAAATTGGCAGATTCTGCTCACTCAGGGATGTTACCTCTTCCTCCAGAAGTTATTACTTTCTCCATAAACTTCTCATCCATCAAAGTCTGACTTTTCAGAGAGAGATAGTCAAGTTTAACCTAAAAATCTATAATTGAATTTGTGCTGAGTATCAATATTATTTCCACACTGCACATCATTTCAGTGAAAAATTTTAATTCTTTATTTCCTTACTATATTACAAAATTTATATACAATGTTGATTTAGATTTCAAGTAGCTTTGCCATACATTGGCGGATCTACAGGCTTAAGTATAATAATTTCCAAATAACATTTTTCATGGGCAAAATTCAGATAAAGGGGCAAATGAAAACTAGAAGCATGAGATTGAAATAATTTATGATAAACTTATAGTTCATACTTTATAGTTTTGTAGGTTTATAGTTTTCCACAAACCCATTTGAGCATATTTAAGTGATAAAAATGTGAATTATGCATAAGATGCTGTGGTGGTTATGTAGGGAAAGTAAGTGACATCTTTTTCTCACCAGTTGAAAAATTCATGCCTGACACCCTGTATTAGTCAGGGTTCTCTAGAGAGACAGAACTAATGGGACATATATATATATATAAAATTAAGTATTGACTCACATGATCACGAGGTCCCACAATAAGCCATCTGCAGGCTGAGGAACAAGGAGAGTCAGTTCTATTTCCAAAACTGAAGAACATGGATTCCGATGTTCGAGGGCAGGAAGGATCCAGCACGGGATAAAGATGTGGGCTTGGAGGCTAGGCCAGTCTCTGTTTTCACATTTTTCTTCCTGTTTATATTCTAGCCAAGCTGGCAACTGATTAGATTGTGCCCATCCAGATTAAGGGTGGATCGGCCTTTCCCAGCCCACTGAGTCAAATGTTAATCTCTTTTGGCAACACCCCCACAGACACACCCAGTATCAGTACTGTGTAACCTTCAATCCAATCAAGTTGACACACAGTATTAACCATCACACACACCTGTAATAAAAGACAGATTGACAAGAGAAAAAGGTACCATGTTTATTTGACCAAAGTAAATGTGATATAGGAGGCTTCAGAAATGAAGACCCGAAGACCCGGGAAAAACTGTAATTTTAGGCTAAATCTGATGAAAGAAGTGGATAATTGTGGAGAAATATGAATGGACAAAAAAAGAGGATGATCTAACAGTAATAAACTAGGGGAAGGGGAGGTTCAGCAAGTTCTATTTGTTAAGATTATTTTCTGTTTAACGGTATGACATTTCTTCCCCCACGGGTGTAGGGCAGGACATCTGTCACATGAAATTCTTATGACCTACTTTTAGGGGAGGAAGGTCAGAGAATTTTTATGAACAGCTCTTACACAGCAAGGTAGGAGAAGTCACACAGAAAGTGACCTCCAAGGTGCCATATTTTGGGATAGGGTGTTTTGCTCACAGTCAGCTAATTTTATGTGTCGACTTGGCTAGACCATGTTGCCCACTTGTTTGGTCAAACATTAGCTTAGATGTTGCTGTGAAGATATATTTTATACGTTACTAACAGTTAAATCAACAAATAGACTTAGAGAAAAGTATATTACCTTTTGCACTGTGGGTGGGCCTCATTCAATCAGTTAAAGGTCTCAAGAGAATAGACTGAGGTCTCACAAAGAGGAAGGAATTCTCCTTCAAGACTGTCGTAAGAATCAAGAGTATGACATCAACTCCTGCCAAAATTTCCAGGCTGCCATTCTGCTGTGCAGATTTCAGACTTACCACAGTCTCTGTCTTTATGCATGCTTGTCTCTCTCTCTCTCTCTCTTTCTCTCTGTGTGTGTGTGTGTGTGTGTGTGTGTGTGTGTGTGTACATTCTATTGATTCTGTTTCTCTGGCGAAGCGTAGTACAGATAAGTTGAGATTTTCTTTTTTTCTCAGAGTAATTGAGTAAATTATATTGATATTTTGAGAACAGATAAAATCTTGTAAACATGTCTTCACATATCAAACATTTTTCCAAGCAAATAAAACATGGGCAGAAATGAATGTATCCAGGGACTTTGCATTTTATCAGGCACACCAGTGAGAACAGTGGAGCTCTGTTGCCTTCATTTATAAATGTTCTGCTGATTATTACCCACTTGATTCTGTTATTAGTTCCAACACCTGCTAGTTAGGAGAAGCACTGCCAAGTTCTGAAATGAAGTCCCTATACCGCCAACCTTACTTGGCCCAAAATATCCTTGTGGAAGTGCAGTCCAAGCATTTCCATAGCTGTGGTTAGTCTACCATTAAAAAATGAACCCAGATTGGAGATTATTAGAAATTTTCCAGATGCTAAGTCTATATATGCATTCTATCTGAAAAATTGTGTGCTTAGATATACAAAGGTTTACCCCATAATAATGAATGTTTAGTCTTGGCTGCTGCCCATTGTAAGCAACTGTAAGACGTTTCCTGCCATATTCTTCCTTGATGGGCTGATATTCAATAAGTTAGAAATATCTTTCAGCAAACAGATTGTATGTTTTAACTTTAATGGAATACCAAAAGGTTGAATAAGTCAAAATGTCTTTTTACATCTTTGGTTCCCCAAATACTCCCTGAATTGCAAAATGAATTCCATGGTAGACTTTCCCTTTCAGAGACTGTCCTTTCCCCTTGCTTTGAAAAGATGAACTAGTCTGTGTGGCTGTTCCTGTGCTCACAGAGGGTCATCCTGAATCATTATGTTGAAATGCCTACATCTCTATATTCTTCAACTCTACTGTAGTTGTAGAAGCACAGGTGTGAAAAAAATACTTGATTGATTTTCAGCTTCATTTTCACCTTACCTAATTCTGCAACAAAATAAACTGCAGTTTAATGAGAAACTCATCCAGGTACAGTGGGATAAACCATAGCAATCCTCAGACCAATTGTAAGTGTTTCTTTCTCCATTTATCCTTTACCACACAGTTGTCCCCTTTGTTCAGGAATCATGGTGAGAAGGTTGGGATTGGAGTGCCCTGGGATATTAGAATAAAATGTGTAAATGTGATGCATATTTAATTGCAGTTCTATAACTTGCAGTGCATTTTGAATGAATTGTTTGTCTTCCTAAAAGGTACAATCACTTCACTAATTTCAGCTGTCCTAAGTTTCTCACAACTTCCCTTCATATTCATATCGGAAAAGAGTCTTACTTTTTTTGCCAGGCCAAGAAAGAAAAATAGTTTATACTTCATTTTGTAAGAACTAAGTCAGACCAACGAACTTAGAAGGGTGAGTTTAAGTTGTCAAAAAAAAGAGACTCGGATAAAAAATGCCTCAGACTAAACATTCACACATCATCTCTCTGGACTTGACTTTGACCAGTCTGCTTTTACATCTCTGGAGATGTGTTGCAGGTGCCAGCCTCAGTGGTCTCCAGAGCTGCCAGCCTCCCATTCAGTGACCTAGGTGGCCACAGACATCTGACTATCATTGTGAAGTTTCAGAAAGTCTGAATAAACATCAACATTTTCATAAAGAAGCCGAGAAATTCCAGATGCAGCAAGCCAGTGAGAGAAATGCTGTGGAAAGGAAGTGGTAACAGGCACTCCCACATCTCTTGGACAGACATTCACATTTTCTACTCAGGGCATCTACTTACCCCCAAATGTAAGAACTGAACAAACATCACTTTCACAACCCATCCCAGTGAAGGCCTATTTTGATTCCAGAAATTTAGCAACTTGACCAAAGAAGTCTACCTATGAAAATTCCTGGCCACTTTCCTCCAATCTGAGACAAGAATGACAAGGAATATTTTTTCCCTCTCAGGAAAGAGAATCCTGCTGAGATTGGAATTGTCCATTCTAGACAGGGTCTGGCTTCTAGAATTTTAGGCAAGACACAATTAGTTAAAAAAAATGTGTGTAGTGAAATCAGACATACAGAAATACCATGAATAATTTTGAGTATTGTTATTTGATGTTTTAGAGGGAAAGAAATATTTTTTATTAGACATTTTAAAGGCCAGAATATTTTTCAAATATATTCTTTCTTCTAGGTTAACTGCTGCCCCTTTATTGAGGAACTGTCTTATTTAAATGTGGTAGAGAAGAATTCAGCTCAAAAATTGTTAATATTGGAAATAGAAATGATTCTTTCTGGAAACTGTAGCTCTATTGCTGTTATGCTGGTTGTCAGGTGGAATTTGGAACCAGATTTCCACATGTTCTGTTCCTGCGATAGCAGGATCCTTCCCTGTGTGAATGGAGGGTTTCACACCTTTGTACTCTATGTCAAGCGTTAAGCTTCCAATCACCATCCCTGAAAAGTATCCCTAAAAACATAGTGACAAGACAATATGTGTACTCAGATTTTTAGTGAGGAATATTCAGATAGTTCCATTTGAATTCAAATTCAGTAAAATGGAATGGTTTTAGCAAATAAGTTGCAACTATTTGTGTGGAAATTATTTCCTTTAGAGGTACCGTTCATACATTTAACACTTATGGAATTGCCTAGCATGTTCATGTGTATTTTTCCTTCTTAGTCTCTGCTTATAAAATGAAAAGTTTTGTTTCTCTAAAATTTTCAGGCATCTGAAAGTAGATGGAGAAATCTAAAAATGAAGAACAGAAATAGGTCTGACCATGAACAGCAAATCCCATGTACCAACTGAAATTAATGTTTTTCTTGATAGGCATATTGGAAAAAAGAAGATGCTAAGAAAAAAACTTATTATTAATGAGAATGTATTGGTTTCATTTAAACTAGGATCAGATTTTATAAATAGTAGGACTTTTAGCTTGATTATGTTATGGCCTAAACTGCCATGCAGAATTTGGTTTTCTTTTTTTCTTTTGATGTCTGCACTTTGTGAGGTTATCAATTAATCCTTTACAAGCTAATTGAAGTGCAGACTTGTGACAGAACAACAATTAGAATAAAAGGAGTTAATAAAACTATAGGACTGCGCCTTATGACTCAAAGTTTATGATCTACACGTTGAGTAATTTAGACAAGTCATCTGAAAAATAAATTTGAAGCCATTTAATTTTATTATTTATTTATTATTATTATCTGAGACAGAATCTTTCTCTGTCACCCAGGCTGGAATGCAGTGGTGTGATCTCAGCTGACTGCAACCTCCAACTCCCAGGTTCAAGTGATTCTCCTGCCTCAACCTCCTGAGTAGCTGGCATTACAGGTACGCACCACCACACATGGCTCATTTTTGTATTTTTAGTAGAGATGGGGTTCTACCATATTGGCCAGGCTGGTCTCAGACTCCTGGCCTCAAGTGATCTACCTGCCTTGGCCTCCCAAAGTACTGGGATTACAAGCATGAGCCAGTGTGCCCGGCCCAAATTAGCCATTTAAGAGTTCAGTAAACTCTGTTGATTGTTTGTATTTCACTCCATGCTAAGAAGACTATGACCTATTAACTTCAGAGTAATTCTCGCTAGTACTACAACCATAGGATTGAGCCAGCCATTATATTGAAAGTGAGGCTCTTGTACACATGGATTGAATGAACTCAAGACTGCCAACTATTGTCAGTTAGTAGCTGAATTGCAGAGATCTTGGCACAGAGTATTTAAAAATATGCTTTGGCTAGTCCCAAAAGAATTACTTTACTTTTAGAGTACTTTGAGAACACGCCATAAATGTGTGTTTGGCACAGGTCTATCTATTATATTCATTTGTATGTTTTCATGGAAACTATCAGTCCACCAAAGCTTTTATACAGAAATATAATATCCTTGAATGAAAGTGATTGGAAAAGAATCAATTTCCTCTGTATACTAGGGCTATAATAATAAAATGCATAAAGGGGTCAGGGGTTGGACAAACTTGTAGCATGACTTGTCCATTGTTTATCATCTATACTTCACATGTAAGAGTTAACAATATCAATTCAATCAATAGCAAGGCAGGAATGCTTGTTTCACTTAATGTTGAATACACACGCGCACACACACACACACACATATGCACACACAGTATATATGGAAAAAAGTCTCCCCTGGGATGGCAGAGTAGTGTTATTTCAAGAAAGCTGAACTTGGAATCTGGGAAACTTGGTCTAGCCCAGTTTTTCTATAAACTCATTGTGTAACCATAGGCAAGGCACAATTACTGTGAGTCTCAGTCTCCTTTTTGTAAATCAAAGGAGTCTGACTCTTTCTAAGATATTTTCAATCTGCACTTTTTGATCTTCAGGGGATGATAAGAGGAAAGTGGGAAGGGGGCAAATACAATGAATAATGAGATGACTTCCCAGATTTTGCTCCTTCCCAATGTCTGTGAATTCACCATGTCTGTGAATCTATTTTTATTAGCACAAGAAGCTCTCACAGCTCAAGCTCGGCATTTCCATAATTAGGTCAGGAACCAAAAAGAATGGCACAAACTAGCTAAATTCTTGAGTCATAATGACTCAGTAGCTTATGAGGCCAAATCAGAGTTTCTGTGGGAATAGCTAGCTTCATAAACATTCTTGGCATGATTGGCTTCAGGGACCATGCTTTGAACAAGCAACCTAAGGACACCGAGCAAGGTCTAGGGACAGAGATTCTGACTCAATCCAAGGGCTTCAACCTCTTCTCAGTCTGTATGACACAAGGCCTCTGACTTTGGCTAGTGCTGTGACTGCCACTTACTCTTCCTTGCTCTCAGTTCCACGTTTACAAGATGAGATGCTGTCTAAAGTCATTTACTGTTCTGTTATTTTTATGGGCTCTTTAGAATACGTAAAATATTTGGACTCTACAATAAAACAAAATAGTCAACTCCGATTCTCTACGTGTGTACTCTGCAAATTTAACTATATGCATTAGTTTTTATTGTGACATACAACAAGCTGACAATGTTCTTTTACTTGTGTGAAATTAATAAGCCTGACATCTTTGTATTCCTCCTATTCTTTTACGTCATATTCACTGGACATAGGCAATTCATTTGTGTATCTGTATGAGTCTGTTCTCACACTGAAATAAAGAAATACCTGAGACTGGGTAATTTATAAATAAAGGAGGTTTAATTGGCTCACAATTCTGCAGGCTGTATAGGAGGCATAGTGGCTTCTGCTCAGCTTCCAGAGAGGCCTCAGGAAACTTACCATAATGGCAGAAGGCAAAAGGGAAGCCAGCACTTCACATAATAGAGCAGGAGAAAGAGAGAGGGGTAAGGTGCCACACACCTTAAACAACCAGATCTCATGAGAACTCACTATTTTGATGACAGCACCAAGGGGGATGATGTTAAACCATTCAGGAGAAACTGTCCCCATGGTCCAGCCACCCACTAGACCCCACCTTCAACATTAGAGATTACAATTTGATGTGAGATTTGGTGGCGATGCAGATCCATATCAGCATCACTTGCTTCTCAGCTTTAATAGGCCTCCCTTAAACCCCCCAAAATCTATTCTTAAGTATTCTTTGAATTCTTCTTGTTGCATCAAAGAATTCTTCTTTTTAAGAAAAGACATAAAGTTCTCTGTAACGTGTAGCAATGATAGTCAACAGTGGGATATTGCCAGAGAAATGTAATGTGTATTAGTTTGCTGGTGCTGCAATAACCAAATTGGGTGGCTTAGACAACAGAACTGTGTTGTCTCAATGTTCTAGAGGATAGAAGTTTGAGACCAAGGTGTCAGCAGGGTCAGTTCCTTCTGAGGGCTGTGACAGAGAATCTGTTTCATGCCTCTTTCCTAGCATTTGGTGGTTTGTTAACAATCTGTCGTTCCTTGATTTGTAGAAGTGTCACTTCAGTTTCTGATGTCATCTTCACATGGTGTCTTCCACATTTGCTTATCTGTGTCCTACTTTCCCCTTTTTATAAGGAAACCAGTCATACTGGATGAGGGGCTACCCTAGTCCAGTATGACTGCATTTTACCTTAACTAATTAATATCTACAACAATTCTACTTCCAAATAGGGTCACATTTTAGGGGAATGCAATTCAACCTATTGTATATGGCTTCCAATATTCTTAGTGTGGGGAGAATCCCATTAATGAAATTGGTTTCAGAGCTCAGTTGATCAAAGTTTCAGAGCTCAGTTGCTTTAATAACACATTTCTATGGAAGACTCTTGGCTAAATTATGCAGAACCAATGAGTTTGCTGTTATTCTGCTGTCTCTTTCTGGGTCCTTTTGCTCTTGGTGGGTCTGCTACCCTTAATTCTTTTGTATTACCTGCCCTTCAGAACAGATACGTAATTTATAATTAAACTTCTGTCACAGACTTTGTCGATTTAGGGAACATCTCTGATCTCTCTTGCTAATCATGACAGAATTTTGGAGTCTATTTAACTTCTTAGCTGGTAGCTCTATCTGACATGCTTACAGAATTACGAGATGTTAAATTTTAAAAATTATCTCTCTATATTTCACTTCAAACCATCCTCTTCACTTTCGTCTTCAACAAGGTAACTAACCATTTTAGCCAGCTCCTCATTTCTGTGACTTGTTCTTTTATTCTGGTCTCAGAAAACCTTAGCCTTCTTAAGTCTTCTCTCCCTTCATCTCCAGTATCCAACTTGTCAAAAGTTACTATAATTTTTCTCTTTGACTTGTCTCTAATGTCCACCGTACCTGTTTTAAGCACTTTATTTGGGGAAAATATTCCTATCTTTGCCTGTTCACAGAAATATCTAGAACCTATTCTTTGTGAGGGAGAAAGGGTGGGGCCTAAGATTTATCAAGCACAAGGTACTTTGCTAGGCACTGTACATAGACTATCTTATTTTAATCACATAATAATCCCATGATATGTTTTTGCCTAACTTTATGAACAGATACAGAAAAATCTAAACACATTATTTGTGACCATAAACTAATAGCCAAGGAGAAAACATCTCCGGAGTTTTTCACATTTCAGGAAGAACTGCTGGACTTTAACACCATTTGAATGATAATAATAATGATGATAATATATTTATTAACCACTTACTTCCTGTTAGGCTCTGGCCCACAAGGGCTTTGACTACTTTATGCCATTTTATCCTCATAACAACCTTTGGAGGAAGGTGAAAACTTTGTTTTACAACATGAGAAAACTGAGGCTAAGGGAGGTAAAATAACTTGACCAAAGTTTCATAGCTGGGAATTAGTAGAACCTATATTGGAACTCAATCAGCTTGAGTTCAGACCCTTTACTTTTAATGACAACACTATTTGAAAATGTGAGATATCACACATTGTTTTCTACTTAGTCATCTTTTGCAAAAGCACTCCCAGCTCTCTTCATTAAAATTGCCACACTTAAACACTACACTACACATCTTGCCATAATTTCTAGCTGAGTGTTGGGCACAAAGTTTATGTGCAATACATACTTTCAGTAATTTCCTCCATAATTAAAAGCTGTTTCTTTTAACTAGCCACATGAATGTGATTTTAAATACACTAAACACAACTGGAAAAGTCATTACTAAATTATGGGTTGAGAAAAATATTGGACACAGAGTTGACACTAATGTTTTAGCCCTGCTTTGTCACTAACACCTGTGATACTCAGTTTTTTCATCTGTAAATTGAAAAGCTTTGTTTTAGAATGTTTCAGTATAAAATGATTTTTTAAAATATTTTTTACAGTTTTAATAGAGCTATCAATTTACATATGTGACATAATATTATACGAAGTAAGTAAAACAGACATGACCATATCTTTGATGTATAATCTGAGACAGAAAATTCTTTTACATAATTAATTTCTCTGGATATACTATTTATCTTTTTATACTTATTTTGGATTCATTAGAATATATATAATTTTTTATCTGAAATTTAAAATAAGTTACCAATACATTTTGATTGGCAGGTAGGTGTTGATGGTTAGCATTTTGATAACCAAATCTCATTCATCTTCATTTTGCATAATACCTCATTCCACTTCAAGAAACTTTCCCAAGCATAATATTTTCTTGCTTGATATGTTAGAATAGTGATCTACAACTTTTTTTTTATTTTATTATTATTATACTTTAAGTTTTAGGGTACATGTGCACAATGTGCAGGTTAGTTACATATGTATACATGTGCCATGCTGGTGTGCTGCAAATTCTCAATAAATTAGGTATTGATGGGAAGTATCTCAAAATAATAAGAGCTATCTATGACAAACCCACAGCCAATATCATACTGAATGGGCAAAAACTGGAAAACTGGAAGCATTCCCCTTGAAAACTGGCACAAGACAGGGATGCCCTCTCTCACCACTCCTATTCAACATACTGTTGGAAGTTCTGGCCAGGGCAATGAGGCAGGAGAAGGAAATAAAGGGTATTCAATTAGGAAAAGAGAAAGTCAAATTGTCCCTGTTTGCAGATGACATGATTGTATATCTAGAAAACCCCATTGTCTCAACCCAAAATCTCCTTAAGCTGATAAACAACTTCAGCAAAGTCTCAGGATACAAAATCAATGTAAAAAATCACAAGCATTCTTATACACCAACAACAGACAAACAGAGAGCCAAATCATGAGTGAACTCCCATTCACAATTGCTTCAAAGAGAATAAAATACCTAGGAATCCAACTTACAAGGGATGTGAAGGACCTCTTCAAGGAGAACTACAAACCACTGCTCAATGAAATAAAAGAGGATGCAAACAAATGGAAGAACATTCCATGCTCATGGGTAGGAAGAATCAATATCATGAAAATGGCCATACTGCCCAAGGTAATTTATAGATTCAATACCATCCCCATCAAGCTACCAATGACTTTCTTCCCAGAGTTGGAAAAAACTACTTTAAAGTTCATATGGAACCAAAAAAGAGCCTGCGTCACCAAGTCAATCCTAAGCCAAAAGAACGAAGCTGGAGGCATCACGCTACCTGACTTCAAACTATACTACAAGGCTACAGTAACCAAAACAGCATGGTACTGGTACCAAAACAGATATATAGATCAATGGAACAGAACAGAGCCCTCAGAAATAACGCCGCATATCTACAACTATCTGATCTTTGACAAACCTGAGAAAAATAAGTAATGGGGAAAGGATTCCCTATTTACTAAATGGTGCTGGGCAAACTGGCTAGCCATATGTAGAAAGCTGAAACTGGATCCCTTCCTTACACCTTATACAAAAATTAATTCAAGATGGATTAAAGACTTAAATGTTAGACCTAAAACCATAAAAACCCTAGAAGAAAACCTAGGCATTAACATTCAGGACATAGGCATGGACAAGGACTTCATGTCTAAAGCACCAAAAGCTATGGCAACAAAAGCCAAAATTGACAAATGGGATCTAATTAAACTAAAGAGCTTGTGCACAGCAAAACAAACTACCATCAGAGTGAACAGGCAACCTACAAAATGGGAGAAAATTTTCGCAACCTACTCATCTGACAAAGGACTAATATCCAGAATCTACAATGAACTCAAACAAATTTACAAGAAAAAAACAAACAACCCCATCCAAAAGTGGGCAAAGGACATGAACAGACACTTCTCAAAGAAGACATTTATGCAGCCAAAAAACACATGAAAAAATGCTCACCATCACTGGCCACCAGAGAAATGCAAATCAAAAGCACAATGAGATACCATCTCACACCAGTTAGAATGGCAATCATTAAAAAGTCAGGAAACAACAGGTGCTGGAGAGGATGTGGAGAAATAGGAACACTTTTACACTGTTGATGGGACTGTAAACTAGTTCAACCATTGTGGAAGTCAGTGTAGCGATTCCTCAGGGATCTAGAACTAGAAATACCATTTGACCCGGCCATCCCATTACTGGGTATATACCCAAAGGATTATAAATCATGCTGCTATAAAGACACATGCACACGTATGTTTATTGCGGCACTATTCACAATAGCAAAGACTTGGAACCACCCCAAATGTCTAACAATGATAGACTGGATCAAGAAAATGTGACACATATACACCATGGAATACTATGCAGCCATAAAAAAGGATGAGTTCATGTCCTTTGTAGGGACATGGATGAAATTGGAAATCATTCTCAGTAAACTATCACAAGAACAAAAAACCAAACACCGCATATTCTTACTCATAGGTGGGAATTGAACAATGAGAACACATGGACACAGGAAGGGGAACATCACACTCTGGGGACTGTTGTGGGGTGGGGGGAGGGGGAGGGATAGCTTTAGGAGATATACCTAATGCTAAAATCATTTTTAAATGTATACCCCACATTTTGTAGTTCTGATCATGCTTTAATTATGTTGGAAAATATGTTCATTTCTGGTTAATAGGAAAGAACATATGGAATGTCAATTTTAGTATAGTGGTTTTATTCCCTGGTATTTAGGAATGCAAATAATGTGTACCCAGGATTCCATGTGTATGTGTGTGTGTGTGTGTGTGTGTGTGTGTGGTTAGTATCAGTGGTCAGATTTAATCTAATCTGTGTATTCACCCAGAAATACACATGTGCTCAGTGTCCAGCCATATTAACTATGAAATTGGTAGCACATGTTATCTTCTTTGATGTTTCATATCATTCTCTTCACATTTTAATTCCAACCCTTAAAAAGAGACTATTTAGTATTTCACATGCATTAAAATTAGCAGCAGATGAACTATAGTACATTAATTAAAAACTGGAGATCCAAACAGCAGGGCTTCATATAATTTGCCCATAGGCATACAGCAAATATAGCATTTAAAGCCATATAGTCTGATTCCTAAGCCAACTCACTAACCATTCTCTGAAAGACAAATTTGAACAACTTTCCACTCAGTAAATTTTTAAATAGAAAAATTGTTTTTTAAAATTGCCATATTTCAACAATAAATGGTATATAAGTCCTGAAAAGCCAGTTTGTAAAAACAAAATATCAGGGAGTTACTCTCCTATCCTTAGCTTTTATCATCATTCACTTAATTTTCAGATTTGTTCTTGGCCTCCATAGAACACTTCCTCTGGATATAACCTAATCTCCTAATTTAGAATGTTCTCAGCTCCATTGCTTCCACAGCTTCTTCAGGTATAAAAACTTTTACATGTTTTTTTTCTATATTCAAATTTTTAATGTCCCCAGAGAATGAGCCTTAATTGCAAGACACACAAAAGAGACATTTAAAAAGATCTTTCTGGCTTTTCCCAATTCTTAGCTGCTTCGAATGTAGGGTATGGTGAGGAGAGAAACATTCATATTTCAATGAGTTCTATAGAAATTACATTGCTAAAACAGTCAATAAATATCTTAGGACTAGATGGAAAGTAAAAGCAGCTTGAGTATATATGCATCCCAAGTATGCCTTCATACTTGGATAGGTAGACAGTGCTATGATCCTATTCTTTGCAAAAATATTCAGATTATTGATGCAAAATAACAGGTTCTAAGTTAAAATGGCAGGTTGACAATACTTATTTATTGTCTTCCTGTACATTCCTCATATTCAACTGAAAGAATAGAAAATCTATGAAAACATGTCTCATTTTTTACTTCTATAAATTTCAAGTTATTCAGGATTATCTTTTGTAAATTGTTCACAGCCTGCATCCATTCTTCTATTGTTTATATTTTTCTTATTAATTTATGATTTTATATATAAATTATATTTTACATATGAATTCTTTGCTGGTTTTAGCCATTATAAATATTTTATCCCGACCCATGGTTTTGGTATTTATTTATGATGTCTTTTGTCAAATAAAGGAATTAAATTTAGCAGTCAAATGTATTCATAATTTCCTTCATGTTTTTGTCCTGTGTGTCTTAAGTAATCCTTTACTACTAGATGTCATAAACATATTTTTCCATATTTTCTTTAAACAATTAAAAAATTTGGCTTTCACATGTAGGTTTAAATTTGGGTTTCCCATTTAGTTCTATCTATTTATCTATCGTTTATTTTCTTTTTAATTTTTCAATTTTTTATTTCAATAGGTTTTTGGGGATCACGTGGTGTTTGGTTACATGAACAGTTTCTTTAGTGGTGATTTCTGAGATTTTGGTGCACCCATAACCCGAGCATTGTACACTGTATCCAATGTAAAGTCTTTTATCCCTCACCACCCCTAACCCTTTCCCCTGATTCTCCAAAGTCCAATGTATCATTCTTATGCATTTGCATCCTCATAGCTGAGCTCCCACATATGAGTGAGAACATACAATGCTTGGTTTTCCATTCCTGAGTTACTTCACTTAGAATAATAGTCTCCAATTCCATCCAGGTTGCTGCAAATGCCATTATTTTGTTCCTTTTTATGGCTCAGTAGTATTCCATACTATATGTGCATATCACACTTTCTTTGTCCACTCATTTATTGATGGGCATTTGGACTGGTTCCGTATTTTTGCAATTGCAAATTGTGCTGCTATGAACATGCATGTGCAAGCATCTTTTCATATAATGACTTCTTTTCCTCCGGGTAGATACCCAGTAGTGGGATTGCTGGATCAAATGGTGCATCTACTTTTAGTTAATTTTTATATGTGGTATTGTGTGAGGTAGAGAAGTAATCTTGTCTTTTTACTACATGGGCAGCCAAATGTCTCACACTTATATTGGTTACCCTATTCCCTCCCCAACAGTTAGTACTGCCCCATCAATGTCTTTCAAGAAATGTGTGTACAAAGAGAAGATTCTAGGCTCTGCATTATCATCATTGTTCTTTTTCTCATTTCTTGCATCAAGACCATATGTCTTAATTATGGTAAGTGTTTTTTAACTTTTATTTTTGTTTCGGGGTACATTTAGAGATTTGTTAACATAGGTAAACTGTGTGTTGCTGGGGCTTGGTATACAGCTTATTTTATCACCAGATACTTAATAGGTAGGGTTTTCTTTATCTTTACTGCCCTCCTACCTTCCACCCTCAAGTAGAATGCATGGTATTTGGTTTTCTGTTCTTTTTTATTTTATTTTATTATTATTATAGTTTAAGTTTTAGGGTACATGTACACAACGTGCAGCTTTGTTACATATGTATACATGTGCCATGTTGGTGTGCTGCACCCACCCCACAACAGTATATCTCCTAATGCTATCCCTCCCCACTCCCCCCACCCCACAACAGTCCCCGGTGTGTGATGTTCCCCTTCCTGTGTCCATGTTTTCTCATTGTTCAATTCCCACCTATGAGTGAGAACATGCGTGTTTGGTTTTTTGTCCTTGCGATAGTTTGCTAAGAATGATGGTTTCCAGTTTCATCCATGTCCCTACAAAGGACATGAACTCATCATTTTTTATGGCTGCATAGTATTCCATGGTGGATATGTGCCACATTTTCTTAATCCAGTCTATTGTTTTTGGACATTTAGATTGGTTCCAAGTCTTTGCTATTGTGAATAGTGCCACAATAAACATACGTGTGCATGTGTCTTTATAGCAGCATGATTTATAATCCTTTGGGTATATACCCAGTAATGGGATGGCCGGGTCAAATGGTATTTCTAGTTCTAGATCCTTTCAAAGAACATCTTTATTTCTGCCTTCATTTCATTATTTACCCAGTAGTCATTCAGGAGCAGGTTGTTCAGTTTCCATGTAGTTGAGCGGTTTTGAGTGAGTTTCTTAATCCTGAGTCCTAGTTTCATTGCACTGTGTTCTGAGAGACAGTTTGTTATAATTTCTGTTCTTTTACATTTGCTGAGGAGTGCTTTACTTCCAACTATGTGGTCAATTTTGGAATAGGTGTGGTGTGGTGCTGAAAAGAATGTATATTCTGTTGATTTGGGGTGGAGAGTTCTGTAGATGTCTATTAGGTCAACTTGGTGCAGAGTTGAGTTCAATTCCTGGGTATCCTTGTTAACTTTCTGTCTCGTTGATCTGTCTAATGTTGACAGTGGGGTGTTAAAGTCTCCCATTATTATTGTGTGGGAGTCTAAGTCTCTTTGTAGGTCACTAAGGACTTGCTTTATGAATCTGGGTGCTCCTGTATTGGGTGTATATATATTTAGGATAGTTAGCTCTTCTTGTTGAATTGATCCCTTTACCATTATGTAATGGCTTTCTTTGTCTCTTTTGCTCTTCGTTGGTTTAAAGTCTGTTTTATCAGAGACTAGGATTGCAACCCCTGCCTTTTTTTTGTTTTCCATTTGCTTGGTAGATCTTCCTCCATCCCTTTATTTTGAGCCTATGTGTGTCTCTGCATGTGAGATGGGTTTCCTGAACACAGCACACTGATGGGTCTTGACTCTTTATCCAATTTGCCAGTCTGTGCCTTTTAATTGGAGCATTTAGGCCATTTACATTTAAAGTTAATATTGTTATGTGTGAATTTGATTCTGTCATTATGATGTTAGCTGGTTATTTTGCTCGTTAGTTGATGCAGTTTTTTCCTAGCCTTGATGGTCTTTACAATTTGGCATGTTTTTGCAGTGGCTGGTACTGGCTGTTCCTTTCCATGTTTAGTGCTTCCTTCAGGAGCTCTTTTAGGGCAGCCTGGTGGTGTCAAAATCTCTCAGCATTTGCTTGTCTGTAAAGGATTTTATTTCTCCTTCACTTATGAAGCTTAGTTTGGCTGGATATGAAATTCTGGATTGAAAATTCTTTTCTTTAAGAATGTTGAATATTGGTCCCCACTCTCTTCTGGCTTGTAGAGTTTCTACGGAGAGATCCACTGTTAGTCTGATGGGCTTCCCTTTGTGGGTTACCCAACCTTTGTCTCTGGCTGCCCTTAACATTTTTTCCTTCATTTCAACTTTGTTGAATCTGACAATTATGTGTCTTGGAGTTGCTCTTCTCGAGGAGTATCTTTGTGGCGTTCTCTGTATTTCCTGAATTTGAATGTTGGCCTGCCTTGCTAGATTGGGGAAGTTCTCCTGGATAAGATCCTGCAGAGTGTTTTCCAACTTGGTTCCATTCTCCCCATAACTTTCAGGTACACCAATCAGACGTAGATTTGGTGTTTTCTATAGTCCCATATTTCTTGGAGGCTTTGTTTGTTTGTTTCTTTTTATTCTTTTTTCTCTAAACTTCTCTTCTCGCTTCATTTCATTCCTTTCATCTTCCGTCACTGATACCCTTGCTTCCAGTTGATTGCATCAGCTCCTGAGGCTTCTGCATTCATCACGTAGCTCTTGTGCCTTGGTTTTCAGCTCCATCAGGTCCTTTAAGGACTTCTCTGCATTGGTTATTCTAGTTATCCATTCATCTAATTTTTTTTCAAAGATTTTAACTTCTTTGCCATTGATTCAAATTTCCTCCTGTAGCTCAGAATAGTTTGATCATCTGAAGACTTCTTCTCTCAACTCATCAAAGTCATTCTCTGTCCAGCTTTGTTCCATTGCTGGTGAGGAGCTGCATTCCTTTGGAGGAGGAGAGGTGCTCTGATTTTTAGTTTCCAGTTTTTCTGCTCTGTTTTTTCCCCATCTTTGTGGTTTTATTTACCTTTGGTCTTTGATGATGGTGATGTACAGATGGGTTTTTGGTGTGGATGTCCTTTCTGTTTGTTAGTTTTCCTTCTAACAGACAGGACCCTCAGCTGCAGGTCTTTTGGAGTTTGCTAGAGGTCCACTCCAGACCCTGTTTGCCTGGGTATCAGCAGCGGTGGCTGTAGAACAGCGTGTACTGGTGAACCGCAAATGCTGCTGCCTGATTGTTCCTCTGTAAGTTTTGTCTCAGAGGAGTACCTGGCTGTGTGAGATTTCAGTCTGCCCCTTCTGGGGGGTGCCTCCCAGTTAGGCTACTTGGGGGTCAGGGACCCACCTGAGGAGGCAGTCTGCCAGTTCTCAGATCTCAAGCTGCATGCTGGGAGAACCACTACTGTCTTCAAAGCTGTCAGACAGGGACATTTAAGTCTGCAGAGGTTACTGCTGTCTTTTTGTTTGTCTGTGCCCTGCCTGCAGAGGTGGAGCCTACAGAGGCAGGCAGGCCTCCTTGAGCTGTGGTGGGTTCCACCCAGTTCGAGCTTCCTGGCTGCTTTGTTTACCTAATAAAACAACTAACTTGGCAATGGTGGGCGCCCCTCCCCCAGCCTCGCTGCTGCCTTCCAGTTTGATCTCAGACTTCTGTGCTAGCAATCAGCGAGACTCCGTGGGGTAGGACCCTCCGAGCCAGGTGCAGGTTATAATCTCCTGGTGTGCCGGTTTTTAAGCCCATTGGAAAAGCGCAGTATTAGGGTGGGAGTGACCCGGTTTTCCAGGTGCCGTCTGTCACCCCTTTCTTTGACTAGGAAAGGGAATTCCCTGACCCCTTGTGCTTTCCGGGTGAGGTGATGCCTCGCCCTGCTTTGGCTCATGCATGGTGTGGTGCACCCACTGTCCTGCGCCTACTGTCTGGCACTCTCCAGTGAGATGAACCCGGTACCTCAGTTGGAAATGCAGAAATCACCCATCTTCTGCATTGCTCCCGCTGGGAGCTCTAGACTGGAGCTGTTCCTATTTGGCCATCTTGGCTCCTCCCCCCTGGTTTTCTTTTCTTATATTAATTTTGTGTTTTCTTATTCTATGATTCTCAAGAGCATAACTGTTACAAGATCAATTTTTACAGCAATTTCTCTTTCAAACTAGATGATGTACAGGCCCAATATGGAGATTTTCTTTTCTTTTTTTAACCACTCAAAGTCCATGCTAAAATAAATGTCCTTGTATTCTCCCTATGCCAATAAATGTGCTTGTAGTCTCCCTATCCCTCTCCCTATGTTTTTATTTTCTGTTTTTAACCTTTTGGTTGAGTGCAGGCTCTTGAGGTCCCAACTTTATATTGGTGGTCTCATTCCAGATCCATTCTGAGCCCTACATTCTCTGCTCCTCTTTCGGTGCATTAAAACCCAAAATTTAGCACATCCCCAAGAGTAGAGTTGCAGCTTATGTTCTTATTACTGACTTATCTCTTTATGTTCCCTGTCATTTCTGGTTTCCCAATGACTTTAAAGAATGCCTAAGAGGAACCTTTATGTTCTTTGCTCCCTATGTTCTTGGAAAACAGAAGTCTACTTCTACTTCAATCACTTGGAATTTATTTTTGTGTATATTCTGAGGAGGTGACCATTTCTGCCTCTTGTGTATTTGTAGCCAGTCTTAATTCTATGCTATTTTATATTTTTCCAACACAAATTCACCATTGGGATTTTCTCTCCATTTTGATTCCTTTTAAAACTTACTATTTTAATCTAAGAGAAATTATGAATTACTTTGGGTAAATGTACAAGAAAACTCCTTTGCTCACTTGCTGGACTAGTGGATTCTGTATTTTCCCACTGTAAATCATAGTGATTTATGCTTATACATATCAAATACTCATAACCTAGAGACAATTTTATTCCCTGAACCACATTGGCACTTCCGTTTACATCAGTTGTGTTATAGACTATTGTCTGTTTTATTGTTGTTTTATACCACTATTCAAACTATTTATTTTAATATTTTGTTATTAAAATTTTGAATTCATTAAAGTATTATATAAATAAAATCTGTATAAAAATAATTTCTACCAAAACTAAGTCAGTTTTCTGAAAGGCATTATAAATTTGTGTTTATAAATATAATTTTTCATTTCAACTTTGGTGTAGTTAAGAAAATTATAAAGGATTGGGAAAATAACCTCAAAATCTGAAGAATTATGCACTAATATTATTTACAAATGTTTTAACATTCTTACTTTAAAGAAGCAAAAGTTGTAAATTATAGATGTCACATTAGGAATGATGGTCTTTATGCAGCACAGACTACCATAGGACACTCCAATCAAAAGATATCTAGGGCTGGGAACATTGTCTTATACCTGTAATCCCAGCCCTTTGGGAGGCTGAGGTGGGAGGGTCACTTGAAGTCAGGAGTTCGAGACCAGCCTGGGTCAGAAAGTGAGACCTCATCTCTACAAATTTTTTTTTCAATTAGCCGGGCACAGTGATGTGTACCTGTAGTCCCAGCTACTCAGGAATCTGAGGCAGGAGGATCTCTTGAGCCCAGGAATTTGAGGCTGCAGGGAGCCATGATCATACCACTGCACCCCAGCCAAGCCAGGGCAATCAAGCAAGACCCAATCTCAAAAAAAGCAAAAAAGATATTTACATGTTTAAGTTAAAATACATTATTTTTAAACAATATATTTTAAAATTCCTCATATTAAATGACTTCTGTTTAAATCATTGATTCTCATAATCTCTACCTTATTTGATTTTATTATTAATACTATCTGATTTTCTTACTGACTGGTGTTACTAAAATGCTTATATTATTTGAAAATCTGACCAAACAAATAAATAGAAAGCAATAAGTCCAACTGCTCAAAGTAAAATAAAATATTAAAAAGTAGTCAGAGGTCTCTGGCTACCAGCACTCCCCACCTTCCTTGGGACAGAGTCTTGCTTGTGGTCACCATGTTTATATCACAAGGCCCACAACCCTTGTGAAAGCTGATTGGATCAGGAAAGGGGTAAGGGACGTGACCCAAAACATAGGCAATGCCTGTAAAGGTCTTCAGGGTCCTAGCAGGTCTGTCCGGGTGACTAGCACACTCAAACTGATACTCTCAGAAGAAAGTAAGTAAGTCAAAAGTAAAATAGGTCAGAAAAATTAAAAATTAAGAAGTTAACATAATAAGCAGCTCTAATCAATGAAGAATATGAGACAGGAAAGGAGTGTACAGACAGTTGATTTAATAAAAAGAAACACCTAGAGAAAGAACCCACAGAGTTAAGGCTGGAGTCCTAAGCATGGAAAATAAGCATTCACCATGGCTTCTCAGAGAAGATTCCTCTGACTTCTCAAGGCTTTTGTCAATCCTGAGCTATAATGATGCATGTCCCTGTTCTCTTTAAGGCCTTAGGAGACTGTGTTTGGTCCTTTCTTACTTCTCTTGTATTCCAACTATAAACTCCACTTTTCAGAGGAAACTTGAGCATATGTGCTCTCTGCATGCTGAAAGAGCGTAATGAATATGTGTGGAAAGGAAACTAATTTACAATTCTATTGTTTAAAACAGCTAAAATTCTTGAGGTAGGGACCGTATGTCTACCACATTTTGGCACACGAATATGGCAACAGAATAAAAACAGCTTTAGTAAGTTTATCTGCACAAATTTGCTTAACTTACAACCATATCTAAGCAGAGAGGTGTTCCAAAGTTCCAAGATTGATATAACCAATCTCATATCTTTTCGTGAGTATTGTGTGAACCAAGGGCAGTAAAACATTGGATGGAGAGTCAGGAAACCTTGATTGTAATCAGAATTCAACCATGACAAGAAATTGATGACTTTGGGGAAATCATCCCAAATCCCTCAGCCTCAGTTTCTTTCTCTGTGGGGCTCATGTGCTCTGACTTAAGGTTATCATAAAACTGAAATTAGAGATACATGTGAAAGTACTTTGTTCTGTATGTATTTGTTATGCCATACAAATACAGGTGAGAAAGCTTTAGAACCTCAGAATTAGAAGGAACTTTGCAGCACCTCATACCCAATCCTCACCTGATAATTTTTTATGGGTAACAGGAAATGTCATTTGCAGGTTTCAGGATGATTTTCAATGCTTTTAATCTTGTGTAATTTTACTTGTCTTCTGCATTCCATACCTGTTTGATTTAAATGTGAATAATTTTAAGCATATCTTGTTCAATGAATATCCTGATGTTCCTTAAAAAATTTGAAACAAAGGCTAGATTTATTTTTTTCTCAAGTTAACTACCAACTACAGAAAAAACGGGAAGTATTCACTTCAAAACTCCATAAATACAAAGTTATTGACAGAAAAATAGGAATCAATTGAGACTACTAGCAGACATTTTTATATCAAATCAGACTTGGCCTGGGAAGCTGGTAGAGTCTTGCCACCATTCCTCTCTTCCTCCTTCCATCTTCTGTGGTTCCCAGGGCTTCCCCAGTTTTATGCTCTGTGGCAGCAACACACTATAAGCCCTATAAGCCTGATCATTTCTCTTCCTCCTCTCTTCAAAACGCATGTGTTTTCTGGGCTCTGCCTAAAGTAACCAGAGTAAATCAAGAAGAAAATGTGTGTTAAGAGTAGAATACATTTCTCACCTTGAATAACATTTGCATTTTAAAAGCTGCCTCCAATAGGAGTAAGCACCTTGATTTGAAGGAATTTTCAGTTAGTCGTGTGAGGTCTTTCCAGGACCTCTCATGTGTCATTACATGTGAGGCTCATGGGTAGGCAAAGAAGCAAGCTGTCTCCACACAAAAAAGGTAGCTCTGTGTGTGTGTGTGTGTGTGTGTGTGTGTGTGTGTGTGTGTGAAAGAGAGAGTGTGTGGGACTGTTTTCAGGGAAAAACACACCATAAATTGGCTATCTCATCTTTATGATAACCCATGAATAGAATTGTAGAATTATTTTCCATAGTGATTAAATCTGTCCTTTTTGGAGTACACGGCTGGCCAGCAGGTGTCAGAGAATAAGTTTTCTAATCACTGACAGAACCTTTATTGATGCAGTCAGCAATTACCAGGTTGAAGAAACCCTGTTTATGCATGATTCAAATGCATGCTCATATAGCCTTAGGCCCAGATGTTCATATTCCTAGATACAATCTTAACACCAGGGCCCAAATCAACATTATGCTGGAAGACTGATTTCCTCTAATTCAGCCTTTAATATTTCTTCTCTACTGTGAAAATATGCATCTCCCCCCTCTCCCATCTCCAGTGTTCTCCAGATAAAGTGAACAGTTTAAAAACAGTCAAACAGAATGTGAATGTATTTGAAGGAGGGCAACTTTAAGCCTTAGCAAGACCCAGGAGGTCTAAGAATTTCAGTCATATAAAGTCTTATCAACAGCTGAGCCGTGGTAGTAACACAGAAATAATTTCAGAAGAACTCCATTGAAAAAGGTACAGATAATACTTAGAAATTAGCAATAAGAATAATTAATAGGATGATGACTAGATCAGATGAATAAGAGTCATAGAATTATGCATTTTTTTGTGCCAGAAAAATGAGTCCCAGGGTTGGCTTACTAACTGATTATTAATCATTCATTGGCAGAGTTTCATTTGGAGTTCTCAAACAATGCTCACAAAGAGTCTCTTCAGTATCAGTAAGGATTTTAGGCAAAACAGGGGCCATTCAAATAGGGTTATACCTATACTCTGTTTCAAGAATATGGCTATTAGTTTAATGTGTCTCCTCCACAATTCAGGTGTTGCCAGTGTGATAGCATTAAAGGTGGGACCTCTAAGAGGTGATTAGGCCATGAAAGCTACCCCTTAGTGATTGGCATTAAGGCCCTCATAATAATGGCTTCCTGCAGCATTTGAGCCTTTGCCATTGCCTTCCACCATGTGAGGACACAGTGTTCCTCTGCTCTGGAGGATGTAGCCCTCGCTAGACACCAAATGCTGGTGACTTGATCTTGGGCTTCCCAGACTTTAGAACTGTGATAAATACATTTCTGTTCTTTATAAGTTACCAGTGTGTAGCATTATGGCAGCACAAAACAGACTAAGACAGAAAGAAAAAGCTATTTTAAACAACATTCTTGTTTGTTACCTTTCACTGTGCAGGTATTAGCAAGTGGGCTTGTACTAATGATTAGAAAGTTAAATTTAAAGAAGACAATCTTTATTCTAAGGGCAATTGATTATACACTAGAGGAGGTCGAGCTGTGTTCCTTTTATACTTTTGTTTATGTCCATGATTTTTTATTTTATCTTCCTATTGAAAGAAAGAATGTTGGTTGAACAATTTAGATGATGAAATGGTGAGTGGTTACAATCTTGTATGCAAACTAATGGCATTTATATAATAAAATTATAATTATACATTGAAAATCAAGAATGTATAATTTCTAGCAGACTACTTTTGTCCCAGCATAAATGAAGCCTTTCCAGCAGCAGCGCTTCTAATTTAGATTGACTAATACATTGAATGACAAATTTGAACATCTATTTAGCCATTAAGATGTTAATATTAAAGGGCATTTTTTTGAGAAGTATTAAGAACCAGGAAACATTGTAATGTTTTATTGTAAAATTAAATTTAGCATTATATTCACAATTAGGTAGGCTGCATGGTAAACTGTAATGCTAGCTGTTTATTCCATTTCTAGATTTTGCCTACCTAGTGTTTAGAAGTCCTCTTCTCACATAGTCACTTCAGATTATGTTATACACTTTCCAACCAAAATCACAAAAATATTGTTGAAAACATTTTGATTTTTTGTCTCATCACAAAAGTAATATATGTTTATTTTTAGATTTTAAAAACTATAGATAAACAAGGAAAGGGGGAAAAAGCCACCCAAAATGTGACCACTTTGAGATTAATATAGTTAATATTTTTGTTTGACTCCTTTTTTTTAGAGAAGTGGTGCATGTTTTTGTATTTATATTTTTTAAATGCTGTTCTCTCCCAAAAACAACTTATTATGAACATTTTTTTCAGCTATTTGATATGCTTTTCCTGTGTCCTACCCAAATATCATTTTGTAGTTCTCATAATCCCCACATGTCATGGGAGGGACCAGGTGGAGATAATTGAATTATGGGGATGGTTTCCTCAATCCTGTTCTTATGATAGTGAACTAGTTCTCATGAGCTCTGATGGTTTTATAAGAGGCTGTTTCCCCTGCTTCACTCTGTACTTCTCCTTACTGCTGACACCTGAAGAAGGACGTGTTTGCTTCCCCTTTTGCCACGATTGTAAGTTTCTTGAGGCCTCCCTAGCCATGCTGCACTGTGAGTCAAATAAACCTCTTTCTTTTATAAATTACCCAAGTTCAGGTATGTCTTTATTAGCAGCATGAGAACAGACTAATACAGTAAATTGGTATTGGGTAGTGGGGCACTGCTATAAAGATACCCAAAAACGTGGAAGCCATCTTGGAACTGGGCAATAGGCAGAGGTTGGAACAGTTTGGAGGGCTTGGAAGAAAATAGGAAAATGTGGGAAGGTTTGGAACTTCCTAAAGGCTTGTTGAATGGCTTTGACCAAAATGCTGATAGTGATATGGACAATAAAGTCCAGACTAAGGTGGTCTCAGATGGAGATAAGAAACTTGTTGGGAGATGGAGTAAAAGTCACTCTTGCTATGCAAAGAAACTGGTGGCATTTTTCCTCCTGCCCTAGAGATCTGTGGAAATTAAAACTTGGGAGAGATGATTTAGAGTATCTGACAGAAGAAATTTTTAAGTGGCAAAGCATTCAAGAGGAAGCAGAGCACAAATGTTTAAAAAATTTGCAGCTTGACAATATGATTGAAAAGAAAACCCTATTTTCTGGGGAGAAATTCAAGCCTGCTGCAGAAATTTGCATAAATAATGAGGAGCTGAATGTTACTCACCAAGACAATGGGGAAAATGTCTCCAGGGCATGTCAGAAACCTTCACAGCAGCCCCTCACATCACAGGCCTGGAGACCTAGGAAGGAAAAATGGTTTCCTGGGTTAGGTCCAGGGCTCCCTTGGGACTTTGTATTCTGCATCCCAGCCACTCCAAGCCATGGCTAAAAGGGGCCAAGGTACAGCTCAGGCCATGGCTTCAGAGTGTGCAAACCCCAAGCCTTGGCAGCTTCCACGTGGTGTTGAGCCTGCTGGTGCACAGAAGTCAAGAATTGAGGTTTGGGAACCTCCACCTAGATTTCAGAGGATATATGGAAATGCCTGGATGTCCATGCAGAAGTTAGCTGCAGGGGCAGAGCCCTCATGGAGAACATCTGCTAGGGCAGGAAGAAGGGAAATGTGGGGTTGGGTCCCTCACACAGAATCCCTACTGGGGCACTGCCTAGTGGAGCTGTGAGGAGAAGGCCAGTGTCCTCCACACCCCAGAATGGTAGATACACTGACAGCTTGCACTGAGTGCCTGGAAAAGCCACAGACACTCAATGTCAGCCTGTGAAAGCAGCCTGGAGGGGGGTTGTACCCTGTAAATCCACAGAGGCACAGCTCCCCATGGCCTTGGGAGCCCACCATATGCATAAGCATGACCTGGATGTGAGACATGGAGTCAAATGAGATCATTTTGTAAATTTAAGGTTTAACGACAGTCCTATTGCATTTCAGACTTGCATGGGGCCTGCTGCCCCATTTGCTTTGGCCAATTTCTCCCATTGGAATAAGTATATTTATATAATACCTGTAACCCATTGTATCTAGGAAATAACTAACTTGCTTTTGATTTTACATGCTCACAGGTGGAAGGAACTTGCCTTGTCTCAGATGAGACTTTGGACTTGGACTTTTGAGTTAATGCTGGAATGAGTTCAGACTTTGGGGGACTGTTGGAAGGGCATAATTGTGCTTTGGAATGTGAGAACATAAGATTTGGAGGGACCAGGGGTGAAATAATATGGCTTGGCTGTGTCCTCACCCAAATCTCATATTGAATTGTAGTTCCCATAATCCCCACATATCATGGGAAGGACCAGGTGGAGATAAGGAAATCATGGGGGTGTTTTCCCCCATCCTGTTCTCATGATAGTGAGTTAGTTCTTAGGAGAGCAGATGGTTTTATATGGGTCTTTTCCCCCACTTTGCTCTGCACTTCTCCTTGCTGCCACTATGTGAAGAAGGATGGATGTGTTTGCTTCCCCTTCTGCCATGACTGTAAGTTTTTTGAGGCCTCCCCAGCCACCCTGAACAGTGAGTCAATTAAATCTCTTTCTTTTATAAATTTCCCTGTCTCAGATATGTCTTTAGTCGCATGAGAATGGATTAATACATACATACATACTACACAGACATTGATTTCAAAATATGCATGCTTTGAAGACCAAGGCTTATGGGAAGAATATTTTCATAGGAAGCCTGTTTGGGATTCAGAATAAGTGGTGAATATTAGAAAGCAAGTGTTTGGAACCTTCCAAGGGAATTTTCATTCAGAGTCTTTTTGCTATAGGATGGTTTAAATTATTTAGCTCAATGTTGGTGAATTAGTTGCAGGAGACATTTCCACCTAGATTAGAGGCCGCTTTCTTTGGTATAAAATATATTATACTAACCTGGGAATCAAGAGGCTTGAGATTTCTTCATGGCTCTGCCTCACTGACTCTGTGAGTAACACTAGGCAAAGGTATTACCCTAGATGTCTTTCTTTGTAATACGAGCTCATCTAAATTGCCAGGCTATAGTTCTTAATACCATGAATAAAATAATTGTTTTTTGGTATGGATTATTCTGTTTTATTTAGTTAACAAATCAAGTCAGATTATTGTCATTTTTGAAAGGAGAGCTGTGACATAATAGAGATTTATGGGCTTTACCCTATCTTCAAAGGCTATTCAGTCAATCTGTTCCTTGACCTTAGAAAAAATATTTCAGAACATAATAGTCGCTTAAGACATCTACTTTCTTGTGTAATCCAAAACTATACAGAACTGGGTCAAATGCCACTGTAGTAATACAAAACATAAGTCTTTACAAAAAATCTAATTAAACATAAATTATTTTAAGAAAATATACTATGATAAAATATCAATCATGATAGCTTATGCTTATTTCTTAAAGTGCATATAAATCTTTTGTTGTTGTTGTTATTGTTGATTGGTTGATCAGAAACCAGAATCTCATCTCCCTCATTGACAAAACTTCTAGGTCACAGTAGGCTTCAACTGGTATAATAAAAATTTCTCACAGACGTAAAATGTAAAGGTAGCTTTGAAGGTGAAGTAAATGAGAAGTTACCAGGGGAAGAATTTACTTTAGGATAGCCTTATCTATTGACATTTTGACAATATTAAACTGTGAGAACCCTTGAGGTATCTTCAAGACACACTGAATAAGTGCACCTCCTTCAACAGAAACACATTGAACCCCACAAATATGGAAGTGAAATGCTCATCTTTTCTAGAGAAGAAGATTTATTTATAACTTCATTGCTTATGGAAAATTATTCCAAATAAAATTAAATACCTTCTAATTTGGTCTAAACCCATTTTGTCATGTTCTGTGCACATCAGAGTTTGAAAGCAGATGGCCAGTACTCACTGAATAAAGTCTCTTTATGCATTTAAAAATTGGCATGAAATGACTTTTGGGTCTTTTCTTCATCAAATTGTATAGTTCCAGCTTTGTTAACCTCTCAATGTTAACCTTAGTTTCCAGTCCTTTAGTCATCTTCGGGATCATCTCTAAAGCTGTTCATGGTCTTTCATTAGTCAGCTGTACTTCAGTAAGCCCTCCAACAACTACCAAGAAATATGTCAGAACTTGTTTAGTTGTCATAGCATTTTATATCTCTTAGTCTATATTTCTTGCACATTTGGGGCACAAGGATAAAATGAATGCAGCTTTCAGAGGTACAGCTATGCTTTTTTTCTTAATTTTTGTATGATAATATTTTTGATAGCTTTGCCAATGAGCCAGAGATTTTTTTATCTAAGATAATGAAATTTAACTAGAGGCAGGAATAAAATTACATTGAAGTCCAGAGATTCTAGGTAGCCATGGTTTTCCAATGAGCTGAGTGTTTTCTTCTTTGAGAACCTTAACTTTATTAATTACTATATGGATTAAAACTTCCAAAAATACATCACACTTTCTTTCTCTCTTACATAGTTCATATGGAATATGTTTTGGCATTTTTATTTGACAACATAATTTAATTCAATATATTTATTGAGCACCTACAAAATTAAGAAATATGCTAGAAGATATGGAGACAAGGTGAATCAGAACTTAAGGGCTTGCAATCTGAGAGAAATAAGCACAAAATGACCCTAATACACACTAGTAAGTGGTAAATACCATAAGAGATTGAAGATACATGTTAAAGGAATCTTGGAGGAAACAGAATTTCATGGAAGAAGTATCTTTAGGTTGCTCATTAAGGTAGTAGAAATGCTTTTCCCGCAAAACCAACAGATTTACCTAAAATATGAAACAGGACAGTAAATTCCATGCGTTTGACATATAACTCTAAATTAGTGGGAAATTGGTATGTATAAGCTTTGACCAGACTAGGTAAGTGATATAAAATATGTCTAGAACATTTATTGTTTTTTGCAGATGGCAGAAAATATTGTCATTTTTTTGAGAGGATAAACAGGGCTGAATTTCAATAACATTGATTTGATATCAATGAATAAAATTGACTCAACATAGAAAAATATTTTCAAAAATTAAAGGAATACATTAGGAGAAAATTAATGAGGGCTTAAGAAACAGAGAAGGGAAGAGCATTTCAGGAGATCTTAATATTATATAGGGTGACAATTATGATATGGTAAGGGAAAGAAGAATCAGAAGTGATTCCAAGGGTTAAAGTGTAGGTGACAGGAAGATAATAATGCATTTATAGAAACAGAAAACCTAAGAATGGCAGAGACTTATTAGAATAGTAAGAGTCAAAGCTGGATTTTAACATAAAAGGTGTGATAGGGTAATTAATGAAGCAAATATAGATTATATTTTTCTTGAAGTTTGATAACCATGAGAAAGATAGAGATAGGGTGTCAGCTTGAGAAGATAGAGTTTTTAAAATGTTTTAAACTATAGGAGATTTACTTTTTAGGAAACACAATTTAGCATAATAAGGGACATGAAGAAACAATCAAATGGGAGTCCACAACCAAGAAAATAACAATAGAAGGTGAGCTACAGATGATAGAAACAGTAGAAGTATCACTCAAGGAAATTAAAATAGCTATTATAATTATGTTCAAGGATTTTCAGGAAAAAGAAGAATTAGATGAACAAATGGAAAATCTCAACATAGAAATGGAAACTGTAAAATAGAAACAATTCTAGAACATAAAAGCATAATACCTAAAATTAAAACACACTAAATGTGAATGAACACTGCATAAGAAAGGATCAATGAAGCTGAAGACAGATTGACAGAAATTATTCAAAATAAGGCAAAGAGGAAAAAACAATACTGACATAACTGAAGAGAGTATCAGTGACCTATGGGACAATATGAAGTAGTTTAACATGTGTATTCAAAGTTCTAAATGTACAGGAAGGAGAGAAAGAAGCACAAAATTATTTCAAGAAATAATGGTAAATTTTAAAAAGTATGATAAATATAAACTCCCAAATCCAAGATTCTCAACAAATCTCAAAACAGAGAAATAAAGAGAAAGCCAAACTTAGGCACATAGCAAAACTATAAAAACCAAAGAGAGAGAGAGAGAGAAAGAGAGAGAGAGAGAGAAATCCAGAAAGCAATCAAAGTAAAATAATCATATCATATCATATTAGGGCAACCACAATAAGTATAATGAGTCCATCAACAGCAACAGCATGATCCAGAATACAATGGAATAATATTTTTACAGTGCTAAGAGGGAAAATACAGCAATTTTCAATCAGAATCAATTGAAATTTAGAATTCTATGTTCTTCAACAAAAAATCTTTTAAAATGGAGTTAAAGACATTTTTAGATACAAACGACATTTTTAGATACAAACAGAGATAATTTGCTACCAGTACAACTGTACTATAAAATATATTAAAGGAAATTCTTTAAACTGAAAAGAAATGACATCAGTTGGAAATTTGAATCTGTGGTAAAGATTGTAGAGTACTCAAATACTGAAAAAGGTCAAGAATGGAAGGTTTGTAAAGCTTTTTCTAATTTTTACTGATTTCTTTAAAAGACATTGACTGAAGCAAAATCAACAGCAATGAATTGTGAGATCTATAACAGAGTGCAACATTTGAAAACAATAGCTAATGATAGCAAATAATATTTAAGAAAGATACATGAAATTATGCATTTGTCAGCTTTCTATATTTTATGTATAGTAGTGTAATATTAATCCAAAGTGGACTGTAGAAGTGAAGGAGGCATATTGTAGTTCAAAAAACCATTATAAGGTAATACAAAAAGTTTTGTATAAAAAAATCTAGTAAAGGAGATAAACAGAAGAATAAATATCCTAAATCCAAAAGAATACAGAAAATCAGGGTCAAAGGAACAAAAAAAGAACAGAATAATTAAAAAAAAACTGGTAGACATAAACACAGTCATCACAATAATTTTATTAAATATAAGAGGCAGAGATAATCAGAATTAATAATATAACATTAGCTATAGTTGCCCTATTGTGCTATTATATATTTCAAAGTAGCAAGAAGAGATTAGGAATGTTTGCAACTCAAAGAAATTAAAATTGTTTGAGGAGATGGATATCCCAATTACCCTTAGTTGATCATTATTACACATCATATGTTTGTATCAAAATATATGTACCCCAATTAATAGGTAAAATTATGTATCAAAAAATAATAATGATATATAAAATAACTATTACAAGGTAAATAACAAAAAATTGATAAAAATTACAAAAGCCAAAAATGAGTTTATTATAAGCAAGAAACTTAAAGTACAAAGGGAGAATGAAATTTAAATAATGGGATGAAAAACATGTGCCATACAAACATAAGAAAGTTGTGTGACTGTATTACTGTAAGAAAATAGACCTCAGAACAATGAGTATTACTGTAGGCATGAAAGAATATATCAAAATTATAACAGGGTTCATGTACATTAAACAAAGTGTTCATATACTTAACAACAGAGCTTCAAAATACCTAAAACAAATGAAAAAGACAGTATTAAAGGCAAAAATAGAAAAATATACCATCGTACTTATAGATGCTAACATTACTATCTCAGCAATTGTTGGAACAAATTTTAAACATCAGAAATTACATAGAAGCTTAGTACAAAAATTTCACCTGATTTGACCTAATAGGCATTTATCAAATACTATATCATACAGCTGTGGAATGCAACATTTTCAAATGCATATTTTTAAAGTCTCAAAGGGAGACCATATAGAAGGCTAGCAAATAAAACTCAATAAAGATAAAATAATTGAACTAACGTAGAATATGTTCTTAAAACACAACAAAATTGTGTTAGAATAAAAGATAATAAGATGCAGAATTCCTGAACGATGTCAAAATTAAGGAACTCACCTCTAAATTATACAAGGTCAAAGAATAAATCATTAAGACATTTAAAAAATATTTTGATTTAGATGACAAAAGCAAAACATATCAAATGTATAAGATCATCTACAACAGTACTACAAGGGAAATTTATGGTTTAGAATTTTTATATTAAAAGACAAAAAGTTTAAAACGAATGAGCTACACAGAGTAAACCCAACATAAGTACAAGAAAGGAAATTTTATTAGTCCAATCTCATACTGCTATGAAGAACTATCTGAGACTGAGTAATTTATGAAGAAAAGAGGTTAAATTGACTCACATTTCTGCAGGCTACACAGGAAGCATGGATGGGAAGACCTCAGGAAACTTACAATCATGGCAGAAGGGTGAAGGGGAGGCAAGCACCTTCTTCACATGGCAAGAGAGAAGAAGAGAGAGAACAAAGGGAAAGGTGCTACACACATTGAAACAACCAGATCTCATGAGAACTCACTCACTGTTACAAGAATAGCGAGGAGGAAATCTGTACACATTATCCAATTACTTCTCACCAGGTCCCTCCCTTAACATTGAGAATTACAATTCATTATGAGATTTGGGTGGGGAAACAGAGCCAAACGATATCAGAAATAGAGACTAAAAATTATTTATATGGGAATAAAGAAAATACACAAAGTTAGATTGGTTCTTAAAAAGATTATTAAAATTGATACATCACTAGACTGACCAACAAAAAAAGAGAGAAAATACAAAGGATCAATACCAAGAATAAAGCAGGAAATGTGACCATAACCCCTACAGTATTTAGAAAGATAGTAAGAGACTATTATGAATAACGTGCCTACAAACCTGATGATGTAGATGAAATAGACAAGTTCTATTAGAACTGTGATTAGATCACAGGGACAGTTTCCTCCATGCTGTTCTAATGATAGTGAGTTAGTTCTTACAAGGTCTGATGGTTTAAAAGTGTGAGCCAGTTCCCCCACCCCACCCCTGCTTTTTTCAACTGCTCCACCATTGTAAGACGTGCTTGTTTCCCCATTGCCTTCCACCATGATTGTAAGTTTCCTGAGGCCTCCCAGTCATGTTTCCTTTTAATCCTTTCAAACTGTGAATCAATTAAACCTTCTTTCTTCATAAATTATGCAGACTCGGGTAGCTCTTTATAAAAGTGTGAGAATGGACTAATACAGAAAATTCATACCAGGAGAGTGGGCCACTGCTATAAAGATACTTGAAAACATGGAAGTGACTTTGGACCTGAGTAATGGGCAGAGGTTGGAAGAGTTTTGAGGGCTCAGAAGAAGACAGGAACATGTGGGAAAGTTTGGAATTTCCTGGAGATTTGTTGAATGGTTTTGACGAAAATGATGATAGTTATATGGACAACAAAACCCATACTGAAGTGGTCTCAGATGGAGATGAGGAACATATAGGGAACAGAAGCAAAAAAAAAAAAATCTCTCTTGCTATGCTTTAGCAAAAAGACTGGTGTCATTGTGCCCCTGCTCTAAGGATCTGTAGAACTTATATCTTGGGGTGACTTAAGGTTTTGGGAGAAAGAAATTTCTAAGCAGCAAAGTGTTCAAGATATGGCTTAGCTGCTGCTAACAGCATACAGTCATGTTTTCACAAAGAGATGGTCTGAAATGGGAACTTACATTTAAAAAGGAAGCAAAGCATAAAAGTTTGGAAAATTTGCAGCCTGACTATGTTGCAGAAGAGAGAGAGGGAAAAAAAAACACACATTTTCTAGGTAGAAATTCAAGCTGGTTGCAGAAATTTGCATGAGTAAGGAGGAGCCAAATGTTAATTGCCATGACAATAGGGAAAATGTCTCCAGGGCATATGAGAGAACTTTGTGACAACCCCTTCCATCACAGGCCCAGAGGCCTAGAAGGGAAAAATAACTTCATGGGCTGGGTCCAGGCGCCCACTGCTCTGTGCAGCCTTGGGACATGGTGCCCTGCGTTCCAGCCACTCCAGCTCCAGCTGTGGCTAAAAGGGACCAAGGTATAGCTTGAGCCATTGCTTTAGAGGGTGCAAGCCCTAAACTTTGGTGGCTTCCTAGATTTCAGAGGATGTATGGAAATGCCTGGATGTCCAAGGAGGTCTTTAGCAGGGACAGAGCCCTCATGGAGAACCTCTACCAAGGCAGTGTGGGGGGAATTGTGAGGTTAAAACCCTCACACAGAGCCCTATTGAGGCACTACCTTGGGAGCTGTGAGAAGAGGGTCACAGTCCCTTAGACCCCAGAATGATAGATCCACCAAGAGCTTGTACTGTGATCCTGGGAAAGCTGCAGGCACTCAATGACAGCCCAAGAAAGCAGCTTCAGGGTCTGCATCCTGCAGAGCCATAGAGTCAGAGCTGCCCAAGGCCTTGAGAGCCTACCCCTTGTGTCACTGTGGCTTGGATAGATGTGAGACAAGGAGTCAAAGGAAATCATTTTGGAGCTTTAAGATTTAATGGCTGCCTTGCTGGGTTTCAGACTTGTGTGGGGCCTGTAACCCCTTTGTTTTGGCCAATTTCTCCCATCTAGACTGGGAGCATTTACCGAATGTTGGTACCGCCATTGTATCTTGGAAGTAACTAACTTGATTTTAATTTTACAGGCTCATAGGCAGAAGGAACTTACCTTGTCTCAGATGAAGCTTTGGACTTGGACTTCTGAGTTAATGCTGGAATGAGTTAAGAGCTTGAGGGACTGATGGGAAGCATGATTGGTTATGAAATGTGAGAAGGACATGAAATTTGGGAGGATCCAGGGGCAGAATGATATGGTTTGGCTCTGTGTTCCCACCCAAATCTCATCTTGAATTATAATCCCTAGATGTTAGGGGAGGGACCTGGTGGGAGGTGATTGGATCAATTTCCCCCATGCTGTTCTCATAATAGCAAGTGAGTTCTCATGAGATCTAATGGTTTAAAAGTGTGTGGTAGTTTCTTCCTTCTTCTCTCTCCTGCTTTGCAATGGTAAATTGTGCTTGCTTCCCTTTCACCTTCCACCATGATTGTAAGTTTCCTAAGGCCTCCCAGTCATGTTTCCTGTTAAGCCTTTGGTACTGTGAGTCAAACACCTTTTCTTCACAAATTCCTCAGTCTCAGGTAGTTTTTTTTAACAGTGTGAGAATGGACTAACACAGATGTCCTTAATTAAACATTAGAAAATCTATATTAGTTTGTTCCCCATTGCTATAAAGAAATACCTGAGACAGGGTAACTTATAAAGGAAAGAGCTTTAGTTAGCTCACAGTTTACAAGCTGTACAGGAAATATGATGCTGGCCATTGGCTGGGCTTCAAGGAAACCCTTAGGAAACTTACAATCATGGCAGAAGGTGAAGGGGAAGCAGGTTTGTTTTACATGGCCAGACTAGGAATAAGACTAATGTGGGTGATATGGTTTGGCTCTGTGTCCTCACCCAAATCTCATCTTGTAGCTCCCATAATTTCCATGTGTTGTGAAAGGGACCTGGTAGGTGATGACTGAATTATGGGGATGGATCTTTCCTGTGCTGTTCTTGTGATAGTGAATAAGTCTCATGAGATCTGATGGCTTTAAAAATGGAGTTTGCCTACAGAAGCTCTCTCTTTGCCTGCTGCCATCCACCTAAGATGTGATTTGCTCCTCCTTGCCTTCCACCATGATTTGGAGGCCTCCCTAGCCATATGAAACTGTAAGTCTGATTAAACCTCTTTTTTTGTTTTTTGTAAATTGCACAGTCTCAGGTATGTCTTTATCAGTCACGTGGAAATGGACTACTACAGTGGGGAAAGTGCCACACACTTTTAAACAACTGGATATCATGAGAACTCACTAACATGATGACCGCACCAAGGGAAGATGGTGTTAAGTGGATTATGGTGTTAAATGCTTCCATAATCCAATTACTTTTCACCAGTCCCCACTTCCAACATTGAGGATCACAACTGAACATGAGATTTCGGTCGGGACACAGATCCAAATCATATTATTCTATCCCAGGTTCCTCCCAAATCTCATGTCTTTCTCACACTGAAAAATACAATTATGCCTTATCATCAATCCATTGAAGTCTTAACCCATTCCAGCATTAACTCAAAAGTTCTGTCTCATCTGAGACAAGGTAAGTCCCTTCTGCCTATCAGCCTACAAAATCCAAAGCAAGCTAGTTACTTCCAAAATACAATGGGGGTACAGGCATTGAGTAAATATTCCCATTCCAAAATGGAGAAAAACGCCAAAAGTAAGGGGCTACAGGGTCCATGCAGTTCCAAAATCCAGCAGGGTAGTCAAGAAATCTTAAGGCTCCAAAATAACCTCTGTTGACCCTATGTCTTACATCTAGGGCACATTAGTGAAAGTGGTGGTCTCCCCAGGCTTTGGTAGCTCTGTGCCTGTGGCTTTGCAAAGTTCAGCCCCCATGGCTGATCTCAAGGGCTGGCATTGAGTGCCTATGGCTTTTCCAGGTGCAGGATGCAAACTACCAATGGATCTACCTTTCTGGGGTCTGGAGGTTGGTGGCCCTCTTTTCACAGCTCCACTAGGCAGTACCTCAGTGACGACTCTGTGTAGGGGATCCAACTTCACATATCCCCCTTTCACTGACTTAGTAGAGGTTCTCCATGAGGGCTCCACTCCTGCAGCAGGCTTCTGCCTGGACATCCAGACTTTTCCATATATCCTCTGAAATTTAGGTGGAGACTCCCAAGCCTGAACTCCTGCACACTGCACTACAGGCTTAACACCACATGGAAGCCATCAAGACTTATGGCTTGCACTCTCTGGAGCAGTGAATCAAGCTGTGCCTGGGCCCCTTTGAGCAGTGTCCCAAGGCTGCACAGGGCAGTGGGACCCTGAACTTGGCCCATGAAACCATTCTGTCATCCTAAGCCTCCAAGCCTGTGATGGGAACAGCTTCTGCAAAGGACTCTGAAATGCCTTCAAGGCCTTTTCCCATTCTCTTAGCTATTGGCATGTGGCCAACTTTTAGATATATAAATTTTTGCAGCCTGCTTGAATTCCTTCCATGAAAATTGGCTTTTCTTTTCTACCACATGGCCAGGTTGCAAATTTTCCAAACTTTTATGCTTTGCTTTTCTTTTAAATATAAGTTCCAGTTTTAAGTCACTTCTTTGCTAACACATATTAGCATAGGCTGTTAGAAGCAGCCAGGTCACATCTTGAGTGCTTTGCTGCTTAGAAGTTTTTTCCACCAGATACCCTAAATCAGCATTCTCAAGTTCAAAGTTCCACAGATTCCTAGATCAGGGGCATAATCAAACCAAGCTCTTTGACAAGGTGTAACAAAAGTGACCACTCCACTTCCCAATAAGTTCCTCATCTTCACCTGTGGCCTATCAGCCTGGCCATCTCTGTTCATGTCACTATTGGTATTTGGGTCATAACCATTCAACAAGTTTCTAAGAAGTTCCAAATTTTTCCTCATTTTTCTATCTTTTTCTGACCCCTCCACACTCTTCCAAACTCTGCCTATTACCCAGTTTCAAAATTGCTTCCACATTTTCAGATATCTTTATAGCAATACTGCACCCCTGGTACCAATTTTCTGTATTAGCCCGTTCTTGCATTGCTAAAGAAATATTTGAGACTGGATAGTTTATAAAGAAAAGAGCTTTAACTGGCTCATGGTTCCACAGGCTGTACAGGAAGCGTAATGCTGGGCATATGCACAGCTTCTGGGGAGGCCTCAAGAAACTTAAAATAATGAAAGAAGATAAAGGGGAAGCAGGATTGTCTTACATGGCCAGGCCAGGATTGTCTTACGTGGCTAGAAAAAGTATCACACATTTTTCAACAACCAGATATCATGAGAACTCACTACCACAATGAGAACACCAAAGGGGAATAGTGTTAAGCCATGAAAAACTGCCCCCATGATCCAATCACCTCTCACCAGGCCTCACTTCCAACATTGATGATCACAATTGAACGTGAGATTTGGGTGGGGACACAGATCAAAACCATAAAAAAAATAAATTCAGTAAAATATAAAAAAGTTAATATATTACAACTAAGAATTATCCTAGGAATGCATGTTTATTTTTAACATTCAAAAATCAGTCAATATACTTCACCACGTTAACAGAATAAAGAAAAATCATATGGTCATATGAATAAATACAGAAAAATCATCTGACAATTTTTGACACCTATTTATGATAAAGATAAAAACTTTAGGCAAACTAGAAAGGATTCTACCACATGATAAAGAGCATCTAAGAAAAATGTACACCCAATATAATACTTAATGTTAAAATGTTGAGTGATATCTGCTCTCAACCCTTCTTAATATTTTACAGAAGGTACTATTCAATGTGATTAGGCAAGACAAGGAAACAATTTGTATAATGATCAGGGGGAAAAAGAGAAGTGAATTTTTATTTGCAGAAGCATTATTATCTACACAGAAAATACAAAGGATTTTATAAAAAAGAAACTGCTATATCTAATAAATGAATTCATCAGTTTCTCAAGGTAAATAGGCAAAAAAAATCATATTTCTACATACCAGCAACAAAAAATTAAAAATAAAATTCAAAAATTGATGTCATTTATAACACCAAAAATTATAAAACCTCAGAATAATTTTTTAAAAAGAGAGAAAAGATCTTTATACTTGAAAGCCACGAACACATTGCTGCAATAAGTTTTAAAATATCTGTATAAATGGAGATATGTACCATGTTCATTAGATGGAAAGTAATATTTTTAAAATTTTGATTTTCTCTCACTTGATCTATAGATTGAAAGATCATTGCAACTCCAGTGCAAATTCCAGCAGGCTTGGCTATTTTAGATAATAATTGATTATCTTATAGTACAATGTATATGGAAATACAAAGGACCTAGAATAGCTAAAAACCATCTTAAGAATGAACAAAGCCAGAGAGCCCACACTCTTAATTTTAAGACTTCCATAATGCTACAGTAATTAATGCAATGTGTAATTGACAGAAGGATACACTAACAGAGCAATAAAACAGAATCATGAGTCTAGAAATAGCTCTACACATTTTGGTCAAATAATCTGTTACAAATGTGTCATGGAAATTCAATGGGAAAAGAAAGCATTTTTAACAGTCCTGGGTCAATATTATGTCAATATGGAAAGAAAACAGAATCATGACTCAATATCATACCATACATTAAAATATCCATATAGTTTATAAACCTAAATGTAAATACTAAAACTATAAAGTTTTAAGAAAAATATGGAATATCTTTGTGACTTTGCATAAGTAGTAGGCTAAATAGTGCCCTACTAAAATATATGTTCACATCTCAACCCCTGGAGCCTGTGAGTAAAACCTTACATGAAAATGATTAACTTAGGAATCTTAAATGGTGAAGCTTATTCTGGATTATACAAGTGAGACAAAGATGCACTCAGATCCATCCTTATAAGAGAGAAACAGAGGAGTTTTGAGTCAGAAAAAAAGGAGGCAACGTGAACACAGATAGAAAGACTTGAATGATGCAGCCAAACCAAGACATTTCTAGCCACCCAAAGCTGAAGGAGGCAAGAAGCAGTGTCCTCTAGAGACTTTGGGGGAACGATAGTTCTGATAATACTTTGATATCCAACTTCTGGCTTGCAGAACTGTTAAAGAATAAATGTCTCTTGTTTTAAGCCACTATTTATAGTAATTTGTTATAGTAGCCACAGAAAACTGACAGAAGGTAGACAAAGATTTCTTAACAAATTCAAAAAGCAGCAACAAAATCAGAAAACAAATGTAGAAATGACATAAAAATAAAAAGCATTTGTTCTTCTTCAAAAACACCATTTAAAAATGAAGCCAAAGAGTGAGAAAAAATATTTTTATCACATATATTCAATAAGGCTTGACTCTAGAATAAAGAACTCTGATAAATCAATAATAAAAAGACAAGCAACCTAATTAAAATACTGAGAGAAGAAAGCAGGCAGATCAAGGTG
Organism: Homo sapiens; assembly: GCF_000001405.40. NCBI lineage: Eukaryota > Metazoa > Chordata > Mammalia > Primates > Hominidae > Homo > Homo sapiens. The sequence goes on from NC_000003.12 coordinate 99,162,543, forward strand.
GTTAAACAGGACCCTCCAGAGATTGTGCCTCCCACAGGAACAATAAATTGAGCAACTAACCATGCAGGAACACCTTCATAAGAACCACAACTTAGGTGAGCAATCACAGTACCTGGTTTTAGTATCATATGAAGGAAGGAGACACTGAAGAGGGTAGAGGGTAGGAAGATAGTCTTGAATTCCCTACACCACTTGTTTCCCCATTTTCCAGCAGTACTACATGACACAGAGAATCTATGTGCTTAGAGGATGGAGAGCAAAGTGATTGTGAGACTTCCCATTGGACCTCAGTGCTGCCCTGTAACAGTGGAAAGAAACACAGGGCAGAATTCAGCTAGTGCCAACAAAGAGAGCCTTTAGACCAACCCTAGCCAGTGGGGTCTCATCCATCCTAGCAGTGGGAGACTGAGCTCTAGCTAGCCCACTACCATAAGCTACAGTACTCTGGGGTCCTAAATAAATCTGAAAGGCAGTCGAGACGACAAGAGTGGCAATTCTTGGGCAAGTCCTGGGGTTGTGCTGGGCTTGGGGCCAGTGAATTTAGGGTGCAGTGGCTTAGTGAGGCATCAGATAAGGAGGCCAAGGGGGTGCTCATGTAACCACTACTCCAACTTCAGGCAGTGCATCTTGCAGCTCTGGCAGAGAGTCCTTCCACTCAAGGAAAGGAGAGGAATGAGTAAAGAGGACTTTGTCTTGCAACTTGGGTATCAGCTCAGCCACAGTAGAATACAGCACCAAGCAGAGTCCTGAAGCCCTTATTCTGGGCTGTAGCTCTCGGATGAAATTTCTGGACCTACCCTGGGCCAGGAGGAAACCTGCTACCCTGAAGGGAAGGACCCAGTCCTGACAATATTCACCACCTGCTGACTAAAGAGCTGCTGGGCTTGAATAAACATCAATGGTAGTCAGGCAGTAATTTCCATGGGCCTTGGGCGAGTCCCAGTGTCATGCTGGCTTCAGGTGTGACCCAGCACACTCCAAGCAGTGGTGGCCATAGGAGTGCTTGCATCACCCCGCCCCAGCTCCAGGCAGCTCAGCCCTCAGGGAGAAACTGCATTTGTTTGAGGGAAAGTAAGGGAAGAGAACAAGAGACTGTGGCTGGTAATCCAGGGAGTTCTCACAGATCTTACCCAAGTTCACCAAAGTGGCACATCTATAAAACTACAAAAGTCACAGCAACACTGGGCTTTATTATCTCCCAATGCAGATAGAGCTTCAGCGACCAAAGATTTAGACCACAACATTCAATTCCCTTGGAATACATAAAAAGCCCTTCTTAAGAAGGACAGATACAAACAAGCCCAGACTGAGAGTATTAGAATTAATACCTAACACTTCAATGCCCAGAAATCAACAAACATCCACAAGACCAAGACCATTTATAAAAACATGATTTCACCAAATGAACTGAATAAAGCACCAGCGATCCATCCTGGAGGAACAGAGATATGTGACTTTTCAAACAGAATTCAAAATAGACTTTCAGACAGATAAGTCAAAACAGCTATTTTGAGGAAGCTCAATGAAATTGAAGATAACACAGAGAAGGAATTCAGAATCCTATCAGACAAATTTGATGAAAAGATTGAAATAATTTTAAAGAATCAAGCAGGAATTCTGGAGCTAAAGAATTCAAATAACACACTGAAAAATGTATTACAGTCTCTCAACAGCAGAATTAATCAAGCAGAAGAAAGAATTAGTGAGCTTGAAGACAGACTATTTGAAAATACACAGTCAAAAATGACAAAAGAAAAATAATAATAATGAATAAAGCACATCTACAAGATCTAGGAAATATCCTCAAAAAGGCAAACCTAAGAATTATTGCCTGAAAGCGGACAGAGAGAGAGAGAGAGAGATTATCTAAAGATATAATATCAGAGAACTTTCCAAACCTAGAGAAATAATCAATATTCAAATACAAGAAGATTTATAGAACTCCAAAGATTTAACCCAAGTAAGACTACCTCAAGATATTTAATAATCAAACTCCCAAAGTCAATAATAAATTCCAAAAAGCAGCAAGAGAAAAAAAAAAGCATGTGAAACAGTTCCAATACATTGACAGCAGACTTCTCAGTGGAAAACTTACAGGCCAGTATAGAGTGGCATGGCATATTTGAAGTTACAAAGAAAAAGAAAACTTTTATCATAGCATATTATATCCGGCAAATATATACTCCAAACATGAAGGTCAATAAAGACTTTTCTAGACTAACGAAAGGTGAGAAATTTTGCCAACACTAGACCCGTCCAACAAAAAAATGCTAAAGAGAGTTCTTCAATCTGAAAGAAAAATGTGTTAATGAGCTATAAGAAATTATTTGGATGTACAAAACTCACTGGTAATAGTAAATATACAGAAAAATACAGAATGCTATGACACTGTAATTTCTGTGTGCTCATATCTTGAGTAGGAAGACTAAAAGATGAATAATAACTACAACAACTTTTTAAGACATAGTATAATAAGACATAAATGCAAACAACAAAAATTTTAAAACGTTGGGGGATAAAATTAAAGGGCAGAGTTTTATTAGTTTTCTCTTTGCTTGTTTGTTTTCTTTAATTTTTGGAATCTGTTAAGTTTTCATCAGTTTAAAATAATGAGTTACAAGATAATATTTGCAAGTCTCATGGTAACCTCAAATCAAAAAAGCTACAATAGATCCACAAAAAATAAAAATAAAAACCAAGAACATAAAACATACCATTGCGTAAAATAATCTTCACAAAAGATAGGAAAAAATGAAGGAGGAAAGACCACAAAACAACAAGAAAAAATATATTTAAATGGCAGTACTAGTCCTTACTTATCAATAATAACATTGATTGTAAATGGACTACACTCTCCAATTAAAAGACATAGGGTAACTGAAGGGATTTTCTGCTGCCTACAAGAAACACACTTCACCTATAAAAACACACATAGACTGAAAATGAAGACATGGAAAAAGACATTCCATGTGAATGGAAACCAAACAATAGCAGGAGTAGCTATACTTATTTCAGACAAAATAGATTTCAAGACAAAAACTGTAAAAGGAGACAAAGAAGGTCCTCATATAATGATAAAGGGGTCAATTCAGCAAGATGATATAATTGTAAATATATAAACACCCAACACTGGGTCACCCAGATATATAAAGCAAGTATTAGAGCTAACAGAAACATGGATCTATATAAAATAATGGGGAGAGACTTCAATACCTCACTTTAAGCGTTGGATAGATCATCCAGACAGAAAATCACCAACGCAACACTCAACTTAATCTGCACTAGAGATCCAATGGAGCTAACAGATATTCACAGAACGTTTCATCCCACGGCAGCAGAATAAAAATTCTTCTCTTCAATACATGAAATATTCTCAAGTATGGATCATATGTTAGGTAGGCCACAAAACAAATCTTAAAAAGTTCAGAAAATGTACGTTTATCAAGTTTCTTCACTGACCACAATGGAATAATGCTAGAAATCAATTCCAAGAGGAATTTTAGAAACTATATAAACACATTGAAATTAAACAATATGCTCCTGAATGCGAGTGTGTCAATGAAGAAATTAAGAAGGAAATTAAAAATTTCTTGAAACAAATATAAACAGAAGCACAATATCAAAATTTATGGAATACAGCAAAAGCAGTACTAACAGGAGAGTGTGTAGCAATAAGCATCTTTACAAAAAAATAGCAAAACTAGCAATGCATCTTAAATAATTAGAAAAGGAAGAGGAAACCAAACCCAAAGTTAGTAAAGGAAAATAAACAATAAAGATCCAAGCAGAAATAAATGAAATTGAACCAAGAAAACAATATGAAAGCTTAATGAAACAAAGTTGAGTTTTTTGAAGAAAGAAAGAAAGCAAGCTAACAAATTCTTTTTTTATTATTATACTTTAAGTTCTGGGTTACATGTGCAGAATGCTCAGTTTTGTTACATAGGTATACACATGCCATGGTGGTTTGCTGCACCCATCAACCCATCACCTACATTAGGTATTTCTCCGAATGTTATCCCTCCCCTAGCCTCCCACCCGCTGCAGGCCCCAGTGTGTGATGTTCCCCTCCCTGTGTCCATGTGTTCTCATTGGAAAGCTACATTCTTAATCAAACTAACTAAAAAAGAGAGAAGACACAAGTAAATAAAATCAGAGATGAAAGAGGTGACATTACAACTGACACTGCAGAAATATAAAGAATCATTAGCAACTACTATGAGCAACTACAGGTCTATAAATTGGAAAAACTTAGAAGAAACTGATAAATTCCTAGAGACATAAAATCTACCAAGATTGAACCATGAGAAAATCCAAAACTTGAACAGATCAACAACAAATAATGAGATAAAACCATAATAAAAAGTTTTCCATTAAAGAAAAGCTCAAGAATCAAAGAATTCACTGCTGAATTTTGTCAAACATTTAAAGGAAAAATAACACTGATCCTACTTAAACTATTCTAAAAAATACAGAAAAAGGGAACAATTCTAAACTCATTCTATGAGGCCAGTATTGCTCTGATGCCAAAACCAAAAACACATAAAGAAAACAAAACTACAGGCCAACATCTCTGATAAACATTGATGCAAAAATCCTCAAAAATACTAGCAAACTGAATTCACCAACACATTAAAAAGATTATTCATTATGACCAAGTGGAATTTATTCCAGTGATGCAAGAATGAGTCCACATATGCAAATCAATCAGTGTGATACATCATATCAAGAGAATAAAGGACAAAAACCATATGATCATTTCAACTGATGCTGAAAAAACATTTGGTAAAATTCAACACCCCTTCTAAAAACAACCCTAAAAAAACTGGGTATAGAAGGAACATACCTCAACATAATGAAAGCCATATGTGACAGACCCACAGATTGTATCATATTGAACAGAGAAAAACTGAAAGCCTATCCTCTAATATCTGCAACAATATGGAAATGGTCACTTTCACCACTATTTTTCAACATAGGACTGGAAGTCCTACCTATACCAATCGGACAAGAGAAAGAAATAAATGACATCAAAATTGGAAAGAAAGAAGTTAAAATATCCTTCTTTACAGATTGTATAATTTTATATTTGGAAAAATCTTAAGACTCCACCTAAAAGCTATTAGAACTGATAAACAAGCTCATTAATATTGCAGGGTACAAAATTAACATACAAAATCAGTGGCATATCTATATGCCAACAGCAAACAATCTTAAAAAGAAATAAAAAAATGTAATCCCATTTACAATAGTGACAAATGGAATACCTAGGAATAAACATAGCCAAAGTAGTGAAAAATCTCCACAATGAAAATTATAAAACATTTATTTAAGAAATTGAAGAGAACACAAAAATTAAAAGATATTTTATATTCATGGATTGGAAAAATTAATAGTATTAAAATGTCCATACTACCTAAAACACTCTACAGATTCAAGCAATTCCTATCAAAATATCAATACATTCTTCAGAGAAATAGAAACAAATTATCCTAAAATTTATGTGGAACTGTAAACAAAACAAAACAAAACAAAACAGGATAACTAAAACCAACCTGAACAAACAGGACAAAACAAGATGAGACACATTATGTGACTTCAAATTATACTACAGAGATATAGTAACCCAAACAGCATGAAATGGCATTTAAACAGACACTTAGACAAATGGAACAGAATAGAGAATGTAGAAGTAAACCATACTTCTATAGTGAACTCATTTTTGACATAGGTGCCAAGAACAGACATTGGAGAAAGGACAATCTCTTCAAAAAGGTGCTGTGAAAACCGGATATCCATATGCAGAAGATGGAAACTAGACCCCAATCTCTCACCATATAAAAATGTCAAACTAAAATGGATTGGAGACTTAAATCTAAGACCTGAAGCCATGAAACTACTAAAAGAAAACTAATGAAACTTTTTAGGTCATTGGTCTGGGCAAATATTTCTTTAGTAATACCTCAAAAGCACAGGATACCAAAGCAAAAATGGGATCACATGAAGTTAAATAGCTTCTTCACAGCAAAAGAAACAATTTTAAAAAATGAAGAGACAACCCACAGAATGGGAGAAAGCTTTTTTTTCTAATTATTTTACTAACTTTTATTTTAAGTTCTGGGGTACATGTGCAGAATGTGCAGGTTTGTTACATAGGTAGACGTGTACCATGGTGGTTTGCTGCACAGATCAACCCATCATCCAGTTATTAAGCCCAGCACCCATTAGCTGTTCTTCCTGATGCTCTCCCTCCCCAGCATGCCCAACAGGCCCCAGTGTGTGTTTTTCCCCACAATGTGTTCATGTGTTCTCATCATTCAACTCCCACTGATGAGTGAGAACAGGTGGTGTTTGGTTTTCTGTTCCTACATTAGTTTGCTGAAGATAACAGCTTCCAGCTATATCCATGTCCCTGCAAAGGACATGATCTCATTCCTTTTTATGGCTGCATAGTATTCCATAGTGTATATGTACCACATTTTCTTTATCCAGTCTACTGCTGATGGACATTTGGGTTGATTCCATGCCTTTGCTATTGCAAACAGTGCTTTAATGAACATATGTGTGTATGTATCTTTATAATAGAATGATTTCTATTCCTTTGGGTTTATACCCAGTAATGGAATTGCCGGGTCAAGTGGTATTTCTGCTTCTAGATCTTTGAGGAATTGTCACACTGTCTTCCACAATGCTTGTACCAATTTACATTCTCATCAACAGTGTAGAAGTGTTCCTTTTTCTCCACAACCTCACCAGCATCTGTTGTTTCTTGACTTTTTAATAACTGCTATTCTCACTGGTGTGAGATGGTATCTCATTGTGATTTTGATTTGCATTTCTCTAATGATCAATGATGTTGAACTTTTTTCATGTTTGTTGGCTGCATGAATGTCTTTTTTGAGAAGTGGCTGTTCATGTCCTTTGCCCAATTTTTGATGCGGCTGTGTGTTTCTTGTAAATTTGTTTAAGTTCCTTGTAAATACTGAACAGTAGACTTTTGTCAGATGGATAGACTGGAAAAATTTTCTCCCATTTTGTAGGTTGTCTGTTCAGTCTAATGACAGTTTCTTTTGTTGTGCAGAAGGTCTTTAGTTTAATTAGATCCCATTTGTTAATTTTTGCTTTTGTTGCAAATGCTTTTGGTATTCTAATCATGAAATCTTTGTCACTATCTATCTGACAAGGAATTAATAACTAGAAAATATATGAATATTAAAAAGTAGAAAAAAATCTAAAAATTCAATCAAAAACGGGCAAACAATCCAAATAGACATCTCTCAAAAGGAGACATAAAAATGGCAAACAGGTATATGAAAAGTTGCCCAACATCATTTATCATCAGAGAAATGCAAATCAAAACTACAATAAGATATCATCTCACCCTGTTAAAATGGCTTTTATCCACATGTCAGGCAATAACATGCTGGTCAGGATGTGGAGAAAAGAGAGCCCTCGTACACTGTTTTCTGGGAATGTAAGTGTATGAAGAACAGTTTGGAAGTTTCTCAAAAAACTAAAAATAGAACTACCATATGATGCAGCAATCCCACTGTTGGGTATATATATCCAAAGGTAAGAAAATTAGTTTATTGAAATGATACCTGCACTCCATGCTTATTGCAACACTATTCATAATAGCTAAGACTTGGAAGCAATCTTTCACCAGCAGACAAATGGATACAGAGAATGTGGCACATGTACACCATGGAATACTGCACAGCTATAAAAAAAGGATGAGGTCATGTCCTTTGCAGCAACATGGATGGAACTGGAGGCCATTATCTTATGTGAACTAACACAGGAACAGAAAACCAACTACCGCATGTTCTTACTTATAAGTGAGAGCTAAACATTGAATACATACGGACACACAAAAAAGAGTGCAACAGACACAGGACCTACTTGATGGTGGGAGGGCCGTGGGTGAGGACTGAAAAACTTCCTATCCTGTACAATGCTTATTACCTGAGTGGTGAAGTAATCGGTACACCAAACTCCTGTGGCATGCAGTTTACCTATATAACAAACCTGCAAGTGCACCCCTCAACCTAAGACAAAAATTTTTTTAGAAAGGAAGAAAATAGTGACAGGAAACTTTCCAGGGTGGCAAGGGCAATGTTCTAATATATCTTGATTGCAAAGTTGGTTACACATTTGCTAAAATTTATCCAACTCTATACTTAGAATATGTACATTTAATATGTAATAGTGAATCAATTACAAATAAATCCAGCAGACTAGAAGCAGCTAGTGTGTGCTGTTCTCATGAAGTGAAAAAAAGAGTGGGGTGTAATTACTAGATCTTCAGCTGGAACATCGAGGTCACATTGGGATTCATCAAGGAAACAACTCAGAATGGAGAAGAACAAGTGGATTGGTTCCCTCAAGGGTGGCATGGAGCCAGGGGAGGCTTCCTTACCTGGTGAAATGGCGAGAGTGCGAGAATTCCTTGTGACCAACACTTCTGCCGTGGGCCTTGCAACCCTGGACTCAAGGTGATCCCCCTGTGAGCCCACCTCACCAGGGCCTGCAGACTGACAGAGACCCATGCGGAGTCTGAGCAGAGCGGTAGCTCAGGCACACATGAAGTCCCAACTCTTGGAGCCTTGATTCCTCAGGCATCCTGGAGTTAGCAGCTGCAGCTCTGGTCATTGAGGAGGTCAAGTTCCCCCACACTTCCCCAGGAAAGGGGCCAAGTACAGGGGGCTGAGCAGTTACAGACTGCAGGCCTCGTCTTTACTGTATTTCACAGGATAAGGCCCACTGGCCTAGGTCTCCAGCCACTCCCCATCTGGGCTCTTGGGCTAGTAGCAGCTCTGCACTTCCCTGGATGGAGTTCCCAGTGAGAGAGGCCAGCCACCATTTTTGCTGTCTCACAGACCCTACTACTATAGCCTTCAGGCTCTAGTGGTGATTAGAGAGTGGCATGGATTTCCAACACAATATAGTCATCCCACAGAAATGGTGGCTAGACTATTTGTTTAGGTGGGTCCCTGATTCCACTTTTCCTCACTGGGCAGGACACCCCAACTTGGGACTCCAGCCACCCCCTGACCAGGGTTCTCAGACCATCAGGAGCTCTGCACTTGCCCGGGATGGAGCTCCCAGAGGGAGAGGCTGGCTGCAATTTTTGCTGTCTCACAGCCTCCACTGCTATAGCCTTCAGGCTCTGGAGAGCAAGTGGTGATTAGGGAGTGTTTTCAGTCCCCTGCACAGTGTAGCCAACCCATGCAAAAGCATACAGATTGTTTTTTATACAGGTCCCCGATCCTGCTTCTCCTCACTGGGACTTCAGCCACCCACCACTGGGGTTCTTGAGCCATTAGCAGCTCCGCAATGGACAGAACTCCCAGAGTGAGAGGCCAGCTGCCATTTTTGCTGTCTCACAGTCCCCACTGCTATAGCCTTCAGGCTGTGGAGAGTGCATTGTGATTAGGGAGTGGTGTGGTTCCCCAGCATAGCACAGCCATACCGTGGAAAAGTGGCCAGACTGTTCTCCACACAGGTGCCTGTCACTGCTTTTCCTCACTGGGCAGGACTTCCCAACCTGGGACTCCAGCACCACTACCCTGCCCTCACTTGAATACTGCAGTCAGAAGCAGTTCCGCATTTCTCTGAGGAGGAAATCCCAGAGACAACTCATAACCTCTCTGCCATTGCACCTACAGTGGTACCATCCTAACTGCCCTTGGCAGAGGAAGGAACAAAGGGCCTAGTCTCTCACCTGCAGCATACCACAGCAGTCATATAGACAGGAGTCCAGTGACTTTTAACTGTGAGCCCCTACTCCCAACTATTCACCAGGAAGGGAAGAGCATGCCCACTGGTAGTGGCTCTGTGTTTCCCTGGAGAGGGGCTCCCAGAGGCAACTGGGCTCTCCTGCCACTGCCACAGCAATGGTTCTGCCCCTAATGTCTTTGATCTGGGGAAGAAACAAAGAGCCTAAGGTCGTCACCTAAGCTGCCATCATACCACAGTCACCATAGAGAGAGGAGCACAGTTCCTCATCGCTGTGAACCCTTGAGTCCCCATTCTTCAACAAACAGAGCCACCATCTAGGGCCAGCAGAGCAGCCACCCCAAACCCATGGCTGAACATTCCCAGTAGCAGTGGCTTTATGTTTCTCTGAGGTCAAGCTTCCAGAGGCAATAGAAAACTCCCTGCCACTGCCATTGCAGTAGTACTGCATTTGCTGCCCTCAGATCAGGGAGGAGCAAAGACCCTCAGTGCTTTAACCACACCTCCAGCAAGCTGCAGTTGCCCTAAGGAGGAGACGCCAGTCTTTCTTCCCCAGCTCCCACACTCTGCTGTTTCTCACCACGCAGGGCCTCCCTGGCTTAGGCTCACAGCTCAGCCAACCTATCCTGTGCAAATCACACTGATTGATAGTGGCTCTGCATCTCTCTAGGGTCAGCCCCAAGAGATAGGTGGAAAACCCACTACCACAACCAATGCTAAGATCCCTTCCCCTGCTGCCTCCAAGCTGAGGACGAAACATAAGGCCTGAGATTGTCCCAGAGCTTCAGTGTGCAGCCTGGGAGTGCCAAGCTGAGATCTTAGGATAGGAGAGGAGCCCATACCTTCAGATCACTGAGAGGGAGCACAGCTACAATCATGAGGAAATACAAAGAAGCCTTCTGACTGGGAAAAAAGAGCCTACCTACTGGCCATTACACTTAAGCGCCACCTAGTGGATCACAGCCCAAAACAGCAACACAAGAAATAACTTGGCTGATACACTCCCCTGTGAAACTAAGGACATGAATTCAGCTACAAATAAAGACCCTGCACAAAGCCTTGGCCCGCTGAAAACATCCAGAAAAAGTCTACTGACTACTCATTTACACTGCAATTAAAGGAATACTAGCCCACACAGATGAGAAAGAACCAGTGCAAGAATTCTGGCAACTCAAAAAGCCAGAGCACCTTCTTTCCTCCAAAATTTCATGTTACTTCCCCAGCAAGGGTTCTTAACCAGGCTGAAATGGCTGAAATGACAGATATATAATTCAGAATATGGATAAGAATGAAGATCATTAAGATTCAGAAGAATGTTGAAACCCATTCCAAGGAAGCTGAGAATTACAATAAAATGATACAAGAGCTGATAAATGAAATAGCCATTATAAAAAACAACCAAACTGATCTAATAGAGCTGGAAAACACACTACAAAAATTGCATAATGCAATAGCAAGTATTAACAGCAGAATAGACCAAGCTGAGGAAAGAATCTCAGAGCTCAGAGACTGGCTGTCTGAAATAAATCAGTCAGAGAGAAATAAAAAAGAACGAATAAAACCCACAAGAAATATGGGAATATGTAAAGAGGCCAAATGTATGACTTGTTGGTGTCCCTGAAAGAAACAGGGAAAAAGCAAGCTACTTGGAGAAAATATTTCAGGATATCATCTATGAAAACTTCTCAAACTTTCCCGAAGAGAACAACATTCAAATTGAGGAAGTGCAGAGAACTTCTGTGAGATATTACACAAAAATACTATCCCCAAGATACATAATTATCTGATTCATCAAGGTCAAAATGAAAGAAAAAAATGGTAAAGTCAGCTTGAGAAAAGAGGTAGGTCACCTGCAAAGGGAACCCCATCAGGGTAACAGCAGTACTTTCAACAGAAACCCTATAAGCCAGAAGAGATTGGGGGCCTACATTAAACATTCTAAAAGAAAAAAAAAATTCAATCACAAATCATTAGAGAAATGCAAATCAAAACTACAGTGAGATACCATCTCACACCAGTCAGAATGACTATGATTAAAAACTAAAAAAATAACAGGTGCTGGTGAGGTTTTGGAGAAAAGAGAATGTTTATACACTGCTGGTGGGAGTGTAAATTAGTTTAGCCCCCGTAGAGAGCAGTTTGGAGATTTATTTTATTTTATTATTATTATACTTAAGTTTTAGGGTACATGTGCACAATGTGCAGGTTTGTTACATATGTATACATGTGCCATGTTGGTGTGCTGCACCCATTAACTCGTCATTTAGCATTAGGTATATCTCCTAATGCTATCCCTCCCCTCTCCCCCCACAACAGACACCGGTGTGTGATGTTCCCTTTCTTGTGTCCATGTGTTCTCATTGTTCAATTCCCATCTGTGAGTGAAATTTCTCAAAGAACTTAAAACAGAACTACCATTAGACCTAGCAATCTCATTAGTGGGTATATATCCAAAGGAATATAAATCATTCTACCGTAAAGACACATGCACTTGTATGTTCCATGTAGCAATTTTCACAATAGCAAAGACATGGAATCAACCTAAATGCCCATCAATGGTAGAATGGATGAAGAAAGTGTGATACATATACATCATAGAATACTATGCAGCCATAAAAAGAATACAATCATGTCCTTTGCAGCAGCATGGATGGAGCTAAAGGCCATTATACTAATCAAATTAACACAGGAACAGAAAATCAAATACTGCATGTTCAGATTTACAAGTGGGAGCTAAACAATAATGACACATGGATACTAGGAGAGGATCAACAGACACTGGAACTTACTTGAAGGTAGGGGGTGGGAAAAAGGAGAGGATAGGAAAAAATACCTAATAAGTATAATACCAGGTATTGTGCTTATTTCCTGGGTAACAAAGTTACCTGTACAACAAACCTCCGTGACATGTAGTTTACCTGTACAACAAACCTGCACATGTAACCCTGAACCTAAAAGTTAAAAAATAAAAATAAAAAATAAAAGGAACAATGTATATTTGGTTAGATTGCTGAAAGCTTCAATTATTTAATGATTATTAAATTATGCAATTTATAAGTAAGAAGTTGGAAATCAAAGTGAATGGCTCAGTTACATGGGAAGTAAAACTGCCTCATCGTAGTCAATTGTAGCAATTACGACAGCAAATGAGGACAAAGCCCAAGCAGCTTGTTCATTTTCTCTGTCATGAACCTGAATATTTATGACAATGAATTCATCTGGAATTTCACAAGAAATTAAACCATAACAGAAGTGACTTCTAATTCCCCTCTCCACCAGAAATGATGTAATAAAGTGCTATAAATTTCATTAATGGGCTCGTTTCCTTCCTTGCTGTGGAACATCAACCACAGTCCTGCCAGGTGGGTACACTGATTAAATGCCATATAACCCTAGGAAGGACATTAACGACCACTGGAGATTCTATATAGACATAATAATATGCAAAACTCTAGGAGAATGCATGTGCATGGCTAGTTTAGAGCAAATGTAACATATTTCTTTCATATTAAAAACTAGGAGTTTTTATGAGAAATGTATGTTTGATCTTTGACAACTACAATTTTTAAAAATTGTTTTTAAACAACATAGGCTTATGTTGATGAATAATCAGAGGCTGCAAGTAAAAACATTACAAATAATAGTAGAGGATCAACCTGTGCTTATTTATAATTGACATGTAAAACAGAATCTGACTTGAATATAATTTTTTACTATATCAAATGTGAATTGAAAGTGATTAGAAAAATTTATTCTATCATATGCGTATCAACATAACCCCAATTGCAAATTGATAATGCAGACATTTCCTAGATACCATAATACTATTTCCCCCTATTAATCAGCTTACTCAGAATGCACCTAATAGAGTAAAACTCTGAAATGTTTTATCTCCCCAGATAGACTCTAATTTTTATATGGATACCTTTCCTACCAGTTATTGGCTTTTGCTGGAAAGACTATAATAGGAAAAGTTCACAATGTTTATAATATTAATAATTTAAGCTTTTTTCTAACGTTAATAATAAATTATCTTTTATTAAGGTCTTATAATATGCTCAGCTATTTGATAAGTGCTCTGTCAGCAGTATTTCTATTAATCCTCACCATAACCTTTTATGAAAGTGTTGTGTTGTTAACTTCCATTTTATAGATAGGGAAACCAGGGCATCAGCAGGTAAAGTGTTTTTCCAAAGGTCTCACAGATGACGGCAAAAAGTGGGATCACGATTTATACTCTGATTAGTGTGCCTCCTAAGTTCAAACTACTTACTACTCACACTGATACTTCTCATCTCTCTTACCTCATGGCATAATATGCATTCAGTAGAATAAACAGTTTGAACCTTAGCAAAAATTGTGCAATATTACCTAATGTTCCAAATAATTTGGAAGCATTTTATATGTGTTCACTATAAACCAAGTCATAAGAAATGATTTACTTGTTATATAAACACACTTTTAAGTTGTTATAACTTGACTGAGTTGTTAAACTTTTTATAGTGCGACCTGACAGAGTTTAACTTATTATTTTTATGTAAACACTTAATGTCTTTGTATTTGATCTTTTAGTGTTTACATATTAGCTTGAGAATCTTGGCTTTTGCCTATTTATAGAATCAAATATTCTTAGTTTAAAGGTAAATTACAGATTACTAGTTCAGTATCACATTAAATGCAGTCATCCTCTGTTTATGTTTCCTCCATAACCTTTGTGATTATCTTCAGTAATAAATCTATCAAATATTCTCTACTGTGTCACTATGCTGAGAATAGCTATAACACACATATGAAATTGAGTTCATATTGTTTTATGTATAAAAAATAAACCCACTAAATAATTAAAAAATAGTTTTCTAAATGTCTTTCTTAAAGATTGCCCTTAAAAAGGACTTTCAGTAAGATAAAATATTAACCCTGAGGAAAAAGTGAGTTCCGAGAAGGAATAGGAAGCAAAGATACTTAAAAATATTAAACTAAAAATGTATTTAGAAAAGTGTAATAAAAGTTTCACATAGTTTTTGGAGATAAACAGCAAGTTATCATTCTTGTTTAGGAAAAGAACCAAAATGTTAACTAATTTTTTTACTTTTTCAGAAAAATATAAAGCTAATTAGGTTTTAAAACTTCAAAGGAGAGCACTAAATTCATGGAAATAAATGCTATCCCTTCTAATTCAGGAGAAGAAAAAAGAAAACTACCTTATCAATACAACAAGAAGTCAGGAAAAGAGGTAAGTAAAATATGTTTCATTATAAGATTGCAGAAATAAATCTAAATGTATTAGTAATCACAATAAAATTTCTTTGATTCAGTACAACCAGTAAAATATATAGATTATAGGATTGGATAAAGCTGTAATAGCTACACTTTATAAAAGACACTTGTAAAAGGAACATGAAGATTTAAATGCAGATACTTTAACATAATGAATTAGGAAAATATCAAAGAAAAATTGTTGTCCAAGATGATTTTACATCTGAAAGAAAACAATTTTATGGTGCTTAAAAGTACATTTATAAATTTTGACTAATTTGGGTTTATGCCAGGAATTTAAGGATAGCATAACATCAGAAATATTTACGTGATCCATCACATTAACAGACTGAAGAAAAGTTGTAGATAATTTCAATATATGCAGTAATATTGGAAAAATTTAATAATTCATTATTTTCAAAAATCTTAAAAAACTAGGAATTGAAAGAAACACCCTTAAGTCTTATCTATTGTAAACAGTGCTACAACAAACGTAGGAGTGTTATTATTTCTTCAATACACTAATTTACTTTCTTTTGGGTATATAACCAGTAGTGGGATTGCTGGATCATATGGTAGCTCATCTTTTAGTTTTATGAGAAACCTCCAAATGGTTCTGCATACCTATATGTCCATCAAACAGATGAATGGATTTGAAAAATGTGGTACATATACACAATGGAGTACTATTAAGCCATAAAAAAGGATGAGATCTAGTCATTTGCAACAATATGGATGAAACTGGAGATCATTATGTTAAGTGAAATAAGCCAACTACAGAAAGACAAATATCACATATTCTCACTTATTTGTGGGATCTAAAAATCAAAACAGTTGAACTCATGGACATAGAGAATAGAAGGATGGTTACCAGAGGCTGGGAAGGGTAGTGGGGTGTTGGGTGGGGGGGGGTGGGGATGATTAATGGGTACAAAAACAACAGAAAGAATGAATAAGACTTACCATTTGATAGCACAATAGGGTGACTATTGTCAATAATAACTTAACTGTATATTTTTAAATAACTTAATGTATTTGATTGGTTGTAACTCAAAGGATAAAAGCTTGAGGGGATAAATACCTCATTGTCCATGATGTGCTTATTTCACACTGCATGCCTGTATCAAAACATCTCATGTACCACATAAATATATACACCTACTATATACCCTCAAAATTTTAAAAAATAATTCTAAAAATTTTTAAAAAGAAAAAGATGGAAAGAATGAAGAAGACCTACTATTTGATAGCACAACAGGGTGACTATAGTCAATAATAACTGAATTGTACATTTTAAAACAACTTAAAAAGTGTAAATGCATTGTACATAACTCAAAGGATAAATGCTTGAGGGGATGGATACCCCATTCTCCATGACATGCCTATTTCACATTGCATGTCTGTATCAAAACATCCCATGTACCCCATAAATATATATAGCTACTAGGTGGCCAAAAAAATTAAAAATTTAAAAAAGAAACTCCTTTAAATTGATAAAACCAAAACTTGCATCAAATTGTATTAGTCCATTCCCATGCTGCTATGAAGAAATACTTGAGACTGAGTAATTTATAAACAAAAGAGGTTTAATTGACTCACAGTTCCACATAACTGGGGAGGCCTCAGGAAACTTACAATCATGGTGGAAGGCCCCTCTTCACAGGGCGGCAGGGAGAGAATGAGTGCAAGCAGGGGAAATACCAGACACTTATAAAACCAACAGATCTTGTGAGACTCACTGATTATCACGAGAACAGCATGGGGGAAATTATCCCCATGATTCAATTACATCCACCTGGTCCCACCCTTGACATTTGGGGATTATGAGGATTACAATTCAAGATGAGATTTGGGTGGAGTCCCAGAGCCAAACCTTATCACAAATACTACATTTAATAATAAAAACTTTATTAGAAACATCTTCAATTAAGACAAAAATAACCACTAAGCCCACTAGTTTCCAACATAGTAGATATTATAGCCAATTAATGAAGATAAAAAGTTAGAGTTTTAAAAATTATAAAAGATAAGGTAAAATTAACATTATTTTAAAATAATCTCAGAGAATCTAAAAGCTAGGAAAGACTTTTGCAGGCCTGCTGATACAAGATCAACAAACAGAAGTCACTATTGTTCCTACTTGTATTAAAATATGTAAAAAATGTAGCAATAACATAATCTTGTTTTTAAGAAAAATAAACTCTAAAGCTACAATGAATAAATCTAGTAAAATATTTACAGAATGTTATGGAGAAAACTGAAGGACATAAAAGGAAACCTGACTAAATGGGACCAAAAACTATTGTTTATGGATTGGAAGAATTGGTATAATAAAGATGTTATTTTATCCAAATGAATTTATAATTAAAATAGTTCTCAACATAACAACAGTAATTCATACACTAACAAATGTTTTTCGAAAATTTATATAAATGAAAGGTAATAAAAATACAAAATGATACTGGATGCATATCCACCAAATTAATGACATTGTTTGCTTCTGAGCAGGGAGAAAGGGAAGGGTGCTGGCAAGAAGAATAAAGGAAATTTATATCTCATCAGCCAAGCCTTATTTTTCATAATCACAATGTCTGAAGAACAAATTGTGAATATGGTGAAAATGCTGGCTTGAGAATTCATATTTGTTTAGTGCCATCTTTACCTTTCTCTACTGTTTAAACTTTTCAAATAAAATAGAAATGTTAGTCTTGACAGAATCTCCTCAGAAGATTTGTAGACAGTAGCAATATGAACTTTCATTTTAATTCATTTCACCTCGGCCTCCCAAGGTGCTGGGATTACAGGTGTGGGCCACAGCATCAGGCCTATTTTCTTTTTTGTTGTTATTGAGAAAGTGTCTCTGTTGCTCAGGCTGGAGTGCAGTGGTGGGATCATGGCTCACAGCAACCGCCGCCTCCTGGGCTCAAGCAATTCTCCCACCTCAGCCTCCAGAATAGTTGGAACTACATGCCACCTCACCCAGTTAATTTTTGTATTTTTTTGTAGAGACAGGATTTCACCATGTTGCCCAGATGATCTAGAACTTCTGAGATCAAGCAGTCCACCCACTTTGGCCTCCCAAAGTGCTGAGATTACAGGGGTGAGTCAATGCACCTGGCCTAAAGCAATTGAGTACTAACATTAATTTTTGCTATAAAGACTGGCACCATTGACCTTTACCTAAAGACAGCTAATGAGCTCCATTTAGTCAGTTACATAATTTACCTTCCCAATACCAAGGATATCTAAAATCCTAGAAATTATTTCAGTTGTTTAGAGATTTATTTCAATTATTAACAACTGTATATAGTAAAAGCATTGTTCTTGAGCTAAATTACGAAAAATGATCAAGCATATAAACCACTTATGAAGCATTCACTTATATGCTGGTTTCATGTGAGTCACAAACTTAATATTCTAAGCAACCATTTCAGCTAAAATTTTTTGAATACTGTTTTCTAGATGTATAGCTGTTCCAATATTTACTTGTTTGGGCTTGTTCAACACCACATTGTCTAGATAGAATGACTTGTAGAGTAACTGGTTCTAATTACATTTCAAAACTTTACTATATATTTTATTTATATTACTAAGACTCATTTTGTTCTAATTGTTACCAAATATCAGCTCTTATTGTTATTAAAACCAGAGTTGTTTACAAGTTAGCCAATTTTGTGAGAGTAGCAAAATATATTTTAAAGCCAAAGTAATTAATGCTCATGTATATAGTTAGTTTTGCAAAAGTAAAGAACAAGACAAAACAAAACAAGACACTAAAGACTTTCCATAAAGGTGAACATCTTTGGACAGAGTGGGGAGAGTTTCAGTTGAGCTTATCTAGGCTCATGAGAATCAATCTTGTTCTTGGGACTCTTGACTTTTAGCCAAAATATGATCTCTATTTAATTCAGGGGAACCTGGAGAATTTTCCTCAAATGAAGAACAAAGATTGTATAGAACATGTATCATATTTGCTAATTAGTATTTACCCTCTCATTTTAGTAGCAAAGTGATTTTTTTAGGTAAAGGGTTAATAATGATTTGATTTTATATATCTTGAAAGACACTCTTCTCCATCCAAAGGTATGAATGAAATTCATTAGGAAGAAAATTATATTCCTATAATACAGCTCCTTATGCTAACTAGTTTAGTAACCTTTTTATCTAACCTTTTCCAAGGGAAAGCTGAGATTGAAGATGACTATTCCATCCTCAATAAAGGATGCTTGCATACACAACACATGATAGACAATGTTTAATTCATTAACTGGCTAGAATCTAGGTAATAAAAGAGGGACAGCTGGGTGCCTGATGGAGCATCCCTCTGTACACTTTAGAATAATTTATCTTAAGTCATGAGGCATGGGAAATGAATTTGTATTACTGGAGAAAATGGTTCTAATCAAAATTAAAGGAAGATTGAAAACTCTGATCTAAACACATTGCTGGAACTATCTGATATCTAGCTGTTGGGGTTTAAGAAAAGGCCTAAGCAACTGGATGCATGCAAGATTAAAGGAATTAGGATTATTTGGTTTGGAGAAAGCACAGTCGGAAAGTTACTGACCATGATTATTTAAACATGATATTATTTGGAGGATGTTGATCAGCTGTTCTCCAGCCCCAGTATGCCCTTCATGTAAAAAAAAAATATTTAAAATAGCAAAAAGAGAAATACAGACTAGGTAACATGAGGAATTTACAAACCCTAGTGTGAAGATATCACGATTTAGAAAAAAAGACCATATAAATGATTATTATAAATAATCGTTGAGGGAGCTCACATCCAGCCATATAAATCCCATAACAGACTGTTTGTACAAACATTCTAGGTAACATATTCATGGCATTCATTTGGATTAAAGAGAAGTGTCTAGTTACATGATTACATAAATTGGAAGGTAATGATTTTTATGTCACTTAAAAGTAAAAAAAAAAAAAAAAAAAAAAAACACGTGCCAGAGTGCCTATTTTTCTTTTAAAAGCATTGAACTCTTTCCCAAGCTAAAGATGCAATCTTTGCAACACTTGCTGTCATTCTTTGATCCCATGGTCATAATAGAAAGGCATTCAACAGAGAGCAGAAAAATCCACTCTGCTGTTCTCCTGATGTTCCCACATTTTTCTTTCTTTTTTTTTTTTCGAGACAGAGTCTCGCTCTGTCTCCCAGGCTGGAGTTCAGTGGCGCGACCTCGGCTCACTGCAAGCTCTGCTTCTCAGGTTCACGCCACTCTCCTGCCTCAGCCTCCCGTGCAGCTGGGACTACAGGCGCCCGCCACCACGCCCGGCTAATTTCTTTTTTGTATTTTTAGTAGAGACGGGGTTTCACCGTGTTAGCCAGGATGGTCTCGATCTCGCGACCTCGTGATCTGCCCGCCTCGGCCTCCCAAAGTGCTGGGATTACAGGCGTGAGCCACCGCCCCCAGCCCTCCTGATGTTCCCACATTTTTCTTAGTAAAAATTATTAGCTGAAATTGCTTTGAATTAATGGAGTCTGTGTGGCTGAGAATATGCTTTGCTCCACTGGATGGAAGAGACTGGGCTGGCTTGATACCTTGGCAAGGCAAACTAGAAACACTAGTAGCCTATCAACAAAAGTTTAGCATGATGACAGAAAACGAGTATTCAGACCAAAACCAAAATGGATTATATAACCTAGATGCATTTGTGTATAAAACTTTCCAATTTTTCAGTCTAGAGGTATTACAGTTAGTAGCAGAAATGCGGTGTCTTTATGCTTGTATATTATGAGTTTTTAAAATGTGATACAACTGATTTTTGATTAACTTTATAAAGTTACAATTTCCATACAATAAAATGCACCTATTTAAGTGTACATTTCAATGAGCTTCAACAAGCATAATAACTAAGTAGCCACCATCACAATGAAGATATAGAATATTTCCATCATCTTAAGAAGTTCTCTTATGCCCTTTCCCAAAACACATCTTCCAAACTTCAGCTCAGGCAAAAACTCATCTGCCACCTGTCACTATAGATCACATTTTTCTTATAAATAAATTTAATCATATAATATGGACTCTTTCTGCCTTTTTTGCTCAGCCTTATGTTTTTGAGATTTGTTCATGTTGTTGTGTGTATAAATAAGTTCAATTATTTGTCAGCACTCTTTATTTTGAGACGGAGTCTCGCTCTGTCGCCCAGGCTGGAGTGCAGTGGCACGATCTCGGCTCACCGCGAGCTCCCCCTCCCGGGTTCACGCCATTCTCCTGCCTCAGCCTCCCAAGTAGCTGGGACTACAGGCACCTTCCACCATGCCCGGCTAATTTTTTTTTGTATTTTTAGTAGAGACGGGGTTTCACCATGTTAGCCAGGGTGGTCTCGATCTCCTGACCTCGTGATCCGCCTGCCTCGGCCTCCCAAAGTGCTGAGATTACAGACATGAGCTACCGCACCCGGCCTTGTCAGTGCTCCTGTTGATAAACATTTGGGTCATGTTCATTTTGGGGTTGTAATGAACAAAACTGCTGTCATTTTTTCTGTGTGACTCTGTGTATGGACATTTTCAACTTGGGAGTCAATACCTAAGAGTGGGATTACTGAGTTATATAGTAAATGTTTATTTAAGAAGCTATGAAACTGTTTTTGTAAAGTATTTGTGTTATTCATTGTCTCATCAACAATGTAGAACACTTCCAGTTGTTCACTTGCTCCATATCCTTGATAACACTTGCTATTGTCAGTCATATTGCAGCTATAGTCAAATATATTATAAAATGCTGTTGTGCTTTTAATTTGCACTTTCCTGATGACTAATTATGTTGAACATATTTTCATGTGATTATTGCTAATTTGTATATATTCTTTTGTGAAATGGCTGTACAAAATTATTCCTTAACAGGTTTGTTGATATACATATTTGTTACCAATCTTAGCAGAAAAATAGTTCCTCACCATTAAGTATGTAAGAATAATGTTAACTGTGGGTTTTCCAAATTATTTTTATTAGGTTGATAAAACCTAGTTTGCAGAGAACCTTTATTATGAATGGGTTTTGAATTGTTCAAATGCTTTTTAAGGAATACTATTTGCCCAAATAGTCATGTTTATTTCATATATATGTAAATACACATATATGTAGTATCTATATCTATATCTATCATTTGTGTATAGCTTTACTTAATACATCCCCCCAAGGCTGTCACTTGACTTTTTCTTACCTTAACAATATACTTCAAAGATCAAAAGTTACTGTTTCTTTTTATTTGGTGAAGCCCAACTTATCACTTTACTTTCTTATAGCATGTATTTTTTGTGCCCTAATTTGGAAATCCTTGCACATCTCAAGGTCATGAGGATTGTCTTGTGAGTTCTTCTATAAGTTTTATAGATTTAACTTCTACAGTTATGTTCATGATTCACTTTGAATTAGTTTTTGTAGATGGTGTCAGATAAAGATTAAAATTTATTTTACCCAGTTGGTATCCAATTTGGTATCCAATTTTTCCAGCAGAATTTGTTGGAAAGAATATTCCTTCCCCATAAATTACCTTGGTATCGCTGTTGAAAATAATTGAACCTAGATAGATAGATAGATAGATAGATAGATAGATAGATAGATAGATTTTTGGACTTTATGTCATTGATCTACATGTTTAATTTTACATTAACACCACACCACCTTGAGTACTGTAGGTTCATAGTTTTAAAGTATTTTTGACCATTCAAGTTCCTTTTTATTTTGATATAGATTTTAGGTATGTTCTATAAAGTCAATGAGGCCAATTTGTTTGACAATGTTTATCAAGTCCACTACATTCTTATTGATATGTTGATATGTTATCTATTTGTTACTGAGAGATGAATACTGAAATCTTGAATTGTGGATCTGTCTATTTCTCCTTTTAATTTTATTAGCTATTGCTTCACATATTTTGAAGTTCCATTATAGAGTTCATAAATATCTTTTTGATGAATTTATTATCCTTTATGTATGTTTTCCCATTTTGTACTTCTAATGTCTCTCTCTTTCTCTTTCTCTCTCTCTCTCTATATATATATAATATATATATATCTCTACAGATATATATATATATATAATATCTCTCTCTCTCTCTCTCTCTCTCTATATATATATATATATATATATATCAACTCTAGAGAGAGAAGTGGAGTAAGATGGCTAAATAGAACCCTCCAGTGTTTGACACTTCCTGCAGGAACACCACATTTTACAACTATCCATGCAAGAAAGCACCTTCATAAAAAAAAATCAGGTAAGTGATCACAGTACCTTTTTTTAACATCAAATCAAGGAAAGAGGCACGGCAAATGGTAGAAAAGACAGTCTTAAATTGCTAATACCACCCCTCCCCCGTCCCCCAGGAGCAGCCACATTGCATAGAGAAAGAATCTGTGTGCTTGAGGGAGGGAGAGTGCAGTGATTGTGGAACTTTGTATTGGAATCCAGTACCAGCCCTTCCATAGTGGAAAGCAATACAGGGAAGAATTCAGATAGTGCCTATGGAGGGAGCATTTAGGCCAGCCCCAGCCAGACGGTAAACGTTCTGCCACTGGCAGAACCTGAGCTCCAGCTAGCCCCACCACCACCAGCTAAAGTGCTCTGTAGTTCTAAATAAACTTGAAACCCTGTCTAGGCCACAAGGACTGATATTCCTGGACAAGTACAGGTGCCATCTGGGATTGGAGCCAGCACACATGGGGTGCATGTGACCTATGGAGACACCAGCCATGTTGGCCAAGGGAATGCTTGTAACACTCCCACCCCAACCCCAGGCAGCAGAGCTTGAAGCTCTGAGAGAGACTCATTCCTTCTATTTGAAGAGAGGAGAAGGGAGTGGAAAGAGGACTTTGTCTTGCAACTTGGATACTAGCTCAGCCACAGTAGAATAGAATACCAGGCAGAGTTGTGAGGCTCCTATTCTAGGCCCTAGCTCCCAGATGACATTCCTAAACACATCTTAGGCCAGAAGGGAACACACTCCTTGAAAGAAGGACCCAGTCCTGGCAGAATATATCACTTGATTACTAGAGATCCCTTGGGCCTTGAATAAACATCTGCTGTAGCAGTAATCACTGTAGTACTTGGGAGAGACTTAGTGCTGTGTTAGCTTCAAGGGTGACCCATCACACTTCCAGCTGCAGTGGCTATGGGAAGAGACTCCTTTGGCTTAACGAAATAAAAGAGAAATGTAAAGGGAAATTTGTCTTGAAGCTTGGGTACAGTCCAGCCACAGTAAGATAAAGCACCAAGTGGGCTCCTGGGGTCCCTGAATTCAGGCCTTGGCACTGGGACAGCATTTTTTGATCCACCCTGGGCTAGAGGGGAGCCCACTGCCCTGAGAGAGAGACATTGGCATGCAGCATTTGCCACAGGCTGATTGAAGAGACCTTGATTGAACATGTGTGATAGCTAGGTAGCACTTGCTATGGGCCTGGGGCAGTGATGTCCACAAGGAAAGACTCCTTGTTGAGGAAAAGAGAGGGAATATTGGGAAGGACATTGTCTTATAGATTGGGTGTCAGCTCAGAGGCAATAGACTAGAACACAAAGTAGATTCCTAAGGTTCCCAGCTTTAGGCCCTGGCTCCCAAATGGCATTTCTGAACTGACCCTGTATGAAGGAGGGGATCTTGCCACCCTCAATGGAAGGACACCAGCCTGGCTAGATTTGACACCTTCTGACTGAAGAGCCCTTGGGCCTTGAATGAACATTGGCTGTAGCTAGGTAGTGGTTGCCATGAGCATTGCATGAGACCCGGTGTTGTGCTGGCTTCAGGGCTGACCCAGTACAGTTGCAGTGGTAGTGGCCACAAGGCTACTTGTGTCACTGCTCCCCCAACTGTAGGCAGCTTAGCATGGAGAGAGAGGCTCCATTTGTTTGGGGAAAAGTAAGAGAAAAGAACAAGAGTCTCTTCTTAGTATTCAAGGGAATTCTCTGAGATCTTACCCAAGTCCAACAAGGCAGTACCTCTATGAGTCTGCAAAAGTCCATAATTACTGATCTAGGGTGGACCATAACGCAGTTTGTCTGCAGTGAACAAAAACTTATACAACAACACTCAATTCCCTTTGAATACTTGGAAAGCCTGTACAAGAAGCATGGGTACAAACAATCCCAGACTGTAAAGATTACAATAAATACCTAATTCTTCAGTGTCCACACATCGATGAACATCCACAAACATCAAAACCAACCAGGAAAACTTGATCTAACCAAAACTAAATAAAGCATCAGTGATAAGTCTTGTAGTGATAGAGATATGTGGCTTTTCAGACAGAATTCAAAATAGCTGTTTTTAGGAAGCTCAATGAAATTCAAGATAATAGTGAAAATAAATTCAGAATCCTATCAGCGAAATGTAACAAAGAAATCAAATTAATTTTTAAAAATGAAGAAGAAATTCTGGAGCTGAAAAACTCAATTGACATAGTGAAGAATGCATCAGAGTCAACAGGATAATTGATTAAGCAGAATAAAGAATTAGCTTGAAGACAGGCTATGTAAAAATACACAGAGAAATGAAAAGGAAAAGAATTTTTTAAAATGAAGAACACCTACAAGATCTAAAAATAGCCTCAAAAAGGCAAATCTAAGAATTACTGGACTTAAAGAGAAAGTAAAAAAACAAATCAGGATAGAAAGTTTATTTAAAGGGATAATAATAGATAACTTTCCAAACCTAGAGAAAGATACCAATAGTCAAGTTCAAGAAGGTTATAGAATACCAAGAAGATTTAACCCAAAGAACACTACCACAACATATTTAATAATCAAACTCTTAAATATCAAGGATTTAAAAATGATCCTAAAAACAGCAAGAGAAAATAAACATATAATATAAAAATGAACTTCCACACATCTGGCAGCAGACTTTCCCATGGAAACCTTACAGACCAAGGAAGAGTGACATGACATATTTAAACTGCTGAAGAGAAAGTATTTTATCCCAGAATAGTATATCCAGTGAAAGTACCCTTCAAACATGAAGGATAAATAAAGACTTTCCTAGACAAACAGAAGCTGAGGGATTTCATCAAAACCAGACCTGTCCTACAAGAAATGCTAAATGGGCTTCTTCAATCTGAAAGAACACTAATGAGCAACAAGAAATCATCTGAAGGTACAAAACCCATTGAAACTAGTAAGCACACAGATAAATACAGAATATTAAACATTGTAATTGTGTATGTAAACTACTCACATCTTCAGTAGAAAGACTAAAAAATGAGCCCATCAAAAACAATAATTACAATACCTTTTCAAGACATAGACAATAAATTAAATGTAAATAGAAAAAAACAAAAAGTTAAATAGTTCTGGGGTTGAAGTGTAGAGTTTATATTGGTTTTATCTGGCTTGTTAGTTTGTTTGTTGTTCTTGTAATTAGTGTTAAGATGTCATCAGTTTAAAATAATGGGTTATAAGATGATATTTGCAAGGCTCATAGTAACTTCAAACCAACAAAACCACAACAGATACATGAAAAATAAAAGACAAGAAGTTAAAACATACCACCACAGAAAATGACCTTTATGAAAAGGAAGACAGGAAGGAGGGAAGGAAGGAAGGAAGGAAGGAAGGAAGGAAGGAAGGAAGGAAGAAAGGAAGGAAGGAAAGAAGGAAGGAAGGAAGACAATACAACCAGAAAACAAATAACAAAATTGCAATAGTAAGTCCTTACTCATCAACAATAACTTTGAATGTATAGTACTCTCCAATCAGAAGACATAAAGGATCTAACTGGATATAAAAAGAAGAAACAATGATCTCTTGCCTAGAAGAAACACACTTTGCCTATGAAAAAAAAAAACACAGACTGAAAAATATGGGGATGGAAAAAGATACTCCATGAAAATGGAAACTGAAAAAGAGCAGGAGGAGCTATACTACGAAATAGATTTCAAGAAAAAAGACATAAAAGAGATAAGGTCATTATAAAATAATAAAGAGGTCAATTCAGCAAGATAATGTAACAATTATAAATATATACGCAACAAACATAAGATCACCAAGATATAAACTAGAAACTGCTAAAAACCTAAAAACAGCCTTAAAATGCCTAGAAATGATAAACAAATTCAATAGAGTTGCAATGTACAAATCAACATTCAAAAATTAGGGGTATTTGTATACAGCAATAACAAACAACTTGGAAAAGAAATTAAGAAAGTAATTCCATATATGGTAGCTTACAATAAAATAAAATACCTAGAAATAAATAACCAAAGAAGTGAAAGATCTCACAGTGAAAATCATAAAACATTGATGAAAGAAACTGAAGTGGACACAAAATAATAAACACAATTATGTTTATGAATTGGAAGAATCAAAATAGTTAAAATGTTCATACTCAACAAAGCAATGTACAGATTCAATGCAATTCCTATAAAAATACCAATGACTTTCTTCATAGAAGTAGAAAAATTATTCTAAAATTTATATGGAACTACAGAAGAACCAGAATAGCTAAAGCTATCTTAAGCAAAGAGGACAAAACTGGAGGAATCACATTACCTGACTTTATATTATACTGCAAAGCTAAGATAACCCAAACAGCATGGTACTGGCATAAAAAGATACATAGAACCAATTAGTGAACCCAGAAATAAATCTATGAATCTACAGTGAACTCATTTCTGACAAAGCCTCCAAAAATATTCATTGGTGAAAGCAGAGTCTTTTCAATAAATGGTGCTAGGAAAACTGGATATCCATAGCAAAAGAATGAAACTAGACACCTATCTCTCATCATATACAAAAAACAATAAAAATGGATTAAAGACTGAAATCTCAGACCTCAAAGTATGAAACTATAAAAAGAAAATACTGGGGAATAACTCCAGGATATTGGTCTGGGCAACAATTTCTTGAGTAATGCTCCAAACGGAAAAGCAACCAAAGCAAAAATAGACAAATGGGATCGCATCAAGTTAATACATTTCCGCAAAGCAAAGGAAACAATCAGCAAAGTGAAAGACAACCCACAGAATGGGAGAAAATATTTACAAACTTTCAATCTGACATGGGATTAATAACAAGAATATATAAGAAGCTCAAACAACTCAACAGGAAGAAAACCTAATGATCAAATTTTTAAAAAATCATCAGAAATAATGCAATTCAAAACTGCAATTAGATATAATCTCCCCCCAGCTAAGTGGCTTTTATCTAAAAGTCAGGCAATAACATATGTTGGTGATGAGGTGAGAGAAGGGAACCCTCATATACTGTTGGTAGAAATGTAAATTAGTACAGCCACTATGGAGAACAGTATGGAAGTTCCCAATAAAATAAAAAATAGGGTGGAGGAGAAGAGCACAATTGTTGAATAGAATGCTCCACTGATTACACTCCTGCAAAGACATCAATTTAACAACTATATACACTTAAAAAGCACCTTTATAAGAACCAAAATTCAGGTGCTCACAGTACATGGTTTTAACTTTATGTCACTGAAAGAGGCATTGAAGAGGGTAGGAAAGAGTCCTGAATCACCTACATCATCCCTTCCTCCTCCCATGGCAGTGGCCACGTGGTATGGAAAAAGAATCTGAGTGTTTGGGAGAAAAGTGTAGCAATTGCGAGACACTGCATTGAACTCAGTGCTGCCCTGTCATAGCAGAAAGCACAACCAGACTGAACTCAGCTGACTCCCACCTATGGATGGAGTATTTAAACCAGTCCTAGGCAAAGGACAATTGCTTGCCCCGGCAGTGGGAATCTGAGTTCTGACAAGCCTCATCACCATAGGCTCAAATGCTCTGGGACCCTAAATAAATTTGAAAGGCAGTCTAAGCCACAAGGACTGTAACTCCTGAGCATGTCCCAGGGCTGAACAGGGCTCAGTGCCAATGGACTTGTGGGGCATGCAGCTTACTGAGACACCAGCTGCGGTGGCTAAGGCAGTGCTTGTGCCACCCCTCCCCCAACACCAGGCTCCACAGCTTGCAACTCCAAAAGAGACTTCTTCCTTCTACTTGAGGAGATAAGAGGGAAAAGTTAAAAAAAAGACTTTGTTTTCCATCTTGGCTACCAGCTCGGTCACACTTGGATAAGGCAGTGTTCAGAGTCTTGAGGCCCCCTTTCCAGGCCCCAGCTCCTGGGTGACATTTCTAGAAGCACCCTGGGCCAGAAGGGGACCCACTGCCTTGAAGGGAAGGAGCCAGTCCTGCTAGGACACATCATGTGCTGATTAAAGAGCCCTTGAACCTAAATAATCAGCAGTGATACCCAGATACTACACCATGGGCCTTGAGAGAGACTGAGATTGGCTGGCTTAAGGTGAGACTCAGCACATTCCCAGCTGTGGCGACTACCTACAGGGAGAAACTTCTTCTGCACGAGAAAAGCAGAAGGAAAAGTAAAGTGGACAGTGCCTTGCACCTTAGGTATTAGCTTGGCCACAGGGAGATAGAGCATCAAGCAGACTCTTCAGATGCCTGATTCCAGACCTAGACTATTGGATGGCATTTCTGGACCTGTCCTCGGCCAGATAGGATACCCCTGCCCTGAAGGTCAAGTCCCAGGCCAGGCAGCATTAACCACAAGCTGACTGCAGTGCCCTTGGGCCTTAAGGGAACATCAGTGGTATCCTGGCAGTACTCCCCATAGGCCTGTGGAGGTGATGGTCACAGGATAAGGCTCATCTGCCTGTGGAAAGCGGACAGAAGAGTTGGAAGGACTATGTTTTGTAGTTTGAGTATAGTCTCAGCCACAGTACAACACAATACCAGATAGACTTCTTAAATTTTTGCCTCCAGTTCCTGGATCCCAGATGGTACCACTGTACCCACCTGGGGTCTGAGGGAACTCACTGCCCTGAAGGAAAGGACAGAAGCCTGGTTGGCTTCACAACCTGCTGATTGTAGACCCCCAGCAAACATAGGCGGTATCCAGGTAGTGGTTACACCGGTCCTTGGGCAAGACCCAGTGCTGTGCTGGCTTCAAGTCACACACAGTGCAGGCCTAGTGGTAGTGACCATAGTGGTACTTGTGTTACCCCAACCCCAGCTCCAGGTGGCTCAGAACACACACAGAGATTTCATTTGGGAAAAACTAAGGGAAGGTAACAGAAGTCTCTTTCTGATAATCCAGAGAATTCTGGATCTTGTCCCAGACTATCAAGGCAATACCTCTGTAAGTTGGAAGAACCACGGTATTACTGTGCTTGTGATGCACTCTAACACAGCTTTGGCTTACATCACAACACACAGGTCCTTTTGCATACTTGGAAAGCCCTCTTATGAAGAATGAGTACAAAGAATACCAGATGGCAAAAATTACAATAAATAATTAACTCTTCAATGCCCAGACATGACAAATGTCTAATAAGCATCAAGATCATTCAGGAAAACACGGTTTTAGCAAACAAACTAAATGAGATACGAGGGACCAATCCTGGAGAAACAGAGATATGCGACCTTTCAGGTGGAGAATTCAAAATAGCTGTGTTGAGGAAACTCAAAGTAATTAAAGAGAACACAGAGAAGGAAATCAAAATTCTATAATATAAATTTAACAAAGACATTGAAATAATTAAAAAGAATCAAGCAGAAATTCTAGAGTTGAAAAATGAAATTGACATACTGAAGAATGCACCAGAGTTTTTTAATAGCAGAATTGATCAGGCAGAAGAGAGAATTAGTGAGCTTGAAGACAGGCTATTTGAAAATACACAGAGGAGACAAAAGAAAAAAGAATAAAAAACAGTGAAGGATGCCTACAAGATCTAGAAAATAGCCTCAAAAGGACAAATTTAAGAGTTAGTGGCCTTAAAGACCAGGTAGAGAAAGAGATAGGGATAGAAAGTTTGTTCACAGGGATAATAATGAGAACTTCTCAAACCTAGAGAAAGATATCAACATTCAAGTACAAAAAGGTTGTACACCAAGAAGATGTAATCCAAAGAACACACGTCAGAGCATTGAATAATCAAACTCCCAAAGGTCAACAATAAAGAAAGGATCCTAAAAGCAGCAAGAGAAAAGAAAAAGTAACATACAAAGACTTTCAATAAGCCCGGCAGCAGACTTTTCAGTGGAAACCCTACAATCCAAAAGAAAGTGGCATGGTGTATTAAAAGTACTGAAGGAATTTTTGTTTTTTACTGTAGAGTAGTATATCTGGTGAAAATATCCTTGAAATGTAAAGGGTGAAATAAAGACTTTCCTAGACTAATAAAAGCTGAGGGATCTTATCAACATCAGACTTCTCCAGAAATGCTAAAGAAAATACTTCAATCAGAAAGAAAAAGACATTAACAAGCAATACAAAATCATCTGAAGGTGCAAAAATCACTACTAATAGTAAGTACGCACAGAAAAACACAGAGTATTATACCACCAGAGAAAATCATCTTCACTAAAAAGAAGACACGAAGGAAGGAAAGAAAGAAAGAGGGGAAAACCACAAAACAACCAGAAAACAAATAACAAAATAGCAAGAGTAAGTCCTTACTTCTCAATAATAACATTGAATGTAAATGGACGACACCCTCCAATCAAAAGACATATAGTGGCTGAACGGATAACAAAACAAGACCCAATAATCTGTTTTCTAGAAGAAATACACTTAACTTATAAAAATACACATAAACTGAAAATAAGGGAATGGAAAAAGATGTTCTGTGCCAATGGAAACCAAAAAAGAGCAAGAGCAGCTATTCTTATATCAGACAAATAGCTTCCAAGACAAAAATCATGAGACAAAGAAGGTCATTATATAATAAGAAAACGGCCAAACTAGCAACAGGATATAATGATATAAATATATATGCACCCAACACAGAAACACCCAGAGAAATAACGCAAATATTATTAGAGCTGAGGACAGAGACCTCAATAAAATAATAGCTGGAGATTTCCACACCTCACTTTTAGCATTGGACAGATCTCCCAGGCAGAAAATCAACAAAGGAACATTGGACTTAAAATGCAGTATGGAATAAATAGACATGATAGATATTTACAGAACATTTCATCCAATGGCTGCAGACTACTCATTATTTTTCCTCAACACATGAATCATTCTCAAGCATAGATTATATGGTAGGTCACAAAACAAGCCTTAAAACATTCCAAAAACTTGAAATATTATCAAGCATCTTCTCTGACACAATGGAATA
Source organism: Homo sapiens (assembly GCF_000001405.40). Taxonomy (NCBI): domain Eukaryota; kingdom Metazoa; phylum Chordata; class Mammalia; order Primates; family Hominidae; genus Homo; species Homo sapiens. The sequence continues at coordinate 99,194,645 of NC_000003.12, forward strand.
AAAATACAAATCAATAGCAGGAGGAATTTTGGAAACTATACAAACACATAAAAATTAAACAATATATGACCAGTGGGCCATTGAAAAAATTAAGAAGGAAATTGAAAAAATTCTTGAAACAAATAATAATGGAGACACAACATAACAAAGCTTATGAAATTTAGCAAAAGCAGATCTAAGATGGAAGTTTATGGCCATAAGTGCCTACATCAAAAAAGGAAAAACTCCACCTAAGGATGCATCTAAGAACTAGAAAATCAAGAGCAAACCAAACCCAAAATTAGTAGATGAAAAGAAATAATGAAGATTAGAGTTGAAATAAATGAATATGAAATGAAAAAAATATTAAGTATCAGTGAAACAAAAAGTTGGTTTTTTGAAAAGATAAAACTGACAAACCTTTACCTACACTAAGAAAAAAAGAAAACAGTAATAAATAAAATCAGAGATGAAAAAGTAGATATTACTTCTGATAGTGCAGAAATTCTAAGGATAATTAGTGACTGCTATGAGCAACTTTATGTCAATAAATTGAAAAATCTGGAATAAATGGATAAATTCCCAGACACATACAACCTACTCAGGCTGAAGCAGGAAGAAGTTCAAAACCTGAACAGATCAATAACAAGTAATGAGATCAAAGCCATAACAAAAAGTCTCTCAGCAAAAAAGGCCTGGGATCCAATGACTTCACTGCTGAATTCTACCAAACATTTAAAGAAAAACAAGTATCAATTCTACTCAAGCTATTCTGAAAAATAGAGAATACTTCCAAATTTATTCTACAAGGCCATTATTACACTGATACAAATCAAACAAAGACACATTAAAAAAAACTACTGGCCAATATCTCTGATGAATATTGGTGCAAAAATCCTCAAGAAAATACTAGCAAACTGAATTCAACAGCACATTTAAAAGATCATTTATTGTGACCCAGTGGGATTTATCCCAAGGATGCAAGGATGGCTCAACATATGCAAATCAACTGGTGTAATACATCATATCAACAGAATGAAGGACAAAAACCATATGATCATTTTCATTGATGCTGAAAAAGTGTTTGATAAAATTCAACATCCCTTCATGATAAAAACACTAAAAAACTGGGGGTAGAAGGAGCATACCTCAACATGACAAAAGCCATATAAAACCGACCCATAGCTAGTATCATCTTATATGGAGAAAAAATGAAAGCATTCCTCTATATTCTGCAATATGACAAAGATGCTCACTTTCACTACTGTTATTCAACACAGAACTGGAAGGTCTAGTTAGAGAAATCTGACAAAAAAAATAATGGGCATCTTTACTGGGAAGGAAGAAGTTAAATTATACTTCTTTGCAGATTATGTGATCTTATATTAGGAAAACCCTATAGACTCCGTCAAAATGCTGTTAGAACTGGTAAACAAATTCAGTAACAATGAAGGATACAAACTCAACATTCAAAAATCAGTAGCATTTCTAGATGCCAATAGCAAACAATCTGAAAAAAGAAATCAAGAAAGTAATCCCATTACAATAGTTACAAATCAAATAAAATACCTAGGAATTAGCCAAAGAAGAGAAAGAGCTCTATAATGAAAATTATAAAACACTGGTGGCAGAAATTAAAAAGGACACTCAAATGGAAGAAATTCCATTTTCATGGACTGGAAGAATTAATATTGTTAAAATTTTCATGCTACCCAGAGCAATCTACAGATTCAATGCAATTTCTATCAAAATACCAATAACTTTGTTCACATAAATAGAAAAAACAAGCCTAGCATTTGTTTGGAAGCAGAAAAGACCCAGAATAGTCAAAGCTATCCTAAACAAAAAGAACAAAACTGGAGGAATCACATTACTTGATTTCAAATTATACTACAGAGCTACAGTAACCAAAACAGCACAATACTGGCATAAAAACAGATACATAGACCAATGGGACAGAACAGAGAACCCAGAATCAAATCTACACACCTACGGTGAACTCATTTTTGACAAATGTGCCAAGAACATAAACTGGGGAAAAGACAGTCTCTTCAATACACGATTCTGAGAAAACTGGATATCCATATGCAGAAGAATAAAAGTAGACACCTATCTCTTACCACATACAAAAATCACATCAAAATGGGTTGAAGACTTCAATCTAAGAACTCAAACTATGAAACTACCTCAAGAAAACATTGAGAAACACTCCCAGATGTTGGTCTGGGCTACAATTTCTTGAGTAAAACCCCCAAAGTAAAAGCAACCAAAGCACAAATGGACAAAGGGGGCCCCATCAAGTTTAAAAACTTCTGCACAGCAAACAATCAACAAAGTGAAGAGACAACTCATGGAATGGGAGAAAATATTTGAAAACTCCCTATCTGACATGAAATTAATAACCAGAACATATAAGGAGCTCAAACAACTCTATAGGAAAAAAAATCTAATAATCTGATTTAAAAATAGGCAAAGAGTTTGAATAGACATTTCTCAAAAGAAGACATACAAATAGTCAACAAGTATATGAAAAGGTGTTCACCATCATTGCTAATCAGAGAAATGCAAATCAAAATGACAATGATATATCATCTCACCCCAGTTAAAATGGCTTTTATCCAAAAGTGAGGCAATAACATGTGCTGGTGAGGATGTGAGAGCAGGGAATCCTCACATGCTGTTGGTAGAAATTCACAGCCACTATGGATAATAGTTTGGAGGTTCCTCAAAAAACTAAAAATAGAGCTGCCTTACTATTCAGCAATCCCTCTTCTGGGTATATGCCCAAAAGAAAGAAAATCAGTATATCGAAGAGATATCTGCACTCCCATGTTTATTGCAGCATTGTTCACAATAGCCAAGACTCGAAAGCAACCTAAGTGTCCATCAGCAGATAAGTGGAGAAAGAAAATTTGCATGTACACTATAGAGTACTATGCATCTTTAAAAAATGGGATTCTGTCATTTGCAACAACATGGAAGGAACTGGAGGTCAATATATTATGTGAAGTGTAAGCCAGGCATAGAAAGACAATCATCACATGTTCTCACTTATTTGTGGAAGCTAAAAATTAAAACAATCGAACCCGTGGAGATAGGGAGTAGGATGATTACCAGAGGCTGAGAAGAGTATTGGAGGTTGAGAGGTGGGGAAGTGGGGAGTGTTTGTTAATGGATACAAATAAATAGTTAGAAAAAATAAGACCTAGTATGCACTGGTACAAAAGGGAGACTATTGTAAAAAGAATTTAGTTGTACATTTTAAAATAACTAAAAGATTATAATTGGACTGTTACACAAAGGATAAATATTTGAGGGGATGGATACCCAATTTTCTGTGATGTGATTATTACGTATTGCATTCCTGTGCCAAAGTACCTCAGGTACTCCATAAATATATACACCTCCTATTAATATGTACCCACAAAAATTAAAAATTAAGAAAATGATAAAAATACCTTATTGCTAATGATCATCAGAGGCTTCAGTGAGTGATAAATTTTTACTGGTAGTGGTATTCACCTCAATATTGTTTTTTGCTGACATCAGGATGGTGGTTGCTGAAGGCTGTAGTGGTTGTGGCAGTTTCTTAAAATAAGAGAAAAATAATGTTTGTCACATCAACACTTTCCTTCACAAAAGATTTCTCTGTAGCATGCAAAGCTGTTTGATAGCATTTTGCCCACAGTAGAACTTTCAAAACTGGAGTCAGTTTTCTCAAACCCCGCTACTGCTTTATCAACTAGGTTTATGAAATATTCTAAATCCTTTGTTGTCAGTTCAACAGTGTTCACAGCATCTTCACCAGGAGTAAATTATATCTTAAGAAACAACTTTCTTGCTCGTCCATAAGAAAACACTCTTCATCTGTTCATGTTTTGTCATGAGATTACAGCAATTCAGTCACATCTTCAGGCTATACTTCTAATTCTAGTTTTCTTACTGTTTCCACTGCATCTGTAGTTGCTTCCTCCACTGACGCCTGGAACCCCCCAAAGTCTTCCATGAGGATTGGGATCAACTTCTTCCAAACTCCTGTTAACATTGATATTCTGACTTTCTCCCATGAACCACAATGTTCTTAATGGCATCTAGCATGGTAAATTATTTCCAGAAAATTTTCAATTTACCTTGCCCACATGCATTACAGGAATCATTCTCTATAGCCTTACAAGATGTGTGTCTTAATAAGACTTAGAGCCAGAAATTACTTTTTGATCCATAGGCTGAAGAATGGATGTTGTCTTAGCAGGCATGAAAACATTAATCTCTTTTTATATTTCCATGAGAGCTCTTGGGTGACTAAGAGCACTGTCAATGAGTAGTAGTATTTAGAAAAGAATATTTTTTTCCCGAGCAGTAAATCTCAACAGCAAGCTTAAAATATTTAGAAAACCATGCTGTAAACAAATGTGCTGTCATCCAGGCTTTGTTGTTCCATTTATAAAGCACAGGCAAAATAGATTTAGCATAATTCTTAAGGGTCTTAGGTTTTTCAAAATGGTAAAAGAGCATTGGCTTAACTTAAAGTAACCAGCTGCATAAGCCCTTAACAAGAGAGTCAGCCGGTCTTTTGAAGTTTGGAGCCAGCCGTTGACTTCTCCTTTCTAGCATGAAAGTCATAGATAGCATCTTACTCCAATAGAAGACTGTTTTATCTAGGTGGAACATCTGTTGTTTGGTGTAGCCACCTTCATCAATGATCTTAGCTAGATCTTTTGGATAATTTGCTACTGGTTCTTTACCAGCACTTGCTGCTTTACCTCGTACTTTTTTGTTATAGGGATGGCTTCTTCCACTAAATCTCATGAAGTGACCTCTGCTAGATTCCTACTTTTCTTCAGCCACCTCACCTTTCTCAGCCTTCGTAGATTTGAAGAGAGTTAGGGCATTTCTCTGGACTACACTTTAGCTTAAAAAAATGTTGTAGCTTCTCAATTTCCATAGTGTCCACAACCCCTCTTTTTTTAGGTCTCTTATTCGACTCTGTAGTGCTTAAGATAATCTTTAATTGAAGAGATGTGTCGCATAAAACCACAAAGCTGCAAAAAGGTTTTATAGTTAACAGTTAATCTGGAGTAACATTTTAATTTTCTTTAATCACAAAATCATCTAATTTAAATTAAATTAAATCTGCTAATTTAATTAATTGCTAAACTTATCATCATCTATTTTTATTCCTCCAGCCATAGGACTTAAGCTCAAGCTCTTTTCAAAATAAACCTATAAGCCTACCCCATCCTATGGAAGTTGTAAACTAGAAAAACAATCGATTTAGCTGGTCTCTTTTGGGCTAGTTTTTTTTTTTTTAATTATACTTTAAGTTCTGCACAACCCCTCTTTTAATGATATACTGAACTCCCTTGCCCTACCTCTGTGCAACCAGCATAGTCACTCATTACTTTTTTATTTCCAAATCCGGTGGACACTTTTCAGTTCCTATTTTGCCTTACTATTTACCATTTGACACTATTTTTGAAACCCAGTCTTCCTTTAGCTTCTAATTTTTCTTCTTCCCTTACTAACGGTTTAGTGCCCTTTGCTGTTATTTTTCTTCTACTCATTCCTTGAATGTTGATGTTTCTAGATTATCTGCTCCTTTCATTACCCACACTCTCCCTAGGTAATCACATCTACTCTGACAAATAGAGCAATCACATCTATTAGGAAGGGTCAACGTTAGGATAATATGACAATGAGACCCTACAAAACTCAATTACTTAAAGAACAAATACCTTTAAAAAATTCACAAAACAGTTCAAGATGAGTACTTTAGGCTGGTGGGAGGCTTTGTTCCAGTGACCCAGGTTTCCTTCAAATCACTTCTTCACCATTCTGTAGGGCATTGCTGTGGCTCCGTGATCAATGGTGGATTGTTCCAGGTTCTAGTTCTCCACAAAATGGGAAGAAAAAAATATGAAGAAGATATCCCAGCTTCTTTTACCCTAGTTCAGGGATCCAACATTTCTATTCTTCTAGTTACAATTTCCATATCTACTATTTTAATTTTTGGTACATTTTTCACACAACATCCAGTATGATCTTTTAGAGATACAAGTCTGGCCAGGTGTGGTGGCTCATGCCTGTAATCCCAACACTTTGGGAGGCCGAGGAGTGTGGATCACTTGAGGTGCGGAGTTTGAGACCAGTCTGGCTGACATTGTGAAACCGTTATCTCTACTAAAAATACAAAAATTAGCTTGGTATGGTGGTGCGCACTGTAATCCCAGCTACTCGGGGGGCTGAGACAGAAGAATCGCTTGAACCTGGGAGGCGGAAGTTGCAGTGAGCCGAGAATGCCCCATTGCACTCCAGCCTGGGCGAAAACAGCAAACTTGTATATATATATACAAGTTTGATTATGTCACTTAAAAGAAAAGCAATGGTTAAAAAAAATAAAGTGCAAGCCCCTTAACTTTGCTTATAAATCTTTCTACAATCTAGCCCTTGCCTAATGCTCAGCTGTATCCATGGTCATTCTTTCATAGTTTTGAACTCTATCGTCCATTACTATTGAACTAATCTCAATTTCTTGAAATAATATTTTATGTATTTATATGTCATTCCCTTTGTGTAGATATCATTTTATCATCTTTTGTTTGGTTATTTCCCACCTTTTACTTATCTTTTAGGTTTGAGCTGAAATTTTATTTCCTCCACTGAATTCACAAGATACTTCAATATCAAAAATTGAGGAAGTAATTCAAAGAGAATGCATAAAATACAATGAGAGATATTAATAAAATCTCTAACTTAGAAAGCTATTGTTTATGAACTCATGGGCTACAATTTTAGTGCAAGTTCTGTTAGCAGATGGCCAGCATGTTGGACCACAAACTCTGAAACCTAAAATTAGGTAGCATTCAATTACAAAGGCTATTAATAAATAGCTATATCCCTGTATCTGCATGTAGCAGTGTGAAAGAATCATGTAGGCCTTTATTTAGAAATTTCCCCCTTGTTTGGCTGCCATTTTTTGGTGGCTTGAATTTTTTTTTTTTTTTTAATAATAGGATATAGCTAGCAAGGTCTTCTACAATGTCAGTTCAATTAATGTTTTCAAAAATGGAATCTATTGTGCCTGCCCTATTGTTTTCACATAGAAATGGGTAGCTTAGCCTTGGTATCTTGGCCCAAATGCTACATTATTTTTTCAAAAGATTCAGCTCCAATTCGACTTGAAAAGTTGCCTATGTCGTTGACATTGCCAATTACATTTTATCAAAGTCTGTACTTCGTTGGCTTTCCAAAATAAGCAGAGGAGAATTCTGATTTTTAGTAGGTGGTCCCAGTAATTGCAGGCCTTGAAAAATTTCAGATAAATTTTAATTTTTATGTAAACCAATACCCTTATTAAAATTCTGTCAATATAAAAATTTTATCCCCATAAGCTCCATCAGCTTATGTGAAGCAGCATTCACCATATTGCTTTTTATTTAGAAGTTCTTTATGTATTCCTTTTATTTTGCACACAATTGTCTCTGTGTGCTTTTGTCTTGTCTAGGATTCATTCTACAATTTTTAATCTCTCAACTAGTTAATTTTAGATGTAGAAAGCATATATTTGCTTCACATTTTACATAGTACTTGTTAATAAGATAATGCATAGCACATAGTAGATTAATTAGAAACATAGTAGTAAATAGTTGAAGACAAAGAAATCTATGGGTAACAATAAGGTGACCAACAGAGATAGTTCCTTAACTACTTGAGAAAAAGATACAAAAAATAAAATGCTGCCATCTCTCTTAAAGTATATTTTATTAATTTCTCTCAAAGGGAACCATTTCTTAAATTAATACATACATGTTCCTGATTTTAAGTAAATGCTAATAAAACAGTTTACATAAAGGTGAACAAAATAGAAATATTAATTGTTACTTGTTGTGATTATTACTGTAAAATGAATTACCCATGACTCTTTATAATGGGATTATAGGAGACCTAATTATATGGTACCTGCTGTTCACTGCACCCAAATAAGTTGCCTGAATTTGGTGAAGAAACAAAATTTTCGAGAAAAAGTCCAACAGTGATAGACTGGATTAAGAAAATGTGGCACATATACACCGTGGAATACTATGCAGCCATAAAAAATGATGAGTTCATGTCCTTTGTAGGGACATGGATGAAATTGGAAATCATCATTCTCAGAAAACTACCTCAAGGACAAAAAACGAAACACCGCATGTTCTCACTCATAGGTGGGAATTGAGCAGTGAGAACACATGGACACAGGAAGGGGAACATCACACTCTGGGGACTGTTGTGGGTGGGGGGGTGGAGGGATAGCATTAGGAGATATACCTAATGCTAAATGACGAGTTAATGGGTGCAGCACACCAGCATGGCACATGTATACATATGTAACTAACCTGCACCTTGTGCACATGTACCCTAAAACTTAAAGTATAATAATAATAAAATAAAAAAAAGAAAAAAGGTACAGTGAAAAGTTGACAGTGTGAAGAATATATATTCTTTCAGGAGGATTTATAAGTGAGGAAGTATCCAAAGGGATGAGCCAGGAGAATCTTCATGTAAGTGGGAAAAATGTCAGGTTAATCACAAAACAGATGTCAGTATAGTAAGGAAGGCTACAGATGGTGATGTAGAGCAGAACCATGTAAAATTTTATGAGTACCCATTCCATCTTCATCCCACTGAGCATATGTGCCTGTTTGATACCAAATTACAGCATGGATACGGGGATATGGGGATCATTGTAGTCCTATCATATTTTTAATGATTCTGTAATTAACAAAAGTTCAAAAGTGTTTAAAGTTCTTTTTCCTTCTTACTTGGTAAGGAGAGAACATACTTTTCTCTCCACAATATACACCGTTATGTATTCTGAACCTCTAAAAGTTTATAAAAGAAAAAAAATGTCATGGCAGTAACTTTTGGTGATGTGAGAGTTTCATCAGTAAATGGAATTAAATGAGAGATGGGTTATTGCAAATGTGAACACCAGCTTCATAGTTTGAGTACCACATTTTGTTTGCAAATAAATATCTCAAGTGCTTTCCAAAGGAATGAAAATGGAAAGACAAGTAAAAGACTAGAATTACGTAAGATCCAGATGAAGAGGATAGGATTCCTATGTCATTCATGAATTCATTTAACTACAGTTTTTCTATATCATGGGACTGTACAAAAGGCCTAGTGCAGACAAAGTCTGCAGGCATGTTTTTAAGCAAGCATTCATTGAAACATGGGCATCATTAACTTATGGCCTAAATATCAGAGGATAGTTCAAGAGGCAAGCATCAGGGTATTGAAGATGAAGATCCATGTTGACATTTCCCAAGAATCTACTATTCCAGAATCCTTGGGAAAATTACATTAACTTTAAACATACAAAATTACAAACAGTAGACACATTTTGTTTTAAAAAATCTTTATATTAATTAAATGGCTAGAGTAAACATTTGTACTACTACCCATGTTCTTCACCCTCCCCTCCAAAAAAAAAAACAAAACAAAACCACAGCAGTTCTAAGACTTCTTTCATGCTATACTCAAGTCACTAAGGAAAGCCAAAGGACAAGTCTCAGAGAAAGACTGTCTTTGCTAAAGACATCTTGCTTCTAGTCTTTAAATTTCTACCAGCGTGGTGACATGGTACATACTGACTTTAAATGTTCCCAGCATGTTCGAATCTTACGGTGAGACTTAGATAATTCCGTGAGCTCCAGATGATTTGGCTCACATTTATTTCTTTTAAGTCATGAAGTTTAGGCTAAAATACTATTAGATTATGGTGAGGTAGTGAAAACATTGGGAGGAACTATGAATCTTCCCAAGGCCTTTTGAATTTTCAGCATATTATAATTTCTAGGATCAATGGAGTTTTCTAGCAGAATCTACTATATCTATAAATTAAGATAAATCTATAAGATATTAATGATTATCCCAACAATAATAATAGAGAATTTTAAAACACATATATATTCATGTGCATACATATATGCACATTTGAAACTAAAAGAAATCAATCTTTAACAGCAAACTTACTACCCCCCATGTTGCTTTTAAAATGGCTTTGTGTTTGACTTGGAGTGTTCTGATGGCCAGGGAAATAAGGGAAATATGCTGAAAAGTTACTTTCAGAAGAAAGAATAATAATTCCTCAGAGGAGTTTTAGTCTGGTTCTCTCATAGCCCTGATTCTCAGAATTTAGTTATAACCAACAACCTGTCCTCATAAGACAGAGTCATTATTGATATCAAGTCTTCATGAGGCAGGTCTAAAGGGACTTTGGAAGCAATGGGCCTAGGAGTTTTAAAGGAAGCTGAGAAATAAGCAGCTATTTAAATTTTCTACAATTTTGTCTGGAAATCTCATTAGGAAAATATATATTTTTTCTCTATGTTGGAATAGTATATGGTCTATGTAAATTAAACATTCTGCAGTTAGAGTTTTGCCACTGGATGATGTTCTTGCATTTTTAGTAAGGCAAAATAAAGTTTGAATTATATTTTACTGTTCCTATTCTGTCCAGAAAGTGATAAACAATGGGATTACAACAGTAAATTTTGAAAATACGCTTCTTTTTAAAACAAGCATTGGAAGAACTAGGCGGCACTATGTGAAGTCCAAGAGACTGGACCATCGTTATTTAATTCTAGTGTGTAAGGCTTGTGGTTGGGATGATATTTTGATCTAGTGACCATGTGAGTTTTTGTTATTGTTGTCCTCAGTAATGCTTTTATTTGTGGCCCTGTGGTGCTTAACATGCGAAATAGGCTATGAGGCATTTGTTTCCCTAAAGAAATGTTTCAGCACAGATAATTTAAAATCCATGCTCTTAAATTTTTAATTGCAAAAGCCAAGATCCATAAAAAGGAGGGCAAAAGACAGAAGAAACAAGTCAGAGGGCTCCTTTTCCTCCTCTCCTCCTCACTCTAAGGGACTGCACTGGGTTGCACAGTGGGACAAGAAGGAGGTATGGAGGGGAATACAGTGTTAGATACCTGGATGCCTCTGAGTGGGAGCTATGATGTGCCTACCCTCTTGAGTAAAGCCCCCTTGGAGAAGTGTGTGCGTGTGTGTGTGTGTGTGTGTGTGTGTGTGTGTGTGTATGAAACTCTAATGTATCTAGCTTTTTCTTCATCAATACGAATGGGTAACTAAATGCCACCACTATATTAGAATAATGTAGCATGAAAGAGAAAGAAAAGCAACATGATCAACATGAAAGAATGTGGGGAGAAAAGAATGGAGGGAGAGAGCTAGTTTAAGGAATTGACATACATGATTGTGGAGGCTGGAAAATTCAAAATCTATAAGATAGGCCAGCAGGCTGGAGACTCAGGGAAGGGTTGTTGTGATAGCTGGAGTCCAAAGACAATTTGGAGGCAGAATTCCCTTTTCCTTGGGGTATGTCAGTCTTTTTTTTTTCCTCTAGGGCTTCAACTGATTGGAGATCCTCCACATTATGGAGGATAATTTGCTTACTCAAAGTCCACTGATTTAAATGTTAATGTCATCTAAAAATATCTTCACAATAACATCAAGACTAGTATTTGACCAAATATCTGGGTACCTTGCCTAGCTAAGTTGACACATAAAATTAACCATCACAAACATTAAACATTTCTGCTGAAAACATTTAGAGAATGTAGTTTAAAAAATCAACTAGAATGTAAACAAAAGAGAAACAAAGACTGGATATATAAAATTAAATGGAGACTACAAATCTCAGATTTCAAGAGATCACAAGATAGCGCAGTTAGTAAAAAACAAAAGAAGACTGGTATCAAAAAAAATGCTGAAATTTCAGAATACTAAAATAAAGATTCTAAAAGTTTTTAGAGAACAAAAAACTTACTTCTAAAGGAATATGAATGCTATTGGCATCAGAAGTCATCATCAACAATCACTGGATGATAGACGACCATATGTAATCCCTTGAAAACTGGAGGGAAAAAGTGATAGTCCACCTCAAATTCTGTACCCATGCCAACTATCATTCAAATAAGTCAGGAAGAAGGGATTTTCAGACATGTGGTAACTTAAAGTTTATCTTCCACATATTGTTATTTAAAAATTTACTCCAGCAAATCAAGACATTAAAACAGTATCAAAGGAAAAGATCACCCTTTACATATATCTTAAACAAATAAGTCAAATGTATCACTTGCTTAGCAAGTAAGAACAGAAGATGTAGCCTACAGACTTTGAACAAAGCAAAGAGCAAACTTTACATACCTCTGAGGAAAGTGAAATTTATGCACTGGCTCACTTTCAGAAGTATCCTGGAGTGAAGCATCTGATGATTAGCCTGCCATGAGCAGCCTGAGTAGTTACATCAATCTCTCATTATTGCCAATAATAGGTTTAAAACGTGTTCTGAGATTTCTACTTTATTACTTGGGTTTGGGGCAAAATAACAGTCATTATTTTTTTTTCTTGATCTTGGAGAAGAGAAAATTTTATTCTCAAAATAAAGAGAATCATATGGGGCCCAGGAAGGATGGATCCAAGCAAAAGCAAAGAGAAGTTGCAGCTGGCAGTGGCTTAATACATCCACAGCATGACTTAGCCCTGTTGAACCAGGAGGTTGGAATTCTATGGGACAGAGATATTTAGTGCAAAAAAGGGATTCATTAAAGTTTATCTTCCATGAAAATTTATCTCAATCATTATAATTGTAATGATTGAGAGTAGAGAGGAAGGAAATGCAATACATATATTTGAGAGTTGGGGGTGGGGAATTCAATGTAATGTAGTATCAGTTTTTGTTTGTTTGTTTGGGTTTTTTGTTTTGTTTTGTTTTGTCTTATTTATTCCAGGATCAGTTATATTTCCACACCAGATAATTAAGGAAATTTGGCAAAGATACAATTGAATAGTAAGTAAGTGAATGCAACACCGCAGTAAAACATTTAGTTTTGGCAAAGTGTTCATTGTTTTATACTTATTATAAAAGTTGAATAAAAACTATTGATGCAATCTATTTTTCAATATTATTTTTAATGGTAACACTTCAATCTACTTTTGTACCCTGTATTAATCAACATGCAAGGTACAATATTCAAGCAACTAGTGATTTCTATTTTGTTTTGTTTTGCGGCATTGCAGAATAATAATTAGGACTCACTAAATACTTAAAATCTAATTATAAAAAAAAGGTTAACTAAGCTTGTGTTAGGCAAACATACTTTGTTCATGTATCTTTGGAGAATTTATATTGTTTCTATTGTTCATTTAATATACACCTAATTTTTTCAAAAGTTATGAGACTTTTCTGCACCTAAAGTTAGTGCTTTTCCCATTTCTACTGTTGGGAGTCACGGAGGAGATCATAGTATGTTACTTACACCTTTAATTTTTACATAGATTAAATCCATAAATTCCTGAAGATATATTCCATTTCATTTTACTTTTATTTATTGACTTCTTGGATGGAAATTTATTCTTTTTCATGTGTAAAAGAAACATTGTGACTTTAAAATATAGTATCACAGTTGAAAGCACAAACTCTGGAAACCAACTGACAGTGTTTGAGTTTAATGACCACCAGTTATACGTCACTGTATGACCTTGAGTGTGTTACTTAACCCCTTTCTGCCTCTCTTGCCTCATCTGTAAAGTGACCGTAGTAATAGTATTTATCTTATAGAGCTGTTGTGAGGATTGCACAATGTTTATTACCTATTGTTCTGTTACAAAACTTAATGGCTTAAAACAATTGTATTGGGCTGATCTTGGACTACTGTAAAACATAACTGAGACTGGGTAATTTACAAGAAAAGAAGTTTAATTGGCTTAGGGTTCTGCAGCATCTACTTCTGTGGAGGTATTCCAATCATGACGGAAAGTAAAGGGAGCAGGTATATCACATAGCAAGAACAGGAGCAAGATAGAGAGTGAGGGAGGGGTATTACACACTTTTTTTTTTTTTTTTTTTGAGACAGAGTCTTTCTCTGTCGCCCAGGCTAGAGTGCAGTGGCGCAATCTCAGCTCCCTGTAAGCTCCGCCTCCCAGGTTCACATCATTCTCCTGACTCAGCCTCCCGAGTAGCTGGGACTACAGGCACCCGCCACCAGGCCTGGCTAATTTTTTGTATTTTTAGTAGAGACGGGGTTTCACCGTGTTAGCCAGGATGGTCTCGATCTCCTGACCTTGTGATCTGCCCACCTCGGCCTCCCAAAGTGCTGGGATTACAGGCATGAGCCACCCCACCTGGCCTACACACTTTTAAATGACAAGATCTTGTGATAACTCACTCACTATCACGAGGACGGCACCAAGAGAATGGTGCTAAACTATTCATGAGAAATCCACCCACCTAATCCAGTCACCTCCCACCAGGCTCTATCTCCAACACTGGGGATTACAATTCAACATGAGATTTGGTGGGGACATACACTGAAACTATATCATTCAGCCCCTGGCCTCCCAAGTCTCATGTCCTTCTCACATTGCAAAACATAATTATGCTTTCCCAATAGTCTCCCAAAGACTTAACTCATTCTAGCATTAACTCAAAAGTCCCAAGTCTAAAGTATTGTCTAGAGATAAATTCCTTCCACCTAGAGGCCTGTAAAATCAAAACAAATTATTTACTTCTAGGATACAATAAGAGTATAGGCATTGGGGAAACATTCCCATTCCAAGACACAGAAATCAGCCAAAAGAAAGGGGCTGCAGGCCCTATGCAAGTTCAAAACCCAGCAGGGAAGTCATTAAATCATAAAGCTCCAAAATAATCTTTGACTCCATGTTCCACATTCAGGGCACGCTGGTATAAGGGGTGGCCTCCTAAGACCTTAGGCAGCTCCACCCCTGTGGCTTTGCAGGTTTCAGCCCCCGTGGCTGCCCTCACAGGTTGTTGAGTGCCTGAAGCTTTTCTAGGTGCGAAGCTTAAGCTGCTGGTAGATTTACCATTCTGGGGTCAGGAGTATGGTGGCCCCCTTCTCACAGTTCCACTAGGAAGTGCCCCAGTGGGGACTTGATGTGGGGTCTCCAACCTCACATTTCCTCATAACACTGCCCTAGTAGAGGTTCTCTGTGAGGGCTTGGCCCTTGCAACTGGCTTCTGTCTTGGCACCCAAGTTTTCCCATACAACCTTTGAAATCTAGGTAGAGGCTGTCAAGCCTCTTTCACTCTTGCTTTCTGTGTGCCTGCAGGCTTAAAACCACATGGAAGCCACCAAAGCTAATGGCTTGCACCCTCTGGATCCTTGCATCCTGAGCTGTACTTGTGCCCCTTTGAGCCAAGGCTGGAGCTGGAGCAGTGGAATTTGAGGAGCAGTGTCCTGAGGCTGTGTATGGCAGGGGGTCCTGGGCCTGGCCCATGAAACTATTCTTTCCTCCTAGTCCTCTGGGCCTATGGTGGGAGGGGCTGCTGCAAATGTCTCTGAAGTGTCTTCATTTCAGAAATGCCTTTGCCTTTCAAAAGGCCTCTGAAAGCCCTTTTCCCATTGTCTTGGCAATCAGCACTTGGATCCTTTTTAGTTATACAAGTATCTCTATCAAGAGGTTGGTCCACAGTGTGCTTGAATTTAGCTCCCAAAAAAGCTTTTTTCTTTCTTTGCCACATGGCTAGGTTGTAAATTTTCCAAACCTTTACACTCTGCTTTCTGTTATATAAATTCCAACTCTAAGTCATTTATTTGCTCCCACATCTGAGCATAGGATATTTGAATCAGCCAGGTCACATCTTGAATGCTTTACTACTTATAAATTTTTTTCACCTGATATTCTAAATCAGGGGTGTTCAATCTTTTGGCTTCCCTGGGCCACATTGGAAGAAGAATTGTCTTGGGCCACACATAAAATACACTAACGCTAACAATAGCTGATGAGCTAAAGGAAATGGAAAAAAAAATCTCATCATGTTTTAAGAAAATTTACAAATTTGTGTTGGGCTGCATTCAAAACCTTCATGGGCCACATGTGGCCTGTAGGCTATAGGTTCAACAAACTTGCTCTAAATCATCACTGTTTAGTTCAAACTTCTGCAGATCACTGTGGCATGAACAGAATGCAGCCAAGCTCTTTACTAAGGCCTAACATGTGTGCCTTTTGCTCCAGTTTCCAATAAGCTTTTTATTCCATCTGAGACCTCAGAAATCTGGCCTTCAGGGTCCATATTACTATCAGAATTTTGGCCACAACCATTTAATCAGTCTCTAAGTAATTCCAAACTTCCTCTCATCTTTCTCATCTTCTGAGCCCTCCAAAATGTTCCAACCTCTGCCCATTACTCAGTTCCAAAGCTGCTTCCACATTTTCAGATATCTTTATAGCAATGCCTCACTATTCAGTATCAATTTTCTGTATTAGGCTATTCTTGCACTGCTATAAAGCAATACCTGAGATTGGGTACTTTATAAGAAAAGGAGTTTAATTGGCTCATGGTTCTGCAGGCTGTATAAGAAGCACAGTGGCATCTGCTTCTGGGGAGCCCTCAGGAAGCTTCCAATCATGGCAGAAGGCAAACGGGGAAGAGGCACATCATATGGTGAGAAGATGAACAGGAGAGAGAGTGGGGGTGATGTGCCATACACTTTTAAATGACCAGGTCTCATGAGAACTCACTCACTATCTCAAGGACACCACCAAGAGGATGGTGCTAAGCCATTCATGAAAAATTCATCCCATGATCCAATCACCTCCCACCAGGCCCCACCTCCAATATTGGGAATTACAATTCAGCATGAGATTTGACAGGGACATACATCCAAACAGTAAGAACAATGATGAACATTTATTATCTCTCACGTTTCTGTTGGTCAAGAACATGAAAGATGTTTAGCTTGAAGTTCTGACTCTTTAAGGTCTCTGATGGTGTAGCAATCAAGAATTTGGAGCTGTACTGGCTTACTTATTGGCTGGCAAATTGGTGCTGGGTATTGACATGAGACATCAGTTCCTCTTTTTGTGGATCTCTGCGAAAGATACCTAAGTGTCCTTACAACTTAGTGGCAGCCTTCCCACAGAGCAGATGATCTGAGAGAGGAAGAAGCTATCCTCTTTATGACCTAGTCTCAGAATCACATAGCATCACTCCTACCCCATTCTACTCAATAGAATGAATCATTCAGTCTGCCCACATTTGAGGAAAAGTGAATGCAAGGGGAAGACTGTCAATGAATTCATGACATTTAAAACTATTGGAACTATTACATATATAAAGCGTATACATCAATCATTAACACAAAATAAGTAATACATACTGTTTGGTATTGTATCTTTAAAAAACTATAAACATATTGTCCCAGTGCTTGGTCGTTGGTGTGTAGTCATGTGTTTCACTTTCATATATTTATTTTTTATTCACCATTTTGAAAAACTGTATAATTAATTATATTAATTTATTAATAGACTCTTTGAGGCTTTCTATGAATACAGCCACAATCTCTGCAAATAAAGAATTTTTTTTATTATTGAAGCTTCATGCATTTTATCTTTGTCTGATTTTACTGTAGGGGTAAGGATCTCCAGTATAATATTGAAAGAAGTGGTGACAATAGATATTCTTGGTTTATCCTAGAATTAGGACATACTCTCAAATTTTCACTTGTGGTATTGACAGAAAGCATTTTGCAGATGTTCTGTGTTAGTCAAGAATGTTTTCTTCTGTACCTTGTTTGCTAAGTTTTTATCAAGAATAATTACTGAATTTTGTTTTCTTTCCTGAGGCTGCTGAGATACATATGATTTTCTTCTCTTAGAATGTAATCATGATAAATCACAACTTCACCTTTCCTCTTTTTCATTAGATGTTCCCAGAGCTAAGGACAGTCCTATCCTGAGGTTTCTGAGTGATTTAGACCAGGATTCACAGCCATGTCAACTCTGAAAGCAAACCTTTGGTCATTAACATTTTATAGTTTTGCCTCTGTTGTAGGTGTCAAGTCTTGATAAATCAGGATTTGCATTTATTGTAAGTATTTTTTCTAGAGTTAATTTTTTATACTATGTATTTGTTAAAAATATTCTCTGAGTTTTAGCAGAAAGAGCTTTTAATAATATACCTTATATAGTACACTTTTTATGCAATGAAATAGCTAAATTGAGTCTTTCTGTAGGCACCACTAAAAAAGAGTAAGTACAGAAGAATTACATTTTCATTTTTAACTTATTTGAAATAATATGAAACACAAAAATGCACATACACACACATACAAACACATTGCACATACTCAAAAAAGCCGCTGAATTTGGTTATATAAATAGATTGAACCTAAATTGATTTCACAGTTGATTTATTTCACAATTATTAGTTATTTTGCCTTTAGTTGAAAGGTGTACCCATGGAGGAAAATAAGCCCTACTTTCCCTCTAAGCTCCTATGAACAAAACAAAACATCACAGAGCTGGAGCCAGGCAGTACATTAGCCTGCATTCAGTAAAGCAGAAACAAAGCAGTATTTTACATTTCCTCTTAGAATAATAATTAAAAAAGAAACTAGCCTTTCTCTTTTTCCTTGGAATTGAGCCCTGCTGACCTTAAATATTTTACCTTTTCCCCTATTTAGCAGTCCAGTAGGTAAGAATTACTCGTGGCTAGCCAGCTGGAAAAGACAGCCTCCCAGATCCACCTCTGAAATTTACTTTCCTTCTCTTTTTGACCATGTCTGAAGTGGCTCCTTCTCAGTCCAGCAGTCAGTATTCTTTGAACATCAGGACTGCTGTCACAAGCAGTTGCAGGTGTCAAATCCCAATAAATGTCAAAGAAATTGATTTCACTCATTTTGCATCTTGGGTTTCTCCTAGAAGAGTGAGGGTTGGTTTAAAAAAGAGGGTGTATGGGAAAAGCTGGCAAAGTCTTTGTACATATTGGCAAAGCATAAAGAAAGGCAAAGTTGGCAAGAGACAGAATAATAATTACTACCATACTCAGAGTGCCTAGTATATGCCAGGCATTTATAAACACAATTTCATTTACTCTTTTACCAATCCAGGGAGCAAGCATTGTTACCTCCAGTTTACAGATGAGAAGCTGATGTTCAGAGTTTCACTCTAGTTAGTGGTTGAGCTGGGATATGAATCCAGTTCTTTTCAATTCCAAAGTCCACACTGACCCTTGCTTTAGTCATCCTAGACAATAAATTTTCATTTACACTTCTGATTGCTTAAATACATTACCAATGGTACATATTTAAAAGCACAAGCAAATTTTAACAGTCAAATATAACAACAAATGAACTGGAATAATCAGTCATGTGTGCTTTGAGTAATACTGCATTCAAGAGCATGCTAACATGATGCCCTTCTATTTGGGGCACTGTAGCAAGACAGCATCTTGTCAAGTCCTCCAAATTCATAGGTTGTGAATTTTAATAAACATTCCTTTTAGGCAAAGAAGCAGCACAAAAATATTTTAATGGGTCATGAAAAACAACATTCTGGTGTAAAAGAACTTTCAGATTGTGTATAATAAGTTTAATTGGTTGTCACTTGTTTATGATCATGAACAAATTACCAACCAATAATAGGTGCACCAGTTCCAACAACTTTATTATCTTCAGATGATACCACCTGTCTTAAAACTACTGGAGAAATAACTGACCTTACAATAGATACTTGGACAACTGTTTGTTACATTTCCAAATTTGTGGCTTTGAAAAAAAATTATTCTGCTGTTATTTCTGCAAGCAATTCTTTTTTTCTGTGAATAGCTATGAATACAGCCCTTCTGGATTTCAGGGAATTATACCTTTTACAAAAGCAGGATACCTAGATGAAATGCGACAGCCTAACTTTATAGACCTCAAACTTCGTTCTAGGGAAGTTTTGAGAAGGGAGGAGAAACTGGTTGTATCCAGAAGGATTCTTCCATAGCAGTGCGTAGATAAAGATAAACACAATATTCCTACCTTTGTCAGGAAGTAAAAATTGTGAGTTATACTAACTTTCAATTTGGAATAAGTATATAAATAGCCAATTAAATACAAAGACTATGATCTTATTTCCTATAGTTTCTTGATTCTATTTCATGCATTCATTTATTGATGTACTCTTTACTTAATAAACATTATCAACAAATGTCAATTTCCCAGGATAGAGTGAAAGGATTTTTTTCTCTTTTGTGATGCTTATACTCAGAGAAGAGATGTGTATCATATGTAGATTGCTTAGGAAGAATAAAGTATCATCCTGCAAGGGTACTATCTAAGTTTTCTGCCTCTTCTCTTTATAAGAATCTATCCTCTCCATGTTTTGTGGATTCATCAATTGCCACATAATAAATACTGAGAAAGCATTCATAAAATTAAACTATAGATAAAGCAAAAAGTGAAAGTATTTTGTGATTTTTTTTACCCAATTCTGACAGGCTTTTTCCATGCTTATGAAACATACATGTATTCATAAAGATTTTATAAAAATGGCATCATGTTATATACTTTCATGCTTTGTTTCTCTTACCATATCATGATCCTCTTTCTTTATCAATGCATTTAAATCCCCCTCTTAAAATATTTATTTATGTAGCTTACTTATTATTTAGTTTAATATGCTATTTATTTAATTTAATTAATCTAATATTTTAATTAAAAATTTAAATCAATTTTTTAATTTAAAAAGTTATATCAATTTTCTTAATTTAAAAAATTATTTCAAATTTTTTAAGAAATTAAGAAAATCATTTTAATTTTTTAGTGTTTGGTACCAAGGCTGTGATTTTTTTTCTGTGTTTTTTTCTTGTGTATCTTCAGGGTAAAGATACGCCTCTTGCTTTTAGTGTTATAAGCAATGCCAAGACACATAGCAGTATCACCAGACAACTCCGTGTTGACCTATAAGTCTGTTTCTTATCAACATCACATTTCATGGTCAAGTTTAAAGTGGCTCATGAATGTTGCAGTACTCATACCTAGAAAGAATGGTTGTCAGAAAGCCTTTGGAAACTTCCAGCTTTTTACTACTGATAGTGATCCTCTGATCATTAGGTAGTCTGCAGCTCTTCTTAAATAAGGAGGAAGTAACAGTAGCCATCTCATGCTCAAAGTCCACAACAATCTAACACAGCTTCTTTTTGTTATGTTCATTTTCCTTCTCAGCTGTGGCAGTGAAGCTATAGCCGCATTCTGCTTAAGGAAGTCTGTAACAACCTTCCAAGTCCAGACGTGTGGTAGGGCATAAGCCCCATAAATCCATACTGTCGGTGATACGGTTATCAGAGTCCATCACAATAGAGTGGTGTGACAAAAGGTATTCAGTAACAGGGCTGCCTGTATAGCAACAAAGTTCTCAAACATAACCTGAAGCATCTCTATTGTATTGGCCATGGAGTTTAGGGGGACCTCAGTAACGTGCATAGTAGAAGGTAGATGCCAGGTTTTCTCTATGCCACCCTAGTTGATAATGATGTCACCAGTGAGGGTACTTCAGGGAAAGGATATACATCTTGCTTTTAGTGTTATTACCCATGATGCTTCCCATTGGCCCATAGTATCTTTGACATCAACAAAAGAGGAAAACATGTTTCCTTTATCTGTATTTGGGTGATCACAAGCTGACAGACTTCCACATGAAAATCCTGGCAGGAAGAGGTTCACCTTCATTACCTTAGTCAAGAGGGACATGTATGACATGAAGAGAAGCTCATATACAGGGGCAGAGGGGGTTCATATCCAGAAAAATCATGTTTGCCAGTGTCAGAGACGTTGTTAATACTGAGTGCAGAGATCTTATTCTCTGTTTGATCTATCTGAAGTGGTTACTGCATTGGGTGAAAAGAACCTGGGCAGAGAGCATGAGAATCTCAGATTAAATTTTAATCATTATAATTTTGAAATATTTCAAGCAAACACTGAGTTGTTGCATTGAAAAAATATTATTTTGCAAATAATAAGTATTATACACTTTAGAGCTAACAGGCTTGTATTTGTTGTGTCTACCCCACCCACATCCAATTATATTAAAATGTCTTGGATACATGGCAAATGCTTAAAATGTATTTGTTAATTTACTGGTAAATTAAACTTTGTCATAGTGAATAATATTTTATACATTAGTTGGCTATCTCAATGTGTCATTAAATAGTTTTTCTTTCCAAATTAATTATTATTAAAAGCATACTGATTTAAAACTAAGAATAATTTTACAGAGTCCTCAAACAACTTATGCTTTAGTGCTTGATGGGTTTTAAATAATTAATGACAAAAATATTTGATTCTGACAAGCATTCTGGTATTAAGCAATTAACACAAACATTAGCATATGTGGATTTTAGAAGTCTGCCAAATAGCAAATCTTTTGAAACAAATTGATGTTCATTGTTGTTTCATTTCCTTTTCTGCTTTAAATGTCAAATAATCACAGTTAACACAATGAAAGAATAGGCTTTAATTGTAAGCTATAAACAAGATGTAATTGCTAATAAAAGTTATTGTATACATAGGTGTGCCTTTATTTTTTGAGGCTATAATCCAGTCATGAAAATGAGCCCTGGTCCATGTTCTCAGTGTCTAAAGAAATCAGAGAATCAGATCTTAAGAAAATTTAATACGCTGAATATTCCCTTGTTACTCACTTTCTTTTTGTTTAAATTTCTTAGGTATTTGTGTTTAAAGAACTCCCAGTCCCTTTGTTAAGGGCAAAAGCTTATATTTTCTTAGCCTAATGAAAGACAAGCACAAGAAAGAAGTGAAAGGGGATGTGGATGAAAGGGGGATCAGAAAATATGCCTAGATTTGTTGTAAGTAACCAAATCCTCATGATTACATCTAAACCTATCTACAGTACCACCATCTCTTGCCTGCCCTGTAATAGTGTCTTAACTGCTTTCCTCATGTTTTCTTCACACCTTTATATAGCAGCCAAGATGATTTTTTTATTTTTCTTTTTTTTCACTTTTTAATTTTTTTTATTATATTTTAAGTTTTAGGGTACATGTGCAGAACGTGCAGGTTTGTTACATATGTATACATGTTTAAGAAGATAAATCAGATCATATTTGTCACCCTTTAAGTCCCTCCAGTGGCTTCCTCTTGTCCAGAGAATAAAAGCCCGATGGCATACAATAACATACAATAACATACAATACCTCCTATAGTCCTGTTCCTGCCTAGTAGCTCTACCTCATCCCATGCCACACCCCTACTATGCTCCAGCTACAAGGTCTCCTGTCCTGGCAGAGAACAAGCCCAGTTTTTCTGCCATAGGATTCACAGTTGCTGCTCCTTCTGCCAAGATGAGTCTAGTTCTAGGTTTTTCCATGGCTGGCTTCTTCTAGGCTTTACAGTCTCAGTTTAAATGCCATATCAACAGAACTTTTCTTAATATATTAGAAAATGCATTTCCTATTCCACCCCTTTATTTCTTTACCCAACTTTATGTATTTCATAGCAATAATCACTTTCCAAAATTATCTTGCTCACGTATTTCTTTTCTCCAACTCCTCTCCCTACTAAAATATAGGTTTGGCCAGGGATAGGCCTGGGGCAATGCCAGGCATATAGTAGGTGCTTAATAATATTGATTGAAAGCATGGATCTTGGATAATCCTGAACGCTAAAAAGCTGGCCCAGTGTTCAAGTTTAGATCTCTGTATGAGATGTATCTGAGTAATATTTTGTCTCCTGTACTCATCATTTTAAAGTATTTAGAGGATGTGAATACTTTGTGACATGCTTAATTAGGTTTGTAAGCCTATCTTCAAAGAGCAGTGTTGGAATATAATTTATGTTTAATCAATCAGATACTAAATCACATGTGCCTGCAATGACCACATTCCCAGAAATCTGTGAAGGTATCTTGTGGGAGAGTGAATAGAAATCACTTAAATTTAACTTTACACATATTGAATATGGTTTATTGCTTAAAAGTCTGATATTGCTTTAACATGTTTGTTCATCCCTGACAGTTGAAGGAAATAAAAAATTAATTTATCTAACACTACTATGTTCTAGGCACTACAATAGGTAGTAGTACTTGGTATACAGAGAACAAACAGCTACCAAGTTTTACCATCTAAAATATCAGAGTCTTTGCCTGATAATCTAGGGAATACTCCTGGATCTTACCCAAGCCCACCAAGGTGATAACTCTACAGGTCTGCAAGACTTGCAGTGTTACTGGGCCTGCAGTGCCCACTAGTGAAAGATGGCTGCAGTGAACAAAGAATTAGATAACACCTGATTCCTTTCGAATATCCAATAAGCCTTCTCAAGAAGGATGGGTACAAACAAGCCCAGACTGTGAAGGTTAAAGTAACTATCTATCTCATCAATGCCAAGACATTGAAAAACATCCACAAGCACCAAGATCATCCAGGAAAACATGACCTCACCAAACAAACTAAATAAGGCCCAAGGGACCAATCACAGATTGACAGAGATATGTGGCCTTTCAGACACAAAATTCAAAGGAGCTGTTTTGAGATAGCTCAATTGAATTCAAGATAACAAAGAGAGGAAATTCAGAGTCCTATCAGATAAACTTAACAAATAAATTGAAATAATCTTTTTTAATTAAGCAGAAATTCTGGAGCTGAAAATTCAATTGAAAAACTGAAAAATACATCAGAGTCTATCAAAAGCAGAATTCATCAAACAGAAGAAAGACTTAGTGAGAGTGAAGACAGGCCATATGAAAATACACAGTCAGAGGGGACAAAAGGAAAAAAAGAATAAAGCATGCCTAGAAGATCAAGAAAATAGCCTCAAAAAAGCAAATCTAAGAATTATTTAGCCTGAAAAAGAAGGGAGAGGGAAATATTGTGGTAGAAATTTTATTCAAAAATATAATAACAGAGAACTTTTTAAACCTAGAGAAAGGTATAAATATTCAAGTACAAAAAAGTCATAGAACATCAAGCCAATTTAGCCTAAATAAGACTATCTTGATACATTTAATAGTCAAACTCCAAAAGGTCAAGGATAAAACAAAAATCCTAAAAGCAGCAAGAGAAAATACATACATAACATATAAAGCAACTCCACTACGTCTGGCAGCAGACTTCTCAGTGAAAAACGTATAAGCCAGGAGAAAGAGGAATGACATAATTAAAGTGCTGAAAGAAATAAACTTTTATCCTAGAATAGTACATCCAGAGAAAATATCTTTGAAATGTAAAGGAAAAATAAAGACTTTCCCAGACAAACAAAAGCTGGGGCATTTAATCACCACAAGATCTGTCCTATAAGAAATGCTAAAAACAGTTCTTCCATCTGAAAGAAGAGGATGTTAATAAGCAATAAGAAATTATCTGAAGGTACACACTCACTAGTAACAGTAAGTATAAAGACAAATACACAATCACACTGTAATTTGGGTGTGTAAACCACTCGTATCTTGAGTAGAAAGACTAAAAGACAAGCCAATCAAAAATAATAGCTACAAAACCTTTTTAAGAAATAGTCTAAAAAGATATACATAGAAACAACAAAAAGTTAAAAAATGAGAGAGATGCAGTTAGATTGTAGTGTTTTTATTACTTTTCTCTTTGCTTATTTTTTGGTAGTTTTTTTTCAATCAGACTTAATTTAGCAAAAGCTTAAAATAATTGATTATAAGATGTTATTTACAAGTCTCATGGTAATTTCAAATCCAAATATCTACAAGAGATCCAAGTAAAATGAAAAGCAAGAAATCAAAACATACCACCAGGGAACACCCCGTCTACACAAAGAAAAAACAAGCAGGAAGGCAAGAGGCAGGAAGGAAGAAAGGAAAGAAGAAGGAAGGGAGACAAGAAGAAAGAAAGGAAGGAAGACAAGAAAGAAGAATGAAAAGAAAAAAAGAAAAACCACAAAATAATTTTAAAAGGCAAGGAATAGGATGGCATAGTAAGTCCTTACTTTTCAATAATAACATGGAATGTAAATAGACTAAACTTATCAATCAAAAGGCATACAGTGGCTGAATGAATTAAAAAAATAAGACCCACCTATATACCGTTTACAATAAACTTATGTCATATATAAAGACACACAAAGGCGGAAAATAGATGGAAAAATATATTTCATGCAAAAAAAACCAAAAAGGAGCAGAAGTAGCTGTACTTAGATAAAATAGATTTCAAAACAAAAGCTATAAAAAAGGACAAAGAAGGTTACTATACAATGATAAAAGGGTCAGTTGAGCAAGAGGATATAACAAATGTAAATTCATGTGAACCCAACACTGGAGCACCCAAATACTTACATCAAATATTACTAGAGCAAAATAAAAATATAGACCCCAATATAATAAAAGCTGGAGACTTCTACACTCACTTTCAGCTTTGGACAGGTCATCCAGACAAAAAAATCAACTGATAAACATCACACTTAATCTGCACTATAGGAACAATGGACCTAATACATCGTTACAGAACATTTTCTCCAGTGGCTGCAGAATACACCCTTTTCTTCTCAGCACATACATTATTCTCAGTGATAACAGCACATGTTAGGACTCAAAATAATTTTTAAAAAAATTCAAAAAGTTGAAGTAATATCTATCGTTTCTGACCAAAATGGAATAAAACTAGAAAACAATAACAAGAGGAACTTTGAAAACTATACAAATGCATGCAAATTAAACAATATCTTCCTGAATGACCAGTGGGCAAATAAAGAAATTAAGAAGTAAACTGAAAAGTTTCTTGAAACAAATGAAAATGCAACATACCAAAATCTATGGAATATAGCAAAAGCAGTACTAAGAGGAAAATTTAGAGCAATAAGCTACCTCAAAAAAATTTAGAAAAACTTTAAATAAGCAACCTGATTATGTGTCCTAAAGAACCCCAAAGCAAGAGCAAACCACAAAATTAGTAGAAGAAAAGAAATAATAAAGATAACAACAGAAATAAACTTAAGACAAAAATACAAAAGATCCATGAATCAGAGTTTATATTTTGAAAAAAGTAAACAAAATTGACAAAGCTCTACCCAGACTAATTAGAACAAAAAAGAGAAGACCCAAATAAATAAAATTAGATGAAAGGAGGCATTACAAGTGATAACACAGAAATACAAAGGATCATTAGAGACTACTATGCTCAACTATGTGCCAATAAATTGGAAAATCTAGAAGGAAATTGATAAATTCCTAGACACAACCCTTCAAGATTAAAACATAAAGAAATCCAAAACCTGAATAGACCAATAACAACCAACAATATTAAAGCCATAATAATAAGTCTTCCATCAAGAAAACCCTGGGACCTGATTGTTTCACTGTTGAGTTCTACCAAACATTTAAAGAAACAATATGAATCTTAGTCAAGCTATTCCAAAAAGTAGAGGGGGGCAGAGTACTTCCAAACTCATTCTATAAGGCCAGTGTTACCCTAACACCAAAACCAGGCAAAGACACAAGAAAAAAAGAAAACTATAGGTCAATATCCTTGATGAAAATTGATGCAAAAGTCTTCAACAAAATATTAGCAAACTGAATTCAACAGCACATTAAAAAGATCATTAATCACGATCACGTGTGATTTATCCAAGGAATGCAAGCATGATTCAACATATGCAAATCAAAGAGACACATAATATCAACAGAATGAAGGACAAAAATCACGTAATCATTTCAATTGATGCTGAAACAGCATTTGGTAAAATTCAAAATCCCTTCATGGTAAAAAACATTCAAGAAACTGGGTAGAGAAGAAACATACTTCAACACAATAAAAGTTACATATGGCAGACCCACAGATACTTTGTTCTGAATGGGGAAAAACAGAAAGCCATTCCTCTAAGATCTGGAACAGGAAAGAAATGCTCAGCACACTACTGGATGTCCTAGCTATAGCAATTAGACCAGAGAAAGACATAAAGACCATCTAAATTGAAATAGAAGTCAAACTATCTTTGTTTGCAGGCAAGTTAATCTTATGCATAGCAAAACCTAAAGACTCCATGAAAAAAATATTAGAACTGATACATTTGATAAAGTTGCAGGATGGAAAATCAACATACAAAATTCAGTAGCATTTCTGTATACTAAAAACAATCTGAAAAAGAAATCAAGAAAGTAAATGTATTTACAATAGCTACAAATAAAATACCTAGGAATAAACTTAACCAAAGTAGTGAAAGATCTCTACAATGAAAAGTATAACACATTAATGAAAGTAATTAAAGAGGGCACAAAAACCTGGAAAGATATTCCATGTTCATGGATTGGAAAATATATTGTTAAAGTGTCCATATTGCCTAAAGCAATCTGCAGATTCAGTGCATCCCTATCAAAATACCAATGATTGTCTTCACAAAATAATAGAAAAAAAATTCTAAAATGTATATGGAACCACAAAAATTCCAGAAAAGCCAAATCCATCCTGAGCAAAACAAAACTGGAGGAATCACATTACCTTAATTCAAATTATATTATAGAGCTGTAGTAGCCCAAACAACATGGTAGTGGCATAAAAACAGACACATAGACCAATGAAATAATAGAAAATCCAGAAGTAAGTCCATACTTCTACAATGAACTCATTTTTGAAAAGGTGTCAAGAACATACATTGGAGAAAGGACATAAATCGTTTTGGGAAAACTGGATATCCAGAAGAATAAAACTAGACCCCTATCTCCCACCATGTACAAAAATCAAATCAAAATGGATTAAAGACTTAAATCTAAGACCTCAAACTATAAAACTGCTAAATAAAACTTTGGGGGAACTCTCCAGGACATTGGTCTGGGCAACAATTTCTTGAGTAATACCCTGAAAACACAGGCAACCAAAGCAAAAATGAACACCTCAGATCACATCAAGTTAAATAGCTCCTACACAGCAAAGGAAGCAACCAACAAAGTGCAGAGACAACTCACAGAATGGGAGAAAATATTTGCGAACTACTCATCTGCCAAGGGATTAATAACCAGAATACATAAGGAGCTCAAAGAACTCCACAGGAAAATTAGATCAATCTAATTTAAAAATAGGCAAAAGATCTGAATAGACATTTCTTAAAAGAAGACATATAAATGATCAAGAGGTATATAAAAAAAGTTCAACATCATTAATTATCAGAGAAATGCAAAGTGAAACTTCAATGAGCTATCATGTCACCCCAGTTAAAATGGCTTATGTCCAAAAGACAGGCAATAATGTATGGTGGCAAAGATGTGGAGAAAGAGGAAACCCCATACACTGTAGGTGGGAATGTAAATTAGTACAACCACTATGGAGAACAGTATGTAAGTTCCTCAACAAACTAAAAATATAACTACCATATGATACAGCAATCCAACTGCTAGTTATATACCCCAAAGAAAGAAACTCATTAAATTGATGAGACGTCTGAATGCCCATGTTTATCACAGCACTATTTACAGTAGCCAAGATTTGGAAACAACCTAAACAGGGTCCATCTACAGATGAATGGATAAAGAAAATGTTGCACATATACATAGAAGAATATAATTCAGCCACAGCAAGAATTAAATCCTGTTATTTACAACAACATAAATGGAGCTGGAGGTCATTATGTTAAGTGAAACAAGCGAGTCACAGGAAGAAAAATTTTGCACATTCTCACTCATTTGTGAGAGCTAAAAATTAAAAACAATTGAACTTATCACAATAAAGAGTAGAATAATGCTTATCAGAGTCTGGTAAGGGTAGCTGGGGCCAGTGGGTTGGGCGGGAGGACAAGGTAGGGAAGTGGGGATTTTTAATAAGTGCAAAAATATAGTTAGAAAGAGTGAATAAGATATGGTGTTTAATAACACAATGGGGTGATTACAGTCAACAATAATGTATTGTTTATTTCAAAATAACCAAAAGAGTAAAATTAAAATATTCCTAAGACAAAGAACAGATAAATACTTGAATTGATACCCCAATTACTCTGATGTGATTATTACACATTGTATGCCTGTAATAAACCATCACAGTTACCCCATAAATATATATACCTACTATGTACCCATAAACATTAAAAATTTAAAAATAAAATTTCAGAGTCTACTGGGGTCTATTACATCTATAAAAATGATCATAGTGCAAGACATGTCATGAAAAGTACTATGTAAAAGTACAAAATTTATTAATTCTAATTTAGGAGATTTGGAAAGACCACATTGAGAAGGTAAATTTTGATGAAATCCTTAAAGAATGTTATGGCCTTGACAGAGGGAGTTGGGGACCATGAGCCTGGCTGAGGCCAGAAGCTGGCTGAATGTTTCATTTAAAAGAACGTTAGGTAGAAGTAGGGTAGGGGGTAAAATAATAATATTGGGTATAGTGTACACTGCTTGGGTGACAGGTGTACCAAAATCTCAGAAATCACCACTAAAGAACTTATCCATGTAACTAAAAACCACCTGTACCCCCCAAAAGCTATTGGAATAAAAATAAAAAAGAAGGTTGAGTAACAGAGGTCAGCAGGGGAGATTGAGAATAGTTAAGAGAGACAAGACAAATAAGTACAGTGTAACAAAGGCTAAGAAAAGAAAATATAGAAAAGGAGAGGATGTAGAGTCCAACATTGCAGTTATATCAATAGAGAATGCAAAGTAAGAAGGATCCTTCTGCCAACGTATTAGAAATGTTTTATTAAATTAATGAAAGGATCAGGGCCTAGGTAAGTGTTCAGGACTAATCAAAAGGCAACAAAGTAGAGAGAAAATGTAGCTTTAAACTTTAAATTTTTGATAGTACAGGGAAGAAAGAAAATGGAAGAATAGCATGACAGAAAAGTAAAGTAGAGGGATTGTTTTGATTTGTATTATTTTTAGAGTAAAGGAGATTTGGATATGCTTATAGGTCTAGGGGAAATAACTGAAAAAAGAGTTTGGAAATAAGGGATGAGTGATGGCACAAGAGCAGAGGAGAGACAGCTAGGAATGATACAAAGGCACTGGCACAGAGAGTAGCCTTGCAAAGAAAGAAATATAATTTTTTTTCTGACACAGGAGTTTAAGAATAATAGAGGGGCATGGTATACGTCAGAATAGACTAGTATTCTTTGTAACTTTTTTTAATTGAGGAAAATTTATATAGCATAAAATTCATTTTTACCTGTTTTAAAGTGTACAACCCAGTGGTTTTTAGAGCATCCACATGTTGTAAAAGCATCATCATTGTCTAATTCTGGTACATTTTCATCACCCTATAAAGAAACCCTATGCCCATTATTCAGTCACTCCTCAAACCTCTTCTTTAGCTCCTGGAAACTATTAATCTGCTTTCTGTCTTTATGGGTTTGTCTATTCTGGACATTTCATACAAATAAGGTCATAATCTGTGGCCTTTGCATATGGCTTCTTTCACTTAACATAGTGTTTTCTAATTTCATCCATGAAACATGTATCAGTACTTCATTTCTTTTTATGGTTGAATAATATTCCATCTATCAATATACCATTTGTCAATTGATGGCCATTTAGAATGTTTCCACTTTGAAGCTATTATGAATAATTCTGCTATGAAATTTCATGTTTTTGTTTGAACACCTGTTTTCAGTGCTCTCAGATTCCACCCAACTGGGTCATATGGAAATTCTGTGTTTAGCTTGTTGAAGAACTGCTAAACTGTTTTCCACAGTGGCTGCATCATTTTACATTCCCTCAGAAATGCACAAGGGTTCCTATTTCTTGACATTCTCACCAACACTTGTCATTTTTCATTTTATTATTATTACTACTACCTTCCTAGTCAGTGCAAAGTTATGGTTTTGATTTATGTTTTCTTGATGATCAAAAATGTTGAACATCTTTTCATGTGCACTTCTAGCCATTTATGCATGTCTTTGGAGAAATATTTATTTAAGTCCTTTACCCACTTTTAATTGGACTGTTTGTTTTTTGTTGTTGAGTTGTAGGAGTGCTTTATAAATACTGGATACTAGACCCTTATCAGATATATGATTTGCAAATATTTTCCTTCTGTGGGTTGTCTTTTCACTCACTGATAGTGTCCTTTGATGCACAAACTTTTAATTTTGATGAGATATCATTTATTTATTTTTTATTTTGTGATTTGTACTTTTGGTGTCATATCTAAGAATCCATTGTCAAATCTAATGTCATCGTCCAAGATTATTGTTTTGCATGTGCGTACTCATTTTTCTAGCACTATTTATCAAAAAGACTATTTTTTTTCCCGTTTAATGGTCTTGGCACTCTTGTCAAATATTAATTGACCAGAGATGTATGAGGATTTTTATGGACTCTCAACTTTATTCCATTGGTCTATTTGCCTGTCGTTGTACCCATACCCCACTTTTGATTACTGAGTTCTGTAATACATTTTAAAATCAGAAAGCATGAGTCCTCCAAAGTTTGTTCTTATTCAAGATAGTTTCAGCTACTTGAGATTTCTTGCAATGTCATGTGAATTATAAAATATGAATTTCACAATCAGCTTGTCCATTTCAGCAAAATTTTAAAAATCAGAATTTTGATAGAGATTGCATGAAATCTGTAGATCAATTTGAGATTATTGCTGTCTTAACAGTATTATCTTTCCATTCATGAACACAAATGTCTTTCCATTTATTTAGAATGTATTTATTTATTCCATATGTTTTCTCATTCCCTACACTTTTCTATCAAGCTTTTCAGTTTGCTTATTATTTGCCCTGTTACCCCTTCTCCTGAGCAGGAGCTGCTAGTGCATTTGCCTTTAAATGGTTTTGACAAATGCCTTCTGGGTGGCCACCTCAGCCATGAAATTTTCTGAATAAGGAAAAGTGAAGACAAGCCTTTTGTTCCTCAGTCAACCACCAGACAGGTCAAAACAAACAACCACAATTCTTTGAGAATAAGTTTTCTTCTGCAAACTCTGGTACTAAAAACCTGTACAAGGAATGTAGCCTGTTGTCTTCACTGCTGTCTCTGAGCTGGGGAGTGGCAAATGGTATAAGAGTAAGTTAAAATGCCACAAAGTTTTCTTACGCAGACTCATGTTTTTCTCTTCATTTAGCCTGGTTGATTATAGCCTGGTTGCTATACACTTGATTAGTATGCAGAGTTCAGATTAAGTTGATTCTGACCATCCTTACCAGGTTATTCACTACTTTTGTGGAGAGATAAGCTTTTGGAGTTCTCTCCTCCACCATTTTCCCTTGATGCCACTTCTTGATTAATTTTTGTTAAGGTAACAAACAACTCCCACATTTCAGTGGACCAACACTGCAAAGGTTTACTTGCCCATGAGTGATTCATAACCATTGTGGGTAAGCTGGAGGCTCTGCTCCATTTCTACTGCTACTTCAAGACTTAGCTTAACAGAAGAGTCTCAACTTGGAACAATGCCGAAAGCTATGGCTGATGGAAAGAGAATGTGGCAGACTATCTACTGACTCTTCAATCTTCCATCTGGAAGTGACACATTCATATTTCGGTGGCCAAAGCAACTCACAGCCATGCCTCACTTCAAAGGGGCAGGAAATTGCACTCCCACCGTGAGTAGGAGAGGGAACTGAATATTTATCAACAGTAATAATTTGCAAAGAAAATTTGAGTATTTTTCCATTAAGGATGTAGTTAGGAATATTTTTCTATTAAGGTTACAGTTAAGAGTATTGATATGAAATATCCTCGAGCCTCACATAGGAATAAATGGTGAGATAATTTGCTGTTAGTATAGGAGGTGAGGATTATGTGGGGCCCATTGTATGAGAGCATATAAAACATTTGGATCAGTTGTTATATGTAGGTATTCAATACAACGGTAACTCAAAAATAAAGGGAGTTGAACACTGTGGAAGGCCCAGCTGAAGTTAGCTATGTATTTACAATGCAACTAATCATTGTAGGATATTCTCCAGCTCATAGCTCAAGACAAACACAATATTTAGCACTGAAGGGTGACCAACAATATAACATACCACCAAAACACAAGTAAAGGCTGTGCTAATTGTAGATGCCTATTCTTTCCTTCTTCCAGGCTCATGTGATATTTTTGGACAGTTTATTTATTTTCATTTATTCTACTTTGAATAAATCCAGATGTAATGAGGTGAAACCTATGGGAGAAGACTTTCCTGTGGCTTGGCTGGATGATCTTCCCATAAAATGCTATTGACAAGATAGAATTCTTGGCCTCCAACAAGAATATTTAAAATCTTTTTTATCTTAAAAAATACATATGTGACAGCTTCTATTGTTTCACCTTCAGAAGTTTATTGGAGGTTTTGGAAATAAAAATAGTGAAAGAAATGATTCTTTGTGTATTGAAGAGAAAATATAAGAGATTCAAACACTGGTGATTTGTTACTTCCTATTTGTGCTAAGGATGGGTAAGAAGAGACAATTAGATTATGTGGAACAGACCTAACTACTCCTTTGAAATACTAAATAGGGTGGCAGAGTCAAGGTCAAACCTGGACACAGGAAGAGTTGCCCTGTTGGTTGACAGCTCTGAGAAAATTCTTAGAAATTAATTGTTAAATATAGGAGGATCATATTGGCCAGTTGATGGTAAAATCAAAACCAAGAAAACATAAACAGCTGCTTAAGACCTCATCTTCAGTGAGTGGGGGCTTTAATAATGCCACTAGTAAAAACAGAGGAATCAAAAGAAGGAAGGACTAGGAGAAAGGAAATACTGGTCTCTAACTCTAGATACATTGGATAAGTCATCTAAGTCCTCTAGGTCTCCTTAAACTTCTGCAAATTAATAGAGTTGAAATTATTAAATAATTGCTAGTGATCCATACAGCTCTATGAGTTGATTTTTTTTGGGAAATAAAGATGAGTTCAATTTTGAATATCTTGAATTTGAGAAAACTGTGGAATATCCACTGACTATGTCCAGCATGCAAGCAAAACTTGAGTTCGGAATTTAAATAAGTGGAAATGCAGACTACTTAAAATTTATTCAAGATCATTCAGACCCCATTTTAATTTGTAAGAAATATTTTAGAAAGCTATTCTTTTGGCAGAAATTGTGTATATCTGGGTTGTATCCAAAAGTGTATTTCTTTTGGAAAAAAATGATGCACGTGTTAAACTATGTTGGAGTTAAAAGCAGGTGAGAAAGTATCTTTTACTATTGTTAAAGGATCACTTTCAGTGCAATGCTTATGGTGAGAGTTTAAAAGTTGAAACTTCACAGGTATCAAGTTATCACTGAGGAATTTATTACTTATTAATAAAATCATTGTTACCATGGAAAGCAATCTTATTTGGAAAGCAAGGTCATTTTCATAAAACTGCCTCAAATGGAACAATAGAATCTCAATTTCTTTGAACTCTATTGAGGTGAATGGACCAGCAGACAGGGAGGAGTAATGGAAAGGACATGAAGAAGGAAATGTAATAAAACTAAGAAAATAGATTCTTCCTTCTCGTTTCTGTCTATGTTTATTAAAGATGAAATTAGAGGTAACAACTTGAAATTGCTTAGCGTTTAGGTTCCAGACATAAATACAGAGAGGCAAAGAACTGTGAAAAATGAACTTTCTTTTTCATTATGGAGCAAATCCTTCAGATGTTCATTTAATAGTCTAATCAGGCATTTTAGGAAATGGTATGGGAAATATCTGGAACTTTTTTACTTCTTTGTATTCACATTTAGAAGTGAAACTTATTTGTGTCTGTAGGTGAGTGTGTGAATACATGAATTTAACTTGAAAAGTTCAATTTTTTAACTGTTATTTTAGATTCAAGAGTACATGTGCAAGTTTGTTATATAGGTAAACTTTGTGTCATGGAAGTTAAACGTACAGATTATTTTATTGCCACCCAGGCAATAAACATAGTACCCAATAGGTATATTTTTCTTATGTCCTCTCTCCTACCACCCTCTGTCCTCAAATACACCTCTGTGTCTGCTGTTACCTTCTTTGTGTCCATGTGTTCTTGTTGTTTAGCTCCCACTTATAAGTGAGAACATGTGGTGTTTGGTTTTCTGTTCCTGTGTTAGTTTGCTTAGGATAATGGCCTCCAGCTCCATCTGCATTGCTGCAAAGAACCTAGTCTTGCTCTTTTTATGGTGGTGTAGTATTCCATGGTGTATGTGTACCACATTTTCTTTATCCAGTCTACCATTGATGGACATTTAAGTTGATTCCATGTCTTTGCTATTGTGAATGGTGCTGGAATGAGCATACATGTCCATGTGTTTTTATGATAGTATGATTTATGTTCCTTTGGGTATATACCCAATACTGTGATTGCTGGATCTCATGGTAATTCTGTTTTAAGTTCTTTGAAGAATCCCCACACTGTTTTTCACAATAGCTGAGCTAATTTACACTCCTACCAGCAGTGTATAAGCATTCTCTTTTCTTTGTAACCTTGCCAGCATCTGTTATTTTTTGACTTTTTCATGATAGCCATTCTCACTGGTGTGAGACAGTATCTTGTTGTGGTTTTGATTTGCATTTTTCTAATGATCACTGATAGGGAGGTTTTTTTCATATGAGTATTGGCTGCACGTATGTTTTCTCTTGAGAAGTGTCTGTTCATGTCCTTTGCCCACCTTTTAATGGGGTTGTTTGTTTTTCACTTATAAATTTGTCGAAGTTCTTTATAGATTCTGGATATTAGACCTTTGTTGGATGCATAGTTTGCAAATGTTTTTTTCCCATTCTAAAGGTCATTTGTTTACTGTGTTGATAGTTTCTTTTGCTGTGTAGAAGTTCTTTAGTTTAATTAGGTCTTATTTGTCAATTTTTGTTTTTGTTGCAATTGCTTTTGGCATCTCTGTTATGAAATATTTGCCAGGTTCCATGTGTGGGATGATATTACCTGGGTTACCTTCCAGGGTTTTTATAGTTTTAATTTACATTTAAGTTTTTAATCCATCTTGAGTTGATTTTTGTACGTGGTGTAAAAAGGGGTGAAATTTCAATCTTTTGCATATGGCTAGCCAGTTATCCCAGCACCACGGAAGTCCTGGTGAAAGCAATCAGTCAGGAGAAAGAAATAAAAGGCATACAAATAGGAAGAGAGAAAGTCAAACTATCCCTGTTTGCAGACAATGTTATTCTGTATCTAGAAAACGGCATAGTCTTAGCCCAAGAGCTCTTTGATCCAAAATACAACTTCAGCAAAGTTGCGGGATACAAAATCAATATACAAAAGTCACTAGCATTCCTATACAACAAAAACATCCAAGCCAAGAGCCAAATCAAGAATGCAATCCTACTCACAAATGCCACAAAAAGAATAAAATATCTAGGAATACAGCTAACCAGGGACATAAAAGATTCCTACAGGGAGCATTACAAAACACTGCTCAAAGAAATCACGGATGACAGAAACAAATGGAAAAATATTCCATGCTCATGGATAGGAAGAATATTGTTAAAATGGCCATCCTGCCCAAAGGAACTATTCTATGAGACCACAGTAAACGAAATAGCATGGTACTGTTACAAAAACAGACATATAAACCAATGGAACAGAATAGAGATCCCAAAAATAATGATGTACACTTAACAATGATCCGTTCTTTGACAAAGCTGACAAAAACAAGCAATGAGGAAATTACTCCCTATTCAAATTCCATTTTTTTTTTCACAGATGATGTGATGGTGAGACCAGTCTCCTCTTCAAACTACTACATATATCAACAGTTGACATTACCCTGGGCATGTTGATTTTATATACATTGACTTAACCTACCTACCAGGCATTCCATTCCATGGGAGACATACTAAGTGTCTAGTATGTCCCACGTTGTGATAGGCAATGTGAGAGTTACAGACAACCAAAAGGTGAGTGCCTTCCCTTCAAAGAGGTTGCCATCTAGTTAGAAGTATTGATATCTTAATTTAAAAATGAGGCTTTCATTTGTCATATATGTACTTAACAGGCCATGGTATGATCAAGCAAACAAACACTTATGTTGCCATTAGCAAAAAAGGCCCCTGTTATCTTTTGTTAACCAAAAAATTGCAGTGAATTTTCCATATGTGCTTCTTTCAATTTCTCTTGGTATGAAGTTCCAGTACACATACAAAACCTCTTTGAAGAAAAAAAAAAGAAATAAAACTTATGTAGAAATTTATTTAATTCTAAGTGATGGGAGACAAAAAACTGTTTCACCTAACTCAAACCACATAAAGGACTTTCAAAAACATTTGAGCATTCCTGGGCTCTGTTCCCTCCATATATCCTACTAGCCAGACAAGGAAGTACCTCTTTCCCTGTGTGAAATCTCTTCTGTTAGACAATTAGTTCCACGTCTTGGGATCTCATTTCCTAAGGTCCTGCCAGTGACCTTCTCTTTAAAACCATTAATTCTTGTGAGATTCTGGCCAGGTGAAGTTTGGACTGGCTCCTGTACAAGGGTGATGTGGGGCAGTCCTGTGAAGCCTAAAGCAGTATTACACATCACCTTGGAGTTGGAACATTTTTGGCTCAGGAAAGTAAAATGACTGGATGAAGTCTTGCTGTGTAAGTCATAACTCTATAATCAGAGTTGTGTATTTTTTTTAATTTATAAAAAGGATTTGGCTTTGGAGTGGCAAGCAGCAGTGGTAAGCCCTTCCAGGGAGCTCTCGTGACCCTCACCAGAGTTATTTATGTTAGATGAAATGGTACTTTGAGCTGTGCCCAATGACTGGTTCCCCACTTATACACCCAAGCCCCACCTAAAATTGAATCAAACCATACACACCTACATCTCTGCCCTCTTTTCCTGAACAGCTG
Organism: Homo sapiens; assembly: GCF_000001405.40. Classification (NCBI taxonomy): domain Eukaryota; kingdom Metazoa; phylum Chordata; class Mammalia; order Primates; family Hominidae; genus Homo; species Homo sapiens. The sequence goes on from NC_000003.12 coordinate 99,233,135, forward strand.
GAGTTTTATAAGGTCACCTTGGAACTCCTCTGCCCTTTCCCTTAGAACAGATCAACACTGCTGACTAAGGCTGGTACTTTCTTCCAGAGAAAAGGTCAAGAAATTGAGGATCATTTTCTTTTTGACTAATGGCTAAGGGTATCTGTCTTTCTTTACTAAAGACATAGTACCTTCCAACATGTCCATCCAACAGAGGAAGAGCACACATTCTAAAAGATGCACATTGTCCATGCACCAAGCTGTAGCCTTCTGCTCTTTGTTGGTGGAATGGGAAATTAACAGAAGAGAAACAGGGATCAAGATAGGAAGCAATGACGATAAATTCAAAGGAGTAAGCATTAGCTTTAAGAAGAATCACACATCTCTTTTTATTATATATTTACTGGAAGAATGCATTTCATGACTACTTTGAGTATACATGGCAAAACAACAATTTCACATTTGTACATGCTATGTTCCATTTGCTTGATCAGTCAGTAATGTTCACCGAGTGTAATCCAGGCTCCTGAAAAGCAATAGAGAACTGAGTCAGTTCCTGTTCCCCCTAAAATTTAGATTCTTTCTGTAATAGAAGGCTTCCAAATTAATATTAGTCAATTCTGGCATCATCGTGGAAATGATCTTGTCTCCTGAGTAGTCTCTGAATAGTAGTATAGAGTCAGAGTAGTATAGAGTAGTATAGAGGCCACCCTGGAGGAGACTTATGCCTGCAGAGAGTACCAGGATGGCTGTGATCTCAATGGTCTCAACACCATGCTATTCTCCTCACCACCTCTGTTTCAGATCTTAGCCCAGGGAGGGATTCTGGGGACACCCACTTAAATGGCTTGCTGAAAATCTTGTGACACTTTATTTCCAGAGGAGAAGCACTTGCTATTCTGAGACTTAGGGAGAAACAATTGCTACCACTGCTGCTTCTACCATTGCTAAAACCATTTAATCTGTGTCAATTTTAAATGAATGTGATTAATCTTCACGACACGTGGTTGGTATTCTCATCTGTTTTAATATATTAGAAAAGTGAGGCTCTAAGAAAATAACCAACTTGCCAAAAGTATTAACTAGCTAATAAAATGTAGAATCAAAATTTGAACTCTGTTCATTTCATGCTGAAAATGGATGGGTGTTAGTATCTTTCTTACTTTAAAGTCATATGTTATTTGATGTATAAATTATTAACCACCAGCAGCGTTTGATTAATTATAAACTTAGGATTTTAAAATTCCTGTTTGTTTAAAACTTGAAATTTCTAAAATAAACATACATCTTATATAATCCATTAAGTTTAATTTATCAAATACTTTTCCACTTCCAAATACTTTTCTTTGCCATATTTCTTATTTTAATCTTTTTACTTTTATTTTACGTTTAAGGGTACATGTGCAGATTTGTTGCACAGGTAAACATGTCATGGAGGTTTGTTGCACATATTATTTTATCACACAGATATGAAGCCCAGTACCCAATAGTTATCTTTTCTGCCCTTCTCCCTCCTCCCACCCTCTACCCTCAAGTAGACCTCAGTGTCTGCTGTTTCCTTCTTTGTGTTCATAAGTTTTTATCATTTTCCTCCCACTTATAAGTAAGAACATGCAGTATTTTTTTTGTGTGTTTCTGTGTTGATTTTCTAAGGATAAGAGCCTCCAACTCCATCCATGTTCCAGCAAAAGACATGATCTCATTCTTTTTTTATGGCTGCATAGTATTCCATGGTGTATATGTACCACATTTTCTTTATCTGATATGTCATTGTTGGGCATTTAGGTTGATTCCGTGTCTTTGCTACTTTGAATAGTGCTGCAATGAACATTTGCGTGCATGTGTCTTTATGGTAGAATAATTTATATTTCTCTGGGTATGTACCGTAATGAGATTGCTGAGTTGAATAATTCTGCTTTTAGCTCTTTGAGGAATTGCCATACTGCTCTCAACGATGGTTGAACTAGTTCACACTCCCACCAACAGTATATAAGGATTCCCTTTTCTCCACAACCCACCAGCATCTGTTATTTTCTGACTTTTTAATAATAGCCATTCTGACTTGTGTGAGATAGTATCTCATTGTGGTTTTGATTTGCATTTCTCTAATGATCACTGATATTGAGCTTTTTTTCATATGCTTGTTGGCCACATGTATGCCTTCTTTTAAGAAGTGTCTATGTCTTTTGCCCACTTTTTAATGGGGTTATTTGTTTTTCTCTTGTAAATTTGTTTAAGTTTCTTACAGATCCTGGATACTAGACCATTGTCGGATGCATAGTTTGCAAATATTTTCTCCCATTCTGTAGGTCATCTGTTTACTCTGTTGAGAGTTTCTTTTGCTGTGCGGTCACTCTTAAGTTTAATTAGATCCAACTTATCAATTTTTGCTTTTGTTGTGATTGCTTTTGGTGTCTTAGTTATGAAATCATTGCTGGTTCCTATGTCCAGGATGGTATTGCCTAGGTTGTCTTCCAGAGTTTTCATAGTATTGGGTTTTACACTTAAGTGTTTAATCCATCTTGAGTTGATTTTTGTATGTGGTGGAAGGCAGGGGTCCAGCTTCAGTCTTCTGCATATGCCTAGCCAGTAATCCTAGCACTATTTATTAAATAGGGAGTCTTTTACCCATTGCATCGATGTTCATCAAGGATATTGGTCTGAAGTTTTCTTTGTGTGTGTGTGTCTGCCGGGTTTTGGTATCAAGATGATACTGGCCTCATAAAATGAGTTAGGGATGAGTCCCTCCTTCTCAATTTTTTGTAATATTTCTGTAGGAATGGTACCAGCTCTTCTTTGTACATCTGGTAGAATTTGGCTGTGCATCCATCAGGTCCTGGGTTTTTTTGGTTAGTGGGCTATTTATTACTAATTCAGTTTCAGAGCTGGTTATTGGTCTGTTCAGAGAATTAATTTCTTTCTCATTCAGTCTTGGAATTATGTATGTGTCCAGGAATTTATTCATCTCTTCTAGGTTTTCTAGTTTGTGTGTGTAGAGATGTTTGTAATAGTTTCTGATGGTTGTTTTTATTTCTGTAGGGTTAGAAGTAGCATTCCTTTCATCATTTCTAATTGTGTTTATTGGTATCTTTTCTCTTTTCTTCTTTAATAGTCTAAGTAGAGGCCTATCCATTTTATTAATATTTTCAATATTTCAAAAAAAACCAACTCCTGAATTCATTGATATTTTGAATGGTTTTTCATGTCTCAATTTAAAATTTTTTTGTTAGTTTTAGGGATGTGCCAGGAATATGCCACATTGTATTTTAACATTGAAATTAAAGCAATTAAAACAAAGAAAATCACTCCTGATTTCATGATGTTAGAGTACTAGCTTTTTGTCTTCTGGTGAGGGGAGACAAAAAAACACAAATAGAAAAAAATCTACGCACACATGATGATAAATTCAATGAAAAAAGGAAGCAAATGAAGCAAACTAAGGGAGGTAGATAATGAAAGAAATAGGGGATATTTGAGCTACTTCTGACTAGGGTGGAAAGGACTACCTCTCTGATAAGGTAACATTTGAAAAGAGATTTGGAGGAAAGGAAACAGGAAGCCATGTGAAAATCTGGTAGAAGAACATTCCATTGCAGGAAACTCCAAGTACAAATGCCTTAGTGTGGAATCACCTTGATGTGTTCCAGAAATAAGTAGCAAGGAAGCAAGTCTGCTTGGAGCAGAGGGAGAAGGATTTGAATGCTGATAGGGAGAGACAAGATGGGAAGAGGATGTGATTGGAGTTGAGAGAGAGATAGCAGAGAGTCAGATCCTGTTGTTGTAAATGGTCCTGGTCTTGAGGAGTGATTGCATTTCATGCTGAGACTGGAAGCTATTAGTATGGTTTAAATAAAGGAAAACATGATTTGACTTGGATTTTTAAAATATCACTCAGACACTCTGTGACAAACCCAGTAAGAGAGGTGTCGAACTCATACATTTTATCAGGAGCTCATTCTATAATAACTGACCATCTCCCACAGTAATGATATTAATTCATTCATGAAGGCAAAACTCTCATGATCAAATCACCTTTTATTAGGCCCTACCTTTCAACATTGTTGCATTTGTGTTTAAATTTCCAACACATGAACTTTAGGGAACGCATCAAACAATAGCATAACTAAAACTTATATTTCTTTTAATTATAGATGCTCCTCAATTTATAATGGAAATATATCCTGATACATTCATCAAAAGTTTGAAATTTATTTAATACATTTGACCTACTGAACATCATAACTTAGGCTAGACTAACTTAAACATTCTCAGAACACTTACATTAGCCTATAGTTGGACAAAATAATCTTTAAAAAGCCCATTTTATAATAAAGTGTTGAATATCCCCTATAATTTATTGAATACTGTACTGAGTGCATATAGCTTTAGCATCATCTTGAAGTCAAAAAAGCAAAAGTCACACTATCATAAGTTAGGGGCCAGCTGTATACATAAATAATTGGAAGTATGAATAAACAGAAACACAATTTTTTCCATTTTACTTTCCAAGACTTGTTTTGGTAAAGTGCCTTTTGAAATACTGAAACCAGTTGTGAACTTTCCATAAAGGAAGACTAATCTCAATTCCTAAGAATGAACGTCTCTCTCACATAGGGTAAAATACACATAGTTGGAGACAGTGGGCCTTTTCAAAGTGTAGTAATTACAATACACTTCCAATAACCTTGGTAAATGTGATGACAATACACAAAAAAGAGAGTATTTGGCCCTGTAAGTAGGCCCTTATCTTTGAGTTGTCACTGGAACATTTTTATTACAGTAGAAAATACAATGGCCAACCACATCTTCCTTGGTTTCTTCACCTTGCCTTCACAAATACATGAATACTATTTTCCCCTTTCTTAACTTTTTCACAAAATTTTAGGCAGTAGCCCTGGATGATGATGGCACTTGCAATTAGATGGTGACTGATTAGCCTTGAAACACTGAAATAACAGAAATGAAATTCTGAAGATGAAATAGTATGGGTGGTAGCACAAGAATTCCCCTTCAAAATAATGGTGATCAGCCAGGTAGGCTGTGTATAGGGTCTTCATTGTGCCTTTGAGTTATCACAGCTTTCTTACTTCCAGTATGCAAAACTAAACTAAACTAAACTAAACTAAACTAAACTAAACTAAACTAAACTAAACTAAAAAGGGGAAGAGAGGAGAGGGAAAATAAAAGGCAAGAAAACACAGCAATGAACCAAACAAATTTATAGCTGTAGAAGATGGGGAACATTTAAGGCCATTTATACTATCTAACCCTTTGACTTGATTCGATTTCTGTGGAAGTAAAATAGGCAAGTCAAATTATTCCCACGCTAGATTTTTTTTTTACTCATTTCCTTTTTGTAAGTTTTTATTTTATTTTTAATTGACACACATAATAACTGTACAGTTTTATCGGGTACAATGTGATGCTCCTTTTTTATTTATTTTGAGATGGAGTCTTACTCTGTCGCCCAGGCTGGAGTGCAGTGGCGCCATCTCGGCTCATTGCAACCACTGCCTCCCAGGTTCAAGCTATTCTCCTGCCTCAGCCTCCCAAGTAGCTGGAATTACAAGCACCCACCACTACACCTGGCTAATTTTTGTATTTTTAGTAGAGACGGTGTTTCACCATAATGGCCAGGCTGGTCTCAAACTCCTGACCTCAGGTGATCTGATTACCTCGGCCTCCCGAGTGCTGGGATTACAGTGATGTTCCTATACTCTTATACATGTATACTTCATTGTAAAATAGTCAAATCTGGGTAACTAGAGTCTATCAATCGCCTCGTAAATTGATTATTTCTTTGTAATGAGAATATTCAAAATCCCTTCTTCTAGCTATTTTGAAATATATAATGCATTGTTTTCAACTACAGTTACCCTATTGTACAATAGGCCACCAAAACTTATTTCTCTCCTATCTAACTGTAACTTTATACCCATTGACCAACAGCTTTCCATCCTCCCCCTCCCCCCACTCTCCTTAGCCATTATATACTCTGATTCTATGTAATCAGCTGTTTTAGATTCCACATATGGGTGAGATCACGCAGTATTTGTCTTTCTGTGTCTGGTTTATTTCATTTAACTTAATATCCCTCAAGTTCAATCTTGTTTTTGCAAATGACAGAATTTAATTTTTTTATGGCTTAATAGTATTTCATTGTGTTTATATACCACATTTTCTGTATCCATTCATCCACTGATGGACACTTAATTTGGTTCCATATATTGGCTATTGTGAATAATGCTGCAATAAACATGGAAGTGCAGACATCTCTCCAACATATGATTTAATTTCCTTTCGGTATATATCCTTCAGGTGCATGACTGGATCATATGGTAGTTCTATTTTTAGTGTTTTGAGGAACCTTCATACTGTTTTCTGTAATGACTGTATTAATTTACATTTTCACCAATAGTAAGTAAAGGATCCCTTTCCTCCATGTTCTTGGGAACACTTGTTATCTTTTGCCTTTTTGATAATAGCCATTCTAATTGAAGTGAGGTGATATCTCACTGTGGTTTTGATTTTCATTTCCCTGATGATTGGTGATGTTGAACAGTTCTCATTTCTTGAAGGAGTAAAATAATAATGAAGCTACTAAATTTTAAATTTATCAAGGGTTCTTTTTGTCTATTTTCTATACATGAACTTTGGAGTCAGTCATGAAATAAACCACCAAAGCTCATAGAGAAGGTTTCACTGGAATTCAATGTCTGAACTTGCTTAACGAGGACCACCATAGAGTTAAGCAAAATGCTTGTTATTTCTGTAACTTAAAAACCAGCATTTCAGAGCACCCAGTTCTGTAACATTTCTTACAAAGTAAATGGGATATTTTCATCAAAGCCCAAGCAAATAAAGAAGTAGTGTTGCTGATGTGTCATTCCAAAGATCTCTTAATAGTTCTGAAATATAGTAACAGCTTTTGGTTGTTGTTTTACCCCTTTAGATTAGAGCACAGTAAGTATGTTTACTTCCAGGGCCAATGTTGAGTAAAAGTGAAAAATTTATTTTTTATAATCCTCTTTATTTTCTAACTTTAGGTATCCAAGTGTCAAAACTCCTCACTTTTCTCTTCTTGGCCATGTTCCCAGCACCATACCTCCTTACTTATGCCTGTCTTTTGCACACATACAAAAACCCATCTCTGGGTTTTTTTCCTACATCATTTTTCCACTACCTCATTTATTCATTCATTTACTTATTCATTCAACCATTCACTAGTCAGTTAACACATATTTCTTGATAGCTTACTATGTGCTCGACCACATGCCAGTCACTGGTCATGCAGCTGTAAGCAAGACGTATGTTTCTGTGCTCATGGATACTAGTGGAAAGAGTCAAAGAATGGAAGAGAAAGAATAAAAAGGTGAAAAGAAAAACTATCAGGGAGTGATAAGTGATACAAGGAGAACTAAGTAAGTTTGTATTTCAGTAAATGACTAGGGATATGCCTTCCTGTACTAGGTTCTCCTAGGACTCCACTCTTGGATTTCCAAAGTATCAACTAATCTGAAATAATAATTAACATTTCCTTGTCAATGACTTCCCCTCCTGTCTCCCCTTTAATTAATGTAATTTCTGATATTTGACTCTAGAGATAACATCACCCAAATAAATGACTAATAGTAGACATTTCAAGTACTAAAGTGACAGGGTGAGATATTTAGGAACAAGCTATCATTTGTCACCCAGGCTGCCCCAGAGTTTGGCTCTGCTTGGCTCTTCTTTATTTCTTTTATAGACTTCTGAGCTCTTCGTGCCTCTGGCTTTTTCCACTGCATTGCACAGGAAAGAACTTTTAACCACTCCCTGGCGAGTTGTTTCTCTTTTGTCTTCTTGGATCTGTCCCCAGTCAATCCTGTCTCCCTTCACAGCAGTTGCTGTCTGCCATTGCCTCCTGGCCATATCATTCTTCCTCTATCATGGATCAGATTATCTTGTTTTTGCCCCTCTGAAGGTCATTTCATCCAATATGCAGAAGTCCTTTTCATTTTTGATTTTTTTTTTTTACTGGAGAATGACAAGTTGTCTAGCATTTCAAGGAATGAAAGCCTAAATAAAGGCATTTTCTTATGTCTTAAAAATTCCTTCTGACTCTATGCAACTTTGGTTTGCCACCTTTCCAAAGAAAATGAAAGACCAAGATCATTAGTTTACAAACTTTATGAGTCTCTAAAATTCTTATGGGTTGCTTTTCATATCTTAGACTCCAAATCCTCATTGCAGGACTGGGGCAGAGTTAGCTGCTGGAGGAGCAGACACAAAACAAACATATCCCAAATGGGCATATTATTCTTCTTTCAAGAAACCCTTGGGGGATAGTTAGTTTGAGGAGCCAGAAGGAGGGAAGACCACATTTATATCTTTCAAGCGTACGAACCTTAATGCCAAAGAGATAATCCAAGGATGGTAGAGGAAAGAGGTAAGCTGACTAACAAAGTGGTCTGTACACGAAGTAGGTGGGAGAAAGCACACACTGTAATATGAAGAGCAGGTCTAAATGCTGCCTGCCCCAGATGGAAATACTAGGTTACTCTGAAATGATTCATTAAAACTCAGGATGATGGGTGTGGTGGCTTACACCTGTAATCCCAACACTTTAAGAGGCCAAGGCAGGAGTACCATTTGGGGCCAGGAGTTTAAGACCAGCCTGGGCAACATAGTGAGGCCTCATCCCTACCAAAACACAAACAACAACAACAAAAAAAGCTTAGGGATTAGCCTGTAAGTTCCTCTTCTAGGCCCCAGGAATTCACAGCAGTGGTGGAGTCTTGCTTTGGAGGGTCATTTCAACTGCACCAGGAGAAAACCTACATGTCTATCACAGGCCCTGGGAATACTGCCAGTCACCAAACTCTGAAAATCAGCTCACTGGAACTCTAGAATTTAATGGAAGAGTTTGAAATGCCTAATTTTAGAATAATTTTCTATGTAATACAAAATGTGAGGTTTGAAGGGGTCTTTTGATATCATTTATGCCACAAACGGGTTGGCATAAATGCCACAAATGGGTTAGCATAAATGAGGATGTTGATATCTATGTAGCGGAGAAAAGGTAATTTCTTTTCCTCTCTCATCACAAGGGTCATGGTGGACACACCTGTAATTAAAGACAAGTTAACAAGATAAAAGCATACCAAATATATTTGACAACACTTTACATGACCATAGGAGGCTTCAGAAATAAAGACCCAAAGACTAAAAGAAAACTGTGTATTTTTATGCTTAGGTTCAGTAAGGAATGGATAGTCATGTAAAAGGATGACTGAATAAAAGGGATATGATCTAATGGTAATAAACTGGAAGTAACTTAGCAAGGCCTGTTTGTTCAGATTCTTCTTGGTCTCTCCATGTAGCATTCCTTCCTCCTGAGTATGAGGCAGGATCCCTCTGGGATGATCTACTTTCAGACAAGATAAGTCAGAAACTTTCTTTATGGTCAATTCTCACACAAAAACCAGGAGAGAGTCAAAGTGATCTTCCCGATTCTTTGACCCTCTCAATCTCCTTCAGTTCAAGGTACTTTCGGCTAACATTTTCTAAGCCTCAGCACCTAAATGGGTAGACTGACTTGCTCACTTAAGAACAAACATGCAGTAAAGTTGAAAACTCATGAAAATATATGAACTTTAACCCATACTCTGCTAATAAATTCGAGTTTAATTTTAGAGTTTACATATTCTCTTATCATCTCACCCCAGTTAAAATGGCTTTTATTAAAAAGATAGAGAATAAAGAATGCTGGCAAACTTGTGGAGAAAGGGGAACCCCCGTACATTGTTGGTGAGAAAGTAAACTAGTACAGAATGGAAAACAGTATAGAGGTTCCTCAAAAAACTAAAAATAGAACTGCCAAGTGCTACAGCAGTTCCACTACTGGGTATACATCCAAAAGAAAGGAAATCAATATATTGAAGAGATATCTGCACATCTATGTTTATTGCAGCACTATTCACAATAGCTAAGATATGGAATCAACCTAAGTGTCCATCAACAAATGAATGGATTAAAAAAATGTGTTATATATACACAATGGAATATTATTCAGCCATAAAATATTAAATTTTATAATTTGCAGCAACATCAGTGGAGCTAGACATCATTACGTTAAGTAAAATAAGCCAAACACAGAATGACAAACAAATATTGTATATTCTCAAACATAAGTGGGAGCTAAAAAAATGGATTTTGTGAAGATACAGTAGATTGGTGGTTACCAGAGGCTAGGAAGGTTAACACGGAGGTAGAGGATGAAGACACTTTTGATTGTACACCCTACTATATACTTCATTAGGTTAAAAACAACCAGATTTGTTCACACAGACCCACTATATTAATTTTTGTTCACAAAATACATCTACATACTACTGACCTAATATGTAACTATAAAAAATTTAAAATATACCTAAGAATTATTAAAATAAGACAAATTAAAATGCATATTTTATATTAATTAATAACAATATAAAATTATTTTGTTTTTACTTAAATTTTGTTGAAAGTAAATATTCCTCACTGTAAAAATAAATCTTAGTTTTACAGTTTATGTTATAGTGATTCAAAACCTGGTTTTAGTTCACCTTATTTTATATTCCGTACTAATAGCTGCTTTAGTTTTAAAAAGATTACTAACAGCCTGTAGGTCTCAAATGAAAACAAGAATATCATTGGTTGCCATTATATCTTGAGATCCACTTTTTACTGTCATCCACCAATTGTGAATAATTTTTGCCAAAATTCAGTGAGTAAAGTTTCATCTTCTCTAATGTCAATCTATTGTTTCTGAAATGTGATTAGAAAGTGATCTATTTTTCTTTGTTTAAATCATGAGTGAACTCCCATTCACAATTGCTTCAAAGAGAATAAAATACCTAGGAATCCAACTTACAAGGGATGTGAAGGACCTCTTCAAGGAGAACTACAAACCACTGCTCAAGGAAATAAAAGAGGACAAAAACAAATGGAAGAACATTCCATGCTCATGGATAGGAAGAATCAATATCGGGAAAATGGCCATACTGCCCAAGGTAATTTATAGATTCAATGCCATCCCCATCAAGCTACCAATGACTTTCTTCACAGAATTGGAAAAAACTGCTTTAAAGTTCATATGGAACCATAAAAGAGCCTGCGTTGCCAAGTCAATCCTAAGCCAAAAGAACAAAGCTGGAGGCATCACGCTATGTGACTTCAAACTATACTACAAGGCTACAGTAACCAAAACAGCATGGTACTGGGACCAAAACAGAGATATAGACCAATGGAACAGAGCAGAGCCCTCAGAAATAATACTACACATCTAAAACCATCTGATCTTTGACAAACCTGACAAAAACAAGACATGGGGAAAGGATTCCCTATTTAATAAATGGTGCTGGGAAAAGTGGCTAGCCATAGGTAGAAAGCTGAAACTGGATCCCTTCCTTACACCTTATACAAAAATTAAATCAAGATGGATTAAAGACTTAAATGTTAGACCTAAAACCATAAAAACCCTAGAAGAAAACCTAGGCAATACCATTCAGGACATAGGCATGGGCAAGGACTTCATGACTAAAACACCAAAAGCAATGGCAACAAAAGCCAAAATTGACAAATGGGATCTAATTAAACTAAAGAGCTTCTGCACAGCAAAAGAAACTACCATCAGAGTGAACAGGCAACCTACAGAATGGGAAAAAATTTTTGCAATCTACTCATCTGACAAAGGGCTAATATCCAGAATCTACAAAGAACTCAAACAAATTTACAAGAAAAAAACAAACAACCCCATCAAAAAGTAGGTAAAGGATATGAACAGACACTTATCAAAAGAAGACATTTATGAAGCCAACAGACACATGAAAAAATGCTCATCATCACTGGCCATCAGAGAAATGCAAATCAAAACCACAATGAAATACCATCTCACACCAGAATGGTGATCATTAAAAAGTCAGGAAACAACAGGTGCTGGAGAGGATTTGGAGAAATAGGAACACTTTTACACATTGGTGGGATGGTAAACTAATTCAACCATTGTGGAAGACAGTGTGGCGATTCCTCAAGGATCTAGAACTAGAAATACCATTTGACCCAGCCATCCCATTATTGGATATATACCCAAAGAATAATAAATCATTTTGCTATAAAGACACATGAACACGTATGTTTATTGCAGCACCATTCACAATAGAAAAGACTTGGAACCAACCCAAATGTCCATCAATGATAGACTGGATTAAGAAAATGTGGCACATATACACCATGGAATACTATGCAGCCATAAAAAAGATGAGTTCATGTCCTTTGTAGGGACATGGATGAAGCTGGAAACCATCATTCTCAGCAAACTATCACGAGGACAAAAAACCAAACACTACATTTTCTCACTCACAGGTGGGAATTGAACAATGAGAACACTTGGACACAGGAAGGGGAACATCACACACCGGGGCCTGTTGTGGGGTGGAATGAGTGGAGAGGGATAACATTAGGAGATATACCTAATGTAAATGATGAGTTAATGGGGGCAGCACACCAACATGGCACATGTATACATATGTAACTAACCTGCAAGTTGTGAACATGTACCCTAAAACTTAAAGTACAGTAAAAAAAAAAAAAAAAAAAAAAAAAAAAAAAAAAAACAAAAAACAGTCTGGCACCAAAAAAAAAAGTGACCTATTTTTATATTTTTAGAAAATAATAATTTTTAAATTAAAATATTCTAGATTAAACATTTTCCAAATGAAAGGTTCAAAATACACTGAATCATTTGGAAAATATTCAGACTAGAATATTTTAATTTCAAGATTATTATATATACAGTTGATAATTAATGTATATATTACTTTTGTTAGCAAGTCACATAATGGAATGTTCCTCTTCTCTTTCCACCCCCATCCTCTTCATAAAAGCGGTGACTATTGGAGAGCTGATTCTTTCTCACTTACTGCTGAAATGTCAGCTTTATCTGTAAGAGCCAAATTAATTGCAAAGGGTCAAGCTAATTGTGTTTATCATAAAATATATCTACTAGGTAGCATACTGTTGACAGTAACTGTTAACTCATATCTAAGGTCAAGTTCAGGATGTGTATTTTGGCAAAAGTGTTTAGCTTATCTTTAAACTCAACACTTTAAACTCAACACTATACCGGTTGAGTGAGGGCACCAGTATAAAATCTCTAAATTAACCTTTTTAAATATTGGCAAAGTTGAATATTTTTTCTCTCTTTAAAAAACAATGGACATTTACTATGTTCTTCCTCACCCATGTGGATCAGGTTGCATGTCCTTTTGCATTCCTATGCTGGTTATTCATCTATATTGTCTCTTGGATACAAATCCACCCTTTTTACTATACTCAGTAAAGCTGTGATTAGGAAATTGCAATTTATATTTGCCAGATTCCTTTCTAGCTGGCTTCCTCTTGAGTTCTGCCAATATGAGGCAATATTGCAAAGGTAGATTGCAAAGGTAGATTGGAAAGCAGAGAGGAGAGAACTTTGTGGTTTTTTCTTGATTTCTTATTAGCATTGCCTTAACAATAACAATTCATATGAGCAGTAGTAGTTCAGCCCAGAAGCCACAGTTTACTCCAGCTTTTGGGTTCTTTCACTGCTTCCAGAGCCAGCCTCATCTTACCCATCAGAGGTCCCAGCAGGAACCTGGTGATGCTGCTTTCTTAAAGATCTGAGCACTAACTCTGCAAGGGATTCCTCTGAGATTTTAGACTCTGGTAACTTTAGAATCTTCCCTTCTTTTCTCTCAGACTGAGGCTAGTGTCTACTTCCTTATGTTATTATCTCTGGGTTAAAAAAAATGTTCTTCTTTTGTCCTTTCACTCCTTCAATGCCTGTGAAACCAATTCTTTATGTTAAATTTGCTCCCTGGAATACCTAACATGGTATCTCTTTTCTGACTGGACCTTAACTGATGCAACTTATTTCTACAATAAAAAGTCTTAGAAGTCTCCACTTCATTAATGACAGTAGCAAAACAAAGATGAAGTCCCCACTTCATTAATGACAGTAGCAAAACAAAGATGACTAAATATATAAAAAACTTAATGGAATATGAAAGCAAAACTTTATAATTTTGAAGAAAATTTAGGTTCATATTATTATATACTCATGGGAAAGAATTAAGAAAAAATTTTTAAAGAGGAAATAAGGACAAGTTATAAGTGAAACAACTGATAAATTTGACTACATTCAATATAAAATGCCTGTGTCTCAAAAGGTGCCATAAATAAAAGGTAAGTAATACACCAGGAGAAGACATTATAGTACATATAACTGAGAAACCATTAAAATCCAGAATATAAAATAATTCTAAAAGCTAACAAGAAAACAAACAGTCCCATGGAAAACTAATGAATGACTTAGAGAAATAATTAATTAAAAAGGAAACCTCAATGGCTAATAAATATATTTAAAGTTTCTCAACTTTACTTGCAAATATAGAAATGTAAATGAAAGCAACAGGAAGACACCATTTCATCATGAAGGCAAAATTAAGTCTGAAAATACCAAATATTGGCAACAATGTTGAGAAAGAGATACTGGTGTATACTGCTGCAATAAAAATTGTTTCAAGTTCTTTTTAGTGTAAACTGCTTGAGATTCTTTGAAGACCAATTTTGAAATATCTAATAAGGCAAAGATGTGTATATCTCACATACACAACAATTCTAGTTTTATAATACTTATAAGGAGACATGAGCTAGGATATCGGATGTAACATTGTTAGTAACATAAAAAACTTAAAATAATTGAGATGTCCATTAGCATGGAAATGGATAAATGTTTGCACAGTGGAACTATTTAGTGACTAAAGTGATTAAAGAAAACTGTATTTCCCAACATCAAAACAACAACAACAACAGCAACAACAACAACAAAACTCCATAGATGCTTTTTGCTGAAAGTAACAAAAAAAGAAATGCATGAACTCATCTGTAAAGAAGGCTGAGGTGCTATGGCTTGAAGATTGATTAAGATAGCCTCTCCCTGTTTTGCCTGTATTTCTGCTCTGCCATCCATATTACGTGGACTTATCTTCAGGCCAATTTTCTCAATGCAGCAAGACAGCTGCACAATTCTGGGTCTCATATTCAAATATGACAGCATCCAGCAGAAAATGAAGCCATTTATTTGTGTGCTTTCAAGAATAAGAAATCTTTCTCAGAAACCTACCAGTAGCATTCTGCCTGTTTCATTGACTGTAATTACATTGCATGCCCTGCATAATTCACTCACAGGAAATGAGTAAGATTACCATGGTTGCTTAGACAAATTAGAATTTACACTTGACATGGAAATAGGCTCTCCTCCCTGAAAGGATGTACCTATTGTATCTCAAGAAAACTGGAGCTCTGTTAACAAGGAATGGAGAGCAAATAGTTAATGGGCAGACAGCTACCAACTCTAGTTTAACCTGGAATAAGAATAATACAATATATAGAAGAACATTTACAGTTTTGTGTCCTTGTAGACATTTTTAAAGCACTGAAAACAATAATGAAATTGTGTAAAGATACAAACACACATAATGAGTGGTCAAAACCAAAGGCAGACACTTTACATAGCGGCTATTGGGCTGCCCCATTGAACAACTGGGGTCTACAGTGCACAGCTTGCCTCTCTTAGCATTGTGTTTGACTCAGTGGCCTTCTGGTTTTCTTTAGGGAGAGAGGAAAGGGAATAAGATGTGGAGAGATGCATCAGCAATAGCTACACATTTTATTTATTTTAATAAAGAAGCAAATATAGCAATTGCTAACATTTGTTAACTCTGGGAGGCAAATGAAATCCATCATTTTTAGACATAAAATAGTTTTAGAGCTGAAGCTCAGGGTACACTTTGTTGTGTTCAAATTCCTGAGTGTTGATTATCTGGCTTCTTGAAAAAAGGAAAACAGTATTTCACAGTACAAATTTGGTACATTTTAACTCAAAACAAGTATATTTGCTTTGGCAAAACTGTGCGAGATTTATGAATGATGATTAAAATGATCAAAATGTTACCATTTCATTGTTACAATTCCAAAAAAGTCATTCCCCAACATGAATTCCCAGACAAATGTGAATGTAGCTTTTGGCTATTTTTTTAAATTGCAAGTTTGTTTTGGTTTATTCATTCATGTAAATCACTAGGGAACAGGTAAGCTTCTGTTTCCTTCCTAAACTAACCCCTGTTTATGTACACACCCTAAAAGGTCAAATGTAGGCAGGAACCACTGCTTAAGCCCTGGGAAATATATTCTAGGTGATCATAAACATAACCACATTTTTTCTTTGTTTTTTTTCCTAATCATTTGTATTTATTAGAGTATGTTTCGACTTCTCGTGAAGTTGTCAGGAAAGTCACAATTTTTAGTTCCCTTCCATCCTCACCCTTACAGAATAAGGAGCTTCTACACAAATTAGGAGAAACAGGGGTTCACCTAGCCTCTTGCCCATGAACCTCAGAGATCTTTCTTTTTGCTAGGTAGGGACAAAGAAGAAAAATATGTTTTATTTCGGCCATTAAAACTTCACATGTTTGGAAAATGGCTCATGCTTTAATAAGGGACTTCCCGCTGATTATTTTCTGTCATCAATATTCAGAAAACCCAACCAAAAATATTTCTGCGGATCCGCAAATAGACTGGTAAGTCCTCATTTTACATTCCTGAGCAACAGCGTCTAGGTGCCCCTTAACCATTGGAAACAGTGTGGTCAGAGAGAGTTGGCACAGGTCTCAGAGCTGTGGCCTCCCTTGGGCTTCTCATTTTCTACTGGCTCACCAACCTATTGGCCAGAAGTAGATCCTGCATTGGATGCTGTATTGGGAGTCCAGGTGGTCTGAAGGGAGAGGGGTTTCTTATTCCTCTCACCGTCTCCATTTCCACTTCTCAAAGATTCAGGAGGGGCTATTTCTGGACACTTCATCCAAAGCTATAGGTAGACAAAACCTGATCATAAAAAGTGCTGTTACTGTCACTAATGTCTAAATATCAGATTAAAGGAAAAGACAGTCCTGAATCATAGCATAGCTTTGCATCAATTGGTCTTACTAAAAAATGAATGGATATCCTTTGTTGCTTGTGCTCCATGTACTTACAATATTGTGAATATTATTTGCACTTACAACAATATTGTGAATATTATTTCTGCTTGCCAGTTAAAACTTAACTTCCTCTTTCTGAAACAGTTTATGAATGTTATATTATAGATTTGCATCATTAACCTTTAGACAGGACTGCAGTTTAGTGGTTTTAAAGAGCAATTTAATGGTGGGTGTAGCTTGAATGATGCAGGAGAATGGTATTAGAGGTTGTTCTGGAGACAAGTATAATTGCGCTATTTTTCACTTAATTCAAAAGGCATCTGAGCAGAGAAATTCTACTGTTGACTCACCTTAAGTGAACCGCTCAGCCACTGTCTCAGTTTTCGCTGTAGTCAGCACAAGATTTTTATGCCTACCTGTCACACCAGCATTTTAGACGGTACCAATGGCAGTGTTTCCCTGACTGGGTTGAATCTGATCAATTTCCAGCCAGAATTAGTTCAGATTTTTATGAAAAAGAAGTATTACATGTGATTTAAATATAATTTTTTACTTATAGGAACACCTAGGATTAGTATTCCTTAGATTTTTGTATACAGCCTTCCTCCTAAAAGTTCAAAGCACTTTTATATATAAAATTTCATTTATTTTCACCCAACTCCTGTAATGTAAGTCAAGGTCAGGTTTTAATTATTCTTTGCATTCCATGAAGATGATATGCTATTATTTTATTGCAAGTGAAGATTTCAAAGATACTGTCTCAAAGTAAAATAAAAAAAAATCAGTTTCTTTTTCTGAATACATGCATTGCCATCAAGCTTTGGCAGGCCTGCACTTGACCTTTTGTACTTTCTATTATCTAAATACTTATTTGGCTTTAGGAAACCAGCCATGTGTGTCTGGAATTATTACTAAATGTAGCCCTCAGATTGCAATACCATTTTACAACTTTAAGAAAAGGGTAAAATTGGCAATATTGCGGTTTTGAAAAATCTCTTCTGAGTGAAGGCATGGACCACTATCTACTTCAACTTCCACTGGGTGCTTTTGCCTAAAGCACTGTCAGGCTACAGCCTTACACTAATAATATGACTAACTGTAGCCTGTAGGACCAAATATTCCAGGTTACAATCTTATCAGAGGAAGACAGAAACTGCAGAGAGGAGATGAAGGTCACCCCCACACCCCAATTCTATTGCCCTATTTTTTTGGGATTTAAAGACAGACAGAGGAACCCCTCCATCTCATGGTTGGATCTCAGATATATCTGCCTTTGTCATAGGTTTCCAGCTGGAGAAGTGGTTTCCAAGTGGAGAAGCCTAAATTTCTAGCAGTTCTCAAAGGCAAAAATAAAAATCCAGATATGTTCATTACTTTTATCTAGCTATTCTACAATGTATACATATATGAAAATGCTGTGATGTACACCACAAATATATATGATTTTTATTTGGCAATTAAAAGATGAAATCAATCAATTAGCTAAAAAAGCATCATCTGTGCAAAAATATATAAACATCAATAGTTAATTCTAATAAATTTTGAAGTCTCACATTAATCAGTTATATTCACATCCTTGTTTTAGTTGCAAGAATATCAACATAGTATGGTAACACAGTAATCTTATGCTGAAGAACAACTTCAACTGGCTATTTGTGATTTTGAAAAAAAACAGCAATTTAATTTTTAGTTAATATATGTGGTGATCTTGGTGGAACACAGAAATTGTTTCAAATCTGAAGCCTGTGGGAGAAACTATGGTGGTGGGAACATTGGCTACTTCTGTCATCAGTTTGAGGTCACCATCATCAAGTGTGCAAAGCCCTCCACTTTATAGTTCTCACCTTATTTGGCTTGACTCCTCACACAGACACCTGAAGATCCTAGAACTTCTGACTGCTAAGTATTAAGAGCCCAATAAATGTCCATTAAAAGAAACAGCTAGAAACAGACGGGTTCCACTTCTTAAGAGTCCCACTTACTCATTCAACAGATATATGGAAAGTGACCAATTTGAGCTCTGTGCTGGGTGCTTGGTATACAAAATGTTCCCCTTTGTATGAAAAAGATGCCACTAATTGCCTTCATGGACATTGCAGTCTGGTAGGAGTGACAGATGTGTATTAAATAATGACATAAGGAGGAGAAAAATTATAATTGTGGTAAATGTTGTCAAGCAGAAGTGCAAGAAAACTACATCGGGATTTGACCTAATCAGAGATTAGGAAAAAGTTTTCCCAGGGAAGATAAACCTGAGCTGAAGCTAGTGGTTGAGTTGCAGTTGACTAGTCAGGGTTATAGGGAAGAGCATTCTAGCCAAAAGGAACCAGATATATAAATATTCTGTGTCAGGAGGAAGTCTGGTAAGTAGTAGGGCCTGAAAGAAGATCAGTTTGGTGGTGAGACTGGCTAGAACGTGGAAAAGTCTGTGAGAAGTGATGAATTAAGAGTCCCTCCATGGAAGACCCCTTAGGAAGTTTGCCCTAGCTTAAAATGGAAAAACATTTAAGAATGATGAAAAATATGTATTACATGATCAAACTTGTATGCTCTTTGTTTTTTAAAGAATCACTTTGGCTGCAAGGTGGAGAACAGAGTGGAAGTAGGGAAGAGAGACCAATTAGAATTCTACTGCTAAAGTCCAGAGCATGGTGCCTGGACTCCTGTAGAAATGGTAAAAACAGAAGCAGATGAAATAAGGAGACATTTGGGAATCACCTTTGAACTCTCTGGTAGCCGCATATGTCCATCCTTGTATGCATTCACATGTCTCCCAGGTCAAGAAATATTCCTTGGTTCCCCCAGACTCCACCAGAGGAACCCCTCAGTCTCATGGTTGGATCTCAGCCTTACTAGATGTATCTACCTTTGTCATAGGTTTATGCATTATAGTCCCTGTTGTGGGCTGTTTTCTTAGCTCTTTATTATTATTATTATTATTTTATTTATTTATTTATTTTGAGACAGAGTCTCGCTCTTGTCGCCCAGGCTGGAGTGCAGTGGCACGATGTCGGCTCACTACAACCTCTACCTCCTGGGTTCAAGCGATTCTCCTGCCTCAGCCTCCTGAGTAGAAAGGATGACAGGCGGCTGCCACCATGCCCAGCTAATTTTTGTATTTTTAGTAGAGACGGGGTTTCACCATGTTGGCCAGGCTGGTCTCAAACTCCTGACCTCAGGTGATCCACCCACATCGGCCTCCCAAAGTGCTGGGATTGCAGGCGTGAGCCACCTTGCCCAGCCAGCTCTTTATTATTGAGTCAGCCTGGGCATGATGAGTAATAACCAGGGGTAATATCCACATCCATAGCAGGCGTTTGTCTAGACAGGGTTAGCCTCATCAAATTTAAATGCTCCACCTTGGCCACCTGACCACCAGGATTTCTTAAAGATGCTATGTTTTATGCCTTAACTCCAGGAAACACTGTTGTTTGGAGAAAAAAATGGGTACAGTCATGAGTTCGGTCCCACCAAATATAAAATGCTACATTCTTCTATGATATGACAGGGCTCCCTGATTTAGTACTCAGAGAACAGGGATAGGAAAGCCAACCCTAACATCTAGGCTACAGAGCCTGTCAGGATGTCTAAGCTCTTCCAGCTGCTTCCAGTAGGGCCACTATGTGGGTGATACTAACTGAGGTTGTGCAATGAGTGACCTTCATCCCTGTTTTGATTTATGTATTATGTGCAATGAGTATTTAGTATTTATGGCATAAATAAATAAATAAAAAATAAGTATCCACTCTGCTTACCCATTCAGAGTTAAAAAGCAAATGAGGTTTAACAAAGAATATGTTCCAAAATTTAGCCAAAAATTCAGTGAGAGAAGAAGGGAAGAAATCTGGTTGAAAGTAGAACCATGACAGGACCAGAAATAAACTGAAAAAAGAAAGAGGTTTTGCTGAGGAGGTAGCATGGGAAGAATGAGTTGATTCTTATTCTGGCAGGAGAGAGAAAAAGCTGGAATTGGTGTTTAATCTGATGGAAACAGTGTGACTATGCATGCCCCAGCTGGGCTTATTCCATATCCTCAGGCTGCTGTGACTGCCCCAACTTTCTTGAAGTTTGAGCTTCTGCATTGAAAATCAGTCTAGACGTTTTATTCTCAGACTTTCCAGAGGAAACTCAGATGGTAACCCTACCAGCGTGTCAAATTGAGAACCTACATTGTTCTCACCTCATGAAAGCCATTTAGGCAATGTCCAAGACAGTTTAAAGGAATGAGGGAACTATTTCTACTTCGTAAGAAAGTAAATGCTTCCTTGAAATTCATTATGTGAACTGCTAAAAAGAAAAAAATAAAGAATGTAAACTTTTCAGCTGCTTGTTTAAATGCTAGTATAAAAACCTATATGCTTTGTCCTTTCTGGGCATATTTACATATTTTCATATTTACCCAAATTCTTGAATTTGAGAGAAAAACATGGAGAGGTAATAAACAGAGTGGAGGACTCGGAATGAAGATAATCAGGTTAAAGCTTTAATTCCAGTGATGTGATCTGGGACAAGCTACTTAACCTCTCTGGGTGCTCATTTCTTCACTGAAAAAAGTAACAGTGTTGTATATAGGATCTAGAACTTTCTATGTAGAATACTCATTGAATCCATTTAGGATCAATAGCACCAAGTTACCTTTTTTAATATAATAGACCTCATAATGAATATTAAGCATTTTGAAATTGAGAAGCACAATATTAAATGATCAGTTTGGATTTTGTGTTATCACAAGAAGTGCTGTAACCCAACAAGTAAATTACTTTCAACCAAATATATACATTTTTATCTAGAGAGATAATGCAAAACAAATACTTGATATATTTATTTCTCTGGGAAATTTATTAAAAATATTCCTAATTTTCTTACTTTGAAATAATGAAAGATCTCAAGATAAGCAATGTGTATTATATATATATTTTTTCCAGACTTTTCCTTTATATGCATAGAAGTTATGAGGAGCCTTTATGAAAATCTTAGAATTTGTACTTTTTAGCTGGGATGAAGAGCATAAGGCATTTGGGAGATAATTCTTTTCATACCATCATACAATATTTAGAGAGCATCGTGCTGCATACTTGGTTGAGGGTGGTAAGAAACATAGGCCTGGACTCGGCTGCAGTGAAGTTTACTGCACAATTATTTCTATTCTCTAAAAACTCTAACACATACAACATAAACTATAGAGATATTAGGAAAATTTCTCTCTGTTTCATCTTACTCCAAAAGAGCTTATGAAACAGCACAATAAAAATTAAAGTATAGTCATCACAATGTAGAATAAATTATGCTCTTATGTGGTCTCACAGCTTAGAGGAGAGGCCATGGAAATATAAGGATTCCCAGAAGCCCCCATCCCCGTCCCCAATTAAAACATATGGCTTTTCTAAAAGTAAGCAGCACAAATCATTTGTTTTTATCTGAGAATCTACAATACAAATTGTGTTGTAGGCCCAACAATGCACAGCTTATTCCAGTGCCATCCCTATACAAAGAGAATTGGCTAGGAGGGAGTTCCAAAGTGTATTGCTAATGGTACCATAATCCAAAATCATTAGCATTAGATCTCCATTTAATTATTTTGTTATATAATTAATTAGTTAATCTCATACTTCAAATGAGCTTTGCCTGTCCTTCCTTCTTTCCCTACTGCATAGAGCTGCCTCATTTAGCAAAAAACAAAAACAAAGCAAAACAAAAAAATTAAAGGATTTGCAATTAAATTTGAATTTCAGAAAACTGACAAATAATATTTTAGTATAAGTGTATCCCATGCAATATTTTGACAAACTTATATAAAAATTTTAATATAACTAGGCATCCTTTATTATGCTTAGCAACTCTACTATCACGGATCACCTACCTTGGTTTGCATGAGAAATATTCCACCTATATATTTTTATTACATACAAGAACATCAACGTGAAAGCTGGAGAAATTTTGTGACTGAAATTCTTCAGGCATAACAACCAAATCTGAGTAAATTATCTCTTTAGGTAGGGAAATAACTGACTACGTAATTTCTAAGGATCCCATTCAATCTTATATGTTTACGTTCCTAAGTCTTATGATGATCAAATAATAGGCCGACCAAAGCTTCGTGAAGGCAGGGACATTGTGCATCTTGTTCAATTTTGAATTCACAGTGCTGGAACCTTACCTAATAGAGGTAACGACCATAGAAGGCACTTAGTAAATACAAGTTAAATAAGTAAATAAGAAAAAAAAAACATGTGGAATCTATTTAAGACAGAAATGACAAAAATAAAGGAAAAACTAGAGAAGGTTGTTTTCAACTATAGGCCCAGAGGTGTAAGGCCCTACAGACACTTCACACCTATGTTTTTACATACATGGCTGAAGCTGCATCCTAAGGTAATACATGTGGATTTTTAGAAGGATTAAAACTCTTTGAAAAGTTTGGCCCAAACAAACAGGATATTATTTCTAGGTCTCATGTAGGGCTCCCAAAGGATAATATTTTTACTCCTAGCCTAAATCCTTTTATGGTTTCTCTCTGTCACCTGGATATTGTCTTAATGCACAGTTTGATGCTTTTTCGGGTACTTTGATAGTTAAAGTGGGGTTACAAAGTAGAATCTGTTTATGACTATGGAAAGTCACTTTGACCTCAAGAAATATAAATGTAACAATCGAGAGAGAACAAAACAATTTATATTTAACTGGAGTTTACACAGCTATAGGGGAAATTAGAAGTTTCTTTCAGACTTTCCTTTTTTAATGATTACCAAGAGGAAAAGGCTCCTAATATTCCAATCATGCTTCTGTTTTCAACCTCTTCTACAAGAGTCAAAAATAGAAAGAGAGGAATTCTAGGAATTCCCACATGGTCCTTTCAGGAGTGATTTATGTTTCAAAGAGAAGGTTACCTTTTTTTTTTTTTTTTCTGTTACCCAAGGTAAGATTGCTTTCAGCTTTAAATTAGGTTGCTGATTTCTACAATAAATTTTTACCTCTGTTTCTCTCACGCGTGTATGTTTTGGAAGGGGGATGGGGGCAGTGAAAGTGAGATTTGCATGTGTCCAACATAAAGCATACATCTTTTAACATACTTTTTCCACTGCCACTATCTGAAGCATTTAATAAATATTGAGCAATCAAAAATAATGATAATGAAGTGTCTAAATGATTCAAATTCATAGAAACAGAAAGCAGAATTGTGGTTGCCCAGGGTGGAGGAAAGGTTGAAATAGGAATTGTTATTTTATGAGTAGAGAGTTCCCATTTTCCAAGATAGAAAAAAATTCTGGCGCTCCGTGCCCAACAATATGAATACACACAACACTACTGAACCATGTAGCAGACAGAATGAGAAGAAAAATTAATTATTATGAATAAATCATAAAATTCTTGGCCGGGCGCGGTGGCTCACGCCTGTAATCCTAGCACATTGGGAGGCCGAGGCGGGTGGATCACGAGGTCAGGAGATGGAGACCATCCTGGCTAACATGGTGAAACCCCGTCTCTACTAGAAATACAAAAAATTAGCCAGGTGTGGTGGCGGGCGCCTGTAGTCCCAGCTACTCGGGAGGCTGAGGCAGGAGAATGGAGTGAACCAGGGAGGCGGAGCTTGCAGTGAGCACGATGGCGCCACTGCACTCCAGCCTGGGCGACAGAGCGAGACTCTGCCTCAAAAAAAAAAAAAAAATTCTTCATTTACATTTTTCTATGCAATGTAGGTTCTTATGTGGAAATATAAGGATATTTATTCATTCAGACATTTGCTAAGCCTCTGTTATGTAAAAAGTAGAGTCTTTATTCTCAAATAGTTTTCAATGGAGTAGGAAAGATAAAACACACCAATAACTTTGTTCAAAACTTTCTACATGGAAAATTAGCAGGGCGTGGTGGCAGGCACCTGTAGTCCCACCTACTTGGGGGGCTGAGGCAGGAGAATGGCGTGAACCCAGGAGACGGAGCTTGCAGTGAGCCGAGATCGTGCCACTGCACTCCAGCCTGGGCGACAGAGCGAGACTCCGTCTCAAAAAACAAACAAACAAACCAAACAAACAAACAAAAAACTTTCTACATGGAAAGTAGTATTGTTGTGAGAGTTAAATGAGGATGTGTGTGAGTGTGTCTATGTGTCTGTTCATGGCTTACCACATGCCTGGCATACTGAAAACCCTTGTTTAATATTAACAATTATTATAATCATCTATTTACTCTAATATTAGATTGTCATCACAGCCCTAGTGTTACTGTTGACGGTAGTTGTCCAGTTGCCCAACTACCAGTTGAGGGTAGTTGTCCAGACTCTTGGCATTTTGAACAAAGAATTGGACAAAATGCAAAAGAAAGCAAGGGCAGGTTCTTGGTGGTTTGAACAAAGAACTGGATGAAACACACAAACAAAGCAAGGCAGCAAAAGCAGAATCTTGTTTTAAGTGAAAGTACACTCCACAGGGTGGGAGCAGGCTTGAGCAAGTGGCCAAACAACACTGGTTACAGCATTTTTCGGGCTTCGAATATCCACCTAGGAAACCTAAACCTAGAGGTTTCCCATTGGCCCACAGCCAGGCTAATTTATTGCAGGAGGGAACCAACCAGAATGAAGAGTAGGCCTGCAACCAAACTGATTGGTTGTGGGAAGGGACCAATCAGAGGTACTTTCATTTCATTGCCGCCCAGAAAAAGGAGGGATTAAAAGGTGAGTAGCTGCTGATATCCAATTAGCATGAATCAGCCTTAGGTTCTCTGCCTCCAGACCCTATTTTCCTGCTTCATTTCCTCACTAAGAGAAATAATCCCCATAAATCTTTGTGGGAGGCAGAGGGACTGATGGGAAGAAGAGGGACTACTTCGTACTGACATGGGGCACAGTCCCTACCTATTGGGGAGCACGGAACTTATCCTGCTCTTTCAAGTGGAGACAAGGCAGATTCTTGATGGCTGGGGGTGTTGTCTTCATTTGGAACTGGCTGGAAACCTAGTCAGTTGATCATCTGAACCTTGATAGTCTCTAGGTGAGAGGAAGTGAATTTTATAAAAAGATTTAATGAGGACTTCACGGGGTGGATACCTATGCTGTAAGGAATGTTTGTTATAGGAATGAATTAAAACATTCTGCTTAATTACTACAAAGGAAGTGATTTGAATCGATCTAAAGAAGGCAATTAAACTGCAAAAAATATAAAAGCATGGCTACTATTATCCAGCCTACAGTAACTATGCAACAAAAACACCAAGGAAAGTTGGCAGGCATTTATTTATCTTCTGGCTGTCTTCTAAAAGGTACTTCAGGTCTTCTACAGGTTCACAGGTGTGGTGGCTTATGGGAACTTCCAGGTTCCAGGTCTGAGACTTCAGGTATAGCAGACTTGATCCTTGAAAGATGTATTCAACTATCTAATCCCAGTGCTTTCACTGCAGAAGTCATGGCCAGTACCACTGAAAATTGTCCCTTCCATTTGGGTTGCAGTTGTTGAGCAGGTGATCCCTCCTTCCATGTTTTAACAAGTACCATATCTCGTGGCCTGATTTGGGGTTGGTGGTTAGTTTCCTTTTTCATTCCTCCAAGGAGCCTCAAGAAATTTAGCCCACTTGTTCATTTCCATGGATCTGTTATAGTCCCGATTAGGATCAGTAGTGGAGACTATGTCTCAGCCCAGGAGGTTACCCTGAGGGTTTCAGACATAAGTCTTCCACTTCCCGGTGGGCAGTCTCAATGATTCATTCCTTTTAAAGGGGGGGTGCAACAGGTTGCTAGAATGAATTGAACATCTCTCCATGAGGGATCAAAGGCTAAGGTCAAGTTTGGAGCCCATCTGTGAATTTCCTGGGATTCTTGGAATAGTTTCCTAGCTTTTCCTTACATTGCTGTATATAAGTTATAGAGAAAGGGACCTGCACTAGGACTGGCCCTTCAGCTCCTGCTACTTCCCTAAGGGGTAGCAGGGCTGGAGGGAGAGTTAAATATGGTGTTTCTCTCTGAGTGTGAGGGGGACTTAGTAGGGTCTCCAGTGTTTAAGTTGTAGCCTCAAGTGCACTTGGCAAGGGGCTATATGGAAGAGGTTGCTGTTCATCCTGAGAGACAGGTAGCCCTTGAAAAGGGTCATGTGTAATATCTAGTTCTGCCTTTGGACTTTCTTTTGGGGCAATTATTAGGTTTTGTTATAGGGCCATGGAGGCTGTACATATGGGATTTCTGACCATTTGCCCTACCACTTACAAAATAGGTCAAATTGCAGGATTGTCACAATAAAGGCTACCATTCACCAGCCATTGTTCTGGGCTGGGCAGCTCATAATGGTGCCAAACAGCATTGTGGAACATAATCATATGTTTTTATATTAGGTTTCTGTAGAGGGACTGAACTAATAGAATATATATATAATAGAATATGTATGAATATATATATGTATATATATATCCCATTAGTTCTGAGTCATTTGTAATCCTGCCTGGATTGGACCATAGTAGTTTCCCATTGACCTTAATCACAGGGCATGGGCATGGTAATACTAAGAGACACCCTAATGGTCTCCTGTATTCCATGCATACTCTTCCTTACCTCCATTCTGGAGTGGTAGACTGATTTCATCTTGATAGTTCAGGTCAATCACTCCAGCCAACACTGTAAGTCCCTTCTTAGCCTGTTGACTTAAAGGTAGGAGGAGCCCAAAGTGACCAGGTGGCAATCTTAACTTCAAGTTTAATGGAGTTGTTGTGTCTCCTGATGGCAGCGTTCCTCCCTCTGGAACTAAGACCTCTACGCCAGCAAAACTAATGTCGTGGGATCAGGAAGCAAAAATTTTGCTAGTGGATCACTAGGGGTGATGGTGAATGGTGTCACTTCCACTTCCACCCCTTGATTTCTGGACTTGTGAATCCTGGCCATGGGACAAAAAGTATCATGTATTGGACACTAATTCACAGCATACGCAGTCTTCTGGAGAACTCTATCCCAGCCCTGCAAATGTTGTCACTTCATTGGCATTGTAATTGTGACTTCAAAAGGCCTTTCCACTGTTCTATCAATCCACCTTCTTCAGGATGATGGGGAACATGGTATGACCAGTGAATCCCATGAGCATGAACCCACTGCCACACTTCTTTAGCTATAAAATGAGTGCCTTGGTCAGAGGCAATAGTGTGTGGAATAACATGATGGTGGATAAGGCATTCCCTGAGTCCACGGATGGTAGCCTTGACAGAAGCATTGTATGCAGGATAGGCAAACCCATATTTGGAGTAAGTGTCTTTTCCAGTGAGGACAAACCTCTGCCCTTCCCATGATGGAAGAGGTCAATATAATCAACCTGCCACCAGGTAGCTGGCTGATCTTCCCGAGGAGTGGTACTATATTGAGGGCTCAGAGTTGGTCTCTGCTGCTGGCAAATTGGGCACTCAGCGGTGGCCATAGCCAGGTCAGCCTTTGTGAGTGGACTTACTTGTGCCTTCAGGACCTGCTTGAGCCCAATCACATATATACCACTTCCATTTGATGATGGAATGCTGCTGTGCACAACCCACTTTATGGCTAGATGGGTCAGAAAGCACCCAGTTCATGTTGCATGGTGACCTGACAACCTGTAGTCAAATGTTCAGTTTCCACCAAAGCCCAGTAACCATAAGTCAACCTGAGATAAAACTCCATTAATTACCTGACCTCTATAAGCCCTTACTTTAACTGGAGGACCACAATGACGCTTAGGGTCCCCTGGAATCAACGTCAGCTCAGAGCCCGTGTCCGGTAGTCCCCAAAATGTCTGATCATCTCCCTTTCCCCAATACACAGTTACCCTGGCAAAAGGCCAGAGGTCTTCTTGGAGAAGGATGGGAGAAAGATTAACATCATAAATTGTCAGTAGTGTAGTGAGGTCCTACCTCAAGGGGATCCAGCCTCCCCTTTATTCAAGGAGTTCTGGGTTTGTTAACTGGCTCACATCTGGAAATTGATTGAGGGGCCTTGATGCTCTGTTGGTATAATTCAAATTAGTCTTTTGTCCATTCGACCTAGAAGTTTCCTGCTTATATTTATTAAGTAAAAATGCAGTAGTTCCTATTAATTTCACTTCTAGAAACAACGTAATTAATTAGCCAATGCCAGAGTTCTACATGAGTTCTACATGAGTCCAACTATTCTGATTGCCACTTTGCCTCTGCTGTCCATTAAGGTAGCTATGCCTACTCTGTCTTTGATGGTTGAGTGCTGCCGCTTGGTCCCTGCCACCTCAGGATCCAATTATTCCCATTGTATTTAAATTTTGTAGTTGAGTGACTGGGGTTCCCACTGTTAGATCTGACATACAGAGAAGAGCAACTACAAGGCCCTTCAAAGTTGCAGGTACTGCCCTCACCAATCTATTTATTATGGCATTGGTCAAGGATATATCTTTTGGAGTCTCCCAGGTATATCTTCTGGACCCTCCCAGCTGAGATGAGTAGGTCTAAAATGACTAATCCACTCCACCATTCCAATCTTCCTAAGTCTTTGGATCCCTTCCGCTACATTAAACCAAGGGAGCTCAGGCATTTCTAGCTCACTCACAGTGGGCCACGTTTTAATCCATATTTCAGCTAATCAAGCAAATAAACTGTTAGAACCTTTTTTAACTCCCCAAGCTGCAACATTAAATGCAGAGTCCCTACTTAGTGGGCCCAAATCAATAAATTTAGCCTGATCCAACTCTATGCTCCTTCCACCACTATCTCACATCCCAGTAGTTGCCACTACTGGGGATAGGCAAGCTGTTTCTTCCGGCAAAAAACATTCATCAGAGTATACAAGTTCAGTGTCCCCAGCTTTATCAGGGTCCTCCCACATGTCCCCACTCCAACTTGCAGGATCCTATTCTTTTCCAGTCAATGCCCTCACTTTAACAGTAGGCACCTGGCGAGTGTGTGCATGCACTTTTCGTTGCAGGTCAGCCACTCACATGATAAGGACTTGTGTCTGTTTTTCCATAGTTTCAGCTATTTCTCTACAGAAGATAAGACTCTCACTCAGGGCAATCTTAGCAGATTTGAGGCTCAATATCTGCTTCTGAAGCTGGGAGGGAGTTAGAATCCCTGAGTTCATTACTTTCTTTCATCACTTTATTCAGTGAACTTAGGAGCAACCGACCAGCTTTATTATGTTCCTTGGTTTTCCACATACGATCAAAGGTATTATGTACAGAGTTGCTAAATTCCTTGCTTCTCATGAGCAGTGAACCAGGATTTTCAAATGCATTTATTTTGCATAACTCTCTAAATGGTTTATGCCAAGGACTATTAGTGTTCTCTATACTATTAGAAGTAGAGTCCTTAGCATTTTTGGGTCTAATCATATTAAGCAGCCAACTCCAGAAACCCCAAAACCAATGAAAGAACTCCAGCCTTAATATTCTGCTCTTCTAGAACCACTCCTGGTACCAAAATCTGTATTAGTCAGGGCTCTGTAGAGGGACTGAATAGAATATATATATATGATATATATATGATATATATATATCATATATATATCATATATATGATATATATATCATATATATCATATATATGATATATATTATACGTATGAGTTTATTAAGTAGTATTAACTCACACGATCACCACATCCCACAATAGACTGTCTGCAAGCTGAAGAACAAGGAAAGCCAGTGTGAGTCCCAAAACTGAAGAACTTGGAGTCCGATGTTCAAAGGCAGGAATCATCCAGCACAGGAGAAAGATGTATGCCGGGAGGCTAGGCCAATCTAGTTTTTTCATGTTTTTCTGCCTGCTTTATATTCTAGCCATGCTGGCAGCTAATTAGATGGTGCCCACCCAGATTAAGAGTGGGTCTGCCTTTCCCAGCCCACTGACTCAAATGTTAATCTCCTTTGGCAATACCCTCACAGACACATCCAGGATCAATACTTTGCATCCTTCTATCCAATCAAGTTGACACTCAGTATTAATCATCACAGTTTTCTTTTTAGGTTGTCAGGGTCAAATTGATTCCAATGGTGGAGGATGCAGCCTAGCTGGGAGTCAGGTGGAATACATGGACAGTTGCCCATGGAGGAATCAGGCGGAATAGATGGAGAGTTGTCCATAGAGGAATCAGGTGGAATAGATGGAGAGTTGTCCATAAAGGAATCAGGAGGGATAGATGGAGAGTTGCCCGTAGTGGTCTGGAAAAGAGAAGATGACATTGAAAAGTGGAGGACTCATTAGGTGACCCAAATTTTCCTTGAGGCATCCCCCTGGAATAATTCTGGTCCCTGACCGTGATCCCTGGGGGAATCCCCCTTTGGGCCCCATCTTAGTCTGTCAGATGTCTCTGACCTTAGATGGGTGCTGGGACTGCTTTGGAATGATTTCCTCCACCACTGATGACATCACTATGAGCTTTCTCTCTTGTCCTTGGATGAAGGCCTTGACTTCTAGAATTAATTTTCCATCAAACTTTGGACTTTTTTTCTATCCCACTTAAAACAATTCTTTATGTACAATTTAATCTTACCTAAATTTAAAGAGTTAAAGAATTGTCCCCAAAATATCAAAATAACTTTTTTCTTGAGTTTTAAAGAGATAAAGTTTAAATGCTTTGTAAAATTAAAAATATTACGAGATTTTAATGCATGCTCAAAGTGAAGACAAAACACTGTCAACTTTGTTAGAAAAGTAATAAAATAGTTTTAATTTTTATTGTTAAAATAGTGAGTGTATATTAAATAGTAAGGGTAATAACTGAAAATAGAAATATAGGGCATTGTATCCAAACCAGCAGAGGGTGAAAAATAACACAGAATGGCTAAATAAAGGGAAAAAAATAATGAGTCAAATGCTAATTCAGAGGAAACTAGTACAGTATACTAAACTACAGTATACTAGTTTAGTATACTAGTATAATAATATACAGGGTAGAATTAAAGGCAGAAAGTATTGAGAGAAGCAAAAAAGGTCAGTGCATAAGAGAAGCAATAATTTTAATAAGTAACAGAAAATATTACAATAGAAATTAGAGAATATATGTAACTGAATAAATAGAAAAGTGAATAAATATAAAAGTAACTGAATAAAAAACTGTGAGACTCATGTAAAGCAGTAATTAGAGGGTAATTTAGAGACATATGTTTATTAAAAATAATAATTGAAACTAAGCAAGAAAAGGGTTTAATTCAGTAATCAAGGAAAATAATAGTCTAAACAAAATAAAAGGAGAAAGCAATGAAATATATAGCAATAGAAAATGATAAAATCAACAAAACGTCATTTATTTTAAAGGAAGAAATAAAATGGACTGAAGTAATCAATAAAAAGAGAAAGCATAAAAATAATAATGGAAACGAAAAAATTAAATGACCATATTTTCATGTAGTTTTTTTTTTTACAAGAAATTGTGAAAAAATTTATGCCAATAAACTTGCAAATCTGACAACTTGCCAGACAAGCATAATTTAGCAAAAGTACCTAAGGAAGAAATAATAATCATTAAATACATTTAATAATTTATTTAAACTAAACTCATCTAAAAAGTATGAAAGTTTCAAGAAACAAATAATTTAAACCATATACAAATGTTTCAGAGAATACAAAATAAGAAAAAGCTACTCAACTACTCTCATGAAGCAAACACCCAAAGCAGATATGAATAGTAAAAGTAAAATCCTATAGATATATTTAAAAATAATCTGTAAATTTCAAGACTAGTTTGTAAAAATGTTTAGCAAATTAAGAATAGAAAAATTTCTGAACTTTCTCTATAGTAAACAACATACTTAAATGTGAAACTAGGAATATTTCAATTAAATTCAAGAACAACACAAGAATGCTTGCTATGACTGTCTCTAATAAACCTTGTACCGAAGACTCAAGGAAAATAATGTTTAAAAAATAAGAGGTATAGAAGTGCAAAAACTTGCAAAATTGTCCTTATTGAGATGATAAAGTTATAAAATTCTAAATAATTTGCAAACAATTGTGACTACTAGAATATTCAGCAAGTCTAGTAGATAAAATATCAATGTAAAAAATCAATAACATCCCAACATATTCCAGCATTATCAATTAGTAAAACAATGTCAACAAAACCAGTAAAGTACCTAGCAATAAATCTAGCAAATCCTGTATAGTAAGATTTTGATGGAGAGAATTCTAATTTGAATGATATTTTTAAAGTACTGAATAAATGGGAAAGTATGATATGATAATAGATGGAAGACCTAACATCCAAAAATGTCTGCTCTCTTTAACTCATTCTGTTTTTTAAATCAAATTTCAACAATAATTCCAGAAAGAATGTGTGTGTGTGTGTGTGTGTGTGTGTGTGTGTGTGTGTGTGTATGACTTTAATGGAACTTGCCAAGATTATCCTGAAATTGAGATAAATGAACAAAAATTCAAGATTAAATAAGATATTTATAAGAAAAATATGATGAAAAGGGGATATCAACACATATTCAAATATTGTAATTAAAATAGTGTAGAGCAGGAACTGAAATAAACTAATAGACTAAAAAGCCAGAAAATAGAGCCTGGAAACAGATCTACACATGTATGGCTAAATGACAAAGAACTGGCCTTAAAAATCACTGAGGAAAGAATAAAATTTTTATTAATAGTATTAGAACACCTGGGAATCTGTGTTGGGCTTTTTTTTTACATTGCTATAAAGAAATATCTGAGACTGGGTAATTTATAAGAAAAGAGGTTTAATTGGCTCATGGTTCTGCAGGCTGTACAAGAAACATAGTGCCAGCATCTGCTTCTGGGAGGCCTCAGGAAGCTTTTACTCATGGTGGAAGGCAAAGCAGGAGGAGGCACATCAAATGGTGAAGGTAGGATCAAGAGAGAGAGTGGGAGGTGCCACACACTTTTAAACAGCCAGATCTGAAGAGAATTTACTCCCT
Organism: Homo sapiens; assembly: GCF_000001405.40. NCBI lineage: Eukaryota > Metazoa > Chordata > Mammalia > Primates > Hominidae > Homo > Homo sapiens. The sequence goes on from NC_000003.12 coordinate 99,266,997, forward strand.
ATAGTGAGGACAGCATCAAGGGGATGGAGCTAAACCATTCACCCCCATGATCCAATCACTTCCCACCAGGCCCCACCTCCGATACTGAGGATTACAATTCAACATGAGATTTGGGTGTGGACAAATATACAAACTATATCAGTAGCCAAATAAAAAACAATCTACTTCAAATATTGGTAAGTCCTAAATATTAAAAGCAAAACTTTAAAGCGCCTAAAAGAAAATACAGAATACGTTTATGATATTGAGGTTCAGAAGGAGGTATTAGATAAAATATAAAATTTCAAAACTCATTAAATATAAGCTATAATACATTTACCTATATGAAAATGAAAACTTTCTATTTAATAAAATACCACAAGGTTAAAGGAGCTTCAGAATGGGAATTTATATCTGCATGGTTTATTGCCAATAATAATTTTGTATCCAGAATATGTAAATGATTTAAAATGAAGAAGCAAAACATAATCCAATATAAAGGGCATTTTGTGAGAAAGGTACTCAAGAGATGTTTAAAGGGTCAATAACACCAAAGTAAAATGCTCAACACTATAAAGAATTAGGAAAATGTAAGCTACACCCATGTGCAATTAAAACCACATATCTTTTCAAACTCAGCAGACAGAAAAACATTTTAAAATCTGGAAGAATTCTAGGTTTATAAGACTAATGAGTCACAGGGATTCTTATACATTGATAGAGAGCACATAATTTGGTATAGCCACTTTGAAAAGAAAGTTAGCAATAATTATTAAAGTTTAATATGCTATATTAGTTTTCTATTGCTGCTGTAACAAATTATTGCAAACTTTGTGGCTTAAAACAAGCCAAATGTGTTAGCTTACAGTTCTGGAGGTCAGAAACCTACCATGGGTTAAAATCAAGGTGTCTGTTCATATAGCTACATTTCTTTCAGGAGCCTCTGGGGAAAAATTCTTTTTCTATCCCCTTTCCTAGCTTCTAGGGGCCATTCCTTGGCTCCTGGCTCCTTTCCTCCATCTTCAAAACCAGCAAGAGATCCTATCTCTCTGACTCTCTAATCTGCTTCTTCTTTCAATTTCAAGGACTCATGTGCATAGATTGCATCCTCCTAGATAATCCAAGGTAATCTCACCTTTTGAAGATCCCTATCCTTAATTATATCTGTAAAGATCATCTTGCCATTTAAGGTAATATTCATAGGTTCCAAGGACATCTTTGGGGGAATGATTATTCTACCTGTACTCCTTGAACTATTAATAACAATTGTACTTCTATAGCCTAACAGAACTGTTGGAAATATGTTCAAAGGATATGCACAAATATGTTCATTGGAACATTATGTATAGCATGAACATTTTTCAAATTGTGGGTATTGCTAGCATAAACAGTACTGGTGTATTAATATAATGGAATACTGTTTATTCACATGCTGCTAATAAAGACATACTCGAGACTGAATAATTTATAAAGGAAAGAGGTTTAATGGGCTCACAGTTCCACATGGCTGTGAAGGCCTCACAATCATGGCAGAAGGCAAAGGAGGAGTAAAGTCATGTTTCTCATGGCGGCAGGCAAGAAACAATAAGAGCCAAGCAAAAAGGGAAACCCCTTATAAAACCATCAGATCTCATGAGACTTATTCACTACCAAGAGAATAGTATGGGGGAAACTACTCCCGCGATTCAGTTACCTCCCACTGGGTCCCTCTTACAACATGTGGGAATTATGGGAGCTACAATTCAAGATAAGATTTGGGTGGGGACACAGCTAAACCATATCAACTGTGTAGGGTTGAGATAAATCTTAAAAACATAATATTGAACAAAATAAAGATGCAGAATTATATAATTATGTGTGTGTCTTAATAGGCAGATAGACAGATACATAGATAGATACAGAATATAACAACTTGCACTGACATAATAGATACGGCTTATGGGCTATCTGGGAAGTAAGGCCAGGGAGGAAAAGAAAAAGACACACAAGCAAGGCATAATGTTCACTTTTGTTAAAGCTAGATAGGAACATGTGTTTTCCTTAAAATCTTATCTGTACATTTTGTATTTTAAAAGTATTTTACAATAAGAATCTGTAGGTTTTAGGGTAAGGATATTGAGCTGAATGAAAGCATCCCATGTTAGGAGCAAAAGCTGAGAAGAGGAAAACATGGAAGAAAGCGCAGATTAGTTGGTGTTGTTGAAAAAGCTTTAGACTGAAAATGAAGAGACGTCGGTTTTCACTTTGGCTCTATCACTATCTAGCTCCATGACATTGGGAAGATTACTGAATGTTACCAAATCTCTATTCTTTCATCTCAAGAGTGAGTACTTTGAATCAAAGCATCTGCAGGTTTGTTGTAACCATAAGATATTGTATCTGATGGCTTTTATGCACAGTACAGTATTTTTATCACTAAAAAATATGGGTAGTTTGATAAAATACATCTGCTTAAGAATGGTGATCACATCAAAGAAAATTGTACACACACACACAAAACCCTCATAATGCCTGATTTTTACTTAAAACCACCCTACCCAGTCTTTTGGGGCTAAAAGATGGCTCCAGAGCTGGGATGGGAGAGTGGCTACTAATGCTAATCTGGGACACAATTTTGAGGTGGGATTGAATTTGGAGTCCAGCTTTCTGTGGCTCTCACAGGTCCAAGCTCAGTTTTCTAACCATATTATCTCCTTGGGGAGCATGCTCAGTGGCGAGCTGCTACAGTACATCTCCAGAACATATATTCCTCAAAAGAAGTCCATTTAATACCGTAGAATATGGCAATTGGTAACTGCCTGTCCTAATTCAGGAGCACACAGTATTAGACTATGGGGTAAGTATTTCCTGGCAAAAGATAATATGGCCACACAAATCCTAGCACTGCTGAATGATCTCCTTGCCTATGCCAAAGTGGCCCCAAGTCTGCAGAAAGAATTCCCTTCACAGATACCGTGCCACCTCACAAATGCTTCTTTTGTACTATGTGCAAAATCAACTCTAAAGACCGCCCAGGTTTTATACCCTGATTCATTTCTTCAGACACTATTTGACATGTCTTTGGGAGTAACGTCTTTTTCATTAAGAACAAACCACTTACTTCTGATGACATGAATTCTTGAGTAGGACTCTGACGGACACACATTGCCTCAGGCAGCAGGCTGGGTTCTTTGGCTCTCTTTCGAGCAGCCCTACTTTCATGTCCCAGTTACTCAACTTCAAGTACAGCCAAAAATTATCTCAAGCCAAGTTCTTCTGAACAAAAAACATTCAGAAGTCTTGCTTGCTTCAAGCCAGTAGAAGGCTCCAGCCGGATATTGGACCCGTCAAGTAATTTTAATAACTAAAAGAAGAACATATTAGATTCTTGTTCTCATTCTCTGTAGTGCTGATGCCACATTCTTATAAGCCATGCCGATGTGGAATTTTTATATTTTACTTTAAATGCTGTGTTTGTTTTACTGTTTATAACATATGGCTATATTTCAGAATATAGTTTGCAATCATATATGTACTCCAAAGACCCACTGAAGTGACTCCTTCATGTATATATCACAATTCTCTATTTTAGGAGAGTGTATTCTAGATTTTGTGTAGCCCTCTCAAGTTACTTGTGACTGCATTCTACTTATCTCCTAGTCATTTCCCCATATTCTTTGATATTTTGATACTAGGTCTATGGTTCTCTTTCCTAACTTATTGAGTATTTATGTGGACAAGTTATCCAAATTGGATTATCTAGTTCCTTTATTTTTTCATTTCTAATAAATGACTTTCGCCATCTGTCACAATCTGGAACATGGCACCACACAATTGCTCCAACTCTGAACATCACTAATTCAAGTTCCTCACTGCCATCACTAGGTTTTCTAGTTGACATTCATGGACATCATTGTGCCCTTTGAGGCTTTCCAGTTCATTGACTCTTCCATTTTCCTCTGGCCTTTTTACTGCCTTTGTCCTCTTTTCAGGTATTATTACACAATCCAGGAATTACTTTGATAAAACCATGACTTTTCTCGTCTCTTTTTGTCAGAATAGTCTAATCCCATTTAGAGTTTAGAGATAATTTGATTACCTGCTTTGAAAAATAGGCCCCATTATAAATTTGTAATCACAACCCTTATCTATTTCTCTGGTTACCTTGCCCTCTTACTTTCTTCAAAGACTATTTCAAACTTTTTTTTCCATCCTTGGTATGGTCTGAATAAACCCTTCCCCATATTCATATGTTAAAACCTGTCCCCCAAAATAATGCTATTAGGAGGTGGAGACTTTGGGAGATGATTAGATCAGGAAGGTGGAACCCACAGGAATGGGATTAGTGCCTACACAAAAGAGGCTCGAGGAAGCTTGTTTGCCCTTCCAGCCATGTGAGGACATAGCTAAAAGGCACCATTTATGAGAAGTGGTCCCTCACCAGAACCCACATCTGCTGGCACCTTGATCTGAGATGTCCTAAACTCAAGGACTATGAGAAATAAGCTACCCAGTTTATGGCATTTTTGTTATAACAGTCTAAACAAAGTCCTCAAACTGCAACTTCTTTCCCAATCTCATAGTATGACAATTTTTAGCTGATAATTTTACCATTAACTTCACAGAGAAAAATAAAGTATGTGAAAGAATCAACTAAATTGCTGACTGTCCAACTCACAAACCTACCTGGATTTGCATGCACCTTCTTCTCTTCCCTCTGTTAAACTACAAGAGGTGCCTATCCTACCTAAAGCATGTGTTCCATCTGGTGTCCAGGCTTTCATGCCTCCTCCTGGAACCTTTGACTTCCCCTATTTGACCCTGAAATATCTACTTTATATTAGATCTTTCCCATCATTGTTTCCTATTCTTCCAACCATTCCAACTATTCCTCATTTTAGCAAGGTTGAACATCTGTATTTATTTGACAGTTAGGTTTTCTTTTCTGTGAAGATTCCATTCATATATTTTACCCATATTCTATGCAATTGTGTTTTCCTTATTGGTTTATTTGTAGATTTTAGATACAAATCCTTTGTCAGCTAAACATTGCTTTGTGTTGTCACTTTGTAATGTGTCATTTAAATTCATTTATCAGATCATTTGTCATGTAATAGCTTTCATGTTGCTGTAATCAAATTTAACAGGCTTTTATAATTTGTGAATTTTGAGTTTTTTTAAAAAATACTTTGCTCTCTGATATAATGAAGACAAGTATTTTGTTCTAGAAAATTCAGTGTTAATTTTTACACTAGGGCTTCTTATTTAATTTTTTTAAAATTTTGGATTCAGGGATTACATGGATATAGTAGGTCTTTAATTCATATACATTCTTTTAGAATAGTATAAACTAGGAATTAATTTTTATTTTTCCTTTTAGTCAATTGTTTAAGCAACATTTTTTGAGTTGCCCAATTTATACTCAAGGATATGTAAACATAACTTAGTTTTCTACCAAATCTCAATCTCAGTATTTATGTGAGTCCAATTCTGCACTTTCTTTTCTGTCCCATTACTTGATTTTCTATTCATGCATCAGTACAACACTGCCTTTATTACTGCATTACTATAGTATTTTTCTTTATCTTGATATCTGGTAGGGTGATTTCCCATACCATTTCTTTCTTCTTAAACCCTTTTGACTCATTTGCTGATAGCACTTTCATTAGGATTTTTAGTTACTAATTTTTCTTTTTATTTATTTATTTATTTATTTATTTATTTATTTATTACTATTATTATACTTTAAGTTTTAGGGTACATGTGCACAATGTGCAGGTTACATATGTATACATGTGCCATGCTGGTGCGCTGCACTCACTAACTCGTCATCTAGCATTAGGTATATCTCCCAATGCTATCTCTCCCCCCTCCCCCTACCCCACAACAGTCCCCAGAGTGTGATGTTCCCCTTCCTGTGTCCGTGTGTTCTCATTGTTCAATTCCCACCAATGAGTGAGAATATGCGGTGTTTGGTTTTTTGTTCTTGCGAGAGTTTACTGAGAATGATGGTTTCCAGTGTCATCCATGTCCCTATAAAGGACATGAACTCATCCTTTTTTATGGCTGCATAGTATTCCATGGTGTATATGTGCCACATTTTCTTAATCCAGTCTATCATTGTTGGACATTTGGGTTGGTTCCAAGTCTTTGCTATTGTGAATAGTGCCGCAATAAACATACGTGTGCATGTGTCTTTATAGCAGCATGATTTATAGTCCTTTGGGTATATACCCAGTAATGGGATGGCTGGGTCAAATGGTATTTCTAGTTCTAGATCCCTGAGGAATCGCCACACTGACTTCCACAATGGTTGAACTAGTTTACAGTCCCACCAACAGTGTAAAAGTGTTCCTATTTCTCCACATCCTCTCCAGCACCTGTTGTTTCCTGACTTTTTAATGGTTGCCATTCTAACTGGTGTGAGATGGTATCTCATTGTGGTTTTGATTTGCATTTTTCTGATGGCCAGTGATGGTGAGCATTTTTTCATGTGTTTTTTGGCTGCATAAATGTCTTCTTTTGAGAAGTGTCTGTTCATGTCCTTCGCCCACTTTTTGATGGGGTTGTTTGTTTTTTTCTTGTAAATTTGTTTGAGTTCATTGTAGATTCTGGGTATTAGGCCTTTGTCAGATGAGTAGGTTGCGAAAATTTTCTCCCATTTTGTAGGTTGCCTGTTCACTCTGATGGTAGTTTCTTTTGCTGTGCAGAAGCTCTTTAGTTTAATTAGATCCCATTTGTCAATTTTGGCTTTTGTTGCCATTGATTTTGGTGTTTTCGACATGAAGTCCTTGCCCATGCCTATGTCCTGAATGGTAATGCCTAGGTTTTCTTCTAGGGTTTTTATGGTTTTAGGTCTAACGTTTAAGTCTTTAATCCATCTTGAATTGATTTTTGTATAAGGTGTAAGGAAGGGATCCAGTTTCAGCTTTCTACATATGGCTAGCCAGTTTTCCCAGCACCATTTATTAAATAGGGAATCCTTTCCCCATTGCTTGTTTTTCTCAGGTTTGTCAAAGATCAGATAGTTGTAGATATGCAGCATTATTTCTGAGGGCTCTGTTCTGTTCCATTGATCTATATCTCTGTTTTGGTACCAGTACCATGCTGTTTTGGTTACTGTAGCCTTGTAGTATAGTTTGAAGTCAGGTAGTGTGATGCCTCAAACTTTGTTCTTTTGGCTTAGGATTGACTTGGCTATGAGGCTCTTTTTTGGTTCCATATGAACTTTGAAGTAGCTTTTTCCAATTCTGTGAAGAAAGGCATTGGTAGCTTCATGGGGATGGCATTGAATCTGTAAATTACCTTGAGCAGTATGGCCATTTTCATGATATTGATTCTTCCTACCCATGAGCATGGAATGTTCTTCCATTTGTTTGTATCCTCTTTTATTTCCTTGAGCAGTGGTTTGTAGTTCTTGAAGAGGTCCTTCACATCCCTTGTAAGTTGGATTCCTAGGTATTTTATTCTCTTTGAAGCAATTGTGAATGGGAATTCACTCATGATTTGGCTCTCTGTTTGTCTGTTGTTGGTGTATAAGAATGCTTGTGATTTTTGTACATTGATTTTTGTATCCTGACACTTTGCTGAAGTTGCTTATCAGCTTAAGGAGATTTTGGGCTGAGACAATGGGGTTTTCTAGATATACAATCATGTCTTCCGCAAACAGGGACAATTTGACTTCCTATTTTCCTAATTGAATACCCTTTATTTCCTTCTCCTGCCTAATTGCCCTGGCCAGAACTTCCAACACTATGTTGAATAGGAGTGGTGAGAGAGGGCATCCCTATCTTGTGCCAATTTTCAAAGGGAATGCTCCCAGTTTTTGCCCATTCAGTATGATATTGGCTGTGGGTTTGTCATAGATAGCTCTTATTATTTTGAAATACGTCCCATCAATACCTAATTTATTGAGAGTTTTTAGCATGAAGGGTTGTTGAATTTTGTCAAACGCCTTTTCTGCATCTACCCTGGGATGCAAGGCTGGTTCAATATACACAAATCAATAAATGTAATCCAGCATATAAACAGAAACAAAGACAAAAACCCTGCTGTGCAATAGATCTCAAAGCCAATTCCTTTTGTCTGTCTGAAACTTTATACACTTTGATCAACAACACCCCATTCCCACCCCCGATCCATATATCTGGTAACGATTGTTCTACTCTTTACTTCTATGAGATTAACTTTTTTAGTCTCCACATATGTGAGATCATGTGGTTTTTGTCTTTCTGTGCCTGGATTATTTCACTTAAAAGAATGTTTTCCAGATTCATCCACATTATCACAAATGACAGGATTCTCCCTCTTTTTTAAGGCAGAAGAGTATTCCACTGTGAACATATACCACATTTTCTTTATCCATTCATCCATCAACAGGCACTTAGATTAATTCCACATCTTGGCTATTGAGAATAAGGCTTCAATGGGCATGGAAATGCAACTATTTCTTCAACAAATTAATTTTAGTTCCTTTGGATATATACCCAGAATTGGGATTACTGAATCATAGGGTAGTTCTGGTTTTAGTTTTTTTTAAGAACATGGATCATTTTCCATAATGGTTGTACTAATTCACATTTCCATCAACAATGTATGAAAGTTACCTTTTCTCTACATACTTCCCAACACTTATCTTTCGTCTTTTCTATAAAAGCCATTCTAACAGATGTGAGGTGATATTTCATTGTGGTTTTAATTTGAATTTTCCCAAAGATTAAAGATGCTGATAAATCTTTTCATGCATCTGTTGGCTATTTGTACATCTTGTTTTGAGAAATACTTGTTCAGCTTTTTTGCCTATTTTTATTTGGATGATTTGTTCTCTTGTTATTGAGTTGTTCGAGTTCCTTGTATATTTTGGATATTAATCCCTTATCAGATGTATGGTTTTCAAATATTTTCTACAAACCTGTAGGTTGCCTCTTCACCTTCTTGTTTCGCTTGCTATGCATAAGGTTTTTAGTTTGTTGCCATCACGTTTGTCTATTTTTGCTTATGTTGCCTTTGCTTTTGGGGTCATATAAAAACTTGTTACCTGGACCAATTTCAGCCCTTTCCCCCTATGTTTTCATCTGGTAGTTTTACAGTTTCAGGTCTTATATTTAAGCCTTTAATCCATTTTGAGTTGATTTGTGTTTATGGTATGATATGAGGGTCTAATTTCATTCTCCTGCATCTGGATATCCAGTTTTTCTAACACCATTTATTCAAGAGACTGTCCATCTCCCATTGTGTTGTTGGCACCTTTATCAAAAATCAATTGACCATAAACACATGGGTTTATTTCTGGGCTTTCTATCCTGTTCTATTGGTCTAAGTGTCTGTTTTTATGCCAGTACCATGTTTTATGATTACATTTGCTTTATAATATGTTTTGAAATCAGAGGGTGATGCACTCAGCTTTGTTCTTTTTGTTCAAGATTATTTTGGGTCTTCTGGGTCTTTTGTGGTTCCATACAAATTCATGAATTGTTTTTCTCTATTTCTGTAAAAAATGGCATTGGAATTTTGACAGAGATTGCATTAAATCTGTAGATCAATTTGGGTAATACAGACTCTTCAAAATATTAATTCTTTTAATTCATCAACTTGGGATATCTTTCCAAACTTGTGTTTCCTTCAGTTTCATTCATCAGTGTTTTATAGTTTGGAGTGCATAGCTCTTTTACGTCCTTTGTAAAATTTACACCCAAATATTTAATTTTTTTGGTTGTTATGATGAATGGGATTGTTTTCTTACTTTCCTTTGTAGGATAATTTGTTATTAGTACCTAGAATCACTAATAATTATTGTATGTTGATTTTGCATTCTGCAACTTTACTGAATTTGTTTATCAGTTTTCACAGTTTTTTGGTGGAGTTTAAGATTTTCTATGTATAAGTTCATGTTGTTAATAAACAGAGACAATTTTGTTTCTTCCTTTCCTAATAGGATCCCTTTTATTTCATTCTCTTTTCCCATTGCTCTGGTTAAGACTTACAGTTGTACTATGTTGAAAGTAAGTGACGAAAATGAGCATTCTTGTCCTGTTTCTAATCTTACAAGAAAAGCTTTCAACTGTTCATTCAACACTGAGAATAATTTTATCTATGGGATTGTTACATATGGCCTTTATTGCATTGAAATACTTTCCTCTGTACCTAATCTGTTAAGAGTTTTTATCATGAAGTGGTGCTGAATGTTTTCAAATGCCTTTTCTTCATCTATTGAGATGATTATATGATTTTTAGTATAATTCTTATTATATGACCACTGAGAGATGCCAAGTGTGAGAAGTATTGCTGCGTCTAAGATGCAGAGCCCACAAGTAAGCCTAAAGAGAACTCTAAGTGGTAAGGATGGCCTCCGGCTGACAGCCATCAGGACAGTGAGATCTTGGCCCTATAATCACAAGGTACTGGATTCTGAGGATTACTCCCAGAGCCTCTAAATAAGTGCCCAGCTTGTTGACACCTGGTTTGGGCCTGCAAATGCAAAACCCAGGGCAGAGAAACCAGCTGAATCAACAGAACCTTGAGAAAACAAATGTTATTTTAAACCACTATGTTTGTAAGATCGTGGTAATTTATTGCAGCAGCAATAGAAAACTTAAATATACATATATGTGTATATATGTATGTGTGTCTGTGTATATATATATTTATATTCACCAACAAATTTCCCCTTTGGCATTTTTAATGGTTTCTTGCAGATCTGGGCATCACTTGCTTTAGTCTAAATAATTTATTTTATTCTATAGTGCAGGCTTCCTGGAGACAAATTTCTCAGCTTTTATCTTTTGTCTATCTGAAAGTTTATTTAATTTATCTTTGTACATAGAGCATATATTCACTGGAGATAGAATTTTATTATAACAGTGTTTTTTTTTTTTTTTTTTGCTTTCTTTCAGTTCTTTTAAGATATATTTCCAGGGGAGACAGAGTAAGATGGCTCCACCAATTGTTCCCCCGACAAGGACACCAATTTAACAATCATCTACACAGAAAAAACACCCTCGTAAGGATAAAAATCAAGTGAGTACTCATACTGCCTGGTTTAACTATTTATTTCTGAAAGAGGCATTGAAGAGATAGTAAACACAGATGCCACCCCTCCAGCTCTCCATCCCTTACCCCGAGCAGCTGCATGATGTGGACAGCATCTCCAGGCACTGGGGGAGGGAGAGGACAGCAATTGTGAGGCATTGAACACAGTGGTGTCCTCAGTGGTATTAGAGCAGAAAGGAAAATCGGACCAAACTCAACTGACATCCCCAACACAGAGGGAACATTTAAACCAGCCCTAGCCAGAGGGGAATTGCCAACCCCAGCAGTCCCTGCTTGAGTTTTGGCAAACCTCGCCACTGATGGCTTGAGTGTTCTGTGTTTCCAAGGAAACTTGAAAGACAGTCTAGGCCATAAGGACTGCGAATCTTAGGTGAATCCTAGTGCTGAACTAGGAACAGAGACAGTGGACTTGGGGGGATGGGGGCACACAATCTACTGAGATACCAGCTAAGGTAGCCAAGAGAGTGCTGGCATCAAACCTCCCTAACACAAACTGCACGGCTGGAGGCTCCAAAAGAAACCCCTTCCTTTTATTTGAGGGAAGGAGAGGGAAGAGTGGGGAGGACTTTGTTTTGCATCTTGAATACCAGCTCAGCCACAGCAGGATAAGGCACTGCTCAGAGTTGTCAGACACCCATTCCAGGCCCTAGCTCCCAAAAAATATTTCTAGACACATCCTGGGCCAGAAGCGAACCTGCTTTTTTAAAGGAAAGGACTCAGTCCTTCCAGCACTCATCACCTGCTTATTGAAAAGCCCCTGGGCCCTGAATTAATAACAGTGATACCCAGGTACTATATCGAGGACCTTGGGTGACCCTCTGAGACTTGCTGACTTTAGGTAAGTCTCAGCACATTACCAACTGTGGTGGCTACAGGGCAAAACTCCTTCTGCTTGAGAAAAGCAGAGGGAAAGGGAATGGAGACTTTGTCTTGCACCTTAGGTACCAACACCGCCATGGTGGGTAGAGCACCAAATGGGCTCTTGGAATCCCTGATTATAGGACTTGACTTTTGGATGTCATTTCTGGTCCTGCTGTGGGCCAGAGGGAAGTCCACTACTCTGAAGTATGAATCCCAGGCCAGGCAGCATTCACAACAAGCTGATTTAAGAGACTTTGAGCCTTAAGGGAGCATCAGGGGCAGTCTGGAAGTACTTTTTGAGGCCTGGGGTAAAGGTGGCTACAGAGTGAGACTCCTCTCCTCAGTCTTTAGAAATGAAAAGAAAGAGTGAAAAGGACTGCATCTTGTGGTTTGAGTGCCAGCTCAGCCTCAGTATGATAGAAAACCAAGTAAAGTTCTAAAGTCTTTGACTCCAGTTCTTGACTCCCAGATGGCATGCCTGGACCCACCTGGGACGTGGACGACCTTGCCATGCTGGAAAAAACAAACAAACAAACAAACAAACAAACAAATAAAAAACCACGATCCTGGCTGGCTTTGCCACCTGCTAATTGTAGAGCCCCAGGTCCTTGAGTGAACATAGGCAGTAGCCAGGGAGTGGTTACAGCAGGTCTTGGGTGAGACCCAGTGCTATACTAGCTTCAGGTCTGATCCAGCACAGTCATAGTAGTGGTGGCCACAGGGGTGCTTGTGTCACTCTATCCCCAGCTTTGGATGGCTCAGCACAGAAAGAGAAAGACTGTTTGTTTGGAAGAAAGTAACGGAAGACAGCAAGAGTCTCTGCCTGGAAACCAAGAGAATTCTCCCAGACCTTGCCCAAGACTATTAAGATGGTACCTCTACAAGTCTGCAAGAACCATAGTGTTACTGGGCTTGGGTACCCACTGAATCAGATACAGCTTAGATCACAACAACCAAGTCCTTTCATATGTCTGTAAATCCTTCCCAGGAAGAAGGGCTATACATAAGCCCAGACAGTGAAGGCTACAATAAATTCCTAACTTTTCAATGCACAGACACCAAAGAACATCTATTAGCACCAACACCATCCAGGAAAACATGACTTTGCCAAATGAATTAAATAAGCCACCAGGGGCCAATCCTGGAAAGACAGAGATATGTGACCTTTAAGACAGAGTATTTAAAATAGCTGTGTTGAAGAAACTCAAAGAAATTCAATATAACACAGGGAAGGAATTCATAATTATATCAAATTTAAGAAAGATATTAAAATCAAAATAATCAAGCAGAAATTCTGGAGCTGAAAGATACAATTGGCATACTGAAGAATGTGTCAGAGTCCTTTAATAGAAGACTTGATCAAGCAGAAGAAAAAATTGCTGAGCTTGAAAATAGGCTATTCAAAAATACACAGTCAGAGGAAACAAAAGAAAAAAGAATAAAGAAGAATGAAACATGCCTACAGGATCTAGAAAATAACCTCAAAATGGCATATTTAAAAGTTACTGTCCTTAAAGAGGAGGTAGAAAAATATATAGTGGTCAAAAGTTTATTGGCAGATATAATAGCAGCCAACTTCACAAATCTAGAGAAATATATCAATATTCAAATACAAGAAGGTTATAAAACACCAAGCAGATTTAACACAAAGAAAGTATCTTGAGGCATTTAAAAATCAAACTCCCAAAATCAAGGATGAAGAAAGGATCCTAAAAGAAGCAAGAGAAAAGAAACAAATAACACACAGTGGAGCTCTAATATGTCTGGTAGCAAACTTTGTGATGGGAACCTTACAGGCCAGGAGAGAGTAGCATGACGTATTTAAAGTGCTGAAAGAAAATATTTTTACCCTAGAATAGTATATCTTCAAACACAAAGAAGAAATAAGGACTTTCCCAGACAAACAAAAGCTGAAGGATTTCATCAACACCAGACTTGTCCTACAATAAATGCTAAAGGGAGTACATCAATCAGAAAGAAAAGGACATTAATGAGCAATAAATAATCACCTTAAGATGAACTCACTGGTAATAGTAAGTACACAGAAAAATGCAGAATGTTATAAAACTGTACCTGTGATGTGTAAACTACTTTTATCCTAAATAGAAAGACTAAATAATGAAGCAATCAAAATAATTACAACAAATTTTCAAGATACAATAAGATATCTTTTCTATAACTTTTCAAGTATAATAAGAGATAAATAGAAACAACAAAAACTTAAAAAGCAGAGGGATGAAGTTAAGGCATGGAATTTTATTAGTTTTCTTTTTTCTTATTTGTTTGTTTATGAAAATAGTGTGAAGTTGTTATCAGGTTAAAATAATGCATTATAAGGTAGTATTTACAAGCCTCATGGTAACCTCAAATCAAAAAAACATACATTAAATACACACAAAATAAAAATCAAGAAATTAAATCATTTCAACAGGGAAAATCTCCTTCACTAGAGGAAGACAGGAAAGAAGGAAGAGAAGACCACAAAGCAATCAGAAAACAAATAACAAAATGGCAATAGTCAGTACTTACTTATCAATAATTACATTGAATGTATATAGACAAAACTTTCCAATCAAAAGATATAGATTGGCTGAATGGATGTTAAAACAAGATACACTGATTTGCTTTCTACAAGAAACACCCTTAACCTATGAAGACACTGAAAATAAAGGGATGGAAAAAGACATTCCATGACAATGAAAACCAAAAAGGAGCACTAGTCGCTATACTTATATCAGACAAAATAGATTTCAGGACAAAAATTGTAAGAAGAGACAAAGAAGGTCACTATATAATGATGAAGCAGTCAATTCAGCAAAAGCCTATAACAATTTTAAATATATATGCACCCAATGCTAGAGTACCCAGGTATAAAGCAAATATTATTAGAGCTAAAGAGAAATATATCTATATAATAGACATATTGTGTGTCTATATAATGACATATATAATTATATGTCTATAAATATGTCTATATAATAGACATATTTCAATACAATAATTGCTGGGGACTTCAACACTCCACTTTCAGCATTGGACATATCTTCCAGATAGAAAATCAATAAAGAAACATCAGAATTAATCTGCACTATACACCAAATGGACCTAGAGAAAATATTTGCAAACTACCCATCTGACAAGGGATTAATAAGTAATCCCTTGTCACGTTACCAGCTTCCATATTTAAGAAGCTCAACCAACTCTATAGGAACAAAGAGCCTAATAATCTGATCAAAAAAAATGGGCAAAAGGTTTGAATAGAAATTTCTCAAAGGAAGACATACAAGTGGCAAATAGACATATAAAAAGGTGCTCTTATGGGACCAGGCACAGTGGCTCACGCCTGTAATCCCAGCACTTTGGGAGGCTGAGGCGGGCAGATATGAGGTCAGGAGTTCAAAACCAGGCTGGCCAATATGGTGAAACCTCACCTCTACTAAAAATACAAAAACTAGCCAGGCATGGTGGTGTATACTTGTAGTCCCAGCTACTCGGGAGGCTGAGGCAGGAGAATTGCTTGAACCCAGGAGGTGGAGGTTGCAGTGAGCCGAGATTGTGCCACTGTACTCCAGCCTGGGCAATAAAGGGAGACTCTGTCTCAAAAGAAAAAAAAAAAGGTGCTCAAGGTCATTGATCATCAGAGAAATATAAATCAAAACTACAGTAAGGTATCATCTCACACCAGTTAAAATGGCTATTTCAAAAACACAGGCAATAACAAATGCTGGCAAGGATGTGGAGAAAGGGGAACTCTTGAACATTGCTGGTGGAAATGTAAATTAGTACAACCACTATGGAGGTCAGTTTCGAGGATCCTCAACAAACTAAAAATTGAGCTGCCATATGATCCAGCAATCCCTCTGCTGGGTATATATGCAAAAAAAGTACATCAGTATATTGAAGATATAGCTGTGCTCTTATGTTTGTTGCAGCACTGTTTACAATAGCTAAGATTCAGAAGCAACCTAAGTGTCCATCAACAGATGAATGGATAAAGAAAATGTGGAGCATATACACAATAGAGTACTATTCAGTCATAAAAAAGAATGAGATCCAATCATTTGCAACAACATAGGTGGAACTGGAGATCATTATATCAAGTGAAATAAGCCAGGCACAGAAAGACAAACATCGTATGTTCTCACTTATTTGTGGGATCTAAAAATCAAACAAGTGAACTCATGGACATAGAGAATAGAGACATGGATATAGAGAACCAGAGGCGGGAGGGGTAGTCGGGGGTTGGGGGAGGTGGAGATTTTTAATGGGTACAAAAAGTCAAAGAGTGAATAAGTCCTACTATTTGGTAGCATAAAAGGGTGACTACAGTGAATAGTAACTTAACTGTATGTTTTAAAATAACAAGCAATGTAATTGGATTGTTTGTATCTGGAAAAATAAATGCTTGAGGGAATAGAAAAAATATAAAAGAAAATTATTACATTATTTAAAAAATATATAAAACCTCATTGTCAGAATATATGTAATCAGCAGCTTGGTATTCTAATATGTTGGCCTTATGTTCTGACAGTGCTATTACATCAACTGAATAAGGATCACTTGTATCTATCCAAAAAAAGATATTTTTCTAGCAAGAAGCTATCATTCTTATCATTTTTATCTGTGTGTAAGCTGTCAGGGTTTTTCTTCTTTATTACTTTTATGAATTTTCACTTAATCCTTGGTGTTCATCTTTTGACTATGAGTTTTTTTAGTGTAGTTTACTTTGTATTTATTCTATGGGTTTTGCCAAGTTTCTTGGATATATGGGTTAATAGCTTTGTATCAATTTTGAACAATTATAGAGATAATATGTGCAAATATTTCTTCTGTCCCATTCATTTTCTCCTCTCCTTCTGGGACTCCGTTTATGTGAATGTTAAACTGCTTGATTTTAATCCTATAGATCTTGAATGCCCTGTCCCATTTTTCTCCTTTTTTTCTCTTTGTGTTTTGGTTTGAATGATTCCTATTGTCCTGCCTCCAAGTTCATTTATCATTTCTACTGCTTTGTCAAATCTGCTGCTAAGCCTATCAAATACTTTTTCTGTTTTTCCTTCTGGAATTTTAATTTTGTCAGAGTTTGCATCTTTAGGTTGACTTATTGTAGCTTCACTTAGATTTAGCTAACTTTTGTCTTCCAATATTTTGAAGAAGATATTAGGACTTTTCAATCAAGTGGGGCTTAGAATCTGAACACTGGAAGACTCCAAAGCCCTCTTTATTCTTTACTTTAGTCCATCAGCTTTAGTCTCTTTATACTTTTAGCTATCAGCTTTTCAAAGCATAAGAGATGGTTCTCTGCCTTACAGTTCAGTGCCACCTCTTTCATCAATACAGATTTTTCTTTTCCTTTAGTCCTGTCTTCAGATTCTCTGAATCCAGGAAAATTTTTCTCTGTCCTATTTCTTCGTCAAGCCCTGAAAGTTTGCTCCAGCACATTTGGTGCAGATGCAAAAGACCAGAGAAAAAGGAGGAAAGAGAGAGACAGAGACAGAAAGAATGTGTGTGTGTGTGTGTGTGTGTGTGTGTGTGTGTGTGTGTGTGTGTGTGTGTGTGTTGTTGGGCTGTCCTACCTGGCCCCAGTCTTTGGTACACAACTGCTGTGCACTCAGTGAAGATAAGGGTTGTAGGGTGGGTATAGGTTCTCTGAAGCTGGAAGTCCATAGGATTCTAATCCATCCATCACTCTGGACCACAGGTGACTACTAGAAATTTGGTAATAATTAGACTGACATCTCTTTATAACAGATTCCCTCTTGTTGTGTTTCCATAAATGAAAGCAGCTATGAGTTTCTTTATTTAGGTTTATTTGCGTTCTTGACTCTTTAATGGGTTTTTAAAACCTATGATTTTGTAACGTTATCAGCTTGCTTCATTATTAGCTAGGTAGAACTTTGTCTGGTTTTACATAATAGTAAATAAATTACTTTTAAAAGTCCATGACAAATTTATTCTATATCAGAATGTGTGTTGTATAAAGGAAACTGTTTATTTTGAAGGAAAAGGGGTTTTATTGGATTTCGTTATACAATATAAATAATATACTTTTCTTTCCCTTTGGATTTAAGGGAAGTTTTTTTTTTTTTTTTTTTTTTTTTTTTTTTTTTTTTTTTTTTTTTTGAGACAGAGTCTCGCTCTATCACCCAGGCTGCAGTGCAGTGGCACAATCTTGCCTCACTGCAACCTCCACTTACCAGGTTCAAGCAATTCTCCTGTCTCAGTCTCCTGAGTAGCTGGGACTACAGGCACAGGCCACCACACCTGCCTAATTTTTGTATTTTTAGTAGAGATGGGGTTTCACCATATTGGTCAGGCTGGTCACAAACTCCTGACCTCAGCTGATCCACCTGCCTCAGCCTCCCAAAGTGTTGAGATTACAGGCATGAGCCACCGCACCCGGCTGGATTTAAGGGAAACTTTGAAGGAAATATTTTTAAGGGATACCTTAAAAGTATTTCCTTCAAAGTTTCCCTTAAATATTAAATATTTTAAAAATAAATTTAAATATAATAAATAAATTTAAATATAATAAATATAAATAAATTTAAACATTAAAAAACAAATATTTTTAAGGAATACCTTAAAAATATTAGATACATCTTTCCTTAAGCAGTTAATCTTTGTTGGCTCTGATTCAAAGTGATCACAAATTCTGAAATTTCAAAAATTTCTACTCACTTTTCTTTGCCTCTTGATTAGTTTATTCCATTCTCTTTAGCCATGCAGGCATTTCCCTCCCCTCTTCTATAATATGAACTTTTCTTGAATAATCAATTTATTCCATTGGCACAATTTCCACATGTTGTGGGAGGGACCTGGTGGGAGGTGACTGAATCATGGGGGCAGGTCTTTCCCGTTCTGTTCTTGTGATAGTGAATTCTCATTGTATTGACTCCAGTAGAATGCGTAACATTTGGGTTTCACTAAAGGTGTATTCTGCTTTTGCATTGGAGTCATACACTATGATTTTAAAATCACAACTATTCTCATTATGCATCATTTCTTAACCTCTATCAGATTTATACCCATATGATCAGTAGAATTTCATCACATCTTAAATCAAAATAATTCTCAGATAGTATTGAAATGAATCTTCTTTCATTTTGGGAAATCTGAAGACAAAACAAAAAATTGGGCATCTAGGTCACTTGAAAGAGTGTGGGTTTCTTCAAGGGCTTCTGCTAATCTGTTCCTTTTATTTAGCACCTGGTACTGGTAGATCTGGTATACTAGACATTGATACTTTCTGCTTCAAACCTTGTCTGGCCTACAACTTCATCTGCTGAATTCATGGATATTGCACCCTCTAAGCACAAACTGTTTTTGGTTTCCCTATACTTTTGTGCTTACCCATTCCAGGGGAAAGCAGAAACTAGAACTGGGACTAATCCTGATTCCAATAGAAGTTTTGATCTCAGGCCCAGCCCTGGCCCCAGCTTTAGATAGAATTTCAATGATCTCCCTTTCACTAAATCACACAGTCACTTAAAACTCAATCAGTGATTCATTTGGTTTAGCCACCTACCCTTCCAGAGCAAATGGACCTTGGAAAGCTGCCAGTCCTTTATAAGTCAGTGCTAATTAGAGGTATTTTTTCTTTCCACTGAGCACCTAATTGAGATGAGTCACATGAATAAACAAAACAAAACAAAAAATCCCTGTTTCAGAGATAAATAAGATATGAGTAATAATTTCAGATCAGTCCTGAATTGTTACACCAAGTAAGGGATTTTGGTCTTGAGATGCTGGTAGAGAAGAGATGAAATCAACAGGAAATGGTGCAGAAAGGATGCTTAAATGTTGCCAGAAATGAATTTCATCAGCTTAGCAGTTTTGATTAGATCAACCCTTGTTGAGTAATTTTTCAACCTACCATTCAAGATAAAGGAAGCAAATCCTTTTCTGTTTCCCAAAATTCAGTTCTCTGTTAATGAGACTGTGAGGAAGATATACATTTAAAAGAGGGCAAGGAGAGGATACCTGCTCTTAAGTGATGGAGAGATTCTTACATTTTTAAGGTATAAAGTGGCCTAGTTCATCATTTATTTAGGAAGAATGTTGAACCTGATATTATAATACTTGATGTAATATCAAAATATTTAATTCATTAGACATATATAGAGCACCTACTGTGTGCTAGGCATAATTCTGTTAGATCCAAATATAGAAAACTTTTAAAATAAGAATGAAGTGTTTTATGGTGCTTATATTTAAAGACTGTATGAAAAATAGCTTCAAAGGAATAGCTAAGTCTTTGTGCACAAGACAGCCCAGCATGACTTGGGATGCATTAACTTTGGAAAAATCACACTTTATACTGCTCAAACTTCAAGCAAAATCATGTGTTATATGGCAAGGATTTACAAGTGTAGGTACCTGTCTTTGAATTTATACTCAGAGTCTAAGTTGATTTAAAAAAAAAAAAAACAGCTTTCTCTTGGTGATATGGTTTGGCTGTGTCCCCACCCAAATCTCATCTTGAATTCCCATGTGTTGTGGGAGGAACCTGGTGGGAGGTGATTGAATCATGGAGGGCAGGTCTTTCCCTTTCTGGTCTCATGATAGTGAATGGGTCTCACAAGATCTGATGGTTTTAAAAACGTGAGTTTCCCTGCACAAGCTCTCTTTTTTTGCCTGCTGCCATCCATGTAAGATGTGACTTGCTCCTCCTGCCTTCCACCATGATCATGAGGCCTTCTCAGCCATGTGGAACTGTAAATCCAATAAACCTTTTTCCATATAAATTACCCAGTCTCAGGTATGTCTTTATCAGCAGTGTGAAAACGGACCAATACACTTGGTTTATTTATTTTTTTAGTAATGACAAAAAAGACAGGTAAGTTTTTTCATACTACCCAATTTCACATCTGCTTATGATACATAAAAGACATATTAATATTTTGACATTTAAAATGCATATTGCAATCATAGATGCATAAAATCAAAAGGAAATAATTCTGATTTCATTTTTATTTCTATTCATATTTTCTCCAAGTTAAGAAGATCTTTGCTTAACTTATTTTTAGGAACACTGTGTTACATATGTTTCCTCAAAAACTTTTGGTTTTGGCTCCTACATCTAAAGAGCTTAAAAGTTGTCACTCCTGTTCTTACAACAAGAAAAAAATGAACAAACTGGAAATCAGTGACTTTTCTTGGACTCATTAAAGAACTGAGCTGCAAGGCAAACCTCCACCCTAAATCTGGAAAGACAAGTAAATCCAGAGCGTCACAGTCAAGCCCTGCTAACCTGAAACAGTAGCTGCTAGAGCCATAAACTTGTTAAAACATTTTAACAGTAATTTTGATGAATTGCTGGAAGCTGGTTCTGGACTAGCATGAGAATGAGAAACTCTTGGGGCATTGCAGTCTGGGGCGTGAGGCCCACAATTTCATGGGTTTTACCTCCAAGAACCTCACTAGGTTCTCATGATGAAGAGCCAAGAAATATATCCTTATTGCTCAGGCAGAGGAAGAGGAAGAGTGATTACTGAGAAATATATCTAGAGAGTCTTTATAGCAAAGGCCTACTTTTCAGGGAAAAAGACACTACTAGAACTTTATCTCATCTAAGGTAAGGGCATTTTCTTCTCACCCTCAGCCCTTTCTAGGCTCCCTGTCTCACCTAATGGGAGAGAAAGATAAGAAATATTCCCGAATGTCACAGTCTTCACAGTGGAGGAAAAAAGCCCACTAAAAAGACTGAAAATCCTTTTTTTTTCTTTTTCTTTTTTTTTTATTATTATACTTTAAGTTTTAGGGTACATGTGCATATTGTGCAGGTTAGTTACATACGTATACATGTGCCACGCTGGTGCACTGCACCCACTAACTCATCATCTAGCATTAGGTATATCTCCCAATGCTATCCCTCCCCCCTCCCCCCACCCCACAACAGTCCCCAGAGTGTGATGTTCCCCTTCCTGTGTCCATGTGATCTCATTGTTCAATTCCCACCTATGAGAGAGAATATGCAGTGTTTGGTTCTTTGTTTTTGCGATAGTTTACTGAGAATGATGATTTCCAATTTCATCCATGTCCCTACAAAGGATATGAACTCATCAGTTTTTATGGCTGCATAGTATTCCATGGTGTATATGTGCCACATTTTCTTAATCCAGTCTATCATTGTTGGACATTTGGGTTGGTTCCAAGTCTTTGCTATTGTGAATAATGCCACAATAAACATACGTGTGCATGTGTCTTTATAGCAACATGATTTATAGTCCTTTGGGTATATACCCACTAATGGGATGGCTGGGTCAGATGGTATTTCTAGTTCTAGATCCCTGAGGAATCGCTACACTGACTTCCACAATGGTTGAACTAGTTTACAGTCCCACCAACAGTGTAAAAGTGTTCCTATTTCTCCACATCCTCTCCAGCACCTGTTGTTTCCTGACTTTTTAATGGTTGCCATTCTAACTGGTGTGAGATGGTATCTCATTGTGGTTTTGATTTGCATTTCTCTGATGGCCAGTGATGATGAGCATTTTTTCATGTGTCTTTTGGCTGCATAAATGTCTTCTTTTGAGAAGTATCGGTTCATGTCCTTCGCCCACTTTTTGTTGGGGTTGTTTGTTTTTTTCTTGTAAATTTGTTTGAGTTCATTGTAGATTCTGGGTATTAGCCCTTTGTCAGATGAGTAGGTTGCAAAAATTTTCTCCCATTTTGTAGGTTGCCTGTTCACTCTCATGGTAGTTTTTTTTGCTGTGCAGAAGCTCTTTAGTTTAATTAGATCCCATTTGTCAATTTTGTCCTTTGTTGCCATTGCTTTTGGTGTTTTAGCCATGAAGTCCTTGCCCATGCCTATGTCCTGAATGGTAATGCCTAGGTTTTCTTCTAGGGTTTTTATGGTTTTAGGTCTAATGTTTAAGTCTTTAATCCATCTTGAATTGATTTTTGTATAAGGTGTACGGAAGGGATCCAGTTTCAGCTTTCTACATATGGCTAGCCAGTTTTCCCAGCACCATTTATTAAATAGGGAATCCTTTCCCCATTGCTTGTTTTTGGCAGGTTTGTCAAAGATCAGATAGTTGTAGATATGTGGCGTTATTTCTGAGGGCTCTGTTCTGTTCCATTGATCTATATCTCTGTTTTGGTACCAGTACCATGCTGTTTTGGTTACTGTAGCCTTGTAGTATAGTTTGAAGTCAGGTAGTGTGATGCCTCCAGCTTTGTCCTTCTGGCTTAGGATTGACTTGGCGACACAGGCTCTTTTTTGGTTCCATATGAACTTTAAAGTAGTTTTTTCCAATTCTGTGAAGAAAGGCATTGGTAGCTTGATGGGGATGGCATTGAATCTGTAAATTACCTTGGGCAGTATGGCCATTTTCACGATATTGATTCTTCCTACCCATGAGCATGGAATGATCTTCCATTTGTTTGTATCCTCTTTTATTTCCTTGAGCAGTGGTTTGTAGTTCTCCTTGAAGAGGTCCTTCACATCCCTTGTAAGTTGGATTCCTAGGTATTTTATTCTCTTTGAAGCAATTGTGAATGGGAGTTCACTCATGATTTGGCTCTCTGTTTGTCTGTTGTTGGTGTATAGGAATGCTTGTGATTTTTGCACATTGATTTTGTATCCTGAGACTTTGCTGAAGTTGCTTATTAGCTTAAGGAGATTTTGGGCTGAGACAATGGGGTTTTCTAGATATACAATCATGTCTTCTGCAAACAGGGACAATTTGACTTCCTCTTTTCCTAATTGAATACCCTTTATTTCCTTCTCCTGCCTAATTGCCCTGGCCAGAACTTCCAACACTATGCTGAATAGGAAGGGTGAGAGAGGGCACCCCTGTCTTGTGCCAGTTTTCAAAGGGAATGCTTCCAGTTTTTGCCCATTCAGTATGATATTGGCTGTGGGTTTGTCATAGATAGCTCTTATTATTTTGAAATACATCCCATCAATACCTAATTTATTGAGAGTTTTTAGCATGAAGGTTTGTTGAATTTTGTCAAAGGCCTTTTCTGCATCTATTGAGATAATCATGTGGTTTTTGTCTTTGGCTCTGTTTATATGCTGGATTACATTTATTGATTTGCATATATCAAACCAGCCTTGCATCCCAGGGATGAAGCCCACTTGATCATGGTGGATAAGCTTTTTGTTGTGCTGCTGGATTCGTTTTGCCAGTATTTTATTGAGGATTTTTGCATCATTGTTCATCAAGGATATTGGTCTAAAATTCTCTTTTCTCGTTGTGTCTCTGCCCAGCTTTGGTATCAGAATGATGCTGGCCTCATAAAATGACTTAGGGAGGATTCCCTCTTTTTCTATTGATTGGAATAGTTTCAGAAGGAATGGTAGCAGTTCCTCCTTGTACCTCTGGTGGAATTCAGCTGTGAGTCCATCTGGTCCTGGACTCTTTTTTGTTGGTAAGCTATTGATTATTGCCACAATTTCAGATCCTGTTACTGGTCTATTCAGAGATTCTACTTCTTCCTGCTTCAGTCTTGGGAAAGTGTATGTGTACAAGAATTTATCCATTTCTTCTAGATTTTCTAGTTGATTTGCGCAGAGGTGTTTGTAGTATTCTCTGATGGTAGTTTGTATTTCTGTGGGATCGGTGGTGATATCCCCTTTATCATTTTTTATTGTGTCTATTTGATTCTTCTCTCTTTTTTTCTTTAGTAGTCTTGCTAGCGGTCTTTCAATATTGTTGATCCTTTCAAAAAACCAGCTCCTGGATTCATTAATTTTTTGAAGGGTTTTTTGTGTCTCTATTTCCTTCAGTTCTGCTCTGATTTTAGTTATTTATTGCCTTCTGCTAGCTTTTGAATGTGTTTGCTCTTGCTTTTCTAGTTCTTTTAATTGTGATGTTAGGGTGTCAATTTTGGATCTTTCCTGCTTTCTCTTGTGGGCATTTAGTGCTATAAATTTCCCTCTACACACTGCTTTGAATGCGTCCCAGAGATTCTGGTATGTTGTGCCTTTGTTCTCATTGGTTTCAAAGAACATCTTTATTTCTGCCTTCATTTTGTTATGTACCCAGTAGTCATTCAGGAGTAGGTTGTTCAGTTTCCATGTAGTTGAGCAGTTTTGAGTGAGACTCTTAATCCTGAGTTCTAGTTTGATTGCACTGTGGTCTGAGAGATAGTTTGTTATAATTTCTGTTCTTTTACATTTGCTGAGGAGAGCTTTACTTCCAAGTATGTGGTCAATTTTGAAATAGGTGTGGTGTGGTGCTGAAAAAAATGTATATTGTGTTGATTTGGGGTGGAGAGTTCTGTAGATGTCTATTAGGTCTGCTTGGTGCAGAGCTGAGTTCAATTCCTGTGTATCCTTGTTGACTTTCTGTCTCGTTGATCTGTCTAATGTTGATAGTGGGGTGTTAAAGTCTCCCATTATTAGTGTGTGGGAGTCTAAGTCTCTTTATAGGTCACTCAGGACTTGCTTTATGAATCTGGGTGCTCCTGTATTGGGTGCATATATATTTAGGATAGTTAGCTCTTCTTGTTGAATTGATCCCTTTACCATTATGTAATGGCCTTCTTTGTCTCTTTTGATCTTTGTTGGTTTAAAGTCTGTTTTATCAGAGACTAGGATTGCAACCCCTGCCTTTTTTTTTTGTTTTCCATTTGCTTGGTAGATCTTCCTCCATCCTTTTATTTTGAGCCTATGTGTGTCTCTGCACATGAGATGGGTTTCCTGAATACAGCACACTGATGGGTCTTGACTCTTTATCCAATTTGCCAGTCTGTGTCTTTTAATTGGAGCATTTAGTCCATTTACATTTAAAGTTAATATTGTTATGTGTGAACTTGATCCTGTCATTATGATGTTAGCTGGTTATTTTGCTCGTTAGTTGATGCAGTTACTTCCTTGTCTCGATGGCCTTTATATTTTGGCATGGTTTTGCAGCGGCTGGTACCGATTGTTCCTTTCCATGTTTAGCACTTCCTTCAGGAGCTCTTTTAGGGCAGGCCTGGTGGTGACAAAATCTCTCAGCATTTGCTTGTCTGTAAAGGATTTTATTTCTTCTTCATTTATAAAGCTTAGTTTGTCTGGATATGAAATTCTGGGTTGAAAATTCTTTTCTTTAAGAATGTTGAATATTGGCCCCCACTCTCTTCTGGCTTGTAGGGTTTCTGCCAAGAGATCCGCTGTTAGTCTGATGGGCTTCCCTTTGAGGGTAACCCGACCTTTCTCTCTGGCTGCCCTTAACATTTTTTTCCTTCATTTCAACTTTGGTGAATCTGACAATTATGTGTCTTGGAGTTGCTCTTCTCGAGGAGTATCTTTGTGGTGTTCTCTGTATTTCCTGAATCTGAATGTTGGCCTGCCTTGCTAGATTGGGGAAGTTCTCCTGGATAATATCCTGCAGAGTGTTTTCCAACTTGGTTCCATTCTCCCCATCACTTTCAGGTACACCAATCAGACGTAGATTTGGTCTTTTCACATAGTCCCATATTTCTTGGAGGCTTTGCTCATTTCTTTTTATTCTTTTTTCTCTAAACTTCCCTTCTCACTTCATTTCATTCATTTCATCTTCCATTGCTGATACCCTTTCTTCCAGTTGATGGCATCGGCTCCTGAGGCTTCTGCATTCTTCATGTAGTTCTCGAGCCTCGGTTTTCAGCTCCATAAGCTCCTTTAAGCACTTCTCTGTATTGATTATTCTAGTTATACATTCTTCTAAATTTTTTTCAAAGTTTTCAACTTCTTTGCCTTTGGTTTGAATGTCCTCTCGTAGCTCAGAGTAATTTGATCATCTGAAGCCTTCTTCTCTCAGCTCGTCAAAGTCATTCTGTGTCCAGCTTTGTTCCGTTGCTGGTGAGGAGCTGCGTTCCTTTGGAGGAGGAGAGGCACTCTGATTTTTAGAGTTTCCAGCTTTTCTGTTCTGTTTTTTCCCCATCTTTGTGGTTTTATCTACTTTTGGTCTTTGATGATGGTGATGTACAGATGGGTTTTTGGTGTGGATGTCCTTTCTGTTTGTTAGTTTTCCTTCCAACAGACAGGACCCTCAGCTGCAGGTCTGTTGGAGTACCCTGCAGTGTGAGGTGTCAGTGTGCCCCTGCTGGGGGGTGCCTCCCAGTTAGGTAGCTCGGGGGTCAGGGGTCAGGGACCGACTTCAGGAGGCAGTCTGCCCGTTCTCAGATCTCCAGCTGCGTACTGGTAGAATCCCTGCTCTCTTCAAAGCTGTCAGACAGGGACATTTAAGTCTGAAGAGGTTACTGCTGTCTTTTTGTTTGTCTGTGCCCTGCCCCCAGAGGTGGAGCCTACAGAGGCAGGCAGGCCTCCTTGAGCTGTGGTGGGCTCCACCCAGTTCGAGCTTCCCGGCTGCTTTGTTTACCTAAGCAAGCCTGGGCAATTGTGGGCGCCCCTCCCCCAGCCTCGCTGCTGCCTTGCAGTTTGATCTCAGACTGCTGTGCTAGCAATCAGCAAGGCTCCGTGGGTGTAGAACCTTCCGAGCCAGGTGCGGGGTATAATCTGAAATTTCATATAGACTGAAATTTCATCATAACATTAAAGAATATTTCCACTGCCACACATTGCCAGCACACCAGTAGAGCTCGGTGTAATGACAGTGGATTATAGCTAAAAGGTCTGCAACATGCAGGCTGTCTCTGAGGAAGGGTACTTAAAGAAGCCCAAAGTCATCAGGGAACATTTTAAAAAAGGACATCAAAGTAATTTAAAGCCTGTGACAAATTCAGATACAGCAAACATTGCATAGAGGCAAACTCCCAGCCAGATTGACATAAAAGCTAACATTAAAGGACATTTGCCTCAGTTCCCATTATATCCGGCTTTCAAGGAGAAATTAGAAGACATACTAAAAGGTAAGAAAAACCACATTCTCCAGAGACAAAGCAAGCATCCAAACTAGACTCATATGCCACAGATGTTGGGATTGTCAAACATGAAATTAAAACCACTATGATTAATATGTTAGGGACTCTAATGAAAAAAGTAAACAACAGAGAGCAACAGAAGGGTAATGTAAGCAGATAAATTAAAAGTCCAAGAAAGAATCAAAAACATTATAACAGCTGAGAAGAATGCCTTTGGTGTCATTAATAGACTGGGCACAGTCTAGGAAAGAATAAATGTGCTTGAATCGAAGTCAATGGGAATTTCTCATGCCAAAATGCAGAGAAAAAAATGATACAAGTAGAACAGAATACCTAAGAACTGTGTGATAATTTCACAAGTGTTACATGTGCATAACTAAAATATTAGGCAAAGAAAAAGACAAAAAGGATTATTTGAAGCACTAGCAGTCAAGACCATTGCAAAATTAATGAGACCCCCTGTCACAAACCCAGGAAGCTCAGGGATCACTAAAGCACAGTAAGTTCCAAACAAAAATGTCGACCTACCCTTAGTCACAGCATACTCAACTTGCAGAAAATCAGACAAAAAGAAAACCTTGAAATAAATTAGAGGAAAAAAATATGGCATTTTTACCTATACAGGGAAAAATACAAAGATAAGAATTAAAGCGAACTTCTTGTCAGAAACTATAAAGCAAGAAGGGAGTAGAATGAAATAATTGAAGTGCTTAAGAAAAAAAAAACACCAACTAGATCCAGGGAAATTATTTTTCACAAAATGATGGAGAAATAAAGACTTTCTCAAACAAACAGCAACTGAAGAAATGTACCAACAGCATACCTGTCTTGTAAGAAATATTAAAAGAAGTTGTTCAGGAAGAAGGAAAATGATAATAGATTTACAAACTCAGATTTACATTTAGAGAGAAAGAGCCTCGGATAAGAAATTAAAACAGCTAAATAAAATCTATCTTTTTCTTATTCATAATTGAGCTAAAGAATGTTTGTTTAAAGTCATAATAGTAACAATGTATTGGGTGATTATAGCTTATTAATAAGTAAAATAAATGACAGCAATGTCCTAAGGATGGACAGGAGGGAATAATTAGAAATACTTTGTTATGAGGCATCTACATTACAAATGAAGTCATATAGAGTTACTTGAAGGTGGACTTGGATTGGTTAAAAATGTGTATTGCAAACTGTAGAGGAACCACTAACAAAATTTTAAAAACAAGTGTAATCAATATGCTAAGAGAAGTATTAAATGAAATAATATTAAATGTTCAATTACAACTAGAGAAGGAATAAAAAAGGGGGGGGAAATACCTCCAGAGCTATTTCCTGGAAATAGACAACTGCCTGAAGAAATAATAGGTAACTCTGACATTCCTTGTCCTTTAGTGAATAATTAATTGATGGTCAAATATTAGAGGAAATTTTGGAATGCACAGCATGCCACACTTTGCAACTCTTCTTACAAAACATTTTTTTATAATTAAATTAATTGGTTGCTTGTGTACAAATGTTCTTCCCCAGATTGGTGGCATTCAGATTGCAGGACCCTATATTTCACTGTGTCCTCCGTTTGGTACTTTTTAAAAAACTAGTTGAATACAATTGATTTATCCAGGAAATTAACAATTTATTTAATTCTCTCAAAATCAATTCCAATGCCTGTAATCCCAGAACTTTGGGGGGCTGAGGCGGGTGGATCACTTGAAGTCAGGAGTTCAAGGCCAGCCTGGCTAATATGGTGAAACCCCATCTCTTCTAAAAAAGGCAAAAATCAGCCGGGTATTTTGGCGGGCACCTGTAGTCCCAACTACTAGGGAGGCTGAGTGATAAGAATCACTTGAGCCCAGGAGGTGGAGACTACAGTGAGCCAGATCGCCCCACAGCACTCCAACCTGAGTGACAGAATGAGACTCTGTCTCAAAAAAAAAAAAAATCAGTTCCAAGTTAGATCCAGTAACTAGTAACAGGAATATTTAGGTGATTGCTGTCGAGGAAGACAGATATTGAGGTTAAAACACAGACACACAGACACACACACACACACACACACACACACACAGAGTAATTACAGCAGTTCTTCAAATTTGCTATCCTACTGGTATTTGGCTCAAAGAGTTTCTCAGTAAGATGATCATCTAAAAGTGCTGCTGATAGCTCCTTTTCGAGTTCAAAACTCTTTTAAGGATTTCGGTTAATTTATTTTCCCCAATAGTTCAGGCTTAATCTGATAAACACTGAAAATATATTTTAAAAGTAGATGTTTTATACCTATTTCTACTTATGCCATTTAAATCTTTATTACATCAA
Source organism: Homo sapiens (assembly GCF_000001405.40). Lineage (NCBI taxonomy): Eukaryota > Metazoa > Chordata > Mammalia > Primates > Hominidae > Homo > Homo sapiens. The sequence goes on from NC_000003.12 coordinate 99,296,973, forward strand.
TGAAAATTATTGTCTCCATATTTTTCTGTATTTATATTTTGTCAAATACAAATAAGATTGTTGTAAAATATGAATAATAAACACTTCAGAAAGGTTACATTATTTACACTTTAAATTAAAAGCAATGGAGAAAGGATTCCCTATTTAATAAATGGTGCTGGGAAAACTGGCTAGCCATATGTAGAAAGCTGAAACTGGATCCCTTCCGTACACCTTATACAAAAATCAATTCAAGATGGATTAAAGACTTAAACATTAGACCTAAAACCATAAAAACCCTAGAAGAAAACCTAGGCATTACCATTCAGGACATAGGTATGGGCAAGAACTTCATGTCTAAAACACCAAAAGCAATGGCAACAAAAGCCAAAATTGACAAATGGGATCTAATTAAACTAAAGAGCTTCTGCACAGCAAAAGAAACTACCATCAGAGTGAACAGGCAACCTACAAAATGGGAGAAAATTTTCACAACCTACTCACCTGACAAAGGGCTAATATCCAGAGTCTACAATGAACTCAAGCAAATTTACAAGAAAAAAACGAACAACCCCATTAACAAGTGGGCAAAGGATATGAACAGACACTTCTCAAAAGAAGACATTTATGCAGCCAAAAGACACATGAAAAAATGCTCATCATCACTGGCCATCAGAGAAACGCAAATCAAAACCACAATGAGATACCTACCATCTCACACCAGTTAGAATGGCAACCATTAAAAAGTCAGGAAACAACAGGTGCTGGAGAGGATGTGGAGAAATAGGAACACTTTTACACTGTTGGTGGGACTGTAAACTAGTTCAACCATTGTGGAAGTCAGTGTGGCAATTCCTCAGGGATCTAGAACTAGAAATACCATTTGACCCAGCCATCCCATTACTGGGTATATACCCAAAGGACTATAAATCATGCTGCTATAAAGACACATGCACACGTATGTTTATTGTGGCACTATTCACAATAGCAAAGACTTGGAACCAACCCAAATGTCCAACAATGATAGACTGGATTAAGAAAATGTGGCACACAGACACCGTGGAATACTATGCAGCCATAAAAACTGATGAGTTTATATCCTTTGTAGGGACATGGATGAAATTGGAAATCATTCTCAGTAAACTATCGCAAAAAAACCAAACACTGCATGTTCTCACTCATAGGTGAGAACTGAACAATGAGAACACATAGACACAGGAAGGGGAACATCACACTCTGGGGACTGTTGTAGGGTAGGGAGAGGGGTGAGGGATAGCATTAGGAGATATACCTAATGCTAAATGATGAGTTAGTGGGTGCAGCACACCAGCATGGCACATGTATACATATGTAACTAACCTGTACATTGTGCACATGTACCCTAAAACTTAAAGTATAATAATAATTTAAAAAAATTAAAAGCAATTAAATTCAGTCAAAAAATATTCAGTGAGCATTTACCTTCAGACACATTGACAAATTCTACAGTGGGTTATAAAGATGAGTAAGACATGAGCTCAAGAGGAGTTCAGTGACCTACTCATATGGAAGAACCCATTTCATAACAAAATAGCTATTAATAAAACCAGAAGTCTTTTTCATTTATTGTGTTCATGATTTTTTTAGTAAAATTCAATTAGTCAATTAAAACATCTCCCTGATTTATCAATTTTCTGTCCAACTTAAAGTACTCAAGATTCAGCAATATTGCCAATTACTATTCCCTCTTTCCCATGCGTGACTGATATCAGTAAATTATACTGGTATATTTTCAGATTGGCCTTGGGTGTGCCTTTAGAATCTTTTCAAACAGCTGAAGATGTGTCTTCCACTTTATTAGAATTGCCACAAAAGATGAAATTTATTTGCCATCCCTGGTTTAGATTAAAGATGTGTTGTAATCATGTTGTCACAAATAAAAACACTGTGTAGTGTCTGAGTAAATGCTGGATCATATTCTAATTCATTTGAAGACATTTGAAGAACTATCTGGAAAAACACAAACAAAGTAAACTGAAAGTAAAACATTTAGGAATGAGTTGTACAGGAGAAGAGGATCAAAGCCAACAAGAATGCTATAAAGAACAAACATTATTGAATCCTAGTATTCTAAGACATAATATTGTCTTTCAATTAAAAGATTAATTGTCTTTCAATTCATAATATTGTCTTTCAATTAAAAGATTGTCTTTCAAAAACATTAGCAAAAATCTAGAACATAGTATGTCTTGGTACCAGCACAACCATATTCTTTCCATTGAAAACCACGTTTTAAATGTGATAATATTTCTGGTTATCGGAATGTGTCTTATGACAGATTTCAAAAGGAATTTTTTTCCATTATTTATAAAAGTAGACTTTAATGGGTTGACATTACCTGCACTTGTGTGAATTTGGCTACATGTAGACTGTTAAAGTTTATAATATTGAGTCATTTGAATTGGCAGTATCCTAAAAAGTTAAATATTTACCCAAATTTGGATTTTTTAACACCGCTTAAAATGTCTTCGATATTAAAGTATGATTTAGCATATAATTTAGTTATAATATGTAGCATATAATAGAGCATCTTGTAACTCTCAACGCTTCCACTGATAACAAACAACATTGGATCAAATTTAAAATAACCATTTAAAAGGGGCAAGTGAGCTTCCAAAACACTGAAGATAAAAGTGAAAAAATCTGAGAGAAAAGAACTATAGAAAGATAAATTAATAACCATCAGCAGCTTTTATTGTTTTGGAGGTATCTGTCAACCTAGATGTGGGCTAGTAACAGATAATCTAGTTTTATCCTGGCAGAAAGTTGCTCTTAGAGAACAAAAACTTGCAGAATCTTTGCCGTCTCACAGACTAGAGTGAAATGTTAAACTTTTGAAGTATATCTTACATTTAGGCAGTTTTCCCTTTAAGATAAATGCTAAATTTGAAGCTTCATGTGGTAGAAGCCAAAAAAGCCAACTCCTTAAAACACATAAAAACCCCAAACCTGTGAAAAGCACAGAAGAAATTTTGGCAAACTCATAGCTTCAAAGAGACAATGATTTGCAATAAGAACCCACTGTGAAAGAGGATCTGGCAAACATAGTCTCAACTGAACAAGCTCTCAGTTGAAACCACTAAAGGGCTATGCCCAATTAACAGAGCAGAATTAATTGCGCTATGTTCAATTAATAGACAGATTTAGTTTTGCCTAAACTATGTCTAGTATCTACCAAATGCAATTCCTATTTGACTAAAGTGAGTAGTTCTCACTTTATTTTCACAGTAGAAGAAATAGTGAGATAGTAGTATTGGCATAATGAGATAAATGGAATAGAGAATCCAGAAATAGATCAACACATACATATTTGACAAAGATGCCAAGGTATCTCAATGATGAGAGGATAGTCTTTTAAACAAATGGTTCTGAAACAATATCTGTATGATAGATATGCTTCAATCCTTAATAGAACATAAACAAACACTTACTTAAAATGGATCATAGGTTTAAATAAAATAGCTAAAATTATCAAATTTCTAGAAAAAAAGTGTGCAAAGTATTTATGACTTTATGTTAGGCAATTTCATTTCTTAGATAGTACTCAGAAAACATCGATCGTAAAGAAAAAAATGACAAATTGAATATCATCCAAAGTAAAAATGTCTGCTTTTTGAAAAACACTAGAAAGAAGATAAAAAGTAATGCCACATATTTGCAAAACATGTATCTGATAAAAATACTTGTATCAAGAATATATATCTTAAAAGATTCATAGAACTCAGTAATGAGAAAATAAACAATCCAATAAAATGGCTAAACAATTTGAACAAGAACTTCACCAAAAGATTTTAGCATTACTGGGGAAATAGTAAAATTAATATTTTATATTAGACTATAGTAATTCAGGGATAGGTATTATAATCTCCAGGGAAACCACTAAAGAAGAGTAAAAAATATTTGTCTTGGAAGTCAATAGAAGGAAAATAAAATAATAAAAATATTCATTATCCAAAATAATGCAAGAATGAGGGAAAAGAAACTTAAATATTGGAGCCAAATAAAGAAGACTTGTAGTTTGCAAATACAAAATCAAATGTATTAATAATTAGAATAAATACAAATCAAATTTAAAGTTTAATTAAAGGACTAAAATTCTCAGACTGCATAAAGATACAAATTCATTCTATTCTGCTTACAAGAAATAATTAAATAAGTCATACCATGAATACATGAATTAGGAAAAAAGCAAAGTAGACTTTAAGGCAAGAAACATTGTTAGAGATAAAGAGAGACATTTTAATGATGATAAAATTGACTATCCAATAACATGACAAAATGATTTCAAATATGTAAAACAAAACTCATGGAATAAAAGGAGAAGAGATAAATTCAAAACAGTAGTGACAAATTAAAAGATCCTTTCTCATTAACTAATACAATAAGTAGAGAAAAAGAGAGAATATTGTATGTTTCAGGATATACTGGTGATGAATCCACTGTATCACACAGAAATACAATTTAGTAAGTTTGGGAAAACTCTAGGTTTACTAAACAAACATTTATTTTAGTTATTATTCAAGTTATAGATGAACTTAAAATTTTTAATTCTTTAAGTTACCACTTGCATTTTAAAGTAATTTAATTTACAAAAACATTTATTTTAAGAAATAAATCTTCTCAGATAAGTCCAGTGCTGCAAATTTCTGTTATTCTATAAATTGCACATTTTTGAGTAAGAACACTCAGATCCTATGATGTAAGACCACATATATTCTCCAAAATTATAGAGTTAATACTGTTATTGAGAATATATTCTAAACTTAATTTTGGAGTCCTACTTCACGTAGAGTTAAATGTAGAGAAGACCTTAAATGACCTGATGGAGCTGAAAACCATGGCACGAGAACTATGTGACACATGCACAAGCTTCAATAGCTGATTCGAACAAGTGGAATTAAGAGTATCAGTGATTGAAGATCAAATGAATGAAATGAAGTGAGAAGAGAAGTTTAGAGAAAAAAGAATAAAAAGAAACGAACAAAGCCTCCAAGAAATATGGCACTGTGTGAAAAGACCAAATCTATGTTTGATTGTCGTACATGAAAGTGATGGGGAGAATGGAACCAAGCTGGAAAACACTCTTCAGGATATTATCCAGGAGAACTTCCCCAATCTAGCAAGGCAGGCCAACATTCAAATTCAGGAAATACAGAGAATACTGCAAAGACACTCCTCGAGAAGAGCAACCCTAAGACACATAATTGTCAGATTCACCAAGGTTGAAATGAAGGAAAAAATGTTAAGGGCAGCCAGAGAGAAAGGTCGGGTTACCTACAAAGGGAAGCCCATCAGACTAACAGCGGATCTCTCAGCAGAAACTCTACAAGCCAGAAAAAGAGTGGGTGCGAATATTCAACATTCTGAAAGAAAAGAATTTTCAACCCAGAATTTCATATCCAGCCAAACTAAGCTTCATAAGTGAAGGAGAAATAAAATCCTTTACAGACAAGCAAATGCTGAGAGATTTTGTCACCACCAGGCCTGCCTTACAAGAGCTCCTAAAGGAAGCACTAAACATGGAAAGGAACAGCTGGTACCAGCCACTGCAAATTGAGCCATGCCAAATTGTAAAGACCATCGATGCTAGGAAGAAACTGCATCAACTAATGGGCAAAATAACCAGCTAACATCATAATGACAGGAACAAATACACACACAGCAATATTAACCTTAAGTGTAAATGGGCTAAATGCCCCAATTAAAAGACACAGACTGGGAAATTGGATAAAGAGTCAAGACCCATCAGTGTGCTGTATTCAGGAGACCCATCTCACATGCAGAGACACACATAGGCTCAAAATAAAGGGATGGAGGAAGATCTACCAAGCAAATGGAAAGTGAAAAAAAAGGCAGGGGTTGCAATCCTAGTCTCTGATAAAACAGACTTTAAACCAATAAAGATCAAAAGAGACAAAGAAGGCCATTACATAATGGTAAAGGGATCAATTCAACAAGAAGAGTTAACTATCCTAATTATATATGCACCCAGTACAGGAGAACCCAGATTCATAAGCCAAGTCCTTAGAGACCTACAAAGAGACTTAGACTCCCACACACTAATAATGGGAGACTTTAACACCCCACTGTCAATATTAGACAGATCAATGAGACAGAAGGTTAACAAGGATATCCAGGACTTGAACTCAGCTCTGCAACAAGCAGACCTAATAGACATCTACAGAACTCTCCACCCCAAATCAACAGAACATACATTCTTCTCAGCACCACATCACACTTATTCCAAAATTGACCACATAGTTGGAAGTAAAGTACTCCTCAGCAAATGTAAAAGAACAGAAATCACAACAAACTGTCTCTCAGAACACAGTGCAATCAAATTAGAACTCAGGATTAAGAAACTCACTCAAAACTGCACAACTACATGGAAACTGAACAACCTGCTCCTGAATGACTACTAGGTACATAACGAAATGAAGGCAGAAATAAAGATGTTCTTTGAAACCAATGAGAACACAGACACAACATACCAGAATCTCTGGGACACATTTAAAGCAGTGTATAGAGGGAAATTATTAGCACTAAACGCCCACAAGAGAAAGCAGGAAAGATCTAAAATCAACACCCTAACATCACAATTAAAAGAACTAGAGAAGCAAGAGCAGACACATTCAAAAGCTAGCAGAACACAAGAAAAAACTAAGATCAGAGCAGAACTGAAGGAGATAGAGACACAAAAAACCCTTCAAAAAATCAATGAATCCAGAAGCTGGTTTTTTGAAAACATCAACAAAATTGATAGACTGCTAGCAAGATTAATAAAGAAGAAAAGAGAGAAGAATCAAATAGATGCAATAAAAAATGATAAAGGGGATATCACCACCAATCCCTCAGAAATACAAACTACCGTTAGAGAATACTATAAACACCTCTACACAAATAAACTAGAAAATCTAGAAGAAATGGATAAATTCCTCGACACATACACCCTCCCAAGACTAAACCAGGAAGAAGTTGAATCCCTGAATAGACCAATAACAGGCTCTGAAAATGAGGCAATAATTAATAGCCTACCAACCAAAAAAAGTCCAGGACCAGATGGATTCATAGCTGAATTCTACCAGAGGTACCAAGAGGAGCTGGTACCATTCCTTCTGAAACTATTCCAATCAATAGAAAAAGAGGGAATCCTCCTTAACTCATTTTATGAGGCCAGCATCACCCTGATACCAAAGCCTGGCAGAGACACAACAAAAAAAGAGACTTTTAGACCAATATCCCTGATGAACATCGATGCAAAAATCCTCAGTAAAATACTGGCAAACCAAATCCAGCAGCACATCACAAAGTTTATCCACCACAATCAAGTTGGCTTCATCCCTAGGATGCAAACCTGGTTCAACATACACAAATCAATAAATGTAATCCATCACATAAATAGGACAAAAGACAAAACCACATGAGTATTTCAACAGATGCAGAAAAGGCCTTCAACAAAATTCAACAGCTCTTTGTGCTAAAAACTCTCAGTAAACAAGATATTGATGGACCATATCTGAAGATAATAAGAGCTATTTATGACAAACCCACAGCCAATATCATACTGAATGGGCAAAAACTGGAAGCATCCCCTTTGAAAACTGGCACAAGACAGGGATGCCCTCTCTCACCACTCCTATTCAACATAGTGTTGGAAGTTCTGGCCAGGGCAATCAGGCAAGAAAAAGAAATAAAGGGTATTCAATTAGAAAAAGAGGAAGTCAAATTGTCCCTGTTTGCAGATGACATGATTGTATACTTAGAAAACCCCACTGCCTCAGCCCGAAATCTCCTTAAGCTGATAAGCAACTTCAGCAAAGTCTCAGGATACAAAATCAATGTGCAAAAATCACAAGCATTCCTATACAACAATAACGGAAAAACACAGAGCCAAATCATGAGTGAACTCCCATTCACAATTGCTACAAAAAGAATTAAATACCTAGGAATCCAACTTACAAGGGTTGTGAAGGGCCTCTTCAAGGAGAACTACAAACCACTGCTCAACGAGATAAAAGAAGACACAAACAAATGCAAGAACATTCCATGCTCATGGGTAGGAAGAATCAATATCATGAAAATGGCCATACTGCCCAAGGTAATTTATAGATTCAATGCCATCCCCATCAAGCTACCAATGACTTTCTTCACAGAATTGGAAAAAACTACATTAAAGTTCATATGGAACCAAAAAAGAGCCCACATTGCCAAGACAATCCTAAGCAAAAAGAGCAAAGCTGGAGGCATCACAATACCTGACTTCAAACTATACTACAAGTCTACAGTAACCAAAACAGCATGGTGCTTATACCAAAACAGAGATATAGACCAATGGAACAGAACAGAGTCCTCCGAAATAACACCACACATCTACAACCATCTGATCTTTGACAAACCTGACAGAAACAAGAAACGGGGAAAGGATTCCCTATATAATAAATGGTGCTGGGAAAACTGGCTAGCCATATGTAGAAAGCTGAAACTGGATCCCTTCCTTAAACCTTATACAAAAATTAATTCAAGATGGATTAAAGACTTAAACGTTAGACCTAAAACCATAAAAATCTTAGAAGAAAACCTAGGCAATATTGTTCAGGACATAGGCATGGGCAAGGACTTCATGACTAAAACACCAAAAGCAATGGCAACAAAAGCCAAAATTGACAAATGGGATCTAATTAAACTAAAGAGCTTCTGCATAGCAAAAGAAACTACCATCAGAGTGAATAGGCAACCTTCAGAATGGGAGAAAAATTTTGCAATCTACTCATCTAACAAAGGGCTAATATCCAGAATCTACAAAGAACTTAAACAAATTTACAAGAAAAAACCCCATCAAAAAGTGAGCAAAGGATATGAACAGACACTTCTCAAAAGAAGACATTTATGCAGCAAACTGACACATGAAAAACTGCTCATCATCACTGGTCATCAGAGAAATGCAAATCAAAACCACAGTGAGATACCATCTCACACCAGCTAGAATGATGATCATTAAAAAGTCAGGAAACAGGTGCTGGAGAGGATGTGAAGAAATAGGAACTCTTTTACACTGTTGGTGGGACCGTAAACTAGTTCAACCACTGTGGAAGACAGTGTGGCAATTCCTCAGGAATCTGGGTCTAGAAATACCATTTGACCCAGCTATCCCATTACTGGTTATATACCCAAAGGATTATAAATCATGCTATTATAAAGACACAGGCACACGTATGTTTATTGCGGCACTATTCACAACAGCAAAGGCTGGGAACCAATCCAAATGTTCATCAATGATAGACTGGATTAAGAAAACGTGGCAAATGTACACCATGGAATACTATGCAACCATAAAAAGGATGAGTTCATGTCCTTTGTAGAGACATGGATGAAGCTGGAAACCATCATTCTGAGCAAACTATCGCAAGGACAGAAAACCAAACACTGCATGTTCTCACTCATAGGTGGGAATTGAACAATGAGAACACTTGGACACAGGGCGGGGAACATCACACACTGGGGACTGTCATGGGTTGGGAGGATGGGGAGGAATAGCATTAGGAGAAATACCTAATGTAAATGACGAGTTAATGGGTTCAGCAAATCAACATGGCACATGTATACCTACATAACAAGCCTTCACGTTGTGCACATGTAACCTAGAACTTAAAGTATAATTTAAAAAGTTAAATAAAAAGCATATATAAACTCTATGTTTTGTGCCATTTAAATTTTGATCAAGTTTGTACATCATCTGAAGACTGTTGGTAGATGCAGACTATATAAAGTAGTTATCATAAAACCCACCAATGGTTATGAAAACCTTCCTAGCTAACGACGTTACTGTATTTCTTACAAACAGAGGTATATAAACGTTTTTGTTTTACAGGTTGGAAAACTGAGATTAAAAATCCCTTACTTTTTGCCTGCATCACTCTATCTCATCTTGCACAATACTTGAGCCATCTCCATATGAAATCTCGGCAATAAATGACATTGTTGACCATGCCCTATTTCCCTAAACTCTCTCCAAAAACATTTATGAAGTTAGTTATATACAAGTGAGGTTGGTCTTTTTCAATATCAGGACTATTAAGATATCAGGACAGTTAGGAGATAGGTAACTAAATGAGATCAACAAGGGATTAATATGTAGGCTATACCAGAAACACCTGGATATTGATAAGAAAATGATATCAATACCAACGGGAGAAAGTGAGCAAAGGATATAAACAGGCAATTTTTGGAGGAGAAAATTTTTGTAAGTCTAACAGGCATATAAATACTTCAATTCATTAGTAGTAGAAGAATTATACACCACCTCTCTCCAAATTCTTACACAGGTCTACAAATAACTATGTACATGGATATTCTTTGCAACATTATTTGGATGATGGAAAGCTGGAAGCAATCTATTTCAGGGGTCCCCAACTTGATCCCACAAGCTCTATTGTGAACTGTACATTTGAGGGATCTAGGTTGTGTGCTCCTTAAGAAAATCTCATGCCTGATGATCTCTCACTGTCTCCCATTATCCCCAGATGGGACAATCTAGTCGCAGGAAAACAAGCTTAGGGCTCCCAATGATGCTACATTATGGTTAGTTGTATAATTATTTTTTTACATTACAATGTAATAGTAATAGAAATAAAGTGCACAATAAATGTAATGCACTTGAATCTCCCTGAAACCATCTACCCACCTGCAGTCTGTGGAAAAACTTGTTTTCCACAAAACTGGTCCCTGGTGCCAAAAAGATTGTGGACTGCTGATCTCTGTGACCTTCAGTACGAGAGTAGAAGCATATCTTTGAGGACAATGCCTCAAGTAAAATAATGGATTATAAGCATATGGCAACAGAACTGGACCTAAAAATCAGACATGCAATACCACCTACATAACTTAAGAATATATGATTACAAAGATACATTTCATATTTTGTTAGAACATAGAGAAGTAAAAAGATACACAGTAAACAATATGAATGACTGTAGTGGAAAGGAGAAACAGTGTAAACCATGTGGATAAAGACAAACAATGGGATCAAGATGATGCTGGCCTCATACAATGAGTTGAGGAGGAGTCCCTCCTCTCAATTTTTCGGAATAGTTTCTCTAGGAATGGTACCAGCTCTTCTTTGTACATCTGGTAGAATTTGGCTGTGAATCTATCAGATCCTGGGCTTTTTTTGATTGGTAGGCTACTTATTACTGATTCAGTTTTGGAACTCATTATTGGTCTGTTCAGGGAACAAATAGCCAGGAAAAAACTGAATCAATTTCTTCCTGGCTCAGTCTTGGGAGGGTGTATGTGTCCAGGAATTTTTCCATCTCTTCTAAGTTTTCTAGTTTGTGTGCATACAGGTGTTCATAGTAGCTTCTCATGGCTGTTTTTATTTCTGTGTAGTCAGTAGTAACATTCCCTTTGTCATTTCTAATTGTGTTTATTTGAATTTTCTCTTTTTTCTTCTTTATTATTCTAGCCAATGTCCCATCTCTTTTACTATTTCTTTCAAAAAACCAACTCCTGGATTCATTGACCTTTTGAATACTTTGTTGTGTCTTGATTTCCTTCAGGTCAGCTCTGATTTTTGTTATTTCTTGCCTTCTGCTAGCTTTGGGGTTGATTTGCTCTTGCTGCTCTAATTCTTTCCGTTGTGAAGTCAGGTTGTTAATTTGAGATCTTTCTAACTTTTTGATGTGTGTATTTAGTGCTATGAATTTCCCTCTTAACACTGTTTTAGCTGTGTCCCAGATATTCTGGTATGTTGTATCTTTGTTCTCATTATTTTCAAAGAACTTCTTGATTTCTTCCTTAATTTCATTATTTACCCAGAAATTATTCAGGAACATGTTGTTTAATTTCCATGTAATTGCATGGTTTTAAGAGATTTTTATAGTCTTGACTTCCATTTTTATTGTGCTGTAGTCTGAGAGTGTGTTTGGTAGGATTTTGATTCTTTTACATTTGCTGAGGATTGTTTAATGTCCAATTATATGGTTGATTTTAGAGTATGTGCCATGTGGCAATGAGAAAAATGTATATTCTGTAGTTTTGGATGGAGAGTTCTGTAAAGTCTCTCAGATCCATTTGGTCCAGTGTTGAGTTTAGGTCCTGAATATCTTTCCTAATATTCTTCCTCAATGATCCATCTAATACTGTCAGTGACATGTTGAAGTCTCCCACTATTATTGTATGTGAGTCTATGTCTCTTGGTAGGTCTCTGTTAACTTGCTTTATGAATCTGAGTGCTCCTGAGTTAGGTGCATATATATTTAGGATAGTTAAGACTTCTTGTTAAATCAAATCCTTTAGTCTTATGTAATGCCCTTCTTTGTCTTTTTTGACTTTGTTGGTTTAAAGTCTGTTTTGTCTGAAATCAGAATTGCAACCTGCGCTTTTTTATGTTTTTCTTTTGCCTGGTAGATTTTCCTCCATCCCTTTATTTCCACCCTGTGAGTGTCATCAAGTGTGAGATGGGTCTCTTGAAGACAGCATACCATTAAGTCTTGCTTTTTTATCCAGCTTGCCACTCTGTGACTTTGAAGTGGGCTATTTAGCCCATTTACATTCAAGGTTAGTAATTATATGTGTGGATTGTCACTGTACTGTTAGCTGGTCATTATGTTGGCTTGATTGTGTGGTTGCTTTACAGTGACACTATTCTGTGTGTTTAAGCAGAGACACAACAAAAAAAGAAAACTTCAGGCCAATATCCTTGATGAACATCAATGCAAAAATCTTCAACAAAATACTTTCAAACTGAGTTCAGCAGCACATCCAAAAGCTAATCTACCATGATCAAGCAGGCTTCATCCTGGGATGCAAGTTCATTCAATATACACAAACAAATAAATGTGATTCATCGCGTTCACAGAACTAAAGAAAAACACCACATGATTATCACAACAGATGCAGAAAAGGCTTTCCATAAAATTCAGCACCACTTCATGTTAAAAACTCTCAATAAACTAGGTATTGAAGAAACATACCTCAAAACAATAAGAGCCATCTATGACAAACCCACAGCCAACATCATACCCAATGGGCAAAAGCTGGAAGCATTCCTCTTGAAAACTGACACAAGAAAAGAATGCCCTCTCTCACCACTCCTATTCCTAGTAGTACTACAAGCCCTAGCAAGAGTAATTAGGCAAGAGAAAGAAATAAAGGACATCCAAATAGGAAAAGAGGAAGTCAACTATCTCTGTTTGCAGAAGACATAATTCTATATCTAGAAAGCCCCACAGTCTCAGCCCCAAAGCTCCTCCAGCTAATAAATAACTTCAGCAAAGTTGCAGGATACAAAATCAATATGTGAAAATCACTAGCATTTCTATACACCAATAACAGCCAAATTGAGAGTCAAATCAGAAAAGCAATCTCATTCAAAATTGCCACAAAAAGAATAAAATACAAAGGAATACAGCTAACCAGGGAGGTGAAAGAGCTCTACCATGGGAATTACAAAACATCGCTCACAGAAATAAGAGAAGACACAAACAAATGGAAAAACATCCCATGCACGTGGATAGGAAAAATCAATATCATTAAAATGGCCATACTGCACAAAGCAATGTACAAATTCAATGCTATTCTTATCAAGCTAGCAATGACATTCTTCACAGAACAAGAAAAAACTATTTTAAAATGCACATGGTATCAAAAAAAGCCCAAATACCCAAGGCAATCCTAAGGAAAAAGACCAAAGCTGAAGCATAATGTTACTTGACTTCAAACTATACTACAAGGCTGCATTAACTAAAATAGCATGGTACTGGTACAGAAACAGGCACATAGACCAGTGAAACAGAATAGAGAGCCCAGAAATAAGGCCACACATCTATGACCATCCAATCTTTGACAAAGCTGACAAAAAACAGCAATAGGGGAAAAGACTCCCTATTCAATAAATGGTGCTGGGGTAACTGGCTAGCCATATGCTGAAAAATGAAGCTGGACTTCTTCCTTACACCATATAGAAAAATCAACTCAAGATTGACTGAAGACTTAATGGTAAAATCCAAAACTATAAAAACTCCGGCAATGACATTCTTCACAGAACTAGAAAAAAATATTTTAAAATTCATATGGTACCAAAAAAGCCCAAATAGCCAAAGCAATCCTAAGCAAAAAGACCAAAGCCAAAGCATAATGTTACTTGACTTCAAACTATACTACAAGGCTACATTAACTAAAATAGCATGGTACTGGTACAGAAACAGGCACATAGACCAATGGAACAGAAGAGAGAGCCCTAGGCAATGCCAACCTGGACATAAGAACAGGCACACATTTCATGATAAATACACCAAAAGCAATCAGAACAAAAGCAAAAATTGACAAATGGGATCTAATTAAACTTAAGAGCTTCTGCACAGCAAAAGAAACTATCAGCAGAGTAAACAGATGACCTACAGAATGAGAGAAAATATTTGCTAACTATTCATCCCACAAAGGTCTAATATCCAGCATCTATAAGGAATGTAAACAAATTAACAAAAAAAAAAAAACCTCCTCATTAAAAAGCAAGCAAAGGGCCAGGCACAGTGCCTCATGCCTGTAATCCCAGCACTTTGGGAGGCCGAGGCAGGCAGCTCACCTAAGGTCAGGAGTTTGAGACCAGCCTGGCCAACATTGTGAAACCCTGTCTCTACTAAAAATACAAAAATTAGCTGGGCGTGGTGGTGGGCATCTGTAATCCCAGCTACTAGGGAGGCTAAGGCAGGAGAATCACTTGAAATCAGAAGGTGGAGGTTGCAGTGAGCCAAGATTGCGCCACTGTACTCCAGCCTGGGCAACAAGAGCGAAACTCCATCTCAAAAAAAAAACAAGTGAGCAAAGGACATGAACAGACACTTCTCAAAAGAAGATATACATACAGCCAACAAGAATAAGAAAAAAAGCTCAATATCACTGATTATTAGATAAGTGCAAATCAAAACCACAATGAGATGCCATTTCACACCAGTCAGAATGGCTATCATTAAAAAGTAAAAAAAAAAAAAAAAAAAAAAAAAAATTACAGATGCTGGCACGGTTGTAGGAAAAAGGGAAAACTTACATGCTGTGGTGGGAGTGTAAATTAGCTCAATCATCGTGGAAAGCAGTGTGGCAATTCCTCAAAAGCTAAAAGCAGAACTATGATTTGACGCAGCAATCCCAGAGGAATATAAATTATTCTACCATAAAGACATATGCATGTGAATGATCATTGCAGCACTATTCACAATAGTAAAGACATGGAATCAACCAAAATGCCCACTGATGACAGATTGGACAAAGAAGATGTGGTACATATACCCCATGGAATACTATGCAGCCATAAAAAAGAATGAGATCACATCTTTTGCAGGAACATGGATGGAGCTGAGGGCTATTAACAAATTAATGCAGGAACAGAAGACCAAATACTGCAAGTTCTTATTTATAAGTGAGAGCTAAATGGTAGGAACTTACAAACACAACAAGGGAAACAACAGACACTGGGGTCTACTTGAGGATATAGGGAGGGAGGAGGGAGAGGAGCAGAAAAGATAACTATTGGGTACTGGGCTTAATGCCTGGGTGATGAAATAATATATACAACAAGCCTCCATAACACATGTTTATCTATGTAACAAACCTTCACAGGTACCCCCAAACCTAAAAAAAAGTTAAAAAAGAAAAAAGTGCGGAAACAATAAATCAAAGAAACACTCTTCCCACACACATCTGCAAACTGTTTCTTTCTCTCGATTATCAGTCTTCTAACCCCCTTTACCTGAGTAACATTATAACTACTTTCCCTCTATCTTCTTTTACTTTTCTTCTCTCCATTTTTTCTACCTTGGACACAGTGACTTTTAAGACTCCAAATCTCTTCATTATATTTCCTTTATAAAAGTTCTAATACTTTAGCTCTTTAGATAACAATTGAATCCTTAGCACAACCATACACTATCTGGCTGCTGCCTACAGTTCCAGCCTCATGCTGGGTATTCTGGTCCTTGGCAACACTCTGATACCTTTAAGTCAATGCCTGTGTCTAGAACATTCTTCCCTCATCTCCTCATCTATTAACTTATATTTATTTTTTAGTTCCGCACTCAGAGTCCTCTCTATACAACCAACTAGAACAGTTCCCTTTGGTATGCTCACAAGAGTACCCAACAATGATTCTTCATATCACTGACCACAGGGTATAAGTGGATCTAGGAAATGTTTTCATAATTTCTATTTTTACCAGATTTTTAGGCTCCTTGGAGTTCGGGATTCTATTTGTTTGCTCACCATCATATTCAATGAACTTGACAGATTTCCAGGCACATAGCTGGCTCTCCGTAGTTATCTCTTCAATTAATAAATAAGTGTAAAAATTCTTGCCTTAAGGACAATATTAGACATCTGCTTTCATCACTTAAAAACAAGAGATTTATAGAAGGAAGTTTAGAATAATAGTAATAATAAAAAGGTTATGAGTCAGAGAAAGAAAGATGTTCAAAAGGGAAAAAGTTTAAATGAAATCAAAACATACACAGCACACTTTACTTCTAGATTTAAGTATTAAATGTTTATCATAACTATGAGAAAACAAAGAGCATCATGTATCTATTTTACATTTCTCTCTTCATAATTTCAGTATAATTCCATAACTGTTGGAAACAAGTTTTAAAATTGCATTCCACATGGCAGCCTTTAAACAATAATGTTTTTTCTGAAACAATGCCAGGAGATTTTACATCACAGATGTCTATGTACCCAAAGATTCATTGTGCAGAAACTTATTCCAAAATATTCCCTTTAAAATTTGCTTATGCATTTCCTTATGTAAACAAGTGAAGGCAGTCAGACATAAGAGAAGAATGAGAATGTTGCTACATTTTTAAGTATACAGCATCTGTTGTATTAAAATAAATATAACATGTTTTTTAATTCTGTGTCATTAAAACTAGCCTACAGGAAACCTCAGGGAGTAAACTATAAGTGGTATACCCCATACACACATATTTAATAATGACTAGCACACAGGGAACCTGTACATTTGCAAAGAAAATCAATGTCAATGTTTCCTATTCAAACTAATTTGGCCATAGGGAGGAATCCTCAGAAATAGGATATTTGTTATTCAGAAGCCAGACTGAGCCTAGATGAGTTTTCAAAAACAAAATCTAATCAGGGTGCTTTTTGTGCCAGGTGCTTTACAAACATTATGTCATTTAATAATCATCCCTTAAGGTATATATAATTATCAACATTTACAGAGGAAGGAACTGAGACTCAGATATATTGAATAATTAACCAGAATAGATGCAGTTAGGTAACAGTGGGGTTGGACTTGAACTCAGGTATAACTCCAAATTCTTCCCGTTGTCCACTCAGGCCTACTTGACAGCATTCTTCCTCTCTTCTTTAAATTTCAATCTTTCTCAGCCTGTGACTATCCCAGTCTCTAAATCCTTCTCAGGATGTTATTCCTCCCAACAATTTCCCTCTGCTCAACTTTGTGCACTTTCACTGTAGTTACTGTGATAGACATTACAAACTTGGAAATTCACTGCTTTGTAGGTATCCTTCTAATTAAAGGTAGTCTAACTAAAGGGTAAGTAACTTGAGACTAATTTCTATTTCTTTGTTCTCTTTCTCCTTTACACTTTTTGGTCATGGAATAACTTGGGCAAGCATTTACCTATTAATGTTAAAGGCTAACATGTGAATAGTTGGAAGAATAACATAATAAATGACAACGTATCATTTCCAAATTTCTGGTGCATATATTAACTTATTTAAGCATCCTTTTCAGCTCAATGTGAAGGGGCCCCCCATGTGGAGTTTGCCTCATTAATTAAGGACTGTGATTAATTAAGGACAAATCCCAAGCTAATCCCAAACAGGCCTCTCCTACTTGATATCCATGTGCATTTTTTCCTTACTAAATGAAACTGGAGAAGAGATTTTTCTTCCAAAGACCAAGCCCATCATAGACTTTCCTCATCTCGACCTTCTTGAGCTTGGGATTCCAGCATATGTTTATTTAATCTAAATAGTCTTCCGTAAATTATTTAAGTTCACTTCAGTGTGCTCACCCATGAAAGTTTGTAGTAATGCATAATGAGATATCTTCAAGGATTAAATGAGATTAATTAGACCAGACAGGTTATAGGGAAAATTCTTAGTCAATGTTAAGTTTCTCTCTTTTACCTTCTCTTAGACTTTCTAATTTATTCTAAGTTCTCATCAGTTCTTGCTCTTTTTCCCTAGTTCCCTTTTTTTCTAGCTATTTATTTCTTCACTAATATCCTTCAAACTTGATCTGCTTATTTTGAATAAATTCTGCAGCCTCAAGGCTTTCTATAACTGAACTCTCCTATCAGCCTCCTATTTCTTTCCCTTACTTTAGAAACTTTGTAGCCTGGAACTTTATCTCGAAGAATAAATTTCTAAAATGGGTAGGTTGTGGTTACATAACTCATCTTGAATTTGAGCATGCCGAAAACCTTCATTAAATTCATATGTCCTGCTGTGAGAAGATAGAGCCGTTCTTTTCCTCTCAACATTACCATAAAAGGGCATCATGTCTCCATTTAATTAGAGTCCACTACCCCTGTCTCTAGCCAAGCTAGAGATATTTTCAAATCTACCATGATTTTTGAAACATGGTGTGGCTTGCTATAAGACTCACTTTCAGTAAACTTGATATTTGGGTATATACTATATAAATTATAACAGTAAGAAAATCTAGGAGAATAATTATGGGAAATATTCAGAAATGGTCATAAGGAATAACTATAATCATTGGTAGTAGGGTATAATGCTTAAGCTTAATGGTAATGTCAATGGCATTGTGATTGTGTTGGTTTGGAAATATGGCCCCCAAATCCTTTTGACCCTCTTCCCATCAAGGGCTCTATGTCCTTTACCCTTAAATTTGGGCTCTGTGACTTCTTGAATCATAGAATATGCCAAAGTGACATCGTTCAATTTTCTAGGCCAGGCAACCAAAAATTGGTAACTTCCATTTCTTCTTTCTTAGTACATTTGCTCTTGGATCCCATCCACCACGCTGTGAGGAAGCCAAATTACCTCATGAAGATGCCCTCAAGGAGCTGAACCAAAGGCTCTGGCCCATAGCCTTACGGATCTCCAAGTTGAAAGTCAGCACCAACCTGCTAGTCATAAGAGTGAGTCATCTTGACAGTAGATCCTCCAGCCTCCAACAGATGCCCTGTGGAGCAGAGAGGAGTCATTCCTATCAAACCCTGAAAAATTCTAGATCTCTAATAAAATAAATTATTGATACTATCTGAGCAATTAAGTTTTGGGGTGATTTGTTAGGTATCAATACATAATTGGAACAGGAAAACATGCAAAGGGATATCAGTGCTGCCTAAGGTTGGGGAAGTGAATATTATCATGGGGAGAGCTCTGTGTCCTCTGTGCTCCCTACATCTAAATTGGCTTTGAATGTTTCAGCCTAACATCCATATGTATCCTAACTTCCATATGGATATGAAAGTTAAACAGACACACACATTAAACAAGGTTATGTATTGGTCAGTTGATGAAAATGTGACAAGAGGCTCACAAGAACCTAAGCCTGTATTTCTCCTAGAAACAATGTTTCAGTAATAGTAAATTCAGCATTCATGGAGACTTTATAAAACATAACTATCATGAACAAGAATCAACTGTATCTATTCCAATCTAACATCTCAATGATTCTGCCTAATTTGCAGATATGTATGTACATGCACACACACACATAAAAGACAACATGATAATATAGGAAATCATTGATATAAACCATGAATCATCAGCCCTGATTCTATTTGGTCTTTTATCATATACAATTTATTAAAATATATGAAAAAGTACAAGTGCTATTTTATGGACAGACTCACTAATATGGTGTCCAAGTAACCTGTTTCTCAGTCATCTGCACCACATATAAATTATGTTATCCACACTTTAACTTTTGAATAAGGCATTGTTCTCTGGATGAGAAATGAGGATAAATCATGACTTCCTACATATAATGTGAACTTAATAAAAACTATGTTAAATTGAAATACATCTGATTAGATAAATACAAGGCAAAGATGGTGTGGGTGGATTGAATGTGGGTGCTCTAAATAGACTGGTTAATACTCCAAACCCTTAGCTGTGATTAAAGTTTTTTCTACCACTCATTCACTCTTTTCTTTTAGTCACTGATAAATCTCATAGGTCCACTGCCAGGAGAAGACCTCCTTCTGAATATGTGATGATTATATGATGAAAAATCTGCAGTCCCAAATGTTAACTTGTGTTTCATTTTCTAAATCTAAACTCAAAATCCTTTAGAGTTGGTTCATGGCAGCTGAAGGATTGGAAACAGAGAAACACTTAAATCTAACTTTTTCTGCATGAGCTACAAGTAATCATTTACCCTCTGCTCTCTCTTCCAGATGTTCCTAATCACTCCTCATCCTCCTCCCTCCTGCCACACTGAACTTTTTAATGTGCAGCATACTGGAGAGAAAACGAGTACTTTGGTCAGACAAGGAAACAGAGCTGAACATGGAAAAAAGAACCATATTCTAATTTTAAAGAAAGTGGCTCCGCAGAATCTTAGATTTTCCAAGCTGTGGGGCCTTTATTGTGCTAGGAAAAAAAAGGGAAAATAATACACAAAACTGAATCTATTATATTTTCCCTTAATGGCAAATCTTGATAAAAGAAAATGGAACTTTAGAATGGAAGG
Organism: Homo sapiens; assembly: GCF_000001405.40. Classification (NCBI taxonomy): domain Eukaryota; kingdom Metazoa; phylum Chordata; class Mammalia; order Primates; family Hominidae; genus Homo; species Homo sapiens. The sequence goes on from NC_000003.12 coordinate 99,317,692, forward strand.
AGCATCTGGGCTCATTTTCTAATGAAATATCTTTACAAATGAGAAACCTAAGGGTCAGAGAGAAAATGTGACTTGCCCAAGCTCTCACAGCTTTCCATGACAGAAGTAGAATCTAAGTCTTGATGCTTATATTTTAGTATAACTAAGTCAGGTAATAGCAGAGAACACTCAGAAACTTTAACAGTATGTCAATTTCTTGGACTATAATGTTGATGACTGTTTTAGGATTGATTATTTTAAAGATACAGAAATATTTTTTCTGTCCTTTTTTTTGGCAACAACAGAGCGTGCTTTTTTCTCTCCTCATTATTCTGTGGGGAAATTTTGTGAAATTCTGTCCAGTAAAACTGACTGAGGCAGTTGGGAGAATGACCACTGCCTTCATGTAGTAACAGAAGCAATAATCTCTAGTGAGAAGACAATTGGTTGCAGGCAAGTCTCACTGGTACTATGATAGGGGACCCAGATACATTAGAGAAAAGCAAATTAACATGACCCCCAGGTCTCTGGAGTCATATAAGACGCTAAGTCTAAGTCATATAAGTCCCTTATAACTTCATAGTCATAAGGGACTTGAAGCCTATGTGAGTTCATTGTTATGTGATGGAGAGTGGAGCAATGGAGCAAGGAAGAATGAGTGGAAAACTGTTTGGTGTTTAACTAATGTGCTCATAGAAAACCTGATAATTTTTGGCTAGTTCAAAGTTGTGTCTGACCTGAAGCAACTGTTATTGCCTACTGACTAGAGTTCTTTGTGGAGGTTATATGATTCACTTGAAGTGTTTTCCAATACCAAATTGGTTAGCTAATTTAAATAAGGAACCAGATATGTTATTTCTTCCCCAGACTTCTTTCAACAAAAGCTAATTTTCTTTCCTTCCTCCTATCCAAAACACAACTAATAAAATTGGAAATTCTTTTTTTTTTTTTTTTTTTTTTTTGAGACGGAGTCTCGCTCTGTCGCCCAGGCTGGAGTGCAGTGGCGCGATCTCGGCTCACTGCAAGCTCCGCCTCCCGGGTTCACGCCATTCTCCTGCCTCAGCCTCCCGAGTAGCTGGGACTACAGGCGCCCGCTACCACGCCCGGCTAATTTTTTGTATTTTTAGTAGAGATGGGGTTTCACCGTGTTAGCCAGGATGGTCTCGATCTCCTGACCTCGTGATCCGCCCGCCTCGGCCTCCCAAAGTGCTGGGATTACAGGCGTGAGCCACCGCGCCCGGCCGAAATTCTTAATAATTTAGAGAAACTCAGGAGAACCCCTTAGAAGTATAAAGTATCAATAGGACATAATCTGTGACTCATGGTTAAAATATGCTTAGTCAGTGTTCAGGGGCTCTGTGTGGCACCACTCCAACGACATCGTTTGTAACATTTTTGCACAAATGGAGCAAGACTATTAGTCTGGTTTGATGAAACACAAATCTGAAGAGATGGGATAATGGAGTAGTATCACAAATCAAGAAAGCCTGAACTATGTGAAAAACCTCGACCCATATAAGAAAAATATGAAGAAAAACAAGTTAATCAGAAAAAATGAGAGCCATAATAAATTATCTAGTTTGGGGAGAATGCATAACATTCTCGAGTCCAGCAGGAGGGACATATGTCATATTTATACCTCAGGATCACAAAAATGGCAGAATTGAATCATGGCAGCAAGGAGGACCTCAGATACCTATTCTTGAAATCTCCAGTAGATCCCTTGTTGGGTTCTTTATTTCCACCTTTCTCGATCATGTCTACATCTATTCCTCATCTGGAGTCAAAGTTAACTTGAGAAATATTCCCTGCCTTTCCATCTCCTGCCCACTCTTGAACCTTGATTCCCACCACTGCATTCTTGATTCCCTATGTTCAGCTCTTTGGCCTTCTTCCTCTTCCTAGAAGATGCAAAGACTATTCACACTTTGGGGCTTGTGCACTTGCTATTGCTCCGTGTGGAATATTCTACCCTAAGGCATTTTTATGGTTTAATCCCTCTTGGAATTTGGCTCTCAGCTTAAGTGTTACTTCTTTAGTGAGGCCTTTCCTAAGCATCTAATTTAATGTAATGGATATAACTCCTTACCCATAACTTTCTGTCATATTATGGTAATTTACTTTGTTTACAGAACCTGTAATTAGCTGAAATTATTTTGACTTTTTTTGTTTATTATGTCCTCTGTCTCCTCTCTCTGTCACGTTCTCTGCTATATTTTTCTTAACAAGAGCCTTACGTGACACATAGTAAGTACTCTTTATATATTTAATGTGAAAATCAAGTTACCTGACTAACCCTGAGGTTGCTTTGCTAATAATTTCATCTCTTAATGAGTCCATAAATAACCAAAAGGAGTTGCTAATTTGAATTTAATTCTTAGCAACAAGGGAAAACTGACTGAGTCAACGGACGTGAAAGTAACTTTGGAGAATGTGAACAATGTTCTTGGAATTTATAATAAAGCTGTGGAAAGCAATCCTGGGGGACAGCCAGATATCTACTCTGGACTTTAGGAAAGCAGGCCTCAAAAAGTGTAAGACAAATTAGGAATGACTACATGGCTAGAGATTCAAAAGAGAAGACTGCTTCAGGAGATGAAAGAATAACAATAACATTTTGATAATACAGTTACTGATTACATTTTTTAAAACAAACAGAAATTGGAACCCTAGGTACTGTCTGGGATGAGGTCATTTTTAAAAAGACATGTACAAAAGTCAGAATAAACAGTGTATAGCCAAAAATAAAAATATAAGAGTTCCATAAACCATAAAAATATAAGAGTTCCATAAACCATAAACTCTTATAAAAATATAAGAGTTCCATAAACCATCAAGTTGAAAATAGGCTGTGGAAAACAAAATACAAAATACAGAACTTAAATGATTTTTTTAAAAATTAAAGTTTGCTCTTCCCACAGTGAAAAGAACATGTAGAATCAAATTTATTTGGGAGAGACAGTGTAACATTAGTATAATGCTAAACTCATTGTTTTATTCCAACTTTTATATATAGAGAAAGATATTCAATCCAAAAAAAGAAGAAATATGGAGAAGAGGAAAATAAGGCACAAGATAAAATAAGACAAATTAATGGGGAGATCAATGTAGCCCAGAGTATTAAAACAACTTGAAGTAACACAATGTTTACATTGAATAACATTGAATAGCAAGGAGACAAAAAAGGAGCCTTATCTTAAAGTTCACAATGAATAAAATGAATTTTTGAAACTAGAGACCTATTAGTTTGTGTCTTTCATGATAAAGTTCTAAAGCATGTTATTAGGGCTAGATGGGGGTGTATTCCGTGAACTAGGAACATGGCATTATGTTAATATAAATAAATCCAAACAACTGTTAAATGGGTTTTCTTACACAAATAAGCTTGGAAAATGTTGGATTAATTGAAATTAAAGAAGATTTTCCTTTATTTACTGCAAGATTCGCAGTTTATAACATGCAATCTGCACTGAGACTTTCCAAGAAAAGGCAGATCATATGTGGTGTTTTTAGAATCTCATGGAACTAGTATCTTAAAGAACATACTTTGGGAAACAGTGTTCTGGTGACATGCTGCAGGGTTTTATACTTTCATATATTGTGCTCCACACTTTTGCTAATAACTTAAACAAGGACAAGATGGCCTGCTTATCACATCTACAGCCAACACAAAGCTAGGAGAGACAGTTAATATGATGGATGGCTAAATCAAGTTTAAAAAAATATTATGACAGGTTGGAATATTGGGCTGAAACTAACAAGATAATAGTGGTCTCCAAAATTATCTCATATGTACAAGACAGGAGACACCTGGCTTAATAATAGTCATTTCTATCAACAAAATCTAGAGAGCTACAAACTCAGTATGAGCCAACAGTGTGTTGCCTTTGCAACAAAAACAATGTAGTAAAACTGTTATACTGGGATGTCTTAACAGAACAAAAGGGCTTAGAGGAATTCCTAACTCCGTTGTCTTCAGTACTGGTCAGGCAACATTTGGAAGGTGGAGTGATGGAAATATGCTCAGTGGAAAGCTACTGCACCTATCATTAGCCATTAAGACCTGCATTCTACATTAACTAAACTCTAAGTCAACCTTAATAGACGCCTACTATAAAGAATAACTCTTGGCCGGGTACAGTGGCTGATGCTCGTAAGCCCAGCACTTTGTGAGGCTGAGGCATGCAGATCATGAGGTCAGGAGTTCGAGACCAGCCTGGCCAACATAGTGAGACCCCATGTCTACTAAAAATACAAAAATTAGCCAGGCATGGTGACAGCCACCTGTAATCCCGGCTACTCAGGAGGCTGAGGCTGGAGAATCATTTGAATCCGGGAAGCAAAGTTTGCAGTGAGCTACGACCATTCCATTGCACTCCAGCCTGGGCAACAGAGAGACACCCCATCTCAAAAAAGAAAGAAAGAAAAAAGAACAACCCTTAAATATGGAGCTAAAATAATGCATATAATGTTTTCAAGAGGAATAAAAAATTGCTAATTCACATTAAAAACTGATTTTACTCAAGAGGAAAAGAAAACATAAAGAATAAAATACCAGAAGTCATCATCAGTCCTAAATAATGTTTCTACTTATTGATCACCCCATAGGTACACATATTGCTTCTAATCCTCAGAAAAACTCTGCAAGGTAGATATTATTAATCCCTATCAACAGATGAGGAACTGGGAATGTCCATGTAATGCCAGCCAGTAAGTCGCTGAACCTGAGTACAAACTCAAATTTGTCTGACTCTTGTGCTCGTGATATTTCCTCTACAGCACTCAATCTTCTGCTAGGGAAAGGAAGGCAGACTTGGTCAGATTGTCCTTTTCCATGCATCAATCTCTATTTTATAATAGAAAAAAATCACAGAATGTAAATTCCTCAAGGAAAATGACCCTACTTTATACCATTCCTACCCACTCCCACTGCTACCAGTATAGCAATAATATAGTATATAGTAAGCAATTTAATCCAATTCAAAAAACATTGATTCATTCAGCAAATATTTATGAAAAGTCTACCATGTGCAGGCACTATTGTTGGCCATGAAGATACAACAATGAAAAAAACATGCAAATTCCCAGACCTCATGAAGCTGATTTCATAACAGGAGAAATTACAATGCCATGAGAAGCATATGAAAGATATGTTTATTCTTGGCCACTTCATAAAAATTATTTAAAATTGCCCATTAAATAATTGTTTTTAGGACTGTGGATTAATTTCTATTGCTGTGTGACAATTGGCCACAATCTGTAAAACAACACTTATTTATAATCTCACCATTTCCATGGGTCAGGAATCTAGCACCACGCAGCTGAGTTCTCTGCTCAGAGTCTCACATAGCTGAAATCAAGGTGTTGCCTTGGGATGCTGCCTCACCTGAAGCTTGTGGTTCTTTTCCAGGCTCATTCAGAGTGTTGCCAGAATTCAGTTCGGAGATTGTAACACTGAAGTCCCTGTGTTCTTGACTGATGTCTAGGAGGCCCCTTCTTGATTAATGTGAAGGAGCTCCTAGAGGATATCTGCCATTCCCCAACATGTTGGCTCTCTCTCAACATGGCAGGTGCCCATTTAGGGCTAACAAGAAAAGGTCTCTGCTGCTTCCAATTTCTGACTTCTGTCCTTGACCTCTAGAGTCAAATTTACAGGACTCGGGTGATCAGGTCAGACCCACCCAGATCATCTCTGTTTTGATTAACTCAAAGGCAGTTGATCAGTAAATTTAAGTACATCTACAAAATCTTCAGTAATTAAAATCAAAGTTTACAGTGATTAAACTCCATCATTAAAATTAGTAATCTTATCTCTTCAGAAATCTATTTTGCTATATAATATAACATAATCAGAGGAGTGATAGCTCATCATATTTTCATCCATCCATGCTCAAGGGAAGGAGACTACACAAGCACGAGTCATTTGGGGCTCATCTTAGAATTCTGCCAATCACAGGCTGTAAAGGAGTTTGAGAATTCATTTCTTCCAATTTCTTGCTTTATATTTTTCATTCATTAATTCACTCATTTAATATATATTTACTGAACACAATTACATGTGTCCTATGTGAAGAGATGCAGTTAAGTAAGTAAGACAGAAGTCATTGCTCTCAAGGCCCTAAAAGTCTAAAATAATTCAATAAATTGGGCTGGGTGCGGTGGCTCACTCCTGTAATCCCAGCACTTTGGGAGGCTGAGGTGGGTGGATCACTTGAGGTCAGGAGTTTGAGACCAGCCTGGCCAATGCAGTGAAGCCCTGTCTCTACTAAATATATATAGATTAGCCAGGTGGTGTGATGGCATGCACCTGTAATCTGAGCTACTCAGGAAACTGAGGAAGGAGAATCGCTTGAACCTGGGAGGCAGAGGTTGCAGTGAGCCAAGATCATACTGCTGCATCTAGCCTGGGTGGCAGAGCAAGAGTCTGTCTCTAATAATAATAATAATAATAATAATAATAATTCAATGAATAATAATAATTCAATTAATAATAGTAAAATAAAACAGTATGATAACAGCAATAAAAGTATGTGAACATATAGATTTGGCACAGAGGAAGGGATCAATCATCTAGAAGGGCCAGAGAGCATTGTGATATGATGCAGTAACTATATATTAGTAAGTGGACTCAAACCCTTCTGAATAAATAACCTTTATTTTGAGAGTTTCATGGAAGGACTTACCATGATGACACATTCTCTCTTACTAGTATTAGCTTGTTGTCATTAACAACTATGAATACTAAAATTTCCCACTTCTTCTGAGGTGTACCTTGCAAGGTGCAGCTCCCCACTCCAAGGGCTAATCAATTTCCAGGTACGTCTGTAAAGTGAAATTGATGAGTCTATGGAGAGGTCTTTATCCATCCATGAATGGAGTCAGAAAGGTCTCATTTTCTGTGAACAATAACACTATCTACTTGCTTTATTACTTTCTTCCATATGTAGGTTGGAAATACAGGTTAAGTCATACCACTAGTAAATCTGTAGCAAGATCTCACAGGGGAATAAAAAACAGTGAATGCATTCATTTCTTGGCTTACATATGGGGGAAGTACATGAATGCCTGGACTCCAAAGGGACAACTTTGTACAGTTCTGTTTGTAGTTACATATGGTCTGTATAAACAGATGAAGGGTCTTTGGCTTCCTTTAGACCAAGAAGGGTAGTGAGATTCTAGCAGCCAGAAACAAAACACTGAAGGCTGGCTACAAACAAGTTTGATCAATGGTCTGAGAGCTTCAATTCACCATTCTATTTCCTTAGCAAGCACTTCATCTTGTGCCAGCCACTGCTGTGCATGACGTTTGATTTTAGGGACTGGCTATTCATCATCTTTTGGTTTTCTCTCCAGGCACGAGGGTGCCAATAAGGCTGCTTATTGCCTCAGGATAGCAGGTGGCAATGTTGGCAGTTAAACAGTCAGCGAGATGTCAATCTTACTTTTATTGCTCTGTTCCAGAAAAACATAGAACTGAATGAAAGCACATTTCCCCACCTCTCAAGTTTTCTAAACTGTTACATTATTTGGAAAAAAGAAAAGCTTTGCAACATAGAAGTTTCTTTTAGTTCAGAGATTCTACTTGATATTTATTTCAAGAATAAATGAATGAATTCTTCATAGATTCTGCCGAATATGTCAAGGAAGATTTACCTTTTTCTGTAAAAGCAAATAAGGACGTTGTCTTTTGTAGTAAGATTTTGAGTGATTTACTGTCTCATGAGTTGATCCATGCATGTCGTCTGCAAGGTTTCATATCATCCCAGACTAAAACGAAACATGATGAGAACAGTGTTAATTCTATACCTAGATCCTCTCAGAATCCCTTTGTGGTTTCTTTCTGTGCTCCCACCCCTTAACTCCTCCATGCAGTCCTCCCAAAGGTTTACTCCCACACTTTGCTTCAGAGGACTGTCGATGAGCAACTGGAGCTGCTCTTCCCAGAGATGCAGCATGCTGGGAGATATTGTTCCAAGGGTAGCTCACAGTTTATGACATCAGCTCTGTGTTGTAATTTCTGTTCTACCCTACCTTAGACAACGGCTGAGATTGAGACATGGCTTGGCTTCTTCCCTTCTATTTTCTCTCATTAGCTTCTATTAGAAGAACTTCCTTAACAAATCTACTCATTCAGATAAGTATTTAAAGAGATCCCTCTAGCTGTGACATGCAGAAGAGAGAGTTGGCCAAGATTACATGAAAATAAGACTGGCCTTCGAAATATTGAGCACATCATACTTCTTTGGGTAGAAACACTTCGCGGCGGAGGGGGGAGCAGGCAGTCCCACCTTCAGTCAGAGCAGAAACTCCTTCTAAAGCACGCATTACAGAGAATCATTCAGCTTAAGCTTGAAGATCTGGAAGCTCATTCTCTTACAGAACAGTTTTTTTTAATATAGTCACACCTGTTATAAACATCTTCCTATAATAGGCTTAAATGAGTCTCCCATGAGTTTTGCCCGTTGCTCCCATTTCTGCTGTCTATAATCTCACAGATGAAAACTGATCCTTTTTCCATGTGTGTAATGGTTAATTTTATGTGTCCATGTACCCCTTGAACTTAAAATAGAATTTGAGGGAAAAAAAAAACAGAAAAAAGAAAGTGCTACTCCCCAAAATAGATTGTTCCCATACCGACAAATTGATGCCTGCATTCTCTCGAGCGTGCATTATTGTATACCAGAATCACTATGCACAAACATGGCAAGAAAGGACCTATCCCAAAAGTATTTCTGGAAAAGTTTAATATCTGCCTCCAACAAATACTTGGCTGTGTGGTTAAGGGTCAGTATCAATGTCACTGCATTACAGTGAATGTAATGCAGGGAGCCTTCTTCACGAGCTGCACTGGAGAGAAGCTTGGGGATGATCTTCCCCCAAAACTGAAGCAACACAAATCAAAACCAACACACAACTTTAAAGACACCAGCCCCAGGATAGCAGTACTTAGGATCACTGCCCCTGAGATTACAAATCCAACTGGCAAAATGATCCTTGAAAGTCACTTACATGCAATAAATACATAAGATCATGAAAAAAGAAATTATGTGTCAACTTTACTGGGCCACAGGGTACCCAGACATTTGGTCATACATTATTCTGAGTGTGTCTTTGAAGGTGTTTCTGGGTGAGATTAATATTTAAAAGAATGAGTAGAGTGAGTAAAGCAGATAACCCTTCCTAATGTGAGTGGATCTCATTTGATCAATTGAAGACTTGAATAGAACAAAAAAGCTGAGTAAATGAGAATTCCTTAAACCCTGATTGCTTGGAATATTGGTTTTTTTCCACCTTCACCTCAAACTGAAACCCAGCTCTTCTTGGGTCTAGAGCCTGCCAGTTTTTGAACTGGAACTACATCATTAGCTCTCAGGTCTCCAGTTTGCCAAGTGCAATAATGCATTTACTACATATATACATACATGCATACACACATACACAAACAAACACAATTGATTCTGTTTCTCTGCAGAACCTTGACTAATACAACAACCCGCAGGTAGGAATATCCCTATGTAGTCTAATTTAACATCTACTGATATCTCAAACATATTTCATCCCCCTTGCCCAGCAGAAACCTTTGGCACTCATAAGTACAAATGAATAACATGAGAAAATAGTACATTAATTAAGGAATAACTTTTGTTTTACTCTTATCCTAAATTTTATCACCTTTTGAAATAGAAGACACCTGACTAAAGCTCTAAAGAGGTTGGGTGACCTTGAGGAAGTCATACCATCTGTCTAGGGCTGCCGCTTTATCTTCTATATCAAAAGAGCTTTGAGTGGGTGAGATACAGGGAAGAATATTTTAATTTGGGAAGTAGAAGTCTTGATAAGAGAATTAATACAGGAAGTTGGGGTCTGGTAGAGTCTCATAATTGAGGCTTCTATAAATTCTGGAGTGGCACGAGGTGTTTGAGATAAGGAAGGGTGCAAGAGGGTGGAAAAAGACTTCTGGTCATCTTTTTTTTTTTTTTTCTCAGCCCAACATAAAAAGCTGAGCATAAAAAGAAATTTCCACTGATTATTTTGACTGATGCCTAGTTTACACATACTTCTAAAACAAATTACTAAATTTAATATCTTTGTCTGTGTATTTTAGACATAAACTATTGTCTTTGATCACTTTTTATGTGGTGAATCCAGCTGTTAAGAACAGAATCAACAGAGTGTTTCTTGGCTACAAAACAATTGCTAAATCATATATTAATATCTGACTTGGTTGGCAACTCTAGGATAAAATTCTCTAAGAGTATAAGTCAAGGAAATAAAACCTCATGGCCTTCAATTACGATCTTTCCTGTAGGCCAGGCTTTTAAGGCTATGGAATAGAAAGATCGCACATGACTAAAACTTGCAAAGAAGTTTTGTGTTTTAGCAATAGTTATTTCCTGGGAAAAATTAATATCTCCTTGAGAAGATTACTTTCATCTTTTTAAAATCTTGGCCATTTCTCTTTATGTATTTCTCAAAAATTAATGGGTTAATAAAAAAGATTTGGAAAATGATAGCAAGCACTGAGCTATTTGAAGATCTAGACATCTTAACTGGATTCATTTACTTAACTAACACAACTCTACATTTGATAGTAGTTTTCCTTTGGCTACACACCAATAGCATTTCTAATGTCAGTCAACTTTATTTATACACAAACTCTCTGAAGAGAATGTGTAACATTTCAAATGTATGGCCTGAAATTATTTTAATAATCTTCTATCATACCAAATTATTATTTAAATCTTATCCTAGATTTCCTCATCTTTTACTTTATTTATTTATATATATATATTTTTATTATACTTTAAGTTCTAGGGTACATGTGCAAAACCTGCAGGTTTGTTACATATGTATACATGTGCCATGTTGGTGTGCTGCACCCATTAACTCGTCATTTACATTAGGTACATCTCCTAATGCTATCCCTCCCCCCTCACCCCACCCCACAACAGGCCCTGGTGTGTGATGTTCCCTTTCCTGTGTCCAAGTGTTCTTATTCTTCAATTCCCACCTATGAGTGAGAACATGCGGTGTTTGGTTTTTTTGTCCTTGCGATAGTTTGCTGAGAATGATGGTTTCCGGCTTCATCCATGTCCCTACAAAGGACATGAACTCACCATTTTTTATGGCTGCATAGTATTCCATGGTGTATATGTGCCACATTTTCTTAATCCAGTCTATCATTGTTGGACATTTGGGTTGGTTCCAAGTCTTTGCTATTGTGAGTAGTGCCGCAATTTAGTTCTTGGACTTCAGCCCATTCTTCTGAGCTTTAGAAAGGTGTCTTTTATTTTAAAAGATGACGTTATAGGCATGGGCAAGGACTTCATGTCTAAAACATCATCTTTTAAAATAAAAGCCACCTTTCTAAAGCTCAGAAGAATGGGTTGAAGTCCAAGAACTAAATTAAGTCTGGGTGACCTTGAGGAAATCATAACACCTCTTTAGGATTGCTGCTATTCCTTTTATGTCAAAATAGGCTTTAAAATATAAGATCTCTGAAATCACTCTCAACCAGATGATTCTACAATTAAAATAGGTTCTGTCAATATAAGTTATGTGTATACTCTTATTTAGCAGTATTTACTTTTTAAAAACTGAAATTTAAAAAGTATAAGCATTTTCTTTTACCTATTCACAATAACAAAGACATAGAATCTACCTAAATTCCCATTGGTAGTAGACTGGATTAAAAAATGTGGTACATATATACCATCGAATACTGTGCAGCCATAAAAAGGAACAAGATCATGTCCTTTGCAGCAACATGAATGGAATTAGAGGCCATTATCCTAAGCAAATTAACATGGAACAGAAAACCAAACACTGCATATTCTCATATGTAAGTGGGAGCTAAACATTAATATATATGGGCACAAAGAAGAGAACAACAGACAGTGGTGCCTACTTGAAGGTGGAGGGAGGGAGGAGGGTGAGGATTAAAAAATGACCTATCAGACACTATGCTTATTACCTGGGTGATGAATAATCTGTACACCAAAGCCCCATGACACACAGTTGACCTATATAACAAACCTGCATGTGTATCCCTGAGCCTACAATAAAAGTTTAAAAAAAGAGAAAACATCATGCTTAATGAAATAAGCCAGACACAGAAAGCCAAATATTGCATGATTCCACTTACATGAGGTTACCCAGAGTATTCAAATTCATAGAGACAGAAAGTAGAGTGATGGTTGCCATGGGCTGGAAAACAAGAGAAAATGGGGAGTTGCTGTTTAATGGAGACAGTGTTTCATTTTGGAAGATGAAAAGAGCCCTAGAGATTGGCTGCACAATGTAAACGTATTTAACATTACTGAGCTCTATGCCTAAAAATTATTAAGATGGTGAATTTTACATTACATATTTTACAATTTTATATTAAAATTAAAAATATATCTAATTCATGAAAAATAGAAATACACAGAATAAAGCAAAAAAGCAAGCATTATTTTCATAAATACTGAACAAGTTGGTCTAAGTGAGAAATAAATTTTTAAAAAATGGAATGTATATTCCTTGGCATAATAGCCATAGCATATTAACTTTACAGTTGGTAGCTTATAAAGTTGCGGGAAATGTCAGATGTGGGGTAGGAAAGACATCTTCCCTTCTTCACACAGTGTTCTGCCTCTAAAATTTAGTAGGCTCAGCCTCACTCCTTCCTGAGATCTTAAGTTAAAGCAGAGTTTATCTCCCCATTTCAGATTGCCTATGAATACTGGGCTCACATCCTAGTTCGAGTGGGAAATTAGAGCTTTTTGTTGAATTGTAAATGAAACTGTGTGGTTTCAACTGATAAGGAGGATGACTGCCAGGCCACTGGCACACCCACACAGTGTCCAGAATTTGCTATGTATTTGCAGCAAAGGCACCAATAATTATCCAGGGAATGCTCCTGGAAAGCACATGGTGATTTCTCTTCTCTTACAAATATCAGACCCGATGAAAGACTACAGTAGGGCTTTTATTTGAGTGTACACATGTAAAAGAACAGAAAGAATTGGCATACGCTGAGAAAACAAGGGTATTTGAGCATGAATTCCTCACACCAAATTAATCTCTTTTATCTTTTCTTTTGGTTTCTAACATCCTGAGCATAAATATATATGTCTTATATATTTATTGAACAACCATATTTGGAGTGGCTACTGAGTCTATTTTAATGCAGAAGACGCAAAGACGTATGTTACAAACAATGCCCTTAAAGAGACAATTTGAAGAGAGGAATGTAAAGGTCATTTGGCACAAATGCAGCATTTCAAATATGTATTAAGTGCAGTGATCACACAGAACCACTGAGGTAATGACTGCCACACATACAAAGGCATGTAGGGCTAGAAAAGCCATGTCTTTTGGGCAACTGAAGAAAGTAGTTTGGAGCTGAAGGCATGAGAGGAAGCTAGCAAGGAAAATTGGAAAAGTAGGCAGGTATTAGGCAGCTATAACTGATTTCAAGCCAATTTATGACACAGACATATATTGTTATTGGATGTCAACAGCAGAAATGGATATCAAACAAAGACACTTTTATTCTCCAAAATTATTGGTGACAAGTTTATCTGTTTTGTGGTAAAGTTATATACTTTTCTATTTATATAAAGTGAATCATTCAGACTCTGCAAGAAACCAAACCAAAACAAACAAATATAACTTAAACCCAAATTCATCAATTCCATTCATTCTTCTACTCAAGGACATGTTATAGCATGAGCATAATGTAAGTCTGAACTCTGCTATTTGCCCTGTTGGTCTCAGTTCCAGAGCATCTCTCATACAGTGAGTATTTCTCCTTATTTATTTTATTATTATTATTTTTTTTTGAGACAGAGTCTTGCTCTGTCGGCTAGGCTGGAGTGCAGTGGCACGATCTCGACTCACTGCAACCTCCATCTCCCAGGCTCAAGCAATTCTCCTGCCTCAGCCTCCTAAGTAGCTGGGATTACAGGCGTGTGCCACCATGACCGGCTAATTTTTGTATTTCTAGTACAGACGGGGTTTCGCCATGTTGGCCAGTCTGGTCTCGAAACCCTGACCTCAGGTAATCCGCCCACCTCAGTATCCCAAAGTGCTCGGATTACAGGCGTGAACTTCTCCTTATTAATTAAGATTGCGAGATAAAGCATATCCTTATCAGATTCACTATTTCTCCTTACTAGATTTGGATTTTATTTAAAAAATATATGTATGTATCTATATACACACACACAGACACACACACACATATATATATAAAGCAATTCTACACTATCTAAATGCAAATCAACTGCCAGATGCTTAACCAAATATAAATATATAAATATATGAATATACAAATAAAACAAATGTAAGTAACATTCCTATGCTGGAGAAAAAGTAATGAGCTGTGTTAGACTACTTGAGAGATGCTAATTTGATCGCCAGTAGGCACCTTCTGAAGAGACTTAGAATAATTCTGATTTTATACTAATTTTATCATCTGCATCTGGCTTTGTATCCTAAGTTGGATAAAATACATAACTCCATGGTGTACTTATGTTCTTTTTTAAAAAAATTTAGTAATTTAAACTAATTTTGAGAAATATGCAAATGAGTCAATGATGCAATAATTTTATCAATATGAAGTCTCATATTTCACATTAATGAAGATTTGTAACCCTGGTGATATCCCTTTCCTAAAAACCATCACCGTATTGTCATCCTTATCATCATCAGGCATGCATTTTTCGAGAGGAAAACAATAGAATAATAGCAAAACTTGAAGAGACAGTGTCTGCTTTGTAATATTTTAAGTTATTTGATCTTGGTGAACTCTGTCCTTCCTGCCATCCTGACTGTGGCCTGTTTTATGCTTTCCTCCAAATTCCTCACCTGCTTAGCAAATGTGTCCAATCTTTTAAGGAAAGACTTTGTAGTTTATCCAGGCACATGCCATTCTGTTGAGGTTGGGGGTGGGGATCCTCAACATTTATGTTTTAGAGATGATAGGATAATTTTGATAAATATTTTCAAATTTTTTACAGTGATACACTTCTGTGGAAAATCCTGTCACAGCTGGGAAAACCAGTTGAGTATCACGCATACTGACATTTTCAAATCATCTTATTTTTTTAGCCCAGATAAATGCTTGATGGATACCATGGCTCTGCATATCTTGAATCTTTCATGTAGAAGGCAGAGTCTGGGTGTGGAAAGATCATGGTAGGGAGAAGTCGGAGGAATGGAATGTGGTAAGGAAATTTATTGGAATATGGGAACAGACCAGAGCTAAATTGACAGTAGTCAGCCAGCACCCAGGCCAAGAATACAAGCTTCTCTAGAACAGGAATGTTGGCTGTTCTCTTGTGGCTCATCTGGGCTATGGATTCTCACAGTGTGTGTGAAATACCACGGATGTGGGAAAAAAAATAATGTATGTTGATATTTGAATCTACTATCCACTGAGCACTCTGTTGTGATAGATATTAGGTGGAAGATACTCTGCTACCACAAAGCATCATTATTTCATCTTATAAATGTCTAAACCAAGCATGATTTTTAATAAGAGATAAAATGTGGAGTTTTGCTTTTCCAGAATAGTTAGGCAGTATACCACATGACTTACAAGGGAGGAATAAATTAGGAGAGATGTGAAAAACAAGAGTTCCTACAATATATAAACAAATGATACCTGTGTTGCAGTGCCAAAAAATTAAACTTTTAAAAGTATATATATATACTTTATATATACTTTTATATATATATACATTATATATATGTATGTATATGTATATGTGTGTGTGTGTGTGTGTGTATATATATATATATGTATACATATAAACAAATGAATTACCATGGAGAAAATCCCAAAGATGAAGCATTTTTCTCCATGACTGGTCCTTTCAGGTATTTAAGAGAATCCATAAGTGGGAATCTTGAACTTATTTCAATTTTTAAGGAGAAATAAAATTTGAACTTGGAAACAAAGATGAACTCTTCAGGCAAGGGAACAAGCATGATCAGAGGCAAGAAGTGAGGCTCCTTATGATGTATTTTGGTGTCAATTGGAAGACTGATGTAGCCTAAATAGAAAAGTTATGATGAAGACAAGAAGGAAGCATTAGATTCAGGACAGGATGTAGAAGGCTGGGAATACCAGTTTCAAGAAATTATTATAAAAATAAAATTTAAAACTGTTACTCATAGAGATTTCACAGGGTACTTTATAATTTTATAACATCATTTTATTTTTTAGGGTTGTTTTGCAGGCAGTAGTATATGGTCTTGCTCTGTCACCCAGGCTGGAGTGCAGTGACATGAACACGGCTCACTTCAGCTCGACCTTCTGGGTCCAAGCAATCCTCCTGCCTCAGTCGCCCATGTAGCTGAGACCATAGGCACACGCCACCACACTTGGCTAATTTTTTTGTTAGAGACAAATCTCACTTTGTTGCCCAGTCTGGTCTTGAACTCCTGGGCTCAAGCAATCCTCCAACTTTGGCCTCACAAAGTGCTGAGATTACAAGTGTGAGCCACTGAACCCAGCTTAATATAAATTTTTTATAAAGCAAATATTATAAACCATGAAGAAAATGCAACTAAGTCAAAATGTAAAACTTCCTTATGATAAAAATTAAAAGATGATGGATGGTACAGTACTTTGGAAGATAATTTGGCAGCTTCTTATAAAACTAAACATACTTACCCAAAGATCCAGCAATAATTCTTCTTGATATTTACCTTAAACTCGTGTCATGAAGAAAAAAGAAACAAAAAAAACTGGATATGAATATTTAAAGCAGCTTTTATGATAATTGCCAAAACTTGTACCAAAATGTCCTTCAATAGGTGAATGGATTAAAAAAAAAACGTGGTACATCTATAAAATGGAATATTATTCAGCAATACAAAGAAATAAGCTAATAAGCCACAAAAAGACATGGATGAACCTTAAATGTACATTGCTAAGTGAAAGACGCCTGTCTGAAAAGTCTACATGATATGTGATTTCAACAATATGACATTCTGGAAAAAGGCAAAACTATGGAAAGAGTAAAAAGATCAGTAATTGCCAAGGGTTTGGAGAGAGGTAGGGAAGGACAAATAAGAGCACAGAGGACTTCTGGATAGTGAAACTGTTCTGCATAATACTGCAATGGCAGATACATCTTATTATACATTTTTCAAAATCCATAGAAAGTACAACATAAAGAGTGATTCTTAATGTAAACTATGGACTTTAGTCAATAATAATGTATCCGCATCGGTTCATCAACCATAATAAATATACCACACTAATGCCACATGTTAATAATAAAGAAAACTTGAGTAGAGGATAGGTTGAGAGGGTATAGGGGAGCTCTCTGTTTTTGTGTAAGCCTAAAACAGCTAAATAATCTATTGATTAAAAAAAGAACAATAGGATAAAGATGTCTGCAACATATACAGCAAGAAATTAGTGGATGGAATATATAAACAAGCTCCTCAAATCAATAAGAAAAAGACAATGCAATAGAAAATGAGCAAAGGAAATTAATCAGGAAATACACAGAAAAATTCTGAATAGCAAGTAAATACGTACTTGCTGAAGAAAATGCTGAATTTCAAGTAAATATATGCAGCATTCAACAAAATATTTATGGAGTCTTTCTGAGATAGGCACTGTTCTAGGTGCTTGGGATACATGAGGGAACTAAATATGGAGGCGTGTTTGTATGGAGGTAAAATTATTGCAAGTATGACATCATTTGGGCAAACATTAAATATCGGATTTTAGCAACTCTTGGCAAAGATTTAGAAGAACAGAATATTCTATGCCTTAATGGTAGAAGTAAAAAGTAGTTCAAAATTAAAACAAACAAACAAAAACTCAGAATCTTGATAGTATCTTGTAGTATTAAACAGGCAAGGCCTATTACCCAAAAATTACACTTATGAGTATACAACCTAAAAGGACTCTTACACAAGTACACAAGTAAATATAACAATAATGTTTATCACAGCATTGTTGTAATATTTTAAGAATTGGAAGCAATCAGAGAGTTGAAAAATATGAGGTATATACAAAGGAAGGAATACTGTCAAGTAGATAAAAGAAATTTAGCAGATTTTAATATATCAACATGGCTAGATCTCAAACCACAAGTTTAAGGAGAAAAACAATCAACTGGCAGAATATAGAGCATGCAATAAATTATATTAATAAAATTACAAATAACATAATATGTATATTTAAATAGATTAGACTATTACAGGTATAATATTTGTTGCTTATAGGGAGAGCAGAGGGGAATGGTTAGGGGGAATAAAAGCAACTTTAACTTTATCTCTAATATTTTATTTACTTTATGCAGAATTGATAAGTATGGCAAAATGTTAACATTAATTTCAATGAATAGGCATAGCTTCATATATTTTTTGTATTTTTCTGTAATTTAAAAAAGATCTGTAAATATAAATGAAATTGTGAGAAGTATAAGTGAATTTTTTACAACTCTACTCCAAGACAAGCAAATAGTTGTATATACCTATCAGGATTTCTGAGCTAATAAGACTTAACATAACCACTTCCAACCTTTTATGAAAATTAAGGATGTAGACACCAAAAAGGTAAAAGCTTCCAGAAACACAGTGACAATCTGGGCAGAATTTCCTTTAATTTTTAGACCAAAGGAATTGAAGGAAAAATTACAATCTGTGGAATGCTTAAAGGAGGGGAACTAGAAATAAAGCAAACCTACTCACCAGACAATAATTTAAAAATCCCCTTAGCTCTCCCTGTAGTCTGTTCATTGGTCCAGGGAGGGAACAAAATACCTTACCAGACAGAAGAGCTGGCAGCTCTCTTCACTGTGATGCTAGTTTTTTGTGATGGCCAAATGCAGGCTCTCTTTATACCTTCAATCATCAGTATTTCTTGGTCTACAGCTCATCTATTGAGAGGACTCACTGAATGAGAAGCTGGGATGGGCAAGAAGTACTGAGCTGCCTCCCAGGTAGTGAAGTCTCCACATGTAAAGCATTATTGCAGATGTTCTCAATGTAGACATAAATCACCTGGGAGCCTGTACATAATATAGGTTTCTAGGTCTTCCTCCTCCTCACACTAAAGATTGTGATGCAGGGGATCTGGGATTAGTCCCAAGGCTCTGCAATCTGGTGCTAACTGGCCCGTGACTACATTTTAAAAACCACATTGCCATCTAACTCCCAGCAAAAAGATCCCAAATAACAATGTAAACTTAAAACTTTAGGTTTTTTGTTCTTTTTGTTCTTTTATATGTTCTGAGCCCTTTTAGCCATATATTATACATTGAGAAAAGTCCCAAATCAGTCCAAGAAACTGAAAGACACTAGGTGTAGGACTGCAGTTCATACTTATCACCTCTCTTTGGCTGTAGATCTTAGAAGAGAGTTTGACCACCATCCAACCAGAGAACATGCAGAGCCAAAAGCAGTTTGCTTACCTGGTCTGTTGATGAAAACTGGGTCTGGGTATATTTTTCCTTGTTTAAGGAGAAATAAACAGACAACAGCATGGGATCCATGAAAGACTATGATACCACAAGTGAAAGGACAAATTTCCCTAGATAATGAAGAGAAGAATAAACTAAATACACCCCTGAAAATAACACATTATAGAAACAGAAAGAAATTTTTATAACATTTTGCAGTCCTCTTTAAAATATAAGAATATATTTTCATTTTAGCAGATGCAGAGAATCATCAGAGAAAAATATGAGATAATTTGACTGGAAGATGAGATGAAAAGGATAGAAGAAAGAGAAGAGAAGAGGGAAATAAAATAAGAGGTAGAAAGGAATAAAATAGAAAGGGCAGAAAGTAAATCAGCAATTGAAGTTAAAACATGAAAACTCTCCTGTAATATATTTTGAACTTCAATTGATTCCAGTTGGTTTATGTGCTACTGGATAAATTCTGCAGCCCAGGAGGAAAGCTCACCCTTGAAGTACGTTCTCCTAACTTTATCTTTGGATTCCACTCCTCTGCCCGGTCCAGGTACTGTGTCTATCACCAAATAGCTTATCCCAGAGTTAAGCTGGAGTCTCATTATTTTTTTATAAAAAGAATGCATTTTTCTGCTATTTTTATTTAGCACTTGAAAAAAAACCTAAACTATTTTCATGAAGCACTCTGCCAGTAAAAGCTCCTTGTCTATCTCTACATTATAGAGCCAAAAGAGCAATACCATGCCAACTACATTGACAAGTACTTGAGGAAGTATTTTTTTGCATGGTCGAAGCTCATACTAGAATGGCTTGTGTAATTTTGTTCAATTAAGAACGACCAAAAAGCCACCAAAAGAGGATATTAGCTGTCATCATGCCTTGGATCTATTATCTTCTACCTAGGAGCTGTGAATGATCCTTTAACTGTTAGTCTTTTTATTAATAATTGTTTAAATTGACAAGTAAATGTATATATTTATCAAATATAGCATGATGTTTTGAGATATATATATATACACACACAAGTGGAATTGCTAAAATAACCTATTTATGCATTACTTCACAAATTTATTATTTTTATGGTGAGAATACTTAAAACCTACTCTCTGCAATTTTTGGGTTATACAATATATTGTTATTAACTGTAGTCACCATAATATACAATAGATCTCTTAAACTTAGTTTTTCTAACTGAAATTTTGTGTTTTGTGCCAATATCTCCCCAATCCTCCCACCCTCAGCCTCTGGTAACTATCATTTTTCTCTCTGTTTCTATGAGTTTGACTTTTTTACATTCCATAAATAAGTGAAAACAAGTGGCATGTGTCCTTCTGTGCTTGGCTTATTCCACTTAACAACGTCCTGCAGATTCAGCCACACTGGCACAAATGACAGGATTTCCCCACTTTTTAAAGCTGAATAGCATTCCGTTGTGTATATATACCACATATTCTTTATTTCTTTATCTATTGATGGACATGTAGGTTGATTCCATATGTTGGCTATTGTGGGTAACACTGCAATGAAACTGAGAGTGCAAGTGTCTCTTCGACATATTGATTCAGTTCCTTTGTATAAATGCCCAGAAGTGGGATTACTGGATCATATGGTAGTTCTACCTTTAGTTTTTTACTTATCATTTTCCATAATGATTGTAGTAATTTATGTTCCAACAAACAATGTAAAAGAGTTCCCTTATTATCTCTATCTTTGCCAATATTTATCTTTTTTTTGATGAAAGTCATTCTAACAGGTATAAGGTGATATCTTATTGTGGTTTTAATTTGCATTTTCCTAATGATTAGAGGTGTTGATCATATTTTCATGTACCTGTTGACTATTTGTATGTCTTTTTTGGGAACTATCTAGTTATGTTTTTGCCCATTTTTAAATATGGTTATTTGTTTTCTTGATATTTTTTGTGTTCCTTACATATCTTGGATATTAATCCCTTATCAGATGTATGGTTTGCAAATATTTCCTACCATTTTGTAGGTTGTCTCTTCATTTTGTTCGTTGTTTCCTTTGCTTTGCAAAAGATTTTTAGTTGTTGCCATTCTGTTTGACTGGTTTTGCTTTTATTGCTTATGCTTTTAGCGGTATATCCAAAAAAATCGTTGCCCAATGTCATGGAGCTTTCCGTCTATGTTTTCATCTAGTGGTTTCACAGCTACTCTATGTCTTTTGATTAAATAATTTAATCCATTTATATTTAAGGTAATTATTGATAGGTAGGAACTTACAACTGCCGTTTTGTTGTTTTCTGATTGGTGTATCCTTTGTTCCTGTCTTTCTCTCTTGCTGGCTGACTTTATTTATTTATTTATTTATTTATTTATTTATTTATTTATTTATTTATTTTGGGACGGGTTCTTGTTCTGTTGCCCAGGCTGGAGTGCAGTGACAGATTTACATCTCACAGCAGCCTTGAACTCCCAGGCTCAGGTGATCTTGCCTCAGCCTCCTGAATAGCTGGGACTTCAGGCGTATGTCACCATGCCAGGCTAATTTTTTTATTTTTAAATATTTTGTAGAGATGAGGTCTCACCAAATTGCTCAGGCTGGTCTTAAACTCCTGGGTTCAAGTGATCCTCCTGCCATGGCCTCACAAAGTGCTGAGATTATAGGCATGAGCCACCATGCTGAGACTGTCTTCCTTTGTGATTGAATAATTTTCTCTAATGGTATATTTTGATTCCTTTTTATCTTTTGTGTATCTACAGTAGGTCTTTGCTTTGTGGTTATGATGAGCCTTACATTAAACACCATATGGTGGTTTTTTTAAGGCTATTTCAAGCTGATAACAACTTAACTTCAATTGCATAATGTAACTTTACATGTTTTCTCCACCTCGTTCCCACGTTATGTTTTTGATATTAAAATTTACATTTTTATATTGTATATCTCTTAATAAATTATTGTAGTCATTATTTTTAATAGTTTTGTCTTTCGATCTTTGTTCTAAAGATATAAGTGGTTTACACAACATCCACACAGTATTAAAGTATTCTGAATTTGACTGCGTACTTACTTTTACCAGCAAGTTTTATATTTTAATATGTTTCTGTGTTAATAATTAGTATCCTTTGTTTTAGCCTGAAGAACTTTCTTTAGCATTTCTTGCAAGACAGGTCTGGTGATGATGAACTCCCTTAGCTTTAGTTTGTCTGGGAAAGTTTTTATCACTTCTTTATTCTCAAAAGATGCAGTTAGCACTTTGACTATATCATTCCACTCTCTCTGGCCTATAAGTTTTTTTTGTTTGTTTTGTTTTGTTTTTTCCTGAGAAACCAGTGGCTAGCTTTACTAAAACTTCCTTGCATGTGATTTGCTTTATTTATCTTGTTGCTTTCAGGATCCTCTCTTTGTCTCTGATTTTTGACAGTTTGGTTATAACGTATTTTAGCATAGTTTTGTTTGGATTGAAAGTTATTGGAAACATTTGACTTTTAGTACCTTGATATTGATATATTTTCCCAGATTTGGAAATTTTTATGCTATTATTTCTTTAAATAAGCTTCCTACTCCTTTGTCCCTTTCTTCTTGAACCTGTAACTCAAAAATTCAGTTTTTTAAATTAAATATATAAATCATGTAAGCTTTCCTTATTCTTTTTCTTTTTTTTTCTTTTTTTCTCTTTCAACTGTATATCGTCAAATAACTTGTCTTTGAGTTCACAGATTCTTTGTTCTGTTGCATCAATTTGGCTATTAATCCTATTGTATTTTTATTTCATTAATTGTAATTTTCAGCTCCAGAATTTTTGTTTGATTTTTTGTATAATTTCAATCTCTGTTAAAGTTATATTTTTGGTTATTTATTGCTTTCCTGATTCCATTGAGTTGTTTTTCTGTATTTTCTTGAAGTTCACTAAACTTCCTTAAAACAATTATTTTGAATTATTTGTCAGTCAATTTTTAAACCCCATTTCTTTGGAATCAGCTCTTTGAATATTATTGTATTATTTTGAGGTTTTATATCTCGGTTTTTCATGTTTCTTGCTGCCTTACATTGATGTCTGCACATTTTGTAGAGTAGTCACCTCTTCCAAACTTTAAAGGGTAGTTTTACTATAAAAAGACCTTCCCCTATGTATGGGTAAGGGGTTGCAAGGCCATTTTCTAGGTGGTGTACAGCAGTTCTGGCATCAGTGAGAATGCAGCTGTGTAGTCTCTATCCAACTCTGTCAGCTGAGATCAGTGTTGATGAAGAGTGCAGGTGTCCTTAGGGGTCAAAGCTATGCATGTCTGCAGTGAGTGGTGGTGAGGGTTGTTGGGGTCTTTGATAGTAATAACTGCTAAGGCTTTACTGATCTCTTGGGAACTTGTAACTGAGGAGATTCCCCTCAGTTTATAAACTTGTTTGCAGTGGTTGTGGCACTAGTGTTTGGTGGGTGGTGCTTATGCAGTGGTCATGGAGCTGAAGCCTGAAGCATGCACATGAGTGGAAAGACTATGGCTTTGGGCTTTGGAGAAGTAATGGCACTGGTACCTGGGGCATAGGCACCTCTGCTGTCATCTTGGCAACAGAATTCAATACGTTATGAGCTATTGTGCGTTGTTGATTAGGTTTTAGAATGTTTTTATTTCTTTCTTTTCCATGTTTTCTAAATATCCTATAATAAGATTTTTTATGTTTAAACTTAGAAAAATACTTTAAAATAAATATGTATGCATCTAATTATTTGTTGTATTCCTTAAATATTATTAAAAAAAATAAATCCACAGGACTTCTAGCCATGATGAAATAACAAATATTGAGCTTAGGTTCCTGCTGTAAACAACCAAAAATCTGGGGAAAATATATGAAACAACTGCTTCCAGACATAGTAAAAGCAGGAAATGCAAAACTTTGATTCCTAAGAGAAGATAACAAACTGACATGAGTACCGTACATATACTGGCTTTCTACCTGGATTTAATTACCAAATCATAAATAAACAGTTGGGGAATACAAAGAGAATTCAGTAGGCTTCCCTGAGTTGAGGTCATGTGGATCAAATTTTGAGAGGTTGAGCCAGCTAGAAATTATGAGTCAAAATTCTTGAAAGTAGACATCTACGTGTACAAATGCTTACATAGGGGTTCCATTGAGTCTTTGCTGACATGCATAGAAGTAATTCTCTTTCTGGAATAGCCAAAACAATTCTTACTAGATTGACTTTCTTGCAGATAACAATCATAAGCTCTGGACAAAATGCAAAGGAAATTATCTGAAAGAACTGGATAGTGCAAAACAGCAGGCAGATTCTGGAACTTGGAAGAAAAGCAGGTGTTGTTGTTGTTGTTGTTGTTTTGTTTTTGTTTTTTCATCTTTCAGCTGAGAAAGCTCTACTTGGCACCATGTAAAGGAGTTAAAACCTAATAATAATAATGTTAAAACCACACTATATTTTTCAGCCAAAAAACCTGGAGTATATCTTCTGTTAAGTGAAGGGGCCATGTAGGAGGAGACAGCACTAGACAGAGGGAGTCACAGATTCTGTGACACAGTCTGCCAAAGTCTGTAAGCTATGAATGCGTAGCACAGACTTCAAGCTATTTAACTAAAAGCAAAAGAATTAAACTTAGAGTTGAGTTGCTATGCAAAAGCAGAATTTGAAGTCTAAGTTCAACCAAGGTAATTGCCAGCTAAAACAAACAAAATAAGTGCTATTTTGGGAATAACATGGCAGAATCCAGAGTCCCTACTACATGACATCAATAATATCAAAAATTGATACAAAATTACTCAATAGTGAAGTGACAGGAAAATATGACTTATTCTCAAGAGAAAAGGTAATCAGCAGACTCCAAGATAGAATAAACAGAAAGGACCTTAGAGCAGCTATTATTACTATGCTAAATAGAAAAAAAGTTTGTGACAAATTAGCAGATAAATTTTAGTAGACAAATGGAAGCTATTTAAAAAAACACAAGAAAATAAACATGAATCTAGACTCTCTGTTCCATTCTGCACAAAATTCAAGAATTATTTTGGTTTATTTTCTTTCTCAGAAGTCTCTTCCAGATATCAGTTATTACTGAAAATCAATAGTCCTAGAAAATAACCTCAGAGCCATCTATAAATTATTTTTGATTTTCTAAATGCTTTAATGTTTGCTATATACAGGGTTACAATCTTGACTGGAGTGTCCTCTCTTCTTTTTCTGCTACATGGGCATTCACAAACTTCTAAAAGGGGCCAGAGAGCAAATATTTCAGGTTTTGCAGGCTAAAGGTTCTCTGTTGCAAATACTTAACTCTGCTATTTTAGTGTCAAAGCAGCCATATACAATACATAAGCAAATATGTGTGGCTGTATTCCAATAAAACTTAATTTACAAAAACAATAATTCAGATTTGATCTATAGCCCATAGTTTATTGACATTTTCTCCCGAATATATTTTACCTAATTCAAAATATAGATCAAAATGCATTTTATAGTTAGGCCTTGGAGGACCAAACCATTTCACTTACTCTATAATATCTGTAGTCACTCTAGAAGCATAAGTGAATAAGAAATTTAAATGAATGTGTGTGGGGGAACTGCTAAGACATGTTACCTGTATATTTGCCTTCTTTCTGATATGAGACTGTAAATTACTCAGTAGTAGTCCTCCAAGTCTCTCATTTCTATGCACACAAAAGGTGAACAAACATAGGTTATGATCCTGTTAATCAAGATGATATTAATGTAAACTTCTTACAAAGTATCCAAGTGATGTTTGCCATGAAAAAAAATCTTAGCAAAGAGAAGGACATCCGCTTTAAACCTATGCTTGATCTGTTTCTGGAGTGATCAAGTAGTTTGTAGCATAGCCAAGGGAAGAATGGGCATACATGTGGTATTTATCCTTGTTCTTTGGTTTGTAAGACTGAATAAATGGACATAACAAAAATAAAACCTAGCATACAGGATGGGCATGAGGCTGTGTTTGGTACAAATATATATACTTACAACACTTATTTGGGCTACTTGGTTAGAAGTGAAAAAAAAAAAGTTAATCCACAAACAAATACCAGTATTAAAGCTCATCACAACTGCTTTTAATTATGAATTAACTTTTAAAAGTTAGCTAAATACATCCACCACATTCCATTCTTCCCAAAAATTTATTAACAAGCTCTCTTGATCTAGGTTCAGTATACCTTTAGCAGTGAAATCAATTTAGTTCCAGTGAAAAAAGTGATTATATTATAATTCCCTGGATACATTAAGTGTACACAAAAGTCACATATTCCTGTCCTACTGGAGAGCTCTGGCTCACATATGGTTTCGGATATGCCTATTAGAGCCTTAGCTCAGTTTTGCTCATTTTGGAGTCCTTAAGAATGAGTCCTACTCCTCCATTCCCATACTAAGGCCTTCATGCAATGTGAGTCACTACCATCCTCTCTGATGGTATTTTTGTTGAGGTAGATCAGATTTGTGTTGAGCCCTCAAAATAGCAGGCTGTGTTTCTCTGTCCCATACAATATTATCACATCTACGCATCCTCAGCTCCATCAAATGACTTCCACAAATGCAGTTTATAAGGAATATAAAATATCAACATAGGGAGGCAGAAACCTGTATTTCAACTGCCTCTACTTGTCAATTTAATTGGTGCTTTGAGATATATGCTTAAAACACATGGAGTTCATCACTATACTCTCAGTGCTAGCATAATGTCCATCATATGTATGTTTAATAAGTAAATCAATAACCTTAAAATAAAAAATTAATAGTTCTTTACAACAATTTGTATTCTATCTCTCAGCTGTACTCTGTTTTACCATCTGTTACAACCAAATTAATTTCAGAAGTTAAAACTAAACTTTGGAATTATTAATAAAAGGGACACAAAATTACTTTATTTGTTCCCTGCTAATAAGGAACAGAAAGGCCCAAAAGAAGTATATTTTACATCTTAATCTTCAACATAAAATTGTTTATTTCATTCATAAAAGTATCTTCTTTTTTTCACGAAACCTAGGAAATCAAGAGGGTTTTCATAAAACCTGGCATATTAAAACAGAATTGCCTCCTGACTTGCCTGTGTTATACGTGTATATATTTCTCTTTGCCACTCCGCGTAAGTTTGAATACAGACAAGGTATGCTTAAGGGAAAACATAGTAATTTAAAGAGTCATCCTAATCCCAAATCTCATGTAAGTATATGGTTTTCCATATTTAAAATTAACATCCAGCGTAGTCAGGTGTTCATGAGCCAAGCTACTGCACAAATGAGCCTGATGAAGAGAGACCCACATAACTCAGACGCTAGTCCCACCCCTATCAACAACAGTCTTATGGAATATTATTTTGAGAGGCTATTTGTCTTTCAGTATCTGATCCTTTAAGACATGAGAAACATACCCCACCATGGCTTGTCCATACTACTCTACCTCCACTTTCCCAAAGTTGCCTTTTATTTCCTTACCTCCAAGATAGCACATTTCCTAAGGGTAGCTGATGCTTTCCTACTGTAGTCTGATGAGAATGCTGCTCCAAGAGGTAAATGTGGGGTGCAGAGGAAACAATTCTTTACATCTTTACAGCCCCATAAATATCTTTAAAGCAAGAAGGAAACAAAATTAAAAGTATCAAAATAAAAGTATAAATGTGACGGAACCAATCAACGTTGCTTATGAGCACCCTCTTCCTGCCTTACACTGTGTCTGCAGGAGTTTAAATATACCAGTGAAGTGTGTGCGTGTGTGTATAATCAATAAGTACAATAAGAGTTTAAGACATAGTCACTCTTTTCACTTGCTTGTAATCTTGTGGAGGCAAAATTTACCCACTTAAAACAGCAAAAGTATAATAAACTCAGAGATGCCTATAGTAAGTATAATAGATATTCAAAAAAGAGAATAGATTGTGTTATATTGTTATATAGAGTCAATTTTAATTTTTCTATTAGTGATATTCAAAAGTAATCTTCATTGGTTATCCACACAGTTACTAAGAAATTATCTCACTTATTTAAACTGCTAAAGCTGAACCCTTTCCAGTAAAACTAAATCTGAAACTATCACCCCAGAGAGTGGAACACAGAGGTTAAGCATACAAACGCTGCAGCTGGAGTGTCTGCACTCATGTTTTGACTTTATTAGGTATGTGACCTTGGGCAAATTACCTCACCTCTTTGTGCCTCACTTTCCTAATTTGTAAGGTGGTATATTTCTAAATTTTTCCATGGGATTACAGTGAAAATTAAGTATCTTCATATTATTTCTAGTATAGTCCCTGCTGGTAAGCATCATGTAAGTTTTCACTATTATTTCAAATACAAGGATTTGTATAAGCATTGTGTAAGCATTTGCTATCATTTCTGGTTTCTACCATCAAGTAGCTGATCTTCTCCTACATGGTAATATAATTTGGGAATGATAGAGCAGCACAGTGCCCTGCAACTGGAAGTTCATGGTTGCTGAATGAAAGAGTCCAAATCAAGCAGAGTACAGATAGGTTGAGTGTGCCCAGAAGGCATTGGAATAAGTTATTTGAAAAAAATGGCCTAATCCTCCATTTCTTTGAGAAAGAAAACAGAGTTACTTTAAAGGGTTAAGAAGCCTTCACATCCGGAGGCTGACAACCTATGTCGAAATACTAAAATCATGTTTGAATGTGCTAGTTTTATGAGGCTGAAGCCTCAATTAGCCAAGGGAGGCCTGTATACATCACTGCTTCTTTCTTCCTGAAGAAGACATGCAGATTAATTTATTCAATGTCCCGAGATTTTCAGATATAACCATCAGTGCCACACTGCTTGAAAGTGGTAGGAAATGGTTGGGCGCTGTGGCTCACGCCTGTAATCCCAGCACTGTTGGAGGCTGAGGCGGGTGGATCACCTGAGGTCAGGAGTTCAAGACCAGCCTGGCCAACATGGCGAAACCCCGTCTCTACTAAAAATACAAAAAATTAGCCAAGCGTGGTGGTGGGCACCTGTAATCCCAGCTACTTGTGAGGCTGAAGCAGGAGAATTGTTTGAACCAGGGAGGTGGTGTTGCAGTAAGCCGAGATGGCACCTTTGCACTCCAGCCTGGGCAACACAGCAAGACTCTGTCTCGAAAAAGAAAAAAAGAAAGTGGTAGGAATTTAGACAGACTAGACATGTTGCCTTAAATCACTCAGTTATGTTTCCTTCTCTCGATAGGGAAATTTTGTATTCCCTTTTCTTTACACGAAAAGTCAGAAAGTTCACATCTACCTTCATAGTTGAAAGAGGAGGGCCCGGTTTGACTGGGAATAGCCTTGAAGATAATTGTCTTCATTCCATACCTTATTTTTGCTTCTGTAATGTTTTACAAAGACTTTTTTCAAAAGTCACTTTTACACCTATTGTTTGCATATAACCTCACAAAAAAAGCAGTTGTCTTTATCCTCATTTTTTAATGAGTAAACTGTGGATTAAAGACATAAAATGTTTTTATTCAATCACCTTTTCACAGCAAAAATGGGACTAATCCAAGTTTGGCTGGCCCTCAAACCCCTTCTCTTTCTAATCTTCATTGCTGAATATTTTTTTAAATTTTTCAGAGACACAGTGCAGTGGCATAATTACAGCTCACTGCAGCCTTGAACTCCTGTGTTCAAGGAATCCTCCCACCTCAGCCTCTCAAGTATGTAAGACTACAGATGTGGGCCACCATGCCTGGCTATTTTTTTTTTCTGTAGAAACAGAGTCTTACTATGTTGTCCAGGCTGGTCTTAAACCCCTAGGCTCAAGTGATCCTCCTGCCTCAGCCTCTCACAGTGCTGGGATTACAGGTGTGAGCCACTGTGCCTCACCTGAAAATTTGAATTTTCTTAGCTTCAGGTAAAAATGCAAAAATAGGGCTGTAAAATTACTTGGAGAAAATGTATTAATGTAACTTATATTGCTTTATAGTTTATCCAGTTATATTTGTAACCAAGAGGAATGAAAAATGATTGTTTACTGTCTTTCTCCCAAATCCTCTTGACCCTTTCCCATAAGGGAGAATCTCAATTAACATACAACTTCACGTTTTATATTGTGAGTTTCCATGAACTTCCTTTTCAGTATTTCTTGGATTCTTCAAATCAACCCCACACAGCTGATAGACAACTGGAGTTTACCCTTTTCCTCAACCCCACACAGCTGATAGACAACTGGAGTTTACCGTTTTCCTCAACCCCAATCTTCCAAACAAGAGAAAAAAAAATCCCACGATCAGGGTACAAAGAGCTTTACTGAACTCTTAAAAAATGTTCATACCCCATTCTCTTTTTGAAAAATTGACGCATTCATACATTCACCAAAATATTTACTAAGAAACTATGATAAGCTGAGCTCTGGAATATATGTAGGGAAAGAGATTTTAAAAGTAATAATACAATGAAATAAATTATGATCTCAAAGTGCTTACGTTCAGTGAAACAGCCCAGTTGCAAAGCTATATTTTAATGCTATATGTTTAATGCTCTGAGATGTCTAGGGAAGCCTTCCTGGGGAAATGTCATAACATATAAAAAAAGACCCAGATCTTGTAGCAACACTAAACATTGGAGGAAGAGGAAACACCTGTTTCCACTGAAATGGCACCAGTACCACTGTAAGTTGGCTGGGAACAAGATGGAAAATGGGGCGTGGAAAGAGTTGGTGCTCCCCTTTCCCCTTCCAAAATATTTTTTAACATATAGATGAAGTCAGCATTGAGACAAATTTAAAGCGAAAGGAGTATACAAGCAACCTGGAAGCAAAAGGGTGGAGTGGGGAGGGCTTTCCATCATCTTCCATTGAGGTGTTGTAGGAAGGATTGCCTAAGGTGAGTCTGTACAGCCACTTCACTACTTCCTTCTGTCTCTCAAATATTTCCAGATTCATCGGAAAGGTCAGGCACAAATCAGTGACCCTGGGGCATAAGAAAAAGTACACAAATAAAATACAAGAATGATGAGACTCTGGTTGAGGGAAAGAGAGGGGAAAATAAATACAAACAGACAGAAAAGATGAGGAGCAGAGATTTTAAGCCATGTAGAAGGCAAAAATTTTAGAAACTTGGTGCAAGTAAGCAAGATGTACTTTTACTATCGATAGGATTTTGTCTGTCTGTTCTTTCTTCTTTTACTTCTTTTCTTTATTTTTGAAGCATTCTGACATCCTTCTTGAAGAAAACTTTTAGCAGAGATACAAAGAAACAAGTCAAATAAATATTTCTTAATCTAATAGTCTAATTCAGTTCTAGTACACTCAATGACAATTGATAAGCCAATGAATCAGTCAATCAATCAATGATTTCAGTAGTTTAAAATTTATAATTATAAGCTGGATGAGGTGGTTTACACCTGTAATCCTAGCACTTTAGGAGGCCAAGGCAGGCAGATCACTTGACCTCAGGAGGTGGAGACCAGACTGGTAAACATGGTGAAACCTCATTTCTACAAAAAAAAAATACAAAAATTAGCCAGATGTGGGTATGTGCCTGTATTTTCAGCTACTCAGAGACTGAGGTGGGAGGATCCCTTGAGCCTGGAAGGTCAAGACTGCAGTGAGCCATGATCACACCACTACACTCTAGCCTGGGCGATAAGGTGAGACTCTGTATCAATAAAAAGAATGAATGAATTAATTAAAATTATAATTATATAAAGGACACTGTGGCAAATAGTGGGGACATTTGACATGATTGAAGGGAGGAAGGATAATAAATGGTAAAGTAATGAGTCTAAGAGTGCCAAAGTGTATGTAAAAGGGAAATCCTAAGTATGTCTCAGTCTCAAAGAGGGAAAGGGAGCCTGTGTTCAGAAGCCTAAGTGAGCAGCAAATTGAAGTCACGTCCTAAGCTGAGGCTATACCTACTGATGTGGTTTGGGTCTGTGTCCCCGCCCAAATCTCATGTCAAATTGTAATCCCCAGTGTTGGAGGATGGGCTTGGTGGGAGGTGATTGGATTATGGGGGTGGATTTCCCCCTTACTGTTCTTGTGATAGTGAGTGAGTTCTCATAAGATCTGGATGTTTAAAAGTGTGTAGCACCTCCCCCTTCTCTCTCTTCCTTTTGCTCTGACCATGTGAGATGCGCATGCTTCCTTTTTGCCTTCCACCATTAAAGTAAGTTTTTTCAGTCTTCTCCAGCCATGCTTCCTGTACAGCCTGGGGAATCATGAACCAATTAAACCTCGTATCTTTATAAATTACCCAGTCTCAGGTATTTCTTTATAGCAGTGCAAGAACAGACTAATATACCCACATACTGATAAAGGAAAATTAGTATGAGATATGTCCAAGTGGTATATATATATATATATATAAGAGATAGTTAATCTTTAATGAGACTATCTGGGGAACAAGGTGAGAAACCACTTCAGTTATCTATGCTACCTGAATTTTTAATGTTGAGTAATTTTAAGGATAAATGCAATCAAATATTTTTAAAGACCGCACATCTGCAATGTCTGATCAGAGGGCTCTAGTATAGATTGGTTATATTAAGATAAGGTCTAGGAGTTTAGAAGAACTTAGCTGTTTGTGGGGAATAAACACAGCTGATGTCTACCTGCCCATCATGGTATGACCCCCTGGGTTTTTCTTGGGGATGGGGGCTGACCATTCTTATTGGTTAGGCACTTCTTTTGATTGATGTGCCTCTGCCATTATGATTGTTACATATTTTGAATAACACTCCTGGAATAAACTCCATTGCAGAAATGTGACCTAATAACACAAAAAGCATCCCTTGTCAAGTGGCATTGCTTGCTCTAAGTTGCATATTATAAAGAGCAATCCTGCTGGTGCACTGGCTCTTTTTCCCCTTGGAGTAGAACCCATAAACAAGTAAGATCTCCTAGGAACCACCTATGTTTAAATCAATAACTATATGAAGCTAGTATGTTATGCTGTAACTATCAAGCAGACTGTCCCTGAGAAAACCAGGACTGTTTATTGGCAGGTAGGAATCCCTTGGGAAATATAATCCTCCTTATCCATTTACATAAGTATTCCCTTCCTATACTTGGGGAGAAGATATGAAAAAGCCTTGATCTCCTGATGTGTTCCCAAGTTTACTATTGCCAAAGAGATCTGTAATCCAACAAGAAAAAAATCTCCATGTACTTGTGGACTCTTCCCAGCCCTTCCGCTCTCTTCAGTACTCAGGTGTACTCAGGTGCAGTCATCTTTCAGACCCAGCCACTGTAGTACACAGACTTTTTGGCTCATGCACTGCAAACTCTGGACTCTCTTTCACAAACTGTTGTGCAATGTGTAAGGAATATCAACCACATCAATAATTAAATATATGGCAATAATCATTGCAGGAATGTGTGCAATGTCAATCCACGTGGGAGCTGAGAAGCAGTAAATGCTTCGGAGTAAATTCTCCAACCAGGGCAGAGACTGATGGCTCTACACAACTGCTTGCTGAAATCTATATGACCTCCACAAATCTAGCTCCTAGCAGGCAAAAAAATTCAATGGAGCTGCAAAAGGAAGTGCAGGAGAGGGGAATAGAAAGAAACACTCTCTTGTATCCAATATGTTTTTCTTTTCCTTTTACAGGAAATGGAAGAATATGTTTTTCTTTTCCTTTTACAGGAAAATCACTTTCTTATTTAGGTGTTTTAAAAACACATTTTATTATATCTCTTGTGTTGAGACATGTCACATGACCTCGTAGAATATGATTGGCATCTGCTCTGAGTTAGAAGAAAAAGCTATCATGGATGAATAAGGTTGACATTCAGATGTTCATTGAATACATTTCATCTCCTGGAGTTTATATTTTTCTGTTTTTTTTTTTCTTTTGTGTGTGCGTGTGTGTGTGTGAATTTAGGAATGATTTTCATAGCACCGATCTTCTAAGACATCTGGTCCTAGATGGCAAAAAAGCCATGTTGTTCAGACAGTGGCAAGTTCTCCAGAGAGGACACTATTTGCTTTGCTTCATTTCTAGAGCAGCCTACATGTGACAACATGGCTTTCATTTCCCTTCCTGTTCTTCTCTCTACACATGCCTGTCAAAAACTAGAAAATCAAATACTCATGCCCTGACCAAAGACTTATGCCTGCTATTTTCCCTATGGAAAATAGCTTTGCTCTGGTTGGAAAGAGATATCTTATCATACATTGTATGTGTAGGGTATGAATTCTGATTGCTTGCCACCAGACCATGAAGCACAAGAAGAGTGACTAATAACCATACACTTGTCAGTTGGAGATGGAACTGGTAGATAGAATTTGAACGCTAGCTGACTGTAGAATTATTTGCCACCTTAGTCCCTACTGATATTTCTGCAAAATACTTCACTTGGGCTCAAGAATAGAACCAGAGGCAGACAGAGAATTCAACAATGGTTATTTATTCGATTAATGTATTAATTCCACAAATATTTTTAAGCCTCTTCTATATGCCCTAGACAAAGCACTGAGGATACAGAAATGAAGAGCACAGCCCTATAGGAGCTCGACTTCCAAAAACAGCAACATAATATAAACTTGTAAACACATAAAAATATGATATAATGTCATGTACTGTAAGTGCTGAAAAGCATAATAAAGCAAAAGATGGAGCTACAATCCAGGTGCACTTTAGATGTGCCTTCAGAGGAAGCCTCCTTGATCTGCGTGTGTATGTGGGAGAAGTAATTTGAACAATCAAACAAGGGTTAAGAGCATAGAGTATTATTTTATTTTATTTTATTGTAGAAGATAGCATGAATTTAAAGACAGTAAAATGCATGACATTATCTAAATTCACAAATATAAACTTTTTTGCGCATTATTTACACAATTTTGTGAAGTGGATAGAAGGTGTTAATTTTATCCTCTTCCCCTACAAAGTAAACTGTTAATAAAAAATTCACATAGATTGTAAGAGGCATAACCAGGATCATGAACAAAGACTTCCTGACTCCAAATATAACATGTGCTCAAAACACAATATTTGCCATCTATAACCAAATAGAGGTATTGAAGTTCGCAGAGGAGCTCTTTTATTATGGGTTGTAAACTGAAGTAGACCTGCCCTATTTATGGCCCCCGAGTGGAAGCCCGTATTTGTGTCTTCTACTCATGTCCTCTTTCCCTCAGATTTTAACCAGAGGGTTAAAATATAACTCCTAACCCAAAAGGAAGAGGCATCCAAAGACTTGGGTGAGCAGCCCAGGTTCCATCTGGTAAAAACTTGTTTTTTGTTTTTTTTGTTTGTTTTGAGACAGAGTCTTGCTCTGCCACCCAGGCTGGAGTGCAGTGGCATGATCTTGGCTCACTGCAACCTCCACCTCCCAGTGATTCAAGCAATTCTCCTGCCTCAGCCTCCTCAGTAGCTGAGATTACAGCCATGTGCCACCATGCCCGGCTAGTTTTTGTGTTTTTAGTAGAGACAGGGTTTCACCATGTTGGCCAGGCTGGTCTCAAATTCTTGACCTCGTGATCCACCTGCCTCAGTCTCTCAAAG
The DNA here is from genome assembly GCF_000001405.40 of Homo sapiens. NCBI lineage: Eukaryota > Metazoa > Chordata > Mammalia > Primates > Hominidae > Homo > Homo sapiens. Next base: position 99,353,486 of record NC_000003.12, read on the forward strand.
TGCTGGGATTACAGGCGTGAGCCACTGCGCCTGGCCCCATGTGGTAAGAATTTGAACTAAGAGGTCAATGATCTGTAGACAATGGAACTCATAGGTCAACTCAAACTGAGAGAGGAACAGAGAAAGTTTATAGGGTGAGAGGGAATAAAAGAGGAAAGTAGAGAAAGAAGTAACTAACACTGAGAAACAGAGACAACTACATCTGTCCTGCAGAAAGTAAGGAATTACCCAAGATACTGTGTCAAATCCTCAAACACAGCATACATCATTGGTAGCTAGACTGAGAAAATCAATGATTTTTATCCTAATAAATATCTCTAGGAATAAAATGACTGTTATTTGACAAGGATAAGATAGGAGCTGAAGTACTGTCATCACTCATTTACTGGTAGAAATAAAAAATGTAGATCCTCTAAAAATCTCAGTTGTGCTGTCTTTTTCAACTTCACCCACAGTAAAGAGCTATATAGTATTTCAGAACTGGAAGAGAACTCAGAGTTCATCAAGTCCAAGTAGGCCAAAATAATTTGATTTTATTTGGCCACGTAATATCCCTGTGAGGTTCAGAGAAGCAGAGATTACAGATGGACAAGCTAAGGCACCCGAGGCTTCACCCAAGTCATGGGCTTATGTATGGCACAAAACTCCTGGCTTCCAGTCCTGTGTCTCTTCTTCAACAACAGTTACATAACAGAACATACTTTATTATCTTAAAGCAGCCACTCTGTCAAGCTTAAAAAGAATAAGGCTTAAGAACTCCACTTCACGGCTAGGAGAGTGGCTCATGCCTGTAATCCTCAGCACTTTGGGAGGCCGAGGCAAGCGGATCAGCTGAGGTCTGGAGTTTGAGACCGGCCTGACCAACATGGAGAAACTCCATCTCTATTAAAAATACAAAATTAGCTGGGCTTGGTGGTGCATGCCTGTAATCCCAGCTACTTGGCAGGCTGAGGCAGGAGAATCTCTTGAACCTGGAAGGAGGAGTTTTCAGTGAGCCAAGATCCTGCCACTGCCCTCCAACCTGGGCAACAAGAGCAAAACTCCATCTCAAAAAAAAAAAAAAAATAGAACTCCACTTCAAAATAACCACAGGCCAGAGTGATCACAAAAGCAAAAGACCTTAAATGAATACAAACGAAATAAAAAGTAGAGACTTAGATGAGGAGACTCTTTCGGGGCCTAGTGGCTTCTACAACAGCATGTGTTCAAAAAACTTCTAAGCTTACTCTCTGGTCCTATCCTGTTTATTGAGATGAATTGCTCAATTCACCAAAATTCTCCAGGCCCAATTTTCATCTTCTAGGTAGAAGTAAGTTCTGATAAACCAGCATGCTATGAGGAATACAAATGAGCAAAATGAAAGGGACACTCTCTACAGCATGAAGAGCTATAAAGTAATGGGTTGATAAAGTTGAAAAGTGGCCTTGACAGGTAATCTAGCTGCAAAATATAGAATAAGGTAAATTATTATCTGCTACCCTGGCAGCTATTAGAGAGTTGAAAATACGTGTATTTGTATTTCCAGAACACTTTATCACACAATTGGGAAGAATGCAGAATGGAGAGGGATTCACTTATCTACTTCCATTGCTCCCCTCCATGATGGGGGTTTTTGCTTAGTCCGAGATGAGAGTTGATTGGGGCAACAGAGGTAGCCATGAAGTAGAATGAAGTTTATTCCTGGAAACATTCTGCCCATTCCCATTCTTACTGCCACCCCCACACTACTGCTCAGCTGCCTCCTCACTATCTTTTGCCATATTTAATAAATGTCTTTATGCTATCCATCTTTATCCAAGGCTTCACACTATTAACTACTACAAGGAATGTTTTTCCCCAAGAAATAAGTTCCTTTCCCCTCTAGACTTACTAACTAATAGTCATCACATCAACTTCATGTACTCTTCCACAAACATTTGTGGACCCTATTATTTATTAGGCACCAGCTTTAGCTTGTAGCTTCTCACCTCACCAAAATCCTTAATCAGATAAAATGCAGCTAGGTTCCAAAAGATGCTGATGCTAGAAATGTCAGTTGTACAGCAGGCCAACAGAGCCTGGTACTTCCAACCCCTAGAGACGGGGCAATGAGTCATGTGAGGCAAGGCTGCTGCTTGAATGGCTGAACAGAGTCAGGACCTGACAGTGGCCCTAGACTTCCTGTTCTCTGAACAGCTGCTGAGCCCAAGCTTTCATCAGCGGATGCATGAGTAGAAGGGAAGTTCAACCCTGGGCAGCTTCCATGCAGTCAGAGGATGTGAGTGACCATCAGATATTGATCTGGCTTATTCCCTTTATGCCCCAAAGACAAACAGATCTTTTCACAAAAGGTAGAATGAGGTCTAATGCACACACATGACCTCAGGTTGAGGAACAGCAAAGTGTTTTCAGATATCACCATTGATGTTCAGAAAGATGCTCCATTTTTCTCCATGCAGTTTAAGTGCCATTTTTTCAACCCTCATAGCACTTGTTATGAATAAACGAGGCAGGCTTTGTTACCTACCACCTGAAATTCTATAACAAGTATTTTTCAGCCTTGGCCAGCATTCTAAAGAGAACAGCTTAATTCTCACCACTGCAAAGTCCAAGGAAATCAGAATATGAACCCACCGTTGATATATTTTCTTTTGACATATACAATTTTACTGAAACGGCTGACTTAGAGTTTGAAATGCAAAGATGTTTCATTTGAAAATTTTACAGGGACTATGGCTTCAGGAAAGCTCTTTATATCTCTATTACAGTAATGCCATATTGACTACCTGTTTGAATTCACTATATTCTTAAATCTAGAAGGCTTTTCAAAAAGGTTCAAACTATAATCCCAAACATAAACCTCCTTTGTCTTTATTATTCATTTTATAATTGTATACCAATGACCAATATGAAAGATGTTTCATTTAGCACTATAGCTAGCGGTATATCCATTCCTGCATTTCTGAGACATCTGCCAAGGTCCATGTTTGAGCAAAAATATCATGTATTCTGTGTTGATCTCAATTTCCTAGGAAGATATGTGAGATGGGAATAGGCAAATTGACATTGCACTTTAGTGTCTGCTGGAATTATTTTGGATCCTTGATATATAGAAAAGTGGTTTGGATAGTTGGCCAGGCCAGACATAGTGCATCCCTGTTTCAAGGAAGGCAAAGCAATACACTGGGCCATTCCTAAGCATTGGGGAAATGCTGTTTGATTAGGGAAGTTGCTAGTTCTGGAGAATGAGTGATGTAAATACTCCGTGAGGAAAGTTATTGGTCAGTTGATAGGTCAGCCATGGTTTGAAGACTTTTTCTTTTAACATAACAATTTGTTTTCAGACTTTTAAAAATCTCTAATAGACTCAATGCTAGCCAAGTATTTGGTGGTTTTGTGAAGGTTTTTGGGATTCATGTCAACTGCAGTTCTTCAGAAACCCGTTTAAGATGTTGTTTCCTTTCCATATGGCATTCTAAAAGGGAACAAGGGATTACAAATTTAAGATTGTGACAAAAAAGAATGTTCTTTGTAACTATTTCTGTATTTTCTAAGCTTTGTAAATGAGTTTGACTCATATTTTGCCAAGACTGAATACTAGGTTTATTACTGGATTGTGATTTAAAACAAAAACAAAAATACATATATTCTTGGCAACTGGAACGCTTATATATGTATAATTTGTTGTAGGCTTTTGGTTTGCATTTTTGCTATGTTTTGAAGTTTGATTGACTCTATAAATGAGTCTTGAAGAAGGATAAATCATCTAAGCTTTATTTCAAGTCTTTCAAAGCAGAATTAGCACAATTTTAAAGTCTAAGACACTGAGCATTCTTTGCAAGGCTTACCTCATTATTTCACACTGCATACTGGGAATACCACATTCTCATGGACTTTCAAACACTCTTAAGGCTGTAACTTTGTCCACTCTTACAAATTTGACTCTGCTAGACACGCCAAGTAATGTATCCTTCTGAGAAACCTTGGAGTCTCTTCTGAGACCATGGCTCCCTTCAGGGTGGTTCTCCATTCATAGATTGCTGCACTTTATGTCTTATAATCTTCACCCCTTACCCTTCAACTGTGGTTGCAACATCTCTGTCCAGATAATGCATGGCCAATCCAAATGCAGCATCCACAGACTGGGCAAGAACCACAAGAAGTCCAGCTGGAAAACTCCACTCAATAACATAATGGAATGACTGATACCATCAGATCTCTCACTGAGAGATCTGACTGAGAGATGTACAAACTCAGAGTGAGTAGTGGGAACGAATTTGAGAGATAAATGAAATAAGATAGAAGGTGCAAACAAGGGGTAGAAGCCTGAAGGAAGCACAACCCATAAGTTGCAGATTTAGTTCTCAAGCAGAAGTTGTGAAATGGAAGGAAGGAGAGAGAATAGAAAGATTTATTAGTGGTAGAAGGTTTCGAAGAGAAAATAGGTAGAGAACAAGGCAGAGGGGAAACTAAACCATGAACATGGCAGAGTATCAATGGGGGTTGCCACACACCACCACAGCTGAGATATTAGAGAAACGGATGCATTCTGACCAGCTGCCCAGTCCTCTGTAAGTTTGACTGTGGAGTACTTGAGGTTACACCCTGCCCTCCTTTATTCCCCTTACAACACATCCTCACTAACTAAAACACAAGAGTAGGGCTTTTTCCACTTTCTGACAAAAGACATTGAAACCTTAGGTAAATAATTCATTTACTAAAATGAAATATCTATTTTGTGGGTTGGTGCTCCCACAGGTTCTGTGAAGACTATAAATATGAAAATCTGCAATCACGGCTTTCAAGGGGCTCATTTGTTTAAAGATATCAGTCCATAGTGTGTTGATGAAGGGAGGGAAGGTCTAAAAGCAGGCACCATGGAACCAAATTGCCTGAGTTCAAATCCTGGCCCCAATATCAACTAGCTGTATGACCTTGGGCCAGTTCCTGAACCTCTTTGTGCTTAGGTTTCCTCATCTATAAAAGAGGGAAACACTCTAAAACCTACCTCATAGTAGTGTTCTTGTAAGGGTAATATGAGTTAAGTTCTATAAAAAGCTCAGAATAGAGTTGAGAGTAACTGAGGTTGTCCAGGCCCTTCTCAGATGTCTTGAATTTTTGTGGAAAAGGAAGGAATCGGGTGGATTAGAAGCACCTATTCCTCATGCGAGAACAGTGTTTATGCCAAATCAGGCAGGGTGGTTCGGGAGTTACACCTATATTCCAAGGCAACTGTCCACAGAACAGACATCCACCCAGTGCTCCTGAGCCTTGGCACAGAAGATCCCTCCTCTCTTCAGTCACTCACATGCCAGGGAAGAAATTTGGTTCTCCTGCCTCCCTGCCTGGCTCCTGTCAGCCAGACATCTGCTACATATGCTGCTGTTGTTTCTGCTTCACCTTTCCCCACATGATCTTATTCTTGCCCCTTCTCTTCCCTTGTCATTCTTTCTTACGGGAAAGATGCTGGGGCAATTTTCTTTACAACATATGGAACCATGCAAAACATATATTTCTGCTTGGCTCTGGTGTGTTCTTGAGTCAATCAAGACCATCTGCGTTTGCATATCTAATATCCCCCAGTCTACCCCATCTCCTACATCGAATTATTTCTGTATAATTTAACAGTGTCTTTGTGCTACAAAGCCCTTAATAATTTTTAAACAAAATTGCCTTAATACATAGCAATTGCTAAATGCAATACGGAAATATTTATTTCTTTTGCCAGCTGTAGATTTCAAAGGCTGCCTTGCACAACTTGCAGAACTCTTTGTGATACAAACTATATAAGGTATGTTTCTTAAAAGTCACTTTTTTGGGGAGTCTAGCCACACATCACATTCAATTCTACTAGACATGAACTTTGAAAAATCATCAGCAAGTTAACTGCCCAAGGAAAGAATTCAAACCAGCCCTGTAATGTTTAATTTCCCCTTGACCATTCCATGGCTGACATCTGATATGCAGTGCTGAGTCTTTCCGATGGCACCTGTTTTCCAATTGTTGACCTGTACTTATCATCACTGCAAAACACTAAGGCATGAATTCTACTGATAGCGGGAAATCCAGCTGGAAAGTAACACCATCAAAGCATCATGGAATATGTGATAAGGTTACATAACTATAGTCATGTACAAGCACCAAAAATAAACAATAATTTTTGTAATAATATACTTATAAAATTATTTAAATGTTCAGGAATCAGGAATTTCTCAGTAGATTTAGAAATATTTCAAAAATCATTCTTTCAGGGATTTTTAAAGTCCCACGAGTATGCCATTTTCTCGAATGAGTCTTTGAAATTGCTTCAGTTCTTCTGACGCATTCAGCAAATGCTGTGATCTAAACCTTTGTTGTAAGCAGTAGACTTGGATAGATTCTGTGCGGAATACAACAATACACGGGACACAGATTTGAGGCTCCAAGGAGTTTACAATCTAGTAAAAAGAAATAAGACATATATACATGTGTTCAGCAGATTGATAGCCATCATAAAGATGTTTGTGCCCTACACTCAGGAACCTGTGAATATATCACCTTACATGGCAAAAAGTACTTTGCAGATGTGATTAAAATTAAGCTTCTTGTGATGGGAGAGATTATCCTGGATTATCTGGGTGGGCCCACCATAATCACATGATTCCTTAAAATGAGAGACTATTCATAAGCAGAGAAAGATGTAAATGGTCAGAGAAATACAATATTGCTATCATTGAAGATGAAAGGGGCCCATGAGCCAAGGAATGTGGGTGGCTTGAAAAGCTGGAAGAAGCAAGAAAACGAATTTTCCCCTAGAAAATTTTCCAAAACAGAACTCAGCCCTGCTAACATCTTGATCTGAGCCAAGTGACACCCATGTCACATTTTTCACCCCCAGAACTATAAGCTAACAAACTTTGTGTTGTTTTAAACCAGTGAGTTTGTGGTAATCTATTAATGTAGCAACACAAAACTAATACAATGTGTAACTTGCATACAAATTAGAATGTGTCAATTGCTGTAGAAGAGATATAAAGTGAAGGAGATCTTAGATGAAGGTTAGCATGGCAAAATTAACTGTCTATCTTCTCTCTGACCTTTATCTTTCTTGACTCTATGACTCTTGGATTTGTAACAAATAACATCCATATCAAAACAACATTGTAATGTCCTCCCCATCTTCCTGGGAACTCTGCAGCATAAAACTAAGGAAATCGTGCAAATGGGATGAATGACTTTTACAAGATGAGAAGTTAGCAAAATTGGCTATTCCTGCACTGAACAAAATTCACATCCAAGAAAAAGTTTCCAAAGCCATGTCTAATGCAGCCCAAAGTAAGTTTCTGAGATCACAAAGGTAGATTTATGGTAGGATCACAGTGGCATCAAATGCTATTGCTACCTAAGACTTTTTCATTAAAAAACAAATTATTCTTATAGAATTTCCAGAATGTGATACCCACTTTAGCAAGATAAAGAAACTAGCTCCAAATAACAACTCCTTTGCTGTAGTCTGCATGGTGAGTCAAAGATGGAGTTCAAATTCATAAAATGTTTTTGACTAAATTAAAGAGAAAATCAAAAACAAAAAGGGGGGGGATAGCTCTTATTATTTTGAAATATGTCCCATCAATACCTAATTTACTGAGAGTTTTTAGCATGAAGTGTTGTTGAATTTTGTCAAAGGCCTTTTCTGCATCTATTGAGATAATCATGTGGTTTTTTTCTTTGGTTCTGTTTATATGCTGGATTACATTTATTGATTTGCGTATATTCAACCAGCCTTGCATCCCAGGGATGAAGCCCACTTGATCATGGTGGATAAGCTTTTTGATGCGCTGCTGAATTCGGTTTGCCAGTATTTTATTGAGGATTTTTGCATCAATGTTCATCAAGGATATTGGTCTAAAATTCTCTTTTTTGGTTGTGTCTCTGCCAGCCTTTGGTATCAGGATGATGCTGGCCTCATAAAATGAGTTAGGGAGGATTCCCTCTTTTTCTATTGATTGGAATAGTTTCAGAAGGAATGGTACCAGCTCCTCCTTTTACCTTTGGTAGAATTCGGCTGTGAATCCATCTGGTCCTGGACTCTTTTTGGTTGGTAAGCTATTGATTATTGCCACAATTTCAGATCCTGTTATTAGTCTATTCAGAGATTCAACTTCTTCCTGGTTTAGTCTTGGGAGAGTGTATGTGTCCAGGAATTTATCCATTTCTTCTAGATTTTCTAGTTTATTTGCATAGAGGTGTTTGTAGTATTCTCTGATGGTAGTTTGTATTTCTGTGGGATTGGTGGTGATATCTCCTTTATCATTTTTTATTGCGTCTATTTGATTCTTCCCTCTTTTTTTCTTTATTAGTCTTGCTAGCGGTTTATCAATTGTGTTGATCCTTTCAAAAAACCAGCTCCTGGATTCATTAATTTTTTGAAGGGTTTTTTGTGTCTCTATGTCCTTCAGTTCTGCTCTGATTTTAGTTATTTCTTGCCTTCTGCTAGCTTTTGAATGTGTTTGCTCTTGCTTTTCCAGTTCTTTTAATTGTGATGTTAGGGTGTCAATTTTGGATCTTTCCTGCTTTCTCTTGTGGGCATTTAGTGCTATAAATTTCCCTCTACACACTGCTATTTATGACAAACCCACAGCCAATATCATACTGAATGGGCAAAAACTGGAAGCATTCCCTTTGAAAACTGGCACAAGACAGGGATGCCCTCTCTCACCACTCCTATTCAACATAGTGTTGGAAGTTCTGGCCAGGGCAATGAGGCATGAGAAGGAAATAAAGGGTATTCAATTAGGAAAAGAGGAAGTCAAATTGTCCCTGTTTGCAGATGACATGATTGTATATCTAGAAAACCCCATTGTCTCAGCCCAAAATCTCCTTAAGCTGATAAGCAACTTCAGCAAAGTCTCAGGATACAAAATCAGTGTGCAAAAATCACAAGCATTCTTATACACCAATAACAGACAAACAGAAAGCCAAATCATGAGTGAACTCCCATTCACAATTGCTTCAAAGAGAATAAAATACCTAGGAATCTAACTTACAAGGGATGTGAGGGACCTCTTCAAGGAGAACTTCAAACCACTGCTCAATGAAATAAAAGAGAATACAAACAAATGGAAGAACATTCCATGCTCATGGGTAGGAAGAATCAATATCCTGAAAATGGCCATACTGCCTAAGGTAATTTATAGATTCAATGCCATCCCCATCAAGCTACCAATGACTTTGTTCACAGAATTGGAAAAAACTACTTTAAAGTTCATATGGAACCAAAAAAGAGCCCGCATCGCCAAGTCAGTCCTAAGCCAAAAGACATTTATGCAGCCAAAAAACACATGAAAAAATGCTCACCATCACTGGCCATCAGAGAAATGCAAATCAAAACCACAATGAGATACCATCTCACACCAGTTAGAATGGCAATCATTAAAAAGTCAGGAAACAACAGGTGCTGGAGAGGATGTGGAGAAATAGGAACACTTTTACACTGTTGGTGGGACTGTAAACTAGTTCAACCATTGTGGAAGTCAGTGTGGCGATTCCTCAGGGATCTAGAACTAGAAATACCATTTGACCCAGCCATCCCACTACTGGGTATATACCCAAAGGACTATAAATCATGCTGCTATAAAGACACATGCACACGTATGTTTATTGCGGCATTATTCACAATAGCAAAGACTTGGAACCAACCCAAATGTCCAACAATGATAGACTGGATTAAGAAAATGTGGCACATATACACCATGGAATACTATGCAGCCATAAAAAAGGATGAGTTCATGTCCTTTGTAGGGGCATGGATGAAATTGGAAATCATCATTCTCAGTAAACTATCACAAGAACAAAAAACCAAACACTGCATATTCTCACTTATAGGTGGGAACTGAACAAGGAGAACACATGGACACAGGAAGGGGAACATCACACTCTGGGGACTGTTGTGGGGTGAGGGGAGGGGGGAGGGATAGCATTGGGAAATATACTTAGATGACGAGTTAGTGGGTGCAGCGCACCAGCATGGCAGATGTATACATATGTAACTAACCTGCACATTGTGCACATGTACCCTAAAACTTAAAGTATAATAATAAAAAAAAAATTAAAAAAAGGCGCAAACAAAGCCAAAGTTAATGAGTTTTTAAATTATTTTTCCTGAGTTTTTCAGAAATATATGTAAATGGATATATGAGATATGTGATAAGTTCATTTAAATATGTTCTCTGTTTAGCTTTTCCATATATAAATCATTTTCATTTCAACACGAAATATGAATTAAAGATATTGATGCTATATTGTAAAAAAAAAACGGGGGGGGAAGGAATCTGTATGAGAGTCAATAGAAATAATACTCTATACTTGCACATGCAGAGCATATTTATGTACACAACTTGGTTTTAAGTTTTGTGTGAATAGACATCGTGTTTTACTTCTTTTGTGGATCTTATATTTCTTAACACAGTACCAGACACATAGTAGGTACAACTGAAATATGTGATCAAGTGATGGATTACTGATATTATTATTGATAATAACAATAACCCTTAATATTTCTAAGGAAGGAATATAAAAAGCAAGCAAGACAGATTCTAAAGAGGGAATATGATAAAGAAGGAATTATTATGTTAAACTTGATAAATGAAACTTTTTAGTGGGTGTTGCATCTTTTTTGAGTACCCCTGTTTAACAATGTGTAATCAGATCATAAGAACAAGCCGTATTATTTATGTACACAATTTATAAATGACAACAATGCTGTTAAGGTCTTATAATCCTTGCTTTTACTGATGAGGAAGCCAAGGTCCCAGAGCTTTGATGGCTTATTATTAAGTAGCAGAGCACAGATTCACACCTAGGAGTAAGTAGAAATCCAGACCTCTTTTATTCACTGCCCTAGTGTAAGAGAAAGATAGTAGACTATAGACTCCAGGAGAGCAAGGGCTCTGGATACTCCCAACACTTGGCACAATACCTGCACATAGGAGGGTTTCAAAAGTGACTGTGAAATGAAGGAGTGCAGTCTGGTGAGTGACAGTACTCTCTGCATACTCCTTTACCAGACAGCCCTGGAAAAGAAGACAAGATAGCACACCTTAGGACAACCTTCTCAAGTGATTTTAGGCAGAACTTTTAAGCCTTTGGCACATATTTGAATCACCTGTGGAGATTTTAAAAATTCAAACATCCTGGCCACACCCTAGACGTGCTAGCGTAAGATCTAAATGAGACCCTCTAGAGCTAGGTCTCACTGAATCTTTGCTATTGAAACACAAGTTTTGAGTCAGGACAGAGCAGAAACCAAATGGTTCTGTTGTTTCTTTTTTTTTCCTTATTTAAACAAGGTATTAACAAGCAAATGACACCTAAATCTTTCCAGACTCCTGATATAAGTAAGTACAGTGCTGAACCCTGAGCAGGCCTGGATTCCTTAGTAATGAAGTGCACCCAGATGAGTTTCGCTTGCAGCTGACAACCAAATTCTGTTGGTGGAGGGAGAGCAATGGGCAATTGAAAAACTATTCTTGGCACATGGAGGGTAACAACACACACTTGGGCCCGTAGTGGGAAAGGGGGAGCATCAGGATAAATAGCTACTGCATGTGCAGCTTAATACCTAGGTGACAGGTTGATAGGTGCAGCAAACCACCATGACATACATTTACCTATGTAACAAACCTGCACATCCTGCACATGTATCCCAAAACCTAAAACTAAAAGAAAAAGAAAAACTGTTTTTGGTATGTTGGAGAGGTCTATACGCTTGTACATATAGCCAGAAATAACGAGAATATTATATCATAATGCTCTTACCTCATTCTTTACTCTGAGGGACCTGTTTTTCTCTTAATACAAACCTAAAACAGTGAGCACTCATAATTCTGAATAGAGCTAAAGTTTGAAATGGGAACTCTGCAAACATTATATGTTCTCTCTTATTGTAGCATCTTGTTTATTTTCAGCAGGAGGGCACAGAGATCTGGGTGAGTTAAGAACAATGGTCAGTTTATTGAACCCACTTGTTTTCTTAAAAAGGATAAATTATTACCTGATGCAGTACAGAGTTCTTTTAAGTCTATCCCAGGGGATGGGCCAGACACAGAGATTCTTGAAAGATGTCCATAGGTCATTTGGATGCACACCAGAATTGATGACCAATGTTCTGTAATCAAAACCCCAACTACTCATGTAGGTAAACCATGCCAAACCCTTCATAAATTCATCATAAAATGGGTCTAATCCTTGAATCTACACTCCCTCCATTGTCTTAATGAAGTTACTCTTTTCAAGTCTCCTAAATACAAAGAAAGAAACTGTTGAAATCTAGGAAGAGTAGTATTTTAAAACAAACTTTTGAAATTGTAGCTGAAAAGAATTGGAGAAATAACAAATTATTTTAAAAGGTCTAATGGCAGAATTTTCTCAAAAGGAGAAAAACAAATGTTTAAGTATCCCTTTTGCAAGACAGTCCCAACGATGAGGTCAGTCAAGCAAAGTGGCATTTTTCCTTGGAATTCATTGAGGTATTCAGGTCATAATTGGCTGTGGGACTTGGGAAAATGTGGGAGAATAAACTTGGCTTTTGGAAAACAGGGAAAAATTATCTCAATGCCCCAGAAGCTCTCTCAAACTACAGATTTGCAGTGGGAAATTTAGAGTTAGAATTTCCAGTAATGAAGACAATATATCAAAGCCATGGCTTTCAAACAAGGGGGAAGGTCAGGGAAGTGGTTAAAAAAGGAAAAGAAAACTGAAATAAATAGTCTTGGATAGTCGAATGGTCAAATACTCTGAGTCATAGGAAACAATGATATTGTGTCTAAATGTTAAGTTGGGGGTGGGTGTCTTGTGCTTATATCTGATTACACATTGTTAAACAGGGGTACACAAAAAAGATGCAACACCCACTAAAAAGTTTCATTTATCAAGTTTAACATAATAATTCCTTCTTTATCATATTCCCTCTTTAGAATCTGTCTTGCTTGCTTTTTATACTTCTTCCTCAGAAATATTAAGGGTTATTGTTATTATCAATAATAATATCAGTAATCCATCACTTGATCACATATTTCAGTTGTACCTCCTATGTTTCTGGTACTGTGCTAAGAAATATAAGATCCACAAAAGAAGTAAAACACGATGTCTATTCACACAAAACTTAAAACCTAAGTGGAATTTGTGCATATTCAGACATTAAGTAATAATTGTCTATATGATGCCAATAGGAAGTGTGATGTGATATGATTTCTGTAATGGGAGGTATCAGTACAACTAGGTTATGTTGAGACAAACCTCAGAGGGAAGTTAGGGACTTGATCTGGATCTTGATGAATGGAGTAGAAGTGGAAGGTGTTAACTATTAGGTTGATGCACAAGTAATTGCAGTTTTCACAATTAAAAGTAATGGCAAAAACCGCAATTACTTGTGCACCAAGCTAATACTAGCATGTGGAACTAACTGAGAGACATGAAAAAGCTCAGCGGGTATAAGGAAATCGGTATATCTGCTTGACCGTTGGAATCGAAAAGTCTATATTTAAGTCACAAGAATCATAGAAAAAGACTGTAGTCTGATGGAATGAACATGGGTTTTGAGACTGAATTCTGATTTTGCCAATATAATCTCAGCTTTCATCTAAAATAAGAAGAAATTTTGGATTTACTTATTTGAAATGGTTTCTGACTTATTTCTGCTTGAATATTGCTCCTCAGCCTCCTGTGTTTCTCAAAACTGCTCCCACTTCTGGCCAAATGCCATCATTACTTTCCCTGTTTTGAGCCCCACACAGGACTCTTAGGTACTGGCCACTTGATAGGCTATTGCTTCCTCTCACATGGAAAGAGTCATGTTGAACAAGTTTCCTTAAGATCTCTCCACCAGGGTGGATTTCAGACAAACCTGTTTCTTCCTTTGATTGACCAATGAGTAGTTGCTGAACAAAATATATACATGACTTCCAAGAATAAATATTTATTCTCAGAGACTGTACAGTCTAAACCCATGAAAAGAGTGGAAATATTTTTATAATTGTCTCATAATTTCTTAAAAACATTTAAACTTTTACTTTCGGGGTACCTGTGCGGGTTTCTTATATAGGTACTCATGTCACAGGAGCTTGTTGTACAGATTATTTCATCATCCATATATTAATCCTAGTATCCAATAGTTATTTTTTTGATCCTCTCCTTCCTTCCACCCTCCCCCACCAAGTAGGCCCCAGTTGTGTGTGTTCCCTTCTATGTGTCCATGTGTTCTCATCATTTAGCTCCCAGTTATAAGTGAGAACAATGTAGTATTTGGTTTTCTGTTCCTGTGTTAGTTTGCTAAGGATGATGTTCTCCAGCTCCATCCATGTTCCTGCAAAGGGTATGATCTCATTCTTTTTCAGAGCTGTGAAGTATTTCATGGTGTATATGTACCACTTTTTCTTTATCTAGTTTACCACTGATGACCATTTAGGTTTATTCCATGTTGTTGCCATTGTGATTAGTGCTGCAACGAACATACATTGCATATGTCTTTATGGTAGAATGCTTTATATTCCTTTGGGGATATACCCAGTAATGGGATTGCTGGGTGGGGTGGTAGCTCTGTTTTTACCTCTTTGAGGAATTGCCACACAGCTTTTCACAATGGTTGAACTAATTTACACTCCCACCAACAGGGTATAAGCTTTCCCTTTTCTCCACAACCTTGCCAGCATCTACTTTTTTTACTTTTTAACTAATAGCCATTCTGACTGGTATGAGATGGTATCTCGTTGTGGTTTTGATTTGCATTTCTCTAATGATCAGTGAGCTTTTCGTCATATGTTTATAGGCCGCATGTATGTCTTCTTTCAAAAAGTGTCTGTTCATGTCCTTTGCCCACTTTTTAACAAGCTTATTCCTTTTTTCTTGTAAATTGGTTTAAGTCCCTTATAGATTCTGGATATTAGACCTTTGTTGGACACATAGTTTGCAAATATTTTCTACCATTCTGTGGGTTGCCTGTTTACTCTGTTGATAGTTTGTTTTGCTGTGCAGAAGCTCTTTAGTTTAATTAGATCTAATTTGTCAATTTTTCTTTTGTTATGATTGTTTTTAGGGTCTTCATCATGAAATCGTTTCTAGTTCCTCTGCCTAGAATGATATTGCGTAGGTTGTCTTCCAGGGTTTTCATAGTTTTGGGTTTTACATTTAAGTCTTTAATGCATCTTGAGTTGATTTTTGTATATGGTGTAAGAAAGGGGTCCAGCTTCAATCTTCTGCATATGGCTAGCCAGTTATCCCAGCGCCATTTACTGCATACCATTTACTTCCCTATTCATTGAATAGGGAGTCCTTTCCCCTTTGATTCTTTTTGTTGGCTTGGTCAAAGATCAGATGGTTGTAGGTGTGTGGCCTTATTTCTGGGCTCTCCATTCTATTCCATTGGTCGATGTGTCTGCAGAGGTATGTTGGATTCTTTCCTTCCTTTTATTGCTCCCATCCTATGTCTTTTTCACTTTGTGGTCACTTTTGAAACACTCAAACATAAGAAAAATGCTAATGTTGTACTGTATCCATTTCATAGCACACTGTTAGCCAGACAGTAGCTGAAGTTTGAGGATTATTTCCCAAAAGAATTAACTGTTCAAACACTTTTGATTCTCTGTGAGAGTTGGGAAAATGTAGTTGTATTCTAGGTAATGCCTGGACTAATGTATAGACTTGGTTGAGTTGCTTAGCCTTTCAGAGCCTCAGTCTTTTCATCTGGAAAAACATAATATTAGCATCAAGCTTCAAGATCATTAGGATAGCTACATCTAATTTATGGAATTATGTATATGGAGCATAATGGATGGAATATGAGAGTGTTCCAAAATTGATCATTATTATTTCCACCCGAAAAAATAGGCCACTATCTCACTTTAAGTAGAAAAAGAAAGCAGAAAAAAAGAATGGAAGTAGATGGAAAAAGAAGAAAGAATACGGATGTTATTTGAATGCCCACTATATGTCAAACATTGTGTGAAGTTCTTCACAAATATGTTATCTCAGTAATAACTACATATGCAATGGGTGTTAATATGCTCATTTTGAGAAAATTGGTACCTAGGGAGTGTAATAATCTATTTAATGTAATAGAGAGGAAGTGACTGAGCCAAGATTAAAAGATTGATTTTAGGCAACCTTTATTAGTGAGCTTTTCTTGGGCTACCTTCCTCTCCTACCCCCATTAGATTGTGTATTTGATTCCACAAAGGTTTTTGACACTTGCAGCTGTCTTTAGGAGGTTCGAACCATTGAGAAATTCTCAGTTACTGTATGTGTGTATTTATGTGTGCAAGTGTTGCAGGTGTGTGCAATTCCTCTCCCCATTTCAGATGGGGAGAGGGGTTCAGGTTGAGTGCATTTCTATTCATGCAAGATTCATCTCACTTCTCACTTTATTATTCATTTTTTAAAATTATCATTCATCACATTGGTGCACAAATAATTGTAGTTGTGGACGGTGAATTTTAAATAATTATAACTAGGCTCAAATACCTCTTTATTAATTAAAATAGGAACAATTACAATCAACACATTTTTGCCAAAGAGAAATAAGTTTGTTTATTCCTGCAGTATAAAAATCCATATTTTGGGGCTTGATTAACTCTTGGAAAGCATTTTCTGCATGCTGCTGGTTGTGGAAGTGTTTTCCCTGCAATAAGTTGTCGAGATGCTTGGAGAAGTGGTAGGCAGTTGGCAAGAGGTCAGGTGAATATGGTGAATGAGGCAAAACTTTGTAGCCCAATTCATTCAACTTTTGAAGCACTGGTTGTGCAATGTGCAGTTGGGTGTTGTCATGGAGAATTGGGCTTTCTGTTGACCAATGCTGGCTGCAGGCATTGCAGTTTTCAGTGCATCTCATCGATTTGCTGAGCATACTTCTCAGAAATCTGTAGTGGATCAGACCAGCAGCAGACCACCAAACAGTGACCATGACCTTTTTTTGGTGCGAGTTTGGATTTGGAAAGTGCTTTGGAGCCTCTTCTCAGTCAAACCACTGAGCTGGTCATCATTGATTGTCGTATAAAATCCACTTTTCATTGCCCATTACAATGGGATCAAGAAATAGTTTGTTGTTGTGTTGAATAAGAGGTGACAATGCTTCAAAATGACGATTTTTTTTTAAATTTCTACCTGATGAAATCTTGTTTTAAGCTGTAACAAAAATCAAACACACATACATAGGTGACCTGACTTTTGTTTAATACTTACACAAGATACAGAGTTGCATAACTTATATCACTAAAGATCAATCAAATGTTGTGATTAATGTATAATGTAATGCAATATGTAAAGTGTGTTCCTTCAGGCTGTTTTCTAGGAACTCTTTGGAAAAAAACTTTCCTCTATTTGTCTGGGATTTATAAAATATATAATAGAAAACTATTATATATTATTTGATTTTGAAGTGTATTCCAGTTATCGATTGGTACATGAAGAAATATTTCCAAACTGACTACCTTAAAATAATATATTATTATTACCTATGCTTCTCCAGGTTGGCTTGGCTCAGCAAGGAATGTTCCTGCTCAAAATCTTTCATGGTGCTACAGTGAGTTGGTGGCTTGGGCTGAAGCTTTCTCAACTCTTCTTCACTCATATTTCTTTTTTTTTATTTTTTATTTATTTATTTATTTATTATTATACTTTAAGTTTTAGGGTACATGTGCACATTGTGCAGGTTAGTTACATATGTATACATGTGCCATGCTGGTGCACTGCACCCACTAACTCGTCATCTAGCATTAGGTATATCTCCCAATGCTATCCCTCCCCCCTCCCCCCACCCCACAACAGTCCCCAGAGTGTGATATTCCCCTTCCTGTGTCCATGTGATCTCATTGTTCAATTCCCACCTATGAGTGAGAATATGCGGTGTTTGGTTTTTTGTTCTTGCGATAGTTTACTGAGAATGATGATTTCCAATTTCATCCATGTCCCTACAAAGGACATGAACTCATCATTTTTTAAGGCTGCATAGTATTCCATGGTGTATATGTGCCACATTTTCTTAATCCAGTCTATCATTGTTGGACATTTGGGTTGGTTCCAAGTCTTTGCTATTGTGAATAATGCCGCAATAAACATACGTGTGCATGTGTCTTTATAGCAGCATGATTTATAGTCCTTTGGGTATATACCCAGTAGTGGGATGGCTGGGTCAAATGGTATTTCTAGTTCTAGATCCCTGAGGAATCGCCACACTGACTTCCACAATGGTGACGAATTTTTAAAAATTTTGCTCAGCTCACGAGGCACCAACTTATTAATATTTTTCACCTTACCAATTTGTTTCAAATGCCACGCTATGCTCCTCATCTTCAAGGCTCTCCTCTCCTTTGCAAAACTTCTTGAACCACCATTGTATTGTATGGTCAGTAGCAGTTCCTGGGCCAAATGCATTGTTGATGTTGGGAGTTGTCTCCACTGCTTTATGACACATTTTGAACTCGAATAAGAAAATTGCCCAAATTTGCTTTTTCTCTAACATCATTTCCATAGTCTAAAATAAACATAAAATAAACAGCAAGTAATAAGTCATTAGCAAAAATACATAAAGTGAGAAAAGCCCATTAAAACACTGCATAACATAACCATAGTTATTTAAGAATGTATTCCAATATCAAACGGCAAATTCCAACAATGCAAAAACTGCAATTACATTTATACCAACCTAATATTTCACTTCCTCACTTCAGTTATTATTATACTTCCCTGGGGTCTCATTCCAAAATATTTTCAAACTAGCCCTTATTTACTTGGAATAGCTATATTGATTGTGTGTGTGTGTGTGTGTGTGTGTGTGTGTGCGCGCACATGCATGGTATGATGAATATGTTTCTAACTTTTTCATTCAATATTAATTTTTGTAAATCTGCTTGTGCTACTCTGTGAACATTAAGTATTTCTTCTATTGTTGCACATATTCCATAGTGCACATAAACCACATCCCCCAGTGGCAGACACCAAGTTTGGCTGTAATACTCCAATGCCACAAAAAATACCATTTCAGACTTATGTGAGAACTTTTCTAGGTTACATTTCTAGACATAGGATTTCTGGACCATATGGTTAGTATAGGAGTGTTTAAACTAAATTGAGCCTACATCCTTCTCATTTGAATGGTCCACATGCAATCCCACTTGTTCAAGAGGGTTTCTACTTTATCCCTAGAGAGCCTTCTGCACTTGCCATTGTGGAAGAGCATGCCATGTTAACATAACAGTCATCTCTATTAACATTAAGATCTTCAAACACCTTTAAAAACAACACTTTATAAAATATAAAGAGAGCCCCCAAAAGGACATTTCACAAATCAAATTCAATTCTTAGAGCAGAATAGTTGTGATCCTTTTACAAGAGATTGGAAGAGTACTAAGTTTCACGTCTCCCCTATGGGGAAGATATTACATGCCCTCCATTGGAGAGAGAGTCTGTACTTCAGCTTAATGGGAAAATTTCAAATTTTTCTTTTGTAACCTCTGTGGATTGTGAAAAATTACTTTTAAATGGGAGAATGAGATGTGCACTAGTACCCAGGTACTTGGCAAGCCTACCAAGGACTAAAAGAGACGTCAGAGCCTCATGCAATGGCATGGACCTAAGAAGCCTCCAAGGCTATGGTGACAAGCAAGATGCAGACAGTCCATGACCTCACAGAGCTTACAGTACAGTGGGAAGGGCAAAAAACAAACAACAATTATAAAAAAATTGTGAGTCTGAGATTTTAGTAGCCTTACCGAAATAAAACTTTGGATCATCTGCATGTCAGACAGAGCCTGGTTACGTGGAATGTGTAGTTCATTGTTTCTTATCTCCCAGTTGAGAAGATTTTCTCAGGCTAAGTCTCCACTGTCTGCAAGAAACACGAGGTCTCTTGCTTACAAAAGCTATTTTCTAACTCACAGTGTGTCCAGGCCCTCACTCTTTTTATTTAAGCAAGATTGACTTAATTTAAATTTGTCTGGCATATCCAGACCCATCTTTTTGGCCAGGACTTCACTCAAAAATGTATGGCTCTGAGAGAATAATGTTCTTCACACTAGATTTCTGAGGAACTGTTCAATGTCTTTCCTAATTCGGCAGTGAGAATAATGAGCTGAAACAAAAGTAACCATGACAGGAATTGTCCTCATTAATTATTTTCTCAACATCTCAAGAGGATCTGGTGGGCTCTTGAACTTGCCCCTTGAGTTAAGTACTTGGAATGTATTTTGACTCCTGGCAACTTACCCAGTACTATGATAAATGGGACTTAGCTACCTTAGTTCTGGTTTGTGGGAAACAGTTGAATTTTTTATGGTTATTTTTGTGCACTGTTACAGAAGAGAAATCTTTTTTAAAAAATATGTATGGGCAGGAAGGATTGTGAAGGAAAAATTATATGGCAAATCTGATTGACTCCGGGGATTTCAAATATGACAAGCCGTGCTTTTTCTCTCCACATCATCAATTTCATGCTGTTTAGAATAACTGCTAGGTTTTCTTTTAGGTCAACTAGAAAATATTGGTATGTGACTTACTGTTGACTAGACACATGGGATAAATATTAACAAAAGGGATGCTCATTCCTTACATGTTATGTGGGTTACTATGTGTGTTAATAAAAAATACTGTGCTTTTTTATTTTACTTTGTAGATTTGAAGATCTGTAACTAGGGATGTATTGAAATTAAGGGAACTCTAGTATTTTCTTTTTATAGCCATTTTTATGACTAATAATTATCTTCTAAATTATGAAACTCAGAGGATCCTATAATGAAACCATTTGTTGGGCACTTACTTCATTTCAGGCACTGCATCATTTGTTCACTCATTTATGCATTTAACAAATATTTATTGAGTACTTAATATATGTCAGGCATTTTGACAAAAACTGAGGCTATAATGGCAAGACATAGACAGTCCTTAACCAGTGGGAAAGACAGAACCAGAAAGATAACAAGCAGATAATCACAAGAAAATGTTTTGGATGTTATAATAAAAAAGGACACTATTTATTTATTATAATAAAGAAAAAGAGAACAAAAGGAGAACTAGACTAAGGGATGTGGAGACAGAAAATTATATTTAAGCTGAAACCTAAAGGATGACTGAGAGTTATGCCGAAGAAAAGAGAGGGGATGAGTGATTTGCAGGCAATGGAAATAGCCTTTAGGAAGAATATAAGCCAAAAGAAAGATTATAGCATATTCAAGGAATGGAAATGAGTCCTGGTTTTCCTAAGTTGTGCAATGAAAGGAGGTCATAAGCAGTGGCTAAATTATGAAAACCTTCATAAAGTATGTTTTGGATTTTAGAATTTATCCTTAAACCACAGATAGATAGATACTATACTACATGGACAAATAGTATTATCTTCACTTATCAGATAAAGAATTAGCATAGAGAGGTTAAATATGCTTTTGTTTATTCAGTGAGAAATTGGTCAAACCAGATTTTTAAACAATCGCTGCCTGGCTCCAAAATCTCTGACTTTTACTTTGTATGTTATGGCCTGTCTTCTAACTCACATAAAACCTAGCCGCTGGGTGGCCTTATCTTGATCAACTGTTGCATTCAGAGAGACATTGATCCAACATTTAAACATGATTTTTTAAAGATTACATATATACTACTGTGCCTCAGGAAATTTCCAGGATGGAAGGAGGTTCTATTCATATTTCAAGTAAAGCTTTATATCCTCCTTTTTGCCTCTTTTGGTCTCAATGATACCTACACTTATAAGCTGTTTCCCACATCTCTCCTCTTTCCACACCTAAAACACAAATTCCCTAAGTCTCATCCACATAGACACTCATACCCCTTCATTTTCTCACTCTTAGTGTAACCTTCATTTATTTCTGCGAATAACCCTTTGTCTGTTCCAGTGTGAACTTAGCCGTCTTCTACAATTTCTCCAATTTTTGTCTCTCACCTTCCCCCAATTAGCAGAGGCAGAATAAGCCAGATAGTACTCTGCCTGACAATTTTCTATTAAAGAACAAAAATCCTAAATAATCATGGCTGAGAAGAATTCAGACATACATTAAATCTTATATACTCATGAATGAGGTGCATGAATGGGGTGTTACTGAGAGCCCAGTGACTTCGAAAGAGGGTTGCTTCTGTGCAAAGACAGATGCCACAATTCCAAGTGTCCTGGGATGGAAATCACATGGGATATCTGGCCAGTTACTAAGGTGAATTTATTGGAATGGGAAAAAAAAATACAGCTTGCTATGTGTCGCTCTAGAAAAAGCAGGCCATTTCCTTAATGCAACAGCCCCAGCAGTAAATTTCAAGCTCCTTCCATTTCACCCGGAAGAAGAAAAACCGTTCCTCTGAAATGCCTCAAGAGAAAAGCATCAACTTGCCAAACTTATCACCACCTGGAGAAAAACCTCCCTATGCCATTATTCACTTTCCCACAAGCATTTATTGATAAGAAAAGGCAATGGGTCTATTTAAGGGACATAATAGCTTATGAGAAGATGATGGCACCAAATAATCAAGACACTGTAAGCAGAACTAATGGAAGAAACAGGAGACGCTAATAAAAGCCTTATGAAGGAGACAAATTAGAACACATACACACAGACACACACACACACACACACACACACAAAGAGTATTTGGACCAAAATAAAGAAGAATCCAAACTTAAAAATTAGAGAAATTGAAAATAAGTTGGCTACCAATAAAAATTATGTGTGTAATTTAAAGTATAAATTGCAAACTGCAAAGGAAATTCATAAATGGAATCTTAAGAAATATATAGATGAAAAATAGATTAAAAGTGATAATCAGGAAGATACTTCAAGATGGCTGCTGACTAGAGGCATCTGATACTCGCTGTCCTCCTCCACAAAGAAAAACCACAAGAGTGAGTAGATAATCACACTTCAAATGGATCATCAAAGTGCCAGTGCCTTTAGCCCCTGGCGCAGCAGGGAAGGGGCCTGGAGCTGGGGAGTGAGGCTCCCCAAGAGAACACTTGAATTCAACAGAAAAGTAACAGAAAAGACCCAGCACAAGGAGAAAGAGGAAACGGAGTCAGCCCGCTTGACAAGGATTGGCTGGGGAGACTGGAGAGACTTCCTAATGTGGGAAAAGGGAAGTGAGTGACCCCCAGGGGTCCATATTCCCACCACAGATTCCTACAATCCTAGCCACAGTAGAGTGTCCAGACCCTTGCAGGCCCTAAGACTAACATAGGGAGTGTCTGGAGATCACAGGAGTGTCTGGAGATCACATAAAGGCATTGCTAGAGGGAGAGAACTCACACTGGGTCCCATACACCTGTAAGCTTTAAGCAGCTACAGCAAGGCTCATATTGAGAGCCCAGTCCCCACTAGACTGTATCTTGCCTTGGAGCCTACCACAGTTGGTTCTGCTGCTGCTAGGGCTAAAGCATGAGCCATTGGCAATGACCCCGCTGCCCCCAGCAGCAAAGACATCATGAATTTTCACATGCCCCAAGGGCAAAGTCCCTGACCCACAGCCACTACCACTGTGGGCTGCCACTGCTGGGGCCAAAGCAGAAGTGAAGTACAGGCTTCCCAAATGCCTGAATACAGTTACTGCCACTGAGAGCAACCCTGCTGTCCTCAGTAGCAGGGCTGCAGTGCTGCTGCCTCCCCTACTCAAGCATTCGGCCAGTGTGCTGGATATCACCTCACTCTTGCCTAACCACGGCCAGTGCCTACACACACCATCAGGGGACTTCAGAACAGGTCTGCCCAACCTGTCTTTACCCCTCCAGTGTCCCGGTATGCTATCTAGGGACCTGGAAACCATCCAGCCCAGTCTACCACCAATGGCACCTGAGCACTCCTTCAGGGGGCCAGAGGTCAGGCCCACCCAACCTGCTGCTTTCAGCAGAGCTGACACTCACCCATATATGTCAGCTCCTGTAGGCCTCAGGATTGGCCTGTCCAGCTCGTCACAGTCACCACCAACACCAGTACAAATCTCTCAAGAGCCAGAGGGTTAACCCACCACTCCCATTGCCACACTCACTACCCAGAAGCCTCAGAATTTGCCCACCAGCCCAAGCCACCAAAGCCATTACTGGCACCCAACCAAACCACCTGGAAGCCCAGAAATTGGCCTGTCTGGACCCACTAACACTAGTGCCAACGTATGGCTCACTGGCGTCCAAGGATAGGCTTGCTCAGCTTGCCAATGCCACCACTGAGGCCTGAGGACAGGCCCAACTAGCATCCCCATTTCCAGCAAAACTTCACCACTGCCTCCACTAACAACTGCACCCTAAGCCACTAAGGAAAGTACAGATATCATTGATACTATTTACAGCTGAAGAAATTATACAGAGACTACACTACTGCAAACACCCAGAATCAAAAACCAAAGTGCCCTAACCAACCAACTCCATAGGCATATCTCCACAAAAAAGCCCCTCCCCCATTGCACAACAAAAGGAAATTCAAAATATTGGAAGAAGCGGCTGTTAAATCCAATGCATGGATATCAACATAAGGACACAGGAAACATAAAAAAGCAAGGAAACATGACACCTCCAAAGGAACATAATAATTCTCCAGCAACATATTCCAATCAAAAAGACATTTATGAAATCTCAGAAAAAGAATTCAAAATATAATATTAAAGAAGCTCAACAATTTAATAATAGAAGAGAATACAGAGAAACAATACAAAGAAATCAGAGAACATTTCAGGATATAAATGACAAATTTATGAGATACATATCATGAAAAAGAACAAAACAGAAATTCCAAAATCACAACATTTATTAAATGAAATACAAAATGCATTCAAAACTTCAACAACAGATTAAATCAAGCAGATGAAAGAATTTCAAAACTTGAACTTTAGCGTTTTAAAATAACCCAGTCAGGCAAAAATAAAAAGAAAATAATTTTTTAAAATGAACACAATGTTTGTGACATATGGGACACCACCAAGTGACCAAATTTTTTAATTTTCAGGGTCCCAGAAGCCAAAGAGAAAATTAAAAAGACAGAAAAACCATTTAACAAAATAATAGATAAAAACTTTCCAAGTCTAGCAAGAGATTTAGACGTCCAGATACAACAGGAGGCTTACGTATACCCAAACAGATACATTTCAAAAAGATCTTCTTTAAGGCATATTATAGTCAAACTGTCCAAGGTCAAAGACAAAGAATTCTGAAGGCAGAAAGAAACAGGCTCTAAGTCAAAAATAGCAAAAAGAGACTAGGAAGGCCATTATATAATGATAAAGAGATCAAATTATCAAGAAAATATAAGAATTCTAAATATACATGCACTCAACGTTAGAGTACCCAGATATATATAAAGCAAATATTATTTGAACTAAAGGGAGAGATGGATTCCAATACAATAATAGTTGGGTACTTCCACACTCACTTTCAGCATTTGGCAGATCATCTAGACAGAAACTTTAATAAAGAAATACTGGATTTAAACGGCACCATAGGCCAAATGGACATAACAGACAGATATATACAGAACATTTCATCCAACAGTTAAAGAAGACAGATTCTTCTCATTAGCACTCAACATGTAATCTATCCTGGAAATTTCTCCAGGATAGATTATATGATAGGACATAAAATAAATCTCAACACATTTTTAAAAATTAGATCATATTAAGCATCTTCTCAGTCCACAATGGAATAAAACTAGAAATCAATAGAAAGAGGAACTGTACAAGTATACAGAAATTAAACAACATGCTCCTGAATGGCAATTGGGTCAAGAAAAAAAAAAAACCTAAAGAGTAAATCAAAATACTTCTTGAAATAAATGAATATTGAAACACAACATGCCCAAACTGATGGGATACAGAAACAGCAGTGCTAACAGGGAAGTTTATAACAATAAACACTTATATCAAAAAATCAGAACGATTTCAAATAAACAACCTAATGATGCACCTCAAAGAACTAGAGAAACAAGAAGGAATCTGAACCACAATTAGTAGAAGGAAAGAAATAATAAAGTTCATGCAGAAATAAAAAAATAGAAACTAAAAGGCTACTAAGAATTAATGAAATGAAAAGCTGTTTTTCAAAAGGTAAGCGAAACCAAGAAACCACTAGCTTTACTGACCAAGAAAAAATAAGGGAAGATACAGTATAATCTATTATCTGTACAGATATTTGCTGGCATACTTAAAATAGTTACTTTGTTTAAAAGTTGTTAATTTTGATAGCATAATATTATGTGACAGTGTATTTCACTCTCTTTTATTTTTATAAATTTCTTATATTTCTTACACATAATTTTATTTAAAAGTCATCTTAAAAATAATGATAGTATACAAAATTTCATTAAACTGAGGAGTGGACATTAAAAGACCTTATATATAATTGTCAACTTTATCTTCTAGAAGCAAGTTATGAACTGTTTTTGGATAAATCTTATTTTTTAGGAAAAGATTATACCATATTTACACAAAAACATTTTAGAATAAACCTGTATTATTAATATATTATTTTTTTCTATTATTACTCAATCTATCAATTTTCTTGTGCCCCAGAGGGTGTTACTCACTTATTTCCTGTGATTTCAAAATGTAGAGCCAGAAGTGGTAGAAAAAACAGCTTCTTAAAAATATCCCACTGTAGAATTGAACAATGAGAACACTTGGACACAGGGTGGGGAATATCACACACTGGGACCTCTCTTGGGGTGGGGGGAGGGGGGAGGGATAACATTAGGAGAAATACCTAATGTAAATGACGAGTTAATGGGTGCAGCACACCAACATGGCACATGTGTACATATGTAACAAACCTGCACATTGTGCACATGTACCCTAGAACTTAAAGTATAATAAAAAAAATCCCACTGTAATCAGCATAATTGCTAGACAGTCACATTTTAGGGATGACTGAAAGAAATTCAATGTCTGAAAGCATTATCTATAAAAATCCATATATATCTTTTGATTCTTTAGCTGCTGTAGATCAAAGTTCACTTCAATGGTCAAGAGAAAAAAAGGATCATGGAAGCAATAAGAGAAGAGAAACAAGTCAGCAAATAACATATAAAAAAGCTCTGACATTTATGCGGCCAACAAACATATGAAAAAGAGCTCATCATCACTGGTCACTAGAAAAATACAAATCAAAACCACAATGAGATACCATCTCATGCCAGTTAGAATGGCGATCATTTAAAAGTCAGGAAACAACAGACGCTGGAGAGGATGTGGAGAAATAGGAATGCTTTTGCACTGTTGGTGGGAGTGTAAATTAGTTCAACCATTGTGGAAGACAGTGTGGTAATTCCTCAAGGATCTAGAACCAGAAATACCATTTGACACAACGATTCCATTACTGGATATATACCAAAAGGATTATGAATCATTCTACTATAAAGACACATGCACACATATGTTTATTGCAGCACTGTTCACAATAGCAAATACTTGGAAACAACCCAAATGCCCATCAATGATAGACGGGATAAACAAAATGTGGCACATATATAGCATAGAATACAATGCAGCCATAAAAAGGATGAATTCATGTCCTTTGCAGGGACATGGATGAAGCTGGAAACCATCATGCTCAGCAAACTAACACAGGAACAGAAAACCAAACACTGTATGTTCTCACTCATCAGTGGGAGTTGAATAATGAGAACACATGGACACAGAGAGGGGAATATCACACACTGGGGCCTTTCGAGGGGTGGGGGCAAGAGGAGGAATAGCTTTAGGAGAAATACCTAATGTAGGTGACCGGTTGATGGGTGCAGCAAACCACCATAGCACATGTATACCTATGTAACAAACCTGCACATTCTGTACATGTATCCCTGAAATTAAAGTATAATAACAAAAAGAAAAACACTGTGATGAAATAAATTGAAAAATGAAAATGACACAAACAAATGAAAAGGAATCACATGTTCATGAATTGAAAATATTAATATTAAAATGACCATGCTGTACAAAGCAATCTACAGATTTAATGCTATCCCTATTACAATATCAATGTCATTTTTCACAGAAAAACAAATAACAATTATAAAATTCATTTGGGTGAAAGAAAGGGCCCAAATACCCAAAGCAGTCCTGAGTGAAAAACAACAAAGCTGGAGGGATCACACTTCCTGACTTCAAAATATATTACAAGGCTATAGTAACCAAAACAGCATGGTATTGGTATAAAAACAGACACATAGACCAATGGAGAACAGAATAGAGAACCAGAAACACATCCATGCATTTACAACCAACTGTTTTTCAACAAAGTCACCAAGAAAATACAGTGAGGAAAAGACCTCTTCTTCAACAATTGGTACTGAAAAAACTGGATATCCATATGCAGAAGAATAAAATTAGACATCAATCTCCCATCATATGCAAAAAAAATTCAAGATGGATTACAGGCTTAAATTTAAGAGCTGAAACTATAAAACTACTGGCAGAAAACATAGAGAAAATTCTTCAGAACATTGGTGTAGGCAAAGATTTTATGGCTAAGAATTCAAAAATGCAGGCAACAAAAAGAAAAATAGACAGATGGGGCTATACTAAAATAAACAGCTTCCACACAGCAAAGGAAACAATCAACAGAGTAAGGAGACAACCTGTTGAATGAGAAAATATCTATAAACTATTCACCCACAAGGGACTAATATCCAGAATGTATGATGAATTCAAACAACTCAACAGTAAAAAACAAATAATCTCATTAAAACGTACACAAAGGACGTGAATATCAAAATAAGATGTACAAATGATTAACAGGTACATGAGAAAATGCTTAACATCACTAATCATCAAATAAATGCAAATCAAAACCACAATAAGACATCATCTCACACCAGTTAGAATGGTTATTATTAAAAAGACAAAAAAAATCAGATTCTGGTGAGGATATAGAGAAAAGGGAACTCTTATACACTGTTGGTGTTTTAGAGACCTAGTTAATGTTAACAATGAAAAAATGTTCATATCATTGGCATCCCAGAAGGAGAGGGAAGAGAAAAGGAGACAAAAAGAGTATTTGAGGAAATAATGCCTAAAAATTTTCCAAATTATATATGTTAAAGACAAAGACCTACAGATCCAAGAGGCTGAGCAAAGCCTCTCCCACCACCAAAAATTAAATAAATAAATAAATAAACTCAATGAAATCTACACCAAAACACATAAACTTTTGAAAACTAAAGGCAAAGAAAAAATCTTGGAAGCAACCAGGCAGAAGTAACATATTACCCATAGAGGAGTCACAATTCAAATAACAGTAGATTTATCACTGGAAATCATGAAAGCCATAGGATGTAGCACTATATTTTTCAACTGATTAAAAAAAAAATCTGTCAACTGAGAATTCTGTATCTAAAAAAACTATTACTTATGAATAAAGGGGAAATAAAAACATTCTGAAATAAAAAAACTAAAATAACTTGACACTAGCAAACATATTCTTAATTATTAGCTAAAGGAAATTCTTCCAGCTGAAGTGAAATGAAAGAATGAAAGATGGAAAGAAAGATAGCGAGGGAGGGAAGGAGGGAGGAAGAAAAGAAAGAGGAAAGAAGAAAAGAAAGAAGGAAAGAAGAGAACCTCGGGGTTTTGTTTTCAATCAGAATAATTCCCTGGAGAGTCATCAAGTTGTTTGTATAAATTATCTCTTCTTTTTTATTGATAAGTGGTATTTCATGGTATACTTTTACTAAATTTTGTTTAAGCATTCACCTGCAGAAAGGAAAGATAGATTAGTGACTACTAGGAGTTAGGGTTGAAGAGAGGGTGAGAGGTGATGCAAGAGGAAGGAGGGTGTAGTTATGAAAAGATAACAGGAGGAATACGTGTGGTGTTGGAAACTTGTGTTGCAGTATCTTGACTGAGGTGTTGGATGCACAAACCAATGCATGTGATTTAATTGTATAGAACTCAATATATACATGCAGACACAAGTACATACATGCACACAGAGATTAGCAGGAGTAAAACTAGTAAAGCTAATAGAAATTGGGTGGATTATATCAATGCCAATCTTCTGGTTTTAACAATGTTTTACTATAGTTTTTCAAAATGTTACCATTGGGAAAAATTAGACAAAGAGTGCATTGGATCTTTCTGTATTGGTTCTTACAGCTACATAAACATCTATAATTATTTCAGTGCAAATCTCAATAAAACAAAAGGTAGACTACTGTGTTAGTAAGCCTCCAAGACAGCTCTCCCTGATCCTGGGATTCCCACTTATCCCCAGTACTCAGCCTTTGTATAGCTCATAAAAGACATTGTAGTTTCTACCTTACTTTTCCATGGATTATTCACTTTGGGAAAGCCATCCATCTGGCATCAAATATCTCATCTTCACCAATGGAAAATGCAAGAGATAACTACAAGATTTATTGACTAATGAGAAAAAAAAGTGCTATCATAGAAGATTCTTATACCTCCCCAAGATATCTTTCATTTTCAGACATCAAAAAGATACAAAAATTATTCAGCTACTCTCTCCATGCATTATGACTGAAGCAATTACCTGAGAAAGGAGGCTGATTCACCAAGAAAATTGTGTACAAACTCTCTAGATAAAAACAGTGCCTGTAATAGATCATTGTGCACAATTAATTTGGTAATACTCACAGTGAATTCTGAATACATGCTTTTAATGTAATTAAAAATTATAGGTAAGTGAGAATTCATGTCATAAAACAGACATCCTGTGAAGAAAAAAATATATATTAACAAGGAAGCAAAATACAGAACTATTTTAGCAAACCCAAGGGTTGGAAGAGAAGTGAAGGATTCATTGGGAGAGTATAACTATCCTAAAGGTCTAGTTCCTGTGGAGATAATGGATAGATTTGGCCAAGTAAATACAGTGGGTGGAGATCATAACGTCATTTAATTTTAGTAAATGATGTAGATGTAACTGTTACGGGTAAGATTTTAAAGATAAAAAAGCAATCACTAGTAAAAAGTAGATGCCAGATTATACTTCCAAATTAGGAGGCAGACAAAAAGAATATTTGAAAAGGAATATGATAAAACTGGCTTATAGAGATTAAGGTTCTTGCTTTAGATTACACAGAGATGCAGAAATGTCTACACTAGGTCCATCTGGCTCCAAAGTCCATGTATTTCTACTCTATTATGTGGCCTCTATTTATGATTCTAACAGGTTTATACTGAAGACTTTCCAGGTTAACAAGTATCTGTCCCATGTTTTCATCATTTCCAAGATCAGTGAACAAAGCAAATGTTAACAACTTACCCTAGTAGCTTAATTTGGTACTGCAAAATATCTGGAGTAAGTAGCAACAGGAAAAAAAAAAGAGAATAGTCATTCATAAAAGGAAAAATGAGTTAGATATGAGTAAAGGACATCTGACTCATTCAGTGACCACCCAGGAGATCAAGAAGGAAGAGACTCAGAATTGGTGGTGTCTAGGAACTCCAAAGATAATATTTGCAATATATTTTTTTCTCATCATCCTTATTTATGTTACTAATAAAATAACAATACATAGCAGTTTTAAAGAAATCATCTATTTCTTAGAATATCATGTTCAAATGATCTTACAACACTGGCTTGTAAAGAGCCCTAACAAAAATGAATTTGGATGGCCAATAAACTTATTTTAAAAATGCTCAACATCACTAATCATTAGGAAAATGCAAATTAAGATCACAATAAAATACAACTTCACTTCTGCAAGAATGGCCTTATTAAAAAGTCAAAAAACAGTAGATGTTGACATGGGCATGGTGAAAAGGGAACACTTATACCCTGCTGATGGTTATGTAAATCAGTATAATCTCTAAGGAAAACAGTCTGGAGGCTGCTTAAAGAAATAAAAGTAGACCTACTGTTTAATCTAGCAATCCCACCACTGGTTATCTACCAAAAGGAAAATAAGTCATTATATCAAAAAGACACCTGCATGGTTATGTTTATTGCAGCACAATTTACAATTGCAAAGATATGAAACCAACCTAAGTGCCCATCAACCAATGAGTAAATAAATAAAATATGGTATATATACACACCACAGAATATTACTCAGCCATAAAAAAGAATGAAATTATGTGTTTTGCAGCAACTTGGATGGAGCTGGAGGCCATTATTCCAAGTGAAGTAACTCAGAAGTGGAAAACCAAATTAAGCTATGGGTATGCAAAGGCATACAGAGTGATATAATAAAATATGGAGACTCACAGCAGAGAGGGTGGGAGAGGGACAAGGTATAAAAACTTATGTATCTGGTGCAATATACACTATTTGAGTGATAGGCACACTAAAATCTCAGACCTTACCACTATACAATTCATCCATGTAACCAAAACCACTTGTACCCAAAAGATATTGAAATTTAAAAAAACTTTGCACCTGGAAAAAGAAATTATTTTGGAGATCTCAGAGCATGTAGTGAGAGTGAGTTTGATTTTTAGAGAAATTTGAAAGAAAATTCTCTTTTCTAATTAAAATTTCATTTTTTGAAAAATTGTATCCTTCCTTCAGAAGAAGGGTGCCTCTTTCAGGATGTTTCTAAATGTTCTGTGGCAAAAGTATTCCTTTTCTTTCAGACAATGCAGTATTGGCCTTCCCCCTAATGGTGCCAAGTGCTGTGAATGAAGTTTCATGGAAAAGACAGGACTTGAACAAGGAGAATTTTATCCAGGCAGAAGCACATTGCTTAATGTTACAACTGAAGCTAACAGCAACCGTGGCCCTGAATTGTTTCTGTCCTGCAAGGAGTGTGGATATTATCTTGAAGTTTCTGGCAAAAAAAAAAGTCTCATGCTGAGGTTTGGAACTTTTCATTCTGAAGTAGTCAGAAAACTTTTTAAAATGACAAGTTCTGAGCACAAACATCAAAATATTGAATAAGTTAGGGGCACTGGATAACAGAGAAAGATGAAAGATCTAATTCAAATGACTGGGCCAAATAATGACTAAGGAGAAAAAATAACCATCTGTAAATATTTTAGGAAAATAGGGAGCAAGAAGGGGAGAGGAATTTCTGAGTTATCCAAAGGGGTATAACTAAGAGAAACAGGATTAAATTGAGCAAAGAAAATGTAGGCAGAGAATGAGGGGGAAAATGACCACGTAATGAGATCTGTCAGTCTGTGAAATAGTCATTCAAAGGAGGTGGTGGAAACCCCATCACTTGAAATCATTTTCAGCTAAGCTGGAAAAATTGCTCTATTAAGAGTATTATCCAACCATGGAAGAAGAGAGGCTTGAGGACGAGCAATGTGTCTTTTCCATCTTTAACTTCTATATTTTCGGAAGAGGAAAAAAATGAAGATAAGGAAGAAACCTAGTAGAATAACTTGGAGAAAAACAAAAATAATCTAGAAACCACAGAATAACAATGGTAAGTGAAACAAACAAATGGTAAGAGAAAACCCACTAAAACACACCACTTTCAATAAATATGTAAAAACTTAAAACATGGCTAAAGAAGGAATGACTTCAAAGGGAGTTAGGAATTTATTTAAGGGTTTCTGTTTTTCTATTCATAATAAAATATCAAAATCTCAACATTCCTCTTAAGTAACTGAAGGACTGTCATTGATTATTTCAGTTAGGCTAACATGGTTGTGCTTCTTTAGTACCCCAGCAAATGTGCATGCTTCAGAGCAATCTGGATGATCTGATCCTCTATAGTGGCCAGACCCCAGAAATACTGGTTAGGCAAAGAGATAGAATGATCCCAATTAAATAATATATAATTAAATTATTAAATATCATATAAACTATATAAAAATATTGAGCATCGACCACAGGCAAAGCACAATTTCAGATAATGTAAGGGTTACAAAGGTTTATAAAACTTTGTCATTTTACCCCTTGGGATGAGAGTCTATTGGAAAAGACAGTCTGATGGGAAACGTAACATGTCTTTGGGCAACTAAGCACCAAGGCTCCTTCTTGGACAGAAATGTTCTTCTTACTCCCACTCAAAGTCTCAGGGACTCATCCTGCTTTTCTCTTCTCTGCGTGGCTGCTTCTTCCCACTCTTTCTCCTTTCCGCAAACCTCAGCTTTACCATTTCTTACTACCGTGAAGAAGAGAAATGAGGGCTTTTCCCTTTTTCGCATTTAATCAGTATTGGAATAGCAATGGAAACTCTTAACAATATCACATTTATTTTTTGCTTATTCTATGCCCAGATACTATAATGGGTCCTTAAAACGCAATGTTTATTTTAATCCATGTCAGCATCCTATGTTTTGAGTAGTAGAATTACCCATATTTTATAGATTTTCAAATTGAGGCTTAGAGATGTTTATAACTTGTCCAAATTCAAACAGGAAGGAAGCAATGGAGCTGTGATATGAGCACATGTTGCCATCGACTGAGTTGTGTCCCTCCCGATTCATATGTTGATAACCTAACCCTCAATGTGATTGTATTTAGAGATAGGGCTAATTAATTTTGTATGATTTCACCACAAAAAAAAGAGAGATCTTGATTTATATTTTGTTTCTTCCTATTATTGGCATGTAGTTGCAAGCATAACCATATTTCATTTAATAACCTAATTATTGGTTTAATAAGTATATTTTTATAATTTTTAATTTTATTTCTCAATGTAAAATTCAATAAACCCTTTGTTCACTGCTACTGAAGTTAATTTAAGTAGTCTTTCTGCAGAACAAGTGATAAAGCTTATGACTTAAATAACAAAAGTTCTTTCACCCACAGCTCTCTATGTACTTTTTAGAAATAAAATGGAAGCTTCTTTGGTGTGTTTTATTCTACTTTTGTATCTAAGCAACACAGTTAACAATCAGTCGCCATCTCTCCTTTTCTGATATCTGCTACTACAACAGTGATAACAGACAACAAAGTCCATACAGTCCCTGACTTAGGATAGTTTGGCTTACAATTTTTCAACTTTACAATGTGTTTATTGGGATATTAAATACATTTCTGACAGGGTATATTTTACTTATGATGGGTTTATTGGATATAACCCTATTGTAAACCAAGGAACATCTGTATATTATTTGCATTTAAGTCCTGAATTTAATTAACAATCCTACAACTCTTTATTTTGGTTGAGTCTTTTGGTGAAAATCCAGGCTACAAAGACATGCTCTATGTTCTCCAATGATACAGTTGTTTAGGCTAAATAAGTCCAACAGGTAAAAAGGAATCACTCTAAGAACAAAACAGGATGCTATTTGGGAGTGGATAATCATCATTACAAGAAAGCATCCAACACATGTACATTTATGGAGCAAATATATATCCATGATTACAAATAGGAGACTACAAGTTTATATCCTAGGAAAATGCTGCTTTGGCAAGGTTCCCAAATCAATTTGGTATCAGAAATTCTTGACAGTACTACCTAAAACTCCTCAAATCTACTTTTTCTGAGAAAGCATTGTCTTTCAATCAGCAGTCTGAGGCAAGATGTGTAACAGCCTGAAATATCCTTTCCATTGTTGAAAGCTTCAAACCTTTCTACACTAAGGGATTTATGACTATTTCTGATACATTCAGTCATTTCCCCTATATTTTTCCTGGCACTATGTTGAAAGGATAATTTAAACATTAAGATTTATGTGCCATTTAAAGTAAAGGCAGTTGGTTCTTTCTCAAAGAGGTGTGATTTTACTGCCATCTGGCTAAAGTAATGGCTTCTTTCTTGGTTAGTGACAAGCAAAAAGAAAAAAAGTGAAGAAGACTAGAGAATGGTATTCCTAAATAAACTCCAAGCAACAGATGAGGGGAGCCATTTGTATATCAAATGTGATAGAGGAGAGGTTAGGAAACATTGGTTTTGCTGTCAGACAAACCCAAGTCCTGGTTCTGAATCTGTTTACCATATGTATAAACCTTGGCTGAGTTTCTGAGTACTCTGAGTTTTAGCTTCCTCCTAAGTGAAATGGGAACAATAACAGGGTTGTTGCATATATTAAATGGGGTAATACACATATAGTGGTAAGTGGAGAATGGATATATAACAAAGTCAAAAAAATTGTAGATTATATCACTATCAGAATACCTTATAAGGAGTAAATGAAAGTTAATTTTTTATACTCTTTAACCACTAAATAATTCTTTCTGCGAATGTGGTATGAGGAAAATTTGCATCAATATCACAGCGTGGGCTACTTGTGAAAAATGCTCATTTCTAACTCACACCCAGATGTACTTAATTTTTTGAATTTATTTATCTGTTGAATGAATCAACAAGTATTTCTGCACACTTGGTATATGCCAGTCACAGTACTGGAAATAAAATGATGAATATGACAAACAAGTTCCCTGCCCTTACAGAATTTACATTCTAATGGGGAAGACACAGTAAATAAATAACATAATTAACAGATTGTGTTAAATGTTACATAGTAAGCATGTTGATGATACAGAACAACCTGAAAAGGCCACTTTAGATAGGGCGGTTTGGTGAATACGTTCAGGGGAGATGACATATGAGTTGAGACTTGAAGAAATTGAGACTACTATGATAACAGCCAGAAGAAGAGCATTCCTGGCAGAAGGAAGAAAAATCCCAATGACCTAGAAATTTGAAAGACTTGGAATGTTTTTATAAAGGAGATCAATGTAACTGGAATGTCATGAGAGAGGAATGGTACGAACTGATATGGAATATATTGAAGAGAAAAGAAATGAAGTTCCATTTCACCCCTTGTACTTCTTGGATCCATTTGCTTTCTATTATAAATTCATCCCATCCGCTTTTCCAGAATTATGGTTGGTATCTTTTTCTGGGGAACTATACTAAGGAAGGTTAGTGGGATAAACCACAAACCCCACCATATTGCTGTCTCAAGATTGCAACTAATGCTCATCTTTCTTCTCTGCTACCAATTCTAGAATTCCTTCAACTTCAGCACTTCCGCTGGTCCAGGTGGCTTATTTAGTGAGGTGATCCAGACCCTCACGTGGAATATAAGCTTCAGGTCACCATGTTGTTCTAGGCCATGACTACTGCACTTTACTACTACAGTCAAAATTCAGAAGGGCTGCAGGAGCATACTAAAAGATTCCCTATTGTATCACCTAGTTGTCAAACATATTACTTCCTATTTTCATTGTATAGTAGCTATCCTGCTTCCTTCTGGTCTTCAGAGCCTATTACCCTTTGTGCTGACCTCTTTGCATGGAGATCCCAAAGTAACTGGATGGAAACCGTACCTTAGAGTTTAATGGGGTTTTCACTGTGTTCTGTAAAGGAAGCATTATCCTTCTCAGTTAACTAGAACTCCTAGCCTCAAAAAACATAAAGTTTCTGGGCTGGAAAGCACATATGTGGACCATTGGAGGTGATGATATGTGGGGATATTCTGATTTCCACAATTTGGTTCAAGAACCAATGTATTTAACCTACGGGGAACCCTGCACCATATGATAGTCATTGACTTAGAGCAGGTGTCAGCATATTTTTTTTTTTTGTAAAAGGCCAAACAGTAAATAGTTTGGGCTTTGCAGGCAATATGATCTTTGTTGCAACTCTTAATTCTGCTGCTTTACTGTGAAAGCAGCCATAGGCAATATGTAAATGAAGGAAAGTGGCCATGTTCTATTAAAACATTATTTACAACAAAGGTGGCAGGTCCTTGGACTGTAGTTTGTTGATTCCTGATTTAGAGTGTGTAGTGCTTTGTAGGGAATGGCATTCCATTCTTGCAGAGTAACATATCCCACTGATGCCAGAACTGAATATTCAAAAGGCAAATCCATCACTCTACTGGGTGGGCAGCTTCTAAGTAGTGGGCTGTCATGTGACAGAACCCGCAACTATAACCGTTTCATTGTTGTAGGTGGCATTTTGGGTCTTATTTGTTATTATGAAGGATATCTTATTATCTGTTCAGTTGATTTAATATTCTGTAGCCCTCAGATGGTAGTGCTAACCAAGACTATGTCAGCAGGAAAGACAAAATGAATTGCTGTCTTCTTCAGAATAAGAGTGATTCCATGTAATCAGTTTACTATCAATAGGCTGCTTACCCTTCTGCTATATTAGGGGCTCAGTATTAGTATCCTTTGCTGGATGCTGAATATTTAGAAGTGGCAGTAGCTAGATAAGTTTTGGTAAGTGGGAACAAATAGGAGATATCCTCTATTCTTGCCATTCTGGTTACTCCTCTCATAAGCCTATTGTCTCAGCAGTGAGGTGGTAGATGACAGATGCTATCTGATATCAGTTGGCTCATAAGTTCAACATTGTGCTTTTCCTCACCACAGAATCTCTGGTAACATAAGGTCTGCTGGGCCTTATGGCCCAGATGGTAGAGCTGCCTGAATTATAGCCTGGACGTCCTGCAGACCTCTTATCTTTGTTGAGCCCTGCTAAGAGCAGATAGCTTTTGTATCACTTGGTTAGTGGGTTTAAGAAGTATTCCCAAGTATGTAATATTTTCTCACCAGGAACCTGAAGGGGTTTACAAGGCATTGTGCTACCTTTCTAATGATAGGAGTTATAAGTTTTAATAGTTTATTCCTTATTTTGGAGGGGATTTACATGCATGCCCCTGACCACTGTAAAATTCACTGATGCAGCAGTCCTTGAATCTTCACAGGGTGTATCTTCCACCTGTGGACTATACATGATTTTCCAAGGAGCACATATATCTTATCAGAGCCTCGAACATACTTGCCACTTTTTGCTTATTTGTTCCAATTAACATGGGTCATCAATATAGTAGAATAATATGACATACTGCAGAATATCCAGACAGTTGAGGTCTCTTGGAAATATATTACAAGACAGAGTTGGAGATTTAATATAGCTTAGGCCAAGACTGTATATATTTATTATTTTCTGTTCCATGTGAATGAAAACTGGTTTTAAGCCTCTTTCTTGACAGAGATGGAAAATAACACATCTGCTAAGTCAATGGCCAAATGCCATCTACCCGAGTCCATGGTAATCTGCTCTATTGATGATACCACACTTGGCATAGAAGCTGCAATTGGGACTAGTTTAATTGTTTGTTGAGTCTGCAGCAGTATACTGTTATCCAACAGAACCCCAACATTTTCACAGGGGCCAGACTGGTAAATTAAATGATAGCATCAATCATCTCTGCCTCCTTTAGGTCTTAATTTCTACCATTCTTGTTGAAATGCAATATTGTTTTTATTTATCATTTTGACTGGGCATGGAGTGGGCAGCTTCAATAGCTTCCATCTTTCATACTGTGATAATGCTTATTCCACAGGCCAAGGAATCAATGTGAGAGTTGTGCCCATAATGAATCACACATTTGGAGATAGGAATAAGAACTTACCTATGAACCATCCCTGGGCCAGAGCTCCACTTATTACCTGGCTTTCATAATCACCATCGTAAGAAGGACATCCATGAAAATGCTTCATGTTTCTGAGTATCAGTGCCAACTCAGAGCCTATATACAAGAGTCCCTGAAATTTCTGGAAATTCCTCTTTTTCCAGTGTATGGTGTTATGTGTAAATAGTTAAGTTTCCTTTGGGGAAATAACTCGGGGAATTATTCCTGTATATATTTACCATAGAGTTGCAGAGCCCCCTTGTCCTGAGCACCCAGTCTTTCTCCCCTTCAGTCAGCAGGTTCTGGGCCCAAGATTTGGCTCAAGTCTGGAAACTGGGCCAATGATTGTGATATATTATTGAGGGAGGTGCTCTCAGCCTCCTAATTATTAATTTTTCATGTATTTGGTAGTATAAATTAAGCAATATCCCTGTTTGCTGCCTGTGTATCTTTATCCCCAGGAATTTTGTATTATATTAATCATTTTATAGCTCTGTGCAGGTCAGACCCCGAATTGCCACTCCAGTTTTGCCTCTCATTACAGTAATTGTGCACAGCTTGCTTCTGATGATTAAGCACCTGCCCTCTTTCATCCTCATTGCCTGTTTTGTGACGGCATTTCCTGGTCTGCAAGGGAAAGCACCCATTGAGCTTCCCATTGACACTGGTATCCCTCTCCCAAGTGCAATCCTTGTTCCCTCGGTAAAAAGATTGTCTGCCTAGACCTCCCACAAACATTGTCAGCTGGTAAGTTTTCTAGCCATATGTAGTGTATCCTTTCTAACATGTTCACTTCTGTCTTCCTGTTGATCCCTCTGTCAGCTGTTTGCCACTGTAGTTCTAGTATTCTTACTTCATTTAGAGCGCTCTTTGTTTTTTTCAAGCTTCCAAGGAGCATACTAGCAGTATATTAATACTTTCT
The DNA here is from genome assembly GCF_000001405.40 of Homo sapiens. Taxonomy (NCBI): domain Eukaryota; kingdom Metazoa; phylum Chordata; class Mammalia; order Primates; family Hominidae; genus Homo; species Homo sapiens. The sequence continues at coordinate 99,393,618 of NC_000003.12, forward strand.
TCTAAAGTCTTACCAAGAGGTTAAATCCTATATCCCAGAAAAGCAGCAAATAAATTCTTGTTATCCAACTTTATATTCTGCCCCCTGATCCAGCACCTCAGGAACAAATTTCAAAAAACACTCCTGGCTCCTGCTACTGTCTGTTGACTGGGTCTCACTGATCCTTTGGAATACATTTCTTTTCCTTTTTTGGCAGATCCACCACTTCTCTGGTTGGGATATATTATGAATTAACCCTACATATTGGTCTGGTGGTCAGGATAGGAGATGGGGACAGATCCTGAGAGGAGTGCATACTGTCTTTTAAAGCAGGATGGGGAAGCACTGGCCTTTTAAAGGGATGTGTGGGCCATTCCTGCAGGCCCAAAGGGAACACGGTATCTGGAAATCCAGGATTTTTGATGATTTGACCCATAATGGCCCCATCTCTGACTCAGGATTCTCTGCCTTCATAATAGGCTTCTGATCCCTGCATGTCAGATTTGCCATGGTTGACAAGTCAACTTTCTCTGGAACTGTCTGAGTCTTACATCATTCTTTTCTTCCCTTCAAGTTCCAAGAATTGAGTCTCTTTTCTGCTACCAAAAAAGCTCTTCAGCTTTCAGAGCTAATATTTAATTGTTAATTATCATCAGCATTTTAAAGTATTTCTTCAATGACTCAGTAGCAGCCAGCGAAGGTTGTCTGATTGATTCCACTGCCCTTATGATTACTATTTCCTCAGAATCTTTCAAATGCCTAAGACACTCTCATACTTGTGCATTTCTTTTCACCAGGTATCTTGTTCCAGTTCACCATTAGTGAAAGTTTTCACAATAACCACTATAACACGCTGGGGGCTATGAGTACTCTGCTCACCTTCTATGATGGGGTCCTCATTACAAGTTGGCCAGAGGGAGATACAGCTCCCAGACTTTCACTTTATAATCTATTTCCTGGAGTCGCTCCTGACTTCATCTGTCAGAGGATAGGTTCCCTGTGAGAGATACTCTAAGATAAAGATTTGTATGCAGGAGATTTTTGTGGGAGAGAGCTCTTGGGAACAACACCAGTAAATGATGGAAAAACTGCAGTATTAGGGAGAGGGACAAGTGGAACTGCAACAGAATCAAACATAGGTCTCAGCCAGTCCTCCAGGAAGCTCTGGAGCTGGGAAAGGCCTTCAGAGTAGTCCCAAATGGAGGCAATAATGTTGGGCCATTGTACCTTCATCAACAGTCAGTCACTGGGTGCAGACTGCCCCAGGGAAAGAAATACAACTTTAGAAGAGGTGGCTTCCTGTACCTGAGGGGAATTCCCAGAGAGAAACTCAGAGCTATTGGCAACCAACGCCTGTAACCTGGGATAATGAGTGTCCTGGTCCTGAAAGCAAGGATCTGTATTGCACTCCATAACATTCACTGAATCATCACTATTGAATTCACTTTTTAGTGAGTCTAGAACACTAGATATCTTTCAACATCACCATGGTGGCAAAGATACTTGGAGCCGGGAGAGTTTTTGGATGTGTGATCAGATGCTTTCAGTAAATGGGATCTGCACAAGAAACGGCTCATCTTAAGTGTCCAAAAATTTTACATTACCACAGCTGCCTTCAGTATAATTCACAATTGTTTCCAAAGATCCAAGACAATTACTCACTTATTTCTTCCCCAAAAAATCTCTTCCAATTTTACAAGTGAGGAAAGAATGTCATAATATTTAGAATAATAGAATGAGTTGGTATGCTTGCAGCAAAGCCAATCCTACAAGTGAACTTCTTGTTAAACAGATCTTCCTGTGAATAAATGGCCGACAGAATCAAAGTCCTCCCATCATCCTCTGAGTTTGGCCTATGAGCCTGCACACGTATAACCTTTCAGGATTAGAATTCCCTTTTACCCTTTATAATCAAGACATTATACAGTTAAGCAAAATATTTGTTAAACTACTGTGTGCCTTTAGCAAGAACTATAAGATATGGGGCTGTTGCAACATCAATGACTCAAAGGTTAAGGATGCAATTTCTTTCATCAACATTTAATGTGGTGAAGTGACTTTTATGACTTTTCACTGTGCATATTTTTTAAGCTGGTAAGAATTATGGTAATCATTGACACATCAACTTCCTAGAACTAAAAAATTAACGAGGTTCAGAAGCAAATTCGTTGCTCTACTTCATCATCTGAACTCAGTTCAACTGAGATCTAAATCCCTGGAATCTTCAAAGAGAACCAGTAAGCCCCTAATATCTACTCTTGTTGATTTCTGATGATCCTTGTAGGATATCTTTCTTGGTGAAGAAAGAAGAAAATAATTGTGCATTGCTGTCAATCATTAAATCATGGGAGCTGGTCATGGGATTGAGAAGAAAACTAAACATTTTAGCTGTCAGCAATGTTTAAGTACTTTAAAGGATGCTAAATTTGAGGACTTAACCAAAATGCTATTTAAATAGATTTAGTATAAAACCTATATAAGGAAATAAGTCAGTATAAGTATGTGAATTCACATTAAGTTGTTTATAAATAGCAAACACTTTAGGGAGCCTAGTTTTATGTACAGTGCATTCTTCACTTGGTACTTACAGTGCATTTGGGAAAATGAAAATATTTTCAGTATTACAGCTGGAAAGTCAGTAGGCCATCTTATGCCAATGCCTCAGACTTTTCTTAGTACAAGTCTGGAAATATGGATCCCATATTCCTAGGAAACACTTGAGATGGTACAGGAGTTTCAACCTTTCCCTGGTCACAAAGCAACCTGGAAATGGCACTTCCTGTCTTCCTTCTATACAGAAGAGACACTGAGAATTTTCTAGGCTGTATAACCATGTTCTTTGTCACTATGCAAGTCACATCACCACTCATTAAAATCCTGTGAAGGTGTTACCATTATCCCCATTTCATAGATAAAGATTCTGAAGCACAGAGATGTGAAATGTCTTGCTCCAAGTCATAAAGCCAGTAAGAAGGGAGACATAATTCAAACCCAGGCAGTTTGCTTGAAGAACTTGTGGGTTTAATTACTTGGCAATGCTGACTTCTGCTCACATTATTTATTAACAATATTAATAAAACCAGGAGAATTTGAGGAGAAACAGAAATGAAAATATAAATAAATCATACTGTTGAAGCTGATTACCCCATTTGATTCGGTTTGTTACCCAGTCAGTCAGGCATCTGCATTTGATTTGCAAATCTTCACAAGAATTATGACTCTCAATGGATCAACAAATGTTCCTGATACTTAAAAGAAACAGGATGAATAACTTTGGTTTTGGTAGTTTTATTAGTCAGAGTTTTACAGAGAAAGAGTACCGATAGGATATATAGATATAGAGACAGAAATAGAGATAGAGGTATAAGGGTAGATTTATTATAGGATTGGCTGACATGATTATAGGGGCTAAGGAATTGCATAATATGCTGCCTGCAGGCTGGAGAACCAGGAAACCTGGTATTGTAATTTAGCCCACTTCCAAAGGCTTGAGAATGACGAGTGTTAATATTTGAGGGCAGGAGAAGATGGATGTCTCACCCAAAACTTCTGCCTTTTGTTCCACTGGGGCTCTCAACAGATTGGGTAATGCCCATCTACATTGGTGAGAGCCATCTGCTTTACTCAGTCTACAGATTCAAGTGCTGATCTCTTTTAGAAATACCCCCACAGCCCCACCCAGAAATAATTTTTTATCAGCTATCTGTGCATTTCATAGCCCAGTTAAGTTATCATAGTGGTGTTTGAAAATACTGTTACCCAGACCGCTGCTTTTAAAGCTCCGAGTTATCCCAGTGGCATATTTGCTTTGACAGCTAACTAATCTACAAAATGAATCACGCATGCAAATCTATCAGATGTGCTTCTTGAGTCTCTTTAATTCATGTTTTGGCTATAATTTTCTAAATAGAAATATGAAATAAATTATATTATCATATCTCTTTTTTTCTGTTTTTAAATACAATATACACTTACTGTTAAAATTTACTAAAAAGTGAAATACATACAATTGAAGATACACTTCATTTATACTCTTACATAACAAAGAAACTAGTAATATTTTCATAGACTTTTCTCCCTCCTCCTCTTTCTCTTCCTTCTCCTTCTTTTAGCTTTTCAATAAAAGTACATCCTGCAGGTGTGGCTTTCCATTCTACTTTATATCACTCTATATTTGTCTTAGTCATTAACTATTCTTCAAAAGCAAATTTCAGTGGGTGACTGAATAATACCATATTACATGGACACAGCTTAAAGGACATTTGGACATTGTATTAGTTAATTTTCATGCTGTCAAGCAAAGAGGGAAGCCTCTTATAAAACCATCAGATCTTGTGAGAACTCACTCATTATCACTCACTATCAGGAGAATAGCATGAGCAGCATAAAGGTAACCACCCCCATGATTTAACTACCTTCCACCAGGTCCCTCCCATGACATGTGGGGATTATGGAGAGTACAATTCAAGATGAGATTTGGGTGGGGACACAGTCAAACCATATCATTCTGCCCCTGGCCCCTCCCATATCTCATGCCCTTGCATTTCAAAACACAATCATGCACTTCCAACAGTCCTCCAAAGTCTCAAGTCATTCCAGCATTAACTCAAAAGTCCAAGTTCAAAGTCTTATCTGAGACAAGGCAAGTCCCTTCCACCTATGAGCCTGTAAAATCAAAGGCAAGTTAGTTACTTCCTAGATACAATGGGGGTACAGGCATTGTGTAAATACAGGCATTCCAAATGGGAGAAATTGGCCAAAACAAAGAAGCTGCAGGCCCCATGAAAGTCTGAAATCCACCAAGGCAGTAATTAAATATTAAAATTGTGAAATTATCTCCTTTGACTCTATGTCTCACATCCAGGTCATGATGATGCAAGAGGTAGGCTCTGATGGCCTTGGGAAGCTCTGCTCCTTTCACTTTGCAGGGCATAACTCCCCTCTAGGCTTCTTCAATGGGCTGGTTTTGAGTGCCTGCAGCTTTTCCAGGCAAGCTGTAGGTGGATCTACCATTCTTGGGTCTGGAGGATGGTGGCCTCTTACCACAGCTTCACTAGGCAGTGCCCCAGTGGAGACTCTGTGTGGGGCCTCTGACACCACATTTCTCTTCCTCACTGCCATAGCAGAGGTTCTTCATGAGGGCTCCACCCCTGCAGCAAACTTCTGCCTGGACATCCAGGCATTTCTATACATCCTCTGAAATCTAAGCAGAGGTTCCTAAATCTCAGTTCTTGACTTCTGTGCACCTGCAGGCTCAACACCACATGGAAGTTGCCAAGGCTTGAGGCTTGAACCTCCTGAATCCACAGCCCAAGCTGTGCTTTGGCCTCTTTTAGCCAGGGCTGGAGTGGCTGAGAAGCTGGTCACCAAGTCACTAGGCTGCACACAGCAGGGGGTACCTGGGCCCAGCCCACAAAACCATTGTTTCCTCCTAGGTCTCCAGGCCTGTGATGGGAGGTGCTGCTGCAAAGTTCTCTGACATGCCCTGGAGACATTTTCCCCATTGTCTTTGTGATTAACATTCGGCTCCTCATTACTTATGCAAATTTCTGCAGCAGGCTTGAATTTCTCCCCAGGAAATGGGGCTTTTCTTTACTATTGCATCATCAGGCTACAAATTTTCCAAACTTTTATGCTCTCCTTCCCTTTTAAGCATAAGTTCCAATTCCAAGCCATATCTTTATGAATGAATAAAACTCAACAATTTTAAAAGCACCCATGTCACATCTTGAATGCTGTGCCACTTAGAAATTTCTTCTGCCAGATTCCCTAAATCATCTCCCTCAAATTCAAAGTTCCACAGATCTCTAGGGCAGGAACAAAATGTCACCAGTCTCTTTGCTACAGCATAACAAGAGTCACATTAATTCCACTTCCCAACAAGTTCCTCATCTCCATCTCAGTCCACCTCAGCCTAGACTTCATTGTCCATATCACTATCAGCATTTTTGTCAAAGCCATTCAACAAGTCTCTAGGAAGTTTCAGACTGTGCTGCTTCTTTCTGTATTCTGAGCCTTCCAAGTCTCTAAGAAGTTCAAAACCTTCCCATATTTTTCTGTCTTCTTCTGAGCTCTACAAATGGTTCCAACTTCTGCCTGTTACCCAGTTCCAAAGTCACTTCCACATTTTGGGGTATTCTTATAGCAGTACCCCAATACATGGTACCAATTTACAGTATTGGTTCATTTTCACACTGCTATGAAGAAATACCCAAGGCTGGGTAATTTATAAAGAAAAGAGGTTTAATTGACTCACAGCACAGGATGGCTGGAAAGGCCTCAGGAAAATTAAAATCATGGTGGAAGGGGAACCAAAAACATGCTTCTTCACATGGCAGCAGGAGTGAGAAGAATGAGAGCCTAGCAAAGGTGGAAGCCCCTTATAAAACCATCAAATCTCGTGAGATGTCATTCACTATCATGAGAACAGCAAGAGCAGCATGAGGGTAACCATCTCCATGATTAAATTACCTCCCACTGGGTCCCTCCCATGATACATGGGTATTATAATCCAGATGAGATTTGAGTGGGGAAACAGCAGAGATTTGGTTGGGAACACAGCCAAACCATATCAGACATTGTTTACTTGAATAAAATAAAACTACAACAAACTTTTCTGTTCATTTCCCTAGTCAAATTACAATCACCTATTTTTTAGATACTTTAAACAGTCTCTTTAATGAGCTCCTACAATTCTTCTTAATTTCCTTCAATCTAGTCTCATGCAGCAGCCAACACAATCTATAAAACTAAATGGTTACTCTTGGAATAAAGACCAGAGACTTTACTACGGACCCCAAATCCCTAGATCATCTCATCACTGCCTCAATCACCAATCTTATTCTAAATCTTCTTAGAATTCACCTTTTTCACTGTATTTATTTATTTAGAAACAAGGTCTCACTATTTTAACCAGACTGGACTTGAACTAAAGCGATCCTCCCACCTCAGCCTGCCAAATAGCTAAGACTACAGGCATGTTGCACCATGTCTGATTTAGCCTATTTAATTCTTCAGTGTTCCTTAAGTTTCAGGACAATTACCACTTTTCAAGGGAAACTTCTTATGTCCAGAACTCTGATTTCCTGTTATATGTTTACATGACATGTGTACATTACATTCACAGAAGTAATTACATTTGGTAATTACCAATTCTGTGTAATTATTTTATTAATGCTTACATTCTTCCCTATACAATAAGGTCAATTAGATCAGCAACTAAGATCATTTTTCATGGTATTGCTACTGCTTTGCAATAATTGGCACATAAAAGTCACATGATGAATATTTATAAAATAAACCGATTTCTAGAAGAATTTTCAAGCATAATTTTCAAGCATAATCACATCATTTTGGCAGCTTGTCAAAATTTATTTTTATACCAGCAATATAGTAGGAGCATCTTTTTATCAGTATCATCTTTACCCTTTATAAGGAATTCTGACTTATTTACTTGACTTGAAATAGTATACCACTGTTATTTTGTTTCTATTCATTTAAATAAAACATGATTTAAAAATTCATACTGGGGTTTCATAGTTTTTCTCCAAATCCTCTATATGGTCATTGTTCACACTTCTATTGTGGTGCTAATGTGTTTCTTATTAATAAGTGCTCTTAACATATGTAAAGTTTTAACCATGTGTCTTATTTGCAAATGTTTTCCTCTAGGTCAATATTTGTTCTTACACTACGTTTACAGCAATTTTGGTATTTGCAAATATTAATTATGTATAGTAAGATTTACCAATAATTCCCTAATGATTTCTTAATGTTCTTATGCTTGAAAAGCCATACGTTATCCCAAGACCAGTTAGTTACATATTTTTCTAGTTTTGTACAGTTTTATTTTTTATTATGTTTTCTTCTTGTCACTTTTGGAACTAAGCTGAACAGAATGGATTTAATAATAATTCTTGGCTCATGACACACTATCATCCTTGGTCTATGCACCACTCATTTGTATTCATTCATTCATTCATTCATTGTTAAATAAGAAAATGAATACTGAATCCCATTACCTATTAAAAATATTCACAAAGGCCAGGTGCAATGGCTCATGCCTGTAATCCTAGCACTTTGGGAGGCTGAGGTGGGTGAATCACAAAGTCAAGAGATCAAGACCATCCTGGTGAATATGCTGAAACCCCGTCTCTACTAAAAATACAAAATTTAGCTGGGCGTGGTGGTGCATGCCTGTAGTCCCAGCTACTTGAGAGGCTGAGGCAGGAGAGTAGCTTGAACCCAGGAGGCGGAGATTGTAGTGAGCTGAGATCGCACCACTGCACTCCAGCTTGGCAACAGAGCGAGACTCGGTCTCAAAAAAAAAAGTCACAATGAATTGTACATTTATAATTTTCTTTCTTTGTGAAAATAGTTTTAATCATGCATATATAAATATATGTGTATCTGTATATAAAATAATATATGTATACATAAATATATGTATAGATGTATCTATAAATATATGTGTGTAAACATGTGTATAAGAAGATATGTATTTGAATATGTATTTATGGATACTTTGGATATTGCTTATTTTTTAATGTCATAAAAAAACATACTTTTGCAGAGTGTGCTAGTACTTGTCAGTTGTTTTCTTAGCATTTTTTACCAAGATTTATCCATATTATTGTATAGAACTGCATTCTTTCATCTATGGTATTGCACTATAAGAATATGCCCCAATTTACTAATCCATTCTGTTGTCAATAAACATTTTGTTTTTTTTCAAATTTTGTGTTATTACAAACAGTTTTGCTAAAAACATTTCTGGTATATCTTCAGTACATATTCAAAGTTTCTCTTAAGTATGTACAGAAATACATATATATATAAAATATATATATATATATATATATATATATATATATTTTTTTTTTTTTTGAGACAGAGTCTCACTCTGTTGCCCAGGCTGGAGTGCAGTGGTGCAATCTCGGCTTACTGTGACCTCTGCCTTCTGGGTTCAAGAGATTCTCCTGTCTCAGAATCCCAAGTAGCAGGGATTATAGGTGTGCACCACACCAGGCTAATTTTTGTATTTTTAGTAGAGACAGGGTTTCACCATGTTGGTCACGCTGGTCTCAAACTCCTGACTTCAGGTGATCCACCTTCCTCAGCCTCCCAAAGTGCTGGGATTACAGGTGTGAGCCACCGTGCCTGGCCCAGAAATAACTTTTTTTCTGAATTTCTGGGATATACAATTTGTTCATTTAATATACCAAGAAAAGTCACAAATCTGGCCAAAGTCATTGTAACAATTTACATTCACCAGCAATGTAAATGAGTTTCCACTGATCTACATTCTCTCCAAGCCTTGGTACTGTCAGATTTTCTTAGGTTCTGCCAAGTGGGTGTAAAGCGGTATCTCATGTTGGTTTTGGTTTTATTTTCTTAAGTTCTGAACATCTCTTCATGTGTGATCATGTGTTTCCTTCTCTGTAATAGGTCTCTTTATGTCTTTTACTGATTTTTCTTTTGAGGTTTCTTCTTTTATTATTGTAAGCATTCTTGATATGTTTTTGAGAGTAATCTTTTTTGTCACAGATATCTACTACCAGTTTGTACCTGGAAAGCATGTTTAAGAGTTTTTTCTTAAACTTAATTTTAAAATTGTAGCCCAATTAACTTAACTAGTTTTTTATGGTTAACATATTTGTCTTCTTTAGAAAACCTTTCAGCTATATTTTAACCTAAAATAATGAGGATTTTCTTTTCACATTTCTTAATCTACTAAGTTCCTTTTTTTCCCATACAGATAACTGATTTTTCAATCTTCATTTATTGAATACCTCTTTCTTTTCCCAGTGACTAGCCATTTCACTTTTGTCATTCATGAAAGTTCAAATATTTGTGTTTATAGGCTCTGTGTGCCCTTCCATTGGTTAATTTGCCTATTTCTTCATTAATATTCCACTCCCTTAATTGCTATAGCTCGACAATAAGTATTACATCTGGCTATCCTCCATGCCTTAATATTCTTATTTAAATATATATCAACCATTTGTTATTCCAAATTAATTTTAGAATAGGCTTGTCATATTATACTGAACGTAGAGATAATTTAGGAGAAAATTGACATTCTGACAATATTGGATCTATCTTTTCATCTATAGGATATCTTGCAATTTACATGTATCTTCCTTTGTACTGTTTGGTAAAGTTTTGTTAGTTTCAGTAAATAAATCTTGCAAATTTTTATTTGGTTGATCCGTAAATTCTTTATAGCTCTTTTTCTTATTGCAAATATTACCCCTTTAAAATTTCATTCTCTAAGTTTTGTACCTAGCATACAGAAATGCACTTGACTTTTGAATGCTGAATTTATATCCAATAACCTGACTAAGGTCTCTTATAATTTTTAATAACTCACCTATAGGTTCCACCAGGTTTTTCTGTTGACATTCACTTCATTTGCAAATCATAGCAGTTTTTTTCCTCCTTCCCCATCATTAGGCTTTTATTTGCTTATTGTACTAACTAGGACCTCAAATATAATTTCTCACAGAAGTGGTATAACAAGTATTTTTATATGGTTGCTGGTTCTACAGGAAATGCTTCTAATATTTTCAAATTTTGAATTATGTTAATTTAGGTTTTTTATGAATGTCTTTATCAGATTTAGGAAATTCTCTTTCAATTTTAGTTTACTAAGAATTTTGTCATGTTTTTTCCCCTTCATCTATTGGCACAATTTTCCAGGTTTCTTCTTTAATCTACTGATATAATAAAGCCTGTTTAACAAATCTTCCTTGAATTCTAGGTATTAAGCTTAATTTCATCATATATGATATATCATGCATTTTATACATTTTAAAATACAGTTTGCTAATTTTTTGTTCAGGATTTTTGCAGCTATATCCAGGGGTGAAATGAGCCAATACTTTTTATTTCTTCTTTTGCTCTTCTCTGGTTTGGGTAAAGAGTTTACATTATTCTTGTAGAATAAAATGATGACCCTTGCTAATACTTCTCAACACTTTAAAAGACTTTACATAAGATTAGATGATGACATCTCTTAAAGCTTGTTAAAACTTACCTGTAAAATCATTTAAGATTGATGTTTTCTCTGAGGGAAGACTTGCTTGCCAACTGTTAACTATTAATTACTACTATTACTACTGTAAGAAACAAATAGTCTAGGAAACTGAAGCACAAACCATCTCTTAACTCCATTTCATCCAACTTTAAAAATTTATATTAACTTTATATCTGTTGATGCTTTCATGGCAAAAACTCACCAAATTTCAATTAAAGAATTAAAACTGTGTGTCTTTCCAAAAAGTTTAAATGTTACAATAATATAATATTGCTCATAATATGTTCATTCATATTTTCCTAAGGTAATTCTCCCAGACTAAGATTATTATTTTTCTTATCCAAAATTTTCAATACTGTAATCATAGTTGTATTACAGTCCAATATCTTCCTCATTTGCAAAACACTTGTATTGTTATTTACTTTATTTCCTTTAAGCAAACTTTATTTTTTAAAATTTTTATTAATGGGAAATTTAAACATCAGAAAGAAATTTGTATTATGAACCCCATGTACTCATCACCTAGTTTAAACCATTCTTAAATTGTGGAAAATATTGTGTCAAATACATATTCAATCACTTTCTCCAACCCCTAGCTATAGTAAAGTTAGTACCGAAAATCTTGTTTTTCATTTTTAAATATATCAGAATCTATCTCTAATATAGTTGTTTTTTGCATGCTCTGGTTGACTACTGGTGGTCCCTAAGACCCTTTCAGGGGGATTATTATTATAATAATACTAAGATGCGGTTGCCTTTTTATCTCCATTCTTGTGAAGTTTTCCAGAGGCTACATGACCTGTGATATCACAAAGGATTGAATATAAAAGAAAATATGAGACTCCATTTGTCTTCTACTAAAAAAACTCTTAAAGATTTGTAAACATGAAATAATGCCACACTTATCTTTTTTTTTTCTTGCTTTGGAAAATGTACTTCTTTTTGTAAAAATATGTTAACATGTAATTGGATTCTTATCATAATTTTAAATAAATTCATAAACAAATGTTTTGTTTTAATTTGAGTTTTAAAATATTTGAATACATGCATATCAATCAGTATAATCCAAAAGATATAAACAGACATTTCCCAAAGGAAGCATGCAAATGGCCAAAAAGTATAAGAAAAACTGCTCAACATCACAAATCATCAGAGAAATGCAAGTCAAAACTACAATGAGATATCATCTTACCCCAGTTAAAATGGCTTTAATCCACAAGACGGGCAATAACAAATGCTGGTGAGGATGTTGAGAAAAGGGAACCCTTTTACACTGTTGGTGGGAATATAAATTAATACATCCACTATGGAGAACAGTATGGAGGTTCCTCAAAAAACTAAAAATAGAACTACCATGTTATCCATCAATCCCACTGCTGAGTATATATCTTCAAAGAGAAGGAAATCAGTATATTGAAAAGATATCTGTACTCCCATGTTTATTACAGCACTTTTCACAATAGCCAAGTAGAAATCAACCTAAGTAGCCATCAATGAGAGGGTAAAGAAAAAGCAGAGCATATAAACAACGAAATATTATTCACACACGAAATAAATGAAATCCTGTCACCCACAACAACATGGTGGAACTTGAGGCCATCCTGTTAAGTGAAATAAGCCAGGCACGAAAAGACAAATATCACGCGCTGTCACTCATATGTAGGAGCTAAAAGATAAAACAAAATGAACTCAGTGAGCTAGACACTAGAATGATGCTTACCAGAAGCTGAGAAAGATAGTGGGGAGTGGAGCATAAAGAAGGGATGGTTAATAGGCACAGAAAACAGTTGGAATGAATAAGATCTAGTAGTGAGAAGCACAATAGGGTGACTATAATTAACATCAATTTATTACATATTTTTAAATAACTAAAAGAGTGAAATTGGAATGTTCCTACCACAAAGAAATGATAAATGCTTGAGGTGACAGATAGCCCAATCATAAATATGTACAGTTAATATGTATACATAATAATTAAAAATAAAACAATTTAATAACCTTAGAATTCTCAATAATTTTTAAAAGTATAAGCAATCCTGAAACCAAATTTTGAGAGGAAAAGTTCTCATATTTGAGCACTTTAAAAATCCGTAGCCATAATGACACTCTCACAGGTAAAACAAATGATAATTTCTTTGTTTTTAAACTTTTATTTTAAGTTCAGGAGTACATGTGCAGGTTTATTACAGAGGTAAACTTGTGTCATGAGGGTTTGTTGTACAGCTTATTTCATCACTCAGGTATGAGGCCTAGTACCCATTAGCTATTTTTCCTGATCCTCTCCCTCCTCCCAACCTCCACCTTCTGATAGGCCCCAAGGTGTGTTGCTCCCCTCTATGTGTCCATGTGGATATTTAACTCCCACTTATAAGTGAGAACATGTGGTATTTGATTTTTTGTCCCTGTGTTACTTTGCTAAAGATAATGGCTTCCAGTTCCATCCACGTTCCTGCAAAAGACATGATCTTGTTATTTTTATGACTGCATAGTATTCCATGGTGCTGAATTTTATTGAAAGCCTTTTCTGCATCTATTGAGATAGCCAAGTGATTTTGTCTGTCGTTCTGTTATGTTATTTCACTTTATTGATAGCTCCCTTTGTCCCTTAGCACACAGTTAAAAACCTGAAACAGACTCAAGTACAGTTTATTATAATGACTTTTTAAAAATTACCCTCAGTATACTAGCAATTCCTCTGCAGCTCTGGAGAAGGCCATTAACATTTAAGAGATTGTTTAGTCAAACAGCAATAGGGTGGAAGTGAAATGCTGTCAGAGCAGTGGATGCTGTTAGGGTTTCCCACAGGATGTGGTTCCCTCTGGCCCATGCTGTCAAGCTCGGTCTGACTCCACGTTGCTGGAGGGCCAGCTTACATTCTTAACACAGATGCTATATATTTTGCTTTCGCCTTGCGTATACTGTCAGCATAAACTGAAGGAAGCATGTATATATGTTATCTCAATTCTTAAGTGTTTCATTACTTGTGAACAAACAAGAAAGTATGAAAGGTGGTTTTTCTACCTCTGGCTTCTGCAGAAAACTTCAAAGAGACCAAAGCTGATGTGTGAATTTTTATGATTAAGGGGTGCAGCATGTCTTCTCAATCAGGCTTCTTCAAAATCTGGTTGAGAGTTTGGTGGATTGATTCAGAAAAGAGTTAGAGGATGCATATTTCAGAGTGTGTTAAATGTGCTTGCCACTAATTAATATCTGCATTTTTTTCCAATTCAAACGGGATGAATAAAACAACACAAGGAGATAGTAATAAACATTAATTCAATGGTGATAAACTTCAGCTATTTAATTCTAAACATTTTAATTAAAAATGAAAGGAGTTCAGAGTATAAGAAAAATGTCCTATGGAGCCAGAGACAAAGGTATAGTGCCAGCCAAGCCATTAAAATTTGCAATATGGATGCCCAAGTGTTTCACTTCATGAATCCTTCATGCTAAGAATAATTTGAGATGGTAATTTATAGGTACAAAGGATTTTTTTTTTTTTGAGACGGAGTCTCACTGTGTCGCCCAGGCTGGAGTGCAGTGGCGTGATCTCAGCTCACTGCAACCTCTGCTTCCCAGGTTGACGCCATTCTCCTGCCTCAGCCTCCCGAGTACCTGGGACTACAGGCACCTGCCACCATGCCCGGCTAATATTTTATATTTTTACTAGAGACGGGGTTTCACCATGTTAGCCAGGATGGTCTCGATCTCCTGACCTTGTGATCCGCCAGCCTCGGCCTCCCAAAGTGCTGGGATTACAGGCATGAGCCACTGCGCCCGGCCAGGTACAAAGGATTTTTATATACATTTTCTTAGTAAAACCTCATAAAATTTCTGTGAGCCTTCTGTGTTCAAATTACATGCTCTTTCATTCAATCCCCACCTAAGATTTACTTGTTTTGCTTTGTTCTTTAATGAAGTACTGTCAGCCCTTTATATCCATGGGTTCCACATCTGTGGATTCAACCAAATCCAGATCAAAAATATTCAGAAAAAAAACGATTCTGATGCTTAAGTCTGTTATATAAAATGTCAAAGTATTTGTATATAACCTGCATATATCGTATAACAGACTTAAGCATCAGAGGAATTTGGTACATGAGGGGCGTCCTAGAAGCAATCCCCCGAGGATATCAAGAGGTGACTGTATTTTAAATATATAGTCTCAGCTATGTTTCAAAGGAAACTACATGGTTAAGTTGAATTTCAAATTCACTTGGCCAGCAATTGTTAATTATCAAGAGATATGTCAAATTTCTAGCCTAAAGAAGCATATGATTTCCTGAATAGACATGACATGGAAGAGAGTAATGGACAGTTATCAATACCACACACTTAATTACAGAGTGATCATGAAAACGATGGTCCAAATGATAAGACAAACATTGTCTATAGGTTTGAGAGAACCCAAGGAGTATTTTTTGGAGGAGGTAGAATTTTATCTGGACCTCAAAAGGCAGGTAAGACTCAGCTAAGAGGAGTGGAAAAGCCACCTCAGACAAGGAAGCAGATATGGCACAAGTAGATTCCAGTTGGAGAGATACATTCAGTTGAAGCCAAGAGTTCATGATAGGGGATAGAAGAAAGAAAGCTGGAAAATAGATAAAGATGCAGGTCTAGAAGGCTAAATAATTTATCCAATCGAGAGTCATCAAAGATCTTGGAGCAGATAAATACCATGATGATAAATACTGTGTCTAAATATGGAAGTGAAGGGGAGAAAAGGAATTCAATATAACTTTTTGAATATGGATAATGAGAAAAATGGTGTCAGTGACAGAAACAGAGATGTTAGATTGAGAAGTTTTTTCCCCATACCAAACTTATGCATGTTTTCATTTGAGATTCTCTTCATTTTGGATTTAATTAATTGAAAGATGTTCTCCAAACTCTAACCTTAACTAAGTACCATTTAGCCCAGCTACACGATTGACATTCTCACTTGAATTTCTAAAGCACCTATCAATTTTAGTTCTACCTAAGAGAGGTCTTAAATCCCACCCCCTGCCAATTATTCTTTCCGGAGTCTTCCTCGTGTTAGTAGACGTCATCAATCCATCAACAAAAACTCTTGGCTCCATTTAAAAAATATATTTCACATCTGTTTACTTCTTTTCATTTCTACCATTTTTCACCTTGGTCTAAGCCACTGTTATCTCTAGCTTTGATTATTATGAAATCTTGTTCTACTTGAGCTCCTCTATAATTTATAAAAAACTCAGAGTAGTGCTATGAAAATATGAAATGGGTTGTTTAAATCTCCATATCAAAATCTCCAGTAGCCTCCTACTGCATTTAGAACAAAATTCACTCTTTTTCATGGTCCATTAGGTTCTACATGATTGACCCTATTCTTATCTATGACTTCTCCCAGCTTTACCCCATCTCTCTATGCTCTTGCCACATTGCCCTTCTAGAGTAGGTTAAGATATTTCCTTTCTTGAGGCCTTTGCTCCTGTTGATCCCTCATGCTGGAATTCTCTTCCTCCAGGCCTTTGCATAGCTGGTTCCTCTAGTCACTAAGCCTTAGCTCAGAGGTCACCTCCTCACTGACATTCACTTATAAGTAGCCCTTCCTCACTGGCCTCCCCAACACTTTCTATTACAACACTCTGTCTTATTTCATAGCATGCACCACTAATCTTATTTATTCAGTTATTTGATTATCGCTGCCTCCTTATCCCAATGCCATCCCTTGAGAGGGGATCTAGTCTGCATGGTTTAGTCCTCTATGCCTTCAGTAGTGTCTGGCATACAGTCAGCTCTCATTTAATATTTGTTAAATGAGCAAACAAAGTCTCTCTCGTATAAGTCAATATAATTCTAGCTATGAGAAATTCCTGTTCTGTGCTAGTCTTGAGGATGTGAAAATATGAGGGGAAATTAACATTTTTCAGCAAGCACTGCTAGAGATCCAGGAGTTTCCCCCTCACAATGGAAAATTTAAACCATGAAGGAAAATAAATGAAGGTTAAATACTAGAAGATATTTGTGGACAGTTATGCATTCATTCCACAGGCTCTGTAAGCCTGTAAACAATCAGGAGTTTATACCACATCTTAGCTGGTGTTCCGCTGCTTTCTATAGAATGGGAAGAAAATGTAGCTTGTCTATCACAGCAGGACTGGTGGCTTGAAAGGCAGCAGGATTTGTGTTTTCAGGTGTGACAGACTCTCTCACCCTCAGCTCCCAGAGGGCAGAGACCAAGGACCACATAACCACCAAAGCCAATGATCTGACCTCTGGAGGATTGACAGGCTCCAGGATGAGTAATGAGTTAGGCCCGGCAGATTATACAGTGCCCCTGAGATGAAGAAAACAGAACAAGGATGAATGAGTGCCTGTGGGAAAAGAAGTGTATCGGCTCTCACACAACCACCGTGCCCTGCGTGACTGGCTTAAACAGAAATCTGGCAGCAAGAGAGGGAACTAAAGGAAGTTAAAAAAAAATAGCAGGCAATCTCCTCCCTTTTCATTCTTTAACTTTCTGATGAGAGAATAAAATGCTGCTACCAGATGTAGCATGTGCTGGCATTAATTATCTCATTCTTCCATCATCAAGAAAGAATCAATTCATATCATCGTTAGCGTGAGACCACTTCAGAGAAAGCAGGATGTTGCTGTAATTAATCGTTCAAGCTCTGGATTCCACACAGACCTGGACTCAAATTATGGTTGTTATCATTTAGGGCCATGACACCTTTTACAACAGGAACATTTTACTACCACTACATGAGGTTATGTAAGGAAAACATAGACAGTTCATGTGAAATGTTTAATTTAGCACTTGGACCACAGAGCTCTCAATAAATACTAATAAAATATAAAATTACTATTTTATTATCTAATCTATGTTTTTTCTCCCCCGCCCCTCCCATAAAAACCAAGTAGTCTAAATAAACATAAATTGTCTGCACAAGAAAAATCTATCTGATGATGTTCTGAATTTGGAAGAAATTGAGGAACTTCAAAAAGTAATTATTCTATATTTAAAATATGTGTAGTTCTAGCAAGCCATTCCCACCACCATTACCAAGCATAAGCTACAGAATTTAATCATTAAGGGTAATCACCAAGTAGTTAAATAGTGAATGAATAAGTAAAATTTTAGAATTAAATATAAACTTTTATTCCAATGCAACTTACTGTTGTTATTTTCCATTCACAAGTTTGGCAAAAAATAAAAAGCTGAATAATAGCTTTTGATAACAATAATGTATATGGAAATGTGCTTTCTAATACAGTATTGTTGGAGGCATAAATAGATACAAACTATTTGGAGGACAGTTTCTCAATAACTGCCAAACTCTTTAGAAACATTTCCCATTAGATCCAATAATTCCATTTCTAGGAGCTCACCCTAAGAAAATAACAAAAGAGTTTCACAAAGATATATATATGAGTTTCTCATTTTTGGATTGTTTCTAACAATACCTGCTCCCACACACACACACACACACACACACACACACACACACACACACAAAAGCTCAACTGTTAATCATTTGAGACTTGGCTAAATAAATGATAAATATTTTATAGACACTAAAAATGATATGTAGATAAACATTGACATTAAAATGCTTACGAAGGGTTATTTGTTTAAAATTGTTATAAAATAATTTATAGTATAATCTAATTTTTCCTAAAAATAATTATTTTTATGTATAGAACAGAAAAGCACTTGAAAAGATATCCTACAAAATATCAACTCCTGTTATTATTTGGCTATAGGATTATAGTTTACCTTTATTTTCTTTATACTTTGGTGTTTTAAAAACATTTTATGATGTCCAATTATTTTCCATAATAATAAATCTATTTTAAAAACTTAATAGACTATGAAAAAATATTTTATATAGAAGTAGTATCTAGGTCTTAACATTTATAACATATAGGACCTTTAAATTATATTGAGTCTCTTGGGAAGTTTCTGTGGATAAGTTAATATTTTCCTAAACTTAGAAACATGGCAGCAGTTCTTTACTATATGAATCACTGAATAAAAAGAGACTAGAAAGGCATCATGATGACACTAGAAATTACCGTGCTAACATGGTCCGTGGAATCATTTTTCCTTGGAGTACTATCAGCATTTGCTTGTAGCCTCTTGCTTTGTCTTATCAGTAAAATCAATGGTATAGTATTAAATTATTTTTTACCCATTATCACTTGACCAAAATATTGGCTCGACCAAAATAAGGCATTAAAGTATATGCTGCTTCAGCACTTGGTGGGAATGATGCTCCTTGTTTGTTTTCAGTATGTTTGTGAAGCAAAGTCATCTAGTTTTCTGTGACCATTTCTCGTCTCATAAATGTCAAAAATAAATGCCAGTGTCCTGAAAGCATGCAAGTAGAAACCATGATAGTGAGAACATTTTGAAAACCTACAGTTGTAACTACAAGATGTAATTCAAAACAAAAGAAGCAAGAAAAAATAGGATAATTTGCAAATAAATATTTTTAAGACTCAATATTGAAAACCCTTTTCTTCGTTTTTTAAAACCAATGAGAGCTTTAAAAAGTACTGTATTGTTTCCCACTACAACTTACATCATCACTAGCACTTATAGTGTAAAGAACACCTGCCTCTTGCCTGCCCTGGGTATTACTGAGGTTATAGCAGGCACTGAAAGAAAACTCAGATTTTGGCAATAAAAAACATGTTTTACTTGAGTTCTTTTTCTTCTTCCTTCCAAGTCAATGTGTATTTAGCTAATAATTTTGAGACCATTTTGGACTGAATAGAATAACCTTTAAGCCAAATGTACAGCTTATTTCATGGTATGTTTAGAATCAGGTCTATACTGCCAAAGTGAGAAAGAACTTTGGATAAATCTGAGTAGTACAGACAGCTCCTCTGGAAACTTCTAAAATAGGTTTCCTTGTCTGTCTAAAATTACTTGAATTATCAGAAATTGTTCATTTGCACATCTTTGTGTTTCAGAAAACCAACTGAATTTGTTTTTTAAAACCCCCCATTTAGTTGGAATCTGTTGACCGAAATAATACATTGAAAAATATGGTGACACATAGTGGAAGAATCTTCACCACTCAAAACTACTTGAGTTCTCTCTCTGTGACAGGAAATACCAAGCAAGTTTTAAATGAATTCCAAGGCAATGCTTAAAGCCAAAGCATAGTGGAAAATATATAAGAGCTATTCAATAAGTATTTATTAATGTCTGTATCTATATTAATCATGTAAAATATATTAGCATATTATATTAGTAACCAGCTAAATCTGTACCACACACTTACTCCATGTTAGTCCTCATGCTAAATGCTTTATTCCATTTAACCCTACATAATCTAGTGAGAGATATATTATTATTATCTTTATTTACAGCTGAGAAAACATACAGAATTTAGGAAGCATACACAAGGTCAGATAGATCAGTATAGGATTAGGTCAGGATTTGATCCCTTAATAGGCTTTGAAATCCCAGTCTGATTTCAGAGCCTAACTTTTAGTCACTATGCTATAATTCCTATAGCAGTAGCAGGCATTGAGCGAACTACAAAGAAGTTAAAGGCATGATCGCAACTCCATAGAATTTCCTTTTCCAAATAAAGTGACTACCTAGAAAGAATGGACTGAGAAGAGTGCCGGTTCACTTTGGGAAGGAACTGAATTTTCTGTATTCCAAAGGTTGGTTTGCTAATAATAGAAAATCCCGAGAAATTCTCCCCAAAATAAACTCCTAAACTAATAAGTGAGTTAGGCAAGGTTATAAGCTAAAGGGTAAAAGTACATAATCAAGTATATTTCTATGTTCTATCAATGAACGCTGAAATTAAACAATACCATTTACATTGCACTCCAGTGAAAATTATATACTTAAGTATACAATTAACAAGACATGCACAGGATCTATTAGGTTGGTGCAAAAGTAATTGTGGTTTTTGCCATTGAAAGGAATTTTTTTTATGCTGAAAATTTAAAAATTCAGATGAAATAAATCAATGACTTACACAGAAAGACATACTTTGTTCGTGCATTGGAAGATTCATTTCTCCCGCATTGATGTGCAGTTTTAAAGAAAAACCATTATAATAAAAACCCTGGCTGGGCACTGTGGCTCATGCTTGTAATCTCGGCACTTGGGGAGGTCGAGGCGGGCGAATCACTTGAGGTCAGGAGTTCGGGACCAGCCTGGCCAACATGGTGAAACCCCATCTCTACTAAAAAATACCAAAAAACTACCCGGGCCTGGGGGCGCAGGCTTGTAGTCCCAGCTGCTGGGGAGGCTGAGGGAGAATTGCTTGAACCCAGGCAGCAGAGATTGCGGTGAGCCGAGATCGCGCCACTGCACTCCACCCTGGGCGATAGAGACTCCATCTCGAAAACAATAAGATAAAATAAAATTAAAATTAAAAAAATAAAAAATAAAAACACTAACAAGTTTTTTTGTAAAAATAGAGATTATTATGAAATATGAATATGAAATGGCAAAAGAATTGGAATAGCTACAGCAGTGTTGAAAAAGATAAATAAAATGAGAGGAATTGGTCTACCCAATTTTAAGACATATTCTATACCTATAATAATCATGACTGTGAGTAATGTAGAGGATAGATAGATAAATTGAAACAGAATAGAAAACCCAGAAATAGACTCATACAAATATGGCCAATTGACTTTTGCTAAATGTGCTAACTATTTCAATGGAGGAAAGACAGTGTTTTCAAAAAATAGTCCCGGAGCAGTTGGATATTTTTAGGAAGAAAATAAACCTCAACCTAAGTCTCATACCTTATATAAAAATAAACTTAAAATAGATCATGGCCATAAATTAAAACATAAAATTATAAGAATTATATAAAAACATAGAAGGAAATCTTTGGAATCTAAACCTAGACAAAGAGTTCTTAGACTTGATACCAAAATCACAATTTATAAAGGAAACCACTGGTACACTGTACCTCACCAATGTTCAAAACTTTTGTTCTGTGAAAGACCTTGTAAAGAGGATGAAAAGACCTACTAGAGACTGGGAGAAAATATGTGTAAGCCACATATCTGACAAAGGATCCATATCTACATGTATAAATAACCCTCAAAACTAAACAGTAATAAATAAATAAACAAACAAACCAAAAAATCCAGTTAGAACATGGGCAAAGGGTATAAAGACCCATTCACTGAAGATACAAAGATACACAGATGGAAAATAATCACATGGAAAAATATTCGACTTCATTTGTCATTAGGGAAATACAAATTAAAGCCACAATGAGATATCACTACCTGCCTCTTAGAATTATAAAAATATAAGAGTAGTGACAATGCAAAATGCTGGCAAGGGTATAGAGAAACTAGATCACTCACGTATTGCTGGTGGGAATGTAAAATTGTCCAGCCACTACGAAAAAGTTTGACAGTTTCTTCTAAAATTAAAAATGTGCTTATCATACAACCCATAAGTTATACCTTTGGGAACCTTTTGGGAATTTATCCCAAAGAAATAAAGACTTATGTACACAAAAAACCTCTACTGAATGTTTACCACAAATATATTCATATTAACCCAAAACTGGAAACAACCTAGATGTTCCCTCAACAGGTAAATGGTTAAACAAACTGTGATACAATCATAGCACAGAGTACTCAGAAGAAAAAAAAAGGAGGTGGGGGGAACATTGCTGATACACATGACAGTCTCAATGAATCTCCAGAAAATTAAACCAAGTGAAAAAAAATCAGTTTCTAAGGTTATATACTGTATGACTCCATTCATATAACATTTTTAAAATGACAATACAATAGAAATAAAGAACAAATTACTATAATTACTTTTCAGGGATTAAGGAGTTGAATGGGGTAAGAGGGAAGTGGGTGTGGCTGTAAGAAGCAACATGAGGAATCCCTGTTGTGATGTAAATGTTCTATATGTCTATTGTATCAATGTCAGTATTCTGATTGTGATATTACAGTATAGTTTTGTGAGATGTTAACATTGGGGAAAACTGGATAAAGGGTAGATTGAACTTCTCTGTGTCATTTGTTACAACCACACACGAATCTATAATTATCTCAACATTAAAAGTTTAAGAAACAATAGAACAATTTTTTTTTTTTTTTTGAGACAGTCTTGCCAGGCTGGAGTGCAGAGGTGTGATCTCGGCTCACTGCAACCTCCGCCTCCCTGGTTCATGCCATTCTCCTGCCTCAGCCTCTGGGGTAACTGAAACTACAGTCGAGCGCCACCACGCCTGGCTAATTTTTTGTATTTTAGTAGAGACGGGGTTTCACCATGTTGGCCAGGATGGTCTCAATCTCCTGACCTCATGATCTACACGCCTTGGCCTCCCAAAGAATAATTATTTTTAAAGAAAGGAGTACAGCATTGGACATAAGTTCTTGTCCAGTAACACCACTCAGAAGCCATATGACCTTGGGTATTAACTTTCACAACCAAAGATTTCTAATGTCTAAACGTGTAGATTAGATAAGTTGATTTTTGAAATTGTGTTCCAGTTATATAATTCTTCCATGGTATTTTATTTCCTAGAAAAGAGTGTTTCTGTAAAATATACTTTTCTCCACACAACTGAAATAAAGTACATGGGAATTATTTTAAATCCAGGAAAACAGTCATACCCAAGCGTAAAGATCTTGCACTTAAAAAAGACCAATCTGTTTGCTTATTAATGAAAAAATCTCTAAAAAGGGTCTTCAACCCAGCACAAGACAGCATTTTCCCAAAATATTAGATATGAGAGACTGGTTTAAGATTAAATTATAAACCTCTACCTTTTCAGCCCATTAGAGAACTAAAGAAATATTTCCTTTCTAGCTATTTTTGATGTTTTCAGAAAGCCAAACTTTTCCCATGCCCTATTTCTCAGGGAGGGGGAATAACCCACATATGTATGGCAGGTCCTTTAATTCACTTTAGCTTCAGCAATGTTGGGTTTGGCTTAGTTGTTAGAACTAACATGTTTACATGACATTTGGGGCACACTTCTGCTCTTCTGTCTGTCACCAGCTGATGGACTCCGAGGCAGTCTGGATAAGAATCCATTACTCTTACTGGAAGCTAGTCTGTCTATATTACCTTCACACATGGTTTCTTAAAAGTCATTTTCTCTATTAAAAATCTGCAAAATATCTTGAAGGAACTTTAAAGAAGTAGAATTGTTATTTAAATACCACATGGCTCTTAAATTCACAAACAGTTACTATTCTGAGTTCAAATTACATAGGCACTGTTATATACAAAAAAAATAGCATGAAGGAATTCCATGTATACAATGCATACCTGGTTATGTATACATGGAACTATGGACTAGATGAGGAAATTGATACTCTTGTTATTCCAACCAACTATGAAAAACATCCTACATTTTAAATGTAAAACTGGGGCCCATGGGCTGTCTTTAAAAAAAAAAAGTTAGGATATTGGAGGACTGTGTGAAGATTTTTGAAACTTATCATACTTGAATTCTTTTCAGAAATTCAAAGAGTATGCAGAGTTACAGCTTGCTTACATTCGTTACAGCATTTATTTATTATAAATTTGTATTGGAACCTGCCATGTATCATGTACTGTCTAAGTGCTAAGGAGAGATACAAATAGGCAATTACCTTAACACAGAGTATTAATTCTATGATGGTGGTGAGTACTAAAGTGCTATAGGAGGACAGGAAATGATCTAACCCAACCTTGAGAAGAGTTTTCACATGCATACTACTGCTTTTTAATCTCAGACTCCCATGTGAACAGCAACATCCTGTTTTTCATGTTATGAATATCAGACGGGTTCCAGTGTTTCTAATAGCTGGGTTACTGATACATCCAGAAATCTTCTGTTAACAACTGACAAGTCAAATTCAGACTACCTGGTGCCAAGCAGCCCAGCTCACTTGTCAATATCGTTTATGTAACCTTGACTTTTCATGACAGAGTGGAGGTAAGAATAGACCCACCACCAAATGGTCATCTATACAGTATGTAATACAGGCTCAGCAGAAGTCTGGCCCCCAGGCTTCTCTGTGGGATGTTCACCTACATAACTTTACTTCTCCTCCTAATAACTCTGGCCTTGTGAGTTTTTCCTTCCTTCTCTAATAAACTAAGCCAATAGTTTCACTGAATTTATTCTGAACCCGGTTACATGACAAGTGAAAACTCAACTGTACTCCTTTGCAAAACAGGCTTCCTGGGTGACGTTGAAATGGAAATCACATGATAGTATGTCAAAGGTTTTTCCCCAGATTTTTCTGACACAAGAGAGTTGGAGTGAAACTGAGAATTCTCATGGACAGATTGACCTTAGGTTCCCCATGTAAGCTCAGCTCTCTCCACTCCAGACTGCTGGACTGTGTTAGTGTCTGGTTTGTCTGATGTGATTATGAACCCCCTGGGCAAGACTTTGCCTAATTCTATGTTCTCTACAGCACCTAGCAATGGTGTTGGCACCATCCAGTGCCAAAGGACGCTCAATCTCTGTTAACTAATAATAGGATTGACTTCTCAACTCAACATGATGAGGTTTCTGTCATCTTTATGCCAGTGTTTTTTTCTGATGTGTATTTCTATTTGTGTCTGGAGAGCAAGCTTCATGTGTTACTGATTCACCCCTGGGCTGATCTTCTTTTCAGGAAATGTAGGCATGAAGTTGAGATTTTTTCAACCACAAGTTTTGGGAACACGGACTGCTGAAATATGCTAGGTTACATGAAGGGGAAATGTTTTTGAAAGCATTGCTTTTATTTTTTTAGCAGTCATGGGGATCTTTGTGAGCCAAGGATGCAGACTGGTTAGCAGATGTGATTATAAAGCCAGCAGGTCCCTTCAATGCAAATGTTTCATTTTAGTTTCTCCATTCCTAAGGAAAACAGTCAGCTTTTTGTTCAATTGACAAGTCTTTTTAATGGTATTTCTTTAATTATACTTCTTGTTTGCTCTAGTACTGAATTATTAATTAAATTTTCCTCATGTTAAATGAGCCATTGTATTGATCTTTGTAGTCATAAATCAGATGTTACATATGACATTTTATAGCACAAATATAACAAATGATTTTTCTGTGTAATTTCATCTTAATTCAACTGAAGGTGGAAAATGTCTTCATAAAAAGAGGACTCTTTGTTATATGGGTTTTTCTCTTGCATGTAAAAGAGGAAGGCCTCTTTGCAGTTGAGATAACAGGAAGGCATCTGTCTCCTGCTCGTCCCTGTGCAATGGAATGTCTAGGTGTAAAACCCGATTATATTTTCCATCTACTGAGATAGGAGAAAACCACCTTAAGGCTGGAGGTGAGATGCTGGCGGCAATACTGCTCTTTAATGCGTCGAGATGTTTATGTCTGTGCACATCAAAACACAGCACCTTTTTCTTAACCTTGTTTATGACACAGAGACATTTGTTCACGTGTTTTCCTGCTGACCTTATCCCCACTATTACCCTATTGTCCTGCCACATCCCCCTCTCCGAGATGGTGGAGATAATGATCAATAAATACTGAGGGAGCTCAGAGACCGGTGCCAGCGCACAGCGCGGGTCTTCCGTATGCTGAGCGCCGGTCCCCTGGGCCCACTTTTCTTTCTCTATACTTTGTCTCTGTGTCTCTTTCTTTTCTCAGTCTCTCGTCCCACCCAACGAGAAAGACCCACAGGTGTGGAGGGGCAGGCCACCCCCCCCTTCATCTTCATTTTACATTTCTTTTAGCATGCTTTGTAATTGGCCTTTAGTGTAAGATTTTAGGCTAATCTGGCTAGGGGTTGGGCTGTGTTTAATGTTTTCTGTACTTGTACATACCAGAGGTCGCAAACCCCTCTATATATATTGCTTGTCTCCCCTGTGTTTTTTTTTTTTTTTTTTTTTTGGTTTCCGTAAGAACTCCTCCTCAGAGAGAGTCTGTGTCTTGTGCCTCTTTCAGCTATAATTCTTTGTTATACTGTGTTCTGTTGGTGTGTTGGTGTGTTGGTAAGGTGTTGGGGAGGGGGAAGGACCATTCTATAATTTTACAATTAAATCTCAGTCTTTACATGGGCCTGTGTCACTCAGCTGTGACCTTAACAAGTATTTCTTAGCTTTACTCGCCACTTATATGAAACAAGGTGGCTAGAAAGAGCTAGAGAGGAGTAGATGCTTTTTTCCCAGTTGGGATAAGGCTCTAGTAATATCTTTTACCTTGGAGGGTGAGCCTTTGTATGGTGATTGCTTTGGGTAAGTCACTTTTTTCCCCTTGTGCCAAAGCTACAAGGGGATCTTTCTTGACTCTACCGTAAGAGTCTAGTGGAGTTCCTGAAGGTAAAGCCCAAGAAAGTGGTTGGAGGGTGGTGGAGCTAACACTGTATTCCTTAGGAGTTTCTCATCCATATGCTTATCCACACTCAGCATGTACAATTCATCAAGTTTGCCATATAAGTGTTGCTATAAATTTATTGCTGGGACTTCTGCTCCAGGCAAGCAGATCTTGGTAGTAACTCTGAATTTACCTGGTTTGCAGGTGACAATTCAACATGTGACCTCAGGCCTCTACTGGGCCTGAGAAAGGTCATGGGGTTCAGTATGTTTAATTTTTATCTTATAATGACAGGAGTGAAAACTTCCAATTTCTTGACATGTTGGAGCTGAAACATTATATGACATTTCACAGGTAAAAATAAATTTGATAAGGGGGTTGAAGCATCACTACAAACAATTGGACTACAGTTTATTTAAAAATGTCTTGAAAACCAATTTCCAATGATGAAGTTAAGTGGATAGGGCAATTGAAATGAATAGCAGAGCTTAGCAGGGCTTCCACTGCCAAATTTGGGACAATTTGTGCACTATAACAAATAATAAGTGGAGTAAATTACAATACTTTAAACAAAGAAGGAATCTCTAATAAACTGGGCCAATAGTTTCACAGAATTTATTCTGAACCCGGTTACATAACAAGTGAAAACTCAACTGTACTCCTTTGCAATTAATAGCTCTTAATGATACCTCAAAATAGTAATTTCAAATGTTGAAGAGATAATGAATGAAAAGCTCCTTTTTATAGAAACATAACTAGTAAATATGGAAGAAATGATGAAATTAGAAAATCATTTGCTGACACTGTAGTAACGATTGATTCAAGCAGTATGAATTCATGGATGCCAAAACCATCAGGGTTAGAATCATTGGAGAGCAAGATATTTGCACAGTCTCAAAGTATTATCCCACAGATTACTTAATCACAAAAAGAAAAGAGCATCTTTACAATGAAGAAATTCAGCAGACATGCCTTAACCAAGTAATCAAGCTAAATTCTCCAAACTGGGACACACTGACATCGTGTACTTCTGATAGGCTGTTCTGTGAAGGACACAGCATCACCTGTGTATTAGTCCTGCCATAAATGTTTCACCTGAATTTAATTATGAGAAAATACTCATTTTAGGGTATAGTGTGTAGAAAAAAGGTTTGGACTCTAAAAATATTAGTATCATGAAATTTTTTAAAAGCTAGGAACTACTTTAGATTAAAGGGGGATAGACAGACTTGAAAACTAAGTGCAATGTATGATTCTTTATTGGATTCTGAAAGGAGGGGCATGAAAGAAAGATTTCTTTGGGACAACTCTGGAAATTTGAATATGTACTGGGTTTAGATAATTGCATTATATCAATGTTAATTATTGTAGTGATAATTATATTGTGATTTGTGGGAGAATGTTCTCCTTTAAGGAGTGAAATGCTGAAGTATTTGGCAGTGAGTGTCATGATGTCTGCAATTAACTTCCAAACAACTGAATGTTAACAACTAGTAAATCTAATTGAAGGGCCTTTATTGCAACTTTTCTACAGGCTTGATATTTTCAAAATTAGGAAAAAGAACAGTAAATAAAATGAATGACGGTAGTAATGATCACTATAAAATCAAATGCTTTATCCTATGGGTGTTAGTCGTCATACAGAGAAAAAGTTAAGCTTACCTTTGATCAACAAACACATTAGAAAATCTTTTAACATGCTATATGTGAGTTAATAATTTTTGCAAATGGGATCCCAGTTATAGTAAAAAAAAATCTGCCAACTACACAGAAACATAAAGAATACAGTAGATAGTCCAAAAATTCTTGCAAAAGACATAGAATTTACAAGGGCTTTGGTATACAGTGGTAGAAAATTAGAAGTAAAGTTTTGGATGCAATAAACTCACATATATTGTATTTATTGCTGCATAAATATGAAATGTCAAAAATATTAATAACAAATATAAATAATTGCAATAAAATGTCCTCCTACCTTAATTAAGCACTTTCCACAAACTTGTTTTCTTCAAAAGGCTGTCTTTTCACTGTACTGGTTACTCTGACAACATGTGAAATAATGAGAACATACATCTAGTCTTGGCTCTGAAGTTTTCCCTAAATAGGGCATTTTTAACGATGCTTTCTCTCCTGCAAGTGATGGTAAAGTGATTAAAACTACAGCAAAATTCAACATGAAGGTCAGACTGAGTCTTGCCAACTGTTAGAAAGTTTCGTAGCATGTGCCTGAGTAATGTTTTTATCCTTCCACATCGCCTCCTCTACTCATGTATTGTGCCAAGCCATAGGGAAAAGTTAGTCAGTGTGTTCATAGACACAGGGGAAAGTAATAAGAGGAAGGGGAATTAACTATCTTATCTATCTGGGATAAAATCCTTCTGTTTTGAGACATGCTTTATAAGTTACTTCATTCCAATTAGTGTCATTTATAAACTGTCATACTTAATAAGCAGCAAATGCCACAGTCAGCACTGTAGTGTAGCCATCCTTACAGGATACAATAATTAGCTCACCTTCAAATGAATTCTTGGTTTTTTTTCCCTGCCAAGCTCCAAGAACAAGGAGCCTGTTTCCGAAGGGCTGTGTCACATTGATAAAAGGGGCAATGGCTCTCAAGGAAGAAGAAGAGGTACCTAGAAAAGAGCAAAGCAGGGGCTGAAGAGCCCTGCCCCTCCAAATGTTGTCCTTTCTTACATGCTCTTTGATGCTGGGAAGTAGGAAGTGAGTGAGGAGGATGGGGAGAGGCAGAAACTAGTGAGAGATTCACATCTTTACCTCTTTGAGACTTACATTCTCCTTGCAAATCACATTTTCTCCTTTTAGAGCAGAAGTAGGATTTTTGCATCCCAGAATCTGTAGAAGAAAAGGGCCTGAGGCTGGCTGCAGGAAGCACTAAAGTCCCAGGAATTTTCCTTCCATTTCTGCTCCAGAACAGAGGCTGCTGATGTGGGCTGAGTTAAAGCACGTAGAAACCAAATAGCATCATGTTTTTGAGACATTTCTGATGCTAGTTCCTGTGTCTTAAGGCCCTGGGGTAAAGCTTTAACTTCAGAATTGACGCTTTGAGGGTTAAATCCCAGTTCTACGATTTTTTTTGTTTGATTTTGAAGTAATTTAACCTGTCGGATTCTCAGTATCTTCTGTAAGAAAAAAAAAAAAAGTGGAGATGAGGTATAGATACTATTAGCTGTCTCTTAGGTTAGCATGAGGATTAAATGAGAGCATATCTTAATGGTTCCGCAGCATGTCTTACACTAGTAAGGGCTCAGCGAATGATGACTGGCCACGCACTTCAGCCACTGAGGAATGGCAGGGAGGATCTTCTTTTCTTTGAATCTCTTCTTGCGGCCACAGTGTGGGTTATAAAGGCTGTGACATTCAGTCCATTCTGGCTTCCTGTAATGTTAACATGAGCACATCATGAACACTGGGCCTATACAAAGTTGTAAAGCAGGCAACGCTTGTCTTTAATGTTCTTCTCTTGCTCCTTCCAAAATTAGATTTCATATCCCAGACTCCCTTTTCCCCAACCTTCTTTACAGTCTTGGAGTTTTATGCAGCATGTCCCATACAACCCTCTTTAGGACTTCACTCTCCTATCTTCTATGGTCCCCAGGTTCTGTTTGAACACACCACCTGCTACGCCTATTGACCAGTCAGTCCTCTGAGGGTAAGTTCAGTTCTCTTTTCTTATTCTATTCACGAGATTTTTCAGTAACAAAGAATTATGGCCCTAGTGCTCACTAAGTGAGCTGTCTTGGAATTTTATTATTTAGAAATTTTAAAAATACATACAATTTGAAAATATTTTTGATATTTGAAATAAAATACCAGTCTTTAAACATTGGGGATATTCTTTGAATGAAATTGTGGAAGACTTTCTAGTTTTTCTAACTTAAAAAAAAAAAAAGCAAAGAAAAGTGCAGAATTCTAGATTTAAAATGAAAAAACAATATGAACCATGACTCAATATAACTTGCAGATTCATCATTTCCCAATGGCCACTCCTAACCCTCCCTAATTGTAAATGGTGGCATTATACTTGACTCTATACTTATTCTTCGAAGTCCTCAGATTTTTTTTAAAGATCTTTGTGTAAGCAGACTATTAGTCCTTGTCAAGAAATACTATTATTTTATAGCTTTCTGAAAATACATTTCAGTCATGCACACTTGGGCATACGGTTTGGAAAATTCAAATTAAATTTCCAAGTATTTAGTTCATTACAGAGTCAATGCTAACCACCTTAGGAAAATTGACTTTTCGATACCTTATCATGGTTGTCACATTCTTAAGCTATTCAGTTTCTCCTTACTAAAATCCACTAGTTTTCTAAAAGTGTAGGTTTTAAAATTAGTGAGGTCATAGCATTTTTTTTTATGTAGAGCTTCTTGTCATGATGGGGAATTTTAAGTGGTATTTGGAAGGCCCATTATTGCCTTTTTCTCACCAGGTTTAAGTGTATCTCCATTTTAATGACTTTTTCTGATATATTTGTTATGTCAAATCCCAGCACATGATAGTATCCTCCCTTTACTTTATACCAAGATACCCAGTTCCTTCATTCCCAAAAGATTATTCAACATTAAACCGGATGCATTCTTTTGTAACCTATAACTGAATTTTATCCTCTTGGGTACAAAAATTAAAAACAAAAAGTCTCTGACACCTCTTACTGCTTTCTTTGTGCCCCAACAACCAAAAAATGCATAAAAATTTAGATTTTCTTTTCAATTTCTGAATAAAGAACTCAAACTCCAGTTTTTGTTCGTTACTTTCTTTTTAATTATTTAGTAAGACTCTCTTTGAAGGTACAATAAAACCTCTATTATTAAGACTGCATATTAACTCACTCCACAAGATCTTTTAAGCCCATGACTTTTATCATTTATCCTGAGTTTCCTCCCAAGACTGTGTATTAATGCAAAGAGGAAAAGTGTGAAGCCTCTTTTTTCTTTTCCTGCCTATACTACATGCTCAGGTTTCAAAGCAAGATGTCACACTAGAAATAAAATAAATGCGGGAAATTTTCCTCTTGGCATTACTTTTCAGAGGCAAAGACTAAATAAATAGTAGCAGAGGTGGAAAGAGCATGACAAATACTTTAACATTATTGAGAAGTCCAAATAGAAAGATGGTCACATTGTAAGCTTTGCTGTATTGAGATTCTGGTAGAAATCTGCATGGAGAACATACCTTGGACTGACACCCTTGGGAGAGGCCTCCCTTAAATTCTTCACAGCTGGACTCTGGAGACAAGCAGATGCTCTGCATGCCAAGGACATGAAAGGAGAGGGATCTACCGAGCTGATTTCTGAGGAAGCTGGCTCCCAACCCAAGCATCAAAATTACAGCCGAGACCCTGATTATTTGTCACTTTTCCCTGCAGTTTTGAATCAGTAATCATATTTATCTGAGCTTATATAACATAAAATTATTGCCAGCCAATTTTACTCAATCTTTAATCATTAATTTACTTAAACTTTTTAAATAAAGGATATTTCAGTTAAGGTTTTGTTGATATTATGCAAAAAATTCAACAGTACTAACAGCACTGATTAATTTTCAAATCTTGGTCCTTTAGGAGGTTGAATGAGTTTCTCTTTTCTTTATTCTTTTAGCATAAAGATCAAGACCTACTTTTTAAGGGAGGCCTTTCTTTGTAATAAATACTTGCATCATCTCTAAATAAAAAAAATTTGCTTGCTGTATCTCCTGTTCCCTTTAACAACTGCTCAGATGAATGCATTCATGATTATTATATATCTCCCATGACTTTATTACGCTCTAAACTTCTAAAGACTAGTGAACATGTTCTCTAGTATAAGCCATAAGAGCCTAGAAACATGTTCAACATTTGGTTAATAATTTATCTTAAGGTCTATTGGCTGTTGAACACAAATCACTTTTTTACTCTCACTGCATTATGAAAGACTGTAATTATTTTAATGCAAGATACTACATTGAATTATTAGAAAATTTAGTATTCGTAATATAGAGATTAATAAGTCTATTAACTACCACAGTTTGATCTTATTATAAGAATTAGTGGGTGTTGCTTTCTCACCATCTATTTTCATGTCTGTAGGCTACTTTTGGTTTTAGTGTCTAATTACCCTCTTTTTTATGTCTCCTTATCTGCCTTGGCTACTTTACTAAAGTTCTACAAGGAGATACATGCATTACCTGCCAGCTACACAGAAATATTCTTCAGAATGATAACATTTACTGGGTATTACTATAATATAAATTCTAATTGATGGTTAGAGTTGGAATAAAAACATGAAATACCTTTCACACCTTGCCATGCTCAAGAATTTCAATATGATTAAAAGAACACAGGAATTGAAATTTGCTAACCTACATGCTTTCCAACAAATTGAGTATTCTACTGTGTATCAGCCCCAGGGGCTATCATTCTGACACTTTCTCATCAGAATTAAACTACAAATTCAATAATAATAATAGTAATAATAACTTAGCTAAGTAGGTCAGACTGCTGAGAGCCCTAGCACTAAGTTTATTTATGACTGGGCAAGAATTCTCTACCATGAAAGAATGAAAACGACAATAAATCTACCTTGTGCTTATAAAGAAGTGAGTTAATGAAAAAAAGGAGTATATCTCTGATAACATCACATTGTTCTTTTAACTTAAATCTTGTAACTTTTTTCTCATTTTCTCCCCTCCACTGTACACACATTTCAATGTCATTGGGAAATGTGCCCATTTTTGTTATATCCTGGAACTGTCTAGAGTTCCATTAGCCCATTGTTTATTGTTTTTTTTGACTAGACCAAAACTTAGTAGGTTAAACCTTATATATACAAATTGATAGATAATCTCCATCTGTATATTCCATAAGTGTCTCAAACTTAACTCACTCTCTTCCTGCTCATGTCAATTGCCAAGGGGCCAAACTCAGAATTTCAGAAATGTTACCTCTTTTCATACAGTCAGCAAGTCCTATGAATTTCATTTTGAAGCTATAATTTGATTCCATTATCTCCTTTTTACTCATACTCCCACTTCTCTGCCAACAAATTGATTGTCCCATCTCCAGTCTCCTTAGTTTTCATATATTTTTCATCCTGCCACCAGAGTTTTCTTCCTACAAGGCAAATCTAATCAAACTGTTCTGCTCAAAAACCTCCAATAGCTTCCCTTTATGTACAGAATAAATTTAAAAAATTATTAACATGAAATTAAGACCTGGCTTGTGACTGATTTCAGTTTACCTCCATGTTGTTTTAAATGAGATTTAGTATCATAATGTGATTAAGAATGCAGGTTTTAGATTTTAAAAGCCCTAAGTTTAAACTCTTACTCCCACATTTTCGAGCTAAGGGACCTTGGAAATGGTTCTTAACTTCTGCAATCTGTTTCTTTATATATTTATTGAAAATGGAAAGAAAAATGCCTACCTTACATATTTTTTGTGACAATTAAATTAGATAACCTACATAAAGGTATATAATAAACATTGAATATATAGCAATCATTACTATTTTTTAACTTTTTGACTTCATCTACTCCTATCACCACCCACTGCCCCGCACCTTGGAGCTATCCTATACCTGAGGTAGCAAACAGATTTCATTACCCAAACCAAATTGGTGAAGAGGTAATGTTTGTTTCTTGAGCCCTACACTAAGAAGGATTCTAAGCAAATCAGACTCAGCAGGAAACAATGTTGAAATAGATTTGCAGAGTCTGCCATTGGGCACAGAAAAGAGTGTTAGTTGTACTGATACTGTATACTACATTGTAGCTAATTTGTAATACATGTGGTCCCTTGTATCTCCTACATCCATAAATTTATCTTCTGCTTCATCTGTCCAAAATAGTTTATTGTTCTCTCATTTTCCCTTCTACCTGTCAAAATCTTACTCATTCCTTAAGACCCATATCAAATGTACCCCTTGTTATAAACCTGCCCTCCCTGAGTACTACTAACTGCAGTTTATGTCTCTGTTATAACTCTTCCTGCAGCCTGAGTTGAATTATAACTCTCTGTATATATTTCAGGTTTCTGCATCTTGAAGGTAAGGACTACTGCTCCTTTCCCTTTGTTTGCACTGGTACACCAAGGGCAGTGCTTGCAATAGACCAATAACAGCAACAACCAAAATTTATGAAGCCCTACTTATGTGTCAGGCCTTGTTGTAAGCAATTCTCATACATATGAACTCAATTAATCCTCACAAGACCTCCAGGAGTTACATTGCCCTATTTACAAAGGAGGAAATGAGAGGTAGAAGGTGAAGTATCTTGCCCCAGCTCACAAAAGTAGTTACTGGTAGCAGCTTGTCCTCTCAATCACTACACTTGTACACCTTCTTAAGGAACGTATTATGTTTATTGAAGTTTTGTAAAATTTTTTATTTGAATTGAAAATATATTTTGATGTTATTATCTTCATTTAAATGTTTTATTTGTAGACAAAATGCATGGCCAGTTACATTGCAAATGCCCACTCTAAATGTACATGTGAGAAATACCATACTGTAAACACAAAGAGGTGTTGAGTGCAAACGTCATAGTAGGGGCTGTTAGCTGAAATTCTGTATCATCTATATTGTATGTATGTTTCAGTTCAAGTTATTAATAGATATGCTAGTGCTTTATTTCATGTTGAATATTTTTCTTAAAATAAAAATATTTTTTCAAAAATCTCTAAAATGCTTTACAGGCACAAATTTAATGTCAAAAATTTGTACTGTGAGATCATTGGAACCTGGCCAGACATGCAACCAAACTGAGAAGCGAAATGGTGCTCATAAGTGCCAAGTTAAACCATGTGAAACCAGTAATGTCTTCATCTTAATCAAGCATGCATATCCACATGTGGAAGCCTTAAGGGGCAAAGGTGTCATATTTAACTTGGACTTTGCAACTCTCCCTTTCCTAATATGGATATTTTCTTCTACTTATCATGGGCCAAGTCTTATGCCTTTGGAGTCTCCGGTCTCCTCACAGGAGTTTATGCCTTTGCACTTCCCCCAACAAAATTGAATAACCAAAGAAATAGGTCTAGGTGGGACATTTGCTATGTTCCTCTGGTTCTCTTAATGAAATGTGATGGTCTACTAATGACAGAGCCAGAGATATTCCTGAATAACGGACAGGGGTGAGATTATGGACTTATCTTAGAAGGAGGACTCAGCCAGAGTCTCAGTCTAACTAGCAAACTAGACTTTTGCTTAGAATCTCAATCTAAGCCTTCAGGAGAATCTCAGGCATATTAGATTAGGGAGCATGCTAATGAACACATCTTAGTTTAACATTATAGTCACATATATCTTGAAGACAATTGGAGTTTCCTATACCATATATGTATGCCCTAACTCTGTTTGCCTTTTTTTTGTTTAATAGGTGTTAATATTTCACTTTTTAAAATGCCCTACATTTGAAGGGCACCTGTAGTCCTAAAGATCCAACTAAAATAATCACAAACCTTCAGAAAGTAACCAAATACAGACCATTTAAATGAATTTGCATTTATGTAAATTGACTCATACATATGTTTCCTGCCCTTGAGATTAAAAAGTCACCCTGTAAGATCTCCATGCACAATGATTCTTGGGGCAGCCCTGACATGCTGTAGTGAGCCTCATGCACTCTCTCTCCTCCAGTCACAGATTCTTTTCTTTGACCTAATACGGAAGTGTTGGGTGTCTCTGCCTTCTATAGTGCACTGACTCAATAGGAAACAACTGCATAAGCTAAAATAAATTTGGCCTGATTTGGGAAGTGCTAGCATGGTTTTTCCACCTTAAAAAATATTTCATAACAAGACTTCTAAGTAACTGTCTGCTCCCAGTCACTATCTTTCATCTAACTTTCTTTGCATCTCAGCATATTCCTAGGAAGCACTTGAAAAATCTTGTGATTAAAAAAAAAAGATACTTAGAAGAATTCTTACAATTGGAGAGCTCTCTGTTCTTGGTGGCTAGGGCTTCACGTTTCCAGCTATTATCTCATTTGTTCACATGCTCCTTTCTGTCAGAAAAAGAGCAAGTGTATACAAGAAGTAGGAATGGAGTGGCAGCTCAGCATTTGTGTTTCCAGTTTCAGACTCCTACGCATTGCTTGAAATTAGTCTAGAACTTCAGGTGGTCACTCCAAATATGAATTCACTGACTGGATATAATCCTAGTCATTCTAAACCTCCTCTCTTGTGAATGTTTACCTGGTGATATTTTTTTGAGAGATTAATAAATGTTAATGACCTCACCAGAGAGTTCTTTCCAAATGAAAATTGTGCTCCCTTGGAAATTGCCAACTGCTATCTTGGAGAATTTTTATAAGATTGCTAATTTGAAGAAAGATTTTGATTTAGGTAATAAAAGGAAGAGGGATCCTAATAACCTATCTCTAAGGACCAGAATATACTTAATTAATTGGTGTAGTCTATGAAGCAATTAAACTAAAAGAGTTCTACTTTCTTCTTAATAGCTATTTCAGATTTGCAAATATTCAAATTTCTATTTTGTAGGAAACATTATGTTCAGATTCGCTTTTTACATATGTAAAGTAATTCACTGATGACTAGGAAGCAGAATTAAAAATTACAAATTTTATATGGCTTTTCCCTACTTCTGTTATGTTTTGTTTAATCTCCATCATGTAGCACTGTGCCAAGTATAAAGTACTTATGGGAAATAGAGTAAATACTTAGTATTTATTGAATAAATGGATGTGCTATGACCTAAATGTTTGTGCTCCAAAAAATTCACTTAACCCCCAAAGTGATGATATTAGGAGATGGGGCCTAATTGGGGGTAATTAGTCATGAGGGTGGAGCCCTTATGAATGGGATTAGGGGTGTTATAAAAGAGGCCTAAGGGAGCTTGTTTGCTTCTTTCACCAAGTGGGGATGCAACATGAAGGCAGCATCTATGAGGGAATCTGCTGATGTCTTAATCCTGAAATTTGCAGCCTCCAGAACTGTAAGAAATACGTGTTTCTTATTCCTAGGCCAGCCAGTTTGTGGTAATTTTCTTATATCAGCCCAAGAAGACTACTATGGTCGAGTGTGCCCCCCAAAATTCATATATTGAGACTTAATGAGCAATGTGACAGTATTAAGAGGTAGAGTCTTTAAGAGGTGGTTAAGTCATGAGAGCAGAGCTCTCATGGATGGGTTTACGGCCTCTATAAGAGGACTTCAGGGAGTTGGTTTGTTCTCTTCCCCCGCTTCTTCCATGTGAAAACATCTAGAAGGCCCCTATCTATGAGGAATGGTCCTTCACCAGACACTAATCCTGCCAGTGCCTTGATTTTGGACTTCCCAGCCTTTAGAACTATGAGAAAATAAATTTTTATTATTTATAAATTATGCAGTCTTGGGTATTATGTTATAGCAGCACAAATGGACAAAGATAGTTACTAATACAGAATGGACTTATACATTTAGTTTTCAGTACAATCTAGGTGGTCATTTTAGCCATTTTTATTCCTGTTGTATGTGGCTATAATTGATTGATTCATTCCGTTGGTAAAATGGATAAAATAACATTTCCAAACATTGTGTATTTTGTTTCATATTGCTTGCCTCAATTTGAATACTAAGGTAGTTTGTGGTAAAGGTGCTTATGATTGTCCTTAGTGTGTTTCCCAAATTATTTTTAGTTCTCTTAAGCACTTGGTAGGTCTGTACTTCCAGGCTCCCTTGTAGATAGGTGGTGTGGTGTGAGATGCTTTGGCAAGGGAATATAAACTTAACAGGCATGTATTTATTTCTGATGGAGGCTAAAGGGCTAGTGTATGACTTGCCATGCTTTCTCTCTTCCTTTGCCTTAATATTTTGCCATGTTCTAGATACTGGCTGTTTCATCAGCCATGTCTAGGAGTGAAGAGAAGTCAGATTGGAGCCCCAGGTCAATTTTCTATAAATATAAAGGATTTTTTTTATTGCAGTGTAAGCGAACTCTTCCTGACTGAAAACCAAAGAAAGAGTGTTTCTGGAATCAAGAATTGATTAGTAACACTAAATGTTGAAGAGCAGTTAATGACTACAGGACTAAATAATGTCTATTGAATTTGGCTACAGTGAAACCATTTTTAAAACTTTTTTCCTTTTAATGAGAATAGTTTCTATAGAGTGATAAGTGTGAAACCAGACCTAAGTGGTTGAAGAGTGAGTGAGAAGTGAGGAAGTAAAAAGAGTGATTGTAGAAAAGTCAGGAAGTTTGTCTGTGCAAGTGAGAAGAAAATTGACTTGGTAATGCTAAGACAGGGCAGTAGAGATCTTTCCATCCCCTTTTTCTGTTGAAAGTTACAACACAAAAATCAAAGAGTTAAAGAAACAGTAACATAAACCCCATGCTTAATCAAACACAAAGACATCTACAATCCTAAATTATAACATTTAAAGAAAGAAAACAGATAGAGGAATTATGAAGATCTTAGCAGGAAAAAA
Organism: Homo sapiens; assembly: GCF_000001405.40. NCBI lineage: Eukaryota > Metazoa > Chordata > Mammalia > Primates > Hominidae > Homo > Homo sapiens. Next base: position 99,433,318 of record NC_000003.12, read on the forward strand.
AAGAAAAGGTCAAATTCAAGTTCCTGTATATGGTGGAGAAAGTGGAGATAACCGATAAAAAGTAAACCAATTCACCACATAGGATTTCAAGAAAGGCTCAACAATTAGGAGCATGAAGAACTGCAAAAGGTGTAAGTTAGGCAGGTGGCTGAAAATAGAGATTTGAAAGCCCGTTTATGGAGTTATTAGGACCCAGGTGCCCACTCTAACGCAGCATCAGGTGGCTGCTTCCCTTCTACAACTCCGGGAGGAATTTGCTTTGAGACAGTGAATCAGCAAGGCTCCAGATGCTGAAGCACCAAACCCAAAGGAGGACAGCCACAAGGCAATGGATTGAAAATGAAGATATTACGTGTAAGTCTACACAGTAACTAGTGAAACCCTAAATTCTTCTCAAACCTACCACCTGACCATTAGCAGTGAGGAGCCTCCAGGAGAAAGGTTAGAGGAGACATAAAATTGATATACAGGTATTGACATTTGTAACATCTGAAAGTAAAATACCGCTTTTTAAATCCAATTGCTTTTAAGAAAGCTCACTGACTGGCATGCCGTATCTATGCACACAGAACTCCAATCAGCTTTTTTGGTTCCTGACTCTTGCGGAAGACAAAGATGATCACATATTGAAGGAAATCCACTACTGTAGGAGAGAAAGGTCAAACAAAGCACAACAAACCTAATAAAAGGAACTTGGAGGAAACAGAGATAATGCAGAGAAAAAAAATTTAAATACAGTAGCACTTAATACTTTCAGATAATGAAGATGTTGTTGCCTTGAAATAAAGACGTGATAAAAACAGAAAAAGTAAAAAATAAAATAAAATAAAAAAGAAATTGAAGTTAAAACAGCTGAATTTTTATTTTTTTAAATATTTTCTATTTCAATAGCTTTTGGGGTACAAGTGGTTTGGGGTTACATGGATTACATGGATGAATTGAGCAGTAGTGAAGTCTGAGGTTTTAGTCCACCCAACAACCAAATGGTGTACATTGTATCCAATATGTAGTTTTTTTATCCTTCACTTTCCTCCCACCCTTCTCCTTCTGAGTCACCAAGGTCCATTATATCACTGTATGCCTTGGTGTAAAACAGCTGAAATTTTAAAGAAAATTCCTAGAATATTTAAAAGAGAAGATCAAGAAGATGACCCAGAAAGCAGCCTTAAAAGCCAAAGAGAAGGAATATTGAAATAAAACAGATATGGATATGGGACATCAGTATACAACTAGTAGGAATTGAGTGAAAAACTTATGCCTGTTATCCCAGCACTTTGGGAGGTCGAGGCGGGCGGATCACGAGATCAGGAGATTGAGACCACCCTGGCCAACATGGTGAAACCCCGTCTCTACTAAAAATACAAAAATTAGCCGGGCATGGAGGCATGCGCCTATAGTCCCAGCTATTCGGGAGGCTGAGGCAGGAGAATCGCTTAAACCTGGGAAGCAGAGGTTGCAGTGAGCTGAGATCGTGCCACTACACTCCAGCCTGGGTGACAGAGCGAAACTCCATTAAAAAAAAAGAAGAAGTAAATTATCAAAGAAATAATAGAAGAAAAACATCCATAATTGAAGGACATAAAACCATAGATTAAAGAGTTTAAGTATGCTCAGCACAATGAATGTGGAAAAAAACAAACCACAATCCATCCAGAAAAAAATCTAGTGTATGTAGTACTCCATTGTTTCCTAGACAGTGAAAGTGTTTGTTACTAGAGTATATACTGGTCAAAAAATACTGTTCTCAGTGAAATTATAATTATTCTCAGCAACTTCTTTTACCTGAAATAATTTTCTTCACTAGTTACGATTTCTTTTTTTTTTTTTTTATATATACTTTAAGTTTTAGGGTACATGTGCACAATTCTGAGTAGACTCCAGAACTTTCTAATTAATGAATTCAACACCATCCCTTAATAAGCCACCTGAGGTTTCAGGTTGTTTCCATTTTTTTTCACTGTGGTCTCCCATTCAGCAGCCATGACACTGCCTCTGCTTTAATTGTCTTCCTCTATCAATCACAATTTCCACAGATATTTTCTATTGGTGGCGGCTATCATTTGGATATGTGACCCTCCAACCTCATCTTGAAATTTGATCTCAGTGTTGGAGTTAGGGCCTAACAGGAGGTATTTGGATCATGGGGACAGATTTTATAAACTGCTGGGTGACATCCTCCCTCCTGTTAATGTGTGAGTTCTTACTTTATTAGTTTCCATGACATCCGGTTGTTAAAAGGAGCATGCCCCTCTGTTCTCTCTCTCTCTTGCTTCCTCTATTCCTGTGTGATGTCTGCGCATATCAATTCCCCTTCCCCGTCTTCCATGATGCACATATCAGCTTCCCTTCCCCTTCTTCCACGAGTGGAAACAGTCTGAGACCCTCACCGGATGTCTAATCCTGAGCTTTTCCAGACATCAGAAACATAAGCCAAATAAACCTTCTTTCTTTATAAATTGCTCAATCTCAGGTATTCCTTCACAGCAACATAAAATGGACTAAGACAGTGGCTACACTATACTAAGCTCCCAGTCTACCAATGCTGTCCTGTCGTCTGTGTCAGAGTAGTCTGATTGTGGGTGGGGGAATGTTAAGAAGAAGAAACACTATTCCCCCAAAAATATGTTGCATTTTTGTTTTCATGCCTTCAAAAGAAGATAAATTTATCTATGTCTGATATGGTTTGGCTGTGTCCCCACACAAATCTCATCTTGAATTGCCACGTGTGGTGAGAGGGACCAGATGGGAGGTAATTGAATCATGGAAGCAGGTCTTTCCTGTGATATTCTCATTATAGTAAATACGTCTCATGAGACCTGATGGTTATTATAAGGGGGAGTTTTCCTGCACAACCTGTCTTCTTTTATCTGCTGCCATGTGAGATGTGCCTTTCACTTTCCACCATGATTGTGAAGCTTCCCCAGCCACGTGGAATTGTAACTCAAATAAACCTCTTTCTTTTGTAAATTGCCCAGTCTTCAGTATGTCTTTATCAGTGGCATGAAAACAGAATAATACAGTGAATTGGTACCCATAGAGTGGGGCATTGCTGAAAGGATACCCATAAATATGGAAGCAACTTTGGAACTGGGTAACAGGCAGAGGTTGGAACAGTTTGGAGGGCTCAGAAGAAGACAGGAAAATGTGGGAAAGTTTGAAACTTCCTGGAGACTTATTGAATGGCTTTGACCAAAAGCCTGATAGTGATATGGACAATAAGGTCTAGGCTGAAGTGGTCTCAGAAGGAGATAAGGAACTTGCTGGGAACTGGAGCAAAGGCGACTCTTGTAATGTTTTAGCAAAGAGACTGGCAGCATTTTGCCCCTGCCCTAGATATTTGTGAAACTTTTAACTTGAGAGAGATGATTTAGGGTATCTGGCAGAAAAAATTTCTAAGCAGCAAAGCATTCAAGAGGTGACTTGGGTGCTGCTAAAGGCATTCAGTTTTATAAGGAAAGCAGAGCATGAAAATTTGCAGCCTAACAATGTGATAGAAAAGAAAAACCCATTTTCTGAGGAGAAATTCAAGCTGGCTGCAGAAATTTGCATAAGTAACCAGGAGCCAAATATTAATCCCCAATACAATGGGGAAAATGGCTCCAGGGCATGTCAGAAGTCTTCATGGTAGCCCCTCCCATCACAGGCCCAGAGGCCTAGGAGAAAATGGTTTCATGTGTCGGGCCCAGGGTCCCCGTGCTGTGTGCAGTTTAGGGACTTGGTGCCCTGCATCCCAGCCACTCCAGACATGACTAAAAGGAGCCAAGGTACAGCTCAGGCTGTTGCTTCAGAGGGTGGAAGTCCCAAGCCTTGGCAGCTTCCATGTGGTGTTGAGCCTGTGGGTGCACAGAAGTCAAGAACTGAGGTTTGGGAACCTCCATCTAGATTTCAGAAGATGTATGGAAATGGCTGGATGCACAGGAAAAAGTTTGCTGCAGGGGTGGGGTCCTCATGGAGAACCTCTGCTAGGGCAGTGCAGAAGTGAAATGTGGTGTCAGAGCCCCCACAAAAAGTCCCTACTGGGGGACCACCTAGTGGAGCTGTGAGAAGACAGCCATTGTCCTCCAGACACTGGAATACTAGATCCACCAATAGCTTGCACCATGCCCCTGGAAAAGCCACAGACACTCACTGCCAACCCATGAAAGCAGCCAGGAGGAGGGCTATGCCCTGCAGAGCCACAGGGGCAGAGCTGCTAGAGACCATGGGAATCCATCTCTTGCATTAATGTGACTTGAACACGCAATATGGAGTCAAAGGAGATCATTTTGAAGCTTTAAGATTTGACTGCCCTGCTGGATTTTGAACTTGCATGGGGCCTATAGCCCCTTTGGTTTGACCAATCTCTCCCATTTCGAATTGTTGTATTTATCCAATGCCTCTACTCCCACTGTATCTAGGAAGTAGCTAACTTGCTTTTGACTTTACAGGCTTATAGGCAGACGGGACTTGCCTTGTCTCGGATGTGACTTTGGACTGTGTACTTTTCAGTTAATGCTGAAATGAGTTAAGACTTCGGGGGACTGTTGGGAAGGCATGATTGGATTTGAAAGGTGAGAACATGACATTTGGGAGGGGCCAGGGCAGAATGATATGGTTTGGCTGTGTCCCTGCCCAAAACTCATCTTGAATTCCCATGTGTGGTGGGAGGGGCCAGGTGGGAAGTAGTTGAATCATGGGGACAGGTCTTTCCCATTCTGTTCTCATGATGGTGAGTAAATCTCATGAGATCTGATAGTTATTATAAGGAGAGTTTTCCTGCACAAGCTCTCTTCTCTTATCTGCTGCCATGTGAGATATGCCTTTCACCTTCCACCATGATTGTGAGGCCTCCTCAGCCATGTGGAACTGTAAGTCCAATAAACGTCTTTCTTTTGTAAATTGCCCAGTCTCAGGTATGTCTTTATCAGCAGCATAAAAAGGAACTAATACAAAGCCTTACGCAGTTTAGCATGAAACTCTCTTATTATGGGTTCAAAAGTACTTGATCACAACTGAAGATAGGGTAAAGGAAATTTTATGTTTCCCCCTTTTATTGCTTTTATATTCACCTTTCTTCTTCTCATACCCTCCTTTACACAAACACTTTCTTTGTCAGCAACATCTACAAAAGTTCGTATGCACATTATATTCAAGGAAATTCTCAGGAGCTCACAACTCAATCATAGTCTTCAATTTGTTCTCAGCTAAGACATTTTAATATACAAAAAAGGAGACAAAATATAGAATCAATGTGTGGTTTTGTGGGCTGAATTATGTCCCCACCCCCAAATTCATATGTTGAAGTTCTAACTCTTAGTTAAATAAGGTAATTAGGGTGGCCTCTAATCCGATATAACTGATGTCCTTAAAAGAAGAGGAAATTAGGACACAGACATGTACATGTACAGAGGAAAGACCACGTAAAGACACTAGGAAAAGACAGCCATCTGCAAGCCAAGCAGAGAGGCCTCAGAAGAAACAAACTCTGCCAACCCCTTGATCTCAGACTTTTAGCCTCCAGAACAGTAAGAAAATAAATTCTGTTAGTTACAATACTTTGTTTAGCAGCCCTAGCAAATGAATACTTGTGGCATAAAATTTAAAGCAGAAGAAGGAAGGAGGGAGGGAGGGAAATAAGGAAAAAAGGAAAGTAGGGCAGTATAAAGTTTTATCTCTTAAGAACTTTTTTCAATAATCTCAGTTTTAAGGATTTTAATTAGACAAAAACTCACAGAGCTGGAAAAGACATGAAGCATTTCCCTTTTTTTCAACTCATTTTTCAATTAAAGAATTGAAGGCTCAGAGACATGAAGCTCCAAGTTCAATCAGTGAAAAGAAAGCCGGGTACCCAATTCTAGAAATATAGCATTGTTAAAAACTCAGGAGGAAAGTCCATGTCACTTCCAGGGGCATGGTGATTAGAAGGGCAGAATTTGGCTGATGTGGTGGTGGCTCATGCCTGTAATCCCAACACTTTGGAAGGCCAAGGCAGGGATTGAAGCTAGGAATTTGAAACTAGCATGGACAACAACAAAGTGAGACCCAATTCAAAATAAACAAATAAATAAAATAAAGAAAGAAAAAGAAAAGAAAGAAAAGTTTAAAAAAAAATGAAGAATTTTAAAAAAAATCTTGGTATCAGGATATCAGAAAAATGGCCTCACAGAGAGGATGGCTAATAGTCCCACTTCTTTGAATGATACAATTTTGTCAACCAACTAAACTCCTCTGACTCTTCCTCCTACTTGTTCTTTCCTTCCACTGATGTTCCCTACATTCTAAATTTAGAAAGAGATACATTTTTAAAATCACTTATTTATGAAAAAGGGAGAGTTACATGAGATAGCTTTGGGTAGCTGAACCCAAGGAAACCTAGTTACCCATTTTTGTGAGTGTCCACCCCAAAGGACATAAATTAAACTAAGAGCAAACTGTAGGAGTTGTCTCAGAAGCTTTAGGAAATGCGGAAGTGACAGCAGGTAAAGATTCTCCTCTAAATCTCTGTTCCAAAGGTCATAATGGGAAAGAAAATCAACATTTTTTAACAACAAACCTTTTTATATGCTGTCTTCCAAAGCTTAATATATATGTCTGGTGAAACAAGGTCATTTGTGTCTGCTCTGCCCGTTGTCTCAATTATAGCTGTTTTAGGATTTGCTTCACAAAAGAGGTAAACAGGTTTTGGATCAGAAAACAAAAAGCTCCTTTGTTTTCCAGGGAATGGGATGCTGAGGTAATCCACTACATTTGTGGAACCTTCCCCAAGGGAGAAAATGGCAGGTTTTCCACCAAGAAATAATTGCTTTTAGAATGATAAGAAAGGAAGTTAGTTACTCTTGCATAAGTGCATCTGTCCTGACTGGCTGTAATTTTTGTTTTTAGTTTGCTCTTTTAGGTCAGATGATATAAATCATCATATTCAGACAGTTTAATGTTGTTCAGCTACAGTTTGATTTTCTGGCATACTAAATCTAAGTGTTAAAATAAATTGGAGCCAAGTTTTACATTGAAACAAAGTCATAAAACTCTACATATTTGAAAATGAGGTGATTGCTTAACAGCTTGAAAAGACTTAGTATTGACCTTGTCTATTGTTTCTTATAGAATAGTATTTACATTAATGTCAAATTCCAAAAAGCAAAACTAAATGAGTCTAATATGAACTACATATTAATTCATACACACACACACACACACACACACACACACAGACACACACACATACATAAATTATTGTGCCTATGTCAGGAAAAGATAAATATACAGCCAGTTCTCATTATTTGCTTTTGTGATCTTTTCTCTTTTGGTTTGTATTGTGTTTATTTAATCAAAGTCTACTTCTGATCCCATTTCTCCCTGCATTGTTTCTCTGAATCAGGCACTTTGTTTTCCTTTCAAATCCAGTCTTAACTTTTTCTTCTTCCTTTTTCCTCTCTGTTTTCAGACTTCATCTTATTTTTGTTCCCAGCCAATCTTTCAAAAATGTATTGAGCATCAAGTCTGCACACTAACATATACATGATTATATACAGATGTGTATATGTGCATACACAAAGACACAGAGAATCTTCAACTTGTGAGAACTCAGCTTCTAAATTTCAAAACTTCTACCAAGCCCTTTGCATAATATACAAGACTCTTCATGATCTGGCATCTGCCTACTTATCCACTCTCTTCTCCACCCCTTTCCCCCTTCATACTTCACACTATAGAAATACTGAGCTGCTTGTAACACCTCTCCTCTGCTTGCCTTTGAACATGATCCTCACCTTAGCTAGAACAAACCTAAATCCTCTTCTCATGGGTCATAGCCTTATCATCCTTCAAGTCTGAGTTGAATAGCCACCTCCTCTGAGAAGCCTTCCATAAGCACTCCCTAGGGGCTCATAAACTCTTTCACCCAGGCTATAACCTCTATGAAGGCAGTAACAATGTACAGACAGACCAGGATTGTTATATCTTTGTCCCTTCAATTCCTAGAATAATTCCTAACATGTAATAGATAGTTAATGAATAACAGATTAGTGAACCATCAAGGGAATATACCTCTTGTGCAAAAGTAGTTGTCCTGTTTATTGGACATTTAATTCTTAATTGGACATTTAGAATGCCAAGAAAGTATATTTTCTCAGGAGATCCTTTTTGTAACCAGGAATTACTACCCCAGCATAGTAGTAATGGAGCTCCTTCTCGCCAATGCCTCTTTCAGGAAAACTGTTGCTCTTCAGAGTAAAATAAAGATGTATTAGGAGCTGGGATAAATTTATTGACAGAAATCATGGTATACAGGATGGATAGGCATGGTTAAAATATAAATGCTCTACTTAAGCCATGCTGTAGGTTAAACTGAAGCTTTATGAGCACATGTGGAGATATGGACATTCAATAAGCCTGTATCTCTATGGTAAATGGATTATAAGACTTCAGAAACTGAGAGCAAATTGAATTTTCATAATTCAACCAAGCTGGGTGCCTTGGAAATTTTAATTAATGGATGTCTATATTAGCAGCTTAAAACAACACAAATGTAACAACACAAGTAACTAGTTTCTTTGCTCCATGTTTCACAAGGTTTAAATCAAGATGTTGGCTAGGTGAGCTATTATCAGGAGAAGAGAGAAATAAGTAGTCCCATTCAAAGCTCATTTAGGTTGCTGGTAGAAGTCAGCTCCTTTCAGATTGGGACTGAGGTCCTTGTTCCCTTGCCGACTGTCAGCCAGAGATTACTGTTAGCTTTTAGAAGTCTCTCTCTGAGACTTGCATGTGGTCTCTGAATCTCAGACCAGCAAAGCATGTTAAATCCTTCTCACACTTGGGAGCTCTTATGATTTGTACTTCTGCCATTTCTTTTCTTCCTCTTGTGCTGCACTTTTCTTTTCCTTCTAGCCAGACAAGCTTCTCCGTTTTAAGGACTCATCTGATTAGATTGAGGCTGGCTAGATAATATAGGAAAATCTCTCTATTTTGTAGTCTGTAACATTAATAACATCTGCAAAGTCCCATTTGCCATGTGATGTAACATATTCACAGGTTCTGGAAATTAAGATGTGAACATATTTGGGCAATTATTCTCCCTATCCCAGTGCCAATTCAAAATTATAGTTTTAAGATGTTTCTTGTTCATTCATTTACAGGAGCAAAGAAAAACTAATGTTACATTAATAAAAAAGTATACATTTTGGATTTATCTATTAATTTATGTCTCTGGCCAAAACAGAGGGCGATGTTAAAGAAAGTATTTCTTACATTTTTGTTCTATTTGGGTTTTTTTTTTGCAGTTATAATTAGTCCATTCCTGGACCCAGATCTGAACATAGTGCATTGGTAATTAAGATTGCTTCTCTGTGTGTGTTTGCCTACACTCAACTATATATACAGAGGTATGAGAGTTATTTAGAAAACAGTCTTTCACAGTTTACCATCTGTAGCTTGTTACAGCATCAAAACAATAGTGCAACATAGAATACCTAAACCTTATGTATCTTGTCTAAAGCATCACTGATCCCCCAGACAGGCAGCGTCACTTCTTTCAGGGATTCTCTTTACACAAGCATTTGCTGGGGAAATTTATTGCCAGCCTGCTGAATTTATGAAAAGGGATGTTTTTCCCAGATGCTTATCAACATTCCAGTACCTAGCAGTGTTCCTTGAGCCTAGCACTGTGCTTAGTCCATAGTCAGTGCGTAATTGGTGCTCATGTATTTACGAAATAAAATAGAGAAGAAAGGAATAACATGAATGAGGTCACAGAAAGCAGACAAACAGTAAATGTAAATTACATATTTTTGACTGTCACTACAAAGATGTAAAATAATGCAAAATATCAACTCGTAAAATATAACATCATAAAATGAAAATTAAGTAATCTGTATTTATGCATTAACATTGATTTCTCTTTCAAAGAGAAGTACATGTCTTAGGGGGAGGTCTTTAAGATAAGTTTTAAATGTCTTTATGAAAATTCTATTTTGCTTTCCAAATCTTTAGTTTATACATTAGAAAACATCACATCTATTTTATACATTATTTATTTATTCAACAAATATTTATACCAGGCCCTTGCATTCTAGAGGAAGGAAACAGACAATAAGCATAACAAATATATAGTATATAAATTATGTATTATGTTATAAGGCACTAAGTAAATTATGTAGTATTTTAGAAAGCAATAAGTGCTATGCAAGGAAAAAGAAAAAGCAAACCATGTTAAGGGGTATCAAGAGTGCAAGGGTGAAAAGGTAGGCTTAGAATCATTAGGGTGAGCCTCATTGTGAAGATGACATTCAAAGTGGTAAATGTTAGCTATGCAGTTATTGGAGAGAAAGTATTTTAGACTATGGTAGAGTTCCAAAGGTAGGAACATGCTGATAGGCTAGAAGAAAATTATGAGGGCCAATATAACTATGGCAGTATGACCAGTGACAAACACACTAGATGATAAGGTTGAAGAAATAATGGAGAGTCTGCTCATATAGTGCTTTGTAGTACTTTTAATAACTTTGGCTTTGTCTGAGTGAAATGGGGATCCATGAGAGGATTTTGAGCAAAAAGTTACTTTTTTTACTTGCCTTACTCTTTCAAATTATATAAATCATGAATGTAGAGGGACAAAGATGGAAGCAAGAAATGCAGTTGGGAAGGCATTGTAATTATCCAAGTTAGAGATGATGATAGCTGAGACCATTGAGATAGAAAAGGAAGTGGTAAGAAGTGGTCATGTTACACATGTTTTGAGGCTTGTCCCAACAGAATTTCCTGAGAAATGTCTATAGAGTATGAAAGAAGGAGAGGGTTCAAGGATGGTGCTAAGGTTCTAAAGCTGCTATCAGCCAAAATAAGGAAGGCTGTCAACAGAACAGATATGAAGGGAAGAAACAAAAGTTCATTTTTAGACATGTTGGGTGTCAGATGTTGATAATGTTTGGATGTGTCCCCACCCAAATCTCATCTTGAATTGTAGCTCCCATAATTTCCACGTGTTGTGGGAGGGACCCAGTGAAAGATAATTTAATCATGGGGGTGGTTTCCCCCATACTGTTCTCATGATAGTGAGTCTCATGTGATCTGATGGTTTTACAAGGGGAAACCCCTTTTGCTTGGTTCTCATTCTCTCTTGTCTGCTGCCATGTAAGACATGTTTTCACCTTCTGCCATGATTGTGAGGCCTCCCAAGCCACAATGGAACTGTAAGTCCATTAAAACTCTTTTTCTATATAAATTACTGAGTCTCAGGTATGTCTTTATCAGCAGTGTGAAAGCACTATTCAGCAGTGTTAAAACACACTAACACAGTAAATTGGTACTGGTAGAGTGGGGCACTGCTGTAAAGATACCTGAAAATGTGGAAGCAACTTTGGAACTGGGTAACAAGCAGAGGTTGGAACAGTTTGGAGGGCTCAGAAGAAGATAGGAAAATATGGAAAAGTTTGAAACTTCCTAGAAACTTGGAGGGCTCAGAACATAGGAAGACATGGGAAAGTTTGGAACTTCCTAGAGACCTGCTGAATGGCTTTGACCAAAATACTCACGGTAATATGGACAATAAGGTCCAGGCTGAGGAGGTCTCAGATCAAGATGAGGAAACTGTTGGAAACTGGAGTAAAGGCAACTCTTGCTATGTCTTAGCAAAGAGACGGGCAGCATTTTGCCCCTGCCCTAGAGATTTGTGGAACTTTGAACTTGAGGGAGATGATTTAGGGTATCTGGCAGAAGAAATTTCTAAGCAGCAAAGCATTCAAGAGGTGACTTGGGTGCTGTTAAAAGCATTCAATTTTAAAAGGGAAATAGAGCATAAAAGTTTGAAAAATTTATAGCTTGACTATGTGATAGAAAAGAAAAACCCATTTTCTGAGGAGAAATTCAAGCCAGCTGCAGAAATTTCATAAGTAACCAGAAGCCAAATATTAAACCCCAAGACAATGGAGAAAATGGCTCCTGGAGACATGTCAGAGCTCATGTCAGAGACCTTTGCAGCAGTTTCTCCCACCACAGGCCCAGAGCCTAGGAGGAAAAAATGGTTTCCTGGGGCAGGCCCAGGACACCCCTGCTGTGTGCAGCCTACGGCCTTGGTGCCCTGCCTCCCAGCTGCTCCAGGGGCCAAGCTAAAGGCTAAAAGGGTATCAGGAGTGCAAAGGTGGAAAGGTGGGCTTAGAATCCAGAGCCAGGTACCATGGCTAAAAGGGGCCATGGTATAGCTCAGGCCATGGCTTCAGAGGGTGCAAGCACAAAGCCTTAGCAGCTTCCACTTAGTTTGAGCCTGTGGGTACAGAGATGACAAGAATTGAGGTTTGGGAACCTCCACCTAGATTTCAGAGTCTGTATGGAAACACCTGGATGTACAGGCAGAAGTTTGCTACAGGTGTGTAGCCCTCATGGAGAACCTCTGCTAGGGCAGTGTGGAAGGGGAATGTGGGGTTGAAGCCCCCTCAAAGAATCCCCACTGGGGGTACTGCCTAGTGGAGATGTGAGAAGAGTGCCATTTTCCTCCAAACCCTGGAATGGTAGATGCACTGGCAGCTTGCACCATGTGGCTTTCCACAGACACTCAACACCAGCCTATGAATGCAGCCAGGAGGGAGGCTATACCCTGCAAAGCCACAGAGGAAGAGCTATCCAAAATCATAGGAACCCAACTCTTGCATCAGTGTGACCTGAATGTGAGACATAAAGTCAAAGGAGATCATTTGGAGCTGTAAGATTTGAATGCCCTTGTGGACTTTGAACTTGCATGGGTGCTGTAGCCCTTTTGTTTTAACCAATTTCTCCCATTCGGAATAGCTGCATTTCTCCAATGCCTGTACCCCTATTGTATCTAGGAAGTAAATAACTTGCTTTTGATTTTACAAGCTCACAGTCCGAAGGGACTTGCCTTGTCTCAGATGAGACTTTGGAGTGTGGACTTTTGAGTTAATGCTGAAATGAGTTAAGACTTCGGTGGGCTATTGGGAAGGCATGATTGATATGGAAATGTGAGGTCATGAGATATGGGAGGGGCTGGGGCAAAATGATATGGTTTGGCTGTTTCCCCACCCAAGTCTCATCTTGAATTGTAGCTCCCATAATTCCCACATGTTGTGAGAGGAACCCAGTGGGAGATAATTGAATCATGGGAATGGTTTCCCCCATACTGTTCTCATGGTAGAGAATAAGTCTCACAAGCTCTGATGGTTATAGGCTGGGTGCGATGGCTCATGCCTGTAATCCCAGGACTTTGGGAGGCCGAGGCCAGTGGATCACAAGGTCAGGAGATAGAGACTATCCTGGCTAACACGGTAAAACCCCGTCTCTACTAAAAATACAAAAAAATTTGCCAGGCGTGGTGGTGGGTGCCTGTAGTCCCAGCTGCTCAGGAGGCTGAGGCAGGAGAATGGCGTGAACCTGGGAGGCGGAGCTTGCCTTGAGCCAAGATTGCGCCACTGCACTCTAGCCTGGGCAACAGAGCAAGACTCCATCTCAAAAAAAAAAAAAAAAAGATCTGATGGTTTTAGATCGGGTTTCTTCTTTTGCTTGATCATCATTCTCTCTTACCTGCCACCATGTAAGATGTGTCACCTTCTACCATGATTGTGAGTTCTCTCAAGCCATGTGGAACTGCAAGTTCAATAAACCTTTTTTTCTTTATAAACTACCCAGTCTTGGGTATGTCTTTTTCAGCAGCATGAAAACAGACTAATACAGATGTCCATTAGACATACAACTTGAGATGCCAGGTAGGCAAATGTGTATATAAATCTGGTATTTTACAGTGAAATTTGGCCTGGAGATAAAAATGTAGGGGTTTTCAGCACACAGATGGTAATTTTTTAACAGGATTGAATAATACTACATAAAAAGTCAATTTAAATGGAGAAAAGAGGAGGACCAAAGAGATACACTGAAGTGTTACAGCATTAAGAGATAGGAAGAAGAGGAAAAACTGTGATGGAATCTTTGAAGAAGCAATCAGTGACATAGAAAAAAATCCAAGACTATGTTGGGAACTGGAAGTTAAGTGAAGAAAGTATGTTAAGAAGGAGTGATCTGTAATCCCAGCACTTTAGGAGGCCAAAGAAGGCAGATCATGAGGTCAGGAGATCGAGACCATCCTGGCTAACATGGTGAAACCCTGTCTGTACTAAAAATACAAAAAATTAGCTGGGCATGGTGGTGGGCACCTGTAGTCCCAGCTACTCAGGAGGCTGAGGCAGGAGAATGGCATGAACCCAGGAGGCAGAGGTTGCAGTGAGCCAAGATCACGCCACTGCACTCCAACCTGGGTGACAGCACGAGACTCCATCTCAAAAACACACACACACACACAAAAAGGAGTGATCACTGTGATAGGTTACATAAGATAAGAACTGGAAGTTGACCTCCGCATTTAACAGTCAGAGATCATTGGTGATGTTGGCAAGAGCAGTTTTAGAGGATTAGGGCAGTATAAGCTTGACTGGAATGAGTTTAAGAGAGAACAAAGAGGTGGAAATTTAAAGACATTGGAGACACTGAAAATCAAGGAATCTTTCAAAATGTTTGCTGCAAAGGGGAGATAAAAAGTGGGAGAATATCTAATGAGGGGAATAGAAGAAAACAACTTAGCAAATAAGTGGCAGGGCTTCAGTATTCCCTAAAAGAAAATGGTAGAAAATGCTTGTCACTATATTATATTGACTTTATTTGGATACATTATTTAAAAAAAAAAAAAGCTTCAAAGGTCACTTACTACAATCAGGCTTTAAATCAGTCCATACCTGCAGTCAGAATCATACAATTTCACAGCAGTAAGCAATCTTCAAAATTCTATATTCCAAACTCCTTATTTCATAAACAATAACTCTGACAACAGAAAGGCTTGTTTCTTGCTCTAGTGTACAGTTTGTTACAACCCAAAAACCACAATCTAAATATCTTGGTTTCTAGTAGAGTATTTATGGTTCATGGTAGTCTATTTAAATAAAAATGCAATAATTTTTGTGAATGCATTCTTTACAAGGGTTGTATAATGTACATATATTCTCATATTCTAAATCCCTCCCCTTTTAAAGCCATAAATTTTACCTGATACAGCTATAAAGAACTGTGGTCTCTTAATTTATTGCTTCCCCTTCTCCATCCTCTTCAGCCATTCTAATATTCAACTCTGTGCTACTCTAAATTATTTCTGAAACAAGGTACTATATAAACCCTAAAATTAAATAAAGCCATTTGGCACTATTAAACTCTCCCTCTCTTTCCTCCTTTTTTCCCTTTTTTATGTTCCACCAATGTTTTTCAAGGTTTTATTAGTGTTCTGGTTTTTATATTTTTGTTAAGGGGGAGACAATTATAGGTTCACTAGTGTCATTTCACTAGAGTACAGCAAAAGTTAAGCACAGCGAGAGAAGATAGTAAGAACTAGGCACAAGAAGAAATGAGCACCGGGTGCTGTTGGAGCTTGATTAATCCCCTGTTTTCCTAGTTTATTTCTTACATCTGAAATACAGATGTTCTATCCTTATCTCATTCTCTGAGACTACAAATTCCTTCTCTTCTTTCTCTTTGATTAGCATCATGTACTTCTCCATATCATCTACCAACCTGTGAGTGTGTATTCTAATATAAATTTTTAATGATGATTCTCTTTTTTTATCAATCTTTTTTTTATTTCGATAGTTTTTTGGGGGAACAGGTGGTATTTGGTTACACGAATAAGTTCTTTAGTGGTGATTTGTAATATTTTGGTGTACCCATCAACCGAGCAGTATATGTTGCACCCAACGTGTAGTTTTTTATCCCTCACCCTCTCCCGCCCTTTCCCCTGAGTCCCCAAAGTCCATTATATCATTCTAATGCCTTTGCATCTCATAGCTTAGCTCCCAATTATTAATGACAACATATGATGTTTGGTTTTTCATTCATGAGTTACTTCACTTACAATAATGGTCTCCAATTCCATCCAGGTTACTGTGCATGTCATTATTTCATTCCTTTTTATGGCTGAGTGGTAGTCCATGGTATATATATATACCACATTTTCTTTATCCACTTGTTGATTGATGGACGTTTGGGCTGGTTTCATATTTCTGCAATTGTGAATTGTGCTGCCATAAACATGCGTGTGCACGTATCTTTTTCATACCGTGACTTCTTTTCCTCTGGGTAGATACGCAGGAGTGGGATTGCTGTATCAAATGATAGATCTACTCTTAGTTCTTTAAGGAATCACCACACTGATTTCCATAGTGGTTGTACTACTTTACATTCCTACCAACCGTGAAAAAGTATTCCCTTTTTACCACATCCACAACAACATCTATTATTTTTTGATTTTTTTATTATGGCCATTCTTTCAGGAGTAAGGTGTTATTGCATTGTGGTTTTGGTTTTGCATTTCCCTGATAACTAGTAACGTTGACCATTTGTATATCTTCTTTAAGAATTGTCTATTCACATCCTTAGCCTACTTTTTGTTTTGTTTTATTTTAAGTTCCAGGGTACATGTGCAGGATGTGCAGGTTTGTTACATAGGCAAATATGTGCCACAGTGGTGTGCTGCACCTATCAACCCATCACCTAAGTATTAATCCCAGCATGCATTAGCTATTTTTGCTGATGCTCTCCCTCCCCCTGGAGGTTTTCTCCAATGCTTTCTTGTAGTAGTTTCATAATTTGAGGTCTTAGATTTAGGTCTTTAATCCATTTTTATTTGATTTTTGTATATGTTGAGAGATAGGGCTCTAGTTTCACTCCTCTACAGATGAATATCCAGTTTTCCCAGCACAATTTATTGAGGAGTCTGTCTTTTCCACAGAGTAAGTTCTTCATGCCTCTGTCAAAAATGCATTTATTGTAGCTGTATGTATTTGTTTCTGGGTTCTCTGTTCTGTTCCATTGGTCTTTGTGTCTGTTTTTAGGCCAGTACTACACTGTTTCGGTTACTAAAGCTCTGTAGTATAAATTGAAGTCAGGTAATGTGATTCCTCCACTTCTTTTTTTCTTTTTGCTTGGGAGAGTTTTGGCTATTCTGGGTCTTTTGTGGTTCCATATAAATTTTAATATTTCTTTTCTTCTGTTATTAATTTCATTGGTATTTTGAGAGGGACTGCATTGAATCTGTAGATTGCTTGGGTAGTATAAACATTTTAACAATATTAATTCTTCCAATCCATAAATAGTAATATGTTCCTTCTTTTTTTTTTTTCTGGTGTTCTCTTCAATTTCATTCACCAGTGTTTTATAATTTTCATTATAGAGATCTTTCACTTCTTTGGGTAAGTTAATTCCTAGATATTTAATTTTATTTGTGGCTACTGTAAGTGGGATTACTTTTTAAATTCTTTTTCACATTGTTCACTGTTTGCATGTAGAAATGCTACTGATTTTGTATGTAGATTTTGTATCCTGCAACTCTACTGAATTTGTTTATCAGTTCTAATAGTTTTCTGTGGAGTCTTCGGGTTTTATCAAATATAAGATCTTACCATCCCTGACCCCCAAGTAGCCTAACTGGGAGGCACCCCCCAGTGGGGGCAGACTGACACCTCACACGGCCAGGTACTCCTCTGAGACAAAACTTCCAGAGGAGCGATCAAGCAGCAACATTTGCTGTTCACCAATATCTGCTGTTCTGCAGCCTCCACTGCTGATACCCAGGCAAACAGGGTCTGGAATGGACCTCTGGCAAACTCCAACAGACCTGCAGCTGAGGGTCCTGTCTGTTAGAAGGAAAACTAACAAACAGAAAGGACATCCACACCAAAACCCCATCTGTATGTCACCATCATCAAAGACTAAAGGTAGATAAAACCATGAAGATGGGGAAAAAACAGAGCAGAAAAACTGAAAATCCTAAAAATCAGAGTGCCTCTGATCCTCCAAAGGAACGCAGCTCCTCACCAGCAAATGGAACAAAGCTGGAGGGAGAATGACTTTGATGAGTTGAGAGAAGAAGGCTTCAGATGATCAAACTACTCCGAGCTAAAGGAGGAAGTTCGAACCCACGACAAAGAAGTTAAAAACCTTGAAAAAAGATTAGACGAATGGCTAGCTAGAATAACCAATGCAGAGAAGTCCTTAAAGGACCTGATGGAGCTGAAAACCATGACACGAGAACTACGTGATTAATGCACAAGCCTCAGTAGCTGATTTGATCAACTGGAAGAAAGGGTATCAGTGATTGAAGATCAAATGAATGAAATGAAGTGAGAAGAGAAGCTTAGAGAAAAAAGAATAAAAAGAAATGAACAAAGCCTCCAATATGGGAATATGTGAAAAGACCAAATCTACGTCTGATTGGTGTACCTGAAAGTGACGGGGAGAATGGAACCAAGTTGGAAAACACTCTGCAGGATATTATCCAGGAGAACTTCCCCAATCTAGAAAGGCAGGCCAACATTCAAATTCAGGAAATACAGAGAACATGATAAAGATACTCCTCGAGAAGAGCAACTCCACGACACATAATTGTCAGATTCACCAAAGTCAAAATGAGGGAAAAAATGTTAAGGGCAGCCAGAGAGAAAGGTCAGGTTACCCACAAAGGGAAGCCCATCAGACTAACAGCTGATCTCTCAGCAGAAACTCTACAAGCCAGAAGAAATTGGGGGCCAATATTCAACATTCTTAAAGAAAAGAATTTTCGATCCAGAATTTCATATCCACCCAAACTAAGCTTCATAAGTGAAGGAGAAATAAAATCCTTTACAGACAAGCAAATGCTGAGAGATTTTGTCAACACCAGGCCTGCCCTAAGAGAGCTCCTGAAGGAAGCACTAGACATGGAAAGGAACAACCGGTACCAGCCCCTGCAAAAACATGCCAAATTGTAAAGACCATCAAGGCTAGGAAGAAACTGCATCAACTATCAAGCAAAATAACCAGCTAACATCTTAATGACAGGATCAAATTCACACATAACAATATTAACCTTAAATTTAAATGGGCTAAATGCTCCAATTAAAAGATGCAGACTGGCAAATTGGATAAAGAGTCAAGACCCATCAGTGTGCTGTATTCAGGAAACCCATCTCACATGCAGAGACACACATAGGCTCAAAATAAAAGGATGGAGGAAGATCTACCAAGCAAATGGAAAACAAAAAAAGGCAGGGGTTGCAATCCTACTCTCTGATAAAACAGACTTTAAACCAAAAAAAATCAAAAGAGACAAAGAAGGCCATTACATAACGGTAAAGGGATCAATTCAACAAGAAGAGCTACCTATCCTAAATATATATGCACCCAATACAGGAGCACCCAGATTCATAAAGCAAGTCCTGAGTGACCTACAAAGAGACTTAGACTCCCACACATTAATATTGGGAGACTTTAACACCCCACTGTCAACATTAAACAGATCAACGAGACAAAAAGTTAACAGGATATCCAGAAACTGAACTCAGCTCTGCTCCAAGTGGACCTACTAGACACCTACAGAACTCTCCACCCCAAATCAACAGAATTTACATTCTTCTCAGCACCACACCACACCTATTCCAAAATTGACCACATAGTTGGAAGTAAAGCACTCCTCAGCAAATGTAAAAGAGCAGAAATTATAACAAACTGTCTTTCAGACCACAGTGCAATCAAACTAGAACTCAGGATTAAGAAACTCACTCAAAACCGCTCAACTACATGGAAACTGAACAACCTACTCCTGAATGACTACTGGGTACATAACGAAATGAAGGCATAAATAAAGATGTTCTTTGAAACCAACCACAACAAAGATGCAACATACCACAATCTCTGGGACACATTTAAAGCAGTGCGTAGAGGGAAATTTATAGCACTAAATGCCGACAAGAGAAAGCAGGAAAGATCTAAAATTGACACAATAACATCACAATTAAAAGAACTAGAGAAGCAAGAGCAAACACATTCAAAAGCTAGCAGAAGGCAAGAAATAACTAAGATCAGAGCAGAACTGAAGGAAATAGGGACACAAAAAACCCTTCAAAAAATCAATGAATCCAGGAGCTGGTTTTTTGAAAAGATCAACAAAATTGATAGACTTCTAGCAAGACTAATAAAGAAGAAAAGAGAGAAAAATCAAATAGACACAATAAAAAATGATAAAAGGGATATCACCACCGATCCCACAGAAATACAAACTACCATCAGAGACTACTATAAACACACCTCTATGCAAATAAACTAGAAAATCTAGAAGAAATGGATAAATTCCTGGACACATACACCCTCCCAAGACTAAACCAGGAAGAAGTTGAATCTCTGAATAGACCAATAACAGGATCTGAAATTGAGGCAATAATTAATAGCTTACCAAGCAAAAAAAGTCCAGGACCAGATGGATTCACAGCTGAATTCTACCAGAGGTACAAGGAGGAGCTGGTACCATTCCTTCTGAAACTATTCCAATCAATAGAAAAATAGAGAATCCTCCCTAACTCATTTTATGAGGCTAGCATCATCCTGATACCAAAGCCTGGCAGAGACACAACAAAAAAAGAGAATTTTAGACCAATATCCCTGATGAACATCAATGCAAAAATCCTCAATAAAATACTGGCAAACCAAATCCAGCAACATATCAAAAAGCTTATCCACCATGATCAAGTGGGTTTCATCCCTGGGATGCAAGGCTGGTTCAACTTATGCAAATCAATAAACGTAATCCAGTGTATAAACAGAACCAACGACAAAAACCACATGATTATCTCAATAGATGCAGAAAAGGCCTTTGACAAAATTCAACAGCCCTCCATGCTAAAAACTCTCAATAAATTAGGTATTGATGAGACATATCTCAAAATAATAAGAGCTATCTACGACAAACCCACAGCCAATATCATACTGAATGGGCAAAAACTGGAAGCATTCCCTTTGAAAACTGGCACAAGACAGGGATGCCCTCTCTCACCACTCCTATTCAACATAGTGTTGGAAGTTCTGGCCAGGGCAATTAGGCAGGAGAAGGAATTAAAGGGTATTCAATTAGGAAAAGATGAAGTCAAATTGTCCCTGTTTGCAGATGACATGATTGTATATCTAGAAAAGCCCATCATCTCAGCCCAAAATCTCCTTAAGCTGATAAGCAACTTCAGCAAAGTCTCATGATACAAAATGAATGTGCAAAACTCACAAGCATTCTTATACACCAATAGCAGTCAAACAGAGAGCCAAATCATGAGTGAGCTCCCATTCACAATTGCTTCAAAGAGAATAAGAATGGGCTTCTATACCTAGGAACGCAACTTACAAGGGATGTGAAGGACCTCTTCAAGGAGAACTACAAACCACTGCTCAATGAAATAAAAGAGAATACAAACAAATGGAAGAACATTCCATGCTCATGGATAGGAAGAATCAATATCATGAATATGGCCATACTGCCCAAGGTAATTTATAGATTCAATGCCATCCCCATCAAGCTACCAAAGAATTTCTTCACTGAATTGGAAAAAACTACTTTAAAGTTCATATGGAACCAAAAAAGAGCCCACATTGCCAAGTCAATCCTAAGCCAAAAGAACAAAGCTGGAGGCATCACACTACCTGACTTCAAACTATACTGCAAGGCTACAGTAATCAAAACAGCATGGTACTGGTACCAAAACAGAGATATAGACCAATGGAACAGAACAGAACCCTCAAAAATAATGCCACATATCTACAACTATCTGATCTTTGACAAACCTGACAAAAACAAGCAATGGGGAAAGGATTCCATATTTAATAAATGGTTCTGGGAAAACTGGCTAGCAATATTTAGAAAGCTGAAACTGGATCCCTTCCTTATACCTTATACAAAAATTAATTCAAGATGGATTAAAGACTTAAATGTTAGACCTAAACCATAAAAACCCTAGAAGAAAACCTAGGCACTACCATTCGGGACATAGGCATGGGCAAGGACTTCATGTCTAAAACACCAAAAGCAATGGCAACAAAAGCCAAAATTGATAAATGGGATCTAATTAAACTAAAGAGCTTCTGCACAGCAAAAGAAACTACCATCAGAGTGAGCAGGCAACCTACAGAATGGGAGAAAATTTTTGCAATCTACTCATCTGACAAAGGGCTAATACCCAGAATCTACAATGAACTCAAACAAATTTACAAGAAAAAAACAAACAAACCCATCAAAAAGTGGGCGAAGGATATGAACAGACACTTCTCAAAAGAAGACATTTATGCAGCCAACAGACAAATGAAAAAATGCTCATCATCACTGGCCATCAGAGAAATGCAAATCAAAACCACAATGAGATACCATCTCATACCAGTTAGAATGGCAATCATTAAAAAGTCAGGAAACAACAGGTGCTGCAGAGGATGTGGAGAAATAGGAACACTTTTACACTGTTGGTGGGACTGTAAACTAGTTCAACCCTTGTGGAAGTCAGTGTGGCCATTCCTCAGGGATCTAGAACTAGAAATACCATTTGACCCAGCCATCCCATTACTGGGTATATACCCAAAGGACTATAAATCATGCTGCTATAAAGACACATGCACACATATGTTTATTGCAACACTATTCACAATAGCAAAGACTTGGAGCCAACCCAAATGTCCAACAATGATAGACTGGATTAAGAAAATGTGGCACATATACACCATGGAATACTATGCAGCCATAAAAAAGGATGAGTTCATTTCCTTTGTAGGGACATGGATGAAGCTGGAAACCATCATTCTCAGCAAACTATCACAAGGACAAAAAAACCAAACACTGCATGTTCTCACTCATAGGTGGGAATTGAACAATGAGAACACACGGACACAGGAAGGGGAATATCACACACCGGGGCCTGTTGTGGGTTGGGGTGAGGGGGGAGGGATAGCATTAGGAGATATACCTAATGTTAAATGACGAGTTAATGAGTGCAGCACACCAACGTGGCACATGTATACATATGTAACAAACCTGCACATTGTGCACATGTACCCTAAATCTTAAAGTATAATAAAAATAAATAAATATAAGATCATACCTGCAAACAAGAATAATTTCACTTCTTCCTTTCCAATTTAGATGCTCTTTTTATCTTTCTCTTCTTTTATTTCTCTAGCTAGGACTTCTGGTACTATGCTGACTAACATAGTGGGCATCCTTGTTGTGTTCTCAATGTTAGAGGAAAGGTTTTCAGTTTTTCTCCATTCAGTATGATACTAGCTGTGGGTGTATCATATATGGTTTTTATTATGTTGAGGTATGTTCCTTCTATCCCCAGTTTTTTTAGAGTTACTATCATGAAGGGATGTTGAATTTTTAAAAATGCTTTTTCAGCATCAACTGAAATGATTATATAGTTTTTATCCTTCATTTTGTTGCTGTGATGTATCACATTGATTGATTTGAATATATTGACCCATTTTTGCATCCCACAGATACGTCCTATTTGATCATAATGAATGATCTTTCTGATGTATTGTTCAATTCTGTTTGCTATTATTTTGTTGAAAATTTTTGCATCAATATTCATCAGAGATATTGGCCTGTAGGGTTTTTTTTTTTCTGTTTTTGTCTGGTTTGGGTATCAGGGTAATACTGGACTTGTAAAATAAGTTTGGACATACTCCCTTCTCTATTTTTTGGAATATATTGTGTAAGATTGGCATTAGTTTTTCTTTAAATGTTTGGTAGAATTCAGCAGTGAAGCCATCAGGTCCCAGGCTTTTCTTTACTGGGAGAATTTTTATTACAGCTTCAATCTTGTTACTTGTTATTGGTCTGTTCAGGTTTTGGATTTCTTCCTGGTTCAATATTGGTATGTTGTATGTATCTAGGAATTTGTCCATTTCTTCTAGATTTTCCAATTTATTGGCATATAGTTGCTCACAGTAGCCACTAATGATCCTTTGAGTTTCTGTAGTATCAGTTGTAATGCCTCCTCTTTTTCATTTCTGATTGTATGTATTTTGATCTTCTCTCTTTTATTCTTAGTCTGGCATTGAGGAGTTAGGCATTTAGTGTAGTCTTCACTGTCTGGGCTTATTTGTAGCCGTCCTTCTTGGAAAGGCTTTCTAGACATTTGAAAGGACTTAGGTGCCCTGATCTAAGCTGTTTCGGCTTTAGGGACACCCCAAGCACAGTAACACTGTGGTTCTTGCAGACTTGTAGAGGTACCACCTTGATGGTCTTGGAAAAAATCCAGGAGAATTCTCTGGATTACCAGGCTGAGAATCGTGTTCTCTTCTTTTACTTTCTCCCAAACATACAGAGTCTCCCTCTCTCTGTTCTGAGCCACCTAAAGCTGGGCATGGAGTGACACAGTCATCCCTGTGGCCACCACTACTAGGACCTTGCTGGGTCAGACCTTTCTGATCAAGGCCCTGAGACTCTACAATTAGCAGGTGGCAAAGTCATCCAGGCCTGTATCCTTCCCTTCAAGGCATTGAGGTCTTACAGGCTCAAGTGGGTCCAGAAGTACCATCCTGAAGTGAGGGACTACAGTCAAAATCTTAGAAGTCCACCTGGGATTCTATTGTATTGCAGCTGAGCTGGCATCCAAACCACAAGACAAAGTCCTCCCACTCTTCCCTCTTCTCTTCTCAAGCAGAAGGAAGGGGGTCTCTTTTGAAGCCACTAGATGTGCAGCCTGGGGTTAGAGGAGGGGTGATGCCAGCATTCTCTTGGCTTCCCCAGCTTGTGTCTCAGTATGTTGCATGCTTCCCCAGTCCACTGTCTCTGGGCCTCGTTCAGCCCTAGGACTCTCCTAGACTGCCTTTCAAGTTTACTTAGAGACCCAGAGTACTTTGGCTGTGGGTGAGGAGGTTTGCAGGCACTCAAGTTCAGACCACTGGGACTGGCGATTCCCCTCTGGCTAGGGCTGGTTTAAATGCTCCCTCTGTGGGCGAGCATCCACTGAGTTTGGTCTGGTTTTCCTTCCTGCTCTAACAGGACAGCACTGAGCTCAGTGCCTCACAATTGCTGTGTTCTCCTCCCCCAGCCCACAGAGATGCTCTCAGGACCACACTGTTACTGCTGGAGATGAGTGAGACCAGCAGCAGTGATTCAGGATTGTTTCTTCTATGTCTTCAGTTCCTTTTTAAGTGATATGAAGTTAAAACCACGTACTATGAGTGTTCACTTGATTTCTTGTTCTTATGAAGCTGTTTTTTTCTGTGTAGATACTTGTTGACTTGGTGTCAAAAACTCCCTGCAGGGGAGAGGAGGAGGGGTGAGTGGTGGAGCTTTCTAGTTCACCATCTTGTTCCACCTCCACAGATGCCAGCCCCTAAAACATAAATTTTAAAATATACTTAATGTCTTCATTTTCCACGGTTGATAATTCTTTCTCCACAGTACTTCAAAATTTGACCCTTTTTTCTACCCATTTCCACTACCCATATGCATAACTTCATCATTCCGTGCCTAAATTGGTGAATAATCTCCTTACTGGTTCCTCTGTGTCTCATTTGTTTTTTCTCTTGTCTGGACCCACATCTCACTAAGAACATCCATCTATCACTTCCTGACTTAAAAATATATACATAATGAAATGTGGGCAAAGAAAATCAGTGGACCATTCACAGAAGAGGAAATCTAAATGGCAATAAATATTTGAAAAAAAGTCAATTTCTATTATAATCAGGGAAACGCAAACTAAAAGAAGCAATGGTTTGTTTTTTGTTTTGTTTTGTTTTGTTTTGTTTTGTTTTGTTTTCTGATAGCATTGGCAAAATTTTAAAAGTCTAACAATACTCCATTGGGGAAAATATTGAGAATATGATACACTCATTTACCACTGGTGAGAGGCCACATTTATATTATCGTTTGGAGAGGAGCATTCATGATAAAATTACAATTCATGATAAAATTACAAGTGTGTATATTCTACAATCCAGATATTCTACTTCAAGGTATATGCCCTAGAAAAGCTACAGATATCTGCACAAGAACACACATACAAGAATATTAATTGTACCTGTGTTGTAATAATGAAAAATTAAAGCAGACTTATTGTAAGTTAGAGAAAAATATATTTTATCAATATAGTGAAATTATATTAAAAAAAATAAAGGTATTGATTCTGATAGGAATCAGTAAGGATAAATCCTAGAGACACAGAAGCAAATCAACAGTGTAGTACTATTTAAGTACACTTAAAAGCAGAAAATAAAACTGTTTTTATAATGCATATACATATGGAATGGATAGGCACACACAAAGCCACGATAGTGGCTATATTTACAGAAAAAGAAAATATATAAACCTGGGGTCATAGTTTAAGCAAATATTAGCTTCATCTGTAGTACTTACTGTTAAAAATTGGGACAGAAATATGACAACATTTAGGGGTTAAGTCGTTAGTGTAATTTAATTTTGAACTTTTTCTCCACATGTTTAAACTTTAACCAAATCACTGATAATAAATGAAATTTAATTTAAGATGTAAGCTAATGCTTTATAAAATCCTTTTATTCTAAATACATTGAGATATTTTAAAAATATGTATTGGTTTATTTAAAATATATATCTGTATATCTCACATATATATGTAACTGCATACATGCATATATATACAGTGTTTTATATATGCGTATTTTTAATATTATATGTGTGTATGTATACGTAAACATCTTTGCTGATCAGAAACAGAACCCCCTTAAAGCAGAGAGGGGTTCACGCCAAAGGCCTGTTGGATTTGGTGATGGAAGTAAGCTCTGGGAATGAAGCATCTGGCCCTGCAAGGTACAGAAACAAAATGTGTTCCACACAAAATTGTAGAGAACCTGAGCCAGGTTTACTACTTGAAGCCAAGAACTAGGGAGGGGCTGCTGTATTTGTAAAAAGAGGCTGAAAATAAAGTTGTTCAAAGGCAGTCTAAGGCTACAAATTAAATGAAGTTTCAGGTCTATGGATTACTGAGGTCACAGACACAACAATAAAATTATAAATTATATTGCAATTCAAACCACAGAAAATGAATTCCAAAATGCCATTGTAAGACTTGGTTCTGAACAAATGGTCCAAAACTCCAGGTGGAGAAAATTACAAACTATTAGAAAGAGCAAAAAGGAAAAAGTCTCATTCAAAAAGGGCCTACAAAGCAAAACACTTGAAAAATTTTAATGCAGAGAAAGGCAAAAAAATTTAATATAAATTGACTGGATAAAATAATGTTACAAAGCAGTCTGATTAAAATTAAGGAGCTTGGAAAAGTTAAACTAGACACCTTTAAAATAAAATTTAAAAACATTTAGTTTTTAATTTCAGTAGATAGGGTAGAATGTAGCCTGAATACAGTCAAAGTGAAAATTAGAAAAATGATAGATTGTTCTGAGGAACTCATTCAGAATGCACTACAGAAAGAAACCTTAAAAATGTGAAAGAGTTGTTAAAATATGTAAAGGAGAGATTGAAAGACTTGAGCACATTCCTAATTGAATCTCCAGAAAAATGGTATTTAGACTGATATAAGCTTCAATTGTACCTTCAATTGTGAGGGCAAAACAAAGACAACTTCAGAAATACAAAGAGTAAGAGTGTTTATTCCTACCCTGCTCCTAACTGAATTAGGATATTACATTAGGACATAATTAAGCAATTAGAAAAGTAAATCTGTAAGGAAAGCAAAGTTTAAAATAAACATTGGGGAGCGCAGACAATAATAAAATATTCTGATAAACTTAATAAACTAATACATATAATATTAACTTTTTTGGTTTTAAAATAAATTAAAACCTGCATCCTAAAGAAAAATAACAAGATCTAGAGGCACAATATATAATAGGTAGTAAAGGATAAATAAGATTGTCATATTCAGGAAGAGGATATGAATATTTAATAACTATACATTTACTTTTCAGTGTTCTAGTTAAACATGAAAGTTTAAAATACAAGGCTAACCATTAAAAATATAGAAATATATTACTTGAAAACAAAAAAAACGGGAAAGAAAAAAAATTTAATGTTATCAATCCGTAACAAATTAGGAAAAGAGTTAACAAAGCAGCAGAAAAAGATAAACAGAGAGACAAAAATAAAGATTTTTTTAAACAAAAGTGAAAATAAAATTAGATTTAAAAGTCTAAAATATTAATAGTAATAAATGTAAATGAAATATTGCTATCTATTAAATAACAGAGATGATCTGATTGGGATCTAAGAAAAAAATAATACCGCTGTAAGCTACTAAAAGTGACACATGATAAAGTCACAGAGAATAAAGTTACAAAAAAAGATATTTCAGATATTTATTGACCAAAATAAAGCTGGTATAACAACTCAACATCAAATATAATTGAATTAAATGCACAAACATCATGGGAAATTAAGTACTATATAATAAAAGGAATAATCTAACAGGAAGATACAACAAGCATTTAATATTGATGTGGTTTTTCTCTGTATCTCTACTCAAATCCCATGTTAACTTGTAATTCCCAATGTTGGGGGAGAAACCTGGTTGGAGGTGATTGGATCATGGGGGTGATTTTCCCCATGCTGTTCTGGTGATAGTGAGTTCTCAGGAGATCTGATGGTTTAAAAGTGTGTGGCACTTCCCCCCTCACTTGTGCTCTCTCCTGCTGCAATGTGAAGAAGTTTCTTGCTTCTCCTTCACCTTCCACCATGATTGTAAGTTTCCTGAGGCCTCCTAGTCATGCTTCCTGTTAAGCCTGTGAAACTGAGTCAATTAAACTTCTTTTTTCTTAAATTACCCAGTCTAAGGTAGTTCTTTTTAGCAGTATGAGAATGAACTAATACAAATATTAACCTATAAAAGTCCTGACATTTCATTAAATGAAAACTCTCAGAATTAAAAATAAATATTACAAATCCCAAATCATGGTGGCATATTTTTGAACACTTGTCAGAAATTAATATACCAAGCACATTAAAAATTAGTAAAATTACAGAATTTTTGAATGTCAAAATATAATTGATCAACTAAAAATCTCTGTACCCAACAGGGAATATGTAGTCTTTTCAACATTGAATGTTTTCTAAAATTGACTAGGTCAACAAGAATCAACAACTATCAAAGAAATGATATTATATGAACAACGTTCTCTAAACCCAGTTAAAAGATGTTCTTAATTATTTGTAGGATCTAAAAATCAAAACAGGTTTGGGTGTGGTGGCTCATTATCTGTAGACCCAGCACTATGGGAGGCTGAGGTGGATGGATTGCTTGAGCCAAGGAGTTAGAGACTAGCCTGGGCAACATGGTGAAACCCCATCTATATTTTTTAAAAATTAAATTAAAATTTAAAAATAAATATAAAAAAATTGAACTCATGGAGATAGAGAATAAATAGGAGGATGGTTACCAGAGGCTGAGAAAGGTAATGGGGGGCTGTGGGGTAAGTGGGAAGAATTAATGGGTACAAAAAAGTAAAAAGAATGCATAAGACCTAGTATTTGATAGCACAACAGAGAGACTATAATAATAATCAATATTAATTTAATTGTACATTTTAAAATAAAGAGTAAAATTGGTTTGTAACACAAAGAAAAAATGCTTGAGGGAATGGATACCCAATTTTCCATGATGTAATTATTATACACTACATGCCTGTACCAAAATATCTCATGTAGCCCATAAATATATACACCTACTAGGTACCACAAAAATTAAAAATTAAAACATTTTTAAAAGTAAAAATGAAATAAAACAGTTCCCAATGATTTTAAAATAGTTTTTTAAATTTATGTTTGTGCACTAAGAACTATAGTTCTAAGTAATTCATGGGATAAAGAGGAAATCACATTGGAAGTGACAAAACATTTAGACTTGGAAAATAAAAGTACTACATTTAAAAGTTTTAGGATGTTGCTAAGGTAGTACATGTAGATAAACCTTAAGCCTTGAAATATTTCTACTATAAAACAAGAGTGTTTGAAAATAATGGGTTAGATATTCAAATTAAGAGACTGAAAGAAAAACAGACAGTACTTAAATGAAGTAAAAGAAAAGAAATTATGTAACTAAGTGTAGAGAATAATAAAATAGAAAACAAAGGCACAAGAGAGAAGATTTATAAACCAATAATGTATTACCCAATAAAAAATAGACAAATAAAATATTACAAATATTGGCCAGGCTCACACCTGTAATCCCAGCACTTTGGGAGGCCAAGGCAGGTGGACCACTTGAGGTTAGGAGTTCGAGACCAGCCTGGCCAACATGGTGTAACCCCATCTCTACTAAAAATATAAAAAAATTAGCCAGGCATGTTGGTGGGCGCCTGTAATCCTAGCTACTTAGGAGGCAGGAGAATCGCTTGAACCCAGGAGGTGGAGATTGCAGTGAGCCGAGATCACACCACTCCACTCCAACCTGGGAAGTAGAGTGATACTCTGTCTCAAATATATATATATATGGAATATTAAAAGGTCAGTGAAACAGATAGAACAGACATTAAAGCTACAAGCAGAGAAAAACATAAAACTTACAGAAATATATTTTATAAATAAAACTGGTACTATTATAAAAATATGAAATTGACTAAAGAAGATACAGAGAACTTGAAAAGTATATAGCACTAAAGAAAATAATCATTAATCGTTAGTCAAAAGTCTCCTCAACAACCTATAGAATGGAGGAAGATATTTGCAAGTCATATATCTGATAATGGTTTAATATCTGGAATATATGAAGAACTCTTAAAACTCAACAACAAAAATGAACAACCTAATTTTAAAATGGACCAAAGATTCCTTTAATATTTATCCCAAAATGATATACAAATAGACAACAAGGACATGAAAAGTTGTTCAGCATCATCCTCCATTAAAGAAATGCAAATCAAAACCAAGATGTGATACCACTCACTAGGATGACTTTAATCAAAAAAAAGGAAAATAACAAGTGTTAGCAAGGATTTGGAAAAATTGAAACCTTTATACATTGCTGATAGTAACATATAATATAAGGATGTCATTGCTGTGGATAACATATTGGCTGTTCCTGAAAAAGTAAAACATACAATTACCATATGACCCAGCAATTCTATTCGTAAGTATATGCACAAGAGAAATGAAAATATATGTGCACACAGTATTCATGTGTAGTCCTAACTACTCAAGAGGCTGAGGCAGAAGGATCACTTGAGCCCAGAAGTTTGAGGCTGCAGTGACTTATGTTCATGCCACTGTGCTCCAGCTTGGGTGACAGAGCAAGACCCCATCACTCTTTAAAAAAGAGAAAGAAACAAAGAAAATATATGTCCATACAGAAACTTGTAACAGCATTATCCATAATAGCCTGAAAACAGCAAAGCCCAAATGCCCATCAATGAATAAATGGCTAAACAAACTGGGGTATATTACAAAGAATAAAACATTACCTAATCATAAAAAGGAATAAAGTACTGACACATGCTGCAACTTGATAAACCTCTAAAACATTATGCTAAGTGAAAAAATCCAGACACAAAAGGTCACATACTATATGATTCCTTTTATAGGATCTATCCATTCTAGGAAAATCCATGAAAACAGAAAGCGTATTAGAGATTACTAGGGGATTTCGGGAGAGGGAAATGGGGAGTAATTACTTAATGGATATGGGGTGTTTTTATGGGACAATAAAAATTTTTTGAAGCTAAAGAGAACTAGTTGTTGTACAACATTGTGAATACACTAAACACCACTGAATTGTACCCTAAATACTACTAAATTGTACTTTAAAATGGTTAATTGTATGTTATGCGGCTTTCACCTGAAAAAAAGGAACCTTCCCCATAGAAACACCAGAAAAAGTTAACTTTACAAGAAACACTTAAAAAATACAATAAGTAATCTCTGTATAATAAAAACTAATTCATTGAATAAGGAGGAAAAACTACAAATGTATTTTATGAGGCTAGAAGACTTTAATGTCAACACCCAGTTGGGACAGTACAATAAAAGAAAGTCATAGAGTAATCTCATTTTTAATGTATCAGTAGAGAAAATATTACATTCAATACAGCTGTTTATTAAACATCTGCATTATCACTATAAGAAAGCCTTCAAAAGGCTCATCAGTCAACACAACTATAGAATCAGTGATCTTGACAGATCAATAAAATTTACCCGAACTAAACACAATTTTAAAAGAGAGAATTTTTAAGAAAGGTAGGGGAGTGACAGAACATATTAGCGTTGTGGCACAAACAAAAAGGTCTAACCAAGTGTAATTGAAATTTCATGAAGAAAGGAGTCTACCCTGTGAGCTTCTCATATCTACTTTTTCTTGCATGTTCTAGAAGCAGCTTTTTCAAGATTTCGGTAGAGCTCTCTTCCTGGGGCAAACCTAGAAGATTACTTAGATGAATGACAGCCTCTACACTACTGCTGGTCTCCAGGTTGCAAATGGTACTTCTTATCTCATTCTTTACTATCAATTCTAGATCCCCCTTACCTTCGGCTAGCACCTGTCCTGTTCTTGATACCTTAACCTATGACATGATCCGGACTTCAGCCCTAAGAGATCTGGGTCCATGGCCTTCATGTCCTTCTAAGACTAGGGTGCTGCATTCATTCATTTACCTTCAATTGTTGGCAAGGGAGTACCAACAAGTAGCCAAGTAGTTCACCTCTGTGCCAAACATATTGACAACTATGATTTGTTTCTACCCATAGAACACTTCTTTTTTAGACATGAGATCTCCCAGGCTGAAGTTCGAATGCAGTGATGCGATCACAGCTCCCTGCGGCCTTGAACTCCTGGCCTCAAGCTGTCCTCCCACCTCAGCCTCCTGAGTAGACAGGATAACAAGTTCATGCCACCATGCCCAGCTAACTAAAAAAATACATTTTTTAGAGACAGGGTCCTGCTATACTACCCAGGCTTTTCTCAAACTCCTGGCCTTGAGTGATTCCCCTGCCTCAGCCTCTCAAAGCACTGAGATTACGGACGTGAGCTACCACATCTGGCCTACTTCTGACACCAAGTGGGCAAGGAGGTTTTCCTCCCACAATCAATTCTCCAACTCTCTGTACACTAGCTGGGTGTCCTACAATTTAATTCAATTCTGATGCTAACTTCCTGAAGTTAGCATCAGATCCCACAAGTTAAGGACTCAGTACTGCAAGACCGCCTCCGCTTCCGATGCCAGTCACAAGTCCCAGACCCTGGGGCTTTTTTCCAACCAACTACAAATTCAAGAGGCTCTGACACCTCCTTCCTTATGCTAAAGAATTTGCTAGAATGACGACTTTCTATTCCTTACTCTCTATTCTGGTTTATGATAAATAATACAACTCAGGAAGAGCAAATGAAAGAGACATAGGGCAAGGTATGTAGGAAGGGCTGCAGAGCTTACATGCTGTTTGTGTGAGCCACCCTCCTATCACTTCCACATGTTCACCAGCCTGGAAGCTCTCCAAACCCCTAGTTTAGGGGGTTTTATGGAGGTTTCATTAGGTAGACATGATTCATGATTCACCGTCTCCTGGAGTTCTTGCCAGGGTGTTATTAATAATTTCTGTAACCCAGAAAATTATCATTTTTTTCTGGCCCCCTTCAACAATCTGATGTGTTTCCCCCCAGTTGCTGAAGATATCTGCTGGCTAGGTCTTGTAGCTTCTTTAGTGTATAGTCCATTTTTTATCTCATTAAGACCAGCACTCATCAGGTGGGCTTTGTTGTAACAATGCTAATTATTGATCAAATGCCCAGGAAGGAGGGTAGAGTAGATTCCAAGGAAGACACATGCTGGCTGGAGGGAGTCTTCTGCTTCATCTCAAATCCCTGGCAACAAGAGAATTCTGATTCTTATGAAAAAGTGGTGGGCCAATTATACAGGCCCAAAGGGTTTAGGGAAATCTGAGACTCAAGATTTTCAGGTGCATAAATCTAAATATTCCCATCCAATATATTAAGATTCTTTTCTCACCAGAGAACTCAATGGCAGAGGAGACCTGCCTCAACTGGGAGTTTAAACTCAGTCATTCAAGCTCTCAGCCAAGTTCTCAATTTTTTTTACCCTACCCCCAAAGGTTAGAACCTCCTTGTGTGACTCCATATAAGCTCTCTACATAATCTTAGTTTTTCATAATCTGTATTCAGGGCATCAGTTAGGCTTAGCAATAGACGCTCAATTTTTTGTTGTTTTTTTTCTATTTCACCCATATTCCTCAAATGCCTGATATATGGAACCAACTAGTGGATTCCCTTATACTGCTATACCAACCCGATGTACCACCAGTAAAACCTTTGACAACTGGACAGTTGTAGCAGGGCTCTCTGTGCTTCACCTACTACCAGGGATGGTGTCTTCATTGTTGGCAAAGTAGCAGGTAATCTGGCTCCAAAACTCCATTTGAGCACTTGTTTTCTTAAACCGCTCTTGGTATCAACTTTACAGGTTGGGTTTCCTGGAAAACAGATCCTAAGACAGGGTTTAGATGTTTACTAAAGTGTATGCTTGAAATCAGTATTTGTAGAAAGCAGAAGTGAGAAGAGGGAGAAATAGGACCAACAACAGTGTTCGCTAAGCCATGAGGAGCTCTGGAACTGGTACACCTTTAAGACCGTCTGTTGGAACAAGATGGCCAGGCCTTTATCAGTCATCAGATTTGCCCATTTCCCACCCCTGGAGGCAGCATGACATTGTGTGAAGTGGCTTGCTGAGGGCATTCCTGATGGGGCTGACAGCTGAAGCCTGTCTGCTGACAGCACTCTCACAGCTGGGGCAATAAGCTCTGCATGTCTGACATCTTCCTTGAGGAGTCAGGTTCATAGGTAAGTATAACCTACATTTCTGTGACTTCTGTTATCTGGGTAATACCCACAGATCTGGGTGGTGAGTCTCAGTATCCACTGCAATGTCCCAAACCAAACTTGTAAAATCAACCAACACCCTCCACCCCTAAATATGACCCTTCTTCAGTCTTCTCCATTTCAGGAATCTACCCACCAGTTTTAAAATTAGAAACCTAGAAGTCCTTCCTAATCTCTCTTTTTTTTTAACCAGGCATTCACAATATAGACAAGTGTTAAGTCCAGCCATTTTTTCTTCAACTTATATTTCATATTTCGCCTATTTGTCGCCACAGCCACCCACCACCCCTGTCTAAGCTACAATTATCTCATTTGGAAAACTCCATAGTCTCCTTGCTCATTGCTCTGTTCTCTCTCTTGCCCTTTTCCAATCTATTTTCCATACCAGTCATTATAAAATTTGTGAAATACAAATTAAATCTCCTCAACCCCCCTGGCTTCAAACCCTTAAGGGATTCCCACTACATTTCAAATTAAATACAAACACCTTCACGTCTCCTACAAGGTCATCTCCAGTCTCAGCACAGGCCCTCTCTCTATCACTCATCACTCTTTAGCCATGGTGGAATTCTTTCAGTTCCTGGAAGCTGCTAAGCATTTCCCTGCCATAAATAAAACATTCACCATTTCTGTCAAACAACTGGCTTTTGCCTGGCAAGTTCTTTATCATCCTTCAGATATCAATGTTAATGTTACCTTCTCAGAGAGCTTCTTCATAAGCTACAGTGACCTTCTTTTGTGGCTGGCTAGCATCTCTTTAATATTGTTTTATATTAATAGAAATTCCAATAACATAATAATACTTGCATTGTGAATCCTGCTTCCCCAAAGTAAATACCAGAACTCAACTTCCCAGCTCCATTGCTCCACTGCAGCTGGAATACAGGTCTGTGATCCATGATCAGCCAGTCAGCTGCACCAGAGTTAGCCTTCCACTGAGAAGGGGCTAACATGACAACCTAGTCTTACTAGTACTCACTTTTCAGAAAGCAGGTGGCGGAGATGACAAGCTATTCTGGGCAGTAAGGGTAGAGATTCTGACAGCTCACCCTGAGCATCACTGGTGGGGTGGGGATTTGTGTAAGGTGTAGTTTCAGAGCCAAGGGGTGGTGGCTATGCTGCTTTTACTGGAGCAGACCCTGGATTATGTGTGGACATTGTTCCTGGTTCCCCAATCTTCTCAGACACCCTGTGAGTCACCTCTTATACGTTGATGAATTAATTTTCTGCTAGAACAAACCACAGTGGATTCCATTGTTTGGAACTACAACCTAACATTTATAAGCTCCCGTCTAAGGCATATTTAGTCTATTATTCTCTATCATAAAACACTTTTTGTTTCCTTTATTGTATTATCACAACTTATAGTGGATGGGGGGAGATCAGGGAGGGGTGTGTCTGTGTGTGTGGTGTCTGTCTGTCTACCAGATTATACTCTCCTTGAGGAAAGGGACTCTGAATTATTCTTTCAGCAATGGATATCAGGCCCCCAGTCCATTGATTCAGTAAAGTTTATGGAACCATTTCTGTGTGGTAGACACTAACACAGGCACTAATAATACAGCCTCAATAAGATACAATTCCTCCTCTCAAAGTGCTCACATCGTAGTTGGAGGAATAAATCATTAAAATCTAATATGGTAAATACATTCATAAAAATTGCAAAGGGTTCTTATAAGCTCACAGAGAAGGAGCACCTAATATAATCTGCAGGGAAAGGGAGGTGAGGCTTAAAAAAAGTAGAAAAACAGGTGAGTGGAGGAGTAGGAAACATACTAGGAAGAATTCTTGGAAAATGCAATGCCAGCGCTTCAAAGTGTGAGCAGAAGTCTGATAGGTGAAAGGAAGAGTGATGAGGGATCGTGTTGAAAAAGATGATTCCAGGCAAAGGAGAAAGGTCCCACAGTGATGAGCAGCCTGGTGGAGGGAGGGGGAGCTTTCACAAGAGGGAAGCAGGAGAGATGGAGCAGGCATGGGGGAGCTGGGAAGGAAGGCAAAGGCCTGGACTCATGCTCCACTGGAGATTCCTAAAATTATGCCTGCATATGGAAAAGGCTTAGAAGGAAATGTGGGAAAAAAAATCAAGCTAAGAGATTAGTTTGAGGTATTTTATTTTTTATTTCCTTCATAGCTATTTAAACATCCCTTGTAACATTATTTCATCAATTAACTGAGATTTGTAAAAATCTCCCCTAACTATCTTCACCGCACACAGTGGCCATGCTTGTATTGTGTATTTCTCGGCACTGCTATATCATTTATGTAATATTAATTACAAGTACACTTGTTTTTGTTTTATCTTATTTCTCTCTGTAGACTGCATTTCTCAAACAGACCCTGTGTGTTCTGTCAGTTCAGATCCCCATGATTTTAAACATCTCGGTAAGCCCGCAGTAGCATTTTATAAGTGGTTATGGAAGGAAAATATAAGGTCATACTTAGGAAACTTAAATGTAAAAGAAACCTTTCCCTTTTCTATGATTGCTAATGTATAGTATCCACATAAAAGGTTCAAAATATTTCACTGCAATCTGTGCTATTTCATGGCCTATCCCTGCAGAGAATATTTTTAAATAAATTATTTAGTTAGATAATAATACACATCAACTTATATTTAGCTTTTGTAAATGATGACGCAAGACCCAAAGACTATGATTATCAAATCAAATGAGATTCATAATTCTACCCAGATTCAGACAGATTCATCTTCAGAACCCAGACAAACTACTTGTCTAAGCAACCTTTTAACGTCTTAATTCCCAAAAAAAAATGTCTTGAAGGTCTTAATTATAGGGCCCCTGCTTCATACTCCTGAGGAAGGAAGGTTTCTCACAAGACCCTCACCAGTAGCATGCAAACAGAGAGTGAAATGAAAACAGTAAAATGAAAAAATACCGTTGTCTGGTTAAGAAAACAAATAACTTCTTACCACCCCCTATTTATTTTTCACTCTAGGGAGACTCTGGATTTAAAATGCTGAAATACAGACTTGTGAACAAGCTTTTATAAATGTATCACCAACAATGCCATCTGTAGGATGAATCTTCAGTAACTTCATCTGTCTAACTCCTCTCTATCTCTATCTCTTAGAGCCACATGGGCCTATTCTGCTTTCAGTGGGTTAATTACCAAGGAAACATTTTTCCTCTGTGGTCTAGACATAGAAATATCCAGATATTGTTTCCCTTGAAAGGCAGCCATCCTGCTGAATGTACTTGATCACCAATTCTTATGTTTGCCTAAGGCCAAATGGGGCTAAACACAATTTCTAAAGACTGCCCCCTGCCCCCTTTTTAACCAATTCACAGCTTGTTTGTTTTTTATTGAGGATGCTGCCAGACAAATGGAGGGAAGGAGAAGAAAACCCCTTAATTTTTAAGGTAGGGAAACTAGAGAACGATGAATTTGCTATTGCCAAGAGGAAGCAATCCTTGGACCTAATAAATAAGTGTGGAAAAAAAGGTTACTCAATATTATATAACTTCAGAAGTATGAGTACACAATGGAGATTTTAAGAAAAAATACGATTTTCTTAACTGAAACATGAAGGTGTATGTGAGAGTGTATAATTACAGCTATGCAGAAAGTGAAAGAAAGACAAAAATCTCAACCTTTGAAAAAAAAGGCTTAATCTTGACCTTGCTATCTATATACCTATGACCTTGGATAAGTCACTTGACTTATTTGAAGCTTCGTTTCTTCTAT
This sequence comes from Homo sapiens, assembly GCF_000001405.40. Lineage (NCBI taxonomy): Eukaryota > Metazoa > Chordata > Mammalia > Primates > Hominidae > Homo > Homo sapiens. The sequence goes on from NC_000003.12 coordinate 99,471,648, forward strand.
GTAAACCAAAGGATTTAGATAAGTTTACATCCAAGGTGTCTCTCCATCTCTAAAATTCTTTGACCTCCCATGTTTCTCTGCCAAGAATATTCTACCTGGAAGTAGCTCTATTTCTCTTAAGTTCTCTCCCCACTTCCTCACACCCTCTATATTCTTAGATAGAAACTATCCTCTTACTTCTGTGGGAGTTACATAATAAGTGGGAAGTGAAGACAGCTGAGCCTGCTCTGAAAACATGATAAATAGCCCCAGTGTCCTGAATGTGCCTTCCCTGTGGAGGCCAAGGGACTCCATACAGACTCGGGAAGGATTATCTGGTACTCCAGCCGAGTGCAGACTGGCACAGAGGCCAGGCACATGTAGGCCACATGAGGTTACTCTGAGGCTTCTCCTTTCTGGGAGAACTTGGACTTCCCTTCTTCCATCACAGGCTCAGATTCCTGAGTCCCGGAGGCCCATGGCGCAGCCACAATGATCAGTGTTGCCAGGAACAGTGGTAAGTAGCAAGAGCAGAACCCTGACTGTGTCCGGACTCACTCCAACTCTTAATGATTCAGGCAACTCACTTGGCCACCAGCTCTGTTCTCTCCCAACTTTGCTTAAATAGCCAAGTCTGTGATGGCTGGTGCCCAGTAGTGACATTTCCATTTCAGGCTAGGGAATGTAAAAATAATAATAATAATAATAATAATATAAAAGAGTTAATATGATCAATGTTCTTGAAAATTGCTTTTTTTTTCTTTCAGTACCAAAACACCATTAAAGTGACTAGAGGAACTGATCACTTTTAGTCACACTGTGACTCAAGGGACATACTACCTAAATGCCCAGCTGACAGGAGGCCAAACTCTGCTCAGCTATTGGTGAGCCACGTGGGAATAACAAAGGCCAAATTGGCAAATGATAGGAACATTGCCTCTCACAAGCCAAATCCTCAACAGAGGAGCTCGGCACCCTTCATGGAGTTACTGAGACTGGGCCTCTCATTTCTTTCTGAAACGCCTGTTCCAACAGTATTAGACACACTCTGGAAGCAGCTACACATTTCTGAATGATGAGTTCTGAAGTAAAGACTTGTCAGTGGTATAGTAATGTGGATTTAAAAAATATATTTTATTTTGTGGTAGAATTGCCTGGCTCTTAAAAAGACACTGCAAAACTTAGTTTGACTGCAGATGAATTTAGCTATCAAGGGTTTCTGTCTTATTCATTGTTAGGAAAACACAACCAACCCTCCACTTGTTTTTTCTTCTCACTGCACATTAGATGTCATATGAAAACATATCAAAATAGCAAGTTCAGCCTCAGGGACAGATTTGTAATGCAAGACTCCTCACATGAGTGTACTTTTGTCAAACACCTGTGGGTATATTGTCCAGTTCTATCTTCCCATCAAAAAACAACCAGCAAAAAAAGAAGATGACTTTCAAGATCTAAACATACTTTAACTCTATCCCACTGGGCAAATGCCATTAAAGTGGTTGAAAGGACTGACCACTTTTAGTCACTCTATAACTGTGCATCCTAAGGGATGCCTTCACCAACTCAAGCTGCTCAGATACTGCTGAGCCACACAGGAATAATGAGGGTGGAATCGCAAAATGATAGAAACGTTGCCTCTCACAGGCCAAACCTCTCACCAGAGGCTCATAGAGCCCTCCATGGAGTTAACCCCATTGAGCCTCTTGTTTCATTCTGAAATGTCTGTTCCAATAGTATTAGACACACTCTGGAAGCAGCTACACATTTCTCAATGATGAGTTCTGAGGAAAATATTTGTCCACGGTATGCAGCTGTACAGTGTTTCACTTTGTGATGATACCACAATTCATTAATCCATTCTACCCTTGACAGGCACTCAAGCAATTTTCAGTTTTGTACTTTTATAAATAGTCCTTCTAAGATCAACCAGGACATGTCTTTTGATAAAGCTATGCTGACATTTATGTTGAGTTATATACCTAGGCATCATATTGCTTGGAAGATATTGCCAAACTGTTTGCCAATGTAGTTGTACCAATTTAGACTTCTACCAGCAGTGACTCACAGCCAACAATTTCTATGGCTTCACATCCTTACTAACACTCAGGATTCTCCGCCCTTTCTGTTTTAGCTATTCTAGTGAATGTACAGTATTGTTGTATAGTGGGGTTTTTTTGTTTGTATTTTCCTGATAACTAATGAGATTGAATATTCTCTATTAAACTGTCTACTTCAGTCTTGTTTATTTCTCTACTGGTTATATGCCTTTTTCTTATTGATTTTTAGTTATTTATGTATTCTGGATACATGTACCTTGAGGTTCTTAAAGCAGTTATTAATTTTGATATAAACTGAATTATCATTATTTTTGTTTTAGAAATAGTTCTTTTGGTGTCCCATTTTAAAGTCTTTACCTGCTCCAAGATCATAAAGATGATCATCAAGCTTCTCCTCTAAAAGCTTTATTGTTTTGCCTTTTACATTTAAATCTATAATCCATCTGAATTTGACTATTTTCTATTTAGTAGGACTAAGCATCATTTATTGAAAAGACTATTATCTCTTTGCTGCGCTGCATTGCAACTTCTACTGTTTGTCACAAATCCAGTGACTATGTTAGTCTGGCTCTGGACTCTCTCTTCTTTGGACATCTTCTGTCCTGATGGTCAGTTTTTCTGTCCTACAAACACCACACTGTCTTGACTACTATAATTTTATAATAAATTTTGATGTCGATCTTGACTACTGTAATTTTATAATAAATTTTGATAGCTGGTCAAAAAAGCCCTCTAGCTATGTTCTTCTCCAAGAATACCTTGGATATCCTTGGCCTTTTGCAGTTCCAATTTTCATTAATAAAAAGTATGCTGGTTTTAAAAATTAGAATTACACTAAATACATAGACTAATTTAGCAGAATTAATATTTTAACAGCATTGAGTCTTCCATCTATGAACATGGAATATCTCACCATGTGTTTAGATCCTCTTTCACTTTTCTCAATAATGTTTTGTAATTTGACTGTAGAGGTGTTTGCACATGTTTCATTGCATTAGTTCCTATGTGCTATGATTTCAGTCTTGTTTGTCCCCACCAAAACTCATGTTGAGGTTTGATCCCCAATGTGGCAGTATTGGGAGATGGGGCCTAGTGGGAGAAGTGTTGGGTCATGGCAGCAGATTCCTCATGAATGGCCTGGTACCTTTCTCATGGTAATAAGTTCTTGCTTTACTGAGACTAGATTCATTCCTCAGGAATGAATTTGTTTCTGCAAGAAGGGGTTGCAATAAAGCAAGGTTCCTCCTCACTGTTGGTATCTCTTCCCATGTGTTTACTTCCCCTTTGACCCTGTCTGCCATAGTTTGACTTAGCATGTGGCCCTCAGCAGAAGCTGAGCAGATGCCAGTGCTATGCTTCCCATACTTGCCAGCTGGCATAACTATAGCTAAATAAATTCTTGTCTTTATAATTTACCCAGTTTCAAGTATTCTGTTATAGCAACACAAAATGGACTAACATACTAGGGATGTGATTTTTGATACTTTGGTAAGTGATAATGTTTAAAATTTATTTTTTTCAAGTGTTTCTGACTTATTAAATTATACAGATTATTAGATTATTAGATTATTAGAAAGACTTACTAAATTATGCAGATTAACCTTGTATTCAGTGATGTTGCTAAATCTACTTATGAATTCTTATTCTTTTCCTATACTCAGTTAATGTAATGAAGTACATTGAGTAATTTCTGATGTTAAACTACTTTTGCATACTTGAAATAAACTCTTCTTAATGGTGATGTATCATCATTTTTTATGTATTGCTCACACGAGTTTGTTAATGTTTTCTTGAGAATTTTGCATCAATGTTCATCAGAAAACTTGGTATATAATGTCCCTTTGTTATTCTGCCTTTGTCAATTTTATAATCCATATTATGGTGCCTCTTTAAAAGGATTAGAAAGTGTTTCTTCTTTTTCTTTCCTCCGGAAGAATTTGTACAACATTGCTGTTATGTCTTTCTTAAATGTTTGAAAGAATTTGAACATGAAAAAGTTTTGATTAAGAATCCAATTTTTTAAACACATATATCTGATTGTTTACATTTTCTATTTCTTCTTATGGCAAAATTAGTAAGTTGTTGAGTTTTTTGAGTCATGAATCCATTTCATCCAAATCAGTAATTTTATTGGAGAAAGTGTTCATAATATTATCTGACTGAATGTATTGTGATCTGTGTACTTTCAATTCTGAAAACTTATGGATTCTTTATTTTTTCTTGATCAATCCTATTAAAACTTTATCAACTTTAAGTCTCAAGCCTCAATGTTGTTAATTTTTCTCCTTTTCATTGTTTATTTCTGTTTTTTTATTTATTTTCTTAGGTTTTCTTTAGTTTTGATGTGCTTTTTACTATGTAGCTTCTTGAGTTGTAAGTTTAAATAATTGATTTTCAGTCTTTCTTCTTGTCTAATATATGCAGCATATTCTCTGACCACAACAGCATTAAGCTAGAAATTAGAAAACATTTTGAACTAAAATAAAATAGAAACATGCCAAATCAGAATTGTAGTGCTGCAGTTTCTCTCTAAGTACTACATTACCTGCAGCAATATAATAATATGTTTCCACTGTAATTCTGGTTTTTTCATATATAATATATACTATACGCAAATATATATGACATTACAATTCTTGTTTCATACATACAGCCACTAGTCATTTGTATTTATCCACATAATTACTCTCCTGAAGTTTGAAATTTTCTCCTATATTTTCATGTTGCATCTGGAATCATTTTTCTTTTTTTTCTTTTTCTTTTTATTTATTTATTTTTATTATATTTTAATTTCTGGGGTACATGTGCAGAACGTGCAGGTTTCTTATATAGGTATACACATGCCATGGTGGTTTGCTGCACCCATTAACCCGTCATCTACATTAGGTATTTCTCCTAATGCTATCCCTCCTCTAGTACCCCACCCCCAAATAGGCCCCGGTGTGTGATGTTCCCCTCCCTTTGTCCATGTGTTCTCATTGATCAACTCGCACTTATGAGTGAGAGCATGCAATATTTGGTTTTCTGTTCCTGTGTTAGTTTGCTGAGAATGATAGTTGCCAGCTTCACCCATGTCCCTACAAAGGACATGAACTCATCCTTTTTTATGGCTTCATAGTAGTCCATGGTGTATATGTGCCACATTTTCTTTATCCAGTCTATCATTGATGGGCATTTGGGTTGGTTCCAAGTCTTTGCTATTGTGAATAGTGCAGCAATAAATATACAGGTGTGTGTCTTTATAGTAGAATGATTTATAATCCTTTGGGTATATACACAGTAATGGGATTGCTGGGTCAAATGGTATTTCTGGTTCTAGATCCTTGAGGAATAGCCACACTGTCTTCCACAATGGTTGAACTAATTTAAACTCCCACCAACAGTGTAAAAGCATTACTATTTCTTGACATCCTCTCCAGCATCTGTTGTTTCCTGACTTTTTAATGATTGCCATTCTAACTGGTGTGAGATGGTATCTCATTGTGGTTTTGATTTGCATTTTTCTAACTACCAGTGACGATGAGCATTTTTTCACATTTTTGTTGACCACATACATGTCTTCTTTTGAGAAGTGTCTGTTCATATCCTTCACTCACTTTTTGATGGTTTTTTTTTCTTGTAAATTTATTTAAGTTCCTTGTAGATTCTGGATATTAGCCTTTTGTCCGATGGATAGATTGCAAAAATTTTCTCCCATTTTGTAGGTTGTCTGGAATCATTTTTCAGCTTGAGAGTAGTTCATTTAATTTTACAAAGGTGGGCCTACTAGTGACAAATTCTTTATTTTTTATTTGACTAAAACTATCTTTATCTTCATTTTTTGAAGGATATAAAAATATTGTGTGTGAAATTATAGGTTGGCAGTTATTTTAACATTTTTAAGATGTCATTTTATTGTTTTCTAGTTTCCATCATTTTGGTTAAGAAGTTAGATTTCAGTCTTAGTGTTTCTCTTTTTAAGTCAACAACTGTAAGCTTTTCTCTTTATATTTGGTTTTCAGAAGATTCTTTGATATACTGTGGTGTAGTTTGCTTTGTTTATCTTCAAATTGTGGTTCTCAAAGCTTTTTGAATCTCTCAGTTGTTATCTTTCATCAGTTTGGAAAATATAAATAGTGATTCCACCCATTTTCTCTTTTTACTTCTGTGATACCTATTATATGTATGTTAGACCTTTGGATCATCCTATACATCTCTATTCATTTTTTCTTTTAATTTTTTCCTAATCTTAATTTTATGTGTTTTTATTGACTTATATTTTAATTCACTTGTCCTGTATACTTCTGTTTCTAATCTACTGTTAAATCCATCTATTGAGTTCTTAATTGCGGAGATTGTATTTTTCAATTGTATATTATCTATTTCTTTTTATTTAACAGAATATAATTCTCTGGAGAAAATCTCCATACTTTCACCTATTCTTTTTATCTTTTTTCTAATTTATTTAATATATTAATTATTGTTATTACAAAGGCTTTGACTGGTAACTCTGATATCTGGATCATTTATTAGTCTGCTACTATTTCTATCTTTTTCTTCTTCATTACTAATAAAAATTTTCCTGTCTTTTGGCATGTATAGTAATATTTTATTGTATGTCAGACATTAAGCATAAAAGAAATAAAGAGATTCCAAATAATGTGATGTTTCACCAGACAGTGTTTCCCCTTTCTTCTGTTATGTCACTCAGTTAAGCAGCTGACCATTTTGCAGAGTCAGGAATTGATATAGGTTAGAGCTGGACTATAGATTGTATAAGTCCCAGTATACATCTGTTTCAGTCATCTTCTTGAAAATGACCATCTCAAGCTTTTAATTAAGAGCCTAATTGGTTTCTTTCTCTGCAGTTCTGAAAGACTTCAGAATTTCCAGCTCTATCGTTCATAAGTTTCCAGCCCAGTTCTTTAGCCTGTCAATTCAGGCATCTTAATAGTCTAGCACATGTCTTATTTAGAGACTAATTGAGTGCCTAAGGTACTCCTCCAGTATGTCTTTTTGAAGCTTTTAGATGACTTTCTCAACCTCCAGTGTGGCTGCAGATGTCCATAATTTTGCCAAGGTCATATGGGGTAAATTAGCATTTGAAGAAGCCCCTAAAATTTCCAGTTTCCCTCACCGGCCTCCTACAATGGCTAAAACAAACAAACCAACAAAAACTTTGCTGGTTTCTCTTTCTCCCTGGAAGTGGCTCAATGCCTAAACCAAGCCCAATCTGTAGGCTGTGCCTTTAATTAATTACATTTTCCAAAGGACAAAATATCCAGGATTCAGCAAATATCCACAGGAAACATTTCTCCTCACCTTGGAAGTGTTATCACCCATCTTAGAGCCTTCATCTGTTTTCCCCATGGCTGGCAGGGAGGAGGGGAGCACAAGGAACACCATTAGTGAACTGACTAGCTAAGTATTTTTCCAATCTATTATGTAAACCAGAATTCCAGCCCTTAGAATTTTAAGTGCTAAGAATTAACCATTTTGCACTTTAGCTGTGGCCAAGAGACCAACATTTAATATGAACACGGTAAGGGTGAAGTAAACAAAAGCCTTACAGAGATAAGAAAAAGTCAGGTTAAGCTTATGTCATCATCGTACAGCATTTTGATCTGCTTCGGCCTATATTCAACTAAACTTTACTTTCAAGTGTTCTTTCTCTACTCACTAAATCAGATTTTGCTTTTTATATACCATTCCATAGAACCAGGTATAATGTCCTAGTGATGTCAGAATCCAAGGACAATCATTTGATGTTTTGCTCAGAAAATATTACCCATCTTATTGGTCTTATCCATTTTTAATTTAAAAATAGAGTGCATGTTACTATCGTAGTCATACAGATAATCAAGATATTTGGTTGCATACTCAAATAAAATATCCCAGTAGTATAGTTTATATTCAATTTAAATTTACTATAAGCATTTTCTAATCTATGAGTCTGATATAAATGTGTAAATGTTACACTTACAGAAAAGAGAGCATGTATTACTGAGTTTTCTTTTAAGGCATCCAGCTACAATGACCAAAATGTTTCCAGCTTGCAAGTGTATCTGAATCATGGTCATTAGTTTATGCTTACTTTTTTCCAAAGGTCTTTATTGTCACAACATGCAACAAAGTTGAACTCACTGTGAAAAATTAAGACCATAGAACTATTACTTTTGGTTATTCGACTATCAAAAATTAGCTTGTTAAGCACTTAGGGTTGTTGGCACCACTGAGATGGCATGGGAAAGAGAAAGAAATTGCATGCCAGCTTTATTTGTTTGAAAGCTTTTAGCACTGAGTTACACAATGGAAAAATCTCAAGAACATTCCCTGTGTCTGTGTTTGTAATGATTACACTAAAGTCAAGCACAACTCCAATAAACGAATCACACTCAAATGCTTTGGAGTTAAAATACTGGGTATGTAGATTAGGTTCCCTAAAAGAGACCAATGTTTTTTATGAAATTACTCCAAAGGAGATCAGGACAGGATATTTCCTGCTTTATGAAGGTAATATTGCTAATGTTGTTGAGACAAAGTAAAAGGTTATTTTAGATATCAACACATAGATTAATATAGTAATTCACAAATTTATAAACTTGAAAGTAAACAGTATTTTTCCCACTTGTGGGTAATGTGTGCATTTTTACTAAGTAACAATGTTAGTATTCTTTCTAAAATCTGCCTATTTAAAGTCCACTTAGAACACCCCATAAACTCCTTGGCTATTGCCCATAAAGACCACCATGGTCAGACTCTTGCCTATCTGTGTAATCTCATCTTGTCACAAATATCCTCTGTATGAGCTACTTTTAATCAGGTGAGGTTCAAGATGCATGAGGCTATTTCTCATCGTTGTGCTTTAGCACAAGCTGTTTTCTCTACACAGAAGTTCTTACCCTACCTTTCACACATAGTAAACTCAACTCAAATGCCACCTTTTCTGTGAATCCCTTCCTGACCTCCCTAAACACAGTTACTTTCTTTTTCTTGGTCCTGTAACATCCTATTTATACATATATTACAGCCTCTACCTCATTACCATCTCTAGCTTCTGCATCCTTCTAGGGCAGGGAAATACACTAAGCACATTGATATCCCTAAGAGCAGCACTCCACGTGACACGAAGCAGCTCTATGGTTAATAAATGTACAAAGAACTAAGAGAGGAAGGGAGAGAAAGGAGGAAGGAAAGAAAGGAAGACTTAAAGCTTTTAAAACGACCAAAAATATTTCCAAACCTAAATTTACAGTTGCTAAGCTCACAATAATATTTACTGAATGAGAAAAGAGCTCCTGAATACTGAAAATGTGTGATATAATAAAGGGAGGTGGTTGCACATAATGTATAGGCTTCTAATGTTATAACATCAGGCATAAAGATATAACAATTTACATTTTAGTCTCTCTGTTTTATCTTTTGCCTTCCTTCAGGGAGACTTCATTTTCTGTGTTCAGGAAGTTTGTTTTCTGTTCTGTTATTTTATCACTCACTGAGTTTCTTAGGGTCTTTTTCTCTGTTTGATGATGGCAGTTGATATGGGTTCTGGGTGCTATGGTACGAAATAATTCTGTAAAGTATCATAAAATATCATTTTATTAGTATTACATTTTGTACTTTTAAAATTAGAGTTGCTGACTTACATAAAAATGAAATGGAGGCCAGGTGTGGTGGCTCACTCCTATAATCTCAATACTTTTGGAGGCTGAGGCAGGTGGATCACGAGGTCAGGAAACCAAGACCACCCTGGCTAACACGGTGAAACCCCGTCTCCACTAAAAATACAAAAAAATAGCTGAATGAGATGGTACGCGCCTGTAGTCTCAGCTACTCGGGAGGCTAAGGCAGGAGAATTGCTTGAACCTGGGAGGCAGAGGTTGCAGTGAGCCAAGATTGAGCCACTGCACTCCAGCCTGGGTGACGGAGCGAGACTCTGTCTCAAAAAAAGAAAGAAATGGATTGGTACCATGCCAAATAGTAATTCTATTTTCTGAGACAGAATCAGGGATTCATTAAAATCTGTGCACAGCTCAGACAAGCCCAGGGTTCAGAATAATGTATTCTTCCTTTCTGTGATGGTTACATAGTGATTATGAGTCACAAGGTATTTTGCATGTAATATCCATTTGATTTTTTATCTTTCATATGGGGACACTAAGGCTCCTAGAGGACAAACAATGGACACATAATCAGTCATGCAGTAAACTGCAAAGTTAGAGGCTAAAGCTGGTCTTCTGACTTCAACCCCTGTCTTATTTTTTACTATACTAGGGTGCCTTCTTGTACTTAACTCATTCCCTGGCCCCTTCTATGCATGATCCCATAGATGATACTCTATAGCCAATGGCTTAGATATGGTGGCATACTCCTAGCTAACTACTCACCTGCTCCTTTAAGCTTTGCTGCTACACTGAAGCTAATTTCCATGTCTATGGAGAGGACAATTTACCAGAAGTATGGGTGTAAGACTAGCTGCCTCTAGCTGTCTTTGTAAGACATAGGGACTTGACAGATAAACTCTTAATTAAATACACGTAAGAATTTAGTGGGGTTCACATGAATTAAAGTTCAGTCTGGTAGTCATTAACATTGTTCACCAAAGTACTTAGTTTTCTTTCTTAGAAATTGACAGGGCTACACTTCCCTGCTCCTTGAAGTTAGGTGTAACCATATAAATATCTTTGGCCAATGATATGTGAGCAGAAGTGATGTGTGTCACTTCTGAGAGGAAGCTTTATGAATCACTATGTCATCTGCTTTCTTCCTTTCTGCTCTGCATCATTTCCTCCCACCCTGACTTTCTTTCTTTTTTTTTTTTTTTTTTTTTTTTTGACTTGACATTATGGCAGTGTGGACATTTAGTTTCTCCTATCAGGGTTCTTGACAAAAGACAATGTAGAACACATCCTTCTTTCCCACCCTCCCACCCCCACAAGCCAACCCACCATGGACATGAGGTACTAGCAAATGTTTTAAACCTTTACAATTTTAGTTGTTGCTTTTTTCTAACCAAGCATTACTTAGACTATCTTAACTGGTACACTTACCTTAATATATTATTTCAATCCAGTAGTAGTGCCCAATGGAATAGGTCAATGGAAACGTTTTTGAATCTATAAAATGTTAGTGCAGACTGCTCTTAATTAAGAATTCTCTTTAAGAATATTGATGGAGTTTAGGACACACTACCCCAAAATGTGGCACCATGGCATTTTGAGAAAACAGCTGAAGCTGGAATGTCTCTCTCACATACTCCTACCCTTTTCCCCTAAAGAAGGACATAAAAGAGTTCTTCAACCTTCCTCTAAAATAGAGGAAGTTTTCATGCACCTTATTTGAAAGGTGCCCAGCCAATACTTGGAAGATAGGAATGTTCTTATCTTTGAAGACACAGGATCACAAAGAAGATTATGAACAGGACTTGCTAAGTTCCCTGACCCCAGTTTATTACCATTAGGTGATAACCCCTCTGTTCAATCAGACTTCCCCATGACTATCCACTGTTCATCAAACCTAAGCATAAAAATACACAGGTTTCTAGGTTTCACTGGGTCTTCATTTGTGAAGGTTCCATGTCACATAAAACTTACATTAAATACATTTGTATACTTTTGTCTTGTTAATTTGTATTTTTTTCAGCCATTAACCTTGTGATGTGTGAAAAAAAGATGTTGCTTTTTCTTCCTTACACTGTTGTCTAAAACATTCAAAGGCCCATTGGCAGCTTATTGTTAATAAGCTTTTTGAACAGGTGTTTTCGTCTATGACACTGAAAAATAAACCAGTGGAAGAAACAATTTCATGGATAGCCATCTGTGTAAGGGGATCCAAGAAGACTAGGAATGGCTGTGTTTATGAGAAGCTAATTTTTTTCTCCTCCCCCAGCCTCAATTGCCTCCAAAGATCATAGTTTCAGGACCAATTCTTTTTATTCAGACAAAACTGACAATCCTTCCTTTAGAGACTTCAGACAGGTACTAATCTTAGCAGACTCTAAGAATAGACATAGGTTGAGACATACCCTGTTTTTACAACTAGATTCCCATCCAACTTAAGAAGTTGGATGCTTCTCCTTAAGCTTAAAATCATTTAACAGATTACGGAGTCCCTTTTGACTTTTTAGTTTCAGCTGGCAGCTCCAGCAAAAAGATGCTCACGATGAATAATTTGAGAATTCACAATGAACTAAGCAATTTCTAATTCTGTGCATGACAGCCATTCAGATCTAGCCACCCCAGGCCAAATCTTGTCTGCAGGTTTGCCTGCAAGGTTTCCTACCAAGGCCATAAGGACTGTATGAGCACAGCTGAGGACAGGGTTTGCCCAAAATCTGTGTTTTAACTTGATATCTGTGTCATAATTTTTATCTGGAATTGACTCTAAAGGGTCAGAAATGAGTATCCAAAGATGAGATCTGAGTAAACAAAAGCTGGACACAGAGATGTGCTTTTATCTCTCTCAGTTCAAAGAAAACAAGATCTGCCCAAACCCTGCCACAGTGGTTATGCTTATCACCACAATCAATGCTGGGTTATCACATGTAATAGAAAACTTAATTAGACTCAATTTGAGTTTAGAATGTTCCCATCCTTTGACTTCTAGTTAGATTTTCTCCCCCTAGTTCAGAAATGTGAAGTTAGGATTTTGTACTAGAAATTAAGAAATGTGATTTAGTTAATAGGAGAGAAGAAAAATCTTTAAAATTTATTAACTGGAGTGAGTTCAAATAAAACAAAGCTAACCAAATTTTTTATCTGTTGAATTAATACAAGTCACAAAATTGAACGTGATTTCAATAGGTCCTGTTTACTTCCTAATTGTATTTAACTAATATAATGATCATCAATACTTCTTAACAGCCAATGGTTTAGATACGGTGGCATACTCTAAGGTTTCTTGTCATTATCCCTATTGCACAGTTAAAGCAAAAGAAATAAAGGGCCAGATGTTCCTGGGAAGGTATTTTTTGTTAATATAAGTTATTTCCATTTTTGATTTGGACATATTTGTTTGAAATACTAACAACTTTTAATCAGTGTGCAAAATGTAACCATTACATTTTACAGTATTTTTTAAAATGTGGCAATAGTTTCTTTAGTAAATGCTATGGACAATTATATTAATCTATGATTACACCTAATTAAATAAAATCAAAATAATGTGCATATGGGTTTTGGGATGCAAATTCCAAAAGCTTCAGGAATAAAGTATACTTGGAAAAAAATGTAGAGTGAAGACATGATGGCACACAAACCCACAGGAATAATTTAAAGTACATTTCAGACACACTTCCTTTCTAAGTCACTTGAGATATACTGTTTTCATACCACTGGGGCCCTGGGGGAGCTCAAGGGAACACCAAACCACATTCATTATTTCTTGCCAGGAAATAGTTCTGCAGATTTTTTGTTTGTGGCTACATCCCTTCCTTCCTCAATAGCTGGATTTGTGGGTGGCACACATCAGGTCTGTTTGTTTCCAAAGAGGAATCTGGACCCCCTAAAGTGTCACAATGCCTCCTGACTCTGTGGGGGGTCCCTGGCTCCTGTGGATGCCACTTTCTCTTTTTCCACTGTTCTGCTCAGAGAATTGAAGCATTGGGATAAAGTTGGGATTGGCCGTGTGTGGAATGGGAGAAGTACCTGAGAACACAGACCTGGCATCTGTGGAGACCACCAGTTTGACAAGACTAATTTTGAAGAGAAAAGGAGCAATCATTTCCTCCCTGCAGTTCCAATAGCTGAAATCCTTCACACATCTGTTATTCTGGGTTTTGGATAGAGGAAGAACAAAAGAGAAGTGGGAAACTCTGCAGTGGTTTGGCTGCTTAGATGTAGGCAAAGCACAAGGAAAGCCACCAAGAGGAGAACAAAAGTCTCATCTCCATGTATCTGTACCGTTCAGCATGGGCTGCTTTATGCTGTTGTGCTACCTCACCCAGTACCATAAAGGTTTACTTCTCATTCACGCAATAATCCTCTGCAGTTCAGGATACTCTCCAGGGCAACTGTCCCTGCCATGGAAACTCCACAAAACTCAGGCTTTCAGAGGCTGCCCTGACCTCTACTCCTACCCCCCACCACCCCCCCAACACATTGCACGATCCGAAACACACGGCCCCTTTGGCAGTTGTGGCAGTGGGAGACAGCAGGAAATCCCATACGAGTGATGGGAACTAATGGGGACTACAAAAGATATGTCATTCCTGCTTGCATTTTGCTGGCCATCTCTAGTCACTTCTAGGCAATGCCTGATCTCAAGGAACAGAGGAATCATAGTCCCTGTATATCTGGAAGTGGAGGAGAACTAGATATTTACAGCCCTTATCTTCTGAACTCCTAAAATTAAGTTCTAGTTCTAAGTAGCCTCAGCTTTCCAGCTTTCCAAGAGCTAAGGAAGCCAGGTGATTGATTAAAGGACTTGGATATAGCACAGAAATAACAAAAGCATTGAAAAGGGTAGAAAGGAGAGTTTTGCTTTATCCGTGTCACCCCTCCCACAGATCAGAGAGAGATACCCTTCTAACTGGGGGGAGAAGAGTGACGTCAGCATGGAACATTGCCTCAGACTCCAGCAAGGGGCACACCCCAGTAAGACCCAGCACCAGTCAGGACACCACAACCCGTCTCCAGGCCAGTCCCACTCCAGGCCAGTGGGCTCCAGTCTCCAGCCCACTCCATTACCAGTTCAGCCCCCTCAGACTCAGTCTCAGAGCCTGACCCATGATTAGGCTAGTCCCAGTGGCACCAGGCCCTAGGCCACCTCCTGAAAACTCAGGCTGTAGACCTGCTCAGGACTGCAGGTCCACCCTACCAAAAGGCAGGCACCAACAGCCCCAGGCTGCAAACCACCCCCCAGCAGCAGGCCAGCCCCTATCTACCCAGCTCTAGGCTTCCCCCTTAGCTCCAGACTCTAGGCAAGGACTCACCAACCGAGTCTTTAGACCCTTCCCAACATTATGCTAGTACCCATAATCCTAGCTCCACACTAACCCCTACTGACAAAGAACCCAGTCCAACTGAATATCAGGACAGCCTCCATAGCCCAGGCCAACACCTCTGTGAACCCAGGACTTAGGCTTGTCCCTACAGATTCAGGCTCTAGGCCCACTCCCCACTCTCCCACCCAACAGGCCATCCCCCATGGATTCAGGCTTCAGGCCAATCTCACTGCCAGGCCAGCCCCTGAAGATTCAGGCTCTAGGTCAGTTCCTGCTGATACGAGATCCAGGCCCACCCCTGTGGACCCAAGATCTAGGACCCCTCTTGGGACCCAGTTAACAGGCCCATCCCAGTGGACCCTAGTGCCATATTGTCCCATGAAGACCTAGGACCCAAGCTTGCCCCCATAGACTCAGGCTTCAGGATCACCTTTATGGACCTAGACTCTAGGCTCAACCCTGTGAACCCAGTCAACAAGTTCACCCTGGTGGATAATCCTGGTGCCAGACTAGCCTCTGTGGACCCAGAATCCAGGCTTAATCTCACATATCCAAGGGCCAGGACCACCCACCTGCTGACCCAGGCATCAGGACAGCCTGGCCAAGGGCTACAACAGAAAGCCTTCCTGGGGACCATGCTAGAAAGCCTGCCCAGAATCTCTGGACAGACTGATTGGTGAAGAGCTTTTTCTGCCAAATCCAGTCTTTAAAGACTGCAATAAATTCCTAATTCTTCAAATGCACAGACAGCAATGCAGGGCCACAAGGATTATGAACAATCAGGGAAACATGACACCATCAAAGAAAGAAAATAAAGCACCTGTGGCCAGCCCTAATTAAATCAATATTAACTATCTGACAAAGAATTCAAAATAATCATTTTGAAGAAGTTCAATGAGCTACAAGAGGACAATTAATTGAAATCATGAACAATACATAAATAAACTGGGAAGTTCAACAAATAGATAGAAAACATAAAAAAACAAGAAGGAATTCTGGTTTGAGCTAAAGAACACAATGACTAACTTTAAAAACTTCATAGAGAGATTCAACAGCAGACTCAATCAAGCAGAAGAAATAGTCAATGAGCTTAAGACAGTTCATTCAAAATTACCCAGTGTCAGGAACAATAAGAAAAGACAATGTAAATGAGTGAATAAAGTTTATAGGAATTATGGGACACCATCAAGTTAACCAATTTATGCAATATGAGAATCCAAGAAGAAACAGATAAAGAAAGAAACAGGAGCAGAAAGTTTATTTAAAGACATAATCAGAGAAAGCTTTCCAAATCTGGAGAAGAAAATGAACATTCAAATCCATAAGTTCTCAGAGCACCAAATAGATTAAATATAAAGAGATCTTGTCCAAGACACATTATAATAAAATTTTCGAAGGTCAAAGACAAAAAAAAAAAGAATTGTGAAAGCAGCAAGAGAAAACCAACTTGAAACATAAAATAGAAACACTTGAAGACAAACAGCAGATTTTTCAGCAGCAATCTTGCAGTACAGGAGAGAGTGGGATAATAAATTTAATATTCTGAAGGAGAAATCTGCCAATCAAGAATAATATGCCTGGCAAGACCATCCTTCAGAAATGAAGGAGAGATAAGGACTTTCCCAGACAAACAAAAGCTGTGGGAGTTTATCACTGCTAAAACTGTCTTCAAGAATGCTACAGGAAGTTCTTTGAGTTGACATGAAAGTATACTGACTAGAAACATGAAAACATATGAAACTAGAAAACTCATTGTAAAGGCAAGAATATGGTAAAATTCAGAATACTTTAATGATAGTGCATAAATCACTTCTGACTCTAGAATAAAAGTTAAAAGACAATAGTATTAAAATGATGATGATACTTTCTTAATGGATACACAATATATAAAATATGTACATGTTGATATTAATAACATAAAATGTGGGGATAAGAAGTAACAGTGCAGTGTTTTCTATGGGATCAAAATTAACTTATTATCAGCTTAAAATTGGATGTTATAAAGTGTTAGCCTCATGGTATCCACAAAGAAAAGTCCTGTACTAGGTTCACAAAAGATCAAAGCTCCCTACTTCAGAAAATAATTAAATCACAAAAGAAGACAGCAAGAAAGGAAGAACAATAAAATCAGAAAACAACAAAATGGCATCCTAAGTCCTTAGCTATGAATGATCACACTAATTGTAAATGTATTAAATTTTCCAATCAAAAGACATAGCATGGTTGAATGGATACAGAAAGAAGATCTGACTACATGCTGTGTACAAGAGGCTCACTTCAGCTTTCACATATCTACTAAAAGGTAAGAGATGGAAAATAATAATCCATAAAAATAGAAACCAAAAAAGGCAAAGGTACCTATTCTTATACCAGAAAAAAATAGACATTGAGTCAAAAAGTGTAAAACAAAACAAAGAAAGTTATCATATAATGATAAAAGGGTCAATTCATCAAGAGGATATAACAAATGTAAATATATATGCACCCAACATTGAAGCACCTAAATATATAAAGCAAATATTGACAGAACTAAAAGAAGGAATAGACAAAAATACAATAATGGCAGGGAGCTTTAATATCCCATATTCAACAATGGATAGATCATCCAGACAGAAAATCAATAAGGAAACAGCAAACTTGAATAACGGATGACCAATGGACATATAAGATATATACGGGAAGAGATGCAGAGCAAGATGGTGGAATAGAAAGCTCCACTGATTGTCCCTTCCCCCTCCCACCTGCCCTGCAAGGACATAAAGTTAACAACAATCTACACAGAAAAAAAAAAAAAAAAAACACCTTCATAAGAACCAAAAGTCAGGTGAGCACTCATAGTACCTGGTTTGAACTTCATATTGCTGAAAGAGGCACTGAAGAGATAGAAAAAACTGTTCTGAAACACCAATACCACCCCTCCCTAACCCCCAACAGTGGTGCTGTGGTTCAGAGAGTATCTCTGGGTTCTGAGGAGGAAGAACAGAGCAATTGTGAGGCATGGACCTCAGTGCCGTTCTGTTAGAACAGAAAAGAAAACAAGACCAAATTCAGCTATACTTATACCAGAGAAAATAGATTTCAGGACAAAAACTATAGGAAGAGACAAAAAGTCTTGCTATACAATAATAAAGGGGTCAATTCAGCAAGGAGATATAACAATGTTAAATATACATGCACCCAACACTGGAGTACCCAGATATATAAAGGAAATATTAGAGCTAAAGAGAGAGATAGACCTCAACTCTATAATAACTGGAGACTTCAATACCTCACTTTCAGCATTGAACAGATCTTCTAGATAGAAAATCAACAAAGAAACATCAGGCTTAATCTGCACCATAGACCAAATGGATCTAATAGATATTTACAGAATATTTCATCCAAGACCTGCAGAATACATTATTTTCCCTAGCATATGTATCATTCTCAAGGATAGATCACACATTAGGTCATAAAACAAGTTTGAAAACATTTAAAAAATTGACATAATATCAAGCATCTTATCTGACCAAAATGAAATAAAACTAACAATTAATAACAAGAGTAATTTTGGAAGCTATACAAATACACGGAAATTAAACAATATGCTTCTGAATGACCAGTGGGTCAATAAAGAAATTAAGAAGGAAATTGAAAAATATTTTTAAACAAATGATAATGGAAGCACAACACACCAAAACCTATGGGATAGAGCAAAAACAATACTAAGAGGAAATATTATAGCTATAAATGTCTACATAGAAAAAGAAGAAACACTCCAAATAAACAATCTAACAACATATCATATAAAACTAGAAAAGAAAGAGCAAACCACACCTAAAATTAGTAGAAGAAAAATAATAATAATAAAGCAGAAACAAATGAAACTGAAATTAAAAATACCAAAGATCAATAAAACAAAAAGTTGAATTTTTGAAAAGGTAAACATAATTGACAAACTTTTAGCCAGACTAAGAGAAAAGGGAGAAGATCCAAATAAATAAAATCACAGATGAGAAAGGAAACATTACAACAGATACTACAGAAATTCAAATGATCATTAGTGACTGTTATGAGCAACTATATGCCAATAAATTAGGAAATCTAGAAAAAAAAGTATGAATTCCTAGATATATGCAATATAACAAGCTTGAACCAGGAAAAAAATCCAAAACCTGAACAAACCAATGACAAGTAATGAGATTGAAGCTGTAATAAAAAGTCTTCTAGTAAAGAAAAGCCTGGGACCTGATGGCTTCACTGATGAATTCTACTAAACATTTAAAGAAGAACTCATACCAATTATACTCAAACTATTGTGAAAAACAGAGAGGAGGGATACTTCTGAACTCATTCTATGATGGCAGTTTTACCCTGATACCAAAACGAGACAAAGACACATCAAAAAGGACAACTATGGGTCGATATTTCTGATTAATATTGATGCAAAAAAATCCTCAACAAAATACTAGCAAACCTGAATTGAACAATACTTTAGAAAGAGTATTCATCACAACCACGTGAGATATATCCCTGGGATGTAAGGATGATTCAACATAAGCAAATCAATCAATGTGATGCCTCATATTCACAGAAAGAAGGATTAAAAACCATATGATCATTTCAGTTGATGCTAAAAAGCATTTGATAAGATTTAACATCCCTTTATTTTAAAAACCCTAAAAAAAACTTGGAATTGAATAACATACATCAACATAATAAAGGCCATATATGACAGACCCACAGCTAGTATCATACTGAATGGAGAAAAACTGAAAGCTTTTTCTCTAACATCAGGAACATGACAAAGATGCCCACTGTCACCACTGTTATTTAGCATAGTACTGGAAGCCCTAGTTAGAGTAATCAGAGTAGAGAAAAATATAAAGACATCCAAATTGGAAAGGAATAATTCATATTATCCTTGTTTGCCAATGATATAATCTTATATTTGGAAAAACCTAAAGACTCCACAAGAAAACCATTTGAACAGATAACTAAATTCAGTAAAGTTGTAGGATACAAATCAACATAAAAATCAGTAGCATTTCTATATACCAACAGTCAACAATGTGAAAAAGACATAAAAACCTAATTCCATTTACAATGGCCACAAATAAAATTAAATACCTAGAAATTAACTTAACCAAAGAAATAAAAGATGTCTATAATGAAAACTATAAAACACTGTTAAAAGAAATTGAAGAGGACCCAAAAAATGGGAGAGTATTCCATATTCATGGATTGGAAGAATCAGTATTGTTATAATGCCCATACTATCCTATGGAATCTCTATCAAAATACCAATGACATTCTTCATAGAAATTAAAAAAAAACTAAAATTTATATGGAACCACAAAAGACCCAGAATAGCCAAGGCTATCCTAAGCAAAAAGAACAAAACTGGAGGAAACACATTACCTGACTTTATCAATCCATGCCCACACTGCGAATAAAGATATATTCAAGACTGGGTAATTTATAAAGGAAAGAAGTTTAATTGACTCACAGTTCACCATGGCTGGGGAGGCCTCAGAAAACTTACAATCATTGCAAAAGGGGAAGCAAACATGGCCTTCTTCACATGGCAGCAGCAAGGAGAAGTATAAGCCAAGGGGGAAAAAGCCCCTTATAAAACCATCAGATCTCATGAGAACTCACTCAGTATCACAAGGACAGCATGAGGGTAAGTGCCCTCATGATTCAATTACCTCCACCACGTCCATCCCATGACACATGGGGATTATGGGAACTACAATTTAACATGAGATTTGGGTGGGGACAAAGGCAAACTATATAACTAACTTCAATTTATACTACAGAGCTATAGTAACCCAACAACATGGTACTAGCACAAAACAGACACATAGACCAATGGGAACAGAATAGAGAAACCAGAATCAAATCCATACACCTACAGTGAACTCATTTTTGACAAAGGTATCAAGAACATACACTGGGGAAAAGAAAATGTCTTCAATAAATGATACTGGGAAAACTGAATATCCATATGCAGAAGAATGAAACCAGAGCCCTGTCTCTTGCCATATACAAAAATCAAATCAAAATGGATTAAAGATTTAAGTCTAAGGCATCAAACCATGAAATTCCTACAAGAAAATGATGGAGAAAAATCTCCAGGACATTGGTGTGGGTGAAAATTTCTTGAGCAATACCCCACAAGCACAGGCAACCAAAGCAAACACGGACAAATGGGATCACATCAAAAAGCTGCTGCATAGCAAAGGATACAATCAACAAAGTGAAGAGGCAATCCAAGAATTGGAGAAAATATTTGGAAACTACTCATCTGATAAGGGATTAATAACCAGAATATATAAGGAGATCAAACATCTCTGCAGGAAAATATCTAATAATTCGATCAAAAAATGGGAAAAAAAATTAAGTAGACATTTTTTCAAAAGAAAACAAACAAATGGAAATCACACTTATGAAAAGGTGCTCAACATCACTGACCATCAGAGAAATGAAAATCAAAGCTACGATGGGATATCATCTCACCCAGTTAAAAGAGCTTATATTCAAAACATAGGCAATAACAAATGCTGGGGAGGATGTGGAGAAGAGGGAAACCTTGTACACTGTTGGTGGGGATGTAAATTAGTACAACAATTGTGGAGAAGAGTTTGGAGGCTTCTTAAAACACTAAAAATTGAGCTACCATGTGATTCAGCAATCACGCTGCTGGTTGTATACCCAAAATATAGGAAATCAGTATATCAAAGAGATGTCTGCACTCCTATGTTTGTTTAGGAGTGCAGTAAAGCTAAGATTTGGAAGCTATTACAAATAGCTAAGATTTGGAAGCAAGCTAAGTGTCCGTTAACAAGTAGATAAAGAAAATGTGGTACATATATACAATGAAGTACTATTCAGACATAAGAAAGAATGAGATGCAGTCATTTGCAACACAGATGAAACTGGAGCTCATTATGTTTAGAGAAATAAACCAAGCACAGAAAGACAAACATTGCGTGTTCTCACTTATTTGTGAGATCTAAAAATAAAAAAAAAATGAACTCATGAACACATAGAGTAGAAGGATGGTTACTAAAGGCTATGAAAGGTTTGGGGGGCTGGAGAGTAGGTAGGGATGGTTAATAGGTACAAAAAAATAGAAAGAATGAATGAGACTGAATAAGAATGAATGAATTTGATAGCACAACAGGGTGACTATAGTCCATAATAACTGTGTATTTTAAAATAACTTAAAGTCAGTAATTGGATTGTTTGCAACTCAGTGGATAAATGCTTGAGGGAATGGATATGCATTCTTCATGATGTGCTTATTTCATATTGCTTGCCTGTATCAAAACATCTCATGTACCCTGTAAATATACATACTACTATGTACCCACAAAAATTTTAAAAATTTAAAAGACATATACAGAACATTCCTTTTAAAAGCAGTACAATATACGTTCTTTTCAATTGCACTCAGAACATTCTCTAGCATAGATTATTTTAGGCCACAGAAGAAGTCTTAACAAATTCAAGAAGATTCGAATCATAGCAAGTATCTCTTCTGACCACAATGCTGTTAAACTAGAAATAAGTAACAGAAAGAAAAATTAGAAATACACAAATATGTGGAAATTAAACAACACACTTTGGAAGAGCCAATGGGTTAAAGAAGAAATCAAAACGGAAATCAAAAGATATGTTGAGACAAAGAAAAATGGAAACACAATATACCAAGACTTATGAGACACAACAAAAATCACTTTTAAGACGGAAATTTATAGCCATAAGTTCCTACATTAAGAAAGAATAGGCCGGGCGCAGTGGCTCACGCCTGTAATCCCAACACTTTGGGAGGCCGAGGTGGGCGGATCACGAGGTCAGAAGATCCAGACCATCCTGGCTAACACAGTGAAACCCTGTCTCTACTAAAAATACAAAAAATTAGCCAGGCGTGGTGGAAGGCGCCTGTAGTTCCAGCTACTCGGGAGGCTGAGGCAGGAGAATGGCATGAACCCGGGAGGCGGAGCTTGGTGTGAGCCGAGATCGCGCCGTTGCACTCAGCCTGGGCGACAGAGCGAGACTCTGTCAAAAAAAAAAAAGAATAAAGATCTCAAATAAGCAACCTAACTTTATACCTCAAGGAACTAGAAAAAGAAAAACAATCTAAGCCCAAAGTCATCAGAAAGATGGAAATAATAAAAATTATTATTAGCAAAACAGAGACTAGGAAAACAATAAAAAATATCAAGGAGACTGAAGAGTTAATATTTTGGCAAAATAAACAAAACTGACAAACCTAAGGAAAAAAGAGAGAAGACACATATAATTAAAATTACATATAAATTAGGATACATTACAACTGATGCTACAAAAAAAAATTATAAGACTACTCTGAACAATTATACATCAACAAATTGGATAACCCAGAAAAATGGATAAATTCCTAGAAACATACAACCCACTAAGGCTGAGTCATAAAGAAATAGAAAATCTGAACAGACCAATAACAAGTAAAGAGACTAAATCAGTAATCAAAAACCTCCCAACGAAAAGTTCAGTGATTGATGGCTTCCCTGGTAATTTCTACCAAACATTTAAAAAAGAATTCATGCCAATCCTTCTCAAACTCTTCTAAAATATTGAAGTGGTGAGAACACTTCCAAACTCATCTTACAAGTCTAGCATTACTCTGATATCAAAGCCAGACAAAGACATTATAAGAAAAGAAAATTACAGGTCAATGTTTCAGATAAAGATATATGCAAAAATCCTTAAAAAACACTGGCAAACTGAATTTAATAGCCCATAAAAAGGATTACATATCATGATTAAATGAAATGTATATTTTGTTTGGGGGGGATGCAAAGATAGCTCAACATATGCAACTCAATAAATGTAACACACTACATTGATAAAACGAATGATAAAAATCATATGCTCATCCCAAGAGATGTAGAGAAAGCATTTGATAAAATTCAACATCTTTTCACTATAAAAACTCTTCAACGAATTAGGTATAGAAGGAATATACCTCCACATAATAAGAGCCATTTATAACAAGCCCACATTTAACATTATACTAAATGGTGAAAAGCAGAAAGCTTTTATTCTAAAATCAGGAACAAGATGGATGCCCACTCTCATCACTTCTATTCAATATAGTATGGTAGTGCTAGTTACCACAATTATATTTAAAAAAATAAACACAAGCCATCCAAATTGGACAAGAAAAAAGTAAAATTGTCTCTGTTTGCAGATGATGTAATCTTATATATGGAAAATTCCAAAGACTCCATCCAAAAACTTTCAGAACTGATAAATTCAGTAAAGGCGAAGGATACTAAATCAACATACAAAAGTCAGTAGATTTGTATACATTAACAACAAACCATTTGCAAAATAATTTAAGAAAACAATTCCATTTACAATAGCTTTAAAATATGTGTAAAATATGTAGAAATAGAGGTAAAATACCTGTACACTGAAGACCATAAAACATTGATAAAATTGAAGACAAAAAAAATGGAAAGGTATCCCAAATTCATGAATTGGAGGAATTCATATTGTTAAAATGTTCATACTACCCAAAGTGATCCAGATTCAATGCAATCAAAATTCCAATAACATTTTTCACAGAAACAGAAAACAATCCTTTATATGGAATCACAAGAGACTCTGCATAACCAAGGCAGTCTGGAGCAAAAAGAGCAAATCTGGAAACATCACACTACCTGGTTTTAAAAAATACTTCAAAGCTATAATAATCAAAGCAGCATGGTACTGGAATAAAAAGAGGTACATGAAACAATTTAATTGAATGGCAAAGCCAGAAATAAATCTACACAATTACAGTTAACTGATCTTTGACAAGGTGCCAGGAACATGCAATGAAGAAAGAACAATCTCTTCAATAAATGGTGTTGGGAACACTAAATATCCACAAGCAAAAAAAAATTGAAATTGGACCCTCATCTCATGCCATGTACAAAAATCAACTCAAAATGGATTAAAGACTTAAACATAAGACCTGAAACTGTAAAACTATTAGAAGACAACATAGGGGGAAATCACCGTGACATTGGTCTGGGCAATGATATTTTTGGGTATGACTTCAAAAGCTCAGGCAGCAAAAGCAAAAATAGACAAAAGGGATTTTATTCAACTAAAAAGCTTCTTTACAGCAAAGGAGACAATCTACAGAGTGAAAAGGCAGCCCATGAAATGGAAGAAAATATTTGCACAGCATTCTTCTGATCAGGGATTAATTTCCAAAATTTATAAGGAACTCAAACAATTCAATAGCAAGAAAATGATAAGGTTAAAAAATAGGCAAAGGACTTGAATAAACATTTCTCAAAAGAAGACGTAGAAATGGCCAACAGTTATATTTTTAAAATCCTCAACATCACTCATCAAAAGTACAGTGAGATATCACCTCACGCCTCTTAGAATGGCTGCTACCAAAAAAGACAAAATATAAGCATTAACAAGGATGCAAAGATAGAGGAACCCTTGCACACTTGTTGGTGGGAATGTAAATTAAGTCATTAGGGAAAACAATATTAACATTCCTCAAAAAAATAAAAACTGAACTACCATGTGATTCAGCAACCCCACTTTTGGGTATGTGTATATATATTCCCCATAACCAAGACATGGAATCAACCTATGTGTGTTAATCTACAGATGAATGAATAAAAAAAAGTGATACACACACACACACACACACACACACGCAATGGCCAAGACATGGAATCGAACCATGTGTGTTAATCTACAGATGAATGGATAAAGAAAATGTGATACACACACACACATACACACACACACACACAATGGAATACCATTGAGTCTTTAAAAAGCGGGAAATACACAGATAAACCTAAAAGGCATTATGCTAAGTAGAATAAGCCAGGAACAGAAAAACAAATACTGCATGAGCTCACTTACACATGGAATCTAAAAAAGTTGTGAACTTATTAATGCAGAGAGTAGAGTGGTGATTTTTCAGGGGGAAGAAGGTAGAGGGATGGAGAGATGTTGGTCAAAGAATACAAAACTTCAGTTAAGCAGGATAAATAATTTCTAGAGATGTATTATAGGGCATGATGACTGTAGTTGATAATAATGCATTGTAGACTTGAATATTGCCAAGAGAGTAGATAAATGTTCTCACAACAAAAATGATAAGCATGTGAGGTTACAGATGTGTTACTAAGCTAATCATTTCACAATGTATACACACATCAAAACATCATGTTGTATAGTGTAAATATATACACATTTTATGTCAACTATACCTTAATAAAAATCATTAAAAATTATAAAAGAAATTAAAAAATTAACTTGTGAGGAATAATACAGATTATAAAGTTCTTTTGAAAATGTCAATTTATGTAAGTTTCAAAACAATCCTGTGAGAAGAACTTACATACTTCACCTAAGTTACAGGTGAAGAAACCAAGACTCAGAAGTTTACATAAAGAAAGTTTAAGGCAGAGGCAGGAATGAGTGTTAGTTAGGGGCAGTTTTACTTATTTCAGGGCCTTTGAAAACTCAGACAAGACCATACTTTAACACATACCTTGTCTCTTCTAAATGTCAGCTGCCACTTGCCTTTTATGCCAATGGTTATTGTCACTGGTGACGTCTGAATTCACTTTCTCTAAGTGTTTGCTTACAGTTCCTGGTCTCCTCACCTGCCTGGAATTCACCAAAACTAAACCTGGGAACTCACACTGTGCTTGTCCTTACTTTGGATCATAGCTACAGCATTCTCACGGGCCCCTAAGGCTTCTTTTCCAGCCCTCAATGCCAACTCACAACCTATGGATGCCCAGCTGATCCTGTCTCACCTCCTCACAAATGAGGCTCTAATTCAAACCAGCTCACTCTGTGGTTGTTTGTTTTGCACCCTGAGCCACACCTCAGCAATTACAGGTAGGCATGGGAGGAAGAGATGGAAGGGCTCCCTGAAGTCTGAGTGTTTGTGGGCACAAAGCTAAATGTTCCCTTCAGCCCAACAATTAAAAGCCAGGCTCAAAACAGAGAGGCAAAGCCTCCTATGTGCCAAGCTACTTAGAAGAAAAATATAAATGCCAGCAGCCCAGACCGCCAGCAAGACTGCTGGAAGGTATGGGGACTTGCAGAATGAGGCTGCAGCATCATGATCTCCTGGAGACA
This sequence comes from Homo sapiens, assembly GCF_000001405.40. Lineage (NCBI taxonomy): Eukaryota > Metazoa > Chordata > Mammalia > Primates > Hominidae > Homo > Homo sapiens. The sequence goes on from NC_000003.12 coordinate 99,498,756, forward strand.
GGACTGAGGCAGGCCAGGAACTGTGCAGGAGGGAGGGAGGGAGGGAGAGGAATGTGTCTCCCAACAGCATGTTTGAGAACAAGCAGTTATTTTCCCCAAAGCCATCTGTGAGACTCTCAACTTGTGCCTGAAAAATAAAAGGGCGAGACAGAGAGAGAGAGAGAGAGAGAGAGAAAAGTGAATTACTGGAAAAAATAGGTATCTCTTTGGGAGTTTGTGAGGGCAGCGAAAAGACTGTCTACCAGTCTGTTAGTCTTGGCAGCTGCATGTCTGTGAATCCGGCCATGGTCAGGGTTTCCAAGGCCCTACTTCTGGAAAATGCAGAAAGGGTTTAACCTGAAACGTGGACCGTAGATGGCTCTGGCGTGATCTAAGTCAGAGGGAACCGTGAGGTCCCTCAGCACAAGGGGTCACTCAGGTGATATTGTGACTAATTGCATTAAAGATTGTACAGGAACATGTCTCCAATTAGACAGAAGTCTCTCAGGAGGCAGGTTCCTACAAGGTTTTTTTTTTTTTTTTTTTTTTGACTCTATCAATTACAGCCTGAGAAGTGTTTTAAACAGTACACGATGGATAAGAAATTCCTCATTGCCAAAGGAGAGGCCATTTGCCCAGCACTCTTCATCCACCAGAGGGCAGATGTTCTGGCTAAAGTGGCTGCTTCCTCCAAGCTACTTTGTATTTTACAAGAAATATGACTTTTTCTTCCTTATGCCTGTAGACATTTAGGGATGTCTTTGGTTGCAAGTAGCAGAAATCTTGCTTCACAGTCGCTCAAACAAATACAAGTGTATTTTTCTCACATAACAAGATTTTGGATCTAGATAGCAGCTGGCATTGGTTCAGTAGCTCAGTGGCATCAGGGCTAGTATCTCTGGAATTCTCTCACTTTCCCTCAGGCTTGTCTCTCTCATAATCACAAGATGGCTGCTGCATCAGTGGGCACTATGCTCATGTTGAAGATAGGAAAAAAGTAGAAGGGCAGAGTCCCCTGTGTTAATCCCAAATTATCAGGACTGCAATTGTATCAGAATCTCCATCAGACCTCTGCATGTGCCCTACTGGTCAGATCTCCATCACACAGCCACACCTAGCATAAAGGGAGCCTAAGGATGTGAGAACCTAACTGGACACCCTGTCAGTCAGAAAAAAATCAGAGTTCTATCAACTACAAAGAAGACGGAACTATTACTGGGGAGGAAACCAACAGTGTCTGCCACACCCTGTGCATAGCACTGATCAAATTGCATTGAAATATTCTGTTTCTTTCTCTCTCTTCTCTTTCGCCAGAATTAATAGCACTTGGCAGACAGAGACACCCAGTCATTCTTGTATTCCCAGCACATGGCACACACTGCCTGGCACAAAATAGACTTAATAAACATAACTTAAGTTCAAAAAATATTGGCAGAACTAAACTCCAAATAATAGTGAGGCAAAAGAATTGCATTTAGGTTCATTTGTGCCTACACATCTCCCTAAAGATAACAGGAGATATTGCTGGAAAAGAAACATAAGGTAATCAAAAGATAGGCACTCAGAAAATGAGTAGATGATGCTCTTTGGATGCACAAAGTTTCTAACACACACACTGAAATAGGTAATGATAATAATAGCTACTGCTTTTTAAGTTCCTAGGAAAAATTAGATGTTCTGTAAATACTACCTCTGATCCTACTATCTTTATAAGTTACATATTATTTGCCTCATTTTAGAGAAACTGGGAAAGTGGCCCGAGGTCTAAGAGCTGGAAACAAACAGTAGAACCAGAATGTGAATCCAGGTGAGTCTATCTTTCTCCACTCTCCATCCTGCCTCCTGCGTGAGGGTGTCCAGTACTTTCATTTTACTCAAGGGAAACTGTAGTGCCGAGAGGTCATATGAGGACTCGCTCCAACTAGATAATAAGTTTCCTGTCTCCAAGGACATGTTTCTATCTTTATTCTCTGCCGCCCTCAACACCTCACTAAGCAGAGAAAGAGTGTACTGTGCTGTTGAAGCTACAATGGTATTGTTAGCTGTGCTGTGCTGTGTTAGCTGTGCTGTGCTGTTAGCTACAACAGTGTTGCTAAGTATGAGGAAAGGCTTACTGACAGCTGGCTTTCTTATCCAGATCTATGATAAAACTATGGAGAAGAAGATGGAGCCAGAAGTGTACAAGCCCCTCCCTTCTCTGAATCCCATCCCATCCAGCAGAAGAGGCAAGTGTATGTGGTTTTGGAGCATTAGATGAAGCATCTTACAAATTTCCTGTAAACGTGTGTGATAAAATGTGAACAAAGATGAAACGGCTGCATTTTGATTCCTGGCTTCATGTTGCCCACAATGGTCCACAAATGATTGGAGTTCCCTGGTCACCATCTTTCTCTCTAATTGATAAGTTGAGCTCTGTGCCAAGAGCTCAGTCAGGTATGCCTCAGTGGAAAAATGTAATATTTCAATTCTGACTTACCTAAAGGCCAATATCACATGGCCTACAGTCTGTGGATGTGCCCAGTTGGTATCAATTGCATTGCTTATGGCAAATACAATGCAGATGAGGTCCTTCATCAAGAAATCAGAACCTAATCCAATAAAACCTGCTCATGCAAGCAAAAGCAGTCTTGAGTATTTCAAGATGCCCAGGGGCTGAGAGACAACCCCATCCAAGGAGTGTTCATGGCGTTTGCACTCTTCTAAAACATTCACTTCTAAGAATATGTACAAAATAAGGGTGGAGTTGGACGTAGTGAAAAACCTCCGATAAGTCGCAGCAAACCAAAACTGGCTTTTAAGGATCTTGAGCTCAGCAGCAACATACACACTGAGGTCTTATAATCCTTTGGATGGAATAAGGGAATTCTCCTTTATACGAAAAAAATATTTTGAGATATTCAGGCACAAACAGAGACTGTACATTTTGGCAGGAAACTCATCTGGAATTTTAAAGCCAAAATTATAAGTTCGAAATGAGAGAAAAGAGAACCACAGTCAGGGTTGTCATAAATAGAATAATTTTATTCTTCATGTTTTCACCAAAATAACAATCATACATTTCAACAGTGGGTTTTTTTTTCCATTGGTACCAAATGGATTATTCAGAACATCTCATTTTGATTTATTGAGAGCAAACATAACAATTGTTCAAATTAGAGTACAGAGTTTAAATTAGGTAAACACTGGGAAGGAATCAAACAAAAACCTATTTTGTGCTAAGCTGGGAATCTCTTGTGTGTTGAGTAGTGGTGTCGCATGCAGTCCCAGGGCCCTTGGCTCCAAGTCCACACAGCCAGGCACTCCCTGGGCTGTGCCCAAGGCCTTGAGGGCAATGGCGTCTGGAGTCTCCCAGTTTTATTGTTGGTTTGCATAACTCTCGCAACCAACTCTAAACTAGAGGTATATCCTGAATTGGACCTCCTGGGAAATGAAGTGATTACTTCCAAATTCACCAGTCAGAATCTCTGTAATCTGGAGCTCTTGGCTGTGGCCAGAAAAGAGCAGGGTGGGTGGAAGGTGGAAAGTCCTCCACTGAGCTCTGCCACTGGTTGCAAGTTATAGAATCAATATCATACAGAAGCAAAATGACCACCCTTGCATGAGTTACTAAGAGCACCCATATTATTCCAAAAAACATGGTGGGTTGTGGAAATAGAGGATAGATGCTGGCCAAGCAATGCCTGCAGATGGGAAACTTCTAACCCACCCTTTGGGAGGCAATCTCATTCTTGATGAAGCCATTACAAATGCAACGACAGAAGATATTACAGTCACTGCAGTCACCACAACAGAGATCTTATGGGGAAAAATCAATATCTTAATTTCTTCTGGATTTTTTAATAGAAAAGTATTTTCTATTCCAAATATTAAACATGAGCTTCAGGAGGAGTAACTAGACTAAGGTTTTTAGATCAGTACATGTAATAGAGGAACATTCTTGTTTGTAATAAGCTTGTTTCTTCCTTGTGTATTTGTTTTCACAGTAAGGGCTAAATTCTCCCCTCTCTGAAAAGTGAGAGAAGAAAACTACAAAAATACAGTTGACAATTATAATAAAGTGTATACTTTTATATACTTTGATATATCAAAACCTATTAAAAATTTAAGGATAAAGGCATATTAAATGCTATGAAAAAAGTATACCTATTACTTTCATATGACACACTCTACACCTAACCTTGGGTGCACTAAACATTCTAATTCTGCATTCTTTATTCTGAGAAGTCTACTTCCTGACTTGATACATTCACCTCCCTGGCAGGGTATCAGCAGAGGAAATGGAGTAGTAGAAACAGAAATACAAACTCCCATGCAGTTGAAAGCTGAGAAAGAGAAACTGTGATATGTACTTTACAGGCCGGCTTTCTCTCCCCTAACTCAAAATTAGAGCAAAGGGAATGAAATTTGAGCAATCATAACTCACATTTCTATAGCTCCTGCAGTGTACAAAGAGCCTTTACACATGTGATCTCATTGAAACAGCAAAACATTCCACCTTCTGAACAATTTCTAGGGTCAGAAAGTATATGTGTAAAACAGAAGGTGGCCTGTTCTTAAATAAGGATCTTCTTTATTGATAGTAGGTCAACACAAACATAGCTGAGTCCCTTAGGTTTGGGTTCCAGAAGCAGACTCTGATGGAACAAAAAAAAATAATAAAGAGATAAAATGTGAACAAATGTGGGAGTGATTCACTCCTAACCAGGAAATTGGGACAGGGAAGGAAAAGCAGCCAAGCAAAGGCGGGATTTCAGGCAAAGTCCTAGCTTCAGCCTGATCCCCAAAGGGAATCTGGAATATAAGCCACACTTTAGAGTTTGTCCTGACCAGTAGCACAGGGGCTGGGCCTTCATATTCCTGAAGATACACTCATGGGCTAAGGGCTTAGGGGAATGGAGTGGAGTGATCGGGGAACACAAAATCCCGGACACTTCTGGCTGTCTGCACAGCTCCAGAAGAGTTGCAAGTGAGGACTGTTAGGAGAAAATCAAACAAACAAAAGAGGGGAAGCTCACAGACATAAACAGTAAAAGGGATTTGAGGGAATCTGGGCAGAGTAATAGCACAGTCCACTGTGGGTTTAGCTTTACAGAAAACAGACTTTGAAAAACAGAATATTAAGGCTACCAATTCAAAGCCCAATACCAAAACTACTGAAATGTTTGCAAAAAGAATGTCATGGTGTAAGTGTGAAAAGTAGTTGAAGGAGAAAGATCAAATGGACCCTTACTATATGGTTGTTCAAAGGTGGCTTAAAATATAAAATTCTATTGAGCAAATCACATGGCTCAATTAAGGCCAACACTAAATTAATTCTGACTGTTACTGACTAGCCACAAAAGACGTAAGACAAATCTTTTCACATTACTGAGTCCCAAGCTGCTTTTTAAATGGAGGGATAGGAGATAAGGTTATAATAACAATTAACATGTATTTGTATATTTATACTGTGCCAGGTGCTAAGTGGTTAGCCTAGATGATCTCATTACAAGTTAGTGTTATAAATCTCCCCATTTCATAGGTCACACAAGCTAGTAAAGGGCAGAGCCATGGTTTAAACCTAAACATGTCAGTTTCAAAAACTGGGTGTTAAACTGTTCCAATACTGCTTCCCAGAGGGAATCCACGTCATTTATAGCTCTGGAATTCAACTGTTTGAACTCATGCCCTATGAGTTCACATGTGGCAGATGTAAGAAAAGAGGGACACAGAGTAAACAAAGACATTCATAGACAGGATACTGTCTCCACATTGCACAACTCCTAGGGACACTGGTTACCACCTGCATCCGCCATCTAGGGTTTTGCATTGCTGGGATATTCAACAAGGCCCTGATTAAGCAAGTTTAGATGATTCCTGCCATCTCAATTCCTGATGATGTGCCTAACCAATATGTTGTAAACTTAGTTGGGTGGATTAGCTTTAGAAAAAGCTAATTGAGATGTCAAGGCCTAAAGACCACATTTTCCTTTTTTTCTTTTTTTTTAAGCCTTTCTTTTCTATTGCAAGTTACTAAGGAATTTGCTGGCTGTCCAAGTAATTCTTAATATTTTTTAAATCCAAGGTTTTCCCTAACTTAGTGTGCTGCCTGTCTCCAATAACAAAGGCCTTCAGACCACACTAAACACAAATGTCACCTTAAAAGCTTGTACCATTTATGATGGCAGTGAGGGGAGTAGGTTAAGGGTGAAAAGGTTTTCACCTCACACACACATCATACAGGAAACTTATTTATGTGTTAAGCACTACCCATGACTTTGGCCTAGATTTAAGGCCTGAAAATTAGCATAAAATTTGTGTTCTATTAAAGTACTTTTCAGACAGATTTGACTTTGTCAAAGAACTCAAAACATTTTAACATGAAGATTTATTCCCACATTCTTGGGATAGATCTCCATTATAGAAATTATCAAATTATTATTATCTGTTTATATAAATTTATGAATGCTTCCTCTTGAAGGTAATCTCTTTGAGGACAGAAGCCATGACCTAGGTGTCTCTCTTTCCCCAGGTCTGGAATATGACAGCTACTCACTGTCAAGGAATTAATGAGTCTATAGTACTATGCAGCACTGAGCATGTTCTCCTATCTCCTCAAAGAAGAGAGAGAACCCTTACATTTACTTATCAGAGAACTGAGAAAATGAAACCACATTCTTCATGTGTGAAGAATCAAGTGACATTGTACCCTAGGGACTCAATAAGGCTACTCCATCTTGCAAAAAAAAAGATATCTTACTAGAAATATTAAAATAAAATGTCAAGATGTGTATTAAACTCGGTTGGACCAGAAATGTATATTTTTTATTCAAGCATGAAAAGGATATGTATCCATCCAATGTGGTTTTCAGAGCCTATGTCCCCATGTAGGGGAAAAAATTCTCCCTCACCACTCGCCTCGAGACCCACCCTTAGAGCTTTATTTTTTTTAGCACAGTGTTTAGGGTGGAATGGAAATCCCTGTGGGATAGGAAACACTTTAACCTTTAACTGTAGTTATCAATCACTTATAATGTAATATGAATAAAAGCTCTCAGAGCAGAATTTTTATCAAAAGCACTGAGGATGTGAAAGTGTAGTTACACTTATATCAAGGATTATATAGTAAAATGAAAAAAGAGCAGAGTTTTTCTGAAGTCACATTTCACCTCTTCACTGACTTACTTTGGGCTGGCCTTGATTGGAACCAGGAGGCCATTCGTCTGTGGGCATCAGGACCAACCCTCCCCTCCAAAGCAGAAACTCAAAATACACTGCAGTCTTCAACCATTCTTTCTGTGGGCCCAATGCACAGCTGCTGTTGCTTCCTCCTCAGTCTGGGGAATCACCCAAAGATCATTAGATTCAGAATGACTTGGCAAACCAAAATCTTAAGAGAGTGCAGTCGCGTGGCCCAGTCACTATTCCACAAGTCCTCGGTTGTGAGTCACAGTCAGAGTACTTCACAGACCTTAGCAAGTGATGTAATAATCTGGAGCCCGAGAATTGTGAAATCGAGGATTTGCCACCAATTAACCGTGTAACTGTAAGGCTTTGGTTTCCTTAAATGTTAAATATATATATATATATGAGGGGAGGGGAGATACTGCATAATCAAATAAAAGTAGGAAATGCTTCATTAAAAGAAACTTAATACTTTTTTTTTTTTATTTTGGGAATCCCCAAAGCCTATAATATGTTAATATGAACTGCAAATCTCCAGGAGGGGAAACAGTGTCCCAGGTTTCCCAACCTCATTTCATTTTGGAACCCTATTTTCTTTTTTCTTTTTTTTTTTTTTTTTTTTTTGAGATGAAGTCTCACTCTTTCACCCAGGCTGGAGTGCAGTGGCGGGATCTTGGCTCACTGCAACCTCAGCCTCCCAGGTTCCAGTGATTCTCCTGCCTCAGCCTCCCAAGTAGCTGGGACTACAGGCACGTGCCACCATGCCCAGCTAATTTTTGTATTTTTAATAGAGACAGGGTTTCACCATGTTTACCAGGCTGATCTTAAACTCCTGACCTTGTGATCCACCCACCTCGGCCTCCCAAAGTGCTAGGATTACAGGCATGAGCCACCGCACCCAGCTGGAACTCTATTTTCAAATATCATTTTCTAGAACTCGTATTCTACTGGTTACAATTTGGAAAATGCTAGACTAAGTGATCCCCAAAGGCCTCCAAGCATTAATATTCTAAAATTTTACTCTCTGATTCTTTTCTTCCCCCTTTAATCCTAATAAGGAGCTCCACATGAGATTCTGCATATCCAAACTCTTTGCAAACTTAAAAATACCAAAAAACTGTTAGCTATTATAACATGGGGGCAGGACCAGGGAGATGAAGCGTATCCTGTCAACACCCTGAGAACATGGGTAACAGTCTCCACTAGAAAATCTCTGACCTGCAATTATGTCTTTTTGTAATGTGCTTAATTACATACTTAGAAAATAAATTCTAGAATTCCAGCACAATTTTTGTTTAAGGAAATAAGAAAATCCTTTGTTTTGCATAAACGGTGTTACAACTAATTAAGGGAGAAATTAGCTGCCAGGTTACATGAAAAGATAAGACCTGATTCCATGACATCTTCTTTGCATTCATGAGAAGCGAGCTGATGGTCTGCTGCCTGTGTGGTGTTTAGCTCAGCCTCCACTGACTGGGACTCATTAGCCAAGGGTTACAAAAAATGTAACCAATGCTTTTTCCAGATATTCCACCGCAAACCAAGTAAGACGGTGTCTGTCCCTTGCCTTGAAGGCCTGGGTCTGAGCCACTCACGATGCTCCCTCCAGCTCAGCCTGCGGCATGGGATTTTCATTAGATGGCGTTCCTTGTATTCAAGCAAGTCCTGCTGGGGTATAAATACCGCTCCTTTGTTTTTGGAGAAGTGAAGAAGGAGGTAAGCATGTTAATAAACAGCTATTCATTAACTTTTTAAATAATTTTAATGTTCAATAAACTTCTTGTTCTAGTCTTGTTTTTCCTAAGAATAAATCAACATATATTCCAAGTGGCTTTGGGAAGTGGCTAAATATTGCCCATGCTTTTTCCCTTAGTGAAAGTTCCTCCCATTTTGTGATTTGAGAGGCTTATTCACAAGTAGCATTCACCAGAAGAGCCACAGAACTGCTGATGCTTGCAAGGCTCAGGATAATGGGATATGAAATACAGACATTAGAGGCCCAAGTGAACACAAAAAGCCACACGCAGCCCAAGCCCAAGGTCTAAATTTCACTGTTCTGGAACTGCTATGGGCAGTCCCAAGGCCAGGGTGGGCAAAGGAGGCTCCTTCAATGTGGGATACCCTCCCCAGCTCTCCCCATTTTCCTCTTGGAGATACTCTGTTAGTTTAGAGAGCAATAGCAGATTCTCTGTCTCTGGATGGCTGCTGTTAAAATCTACAAGAGTTTCTTACCTTACATTTACTTATCAGATTAAACTGTCCTTTCAGAAGAACTAAGAAAATGAGACCACGTCTAAGGAGCATTATTATGGGGCATGAGATTGGATCCTGATAGGACCTGGGTGGCAGAGAGTGGCAAGGACTAGACACAAGGGCAGCCCACAGGATATTCACATTTCATGGGGCCTTGCCAACCAGAGCAGGAGTGAAGAAGTTAGAAGAGTATGTCAAAGAGAAATTCCAAAAGGGAACTCTGAACAGGAAGGTGGCCAGCTTCACAGGGAAATAAGTGCTTCCCCAGCAAGCCCTGCCCAGCCCCCAAATCAAGCTCTAATGAGAGTTCTTCCAGTCCAAACAGTATCCACACTCTCAAGCAAGGAAACAAAAAGGGAAAACAGCAAACCTAAGTCACTTTAACAATATAGCTCTTCCATGTTCTGGACACAAGAAGGACAAGATTTTAGAGAGAATGACACAAAAGCACACATTTTCTCAACAATCAGAGGTTCCATATACCTGAACTGTTGCCAATTCAATTCAAGTAGAAGTTTATGCCCCAGGGATAGTGACTTTGCTAGTGCCCAGAATAGAGTGGAAGGGCTCTGGTAAGAGAGAGGTGAAAATTAAAAGTGACAGTATCATGTTTTGGAAACATCATTGTAAGGAAAATAATCAACAGGACAAATATACTGAGGATCCAGACACTTCTCTTAGTAAATTGGTTGAGAGAAAGGGAAATAAACAACTGAGCTGGGTAGCCTTGTTTTCCTCCCATTGAGACTGTCTCCTCAAATATCACACATCCATCCTCAGCAGTGACAACTCCAAACCTTGGTGGTTCTGTACTTTTGCCACAGACTTTATTCTTGAGAAGCCAAGAGCAGCAGAAAACCTAACTTTATGTTTTCCTTTTTGAAAGAGCCTTGAACTTCCTTCTCAGAAATTTACCAAACAATGTAGAGTAGGCTTGGAGGTAGGTGGTTTTTTAAAAAAAAAAAAAAGAAAAAAGAAAAGAAAGAAAAAACAGACTTCTGAACATCCAGGATGATATTCAGCCTGAACTGCAGTTAAATTTCAATAAATAAATACATAAAATATATCATCTAAAGACATTACTATTAGACCACCAGAAACCTTAAAGGAACCCAAAATGTATAACCTTAGAGGAGACCCAAGGCCACTTAAAGAAGCCTCGTTTTACTGAACCACAGCATAGCTGATCGCTGATGCACCCTCAGAATTGCATATTTATACTCTTGTCTGCTAGTAGAATAGGTGGCTGGGCTTTTGTTTTGTTTTGCTTTATCCAAGTGGAATGCATTTCTCTAGGAGCACAGCGTATCTTGGACCTGGGTCTGGATGGAGCCCAAGGAATGCAAGATCAGAGAGTGCCTGAAGTTACCAGATAATGGCCAAGAGGCAACGAAGCTTTTGATTCTGTAAAATAGAGAATGGGACTAGACGAACTCTAAGTGTCTTCCAGCTTGAACATTCTGTGATTCTATGCTTCCACCCCACGTGCCATATTCATTGACAAACAAGGAAAATCCGATCTGGACTGGTGGTGGTTTTTAAAACCTCACGATTCTATAAAATACCAGGAATATGTGATCATACCAGACATATTTAATATGTGTGTATTTCATCATTGCAGAGCCCTTCCCAAATGTTAAACTGGGGCTAGGGTTCAAGGGTATTTGAAAAAAATTTTTTTAAAAATCTGGCCTTTAGGTTTGTGCTATATTAATCTATGGGAAAAACAGCAAAGATTCTTAGGGGGCTGTGATCCTGAGGGCTATAATCAGATATACACTAAAGAACTCTATGATGAAAAAAAAATCCTTGAGAGAAGGGTTTGGAAAGGGAGATCTGAATGGTCAGTGTCTGTAATGAACTAAATATGTATTCACCCGCCCCCATTCGTATGTTGAAATCCTAACCACCAAGGTGATGGTAGGAGGTGGGGCCTTTGGGAGATGATTAGGTTATGAGGACAGATACCTTATGAATGGGATTAGTCCTCTTATAGAAGAGACCTCAGAGAGGTTCCTGACTCCTTCCACTATGTGAAGTTACACAGAGAAGACACATCTATGGAGAAGCAAGAATCTGTCAGCACCTTGATCTTAGACTTCCCAGCCTTCAGAACTGGGAGAAATAAATTCCTATTGTTTATAAGCCACCAATTATAGGAGTATTTTGTTACGGCAGCCTGAACAGACCAAGACAGGCTTGAAGTTATGTCCAGCTATTATTAAAGATCTTTTGGCTGAGCTAACAATATGTTAGAAAAACTAAAATGGTTTTGTTTGCAAAAACAAAACATATTTAGATAACAAGAACAAAAAATTACATATTCATTTTTTAAACTGAGGTTTAGCTTAGATCCAGTAAAATTCACCCTTCTTAGTACACAGTTCTATGGGTTGACAAACACATATGATCATGTGTAACTAGCACCACAGTCAAGATAAAGAACAGTTCCACCATCCAAAAAAACTCCCCATGCCGGCCCCTGGCAGCCACCTACCTGTTCTGTCTCTACAGTTTTCCTTTGAAAGAAGGTCATTTACATGGGACAGTATTCAGCCTTTTAGACCTGGTGTTTTCATTAGCATAATACATCTGAGATACATCCATGTTATTGCATATATCAATAGTTTGTCCTTTTTGTAGCTGTGTATTACACTATTGTATGACTTTATCACATTTGGGAAACATTTGGGCTATTTCCAGTTGTTGACAATTACAAATAAAGCCACTGTGAGCATCCCCATACAGGTTTTTGTGGGAATGTAAGTTTTCATTTGCCTATGGTAAATACTTAGGGAGGGACATTCCTAGGTTTGTATGCTAAGTGTAAATTTAACTTTATAAGAAACTGCCAAATTGTTTCCTAAAGTGACCAAACCATTGGCATTCCCACCAACAATGTAAGAGGTCAAGTTCTTCTCCAGCCTCACCCACACTGGATATGAACAGTTTTCTCTTTAAGCTTTTCTAATAAGTGTGCATTGACATCTCATGTGGCTCTAATTTGCCTTTCCTTGCTAATTAATGATGTTGAGCATCATTTCATATGCTTATTTCCATCCATTTATTTCTTTGGTAAAGTGTCTACTCAAATCTTTTGCCTACTTTTTATTGGGCTATTTTACTATTGCCTTTCAAATGTTCTTTTGTATTCTGGACATAAGTTTCTTATCAGATATGTGATTTGAAAGTATTTCCTCCAGCCTATCCTTTTATTCCTCTAAGAGTGAATGTTGAAGACCTATAGACCACTTTGAAGCCCACTTTTGAGAGTTGATAGAAAATGGAGAGACGGTGAAAGCCCATATCTCTCGTTTGCTCTCCATCTTCTCTGTGGAGAATGTTCTTCAGAATGGATATTGTGCTACAAACACAGCAGGAGGGAATTAAGTTTATTAAACGTATTAAAATTTACATAAGTGCCAAGAGAACATTTACATTCTCTAAACAAGCTCTATAATGCTATCAGGGAGAATTTTAATGTCTGTGGCTGAGAGAAATGCAAATGTGATGTGTGCCCATGAGGAAATGGGAAAACCAATAGAGGATCAGGAGTATTGCAGACCCACCAAATGTCTTTCTTATTCCAAAACAGAGAGAGAGAGATGGAAATAGCACCCACCAAAGGACAGTGAGCTATCCTCACTCAGAAGAGGGAAACTAGTTTCTACTAGTAGTTAGCATGAGTTCATTAATAGGTCACATGAGATTAACCTGTTTTTCCTATTTGGCAGACCAAAAGGCCACGTGTAATAGCTATGGAACATGTGACAGCTGCATTTTACAAAGTCTCTCTAAATAGCTTAGTTGATAATATGGGAAAACAAGGGAGATGACCATTTGACTAGTTGCATTTGTAATTTTTGAATAACTGTACACTATGCAATAGTCATTTATCTATGTATCAGTGGCAACCTAGAGAGAAATTTTCTTAATTATATCATAACATAATTTTATTAATAATTCATATAAAAATGTGAAAGATAGATATCCCAAATTTGTAGATGGTAGAAAGCTGGAAATTATTATGAATGATTTAGGACCAAATAAAGACCAAAAACATCTTCTCAAGCCAGCCTGAATACAATGAGATGAAATTTAAAGGAGACAATTTTAAAATATTTCACTGAAGTCCAAAAACAGTTTGAGTTCTGGGTAGTGAAGGACACAGGGCTCAGCATGAAAGGTGAAAACATGACTTATGGTTTAAATCAACAGCAAGCCTGAGATAAATCAACAGTGAAATACAATGTCCAAAATTCCTAATATGCAATCTTGGGATATGTTGACGAACGTTTATCATTTTAGAGTGAAGAAGGATGATAGTTCTATTTGGCCAAACCCAGAGTTTTGTGTCCAATTTAGGGCACTACACTCTAGGAAGCCTATAAACTGAGCATGTCCTGAGAACAATAGTCTACCATATGATGTAAGCAATGATCAAGGAAATAGGAAATGATGGACACATGAGGAGAGAAAAAGACTTTGGGACCCATAGTTGTTGACATACAACAGTTAAAGGTTTGCATGGGATCAAAGAATCAGACTTGTTCGAGATAACTCCAAAAAGGTTATAACTCTAAGATAACTCTAGAACTAAGGCTAGGAGCAGAAAGGTCCTGAAAGGAGAATATTTCTGACATAGTTGTTGAAATATGAGCTACATTGTTTTGAAAGTTAATAATTCTCTTAAGAGGAATTCAAGAATAAGCCAGATTATCTCTCAGAGGGGATGTCTGTATATGAAGGAGATTTAAAAACACAATGCATAGATGAATAAAATAACCATGAAAGTCTTATGTAACCTAATCACTATGTGATTCCATGATCATATGGTACTTGTTTGAACTCTCATTTTGCTGAAACTTGGGGTGGGGGAAGGAAAATTAACAAATATGTAGAGGGAAATAAGACCCACAGCTACAAAAGAATATTTGGAATCAATTTGGAAGTGCTTCCAAGAAGTTACATTTGGACAGTTTGGGTTGTTTTTTAACTTTGCATCAAACTGAAGATTAGATTTTATGATTTTATGAGTTGCAGGGATATTAAATTTTTTACATTGTTTCTTCCACTTGACATTCATAAGAAATGATAAGCAACTGAAATGAAACTAATAAACAAATACAATGTTAAATACAGTGAGAATTTCTCATTAGACATAGTGGGAGCTTTAGAATTTTGTTGAAATTTAGGAAGAGAAAATAAATTAAAATTTGGAAGGGGGAAAAAGAGAGTATACTGGTAGTTGGGCTCAATACTGATCAACATATTGATAATTCTCCAGAATAATCAGTGGAAAATCAGTGAGAATTCTCCACTGATTATTTTGGAAAATTAAGATGGAAAAAAATCACCTTAAATAGTGTAATAGTTAGCATATAAAACAAGATAATAAACTAAAATAACAAAGGAAATGTACATTGATACAAAAACGTGTATAGAACTGCATGGTAAGGAAACTGAAGACCATCAAAATCTTGTCAATAACAATTGATTGCACGCCTTCTCTAAAAAGGATCGGCACTCAGTATTGCCAGGAAATCATCCCAGAATCAGATTGCTCTGGACTGATAGAGCCCAACTGGTTAAACAGCTAAAAATAAGCAATCAATTCTTAAGCTGAAAAGTTCACATGCCCTGCGGGTAGAAAATGAGAGTGCCAGACACAAAAAGAACTCAATTAAAATTTCCCAGACCTTGTGATTCTTGGTGCCACAATCAACATCATGTAGTGCAATGATATGCTGTGTGATATATCATGCACGTATACATACACACATACACACACATAAATACATACACAAACATGTGTATAGGGCTATATGTAAACACATGCACATACTTTTTTCTGCCAATTCCTTTTTCTTTAGCCTCACCACTCAAGTCTACACTGGGAATAAAAATGTAGATCTTGCACATACATAAGTAAGCCTTCAGTCATGGAATTCATTCATGAGTTTACAAAGTGCAAATATATCATAACTACACTAGAAGTTAACAGTCTTATGGGCTCTGTCATTATAGCTTAACTAAATCTAAAAATCCTTCTGGGGAATATTCAGGGAGGGCTGTAAGTCAAGGTAGTCACCTAAGCAAAGGGGGAAGCATTTCCTCCAGGGATTTGGAAGGACACTTGGTAAAAGTATATTCCCTACCATCTAAATGTCTTCATATCAGACATTTTGTCATTATCATTCTTTTTAAGCTAAGCATTGTCTTCCTCCTATAAATTTCTTTGAAAATCAAAGAGATAGCATTAGGAGATATACCTAATGTTAAATGACGAGTTAATGGGTGCAGCACACCAGCATGGCACATGTATACATATGTAACTAACCTGCACGTTGTGCACATGTACCCTAAAACTTAAACTATAATAAAAAAAAAAAAGAAAATCAAAGTTCCTAAAGTATGGGTTAAATCATTAAGTTCTAAAAGCTAAATGTCAATTTGATTATCAATTTCTTTCCTAACCAGCAAAGAGAGAGAAGAATGGGTGAACCCCAGTTATACGTGACAATTGTCAAGGGAAAGAAGAGAAGGGTCTAAGAGATAAAGGGCGTGAGAAGATGAAGTAAATAGAAAATATCTCTGACAAACTTCACTTCCCTTCATACCTTTGCTCCAGCAGATTCTGACCGTCATAATGATCATTCCCCAAGTCATCAAGCACAATGCAACATGATAGAGCTGGTTATACCTTAGCAATAATCAAAATAAACCAAGCTATGAAAAATGGCTTAATCTTTTCATTTCAGATTAACTTTAAAAAGCATTCTAAAGATAATTCCTCCTGTTGATCAATTCACTTTTATTCTCTTGTTTTTTGTTTTTTTGTTTTGTTTGTTGTTCTTGTTGTTGTTTTTGGAGACAGGGTCTCACTCTGTCATTCAGGCTCACTGCAGCCTTGACCTTCCAGGCGCTAGTACTCTTCTTACCTCAGACTCCCAAGTAGATGGGACTACAGGTGCATGCCAATGCAGCCAGCCAGCTATTTTTTTTTTCTGAATTTTTGTAAAGACAAGGTCTTACTATGTTGCCCAGGCTAGTCTTGAACTCCTGACCTCAAGCGATCCTCCCTCCTTGGCCTCTCAAACTGTTAGGATTATAGGAGCAAGCCACCGCACCCAGCCTCACTTGTTTTTTAAGAACAACCCCAAACTGGCATATTCATCAATGCACCTGTTGTATTACAGAGGTGATTTCATGTGGCAATCTATAAAAATTTCTCACAAATATCACCTTCTCCATGAAGCTTTCTCTGATTCCCCAACCCAGATCCCCAATCATCACTCTTCATGCTACTTGAGGGCTCTGTTAGCTCTTCCATTAGAACTTTTTTCATGGTATTTAACATTTAAACTTACCACTCCAGTTAGAAAACAATCTCTTTGATGTTCCCAGCACCTAGCCCAGAACCTGGCACAAGGACGGTGTTTAACAACAGTGTGACACATGAATGATCAACTACCAAAATACTTGTTACATTGTAAATGTGTGTTCTTTTACTATCTCCCTGACTATGAGCTCCTTGGCATATACCCTTAATTATAGAACAGGCCTGTTCAACAGTGATGCTTCCTCCAAAGTATCTCTTTTGGGTCAGATGTAACTACCTTATCTTTGATAAATAGTAGGTAGTGATCCTGCACCACCAGGAAGATGGATTAGATGACTTCTCTGGGATTTTCCTACACAGAACCATTTCAGAAACATTAACAAGCAGATATTACACTAACTGGAAATTCAGGCAGCAATTAAAATGTCTTCTTTCCATCACTGCCTTCATTTAATTCTTACAGAAATATCAATGTGTTTGGGGAGGTCCCAAGGAAATGAACCAAACCTAGTTAGTCAGAACAACTCAATCCTCCTTTCTTTTGAGTTTATATCCTCTAAGTCTACGGACCGATGTAAAAATCATTTCCCTCCCGGAAAAGAGGCTGCTTCTGCCAAGCCAAATAGCAGGCACAAAAGTAAATGCAGCTGGGGCCCTGGCTCTGCCTCCAGGCCCTACCTTTGGCAATAAGCATTTTCTACCTCTGCATCCTGCGCCTTCCACAGGATGCTCAGTAACCTCTCATGGAGCTTCCAAGTTCTTTGGCAAATGCTCATCATGGCCAGTTGGATTTCTCTTAAAGGGTTTAAATTTTTCCACCCTACCACCTATTCATGAAGAAATTCAGAAATTATTAAGCTTCTGGAATCAATGGCTTCTTTTTTATATAAAAGAGAATATCTTACCATGCAATCTCTGACTAAAATAGTATATACTTTAAGTGTCAACAAATGTCAGTGTTCACTTTTGGATGGTACTAGATACTTTAAGTACTTGTAGTAGGACTGAAATGTAGCAGGACTGAAACTTGTAGTATATATGACAATTCGGAAATATCCTACACTTTTTTGCCATTGTCTATAACTTTTTTTCTAGAACATCTTTTTAGGCAGGAGGGAAAACAAAACCCTTCTTTTTCAAATTAGAATTACTTCCTTTGAGTTAATTCAGTCAACTGTGTCTCACTTATTTAGGAGTTTCTCCCTTCTGCTCCATCTTCGAAAGATGGCATCTACATAGTGGGGAGACTCTGCATATCCTCCATGGCTGTTTTCTTCCCTGTCTACCATATAGCAGTAGATCTGGTCTTGCCCTTAGGAATCCTTCCTTGGTATCTGTTGAAATGAAACCAGTGCCTGGCATAGATCAGTTTAACACCTTCTGCCACTTCCTTGTCCTGTTTTTAGTGCTTAGGTGTCTACTTGCCAAGGGATACAGAAATATTTAGAATCCCTAAAGGCCACACTCAGACAACAGGTTACCAGCACATCACGTGTGGCCTATCTAACCTGGCTGCCATCATAAGACTCCAATACATATGGAAAGAAACAAATTCTATAAAGGGCTGACTTCAGTGTTCCCTGTTTGAGAAGTGAGGAGCAAGCCTCCCTATGCTGGGAGTTTCCCAAAACTATCTGGGTATTTCTGCCTTTCACTCCCACTCCTTAGGGTTTTGGCCAAGAGAGGAAAAGTAGGACAATAACATCTGATTTCTTGTTTCTCTTCCTCTTACCTTTTTCTCTTTATGGGAAAACAAAACAAGTAAAAACAAAAACTGAAGTACCTTGATGAGAACTTTCCTTAAAACAGACTCCAATATTTCCATACAATGGCTTACAACAAAACTCTCTGAAGGAAGTATGCCAGGATTGGTTTTTGATATTTACTGTGGGAGAGAGTTAGACATTTAATAAATTCTTTTCTTTCTCAAAAAAAAAAAACTAGGTATCAAAACCATTCTAATACCGTGGACTCAAAAACTCATCTTTGAGACTCATTTCCAAGGCAAAAACCTTCTTGGCTTAATCTTTTTTTTTTTTTTTTTTTTTAAAGACAGGGTCTCATTCTGTTGCCCAGGCTGGAGTGCAGTGGCAGGATCTCAACTCACTGCAACCTCTGCCCCCAGGTTCAAGCAATCCTCTCACCTCAGCCTCCCCAAGTAGCTGGGGCTACTGGTGCACGCCACTATGTCTAGCTAATTTTTGTATTTTTTGATAGAGACAGGGTTTCACCATGTTGGCCAGGCTGGTCTCCAACTCCTGACCTTAAGTGATCCACCTGCTTCAGCCTCCCAAAGTGCTTGGATTACAGATATGAGCCACCATGCCTTGGCTTAGTCTTAATGAGAGGAGGCCTAAAGGAAAAGATCATTTAAGAGTGAATGAGGTCGGGCACAGTGGCTCACTCCTGTAATCCCTGCGCTTTGGGAGGCCAAGGCGGAGGGATCACTTGAGGTCAGGAGTTGGAGACCAACCTGGGCCAACATGCTGAAACCCTGTCTCTACTAAAAATACAAAAAATTAGCCAGGTATGGTGGTGGGTGCCTGTAATCCCAGCTACTCGGGAGGTTGAGGCAGGAAAATCACTTGAATCCAGGAAGCAGAGGTTACAGTGAGCCGAGATAGAGCCACTGCACTCCAGCCTGGGCAACAAGAGCAAAACTTGTCTCAAAAAAAAAAAAAGAGAGAGAGAGAGAATGAAAAATGTAACTGATAAGTATTTTTTAATTGATACACTTTTAGATTTCTGATAATATAAAAAAAGAAATTTTGTATTAAGCCACACTTATTTTCTACCATGTAGTCTACTATAAAGAGTTAATAAAGAGACATAAAATGGAAAAAGGCTTGACAAACTATAAATAAATAGAAATAATTTCCCTAAAAACATCTGGATGTGATGTTTTAAGGTAAAACTTGCAATTTATCAATAAATAAACTCAACCAAAATGTCTTGGGCCTATCATATGCCAGGCACTGAGGATAAAGAAATAAATAAAAATCAAAGTCATAATCATAGCCATCTTCATGCTTGTTCCTGATTATATTATTCTATTATTCCTTTTAAAATCTAACGAATACAGACACATACTTATACATAGATAAATATTTACATCTACATTCTGTACTAGCAGCAAGGGAATGATAGTAACTTTCTCTTTTTCAAATACTGTGACAAGAAGGAAAAAGTATTTATAACCTTATACATAGACAACAAATTGAAATTGAAATTTTGGGCAACCTGCCCAAGGTCGCTGAAGTTATAAGTTGAGACTTAAACCCAGCTCACTTGACAATCAGTCTGCTACTTCTTCCACTGCACCATTCTGCATCTCCTTGTAACCAAATATATCCATGAAATAGTTTAATTTTCCCCAAGGAGTCAGGAAACATATGATTCAGAACCCTATATATTGTAAGCTGGTTCTAGGATAGTTATGGGACTGAAAGGGACAAAGATAGATTCCCTGTCCCAGTGTATTCTGCACACTGCTGCCTGCCAGGTTAATTATGTTTGACCCTTGTTTCTTAGTATTTTTATACGAATAGAACCTCTGTATTTTAGCTAGACACCTGCCCTCTCCATCCTGCTTTCCTGTAGCAGTCATATGGAAACAGAAGCAAGCTGTCATGGACCATGTGAACAAGAATGAGCCCTGGGGATGGTGAAGTAATAAGATGGGAAGATACCAAAGCCCTGACTCTGTGGAGCCAATCTACCAGCCTAGACTGTTAATAAACTGAGAAATAAACTTTTATCTTGTTTAAGCCACTCTTACTGATGGTTTCTGTTAGACCAGCTGAACCTTTAATTAATACGTTTATCTTCCCTAATCACTCTTTAACATATGTTGACATTTAGATACCATTGACAGTTCTCTATTGCCTACAGAATGAAATCCAAACAGCATTCAAGGGCTTTTATAATCTGGCCAACACTTACCTTCCTCTCATTACTTCCTCTACTTCTTTTCTCCCCAGTCAGACATGGATTCATTGTTTCTTGAACATTCCTCCACTATCCATCCTCCCCAAAGACTCTCCACAATGAACTCTAATTTCTGAAACCCTCTTTATTCTTTCAGTGAACTCTTTACAGCCCACCTTTGAGCCCACAGTATCCTATGCCCAGAAAATGCTTAATAAAGATTCTTTTGTTGAAAAGGGGAAGGCAGAGGAGGAGGGTAGAAGAAAGAGGAGGAAAAGGAGGAGGGGTATAGGGGGGATATAAAAAGAAAGAGTAGGAGAAGGGGAAAACAATTGGAAAGGTTGACTATTGTGTTTTATTAATGTTGATAATGTTCAGGAGCAATATATGCAATGGGTTCAAAAATAAAATGTAAAGCTCTGAAAGCATGAGGAGAAGTCTGTGGCCATAAGCATGTTTTGTATATTTTTATGAACTTTCTATTTGAGTTTTTTTTATTTATTTCTTTGGAAAACAATTAGGCAAGTGAGAAACATTAAGAAATTGGTTTCCACTCATTTATTGAGCTATTTTCTCCTCACATAGCATAATTTGAATAAACCACAAATTAATTTTCTATCAATGGTGCCAAAATGTCTTTGAGCATTTTAGGATTCTCGGAGTGGCTATTTGAAACTTTATTTATTTTTCAGCATATTGCTGAAATAAAAATAAAAATCTCAGCATATTGTTATATTTGAAAGAAGCTCCATTCTGTCTTCATTTAGGAATTTCTGTGTTGTTTTCCCCAAAACAAAACAACAGCTGTGTCTAGGCAACATACAAAATTATCAGGGAAAGTTGATTTGAAATATTGAAAAAGATAAGGTAGGAGCATCAGCAAAGAATCCTATGAAAAAGTGTAAATTCATAAAAAGGAAAATTTCATGAAGTTTTATAGGTTATACAGGTTATATAGTTTATTATAGGTTAACTAAACATATTAACTTCAATCTCTGTGTAAATAAGACTGAGTCACCGGAATTTTTCTTCTGGCTTTAAATTTCCATGTCTTTATCCCCAAATATATATTCCTAAGTATTCCCAATACTCTTGAAGAGTACAACCTTATGAGTGAGAAGTTATCTCTAGTTTTCCCAAATAGCAAAGGCAACAGGTGTCCCTCATGGTAGCTAACAGAAGTAAGTACTATATCCCTCTACATACAAAGAATGGGGCTTCCTTTGTCAAGCAGTGGACCCAAAGCAACTGTATATGCAGTCTCCTTGGTATCAGATTTAGCCTGAGGATAAAGATAGTGTGAGCCAGTTTAGGGGAGGGGCAGGTTAATCCTCTTGCTCTCTGCAGCCAGGAAAAGGGCAAGCCTTGTAGAGAGAAAGACCTAATGTGTATATTTTATTGTGTTGCTATTACAGTCTGTTACATACCTTGAACTGGAATGTTTGCATCCCACCCAAATGTTGGATCATCAAAAGCAGACTCAAGTCTGCTTTGGATTTGTATTTTCCAGGCCCACTACACTTGTACCATGGTTTACTGAAATATGAATCAAAGATACAAACACCTTACACTCCCTTCTCTACCAGATCGAAATTATGATTATTATTTAATGCCAAGAACTCTTGTCATGTTACTCAAGCTACTTTTCGAATAACAACAATATCTTACATTTGTGTCAAATTTTGTAGTCTCAAGTTCATTATTTCATAATGCAGGTGCAGTTTCTGTGTAATTCTCTTGTTAAATCTTTGAAAAATGTGTCATCTCATGTTGCGAATGATTTTATTTAATACACATTTAATTAAATAAACCTTCATTAATTGAGCACCTACCTTTCAACCTCATGTCACCCTGTAAACATATTTACAAATGTTCTTCCATTGCAGCCTCAGACAAATGGAACATATCGTAAATCCCATGTCTGTCACATGAATAAACTATATTACTCTACATGATGTTTCCAGTAAAAGAAAGGAGGTTAAGAACACATCTAAGACAATTAAGATTTGGACAACTATCAAAGGTTTTCCTTGAATGTGGTTCCATAAGTTGGGGTAAATTTAAAAGTTTTTTCTGCTTAAATAGCTTCCCATTTCCAATTACTAAATATGCCATAAGAGAGTTCTTATGTCATGTTGCAAATACATTATCAAAACTGTATAAAGAGCATTACTTCCTTTTACATAAGGGAATACCCTCCCCTGATACTTTGGGTTTACATTAATCTTCTTATGGTTCCCACAGTGAGAAGCTATCCTTATGTGCCCTCAGCTTTTGTAACTACTTGCTACCCACTCTTCTTGTTCCACAGGCACGCCTTAAGGTCTTTTAGCCAACATTTACTTTTGCCTCCCAGTTGACCCTTTCCCTGGAATACACCCTTGTCTCATCTATTTCTCCCAGACAATCTGCTCTTCTCCATAGTCAGTATGTCCAAACAACTCCAATTTGTATTCCATGACCTTTCCAACAACCCACACACCCTCTTAAATGGATGTTTTACTCATACGATCATGATGCTTTTCTTGTTCCCCTATGAGTCTCTGTATTAGTTTAGAGAACAGTGCCCCAGTTTTTTAATTATAGGATTAAGAACTAAGATTCATTGGATGCTGCAATGTGCCAGGTACCATGATAAAAATTTCATTTAAGCTCCATTACAATTTTTGGAGGTTAGTATTAACCCCACTATATGGATGAGAAAACAGCCTTGGACAGTTTAAATAACTTGTCCAAATGTGTTGCTCATGACAGGTCAAACACAGACTTTAACTTGAATCTATCAGACTCTGTATCATTCATGGTGTAGCCAAGAACATAATGCCTGTGTTTTTTAACTCAGAAATTCAAGAGGGAGTTTACCATAGGGTATTAGTCACAAAGGTGTTAGAAGATCCCAAAGAGTAAATATTGGAAGAGGAAGCAACCAAGAATTTTCAACTGGAGGCTCTATCATCCCCAGAGTTGGACAAACAAAGGAAGAGATGAGGTTACTAAAGCTCAGGATGTATATGCCGTAGAAGCTGAAATGAAACAGACTCACACGGTGGGAGTTGAGGCCATGGAAGAACAAGCTGCCTGGCAGGAGCTGGAGCTTCACAAGAGACACAGTCACTACTAAAAGCAAAGAGATATGGAGGCAAGCACCCTAGGTTATCTCTTCCTCCCACCCTCCTATCTCCTACCAGTGCCCTCCAATGCCACTTCTAGGGAGAAGCTGATTAGCAAGGAAGTCTTGGAACTAATTCACAAGAATAGCTTCTCTCCAATACAGATAGGGATACAAGGGAAGGAACTTGAGAATAAACAGGCAAAGGCTCACTCAACTCCAAAGCTCATGTTAACCTCATTAAGCTATGTCGCCTACACTCCAACATTTACTTCCAGTAGTGTTAACTGAGTGTAGCCTGCAGCTGTGACAAAAACAAGCTATCCATTTGCCAATATCACAATGCCTTTTCTGTATCTTAAGCATTACCAAGCACCTCACATAGTGACTAGAACACTGTGGGCACACTGACCATTAATTTGCTTTTTTCACCTCTCAAATGTTGACTAAGCCAATCAAATCATCTATAGGAAGAATAACTGTAGGCATAAGGAATGGATCTCAAGTAACTAAATACCAAAAAGATAGAAAATTCTTTTCCATGATACAAGAAAGACAGGAGACGAGCATAATTTTTTTTCAATTTTGGCCTTTATGTAACATTGTTTTATGAATTTATTGCTAAATCAGTTTGATGGCGCAGATGGCCAGATCACTATGCAAGCCAAAATGCTATCTAGGTAGCCTGAGAGGCCTTTAGACAGCTGACTGTTACTTACTACCTAGCCCCAACTTCTCTCTTTCTGAAGAGAAAAGGTCAACACCACTTTAATGCTGTAGAAAAGTCACTTGCTCAGCTTTTGGTACAACAATTGATATTATTTTTGGAATTCATTACTTCTCAAGTGTCCTTTATTTAATCTATTTCACATTCATAAGGAGTATGAAATCCAAAACCAGCACAGACTCAATTATCCTCATTACTCGCTCTTAAATGTAATTCCCTAACATATGGAAGAGGGAACATTTTGGGAAAACGTCAATGGGTCTGAAGTATCAGGGTGACAAAGTTCTCAAAGTTGGATATTCATCCAAACATATTTAATCCCCCTCATTATAAAAATTACACTAGACATTTCATGAGAACCATCTTACTAGCAGAATTCTAGGTATTTCCTGTTCCCAAGGGCAGAGAAATACTGCAAAATCAACATTTTTAAAATGACATTTCAGTACTGTCTCTCTTGGCTGAAAACAGAAAAAGCAAGAGACACATAAAAATAAAAAAGAAAAAAAGATTAATTAAATATTTTCAATGCTTAAATAGTTGATTTTTATGTTAACCTTTATGCAAATTTGTATTTTATCCAAATGAATTTGCTATCCTTGGTGACAACATCATGAATACATTAAACACATCTGCTTCCTCTAAGTTTAATTCTTGCACAATTACTATAAAGAGAAATGAGTATTACCATTTCAGTGTAAAGACCAAGCATCATTTGATTCAACTGTTTGGCTGTTTCCGCATTTTAGAAAAAAAATTCTATCTTCTATCACTCATTTTGAATACAATCTTAGATAAGCTCAGTTGAACTGGTGGCAGAGTGTAATGTTTATTGAAGTCTGTGAAATGAATTCACTTTGAATATGATCTCTTGGTCTGAAAGTTGAGTATCAAGCCAGCATAAACTCTTCTAGCAGTAAAGTTATAAATTTCTCTCAATTTGAGAAACTCCCACCGCACCACCACCACCACTCATAACACACACACACACACACACACACACGTGCACACACGCACACACACACACACACCCTCTGTCACATTACCTAGAAGCCTCCTCCTATAAAGTAGAGCAGGATGCTCCTTTGTGTGTTTGTTCTCAAATCTATTCTTCCCTGGCACCATGTTTTGCTCTGTAACAAGGATGTGCTGACTCCTGCAGGCTGCCTTCCCCAAGTTCCCAGTGGGCCTCTGGCATTTGCTAAAGAGAGGTAACTTGTGGGGAAATTGGAGAGCAGGAAAAAAGGAAATGCCCGATATTTCTACCTCTCTGTTTTCTTCAGGCTGTGTCTCCAGCATGCCTTCATGGCAGGAAAGGCCAAGCCACAGTTCCAAATTCCACTGGATGACCCTCAATCCCTGGGATCCCATAAAAATGTCCCTCCCTTAGTCTCTCTTGGCATGGCTTTCTTTGTTGCTAATCTCTGGGTTGCCTCTCTATCTTCTGTTTCATTTCTCAGATCTCTCATCATGCATATAATCAAGTCCTTCTATTAAGCTTCCACTATTTTACATACTCAGGGAGTTTCCTGTGTTCCTCCTTGGAAACTGACTAATATAGTTTCAATCAAAGCTGACAAGGATTATAGTTCACTGTTTTCTGTTACTTTTAACATTTGCTTCTTAGAAACATAAACTGTGAGAGAAAGTAAAAAAAGAAAGGAGAGAAGAGGTGAAGAAGAAAAAAAAGGAGAGGAGAGAATGGAAGAGAAAAAGGGAGGGTGGAGAGGAGAGGGGAGGAGTAAAGGAAAGGGGAGATAACTCTCTTCCTACCTGCCTACAAAGGTTCAGTGTGGTTCTCTGTGGAGATTACTATGTGGGTCTTTTTGTTTCTTCCCCATTTACCTCGAAATGGAATGGATTTGGACAATATTGGCTAAAACATTCTCCACCCCTCTGCAGAGTCTCTGCTCTTCTTGTAATCAGAACAACCCAACCCTCAACACAATCCCCACCAGAAAGCCACTTCTCATAGCAAAGATGGGAATAGTCCATGGCTGACTGATCCATCTGAGGTTCTAAGTCAGAAGCTATCTCTGCTCTGCCCCTTGTCATGGAGAAGCAAGAGCCTGGAGTGGCCAAGGACTCCTCAAAAAATTGAAGAAGCTCAGTTGCTTAAAGCAGCAGCATGATATCCTATGATGCACAGACTCAGGCCTGAGAATCCTCATTTCTGGCACTGCTGGCCCGGAGAACTCCAACACGCCTGCCAAGGGAGTTGCCTCCAGAAGCTCCCAAAACTTACAGTCTGCAGAAGGCATGAGCATTTCTCCCCAACTCAGCGCTTCACTTTCCACCTGGGCTCCGAAGAATCTCTGCTTGCCAGAATCTCCAACACTCTCTTGAATAGCCAGTTCTTTCACACTCACTTCTCTAACAATAGGAATTGAAAACAGTCAACTGAAGCAAATGAGAGTGGCCATCCTCATCTTCTTGCTTCCGCCTTCCCTGTTCAATCCTACATCTGCTTTCCCCCAACGCCAAAACAAAACAAAAATGACAGGGGATATCAAGAAATGTAAAAAGTTCCTTAGCAGTAATGAGTAAAGCAACTATAAAGGACAGACCTTCTTTAGGAAGTCATATGAGATTCAACCTCAGACCTCCATATATTTCTGCGTTCTGAGAAAAATGAGTGTGTACATATGAGTGACATCACTCTATGTACAAAGTGCCATGGGACAACATGGAAGAGAGAAGCCAAGCCTGCTTCAGAGGCATTAAAGATGAGCCTCTGTCCACACTCCTGCCGCAGCCAACAGATCAAGAACACAAGCGTCAAAAATCACATTCACTTTGGCTATAGTACCTTAGTCAGTTCAGCTTGCCATTACAAAGTATCATACACTGGGTGGCTTATAAGTAAGAAAATTTTACTTCTCACAGTTTTGGAGACTAGAAGTATGAGATCAAGGTGCCAGCATGGTCATTTCCAGTAAGAACCCTTTTCTGGGCTGCAGACTGCCAGCTTCTCCTTTGTCCTCACATGGCAGAGAGAGGACTAGAAAGCTCCCTGGAGTCCCTTTTATAAGGGCACTAATTTCATTCATGAGGGCTCCACCCTCATGACCTAATCATCTTCCAAAGGCCCCACCTCCTACTCCTAATACCCTTATATTGGAGGTTAGAATTTCAACATATGAATTCAGGGAGGACACAGAGAATATAGGGATTAAAGGAATTCAGTTACTCTTTTATTTTTCTTGTTTCCCCCTTTGGGCTTTTATTGCTGTTGTTGTTGTTTCTGTTCATTTTTCATAAAAATCTGTGTTCTGTGAACAAATTCTGTTTGCTGTAAATAAATGCTCTTGTTGCCAAAATTTCTTACTGTGAGAAGTACTACAAAGTAGAAGGAGGTGGGAAAAGAGAAGTTAATTATGAGTTCACGGGCCTAATAATTATTCTTATATTTGTATTTTGCAAAGCTTTTATGAAATACTCTGATTCCTTTTTTTTTCTGGTGAGTTTTTTCTCTACTTTTTAAATAAAGGCATCAATATTTATAAATAACTACTGGCTGTGTTGATTAGATAGAGTAGCCTAGACATCCAGGCCTTGGAAAGCAAATTGGTCTTAGTTTTTGACTGGTCAGTTAATCTTGAGACTTAGCACTCACAGACTAGTACCTGCACTTTAATTCAATGTTATCTTTTTGGGGTTTTGTTTCGTTCTCTCTCTCTCATTGATGCTATAAAATTCCAGTGCAGACCTAATCTTTAACAAATACATAGCTAGAATGCTTTATTCCTTAGCTGCATGTACATTTAGCTTATGAGAAAGAATGATACTCACAGTAATGTGAAGAACTTCCGGAGGGGTCTCTATGAGCTGAGATTTCCATATTAGTCCTTTTCAGGGGGGAAAAAACAAGTCTAGGTTGCATACTTGAAATGTTTTCATTCGGCAGCTTCACATGCCAAGCT
This sequence comes from Homo sapiens, assembly GCF_000001405.40. Classification (NCBI taxonomy): domain Eukaryota; kingdom Metazoa; phylum Chordata; class Mammalia; order Primates; family Hominidae; genus Homo; species Homo sapiens. The sequence continues at coordinate 99,527,180 of NC_000003.12, forward strand.
AAATCCGCTTTCTGCTTCCCTGGTCAAATCTCTGAGATTTGTAAGGACTGTGGACTTTTTCAACTGGTCAGCCCCTTTTTGGAGTCAGATGTTCCTATCCTAAGCTCTAAGTTCAGTTGTACAAAATTAACCACCTACACTATGGGCAGCTTTCTGTCAACCAGGTTTATGTGGGCTCAATCTCTGTCATTCTTCTTGGACTGAGGGTTTGAAAAATCATCCCAAGGCTACTTTGAATCTCTGAGTTAGCCCATTCTTCACTTTGGTTTCTGGAAATTAGCAAGTCATCCTGCTACACTAACCTCCTGCTATAGACCACAGTATTGCATTAGAAATGCAAAGGAAAGTAATTTCTGCTTCTACTTTTCCCATATAATATAAAGCAAGACAAAGCAATATCATAGAGGGGTATAGGGAAGAAACTATGGGTTTTTGGATTCAGAAAAAGCTAATTTTGAACGCTGGTAACACCAGATACTAGCTACAAGATCTTGTCTCAAAACCTTAGTTTCTTATCTGTGAAGTGGAGATATTAAGAACTGTGCTACTGAAATTGTTATGGAAATTAGAGATGACAAACAGTAAGTAAAGCAGTTGCTACTGTTATTAATATTAATAGTGTGTTTTCAGTGAGAAACACAAACAGACTTCTATTAGATAATGGCACAACTGAGAAAAGAAAATATGCACATGGGAATATAAAATGGACAAATATCACGGCCTGGGGGCTTCACCCAGGCACAAGCAGAAATTCTACGGCCATGTGTTGAGAAGCCTATAGCCCCCCTGGAGGGAGGCACACTGTTGAAATGACATGCCAGGAAGTTAGGGAAGGTAACTATCACATAACTGTACAGCTTTAATCTAGTTTCACCAAGTGAGTGCCACAGCAGTCTTTCACTAAATAAAGGAGAAAAGTGTCTTTCCCATGTAAGTGACAGAGGCTGTGGTGGCTGGCCAGGGTATAGAGTAAGTCTGTAGTAGCAAACACTCAGCAGCACTCATAACCCAGGCTACATCCAAAACCATGGGGTCAGGCCCTAAAGAACAACAGTATTTTGGGAGGCCTGACAGTTGTCATCTTGTTATTTAGCCAATTTTTTCTTTTTTAAATTTATTCTGGCTGATTTTTAAAGCAACCCTCTTACTTGATCCTTAATTATTTTTCTTCTTCATCTTAATGGGTAAATCACTTATAGCTATCTATGTAGTTGTGGGCTGGGTCTATCAGACAGGGATTGTAAAGAGAAAAAACAGTGTAAAAGACCTGAAAATGCTATGATGCCCTTGCTCTTTTGGCTCTTTTGACAACTGTGCATATCTTCAAATAGTTTTCCCAGGCACATGGCTCTGAACTTGGTTTAAACTCAGTAAATGCTTCTGGAACCCCTGCTAAAATTAAGGACCCATTATGCCTTCCTCTAATTGACAGCATTACTTTTTTTAAAGGAGATTATAGTACTTTCCAGTCATCAAAGCTTCCCATTATTACAGATCGGCATTTCTGGTGTAGATTAACAAATGCCAGAATTATCCTTCAGCTCACAGCATAGATTCAGGTTTGAACTCTGTATGTAGAGCAGCTTACAATTTATGGGCAGCAGAAATGACACCATTGAAAAAAGTTAACATGAACCACCAACAAAAGATTAAATTGTTTCCCCAGATGCAGCTTCTGAATTTTTAAGTTTTAAGTAAATCTTTCACCCAATTAAAGCTTATTATAACTACAGAGGTTTCATTATTAATACATAGCCAGAAAATTCATTACCTCTATCGAATCTCTAGTTTTCTCTAGATTAACCTGAATCATTGAGTTTTAAGTGTGTTTGGGCTTTCTGCTGCTTGAAACATGGCATTTACTGGGCCAATCTCTGTCCTATGTTGGGAAAGATAGGAAAATTGAGATAGAGATGAGCAAGTCATCAAATTGTCAAACCTGAAAATACATTGGCCAGAGTGAAAAGCATTCAGGTGGAATACATGGGTAGAGCTCAGTTCAATATGTCAGCTATCTACTGAGTAGTTCAAAGCTAAAAACTATGGATAGAAGTTCAGAGCAAAGAAGTACCTGTTTAAATATACTTTAAACACATGAGTCTGAGTGTTAATTACATTTAGAAAACTTGAGACCAGCCAGGAAAAGAGTTAGCTCAATCTTGAGTAAAATTGGTTATTTGAGGAAAAAAATGAACAAAACTATTTCCACCGAGTCAATAGCCCTAGACATTTTCACTGACCTTTAAGAAAGTCTATACACAGCAGTCTTACAAAACACATAGTGATTAAGAACTCAGTAAAATTCCATCTGACATTTATGACTTGTGATTCAAATCTATCTCTTACTAGGTAAGCCTAGAGATGGTGCTGCTATTATATAAATAACCTAAAGCTGGGGTTCTCAAAGTATGACCCATAGTCAAACAACCTCATCATTACCTGGGAACTTGTAGAAATGCAAATTCTAGGACCCTCCCAGAGAACTGCTTTATCAGAAACTGTTGGGAGTGAACCCAGCAATGTTTGTTACCATTCTGACAGCAACTGGCCTACAGACTTACAGTTACAGATTGCAAAGTAAAGATGCTTCTACGTCTATTCTCTTCTCTGAAATTGGCTGAAAATAACAATAAGAAAAAAATAAAAACAAGGAAATTCCATTTTAAATTATATTAGCTACTACAATACCAAACCAAAAACTGTGAGGAATACAGTGAGATTTGGATTCAATTGAGCATAATAGATGCATACCTTAACAGACCTCAGGCAGAGCATGGAATTCTACAAAGGAAAGAGACACAGCCCTAAGGTGCCTGACCAGGGATTTTTTTATTTGAAACAGCAAATTGTAGAGTGACAGGCAATGTGGGGCCAAATGATGAAGGAGGCAGACACACCATCTTTCAAACTACTAGGCTGGCAGTATGGCAAGGAGAGATGGTGGGTAACAGTTGCTGTTCAAAATTGCTAAAGTAAAACTAATAAATACGAATTCCAACACATTGCTCCATTGCAAGATAAGCAAACTGAAAGGGCACATCTGTGAAAGAAGTGAGCAAAAATCTGTCCCCTAGCAGAAACTTTGGGAAAAGAATTGAAACAGCAGAACCATAATAAAGCTATCTTCTGCCCCAACTTACTTCCCCAGCCCTTTTTCAGACTATTGTTTAGCAAATAGCTAGCTACCCCCGAAACAATGGCCCCATTTAAAGATGAGAAAAATATCAGAAAGAAGCTGGAATAAAAACAACATATAGAGATACTACAAGAAAAAAATTAAAAAATTATACAAAAGAGGCACACAAATTAAATGTAACAATTATAGAAGAAATATATTATTTCCTCAAATAATTTTCAATGATATTGAAAAAAATTTTAAATAAAGCCTTTTTGAAGAAATATTTAGAACAAGACAGAATGGCTCAAAGAAGAAAAGACAAGCCAATAGAAGGACAATAAAAGTAAGCTAGCAGAATTTAGCAAGGAAATAAAAGAAATAAATATGATTAATTCAGAAATAAAATCCACTTTAGAAGCAGACATCTTTTAATGGATGTCACCAAAAATACAGACTTAATTATGGAAGTTAGACTTGAGAACACCGAGTAAAATGAACGAGAGAAAAATAATTCGAAATCATTGGAAAGAAAAATTAAAGATAAATTAAAATTAATATGGAAGACAAATAAATAAGATCCAATATGCATATCCATGAAGAGAAGTAAATGAATTAGAAACAAATTCAAAGATGTATTAGAGAAAAACATTCCAGGACATTTTAATTAAAAAGCAAGTTACAATTTCAAGGCAAAAGTTATTAAATTTGTCAAAGAATGGGACTTGATAATGATGAAGTATATACTCCATAATGAAGACCTAGCTACCTAGCTATCCTTAATATCTATGCACCAAATAATATAACATAAAAATGCATAATGCCAAAAACTGGAAGTAGACATAAATGGATAGTAATACAAAACATACACACAATCTTTGACAAATGATATAGATTTAAAATAAGTACCGGCTGGGCGCAGTGGCTCACGCCTGTAATCCCAGCACTTTGGGAGGCAGAGGCGGGTGGGTCACCTGAGGTCAGGAGTTCAAGACCAGCCTCAACATGGAGAAACCCTGTCTCTACTAAAAATACAAAATTAGCCGGGCATGGTGGTGCATGCCTGTAATCCCAGCTACTCGGGAGGCTGAGGCAGGAGAATTGCTTGAACCTGGGAGGTGGAGGTTGCGGTGAGCTGAGATCATGCCACTGCACTCCAGCCTGGGCAACAAGAGCGAAACTCAGTCTCAAAAAAAATAATAAAATAAAATAAGTACCAATACAGAAAAAAATAAGTAACATAATAATATGGATGTTATATACATACACACATATATAAAATCAAATGAAGCAACTTTTAAAGACAAATGGAAAATGTGTTAAAGTTGGCAGGTAATAGCCCATAAAGAAAATTTCCATAAATTTTGTATTATAATTAAAGAATGTCACCTATACTATTTCACACTAGCAAATGTATTAAGATTTTCCGTAAGAGCCACACATAGATAATAGTTTTTAATTATGATGCCAGACATAAGAAATTTGCAATAACAATTAAGGCCAACAAACCAAGAACTGAAACATTCTCAAACAATTCAAGTCAAACAGGAAATCAAACTGAAACAGCCATATTAGGAGGTTGAAGGCTTGAGGGATCTTGGTTTTAATTTCCAGCCAAGGCCATCAGGTTAAACCTTTAGAAATAACTTCAAAAAGAAAATAAGGGAATACATAAGATTATAAATAATAAAAATCATACATAAAATTAATTGTTATCCTATACACAAATAATAACTTTTAAAATATAGGAGCTAGAAATATCTCACTTTCAATAGTGACTCTATCGGTCAGGGCCCAGCTAGCAATACAGAGTCCTGACATATAATAATTAAATAAGATAATTTAATGTGGGAACTAATTATAAAGGTATTAGAATAGCTGAAAGAGTAAATGAAGGAAGGTGCCATCAAAAAATTATTAACAGTGGAAAGTTGCTAATATCCCTAAGCTGGAAGGACAAAAGGAGAGGATGATATTCCTAGGGTCTAAGCACTGGGCCCACCAAAAATGCTGGAACTCTGACAGTACTGCCTCTTGAAAGCTGGGACTAAAGAGGGAGTTAAAGCACAGAGGAGACTGGACCAGAGCTTCCACCAGGAGCAGAGGGCTGGGTAGAAGTAGCCTCCCTTCTTCCGTGCTCCTTCCTTCCAGCATCTTCCCAGTGCCCCCTACTGGCTAACTTTAGATGAAAGTCACCCGGCAAGGGAGCCTGGGAATGCAGTTCACATGGTGTTCTCTTGTAACCTACAGGGAAAGGGAGGGAGATGGAATTGAAAGCAAACAGAAAAAAGACCATTGGCACAGCAAGCAAAAGAAAAAGAAGAAAAGAGAGAGAAAATTAGATCTATTTCCCATACTTCACCTAAAGGTCCTTGATAGGAATTGTGTTATGGGCAACGCATGTGTTTATTTAATTATTTTAAAATATGAGGGGAAAAACCCACATATATTGTATACAAATTCTATACAATAAAAAACAAGTTTATCTCTCACTTCATACCCCCAATCCCTCTACACAGCATAGCCACTGTTACTTATTTTGTGTATTCTTCTGGAAATTTCCCATATACACGCATGAATATTTTTAAATGTCCACAAGCACAAAATACCTATTATTCTATCTGGTTTTTTTCCACTTAGGTATGTATGTTGGAAACCTTGTCATAATTTATTTTTAAAAGTCTCCATTTGATGCATAAATAGGCCATTTCAAGGTTTTTTTATTATAGAGAATATATCACAAAAGTAAAGGAGTACTGATAAAATTATTTGGCTAGTGTCTTTACATGTCTGGTATTTGAAACAATCCAGTTAGCGTGTGTTGGGCCAGGGGCAATACAGCTAAAAGAAGAACATAAGTGGGATATGGGATTTGAAAGTAAGTCACTAAAACATGGAGCTATCTCACATTCATTGTTACTTATAATTCATTCCCATATGTTTGTGAATGTTTGGAAGGACATGCAGATGTAACCAATATGTGTATCTTTACCCCCAAGGCAATTGCACGTACCAATGTTTTTATTCTCCCAAAACTAAATAAAACCTGATCCCCTCTGTTTTAGCCAGGCCTATTCACTTGCCTCTGAAATTTTTCAGGTTTTTGAGATTGCTTAATTGTGTAACCTTGGACAAGGCCCTAATCTCTGTGGCCCTCAGTTTCCTCATTAAAATGAAAGTGTCATCTTAATCTATCCTGCTCTTACAAATTCAACAATTCTACTTGTCCCAGCTCTGACTATCACATTTTCAAGAGAAAAGAAAGAGCAGGCCGGGCATGGTGGCTCACGCTTATAATCTTAGCACTTTGGGAGGCTGAGGCGGACAGATAGCTTGAGCTCAGGAGTTCAAGACCAGCCTGGATAACATGGTGAAGCCTTGTGTGCACAAAATATAAAAAATAAAAAAATTAGTCAAGTATGGTGGCATGCACCTGTAGTCCCAGTTACTTGGGAGGCTGAGATAGAAGGATGGCTTGAGCCCAGGAGGTGGAGGTTGCAGTGAGCCAAGATTGTGCCACTGGACTCCAACCTGTGAGACAGAGCCAGACCCTGTCAAAAAAAAAAAAAAAAAGAGTGGACAAAATCCCCTCCCCTTAAAGAGAGGAGAGTTTGAAGCCCATTCTCAAATAATTTAAAATTTTCACAATGGGGCCGGGCGCTGTGGCTCACGCCTGTAATCCCAACACTTTGGGAGGCTGAGGTGGGAGGATCCCCTGAGGTCAGGGGTTCAAGATCAGCCTGGCCAACATGGCGAAACCACATCTCTACTGAAAGCACAAAAATTAGCTGGGCGTAGTGGCAGGTGCCTATAATCCCAGCTACTCAGGAGGCTGAGGTAGGAGAATTACTTAAACCCAGGAGGTGGAGGTTGCAGTGAGTGGAGATCATACCACTGCACTCCAGGCTGGGCAACAAGAGTGAGACTCCATCTCAAAAAAAAAAAAAAAAAAATTCACATTGATCTTTCTCTGTAATCCCTGTATTCTCCCCTTGATTCTTGTGAAGCACTGGAGCTTCCACAAGTTTCCTCCCAGGAAGAAAATTAGAAGAATAAAATATTGGAGGGAGTAAGAGAACGAAACTGTTGAACATTCCCATAAATTCAGACTGCTGTTGCTTTTACTATCTTCAAAGAGAATAAATTATGATACAACCTTAAAATGAAAGTTCTATACTCAGTCAACCACTGTAACATGACAAGTCATGAAATTAAGGCAATAAAAGATTCCAAATTTGAGGAAAGATCATAGAATTTTTAAAGTTAAAAGAGTTTAGTGGGAATACATAGGTCCTGACAGACTACTACCAGGAAAATTCTAAATACTTGGCCACTTAAAGTTTTCAGAAAATTTGTAAGGAAGATGTTTAATTTTCAGTGACATGTAATTCAGTTAAGGGAAAAAAAATTAAAAGTTTCATCAAATAGGAAACGAACTTAAAACTCTGCTATTCTTGAACACATCTTAGAATTATTTTATCAGTTCTAAAAGTGGAACTGCCTAAATCTGCAGGATGTATTATGAAAAACAAAGAGTTCTCATGTCTTCAAACACCACTGCCAAAGGACAAAGGTCCTGAAAAGTCTTTAGGGGAGCAATATTAAAAATGTACAGACTCAACTTTGGGGTGTTGAAAAAAGTGGTAAGTCTATTTGCTTTTAACAATAAGCTACCCTTCCTTTAGAAATTATTTATACATTAAATATAATGTTTTGGAAAGATGACATTAAATGAATAGTTGCATTGAGGAATTATAAAAATTAGCTGAGCTATGTTTCAGTAGCATATTATTGAGCTAGAGAAGCTAAAGAGTACTGTGAGGACATAGAATTGGCAATCCCCAAAAAAGTGATTCATGAAGTCAGCCCAGGAGAGTCAGGAAAGATTTTACATAAGAAGCCAAATTTTAAATCAATTCTGAAGGATGAAATGTAGATTACCAGTCTTAGAAGAAGGAAAATGTATTCCAGGAAGAGAAAATAGCAAGTACAAAGGCACTGAGGCATGTTTGGAAAGAAATGAGAAAAGTTTAGTATGATTTCTGGAACATAATTGTGTATGCATAATGGGAGGAGATCAGGCAGGAATGCAGGCTGGGGCCGGAATGTGCTGCGGAGTTTGAGGTATGCTCAGACACCCTGGCCTCTTTAACAACAAGGAACTATGCTAAACTATGGAACCATATGTTTTATCACAACATATTAATGACCACATGTTAACAGAGAGGGAACTGGAAAATAACCACTGGCTATGGCAATGACTCAGACATTCTCCTATTTCAGTCTTCAAAGCACCAGCATGCAAGATGACACTTGAGAGTATACTTTCTTTACATCATATTATAATAAGCAGAAGCCCAGCAATCCAGCATTTAAGAAAACACTAGATCTTGGATGAAAACTAACTAAATAAAAGTGGTGGAGTTAAATTCACTATTTAGAGTGTTATATGTCTTTATTACAGTTAATGGAAGCGCACCCAGGAAATATGTAGAAAACACAGTGCCAGAGAACTACACAGCTCTCAAGATTCCAGTGTTTCTCAGCTTCTGAAACAAAAAGCAGATTTGACTTTTTTTAGAACTTATGTAGAAAGTAACTGTCATTTTCCTAGTTGTAGCTCCTATTTTTCCCACCCTGCTGGCATATTTACTCTTCTTGCACAAGCATATCTTGTTTTTTGCCACATTCAGTGTTCATGCCATTCTCAACACCCTCTTCATCAAATCTGCCCATTCTAATTCTACCCATTCCTTTTCCTTCCAGTTTGAGCATTACTGAACATGTATAGGAAGCAAAAAATATGTTTTCGGCAGAGGGTGGTAGTGAAACAAGAGGAATAGAGCAAATATAGGTTAAACACCTAGAACATATTCAGCTTGGGTTCAGTTTTAATTGATTAATTTGATGTCATCATGTGTCAAGACCTCTCAGTGCCCTAGAGTCTAGACCCAAATGCCTGCCACTTTTCTATCCACTGATCACAGTCTCATGCAACCCTGGCCACTTCCTCCCTTTATCCATTCTACTATTCTTTCACTGGGTTTATTAAAATCCTTGTTTTCTTATTTTCTTTATAACAACCTTTTCTTCAAACACTTCTTATCCTTCACTAAAACTGAAAGGTCATTTCAAATCCCTAAAAATATATTTAAAATTAAAAATTTTTAAAAACATCGCTGTCACCAACATAAAAGCCCTTCTAATCAGTTTTCTCACCTATCAAAAGGAGAAATTTTCAAGATCATTTCTCTAGTTCTTTACAGGTAATTGGTAATAAATAATAAGAATTTCCCTAATTTAGTTATTAATGTATTACAGTCCTGATTTCTTAGAAGTGACAGCTCAATCATTTCTTACTTCAGCCAAATCATTTCTCTTCAGGGAGAGAATATAAGGTACCCAAGAGGTGAGGACACCCAAAGCATGATATTGCACTCTCATGACTAAGACAGTTATTAGCTCAAGTCCTTCAGTCTCCAAGCTGTTCCCTTCTGGGTAAGCCAACAAGCCACAAGGATTCATTCAAATGGTGAGTGGGACACAAAAATATTAAAACTAACATCAAAGATCAACTGGTTAAGGTCAAGGACTATTGAATATGAATTTCTGCATTTTGAAGGATGAAACTGCGCCGTTTTGCACTTCAAAAATGTGGTAAATCAGGTTTTTAGAACATCAGTGTTTGTCAGACAGAATGTGTTTCAAGGACTTGATTACAAAATCCTGCCAGAAACAGGAATCTGATCCCTAGGGAATTATTAAGTTCTGTTTATTCTAGTTACATGAAAGCATATTTAAGTGAAAAAAGTTAATGTTAGTTAAATCAGATAACAAATGGCTCTTTGGAGACTCTGGTGTGAGTCTCATGTGTGTCTGTGGTGTTTCTGTAACACTTCAGCTGGATGAGATGTCCTGCCTCATATTGTCATCATGCTCCCTCCACTTTCTGTCTTCTTTGAGACTGAAAGATATGAGAATTCTTCTAATCCAAAACCCCAAACAGGTGAAATTAGAAGTTTGGCTTAAATTTTATCTCAAATTTGAGGGTTATCAGGCAGCATAAAAGGCAAAGCTGACAAAAAGGCAAGCAGAATGGAAGCAAAAACGATAATCAAATACATAGCCACGCTTTCCACACAGTCTCAAGAAACAAAAGCAGCTGAAATGGGAACAACTCTCCTTGCTTACCCTTCAGAGACAAAGCAGCAGGAAATTGTAAGATTCCTCCCAGAGCCCCACTTGCGAGGAAGCCCATTTAGTAAATGGTATGAGTTGTGTGATCTGTTGTTATTGGTTTTCTTCCCTGGGAACATAGCACACTGGGGATTCAACTGTACCACAAAACGGTCTTCTAAAGCCTCAGACATGTCAAATGCAGACTGAGAACTGCTCTTTCTGGGTTTGCAAAGAGCCATAACTCTCCTTCTTGGCCCACTCATTCTTGGCACTCTTGAATTGCTGAGGAAAAGCTTTTGAACCCATCAGTCAAAGAGCTTGGTGCCATGGGCGGCCATTAGCTCAGCCTCATAACATCTGTTCTGTGTTTTTGTTGTATAGGGAACCTGAAGCCCACAGGATGAAAGTGAGGGGACCAGAACCAAGTCATGGAGAGGCTTCAGGGAGAGAAGCCCCTAAAACATAGCCTGTATCTTCATATTTATCAAAATTGGGTCTTTTTTTTTTTTTTTTTTTTTTTTTGGTCATTAACAAAGGTTTCTCTCAAAACGAAAAGGAAAAAAAGACCTCCAAAATAATGATTATAACAAAAATATACAGAAAATAATTCCCAAATGTATATATTTTGGGTGAGATTTTTATTATGTATAATAATATCTTCTGGGTGCCTCCTATATGCCAAGCAGTACTCTAAGTATTTTACATTTATTAATTAATGTAGTACTCACGGTAAGCCACAATAAATCAGCGGGGTAGATAACAGTATCATCTTTATCTCACAGGTGAGGGAAATGGGGTATGTCACATGTCTAAGGTCCCAGAACTACAAAATAGCAGAGCTGGGACTTGAACCCATGTTGCCTAGTTCCAGAACTCAGATTCTTAGCTATCAGATCATATTGCCTCTCATGCTTACCAAAGCATAAAAAGTCAAACAGAAAAATGAAAATCCAGTTTGGAGGCAGAAATTTCTCTTAAAGTACTGGTAATTGCTCTTACAGGAATCTAGAAATATCCAATATCTCTTTCTGGGGTCCATGGTGGGTGCACAGGACTCCACAAAAGGTACAAAAGGCATCTTTCAGTTCCTTCTGGTTCATAGACTCAGTATTGCTGTGCCACATCAGGCAGCAACAGGGCTTGCTGCACTTCCTACACTTGTGTGAGAAAGAAGTTAATGTGCCTTTGGAGCAATCATTCCCTGTTGATAATAAGCTATGTCAGTTAGGAATTGTGTCTCTTGGGCTCACTGCTGTACCTCCAGTGTATAATAAAGTGCCTGACTACAGCAGACATTCAGTCACTATTTAGTAAAGAGTTAATTCTGTCATGTGTATGTATCACATGCATGCCATATATGTTTACTGTGACTCTATCGTGAATGTATGCTTTTATTTTATTTTATTATGGAGACTGTTTTCCATAATTGTGAGTTGATAGAAAACAAACATCATACTTGACGAAATACCTAAATGAGTGCAGACTAGACTGTAAACATTGCATTTTTAAAGGAAGAAGGAATCTCTGCTTTAATCTAACTAAAATTAATCTGACAAAACTGTACATTTAATGGAAAATGGTTGAATAAAATATAGATGATATCTCTTTAAAGCATTTTTAATAAATTGGGGGCTCAAAATAAATTAGAGGTTCTCATTATAATTTAGAGCTGCCAACTATTTATTAGAAAGATTGACTTTGGTGGATATAATTTTTATGATACTATCTTTACTGCCCACATATTTTTGAAAAATATAGTCTATTAAATAGGATAATGATTCCTATTGAAGACTGTACCAAAATAGTAAAAAAAAAAAAAAAAAAATCAGTTGAATTTCATCCAGAACCAAAAGAGATTAAATTTACCTCATCCCTGGATATGGTGTATGGTATTTGGCTCAAATTGCATTTTTGCAGTAGGGTGGAGTTTGAGATCAAAAATACCAGAAAATTATGCATTTGTTGAAAGCCAACTTTCTGGCAACTAGGGTAAGCATTGTTTTGTCCTATTTCTGTGGAATTTTGGTCATATCCCAGCTATCAAAGAATATTATTTATTCCTACAGAACTATAGCCTCAAGAAAGACAGATATCGTATTTGCAATAGTCCTTAATTTAAATGTCAATTGTGTTTCTCCATTCACTGAAATAAAAGTACATATGGATAAACCAAGAGAAAACATTATACATTTAAACCCTTCACTTTAAAAATGAAAAACAAACAAAAGAAAGAGGGTGACAATTGATTGCCAGTTATACTGGCAAATCATTAACATTTTAGAGCTAAAAAAAAACCTTGAAAATAATTGTGGTTAATACTGAGTGTCAACTTGATTGGATTGAAGGACGCAAAGTATAGATTCTGGGTGTCTCTGTGAGGGTGCTGCCAAAGGAGATTAGCATTTGAGTCAGTGGACTGGGAAAGTTAGATGGACCCTCGATCTGGGTGGGCACCATCTAGTCACCCACCATTGTGGCCAGAATAAAAAGCAGGCAGGAAAAACATGAAAAGACTAGATTGGCATAGCCTCCCAGCCTACATCTTTCTCCCATGCTGGATGCTTCCTGCCCTTGAACATTGGATTCCAAGTTCTTCCGTTTTGTTACTTGGACTGGCTCTCCTTGCTCCTCACCTTGCAGACAGCCTATTGTGAGATCATGTGTTCGTGTAACTTAATAAACTCCCATCCTATTAGTTCTGTCCCTCTAGAGAACCCTGACTAATACAATAATCTATTCCTATCTTCTGGTTTCACAAACAAATAAATGGGGATAGTAAAAAGTACAATGATTTATCCATGAAATCACAACTACTGAAGGACAAAGCTGAGACTAGGACCCAGGTGTTCCATTTGTAGTCCAGATGTGTTTCATTGTTCCATGCAGTCCAGCTGCAATGCTGCCTTGTGCCACTCTTAGGAGATCTTGCTCAGTAGCATGGCATACTCAGCCTCTGGTGATAGTTCTGTGACTGGCTTTAACTTGAAGATACAATGCAGCTCCCTTGGAACCTGGCACCAAATGCCCTTGAGTCTGTGTATTGTGGTTATCAACACCATTGCCTGGACTTTGTTGGGCATGTGGGAGTTTAGTTTATTTTCAATTGTGTCATTCACTCATGACAGCCTGCATCAAACACATCATGGCCATGTATATTTTGTGCTATTATATAATAGAGATCTCTAAGAAACTTATCTAAGAGTTATTTTTTTCTGAGTAGTAAAATTCACTATATTTGCCATTGTCTGAAAAGAATTCTCTCTCAATCCCTTGCCTTCATCCTCTTTCAAAAAAAATCACATCTAATTTTTAATGGAGCATGAAAATTCCATGATAGAGCAGCACATATGAGAGTCAGAAAGACAAAACTCTGGTGTAACAAGTAACCTGTAAAGACTTGAGATGACTTCTTTGGTGCACCTAATCCTGTAATCCCATCAGTCACCAAACCAGAAAGGTCAATCCTGATGGTGTCAGTCCACCAACACAAACTTTGTTTCTGATGATATTTCTGTCCATTCAGCTGAAGTTTTATCACACAGGCTACCAGCAGATGCTTGGTTGTTCTCAGTGATGACCTGATACTGTCATGTCCATGTTCATACGTATCATCCCATTTACATTCTCATTTAGAAAACAAATTCCTTCTAAAATAAAGAATTATGTCCCATTTACTTTATCTCTTTCATTCTGCAAAACCTGGAGATGAATAGACATTATGCCATTCGCCACAGCCTATAGGATTATAATGAGGAAAGCCACCTGAGTTAGAAGTAAATCCAAACACTGTTTCATAATTGTTCATTTTCCTAGAATTGATAGAAGCACCATTTAGAGATGCAAGAAGCAGGGCAGTTGAAGTAATCATCAGCCTAATTGCCTCAACCCTTGGCTTTGTTTGAGCCCCAGGGGTCCACTTTTGGGAACTGACAGACTTAGATTGTGATGCCAGTCTGGTTTCTTGCATGCTTTCACTCAACAAGCCCCTTCATGACCACATGCATTTGATATCCACCAAGAGGACATAACATCTGCTTCCTCTCAAAAGTTCCATGTAATTTGTAGAGATCAATGGGAAATAGTCTCTGAAGCACAGAGCTATCAAGATTATTACTGTAAATTCCTAATTCTACCTATTTCATTTTAATAGAAATTCCAGTTTCATAAAATAAAAATTATTGGTAAGAGAGACTGGGGTGACATTTATAAGTCCTTTATGTAACATTTTATAGCTTTACACATAATTCAGTAATAAGAGGAAAAAGAAGAAACATTCCATATTTTCTCTCAAAATTATTTAGTCACATATATTCTTAATAGAATTCTTAAGAGAAATTATCAATTTTCATGAAATGACCTTAGTTATACCTTTGGTATAAGGATATTTTAAATTATATTAACAGTTTCATATTATAGTTATTGATAATAATGACAAATAATTCTCCAAAATATTCTAGCGGAAAACTGGAACTTTATTCCCTTTTTCATATACTCAAAGCATCATTCACTTCAGTTATTGCTATCATAACTTACAACTCAATAACGATTGTTGTGGGCAGCAAGCCACCCAGGCGCCGAGGCAAGAGACCAAGGACACGAGCTGTTCCAGTATAATAAAATATAAAACAAGAATAGTTATACCAGATATAGATCTTAGATATGATTATATATGAATATCATTAATCATTAGTTTCTAAACTATTTATAAGAGGTAACTAATACATAATAAAGTGAGCAGATGAGGTGCAATAATATCTCATCCATATCTATATCTATAGTGTTTATCCTGTATCTCAGGAATAGCAGTTAACAGCACAACTCAGAATAGAAACCCCAGTGTGAACCCCAGCCTAAGTTTCAGGTTGAAGCAGAATTAACTGACTAGAGTGGATGAGTGGAGTTGGTCTTTATTATTAGTGATCTGAATTTTTTTTTATTAAATACAATCACAACCATTCATGTACGGTGCCAAATCTTGTGCTAAGCCCTTTACATAGAATTTCCTCATTAATGATTATGTACTTGAAGCTCTAAGAAGTAGATCACACATAAGTAGCAAAGCCAAGAGTTGAACCCAGGCTCTCTGAGTCCAAGGTCAAGATCTTAATCTCATATGTAAATAGGTAGGTAAAAATTTAAAAAACTCAGGAGTTCAAGGCTGCAACGTGTTATGATCTTGCCACTACACTCCAGCCTAGGCAACAGAGTGAAACACTGTCTCTAAAAAAGCAAAAACAAAACCACACCATATTCTATCCCTTAATACATTCTAATAGCCAGAAAACTAAATGGTCAATTTCAAATAGGCAATTTGAAAAGAAGTACAAATGACTCTGAAAGTCAGAAAAGCTGTCGAATCTCTACTAATCAGGAAAATATGAATTGAAACAGCAATGTATTATCTGTTTTATCATCCATTATATTTGGATGTAAGTGTTAAAAACATTAACAATATCTGTTTTGGGTGAAGATGCTGATCTTGCTATTTCCTGTTATGTTCTGGAGATTTTGGAGAGGTGCCTGTCTCCCCTTGTCCTGGCAGCCTGTGACACTGTTATCACATTTCCCTCCCTCTGCTAACACAGAAAACCCCATGGCTAGCCCCACTATGTGTGTTCTAAGTTGAAGGAAGATATCACATCTGAGTTCCCTTTCTACTGAATCAGAAGCCTCTAGCAACCTCTACTCCTTCATTGTGACAAAGTAGCAGTGGGGTTTCAAGGTCTGACTTACCTGGCATTTATTCCAGTTCCAAGACTACCACATGCACCAGCACCTGTGCTGCAACCCTGCCCCTGAGGTCACTTCTTTTTCACATTCCTTTCTATCGATTTTGCAAGGCCCATTCCTTGCTGCTTAATCTCACTTCCTCTGACTTAACCCATTTCCTGTCTAGTACCTGTTTGCTCCTCCCTTCCTCTGGCACTCAATGTCCTTGTCTGCCTTATTTATAGTGTCTGCAAGATCTTCCTTTTCCCCTCCAAGCTTTCCTGGCTACCCTTGTTCCGAAGACCTGAACACCCTAGTTTCGCAACTTTGGGAATTCAACAACCAGTAAATTTTTTGTAAAATGTAGAGAATTGTCAGAAAACTGCCAAGTGTCAATTTTGCCAAGTTGGCCCATCAAAAATAAGAAATACCATCTATCATCACCCTCATTTTGTGAACAACAAGCATTTTAAGTTTAAAAATGGGGAAAGGTCATAATCTCAGACAATAAAAGTGTTTCTCAAAGAATACCAATTAAACAACTTTGGGTAGAGGAGAACCCTGATGTGGGGGAGGGATCTATGACTAGAAGAAGCTGATGTATTAGAAAACAGTCTGTCTGTCCAGCACAGGGATCCTCTTGGAAGTCAAAGCAAAACCACTTTTTGCAGCCCATCCCCACATCCTCTCCCACCTCAAGGTCCCTTGCTTGAGTTCCTCATCTGCTTATGCTAAAGGATCACATTAGCTGCTCATCTCTCTCAGAAAACACCATGCATCAACAGCTGCTGGCAAGCCACGGTGGAAGTGCCAGCAAAAAGATGCTCACTCATGCCTGGAGTATGCTGCTCTCCATCAGAGACACTACATAGACCCCTCATTGTGTTCTACAGCTTAGGGTACTTTAAGCCCCTCCCAAAGAGTAGAGTTCTTGACAGGCAGAGAGGCTGTGGAGGTGTGGAGGAAAAGCCTCAGCAGAAGTATTAGGGTGAAACTAGACAGTGGTGTCCCTATAGTGCTCATTTCATCAAGGATATGTAACTGTCCATAGAAAGGTTTTTAGGGCAATCACTGGCACGTACTTCAGGGTAAGATTTTAAATCCAAAGTGTTCTAATTATGGAGAATATGTTTAGGTGAACATAGTTCTTGAAATGCAGCTCTTTTCTTATAATCAAGTAAATTTTATTATTCATCCTGATTACTCATCAAAAATTTGTTCCAAAATCACAAGCTTAAGTGAATAAATGGCTTTTTTTGTTGTTATTAAATGCCTAGGTTCTAAGGTGTCAACTACTAGGTTCCAAGGTTTCAGTCCTCTCTTGTTATCAGTGGGGGATTGGTTTCAGTAGCCCCCACAGATACCAAAATTCGAGGATGCTCAAGTCCCTGATATAAAATGAGATAGTATTCGCATATAGCCTATGTACATTCTCTCATAATCTTTAAGTCACCTCTAGAGTAGTTATAATATCTAATACACATAAATGCTATGTAAGTAGCTATTATACTGTACTACTTAGGGGATAATGACAAGAAAAAAAGTCTGTACTATTCAGTACAGATGCAATTATTTTTCCGAATATTTTCAATCTGCATTTGGTTGAATCCATGGGTGTGGAACCGCAGAAGTGCTAGCAGATTTTGACCTGCATGTGCTAGCAGTAGAAATATCCTCACCCTCTGACTCAGGGCATCAAATCTTATACTTCTTATCAGGAAGCAGTGAAAGGAAATGGAAGGAACAGAGATAGGCCCACGGCCAAAAGGGCCTGAGTTATGAAAAGAAATTGGTCAACTTGGTCTACATGAGGATATCTGGGAAGGACAAACTGCATAGATGTCCCGCCTCCCCACGTGCCAAAGAAATATTAATGGTGTATTTGCTCCACTAACATTTGGTAGCAGAGGCAGTGTCTTGCCCCAGGCTTATTGCTAAATAATACAGAAGCTAGAAGGAAATGTAAGAAGAAAGTTGGGAATGTGAAACATGTGGTGAGGTCAGGACACACACACCCACATGCCCACACAACACATGACTATGTGGTTTTTTTCTATCACTGTGAACACAACTGCCATTTCTGTCACCATCATTAATTAAGAATGAAAATTCTTAAAACTTGCTGCACCATTCATCTGTAGAGCTAAGTAGGATTATTCCGGGCTTTCAGCCCAAGTTTTCTAAAAGCCTAGCTGATTAAAAGGCATTAACATTTGTGTTTTGCCAACACTGATTATACTGATTGCTGGCAAGTGTTTATGTGATAACCAAGACCTAACAAGAGAGATGCAGAAAAGCACAGTGAGCATAACACTCGTATATAAGAGATACCCACCAGTTGCTGAAGTAATCGCTTCTTCCTTGGCAAAGGAAGAAAGTTAACTCATCGTGGTCTTCAAGGCACCTTCTAGGGCTAACATTTTATGACTCTGTTGAACAGAAAACTTTTCAGAAGGCATCTGCCGAATAACATGAATAAAAATGCTTCAAAGGCTAGTTACAAATTTTAAGTACTCCATACTCTATTTTTGCCTCTTTTCCTTCTGTTTCTTACCCTGTATTCATTTTTCATTAATATTGCTAAACAAAGAGGAGAGAAAGAGAAGTTTTATTAAGTCAAATTTGATGGGATAGAAAGTTGAAGTTCTGAGATTATGCACAGAATTTTCCCACGTTTAGATTCTCTGAAATATGTCTTTCTTCAGTGGCTTTGAACAGGAAGAGTTAGCTGTGATTTGAACCTTAGCAAGCTTAAAGATTGGTTGTAAAAGCACCTCTAAAGGAGAATGCTGGCAGAAAATGCAATGAACTTCTGCTAGAGACCTCAACACAGCTGAGAATCTGGAAATTTGTGCTATTTGTGATAAGAATTTAAGCAACCAAAAGTCTTTTGTTTTTTGAAAATGAAACAAAACAAAAAGCAGCGACTTGCAAGTATACAGGAAGCTTATCTCCTTCAGTTCAGGAGTATTTGTTTGCCAACTAAGGGTTACTTTTCACAAATGTAAAGTTAAGTCAACAACTTTCTTGGCATTTATGACACTATATATAAAAGAGCCTGTGAAATATGAAATGAACTTTTCAGGTTTTGAAATTGATACACCAAGATTAGGAAAATAAACCGTTTGATGAGTGTTTTGCTGGCTCATTTAAACTACATTCCCAGTCATAACTCTTGATTTCCCAAGCAAGGAAACAGAAAGAGAAAGAGAACACAGTATGTTCTGAACAGAACTGAGTGCTCCTTGCATGACTTAGGAGTTAGATCCACGTGAAACATTTATGCTTACCATTACTTACCACTCCCATTGTTACTATTATTAATGTTGTACATTAGAATTAAGTAGTTTCCAGAGTGCTTTCATATATTTTTTTCTCATTTTTACATGACTTCCCAATACTGTGATGTAGATTAAACAGGAAGTATTCAGATATATTAAGTAATTTAGCATCCATCACCATTATCATCACCATCATCATCATTTAATGAGCACTTACTATTTGCTAGGCCCTGCACTCAATGTCTTATATGAATCATCTCAGTTAATCTTCACAACAATTCTATGCAATTGGCATTATTATTGTCTGTGTTTTATAGAAGAGAAAACATGGTTGATTGGGAACTGGAATCTGGAGCTTATGAGACCAATTTCAGTGTTCTCTCCATATTGTTTTAATAAGAGTTTAAAAAGAACAAAGAGAATCCTAAAGTTTCCAGTTCATTTCATATCAGTTTCTTTTAGACATAAATAAGACAAGAAAGAGACCATGAAAAGAAGGTTAAATTTTCAGCCTCTTCCCAAAATAAATACTTACAAAAATGCAATAGGCAAAAATATTTGCCATATCTTTTGGAATTTTGTAAATTGCAATAAACTTGCAATTCCACTGTATTTGCAGCTAAATGCAAAATTCTACATTTAATCCTGCTACTGACCAAACCATGTCTTTTTGTTAAAAAAAACAAAAAAAAATGTCTCTGTTAAAAAGCCTGACAGTGTGGTGTAGCCTACCATGACTGATAAAGCTCTTGAGCTTCCAAACCAGCCTGGTTGCAGCTTGGTTGGTCTTTAACTAGGTCAGATTCAATTTCCACTCAGTAAGTCTTTAATCAGTGTCTACTACATGATTGGTGTCAGGAGATGTGGAAGTAGACAGAACACTGGTTGTTTCTGCTCTTCTGAAGCTTACAATCAGACCAAGACAGATATAAGAGATGAATTATAGTGTAGTTTCACAACAGAAGATTTATCCTTGTCTTGGGACTTACAGGCACCTTCCCTGAAAAAAAAAATGGCATTTAGATGATACCTGAAGGAATGCCATTAGTCTGATGGAGAAATGGCATGAGGACTAGGAGACATTCACAAACTTAAGCAAAATTTACATCCCCCATGAGATGAAGGAGTTTTCCATAACCTACTACAAGGTAGAGGTTTTGAAAGAGAAGAGGTTAATATATAAAAAGTCAATCTTTAAAACATTTTCCTTGGTCAAGAATTCTCACTCTGAAGAACCTAGTTTATAACTGCCTATTCTGGAAGGAGGGTGAAAGCAACACACTACTGATGGTATCTTAGCTAATTGCAATAATGGTTTCATCAGCATCAGGGAAAAAAAGTAGGGTATGTATTTAAAAGCGCATAAGACAAGAAAGTACAGATTGAAAAAACTGATTGGAGAAGGAATAAAAATAGAGAAAAGGGAGGAATACTCTAAATTAAATAGAATTATAGTAAGAAAAACTAAAAATTTTACTATGATGAGCTCTCAATTACTTGCACGTGGCTGGAATAATTTACAACATATCATTCCATATTCATTTATACTGCACTTGGGACTACAAGGGAAGATTACATATTTGAGCAGATTCACTTTCCTATGTTTTGCTTAAGTTGGTTAAGACTATGTATGGGAAGCAAAAATACAGTAGAATCCTGGATTATTTTCCCTTCCCTTTGAATGTGAATTCCCAATTCACTTTAAAAATTATGCTTTTGTTTTGGATTGCTGAAGACACCAACTGACAGAATAAGAAAGCTGCCCATTGAGTGCTAGGAAAGGAAGAAACTGATAGCTTTCCAGAAGTAATCCATGCACTGAATAACCTCTATTTGTCCACCTCTATACACACATCAATCTTTTCCACCCTGCTCTGTGCTCCAAAGGTTGACCTGCATCAAGGAGCCCCTTGAGCTTTCAATTGGGTGTGGTCAATGGGAAGCACCAGTAGGAGATAAGAGAATGAGAGACCTATGAGATTAATGTACTCTACCTTCCCTGGGTGGTTTCCACTAAGGCTGCTCACACCCTCAAAAATAGTCCTGCATTAATCTCTCCTTAATGGCCTAAGCTTAATGTGCCATCTCTTTCCTCACCCCCAAAAATGGAAAAAGAAGTGCAATGCAAGGTTAAGGCAATGATGATAGACAAAGAAAAGGTATATTTATGAGATAGTATGTTAGATTAAGAAACCCATTTGAAAACATCTTTGAGAGATGTCCATTGTTTTCCTCTCATACCAAGAAGAGAGAGAACACCACATTAGAAGCAAATGAAAAAAGAGACAGCCAAACTATTTTGGACTGTGATTCACAATAACCCCTGAGGGATGGGGCATTTGGAGGAACTATTTGGGAGGAGTTGAAGATAAGCACATTGAACATTTCTGTAGCCTTTAAAAACAATAGTGCCTTCTAAATACTTACCTATGCAAATCTCCAGTGCCCTTTTCCCTCTTTGCCCAGGCTTAAGTAAACCAAGCCAAGATGACGTCAGTGGCCTCATTCTCACCTTCTTTCCTAAAGTGAATATTTTATAAGAATAGCTACCAATTTAGTAATCTTTTGCATAAGTATCAAGTTACAGACCTCAGTCTGCTGATGGTATAATGAGAAATAATAATTTCTTATCTCTTTACAACCACTGTGGTAAAGTTCTATTGGCTTCATCTCAGTTGTATACATTAAAAAAATACAATTTAGCTAGATGATAAATACTAACAAGTGAATCTCTCTCTAATATGTTTAAATCAATCATCAAATGTTTATTAACTACCTCTGCATCTTAGAGGGAAAAGAAGATATTACACTTCTTGAGGTAAAGCTGCTTATTTTAATGTCTCCCATCTTCCGGTGTTACTCCTTAAATAACAATGACAGCTAAATTATTTTTTCTCAGCCCAAGAATAATGCGTTGGGCTTCCTTTTTAATGACAACAATCTCTTTGTTGCCAAATGCTTCACGTCTTAAATAATGGCTTGGATCTTGGCTGCAATTACAAGATAAGCTTTTTTCTCATAACCTTTTCACAATAGATTTTCATCATCTCATTTATAAAGAAAATCAAAATTTGCATTCAACTTTAAGCTCTTGTGTCTAAAATTGGACACACCACTGGCACGTTTAGACAGTATTTATAAAGGAATAGAGTTTGCTTTAGAAGTTTTTATTTTTATTTAATTTTATCTCTAAAGGAAAAGAGAAGGAAAAATCTAATTGAAGTTAATAAAGAGCCAATAGAGGTTGAATGGCAAAGTGGCAGAGTAACTTAAAAGTGAAGACAATAAATATATTTCTATTAAGTAAAGTGTGCTAAGTCCAAGATATTCCCCAAAAAATCTATTTACCTTACAACATTTCTCAGTAACATCTGAGATCCAGATAATATGGCCCTACATGGATTTGATGTATAACAAAATGCATGTTGCCAGGTAATAAAGGCCACCATACCTATGAATTTGACACGGTGAGTGACATCTTCATTGCTCTGAATAAACCTCACAATAATAGCCATGGTCTAATAAAATCAAGATGTACCTAGGAGTTAGCAAGAAACTTCTTTCAGGCAAAGTTGTCAGTTCAATTTTTCCAGAACCCAAGCTGGGACTTTGTATAACCTGAGAGTAAACATCCCTCAGGCCAGGACTTGAGAAATACCAAACTCTAAACTTGCGGAGAAGTGTCTGTTCCTGATCCGGTGTTCCAGCTTCCTGGCTTGCTCTAAATGTCTCCTTCCTTCAATATTAGGCAAGTATTGCCAGCTTTTATGGTAGGTGGGATTTGCCCATATTACAGTCTGAAATCAGAGAAAACATTCAAAACTAAATGAGACAATGGCTAATTCAAAGGCAACATCTGTGGGAAATATGGTTGCAAACTAAGAAGGCAAGTTGTCTATCAGGAGACAAGTGATTCATAAATGTTTCTGGCAGGCACTCACACAGATGGAGTTGTACACACATGCTATTTTTTTTCCACTAAGATTTCTGCCTAACACAGAGTAAGTGATTGCAGGCCTGAGTGAATATGCATTGCAATCTGAAGCAAATGTAATGAACTTTCTGATCAAAGCACAATTGAATCTCTTTCCATGTGGAATTCACAACTCTGGCTTCTTCCTTTCAGTAGGCAACTTGGGGAGATTCTCCACTGAAATGTTTGTGCAGGTGCAAATATTGTGACTTCCCTCCTGGAGGGGATTTCAACCTTGACAGGATATAGAGGGAAGAAAAGTCCTGTGCTTATTTCCCAAGAGCTCTAGAAAAAAAAATGCCATAAATCCTGTTTGGGCCTAGGGTTGAGACATAGAGATGGTCTCTAAGTGAAAACATCACACACACAGAATTTGAGAATGGTGGAATTGGGGTCTTAAAAGTTCACAATCCAAACTTCTCATTGTACAGAAACTGAGATCCAAGAAAGTCAAATGATTCATAATTAGTCAATGAGGGAACCAGGATTAGAACCCAGTTGTCTTGATCCCTCTTGATTCCAAGTTTAGTAAGCTTTTTCCCCATTATGACATTGATTTTTTTTTCATTCATCAATTCATTGTCCACCATATGGCAAGCTATATTCTGAGTTCTGGACAAAGAACAAGCAACAAGACAGATAAAAGTTCTACCTCAATTAGTTTACATTCTTGTGGAAGAGATGAACAAAATTTAGATCAACAAATAGATAGTATCATGTCAGGTGGGTAAATGCTGCAAGGAGAATAAATGAAGGTCAAAGGATAGAG
This sequence comes from Homo sapiens, assembly GCF_000001405.40. NCBI lineage: Eukaryota > Metazoa > Chordata > Mammalia > Primates > Hominidae > Homo > Homo sapiens. The sequence continues at coordinate 99,551,206 of NC_000003.12, forward strand.
AATGATGAGGGGATGCTATACAAAAGAGATTAATCAGCCTGGGCATGGTGGCTCATGTCTGTAATCCCAGCACTTTGGGAGACTGAAGTGGGAGAATTGCTTGAGGTCAGAAGTTTGAGACCTGCCTGAGCAACATAGCAAGATCCCATCTCTATAAATAAAAAATTAGGCAGGTGGAGTGGCAGGAACCTGTAATGCCAGCTACTCAGGAAGCTGAGCTGAGAGCATCACTCAAATTGGGAATTTGAGGCTGCAATGAGCTATGATAGCTCCAGTGTACTCCAGCCTGGGTGATAGAACAAGATCTTGTGTCTAAAAAAAGAGAGAGAGGTGAGGGTTAATCAAAGGAACTGTCTCCAAGTGATATTTAAGCAGACTCTGAATGAAGTAAGGGTGCAAGCCACACAAGCAATGTGGGAAGAACTGTCTCACTGAGAGAACAATATGTGCAAAGTCCAGGAAGCTGGAATGAGCTTAGCGTGTTTTTGTATGGCTGTCATGGAATAAATGAAGGTGAGGAGGAGTGAAGAGGAGGGCAGAGAGGCCACTAGAGGGCTTTCAGCAGGGAAACAATGACCTTATTCAGCTTTTTATAAGATTATTCTGGCTGTTATGTGAAGAATGGGGGAAAGAATAAGAGGAGATCCAAGAGGCCAATGAGGAAGCATCTCCCTAAAGCAGAAGTTAAGTTCTTGAGAGAAGGGGCTTTTATTTGACTTACTCATTGTTGCAAAATTAGCACCAAGAATAGTGCCTGATACATTACAAGCACCTTCTAAGTCTTTGCTGAACAAATGGACACCTGAGAGATGGAGCTAAGGAGAAAGTTGATAGTGGCTTGGACGAGGATAATAGCAGTAAAAACAATAAGAAATTTTTGGGTGGAAGTATGTTTTGAAAGTAGAAGTGACAAGAACAGTTTCAAGATTAAATGTGAATATTTTGTAAGAAAGAACTTAAGATTGACTCCTAGGTTTATAGTCTAAGCCCACCAGGTGAATAGCATTGACTTCTCAGGTCAGTGGGAGAAATTAAGAATTCTGATCATGTTACATTTGAGCTATATACTTGTCTTTAAAATGAAAATATTGAGTAAGAAGTTGAATTAAGATGTCTGGAGCTCAGAGGAGAGATTAAGATTGGAGACATAAGTGGATAGTGTTTAAAATCATTGAACATAATAAGATGACCCAAAGAATAAGTGTGATGGGAAATTGATAAAGTCCAAGAAACTCTTGTCATTCCAACATTTACAGGTCAGTAATGAAAGGACCAACAAAGGATTTTTGATTAACACAAAATAATACAGATGAAGAAGCCTGAAAAAAAGAAACACCAAAAATTGTGGTGTGCTAGAAGCCAAGTGTGAAAGTGCATTTTAAAAAGGAGTGATAAACACTTTTAGTTGCTCCCAAAAGGTCAAGATAAAGACTGAGAATTGACCACAGAATTTGGGAACACCTAGAGCACTGGTATTCAGTTTTCATGGCATGATGAGGACAAACCTCACTGAGTGAGTTCAAGAGGAAATGAAAGAAAAAAAAAGGGAGACAATAACAGGCAATCTTTGCAGAAATTTTGCCTCATATAAAGGGAGTAAAGAAATGGAGAAACAGCTGGAAAATAACAAGGAGATCAAAGGAGGGTTTTATGGGCTTTTTTTTTTTTTAAGTGCAAGACATTACAGCATGTTTACATGCTGATAGGAAGATCCAGTAGAACTGAAGGAATTCATGTTGGAAAGAAATGGGCAAGAGAAAAATCTAGGTTAGACAACAGAAAACAAGATCCAGTGCACAAGTGGAGGACTTAACAGTAGAAAAGAGTAGACACAGTATATCTGAAAGGGACTAAAGGTACAATATACTGGTACAGATATTATTTAGTGGTAGAAAAGAAAGTCCTTTTCTACTTGCTTCTTTTTCTCCAGTGATAGGGAACTTCAAAAAGCCCATGGACATGGAATTGAAAGATAAAAACTATGAAGTATTTCTTACCATAAGCCCCATCAAGTTCAAGATGCTTTTGTAACCAATGAAATCAGCCATGGTCTATCGCTAAAGAACTGAGGGTCTTGGGAATTTAACCATGTCACTGGAGACTTTTTTACAGTATTCACTGAAAAGAAAATGGGCACCTTTTACAGATTTTTTAAGATTGGGAAACAAAAAGAAGTTAGAAGAGGCAAATTAGGATGTTAATTGTGCCCCATTTAAATCCCAAAATTGTTCTTTGATGAGAGGAATGAGCAGGAGCACTTTCATGGAGGAGAAGGACTCTCTGGTGAAGCTTTCCGAGGCATTTTTCTGCAAAGCTTTGACTAACATTCTCAAAACACTTTAATAATGTTATCATTCTTTGGCATTCCAGAAAGTCAACAAGCAAAATATCTTAAGCATCCCCAAAAAACTGATTCCATGAACTTGGTTCTTGACTGGTCCATTTTTGCTTTGACTGGACCAATTCCACTGCTTAGTAGCCATTGCTTTGATTGTACTTTGTATTCAGGATCATATTAGTGAAGCCACTTTCAACCTCCTGTTAACAATACTTCAGAGAACTTCTTCAGGATCTTAATCTCACTGCTTTAAAATTTCCATCAAAAGCTTCGCTCTTATCTGCAGCTGATCTGGGTGTAATGATTTTGACCCTAGTTGAGTACAAAGTTTACTCAACTTTAATTTTTCCATCAGAATTGTGTAAGCTGGGCCAGCTGAGATGGCTATGGTGTTGAAAATTGTTTCTGCTGTTAATCATCAATCCTCTTCAATTTGTGCAAATGAGATTAATTTTTTTCCTCACAAATTGATGGGGTTGGTTTGCCACCGTGGGCTTCATCTCCAACATTGTCTCATCCTTTCTCAAAATGAGATATCCATTTTTAAACTGCTGATTTCTTTGGGGGTTTTCCCCCATAAACTTTTCATAAAGCATCAATAATTTCATCATTCTTTTATGCAAGCTTCACCATAAATTTGTTGTTCTGACTTCAATTTTAGCAGGATTCGTGTTACACTGACAGGAGCTCTTTTTAAATTGATTTCTTATCCTTGTTAGTGTCTTCAACTAGATTCCATTCAGTCATGTTACAATAAGTTAGTACAAGTTTATTTTGGTACAAAATTTTGAAATCCATGCATAGTTTTTTTGTAATATGCATTTCCCACGAACATTTGAAGACAAACTGAATAACAAAAAGGTCATCAACTGAGAACAATGGGAAGGAAAGAGTAGCTGAGATATGAAGAAAAGGGAGAAAGTGAGAAAATGTGTAGGACATTGATTTCTGGCAAGATACTCTAGGTAGCAGCAGCAGAGAGTGAAATAGCATCGGAAAACATCAAACGCAGTCATTAAGTGGCCAAAGAATGGGGAACATCTGTGGGGCCAGGTGTGCACATATAAGGGGGAGAGGTGGGCTCCAAATAAGAAAAAAAAAATTAAGAAAAAAGAGGCAGGAGTTGTTTTAGACAATTTCTACCTACTTCAAATCCAGCTGCAAAGCTAGTAGAAGAAAGGAAATAACTAAAATCAGAAAAGAACTAAATGAAATTGAGACCCAAAAGTCCATTAAAAAGATCAATAAAATCAGGAGTTCGTTCTTTGAAAAAATAAGCAAAATTGATAGATCATTAGCTTGATTAACAGAGACGATCCAAATAAGCACAATCAGAAATGAAAAAGATGATATTACAACTGATCCCACAGAAATATAAAAGATCCTCAGAGACTATTATAAACATCTCTATGCACACAAATTAGAAAATCTAGAGGAATTCATAAATTTCTGGAAATACACAAACTCCCAAGATTGAATCAGGAGGAAAGTGGAAAGAGACAAATAATAAGTGTAAAAATGGAATCAGTAATAAGAAACCTATCAACCAAAAAGAGCCCTGAACCAGATGGATTCACAGCCAAATTCTACCACACATAGAAATAGCAAATGATACCAATCCTACTGAAAAATCGAGGAGGGGCTTGTCCCTAACTCATTCTTTGAAGCCAGCATCAGCCTGATATCAAAATCTGGAAGAGACACAATGAACCAAGAAAACTTCAGGCCAATATCCTTGATGAACATGGACATAAACATCCTTAACAAAATACTAGCAAACAAAATTCAGCAGCACGTCAAAAAGTTAATTCATCTTAATGAAGAAGGCTTTATTTCTGGGATGCAAGATCGGTTCAACATATGCAAATCAATAAATGTGATTTACCACATGAAAGAATTAAAACCAAAAACCATACAATCATTAGAGTAGGTGCAGAAAAAGCCTTCAATAAAATCCAATATCCCTCATGACAAAAAACCCTCAACAGACTAGCATCAAAGGAACATACCTCAAAATATTAAGAGCCATCTATGGCAAACCCACAGCCAACATCATGCTGAATGAGCAAAAGCTGGAATCCTCCCCTTGAGAACTGGAACAAGACAAAGATGTCCACTCTCACCACTTCTATTCAACAATGTAATAGAAGTCCTAGCCATGGCCAGGTGTGGTGGCTTATGCCTGTAATCCCAGTACTTTGGGAGGCAGAGGCATGCAGATCACCTGAGGTCAGGAGTTTGATACCAATCTGGCCAACATGGCAGAATCCCATCTGTACTAAAAACACAAAAATTAGCTGGGCATGGTGGCTCATGCTCGAATCCCAGCTACTCCGGAGGCTGAGGCAGGAGAATTGCTTGAACCCGGGAGGTGGAGGTTGCAGTGAGCCAAGATTGTGCCACTGCACTCCAACCTAGGTGACAGAGTAAGACTCCATCTCAAAAACAAAAAAAAAAAAAAAAAAAAAAGGAAGTCCTAGCCAGAGCAAAATTGGAAAAGAAGTCAAACTGTCTCTTTTTGCCAATGTTATGACTCAATACATAGAAAACCCTAAAGACACTGCCAAAAGGCTTCTGGAACTGATAAATGACACAAAGTTTCAGGATACAAAATAAATGTACAAAAATCAGTAATATTTTTATACATCAATAGTGTTCTAGCTGAGAACCAAATCAAGAACACAATCGCATTTTCAACAGCCACAAAAAATAAATACTGGCTGGTCGCGGTGGCTCACGCATGTAATCCCAGCACTTTGGGAGGCTGAGACGGGTGGATCTCCTGAGGTCAGGAGTTCGAGACCAGCCTGACCAACATGGTGAAACCCCATCTCTACTAAAAATACAAAAATTAGCCGGGCGTGATGGTGGGTGCCTGTAATCCTAGCTACTCGGGGAGCCGAGGCAGGAGAATCGCTTGAACCCGGGAGGCAGATGTTGCAGTGAGCCAAGATCACACCACTGCATTCCAGCCTGGGTGACAGAGCAAGACTTCATCTCAAGAAAAAAAAAAAGTGTAACTGTTATTTTATTTTCCTATCCCCTACCTTATATCCTTTTAGTGGCTTTTAGTTGCATCTAGGGTAAAAACTTAGATCATTACTGTTAGCATAGTCAACAAAGCTATTGAGTTTTGCCTGTCTATAGCCAGTGAAGTTGCAGTGAGCCAAGATCGTGCCATTGCACTCCAGCCTAAGCAACAAGAGAAGAAAAAAGGAAAATTAAATATCTAAGAATTTCTCTAACAAAGGGGTGAAAGATCTCTACAATGAGAACTACAAAACACTACTGAAAGAAATCAGAGATGACACAAATAAAATGGAAAAATATTCCATGCTCATGGACTGGAAGAATTAATAAAATTAAAATGGCCATATTGCCCAGTGCAATTTTCAGATTCAACACTATCCCTATAAAAATACCAATATCATTTTTCACAAATTAGAAAAACCTATTCTAAAATTAGTTGGGAATGAAAACAGAGCCAAAGCAATTCTAAGCAAAAAGAACAAAGTCTGAGGCATCACATTGCCTGACTTCAAACTATACTACAAGGCCACAGTAATCAAAACACTATGGTACTAGAAAAAAAAAAAAGACATGTAGACCAGTGGAACAGAATAGAGAACCCACAAATAAACCTGCACACCTACAACCATCTGATCTTTGACAAAATCAACAAAAGTAACCAATAAGGAAAGGACCCCCTGTTCAATAAATGGTGTTGGAATAACAGGCTAGCCATATGCAGAAGAATGAAACTGGACTGCTACCTCTCCCCATATACAAAAATTACTCAAGATGTATTAAAGATTTAAATGTAAAACCCAAAACTATAAAAATCCTAGAAGAAAACCCAGGAATACCCTTTTTGACATAGGTTTTGGCAAATAATTTATGACTCTTTCCAAAAACAATTGCAACAAAAACAAAAATAGACAAATGGAACCTAATTAAACTAAACAGCTTCTGCACAGCAGAAGATATTACCAATAGAGTAAACAGACAGCCTACACAATCGGAGAAAATATTTACAAACTATGCACCTGACAAAGTTCTTATATCCAGAATCTATACAGAATTTAAACTAATCCACAAGCAAAACCCAAAAAATCCAATAATAAATGAGCAAAGGACATGAACAGACACTTCTCAAAAGAAGACATGTATATGGCCAACAAACATGAAAAATTACTCAACAACATCACTAATCATCAGAGAAATGCCAATCGAAACCACAATGTGATATCACCTCACACCAGTCAAGAGTGGTGATTATTAAATAACAAATGCTGGTGAGGCTGTGGAGAAAAGGACATGCTTACAAATTGTTAGTGGGAATGTAAACTCCCACTATTTAGTTCAGTCCCTGTGGAAAGCAGTTTGGAGATTTCTCAAAGAACTTAAAACAGAACTAGCATTCAACCAAGCAATCCCACTACTGAGTATATACCAAAAGGAAAATAATTCATCCTGTCAAAAAGACACATATATGTATTCATTGCAGCACTATTCATTAGCAAAGACACAGAATCAACCTAAGTACCCATTAACAATAGACTGGATAAACAAAATATGGTACATATATACCATGGAATACTATGCAGCCCCATAAAAAAGAATGAAATCATGTTCTTTGCAGCAATACGGATGGAGTTGGAGGCCATTATCCTAAGCAAGTTAACCCAAGAGCAGAAAACCAAATACCACATATTGTCATTTATAAGTGGGAGTTAAACTTTGAATACACATGAATGTAAAGAGGGGAACCACAGATACTGGGACAGTAGATGGGGGAAGGAGGGAGGAAGGTATAAACTGAAGAACCACGTGTTGGGTACTAAGCTTACTGCCTGGGTGATGGGATCATTGGAACTCCACACCTCAACATCATTTAATTTACTATGTAACAAACCTGCATGTGTATCCTGTAATCTATAATAAAAATTGAAATTATAAAAAAATTAAAGAGAACATCAAGATGGAATAGATAAATCTTGCTCATTATGGATATGAAAATATTAAAAAGTAATAAAATATTTTTTCTGAATAAAGGAGGAAAGCATTTATCACCTAAAAGTATTAGTTCTTTCATTTGAATACCTCAAAATGAAAAAATATAGTCACACTCTGAGTCAACAATCACACTGACTCTGTAGGTCCATGAAGTAGGATCCATGAATACTATGACATTTAATTACACAGTAAAGCATTCTGTATAGGAAAGATTAATAATGTAAGTTAATTACCTAAGAAAAATAATAGTAACAATTACAGAATTATATTTTCCTTCAGTGTGCTTGAGAGTATAATAATTGGAAAGACTTACTCATTTAATCTGAATAGTTCTATTATTTATTCTCTATGGTGGTTTTTATTTTTAGATGCTTCGTTTTTATGGAAGGTTTTAATTAATTCCTTTTATTGTTTCATTAATCTTTTTTATATATATTTTTTATTATACTTTAAGTTCTAGGGTACATGTGCACAACATGCAGGTTTGTTACGTTTGTATACATGTGCCATGTTGGTGTGCTGCACCCATTAACTCATCATTTACATTAGGTATATCTCCTAATGCTATCCCTCCCCCCTCCCCCGACCCCACACACTGGGGCCTGTTGTTTTATTAATCTTTCTCTTAACTACAGTTTTAGATGACAGTGAGATTCAAATCTTTGAGTAGTTTGAGGGTTTCCTTTTTCCTTTAAAACTTCTAAAGCACATAAATTCCAACATGAAAGATCCAAAAAAAGCAATATAAAAAAAAAACAGCTTAGCAAGCTTGGAATTTCTTTGGGTTAAAGGAACCATAACATTGTTATTTTCAAACTGGGTTCTTGCATCACTTTGTTGGGAAAGAGGATCTCCAAAACATGCACATAACACAAATACACACACACACACACAAACTTTATTTCAAACTCAAATTTAGGGAAAGTCTTTGCATGGCATTTAGATTTCATTGTAAGGAAATGTTCTCATAGTTAATTTTCTTTTGTTTTTATTTGAATTTAAAATGAACTTTCTATTTGAAATATCTTGCATTTTGCTAATTTGATGTTGAACAGAATATTTTCAAAGTGATTAACTCAACATATTCTTCTAAGTTAAAACCCTTCTGACTTTCAAAAAAATTCTTCTTTATTTTTTCATAAGCTCCTTTTACATATTTTGCTGAGCTACATTCACACTGAGTTTCTGGAGGAATGTCACTATGAACACAAGATACACCTGCATATGCCCATTTGGATTTCTTCGTGTGAAGCAGAAGCCCTCTGGCCCCACCAGTCAAGACCACAGCTAGATGGCTACTTTTTTGAATGAGCTGAACTCAGTAGAAAGGAAAGACAAAAGGGTCATTGCTCTACAGTGTTCATTCCTGCTACGATCAATCCCTTTTTTTTCTTTGAGACAGAGTCTCGCTCTGTCGCACAGGCTGGAGTGCAGTGGTGAGATCTCGGCTCACAGCAAGCTCTGCCTCCTGGGTTCACGCCATTCTCCTGCCTCAGCCTCCCGAGTAGCTGGGGCTACAGGCACCCACCACCATGCCCCGCTAATTTTTTTTTTTTTTTTTTTTTGTATTTTTAGTAGAGATGGGGTTTCACCATGTTAGCCAGGATGGTCTCGATCTCCTGACCTCGTGATCTGCCCACCTCGGCCTCCCAAAGTGCTGGGATTACAGGCATGAGCCACCGTGCCCGGCCGATCAATCCCTTCTATCTATGTTGCTATACCCAAGTAACTGCATAATCTGAGGGCTGAGAACCAGGGCTAAGTAAGATAAAGGCTTGGGAGCCTAGGAGTTACAGAAAAGGGCCTGGATTGGAACAATTAGCCAATCTAAGGTCATATAATGTCAAAAGCTCAGTCTTTGAAGTTAGACCTATGTTTAAGATCTAGCCACACAATTTAGTGGGTGTTTAATCTTCAAAAAATGTACTTAGTTTCTCTGGCCTGAACTATACAATGGGAATAATAATGGCCCTACCTCAAAGGCTTGTAAGGATCAAAAGATATGATGATGTAAGGCGCTATACAGTTTGAATGTTTGTCCCCTCCAAAACTCATGTTGCAATTTAATTGCCACTATAACAGTATTAAGAGATGGGACTTTTAAGAGGTGATAAGGCCATGAGGTCTTCACTCTCATGGGTGGGGTTGGTAACTCTTGGCCTCTCTTGCCCTTCCACCTTCCACTATTGGATGACAAAGCAAGAAGGCCCTTGTCTAATGCCAGCCCCTCAATCTTGGACTTCCCAGCCTCCAGAACTGTGAGAAAATTAATTTTGTTCATTATAAATTACCCAGTCTGTGGTATTTTGTTATAGCAGCGCAGAGCCAATAAGACATAAGGCAACTAGCATACAAAGCATGAGTTAAGCTTTCATTGATTCAGTTTATAGACGAGGAAATGGATCTCAGTGAATGCTCAAAAAAGTCCCATGAGGTAGGCTCCATTGTAACCATCTCTGTTTTATAGATAAAGAAACCAAAGCACAGAGAGTTTGAGTAGCTTGCTCAAGAATATAGCCAGGCAGGGCCAGAGATATAATCTAACCCCAGGCAATCTGGCTTTGGAATCTCTCTTCCTAACCAGAGAAAGATAGATTGGATAAGCAAAATATCCAGTTTTTTCTGTTCTTGGATTGGTTTGCTACACAACACTGCCTTTCATAGTTCTTTGTTGAAATGAGCGTTAAGATAGTGATTGAAATTAGTCACTAGATGGAAAAGTGGAAGACATAGCAACAATGATGCCCGACAAAATCTAGCATTAGGATCCAAACAGGCAGAACTTGCTCTTATGTCCGATATGCCCATAGAAAGATAGACATCAGACACTAGGACAAGAACCAGGAAAGATGAAGAATGTAGGAGGGAACCAGCTGCTGTCTGGTGTCTAGTGTTCATAGAGCAACGCTTCAAAGCAGGGTATAGAGATGTAGCTAACACTTCCACTACAGGCTATAGAGTGCCAGTTCTCCCCTTCATTGCCCTAAACTCTAAGTTTAATTGGTGAGGGAAATAACATGGTGCACAAAAGACAACCACAGACCATAAAGAAAGAAAAATCAAAGCAAGAACAAGCACCATCTATTTCCAGGGCACCTCCCATAAAGTAGGATGGATTTGTTGAGACCTCTCTCATAATCAGCAGGGTATTTTATACTTTTTTCCTATTGATGGACACTTGATGATGGTTATAGACTTAGAATATCAGTCTGGATACACTTTGCTGATTTTGCTTAACAGAAGCATGACTCATGGTTCCAGATTAAACAGAAAACATTATGCTGGTCAAAGGCTTCTTTTTTTAGACCTCTAAGGGTCTGCACCCTTTTGCATAACCTCTACTTAAACGGCCCTCTCCTTAAACTGGGCGGTAGCTTGACATTGTAAATTTGTAATTAAACTTGCTTATACTATAATTCTGACGTCTCAAAAGTTTATTTCCAACAATGGACTACTGGAGATATGATAAAACAACCCTACGATTAGGTTGTATCTGGTTTCCCTCATATTGTAAAGTAGGTGTTGAGATTCTTCCATGATTACCTGCAAAGGGCCTAGAGAAACAGCAGCCCTTCAAACAGATCATCTTTATCTAGTTTGTATTTATATCAATGCTGTTTTTCATCCTCTCCTTTCCTCTTCTCTTTCCTCTTCTCCTCCTTTCTTCTCCTCCTTTCTTCTGTTCTCTCCTTTCCTCATGCCTTTCCAGATGGGACTCACTAAGACCATCAACCTATTCCCACATGTTTTTTCCTGTTCCTGATAGGGCAAACAAGCTGTGGCCAATCAGCACCAATACCAGGGACAGCTCCTTTCCCTAGGGCTTCCCCGTCAGGTTAGGTTCCCAATTGTGATTTTTATTGCAAGGCTGACATTTGTAGCTAGAAGATTCTTCAATCTCCCACCCTCATTGTAGTTTTTAATACCAGAGTCTGGCTGAAGCATTAAGTGTATCTGCTGCAATATTTTCTTAGCTCTCAAGGTCTAGTGGTAGATAAATGGAGACAGCAAAGGCTCACAGGAAGCATATTTTATCACAGTCCAGTCTAAAGTCAGCATTCACAAATCAGACTCTACTGGCATTTGTGAAGGGCCAAGTCTCAGATGGATGCTTAGGTACATTCGGAATCATGGAGGGTATGGTATGGGTGAGGAATAATATAACCTCTGCATCAGTATTTCAGGGTCCCTTCTGGCCTGAGTTGAACTTGCTAGGCTGGGCTCCTGAAACACCTCTTTGCTTTTAGGGCCTCAGCAAGCTCTGTTGATGCCTCCACAAGCTCTCACGAGTGGCAGCACTGTTCAGACAGACCTAACAAGCTTTAAATGGCAATTCTAGTATAATTTTAGCACATTTCATGACATAGCCCATGTGCTCTGGGATATTTTAGACAATCGCTTGGAGTTCCAACTCAGGTTCATATGTTCTCTGTAGGCATCCACAGAGACTGAGTTGGAATATGGTTCAGAGACAAGGACTGTTACATTTTGGGGAGTCAGCGTGCCCTGGAGGAAACTTATAGAGCCAATTAAGTCTCTTCAGGGAAGCCACATAAGGTACTCTTGTCTGGGAAAGCAGGTTCCCCCAGATCTAATACAGAGTACTGATTTATTACAGAGTAGTCCCTATATTCTCCAACCTACCTGATCTAACTCACAGAGAAATTTATGACCTATATTAATGGAATTTCAAGCACATATTTTTCCCATGTGTTATCAGAGTAATAAAACATTTGAGGATTCTTTTCATATTTCTCATGTGGGGGTCTAGCACCTCAGCATATATTTCTAGGAAGAAATAAGCAAGAACAGTTGGTATGAGTTTTCTAAGCTAAAAAAAACTTTCTACAACAAATAACTTTCTGAGATTCAATATGTTCAGCTGTGACTATGCCAGAAAGTTCTAAGTAGGCAGCTTGACACTTGCCCTTAAGTTCAGTGAGCATGTTTCAAGGAATTCAGAAAATGAGAAGCTGGGTACCTCAGCTCAAGAGAGCTAAATGAGTTTGTAGTTATAGGCTCAAAGACACTGGGCTGCTAGTGGTATGAGTGTAGCTATAAGAGTGGGCCATCTTTAAGTTGAGGAGACACATTTATCAAACTCTTGAACTCTAAGGAGCCACTGGATTGTCCTGACCTACATAAATGTGATTTTAGAAAGAGTTAACGTTGCTAGTGGATCAAGACATTTTGCAGGAAACTGTGTCAACTCCTTGAGGGGAGGCCTTTGTCTCTGTTGTTTACTATTGAATCACTAGATCCTATAACATGCCTGGCAAGAATATGTATTAACGGATTGGTAAGGGAATCCAGAACACAATTAAAATGCCCAATAAGCTTGACATATATGGCCAAAGGAGGCTTAAAGCTTCAGGAGAGCCAGATATGGCCTGTTTCTCAGGATACTTTCCGAGTATTAAGATCATTCAGGAAGCTTGTTAAACTGAATATTCTCAGACCTCTGCCCAAAGCTTCTGATTCAATATATCTCCTAGAGTGGGGCTTTAGAATTTCTTTTTAGCAAGCCTCCAATGAGGTGAATTTAAAGTGGTTTGTAATTTGAGATGTACCAAACTAATCTCTCCAAAAATGTGACTGGTCCCTAGTCCTAGAACTAGGAGCATAATTGCATTGGTCTTCATAGGAAATAAATACAGAGCACTGGCTAGCTATCTTCGGGCCATCTCTAGAATAGCCTTGTTCCCTGGGAACACCCAGAAGCCCAAGTCTAAACTCAATCAAATACTCAGAGAACCTATATTGAAGGGAGTGCTTCAAATAGAGGTAGAAAGTGTGAATTTTTCTAAACATTTCAGTTTTAAGGCAGTCATTTCGATGGTGGAAGTAATAGATAGTATCTTATTCCATCCTGTGTCTCACAGGACAATTTATCTACAATTTCTAGGCATTCATAATAATATTATGCTAGTTTCATATGTACACGTTCTCTTGATGATGAGAGCTTGGTCTGGGCTTCATTATATCCAACAAAATTAACTGAAATGTAATAGATATTTTACAAGTATTCCAGAGGTGCCATTTTGACTGTATATGGCAGAAGACACACATTACCCTAGTACTAAATTCACCCACTTCTGTTTGATGAGAGAGCAGAAGTAAAACGTGTCTAGGAAATTTTAGGAGCGACCCAGAAGCTACAGAGATCCCAGTAGATGAGAAAGACCTCTCTTTTCAAGAACTTTTTTTTTCCTATGGAAATGGAATTTCCTGATTTTTCTTCAACTTTTATTTTAGGTTCCTGGGGTACATGTGCATATTTGTTACATGGGTAAATTGCGTGTCACTGAGTTTGGTGTACAAATAAATGATCCTGTCACCCAGGTTGTGAGCATAGTACCTGAAAAGTAGTTTTCAACCCTTACTCCCCTCCTACCCGTACCCCAGGTGGTCTTCAGTATCTATTGTTCCCATATTATGTCCATGTGTACTCGATGTTTAGCCCCCAGTTATAAGTGAGAACCTGTGGTATTTGGGCTTCTGTTCCTGTACTAATTCACTTAGGATAATGGCTTCCAGCTTCATCCATGTTGTTGCAAAGGACATGATTTCATTCTTTTTATGGCTATACAGTAGTCCATGGCACATATGTATGACACTTTCTTTATCTAGTCAACCATTGATGGGCATCTCAGTTGATTCAATGTCTTTGTTATTGTGAATAGTGCTCCAGTGAACATACAAGTGCATGTGTCTTTTGGTAGAACCATTTATTTTCTTTTAGGTATATAACCAGTAATGGAATCACTGGGTCTAATTGTAGTTCTGTTTTAAGTTTTTTGAGAAATCTCCAAACTGCTCAGCCCCTGTGGAAAACAGTTTGGAGATTTCTCAAAGAACTTAAAACAAGCTTGCATTCCCACCAACAGTGTATAAGCGTTCTCTTTTCTCCACACTCACCAACATCTGTTTTTTTTTTCTTTCTTTTTTTTTTTTTTTGGCTTTTTATTAATAGCCATTCTGACGGATGTGAGATGGCATCTCATTGTGGTTTTGATTTTCATTTCTCTGATGATTAGTGATGTTGAGCAGTTTTTCATGTATTTGTTGGCCATGCGTATGTCTTATTTTGAGAAGTATCTGTTTAGTCCTTTGCCCATTTTTAATTGAATTTTTTGTTTTTTACTTGTTCAATTGTTTAAGTTCCTTACAGACTATGAATGTTAGACTTTTGTTAGATGCACAGCTTACAAATATTTTCCTCCATTCTGTAGGTTGTCTGTTTATTCTGTTAGCTTCTTTTGCTGTGTAGAAGTTCTTTAGTTCAGTTATGTCCCACTTGTCTATTTTTGTTTTTGTTGCAGTTGCTTTTGGAGACTTAATCACAAATTTTTTGCCAAGGTAGATGTCTACAAGGGTATTTCCTAGGTTTTCTTCTAGGATTTTTATAATTTTAAGTCTTATATTTGAATCTTGAGTTATTTTTGTATATGATAAGAGGTAGGGGTCCAGTTTCATTCTTCTGCATATGGTTAGCCAGTCATCCCAGCACCATGTATTAAAAGGAGAGTCCTTTCCTCTTTGCTTGTTATTATCAACATTGTTGAAGATCAGATGCTTGTAGGTGTGTGATTTTATTCCTGGTTTGTCTATCCTGTTACACTGCTTTGTATTTTTATATCAATACCATACTGTTTTGGTTACTGTAGCCTTGCAGTATGGTTTAAAATCAGGTAGTGTGATGCCTTGGATTGCTTTGCCTAATTAGGTTCTGTTTTGGTTTTATATGAATTAAAATAGATGTCTCTAATTAAGTGAAAAATAACATTGTTAGTTCATAAATTGCTTTAGGCAGTATCGTTATTTTAATGATATTGATTCTTCCAATCCATGAGCGTGAGATGCTTTTCCATTGGTTTTTATCATCTATGATTTCTTTCAGCAGTGTTTTATAGTCCTCCTTGTAGAAGTCTTTCACTTCCCCGGTTAGACATATTCCAAGTATTTTGCATGTGTGACTATCGTAAATAGAATTGTCTTCCTGATTTGGCTCTCAACTTGAATGTTATTTGTGTGTAGAAATGCTACTTATTTTTGTACATTAATTTTTGTATCCTGAGACTTTACTGAAGTCATGTATTTGTTCCAGGAGCCTTTTGGTGGAGTTTTTGGGGTTTTCTAGGTATAGAATTATATCATCAGTAAAGACAGATAATTTAACTTCTTTTTTTTTCCTATTTGAATGCCTTTTATTTCCTTTTCTTGCCTGATTGCTCTGGCTAGGACCTCCTTTAGAAATCTTTACTGAAGCATTACATCTGCAGCTGGACAAGGCATGGCATAGTCACATATGAGTTCTTTCTGTAGGAAGCCATTAACTTATTATAAGGTAGGAACTGTACAGCACGGTGATTGTAATCCTAGACTTTTTACTCAATAAACTCCTAGGAGATTCCAGAAATAATACCTAGGGAAAGAAGTTTAGTCTGCAGCAATTGTACTAATAATTTTAACATTTTCAATGTACCCAGTGATAACTCCTCGTTATATCAAAATTACTTGAGGTAATGGTGTCTTTGAATGCTTTCATAACTCAGTCGGGTTCCAACATGAAGCCTCCTATAACCTTGCACATGAAGAGAAAGGAAAAGAACTAGTGGAGATGTGATTTTTGGAACCTGACTAAATACAGAGAAGGTCTCGGCCAGAGCAGCTGAACATATGTAATATTTTAGTATACGGTGTGTAGAGGTCAAGTGATATCCTGACAAACTTGACTGCTGTTTGATGTTTTTGTGAGCCCAGAAAGAGTAAGTACATGGATCTAGAGCTCAAGAATAAAGCCAGGAATCCATTTTTTTGTTGTTGTTGTTCTGCAAATTGCTTTATTCTCTTAACTCAAATGTGTATATTCCTGAAAAGCCACATTTTATTTATTTTTTTATTTTTCTGGACTTAGAGGTACAAGTGCAGTTGTGTTACATGCATATCTTAGATAGTTGTGAAATCTGAGCTTTTAGTACACTCATGATCCTGATAGTGTACATTGTACCCCACAGGTGACATTTTATCTCTCACCTCTCTTCCAATCTTCCAACATCTGGTGTTTCCAATATCTATTATTCCACTCCATATGTCCATATATACCCATTGTTTAGCTCCCACTTATAAGTGATAACATACAGTTTTTAATTTTCTGTTTCTGCAGAGGTCGAATTAATTCCTTATTTAATCCACAAGACAAAGATCAACTTCTAAAATCTGATGGGGCCAAGAAATTTCCTGAAAATCACATGTGGATTTGGAGGGCCTATCAATCAATTATCGCTACAATAATGCTGCATAACAAAATCTACTAAACATTATTGGCAAACAACAATAAGCACTTATTTAGCTCTTGCAGTGCAGGTCTACTAGAGGTAGCTAATCCCAGCTGGACTTGACTGAATACTTACCCCCCACCCCACACCCATATGTCTCTCAGCTTTCTCTTAAGACTAACAGACTAGCCTGGGAATGTTATTCTCATGGATTGCAGAAGCACAAGACAGCAAGTCGATACACACAAAGTCTCTAGGGCCTAGGTTCATAACTGGCACCCTAGACTTGCATCTAATTCTATTGGCCAAAACAAGGCTTGTGACCAATCCCCAAAGTCAAGGGTGAGGAAATAAACTGTAGCCTTTTAATGAGGGAAACTGAACAGTCACATGGCAAAGAAGATGAATATAGGGGAGAGAATGGAATTGTGATCTGCCACAGAGGTGGTCAACAAGCAGACCAAATAACAAGCAGACGATAAATGGGACTTCTGTACAGATATGAAGATGACCAGCAGACCCGTCATCTTAGGCCAAGGCTACTTCTGCAAAGTGTGCTCCCTTTATGTGATAGTTGGCCTTTGTTACTATTGAATCCACAATAAGAATAATGAATATTGAATCAAATCTACTCTGGTCAATACATACCTTCTGAAATAGCTCTACAAAAATGAAATGAATACTCATTCTTCCCCTTAAATACTATTCTTTAGATTTACTAAGCATATCACTAATACTTATGAATAAGTAAAAATATCCAAAGTAGTTTATAAATCCCATATTATTTGGACACAGAGTGGTGCTCACTAGTTATTCCATAATAACTAATGGGGAAGAGATAACCTCTCATAGTCTTTACCAAGCTTTAATGATTTGACCATCTGGGTGTAGATAGCATGAACTTCAAAATTTCTCTTCAGAGATTTCTAAATGTATTAAATTCTCAGTAGGCTTGGCAGTAATTGTAGATTGTGTTATGACTATCAAGTGAGAAAGCTAGGTCCACCCATCTGCTACTTAGGAATTACAATAACATTAAAAGGAATTCGATAAGGCTTTGGCAACTTAACTATGTCCTTGCATTTTGAAGAGGGTGTGAATCCATTCAAATTACCCTCCCTGGTGATAGTGAAAATATTTTTTAGAATCAGAGAGATTAACACAACATTTGCCATTTATTTGATTTTTGGATCATACTTACAAGATTGTCATCTGTCTTCACAAACTTTCTTGTTTGTTTTTCAAGTGTCTTGCCAGAGTATTTTATCTCAGAAAATTTAACCACATGCAACTCAGCAGCTGTTCTTAGTTATTATCTTCAGGTTAAATCAGTACACACACTATAAACTAAAACTTGCCCTGCATGTTTTGTTTTTAAAGTTAGCAAGTGCATTCACAGCTTTGAGACTTGTATTCCCTCTCCCAACCCCCAGCATTTCCAGCATTCTCCAAATCAGGATGTTTCAAGGAGTATCAATAAGTCATCATACTTGAAAAAGTGAATATATTTTTCAAAATATAAACACCATTAAGAAAAAGTAAGATGCATATTACTTTGGTTGCCTGGATTGTCAATGACTGCTACTGGAAAATGTATCTGCCTATTTAACCATAGTCTCACAAAAGCATATAAATAAATAAACACATTTAGACATGATTGAATAAAACCCCATTCACTAGATAATCCCCTTTATTTTTCTAAATAAGGTATGCCATCTAGCTTCCAGGGAAAGAAATAATACTGCAAAAGATTCTTCCTCTAAGATGACTGCTAGGCAAATGTAAGCTTTTTCCATTTAGGAAAATCATGTGAGGGCTTTTAAGACATTTTAATACTTTTCAAAGTGAGAAATTAGGGCACCAAAAGTTTCCACTGATAGGACATTGTGAATGCACAACTGGATGTCATAGCTATAACATGAACTCTTCACCTCATGTAGCTGCTGCCTCGACCAGTGACTTTCAAACATTTCTGACAATGACACACAGCAAAATACACATTTAACATCACAACTCAGTACGCACATACTCATAACCTCAAACATACACACATACATGAATCAACAGTTTTAGGAAATGGTGCTTATCTTCAGTATATAAGATATACCCTGATACTTTGCTTCTGTTCTATTTCATTATGTTTTCAAATGCTGATGGTGATGCACTGAAAATGATTGCATAAACTACTAACAGACTGTGATGTACTGTGTAAACTTTGGAGAAGTTGAAACTTAAGAGATGTCCAAGTTCAGATTTCCTGGAAATCAGACCCCATGGTAAGGTTTTAGTGTTGGGGGGCTTTATCTCAGGAAAGCAAGAGTAAAAGGAAGAGTGAGTCAGGCAAAACGAAGATCACATATAAAATGGTGCATTATTCAGCTGGCCACAGCTTTATAAGAACAAACAGCTGGTTGCTCAGTCACAAGGGAGGGACATCCCCAGAGTGGCCACATGGCACCATTACATCCTAGAAGAGTCCTTTGTAGAGGGTGGATGAGGAAGGGCAAGCTATTGACTACTAGCTCCTTCTCATCTGCAGTCTCTCATTGGTCAAACTTCATCCCAACTCAACTCCTTTCCCCACTATTTCTAGATTGCATCACTCAGTCCTTCTGGGCAGAGACTCCTCAAATGAGGTGAGACCTGTGCCAAGGCTCACCTTGGAAACACCTGCCCTTGGAAACAATGCCAATGGCCAGGTTTTACCCTCAAGGGAGGCTGAGACAACCTAAGATTAGGGACTGGTCATACAGCTAGTGCTTATGACCTTAGAAATGACCTTAGAAATGACACAACCTGTCACTGTTCTCTAGCTAGGAAAAGGGACAAGCAGCTAAGGCTCAGGAGTCACGTAGGGCTGAGCACATTTGGGGATGCCCAAAATTAGGGCCACTATTTGGGAAAAAGCACAGATCTTGGAGTTGAATGCTCCTAGATTCAAATCCTCACATCTCTACTTCCCAGCTATGTGAAATCTGTGTAAGCTGCTTTACCGCTTTGATGGATGATACTAATATCCTTGCAGAGCTGCTATAAAAGCTAGAGATAACATGATTTCCTCCAGAAAGGTCTTTCCTTTCCTAGATTTATATCCAGTTTATTATAGTTTATATTTTTATGCTAGCATTTTTTTTCCTTTCTTCTGTTAATTAATGCAATTAAATAGGCAAACTTTTATTTCTGGTATCAAAGGAGAAGTTTTCAGTTTCACCATTAAGTTTTATTTCTGTAATAAGGTTTTGTTAGTTGCTTCTTTTCAAGTTAAGTTCTTTTTTATTTCTAGTGTTCTGAATTTGTATCATGAATGTATTTTGAGTTTTATGAAATGATTTTCAACATCTATTGACATATTGCTTTTTGCTTTTATCTGTCAATATGGAGAAAACTATTGACTTTTCTAATGTTTCTTAAAAACTTTTCATTCCTGCAATAAACACAACTTCAGTATAATGCATTATTCTTTTCATATATTGCCGGGTTGGCTTTGAGAATACTTTGCTTAAGATTATTTTTATCTATGCTCCTAAATAAGATTTGCCTTGAATTTTCCTTTCTTGTACTGTCCACATTTGGTTTTTGGTATCAAGGTTACAACAGCCTCATAAAATGAATGGCCAGGCATGGTGGCTCATGCTTTAATCCCAGCACTTTGAGAGGCTGAAGTGGGAAGTTCAATTGAGCCCAGGAGTTCAAGACCTGCCTCAACATGGCAAAAACTCATCTCTACAAAAAATACAAAAATTAGCCAGACACAGCAGCATGCACCTGTATTCCCAGCTACTCTGGAGGCAGAGGCAGGATCATCAATTGATCCCGGGAGGTTGAGGCTGCAGTGAGCAGTGATCATGACACTGCACACCAGCCTGGGCAACAGAATGAGACTGTGTCTGAAAAAATAAATAAATAAATAAAATAAAATGAATTCTCTTTCACTCTAAAATGTTCCCTCTTTTACTCTATTTTGAAATTGTTTCTATAAAGTTGAAATTATTTGCTCTCTGAATGTTTGGTTGGACAGCATGGTAAATTATCTAGGCCTGGAGTTATCCTCTGTGGGAAGATATTTAACTACCTGTTCAATTTCTTTAATGATTATGACCTTTCATGTGTCCTATTTTTTAAAATCAATTTTTGTAGCATTTTCCTAGGAATTTGTCCATTTCATATAAATTTTCAAAGTAACTGGCATGAAATTATTCATTCTATCATTTTATTTTCTCCTTAATAGTGGCAGCTATATTCTCTTTTTTTTCCTCATATTATTTACTTGGGATAGCTCTTTTTCCATGATCAAAGATTTGTCAAATTTATTAGTCATTCCAAACAACCAACTTTTGTTTTTGTTCATCCTTTCTACTCTATGCTTATTTTCCATTATATTAATTTCTGCTCATATCTTCATTATTTCCTTTGTCCCAGATTCTCTGCATTTACTTCAGTTTTCTTTTCCTATCCTCTTAAGATGGCTGTATCAGTCATTAATTTTCAATCTTTGTTTTTGTTTTAATATAATCATTAGAAGCTAGAATTCTTTCTAATTGCTGCTTTATCTGCATCTTATAAGTTTTAACGGTAGTATTTTCACCATCATTCCATTCTAAATATTTTCTGGCTTTACTATGATTATTTTCTTTGACTTGTGGTTTATGTAGAAATGTATTTCTTAACTTCCCAATACATGAAGTTTTATTGGTTATCTGTTGGTTATTGATTTCTAGTTTAACTGAACTGTGTTCAAAGAATGACAGGTAACTTTGAAAATTATTGAGACTCGCTATATGGTCAATTTTTGCAAATGTCCTTTGTGTTCTTGTACAGAATTTGTATTCTGCATTGTGTGAGTACAATACTACACAAGTCTATTAGGATATATTTGGTAAATTGTATTGTTTAAATCTTCATTTTCCTTACTGATTCCTTATCTGCTCCATCACTTCTCTTCTGATAGATATCTTAAAACCTCCTTTATAATTGAGAATTTATTTATTTATCTTTAATTTCTGTCCATTTTTGTTTCATTAATTTTGAGATATGCTATTAGGTTCTATTTATCTTGCCTTTTTCTGATTCCTTTTTTCTCTCATTTCTTGCCTTTTTAAAATTGGTTATTTTTTATCACCTTTTTTCCTCTACTAGTTTCAAAGACATGTACCATTTTTACTATTTTAATGGTCTTCCTAGAAATTATAACATTCATACCATAGAAATATCTTCATTTCTGTCTTGAACAACACAATTTTAACTTTATTCATTCCCTTCCCAATTTAAGTGCTATGATTTTCCAGTATTTTAGTTCTGCCTTTTTTTTCAGTATTTTACTTTTGACCTATTCCTCATTCCCTTCTTTCTTTCTCTTTCTTTCTCTTTCTTTCTTCTTTCTTTCTTTCTTTCCTTCATTTTTTTGAGACAGAGTCTTGTTCTGTTGCCCAGGCTGGAGTGCAATGGCATCATCTCGGCTCACTGCAACCTCTGCCTCCAGGGTTCAAGCAATTCTCATACCTCAGCCTCCTGAGTAGCTGGGATTACAGGTGCACACCACCTTGCCCGGCTAATTTTTATACTTTTCGTAGAGACAGGATTTCATCATGTTGCCCAGGCTGGTCTTGAACTCTAGACCTCAGGTGATTCACCTGCCTTGGCCATCTTTATTTAAATTTACCATAATCTTTGCTCAGCATTTCTTACTGCATCTCAGATTTCCCATCTAGGATCATTTTCATCCTTCTTGAAGTATATTCTTTAGAAATATATCCTTTGATACAAAATCAACGTACAAAAATCAATAGCATTTCTATACACCAACAACATCCAAGCTGAGAGCCATATCAAGAATGCAATCCCATTCACAATAGCCACACAGAAAAATAAAATAAAATACTTTGGAATACAGCTAACAAGGGAGGTGAAAGATCTCTACAATGAGAATTACAAAACACTGCTGAAAGAAATCAAAGATGATACAAACAAATGGAAAAACATTCCATGCTCATGGATAGGAGGATTCAAAGTCATTAAAATGGCCATACTGCTCAAAGCAATTGATGGTTTCAATGCTGTTCTATCAAACTACCAATGACACTTTTCACAAAAGTAGAAAAAAAAACACTATTGTAAAATTCGTATGGAATTAAAAAAGAGCCAGAATATCCAAAGTCATCCTAAACAAAAAGAACAAAGCTGGAGACATCACACTACTCAACTTCAAACTATACTACAAGGCTACAATAGCCAAAACAACATGGTTAAGGTACAAAAACAGACATGTAGACCAATGGAACAAATTAGAGAAATCATATATAAAGGCACACACCTATAATAATCTAATCTTTGACAACATCAACAAACCAAGCAATGGGGAAAAGAACCCCTTATTCAATAAATGGTGCTGGTATAACTGGTTAGGTTAGCCAGATGCAAAAGATTGAAACTGGACCCCTTCCTTTCAGCATATACAAAAATAAACTCAAAATGGATTAAATACTTAAATATAAAACCTCGAACTACAAAAAACCTATAAGAAAACCTAGGAAATGCCATTCTGGATGTCAGCCTTGGCAAAGATTTTACAACAAAGCTCCAAAATCAATTGCAACAAAAACAAAAATTGACAAAGGAGACCTAATTAAACTAAAGAGCTTCTGCACAGCATAAGAAACTATCGACGAGTATACAGACAACCTACAGAATGGGAGAAAATATTTGCAAACTATGCATCCAACATAGGTCTCATATCTAGAATCTGTTAATATAAGAAACTTAAATTAGCAAGCAAAAAATAAACAACTGTAGTAGAAAATGGACAAAGGACATGAACAGACACTTCTTTAAAAAAAGACATATATGTGGCCAACCAATATATGAAAAAATGCTCAGCATCACTAATGATTAAAGAAATGCAAATCAAAACCACAATGAGCTATCATCTCACACCAGTCAGAATAGCTATTACTAAAAGGACAAAAAATAACAGATGTTGGTGAGGTTGTGGAGAAAAGGGAATGCTTATACACTTTTTGTGGAAATGTAAATTCGTTCAGCCTCTGTGGAAAGCGGTTTGGAGATTTTTCAAAGAACTTATTAATAAAACGAAACTACCATTGGACCCAGCAATCCCCATTACTGGGTATATGCCAAAGGAAAATAAAAACACATGAACACATATGTTCATAAAAGCACTATTCATAATTAGGAAAGGCATGGAATCAACCTAGATGTTCATCAATGGTTCACTGATAAAGAAAATGTGGTACATATACAGCATGAAATACTATGCAGCCATAAAAAAAGCACAAGATCATGTCCTTTGCAGCAACATGGGTGAAGCTGCAGGCCATTAACCTAAGTGAATTAATACAGGAACAGAAAACCAAATACCACATCTTTTCATTATAAATGGGAGCTAAACACTGAGAACACGTGGACCCAAAGAAGGGAATGATGGACACTGTGGCCTACTTGAGAACGGAGGGTGAAGATGTAAAAATAACTATCCTAGTACTATGCTCATTACCTGGGTGACAAAATAATCTGTACACCAAATCTCAGCAACATGCAATTTACCCACATAACAAACCTACACATGTACCCACTGAACCTAAAATAAAGTTGGAGAGAAGGGGGAAAATATAATACTATGATGTAAATTGAAAAATAAAAAATAAAAAGAAATTTATCCTTTGGAAAGTACTTTAATGATGATCTTTGGGTAGTCAGTTGAGTTTCACTTTAGGTTTGCCTGAAAATGTTGTCATTTTGCCTTTGATTTATAGATAGTTTCACTCAGTTAAACCTTCCTAATCAGCAATTATTGTCTCTTACCATATGGAATATACTATTTCTCTTGTTCTGGTTTTCATTGTTGCTGCGAGAGACCAGCTGTCAACCATTCCTCTGTAGGTGATCAGTTTATTCCTTCTGACTGCTTTAAAGATATTTTCTTTGTCTTTGGTGTTTTGTAGCTTACTCATGTATTTTGGTAAGGATTTCATTTTTAACGTCTGCTCTGGATTTATTGGAATTTATGTATCTGAGGATTTATGTCTTTCAATAATTTTGGGAAA
This sequence comes from Homo sapiens, assembly GCF_000001405.40. Classification (NCBI taxonomy): domain Eukaryota; kingdom Metazoa; phylum Chordata; class Mammalia; order Primates; family Hominidae; genus Homo; species Homo sapiens. The sequence goes on from NC_000003.12 coordinate 99,575,898, forward strand.
TCCTCAGCCATCATCTCTTTGGATATTACCTTTTCCCATACTCTTTATTTTTTTTGTTGAAACTCAAATTATACTTACATTAGATATCTCATCCTCTCCTGTGTGACTTTTAAGCTCTTTCATATTTTCCAAATATTTATCTTTCTTAGTGGAGGGTGTGGAATTTATAGTTCACCCTCCCTGTTGTTCACTCTCTCCGTTGAAGGGAGAGTGTTTTTGTCCCAGTGTCCCATGATCTCTGTTTCTTGTCTCATAACTCTGTGAGGAAATTGAATCTGAAGGCTACTATGTTCAGTAAATGTCCTCTGGATAAAGTAAAATTTAGCAGTAGTTTAGCTGTCTGGACTTCTGTTTTATCGAACTAGATTTTAGCCAGATAGTTATCTACCTTATTGCCTGCTCATTGATGCTTTTAAGCACTATTAGATAGCATTTTTTAATGGTTTTCATTGGGAAAGTTTATTTGAGTATCTGTCCCACCATATTATCAGAAATAGAAGGTGATATTATTTATATAAATTATCAGGCAGGGGTTAGGCATTTAATAAACAGTAGCTATTGTTATTATTGTTTATTCTACTAGCCTAACCAGCTTCTGTCTGTTATCTTCTTTCGTTCATGAAAATGTCATGCATGGAAAAAAATGATAGGTTTTTTAATCATTAAGGGAATAATTCTTCATTTGTTTTTCTATTAGTAGAATGTCAAGGACAAGTTCTGAATTCTAATAATTTGAACCAGAAAAGTAAAAAGCATGGTCATACATGTGTTCCAAGGCTCTGTAATAATAATAAGGAAAAGACAAACAACTCTCTTTATTTTAGTTTTGAAGACAATAACTTTGATCATGCAAAACACAGTGAAGAGTTGAAAAAAAAAGCACTCAAACAGATTAAACTATACAGCAAACTTTGTCAGAAAAAGAGAAAATGAAAGACCTATTTTTCCACATGAATCATAAATATCAGTTGATTAATATAAAATAAAATGTTTTCATGCCTACATGACCGTATCTGATCAAAACTGCAGTGTTTGATGAGTGTTGCTGCTTCTGTCTGCAGGACTGGAAAGAAGTAAAACACTGTAATTTCAGAATTTATAAACCAGACAGGGTTGCTCTTAGGATACTGACCATGAAAGCTGTCATAATCCTAAATCATAAAAGTAAGTATGAACACGCCTAAATGCCAATATCTCTTTACTATTATCTCTTGCCAAGTTTGTACTGACAAAACTAATTAAAGGAAAAGTGATACTCACCACATTCATCTCATTGGTAAAATATCAACCACATGACTAACTTTTGAACTGTCAAGATTATGGCAACATTTAACACTTCTCAAGGGAAGATATCAAATAGAGTCCCAGATTGTTGCTCAATGCTGTTGCCTTCTTTCAGATGCGAAGATATGATTCTGAGGACAGAAGTAAGGACGTCAAGAACAGCACATCTGTAGAACAGAGTCAATCATGACAGAATAGTTATTTTATTTGTTTAGTTTTGCCCAGATATTTTCTATGGATCAAAGTTACTGAAACTCTAAACTCTCACAGCTCAGAAATGCAAAGTATTCATTAGCCATCCTACAGAAGCATATCAGAATTTAAGAGTATGTGGATATTTCCTGTTAGGTATCAGAATCATAAGGAAAGTAAATGTGGGGTCACATAAGTTGCATCCCCATTCCTGAGTAAGAGATAAGCAGTAAAATAGGGGGAAGTAAGCCAGTAAGGAGGCAGTTTGGAGGTAGTGGAAAGTGTAGAGGACAAGTTGTTTGCAAATCTCAAACAAGCCCTGGGAGAGGAACTAATAACTGGGACTTGCAGGGATCAAAGGAGTGAGGGGGACAGAATTCAGACATCTGACTGGTGTATAGAGGAACTTTACCCTGGAGTATGAACATGCAAAGGGAGGGCCAGCGCACCCTGCACAACCTGGAACCATGACAAAGGACAAATACTGGTAACTAGATTGGACACTGATGGTAGTCACCAAGGAGAAAATGCTAACTAAGCCTACTCACATTAAATTTTTGAGAAGCAGGTATAATTGCTGAATTTGCTGATTCCTGAATCTGCTCCAGACATTAAGCCTTAAATGTGCTGATGGTTGGGGCACTTAAACCGTAAGCCATAAATAATCACAATTAATCTTAGTAATGAATCAAAATATGAATCATTGTGAAGACCAAGCAGATCTATATTTTAAAGAGAAAGAAGTAAACCTAAGCATTTAAAGTTTTTCCTTCTTCACATGTAAGTTGAAGACCAGAGCAGAAAACATTCCCTAAAGCATAACTTCCAAACCACACCAAAGTCTTTGGCTCTTGACTCCCCAGTACCATGTGCTGTTGAATCAACAGTATTGTAAAACCTTTCAGTCTAGTGGGACAAATAGAAGTTGAGCTCCTATTATGTGCCAGGAAGGTGTCAGGGGACAGAGAGATAAATAAGACATTGTCCTTGCCACTGTACCAAGCATTCTCTTTTCTTCCAAGCATTCTTTATAAAAAGGCCATAAAGCCTTTGAAGAGAACTTTGTGTAATTATTTTTGATATTTACTTAGTGTTTGTGTCCATGTGGCTCTAGACATTGGACATGAGGCAGGGGCTCCATAAATCTTACTAAATGGAAAAATACCACTTATGTGACTTACATATTAGTTTCCTCTTGCTGCCATAACAAATAAACACAAAGTTAGTGACTTAAACAACAGCCACTTATTATCTCACAGTTTTGTGCGTCAGAAGTCCAGGTACAGCCTGCCTTAACTGGGTCTTCTACTTGGGGAATCATAAGGAATAAATCAAGATGTTGGCTGGGATGGGCTCTTATCTGGATGCTCTGGGAAAGATTCTGCTTCTGAGTAACATTCATTTCTCTGTGGTTATAGAACTAAGGCCTCCATTTCCTTTACACATGACCCCTTCATCAAGCCAACAATAGTACCTTAATTCCCTGACTTCCCCTTCTGTTACTAGCCAAATAAAGAACTCAGCTTTTCAGTGCTTATGTTATTAGATTAGACCTGCCCAGATAATCCAGGATAAGTAACCCCAATTATACCTGCTAAGTTCCTTGTGCCATTTAACATAACATATTCACAGGAGGAACACAAGGGAGCCAAATTTCTGCCTACCACAGCCCATTTAATTGCAAGTGATATAAAACTGCCCTAAGTGGTTTACACCAAAAGAGAGTCAAAAGAGAATGTATTAGGCAAATGGGAAGTAAAGGAGTGATGCATCTTTACCATGAATACAATCATGCCTGAAGACATTATCAGATCTCAGTCTCTGACTTTTTTTTAATCTTTCATCTCTGCTCCCCTCTGTGTGGCCTTATTCTCTCCAAGGGCAGACTAATTTTCTTTAATTCCAATTTTGTTTATTTCCAGATTAGTGACCCACCGAAAAAAAAAAAAGAAAGAAAGGAAAAAAAAAAAAAAAAGCTTTTCTCTTGCAATGTCAAATCAGAGCCCCGCTGCCTGGACTTTGAATTTAAGCAGTGTTCCAGTAGTGGGTAAATGGTTGTGACTCATTCATTCCAATACCATGATAACTCATTCTTGATACTGAGGACTCTGGTGCATGGTCACAACCCCACTAGGGCCATACGGAGTGGGAAAGAAGGTTGTGTTGGGAAAGGTAGGAAAAAAATAGCATTATAGTCTATTTCACTAGTAGTTATTTTCGAGAGTCACAAATTTCTGACTAGTCTGTATAATCTGAGAGCCAGGGCCATGTGCTAGTCACCTTTATATATTCCATAACATATGGCATAAGGCTTTGCACAAAGCAGAAGCTCAATAAATATGAATGGATCAATTGCACAGAGGTAAATTCCCCAAAGTGTTTACTATCTGTCAAAAGGCAACAAGGAAACAGACAAACTGAAAAAAATAGTGGTTTTACTACATAGTTCATGTTAATTACAACTAGCTTTACATAGTAAATTCCAGTTTACATAGCATGTCTACATATAAAGACAGCTATAATACAAGTTGGGTTTTAACAATAGCCCCATTTTACAGATGAGCCTGAGTGAGGTAGAGACTTGCCCGAAATAGTCAAAGTAGTAAGTATTGAACAAGAACATCTGATTCATATTTTCTGTTTTTTCTACGACTAAATATTGGCCAGGGAGTCACACCCCACCCTCAACTTGGCCTTGTGTTCCTTGTGCTGGGTGTTTTTGGCACCTGAGAGGAAGGAGAGTGACTGGACTGCGGTGATGAGAAAGTGTGCTCTGTGAACTGCCAGTCATTTCAAAAGAGAGGTTAATGGCGTCATGAAGTAAGACCACAAGGGGTGCCTAACTTAGACCTGCAAAAGACAGCCAGCCAGGGGTATATGAAGAAAGAGGAAAGACCCTACCCTATGTACAAAGATACACTGTTAGCTGGTTACCTGGTGTTCCAGAAGAAGAGACCACACTGGGAGGTCAGACTGTTATCCTTTCATGTTTTATGCTATCATTGGTGGGAATTCCATGTATGTCCCCTGGCAATGAATTTCTTTGAAAATTTGGTTCTGAATTCAATATCGAACTGTGGTTTTTTTTTTTTAATCCTAAGTAGAAATGGCTTGGCAGGAAGAAAAAAAATGAACCACCTGTCTTTGTCCAACTGTTTAAAATATGTTTTTTCCAAGCATCCCAGTCTTTCCACTGTTGCTTTTTTTTTTTTCCAACAAAGACCCCACTCCTTTTCACAAAATATGTTTGCACTCAGGAAGTCTTCCTTTTCTCTGAGGCAGATAAAGTTAGCAACAAAGCCACTGGTCTAAAGCATTCTTTTAATTTATGTAACAGACTACTATGGTACATCCCCCTACCCCATTCCACTTCCCAAAAAGAAGGGTCTCCTAAAATGTTCTTATGCAGATATTTGACCAGCTTTATTTTCTTTCCTCATAATACATTTTGGGGTATATGTGAAATATATAAAGAGACAGACACACACAGAGAGAAATAATTCTAGTTGCTTTTGTTGTCAGGTCTGAAACACATCTTGCACAAGTTAAAGAATTAAGAAATGAAAGACAATTCCAATTTTCTACCATTTTCTTACTTAAGGCAGTTATGGACTTTTGTTAAGCCATGAAGTCCAAAAAAAAGAAACACAACGATTTTTTTTAACAAGCATGTGGTGTATAGCAACTAATTAATCACTCAGGAGATAGGATAATAAGTATAGAGATAGATCATGAATTCCAGTTACGCTAAGTTAGTTTACTGAGTGATTCAAGTGATTTATCAACTTAGGCGCATTGGTGTGTTATTGAAAAAAAATAAACTTATCAAACTATTACCTGAAGGAAACAGGGAGCCTCCAAAGCTTTCAGATGTTTTCCCAACTAGCAGGAGGCCCCTGCTTGCTTAAAACAGTCTACGCTTTTTGTTTTCTGGGTTTTTGTTTGTTTGTTTAGAGACAGGGTTTTGCCATGTTGCACAGGCTGATTGATCTCAAACTCCTGGACTCCTGGGCTCAAGTTATCCACCCAGCTCAGCCTCCCGAAGTCCTGGGATTACAGGCATGAGCCACCATGTTCACCCTTAGTCTATGCAATTTAAGCAAGAGGTTAATGGAGAAAGTCTCTGCTTTTCTAAGGGTCTCTAAACTTTGTGGCCAGATGTTTTCAGTTGTTATATTTATATCGTCTCACTGATTCTGAGAATCCCAGCATGTATTCTGACAAGAACTCAATAAAACATCAATTCCAAGTCATCTCCTCACCAAGCTTGACTTATCAGCGTCCTCCATCAACTGCCTGGTGGAAATTCCCACCAGAAATCATTCAGGACACCAATACAGCTGAGGGTCAGAATCCTCTCTACCTTACATTTCAGACACCCCCAAATAATTGCTCTTATTTGTAAATAACTCTTAACAAAAAGTAGAAGAAAAATAAGAAGGTATCCAAGACTCAATAAAATGAGTGAAATAGCTATTTCTAGTCAATTTTATATAAACTTTATTAGGGCTCAAGAAGAGTCTGTCCTTTTTACAGAGCCATGTGTCCCTTCTCTGTAGCTTTAAAATCTTCACTGTCTTGGTGTAAAATTTAACCCAATTTATTTTAAATGTGCTGTTCTTATCTTCCTTTAATGTAACTCCTTGGATATTGATGCAAAAATTCTCAACAAAATACTAGCAAACCACATTCAACAATACATTAGAAAGAATATTTATCATGACTAAGTAGGATTTAATCCCTGGACTGCAAGGATGGCTCAACATACGCAAATCCATCATTGTGATACATCACATCAACAAAATAAAGGATAAAAAAACCATATGATCATTTCAGTTGATGCTGAAAAAGCATTTGAGATTATAAAATTCAATATCACTTCATGATAAACACCCTCGAAAAATTGGAGATAGAAGGAACATACCTCAACATAGTAAAAGCCATATATGACAGACCCACAGCTAGTATCATACTGAGTAGGGAAAAACTGAAAGCCTTTCCTCTAAGATTTGGAACTTGATAAGAGTGCACACTTTCACCACTGTTATTCAACGTAGTACTGGAAGTCCTAGCTAGTGCAATCAGACAAGAGAGAGATATAAAGGGCATCCGAATTGGAAAGGGAAAAGTCAAATTACCCTTGTTTTCCAATGATATGATCTTATATTTGGAAAAACCTAAAGACTCTACAAGAAAAATTTTAGAACTGATAAACAAACTCAACAGAATTGCAGGATACAAAATCAGCATACAAAAATCAGTAGCATTTCTATATGCCAACAATGAAAAATGTGAAAAGGGAACACTTGTACGCTGTTGGTTAGAATGTAACTTAGTACAACCACTACAGAGAACAGTTTGGAGGTTCCTTAAAAAAACTAAAAATTGAGCCACCGTTATGATTCAGCAATCCCGCTGCTGGGTATATACCCAAAAGATAGGAAATCAGTATATTGAAGAGATATCTGCACCCCCCTGTGTTTGTTGCAACACTGTTTACAATAGCTAAGATTTGGAAGCAACCTAAGTGTCCATCAACAGATTAACAGATAAAGAAAATGTACCACATATGCACAATGGAGTACTATTCAGCCATAAGAAAAGAATGAAATCCAGTCATTTGCAACAACATGGATGGAACCGGAGATAATTAGGTTAAGTGAAAATAAGCCAGGCACAGAAAGACAAATATTGCATTTTCTCACTTATTTGTGGGACCTAAAAATCAAAACAATTGAACTCATGAATAAAGAGTAGAAGGGTGGTTACCAGAGTCTAGGAAGGGTAGTGGGGGGCTCAGGGAAAGGTTGGGAAGGTTCATGGGTACCAAAAAAATAGAAAGAGTAAATAAATCCTACTATTTGATTGGACGATAGGGTGACTATAGTCAATAATCACTCAATCATACATTTTTAAATAACTTAAAAAGTATAATTGGACTGTTTGTAACTCAAAAGATAAATGCTTGAAGGAATGGATATCCCATTCTCCATGATGTGCTTATTTCACATTGCTTGCCTATATCAAAATATCTCATGTACCCTATAAATATATTAACCTACTATGTACCCACAAAAATTAGAAAATTTGTTTAATAGTTTAATATAGCTCCTTGAGGGTAAGAATCAGTGTATTTCCTCACTGTACCCAAACCACCCCTCCCAGCAACATACACAATAGTTTGCACTAAGTAGAGAAGATCAATAAATAGGTAATAAAAATTAGATGCCCCAGAAAAATAATCAATTACTTTTACCTTCTAGACAACTGATTGATGACCAAAGTATTAAAAGAGAATTTCAAAAATTCAAAAAGATCTTTTCTATAAAAGCATACAGACATGTAAAATGAACAATCTTCGTTATTATATTTCTGGGACAAAAAGTCTATGTGACCACAGAATTATTAACTGATTATTTTTGCTCTGAAGCCATTTTGAGTCATTTTTTATTTCCTCCTCTTTTGTGGCTTGCTTTCTTTCGTTAAGTCTTCCTGGGAAATTTCCCTTTCAGATTGGGTCAAAAGGCTGTGGATTTCCTGGTTTCTGTGAGACAAATGGCTGGAAGAAAATGCGGATTTACCAAGAAGGGTGGAGATGAGAATTGTCTGAGGAATAGTTGAGCTTCAAGAGACATTCCCCAAGATTATGTGGACTGGCCTTTCAAGGTGGTTATTCAGGATTGTCACTGGAAGAACTCAAGATTATAGTAGTAAGGTTAAAACATTCCAAATCTGAGACAGAACTGATCAAGATTTAAGGAGACATCTGGGAAGCAATTCTCAGTCCACAAACAACATTTGCCTGTTTTGTTTCATGCCCAGAATATTTGGAGAAGGATGGATAGGAGAGTCAGGACAGGAAGAGGGAAGGTGTTTAAGGAAATCTTTCTATACTGACTGCTTTTCTCTTCCTTAGATGTTATCCTGATTAAGAAACAAACCATAATCCTTATTAAAGATAAATACAACAGGGGCTGTTTTTGCCTGGGAATTGCCCTCTATAAGTTAAAGCTACCATGTGCTTTTCCTGGCACATCTGGTGTTATTAATGACCTGGAATATTGAAAGAATTTTCAAACCCTCAGACAGAAACACAAGTAGTTACATCAGTAATTAGCACTAAAGAGAATTTATAGCATCTGGATATTTCAGTAATTAAGATGGCCCAGAGCATTTCAGTCTGTTGTTAAGCACAGACCATCAAAGGAGTGATTTCCACAATGTATAGATTTATTCCCTGTCTCACCTTACTTGCAGCCTATAGAGGCTGACTGCTGGACTTAAGTTCCAAGAACTGTAATTGAACCCCAGCTATCACTTACTACTTTGTAACTTTGGGCAAGTTTCTTAGTCCCTCCAAACTGGAGCTCTCCCATCTATAAAACTGGAATATTTTCATCTACCTTACTTAGACAAAAGGATTTTTGTGAGGCTCAAAAAGGAAAATAGATGTGAAAGCATTTTACAAATCCAAGGCACTGTGCAGGAGTTACTGAATAGGATTGCTGTTGTAGGGGGTCCTTTGATGACCCTTGCCTAAGTTATACTAACAGTTGTGTGGTCCTCAACTGACCATCATCCAGCATTCGGGCAGACCTTCCATTGCCCAAATCCAGCAACAAGTGGAGCATGAATGAATTGAAACCAAGTCAAATCTGTGTTCACCTTGTTCCTGACAGCTCTCCTGGTAATTAGTACTCCAGAGCTGTTTTCAAAGATAAAAATTGAGAGATAAATCCTAATTGCATTGTCAGTTTCATGTATTCTATTACATTACTTTTGGAGAGGCTGTATTAAATGATATAACAAAGTATATGTATTTCACAAGAATGTACATAAATATTAATATTCTTTGCTTAAGTTCAGGAAAACTATTATGAAAAGTATTCCTTTGCCCCTCAGACCTCAGTAAAGATGTTTTAACCTTCCTACTAAATCACTTCAGATTATGTTCCATGCCAGTGGTATACGTTATATATCCTGCAGGTCAATAGCTGGACGGCAATGGCATTCATCCAGATTCTCATTTTTACATAAATGGCTTTAAAACACGTTCTCTGTATTACACCTTCATCTTATCCTGGCCCAGCAAAATACATATGATTCCATATAATGCGAATATTATTATGATGAGAAAGAGTTACTAAGGAGTCAAAATGGTGTTATAACAACTTACTATAAAATCTATGTGCTCGGTCTGAAAATAATCCAAATAAGCACTAGAAACTGACAGTTTAATGTATTACTGAAAAGGTCGGATCAAGAAGCAGGAAGGCTCACGAAACAAAAGCATATGCAAAAGAAATAGCCAAAAGAGTATCATGACTCCTGCAAAGATTTTTATTTGGAGACCCAAATTTCTAGCCCTAAACTTGATATGCTTCTGCTCATATCAGAGAAAAAAAATCTCCTTATTAGAAACATTGGAAAAGTAGAATAATGTAGACATTGTGTGTTTGCACTGATTCAAATCAATGGAAATTTATGCTTTTTTAGAATTAATAAATGTGAACACTTAGATTTTAAATCTGCCCACATACCAAGATGTTACATATCCATCTGCCATTTAATTCAGCTGGTCTGATGAGAATTCTTCATGTGCATTATACTTGAATATGTTTTCTACACAGTTTGCCGTTGGCTTTTTAAGAATAATGTTTTCAAGCATGATTATAGATTTATATATTCTAATAGTGCTTTGGGGGGCAAACCTCTTAAATAATTTTTGCTTAATTAAGTGTAGCTTCAAATGTGCATCTTCTAAAAGAGGACTTGAAGGATTTGCCAAGGTCTTATAATTATTTAGATTTATGGCCCAATAAAGCATCGTTCCTATATTATACCCTATACAACACCATTTGTATATTCCAGGGGGAGAAACTGAGGCAGAAATGGGAAAACCTTGATTTAGAATATTCAGTGATTGAGTCCAGCAACAGAAATCAAGTTTCAAAATTCCTTTTCCTATAATTGTTTTCTAGAGCTGCCTTAGAAGACCTTGCTGTTGGTATGACCAGAATTATGACAAACAACTTACTGCTTTTTATGACTGCTGGAACTCCCTCTAATTGGTATGAGTGAAATCAAAATCTAGTAGAAACCAAAGAAACTTGGCTCACGCTACATGACAATTCTAACAGTAAAATTCTAAAATGCAAACATTCAACCATTCAACAGAAAAAAAAATAAAAATCTTCAACATGTGTCTCACGCCAAAACAAATCAAAATAAACAATAATAGAATCATGAGATGCTTTTGACTTGGCCTGGATAAAGCAAATAACAAAGTTGTAGCATAAAATAATTGAGGAGAAGCCCTCTTTTTGAGATTGGGCAAAGAACCCCAGGTATCATGTCCCTCCCTCTTCTAGCTTTCCCACCAGGACTGTAGATACCTGACTCGGTCTGAAACGGAGGCTGCTGCCTAGTGAACAGAGCTTAGTGGGAAGATGCTGCCACCTCCCTTTAAACAAGAATGAGTCAACAAAGTACTTAATCAGACATTTTCTGTATTGAGAAAACACAAAACAAAAACAAAAAGGACCACAGAAATCATAAGCAGAAAATAGGATATCCCAGCATTCCTCTATCCCGGAATAAGAAGTTGGAACAAAAACAAGAAAATATTAAATTTTGAGGATTCTTTGGTTTGTGGCAACTGCTACAGATTCCTATGTTTTGATTCAAAAGTTATTTATTTCTTACAGCAACATTGGTAGCAATGTGCACTCAGGAAATGGCAATTCTTTTTAATTCCAAACTCGAGAAACTGTTTCTGCTTCAACAATTATTATATGAGGTGAGAATTAGAAAAAGATATAAATAACAGTGTCACAGAGATTGATTGTAAGTCGGTGAAAATAATAGCAATAGAGATAAAAATCTTAACTTTCTAGCTCAGAGACTCTTCTTCCTTTTCAGCAGTTTGTTACTACATAAGTACAATTTTATGTTTGCCTTGTTATGTTTTTATGACAAGTTCTTCCTCAGTTGAAGGGTAATTTTGAAAATGTTTTGAATAGCAAAGTCTTTTGAATCACTCAATAATTCTTGGCAAGTTAAATTAAGCAAAAATAAATTATATACAACCCAAAGACAAATCTAACTTGAGAGCCATTCAAAGAAATTGACTGTTTACATATATATATATATATATATATATATATATATATATATATACACACACACACACACACACCTGCATTCTATCTGTTACAAGTGTGTGATTTTTTTTAAAAGGAAGCTGTCCATAGAGATGACAGGATCATAAACCTAATAAGCCAAAGTGGAGAAGCCACAAGTTACCATCCCTTCAGTAGAAAATGAGACTGGGTTGCTCAGCCTTCAATCTGACAGTTTCAAAGAGAAAAGAAATCTATTAGCAAGTTGCTGATGGCTTATAAAAAACATATTGCAGAATCTTGCTCTTCTATTTAAAGGCATATTCCTGTCCTTTCTCATTAATTCTAAAAGAAAAAAAAAAGAAATCAGATTTGACATCCTGTAACTTGCTCCTTAAATATCAGAAGCCACATGTACACAGCAAGTTCTTTATAATTATAATTTTTATACCTTCTTTTCTACTTTCCTATACCTTAAAATATGTTTTTCAAAGGTGTGTGTGATGTGTGTATTTTTAAGAACTATCATGAGCATAGAGTAAATACAAGTAGCTGCCTCTTTTTGGTGTTTGAAGAGAACAAAGATTTGTATTCCTGGCTGCATGTAATGAATGTTCACTGTTGAAATCATTGTGATATTTCAAGGGGAAAAAAAGTCATCAAATTTCTGAGGGGTTGGACCAGGCATGATGGCTCCTGCCTATAATCTCAGCAATTTGGGAGGCCAAGGTGGGTGGATCACCTGAGGTCAGGAATTCGAGACCAGCCTGAGCAACATGGTGAAACCCCATCTCTACTAAAACTACAAAACTTAGCTGGGCGTGGTGGTGCACGCCTGTAACCCCAGCTACTCGGGAGGCTGAGGCAGGAGAACCTCTTGAACCCAGGAGGCAGAGGTTGCAGTGAGCCAAGATCACGCCACTGCACTCCAGCCTGGGCAAAGAGAGAGACTCTGTCTCAAAAAAAAAAAAAGTTCTGAGTGGTTATAGTGAATGTAGTATAAATAATACCCATTGGCTATGCTTTCTTCTTGCAGAGGGAGTGCATAGAATTCATAAGCATAAGCTGACATGCTAGAACACGCTAGCCATGGATCCTTCACCTAAACAAGAGACTCCATTTGATAACTGTTCCTTTATACCAAATAAATCTGCTCATAAGAGCCCATAGTTCAGGAAAGTTAAAAGGTAAACATAAAATAGCACATATAAAAACATATATATATATTATATATATATGTTTGGGATGCAATCTGTCAGCATCTTAAAAACTCCATTAGTACATATAGATACATATATATTTTACCTGACTCATCATGTCTAAAATGCTTAGAGTTTAAGTCAGGATGGTGTTTCTCCCTCAGCTATATTACTAACATGTAACATTTGTCTTTTGGAAAACCCCATCAGCCTTTTGGGGTCACTGTTTGACTTGTATTATAGTGAATTATTTATGAATCTGGATCCTGCAACAAATTGGGAAGCACCAATTTTCTATGTTTACGTTTGTTTACCTGTTTGTTCTTAAAAATTCCCATAGTATGTGGGGCGTTGCCTCACCCAGGAAACACAAGGGGTCAGGGGATTTCCCTTTCTAGCCAAGGGAAGCTGTGACAGACTGTACCTGGAAAAACGGGACACTCCCACCCAAATACTGCACTTTTCCCAAGGTCTTAGCAACAGGCAGACAAGGAGATTCTCCCATGCCTGGCTCAACAGGTCCCATGCCCATGGAGCCTTGCTCACTGCTGGTGCAGCAGTCTGAAATCAAACTGCAAGGTGGCAGCCTGGCTGGGCGAGGGGCGTCCTCCATTGCTGAGGCTTGAGTAGGTAAACAAAGCAGCCAGGAATCTTGAACTGGGTGGAGCCCACCGCAGCTCAGCAAGGCCTACTGCCTCTAGACTCCACCTCTGTGGTCAGGGCTTAGCTGAACAAAAGGTGGCAGACAACTTCTGCAGACTTAAGCGTCCCTGTCTGACAGCTCTGAAGAGAGCAGTGGTTCTCCCAACATGGTGTTTGAGCTCTGAGAACAGACAGACTGCCTCCTCAAGTGGGTCCCTGACCCCTGTGTAGCCAAACTGGGAGACACCTCCAAGTAGGGGCCAACAGATACCTCATGTAGGTGGGTGCCACTCTAGGACGAAGTTTCCAGAGGAAGGATCAGGCAGCAGTATTTTCTGTTCTGCAATATTTGCTGTTCCACAGCCTCCACTGGTGATACCCAGGCAAACAGGGTCTGGAGTGGACCTCCAGCAAACTCCAACAGACCTGCAGCTGAAGGACCTGACTGTTAGGAGGAAAACTAACAAACAGAAAGGAATAGCATCAACATCAACAAAAAGGACATCCACACCAAAACCCCATCTGTAGGTCACCAACATCAAAGACCAAAGTTAGATAAAACCACAAAGATGGGGAGAAACCAGAGCAGAAAAGCTGAAAATTCTGAAAATCAAAGCGCCTCTTCTCCTCCAGAGGATGGCAGCTCCTCGCCAGCAACAGAACAAAGCTGGATGGAAAATGACTTTAACAAGTTGATGGAAGTAGGCTTCAGAAGATCGGTAATAAAAAACTTATCCAAGCTAAAAGAGCATGTTCAAACCCACTGCAAGGAAGCTAAAAACCTTGAAAAAAGGTTAAATGAATGGCTAACTAGAATAAACAGTGTAGAGTAGACCTTAAATGACTTGATGGAGCTGAAAATCATGGCACAAGAACTTCATGATGCATGCACAAGCTTCAATAGACGATTGAATTAAGTGGAAGAAAGGGTATCAGTGATTGAAGATCAAATGAATGAAATAAAGGGAGAAGACAAGGTTAGACAAAAAAGAGTAAAAAGAAATGAACAAAGCCTCCAAGAAATATGGGACTATGTGAAAAGGCCAAATCTATGTCTGATTGGTGTACCTGAAAGTGATGGGGAGAATGGAACCAAGTTGGAAAACACTCTTCAGGATATTATCCAGGAGAACTTCCCCAACCTAGCAAGGCAGGCCAACATTCAAATTCAGGAAATACAGAGAACACCACAAAGATACTCCTCGAGAAGAGCAACCCGAAGACACATAATTGTCACATTCACCAAGGTTGAAATGAAGGAAAAAATGTTAAGGGCAGCCAGAGAGAAAGGTCGGGTTACCCACAAAGGGAAGTCCATCAGACTAACAGCAGATCTCTCAGCAGAAACCCTGCAAGCCAGAAGAGAATGAGGGCCAATATTCAACATTCTTAAAGAAAATAATTTTCAACCCAGAATTTCATATCCAGCCAAACTAAGCTTCATAAGTGAAGGAGAAATAAAATCCTTTACAGACAAGCAAATGCTGAGAGATTTTGTCACCACCAGGCCTGCCTTACAAGAGCTCCTGAAGGAAGCACTAAACATGGAAAGAAACAACCAATACCAGCCACTGCAAAAACATGCCAAATTGTAAAGACCATCGACGCTATGAAGAAACTGCATCAACTAATGGGCAAAATAACCAGCTAACATCATAATGACAGGATCAAATGCACACACAACAATATTAAACTTAAATGCAAATGGGCTAAATGCCCCAATTAAAGGACACAGACTAGCAAATTGGATAAAGAGTCAAGACCCATCAGTGTGTAGTATTCAGAAGACCCATCTCACATGCAAAGATTCACATAGACTCAAAATAAAGGGATGGAGGAAGATCTACCAAGCAAATGGAAAGCAAAAAAAGCAGGGATTGCAATCCTAGTCTCTGATAAAGCAGACTTTAAACCAACAAAGATTGAAAGAGACAAAGAAGGCCATTACATAATGGTAAAGGGATCAATTCAACAAGAAGAGCTAACAACCCTAAATATATATGCACCCAATACAGGAGGACCCAGATTCATAAAGTAAGTCCTTATAGACCTACAAGGAGACTTAGACTCCCACACAATAATAATGGGAGACTTTAACACCCTACTGTCAATATTAGACAGATCAACGAGACAGACGGTTAACAAGGATATACAGGACTTGAACTCAGCTCTGCACCAAGCAGACCTGATAGACATCTACAGAACTCTCTACCAGGAATCAATAGAATATACATTCTTCTCAGCACCACATCGCACTTATTCTAAAATTGGCCACATAATTGGAAGTAAAGCACTCCTTAGCAAATGTAAAAGAACAGAAATCACAACAAACTGTCTCTCAGAACACAGTGCAATCACATTAGAACTCAGGATTGAGAAACTCACTCAAAACTGCACAACTACATGGAAACTCAACAACTTCTTCCTGAATGACTACTGGGTACATAATGAAATGAAGGCAGAAATAAAAGTGTTCTTTGAAACCAGTGAGAACAGACACAACATACAAGAATCTCTGGGACACATTTAAAGCAGTGTGTAGAGGGAACACTAAATGCCCACAAGGAAAAGCAGGAAAGATCTGCAATTGACACCCTAACATCACACTTAAAAGAACTAGGCAAGCAAGAGCAAAGAAATTCGAAAGGTAGCAGAAGGCAAGAAATAACTAAGATCAGAGCAGAACTGAAAGAGATAGAGACACAAAAGCCCTGCAAAAAATCAATGAATCCAGGAGCTGCTTTTTTTTAAAGGATTAACAAAATTGGTAGACTGCTAGCAAGACCAATAAAGAAGAAAACAGAGAAGAATCAAAATAGATGCCATAAAAAGTGATAAAGGAGATATCACCACTGATCCCACAGAAATACAAACTACCATCAGAGAATACTATAAACACCTCTATGCAAATAAACTAGAAAATCTAGAAGAAATGGATAAATTCCTGGACACATACACTCTCCCAAGACTAAACCAGGAAGAAGTTGAATCCCTGAATACACCAAAAACAGGCTCTGAAATTGAGGCAATAATTAATAGCCTACCAACCAAAAAAAGTCCAGGACCAGATGGATTCACAGCCGAATTCTACCAGAGATACAAAGTGGAGCTGGTACCATTCCTTCTAAAACTGTTCCAATCAATACAAAAAGAAGGAATCCTCCCTAACTCATTTTATGAGGTCATCATCCTGATACCAAAACCTGGCAGAGACACAATGAAACAAGAGAATTTTAGACCATTATCCCTGATGAACTCAATATGAAAATCCTCAATAAAATACTGGCAAACTGAATCCAGCAGCCCATCAAAAAGCTTATCCAGCATGATCAAGTCGGCTTCATCCCTGGGATGCAAGACTGGTTCAACATACACAAATCAACAAACATAATTCATCACATAAACAGAACCAATGACAAAAACCACATGATTATCTCAATAGATGCAGAAAAGGTGTTCGAAAAAATTCAACAGCCCTTCATGCTAAAAACTCTCAAAAAACTAGGTATTGACAGAACGTATCTCAAAATAATAAGAGCTATTTATGACAAACCCACAGCCAATATCATACTGAATGGGCAAAAACTGGAAGCATTCCTTTTGAAAACTGGCACAAGATGAGGATGCCCTCTCTCACCACTGCTATTCAACATAGTGTTGGAAGTTCTGGCCAGGGCAATCAGGCAAGAGAAAGAAATAAAGGGTATTCAATTAGGAAAAGAGGAAGTCAAATTATTCCTGTTTGCAGATGACATGATTGTATATTTAGAAAGCCCCATCGTCTCAGCCCAAACTCTCCTTAAGCTGATAAGCAACTTCAGCAAAGTCTCAGGATACAAAATCAATGTGCAAAAATCACAAGCATTCCTATACACCAATAACAGACAAATAGCCAAATCAAGAGTGAACTCCCATTCACAATTGCTACAGAGAATAAAATACCTAGGAATCCAACTTACAAGTGATGTGAAGGACCTCTTCAAGGAGAACTACAAACCATTCCTCAACGAAATAAAAGAGGACACAAATAAATGGAAGAACATTCCATGCTCATGGAAAGGAAGAATCAATATCGTGAAAATGGCCACACTGCCCAAGGTAATTTATAGATTCAATGGCTTCTCCATCAAGCTACCAATGACTTTCTTTACAGAACTGGAAAAAACCTACTTTAAAGTTCATATAGAACCAAAAAGAGCCCACACTGCCAAGACAATCCTAAGCAAAAAGAACAAAGCTGGAAGCATCATGCTACCTGACTTCAAACTCTCAAGGCTACAGTAACCAAAACAGCATGGTACTGGTACCAAAACAGAGATATAGACCAATGGAACAGAACATAGGCCTCAGAAATAAAACCACACATCTACAACCATCTGATCTTTGACAAACCTGACAAAAACAAGAAATGGGGAAAGGATTCCCTATTTAATAAATGGTGCTGGGAAAACTGGCTAGCCTTATGTAGAAAGCTAAAACTGGATCCCTTCCTTACACCTTATACAAAAATTAATTCAAGATGGATTGAAGACTTAAATGTTAGACCTAAAACCATAAAAACCCTAGAAGAAAACCTAGGCAATACCATTCAGGACATAGGCATGGGCAAGGACTTCGTGACTAAAACACCAAAAGCAATGGCAACAAAAGCCAAAATGAAAAATGGGATCTAATTAAACTAAAGAGCTTCTGCACCACAAAAGAAACTACCATCAGAGTGAACAGGCAACCTACAGAATGGGAGAAAATTTTTGCAATCCACTCATCTGACAAAGGGCTAATATCCAGAATCTACAAAGAACTCAAACAAATTTACAAGAAAAAAAAACCCTATCAAAAATTGGGCAAAGGATATGAACAGACACTTCTCTAAAGAAGACATCTGTGCAACCAACAGACACATGAAAAAATGCTCATCATCACTGGTCATCAGAGAAATGCAAATCAAAACCACAATGAGATACAATCTCACACCAGTTAGAATAGCAATCATTAAAAAATTAGGAAACAACAGATGCTGGAGAGGATGTGGAGAAATAGGAACTCTTTTACACTGTTGGTAGGAATGCATTAGTTCAACCATTGTGGAAGACAGTGTGGCGATCCCTCAAGGATCTAGAACTAGAAATACCATTTGACCCAGTGATCCCATTACTGGGTATATACCCAAAGGATTATAAATCATGCAACTATAAAGACACATACACACATATGTTTATTGCAGCACTATTCACAATAGCAAAGACTTGGAACCTACCCAAATGTCTATCAATGATAGACTGGATAAAGAAAATGTGGCACATATACACCATGGAATACTATGCAGCCATAAAAAATGATGAGTTCATGTCCTTTGCAGGTACATGGATGAAGCTGTAAACCATCATTCTCAGCAAACTATCACAAGGACAGAAAACCAAACACCACATGTTCTCACTCATAGGTGGGAATTGAACAATGAGATCACTTGGACACAGGGCAGGGAACATCACACACTGAGGCCTGTCAGGGGGTGGGGCGCTGGGGGAGATATAGCATTAGGAGAAATACCTAATGTAAATGACGAGTTGATGGGTACAGCAAACCAATGTGGCACATGTATACCTATGTATCAAACCTGCACCTTGTGCACATGTACCCTAGGACTTAAAGTACAATAAAATAATAATAATAATAATAATAATGTTTAAAAAATTTTTAAAACTCCCATTGCACTCATTTACATTTGTATGCCCAAACATAATTTTACGTAAATTACATACCAAAGAGCATAACATCGTGTCTGACATATAGTAGGTACTAAAATATATATATAGCTGCACTACATTATGAAAATCTTTCTAAGGTGCTTTTATAGCATTAATGCACTCTTTTTAAAGACTGCACTATTCCATGGCCCGAATAAACCCATTTTATTCAATCATAACCTATGTAAGACATTTACTTTGTTTCTTGTTTTCGGCCATTACAAACAGAATAAATAGTCTTATATACTCAGCTGCAGTAAATAATCTTATATACTCAATTTTGCTCTAAGATAATATATGCATCCTGAAAATCACTATGCAATGCAAAATTGTGCAATAAAAACCACAGAGCTTCTGGAGAAAAATGGGTTGCGGACTCAACATTCAAAAAGTCTCCCAAAACAGCAACATATAAAAAAGATAGGAACCTAAAAAATGGTTTAAAATGGTAATACATGTGTTAAATACACATTAAGAAATACATAAATACTATAATAAATATGGCACTTAACCTTGAAGAAAACCTGAAATTTGCATGAAGAACTGGGCAGAAGTAGGTTTGCAATTTGTGAGTTATTGTGAAGTGGTAGATGGATGGTTATCTGAAATCAGATGGAACATTGGAATACTAGATGTGGATAGGTACGGCTCATTATGCAGTGAACTGAGGTAACTGGAGATATTAGTGGTGTCTGTTTTGTGTTTTGCCAGGCAGCTTGGTTCAGACGGATGCAGTTTCCTGCCATCCTCTAGTATTTCTTACAGAAAAAATAATGCAGAAGCAAAAGCAAAATCCACACTATGTTCAATGTGTTCCCTAATATATCAGCTTCACTCTAGCAAATTCACATTTTAAAAGTCAAGTGTTACAGCACTATTGACTATATATGTGTCATTATATGCCAATGCTTTCATTCCTATGAGTTAGATTTCCAGGATAGGGGCTAATGGATTTTTTTAAGATGCTAACAGATTGCATCCCAAACAGCTTTAATAATTTTAAGATATTTTCCATTTTCACAACCTCAGAGAAGACAATCCAGTCCCACACCCTGAACCTAATTTTTTTTTCTTTTTCTGAGATGGAGTCTCACTCTGTCATCCAGGATGGAGTGCAGTGGTGCAATCGAGGCTCACATCAACCTCTGCCCCCCAGGTTCAAGCTATTCTCCTGCCTCAGCCTCCCTAGTAGCTGGAACTACAGGCATGTGACACCACACACAGCTAATTTTTGTATTTTTAGCAGAGAGAGGGTTTCACCATGTTGGCAAGGTTGGTCTCGAACTCCTCACCTCAGATGATCCGCCTGCCTCAGCCTCCCAAATGAACCTCATTTTTTACAAAGTTTGAGACAATTGTGAGACTGGGTGAGAGTTCTAATAATGGACACTGACTCTGCTTCCTACTAGTCAAAGTAACCAAACGATTCATTTAAAGGACCAGGCGTTTCTGGGGACAAGCAGGAAAAGGAACCATCCCCTACTTATCCACCCTTCACCTCTGCCTCTGTAGCTCAGCATCAGAAGTAAAAGATTAGACCACAAGGTCTACTTCCTAAAATAAAAATTTGCCACATTGTAAAATTTAAAAATTCTCTCTTGGAAAGTGTTGAAATATACATTTAAAAAGATAAAATGAAAATAATATATTTATTACTTTACCAGGGGGAGAAAACCATTTTTAATATTTTGTCAAAGTCTCTGTCTTTGTGTTTTGACATCATATGATATTTAGCTTTATCTTGACTATTTTCATGTCATAATTATCCTTAAGGTGCTTCATATTAACACTATATACCTACATAATACATTCTACTATGTGCCATAATTTACCTGGACATTTTTCTATTATAGAAAATTTGGTTGTTTTCAAATGGATTCTGTCATAAAAATCCCTTCCAATTGGCATTTTTGTCTATGTATATTATATATGTGTGTGTAATATTATATATATAATTTCTTCAGAATAGTTTCTAAGAAGGAGAATTTCTGGATCAATATAGGTGTATGTTTAAGGCTAATATATTTTACAAAATAC
The DNA here is from genome assembly GCF_000001405.40 of Homo sapiens. Classification (NCBI taxonomy): domain Eukaryota; kingdom Metazoa; phylum Chordata; class Mammalia; order Primates; family Hominidae; genus Homo; species Homo sapiens. The sequence continues at coordinate 99,597,120 of NC_000003.12, forward strand.
CTTTCAAAAATATTACACCAACTTATAGCTCTACAAATCTGGCCTTAACCAGATTTTATTACCTTTTGTAAACCTCTTCTAATTTGATATTTGAAATAATATAGCCCAGCACATCTCTGGCTGGGTTATATTGTAAATTAACTCTAGTTTTTTTAGCTGGTGCCCAGAAGTGCAGGTAAGGAGAGTTCCTGAAAAGAGCATGTGTTGTCTTTCAAAGCCTGTGTGTCATCTTCAAACAGGATTTATTGGGGAGTGGGCTACTTATGTGGGCCCAGAGGATTCAAAGAAACAGGCAGGTACAAGATTTTTGAGGAAATTAACCTAGATGTCCCCATTTCAAATCTCAAGAGTCCTTCTGCTTCCTACCTAGGCCCTGATCTTGGTATAGTAGACTTGCTGAGGTTGAAATGACAACCTTCTCTGCAGTTCCACTGTTCCCATAATTAAGTCCTGGAATTGATCTTCGACTTTTTCTTCTGTTTATAGAAGATAAAATTCATTTTGTATGCTGCCAAGAAAGCCCCCTGGCTTTCATACTTTGCCTTAAAGTGGGGATTAATCACCCTCAGCCTTTCCTTGTCTTTCTTCTCCAGTGCATTGCTAGTATCTAGGAAAAGCAATCTGATTCCCTTGGCCTGGTAATTACTACTTCCCTAGAACCGCTCAAATGCCTGAGATATTGCTCCTGCCAGTGCATTACCTTCCACTCGTGTCCTATTCCAGCTCAGAACTTGTAAAAGTTCTAACAACTGCACTGCTATAGCATGCTAGGGGCTATCATTTCCCCACCTAATACCAGTGGCAGGGTTCTCATTTCCCTGCAGCCAGCAAGGGATCCAGCTTCAAAGTTGCATTTTAGATTCTGCTTCCTCAGACATTCTAACTGGTGTTTAAATTGGGTTCCCTAGGAAACAGATTCTAAGATGGAACAATACTTATAAAAGAATGAGAAATAAGAATTGGACAGAGGGGGAAGTTGAACGTCAGTGTGCAATTCTAACAGGTCTTAGCCAGTCCTTCAAGAGCCCAGGAGCTAGAATGGCTCTTCCAAGTTTTCCAGAATTGAGACAAAAAGGCCAGGTCTTCGTACATCTGCATAGACCAGTTCTTTGATGTGAGCTAACTCCAGTAAGAGGGTATAACCTTGAGCAAAGCAGCTCCCTTTATTCTAGAGCAATCTCCAAAGTGGTACTCAGCCATGAAATGTCTACAGCCAATACTTCTCGCAGGTGTGGAAATGCACGCTTCAGACCTGAAGGGGCAACGCAGAAGGCATACCACAGCATCCACCACATGCTTCCACAACAATAAAAAATAGTTTGGATATTACTTAGCTTAATAGTTCGAAGATGTGTCTGTAAAAGTCAGCATAATGTTCAGGTAAGAGAACAAATGATGTTTTAAACAGGTAAATCAATACACTTAAGCAAAAATGTAGTTTGAATATTAAAGTTGGGGAAGATGTTCATAAACATCAATATATAAACAGGTAGGATAATAATTATTTTATAATATAGAGAAATTAATAGTATATAGCCAATAGTAAATAAAAATAGGGAGGGACCAAACTCTTTGGCCAAGAAATAAGCTTTCTTTATAGCACAAGGTGTGTTCTGTAAGTTACACATCCTCTCCACTCCCGGATTTTTCTCCACCTTTGAGTTGCTGTGCCATCTATAAAATTTGTTTATACAAATTTTTATCTGCCTGACTTCCATGCTGCCACTCATTATGCTCAGCCTCATAGGCAAGGAACAGTGGTAAAGAAGAGAGGGCATGGTTCCCAAAATAGATTTCATTTTGTGCAATTCCACTAACTACTTTTCAGTCAGCTCTCTGCTTTAACTAGAAAAAAATATAGTAAGGAGAAGAGGTTGAAATTAGTTGAATCCTCTTACCTCCAATATGAAGATTATTAATCAGCATAGATTATTGTAGGAAGCATGAATTTCAAAATTCTGTGGTCTAGGTGATTCTGACAAGTTATCTAGATTAATCTTCCTCATTCAATTTAGTGTGTAAAGTATTCTAGTCAAGACCCTTGAGACCCACCGGTTTGCCATGACAAAGAAAATTTTTAATCCCATTAATGAATGAATCAGCACCATTTCAAATAAAGAGCTAATGAACTTTATTGAAGTCATAGATAAATTACTATGCTATGAAAGTTAGAAATTATTATATTGTGAATATAACTATTCTACTCAGCAGCCCAAGGCCAATTGTCAACTCTAATGAGATCTGGTAATATGGCCCATATGATCTTGGGATTTCAATAAACCCAGGTTCAAGTCCTGGCTCTGCTACCTGGTAGCTTTGTTTTCATAAGCAAATGATTAACTTCTCTAAGCTTCAGTTGCCTGTTTCATATAATACATATATCAATGCCACCTACTTCATGGAGTTTTGCAATAATATGAGCAAATAGCATAGTACTGGCACCGAGAAAGTACTAAATAACTTTTATCTATATTAATTTAATATTATTTTTAGCGTAACAATAATTGTTATTTGTATTAATGTTTTTCAACGTGTAACTGATCTTTCTCAATGTTCTTGGGTTGTAAGAACAAAGCCTAACAGAAGCAGAGTTGATTTTTTAGTGTTTTAAATTGTGGCCCTCCAGAGGACGAGCAGTCCAACTGTGCTTGTTTAATGTGGTTTGTTCTGCACCATATGCGTGTGGGCTTTTAATAAATGCTGTTTGATGATGATGATGAGTTCTTGGAGACAGAGCAGTGTTCAGCAGAGTCACTACATTATGTTTGGCCTTGCTTTCTACTACTCGACTCCAGGAATGCTCTTGTGAGCAGTACCGAAACTTCTGAAATTTCCATTTGAGGTAAAGTACCGCTGCCAGCAAGCTGCACGAAGGGAGTCATTAACCCTCACCCTCTTTTCTTGTGGCTCTTGCCAAACTGACCCTCGGAAGGGCTTTCTCAGTGGGCTGTCCTGCAGTTCTCAGCAGCACTCCACAGCAGTGCTATCTGCTGTCCTTCCTGAGAAAGCAAGGGTAGAATAGCCACTGAGCTCAGTGGGCCAACTTCCAAAGTCCAAACTATGGGGAAAAATTTATTACAACTCTACCTAGAGGAAAAACAAAACCAAGGACTCAGTCTATAGTCAGTCCCTAATCAATGCAAAAGGAGCTTACAGCTCCAGGGACTCAAATAGGATTTAAACATTTTAGAAATGTTTACATTAAAAACAATGATATATTAAAGCAACAAGCCTGAAAACTACGATGGAAAGCAAAAATTCTTTCTCCCCAAAACTTACATTAAAGTGACTGAGCAGTATGAAGGGTTTTCTGCAGCAATCAGGCTTTTCAAGAGCCCAAGTCCTTTTTCTTGGATAGTTCACTTTCCAATCCAAGATAGACCTTTCAACTGAGTTTTGTCTTAGTACATTCTCGTCACTGCTATAAAACAATAATTGTCTTTGAATTAAGTCTCTTTTGTTTCAGATGTGCCCCCCAATTTTTAGAAGAAAAGTGTTTTTTCTTGAGTGAAGTGTCAAATTTCTTATGGACAAAACTTTCACTCTCCTATCTAGGAGTTATCATTGGAAAGGGTCTAGAGACCCCTGGTACAATCTTTCCAAAAAGGATACTTTAAATGAAGAGTGCAGAAAATGCTGTAAATGAATAATGCTTCTTTTCAGACAACCCGGGTTCTCCAAACACAGACATAGCTGTGATGCTTTGCCAGGTCAAGAAAGAACCCCATGTTTAGCAATGATGACCTGGATTTGCAGCAACATTATTAGCTTTGCAGACAGTCTGCCTATGCAAGCTTAGACCCGATTTCCAAAGTTCGTTGAGATTATTGCCTGAAATATCAGAGAAGAGTTAATAGAGTGAATAGAGATTCAAAAGAGCAGAAGAACATCAAATCACTTTTGTGGGGAGAGGGGACACAGGGAGAAGCCTGAGTCAATGTGCCTTGACTTGGAAAAAGACAACAAGACTATAAGTTTAACCTTGCAAAAGTCACAGAAATGAGAAATTTTGCCTTACTATACCTAAGTTTATGTGTTTACAGTTGCACTCTAAGTCACTCTTTACTCTTTGATCCACTTAATCATATTTTACATCCAGTTGATCAATCATTTCATCAAGTGTTTGTTTGTTTGTTTGTTTGTTTGTTTGTTTGTTTGTTTTTGGAGACAGAGTCTTGTTCTGTCGCCCAGGCTGGAGTGCAGTGGCGTGATCTCAGATCACTGCAACCTCCGCCTTCTGGGTTCAGGTAATTCTCCTGCCTCAGCCTCCTGAGTAGCTGGGACTACAGGCGCATGCCACTATGCCCAGCTAATTTTTTGTATTTTAGTAGAGACAGGGTTTCACCACGTTGCCCAGGCTGGTCTCGAACTCCTGAGCTCAGGCAATCAGCCTGCCTGGGTCACCCAAAGTGCCAGGATTATAGGCATGAGCCACCATGCCCAGTCTTCATCAAATTTTTAAATCCATCCACAGAGACTTTGCAACAATATTCCAAGGATTTTTTTTTCATTGTTGACAAGTCTGTTGTTACTGGCAATGTGTGTAGGAACTAGTCCTGGTGACCTCCCTGTGAACCCACCAAAAAGTCAAAATTTGCAATTTCTTGTTCAGTGTAAAACTGAGCTTTGACCTTGAGGACTTTGTTGTGGTGGCTTCCCTTGGGAAATCAAAGAGACTGGTCATTTCTCAAGTCCCTAGAAGCAGTTCTGTTGTCAGAATCTCTCAGGGGCCTTTGAGTAAGAATCTTTCAACTTAATGGTTCAAGTACAAGTTTTCATTGGTATACAGAAGCCGTAATCTAAATAACAAGTCTTTCAAGAAGTGACAGGAAGACACAAGGGAGAGAAAAAGAGGAAACTGTTTTTGAGAAAAGAAGAGGTAAGATAATATAAAACGTAGTAGGAAGGAGTCAGTTTGAGCTACATAGCCACATCAGTCTCTCCATCTTTTTGGAATGTCTCATTTATTTGCTGGGTCCTTTCCATTGTTCTCGCTGGCTCTTCTCATGTAGAAAGAAAATACTTTCTCTGCCAATTACAATTGAATCTTTTACACCTCAGCTGAGAACATTCTGTAGGTTGGACTTTATTCTAATTTACTTGGATACCCTTCCTATTGGCCTTATTTTTCTTGTGTCTCAGTTATAAGCCTTCCCTAAGAAGTTAGGTACTGCTATTCTACGCCTCACTCAGATGTTGACATAACTTTTTTCACCAGCAATTCTACTTGTCAAAAGTAATTAGGCATGCTATCAAATGTCTGGAGCCAGGCAGATCTTCTTTATGATACACTTCAGCAAGACGCTCAATTTGTAGGTTTATTCATCCATATCCTTCTCTGCTTGTTTGCCCAACCCGTGGGACCACTTCTCTTTCTTAGAAACACATGGTTTTGTGAAGGCCAGGATCAGTCAGTGTTTTTTGAATGAGTACCCATTATGGGCCAAAACTGTGTGTGAGAAACAAAAAATAAACATGAACAGAGCTGAAAAATACCCTAAAGCTTTAGTCTAAAATTTTCTTGTCTCCCAACAATGAAATTGAGATCCAGAGAAATAATTTTTTCAAGTCATTCTATAATATCGTGGTGGGACTGGAATAAGAAAACAGTTCTTACCACAACTCCTGGACTTTCACAGATTCATAAGTCTTTCAATTAGTTGAAATGACAAATTCCAGAACATCATAACCCAAAAACATTTCCCTGTACACTTATATGGTCCCCTCTAGTCAGAAAAATCTACCCTGTTTGAAAATGTTTATTAATGCCTCATCTTCCTAAGATTTTCCACAAAACCAAGCTCTAAAGAGAAAGGTAATGAGTTCTTTCCATTTTTTGTTATTCAAATTCTCACTGACCTCACGGGTCATAAAAAATCACTATCAACAATTCTGCAAGGGTTACAAAGTAACACACAAGTTAGCAGTGGCCTCAGTGAATACAGAACTGCATATGTCAGGAAGCCTGTGAGAAGGACCATATGTAAGAATTGAAATGTGGTAACTCTTTTGTTTTTTTAACTTTTATTCTAGGTTCAGTGATGCATGTATAGGTTTGTAATATAGGTAAATTTTGTGTCACAGGGGGGTGGTGTATAGATTATTCCATCACCCAGGTAATAAGTATAGCAGCTGACAGACAGTGTTTCGGTCCTCACTGATCTCCCGCCCTCCACCCTCAAGTAGGTCCCGGTGTCTGTTATTCCCCACTTTGTGTCCATGTGTACTCAAAGATGAGCTCACACTTGTAAATGAGAACATGTGGTATTTGGTTTTTCTGTTCCTGTGTTAGTTCACTTAGGATAATGGCCTCCAGCTCCATCCTTGTTGCTGCAAAGGACATGATCTCATTCATTGTTATGGCTATGTAATATTCTATAGTATATATGTAGCATATTTTCTTTATCCAGTCTACCATTGATGGGCATTTAGGTGGATTCCCTGTCTTTGGTATTGTGAATAGTTCTGCAATAAATATACCTGTGTCTTTATGGTAGTACCCTATGATTTATATTTGGGGGGCATATACCCAATAATGGGATTGCTATGTGGAATGATAATTCTGTTTTGAGTTCTTTCAGAAATCGCCAACTGCTTTCCAATATACCTGAACAAATTTACACTCCCACAAGCAGTGTATAAACATTCCCTTTGCTCTGCAACCACACCAGCATCTGTTATTTTTTTTATATATACTTTAAGTTTTAGGGTACATGTGCACAAAGTGCAGCTTTGTTACATATGTATACATGTCCCATGTTGGTGTGCTGCACCCATTAACTCTTCATTTACATTAGGTATGTCTCCTAATGCTATCCCTCCCCTGTACCCCACCCCACAACAGGCCTCAGTGTGTGATGTTCCCCTTCCTGTGTCCATGTGTTCTCACTGTTCAATTCCCACCTATGAGTGAGAACATGCGGTGTTTGGTTTTTTTGTCCTTGCGATAGTTTGCTGAGAATGATGGTTTCCAGCTTCATCCATATCCCTGCAAAGGACATGAACTCATCATTTTTTATGGCTGCATAGTATTCCATGGTGTATATGTGCCACATTTTCTTAATCCAGTCTATCACTGTTGGGCATTTGGGTTGGTTCCAAGACTTTGCTATTGTGAATAGTGCCACAATAAACATACGTGTTCATGTGTCTTTATAGCAGCATGATTTATAATCCTTTGGGTATATACCCAGTAATGGGATGGCTGGGTCAACTGGTATTTCTAGTTCTAGATCCCTGAGGAATGGCCACACTGACTTCCACAAGGGTTGAACTAGTTTACAGTCCCACCAACAGTGTAAAAGTGTCCCTATTTCTCCACATCCTCTCCAGCAACTGTTGTTTCCTGACTTTTTAATGATTGCCATTCTAACTCGTGTGAGATGGTATCTCATTGTGGTTTTGATTTGCATTTCTCTGATGGCCAGTGATGATGAGCATTTTTTCATGTGTCTTTTGGCTGCATAAATGTCTTCTTTTGAGAAGTGTCTGTTCAAATGATTTGCCCACTTGTTGATGGGGTTTTTTGTCCTTTTCTTGTAAATTTGTTTGAGTTCCTTGTAGATTCTGGATATTAGCCCTTTGTCAGATGAGTAGATTGCAAAAATTTTCTCCCATTCTGTAGGTTGCCTGTTCACTCTGATGGTAGTTTCTTTTGCTGTGCAGAAGCTCTTTAGTTTAATTAGATCCCATTTGTCAATTTTGGCTTTTGTTGCCATTGCTTTTGGTGTTTTAGACATGAAGTCCTTGTCCATGCCTATGTCCTGAATGGTATTGCCTAGGTTTTCTTCTAGGGTTTTTATGGTTTTAGGTCTAACATTTAGGTCTTTAATACATCTTGAATTAATTTTTGTATAAAGTGTAAGGAAGGGATCCAGTTTCAGCTTTCTACCTATGGCTAGCGAGTTTTCCCAGCACCATTTATTAAATAGGGAATCCTTTCCCCATTTGTTTTTGTCAGATTTGTCAAAGATGAGATAGTTGTTAGATGTGTGGCATTATTTCTGAGGGCTCTATTCTGTTCCATTGGTCTATACCTCTGTTTTGGTACCAGTACCATGCTGTTTTGGTTACTGTAGCCTTGTAGTATAATTTGAAGTCAGGTAGCATGATGCCTCCAGCTTTGTTCTTTTGGCTTAGGATTGACTTGGCTATGAGGCTCTTTTTTGGTTCCATATGAACTTTAAAGTAGTTTTTTCCAATTCTATGAAGAAAGTCATTGGTAGCTTGATGGGGATGGCATTGAATCTATAAATTACCTTAGGCAATATGGCCATTTTCACAATATTGATTCCTCCTACCAATGAGCATGGAATGTTCTTCCAGTTGTTTGTATCCTCTTTTATTTCCTTGAGCAGTGGTTTGTAGTTCTCCTTGAAGAGGTCCTTCACATCCCTTGTAAGTTAGATTCCTAGGTATTTTATTCTCTTTGAAGTAATTGTGAATGGGAGTTCACTCATGATTTGGCTCTCTGTTTGTCTGCTATTGGTGTATAAGAATGCTTGTGATTTTTGCACATTGATTTTGTATCCTGAGACTTTGCTGAAGTTGCCTATCAGCTTAAGGAGATTTTGGGCTGAGATGATGGGCTTTTCTAGATATACAATCATGTCATCTGCAAACAGGGACAATTTGACTTCCTCTTTTCCTAATTGAATACCCTTTATTTCCTTCTCCTGCCTGATAGCCCTGGCCAGAACTTCCAACACTATGTTGAATAGGAGTGGTGAGAGAGGGCATCCCTGTCTTGTGCCCATTTTCAAAGGGAATGCTTCCAGTTTTTGCCCATTCAGTATGATACTGGCTGTGGGTTTGTCATAAATAGCTCTTATTATTTTGAGATATGTCCCATCAATACCTAATTTATTGAGAGTTTTTAGCATGAAGGGCTGTTAAATTTTGTCAAAGGCCTTTTCTGCATCTATTGAGATAATCATGTGGTTTTTGTCGTTGGTTCTGTTTATATGCTGGATTATGTTTATTGATTTGCATATGTTGAATCAGTCTTGCATTCCAGGGATGAAGCCCACTTGATCATGGTGGATAAGCTTTTTGATGTGTTGCTGGATTCGGTTTGCCAGTATTTTATTGAGGATTTTTGCATCGATGTTCATCAGGGATATTGGTCTAAAATTCTCTTTTTTTGTTGTGTCTCTGCCAGGCTTTGGTATCAGGATACAGCATCTGTTATTTTTTGACTTTTTAGTAATAGCCATTCTGATTGATGTGACTGGGCATGGTGGTTTGCATCTTAATCTTGGATTCTTGGGAGGCTGAGGCCAGGAGTTTGAGATCTGCCTGGGCAACATAGCGAACTATCAGCACACCACTATATTCCAGCCTAGGCAACAGAGCGAGACCCCATCTCTAAAATAAATAATTAAATAAAGAACGGGTTTTTTTTTTAGAACAGCTGTTAAATTAGCAGAACCTACTTAGCTCTAGCTTTCAAATAGTCCAAACTTTTTAAACTTTTTCAACTTTCTGTCAGACAAATTAAGTCATTAAAACAAACTTACATAAGGAATTTGCTCTAAAGGTATTCCTGTATGTCCTGGGATCAGGATTCTATGTATTCAAATCTCACACAAACAATTCTAAACCAAGGATAGTCTATTATTTACTGATTAAGGATTAAAATGGCCCCCATAGCCTCATGGATACCAAAGTAGGAGCATACATTGATGTATGTTAGAATGATTTTCAATACTAAAAGCTTTGTCCCTTAACATTACAGCAAAAATTAACCAAACAATACTAACTTCTAATATTCCAATAAACCGAGATTTTAAGATATTGAATACAATAGAAATCCATTACGATCTTTAGTATGTCTAACAACTGAGCATCAGTTTCCTAAAGTACACCTGCATTGAGATAACATCACTAATCCTACATTCAACAGTAGTTATACCTAGTCAAGTAACTTCAAGTCTTTAAGTATCACCTTTCTTAGGCTTAAAATAGAGCTGGTGAGCATTCAGCTAAGTGAGTTTTAAAGTCCTTCCCAACTGTGAAGTTATTTGATTATGTGGATTCTATAACACTATTTGTGTATCACCCGAATATTAATCCTGTCCTCTGGCAATAAAAGAAAAAAAAGCACAAAATAAAATCCTATACAACCTCTCCAGTGTGCTAAAACCCTGTAATTCTCATTGACTCTAAAAGCAGTTCTGCAGATGTGAGAGGAAGAACATAAATAGTGTGCACCTCTGCAAAGTGAAACTGAGTGACTGTGAGCCAGCCAGCTGCACCAAGAATGACTTCAATTGAGCTATGAGTTGGTAGCTGGTTCTCAAACCAGCTGTGCCACAATCCTTGATCCAGTCTTATTTGCAACAAGAATGTGTATGGAGACCCAAGGGAAAACATTTATTTGCCTGCAAGAGATTAAAGATAGAGATACCACAACCAATTTGCAAGTCATTGGTGATTATAAGAAATTTCTCAAAACAGAAATATTTGCTGAGTATTTTGTTTTTTGTTTTGTGTTGTTTTGTTTTAAACCAATACCCAGTTGAGTATCTACAATGTATCCGAATAGTAATAAACACTGTGGAGATAGAAAGATGAATAAGCCATAGCTCTTGCCTTCAACTCTGTAGGGGAAATAAGACATACACAAATAGATACAACACAATGCAGTAGGGATGGGCCTACAAATAATGGAGACAACATTCTTTAAGAATCAAAGTAGGTTTTTGGCTGGTCATCATCGAGTCATTTTGACCTACATCACATAATCATTAAAGATATTTATACACATACACACTGGTTGCAAGCCAAGAAATATGACCATGGCAATTAAACATTTTAAGAAAACAATAACAAATTAAACAAAGTTGGTGAAAATTTAGCGAGGTTTGTAATTATAACTCTAGTTCTATCCCATTAACAAAGGTATTGGAATTTGGTGTTTTAGAGATTAGTAAATCTGATCAAAGTAGACATTTCATACATGTCACTCTATTAAATGAAATGTGTTTTTGAAAACACTAAACCAAAAGCAAAATGGATGACCTCACCCCAACATGCTATTCTTGGAATTTCTGACAGTCTTGTTTAATACTGTTTCATTGTCTTCTTATCAAAAAAAATTTTTAATGGAGTCCTTCGTATCTTTAGTGGAAATGGTATATTTAGTAGAAAATACAGAATAAACCTAAATTCTTATATACAGACAACTTAAACTTCCTTATGAGATTGACCATATGCATGTAACTATTCTCTCCAAAAAATGTGCTACAATGTCAGTAGAGGAATAAAAAGATATCAGTTCTAAAAAACAAAAAAATTATGAGAAAGACAACATCAGAGTATGAGAAATTTCAGCAAATTTTTGGATAACTAATGGAGTGGTGGTAACTAAGCTTATGGAGGAATACAATCTCAAGTGCCTCGAAAGGTCTTAGGTCAGGTTCCTTAGAAGCAGAGCCTGAAATGGAGATTCCTGCGTAAATGACGTATTGATGAAATACCCTCAGGAGAAACTCATAGGAAAATGAAGGATGTTGGCTAGAGCATAAGAAAAGGCTAGGCAAAAATGTGATTTCAGAGAAGTCTAGCTTCAGCCCGATCCCACAAAGAGTGCTGGAGGATAAATAGTACCAAAAAGTTATCCCTTCCAGACAAAAGAATGCCGGGCTATTACACCACTGCATCAGTCAGTTACAGGTCTGCCCCAGGCAGAGGGAGAGAAGTGTGATCTCCCATGTATCTCTGAACCAACAAGCTCCCCTTTGCCAAGGACAATCTTTCAAGGAAGTGTACAGGTGTGAGCCACTAGAGCAGCAAGCATCTCCAACAGCTGGAGGCTGGGTGTACTCCCTTAGTAAAGGGAATCTGGGCAAGGTACCAACAGTATCTTCTCTAGCCATCACTTACACAGCTTAGTCCACTTGCTTCTCACTTTAAATATACTCCATCTGGTCACTGCTTCTTCAGGGTTCTGGTTGGTTGCAATTTCCAGTAAAATTTACAGGAGGAGAGTTACTGGGGATGAGCTTCTGCCTCCCTGCTGAAATAGGTTTCAAGACCTTAACTAATATACATCTTCCTCTTCTTCCATCCTTTCTAGATTTCCTCCCCTTCTGATAACACTTCTGATAATTTAGGTGACTTAGCTATTGGGAAGACACAGGCCTTCATCCTTGAGTAGTCAAAGCCCCTTGTTAGCAAGCCTTTATTGTTTCATTTGCCAGTTTACAATTGAGATTGGGTGTCACTTTATCAAGAGATATCCCACTGGCCCAGTGGATCATCTAAGTGCCAAACGTATTCCTCCCTGCCTTTTCATATGGCAGTAATTTTACCACTTCAGTGGTGAAAAGGGTCAAAATTAGCCTTCCCAATAGACAATTCCTTTCTTTGCCTGCTGGTAGGCCACAATGCCAGGTGTCAGCTATAGTTTTGTTTTTATTTGGTTTCTCTTAGCCACTAGGCCACCAGGGATGTAGTTTTAAATTAGGTTGAACGCTTTCTGTGATCCCAGGTGAAAGAATTTCCCTTGTGGGAACCAGGATCTCTAGACTCACGGAGCTAGAGCTTCATGGTAATGTGAATCAGATCATGCTTACTTATATCCCTTAATTTCTCTTTTTATTATTACCTTTTATTTAGGTTCAGGGGTATGTGTGCAGGTTTGTTATATAGGTAAGCTGCATGTCACAGTGGTTTGATGTACAGATAATTTCATCATCCCTAGTAATAAACATAGTACCTGATAGGTATTTTTTTGATCATCTCTCTCCTCCCACTCTCCACCCTCAAGTAGGCCCCAGTGTCTGTTGTTCACCCCCTAATATCCCTGAGTTCTCATTATTTAGTTCCCACTTATAAGTGAGAATATGCTGTATTTGGTTTTCTGTTCCTGTGTTAGTTTGCTTAGGATGATGGCCTGCAGTTCTATCCATGTTGCTGCAAAGGATATTATCTCATTCATTTTTACGGCTGCATAGTATTCCATGGTGTATACGTGCCACTTTATCCAGTCTACCACTGATGGGCATTTAGGTTGATTCTACATCTTTTCTTTCTCTTTTTTGAGACGGAGTCTTGCTCTGTCGCCCAGGCTGGAGTGCAGTGGCGCAATCTCGGCTCACTGTAAGCGATTCTACATCTTTTCTATTGTGAACAGTACTGCAATGAATATATGCCTGCATGTGTCTTTATGGTAGAACAATTTATTTTCCTTTGAGTGTGTATCCAATAATGGGATTACTGGGTCAAATGGTAATCCTGTTTTAAATTCTTTGAGGAATTGCCACACTGCTTTCCATAGAGGCTGAACCCCCACCAGCAATGTATAAGTGTTTCCTCTTCTCCCCAAACTTGCCAGCATCTGTTATTCTTTGGCCTTTTTCTAATGGCCACTGTGAATAGTGTGAGCTGGCATCTCATTGTGGTTTTGATTTGCATTTCTCTAGTGATCAGTGATATCGGACTTTTTCATATGCTTGTTAGATGCATGTATGTCTTCTTTTGAAAAGTGTGTGTTCATGTCCTTTGCCCACTTCTTAATGGAGTTGTTTTTAGCTTGTAAATTTGTTTAAGTTCTTTATAGAGGCTGGATATCAGACTTTTGTCAGATGCATAGTTTACAAATATGTTCTCCCATTCTGTAGGTTTTCTCTCTACTTTGTTAATGGTTTCTTTTGATGTGCAGAAGCTCTTTAGTTTAATTAGAGCCTATCTCTCAATTTTTGTGTTTGCTGCAATTGTTTTCGATGTCTTCATCCTAAAATCTTTGCCAAGTCCTAAGTCAAGATAGAATTTCCTAGGTTATCTTCCAGAGTTTTTATAGTTTGAGGTTTTACATTTAAGTCTTTAATCCATCTTGAGTTGACCTTTGTATATGGTATAAGGTAAGGGTCCAGTTTCATTCTTCTGTATGTGGCTAACCAGTTATCTAAACACCATTTACTGAATGAGGAGTCCTTTCCCCATTGTTTGCTTTTGCCAGCTTTGTCGAAGATCAGATGGTTGTAGGTATATGGCATTATTTCTGACTCGTCTATCCTGTTTAATTGGTCTATGTGTCTGTTTTTGTACCAGTACCATGCTGTTTTGGTTACTGCAGCCCTATAACATAGTTTGAAGTTGGATAAGTGATGCCTCCAGCTTTGCTCTTTTTGCTTAACATTGCCTTGGCTATTCTGGCTCTTTTTTGGTTCCATATGAATTTTAAAATAGTTGTATCTAATTCTGTGAAGAATGTTATTGGGAATGTGATAGGAATAGCACTGAACCTGTACATTGCTTTGGGCAGTATGGTCATTTTAACAATATTGATTCTTCCTATCTATGATCATGGAATGTTTATCTATTTGTTTGTGTCATCTGATTTCTTTGAGAAGCGCTGTAATTCTTGTTGTAGAGACCTTTCACATCCCTGGTTAACTGTATTTCTAGGTATTTTTTTGTGTGGCAATTGTGAATGGAATTGCCTTCTTGATTTGGTTCTCCGCTTGGCTGTCGTTGGTGTATAGGAATGCTAGTGATTTTGTACATTGATTTTGTATCCTGAAACTTTGCTCAAGTTGTTTACCAGATCAAGGAGATTTTGGTCAGCGACTCTGGGGTTTTCCAGATATAGAATCATGTCATCTGCCAACAGGGATAATTGACTTCCTCTCTTCCTATTTGTATGTCTTTTATTTCTTTCTCTTGCCTGATTGCTCTGACCAGGACTTCCAATACTATGTTGAATAGGAGTGGTGAGAGAGGGCATCCTTGTCTTATGCCAGTTTTCAAGGGGAATGCTTCCAACTTTTGCCCATTGAGTATGAGGGTGGCTGTGGGTTTGTCATGGGCTCTTGTTATTTTGAAGTATATACCTTCAATTCTGAGTTTATTGAGATATTCCTTAGTTTCTAGATCCATATAGTCTACCTACTGGGGACAATAAAACATACAAAGGTCATTGGTTTTGAGCAAATACAGTATCCTGACGAGCAGTGCCCAAGATTGGCAGGTGTCAGTGGATCCCTCAATTATACCACCAAGAGATCATTCCAATGCTCTATCAGGACAGCAGCTTCCAAAGAAGGCTGCAGATGTAAGCTATTAGCAAGCACCATTCCCTGAAGCAGAGGAATGTGTGCAGCAGCCTAGTAAAAAGAATCTTGCAGGACACCAACAGCATCTGCTACAGGAAGATCAACCAGAATTTAAAATTAAGCTGTTTCATACTTCAGAACGCAAAAAGGCTAAGAATTCTACAGAATACAGGTAATACAGGCAACAGAAACAAAAAATCATCAATAAGTTTAAATTTTCAAAAAGACTAGTAAGAAACAGCATTACAAAATAGAAAGATGTACTAGAGAGGGTGCTCGGATAAAGAAACATCCAAAAGTAATGAAGAACTTTTAGAAAATAGAAATGTAATAAAATAAAAAATTCAGTAGAGTGATTAAAAGATAAATCAAAGCTATCTCTCAAAAATAGAATTAAAATATTTTAAAAATTGAAAAATAGGAGAGAGAGAATAATAAGTTTAGAATATTCCAACATTTGACAGGAGTTCTAGAAACAGAAGAAATGGGGGAAAGAAAATCATCAGTTAAATTATTCAAGAAAATTTCCCCATCAAGACATGCCTCCACAGACTAAGAAAATCGACTAAATGCTCACACAATGAAAAGACCTGTTGCACACACATCATCACAAATATCCATAAGCAACCAGGATACAGAGTGCAGAAGTTTCCAGAAAGGGAAAAGTTGCATTCAAGAGAATTAGAATTGTATTAGAATTCTTAAGAGCACCATTAGATGATAAAATATGATGGGAAATTCCTTTCAAGTTCTGATGGAAGATTATTTTCAACCTAAAATTCCATATCTAGCTAAACTGTCAATCAAAGATGAGGGAAAAGTAAATGCTGTTTTCTTTGCATTCTTTATTGGAAAGCCGCTAAAGTATGTGTTCCAGCCAAAGAGGAAAAGACAAGATCCAGGCTATGGGACATTTAACAGAGGAAAACAAGTATGAATGTTAAGCCCAGAGTAACAGCTATGCAGAAGGCTCAAAGAGCAGTGTGTTTGCAATGGAGCAGAAGAATAAGGACTTCAACAGGAAAGATCTCAAGGGAAAAAAATAATTAATATGTTAACCAAAACACTTGATCATGTGAGACAAAAATACTATGGGTATATGACCCATCTGATAGAGCAAATGGGAAATAGTAAGAATAGATACAAAGAAAATTGTGCCACATAAAATTGAAATAAATAATTAACTCCAGGCAAAATAGATATACAAGAAAAGAATGGAATCATAATACATTGTAGCTATATGTGGGACTATTTGCACTATTATTATTATGACTACTGTCTATTGATTTAACTAAAATTGAGAGGATATATAAACAAAGGCATTTAGAAGATCCAAATTTTCCTCTATCCTAAAAGCAAGTCAATTGATGAAGTCTAAAATGGATAACCCAGGGACTCGGGGGGAAGGCTGGGAAGGGGTGAGGGATAAAAAACTACATATTGGGTGCAGTACACACTGCTTAGGTGATGGGTGCACTAAAATCTCAGAAATCACCACTAAAGAACTTATCCATGTAACTAAAAGACCACCTGTACCCCAAAAACTATTGAAATAAAAATAAAAATTAAAAATTAAATAAAGTAAAATGGGACAATCTCCCCCACCCCTCCCCACCCGCCCCCCCCCCACACACACAAAGGACTATCATTTAGAAAAATGGAGGCAATTCCAGAAAAGGCAGCTAACAGAGTTGATAGTGATTGTATCTGAGCATAGTGAGGGATGTATCAGAGAATTACTGACTTTTTATAAGCCTTCTCTGTAAATATTATATTATGTACCAATAGGTATGCATTACCTTGATTAAAAATTTAAATATTAAATTAAGGAAATAATATATTGTGCAATAACAAAAATGTGTTTCACATTTCTAGCTTCTCTATATAGCTAAGACAGATAATTTTTGGCATGCTAAGAAGGAACATGTGAGGCAAGTGTTTAGCGAGTCGAAAAAGCAAAAGTAATACAAATGAGAAGCTGGAAACCTTGCTTTGACCCCATCATTACTTCCTATGCTTACAATAGCACAATCGTCATTTGTCTTATTTTTATATGCTTGGTTTGAAGTAGAATTAACTAAGTACTGTTTTATATATTTGTACATACATAAAGTATGTAGAACATAAAGTGCTTAGGACTGTATTTCTAACTTTACGAATCAAAATGCACAGAAGAATATAAGAAGAATATCTGATAAATGACTTGAATCAATAATATACATTTTAAGGGCTGGGTGCGGTGGCTCATGCCTGTAACCCCTACATTTTGGAAGGCCCAGGCAGGTGGATCACTTGAGCCCAGAAGTCTGAGAGCAGCCTGCGCAACATGGAGAAACCCCATCTCTACAAAAAAAAAAAAAAAAACAAAAGAAATTAGCTGGGCATGATGGCACATGCCTATGGTCCCAGCTCTTCAGGACACTGAGGTGAGAGAATCACCTGAGCCTGGGAGGTCGAGGCTGCAGTGAGCCATGATCATGCCACTACACTCCAGCCTGAGAGATAGGGTGAAACCTTGTCTCAAAAGAAAAAAAGTATGATTTATGTTTTTAAATGTAAAAACTCAGTAATAAGTAAACAGGCAATTCAATTTAAATATAATATATATAATATCATATATATTTAAAATATATTATTTTAAAATACATAAATATATTACATACTATATATATAATGTATATATGCAAAAGTTTTGAATGGTTACTTTACCAAAGAAGATATATACATGGCAAATAAACACATGAAAAAATGTTCATCACAGAATTAGTCATTTCAGAAGTGAAAATTAAAACCACAATGAGATACCACTACATACCCATTAGAATGGCTAAAATTTAAAAGATTGTCCATACCAAATGTTGGTAAGGAAATTGAGGAACTAGAATCCCCATAAACTGCAAGTGAAAATTTTAAATGGTACAATCACTTTTCAAAAAAGTTCGGCAGTTTCTTAAAAATTTTAAAACATACCATATTTAAACCTCAAATAATATGATCTTGCCATTCTATTCCTATATATTTATCCAAGAAAAATTAAAGCATATGTCCATATAGAGACTTGTACATGAGTATTCTTGACAGCTTTATTCATCCTAGCCAAAAGCTAGAAAAAAATGCAAATCATCAATAAGTGAATGAATAAACAATTATGGTATGTCCATACAATGTAGTACTACTCCTCAATAACAACTAATGAGCTTTAAAAAATAAGGAATGAACTACTGATACATGCAACAACACAACATAGATGAATCTCAAAATAATTGCACCAATTGAAAGAAGCAATACAAAAAAGAGTATACACTGTATGATAGCTTTTATATAAAATTCAAGAAAATGAAAACTCATTGATAGTGACAAAAAGATGGTGGTTTCTTAGGGAAAAGATATATGGTATGGGCAGGAAAGGTAATTAAAAGGAAGAATGGAGAAACTTTTGGGGGTAATGTCTATGTTCACTATCTTGATTGTGAGAATGTTTTCTAAACTTATCAAATCATATGCTTTAAACACATGTAGGTTATTACAGTCTATTATAACTCACAGCACAGTTTTTTTTTCACCAAAACCAAAGTTATTTTATTTTTAATTTTTTAACTTTTATTTTAAGTTCAGGGGTACAAGTGCAGGTTTCCTACATAGGTAAACTTGAATCATAGGGGTTTGTTGTACAGATTATTTCATTTTCCAGGTATTAAGCCTAGTACCCATTAGTTATTTTTCCTGATCCTCTCCCTCCTCCCACCCTCTACCTTCTGAAAGGCCCCAGTGTATGTTGTTCCTCTTTATGTGTCCATGCGTTCTCATCCTTTAGCTCCCATTTATAAGTGAGAACATGTGGTATTTAGTTTTCTGTTCCTATGGTAGTTTGCTAAGGGTAATGGCCTCCAGCTCCACCCATGTCCCTGCAAAGGACATGATCTTGTTCTTTTTTATGGCTGCATAGTATTCCATGGTGTAGTTGTACCACATTTTCTCTATCCAGTCTGTCATTGATGGGCATTTAGGTTGATTGCATGTCTTTGCTACTGTGAATAGTGCTGCAATGAACAAACATGTGCATATATCTTTATAATAGAATGATGTATATTCCTTTGGGTATATACCCAGTAATTGGATTTGCTGGGTCGAATGGTAGTTCTGTCTTTAGGTCTTTGAAGATGCCATGCTGTCTTCTACAATGGCTGAACTGATTTATACTCCCACCAACACTCTTTAAAATAAACAAACATAAAAGGAAATTTTTAAAATAAGTATAGGAAATAAGTAACCCATATCACTCAGATATAGTCATTAATTCATTCAGTCAACAACTACTGCATGGCTCGTATGTGCTAATCATTGTGCCGGATGCTGGCAGCAGAAATATTTCTACAACATGACTTGTCTTCCCAAGGACTTCACAGATTTGTGAAATAACAGACACGCATCACTGGGTAAAGTAAGCTATGGTATTTGTTTCCGAGATGGTAATTAATGCTCCTTGCATTTTTCTTTACATCAAAATATTAAATAAATATAATGAATGTTGCTAGGAATACCTATTAATATAAAGCACTCTTTCATGAGTAGCTGTTTCTCTGTTATTCTCACTGTATTAACCATATGCTCTTTGGGTAACGGTAATATCTTCCCTTTTCAACATTAGTGTATTAATACTCCAAAATCATTATAACACATCCACCATACTAATAATGCAGCCAGCTCTCAATTTTGATGGTGGATTCCAGAAATCTGGCTTTGGTCCTTGCACCCTTCAGCCACTTGCATTTAGGGGCATTTCATTGCTTGTTATCGCCTCTGTCAAGAGTGTTCAGTAGAAAAGAGGAGGCAAATCTCAAGCCCATGTAATATCCTGATGATGGTCATAAAATCTTAAAATTGGAAGTAATCTCCAGTGTTATCTATTTAAATTCCCACTCAGTGCTAGAATCTCCTCTATCCTATCCCCAACAGATATTTACACAAGCCAGATTCTGCTTGAGCACTTTGAATAATAACAGATCAAATTCCCAGTTACTCCACTAGTAAATGTTACAGTCTTTTCCATGTTTGCAGTTCAAATAGAAGCTCTGAGGGGTGGTTGGAAACAATATTTAAATTTGGCTAAGGAATAGCCATATGTATTATGTATTCTAGTTATTACATACACATACATAATGTTTATCAGGCAAATGAAGATAAATTCTTCCAAAGTATTACGTTATAAATACCTCACCCCAATATTCCCTATGAGTCAGGCAGGAAGGATGGGAAGGAGGGAGGAAACTGTTAAACTGAAGAATCAATCTATTAGTGTATTTACCATCATCGTCTGCCCAACCAGCATGTGAGGACACAGCAAGAATTTGGCCACCTGCAAGCCAGGAAGAGGGCTCTCACCAGAACTCAACCATACTGGCACCCCAATCTTGGATTTCCAACCTCCAGACCGTGAGAAAATAAATTTCTGTTGTTTGAACCACCCAGTCTATGGTATTTTGCGATGACAGCCTGGGCTGACTAACACAGTCAGTCTTAAGAAGACTTTTTTGAAAGTCTATCAAAAAGTTTATCAGAGCTCAAAATACTTTATTGCCTACTTCAACTTAATGCCTACAATTTAAAAGATGTTGTGGATTCATTTCTGTTCAGACTACTTAATCTTATTTTTTTAAGAGACCAAACAGAATGTAGAAGAGGAAGGAAACCTACAAAGATGGTGACTGCCTGCCTGAATCCTGGACTTGGACTAAACAACATCATTTGACATAACTGATGCAAAGTTCCTCTTTCATAAAATAAAAGGTTGCAAAGTATGCTGGTGTGCACCTGTAGTCCCAGTTACTTGAGAGGCTGAGGATGGAGGATCGCTTGATTCCAGGAGTTTAAGTCCAGCCTGAGCAACATAGACTCCTGTCTCAAAAAATAAAGGATTGAAATTTTAAATGATCCCCAAATATCCTCTCCATCTATAGAATTCTCCAAATCTTTTAATTTAATATTGGAGGAAAAGGAACAGATATGTACTCAATTTGGTTGACTGTGTAAAGAACTTTGGAACAAGGTAAAAAGGGAACAATAACTGCCTCCTAACCAAGAGCATTACAGAATTCTCCATAAGGAAACTGAATTTTTCCTGTTAAGGATTAAAGTATTCTCAAAGTAGATATTCTTACTGGAGCTCAAGTATGATAGAAAAAAATATAGCTGAGGCCTTTCAAATGTACTCTGTAATTTCCCCTTCTGTCTAAAAGCATTCATTCATTCAACATATACTAGGGACTGAGATGCAAAGACAAAGCAAAGTTGCCCCTGCCCCTTAGATTCAAAAACTAGGGAACACTATTTGACAGAGTTTTTCTAGTAATCTCAATAAACATGATCTCAATAAGCATAATTAACTATAGGGCTTCATATCTTCATAAGCTATATAATGTCTCCATTTAATACAACAAAATGCGCACACCGAAGAGGCAGGATGTCATAGATTCAGGAAATTTTCATGTGAAAGACATTTCAGAGACTTTCTTCCCTGAAGCCTCTTCAAATGGCTTTGGGGACAGCAAGCTGCTCCCTTATTGGAGCTTGCACACGATTTGATTCTCTTCCTTGCAACTGCATCTTCTTATGTTGTAATATCTATTTAAATATTTCTAGATATCAAGGGGCATCAGGCAGAGGAACCAAGCCTTATTCATTTCCCAGGAACTTGCACCACATTTGATTAATAACTGATGCTCAATACTACATTTTGTGGACTTAGGATCATCTTAACTGAACTAGATAAACTGGATGAGGAGGCTAAGGTTTGTAGCTACTTGTTCAAGGTCTCACAGGCACAGTCTGATGTGACAGGGCCAGAGCTAGGCCCCAGATCTCAGGCTCACAGTTTAGTGTTCTTTCCTTGAATAGCTTGCAATTAAGGAGCTGGTACCTCACTTGGACTTCGAATGTGTGTTTCCTTGAAGTAATAAGAAAGCCTAGCAGTATAAACAAAGAAGCAGGCCAGGCATAGTGGCTCATATGTGTAATCCCAACACTTTGGGAGGCTGGGGTGGCAGGATTACTTGATGCCAGGAATTCAAGATCAGCCTGTGCAACATAGTGAGAACCTGTCTCTACAAAAAAAAAGAAAAAAAATATTAGCCAAGCATGGTGTCTGTAATCCCAGCTACTCAAGAGGCTAAGACATGAGGATCACTTCAGCCCAGGAGTTCAAGCCATGATCACATCACTATACCCCAGCCTGGACAACAGAGTGAGACCCCATCTTGAAAAAAAAGACCTAAAGAAAGAAATACCATTTGACCCAGCAATCCCATTACTAGGTATATACTCAAAGGAATATAAATCCATCTATTATAAAGACAGATGCACATGTTTGTTCATTGTAGCACTGTTCACAATAGCAAAGACATGGAATCAACCTAAATGCCCATCAATGATAGATTAGATAAAGAAAATATAGTACATATACACCATGAAATATTACGCAGCCATAAAAAGAACAAGATCATGTCCTTTGCAGGGACATGGATGGAGCTGGAGGCCATTATCCTTAGCAAACTAACACAGGAACAGAAAATCAAATATTGCATGTTCTCACTTATAAAAGATAGCCAAATGATGAGAACACATGGGCACATAGAGGGAAACAACATACACTGGGGCCTTTCGTAGGGTGGAGAGTGGGAGGAGGAAGAGGATCAGGAAAAATAACTAATGGGTACTAGGCTTAATACCTAGGTAATGAAATAATCTGTACAACAAACCCCATGACACAAGTTTACCTATGTAACAAACCTGCACTTGTACCCCTGAACTTAAAATAAAAGTTAAAGAAGTAAAATTTTAAAACAAGAGGAAATCATGCAAAAAGAAAGAAAACTGATTTGAATAGACATTTCTCCAAAGACAAGAAAATATATAAAAGGCTAAGATACACAAGAAAAGATGTTCAACACCATTAGTCATCAAGGAAATGCAAATCAAAGCGACAATGAGATACAATTTGATACCCACTAGGAGAGATATAATCAGAAAGACAGACAATAAGGCTATAATCAGGAATATGGGCAGTAACCCATGTTGACAAGGATTTGGAGAAATGGAACCCTCATCCACTGCTGGTAGGAATGTAAATAGCACAGCCACTCTGGGAAACAATGGCAATTCCTTAGATAGTTAACATAGAGATACTGTATTTCATTCCTAGGATATACCCAAGAGAAATGAAAACATATGGCCACATAAAAACTGTACATGAACATTCAAAGTAGAATTATTCATAATAGCCAAACAGTGAAAACAGCTGAAGTGTCCATATATTCATGCAATGAAATATTATTCAGCAATAAAAATGTATGAAATACATGTAACAACAAGAGTGAGCCTTGTAAACATCATGGTAAGTGAAAGAATTCAGTCACAAAAGGCCACATATTATGTAATTCAATTTATGTGAAATATTCAGAACAGGAAAATTCATAGAGATAGAAAGTAGTTTAATGGTTGCCAGGAACCAGGGGAAAGGGAGTGGCTGCTAATGGATATGAAATTTTATAAAATTGGTACAACTTTGCAAATATACTAAAATCATTTAATGTGCTCTTCAAAAGCATGAATTTTGTGGTGAGTTACATCTCAATAAAAAGTACCATAAAGGAAAGAAATCTACATAAAACAGTCAAACTTATACAAAACAAATGTCTTTAAAGAACAAGTTTTAAACAGTGCTATGTAGAACCTGGTATGAAGTGAAATGAAATATTAGTACCTAATATGTCCCATGAGGAAGATTGAAGGAAACCAATGTTTATTTAGAGCCTAGTCTACACTCTGAATAAATGCATTTTCTGTATCTTCTCATTAATCTTTTGAGGAATCTATTACTCATTTTACAGATAAGGAGACCAAATGTCAGAAAGGTTAAGTAATTTTCCCAAATCGCACAGTAATCTAAGACAGATCTGGGAATCTAGTTCAGATGCCTAATTCCAAAGCATGTGTTCTTTCCACTCTTGCACAATACTTCCTTAGAGATTTTTCCATAAAACTTGGTTTATTGCAATAACCAATAAACCGTGTTTATTTTATTGCAATAACAATAATCCTTAGAAGGAAATTCCATGAAACTTGGTTCATTGCAAGTTCCTTCAGAAGTTGTGAAGTAAACTAGACAAACATCTTCAAATGCCTATGCAAGTGCTTGACAAAACTGATAAGCCCAACATGCTTTTGTATTCATCCCACCTGCCTTCCTGACCACCTCCTTCATGACCACCAAAGTTGAGGAGAGCATTTTCCCAAAGCCCTTGCCTACACCTAGTGGACACTGTAACCCTGCAGCATTCAGGTTCATCATTACAGTCTCCAAAGCACTCAAAGCTACTTTGCATTCAGTAGGACTTCAATGCGTGATTGTGGTGATTGAATGAACAAACATGTTATCTCCCTTAAAATGCTCATTATACATAGGACACGTAAGATGAAGACACAGTAATATTAACCATTTCAAAACCAGGTATACCCCAGGAAGCCTCTTTACAGGAGAGTAAACCTGTGGACAGACTTGGTAGATGTGAAGCTATTCCCCAATGCTTCTTACAGCAGGTTATAGACTGATGGCAGTGCTATCTTCCACATAATGATACACTTATACTCCATAGTCCTCTTGGGTGGGGCCATATGACTTGCTTTGAATAGTGGGTTGAGAACCAAAGGGACAGATGTTTCTTCCAGGCCAAGTATAATTGCTGACTTCATGCACTTCTCTCTTTTCCACTGCACAGTGACCAGCAACTGCTGAGATGGTAGCTGCTTCGTCAGGTACATGAGTCCTCAGTTGACCCACATGGATATATTGTTGTTTCTGTTTCTACAGCAAAACCTAGCCTTCCCTGACATCCAAATCTCCAAAGGACAAGTTGTATGTGAAAATGGTGAGCAGTACAATTTAACTAGAACATGCTAGGCCATGAGGAGCTAGAGGAGATAAAATCAGAAAGAGAACTGGAGGTCAGATAATACAAACCCTTGAAATCCAGACTAGTCTAGAAGATATATTGCAGGAGGAAGGTACTACAGATGGAAAAAAACAATTAGGTTGGTAAGCCCAAAGAAATGTGTCAGGAAAGAAACAAAAAACAAAAAAATTCTCAGTTAATATCAGATATTGAGGCATGGATGATGTCTTCATTTTGAGATCCAAGCGACAGGGTTGAAAGTAGATAATGAGGTCAAAACAGAGAGGCCACTAGGCAGGAAATGCCATAACCAATCAGGAAGCTGCTTAAAGCCCATGGCTAGGAGGAAAGTTGTATTAGTTTTCTCTTGCTGCTATATCAAATTATTACAAGCTTGGTGGCTTAAAACAACATAAACATTATCTTACAGGGCTGTAAATTAGCAGTCTGACATGCATCTCACTGGCTAAAATGAAGGCATCAACAAAGCTGTATTTCTCAAGACTCTAGGGAGTAATCCATTTCCTTGCCTCTTCTAGTTTCTTAAGGCCACCTGCATTACTTGGCTCATGGAACCTTTTCTCCATCTTTAAAGTCAGCAAGGCGGAATCTCTCTGACCGTCTTCATTTTTGACAACTTCTTTGACTACAGCTAAGAATGGGGTGGAGTGGAAATATTTTGAAGGGATAATGGTGATGAGATTGTGTCCATCTGGAGAATCCCAGATAAACTCCCACTTTAAGACTTATAACTCAATCTCATCTGCAAAGGTAACATATGTATCAAGGGATCTAAGGGTTAGGATGTGGCCACCCTTAGGAGGCCATTATTCTGCCTGCCATCATAGCCAAGCATTAGGAATGAGGAACACACTCAAAATATCAAGAAACAAAAGTATGGTACTGGACAGGGGAATGCTCAGTTCTAATGTATTCTGAACTACTGTGGGTCAGACCTGTGTACAATGGCTCTTGTCTTAAGGCCCGTAAAGGGCAAGTTCAGTGGTCTAAATGAGAAGTGATTCACTGGCCTGAACTCTGCCAGTAATGGGGAATGGAATATTATAGACAGCAGTGCCCATGGTGCCCTGAGACTGACTATTCCTTTGCCTCAATAAGTGCAAGCTGAATGAATGAATTGATGAGTGAGATGTCAATCAAATAAACAGGACTGAACAACAGTCTGGATACAGAAGGCAGAAAAGGGGAAAGGATTTTTAGAAACTTTAACAGTCAATGAAGCAGCTAGGAGAGGTACAAGGCTAGATACTAAAAAAAACATGGAAGAGCGAAGGATGGAATTTCTTAACTGAGTTCTGAAAGTGGCACTTCTTTCAGAATTTAATTTATTTTACATAGATGAAGGGAATACACTGTCAAATAGATATAAGCTAGAGAAATGTAAAATAATTGTATGAATTATACACTTAGAAAAGGATCATCGGCCAGATGTTTTGCAGGAAACCAAAAACTAGACATAGGGAAACTAGACATAAAAAAGGATTGAGGGAACTTTTAATTAGGAGAGTAAGATCATTTTTAAATGCATTTTTATCTGTGAATAAATCTGAATGGATAAGACCATGTTTTAATTATGAAACAGGAGACTTGGGATGGAGCAAGACAGTGGAATAGAAGGCACTACAAATTGCTCCCATCCCCACCCAGGACACCAATTTAACAACTATCTACACCAAAAAAAAAAAAAAAAAAAAAAAAAAAAAGCACCTTCATAAGAACCAAAGATAGGGTGAGCACTCGCGGTGCCTGGTTTTAACTTCATATTGCTGTAAAAGGCGCTGAAGAGGTAGGAAAATCAGTCTTAAATTGCTGACACCCACCCCTCTGTTCCCGCACCTGGCAGTGGTGGTTTGGCACAGAGAGGGAGATCACAGCAACTGTGAGGCATTGAACTCAGTGCCACCTTATTATAGCAGAACACAAAACCAGACCAAATTCAGCCGGCAACTGCCCACAGGAGGAGCATTTAAACCAGCCCTAGCTAGAAAGGAATCCAGATCCCAGTGGTTGGAACTTGAGTTCCTGCAAGCTTTGCCACCATGGGCTACAGTGCCCTGGAGTCCTAAACTTGAAAGGCAGTCTAGGCCACAAGGACTGCAAGTCCTAGGCAAAACCTAGTGCTGAACTGGGCCCAGAGTCAGTGGACCTGGCTGGTGGGTTGTAGGGGGGCCAGGGAGGACATGACCCACTGCGACACCAGCCAGGCTGGCTAAGGAAGTGCTGGCATCATCCCTCCCCAACCCCAGGCTGTACAGCTCAAGACTCCAAAAAAGGCCCCTTCCTTCCTCTTGAGGAAAGGAGAGGGAAGAGTGGGGAGGACTTTGTCTTGCCTCTTGGTTACTAGCTCAGCCACAGCAGGATAGGGCACCAATCAGATTCATGAGGCCCTAGCTCCAGACAACATTTCTAGACACATCCCAGGCCAGAAGGGAACCTGCTGCCTTGAAGGGAAGGACCCAATCCTGGCAGGATTCATCACCTGCCAACTGAAGTGCCCTTTGGCCCTGAATAATCAGCAGTGAAACTCAGGTACTATGTCAGGACTTTGGGTAAGACTCTGAGACTTGCTAGTTTCAGGTAAGACTCTGAGACTTGCTAGTTTCAGGTAAGACTCAGCACATTGTCAGCTATGGTGGCTGTAGGGTGAGGCTCCTTCCACTTAAGAAAAGCAGAGGGAAAAGTAAAGGGGACTTTGTCTTGCATCTTAGGTACCAGCTCAGCCACAGTGGGGTAAGGTGTCAAGAAGTTTCTTGGGGTCCCTGATTCCAGGACTTGGCTTTTGGACAGTATTTCTGGACCTTCTCTGGGCCAGAGAGGAGCCCACTGCCCTGAAGGGTGAGTCCCAGGGCAAGCAGCATTCACCACAAGCTGACTGAAGAGTCCTTGGGCCTCAAGGAAACATCAGCAGTAGTCTGGCGGTACTCCCTGTGGGCCTGTGGTGGCAGTGGCCACAGGGTGAGGCTCCTCTGCCTTTAGAAAGGGGAGGGAAGAGTGGGAAGGACTGTATTTTGTGGTTCGATGTCAACTCAACTGCAGTACAATAGAACACTAGGTAGACTTCTGGGAGTCCCTGGCTCCCAGACAGCACCTCTGGACTTACCTGGGGCCTGGAGGACCTCACCACCCTGAAGTGAAGGACAAAGGCATGGCTGGCTTTGCCACTTGCTGATTGTAGAGCCCCAGAGCCTTGAGAAAACATAGGCAGTAGCTAGGAAGTGGTTACAGCAGGCCTTAGGCAAGCCCAGCACTGTGCTGGTTTATGGTTTGACCCAGGGCAGTCACAGTGGTGGTGGCCACAGGGATACTTGTGTCACTCCACCCCCCAGCACTAGGTGGCTCAGAACAGACAGACTCTGTTTGTTTGGGAGAAAGTAGGAGAAGAGAGCAAAAGATTCTTCCTGGTGATTAAGAGAATCCTCCCGGATCATGCCCAATACCATCAGGGTAAGTACGTTTATGAGTCTGAAAGAACCAGTGTCACTGAACATGGGGTGGCCACTAAAGCAGATACAGCTTAGATCACAACATCCAAGTTCCTTTGAATATCTGGAAAGCCTTCCCAAGAAGGACAGGTACAAACAAATCCAGACTGACAAGACTACAATAAACACCCAAGTCTTCAATGCCCAGACACAGATGAACCATCTACAAGTATCAGGGCCATCCAGGGAAACATGACTTCATCAAATGAACTAAGTAAGGCACCAGGGATCACTCCTGGAGAAACAGAGATAATGTGACCTTTCAAACAGAGAATTCAAAATAGCTGTTTTGAGGAAACTCAAAGAAATTCAAGATAACACAGAGAAGGAATTCGGAATTCTGTCAGACAAACTTAACAAAGAGACTGAAATAATTTTAAAGAATTATGAAACAATCGTTTTGAAAGTGCCTGCCTTAGACCTCTGCAGTGGAGGTATGCTGCCTTTGGATTCATTGACTCAGTAAGATGTAGTGAAAACTGAAAACTATAATAAATCTCAACTCCTATGAGCAACACCCGATTAAATTTCATTCTGGCTTTTGCACAATGGTGGCAATGGCTATAATCCAGAACATAAACAAAAACTCATATGGAAGCAACAAACACATTTTTTTAAATCATATGTTATTCCCCAGCCCAAAGAACTCTTTGTCTAGGACTTTTGTCTGTGACTTATATTTATATTACTGAATAACTCCACCCAGTGAACATGAAGAACAGATGAGTACAAAAAGGCAACATTTACATAGTCTAATGATTCCCATATATGGACAATAGATATGCACGCTAAGAAGTCTGGCAATTCTTTTTTTTTTTTTTTTTTTGAAATTGACTTAATGAGATGGTGACAAGTGAAGTGTGTGCATGATCAGTCCCATGATAACTCAGACATTTACATTTACATTCTCATCTCTTGAAAATCAAGCCACTCATTCTCTATTGCCAATTTGCTTTAAACCAACATGTCAATAATGGGCAAACTGCCACAAGTCAAATTTGCTAAAAACAGAACCATGGCATAAATAGAAACCAGAGCTTTAACCACTGCTAATGCAATGTGAAAGTTAATAAGAACGACACAAGTCTTAAACCTCTTGCTTGTTGAAGCTTACTCTAGGGATTTGACAAACAATGATAAACAAGGACCAGAAAAAATCCATTCAGACTGTCACTTGAAATATGGGTTATTCCACATCTCCACGTTGATTATCCTGATAATGTAGATTGTCTCTAGTTAAACTTACAACATGTGCTGACCCTCTTTGCTACCCAATACATCCTGTTTACTGTGTATTTGTGTATGAGTGTGGGGCTTACCTAGTTTCTCCAGATAGGAGATGAAACCAGATTTGAAATCCCCATTGGGTCTTCCTACTTCTTTGCCAACTCCTTAAAAGTTTTGCATAATTCAGATTTTTATAAAGACTAGTCAAGAAGAACTGATTCTATACTATTAAAAGGTTAACAAGAATTTGCCAGTATACAATACGTATGACATACAACCATGAGGGTGTATATGTGAAATTTACTACCAATCTGCTTCTCCTTTAATAAGGACAGCTTGAGTCATATACTCTACACATTCTTGGTTTTCTCCTTTTCCTGTTTCCAACCACTATGTCATTTTTAATCCAGAACCTGGCACCATGAGGTTTTATCTCTTCACCCTTGATGCTCTCGCTGACTCAACACTACACCCCAATTTCCATCCTGCCTGTCCCCATCAGACTTAGTACCACTGTCATTGTGTCCATCACTCATATTTTCCACACATATTTATTGAACACTATTTTGTGTTCCAAGCACCATGGTAGGCACTGAAGATGTAATGGAGAAGACACTGATATTTGACTCTCAGCTCTTCCTAACAGATCAAGTCTCAGTCTTGTTTCTCCAGCTATGTCTCCTGAGTCTTGAATAGTTCAGTGCTCCAAGATGACCCCTTGGCCCGCTAGCTGGCATTAATCATTAGGTAAACATTTCAGCCAAATTGACACTGATCCTCCAGCAGGGGGAAAGAGGATATCTGTACAATGTCAGAGCCTCTGTCTTAGAGCGGCACTTCAGCATCCCACCACACTGTCCTGTCTCTTCCTGGTGTCAGGGCAGATGCTACAACACCCTTGAAGCCTCTCAGCCTGCAATTGCTTAAAGGTCAGTGTTTACAGTTGAAGATTTCTATATATCTTATTTATTTTTTTTTTACTTTGGTTATTTTTATTTCTGCACCTAACAACTTTATATAAATCTGTGTCATTCAAGGACATCAGGAAATGAATCTGTTTGGTACCACTCACTCCTTTCCCATATAAAAAGTGGGGGCGGAGGAAAGTTTTCAAACCATTCAAAATGAGTTGCCTATATGCAGAATTTCTAATAAATCTGTACCAAATTCTCTGCTATAAATGAGATGTTTTGGCTGGTTTTCAATAAGGACTCTTTTTCTCCTAATTCCATTATGATCTAACATTGAATTAATCTGTTTTACACAGGCAAATAAATGCATTTGGCATGTTAATGCTGAGTCTGAAGCATATTTCTGTCCATATGGGACAGTATCTGAAATCATGCAGAAATCACTACACACATTAAAAACACTTCCTCTGGACAGAGTGCTGAAATGGAGAAAAATGTTTACAAAATAAAAAACAGAAAAACTCTATATAAGAATTACTCGGTCATGGATCTGTGTTCTCTTTACACAGATCACTGAAACTCATTAAATTTTTTGACATACTAAGTCACGACTATTGATATAATGTGTCTCATTTCTCATCTACCAAGTTTTAAAATACTACTTGCCCTATACTAATCATAGCCAATGAAAATGGAATGAGATGATACATATGGAATTTCTTTGAAAAGCCTCAAGGCCTTTCTGTATTTAAGAGAGAGTGGTGATGTTGGTATTGGTGGTAGCACCAGTGGTGGAAGTGTAGCCTTTTTTTTTTCTTTTTTTTTTTTTTTTTTTTGAGACAGAGTCTCGCTTTGTCACCAGGCTGGAGTGCAATGGCATGATCTCGGCTCACTGCAACCCCTGCCTCCCAGGTTCAAGTGATTCTCCTGCCTCAGCCTCCTGAGTAGCTGGGACTACAGGCGCCCACCACCACTCCCAGCTAATTTTTTGTATTTTTAGTAGACAGGGTTTCACCATGTTAGCCAGGATGGTCTCGATCTTCTGACCTCGTGATCCACCGTCCTTGGCCTCCCATTGTAGCCATTTTTTTTACAGTCTCCCTCATTTAAGGCCCACAGAGCATTAGTTCCGTGAGAAGCCCCTCGGATGGCAGGCAGAGTGTGGGGTTGGTTTTGCAGTCAAATAACCTCAGAAAACCCTATATATGACATTTAACTTTTGAAATTTGAAAAGGACATTAGCCATTCAAGGATTAGAATAGCCTTACAATAAAGAACTATGTTTAATTTTAATAATGCAGAATTTCTAAGACATAAATGGATTAGAAATATTTTTTGCTACATAACATCTGTTAATATTCCAAGGCATTAGAGTTCCACAGAGAATCATTATTATTTAGAAGGAACATAGAATGAAATGTTCAACTGAATCAAATGCTTATCATAATAGGCCAACTCCTTCCCTTCATGAAACCCCAAATTCTTGCCTATACTAGCAGCATGCAAGGTGGGATTCTTAATTTATGAGAAAACCACTGATACTGGCATCCTCTTCAAAAATTAAAATCCAAGTTTGGGACCTAAAAACAATATCCCAAATGCCTATCATTTACATGTGCCTGTAGTATTTTTGTCACAAAGAGAAAAAATCAAAGGAAAATATATTCATGGATTTTAAAGACGTATATAGCCCTCGTCTCAAAATGAAAATAAATCAATACATGTTTATGAACAGGTTAGCCCTATACTAGGGCTTTGCATAACACAGCATTTCCTGCTTTCAAGGAGCCCGCAGTCTTTTGGACCCCTCTATTTGAGAAATATATGTTCTAGAAGGTAGAAGGAAGCACAAGATAACAAAAATTAAAATAATAGTTAATAGGCATTTGTTCAGATATAAACATAAGTTATGTTGATAAATGTCACCAGCTGTGAGAAACCCTCCTGGCCCAGCTACAGAGAGAGTGGGGAATGAAGATGCCCATCTGATCCTGAACAGTGTCCTTCCTTTGCCATGTGGCCAGATGAGATCCCAATACCCTCCTAAAACTCTGTGATAAGTCAGGCTTGGTGGCACATGTCTGCAATCCCAACACTTTGGGAGGCCGAGTTGGGAGGATTGCTTGATCCCAAGAGTTCGAGATCAGCCTGGGCAACATAGTGAAACCCCATCTCTACTAAAAATACAAAAAAAAAAAATAGCTGGGAGTGGTGGCACGTGCCTGTGGTCCCAG
Source organism: Homo sapiens (assembly GCF_000001405.40). Lineage (NCBI taxonomy): Eukaryota > Metazoa > Chordata > Mammalia > Primates > Hominidae > Homo > Homo sapiens. The sequence continues at coordinate 99,630,001 of NC_000003.12, forward strand.
CAACTTGGGAGGCTGAGATGTGAGGATTGCCTGAGCCTAGGAGGTGGAGGTCACAGTGAGATGAGATTTCACCACTGCACTATAGCCTGGGTGACACCGGGAGAACCTGTCTAAAAAACAAAACAAAACAAAACAAAAAAAACTCTATACCCTATGATAATAAATACAGCACAGAAAGTCTAATAAAGACATATAAATGAAGTGTTCCAGAAAGAATGCAACATGCAGAAAGGATCAATTGAAAATGTAAGAGAATAAGGAAATTAGAAAACAGAAGAAATGAGACTAAGAAAAATAAAATGAAACCAAGACAGAATGACACAAATTCCTTCTGTAAAATCCAAGAAGGCCAAAACTATGAGCTACAACTTACAGAGCTTCATGGGATCTGACAACTTTTTTTGCACAAGAATTTAAGTCTCATTTCTTAACAGGTCATTTCTCTTCCCACTCCCTTACCTAGTGATCTAAAATTCATTTAGTCATGTGCAATAGCTGTGATGTTCTGGCAAAGAGACTTACCTATTTCCTTATACATAAAATGAAACTCCAGGAGTTTGACTTTCCTTCTAGGAAAACAAACCAGCTGCCAGAAATGAAGAGATCTGGTATTGGCACGCTCAATGTGCTCACAAAACCATATGGTGGTTCTAAGCCGAAATGACAAGGGCCAACCATTATATGTCCACACTTAGGGAATAAATTCATAAATAATATAGAAGCCAAGGTATATGGGGCTCTAAATTTTCCCCCTCAATGTCACAGAGACTCGCTAAGGATATCTTAGAAGATTATTTGTCTTTAAGGGAAATAAATGGGAACTAGTCACCATGAGGGTGTCAAGCCATCATAGAGGGTCCAAAAATAAGTGCTCCAGTTCTCAAGTGCATTCAGCATTAGGTGCAACTTTTGCTCAGTCAGTCAGGCAAAACTCTTAGTGTGCAGTGGTATTTACAAAAGAGTATATTCTGACCCTTTATATTTCAAAGCAATGTTGAAACACATCTGTTCAAATAACCCTCCCACCTTGACTGACTCACCTGGCAAGAAGAGTTAGTTTCCTGGCCAACAGGCAGCCAGACCCTCCCGATATTCAACCAAAATATATAAAGCATATCATTGTCTTTTCATCCCCAAAAAGCACAGAGATGAACCAAGCTTTTCTTTTCTGTGTGTTACTTAAAGATATTCTCTGTCTTACACCTGGCATTCTCAGTAACCACCTCAAAGCTCCCTCCAATGAGTAGACTCCATTAGATCTCCTATACAGCCCCATACTTATCTTGCCCATAGAATCTACCTCAGTGAAGGGAAATTATCTATTTCTCTTCCTCTCTCCCCTACCAGACTGTTTAAAATCCTCAAAAATGGGAAGCCAGTCATATTGATCTTCAGAACTCATTTCTATGACCCTGCAAGAAATGTACCAGGAAACTCTAAATGTTTGTTTTTGTTTTGTTTTGTTTTGAGCCAAATGGGGTAAAGGGGGCTGGGAATGGGGAAAGATAAGAGAGTATTTAATTATTTTTTAATCTCTGCAATCCACAGATTCATATTGACCACCTTACTCTATGCTAGGCTTAGTGTCAGGAAAAAGGGTTAGGCTCTCAAGGAAAGAGCAGTAAAATTGCAAAGAAAAGAGGTTAGCATATGTATAAGACAAGGTAGACTATAAAAAATTGCATAAGAGAAGTACCAATTTTCCTGGGCAGTTCAGAAAACTAACCAGGAAGCATTTCCTGAAGGTGGCATGGAAGTAATAAAGGATTTGAGCATGTGTCTGTAGGTGGACCCAGCAGCAGGAGCTCCATTAGCGACCATGCAGGAGCTGAGAAGTTAATAACATTTTGAAAAGCAGATTGTTTCCCCTGACTGAAGCATAAATTATGTAAATCAGACCGGACATAAAGACTGGGCCTGAACCTTGGAAAGGGGCTTTGAATGCCAAACACAAATTTAGGGTTTTTTGTGAATGGTGTGATGCCATCAACAGGGTTTGAACAAGGGTATCACATAATTTTTGCCAGGTTTACGGTGATGACTCTGGAGGCAACATGGGAAGTGATCTGGGAATAGGACATGCCAGTCCCAGGCCAGCACACCTGTTAGATCTCTCATCTCAGACTTTCATTTTTGCCTTTCAAATCAGAGTTTTCATATCATGAAAAATCTCAGGCTGTATAAGATATGATAACTCCGAGCAGAAAATACTGGATTTACTAAAATCGAACATGAGGTAAATAATAAGAACATAAGAGACTAAACCATGAGTAGAAGGAGCAGAAGATAGAAGATAAAGCAGAGATAATTATTCATCAGGGAAGTCTAGGATCAAGACAATTGTCGTATGGTAGCTAGGGTTCAAGATAGCACATAGCGGGAGTGAATTTTATTTCTACTGCCCTGGAAGGCTTTTTAGTTTTCTCTCCTTGAGTGGGAAAAAAAATACTTGGGCTACATTGCTCTCCCTCCCTTGCTCTGCCCCCATGAGAGAATCTCAACAATTAAATTTCTTAAGGAATTAAAAAAGGTTGAAGTGGCTTTAGTTGACATTGGTAATAGGGAGAGTGAAAGCTGGAAAAAGGGTTCAGAGACCGTAATAAAAGTCTAATAGTTTGGAAAACTAGAAAGAGCTACAGTAATTTAGTCTATAGCAAAAAGGGTGATCAAATTTTTCCTAATTAAATAAAGGGGTACAGCACTGGGGAAAAGGAACTGTTTACAGTAAGAGTAGAGAGTTTCTTAGGAAATCAAGCTAATGTGTTCAGACATCAAGTAAATCTGGCACAATAGGGAAAATTTTCAGAAACCAGAGATTTGTGTGGTGTGGTTACATTTTCATCCATCAAAAGGACAATACTGCTTGCTTCAGAAAAAAAGAGTTAAAAGGCTAATGGCTGAGCCTAGGAGATGCTTACCAAGCCCTGAAACTTAGAGAGGCAATGGTTGCAGTCAAGATCTACTTAAGGAACAATGGTAAGCCCCACCTTTTGGGATTCTGTACCTAGGATACAAATAAGGTTTAATATTAAGGGGTACTCTCCTTGTAGCAAACACTGGAGTAATTAATTAGGAGCTCTTCCATGCTGTGATGGTTAATATTAGGCATCAACTTGCTGGATTGAGGGATGCCTAGATTGCTGATGAAGCATTGTTTCTGGGTGGGTCTGTGAGGGTGTTGCCAGAGGAGATGGACATTTGAATCAGTGGACTAGGAGAGGAAGACCCACCCTCAGTGCAGGTGGGCACCATCCAATCAGCTGCCAGGGCAGCTAGAACAAAGCAGGTGGAAGAATGGGGATAAGTAGCTTGCTTTCTAAGTCAGATTTCTCTTTCTCTCTTCCTGTGTGGTGCTGGAAACTCAGCTTCTCCTTCTGTCCTTGGACATCAAACTCCAGGTTCTTCAGCCTTTGGACTCTGGGAGTTGCACCAGCATCCCCCTAGGGGCTCTCGGGCCTTCGGCCTCAGACTGAGTGAGGGCTGCACTGTCAGCTTCCCTGGTTTTGAGGCTTTCAGACTTTGACTGAGCCATTACCTGCTTCTCTCTTTCCCCAGCTTGCAGGGGACTTCGCCTTGTAATCATGTGATTCAATTATCCCTAATAAACTCATATATATCCTACTGGTATGTGTGTGTGTGTGTGGTGTGTGTGTGTGTGTGTGTGTGTGTGTGTGTGTGTGTATCTCCTACTGGTTCTGTTCCTCTGGAGAACCCTAATACACATACCTAAATTGAGCATGTGTATCATTGTATGTTGAGCTGACTTCATGGGGATGTTGAGTGAGTGGAGTGCCCACCAACTGGCACACAGCAGGCATCTGGAAGGTGGAAAGAACTTTAGAGAGGGTCTGGTTAAGCCTTCTTATTTTACAAATGCAGACACTTTTACAAATGCAAACACTGAGTCCAAAAAGGATAAAACACCTGCCCCAAGTTTTCACCTGGGTAGTTAGTGGCAGAGCGGGGACTAAACTCCAGATTTCCTGACTCTCCATGCACTGCTCTTTACAAAGCCAGCAGGAGCTGTGAGGCAGTCATCTGTGGGGTCACCTGCATCAGTCAGCTCTACCCTATGGGCCAACAGGAAAACAGTGACTCACAAAATCCAACGGTCCTTTGGAATGCGTAAGAGGTGTGCCTTTCTTCTGTGCTATAAAGCGTTTTCCATTTTTGTAAATAAAACCCCATTTTAAATGTCCTAGGAGAGCTGGCAATTTTAAGTGCCTTACGGACTACGATCATATTTGGTCATGCTTAGCATGGGCTAAGACTGATTGACTGATGAGTCATTTGATAGATGGAGAGCAAATTTCTGTACACCGTATTTCAAATTGTCAGATTTACTTCAAGTGAGCACACCTGTCTGTGACTTTTGCTTAGGCCAAAGCCACATTCATTTGCATTTTAAAGCTCTAAGGAGTGAAAGGAAGAATCAGAGCTTGAAATCTGGCATGGGCAGCACAAACAAATAGTTAAAAATTAACTATTTGAGAACATAGATGTGAATGTGCAGTTTTTAAAGCCAGATCACACTGTTTTCCAATCCAGAAATCCTTGAAAACTCAAGGATCTCATGGATCAGGTATATTATTTAGGGATAATGTAAAGCTACAGCAGGTGAGAAAGACACTGGGCTCCTCGGACACACAGAGAAGACATCACTCTTTATGTGAATCCCATATGTCACCCTGGCCACACCGTGAGAGGGTCCTGCCTTCCTACCCCCTTCCTACAACCATACAGGACACTCCAGGGAAAACTGGGCTAGAACCACTACTGTTTCTGCCACCTTGCTCAGGCCTCCAAGTCTGCAGGATGCAGACACTCTGTTTTCTCTATTTCTAAGTATGCTATCAGTCTGAGATGCACAGGCAAGCATTTATCTGCAAAGCCACAATAAAGACCCTATATTCAAAGAAAAATGAAATCTTGAAAATATGCCACTTTCACCATGCCATTCTATTGCTCAAAAGTCTTCATTGATTCTGCATTGCCTACAGAATATAGTTTATACTTCAGACTACTGAGGTGACCTCATCCCTCCTCATCCCTCCTCTCCATTTCTCAGCCTCATTGTTCTACCACATGGACCTTTCTATACAGTCATGCTGGCCAATTCACCACCTTCTGAATATTCCTGTGATTTCCCTGGTTGCACACATATCCTCCCTTGCCTGGAATGTACTACTGTCCATCACTCGTCTATTCAAATGCTACTTTCCATGGCTCAGCTCAAATGCCACCTCCTCCCTGAAGTCTCTTTACTAAAATTCAACTATCAGGATTTCATGCTTTTCTTCCTCTGTGAGAAAAGATGTCATATTTTCCTCTGCTTTGAATACCTCACATTGTCTGATATCCATTCTTAATAAATATTTGTTAACTGATTAATTCTAAATAAACTCCAAAAAAGGGTTACATTTGCAAAGCTCTCAAAAGTAAGGTAATGATCTGTAGCTGTTATAGCCACACAATGGAAACTTCAGAGCATCTAGTATGTTGTCATTGGATTCCTTTCCTTCCACAGAAGACCAAACTAGGTCATTTCAAACCTCAGTCACCTTCAGAGAGATTCTAGGAAGGGCACACTAAGAGTCAGCAAAGAGACGACATTCCTGGATTCCTGACTTGTTGTCCAGATCTGCTACTGAATCAGATTCAGGTAAGTGTGAATGGGAGAAATGAACTAATTATTAGTGCCATCCAAAAAAATGAAAGCAGTGCTTTTGTTATGTTGGCTGGTTTGAAAGGAAGAAAGAATTAAAAATAAGAAGAGAAATTCAGCCTACAGCCATCAATTGTCTTTTCTTCAAATGTGCTTTTCTTGCCTTTCTGGTATTTTTTTTTTTTCATACGTATGTGATGGAACTGGAATGTTTGAGAAGAATTAACTTAGGATAGAAAAGATGATTTGTTGTAATCTGATAAGGGTATTTACTAACATACTTTATCACCCAGCTTCTCCTCTAAAAGTCCCATTTTGTTTCCCCAGAACACATTTCTTTGCTAAATTAAAAAGTTCCAAAAGTGGTATTGTGCTTGTAAAATCACATCTGATTTCAGCGTTATGTCCAAGAATAGATAATGCAGTCCTATTTCTAGGTCTAGTAACAAGTGTTACTCGTTTGACAGACTTCACTCAGTAGATTTGGCCACATCCTCAAAAGACATACTATTTGGGAAGAGGAAAACTGAGTTATGGAGGGTAAGAAGAGAGTAAAACCAAACAGCAAACGGGCAGAAAGTTGATGTGAAAGTTTTAGCTTTCTAAGCATTCATTAAACTAACAAATGCTGACCATTCTCTATTGTCAGTCCTCAATATTGCTGTTTATTCAATTAGCGAGACTATACATATTTATTGAGCACTTATTTTTTACTAGCTAGTAAGCCACTAGTTATAACTTTGTGCAGCCAAAAAATTATTGAATATAATTTGAATAGGGAACATAGAGATAAAAAATTATAAAAAGGCGAATAATCAATAATGCAAAACATCGTGAGTAAATTTGAAAACTCTGGTGTCAAATTTGTGTTTACGATAAAAATTTTAAATTTTTTATTTCATATATGATTGTTCTTGCCTCATATCCCGGGCACATGGGAGTTTATTTCGTTGACTCCCAGACGTAACCAATTGAGAATAAGCTTAGTTACAAAGGAAGTAATTGAGGCTTTGAGCTCTTGAAGCTAACAGATGGAAATACGTATGTAAAAACCTAAGTGCTGTGTAAACTCGGCACATATGGACGTAGGTATTATTATTATCCAAATGGCACTACTGGGTATTTTCTTAATAGATTCTTTTAAAATGCTTTTTTATAGTTGTGGGCCTTTTTTAGACGAATAGTTCTTAAGAAGAGGAGGGGATTTTGTCCCTCAGCGACATTTGGCTAAATCTAGAGACATTTTTTATTTTCACAGCTGGGTGGCGAGTGCGGAGTGGGTACTGCTACTGGCATCTGGTGGGTAGAGGCCACGGACACTGCTTAACATTCTACAGTGCACAGGAGAGGTCCCTACAACAGAGAAATATTCTCCCGAAAGTTTCAGTAGTGCTAAGTTTGAGTAATTCTGCTCTTCACCATCAAGTTTCCTTCTCTTGGAGCCTGCTACCAGCCAATGACATCAGGATCTAACCTGAGACGAACCTAGGTGTTCTATACGGCAGCCTGGTGTACTGAAGAGTGCCTAAGGTTTGCAAGCTCGCTAGCTGTGGCTCCCCCTCTCGCTAGCTTGAGCTAGTTATTTAAACCCTTAGAGATGCCTTTCTTTAAATTAAAAAAAAAATAAATAAATCTGCACAATATGAATCATACCTACCTCATAAGGTTGCGGTGAACACTGAATGAAGTACATATATACATATTCAGTACAAGTTCGTTCCTTTATTATTTCCAGCCTACCCATCCCTCCCCCCTCCCATTCCCGCCTTTTCCCCCTCCCGGTACTGTATCTCCCACCCCAAGTCTCAGGTTCTCTTTTAAAATGCTTTAATTCCTTTGGTGGCAAAAATCAGGCTTGGGCTAGGAAGTGAGTCACCACTCAGCAGCGAAAGGAGCTTGTTTTTCTTTCTCTGAATGCATTTCTTAGTAATTTCAGACTGATCCTTTAGCCACTTGTTGGTTGAATCCTCTCTTAATGTTTAAGACACACTGAGAAAGAACTGTGGCACCAAGACGTTTTCCGATTGTTAGGAATGAGAGTGTTTTAAATACCGAAAATAACCAGAGGGCAGAGAGCTCTGAAATCCTACGTTACATAAGCAGATGCTGGAAGACCCAGGCTGGTTCTGAGGTTCCTGTCTCCACAAGCAAGTCCACGCGAATCCTCCCCGTTGCTGGATTTACTTTAATGCTGCCGAAGTCTCAAAAGGGGCCTCTGGATGCTCAGAGGACAGGCAGCGCAGGAACTTCCTTGTCAAATAAGCCTTGCCTGGAGGGAGAGGGATGGGGCGATTTTCACCCGCGGGCGGTGGGACGGGGCTGAGGGCTGGGGGCTGCCTGGCTCCAGGCCATGTCAGTGCCTCCAGCTCCAGGTCCGGGTCCACCCTGAACTTTGGCTCTGCTGCCCGGACGCCCAGCTTCACCTCCCTTGCCTCGCTTAGAAACCCTTCAGTTCTCCCGGACCGCTATGTAGCTTTTCAAATTCCCAAATTCACAGAAAACACCTTCAAAAGTCACAATCACCCACAACTCCCTCTGCCAAAAAATGTCATGCAAAAACGGAAAATACTCCGATTCCCCTTTCCTCCCAGACACTCTCTCTCTCTCTGTCTCTGCTATTCATTTTCTCCCCCACCTTTCCCCATCTGTGGTCAAGATCCCTTTCACTATTTCTAGTTCCCTCTCTTTTTTCCCTTCTCCCTCTCTCTCCCTTTTCCACTCCTTCCTCCGTTGTGACCGCGCTCCCCCTCCCCCCGCCCCGTCGTCTCTCCTCCGCCTTGCGGGCTCCAGTCTCTGCCCGCCCCTCCCCAGAGAAGAGTGTCCAGCTCCTCCAGAGGCTGCCCGCCCGCCGCTCCTTCCCTGCCCACCTACTATGAGGAGCAGCTCCTCCCACCTGCCCATAAAAGCCAAGTGCATGTTACCAGCAGCGGATCACAGCCCTTCCCCGATCCTCTCCGTGGGAGCCAGCGAGCCTCTCTCCCTGATCTTACGTGCTCAAGGTAAGACAGCACTTCTGCAGGCAGCTCACCTACCAGGGGTTGCTATGGGGGAATAAGTCACCCTCTGGCCAACGCGTTTGCTGTTTGGTTAGAGCTGATTCTTACGGATGCGCGATCCGCTGCTCCTTTAACTAGCAACTGGTTTGAAAACAAACTTCTGTTTGAATGGTAAAATAAAAGCTCCTTCAGGGAAGAAACAGCAGCATAAATATTGCGAAACCTTTCTCTTTTTAAATCACTTTTTCTCCTGTTGCTGACTGTTGCTTAGGTTAAAATGTATCTGTTTGGGGTGTTGTACTGACGTTTTTCACTGTACATATTTCACACATCAGTGGGGGCAAGGAAAACGTTGTCCCATTGTCAAAAATGTACTTTAAAAGAACACAGTTAACTTCCTAAAAATAGCACAGTCAAAAGGTCTGCTAACAATTTTGTGATGTTTTCCAAACCCCCAAGACAGCTTCTGTGAGTCCTTTAAAAAAATATCTTTCCAGGTTTTAGCGCTTGGAAAAAAATGATGTGAACGGGTGCCCTTTGCACGGGGACAGTAAGTAATCAGGTGGCTGGTAGATAGGAAGGAACAAATCCAAATTCACAAGCCAGGGTAGAATGTGCTCTCTCACCAGGCTATCTTTTCACGACATCCTAAAATGAGAATTACGATGGAACTAAGAAAGTGTATAAAAGAACTTCATGAATTTCTGTACACACACCTAAACATAAAGTGTTTCAATATGTTTCACAGTAAGAGAATAATACAGGCCAGATTATACAATACTTCTGTGCACACCAGATGGTTGTAAAGAAAGATCAGCGAGAAAGGCTTTGGAAGTTTTAATCCTTCTTTCCACCTTTTTTCCCCCGCATTTAGTAAATCACAACCTACCTGACTGGCATCCAATTATCAGAGATATTCAGTGTTTAAGCTACCCTCTTTAAAAGAAAATGATCTCTTCTTATTCCTAAGGTAGAATAAATGTGCACCTGTGAAAGGAAAAACATACTCCACAGCCACTTCTGTAAAACCAGACACTTGGTCCATGAAGTTTGCCATCAAATTCTGTGGGTTGTGTGGGATGAAACTCTCTCAAGTGGGAGAAAAACCCTCTTCAAATGTTTCCTCTGGGGAATTGCTCAAGACCACTTAGAGAAGGCAAACCAAAAGTACCAGTCAGGAAACCAAACCACTCTTTTAGCCCTTAAGGTTCTTAAAGTAAGAAGAGAAATGTTTCACTTTTTTATTTTTTTGTTTGTTTATATTATCTCATGTGGAAAGAAAAAACTCACCGAAGCTGTATGAAATTCTCCCCTATTAAAGAAACAAGACTCATTAGAAATTTAACTTAGGTCTTCCAAACCATTTCTCCTTAGCTTTTGCATATCAAAAGTAATAAAAATATTTAAAAGTTCTGCTTGAGATGGAGAGGATTCAATGCTGTTACTCAAATGCAAGAGTTATATATAAAGCTTCTGTCACGTTAAATTTTTCTTCATTGGAAAAAAATATTGCAAGAAGTGCAGTTTCCTTTAAGCAAATTATATAAAATTACTATTGGCCAAGATAGTATGTGACCTGAGCATATTAACATACCTTTTATCTCATGCCACAATGCAGACTGCTTGCTTTATATCTGATGCACATAGGTAATCAACCATGACAAGAGTACAGGTATGGGACAAGGCCAGACCAAGTATGTGGCACATTCAAGTTAATTCTTCTTTTATGGTAGTGCCTGACTCACACCCATTATCACAAGGATGAAAATACGCTGCTTCATTCACCAGATCCCCTTGAGGGAAGTTATCTTTTCTTGGGGTGGAGGGGGAAATGCTCCCAGTTTAAATGAGCTTCCAGTTATTCCTAAGTTTGGGGATAAAAGTATTCTCCAAGGGTTTACTTCTGCTTTCTCTGGCAATTAATCCACCGGACCAGCTATGGACCGTTAAACAGTAACTGCCTTCCCTATGTCCCATCAAGTTCAAGCCCCTAAATAACTGAGTGAGATCATCTTAGATTGCTCATGATCTAAGTTTCCCAGGAGCAAAGCTATCCTTTCTCCATAGGGTACATACCAAGCAAGATGACACTGCTCTTCTTAAGCTTTTAGAAAAATCAGTGTCGAAGTTTCATGTAGTCGCCCCCAAATCTCCCCTTCTGCATGGGATGTGGATACTTCACGTGAGTCTCCTCTTTTTGCCATTATATAGCTGCCTCTTGATCAAGTCCATGACTATACCCAACCAATGCCATTGAGGCAGACTTGGGAGGACTTCTTAATGTTTCTCAGAAAAGATAAGATGAGAAGCTGCCGCTTTCACTAGAGACACAAGAAGGGAGCTCTACTGATTTTGAGGGCTTGCTGATCCTACAGAAATGTGCATTTTAGATGTTCTACTACTGTCAAAATTATAAAATGATATCCTTTTCATGATCAGAAAACATATGCCACTTTATTCCTATTTATGAAATAAAAATCAAGGAGAAGAGGATTGGGGTGAAAAGGGACTTGAAAGAGAAGCTGGAGGAATCACAGAAGTGCCCTAGGAGAAAAGCAAGATTAGGAGCTCTGTTACGAAACGCAACTTCTCCCAACCCTCATTTATGTGAACATGAGGGGATGGGGAAGAGCAAAAATCCATGTCTGCTCTTGTCTTTTTATTTGTTTGTTGTTTTTTAATCAATGAGAGTATAAGATCCATCTCTACTATGCCCTTCTTCTTAGCCCTCCTTCTTTAGCAGAAAAGAACAGCTTGGTTCTAATGATGAAAATGATTTCAGGTTTGCCCCATATTTAAAAACCCACAGTAATTTGCTAGTCATAATTCTAAAAGCTATACTATGAGTTAAAATAAAAAACTCCTTAAAACATGTTTTTAACTAACAGATGGGTCACGTCAACAAAACCAACCCTAAGTCTCCTGAAAAGTGTAATGTTGAGTGCTTATTTGTAAGTTAAAAGTTAGAAACAGCAATTTACTCCTTATCCATGGTTACTCACTTTGGTATGGAAACTTGCAGACAGATTGAGACACACCGTATTTCCTAAAACCTCTGGTCCTCCAAGTAACCCTCTGGGAGCTAGGTGTTTCTGCCTTGACCTCCTTCTCTTCAACCAGACCCCTATAAACATACATGTACATAAGTTAAAGAAGGTACAGATCTTGAAACTTGAGTGTATTCTTGTGAAAGGTGCACTGGTCTAACTATTGAGTGAAAAGAAAACCAAAAGGAGAGGAGAGGAGAATTAAGGGGAGAATGAATGCCCTTTGGAATTTAGAGAATCTTTCTTTTTAGCATTGTGTGAAAAGGATATCTCAATCCCTAAAGCATCTGGGAATACACATTTATTTAAAGAACCTGTTCAAAAGTTGTCACAAAATGCTAAGAATATAATGAAGAAGATCTTCCAGTGACCTGGCAGATATTAACAGCAGGTTACACCCCACACTACTAAATTATAGCTCTATTAAACTTCCCCTTTCTAGAGAGATAAGGAGTGAGAAGTATGAGCATTAACCACATTTCAACACAAACAGAGAAAAGCTGCTAATGAGAGATCCCTCTATCACTTTAGTAACTCCATTTGTTGTTTGAGGGAGAAGGTTCTTCATAGTTTTTCCTCAAGCAGATTTGCAGGAATGGGGTTAAAGGGAGTCACACAAGGTTAGAATGTCTACAAGCCTGAAGTCGTGTGTACTCAAATTCATGAAGCCATTGAAATTGCATCAGATCAAACTGAAGTGAATAAAACAAAAAGTGTTCACCAAAACTGATCACAGAGTAATCAATAAAAATAAAAATAATGAATTCTAACTTCTCAATGTAGGATAAGAGCAAAAGCAACAACTTTAGCTGACTATGTAAAATATGAACACACACCTGACAATTCACCTTCGGTGTCCTCTATTTATTTGGGGCTCACTTCCATCGTCCCTCCTGGACAACAAAAACTGACCCTTCTCTCCTTCAGCAAACCTTTCAGGATGTGCAGATGCAGTCATAGTCCCTCTGTGACATTTCCTTTGTTCTTTCCCTGGAAAAAATCTCTTTTTAATTCTCATAGAACAAGTTTCTAAAGAACCACTCATACTTGTGGCTTCTCTCATTACCAAAAATTTCCTCATACTTCTCTTAAATAGGATATAAATTTTCACCCTATCAAATGTAAAAGCTTCACATTTTTCTAAACTTTAATTCACATACCTAGAAGAAAGTAATTTAAAATTGCTACTTGCCTCCAACAGAATATCTGAGATGAGGTTTCAAAGCCATTTTACTTATCCAGTACTTATTATAACTTCTTGGAAATTAAAAAAACTTTAGAGAATCATAAAAGATAAATGCTGGAAAAGACCTTGGAGCTAATTGTAACTAAAAGTTAATTTTACAGGTGCAAAAGATCAGAAAGATTAATGTCTTTCCCCAGGCCACCCAGATGAGTACAGCACACCCAAGGCTGGAGTTCATACAGCCAGTTTCTCCAGCCAGTGCTTAATCTTGAATAACTGCAGTGTGGCTCCTCGTATAATGTGAATCTAAGGTGTCTTTGACTATGCTGAGCATTCCGTAGGCACTTAACATACAGGGCTCTCAGAAACCATAGCTTGGTAGAGGTTTGGACTACAGCTATACCTCTACTACCAAATGTCTAGGACACGTTGACATAAATTCTTGTGAAGAGTGAAGTCAATGGTCATCACCATCACAGGGATGGTATGTTTTTAACCAGCCCAGGATATGGTACATAGTAGCTGCTCAGTAAATCTGTGTTGAGTGGGTGAATGAATGGGGAAAAAAGCTAAGTATAAAATATCCATTTTCCTAAACTCCTTTCTTACTTGTAGAAAATATAGTCTATAAAACTACTTTCTACAAAGTAATGGATTTACAAAGTAAATTTTACTTCGTAGAAAACAGTCTATACAGACATACAGTGACTCAGGTCTCAAATGTATTGAGTTTAAGATTCTCCCTTGCTTTGGGAAATCTAGAAGAGTTCATTTTAGCCTTAGCAATGGCTAAGCCGTTTTCCTGTCTGCAATATTCTCACTAGTTCTTCCCATATTTACTTGAGTTCTAGAAACTGTATTATTTTTTACAGGAGGCTTAAGATCTAGTTCCAATATTCATTTGAGAGAACAAATGAATTAGAATGTGAGATTTACAGCGTAACTCTCCTCTTCCACCCAACAGACAAAGTGTTGCCAATTTAACCATTTTGTACCTTCCTCGGCCTCTAATGAGAGAAAGAGCAAAATACCCATAATGGATAATCAGGAAAAACATTAAGGGACACATCAGTCAGAATGTGTAGGTATGAGATTTGTTGTAACAGAGGGGCAGAGGGGAGAGGTGATCAAGGGACTAAGAGTATAGAGACAAGACAGTGAAGCTAAGAGAGTTTATTCCTCTGAAACAGAGGAGGGAGAATCTCCAAGAGTTTTGAAATGCTACAAGAGATTTTAATAGCATTGTCCAAAACCAGACCCTCTCAAATGCTTGAGAGATGACTTTCTGTTTGAGTCAGGGTTCTTTAAATACAACACTAATTGAAGCCTGGATGACACAGGTGTGAAAGCTTTATAAGTACCATATCTATTAAAACTCTTCTTATCATTTGACTGGCCCTCAAGTGGGAAAGGAACCTCATTTCACCTCCTTTTAGACTTGACTCTGACCCAGGATAATAACTCCATGGATGTCAAGTCATTGAAATGTTCTCTGCTAAAATAACAACACAATTATTGGTAACACATAAAGTCACTCCATCATAGAAAGTGACGAAGGCAGGAAAGAATATTCTTGTATTGTTTCTGTAAACAATTTACCCTGAATAAGCAGACAGATGTTAGCCCAGATGCTTCTTCACTTTCCTCTGAAGCATGCCTGACAATTATTTCCATATCTCCGAAATAGTAAGTGTGTTTCTAAAATCGATCTATTATATGTTAAATTTAACACAGTCTATGGCTAAGCATCACTGTGAAAACATTCTTTTAAGTAAGTCTTTCTTGAAGACTGTCCCTCTTAAGCTTCCAATTGATGTGTTTACATCACAGGATATTTAGGCATTGGATCATTTGATGTGCTGAGACTGAAGACAATCACTTCATGTGCTACTTTTCCAACTCTAACTAAATAGGCCTGGGTGTGGGTGTCAGCTGTCAACTTCTCTAGGAAATAACATGTATCTAGCCTATTGGGGAGCTTCTCTAGTCCCCTCTGTTAGCTAGATAAAACAGCTGCTTTTTGGAAGTCTGGGCCAATGGCCTGCATAATTGAGGCTTTGTGTTCTAAGGCAATTATGGCTAGTTTATGGCAGCAGAGGGGTTAAGTTGCAGCTGCCTTCAGTTCAGTAGGAGGATTTCAAATATTAACAGCTGACCGAAGAGCACTGTGATGGGGCAGGTGGGACGCATTTTCAAGCCAACATCCCATTTAGGATCTTCTTCCAACTAGCATGGTGTCTACACTCTGACGATAAGCCTAAACTTCATTCATAAATTCAGTGATGATTGTACATTATTGTATTTCTTTAATGATCTACTTAGCGATTGCCCAGTCTTAAAGTCCAGGAGTCATGGTGTTCATCAATGCTATCAATCCAAACAAGCGACTTCTTGTTAAATGGCAGACATAAGATTAAAGCCAAAAAGTACATGAAGGAGGGCACTAGGGGGAGCTAAGAATTTGTGAGTTAGGTAGCCAAGATTGTTGAGGTTGGAAGAATGAGGAAAGAAAGGGGATCTGTGGCAAAAATATGCTATTGGATCCACAGTTCTAGTTTAAGGACATGTCTAGTCCCTTTTCCAGCCCCCAGTTAATTACAATCCCCTGCTGCCCAAATGGAGAGGGAGGTTGTTCACCAGTAGAGGGAGCCAGGGGCTGGGTGTCTCAATAGAAACTGATCTGGTCCCAGAAGGGGCCTTTAGATTTAAGTTTTTCGGATCGAAGGCAGAGCAAAGTGTCCCTTACAACCAATGGCTAAAATGTATGCCATTGTAGTAGATCACATTGTTAGTTTTCTTTTTAAAAAAAAAAAAAAAATCCTAATTTAAGCCTCTAAGAATAAATCACCCACATTTCTGGCATTAGCAATGCCTGAAATGTCCGGGCTTGTGGAAGTTTATTTGAAAGAAAACTAAAACAATCTTAGAAAATGTTCTTTCCAAGGCTACCACCAGCCAAGACTGAATCTAAATGCTCAATTCAGTAATAAACAAAGCCTGGCAGCT
Organism: Homo sapiens; assembly: GCF_000001405.40. Classification (NCBI taxonomy): domain Eukaryota; kingdom Metazoa; phylum Chordata; class Mammalia; order Primates; family Hominidae; genus Homo; species Homo sapiens. The sequence goes on from NC_000003.12 coordinate 99,645,901, forward strand.
GGGGGTCAGTGAGAGACAAGCACAAAGACTGAGGAAGCCTGCGGTGACTAGACCCTCCCTGTCAGTGGAGTAAGGGGAAGGGAGCTGGGAGAAAAAAAGACAGAAATGGGCCAAATAGGCTTCTCCACCCAGAGGGTCCAGAACCTGCTCCCCTAAATCTGGGTCTCTCCAGGGAGCAGCCAGGGTCTTGCCTAGACTGAAGTGAATACCTTTCTGTTGAACATTTCCATTGCACAGCTGTGTGGGGATGGCTTGTTAAGACTTGAGACACTTGCATAATTCAGAACCCTTTGGGGGATAGAGATCAATTAGGACCATAAAAAAAATCCTTGGCACACCAGAGGAGAGCTGCTTGCTTAGTAAAAATTATGACATTCACAGCAAAACAGCAATCCTCTAAGATCATTTTTTGTGTCCATAGAGATGAAGCTATGGAGTTGGTGTGCATGTGACTTGTGAATCACCAGAAAATCTTCAGTGTTTTAATTTCAAAAACACCTTGACTCTCTCTGGGGCAAGGGGCGTGTCACTGATCGTCTCTGTGCCTTAATTTATTTATCTTAAGCAGAACAATTTTTAAATAACTACCTTCTTTACCACTTAGAGACATGTGAGGTCCTGTCAAGTATTTTTCAGAAAGATACTAATTAAGCATGCATTTTACGGTTACTAATTTAGTACGGTAAATGGATTATACTTACAATAACTAGGAAGGGCTCAAAGTATTTATACAAAATCAGTCAAAATGGGATAAAATGTCAAGTAGCCACATAACCTTCCAAGATATAGCAAGAGCATTTTTGTTTCTCAGAATACAGAGGTCAATCCCACATATCTCAAAAGGCCAAACAAGATCAAGGGTAAGTGGAAAGTAAAAAAACAAATAATAATTAGAAAATGGCTTAAAGAGTCTTAAAAGGCTTATATTCTTACCAATCTGTATTTTGAGACCAGCCAAAGGGGAATTTCTCACATACAATACAGGGTTTCTGATCTAAAAACTCTATTTTAACTGGAGAAAGATAACTGTTTAATAATGACTTTTGTATAAAATCTCTGCATCCCTTGCTTCAACATTTTCCAAAGTGCATTTCAAAACACTGCTACCTGGGATTCATCAGTGTTTATACAGAAAAAAGTTCTGTGGTCAAATAAGCTTTAGAAACACTCAATGAAACAATATTAAACATTTTTATTCACTGTATGGCTTCACAGAAATTTTTATATGCTATATATATTTTCATCCTTCAAAGATGTTACAATCGAGTGTTCCTTAAACATTTGATGACATATCTACCCTGCCTGAGCGCATCTCCTGGGACTGATATTCTACGGAACAGCTTAAGAATAGTTTAAGAATCACTTCCTGCAGCATTATTTCAAGATCAGTCAGAACATGGTATTTTCAGTCTTGCTAGTTGTTAAGTAATACATACTGAATGTCACTCTAAGATATGTAGAGAGATTTCTAAAACCCAGGGGAAACAGGAACAAAAGAAGCAGATAACATGCCTTTGTTCTATGGCTCAATTCTTTATTACAATAATAGCAAGAATGCCAGAAATATTATTCAAGTCTCTCTCTCTCTCTCTCTCTCTCATATCTTCAACCTCCACTTCTACCCAAAAAATCTTTAGAACACTGGACAAATTGAAGTTGTCTCTTCCTTTCCATCCCACTCTCTGGATACTGTATAGAGAGAAGCGGCCAACAATGAGCAATAAGTTCAATAAACAAGGAGCCTAGATAATTCTTTGAACTAGCTCATCAGTCTCTGAGCTGTTAATTTCCTGCTTTATCTTTACTATCATTAACTAACCAAGATCGTTGGCCAAATATTTTCTTTGAGCATTTGCTTTCTCACCATCAATAGGGAGCTAATTTCTGTAGGAGGAACACACTGATATTCTGGTGTAATTTACTGAATGAGGAATTACTTAGTTTATCTATGACACTCAGACCTCCCACTCCATACAATTTACTATTTCTCTTAGGACATTACTCTGGGAATTATCTTTCCACTTCACAAAGTTAGTGCCTGGAGGTCAGTATCCCGTAAGTGGCACAGTTGAGCACCCTCTGCTTTCAGAAAATAAGTAGCTCATAGTCATCTAAAGGAGAAGGGAGAAATTCAAACACATCATTAATGGTTATAATAATAAAAGCTATTTGTTATCTAACAGGACCAGATATTGTGCTAGTCCCGTTATCTATATTCCCCATGTCAACCCTACAAGAAGGGTGTTATTATTCCCAATTTAACGATGAGAAAAACTAAGCCTCCACTCGTTAAGCAAATTGCCTAGGGCCACACAGCTAGGAAGAGGCAGAGCAGGTTCTTCTATCCAGGTCACAGTCCAAAGTCCATGGTCTTCCTGCCCGCCTGTGCTGCTTCTCATGATGTCTTGTCCTATCATGGAGGAAAAAAATAAAAATAAACTTCCTATGACAACGCCTCTGACTCATAAAGAAAGTGAGAGAATTCTAGTGGCTCTGTTCCTAGACACTGCTTACTGGCTCTGTTTCTTGTTTAATACAGTGATTTTAATTTCTTTTTCTTTTTTGTTTTTTTTAATCTAAAAGCATGCTGTCATTTCAGAGCCAAAAAAGTAAGGACTGTGTAATTAGAAAAGAAAAAACAAACAAACAAAAAACAAAACAAAACAAAAAACATCATTTCTCCCTAGGGTAATTTTTAAGGGCTAAAAGTTAGTCCATAAACTCTCCCCAAGTGAAGACAAGTTGCTTGGCACCAATCCGGTAAAAAGAATGACAGTCTAGCATGTCATTCTTAAGGCAATAGAAATTTCCATGATTCTATGAGAAACACTAGAGCAAAGGCACTTCGGCACATTAAATGAACTTGTATCTAGCTCCCCAGATTATTCTCTTTGGCACGACTTTTACCATAAACCGTAGCCAGATGATGACAGTAAACATGACTTAAATGTTTCCCCCAAGCCATGAGAGTCACCTAGGAAAATGTCTATGTTGTCTACACCTGCTGCTTAGCCTGCAGTGAGAGTATATATAGAAATAAATATACCTCAAGCCCTTCCTTTATCCTGTGCCAAAGACAAAAAAGGAAACAAAGCCTAGCTTTTTCCCCCATGCTCACATTCTGTTATGCTTTTTGGCTTTTGTTCTTGATCTTCCCTCTCTGCTTGTAGTATTTCTCACTTAATCTACTAGATTAATTTATACTCCTCTTCCAAGATTCAGATTAAGTAAGTATCTTCCCCTCTGTGAGAACATGCCTGAAACCAGCCTAACCCAAGCTGCCTCGTGGATCTCCTTCAGACTCCCTAGAACTCTCTGTACAAGCCCTGCCACAGTTGTCTCCATTCTATAATGGCATGAGTTTAATTTGTGTATCCACCTCCATAAAGACTGTGAGCTCCTTGCAGAAAGATTTGTGTCTTATTTACCTCTGCAACCTCAATGCTTGGCACATAATAAGGGCTTAATAAATGTGAAAAGAAAAGAAAAAAATAGAGGTAGGGGAATAAAATAAGTTGACGGTGAATAAAGATTTTAATTGTGCTACTCTCTGTCCCCATAAATTGTTCTAAAAAGGGACAATTTGGCCTAAGTTCATTCTTGAAGCCTTGATGTGATTGGGGTATATCTAGATATGGTAGAAACTCCTTTCCATTCTGAAATATTCCTTGATGAAAATGAACATCTTAGAAAGAATAAAAGTTCTGAATAAAATTTAGAATATCCTGATTTCTTTAGGACTTCATGAAATGACCAACACTACCCCAGTCTTCCGTGTGGTTTTCTGAGAGAACCAAGAACCGCGCTTCCACATTCCACATCTCCCTTTCCTCCCCATCCCATAGCATAAATATGTGCTCTCTCTTGCTCACTCTTTCTCTCTCTGTCACACACACACACACACATACACATACACAGTGTTACTAGGCTTTGACTGAACTCTGCAGCTAAACATGGGGCATAAGATGAATGCCTAATGGTATTCTAATATTAATATTGGTGCTCCATATACCAGGTTACACAAAGAAAAATTATTTCCCATGTGACCATTGTCCCAGGATTGTTAGTACCCTGCTCAAAAGGATTTAATGGCATTATGAAATGTAGAACAAACACTTTAGCTTGACAGTCGAGTCTCACAACCTATCTCACCCCAAAGCTTCTTTTCATCTTCACCTCCCTCAAGTCTATAAACAGGAATTAAATCTGATGGGCTACTACTCCCCCAAACATTCCTTTTTCCTTTCTCTACAGAAAATGTCCCCCATTCTCCTTTCAACCTGTCAGAATAACCATAATTTCAAAATCCTATTAAAGCCTTCATCAATATTATAACAAGCACTGATCCTTCCCTATTCTCAACTAACAAGCAGTTACTCTAAATGTCAGTAATATGTCACCTATGCACTGTATTGAATAAGTCAGGACTGTCTAATAGAACTTTCTGCAATGATGGAATCATTCTGCCTTCTACAGCTGAGCTCTCCAATATGATAGCCACTAGCCATGTATGGCTACTAAGGACTTTATTTTTATTTTTAATTTTTTTTTTGAGACAGAGTCTCACTCTGTAGCCCAAGCTGGAGTGCAGCGGCATGATCTTGGCTCACTGTGACCTTCACCTCCCGGGTTCAAGTTATTCTCCTGCCTCAGCCTCCCGAGTAGCTGGGACTACAGGTGCACGCCACCACACCCAGCTAATTTTTGTATTTTAATAGAGACAGGGTTTCACCATGTTGCCTAAGATAGTCTCGAACTCCTGAGCTAAGGTGCTCTCCCCACCTCGGCCTCCCAAAGTGCTAGGACTACTAAGCACTTTAAATGTGGCTAACACAAATGAGGTACTGGATTTTTTACATTTTATTTTAATCTCTTTAAATTTAAAATTAAATAACCACATGTGGCTAATGGATACTATATTGAACAAGAAACTATTTAACTTTTTATATGCTATGGTTTAGGTCCCTTGGTGAGCATATAAACTACTGAAAAAATTGAATAAGATATGCTTTTTTCTATCCCCAGTGAATGCTATGACTGCAGTAGTGTTCATTAAATGTCATGTTCAATGCATTGCCTGACTACAGGGTCTTTTGCCAAGTGTTATGTTATTTTAAAGAAGTCTTCTTCCCTATATCTGTAATTTTAATAATATTGTACAAATGGTGTTTGCCTCCTTTTTTTCCTTTATTTTAGTGGCTTAAAATCCCTCAGAATGACACCCTATCACTGCCTGGATTCTTTATCACTATATAAACAAAATGGGATGAGGAATGAAAAAGTTCCATTATTCATTACCATCTCATTTCTTTTCCCTTTGGGGAAAAAGCATGGTTTAAATACCTGCTGAGACATACAATTGCTTCAGTCTTCAATATGACCATTTCTACAGAGACAGACTATACCTGGGTATCGGAAACAAATTCAGCTCACAGATTTTTGCTTTTCTTTCCTCCTGAAACCTCACCACCTTTTAAAGAAAAGTAGTTCTTTATCATAGATTTTCCCAGAGCATTTTTGTCTCTATTTCTGTGTTCTGCAGTGGACAACCTGAAACACTGCGAAGAAGGCTAAGCTCTCCGCCAGCAGGTCAGCGGAGGTAGCATGTCTTGGAATTTGACAATGATGTGCCCCTGGCACTTGCTGGCTTACCAACAGCCCTTCAGGAATCATCATGCCAACAGGCCAACCATGCAATAAAATCCTGTACCTGGCAAAGCCATGAGCAAAGTGATCAAACATTCTGTCTGCAGATTAGATTCTAACCTATTAATAAGCCTTCAGAAAATAAGCCAGAGTGAATCTCTAACAGCAATAGTTTACAGAGATGTTTAATGATGTCAGAGGTCGGCCACCCTACGTGCTTTCCTTCTGACTCAGCACAGAGCAGGACAAGGGCAGGAGAGCCACTCCAGAAGCCAGGGCAATCAGCTGTATCTTTTCCATTCGCAGCTAAGTTTACTTGGAATGACTGGAAAAACCTTCAATGAAAACTCTTTCTAAAATAATAAAAGACTTTATCCTGCTGTCATGAGCCAGACAACATCAAGAAATAATTATGGGTGTGTATTTTCCTCTGCCTTGTAAAATGTTTACAAATTGTATCATAAGAAAGCTCTAGAGTCAATGGTAAAGATAGCAATAACATTTAACTTGTAAATTTTTTATATCTAGCCATAAAAGAATCACCATGTGTTTAAATCACATTTGAATACATATAAATAAAATTCTCATCTGCAGACATGAGCCAGTGGCTAAAGGAAGAATCCATGACTCCTTTTCCACAGAGAAAGTACACTGGAGATGTTTAGCTTCTCATATTTATGAAATAGAATTCATTGTCACCACATCAGCAAAAGAGTGTTGCAAGGATCTTAATTTGGGAACTTTGAAACATGAAAATAATCTATAATTAATGATGATAATAACCTTTGTGGAGAAACAGTTTGCTACATTTATTTTATGTACATTCCTTCATTTGAATTTGGTAGGGAGGGGTTTTATCTACAATTTACACATAAGGCAGTAGAGGCTTAGAGAGATTAAGTCAATTTCTTTATATCATTAATATCGTGAGTGTTGGGGCTGGAATATAAATCTGGATCATCCCATCCCTGAAGTCCTCTTCTTTCTACTAATCCAGGCTGAATCTTAACAAAATCACATCCAGAAATAGTTTGGAGCATCCTGGTAGCAGAAAAAAGAAAGTGCAGCAAAAGAAAGCGGACTGACCTGCAAGGTTTGCTTAGGGAAAAGTGATTGAGAATGTGCTTTTCAAGAAGAGAACCCAAACTCTCCTCAATAATATGGCAGCTAACATGTCTTGATGGGCTAGTCAGCAGGAATAGTTTTGTAGGTTATCTTCTGTATAGTTTATGATTTTAAAGGACACCCATTTTAAACCTGTCTGTAAATTTTTAAATGATAGTTTTAAATCCCCCTTTTTATTTAATGCCCAAATGTGTGTAATTTATGCAGACAAAATAAAATACCTTAAATTATCTATGGGAAGCTACTACCATGACCTGAATAAAAAGCACTGAAGTTAGCATAAGAAGCCCTGAGATGAAGTCCCACTTTTACCACTGAACAACGCAGCCATCCTGGGCAAGACAGTAAGTCTTGCCAAGTCTTTGCTTCCTCTGCTCTAAAATAAACTTACCTCTCAGGATTGATGTGAAAGTTAAATAAGATAACATGTAAGAAAGTGTCTGCTAGTCAGAAGGTGCTCAATAAAAGTTTATTTAATACTAATGAAAACCAATTATTGAATGTTTAATTAAGTGCCAGCACAGCGGTCATTTAGGTGAGCAGCAGCTTCAAGTGTCGCTGTCTACGTGTTGCAAATAAGGGCACTAAGAATCTCTGTGCCTTGTAGCTCATTTAATGAACTCTTTACTATGCCAGAGTCCTGCTGTGCATTGGTCATGGTGGCAGTGTAAACTATTTATGGGCTGATTGACATTTTTGGTCTTTTTTTTGGTTTTGGTTTGGTTTGGGTGGGGGGTTGTGTTTTGTTTAATTGTTCTTTGTTTATACCAAATGGCAACAGTTCAATCTCCCCACCAGTTCCCCTAAAAGGAAATTTTCCTGGTTGCACAATGCCTGTCCAGTTCACGGGCATCTCTCTCCCTTCACCATGTCAATGCACAGTATATATAGAGTCCACGTGTGGGTTGTGTATGTGTCTGTGTGTGTGTGGTGGGCAGCTGTGGCATCACCAGGAAAAATGTGGCTGTTCTGAGTGTCTCATCTAAGATCTTACCTCATCCCGTGAGTTTCTGGAGTTTTGTGCTGCTGTGCTCTACAACACTCTCCTTGAGGCTGCCAGCATCCTAGATGCATCCTGGCCCCTGTATTTTGATGCATCAATAAATCTCCTTAAGCCCTGTGCATATTCCCTGCCATATTTAATGTCAGTGTACCAGAGTCCTTGTATTAGTCAGGGTTCTCTAGAGGGACAGAGCTAATAGGATAGATGTATTTATGAAAGGGAGTTTATTAAGGATTACTGGCTCACATGATCACAAGGTGAAGTCCCCCAATAGGCCGTCTGCAAGCTGGGGAGCAAGGAAGCCAGTCCAAGTCCCAAAACCTCAAAAGTAGGGAGGCGGACAGTGCAGCCTTCAGTCTGTGGCCGAGGGCCTGAGAGCCCCTGGCAAACCACTGGTGTAAGTCCAAGACTCCAAAAGCTGAAGAACTTGAAGTCCAATGTTTGAGGGCAGAAAGCATCCAACACAGGAGAAAAATGAAGACCGGCAGACTCAGCAAGTCTGCTCTTTCCACCTTCTTCCGCCTGCTTTATTCTAGCCGTGCTGGCAGTTGATTAGATGGTGCCCACCCAGATTGAGGGTGGATCTGCCTTTCCCAGTCCAGTGACTCAAATGTTAATCTCCTTTGGCAACACCCTCACAGACACACCCAGGAACAATACTTGGCATCCTTCAATCCAATCGAGTTGACACTCAATATTAACTATCACAATTCTACCTTACTTGATTTCCATTTTCCTGTCAGAAATGTCCTGACTTTTTTACCTGTGTGTCTTAATTACCAAGAATCAGTCCAGGTTATCTTAAGAAAATGGCTCTAAGAAGCCCAATGTGTCTGGGAACATTGGCTCACACCTGTAATCCCAGCACTTTGGGAGATGAAGACAGGTAGATCACTTGAGCCTAGGAGTTTGAGACCAGCCCGGGCAACATGGCGAAACTCCATCTCTACAAAATGTACAAAGACTAGCCAGGTGTGGTGGTGCATGCCTGTAGTCCCAGCCACTCAAGAAGCTGAAGTGGGAGGATCACTTTAGCCCGGGAGGTGGAGGCTGCAGTGAGCTGTAATTGTGCCACTACACTCCAGCCTGGACAACAGAGTAAGACCCTGTCTCAAAAAAAAAAAGCACAATGTGAGAATAAAGGAAATTACAAGCTATAGTGGAAGATATTTTAGTTCATAAAAACAAAGGAAGAAGGACCATAAGAGGTTTTTTTTAAGACTTATCTTCTCAAGTTCTATTATCTCAGTTTTGTTTGGTTAGGACTTCCATGCCAACCTCATTTATTCATTCATTCAATAGTTATTGAGACCCACCATGTGCCAAGCCCTGTGCTAGATGCCATGAAGGATGGTTTCTACTGCACCCATAGGTTGCAGTTGAAAGGCACAGAAACCAGTAAAAAGCCACTTAGAGAACAAATGCACGGGGAATGTGAAAACCCCTTTCTTCCTTTTAGTATGGAAGAGAGGCCACTTTTTCTGCATTTCTCTGAGCCCTCCCTGGGGCAAGTGTCCTCTCACATCATACCCATCTCTACCCAGCAGAAGGCTCTCACTCAAGGACTGTCAAGGATAACTAATTCAAGACCCATCCCACCCACTAGGTGCCAAAAAGCTAGCAAGTCAGCTACCTAATAGGTGTCTTTTGAGACATTCAACACACATAGATTTAAAATATACAAAACAGGAAACTGTCTTTACATGGTAGTCTTTCAACTAAAATGGTTACAAGATCTTAAATTTGTTGCCATCAAGGTACTATACAATGAAAACTGGTGGTCCCAGGGATGACCCTGAAATACTGTGAGGTCCTGAGGCCCTGCAGCAGACAGAGGCACACAGCATTCAGTAAACGCTCATTGGGTAAACAGTATCTGACTCGCTGGAGAAAAACTAAATTATTGCAAGTTGAGTTTTAGAAGTAAAATATATTTAAAGTGATATTTCATTTATCTAAAATTCTAACTTTTGACAATTTCAACTTCATAGTACACAATTGAGGACAAAAAGTAAATCAAAAGTGCTCAGAGAATAAAAGACAATGGTCATTAAGGTTTATATTTGTAAGCAGTCATGTGGAGTCTTCACTTTGAGCCTATTTACCTTTACTTCATGAATAATGTTAACACACGTGGTTCTCTGAGTTCTCAGAACATAGCCAACTTGAAGCACTGACCTAGAAAAAGGAGAGGAGCTGCAACAAGTAAGTGCACTGACAGAAGGAAGAAAGAAAAGTATGGAGGCCTAACAAGAAAGTAAGAAAAAAAGAAGCTATACAAACACAAGAATTTAGAAAGCAAAATGGCATTCACTGTGGACACAAATAGTTGTACGATTTGAGGACATCTTTAAAAGAATCACTGAATCACAGCTAATTATAAATTTATTGACATATTTGGTAGCATCTTTTAAAAATGAAAAACATTATGTATTTTAAGTATATATCAAAAGAAGTATATTTTGATCCTTAAAGGTATAAAATATCAGCTATTGGGAAAATTTTAATTATCCAAACCGTCTCATTTCCTAAAGATTGTGGAAAGTTGAGTTTATTCTAATATGTGTGTGTCTATGCAAACACACATGCATAAATGCATATAAATTATATGAAATAGAATTCCTGTTAAGCTAGAAAACCTCATCTCCCTAACACACAGTAGAACACATTATTAACTTTTTGGTTGTCAGCTTGACATGATCAAAGTGGTTATCTAAAATCCCAAACCTTAAGTTTGTGCTTTCTTTTCATTGAATGCAACCAAGACCAGGGAAGTTACTTCACTGGTCAGTAACTCAATTTATCTATTTGTATAAGAAGAAAAAAAAAAAAAAAGCTTTCCTCACAGGGGTCTGTTGGACTTTGTTCCTATTTCAAAACTTGAAAATCCTTAATATAAATCTCAATAATAGCTCAGTTTAGGGTTATTATTTTTTAAGCAAACACCCGTCAAGGAAAAGATGCAAAGGCAGTCAGTCTTTCCCTGCTTTTCTTTCCTTACAATCTTTCTTTTCCAAAGAACACAATAAAGAAACAAAGAGCCAAACACACTGACTCACGTCTTTTTCTAATAGTGTTGTGGTCAATTTGCTCCTGCATAAAAAACTAGTAGTTAAGCTTTGAACTCTGGGTTTTGGAAGGCCAAGAGTGGAAAAATATCTTTAGCAGAAAGAACAGCACATTCCAAATCTGTCCGTTGTTATGCATTTGTGAGAAAAGTCCACTTGGGCATGCCATCCCCATTGAAGCCCTTTTGTGTTGTCAGAACTTTCTTGACAAAGAAATGGCTGAACATTGCCTTTCAGTAGAATTTCGAGTTGGTTTTTCTGTACTTTCTTTTATCAGAACTTCCTCATTCAAACCTTAAGATGGTTTCTCAGCTTGAACTTGCTTTTAGGACAAATAGGAAAATGGTATAGCTTTGTACCTAAAAAACTGACTTCATCCTTTTATGGGAGGAAAAGATCTATATGCTTCAGAAAGCCAAAGATGTACTGAGAATCTTCACTAAGGCATTTCCTACAGTAAAATTGATGATCGCATCCCAAGCTTGATCAGATGTCATGGCTTTTGTTTTCTTAGACGTTGTCACAATCTAACATAGTCATGTGACTCTAGTGTACTAAGGGCTTTCATGGGTGTTAACTCATTTATTAGACCTAGCATGCACCTGACTTCTTAATTATTTTACAGTTGTTTCTTGGTTTTGATTCTAATTTTTAAAGACACTCACAGTCTGAAAAATAATAATAGTATTGTTACATTTCTAAATGGCTAGCGGCATCTTTTAGCTGATAAGACTGAGTAGCTGGTATAGCCTACATATCACCCAGTTGAATAATTTATTTCAGTACTAAAATCTCATTACCTAAAATGCTCTCAGGAATGTTTCAAAAGTGTCTTTACTCTTTTCTCCCCGCGAGGATGAAACACCCTCAACTTAACGCATCTTAGCTTCAGGCCATCCTGTCTCTTATGCCTTCCCTCCTGATACAGTAGAGGAGCTATTTATCTTCATTCATTTTCCCTCACCTCTTCTCTAAGTGCCCCTCATCCCATGCCTCCTACCCTCTGGAGACTTTACTCTTAATTGTTTGCACCATCTGCCACACATAGTGTTCTTTCTTGGTACACACCAGATTGTGACTCACCCCTGTTTAAAACCTTTCAGAGGACCGGGCACGGTGGCTCACACCTGTAATCCCAGCACTTTGGGAGGCCAAGGCAGGCGGATCACAAGGTCAGGAGTTTGAGACAGCCTGACCAACATGGTGAAACCACGTCTCTACTAAAAATACAAAAATTAGCCGGGTGTGATGGCATGCTCTTGTAATCCCAGTTACTCAGGAGGCTGAGGCAGGAGAATCACTTGAACCCAGGAGGCGGAGGCTGCAGTGAGCCGAGATCGCACCACTGCACCCCAGAGCAAGACTCCATCTCAAAAAAACAAAAAACAAAAAAAAAAAAACACCTTTCAAAGACATTTCATAGCCTTCCACTGGAGTCCTGAAACCATCTCAGGCCTTCATCATCTGGGCCTGCCCGTCTTCTCAGCTCCATTCCTTGCTATACCATCTGCTGTCACCAGCCCCACCCTGCACTACAGTTACAGCTCTCTTTGAAATTGTCAGATCTCTTAATTTTTAGGGCTTTTATTTACAATGTTTTGTTCTCTCCGCCCAGAACACCCTGCCTTCTCATCGCCTCTTAACTCCCCAAGCATTCCCAGAAGTCTCCTTTGACCTTCTGGCCTAGATAAAGTGGCCCTGCCCTGTGCTCTCACATTGCCAGCATCCTTCTATGGCATCTAATACTCTCACTGTTTCTGTTTAACTAACTGTCTCCATGGCTAGCCTGTAAACCAAGTTACAGCCTGATTTGAGTCTGCCTTACCAACCAGTCTGTCCCCAGCACAGAGCCTGAAACCAAGTGCAGGTACTCAGTGCTGTTAATGAAAGAATGAAGGAAGGATAACAAATGATATTCAGAGAAGCAGATATCAGAGACAAACTGGCAGATACAAAGGTCAACCAAGGGTCTAGGAAAAGTGAGTGGCCAAAAGTCTAATCAAAGAAGTCAGAAAACAAGACGTCTTTAGCAACCAACAGTGCAAGGCGGGAAGAACAAATCTAAGACAGGCCCTTAGCAATAATGGTAAGCAAACTTGATAATCACATCACTCAATCAGTCCCTCTCATTCTCATTGTGGGCAAAGTTTCCCAGAGTGTTTTAAAGTGTAGTCTAAGGACTACCTGCGTCATGATTCCACATCCCCACTAGCTCTACTGAATCAGTCTCATGGGTTGAGGCCAGAAATCTGCATTTCAAGCCAGCATTCTAGGTGATTCTTACGCATCCTAAGGTCTTCAGGCTGGAACTGGAGACAAAAACAATAGCTAGTTGACTAGGAAGAACAAGACCAGAAAGCAGATGCCTTTCCCTGATGGTGGTTAGTTCAGCCCTGTGAGCCCCCAGTTGCTTCACATGTAGTATGTGACTCATGGATAAGGCCACGTTCACCCTGATTCATCTATGATGAGCTAACGCCTAGCTGGCTCGTGGTTGGACCTTAGAAGTTTCAACAAGGGTCATGTGTACGTGGAGGAGCCAGTGCTTTCACGGCACATTAGTCACAACTCCCACTTAACTTCTCACGGCTGCCTCCCCTTCCCTGTTTGTGGCATGGGCCAGTATAATCCATCTGTGCATTCTCTCTGGGCAGATGAATATTTAATCAGCAGTGAATAAAACAATATTCCCTTGTCCAGGACCTGGATAAATTGCTAATAATAATAACTATCACATCATTCTAAGGGAATACTCCTCTGAGGAAAACAATAATGTCCCGTTTAGCCCCACTGAGACTGTGGTTTTAAAGCCCTAATTTTGTATTATTGACAAAGAAAAATAAGTAGATATGGCTGGCTCACAAAAGCATCTAGAAAGTTCTATGGCAAAAAAAGAGGTTCACCTGAAATTAGTATTCCTTGTTTTGATCTTGTGTTCCAAGCAGTCTCATTTTTTCTCCTGGGTTTGGTATATCTTTTTGTCCTTTATGATCATGTCCATAATCTGCCATGCTCAAAATGAGTCCAGAATAAACACTCGATTTCTGTTTATCTGCTATTATTTATAGCTTACGGTTATCCTTTACCTTCCTCCCGAGACTCTGTTCTATTGCTGGCCATTTGAAGTCAGCGTACTGCACCTTAAATTCCCTATGAACCAGAATATATGTGATGTGGGCAGGAAAAACAATACATATTGCTTTTCCCAGAGTAGTTTGAATCAAACCTTTTAGGTGTAATTGAAAACATATTTTTACAAGCAAATAGAGCCAATAAACTAGAAAAACTGTGTGGAAGCACCAAGCCCAGCTTCTCTGGTTTTTAATAAACTGCAGTAGAGAACCTTAGGAACAGGAAGACATTTACATTCCAACCCGGAATCACGCAGGACAAGTGAGTGTGGTGCGTCACAAGTGCTCTGTACAGAAAGTTCCAGCGGGGAAAGAAGAGGAAATTCCTAAGGGCACTGTGGCTTTGCATAAGCTCTCCAAAGTCAGTGTAGGGACCTCATATGCCTTTATACAGGTGGTATGATTGAAGGGGGAAAGCATGCCTTTTTCTACTTCTGGTCCCAAGACCTGAAATCATGATTATCTTCCTATAACTATTATTTTTTAAATATAGCCATAAAAGAAATATCCTCCTGAGACAGGTCCTTTTCTCAATTGCAGTGACATAACTCCCACCAGATCAGTGGGACATCATCTCCCATCATCGTTGTTACATCCTTGCAGTCAGCCTAGCCTTTCCAGCCCCTAAAACCGGAAGTCTGTGGTGGTGCAAGGGGGCTGGCAATAGGTAGAAGGATTCTGGGCTGAGACTGAATCCTTGGCTTACACTTAATTGTTCTGGCATATGGGCTTCTCCTATAATTTCTCTAGCTATGAATTGGGGTGGACTTATTTACACATTTATAAAATGGCACCATTCATTAATCATTAAAGTAAATCACCTGAGGTATAAGAACTAATTAGAAAGCTTAAAATAGAAATAAAGTAAGAGCTTTTTACCCTAGGGCTGGGGGCAGAACCAATTTCTAAATTATAGGTTTTTACTTTATGTACATGTTAAACTCCAGGGAACATGATCTGGCCCAAATTTGTTTAATAGCTAACCATAATGTCACAGGCTTTTACTGTTTGAAAAACAGAGTGGCATGTATAAAAACATCATTTTCAATGTCTATGTCAATTTTTAAAATACACCTCATGCAGTGCTGGAAAGGGAATGGAAATGGGGTAATGATCATATACTGTTGGTAAGAGGCTAAATTGGCATGGGTGTTAGACGGTGAATTAGTAATTCCACCCTAAGAAGCTATCCTTCTCACATGTAAGATAAACGTGCAAAGATGAATATGTATGTCTTAGGATATAAAAATAATGGTGTTCATCAAAGGATACAATCCACAGAATAACAAGACAGATGATAGAATTGGAGAAAATTCTTACAAAACATATATTTGATAAAGAGTTAATATCCAGAATATTTTTTAAAAACTCCTACAACTCAACAACAACAACAAAAAGAAACACAATTCAAAACGAACAAAAGACTTAAATAGATATTTCTCCAAAGAAGATATACAAATGGTCAACAAGCACATGAAAATATGTTCAACTTCACTAATCATTAGGGAAAATGTAAATCAAAACTGCCATGAGATGTCTACCTCACACCGACTAGGATGACTAGTATCAAAACAAAAAACAAAAACCAGAAAATGACAATTTTTAGTGAGGATATGGAGAAATTGAAAACTTGTGCACTGTTGATGAGAATATAAAATGGTACAGCTGCTACGAAAGACATTATGGCAGCTCCTTAAAAAAATAAAAATAGAATTAGCATATTATCCAGCAATTTCATTTCTGGTTATATGCTCCAAAGAACTGAAAGCGAGGTCTCCAAGAGATATTTTTACAATCCATGTTCATGGCAGGATTATTCACAGTAGCCAAAAGGTAGAAGCAATGCAAATATTCACTGATGGATGAATGGATAAACAAAATGTGGCATATATATTGTATTAAATATTATTCAACCGAAGAAAGGAAGAAAATTGTAACACGTGCTACAACAGCTTGAGGACATTATGCAAAGTGAAATAGGCCAGTCACAAAATGACAAATACTGTATGATTCCATTTATTTGAGATACCTAGAGTAGTCAAATTTATGGATAGAGAAAGTAGAATGATGTGCCAGGGGATGAGGGAAGGAGGAAATGGGGAGTTATTTTTAAATGGGCATAGAGTTTTAATTTTGGAAGATGAAGAGTTCTGGAGCTTGGTTGCACAGCTATATTAATATATTTATCACCATTGAACTGTACACTTAAAAATGGTTAATATGGGCCGAGCACGGTGGCACGTGCCTATAATCCCAGCACTCTGGGAGGCCAAGGTGGGCAGATCACTTGAGGTCAGGAGTGTGAGACCAGCCTGGCCAACATGGTGAAACCCCATGGCTACAAAAATTATTTTAAAAATTAGCCAGGCGTGGTGGTGAGTGCCTATAATCCCAGCTACTGGGGAGGCGGAGGCAGGAGAATCGCTTGAACCCAGGAGACGGAGGTTGCCCTGAGCCGACATCACGCCACTGCACTCCAGCCTGGGCGACAGGGCGAGACTTTGTCTCAAAAAAAAAAAAAAAATACAATAATGTTGTTAATTACAGTAATAGTGAAAAGATAGAGAAAACATGCAAGTCTTTCAAATGAGAAATAGCCATTGTGTAGAATCCCATGCAGTCACTGAAAAGATGCTGTACATATGCATGTATGAACTTGGAAGGATATATTTGATCTATCTTTTGACTTGAAAAGCAATTTTCATAACAATGTACTTATAATGACTATCAGATTACTAAGGCTAGCACGACAAAATGCAACAAACTGGGTGACTTGCAACAGTTCTGGAGGCCAGAAGTTCAAGACCAATAGGCCGGAAGGGTTAGTTTCTGTGGAGGGCTGAGAGAAAATATCTGTTCCATGCCTCCACTAGCTTCTGATGGTTTGCTGGCAATCTTTAGTGCTCTGTGGCTTGTAGATAATGCATCACCCCAATCTCTGCCTTCATCTTCACATGGAGTTCTCCCTGTGTGCATATTTGTCTCTGTCCCCAAATTTCCCCTTTTTATAAGGACCCCAATCATATTGGAGTAGGGGCTGCTTAAGGAAGAAAAACAATGGTATCTCTGATCCGGATGCATTCTTTCGACTTTCTCAAAGATATCATGTTTTCACTCCCGGTAGATGACTCCACTCTGACAAATGCAGGTGTAAAAGGATTTCGGATATTTGATCACAAGTCCTGAGAATAATGAGGAATGCTTATAGAGAATGACTAAGTATTCCTCAACAGAGTCAACACCTATTATAGCCCACTCCTTACTTTAAAAAAATAATGTTTTTAAATTTTGTTTTATTGTTTTTTGAGAGGTGAGGTCTCACTCTGTTGTTGCCCAGGCTAAAGTGCAGTGGTGCAATCAGAGCTCACTGCAGCCTCGAACTCCTAGGCTCAAGCAGTCCTCTCACCTCAGCCTCCCGAGCAGCTGAAACTACAGGTGCAGGCCACCAAGCCCAGCTCACTCCTCACTTTTACTAACCCGGTGCCAGAACAGGGCTCACTCCCTTTGCTGTTTGCTCTAGGGCCTCTCAAAATTGTCGTTTCCTGCTCTATGTTTTGCTAATGTTGGGCTGCAAAATTCAAGCAAATACCAGTTGTTTGGGGATTTTTTTTTTAAAGGAATTCTAATCCAAGCGTTAGTGGCAGTGTTTTGTTTTGTCTTTTCGCTGTGGTAAGCTCTATAAATTTACCAAATTCCAATGCAAGCTGATGTCTAACTCTTTGACCTTTAAATCATATTTTCCAACAATACTTACTGTCATTTTCCCTATTTAATTGATTTCTGAAATTATGAGAAATCTATACTAGAGGAAACAAACTATGAAAGAAAGTAGTGAAGATGGTAAAATTTTTCCCATGGAGAGAGAGAGATCTGCATCCCTTATTGAAGCCAGGTTTTGTTTTTTGGGGAGAATATTTTTAATCTTAAATTTTTGTAAAATTTCTCCACACATCTAAGAAAAATGATTAATGTAGGTTATTTTTTAATGCATACTATCTTTGATTAAATCTATGAGTTCTATCAAATTATGTCCTGCCCTACCACTAATAAACTCCCCTACCACAGTTTCCTGCACACAATGGACACTCCCTCACAATTCATTGATTTGGGGGTTGGGAAGGAGTTCCAACACAAAAGGCCTAACCCTAGTTACCAAATACTCAGTGTGCATAACAGCAACGTTAGCACTGAGTCTATCCATGGGACCAAAGTGGAATTTCTAAGTACATTCTCCCATCATAGAAAGGACATGGTTAAACAGAATCCACTGTGCAACTATACAATTGTTTGTTGTTCACTATTGGTCTTCCCTCACTTGAATGGAAGCTCTCAAGAGCAGGGACTTTGTTTTTGTTCCCTGCTTTCTGTTTCCCCAAGGCCTGGAGCAATGCCAGGCACAACTTAGGGCCTCAACTACTATTTGTTGAATGAATTAATGTAACAAGATATTTTTCTCCAATCACAGCTTTCAGACTGGCTCTACTAAGCCATCTTTTGCTGTCCTTTAATGACATCTTAGGTAGATTCTATAACTTCGTGGTCACTTTCAGCAATTAAAGGCTCAATCCCGTTTAAAACTGCACATGTACCCTAAAACTTAAAGTATAATAAAAAAAAAATAAAATAAAAAAAAAACTTCAACCTCAAATTCAATGCAAATCTTTCTTCTCTCCCACCAACAGCTATATTTGTACCCTGCTCTTTTACTCCTCCTCCCAGCTCAGTGCCCTGTTGCAGATGCTGGGCATGTCCCGACTCTGACATCCCTCTTCCCACTTCCCTGTGTGGAGACCTAGGTCCTCAAGTGTTTGGGGATGGGAGGGGAGAGAAGAAAGGGACTAGCTTTTTAAAAATTGTATTCAACCTGCTATCTTCAACCTGCTTTCCATCGACTGAAGAATCTTAATTGCATAGTATCAACTGGCTGTCAAATATTTATGCATGGCCATGCAGCCCCAGTGCTGCTTCTCTCCAGGACATAAGTGGGAGTTCTTTGGAGAATGCTGGAGGGAATGAAGGGGAGGAGTGCGCCTCTCCACTGCATTTTTCCTTGAAGCAGAAACTTAGCTTCCAACGTCCTTCAGATGCCAGGTCCCACCTGCAGCTTCTTGCTCTCTCCTGGGAATTTCAGTCCAGCTACCATCTCTAAAGTCCACTTGACTCCCAAGAAACTCACACATCCTCATCACATCCAAAAGTGGGATGTGAGCTTCTCCATGCTCCCTCATCCCCTTCCATGTTGCCATTTCTCAGACTAGAAGTCCAAGGAGCAGGTGCCAGGCTCTCTCCTTCTTGCATGTATTCTCAACTCTCACAAGAGAGCTTCTTGCAGCTGCCTGCCTCTCTACTCCCAGCCTCTCACTTGGCTTTGAGAAATAGAAAGTACTCACCATCTCCTCCCTCTCACAGAAAAGCTTCTCACCATGATCGCTGACTTCTCTACAGGCAGATGGTTTTAGTCTCCAACTTTCCCCCATCTTTATGTCCTTTCTCAGATAACATGGAGGAGAGGGAAAGTGTTAGGTGTCTTTGCCATAGGGCTGGTTCTTCTGGGGTCTCTTAGTACATCTACCTTTGGGTATAAGGAGCGATTGGTGAATCTTTTTAGACTTGATCACCTTTCTGTTTTCAACTGGGACCACACACACCAATTTCAGTGCAACAGGAAAAGTCCCATCAGCATCCAGTTACTTATGCCACATAAAATATTGCCTTTTATATTCACTCCTCTCTCAGGGGCTAGCATAGTGCCTTGTTTTGGAAGCAGTGGGGAGACAAAAAATACTTGTTGAATTAATTCTTTTTTTTTTTTTTTTTTTTTTTTTGAGACACAGTTTCACTCTTTTTGCCCGGGCTGGAGGGCAATGGCACAATCTCGGCTCACTGCAACCTCCGCCTCCCGGGTTCAAGCAATTCTCCTGCCTCAGCTTCCCAGGTAGCTGGGATTACAGGTGCCCGCTGCCACACTTAGCTAATTTTTTTTTTTTTTTTTTACTTAGTAGAGATGGGGTTTCGCCATGTTGGCCAGGCTGGTCTCGAACTTCTAACCTCAAGTGATCTGCCCGCCTCGGACTCCTAAAGTGCTGGGATTACAGGTGTGAGCCACCACGCCCAGCCTGAATTAATTATTGATAGAGCAGTAGGTGCCTGAGATGTTGATCAGAAATTCCAGGCTTCCAGCTGAAATCTTCTGGAAGAAACCTGTAGGTGTGATGTCTGGAATCCTGATGAAATCTTGGAGACTTCAGACCACTGCATGAATATCTAAACCCCACTCTGAACCTTCACAAGGTTCTTGGCTGCATGGCTTCCAAGGTGCTCTAATCATCAAAATATCTCCCATGTGAGGAAATAACAGGGACAATATTTTAAAAATTAAATCCATACTTAGAAGGAAATTAAAAATGAAACTGTTTGATAATGAGACAGTCTTTCATCTCTGCTTGCTGCAAGGTCCTTGAGCTCCTTGAGCTTCAAAATGTCTCAGCTCCTGGCATCGAATGCCATCAGAATACTGAAGCAGAACATTTGTTGCATAATCCTCCTTCTTGAGATTTGATTCATATCCTGGGTCTTGTCACTGGGTTGTCTTTCTTCCACACTCAGATAAAGTGGGACAGTTGATATGGTTTTGCTTTCACATTCACAGTTTCACCAACTTTTTGGGATCCTCCTCAAACACATTAGACACATGTATCTGTAATATACATCCAGGGAACAAAAATTTAGACTAGTGTGGAAAGTTAAGGTGGGGGAGAGTGGATTAATCTAATTTTGTTTGTTTCCACTTTCTGTTGAAATTTGTCTCATATGCTTATACAACCCACTTCCCTCTCTGTCCTTCCTTTGTTCCCTCACTATTAAGGGGTAATATCTACTTTTCTCAAAGAAATGCTATAGGAACTAAGTAGAAAAATATTTGTGTAATGAACTTTCAAGTTTATGGAAGAAATTCCCTTTGCTCTACCAACAAGTTCTCAAACTAAATACATGACATTTGGCAAGCCTTAACCTCTAGTCTTTATTTTCCTTTTCTATCAATACAGGACCAGGATAATTTATTGTCCATTTATTATTTATTCTGCAGCATGTTCTGTGGAGAGCATTTATTATATGTTATTATTTTATTTTGTATTCATTATATGTATATGAAAAGAATAATAATCTGCATTTTGTACATGAAGAAACAGATTCAGGAAGGTTAAATAACTTGCACGGCATGTGGTTTTGGCTAGTCAATGACAAAACCTAAATCCAAACCCTCATTTATTTAGTTCCAAACCCTAGTTCTTAACTCCTACAGTTTCCTATCAAATGAGCTCTGAGCTTCCTAAACTATTCCTTTGGGTTCCTTGTTTTGAGCCATGGAACTATTTTATTTTCTTGTAAGAGGCATCATTAAGCATTTTTTGTTGCTGGTTCCATACGTAATAAAAAATAGCATACCTTAATTTTTGCAACACTTTTGTGTTGTGAGTGATGGAAATAAAAGAAATATCAGGAAGATTTATCTTCTTTGACCTTAGGACTCAAAAATACTCTACTTAAACAAGTGGGGTTTTGTTGTTGTTGTGTATGTTAGAGATTCCCTCAGATACAGGTTGTACAGCTTTCCTTAGAAGATCATCTGTCGCTTACAATTAGGAGGAAGAATTTTTCTCTGTCTGATGTGGCTCTCTTCTATTCTAACGTATTGTCAGTACTTTAGAGTGAATTTGATCACTTTTTCCTGTTCCTTTCTTAAGACAGGAACTAATAAGACAGGATGCGCTTAAGGGAAGATACAGAAGTATTGTGTTGAGAAAGCACAAGGAATGTTAATTCTTTCTTGTAATTAGTGTTTCAGTGGTTGTCTGTCTTCACAGATTAAAAATAGAAGAAATAAAATGTCCATAAATGGGCAGGTGGGTAGCTCAAGTCTTACATAAAAGAAAAACAAGTGCACTTCCTCATTTACTCCTCTTTCAAATAACAAATATTCAGTATCATCTCTGCCTAGGTTTTTATCTCCTTGTAGAAATAATGCATAAGAAATTAGCTCCAACTGATAGATACACTGATTTCATAAAAAAAATTATCTAATATGCTTAATAAGAACTATTTTCTCCATATGAGCTGGACCAGAATGTGAAAAATGTCCATCAGCATTTGAGTTAATAATGATTTTCCTATCAGCTAAGCATTCAGTAAAAGGGAAGAAATATTTGAAAAGATAACACAGCAAATTTAAAAAAATAGAAATGAGAATTTGTAGACCTCCCTTTTTTTAAACTTTGGCAATGCTATTATAAATAGCATTTTTAAAAACTGTCTGGCTAAAACAAAACAAATGTTTCCTGTCAGTGTGGAAAAAGAAATTCCTGACTAAAATTGTGTTATCAGGTTTTCGGTCCATTTAATTAGGAAAGCTGTTAAATGTCATGCTACATGTCATCAAATGCCCTTTTAAAAAATGATTTCAATTTTTCATAAGTTTATTCCAACTTTTGTGTTTTCATTATTTAATCCCCCTTGGGGATTTCTTTTAAGTAAAGTCGTCATTTTTACAAGTGAAAAATACACTATTCTTGCCATAACTACACATCAGACTTAAAAATATACCAGACTTAAAAAGAATATAGAAACATATCGAAGATCAAGTCATCTTCTAAAACATAATGCCATTTCACATGTATCTTTAATATTTACTTTTAAGGAGAAAAACTGAGATATGGAAACTACTAGAGCTGAGCTCTAATTAAGTCTAACTCTAATTTTTCACATTAAAAAAACCTGACCCTCAGAACTTGAATGAAAAGAAGTTTATAAAGTTGGTGGCAGATGATTTCCTTTCTGCAAATCCAGTGAACTTACTTTACTACCATACTGTTCAGAAAAAATTTAATAAGTAGCTGTATAGTAATATGCCAGGCACAGTATCAGCTTCTGTTGATACAATGATGAATAACACAGGGTGTCAGGTCTAAAGAAGTTAGAATCTAAAGAAGAGTAAAATAAACAAATTGACAAGTAAATTACTGCATAACACATTACTTACAAACTTAACAGCATAAAACAATACACATTTATTATATCGCAGCTTTAGTAGGTCAGAAATTGGGCATAGCTTAACTGGATCCTCTGCTTCAGGGTCCCTCACAAGGCTGCAATCCAAGGTGTTACTGAAGCTGAGGTATCATCTGAAAATTCAACTGGAGAAAGATTCACCTTCAAGCCCATATGGCTTTTTAAGACCTTGTCTTAAAAAAATTATATATATATATATATATATATAGAGGGAGAGAGAGAGAGAGAGAGAGAGAGAGAGAGGGACAAAGGGATAATTGGGGGATATGTTAGAATTTATCTGCCACATAAATTTACAGTAAAACATGATCAATGCTGTGACAGAGAAAAGCACAGGGGCAGTAGAATCACAGGAGATACACTGTAAACCAAACTAAGGAGGTTGTCATTTGAGTTGAATTTTAAAGAATGAAAACTCATTAGATCAATGGAAAAATGAAGGTCATTCCAGACAGGAGCAGGGTCTGTAAATGCATTGAGTCATTAAAAAGCAAGCATTGTTAATGTCTGTAGTTAAATTGGAATGGCATAATATCCATTAACTGAGATAATTGAGAAGAATTATGTTTGCTTAGAATCAGCAAATTTTAGAGTTTAAGACTATAAAGGGAGAAACTAAGGCTCAGAGATAATAGGTCTAGCAAATGATATATATTCAATAAATGATGAATAAATAAATGAATGAAAGAATGAACTGCCTTTGTAGTACTAGAAATGGAATTCCACTTCCATATCCTACATAATAACCATATAAGTCAACCTCTATCTCTTTAAGAAAGATAGGAGAGACAAAATTACAAGTGCTAAAGAGATCGACAGAGGGAAGCTATGTCACAACCAGAACCTGACGGAGCAGAAACAAAGTTTATATTTCATTTCTAATATCTAATTGCCATGGTGTGATCCCTGCTCTTTGAGGGGTGGGCTTGGGAGGAGAAACTGCTTTATAGATACATAGAGTAATGATGAAATTTTTACAACTAGTTCTCTCACTTCATTCCAGCGGAAAAAATGTTTTCTAGAGCCTTCTTGAACTACAAAATTCTGTATAATTTCTGACTCAAAAACAGGCAATACATCACCTCCAGGACCCAAAGAAGAGATGGTTTATATTTCTGTAGATTCATATCTGACTCAGCATTTTTGCCTTGGTGTGAAATATATACATATTCTTGTATTTAGCTAAAGAGTTTATTTTGCAATGAGGTAAAGACAAGGTAGCATTAAACTGACACTAGCAGTAATCACTAAAAAGAAAAATATTTTTAAGTAAGAACCATTATGGGAAGTTTTTTGAGCCAAAAATGAATTTAGTAGTAACAGCCATATCTCTTTTTTCATCTCAAGTATGTTTGCATGAAATACATTGAATAGAACTACACATTCACGATTCTTCCATTCATGTGAAGTCAGACCTAATAATAGTCAAATTTAGTCATCCTTTGCTAGGTTGATGAGTAAACATACTTGGAACCAGTTTTTTGGAGAGAAAGCTGGTGAGTCTTAGAGCCTGTAAAGATACCCTTTTTCTTATTATTAATATTAGTTTTGATTGATAAATCATAATTATAAACATTTATGTGGTACAATGTGATTTTTTGATATATGTATACAGTGTGGAATGATTAAACCAAAATAATTAACATACCCATCACTTCATTTAGTTGTCACTTTTTGTGGTGAGATATTTGAACTTCGCTTTCTTAGTTATTTTGAACTATACAACACATTGTTATTGAAAATAGTCACCCTGCTGTACAGCTAATCTCAAAACCTCTTCCTCCTGTCTGTGCCCTTTTCATCAACAAGCCCTCATTTCCTCCCTCCCCATACCCTCAGCCCCTGCTAACTATTATTCTATTCTCTACTTGCATGAGTTCAACTTTTTTAGAGTCCACATATATATCTATGGCTGGTTTAAGGTACTCCCATTCACTGCCTCTTGAGATGGTGTATTATTTGCCTTCTTTCCTTCCCCAGTTGTAGCACATTCAGGCTCATCCGGGGTGTGTGTGTGTGTGTGTGTTTGTGTGTGTGAATTTGAGTAATGTGTGTGTGTGTTAGAGATGTGTGTGTTGGGGGGGTTATTTAAAAGTATAACTCCTTTCTGCAAATTCTCTATAAATCTACAACTGAATCAAAATCCTCAAGGAAAAAAATTTTTAAAAGAATATGGAGCATGAACTAATGGGAAGGAAGATGATCTCAAAGGAATAGGAATAAAATTATTAAAACAAATATGAAAAATACAAGTAACAAGTAAGTTTATGTGATTTCAAAACATTGTTTGAGAGGACTGTAGAGAAGATAATTCTTCAGATGTGGTAAGGCTCAAAAACATTTTTTAATGTCTTTGATGAGAGGATGTTCTAAGGTAGAAAACTTAATGCTCTTGATGTGTACATCAGTTTTTTTAACTAACAAAAAAGTTACATATATTTGTGGTTTCCAACATGATGTTTTGATATTAACATACATTGTGGAATAACCAAATCAAGCTACTTAACATATTCATTACCTCATATTTTTTGTGGAGAACACTTAAAATCTCTCAGTAATCTTCAAGTATACAATATGTTAACTGTAGTCATTATGATGTACAATAGATCCCTTGTACTTGAAATGGTGTGTCTTTTCACCAACATCTTCCCAGTCCCCCACCACCTACCCCATAGTAACCACTATTTTACTCTGTTTCTATGAGTTTGACTTTTTTATACTCCATGTAACAAGTGTTACGAAGGATGTGGAGAAAATGGAACCATTGTACATTGTTGGTGGGAATGTAAATTGGTACAACCATTATGGGAAACAGTAAGAAGGTTCTTCACATAATTAAAAATAGACCTACCATATGACCCAGTAATCTACCACTGGGTGTATATATCCAAAGAGAATGAGATCAGTATGTCAAGATATCTGCACCCCCATGTTCATTACAGAATAACTCAAACTAGCCAAGATATAGACATCAAATTTTGAGAAAAGCAAGTATTCAATTATGTAGAATATACCCAACCTGCTACAAGAGAAAAAAGCAGGTGTTTGGAAACTTCATTCAATTTTATTGTCTTCTGTAGAACACACTATTGAATTATGCTGAGTTAACCACTTTAGAGCCTGACAGCTTTTAACAGAGAACAGACACAAGCAATCTAGAACTGGTGAAACCTGAAGGGCTCCACAGGGGCAAACACAAAACTCATCCATAGGAAGTTTCCACAGCTCAGAGCAGTAAGAATTAATTAACGTCCTTGTTTTCAGAAAAGCTATCGAAAAGAGAGGTAGAACACCTATTCTCTGTTTCAATTTCTAAATTTCTTATATGTAGGCAACATCGTTTCTTCTTTTTTGGAAAAAAATAACTATTACTTTGATTCATATTTTGGTACTTCCATGTCAATTGGAACTACTCATAGCTATCTTCCATGTTTTTCTAACTTCTCCTGTATTTTCCATCTTTTTATCTCATTGGATTACATTCTGAGTGCTTTCTTTATGTAGTCAGCTTATCTAGTCCTTTAATTCATCTCTTGAGGTTTTTTAAAAATTTTATAAAACATTTTCTTTTTAATAAATATATTTTATTTCTAGAATTTATATTTGGTTCCTTTATTTAAAAAATGCTTTTTTTTAGTGTGCCCTTGTTTTCTCATAAACTTTATTCACTCCATTATCATTGATCATTCTTACACTTATTTTTAAGTCTTTTAAAGATAATTATACTACCAGTAATTTAATTTATCTAATAGAATTCTTCCATTTGTTGCATTAACTAACTTCCTTAAGCAGGGAGTCTCTGCTATTACTTTATAATTTTGGTCTATGAGCTCATCTTCAGAGAGTTGTCTCACACCTGTATGCTGATTATTCCATGAACTGTGGAAATTCCTTTTGGAGTAGTTCTCCATTTTCTTTTGTGGAGCTCTATACATTTCACCAGTTCCAGACAATTTTTACCTTAGACTTGTGTTCGTGCACTGCTTGGATTATGATTAAGATCCCATGAGTAGCTCAGATTTAGACTTTCAATTTCTGCAAGAGTCTCTCCACCCATGGCCCAGGGAAGATCATCTCTTTCCATTCCATATCCCCATGCTATATCCCAGGACTGTCTCTGAACCAGATTTTCTAGCTCCCTTCATGAATGGGACAGACTATTTCCAGATATATACCTCAAGTGTACAAAGAACTTTTGACCTACGATTTAGACATGTAGACTCTCATTTTTGTGGATTTTTTTTTAACAATTAAGAAATGCTTTGTAAGTAAAACTGACACAAGGTCATAATTTTATCAAAATCACTACATGTGATTACTGAATGGGCAACACATAGCTCAGTATCACTTACTTTGATGCCAAAATGTGAGGAAGAGGGGCTTGGTTGCCCTCCTTGATCAAGAGTAAAAGTCCTTAAATTTTCTAGCTAAAAAGACTCAAAAGACTTTTCAGACTTGGATATTAGGGACATTGTGCTTCCTTTCAAAATCCATTATGGGACTATCACCCATGAGTTTGTCTAAATCATTCTGTACCTCTTTATATATTAAAACAGTTTCTTGCCTTTGGTATGAATAGTATGATTTTCTTATTCACTGCATTAAACAGTATTAGTCTTTACATTTACATAAAAGTAAATTTTGAAGAACAATATTTTGGGGAGGAAATTCTTTTTCTTGTTTTTTATTATTTTATTTTCCTGCCTTTCACTCTGATTGTAAGATAATTATTAGTTTTGGAGGATTTCTTTTAGAATATCATTTTATGTGCCATTTTAATAGAGGTAGCAGAGCATAGGTATTAAGATTCAATTCCCAGTTCTGGAGTCAGACTGCCTGGGTTTGAATTCAGCCAATTACTACTGATTGTGTGACGTGGGGAAGATTTTTAACCTCTGTGTACCTCAGTTTCCATATCTGAACAATAAGGATGATGATGTTATTAATAGTGCCTACCACATAAGTTTATAAAAAGGGCTAAATAAGTTATTACACATAACGCATTTAGAATAGTTCCCCATACATGTTACATATTATTATATTTCAAATTTTCATGAGGTCTTTT
The DNA here is from genome assembly GCF_000001405.40 of Homo sapiens. Classification (NCBI taxonomy): domain Eukaryota; kingdom Metazoa; phylum Chordata; class Mammalia; order Primates; family Hominidae; genus Homo; species Homo sapiens. Next base: position 99,674,005 of record NC_000003.12, read on the forward strand.
TGCACAGACATCTCCATAACCTAGCCCAATGATTTCATGAATTTTGGGAAATTTTCAAGGCATGTGGAAAGAAACAATCCTATGCTATCAACTTTTATGATCTCTTGCTTTTTCATGAATGGGTGCTTTGAAAATTATGAATCCAAATAACCCTTCCTTTTTTCAATCAATACTTTCATTGAGACTATTTATAGGAAATCTCTCGGGAATGGAGGGAGTTGAGGTAACATAAGAACCTTTCAGCTTTGTGGCCAGAGTGTGCCTTCATACCTCCCTGCTGGTCCTATGGGCCAAGATAAACATGCCTGGCAAGGAATGCCTTGCTTACTCCACCCTGTCAACTAGGAGGTAAAGGTTTTGGACTGTGGTATTGCTACTCCACCCAACTTCTGTTCCATTTTTAATATACCTTTGAGATAAAGTGTATTGTCTCCTTTTTTAAAAAAAAAAAAGCCTTGAAGGTGTGGCTGACAAGAAGGAAAGCAATACCCTGCCACTGGCTCACACATGAAAAGTCTTCCAGCCCCAGATCATGACTTGACTCTCTATTCTGGCTATGCAGCTCAGGCTCTACATTTTGTTCGGTAAAAGCAACAACACTCACATACCTCACCACCTGGAAAAAATGCTAGAAATTGTCCCTGGCAAACACCCAGGAATGTAATTGAGCTCACAATGGCCAGCACAGAAAGAATTGCTTTCCTCAACAACTGTGTTGCTGAAAGTCTGCATGAAAATCAAATGTTTGAAGTTGGATCATTTCTTAAGTGCATTGGGAATTTGCTACTTAATGAATGCTACAGAGACTTATTTATTGAATAATGATAAAGTAATAGTGATCCTTTTTATCTATTTTTCACATTTAGAATTTTGAAATCTAGTTTTCTTTAAAGCAAGACACACCCATAGCATTAGTTTCTCCACTACATGTGTCATCTAAGCTTTGGGTGCTCAGTTTTCTTTCGGGGAATACTAGGGGATGAGATTCAATGACCTCTGCAGTTCCTTCCAACTTGAAATTCACTATGTCTAACTAAGGCAGTCTAGGAATAACTAGAGATAAGCCCTCTGGTTTGGTTATTTCTGATTTTCTCATTTCATCCATAATCTGAGAAACTGTGTGCTTCTAGCATTAGTTTCTCACATAGCTCCATGTGAAGCTTCACAGTTGGGCTGGCATGACTGTCTTGGTGGGTATGACACAGAAAGCTAGAGCCATAGTAAACTGATATTTTGAAGCTCCCTCAGAGATCTCTTTCAATGGCTATCTTTCCTTCCTTATTTTTGGCCATGAGAAAAATTATTATAGAAGATTAGGAGTGCCTCTAACAATTTTATAAGTTAGGACCTTCTTTCTGGATGTTTTCTGAGGCATAAAGCACTTTATACAATATTTTGTTATTTGTTATGAGCGCCAGTGATGCAATAAAGGGAAAACCATATTGGCTCTACTTCATCTACTGGAAAAGTGCACTATAAGTTAATTTGGTTACTTGCCAAAATCATCCAGCAGATTGCTAATGAAGCCAAAGATACTCAATTTTGTGACAGAATTACTAAGCTACACTGCTTGAAGTTAAAATGTCTGACACCAGGTATTTTTTAGTTTGTAACTTTCCTTACTATCTCCACTGAACATCATCCTCTTCATCCAGGGAGCTCACACGTTCACCAACTCACCCTTGAAGTCATCTCAAGAACAAAAGACAACTGAAAGGTAATATTTCAAATATTAATTAGATATTTGCGGTGTGCCTCAGTTCACCCAACCCATAAGCCTTTAAACACAAATGTAAGTAGAATTTTGACCCCCTCTAAGGCTGAATAAATACTCACACATTAGTGTGAGCATTTGAAGTCATAGAGATAAAAAAGAGTGTGTGATTCATGTCAGCATTATTTCATCTCTTCAATGACATAAATAAATGTGATAATCTATGTGAAATGTCTTGGCGAACTTAAAAGAATGAATAATCATATCTGGTGTTATCATTGCATACAGGAATAATATTAATAGCATTGTAAACTATCATCTGACATTAAAAAGACCATTAAGCTATATTATAAAACACTTTATACCAGTAAATATGACAATTTATGTGAAATTATTACCAAACTACACAGAAAGGAATGGAAAATATAAATAGTCCTATATTACTTTTAAAAAACTAAATCATTTTTGTAAACCTTCTTACAAAGAAAACTCCACATCCAGGTAGCTTCGCCAGTGAATTTGAAGATGAAATAACACCAATTTCACACAACATTCCCAAAGAATAATAAAAAGTGATAATAGGTATTTTCCTCTTATTTATTAGCACAGCATAATCTTGATCCCAAAACCTGGCAAGAACATTACAAGAAAGGAAAATAGCAGATACATGGTTGCAAAATGATCAAGTAGGCTTTTTTCCAGGACTAGAAGAATGGTTTAGGATTCAAAAATCAATCAATGTAATTTACCACATTAATAAAAAAGAAAATCACAAAATAAATTCAATAGATTCAGAAAAGGGGTTTGATAACATTTAATACACATTCATGACAAAAAGTGCCTAGCAAACCAAGAAGACTTCCTTGACATGACAAAGTGAATACAAAATTTCTGTGCAAACATTATAGTTAATTATAACTTTTGGAAGAAGACAAGAATGCCCACTATCACCACTGTTATTCAAATTATGCTAGAGGTCCTATTGTGTGTATTAAGGTAAGAAAGAGAAATAAGAGGCATAAGGAATTGGAATTGGAAAGGAAAAATATAATTTTCATTATTTATTGTTAGAATTAATAACTGCATTTATCTAGCCCATTGGATATAATATCAATATTCAAAAATCCATTAACTTCTCTATATAAGGAATAAACAAATAGAAAAATGAAACTTTTTGAAAGATACCATTTACAGTAGCAATTAAAACATCAATTTTATGCTGGGTGCAGTGGCTTACACCTGTAATGCCACCACTTTGGGAGGCCAAGGCAGGTGGATCACTTAAGCCCAAGAGTTTGAGACAAGCCTAGGCAACATGGCAAAACCCTGTCTGTACAAAAAGAAAAAGAGAGAGAGAGAGAGAGAGGGAGAAAGAAATTATATATATGTAACCTATATATATAATTATATATAAACACATCAATTACATATATATATATAAGCACATCAATTTTAGCAGGTGTAAGCAAAGGAATTTAAAGAATGAACATCAAGAAATGACTGTTTTAAGAGTTACAATTTGATGTGACAGGTGCTTGAAAATACAACCAAAATCAATACATAAATATAACTCATTTTTAATAATCCAGTGTCCAAATCTTTCTTATTCTTGCTCTCATCTGTTAGCTTCTAGATTTCTCAAATGCAAAATATCACAGCTATTTGAAAATTCACCAGTCATTACCTAACACCAGATAACAGGAATGGCCTTCAGGAAACTTTCCACAGAAGCCTTGGTTTTAAATTGATTTTATTTACAGGGAGAGTGAAAAATAAGGATAAATTAATACACAATAGTCCAAAGTCTCTTAAAGGCATAATCTTACATGAAATCAGATAGCTTCTTAATGCAGAACATCTTATAGTATGTCACATGAAAATATACAAAGTGTTTACGGAAGCAATTTTGAACTAATAGAGAATTTCTGAATACTACGTCAGGCAAGGTGGAAAGTACTCAAATAATGTGTGAATTTATGATGAATTTGCTAGACTTCAGGGCCAACTTGAAATCCTCTTTTTACTCCTCCAGACGTTTCCATACAGTTCCTCGCTCAGAACAGCTTCAGCTGTCTATGGGAAGGCTTCACAAGACAAAGAGCTAGGACTTGGCCATTTACACAAAACCAAAAGTGAATTACCCAGAGTGTGCTGGCAGAGAGACTTGAATGTAAGGACATGGGAAAATCTACACAGGTTGCCAATGGTTTGTGACTGTGAGAAAAGAAAAGAAAAATTAAAGAAAATCTTACTAGCATAATTCACATTGGACAACATGAGCACATTCCAGTCAATCCACTTTATAGACATGATCTCACTGGTCTCCCCAACATCCCTACAAGGAAATGAGGGGGACCAGTATGGCTCCACCCTTAGGTCAAAAGCCCATCCTTCACTCCCACTTGTGGCTGTGAGTGGGTGGAACACATTTAAACAGGGGAACAAATTACCATCTTCCTTGCTTTTGACCCTTTAACATGCGGGTGAGCAAGTCTGCCTTTTCCCTGCTTGAGGCCATACAATTCCCAAAACAACTTGTCTGAAATGTTGGGGGCTGAGTCATTGGCCAGTGATAGTTTTCAAACAACTGCTGGTTTGTTTCTCAACCACTGCTTGGCCATGCTGACTTGGACACAATACAGCATGTAATAAAAGTGCCTGGGATATTTTCCTCCTTGGCCCAGAGAAGACTTTTAGAAGGAAAGACAATGGTGAATACGGAAGGGGAGATGAATGCACTAGAAAGATATGTTGCCAGCATTGTGCTCAGCCGAAGAGAAGCTTTGAGACCAAGAAATGTGAGCATATTGGGCATCTAGAAGTTCTCCCAGATAGTAGCGTAGATCTCCATTTTTCTGGGTTGTTTGTTGTTGTTGTTTGTTGTTGTCATTTTCTGCACTATGCTGCCTCTCAAGACTCCCTTATGTGTGCTATAAAAAAAAATCCATGACAGAATGGTCTATTCTCCACAAAAATAGTTACTATTGTTGTTGAGGTGTTACTAATAGTTACTAGTAGTTACAAAAATAGTTACTAATGTTGTTGAGGTGAAGTCAATGGGAAAGATAGTAGTAAAATAGCAAAAATGTATTAGATAGTATTTTTCACATTGGGAATATAAGACAATTCATTCAAAAACCAACTCCTTAGGATTCATTTTATTATCTTACACTTAAAAATATGTTTAGATTTTTCTTTCTTGCACTAGAAATTAAATTGTCCTATATATTGAGGGATGAAAAGCACAGATGATTATCCGTATAAATATTGACACACATACTCACTCTATCCACATAGCTATCTGTTATGGATAAAGAACTCGGCAACTTCTAGCAGTCATCTGAGATGAGCACCATATGTGCATTATTTCACTAAAGCTTTCAGAGCTTGAGAAAAATAGCCTGAAGAATAAGATTGTTTCTTTCTGAGCCAAGGTTGCAATCTTCCAAGTCCAAGATGTGCTTGAAAATACTCATTAGGTAATTGTCAAAGCCTAGGAAGACCAGTTTAAGAATATGAAATAATATTACTACTGACTTCTCTTTTTGTGTTCAATCCAGATGGAAGCTGGACACATGAGAAGTGACGTTTGTATAATAGCAAAGAAAAGAACAGAGAACAAGAAAGCAAAACCCTTCACACCTATGTTCTCTTTATAGGATCTCATTACTGTTTGCTCTCTATAATCCCCAGAAAATAGAAAAAGTATATCTATCCAATAAGTTGTGGAAAGTCTCCCTCTGTCCTTCTATAATAGAGTTTCCAGTCATTGTTAGACAACTGCATTTCATTCACCAATAGTGGCCTATTGAAATCATCAACAGGAGAAACAGTTGTTAATATCAAATAAAGAGTCTTGCAATGGAAGTCAAAATACTTTACTCTTTCACTAACTTGGTGTATGATCTTGAGCAAGTCATTTAACCTCTCTAAGTTTGCTTGCCTCATCTGTCAAACAAGAGAGATGAGATAAATTATCTCCACAGGCATTTTCAGAACTATTCTAGTCTTTTTGGAAATTGGTTTATATTTGTAGAAAAGGTTCAATCTGTTTCTGGCATGGCAGTGACCAAGTCAGAATTTCTATTTGGGAGATGAGAAAAACACATTAACAAGATTAATTACTGTAGCTGAAAGATACATAAATATGGATTGGGGTGTATTTTTAATACCACAAAAACTTCCATTCCTGAGTTACTTCATTAGCAACTGTTACTTCAACCATCTAGGTTGAGGTTTTCCAGTAATTCTAGGTCAGCAATTATGGACCCTACTTATTTTCTTTTTTTTATTATACTTTAAGTTCTAGGGTACATGTGCACAATGTGCAGGTCTGTTACATATGTATACATGTGCCATGTTGGTGTGCTGCACCCATTAACTCATCATTTACATTAGGTATATCTCCTAATGCTATCCCTCCCACCTCCCCCAACCCCATGACAGGCCCCGGTGTGTGACGTTCCCCTTCCTGTGTCCAAGTGTTCTCATTGTTCAATTCCCACCTATGAGTGAGAACAGGCGGTGTTTGGTTTTCTGTCTTTGCGATAGTTTGCTCAGAATGATGGTTTCCAGCTTCATCTATGTCCCTACAAAGGACATGAACTCATTCTTTTTTATGGCTGCATAGTATTCCATGGTGTATATGTGCCACATTTTCTTAATCCAGTCTACCATTGATGGACATTTGGGTTGGTTCCAAGTCTTTGCTATTGTGAATAGTGCCGCAATAAACATACATGTGCATGTGTCTTCATAGCAGCATGATTTATAATCCTTTGGGTATATACCCAGTAATGGGATGGCTGGGTCAAATGGTATTTCTAGTTCTAGATCCTTGAGGAATCGCCACACTGTCTTCCACAATGGTTGAGCTAGTTTACAGTCCCACCAACAGTGTAAAAGTATTCCTATTTCTCCACATCCTCTCCAGCACCTGTTGTTTCCTGACTTTTTAATGATTGCCATTCTAACTGGTGTGAGATGGTATCTCATTGTGGTTTTGATTTGCATTTCTGTATACTATAAGGCTCCAGTAACCAAAACAGCATGGTACTGGTACCAAAACAGAGATATAGACCAATGGAACAGAACAGAGCCCTCAGAAATAATACCACACATCTACAACCATCTGATCTCTGACAAACCTTACAGAAACAAGAAATGGAGAAAGGATTTCCTATTTAATAAATGATGCTAGAAAAACTGGCTAGCCATATGTAGAAAGCTGAAACTGGATCCCTTCCTTACACCTTATACAAAAATTAATTCAAGATGGATTGAAGACTTAAATGTTAGACCTAAAACCCTAAAAACCCTAGAAGAAAACCTAGGCAATACTATTCAGGACATAGGCATGGGCAAGGACTTCATGACTAAAACACCAAAAGCAATGGCAACAAAAGCCAAAATTGACAAATGAGATCTAATTAAACTAAAGAGCTTCTGCACAGCAAAATAAACTACCATCAGAGTGAACAGGCAACCTACAGAATGGGAGAAAATTTTTACAATCTATCCATCTGACAAAGGGCTAATATCCAGAATCTGCAAAGAACTTAAACAAATTTACAAGAAAAAAAATCAAACAACCCCATCAAAAAGTGGGCGAAGGATATGAACAGACACTTCTCAAAAGCAGACCTTACTTATTTGCTGAGAAAAATCTCTTGTATTTTCCATCCGTAAAATTTTCACACCAGTGGCCTTGTTCCATAGGGTCCAAAGGAGACTGAAAGATTGGAGGGAGGAATTAAAAAAAAGATTTATGAAGAAAGTTTAAAGGAGGTAGAAAGAGTTTGAGTGGGGAGTGTATTTAGTCTAGAAACAAAAACTATGAAGTGTGGCTTAATAAAAGTCATCAAGAATATGAAAGACCAGCTGCTCTCTATTTCCTCAAAGACTAAAACACAAGAAGACTGCTTTCAATTACAACAGCAGGTGGTGCTTTGGGTTAGACCCAAATTATTTTCTGGTTGGGTACCCGAAACAAGTCACTAAGGGAGATTTTCACCACTTTAAGACTAAGACAGATATGAGGCTAATATTAGCTCATGTGTATGAAGGGCTTCTATACTGAGGCTTGTGCTAAGTATATTACATTGGTTATCATCTTTCATTCACAACAGCCCTGTAAAAAAAGTGTTACCACTATTCTCATTTTGGAGATGAGAAGACTAAGAGTCACCATATGGCTAGCAAGCAGCAGAGTGTGATATGCAACCAGGGTGTTGGACTCCAGAGCCAGCTCTCTTCACCATGAGGCTCTGCTGCCCTGAGTCTCACATAATTAGCTGCAGTTTTCTTTGGAATAAGAAAGGGAAACTATTGAATTTAACTTTCAAATCTAGGAAGGCCTTTTATACAAATCCGAAGTTCTCCATCTCTACCAACTGTGAAATAACTAGAAGTGCCGGCCGGGTTCGGTGGGTCATGCCTGTAATCCCAGCACTTTCGGAGGCCAAGGCGGGAGGATGACTTGAGGGCAGGAGTTCAAGACCAGCTTGGGCAACATGGTGAAACCTTGTCTCTACTAAAAAACAAAAAGAATTAGCTGGGCCTGGCGGTGCACGCCTGTAATCCCAGCTACTCGGGAGTCTGAGATGGCAGAATGGCTTGAGCCCTGGGTGGTCAAGGCTGCAGTGAGCCAAGATTGTGCCACTGCACTCCAGCCTGGATGACAGAGCAAGGCCCTGTCTCAATAATAATAATAATGATAATAATTAGAAGTGTCTTAAGCATGCTTTTGTCACAGTATTATAATCACCTGCTCACTAACAAGGACATGAAACATGTTACATCATGATTCTGTATTATAAATATTTTAAATCCTTATAAGGTTGGGGTACTTCTGGTCTGACTTTTATGTTCAGAATTAAGTAAAAGGAATGTGAAATTAAAAAAAAAAAAAAGAAGTGCCTTAAGTGGTTTAGAGTTGTAGAAAGATCATAGAACATATAAGCTCTCACCAGCTTTGTGACCTCAGGCATCTCCGTTAAGCTCTCCAATGCTCAATTTCCTCTCTTACCTATTGAACAGTATCTGTTGAGCATGTACACTCTCACATCAGAAATTCAATGGTAAATAAAATCTGAAAAATCAGAAAAATAATAACAACCACACAGCATTGTTGTGTTTAGCACTCAGTGGAGCACGAGCTCCCTCCCCACTTTACCTTCTGAATAAGGGATTTGGGTTGCAGAGGAAAGAACTCGCTGACATTAAGTGTGAAATATGCCACGAAGTGTAGAAAAAATAGAATAGAGAATCATTATCTTCTGTATGAACTTTTTGAAAGTCCAGAGAGAAAAATCACCAGTAGGGTCATTGTTTGCTTTCTCCTTTGTATGTTCAGAATTAAATAACATGTATGTGAAATTTTTTAAAAAGAAGTGTCTTAAGTGGTTTGGAGTTGTAGAATTCTCATAGAATTTTTTCATAGTTTTATTATAGTACTTATCATATTTTAATTATTTTTACATGCCTTTCTCCCCCATAAGACTCTATATTCTACAAGTCAAAGTCTGTCCTTTGCTCCTTTCCATATTTACCAAAATTTTACCCAGCCAGGGCTTGGCACATAATAGCTACCAATAAAATATCTGTTAAAGAATGATTGAATAAAAAATAAATAAATGAAAGTTCTCAGCTGGAAAAGAAGGAAAAGAAAATCACAGGAGATAATATATAAACTGGAACTTATTTCACAAACTAAGACGTATTTCATTGAAAATAAGACTTTTCATTGAAAATGGAAATAAGTTTTTGTTTCATTTAGATGTAGAAAGACCTATAATTAGGCACAATGTGTAAGCATCCCTCATGATTGTTTAAAACTTCAGAACTCTCTTTTTGGCAGCTCTTGAGGGACACGATAAATTTTAGGGTTTTTTTTTTCAAAGGAGTGGGTTGTCCTTCTGGGAAGCAGGTGGATAGGACCACAAGATTTCTTCCAGCCTGAGCTTCAGTGACTCAGTAATTCTAAATGAACCCTCAGGAATCCTCTCAATCAAATGATTCTTTCCAGTTACCCTGACTGTGCCACAAACAAGCTCACATTGAAAGAAAAGCCCAAATATTTAACCCAATATTGTCATATTGCAAACATTCTGTTTTTACCTAAGTGCATGCTTTCAGCCCAACAGAAGTGCTGTGACTGGACTTTGTCTCTATAAGACCAAAACAATAAGCTAAAAAAAAACCAACATTTCATGAAATTAGGTTTTGGGGCCAAAAACTGAGATGAAGTTTTAGTTTGTTTGTTTGTTTTGTTCAGTTTTAGTGAATTGACTATGTACACTGTTCAGAGCGGTCAAGCAGGTCCAGGTTCTGATTCTTGGACACTACTTCAGTGCTCAGTGCTCTCGGGTCTGAAATCCCATGATGTTCTGGACTTGTTTAGGCCTGTCATGTAGCAGGTGATGGAAGGCCACCATGCCACCGAATCAAATTTAGAGCATGAATTTACAAGAAGGGCTCTCTTCTCAAATTTAGTCACTGTGTAATGAGCTCCTCCTGGGTGCCTAGTACTGTACTGGACATTTTATATATATTCTCTATATCCCTAAAAACAATCTTGTAAGGCAAGGGTCATTATTTCTATTTTAAATGTGTAAAATTGGACAAATTTCCTAAGGCTATCTGTCTAGCTACCAAGTTAGAGTCAGGATTCAGACTCAAATGTATCTCTCTGCCTGCCTTCCTAAAGCAGGAGGGTTGGGGTACTGGCATCATTTATTGGCATTTGGTCCTGAAAGCTGTAAAAAGATAGAACAGTATACATAAGGCATATTGAATGAGCAATTGTTAATCTTTATTAAGAGTTTATCACTCAATTCAACCCAGTTGTTCATCTTTTTCCTGCTGAAATGGACAGTAGTCAGATCTCAATAACCCGTTTCCCATTGCTATTTGTGAATTGTCAGTATTTATTTTAATGATGGAATCATTTCTTAAGGTAGAGTTGTATGTTTACTTTATAATGTCTGAATTTGGCTCCTTGTAGAGTAATTTTCTGAACGGGAATTGTGCTTCCATTACCTAATTGCAAAAAGTTGCCAAAATTTAAAAAGGCACTGGGAAGAAGAGGCGGTACAAGAATTCAAGTGGATCTCAAGGTCTCACTCTTAAAAGAAATGGAAATATTTTTGGACTGGATTAGCATGACTGAATTATCATCCTATTTGCTGGCGTAATTGCAGTTGGGAGGGGAGAATGAAAGGCATTGCTTTTCTACCCACTTCCTCCAGTGATACTTAAAACTGAACTATGCTATTCATAAAGTAAATCTTTCTGAGTAGTTTGCAGATTTTACCGTCTTTAAAAATGTTAATATACCATTTTAGTACCTCATTCTGAGGAATAAATTTATTCTTAATATAATAAAAACTCAGAAAAAAATGACATCAACCAACTAAAATGAAAGCTCAGACTCTAAGAAAACAAATGCAGATGATGCAAAATACAGCATTGGAAGCTAATGGAAAGGAATACTTCTTAACACTGTCTTACCATCATCAAAAGCAATGAGAAGGAATAAGAATTTACATGCTTTTGGTATGCCCCAAATCTTAATATCTTCCAAATGCCATACATTTCAGGCTTCTACTTTTAATTTTCTATGTAGAATCATGAAATAATATTATTAGTCACATTATACTGGATAGTAAAGTTAATATATTATTTCTATCCTTGCTAATCTTATGTCTTTTTTAGTTTCTGCATGATCTTAGAAATTTGCCAAACATAAACGTGTCAACGTGAAGTTAAGAAGTGAGACTCACCCGTCCCTGCACAGTCTATACTATGCCCTTTCGCAATAGGTATTTTTTCTACCTTTTCTCTCTGTCTCATGTTATGGAATTGTAGAGTCTTTTTATTAATTCTCCTATGTTGGTTTTCCATTTAGAATTCTTCTTCTGATACCTTTCCACATAGTGTAAATGATTTTGTTTTCAATCCATACATACAGAACTTTCCTCTGGATACTAAAAGCCTATGGCCAAATCATGTTGATTTTATTTATTTAAGTCTACAATATGGTAATAAATAGAGTAAGTTCTTAATAAGAGTGCTAGTTTATTTACCATGGCAGTTCTCTGTGATTAAATAAATATGAATATAATAGTCAGACTACTTTACCCATGTGAGGCACATAGCAAGGGAGTTGGCAACATTTTTAACCATATGAGAGGTTTTATTTTTATCTTTGTTGTTTTCAATATTACATAAAATACTTTTGGCTCTAATAAATCTTAATATTATCTCCCTCATCAAGTAGTAGGACAAAATCTCCTAGAGGTAGCTAGTTTTGAAAAATCCACACAAAACCAAAATCATTGTAATCAATTGTAACCAAGCATCAACTCACTTCATCAGAACTAATCACATAGCCCTAAATAAGTCCTAAAATTTCCCAGACAATGCACAGTAAATTTAAACAACATGTCGCATCCTCAAAATAATAATAGAACCATTTTTTACCATTAGTTACATTTTTTACCAAAGACCTGCAGACATCTTTTAATATAATTTACTACAATACACTATGTAATACTAATGATACATTTCATTCAATTTAGTATAAACCTTGTTAACAATGTATGAAAACAAAGAAAAGAGAACAATAAAGTAGCTAATCATTTATTACACTCCAAGTTGCTTTATTTAATAGATTTCAGAGAGAGTAAATTTAGAGAAAGATTGAATTCACAAAGGAGGAAAGACCCTGGGGAGAGGGTCTTATGAAAACCAGAAGTCAAAGAAATGCCTTCCTTATCCTATCCTAAGAAGAACAGTGAAGATTCAGTAGGAGGTCTCTCAAGGCCCAGAGGCAAAGGAATACAGTCTTCAGAGCAAGAGAACATTAGGAGCAAGTGGACTGGACCACACAGTGGGCACTCCTGCTATAAGTGCTCAGTGTGATCATCACAATGACTTTAGCTGAGCTCTATAACTGCTCATCTCTTATTACTTTTTTTCTTTTTTAAGACAGGGCCTCACTCTGTCACCCAGTGGCGTGATCACAGCTCACTGTGGCCTCAGCCTCCCTAGCCTTAGGTGATCCTCCCATCTCAGCCTCCCAAGTAGGTGGGACTACAGGCACATGCCACCATGCCTGGCTAATTTTTGTTTGTTTGTTTTTGGGGGGGGTTCTGTTTGTTTGTTTTTGAGACAGAGTCTCACTCTTGCTGCCCAGGCTGCAGAGCAATGACACGATCTTGGCTCACTGCAACCCCTGCCTCCCTCCCAAAGTGCTGGGATTACAGGCATGAGCCATTACACCCAGCCAATTTTTTTGTTTTTTATAGAGTAGGGAGTTTCGCTATGTTGCCCAGGCTGGTCTTGAACTCCTGCACTCAAGCGATCCTCCTGCCTTAGTCTCCCAAAGTGCTGGGATTACAGGCAGGAGCCACGGCATCCGGCCTGTAACTGTCCATCTCTGAAAATCCAAAGGCAATGTGGAGCCACCTAGCGGCAGACCAACCAATGGTTTCCAGGTCAAAGAATTAAAATTCAAGTCTTTCCTCAACTACTTATTGCCTTTTTGACATTAGACAAGTCACTGAAACTCTTTTAGCCCATATTTCCTAATCTGCAAAATATTGATAATAACAGTGTTTGTGCTAAGGATTGTATGATAATGGAGGCAAAATGCACTTTGTGTGCTGTTAGGCATCATGCAAATGTTACTTATCCTTATCTGTTCACGTGTGTGTGTGTGTAAAACTTTCACATGTCACAAATGGAGAGGAGTAGATGAGAGAATTGCACTCCATGCGATGAGGTTGAGAGTGGGGAGCTATGCCTGGGCAGGAAGCTGCGGATGTGCACACCAGAGCACCTAGGAATATATACACTAGGTGCTGGCAGTAGAAGACTCTGCTGTGCTCTTAATATCATCCAATTGCTTGCACACGTAGCTGATACAGACCAGGGAAAACTGACACCATCTTTATTCAGGGTTCAAACTGAAAAGCAGCATTTCACTGAGGATTTGGTGAGAAATGTATTATACTAATAACATTATAATAACAACCAGCTTAACATAGTTGTAAAAATTAATGAAACCATTTAAGCAAGAGCATAATAAATGTTTATCATTTTGGCAATTTTGCAAATAGTTGTTCAGCTACTGTCACAATAGTTCCTTGTACTCTGCATCTTCCAACATACTTGATGGATTATTATCCCCATAAAGTGCCCGTAAAAGAAAGCAGCACAAGAGAGTTGGCTTATTTAGGATTCTATCAACCAGCTGTTACATCCACCAGCACTTCACCCGTATGATCATCAATATTCATGCAAAATCCCAAAATGCCTCCCAAACATTGGAATAAAATGTTCCAAATAGCTATAGGTTTAGCTGTGTTTTGTGTTTTAATACAGTGAAAATATGAAATCTATTTATGTTATATGTGGAAACACATATCTGCTCTCAAATTATGCCAAATGATAATGTATTTCTTGCTTACTGTTGTAACAAACCACCACAAATTTAGTGTCATCGAACAACACAAATTTAGTATCTTACCATTCTGGAGATCAGAAATCCACAAAAGTTTTACAGAGCTAAAACCAAGGTGTCAATAGGGCTGCATTCCTTCTGGTGGCTCCTGGGGCAAATGTTTCCTTGTCTTTCCAGCTTCTGAAGCTGCCTGCATTTCTTATCTTGTGGACTCTTCTTCCAACTTCAGAGCGCATCGTTCCAACCTCTGCTTTCGGCAGCACATCTTCCTTTCTGACTTTTACCCTCCCTCTATAAGAACCCTGGTGATCAGATTGGGCCCACCCAAGCAATCCAGGATAGTCACCCCATCTCAGGATCTCAAGATCCTTAACTTAATACACCTGCAAAGTCCCCTTTGCCATGGAAAACAATATATTCATAGATTCTGGGGATTGAGACATGAACATTTTGGGAGGTTCATTATTCAGCATACCACGGCTAGTTTACTGTATTATTATTACTTCATCTCTGAAGGAAAATAATGCATTGGCAGCATTAAAAATTTTGTTCAAATATGCCCAGTGAGCCCGTGTGATTGAGCTCCGTCATCATCATGTTCAATTCTTCCTGCCTAAGTCAGTCCAACTCAGGATTTCTCACCCTCAGCACTATTGAAATTTGGACCAGATATTTCTTTGCTGTAGGAGGCTGACCTGTGCATTGTGAGAGTTTTAGAAACATCCCTGGACTTTTACTAGATGCCCATAGACATTCTCCCCTCCCCAGCTGTGACAATCAAAAGTGTCTCCACACATAGCCAAATGTCCCATAGATGGACAAAAATCACCCTCAGTAGAGAACCACTATTCTACACAGAAAGCAGCCAAATTATTGTAATGGCCCCTTTAAGGCAATAACTCTTAGAAAGCAAAAGATCCAGCGATATTAATTAATGACTAATTTAAAAGGGCAAGTGTAAGTCATTTATCTCAGCATTTTTGGCTAAATTTACTACTAATTTTATTTGTCCAAGGAAGTCAGAGTTGAGTTTTATTCACTGACACTAACTCATCTACATGGCCTGTTCGAGTGTAGGGTTACATATGAGGCATTTAATTACTTGGATATCAGACTAAGAGTAGAAACTTAGTATGCAACATCTCCAAAAGCTGTGAGCCCTTAGTGGCAGGAATCAAGTCATACTGTCTTTGTTTCCACAGACCATAATCTCCTCAATCTTAACCCAGCATTATTTCCATTATACTGTGATTGTTCTCAGGCACAGAGGTGATAGCATCTCTAAAAAGATACAGACCAGGCCCTGGAACCCATTTCTTGGTTAATCCCCTAGGCATTAATTCCCAAGCTTTAGTCATTTGTACACTTCTTTTCATAATTTTTGCCATTATTTATTTGGAATTTATCTTTAAATTGACTTACTTTTTTAAACATAGATACTACTTTAGCAATATGTAATTCTTCTACAACACATTAAATTAAATATATGGCTATAAATTATTTAACATTCATCCATGTGCCATTTAAAAGTTTCTCAATATTAGATGCACATATGATACTTTGAAAAACACAGACCTGGATGCAACCAACATCAGCAAAGCCTGAATTTTTAACTTTGAACTCTAAAAATGTCTTCCCATCTATTCAACTTCCTCACAGACGAGAGAACAGCAAAGGACAGTGAACCAAACTGCTCATGGAGAAATGCTGAAAGCGGTCACACCCAGAAAGACAAACTCGGGCTACTGTTTACACACTTTACCTAAAAATCTTCCTTTTTATTTTTCTTTAAAATATGACAGTTAAAATGCATGCCCTTAAAAAACAGCATTTCCAAACAATTTGTACTGACACATTCCACATAAGACATCAGCCCGATAACTATAGACAAAGCAAACTGAGAAATTAGCATTTCCCAAAGTGTATGCCACTGTTTGTTAGTTCTACAGGATCTTAATAGGCATTACATGAGGAAGAGTGGGTGGAGAATGGGGTAAGATCTGTGGTCAAATAGGATTAGGAAATGTTATTAAACAAAGTTAAAATGACATTATAAAACTTCTGATACTTTAATATTCTTCTGTGCTTTGTGAAACTTAAAGGAAAATATATATTAATCAGTCAGTCCTAAATTTATGTGATAAAAAACATTTTTTTCTCTAAGAGCATTTCATGAGACTAATGTCCTAAGGAATGTATTTTGGGAAATCCTGATCTATCTAGATTAGAAAAAATTTTATTTTCCTCAGATGAAGGTGGGAACAAATTCTAGGGTAATGGATATTTTAAAATGCATTCTACCTTAGTTTTTAAAGTCCCTAGAGGTACAGGCTCTCTTTTCTTGATTAACTTTGTTAATCACTGCCTTGCACCCCCAGGGACTCAAAAAATATTATTGGATGTGGATGATGAACATGAAAGACAATGTGGCAGTTATTTTACTGGTGGTAGCATGGTTTGTATTGGCTACCCCTTTGCTTTGAGAAGTAATTAACTTTCATTTTATCTTAACTCATAATGTTCCACAGAATGTGGGCCCTAGTCATCTAAAAACAATCTTTGTTGTAGCTGATATCACCTGAGGAGCATGAATGGACAGCTGTTAAAATTCACGGAATTAGCAAACAGGATATTTTCCCTGGAGGACTCTGACTTCCTCTCTGTGCACAATGCACAAACCTGCAAGGGGAATTCTAGATGGAGATTAAAGCCATGAAATTAGTTAATGCAACAAATCTAATTTTCCTAACAACCACAGTTGACCCCTGAACAATGTGGATTTGAATTGCAAGGGTCTGCTTACACATGAATTTTTTTCAACCAAGCACAGCTTGAAAATTCAGTATTCACAGGATACCAAAAGGCTGACTTTTCCTGTATGCAAGTTCTGCAGGGCTGATGGCGGGCTTGAGCATGCACGAATTTCTAGAACCAATCCCCTGGGTATACCAAGGGATGACTGTGTTGCCTATGTTTGAGGTGAAATTGTGAAAGTGAATGAGATAATGTGGCCAAAATACTGAGCCCAGAACGCCTTCTAAGACAGGTGAACCACAAAATGTCATCCTCAAATGGCTTTTAGCAGCAGAAGCCATATGAGAGATGTAGCAAGTGATATTGTCATCAAACTGATAGTCATGATACCATGAATTCTTATATAGGGTGTACTACCCAACTGTTGTGTGAGCTTGGGTAAATCACTTTGCTTTTCTAGGATCCAGTTTCACCTATGGAATGAGAAAGTTGGGGAAGAAGTCATCTAGCGTCTTGCTACTCAAAGTGTGGTCCATGGACCAGCAGCATCAGCATCACCTGGGATCTTCTTGGAAGAAATGTAGAAACTCAGGCCTCACCCCAGAATCTGCCTTTTTATAAGACCCCCAGGTGGGCCAGTACACAGGTTTGCTAACTCTCTTCCTGGCCCCTCAGACCACTCTCTACCTACCTCACTGCCACCCAGCCACCCTCATGGGGCTTCATTCTAAGGGAAGAATTAGCAGTGAGCTTTTTTTTTTTTTAAAAAAAAAAAAAAAAAAGCCTCTAGTAATCCAAGCCCTCTCTTTCAACAGGTAAGGTAACTGAGGCCCAGAGAGGTAAAGTTGATTTCCTGAAACCAAACAGCTAATTAGGAACAGAACCCAGATTTTGTTATTAGTTTTCCAGTGTGCTTTATTATAACGTTTCAAGAGAATGGTACCAAAGGGATAGGATCAAATTGCCAAGTGTTAATGTTACAACAAATGAATACCAATGCTTTCTTCTTGCAGAAAAGCCCTTTTTTAAGCCTAAAAATGACTACTTTTTAATGAAATCACGTTATTCCTGGAGATACTTAGAGAAGAGTTGAGTTACAGGGTACCTCATTCCTCTTCCAGGTGGTAGCAAAGCCTCAATACTTGGGCCAGATGTTTACTCTCCTCTTTCCTCTGTCTCTCACCACCAACCCCTACTCACACACACCAACCACAACCACCACCACCACCAAGTGTAATTCAATTATGAAAACTGGCAGAAACTACATACATCCATGGTACAAGATGCTCACAAGCCCAGTTTTAATCAATAACTCCTCAGCAACCTGCATTTACCTTGTCTAAAACAACTGAAACCTTCTGTAGCTCAAAAAACCAAGTATGTCTCAAACAACCACAGAAAAATGGATAGTAGGCTGAGAAAATAATATTATGGCCATATCTAAACTAATATTGAGTTTAATGGACATTTGTATATTCCCTGGTAACAAGTCTCTTTTGCCTTGGGGCAATCTTTTCTTTTCCATTTTGTTCCCACTCCTTTTTTCATTCTTGTCACTGACAGTGACCAAGAAAAAAGGCAAGTTAGTACTATCAAAATCAGGAAGAGTAACAAAACCATTTGAATGAACAATTGATCACACTGCATTTGGCCTTAGCAAGTCAAATGTGTTCTTCAATTTGCCTCAAGACTATTCTAGGTTTTGCCTGGGAAAAAGTCCTAGGTACTATACAGTCATGAGCTATATAAAGACGTTTTGGTCAACCACAGACCGCATATATTACAGTAGTTCCGTAAGATCACCATAGAGCTGAAGTCTGTAGCCTAGTCAAGTTGTAGCCATTGTAACATCATAACACAACATATTACTCAGGTGTTTGTGGCAAGGCTGGTATAAACAAACCTACTGCACTGCCAGCGGTATAAAAGTATTGCACATGGCTGGACGCGTGGCTCACGCCTGTAATCCCAACACTTTGGGAGGCCAAGGCAGGCAGATCATTTGAGGTCAGGAGTTCAAGACAAACCTGACCAACATGGTGAAACCTTGTCTCTACTCAAAATATAAAAATTAGCCAGGCGTGGTGGCGTGTGTTTGTAATCCCAGCTACTTGAGAGGCGCGTGTTTGTAATCCCAGCTACTGGAGAGGCTGAGGCAGGAGAATCGTTTGAACCTGGGAGGTGGAGGTTGCAGTGAGCCAGGATTGTGCCATGCACTCCAGCCTGGGCGACAGAGCGAGACTCTGTCTAAAAAAACAAAAATAAAAACAAAAGTATCGCACATGTAATTATGTACAGTTCATAAAATTTGATGATGGTAAATGACTATGCTATTGCTTATGTATTTACTATACCATATTTTTATCATTATTTTAGAGTGTACTCCTTCTAAATATATTTAAAAAAGTTAACTGTAAAACAGCCTCAGGCAGGTTTTCCAAAAGAAGGCATAGGATATGACAGTTCCATGTGTATTACTGTCCCTGAAGTTCTTCCAGTGGGACAAGATGTGAAGATGTGGGTGTGGAGAACAGTGATATTGATGATCTTGACCCTGTGTAGGCCTAGGCCAATGTGTGTGTTTGTGTTTTTAACAAAAGAAAAGTCTAAAAAGTAAAAAGATAAAAGAATATAAAAATAGAAAAACGCTTATAGTATAAGGATACAAAGAAAGAAACATTTTTGTAGTGCTGTACAATGTTTGTTTTAAGCTGTTATTTTAAAAGACTCAAAACGTTAAAAAATTAAAAGGAAGAAATGTTACAATAAGCTAAGGTTAATTTATTATTGAAGAAAAATAATGTTTATAAATTTAATGAAGCCAAAGTATACAATGTTTATAAAGTCTACAATAATGTGCAGTAGTGTCCTGGGTGTTCACATTCACTCACCACTCACTCACTGACTCACCCAGAGCAACTTCAAGTCCTACAGGCTCCATTCATGTAAAGTGCCCTATACAGGTATACTATTTTTAAACTTTTATACCGTATTTTTACTGTAGCTTTTCTATGTTTAGATACACAAATAGTACTGTGTTACAATTGCCAACAGTATTCAGCACAGAAACTTGCTGTACAAGTTTGTAGCCTAGGAGCAACAGGCTATACCTATAGCCTAGGTGTGTAGTAGGCTCTACGATCTAGGCTTGTGTAAGTACGCTCTATGATGTTCACACAGTGACAAAACTGCCTAATGACGCATTTCTCAAAACACATCACTATCATGTGACAGATAATTGTACTTAGAACAAAGAAAAAGTGGCTGGGTGCAGTGGCTCACACCTGTAATCCCAGCACTTTGGGAGACTGAGGCAGGCAGATCATTTGAGGTCAGGAGTTCGAGACCAGCCTGGCCAACATGATGAAACCCCATCTCTACTAAAAATATAAAAATCAGCTGGTCATGGTGCCTGTAGCCCCAGTTACTCAGGAGGCTGAAGCAAGAGAATCACTTGAACCTGGGAGGCGGAGGTTGCAGAGAGCCGAGATCGCACCACTCCACTCCAGTCTGGGCAACAAAGTGAGACTCCATCTCAAAAAAAAAAGAAAAGAAAAAAAGAACTGCATGGTGCCATGTGCACGCTTTGAAAATGATCTTTTTCTCCTCCCTCATAGCATTTAACATGATCATCACATCAGAGAATTGTCAAACTAAATGTGTCAAATCAAAAGTTAATTTCAGTGTTTGTTTTATGCCTGATAAATCTAAATTATCAATTATCTTCCTCATTCTTCAATTCTTTGCTACCTGCAAATCTTTGTACCTTTGAGGGATTCTTTGTTCTTAACCTCTTCATCTTATATAAGATTGCAGGGCTTTATTGATAGATCAGCATTCTTCAGTGTGACAAGATTAGGTGATTTACAAAGTTTAGCCAAATAATAAAAATGTCTAGCATGAAAGGAAGCTAAGAACTGAGCAAAATGCATACCTTCTTGGTTCTCAAGAAGTTTTTTACTACTGGCAGGAGTAAAAGCTGCAGTAAACTCTTATAAAAGACAGATGTTAGGGAATATAATTAACATCCTCTGTGAGCAAATATTTTCTTTTGTTTAGTAATAGTTAAGAGTACTCATCTTAAACCACAATCCAACCAAATAATAAATAAATTTTCCTACCAAGATCCTATAGGAGTACTACTTAATGGAAATATGAGAGCTACATATATAATTATAAATTATCTAGCAGTCATATTTAAAAAGTAAAATGAAACAGGTTAATTTCAATAATATATTTTATTTAGCCAATATTTCTCAAATATTGTCATTTCAACATGTAATCAAAATAAAAATTACTCAAGAGGTATTTTACATTAGTCATAGTAGTCCCCACAAAACATGTTAATCTTAAGAGGTTAGAAGAAAATGGTAAATTTAAGAGAAAAGCATAAATGATTTTTAAACAATTTAAAAGCCATTTTTGGTAATAAACCAGCATTTAAGTCTTAAGATAATTGAATTGTCATGGTCTCTTGTTTTTTGTATCAAAAAATTCCAAGAGAAAACTGAAGAATTTTTTCACCATCATGGGTGAGATTTGCAGTTAGTGGTCAGGTTTCTCCATAAAAAATAAAAATAATTAAAAATCAGAAGACCAGCTGGATTGGATGTTCTTTCTTCTCCTTCCCTCCCTCTTTCTCTTACTCTCTCTCTCTCTCTCCGTCTTTCCCTCCTTCTCTTTTCCTGCTTTTCCGGTCCTCTCTCCCTCCTACTTTTCTTTCTATCATAGCATTGCCACAATTTTTCATCATTCATTTATTTGTTGTTTTCCTTCTTTTTAACATGTATTGCACAAAATATAGGCTCTGTAGAGCAGGAACCAAAGGTTTTGTTCCTCGTTATATCTAGAATACTTGCCCCCAAGCCTGGCACATAAGAATCACTGAAAATTTGTTAAAGAATTAAAAAACAGGCTGGGAGTGGTGGCTCACACCTGGAATCCCAGCAAGCTGGGAGGCTGAGGTGGGCAGATCACTAGAGGTCAGGAGTTTGAGACCAGCCTGGCCAAAATAGTGAAACCCTGTCTCTACTACAAATACAAAACTTAGCCAGGCATGGTGGCAGGTGCCTGTAATCCCAGCTACTCAGGAGGCTGAGGCAGGAGAATTGCTTGAAGCCGGGAGGCAGAGGTTGCAATGAGCCAAGATTGCACCACTGCACTCCGGCCTGGGCGACAGAGTGAGGCTCCACCTCAAAAACAATTAAAAAAACAAAGTAAGGAGTATCAGCTAGGTGAGTATAAAGGTAAATCGTTTTTTCATTAAAAACTCTAGAATTCTAAATATTGTTTATCCTGACATCTGATAGACTAAACAGAAAGAGTGAAGATATCAAAAGTTTCAACTTCTGTAGCACTTTCCATTCCTGGATATTTAAGAACAACTTATTTCAAATATTCTCAAGATTAGCAGGATTTAGAGCTTCTCCAGGTCCTATCCTCAAGGGCAGGAAGGATCTGCTAGGGGCCCCTACCAGGAGAAGCCTGGACCGAAGAGGACAAGTCTGACAGTTGGGATATTTTCACCTAGAGCAACCAACAGCGGCTAAGGCAGAAAGAGAGCTTGAAACAGGGCCAAGGAGGGAAACCAAAGATGGAAGAGCAGATTGGAGGGAACATCCCTCTGAGGGGACAGGCAGACAGCACAGCACCAAAGGTGTTGGAGGCCTGTTTGCATATGGCCAGCCACTGGTGGGAGATTCCATCTACCAGGGCTCCAGCAAAGAGAGACTGGGCAGCCATTCATCAGTCCCCGGGGTTACGCAATTAATGCAGCATCATAACAGAAACGAAGACCAGGCATGCCCACACCAGATTCTGACTACCAGAGTTTAAGGTTGTAACCGAAGTTTCAGAAATAGAGGCATTAGTTTGTAATTCATGAAACAGATTTAGGTATAACCGATTCAGCTCTACTTTGTCATACTTTCACCACCAACCTCTTAAACCCACTTTTTTCTTGAGTTTTCACATTTAACAAAAATAACTTGTTGTAATTTAGTCCATTTGCTATAATCCCCACCGGAAATATACACAAATTTTTTTTTTTTTTTTTTTTTTTTTTTTGAGACGGAGTCTCGCTCTGTCGCCCAGGCTGGAGTGCAGTGGCGGGATCTCGGCTCACTGCAAGCTCCGCCTCCCGGGTTCACGCCATTCTCCTGCCTCAGCCTCCCGAGTAGCTGGGACTACAGGCGCCCGCCACTACGCCCGGCTAATTTTTTGTATTTTTAGTAGAGACGGGGTTTCACCGTTTTAGCCGGGATGGTCTCGATCTCCTGACCTCGTGATCCGCCCGCCTCGGCCTCCCAAAGTGCTGGGATTACAGGCGTGAGCCACCGCGCCCGGCACAAAATTTAAAATAACACAAAGAACTTGAGTGTATATTTCAGCTATCAAATGTTTCCTGTTAACTACAGGAGATATTAAAGGCGTAGCTGCTACAAAGAAAGCTTTGGAATGATTAGATCTGCTAATAAACTTTATAAGTTTATGACTCAGAATTAAATTAGTCAGATTAGGAAGTTAAAAGGAAAACAACCAAATTGTTTAAAATGCTGGAATTGCCTAAAGAGATGGGGGAAGCTGAGATAAAAGCATGTTTTAGGGAGTTAACTGAAAATGCTCTGGCACTAGAAAGGTGACTTGAGACTCTTTCAGCACCTAGGAGTGACTCTAGCTTGAAAAATACACAATTCTAACAATGAGGACTACAAATTCTCACTGACCAAAGATAGTTAAAAGACATGAGATACTCAAGATTCAGTGCACCTGCTTACATCTTGGAAGACCAATTTCTTTGGAAAAATTTGTGGATACACATTCGAGCATTTCTTCTTCACTTCCTAATTTATAACCCAGTTCAGACCAAATTGTATTTTTCTTCTTTTTTTAATAATACTTTAAGTTCTGGGGTATGTCTGCACAATGTGCAGGTTTGTTACATAGGTATACATGTGCCATGTTGGTGTGCTGCACCCATCAACTCGTCATTTACATCAGGTATTTCTCCTAATGCTATCCCTCCCCCACCCCCTCACCCACTGATAGGCCCCGGTGTGTGATGTTCCCTGCCCTGTGTCTATGTGTTCTCATTGTTCAATTCCCACCTATGAGTGAGAACATGTGGTGTTTGGTTTTCTGTCCTTTTGATAGTTTGCTGAGAATGATGGTTTCCAGCTTCATCCATGTCCCTGCAAAGGACAGGAACTCATCATTTTTTATGACTGCATAGTATTCCATGGTGTATATGTGCCACATTTTCTTAATCCGGTCTATCATTGGTGGACATTTGGGTTGCTTCCAAGTCTTTGCTATAGTGAATGGTGCCACAATAAACATATGTGTGCATGTGTCTTTATAGCAGCATGATTTATAATCCTTTGGGTATATACCCAGTAATGGGATGGCTGGATCAAATGGTATTTCTAGTTCTAGATCCTTGAGGAATCGCCACACTGTCTTCCACAATGTGTATTTTTCTTCTTACTGATAGCACTAGTGCTACCTGGCCAGCTCAGAATACAAATATTTATGTAAGAGAAATAGCAGAATTGATGTCAGAGAAGGATCTAGAGTAAGTGTTCAAGTCATTCACTGATTTGAAAGGAAATTATGAAGGATGCCAAAGTAACAGAAAGCTGGATCTCTGCCCTCAATTTCCTTATGTTCTAGTTGGAGAGAGAAAATATACACAATTAGAAGCTAAACCACTCCATTAAAAAAGTAATACAATAGTAGCCCCCAGGCTCCATCACAGCACTTGTCACCATCTGAAATTGCTCTGTGTATGTACTGTATGTATATTTCTTATTTATGACATGTCTTTCCTATTAGAATGTATGCTCCATAGGAGAGACTGAGACTGTTGAATGACGAATGTCAGTGTTAACGTTGAATAAAATAGATCACCTGCAGCTGTATATCAAGGTACTCAAAAGTGATGCCAATAACGTGAGCTCTAAGCATTAGAGGAGGAGTACAGTGAAGTTTTATAGTCAAGGAATGCTCCATAGAAGCGGGGAAGATAAGTCAAATTTGAAGAAGTAGAGAAGGACCACCAAAATGAAGGAGGATGTGAAAAGCAGAAACAAGTGCCACTGGTAGAATAGTTATAGGCTAGCTCCTGGGTTTCTCCACGTGATAAATTCAAAACTAAAACTTCCTCTCACCACACCCACTGCATATGTTCATTAAAATTCCATTCTCTCCATCACATGTATCCAAACTCTACAGCCACTTCCCTACTTTGCTACTACCCAACAGCCAAGAATTGTCCAAGTTCTAGAGACTCTACTCCAGCCATTTCTCTCTCATCTGTATACTCTCCTCCACTCACACCATCAACATTTGAACCAGCCCTCATTAACATTTACTTTAGGTTATCTAAAAGCAAACACTGCACTTGTAAATCACAGCCTGTCTCTGCCTTAGTCTTCTCATCTGTACAGTGAGGAGCTTAGAGGGACTAAATCTGTCCACCTTCCTCTTCCTGCTCTCACATCATAGAATTTTATGATGTTTCTGTCCTCTGCAGAACCTAGCACTGCACTTTGGACAGACAGATGATCAAAGGTTATTTTACATGGATATAATTAACACCAGATAATACTAAGAGAAATTATCTAAGAGCTTCAACTCAAAGACCTTTTAGAGACATTTCTTTCTTAGGCTTTATTTTACTCTCTCAAATACATTTGCACTCTGAGCACAGGGCTTTCTCCATTCTAACCAAAAATATAGTTAATTTTCCATTCTAGGGAAAAAACCGAGCTAAAACTTTTTAATCACAAAATTTTAAGAATCAAGTAAATTCTCCATTCTGAATAAATATTGACATCCTCTTTCTCTCTCCCCCGTCCCACCTCACATACACATACACATACACAGACACAGACACACACACTCTTACACAAACATACCGTCTTTTTTAACATTTTAAGTACAGATCAAGCAGTCTAGTGATAATTAATACAGAGTCCTGCTCATAATGTGTGCTGAAATTCCTGACTGTTGATGAAATAATTAGATGAATAAAAAACAAGATTAGAGAGCAGTGCCTCCCCAGTGCTAATGTGCGCATGAGTCATCTAGGGATGTCACGAAAAGGCAGACTCCAATGCAGTCGGTCTGGACTGAGACCGGAGACTCTGCATTTCTAACCCCCAAGTAATATAGAAACTGCTGCTCTGAGAACCAAGATGCTAACAACAAGGTACGAGGGCACAGGGAAGCTCAGAGATCCTGGTGGAAACTCGCTCATTTTTATAGATGCAGAGCATGAAATAGCGTGAAATGCACGTATACCTATGTAACAAACCTGCACGTTCTGCACGTGTATCCTGTTGCTTTTTTTATTTTTTTAGAAGAAAAAAAAAAAAGAACTCGCGTGAAATGGTGTGCTCCGGGTTTCACAGCTGGTGCTCACAGAAAAGGGACAAGCACAGACAGACAAACACTCCACTGGGAGTCACAGGCTCACCCTCCCACCGCATAGAGACATGCACCCTCACGCTCTTCTGGCCCCACTTGGTACGTGAAGTCACCTTTTAGATGAGCAGCAAGTTTCTCACCACCTTCTACTGTGAGAGGAGAGAAGTCTTCATGTATCATCTTTGTTACTTACTTGTCTCAGTGGGCTTAACCTCCAAACCACCAAAACTGAGAATCAGAAAGAAAACTCCTAATTCTGCCAAACCCATTTGGCTGCCTTTTTTCCATTTTTACCACCTTTACCAAAATCTCAAGAGAAAAGATGACTGTTTTTGAAATTTCTTAAATCAGCTGATTATGAAATCTGAAAGGCCCAGACTTAGACATGCTGTCACTACCAAAACATGGCTGAGTCATCCTTTAAGTTGTGTTGTGTGCATGCATGTGTTTGCATACATACACACACCCTGGCCATGTGTATGCTGGACTTTTGGACCACGTTCTGGTTACTTTCTGGAAGTTCCGTCTCTACACGTGGGCTGCCTGACTTACACTTGGTAAGTTCTAGTAGCTTCCCACGTATAGGCTTTCTCACTCTTACCCCCGTAGCTTCGTGATTTTGCGTCAGGCTCCTAAGGTCAGAAGGTGTTGTTTACAACATGAAAAGCAAAACAAGAGGAATATCCAGACAATAGCATGAATTTCTTTTCCTCTGATAAGGACCAGAGGTCACTCACAGCTCACTGAGAGAGCATCTAAAATCATAGCAAGGCCCCGGCTGAGGCAACTGGGAAACACACTCATTTTTAGTTTAGTCTATTAAGAAAAAGATCAGTCTTGAATTCATTTGGTTTCAATTTACTTTTCACAAAACACATATGTAGTAAAAGATCTTGGGTTTGTGTTTTCCTTTCTGCTTGCAAATTTCATCCCATTTAAAACATGAAAGGAGAAAAATAATGGTGCTAACTAGAGCCAAACAAAATATGGGTGGTCACAGTACAAACTTTCCCTTAGAAAGCTTTACCCCTACACATAATGGGTGAGAATTTTCCTTACTAGAGAAAGAGAGGCATGTCCTTTGGCAGTGGAGTATTTTGTTATCAATGAGACACAACACATGCCTGCAGGGATCTGCATTCTCCTCCACTTCTTAGAACCCCAGAGTCTGTAATACAAAAATGGAAATTAGAGTAAGCAGAGGTTTCATTGAGTGAGAGGTGTTATCCTCCTAATTTTGTCCTCTTGAAAGTAGTTTAATTATTTTCTTGAATTGTGGAGTCCTTTTCCAGTCTGTTTCTGAATCTCTCAGCTATCAACTTCCAACTTCTGGAGTTATATAACTCTAGAAATCATTAATTTTAGATCTGGAAGATCATCCTCCATGCATGCCTCACTGAGGCCTTTTCAGGGAAATATTAATATTTCTTAATTGGAGACAGGGCCAGGACTTCTGATTCACAATCCCATGCTCTTTTCACATAGTTATAATATGGAAAACTATGTCAAGTTTACATGAAAGAATGAAAAACTTAATTAGAAAGTACTTTGATATTATTGGGACCCATTACTCTCCTCTACCCTCTCATATTTTTGTTGTTCAGAAGGAGCCTATGATGAAGAATGAGGTAATATAAGCCACTAACTATGCATGAACCTAAGAAGTTGTCTCCTTCGTAATGTTATTTAAAAGGCAATAGAAAGACTTCTGCTAACTGTCTCCCAGCCCTACCACACATCAACAGCATCCACTCTTAGATATTCTGAATTTCGGGCTAAGCATTACCCTCTCTAGTACCCTGTCATGAAATTTAAACATTCCTGAGAAATGATACTTAAAGTCATTAACAAACAACTCTGAGTTTGTCTATAAGACACTTCTCCCCATAATGGGAGAAATAGAGCCTTGGTCTGAGTATCAGAAAGCCCACAAAAAGGAGAAAAGTGCAGAAAAGAGAGATGAAGTATGCCGAACTTAACTTGCATCACACTTTTGCTTAAGCCAGGTCTTAACCATTATTGTCATGCAATAAAATACAAGTAGCAAAATTCACTTAGAGTCTAGTTGCCTCTAGTAACTGTAGCTAAGGACTGACTAGTGTCCAAAGAGAACATAAATAAAGATAAGTTATCATTTCCAATTAAATCAACATGTTTTTGACTACTAGTATTCCAGGGGCAATACAGGGGAGATTTCAATTCCTGTGAGTGATGATCAACATGATGACAATGACAGCTAATGTCAGGTGTATCAGGTACTATTCTAAGTACTTTTATTCATTCATTTATCAATTCATTCATTTATCCAACACATGCTTACTCAGTACCTGCTATGGGTGAGGCATTGTTTCAGTTGCTGAGCCTTCATGAAGCTCACATTCTAGTAAGCAGTCAGAGTTAGCAAGCAAGCAAGTATATGCAGAATGTGTCTGATGGTGTAAAGTGCTGTGGAGAAAAATATAGGAAGCTGAAGAAAACGTGTTGTTAGGTGGAGTTGCTTTTTTATAGACATGGTCAAGGAAGGCTTCAGGGTAAGACCTAAAGGAAATGAGGGAGTGAGCTATAAGGATTTCAAGACAAGAGAAAAGCCCATGCAAATATTTTGAATGGGGGGCATGTTTGGTGTGTTTGAAGCAAGGAAGCTGGTGAGGCTGGGGCTTAGTAAGCAAGGGGGAAGAATGGCAGAAGCTGAAGTCAAAGAGGAATCCTCAATATGCAGGACCTCATAATGCATCAGCAAGACCTTGGTTTTCACACTAATGAAGATAAGGAACTAGTGAGGGTATTGAGCAGAAAAGTGATGTGATCTGAGTCATATTTTAAGAGAATCAGTCTGGCTGCTCTGTTTAGATTAGACTCCAAGGAAACATATGCAGGTGCTGTATTAACTGATTTACGTCTCACAAGCTATGAGATTTGCGCTGTTTCCCATTTTACAGATGACAAAACTGAAACGGAGAAGTCACACAGACGGTGAATTGCAGAGCCAGGAGAACAGCCCTGGCAGCCGGCTCTGGAGGTCATGCTATTAACCTTTACACTCTACCCCTCCTGAAGAAAGATGTTAAATGCAGAGGCAAGGAAAATTGGTGCAAATATCATTGGAATGAGATCACTAGGGGTTGTCCTAATAGGGAGAAGAAACATCATTTTTCCTCATTCTATTGTCATTATTTCACAGACCATGTTGCACTTTGTAGAAAATAAGTCAGAAATACTTGACTGTGTCACATTGTTCAAAAGGAGAAAGTCTATTACAAGGCAGCAATATCGGAGTTATTAGTAGAATTTCATATTGACTTTGTTTCGGTTACCAGAACTGTCAACTGCAATACTGGAAGAGGGCCTTGCACATTTCTTTGCCAGGCCTGCCCAGCACAAAGTTAAGAGGCATGTGGAAAGAGCCAAAGTTTGCTTTCAGTGATCTCTCTGTTGATATTACCCATTCAAGATTTTCAACCCTCACTCCTAGACAACCTGTGTTTCTCTAATTATTTAAAACTTATAAAGAAATTCTCCACAGTGGATATATTTTTTACTCACTTCTCATCTATGGTTTTTTTTAATTCAATGCCTTGTTGCCAAAAGTTCTAAGAGAAAGTTGTCATTAAATGCTTTGAACACTATCTTAAAACAAAAAGAAGCATAACTAAATTAGCTTCTTTCATGATGTGCCAGAATTTTAGAACCCTTAAAATTAGATGTGTAATGTTAATAAAAAGCTGTACTTTTTACACAATTATGTAAAATGTTTACATATATAATTAGGTAAAATGTAACTACAGATACATAAATAATTATGTACTAAAAATAATACTTTAAGAATGATTTTTTTCTCGTTCACTTTTTTTAAAGATTGTCTAAAAATTGAATGAATAGAATGAATCCCAACAGATAACCAAGAAACAAATTCAGCTCAAAGAGAATCTATTTAGTGCCTTAACACTTTAAAGGGAAAGCAAAAGCGGTACTACACGTAGGATTTTCCTACACTCAAAGATTTTGCAACCTTGTCAGAAGGACAAGGCTTATATCTTTTTTTTTCTGTTTTTTTTTTATTAAACTTTAAGTTTTAGGGTACATGTGCACAACATGCAGGTTTGTTACATATGTATACATGTGCCATGTTGGTGTGAAGGCTTATATCTTTTATACTGAAAAGAAAAAATTGCAAAGATAGTAGTTAATATCAGGGTCGAATTACACAGAGCAGCAGCCCCTGCTCTTTGGAGCAGTCTTGGGGTCAGCTTCCTGCCAGCACTGGCCGGCTGAGTCCTCACTCCATCCTGCTGTCAGGTTTGGTCCATTCTCCAAGCCCTGCAGACTCTGAACAATCTGGGTTACTTTGCATTATTACACTTCCAAAGTACCAATCTGAGTCTTATAAAGTGCATACTTTGTAAGTCTTACAAAGTGCACCTCTAGGAGTGCTGCAGGCTTTTCTTTCTTTCACCCACTTGGAGAGCCACTGATAAAGCTGGAGTTTTAATTGATTTGAGAGAGGAGAGGCTGAGCCAGGCAATTTTGAACATGGATCCCATGAACAGGGTGGCAGACCTAGGGGAAGTTCCCTGCAGGCAGTGTAGGGCAGCAGGAAGGGACTAGATGTCCAGAAGTTTGGGAAATAATATATTGCAAGGCAGAAGAGGAGCCCAGCAAGAAATGTACCTTTCAAATTTGACAGGTGTGACTCCGTACCTCAGAAATAGATGACAACTTTCTCTACACCTTTTTTTCTTCTGGCCTATATGTTGTTCTCCTTCCAGCCCCCGCAAAACAAAGTAATGGTAGAGTTATTTAATTCAAAAACCCAGTTTCCCATTCGAATCCCCAAGTAGTTCTGACGTACGTCCAGGTTAGTGAATCATGTAGAAGTTAATTTATTCATTTAACAAATTTATGGAGCCTCTGTTATGAATTAAGTAGGCCTCTGAGGGCCAGCCTAATGTCCAACTTCCACCATTTCTATAGGCAATCTATGTTCTGAGCTTCTAACTACTGATTTATGCCATTGGGAACTCGTCCCAGTGGCAAATAGAAAGGTTATTTGTATTCTTTCTCTATTAGAATTTACATGCTGCCTTCACCTTAATGTAAAGAGAGCACTGGAATCCAGAAGAAGGGACAGCAGACCCCTTGATTTTATTTATTTCTCTCCCTTTCTTTGTACTTGAATTATTTGCATGCTAAGAAAGCCTCATGGTACAATTTTTCTAAAGGTTCCAAGAGAGGTATCTATCATAATACTGGTTGATAAAAGTCTAATACATGACAGATCAATTTATATAACAGTCAGCACAAAAAGACAATGATTCATGTTCCTAAAATGAGAAGATCTCAAAAGTTCACTGATTTATAAGAAGCAGGGAGACTTTGCTCTTGTTTTGGGGATGAATAAACTCCTGCCCCCCCGGTATGATATTTTTTGGGGGAGTCATAATGAACACAATAAAAGATAAATAATTATTTTATTAATTTAATTCATCCAAGTTTAACATTTTCCCAGCATAGAACAAATATGATGATAAATAAGTAATAATACCTACTTTTAAATGTCAATTTTTTTCTTAGCATACATTACATTTTTGTATCTTTCTATTCTACACTTTCATAAATATCTTAGGTATTTTTAGAAAAAGATCCAAGTCGTATGGTCCTTAATTATAACTACAGTGAACTGAGTGACAGGTAAATAAATTACTGTTAGGTCAGGAAAAATATGTAGCCTGTATACACACTTTGGAAAAGGAGAGGGCAACATCGTCTCACCTTCTGTACAACCTCACCCTACTCCACTATACACCCCACAAAAAAGACCACACAGGTTTGTGTTTGTGCCTGCCCTCCTCAGTACTGGAAAAATAGTGATAGTGTGAACTTTTGACAGTAGGAATGGATGTTAATCTCTGGTTCAGGTCTTCTATTTTCCTAACATAATCTTATTTTTAAAAGCAGAGGAAATTTTCTCAATGAAAACCAGCTTTGTTCCCAGAGTGGTTTTTTTCTATTATTTATTCCTTACCTAGAACCCAGCTCAGGAGAACTGGATGTTCAGTCATTTTCTGAAACAGAAGGTGCTAACCATATCTGAGGCAGTCATTCTCCTAAGAAAAAATAGAGAAACATTGCCAAACCCTAAAAAGAGTTCCAGCACTAGAATTCCAAAACTTTAAACATGTTTTCAGACTGACAACCTTGTGTTGTTACCAAATGCCCTTTATCTTTGATCATAATAAACAGTTCTGACTCCTTGGCTGGTTAGGACTGGTTAAGTCCAGAGTTTGTCGGCTGCCTTCACCATAAAACTTAAATGACATCAATTCAGTCATCTTGATGTGCATGTTTTCATATCATTTCTAAATAATTAACTCAGCTCTGTCCTTTACAGCTCTGCAATGGTAGATTTTAGTAACTACTTAAGAAAGGTTTATAAACTTTACTGTTCATGAATAATATTAGGTTTTCTTGAAATCACCGCAAAAGGGACATTCTCATAGAGCACCCGGGAAGAGAGCTAAATGTAAGTAAAGGAGCTACACCAATCTAGTTTGATGAACAGTGCCTTGGATTGTTTTATATACATGTTTTCAAATGTTTAGCTCTCCTTGTTCTGAAAGGATCTGGATCAACTTACAATGATACAAATAACATAGTAAGATAAAATAGATGAAAAATAAGTAAAGAAGATGAGTTAAATTGGAACTAAGGACAGAAAAGTGAAATGCAGTATGGTGAAGAGGATACCCTGAATATGTATGAAGACATGCTGTTGTGAGACGGAGTTGTGAAACAGAGGCCACAGGTAAGGCCCCGGTCTCTCTAGCAGGCCCTGTGATAAGGGAAACATGTTCAATTATCAAAAGACACACAGTAAATTAACCCACTTCTCACCACCATTGCTGACACACTAAGAGGGTAGAGCTTCACTGGTCTGAGAAAAGATGCAGTACAGCACTTTCTGAGCTGAATAACCAGGCTCTCAAGCCCTCAGAGGGCACCAGGTGTTGGTTTGAACTCACATCCAACTAAAGAGCTGTCTGCTTCATGTTAGTGGTAAAACCAAGGAGCTTCAAACCCTCAGTTAGCTAACTATTGTCCTCCTTGCTTCTGCCTGTAACTAGCCATCACTCCCGAGGGAGTGCAGGTGTTCAACTCTCCCTGACAAGCATGGCAGGTGTGTTTAGGAAAAGGTCACTGGGCTGTCCCTTGCGTCCTCTTGATTTTGGTCCCTATTCGCTAGGTAAGAGTTTAGGGAAGACAGAGGATCTACATGATTGGGCCCACGCCCTGCCGAACTTGGGGCACTTCCAGAGACAAAACTGCAGAAAGTGCCATCTAGTAACAAACACATAAAATAAATAAAACAAGTAAGAAAAGTAATAAGATTAAAAACCTGCTAGTCTCTGTCCATGTATATATGTTTAATAAAATAATAGTTAACCTTAATTGAGCACTATGTGCAGATACTGCTCTAAGAGCCTTACATTTCATTCAAGTAATCCCACCAATAACCCCATGAGACAGATAGTGTTTTTATTATTATTATTATTTATTTTTTGCAGAGGCAGGGAGAGGTTAGGTGACCGCTTCAAAATCACACAGCCACTAAGTGGGACAGTTAGGATTTTGACCTAAAAGTCTTACTCCAGAGCTCCCCTCTTAGCTGTGAACTCCATCCAGCACCTTCTTTGCCTCATCCTTCACCCTTCAACAACACACATTCCAGAGACTACTGTGTCTGATTTCTTTTTTCTTTGGTTTAGCATGATTTCCCCTCCATTTGAAAAAAATTAAGGGAAAATCACAGAGTGTTTATGGTGCTACCCCTACATCATCCTCAACCACTTCTCAAAGACGTCACTGCTTATGTGGTGAGCAGGCATCCAAGGGTGCATGCACTGAATTCTGTCATAGAACTGGAAACTGAAGAAGATGCCAGATGCCTCAAGACAGACTGTGGTCAGAGACATAACTCAGGGGGAGTGCCTGTCCCTAATTCCTCATTTCTCCTTCATTGTTGGGTCTCCATTCCTCTTTGCTCCACATCAAAAGCTAAGACACTCACTTCTCTAACTTGGCCCATTGGCTTGCCTTGCCAGAAAATCACCAGCTTGAATCATTCTGATGATAAAACCTTCCACCCGAGGCTGGAGCCCACTTCCTCCGCCCTTCTTTGATCTCTGAAGAATTTTTCTTTTTCGGAAAAACCATACTGGCAAGCACACCAAACTCCTTCACATACTTGAGATTTTACAGTGGCTTTCTTGGAACCCTGTTGTATTTTACATGTTAGTTGATCTCTGCTGGATAGGGCCCCACAAGGACCTGTTGACACCTCACAGCAGAATTTCACAAAATGTTCTAGGGAGAGATAATTTTCTAATTATAACACCAAATTTTGCTTATAAAGGCATTTTCCAACCACTTCATTTCCAGTAGTGGGAATAGTCTGAGGGTGAAATTAGACCCGGGGTGCATACTTTTCTTTCTTTCTATTTTTTTCTTTCCTTTTTGGTATTAGGAAGTATTTCCTGGAAAACTAGGCCTTGCTTTCCAAATGCTCACCTGAGAATGCAACCCTAAATGTTACCTTCCTTAGACTAACCCCTGGAAGCAACAACACCAAGGCTCTGCCCCTGGACAAGCAGGCTTAACACCCCCACCCCCGCCCCGACCAAGGAATGTAGTCTACCCTTCTGGCCATCTTGGCCCTTTTTGCTCTTTCTGTCTGCCTAGACATCTTGTCCTCCAACCACCAGTTAGAAACACAACTACTTCTCATCCTTTCGACCTTTTTCACTCTCAAGGCAGCCTTCCCTGACCCACTATATCAGTGTTCCCCAAATGTGGCCTGTGGACCACCCATATCAGAATTACCCAGGGCCTAGGGACCTGAATTTTAACAAACTCCCATGAAATTCATATACACATGAAAGTTGGAGAACGTCTGCTCTATACTGAGTTCAGTCTCACACTCCACCCTTCCATAGTCCCTGTCTAACCCTGCATCATACTGGTAATGACCTTTTTAATGTCTATCTTCTACATCAGAACATAAACTCTCTCAGTACAGGGACATAGTTGGGTTTTCAAAGCTTGGCAGTCTCTGGCTTACAGTTGGTGCTCAATAAATATTTATTGACCCAAATTACAGCAAATAAATTTTGCAGAGCTATTTTTTAAAAGAAATCCTGTGTTTCAGGAACTAATCTCACTCCACTTTTTAAAGAAGGCAATAAAGCAATCAAAAGATGTTTCTATGAGGAATTTAACCAAAAACTAGTACCCACAGAATGTCACATGCCTCTCCATATTGAATCTGACTCCATATCTATTTGGTTTGACCTGTGTGATCACATCAATGTTGTGAATAGCAACAGAGGCATTATCAGTGATTAAAATTAATTTCTTCCCAGAAGATGAGTGTTATGGTGTAATGTTTTTTGAAATGTTTTTAAGAACAAAGCTTAAGATGCAAAGAATTTTCCTATCAAGATACAGCTAAAGAGAGATAGTGACGCATAAGGAAATTCCTTTTAAGAGCCAACTCCCTTCTTCTCATGTGTGAGGAGAACCTAGCTATCAGGCTATTTATTTTGTTGGAGGGGACAGGGGAATCTCAGAATTATACTTGCTATTTAAATAGCCAGTATAAATTTTTTAAACCATACACTCATTCAAATGCCATTTAACTCTGCATTTCATCAAGAGTATGCATGCATGTATGTGTGCATGTGCACACACATTTAACACTAAAAAGGCTGTATCGCTGAAATAAAATTCTGAGTTATATGTTAAACTAGAAGAAGATGACCTGGAAATCCCAGAGCAGAGCAGCAACACTGTCATCCATGGAACTGGGATATTTCCCAGACTTTTGCCTGCGCTACTCACCAAATATTCTCTTTGCCCCACCCACAAAGGAAATGGCATCATGGGGAGGAACAGGTTGTGACACAGCAAAAATCACAGGGCATAGAAAATAAGCCCACTCCACTATCTCCGTCCCCTCCAAGCACCAATAGGAGGATTTAATACAGAAAAATAATAAAGTTATGTATATTTTAAGGAATGTCAGTTATGTCCAAATAAAAGGGACATTGTTAAACTAAGCTAAGTTGCCAGTGGCCCATAAGCAAAATTCCAAATAACATTTAATGAACCAAAGCTGTGGAAATTCGAGCATAAAGAAAGAGGTTTTTCACAAACCTTCCATGAGTTTAATCCACTTGGTCAGCTACTGTCAGGAGGAGCAGCCAGTCTGTTGGCTGTGAATAATAATGTTTGTGCCAGGCACAGGTGTGCTAACATGTGGACCAGGCATGTGTGTTATTAATATTATTATCATTATTCCTATTTTATAGATGAGACAGGGTTAGAGACATTAAATCACTAGCCCACATTCACACAAATGGCTAAGTGGTAAAGTTAACATCCAAAATCAGATTATATGAGTCCCAGGTCAATGCTCCCTGCACTATTAAGAATCTGGAAACTTCTGCTTAAAATCATAATATCTTGAAGAAGTAGGTAAATGTGAGGTAGAAAAAATATATACTTTATTTTCTTGATGGAAGTTCTGGCTCCACTCCAGGGCCTTACCCAAAGGTGATGAAATCCACCATTTTGGAACTCTTAATGGGTACCAAAAGGCAAATATGTTCTCAAACTATAAATGGTGGAGGAGAGGGTCTTGAAAAAACTATCACTATAGGCAATTTATTGTGACAATTCCAAGACTATTTTCTAAATTATTTTTTTCAATTGCAAATCTTCACAGTGGTCAGTCCTGCTTTTCACCTCATTACCTCACATATGAAATCACTTCCTTTTCTGGTTTAGAAGTAAGAAGACAATTTGAAAGCCTCAGACTTGAAGAAACAACAAACAAGAGAAAGCCCCCCAAAAGGTGATCGTTATTCAGTAGTTACATAAAAAGGGAATTGAACTAGAGTCTGAAAACACAGGGAAAGTAAGTCACTAATAGAAACAAATGTAATAGTCACCATATGATTAATTGTTTTGTTTTCAGCCTTCTGAAAACCCTTTCTTTTCTCTTCTCAAAACCCATTCTCGCCTTTCTTTTTCAAAACTCCTGGGATTCTTTTGCACATCTGCAAAACCAATGTCAGTTCCAGGTTCCTATTCTGGTGTTGAACCAATCTGGCCTCCAGCCTTGGAAAACGAAGCCAGTTCTCACCAGACAAACAAATGGAAGTGACCTAATACCTGGGGGATGTGGGAGTGGGGCCTCGACTGATAAATGGCAAAGGATTTCAGGCCTATCTGGTCCTCAGACCATTGACAAACAGAATCACATCACGGCTTAGCAGCAAATTGATGCAATCATAGGAAAAAGGTGAATTTTACTTTGAGAGTAGAGAGAGAGTATATGGGATACAGAGAATTATAAGGTCAAACTAAGTAGTTGTATTCTTTTTAACAGAATGATTTTATAAAAATAGTCAGCAACATAGGGATAATATTTTCTACCTCTCTATCTTCCTAATGATGATTTATGTCTATCAAACCAAGGCTGGTGGGGGAAAAAAAGCATTTTGATGCTATCAGTAAATAGAAGTAATACTCTTGGTTTGTGACTTTCTTTCCACTAATAAAAATACTTGAGCCTTTCAGGGTTTTGTTGACCTCTATTAAATTCAGGTAAACTTGGAAGTGAGCAAAACAGAAAACCTGTAGTTCTTGGAAAGCAATAAAGTCATACTTTGAAATTGAAAGGTTTTAAAAGGTTAGAAGAGAATGCATTTGGGGCCATTTGTGGCAGAAACCAAAATCAGGTGTTATTATCCTCACCAACAACCATGAAAAGAAACTTAGTTATTTGTGACGGTTCAAGTGGTACTTTCTTTGAGGAAAAAGATTCCAAACAATTCCTGGAAACTCTACCTCTCTAAGAAGATGGCATTTTTGTGAATTGAGGATAAAGGCATCAGCAACATATGGAGTACATTTCCCTTTATAAAACTGATTTGTTTAAAATTGAGGGGAAAACCGCTTGGCAAGGCATGTTGGCCAAGCCAATGGCAAAAAGTCATTTCAGTTTATTGTGATTCTTTTCCATAGTCCACCTCCCAGCCTGTCGGACATCCGGGCTCATGATTTATAGGCCCTGAATTGAAAACCAAAGGCAGCTGAGGATGCCTAACAAATATGACTTTCTCTTGGCATATGAAACACAACATTTCCTTTTCTGCCCCATATCTGCAGAGATGATGGCATAAAAGGAAACAGCTAAAGATTTTCCAGAAACAAGGTGAATTTGAAAAAGCCTCAGAAGTGGCTGTTTTTTGAAGGATTACTTAGTCTAAGGAAGAAATCCCAGAACTGAGAATTAGACAGACATGGAAGCTTTCCAAAAGTGGAGTGACTTATCACCCTGGCTTGCCCAGGTCTCTCCTTGTTTTATTGCTGAACGTCTTGCATCCCTGGAAACCCCTCAGTTTCAGGCAAACTGGGAAAATTGAGCCATAAAGGCAACTGAAGTCTATAACAGACTTGAGATGCCTTTCTTTCTCTACATTTCTCTTTTTCTCTACATTTGAGCCAGAAAGTCGTCTCAAGTCTTTTATAGACTCAAAAGTAGAGAAAGGAAGGTTTTCACAAAGTTGAGAACAGTTTGTGCAATGTGAGCAAGGTGGAAAAGAGTAACAAAAATTCTGATAATAGTAGCTAATATTCATGTAGTCCTTGATTTGTGTCAGGCCTCTGCTGTGTGCTTTACAAACATTATCTCAGTTAATCCTGATTACAGTCCTGAGAGTTACTTCTTCTTATTGTCCCCAGTTTACAGATAAGGAGGCTGAGGAACAGAGAAATTCAAGTAACTTGCCCAAGTTCACACAAGTAGTAAAGATAAAGCCAGAGTTAATGTCATGAAGTACATTGAACTTAACCAAGAACAACCCCTTCAATCTTCCACCACTTAGTCTTCTCATGCCCCACGTGCAGTCTCTTTAAATTTTAAGATGGAATTAGAACAGGACATAGTCTTATTTTTGCTACCCCAAGAACTTGCTAGATGCCAGATGCTCCCTCAAGCAACAGATTAAGAAAAAGAGAAACCAGTAAAGCTCACACTTGTTAAATGGCAATTGGTTTAGCACCTCCTAAAACAGAATCCACGAGCTTCTATGGAATAAAGCTACAAACTCTTACAGCAAGGTTACTTGAAACCTGCATCAGTAAGACGTTCAGTGCCTTCCCTCTAAAGCATTCTTTCAACCGTTGATCCTGGGCATTGGGCAACCTCTGGTGAGCTAAGCACCTTGCCAGACGGCTGTCATGAGCCCTGTTTAATCCTTCTCTCAAGGAGCAGTGGTATTGTTTCAATAAAGTTGCCACTGTAATTGCTTGGCTTACCGTTTAAGAGTATTATAAGTTCTGGGAATGGATTTGTGAAAAAAAAAATACAATTAAAACAAATTTTAACAGTGTTCTATTGAGTATGTAGTTGCACAAGAGGAGCCAACTTGCCCCAGGCTGGCCACTGGAGGATTTATCTTATAGAAGAAGCTGTTTTACTTAATCTGGTTTCCTATATAAAAACAGAATGCCAGGAGCCTGTGGCTCTGATGAGAGGGGAGGAGAAAAAGACATTATGGTTGTATCTCCAGGTTAACACTTAAAAATCAAGGCAAATGAAAAACACAACCAACCCGGGAGTTTAACCATAGATGCACTTGGATGACAAATTCAGACTTCCATGTTTTAAATGAGAGCCCCTGACATAGCTCTCCCTGGACGTGTCTAAAAACACATGTATTTATGATTAGTGGGCCAGAGTCCACCACCACACAATTGTGGCTGTAATGCAAGTAGCTCTATCTTTTTTGTATTCAGACCATCTGTTTTCAACTTAGTGCTGTACTGGACTTCCTAAAACCTGACCTACCTCAACGTCATGACCAGAGATTACATTCTATTTTCCCCAAGGGTGCCCTCCACTATGAAAGAAAAGCATAAGCATTTGGACAGGCTGGCTGGAAGGCAGCAATTTCTGAAGCCTATCCCATAAAGTTCCCAGATTCTCAAGGAAACAAGTGACTCATGGAGCTCTTGATTTAGGTAGCTAGTGCTTCCACAGTGTTAACAGAAGAATGATGAAATGGAATCTATCTGAGAAACTGACCTTTGTTCTGGGGCTATTACAACTTAAATATACTCTGCATCCTACTGGCCACCTGTGAGCAGCTCCCTTTATGTTCATTGACAATAGTCCCAGGGACCTGTTTCCATCCATTTATCCATCATTCATTTATCCATCCATTCTTCATTCATTCAACAAATATTTAAGCCATGATCTTAGGCTCTGGGAATAAAGTAAAGTACAAGGCAGGCAAAATTCCTTATCTAAAAGTGCTCACACTCTAGTGGAAAGACAGATATTGAATAAGAAAACAAATAAATAAAATTTTTCAGATGACGAGTGCCATAAAGAATAAACAGAGGTGTGCCATAGAGGGAGAAGGAACCACTTTACATAGGGAAAGCCCCTCTGAGGAAATAACACTTTAGCT
Organism: Homo sapiens; assembly: GCF_000001405.40. Taxonomy (NCBI): domain Eukaryota; kingdom Metazoa; phylum Chordata; class Mammalia; order Primates; family Hominidae; genus Homo; species Homo sapiens. The sequence goes on from NC_000003.12 coordinate 99,714,905, forward strand.
ATTTTATTTAGGAATAATTTAAAAAATTGAAAGAATAATATTCTAAACCAAAGGCATTGTAAATGCGAAGTCCTTAGGGAGCAATAAGCTTGGTGTGTTTCGGGAATAGCAAGGTCTTTGTGGTTGTAGGAAAACAAGCACAGTATAGTCAGGTTATGATGGAGTTGGAGATTCACATAGGACGTCTAGCCTAAGGGAACTTTGTGTGTCATTCTAAAACCACCAAAATGTCATTGAAAGATTTGAGGGAAGAGAGGTGACATGATCTGATGTATAATTGTAATGAATCTATATGGCTGCTGGGTGGAGAGTGAGAGGTCAGGAGGGAGGCAGGATACAAGAGTGGTCACAGGAAGAACATTTAAGAGACTGTTGCAGTAAACAAATGAGAAATGATGGTGGCTTGGACTATTAGTGAAGACAGTAAGAGGTGAATATATTAGGGATTTGTTTTAAAGATAGAGCTGACAGGTCTTACAGACCGTTCAGATGTGAGAAACAAGGGAAAGAGGAGAATGAAGAATGATTTGAAGTACTGGGCTTTTGCCCTTGGGTAGGTTGTAGTGCTCTTTCCTGAGACTGGCTCCCCATGAATAACCCTAATCCAGAGAGGTAGAATGAGTTAACTGTTCTCCATTTTATCCATGTTGTCCTGAGAAGCAGGAGGCTCTTTATGTATCAGAACTTGTACCTGTAATGACAGTTCCCAACCTCCCAATCCTTTTTTCTGCATTTATCTCAGAACAAGCAAAAATTTGTTGGAGCCGGAGCTACATAAGCTGTCAGCAAAGAAAGAATAATTTTTTTTCTAGAATATAAAAACATGAGAGAACAAGCAAAGACATGGCTTTTTATTTTGCAGTCCTCCCCTCGAAATGAATGATTTTATTGCATCACTCGCAAGTGGGAATACTAAAGTGGGGTTGGGGTAAAGTCTTGAAGTGTTTACTCTCTAGACCATTCTGCAAAGACTAGTGGACTCCTGGAGATGACTCTGAACACTCTATTGGATTTCCCTATTTCATGGAGTCTGTGACAGAGAATTAAAAGGTCTTACGCCTTCACTCTGGGCTATTATTTCTCAGAATGCCTTTATTACAATAAGTATATTTTACAGTGGTATAACCCTTTTCGTCCAAAGGTAGAAGAATTTGCAATCAGCAAACTGATTGCTATGTGATACACATTTGAGTCCAAATTAAAACTTGGTGCACCACATCTCAGTTTGCCATACTCCATCATACACAAGTGGGTAATTACAGGGCCAGAATTAACCAGGAGAGTACAGAGTAATAGTCATTTTAGTAGAATTATTTACTAAAACTTGTTGATGCATGAACATAACGCAAAAGATTCTCTTGAGCAATCTAATTCTCACATTGGTGGGGTAGCACTTTTTTATCTGAATTCTTACAGCCTATGAAACCTCACCCATCAGACCAGCATCTTAAACATCGAGGCAGTTGCACTGGAAAAAAATACTTGTAAGACAAGCATTCCATCAGAATGATTAGCACCAAAATGCAAATTCATTGACTACCTGAAGATAATACATAGATTCATTTAATAATATTGACAGTGAAATTTTTATATGCATGTTCTAAAATGTGCTACAAAAAGGAAGCTTATTAAATAATAAGAATTTCAATCAGCATAGTCTGTCAACAATTCCAAACAAAATCAAAACCCAGACAGAAAACGTAGTAGGTGTCCTTCCTGTTACATCGGATGACTCATGATCCCCCTCCTCAAAAGCCCTATTAGTGACACAAGCCACAATTACAGCTAACCCTCAGCACTTCTTTGCATGACACTTGAACTGAGGAAAAAAGTATTTTTCTAACCCTTTGGTGCTGAATATTTGACCCTAAAGCTTGCTGTTTGCTCCTTTTTTGTCTCAATCCTCATGACTACAAATGCTATTATTAGTCATAAGGTTGTTCAGTCCCGTTTAAATTCCAGCCATGGCATTTGACTCTCTGGCCTAAACATAATAGGGAACTCAAAATCCTAATTATTTCCAAGGGGTCTAATTCTTCAGCATTCACTTTGAATTTTCCCAGCTTCATATGGAATCAAGGCCTGTGTTAAATGTTAGCAATGTTATACCTCTGAATTCTTCACTGAGCATGGAGACAATGCTTCCTATCAAAAAGTGCATAAGTTTGTATATGGGCAGTCCTGGAACCGAATCTCAGTCTTGCCACTGATAAGTTAAGTGAATTTAAGAAAGTCGTAATATCTCTGTTTTGTGCTATATATAGAAGATAATATTTATATGAGGGGTTATTATATGACATATATTTTATGTAAAATTATTGGCACAAAATAGGCATTTAGTAAATAACAAATATTACTCATTATATCATCAGCAACACCACCACAAATTTATGTAAAGTAACTAACAAAGCACCATTTTCCCTTTCAGCCTATGCTTGGCAGGGCGTATTTTAGCCTTAAAATCTTTGATCTGATGTTTGGAGTGTTCATGGCCCTTCAAAGACACGACACATCCAACACACCACTTAGAATAATCTAAGAGAATCTAGGCTGTTAGTTGAGTTTAGTCTGAAAATCTAGTTACATGATAAAAGATTATATAGGTTCAAAAATGCAAAATAAATCATTAAATCACAAATCTTAACTGCTCAGAGTGCCACTAGAAATAAAATGGTCGAAACTTATTTCTAGATGTTGAAAACTGAGCCCTCACCGAATTAAGTAGCTTTTACAAGGTCATGCAACTTAGTAATGAGCTAACATCAGACTGAGCCCAAACCCCAATTAGGTATATAACTTAAAACCTCTCTTACTCTAGTGATGGCTCTTATTTTTTTAACTAATGATGATCTTTCAGAGACCTTGACTTGCCCAAACTAGGGCTGTAGATAAAGTTGGAGCTACATTTTTTGTTGTCATGGAATTGCTCAATTCAGATACTCTCTGAGGGCTCATCCAGCTCTAAATATTTTATTATTGTTCTTCTTGCTATTCAAGGTTACCCTTTACATGGACACATATTGTTCATCAGTCTCTAAAATGTTTTTTGTCTTCTAAACAGACAAGGGTCTTTGCAATCTCACAAACGTCCATTCCATTGCCAAATTTTTCCCCAAATGCACAATAATCTCCCTCTGTTTATCCAATTCCCATTCACTCTGCAAGACCCAGCTTCCCATCTCCTCCATAATATCTTCCCTCACTTTTCTGGCCTTAATCAAATTCCCTTTCTTCTGAGCACCTGTAGTCCCCAAGACTAGTCCACACAATTGAGAACACAGTAGTCCACTGTGTATGATGTTATCCCTATTATTTCTTGTGCACATCTTATCTTCCCAATTAGATGATGGCCCCTTGAAGACAAGTACCATGGCTTAGGCTTACCAAATTGTTGTGGAGCAGAACATTGTGATGAATGAGCTCAGAGTAGGTATTCAAGTAATACTCAGTTGATTAGGCAGGGGGGCCAGAGAGGAGAACAAACATTTTCTTGTTTCTCCAACCATTCTTAGTTAAGTTCTGGGAATCCTCAATGCTAATACAAAAACTGAAAACTGGCAAGTTTGATTGAGGTTTTGAACTAATTAGAACTAATTAGAGAGGGCAGGGAAGGACAGAAGATAGGCTACTTCTAATCCCATCCTACAATCCTTTCTTTGAAATGTAGAGGAAATCCACTTGAAACTGCCCAAGTGACTGATAGTTGTTTCTAAATGAGATTTCTACTTCTGCAGCATTGATTTCTGGCACTAAGTCCTGTCCTTAGAAGTTAACCTTTTTTCTGGGGTAAGAAAAGCTTTACTGAATCCATGTGATGAAAGATAAATGATATGGAATGTTATGAGCCAAAATTAGTTTAAAAAAATAAAATTCAGTTGCATACTTACGTGTACCAGAATGCCACAGCATCATTATACAAGGAAGTGGCATTGGGAACATCTTAGGAAAAGATTTCATATTCCAGCTTCATCTTATTTAGCATGAATTTATTGAGTGCCTCATGACAGTAACAATCATGAAGATGATAATAATAGAATATTAAATATTGAACAAAAATAATAAAAACGTTAAGAGTCCAGGTTCAAATGTTAAACACTCTGGGTTTGCATTCTGATTCTATAACTCTGTGTGGGCAAGTTACTTACCATTCCTGTGTCTCACTTTCCTTGTCTACTAAGTAGAGATATTAATAGCACTAGCTCAGAGATTTGTTGTAAGGATTAAACTGAGAAATATGTGAAAAAATATTTAAATAAGTATCTAGCACATAGTAGACATTCAGTAATATTAGCTTTTGATCATTACTATTATTATTATCATTAAAGACTTAAAAAGACTCTCCATAGTTCAGGCTCTGTGCTGGGCAACTTATATATGCATATTTTTAGCAGATACAAATATTTTTTACAATTTGTGTGTGTTCACTAATATATTTCAACCAAAAGGAGTTCCTAGCCCATAGTAGGCACTCAGAAAATAACTGTTGAATGAATAAGAAATTTCATTTACTCCTCACAACAGCCTTAAAATGTAACAGGCACTCAGAATATAACAGTGAGCAAGACAGAGTCCTAATTTTCAGGTCTGGTGTGATAAATCAACAGGCAATTCCTGTCCAGAGTGATTGCTCTGCTAAGGTAGTACAGGGCTTTTGGGAGCAGATATGAGAAACACTTAATCCGAACTCAAGGGAACAGGTAAGACTTTCTGGAGGAAATGACATCCAGGCTGAAATGTGAAGCATGAGTAAGTGTTAGCCAGGCAAATCAGAGGTAACAATGTATGGCAAATCCAGAAGTTAAGAAAGTATGGTGACTTCATTTAAATGAATGTAGTTCTGTATAGATGAAGTGAGAGGTGAAGAGAGGAGAAAAGAAGATGTAGATGTCAGTAGGACTATGAGTACAGTACTGGGGACCTGGACTTAGATTCTAACAGCAGTGAGGCAATGTAAATTATTTAAGTGAGTGAGTGACATGGGCTTCGGAATGATCACTCTGGTCATTTCTTCCATTTCAGTGGACTCCCAGAATTCTAACACTTGCCTTGAGCTAGATCAACTTTGGTATTCATTTGCATATTGGTAAATTTTTTAGTCCACATTACTAGAATTATAGTCATTTATGGTTTTGAGACACAGACCCATCTTTGTGGCAGTGGTCTCTAAGACCAAAACTATCCTGAACCTTATGAACCCATACTCTGTGGGTAGGCAGTTCTTATCAAAAGTAGATCCAATTAGATCTGTTAATTGTGTCATAGAATTTCTCAAAATTTCTCACTTGGCTACCTTCCCAACACCATATTATGACTGAACTAGTAGATCTCTCTCTGCTAAGGTTAGAGCAAAGAAGGAGAGTTAACTTTTTGCGCATTGGCTGACCCAGCCTCAGAACATTTTATATTATTTTCTAATATTGAATGACAGATGGAAAATTTTCAGGGAAGGAGGTAGGTGGTAAGATAGATATGGAACAAAAAAGTTCCAGATTCCTATAGACCTTTCATTTAATATGTTATTGTATCAATATTTAATGTATATTAAATAACAATATATTACCATGGGTAACTTCCTATATGGTTAGAATTCTGCCAATCTGAATTTTTCTTTCTCAGAATTCAAGGCGATAACATTATAAAAATAATAGTTATAGATCCTCAATAGGATATTTCAAGGGAATTACATTCACCAAAAGGCAGCCTTTCATATAAACATATCATGCAAGCTGACATAAACACCTAAGTGAACCTAAATGAAAACAATGTTTTCTATTGCTCTGAGCTCTGTGTGAATTGGCTCATCATAGCAAAATGAGCTTCTTAGTGGTCAGTGCATTGAGAAAATGGAAGAACTGTCATGTATTCAAAAACCAGAACCAAGTACTGGATTAGAGATTAAGAAAAGACAATCTTTGGTTTTGGAATCAAAAGTGGGGAAGAATTAATTTAAAGCAAGATTTTAGAAGGATGGTGAGGAGTTTCTGAGAACTAAAGTGAATGGGAGGAAAGACCTTCATAGTGATCCCCTTACCCTCACTTTTCCCTCAGTGCTTTGTTGATTTCAGTGTGGCGAGTAGAAACGGAGAATGGGCCAAAGAAGACAGGTGAACCAAAGGAAAGAAGGGGAGGAAAAGATGAAAGGGCTGATGGAGAGCATTCTCCAAGCCACTCAGAATTTGGGGAGTACCACTACAGATAGTGAAGCACAAAAGAGCAAACATGCCATCCCCTTTGCTCACTGCCAACTCCAGCACGAAGTTGGGCGACTGCCAGGCAGGCACTCCCAGTCGTCAAAAAGTGCAAATGTTACTCAGGGAACAATTAATGTGAGTTGTGTAATGTAATATGGGTCAAAAACATGAAAAGACGTTTAAAATGTCAGCGGATGGCTCAGCACACCCATCAGCCAGCCAGAGAGCAGAACACCTGTTTTGCACTCAGTGGCACAGAAGCCACAATTTAGACAAAAAAAAAAAAAAAGAAAGGAAAGGAAAAAGGAAAAGGGGAAAGGGGAAAGGGAAAGGGAAAGGGGAAGGGGAAGGGGAAGGGAAGGACAGGGAAGGGAAGGGAGGGGAAGGGAAGCCTGGATGGTCAGGGCTGAGAGAGAGAGGAGACAGGGACCCTGGGGATGCCCACAGGAGGCCAAAGGAAACGGCTGGAAACCCGGACAGATTTGTTGTTTGAGGCAGAAAATAAAATGCTTATACAGTTGTAATAGAAGAAGAATGGCTTAAATTTTATAACAATTATTCATCCTATTTTGATATCTGGAGTATAATTAAATTCAAACTTCCTTTGTTTAATTAGCCATTAGGTTTGATGAAGTACATTTTCAAGTCAAGCAGAAAATGACTTTAAAGAAAGGTATGTCTGCAAGTGAAAGGGCAGAGGAAAGTCAGGCTGATATGTGAAAAAACAAAAGGACGGAAGAGTCTATCTGCCTTTATTATAGAACCCCTGAGAAGATTGCAGCACTGGGTTTTTTTTTTTATGCGGGTGGTGATGTGGCTAACTGTGATGTGCCCTTTTCTGCTTAATTCAAAGTTCAGCAAAAGTTTAAAAGGAAATGAAGTGAAAATTGATACTCAATAGATAATCACAGGAGAAAAAGATCAACATGTTGCTGCTGTGGACTTTTTTCAATGCTATGAACTTTTTTCAATGCCCTACTTTTGAGGATTCTTTTGATCATATAATTTTTTTATTCCCTAGTACTTAAGTTTTTGAAATAAAGGAATTACCTGCTAAAGGGAATTCTCCGTGTCATATTTTCAAAAGGCTCATTTTGTTACCATGTGCTTTAAAAGATTCCAGGACATGAAAGACAGGAAACACATCCATGTGAATAAGAGAGGTTGAGAATTACAGACTCCTTTCCAGTGGCATAAAATCTCTTTAATAAAAACTCTTATATATGATATCAATGGCCTTGCAAAGACATTTAGGCAATAATAAACTGCAAAGTGATTTAGCATGTGCAAAAACCCACCAAGCTGTAAACTTACACCCTTTGACATTAATCTGTCATATAAGCAGGAGTAGGTACCTGACAAGACTTATATTAAAATATGTAAGTTATGCCTCAGTAAAACAATTGAAAATTAATTTAGAAGTTCTCGCTTGAGAAATCAGTGATAATGTGACACACATTGACCATTGTGGGTAAAATTAAAAGAAAATAGCTGCTCTTTTTGGCCAAAGGAATACTTAGAACATATTCATAGAATTGTTGAGTATTAAAGGTGAATAAAACCTAACTTTTTTGTCCATCTCTTCATTTTATAGTTGCAAAACAAGGCATTCCTCTCATCATGATATCTAGAGGTAATGTTCTTGCCCGAAGTGTTAAGAGCTAGGAAGTGACCATCACTATCTTGAGACTATCGTCCACCCATTCCAAGGAAGCATAAACTATAAATTCCAACATTCTTATAGACTATTATGATTTAATAAATAACGTCGATTGGAACTAGAGAAACAGAACACATTTACCTGTTAATATTTGTAGAATAAACCTCATGAAATTACTTATGGAAACACAATTTTAAGGGATCTGTAGTGGGTTATCTTATCTTGAGAAAAAAATCAGAGACCAAAGTTGTGTGTGTGTGTGTGTGTGTGTGTGTGTGTAATAAATAGATGACTTCTGAAATGAAGTCATATACATTCAGGAAGGAAGCCTAAGTTGTGTGTTTAGCAGATGTATTTTGAGAAATGCCTATTGGTGAGTAGTATTCTGCTCTCTAACAAGCAAAAAAGAGGAAATGAATTTAAATTAGAACCAAAGGAATTTAAGTTAGATGGAAAGATCTTATTGGCAGTGAAGATTTTATAAACCCTGGAAAAGATTCCTGGAGAGGTTTTCAAATTCTCTATCTGAATGTACTTAAAAGAAGAGAGATACCTATCGGCTCAGGGTGGTTGAGGTAGAGACCTGCCTGGAAGTTGCTTTCAGCTGAATTCTCTGCAAGTCCAGATTAGTTCCTGACAATGCTCAGGATGTCAAAGACTGTAAATGCTAGACAGTGGCAAGCAATATTGCCCCTTAAAACAAAAACAAAAACAAAACTCACCAAAGTAATCATTTCCTTGGAAAGTTAATTGGCATATGGTAGTTGGTTATAAGTGAAATGTTCAATTGTAATACATTCTTGTTTTATTTTCTTTTTAGCCTAGTTTCCAATGGAAAGAAGCCTTATGAAATTTCTCTGGCAGGCTATGCCCTGCTTACTACAATTTTTATTTTCCTTCTGTCAGTTGGTTACAAGCAAATCTCTTAGAAAAACCTAAACCTAAGTAGCAATACATGTACCCTCTGAGTAAATTCCTCTGAAGGAAATACCCTCTCCCTTAACTCCAAAGGAAAACTTTCTCTCCTAATTGAAAGGAGCAGAATGATTATCCCAACACCATCAGCCCTCTTCTTCCTTACCTTCACAGAGTCCACACAAATTCTCTTCATCTTGCAGAATTATTTCTTCTCATTTCCAACCCACAAACAGCATATACACTAACAGTTCATACCAAAATTCACTAATTTGCTGTACTTCTCTGCTTATACAGCTGTGTGTCTGTTTACCCCATTGTGTTTGCCACAACTATTGTTTGGTTTTTATTGCAAGCTCCTGAAGGTGAAGGATGGAGTCTGTTTGACTTGCTTTGCACGACACTGTGTGTACATGCAGGTGGACACCATGTGACCGTCCTTGACAATAATGGTTTCTGACATGACTGGATGCTCAAAAAATAATCCCATGGATTAGCTAAAGTTGGAGAGAGAGGACTCAGTTTGCAGAATCTGTGTCATTGGTTGGTCCTCCTATATGTCACATACCAAGGTGATAACTGTCTGTCAGGAGTCATCAGGGCAGTGAGCACTGTGGACAAGGGCCCAATCAGCAGCTAGAAAATCTAAGTCTAGCCTAAAATGCACAGAAATCAAAACTGCATTTATTTGCATGCTTTCCTTTCACCATGACCCGTCCTTCTCTTGTGTATAAATCCAGTCTTGCTGGAGTTCTCAGCTCAGAGCAGTCTGCCATTGCCCATTGCCATACCAGGCTGTTAAATCTCAGACACACCCTGGAAGACTATCAAGTTCACAGTAACTTGTTTTTCTTATTTCTTTGTGTTTATAGTCTAGAGGGAACAGAACTCATTTTTACAAAGATTAATATTTCTTCTTTCCCACCAATTCCCACACAACCCCTTCCAACCTTCCTTTACATCAGTCTTCCTCACTGACCCAAGAAGACAGAGATAAGTCAATCCACATTTCTTAGTTAGGTTAAAAAATTCCAATGCTTTTTCATATCTAGGGTCTTCAAAGTTAGGTTTTCAGAGAACAAAATGATTGATGAAAACCTGTTTCTCACAGAAAGCACAGGAAATGACATTTCATTTAATTCAACAAATATTTTCTAGGCACCAATTATGAGCCACTCACTGTGTATTGGGGAAAGAAAAGGGAACAAAACATAGACTCTGGCTTCATATAATATATTTGGAGGTGTATGTGTCTATGTGTGTGTAATAGTCAATTTAAGATTTTATTACGTGATCTTAAATATAATAAGATTGCTTTATTTTGGATTGTGGTAAGGATTAAATGATGTATAATATAGTTAAAGTATACTTGACACAGAGCCTGGCATGTAAGACATCCTCAATAAACAACAGCTGTTACTATTACTGAAAGAGGCTTAATTTAGAGCAATTCTGGGGGGAGTGCTCTCTCTGGAAATCAAATTTTACCTTGGATTAAGGGCAATGTATTTTGATTGTTATGGGAAGAAGAGGAATCATCCAAGAGTTGGATTCTCACCGAACTCTCCCTGGACAGCAGGACATTGCTGAGTTCACCCACTGCCATAAGAAAGTTCTTCTCTTAGCTTCTTTTAAACGTCTGTTTGAAAACTTTTCTTACTGTAAAATGTTACATTTCCTGAAAGAAGCAGCACATCATAAAGTGTTTTGGCACAGAGCTCATTCTACCTGCTCATCTTTTTTTTTAATTTTATTATTATATACTTTAAGTTTTAGGGTACATGTGCACAATGTGCAGGTTTGTTACATATGTATACATGTGCCATGTTGGTGTGCTGCACCCATTAACTTGTCATTTAGCATTAGGTATATCGCCTAATGCTATCCCTCCCCCCTCCCCCCACCCTACAACAGTCCCAAGACTGTGATGTTCCCCTTCCTGTGTCCATGTGTTCTCATCGTTCAATTCCCACCTATAAGTGAGAACATGTGGTGTTTGGTTTCTTTCCTTGCAATAGTTTGCTGAGAATGATGCTTTCCAGTTTCATCCATGTCCCTACAAAGGACATGAACTCATCATTTTTTATGGCTGCATACTATTCCATGGTGCATATGTGCAACATTTTCTTAATCCAGTCTATCATTGTTGGACATTTGGGTTGGTTCCAAGTCTTTGCTATTGTGAATAGTGCCGCAATAAACATACGTGTGCATATGTCTTTATAGCAGCATGATTTATAATCCTTTGGGTATATACCCAGTAATGGGATGGCTGGGTCAAATGGTATTTCTATTTCTAGATCCTTGAGGAATCGCCACACTAACTTCCACAGTTGTTGAACTAGTTTACAGTCTCACCAGCAATGTAAAAGTGTTCCTATTTCTCCACATCCTCTCCAGTACCTGTTGTTTTCTGACTTTTTAATGATTGCCATTCTAACTGGTGTGAGATGGTATCTCATTGTGGTTTTGATTTGCATTTCTCTGATGGCCAGTGATGATGAGTACTTTTTCATGTGTTTTTTGGCTGCATAAATGTCTTCTTTTGAGAAGTATCTGTTCGTATCCTGCACCCACTTTTTGATGGGGTTGTTCTTTTCTTGTAAATTTGTTTGAGTTCATTGTAGATTCTGGATATTAGCCCTTTGTCATATGAGTAGGTTGTGAAAATTTTCTCCCATTTTGTAGGCTACCTGTTCACTCTGATGGTAGTTTCTTTTGCTGTGCAGAAGCTCTTTAGTTTAATTAGATCCCATTTGTCAATTTTGGCTTTTGTTGCCATTGCTTTTGATGTTTTAGACATGAAGTCCTTGCCCATGCCTATGTCCTGAATGGTATTGCCTAGGTTTTCTTCTAGGGTTTTAATGGTTTTAGGTCTAACGTTTAAGTCTTTAATGCATCTTGAATTGATTTTTGTATAAGGTGTAAGGAAGGGATCCAGTTTCAGCTTTCTACCTATGGCTATCCAGTTTTCCCAGCACCATTTATTAAATAGGGAATCCTTTCCCCATTGCTTGTTTTTCTCAGGTTTGTCAAAGATCAGATAGTTGTAGATATGCGGCGTTATTTCTGAGGGCTCTGTTCTGTTCCATTGATCTATATCTCTGTTTTGGTACCAGTACCATGTTGTTTTGGTTACTGTAGCCTTGTAGTATAGTTTGAAGTCAGGTAGTGTGATGCCTCCAGCTTTGTTCTTTTGGCTTAGGATTGACTTGGCGATGCGGGCTCTTTTTTGGTTCCACATGAATTTTAAAGTAGTTTTTTTCAAATTCTGTAAAGAAAGTCATTGGTAGCTTTATAGGGATGGCATTGAATCTTTAAATTACCTTGGGCAGTATGGCCATTTTCATGATATTGATTCTTCCTACCCATGAGCATGGAATGTTCTTCCATTTCTTTGTATCCTCTTTTATTTCATTGAGCAGTGGTTTGTAGTTCTCCTTGAAGAGGTCCTTCACTTCCCTTGTCAGTTGAATTCCTAGGTATTTTATTCTCTTTGAAGCAATTGTGAATGGGAGTTCACTCATGATTTGGCTCTCTGTTTGTCTGTTATTGGTGTATAAGAATGCTTGTGATTTTTGCACATTGATTTTGTATCCTGAGACTTTGCTGAAGTTGCCTATCAGCTTAAGGAGATTTTGGGCTGAGACGATGGGCTTTTCTAGATATACAGTCATGTCATCTGCAAACAGGGACAATTTGACTTCCTCTTTTCCTAATTGAATACCCTTTATTTCCTTCTCCTGCCTAATTGCCCTGGCCAGAACTTCCAACAGTATGTTGAATAGGAGTGGTGATTCTTGAATTAATTTTTGTATAAGGTGTAAGGAAGGGATCCAGTTTCAGCTTTCTACATATGGCTAGCCAGTTTTCCCAGCACCATTTATTAAATAGGGAATCCTTTCCCCATTGCTTGTTTTTTGTCAGGTTTGTCAAAGATCAGATGGTTGTAGATATGCGGCATTATTTCTGAGGCTAACGTCATCCTGATACCAAAGCCTGGCAGAGACACAACAAAAAAAGAGAATTTTAGACCAATATCCTTGATGAACATTGATGCAAAAATCCTCAATAAAATACTGGCAAACCGAATCCAGCAGCACATCCAAAAGCTTATCCACCATGATCAAATGGGCTTCATCCCTGGGATGCAAGGCTGGTTCAACATACACAAATCAATAAATGTAATCCAGCATATAAACAGAACCAAAGAAAAAAACCACATGATTATCTCAATAGATGCAGAAAAGGCCTTTGACAAAATTCAACAACCCTTCATGCTAAAAACTCTCAATAAATTAGGTATTGATGGGACATATTTCAAAATAATAAGAGCTATCTATGACAAACCCACAGCCAATGTCATACTGAATGGGCAAAAACTGGAAGCATTCCCTTTGAAAACTGGCACAAGACAGGGATACCCTCTCTCACCACTCCTATTCAACGTAGTGTTGGAAGTTCTGGCCAGGGCAATTAGGCAGGAGAAGGAATTAAAGGGTATTCAATTAGGAAAAGAGGAAGTCAAATTGTCCCTGTTTGCAGATGACATGATTGTATATCTAGAAAACCCCATTGTCTCAGCCCAAAATCTCCTTAAGCTGATAAGCAACTTCAGCAAAGTCTCAGGATCTACCTGCTCGTTCTACCAAGATTCTAGAGCATTTCAGAACCTGGATCATATCCCAAACACACACAGCACATATTTTTCTCCTTCCTGCTTCCTCCTACCATGGTCTAGATTATGGTTGTTCTGCAGGGCAAGTGACTACCAAAATACACTTGAAATTTTTCACATTTATTTTAAAGTTACATAAAATGATTTTACAGAGCATCATTTTAATGATTTAGCTCTTACTGAATACATATCAACAATTAATCTTAAACAGGAATAATACAACTTTTAACCTCAGGAAAAACTAAGTCAAATTGTAGTCACCCAGTGAATTTCTTTTTTAAACTTGCCCAATACAAATGGCTTCACTGGCCATCTTAGCTTACCTATAGTATTTAATTAATCAATTATTCAATTAATTAATTGTATGGTTAAATATATGAATGGATCATCATGTAAATGTCAAGATAATTGAATACAAGTATCTCATAATATTATTAGCCCAAGCAAAGGAATCCACTTACTTCACTCTTTTTGGTTCAATTTAAGATTTGCTCTATACTCTCAAATATCTGGATAAGTAAAAGAAGACTTCCTGCCATGTTCTTCTTTAATATTTACCATTAGAAAAAGCCTGTCTTTTCCTGACCTCTGTTATTTAGAAGACCTCTGACCATGTCCTGCATCACCATTATATTCTCAATATGTTTTCCTGACTGAAGGTTCATCCAGTTGTTTCATTTGAAAAAAAGCTAGTATTTCACCTTCCATATTTCCTCAACAAGAATGAGGAATTCTGGGAAACATTTGATATATTTCCATCTATTTCAAAAGTATCAGAAGGATGCACTAGAATGAAAATCTTATAGGTATCTTCTGTCAAACATTGCCACTTAAATTATAGTATGAGGGCCTAACTTTAGCTTCCAACTATGGAAGCTTCTGTTCTCCAGCTCTCTAAGCTGATGTTGCTTTTTCTCAAATTTACTTACATATTGAAGTGTTAATTTCTCACACCTACCTTCTTTATTCCAAACTAATAGAATCCAAAGATTTCATACAAACTTCAGTTATTTAGATCTTTTCAGTGTTTTCCTTTACCAGATTATTTAGGTTTGGCTTCTTTGAACTTTGAAACCATTAAATATGGTCATGAGACCATTGCATGGGTTTTATTTTTTTTAAAAAAAGAAAAGGAAAATTAAGGTCTCTCTAAACATAATGTACTCAAAAGAAAGCCAGTGATCTACCAATCTAGACACTCGATGGTGCCTTAGTACATCCTTAGGGAATTTTTTCCTCTCTTCTAATTTATCATGATTAGCTGTTAGTTCAGAATTGATCCTATTTCTTTAGAAATGGATGTCATAATCCTAGAGTTTTATGAGACTCTACAACCTTTAGTTTTTGTAAAAAATCAGCCAAAGGCTTAAAGAGTTCCTTCAGATGGGTAAAGAAAGGGAAATTATCTCTCCCCACCCCTTCCTCTAGCTCTCCAAGCATGATAAGAAGCATGAAACCAAATCAGATGTACTACTCTATGAGAAGGTAAGAATAGCTTAAAGGAACCTCAAGATGCCTCACCCAATTGTCTTTTTCTAAATCCTGGCACTTTAATACAACACAAATGTGCAGTCCCTATGGAAACCTTGTGCCCAATTTAATAGCATTGTTGATCAATGAACATTTGTCATGCTCCAGACAACTGCCATGAATCAGTAAAATAAAATACAGCATCCCTTAAAAAACTTGAAACCAAACTCTGGGATGATGTCAATGGGATAAGAATAGGCAGTTCCTTTCTTTTCCTGATTCCTCTTCACCAATCTTCTCCTTCAACATTGCATGAAAGAATAGAATCTTTATTTCCATTGCCTTTATTCATTTACTGCACAGTCGTAAGGATTAAATGAGACTGTGCAGATAACACAATTAGGAAGGAGACTGGCTCAAAGGACATGTTTAACAAATATGTGTTTCCTCTTCCTTCAGGAACCATAAGAATGTGGTAAGCCTGTTTTGTGAAGGAAATTCAAAACTGGTGAAGATAGGCTATGTTGAAATGCATATCAAAACTCCTGCCTGATCATCTGAGAGAATACTATATATTTTTTGAAATGTTATGACATATCTGTAAATGACAATTTAGATTTTGAGTCTTGTTATCATACCTGGCCACTGAAGCCCAGCCACTAAGTTTCCTGCACCCCAGAGTGAATGATAGAGAAACAGCTTGAACTCCCATGCACTCAATGGAGTCATTAAGACGTCTCATTCTGGAGGCTTGTATTAAACTAGCCTCCAAAAATGAAACACTTTTTTCAACACTTTCAGTGTGAAAGGAAAGTCTTTTTATTAAGACTTGTTCCTTACTCAGTAAATAAATCACATATTTGGCAGCAATAAAAATATTGGTGAGAAGTGAACGTTATTCATTTCAAAGCAAGGAGCCTGTTGAGTGGTGGTACAGTTTTTAAAATACTGATTTGACAAAAGAGCTCTCAGCGAACTCATGAAATAATTTTATGCTTTTGTAATTTTTGTTTGTGGCCTTTTCTTTTTTCAAAATTGAAGCTATGTACTTAACTCTAATCAGAACCATTAAAGTCTTTTAAAATGCCCATATAGTTTACAATTTCTGTTCTTTTTTAAAAATCATGTCATGACGTTTCTTTTGTAGTGCTAAGTTCTGTGTTTCAAAAGCACAAAGAATATTTATTTGTAAGGAGTCTAGTAAATATTTATGGAATGCCTACCATGTGCCAGGCCTGGTTCTGGTTGCAAAAGATGTTACAGTACACAAAGCAAGTTTCCTGCTTTGGAGTAGTTGGGGAGAGAAGAACGATAGGGGTTGAGACAGACTGAAAATAAACAAAATGTATAATTAAGTAAGGAAGCTATCACTGCTACTACAGAATTAAAGAGAATTAAATATATATAAAAATGAGTGCTTAACTTTAGATTGGATGTTCAAGAAAAACCTTTTTGAGGAAGTGATATTCAAGAGGAGATTGAAATGGTGAAGCGTCCAGACAGCCATGCAGTGCTCTGGAGGAAGAGCATTATAGACAGAGGAATGGCAAAGCCCTATAAGTAAGGATCAGCTCTCTGTTTTTCATAAGTTGAAGGCCAGTGTGGCCAGGGTGGAGGATAAGAAGGGAGAGGTCAAGGTTGGAAAGAAGCCAGAGTGGGAATAATGTGGGGCATAGCAGCCAGGAAATAAGTTTAGATTCATTCTCAGTGCCATGGGGAGCTATTGGGTATGGGGACTGGGGTACAGAAGCAGGAGAATGCCATGATCTGATCTACATTTTTCAAAGTGCACCTCATCTGCTGTGCACAGAGTAGAGCAAGAGTAGAGGTGTGTTTAAGGCAATTGCAACCACTGAAGGGATGTAAGCAAGAAAACTGACTCATTTGTTTTGGTTTTTGTTCTCAAGATCTGACTATGGTATAGAAACTGGACTATGGTAGAAACGGAGGTATCAAAGGAGCCAGAGTGAAAGAACTTTCAGTAAATTTGGAAAGTGGTGTGAATTCAGATATGGAGGTCAGATGGTGTCCTTGGGTTATAAGAAGAGACAACACTCATGAACAATTATTATGCTTATTATTTATAAACACACAAATATAAGTATAAAACTATTAAGGCCACATAACAAAATGAGAGTGATGCCTCTACAAGCTGAGAGACAGCAAGGCTTGTTAACAAACACCAGAGCTGGAAGGGGCAGAAGAATTCTTTTCTAGAACCCTCAGAGGGGGCATAGCCCTGCCAATATCTTGATTTCGGACTTCCAGACTCCAGACTTCAGACTTGGAGAGAATATATTTTTGTTGTTTTAAGGCAAAAACTAATAAATAAATAAAACGATTAATGCATTCTTATTTATAAATACATAAATTCTTTTAATCATCACCATATTCAATGGAATAGGTACTCAGCTCATTTTCCTTATATGAAGAATCCAAGTCAAAGTGGTAAATCAAGTTTCCAAATATCCAGGTGTATTAGTCCCTTCTCATGCTGCTAATAAAGACATACCCAAGACTTGGTAATTTATAAAGGAAAGAGATTTAATTGATTCACAGTTCAGCATGGCTGGGGAGGCCTAAGGAAACTTACTACAATCATGGTGAAACGGGAAGCAAACACATCCTTCTTCACATGGCAGCAGCAAGGAGAAGTGCCAAGCAAAAGGGGGAAAAGGCCCTTATAAAACCATCAGATCTCATGAGCACTCACTCACTATCCTGAGAACAGCATAAGGGTAACCACCCTCATGATTAAATTACCTTCCCCTGGGTCCCTCCCATGACACATGGGGATTACGGGAACTATAATTCAAGATGAGATTTGGGTGGGGACACAGCCAAACCATATCATTCTGCCCCTGGCCCCTCCCAAATCTCATGTCCTCACATTTCAAAACACAATCATGCCTTCCCAACAGTCTCCCAAAGTCTTAACTCATTCCAGCAGTAACTCAAAAGTCCAAGTCCAAAGTCTCATCTAAGACAAGGCAAGTCCCTCCCACCTATGAGCCTATAAAATCAAAAGCAAGTTAGTTACTTTCAAGATACAATGGGGGTACAGGTATTGGGAAAATACACCCTTTCCAAATGGCAGAAATTGGCCAAAACGAAAGGACTACAGGCCGCATGCAAGTCAAAAATACAGCAGGGTAGCCAAATATTAAAGCTCCAGAATGATCTCCTTTGTCTCAATGTCTCATATCCGGGTCATGCCGATGCAAAATGTCAGCTCCCACGGCCTTGGGCAACTCTACTCCTGTGGCTTTGCAGGGTACAGCCTCTCTCCCAGCTTTTTTCTTTTTTTTTTTTTTTTAAACTTTCTTTTTTTTATTATTATTATTATACTTTTAAGTTTTAGGGTACATGTGCACATTGTGCAGGTTAGTTACATATGTATACATGTGCCATGCTGGTGTGCTGCACCCACTAACTCATCATCTAGCATTAGGTATATCTCCCAATGCTATCCCTCCCCCCTCCCCACACCCCACAACAGTCCCCAGAGTGTGATATTCCCCTTCCTGTGTCCATGTGATCTCATTGTTCAATTCCCACCTCTCAGTGAGAATATGTGGTGTTTGGTTTTTTGTTCTTGCGATAGTTTACTGAGAATGATGATTTCCAATTTCATCCATGTCCCTACAAAGGACATGAACTCATCATTTTTTATGGCTGCATAGTATTCCATGGTGTATATGTGCCACATTTTCTTAATCCAGTCTATCATTGTTGGACGTTTGGGTTGGGTCCAAGTCTTTGCTATTGTGAATAATGCCGCAATAAACATACGTGTGTATGTGTCTTTATAGCAGCATGATTTATAGTCCTTTGGGTATATACCCAGTAATGGGATGGCTGGGTCAAATGGTATTTCCAGTTCTAGATCCCTGAGGAATCGCCACACTGACTTCCACAAGGGTTGAACTAGTTTACAGTCCCACCAACAGTGTAAAAGTGTTCCTATTTCTCCACATCCTCTCCAGCACCTGTTGTTTCCTGACTTTTTAATGATTGCCATTCTAACTGGTGTGAGATGGTATCTCAATGTGGTTTTGATTTGCATTTCTCTGATGGCCAGTGATGATGAGCATTTTCTCATGTGTTTTTTGGCTGCATAAATGTCTTCTTTTGAGAAGTGTCTGTTCATGTCCTTCGCCCACTTTTTGATGGGGTTGTTTGTTTCTTTCTTGTAAATTTGTTTGAGTTCATTGTAGATTCTGGATATTAGCCCTTTGTCACATGAGTAGGTTGTGAAAATTTTCTCCCATTTTGTAGGCTGCCTGTTAACTCTGATGGTAGTTTCTTTTGCTGTGCAGAAGCTCTTTAGTTTAATTAGATCCCATTTGTCAATTTTGTCTTTTGTTGCCATTGCTTTTGGTGTTTTAGACATGAAGTCCTTGCCCATGCCTATGTCCTGAATAGTATTGCCTAGGTTTTCTTCTAGGGTTTTTAGGGTTTTAGGTCTAACATTTAAGTCTTCAATCCATCTTGAATTAATTTTTGTATAAGGTGTAAGGAAGGGATCCAGTTTCAGCTTTCTACATATGGCTAGCCAGTTTTCCCAGCACCATTTATTAAATAGGGAATCCTTTCCCCATTGCTTGTTTTTCTCAGGTTTGTCAAAGATCAGATAGTTGTAGATATGTGGTATTATTTCTGAGGGCTCTGTTCTCTTCCATTGAACTATATCTCTGTTTTGGTACCAGTACCATGCTGTTTTGGTTACTGTAGCCTTGTAGTATAGTTTGAAGTCAGGTAGTGTGATGCCTCCAGCTTTGCTCTTTTGGCTTAGGATTGACTTGGCGATGCGGGCTTTTTTTTGGTTCCATATGAACTTTAAAGTAGTTTTTTCCAATTCTGTGAAGAAAGGCATTGGTAGCTTGATGGGGATGGCATTGAATCTGTAAATTACCTTGGGCAGTATGGCCATTTTCACGATATTGATTCTTCCTACCCATGAGCATGGAATGTTCTTCCATTTGTTTGTATCCTCTTTTATTTCCTTGAGAAGTGGTTTGCAGTTCTCCTTGAAGAGGTCCTTCACATCCCTTGTAAGTTGGATTCCTAGGTATTTTATTCTCTTTGAAGCAATTGTGAATGGGAGTTCACTCATGATTTGGTTCTCTGTTTGTCTGCTGTTGCTGTATAAGAATGCTTGTGATTTTTGTACATTGATTTTGTATCCTGAGACTTTGCTGAAGTTGCTTATCAGCTTAAGGAGATTTTGGGCTGAGATAATGGGGTTTTCTAGATATACAATCATGTCATCTGCAAACAGGGACAATTTGACTTCCTCTTTTCCTAATTGAATACCCTTTATTTCCTTCTCCTGCCTAATTGCCCTGGCCAGAACTTCCAACACTATGTTGAATAGGAGTGGTGAGAGAGGGCATCCCTGTCTTGTGCCAGTTTTCAAAGGGAATGCTTCCAGTTTTTGCCCATTCAGTATGACATTGGCTGTGGGTTTGTCATAGATAGCTCTTATTATTTTGAAATACGTCCCATCAATACCTAATTTATTGAGAGTTTTTAGCATGAAGGGCTGTTAAATTTTGTCAAAGGCCTTTTCTGCATCTATTGAGATAATCATGTGGTTTTTGTCGTTGGTTCTGTTTATATGCTGGATTACATTTATTGATTTGCATATATTGAACCAGCCTTGCATCTCAGGGATGAAGCCCACTTGATCATGGTGGATAAGCTTTTGGATGTGCTGCTGGATTCAGTTTGCCAGTATTTTATTGAGGATTTTTGCATCAATGTTCATCAAGGATATTGGTCTAAAATTCTCTTTTTTTGTTGTGTCTCTGCCTGGCTTTGGTATCAGAATGATGCTGGCCTCATAAAATGAGTTAGGGAGGATTCCCTCTTTTTCTATTGATTGGAATAGTTTCAGAAGGAATGGTACCAGCTCCTCCTTGTACCTCTGGTAGAATTCGGCTGTGAATCCATCTGGTCCTGGACTCTTTTTGCTTGGTAAGCTATTGATTATTGCCACAATTTCAGATCCTGTTATTGGTCTATTCAGAGATTCAACTTCTTCCTGGTTTAGTCTTGGGAGGGTGTATGTGTCAAGGAATTTATCCATTTCTTCTAGATTTTCTAGTTTATTTGCATAGAGGTGTTTGTAGTATTCTCTGATGGTAGTTTGTATTTCTGTGGGATTGGTGGTGATATCCCCTTTATCATTTTTTATTGCATCTATTTGATTCTTCTCTCTTTTTTTCTTTATTAGTCTTGCTAGCGGTCTATCAATTTTGTTGATCCTTTCAAAAACCCAGCTCCTAGATTCATTAATTTTTTGAAGGGTTTTTTGTGTCTCTATTTCCTTCAGTTCTGCTCCGATTTTAGTTATTTCTTGCCTTCTGCTAGCTTTTGAATGTGTTTGCTCTTGCTTTTCTAGTTCCTTTAATTGTGATGTTAGGGTGTCAATTTTGGATCTTTCCTGCTTTCTCTTGTGGACATTTAGTGCTATAAATTTCCCTCTACACACTGCTTTGAATGCGTCCCAGAGATTCTGGTATGTTGTGTCTTTGTTCTCATTGGTTTCAAAGAACATCTTTTTTTTTTATTATTATACTTTAAGTTTTAGGGTACATGTGCACATTGTGCAGGTTAGTTACATATGTATACATGCGCCATATTTCTGCCTTCATTTCGTTATGTACCCAGTAGTCATTCAGGAGCAGGTTGTTCAGTTTCCATGTAGTTGAGCGGTTTTGAGTGAGATTCTTAATCCTGAGTTCTAGTTTGATTGCACTGTGGTCTGAGAGATAAGTTTGTTATAATTTCTGTTCTTTTACATTTGCTGAGGAGAGCTTTACTTCCAAGTATGTGGTCAATTTTGGAATAGGTGTGGTGTGGTGCTGAAAAGAATGTATATTCTGTTGATTTGGGGTGGAGAGTTCTGTAGATGTCTATTAGGTCCGCTTGGTGCAGAGCTGAGTTCAATTCCTGGGTATCCTTGTTGACTTTCTGTCTCGTTGATCTGTCTAATGTTGACAGTGGGGTGTTAAAGTCTCCCATTATTAATGTGTGGGAGTCTAAGTCTCTTTGTAGGTCATTCAGGACTTGCTTTATGAATCTTGGTCCTCCTGTATTGGGTGCATATATATTTAGGATAGTTAGCTCTTCTTGTTGAATTGATCCCTTTACCATTATGTAATGGCCTTCTTTGTCTCTTTTGATCTTTGTTGGTTTAAAGTCTGTTTTATCAGAGACTAGGATTGCAACCCTTGTCTTTTTTTGTTTTCCATTTGCTTGGTAGATCTTCCTCCATCCTTTTATTTTGAGCCTATGTGTGTCTCTGCACGTGAGATGGGTTTCCTGAACACAGCACACTGATGCGACTTGACTCTTTATCCAGTTTGCCAGTCTGTGTCTTTTAATTGGAGCATTTAGTCCATTTACATTTAAAGTTAATAATATGTGAATTTGATCCTGTCATTATGATGTTAGCTGGTTATGTTGCTCATTAGTTGATGCAGTTTCTTCCTAGTCTCGATGGTCTTTACATTTTGGCATGATTTTGCAGCGGCTGGTACCGGTTGTTCCATTCCATATTTAGTGCTTCCTTCAGGAGCTCTTTTAGGGCAGGCCTGGTGGTGACAAAATCTCCAGCATTTGCTTGTCTGTAAAGTATTTTATTTCTCCTTCACTTATGAAGCTTAGTTTGGCTGGATATGAAATTCTGGGTTGAAAATTCTTTTCTTTAAGAATGTTGAATATTGGCCCCCACTCTCTTCTGGCTTGTAGGGTTTCTGCCAAGAGATCCGCTGTCAGTCTGATGGGCTTCCCTTTGAGGGTAACCCGACCTTTCTCTCTGGCTGCCCTTAACATTTTTTCCTTCATTCAACTTTGGTGAATCTGACAATTATGTGTCTCGGAGTTGCTCTTCTCAAGGAGTATCTTTGTGGCATTCTCTGTATTTCCTGAATCTGAACGTTGGCCTGCCTTGCTAGGTTGGGGAAGTTCTCCTGGATAATATCCTGCAGAGTGTTTTCCAACTTGGTTCCATTCTCCCCATCACTTTCAGGTACACCAATCAGACGTAGATTTGGTCTTTTCACATAGTCCCATATTTCTTGGAGGCTTTGCTCATTTCTTTTTATTCTTTTTTCTCTAAACTTCCCTTCTCGCTTCATTTCATTCATTTCATCTTCCATTGCTGATACCCTTTCTTCCAGTTGATCGCATCGGCTCCTGAGGCTTCTGCATTCTTCATGTAGTTCTCGAGCCTTGGTTTTCAGCTCCATCAGGTCCTTTAAGCACTTCTCTGTATTGGTTATTCTAGTTTTACATTCTTCTAAATTTTTTCAAAGTTTTCAACTTCTTTGCCTTTGGTTTGAATGTCCTCCCATAGCTCAGAGTAATTTGATCATCTGAAGCCTTCTTCTCTCAGCTCCTCAAAGTCATTCTCCATCCAGCTTTGTTCCATCGCTGGTGAGGAACTGCGTTCCTTTGGAGGAGGAGAGGCACTCTGATTTTTAGAGTTTCCAGTTTTTCTGTTCTGTTTTTTCCCCATCTTTGTGGTTTTATCTGCTTTTGGTCTTTAATGATGGTGATGTACAGATGGGTTTTTGGTGTGGATGTCCTTTCTGTTTGTTAGTTTTCCTTCTAACAGACAGGACCCTCAGCTGCAGGTCTGTTGGAATACGCTGCCGTGTGAGGTGTCAGTGTGCCCCTGCTGGGGGTGCCTCCTAGTTAGGCTGCTCGGGGTTCAGGGGTCAGGGACCCACTTGAGGAGGCAGTCTGCCCGTTCTCAGATCTCCAGCTGCGTGATGGGAGAACCACTGCTCTCTTTAAAGCTGTCAGACAGGGACATTTAAGTCTGCAGGAGTTACTGCTGTCTTTTTGTTTGTCTGTGCCCTGCCCCCAGAGGTGGAGCCTACAGAGGCAGGCAGGCCTCCTTGAGCTGTGGTGGGCTCCACCCAGTTCGAGCTTCCTGGCTGCTTTGTTTACCTAATCAAGCCTGAGCAATGGCGGGCACCCCTCCCCCAGCCTCGCTGCTGCCTTGCAGTTTGATCTCAGACTGCTGTGCTAGCAATCAGCGAGATTCCGTGGGCGTAGGACCCTCTGAGCCAGATGTGGGATATAATCTCTTGGTGCGCCGTTTTTTAAGCCCGTCAGAAAAGCGCAGTATTTGGGTGGGAGTGACCCAATTTTCCAGGTGCTGTCCGTCACCCCTTTCTTTGACTCAGAAAGGGAACTCCCTGACCCCTTGCGCTTCCCAAGTGAGGCAATGCCTCGCCCTGCTTTGGCTCGTGCACGGTGCGCGCACCCACTGACCTGTGCCCACTGTCTGGCAATCCCTAGTGAGATGAACTCAGTACCTCAGATGGAAATGCAGAAATCACCCGTCTTCTGCATTGCTCACGCTGGGAGCTGTAGACCAGAGCTGTTCCTATTCGGCCATCTTGGCTCCTCCTCTCCCAGCTTCTTTCATGACTGGCATTGAGTATCTGTGGCTTTTCCAGGTGCACAATGCAAGCTGTCGGTGGATCTACCATTGCGGGGTCTGGAGGACAATGGTCCTCTTCTCACAGCTCCACCAGGCAGTGCCCTAGTGGGGACTATGTGTGGGGGGACCAACCCCACATTTTCCTTCTGCACTGCCCCAGCAGACATTCTCCATGAGGGCCTCGCCCCTGCAGCAGGCTTCTGCCTGGATATCCAGGCATTTGCATACATCCTTCAAAATCTAGGCAGAAGTTCTCAAACCACAATTCTTGACTGCTGTGTACCCACAGACTCAACATCACATGGAAGCTGCCAAAGCTTGGGGTTTGCACCCTCTGAAGCCACGGCCCAAGCTGTACCTTGGCCCCTTTCAGCCATAGCTGGAGAGGCTGGAACACAGGGCACCAAGTCCCTAGGGTGCAAACAGCCAGCCCACAAAACCATTTTTTCTTCCCAGGCCTCTGGGCCTGTGATGGGAGAGGCTGCCATGAAGGTCTCTGACATACTCTGGAGATATTTTCCCCATTGTCTTGGTATTAACATCTGGCTCCTCATTGCTTATGCAAATTTCTGCAGCAGGCTTGAATTTCTCCCCAGAAAATTTGTTTTTTCTTTTCTATCGCATCATCAAGCTGCAAATTTTCCAAATCTTTATCCTCTGCTTCCTCTTGAACACTTTGCCACTTAGAAATTTCTTCCACCAGATACCCTAAATCATCTCTCTTAAGTTCAAAGTTCCACAAATCTCTAGGGCAGGGGCAAAATGTGCCAGTCTCTTTGCTGAAACATAGCAAGAGTGACCTTTATTCCAGTTTCCAACAAGTTCCTGATCTCCATCTGAGACCACCTCAGCCTGGACTTCATTATCCATATTACTATCAGCATTTTGGTCAAAGCCATTCAACAAGTCTCTAGGAAGTTCCAAGCTTTCCCACATTTTCCTGTCTTTCTCTGAGCCCTCCAAACTGTTCCCACCTCTGCCTGTTTCCCAGTTCCAAAGTCGCTTCCACATTTTCAGGTATTTTCATAGCAGCACCCCAGTACCAGTACCAACTTACTGTATTAGTCTGTTCCCATGCTGCTAATAAGACATACCCAAGGCTGGGTAATATATAAAGGCAAGAGGTTTAATTGACTCACAGTTCAGCATGGCTGGGGAGGCCTCATAAAACTTACCATCATGGCGGAATGGGAAGCAAACATGTCTTTCTTCACATGGTGGCAGCAGGGAGAAGTATAAGTGAAACAGGGAGAAGCCTCTTACAAAACCATCAGATCCTGTGAGAACTCACTCACTGTCACAAGAACAGCATGAGGGTAACCGCCCCCATGATTCACTTACCTCCCACTGGGTACCTCCCACAACATGTGGGGATTATGGAAACTACAATTCAAGATGAGATTTGGGTGAGGACACAGCCAAACCATATCACCAGGAAAAGTAAATGGCAAATCTAGGATTCAAAGCTCAGTCTATGTGTCCATACCAAGATTTTTCTGTTCTGCTATCATGTGCCCAGACCAGAATTAACAAAGGAAAAATACTGAAAATTCCATTCTAAATAATAAAACAATATTCTATAATATAAAATACATAATTTATTTAACTGTATTGATTTTTAGCTTGTTTCCATATCTTTACTCCTATAAATAGAACTGTAGTAAACATTTTCTATATTATTTACCTTATTTCTGATTAGTTCCTTATCTGAATTCCTAGAAGCATCAAATAATATAAATATTTTTAAAACTCTGGGTATATAATGTCAATTTATTTTCCAGTAAGTCTGTGCCATTTATACTCTCACTTAACCCAACCAACATTAAATATATTTTCATCTTGGCTGATTTGATAACTGAAATTTTAATTTCATAGATTAATTTGCATTTCCTTTCATTACTAATGAGATTGAAGGCTTTCTAATATGTTTATTAGCTTTTTAATATCTTCTTTTGTAAATTTAATTGGCTATTTTCCTATATGGTGTTAGTATTTTTTTCTTGGTGATTTGTAAGAGCTCTTTATATTGGAAGGATACTAAGACTGTTTTTTAATTCTTGCAAACAACTTTTCCCAGAGTGTATTCCACATTCAGTTTTCCAACTTTCTGTTGTAAAAATATAATAAATACAAGAGGGTATGCTCCAGCTATCTTTGCTGCATAATAAACCACATCAGAGTTTAGCAGCATAAAACAACAAACATTTTATATTACAATTTTAGTAGTCAGGAATTGAGGTAGGTCTAGAAGCTTTTTCTGCTCTCATGACTTACTCATCTGGCAACTGGTTAATTGAAGAGCCCAACATGGTTTTACTCACATGTTTAGTACCCTGGCAGTGATAAAAGGAAGGCTGAGATTTGCTGGCATTGTCAACAGGAGTGCCTACAAATGGCTTCTCCTGCGTAGTGGTCTCTAGGTAGCCAGACTTCTCACTTGGAGACTCAGGGCTCCAAAAAACAATGTTCCAGCAAAAAAGGTCAGCCTCACGGCCTTTTGTGATCCTGCTGCAGAAGTTACATAATGCCTGCTCCACTGTGCTCAATTGGTCAGTTCATAAGCTCTCCCAGATTCAATGGGAGAGAACACAGAGGAGAAACAAAGAATCTGGCCATGTTTTAAAACCTCCATAAGGTATAACATTTTTTAAGGAATAAAGCAAACTCCCCTTCACCTTTTAATTTTGTTCATGATATTTTCACCTGCAACTGGTTTTTAAGTATTTATATATGCTTATCTATCTTTTGGTTTCTTTCATTGCTTCATAATTCATTTTTAAAAATTATTTTTAAGCATCTGTCTACAACATCAAGGACATTACCAATTAATATATTTAGAACAATAATTTTTTGATCTTCAAATACTTTAAGTACTAAGTATTGTAGTTGCATTAATTTAATTTGATTCTTAATTCTTTTCATCCTTAGATTTCCATCAGTGACATATTTGAAAATTCACTTTATAAATGCAGGTCAGACCATACATTTAATTATGCAGCTGCTGTGTGGAGAAGAAAAAACAAATCTAACTAAATAATTCTTGCTTAGTACTGTGCCAAATTTCTGGCTCATTCTTCAAAAATTAACTGAAATACAATGAGTTACACATTGCCTGTGTAGCTAATGGTTCCCTTTAGTTCCTGCAATGGTGCTTGAATATTAAATAATTTGATTCATTTCATAAACAGTAATTGTAGCACTCTTTCTCACAGTATTATGAATAACAAAGTAAAAAAGTGTCATCACATTAATAGCAACAAAAATGTCTTTTAATTAGAAATTATTTTAAAGGACATTCTTCTGGATCATAGAGAGAAAAGAACCTCTTTTAAAAATATGTGGTAAGCACTCAATGTTAAATGATCCTTAGTCTCAGGGTTGAAAAACGGCAATTTAGGCATCTTCACTGTTTTTTCTCTGCTTCCACTATTGCATTTCAAAAAGCAGTTTCATCAGCTACCAAGGTGTGGGTCTGGGAAAGTTGTTCAAAGAGAGTTAAACTGAATAAGATACATGACATGTACATAACAGTGATCTTCAGCATTTGTATTATGCTATGTATCTTCCCCTTGTTTTATTTTCACCATAACTAGAAAGAAAAAAAATGAATTTTTAGAAGAAGAAGAAAAATTGAAAAAAATCTTATTGTCTAATGCAGTTCAGCACCATGAGGGAAGAGTGGAATCTAATTCATTTCTTCAACATTGTATCCCCAACACTAAGCATTATACTTTGCACATAGTAGGTGCTCAATAAATATTTATTGAAGAATGATATAAGAGAGGCACAAAAATTACTTATAGGCCTTTTCCTGATATCCAGTCTGAATCTGGAGAGTTTTTTTCATGGAAGCAATTACCTTTGTTGTATATCTCCTTTCATATCTGTCTGTATTTCCTGCCAGTCTTCTGCAAGATGTCATACTACATGAGAGTGGACTAGAAAGTCAAGCTCTTGAGTCCATTTACTATCACTAAACTTTATTACTAAAGATAATTTGAAATCCCATGGCTTTCCAGAGGCAAAGTTTCTCAAATCACCTATGGCTAAACCAAAGTTTATGTCTAAATATCTACAAGTTGAGCCAAAGTGCAGGGTGCTGCTGTATCCACCCTTCAGGCCTGAACACACATTGTGTAGCCTCTGTAGGGAAAGCCACATGTCAGAGCCTGGGCCTTGTACTTTAGGAACATTACTGCTTTTTTACAGTCATTTCGCAGATAGAAGACATTCAAGTACTTCCTCATTTTGTGTTGAGTACCAAATACAGAGAAAATCTAGAACTACACTCTCTAATATTAGAGCCACTATCCACAGGTAAATTAATTAACTCAAATTACTTAAAATTAAGTAAAACTAAAAATTAAGTTCCTCCATCACACTAGCCATATTTCAAGTGCTCAGTAGCACACTTGACTAGTAGCCACCATACTGAATAGTGTAAAGATGGAAAATTTTCATAATTACAGAAAGTTTTATTGGACAGTACTACTCTAGAATATACCACTTAAATCACATTTCGAACTTACTAAATTTGATACCCAGTTCTGCATTTATAACAAATACTGGCTTTCAAACTGATGTATTTATCTAAATGACTGAAGTTGTTCCTCTTAAAATATTTTTTGAACAGCAAATGTAGATAATTCTTTTTTTTTTTTTTTTGAGACGTAGTCTCACTCTGACGCCCAGGCTGGAGTGCAGTGGCGCGATCTCGGCTCACCGCAAGCTCCGCCTCCCAGGTTCACGCCATTCTCCTGCCTCAGCCTCCCAAGTAGCTGGGACTACAGGCACCCGCCACCACACCTGGCTAATTTTTTGTATTTTTTTAGTAGAGACGGGGTTTCACCGTGTTAGCCAGGATGGTCTCAATCTCCTGACCTCGTGATCCACCTGCCTCGGCCTCCCAAAGTGCTGGGATTACAGGCGTCAGCCACCGTGCCTGGCCGATATTTCTTAAACAAGTTCCTGTGAAACACACGAAAATAAAATAGAGAGTATCTATTACCCAAAACAGAGTTAAATTTCTGAAATACATTTTAATTGGAGACAAGTCCCATATGCTTTGTAAAAAGTCTAGGGTAGAGAGAACTTACAAAGTTTATTCAACTAGTTAAATTGTGCCAAAAACTCATATGAAAACATAAAAGTGTCACCATATTAAAGCCCCATCACAAGTGATTTGATAAATAACCAAGAATAATTTATAACTCAAATACTGCTATATGTAAATTGACAGGAAATGTATTGTTTAAAAAGTTGACCCTTCTTAAGTAAAATTAACTTTTTTCCCTGAGGTATTATTAATATTTCTTCATAAATTTGCATTATCTATGGCAAATGCCCAAAGTCTTTCCAATTATCTCCAATATGTATTAATGGAAATTGAACTGGTGAGAACTTACCATATAATATAACCATGAAAAGCAATAAAGATATACAATTTGTTGTTTATTTGAACAAAAACTACATATAGTATAGCAGAAAAATAAACTAATAGCATTTTATGTATTTATACATTCCTATTATGCAAGTTCTCCTATGATCCAGAATAATACTTTGATAATGCACTTTTAATTGCCTTGAGTAAAAGTATCCTCTTTTTTCTACTTTAGAAGCTGTTGTGAAGGCAGAGCAGCATCTGCTGAAGAGACAGAAACCAGCCCCAGAGGTGTCACAGGAAGGCACCAGCAAGGACATTGGTCTTTGATTTGATTCAGCAGTCCTGTCAAGTATAAATGTAAGTGTGAGGAGCAACAGAGGGCAGGGCAGTGGTCTGGGTGGTCCACAGGTAAAGCCGCAGATCGCTGTCCAGGAGCACAAGGGCCCTTGGCAGATGCTCAGTGTCTAGCCTGCCTGCATGTCCTGACTCCCATCCCTATCCCCATCGTTGCAAAAGCCTTGAGAACATTGCTACTAATATTAGGTTTTCAAATCCCCTGTAGTAAAATACATGTGCAGAGTGTGATCCTAGCTGATTTTTAAGTCTAGGCATGTTGAATAGAGTCTTAAAATAATCATTTCCATAGAACTTGACTAGGTATCCAAATGTTCACCAGATGCTAGGAGTTAGATTTTGCAGAGGAAAATTGTGAACTTAAGCTTCTTTTCATGATTCAGCAGAGGGTTTTAAGTAATAAAAGATCTGGAGATTTGTAACATAAATAATTCCAGTGCAAATGGGAAAATTAAAATAATCTTATCATCTCTCAGTCATGTCTATATATGTTTTTATACCATTATCATATTTCTCTTAATTGGGGCAACTTTTTTTCTGGCTGATATTTTATAGTTTTAAGTTATGAGCTGTAATGAAGAAATGATTCCTTTCAGACGACTGAAGTGATATGTACTAAATTTTCCTAAAAACAATCTAGGATGAATGAAACAGAGCATGATATGATGGAAATGGTTTTCTTTGTATGTGGTATTGAATATACTCACAGCAAAAAATAATAACAGCATGCCAGAATCCCTTTTATTCCTTAATTGATCTCTCAGCAGAAGCAATAAAAACATAAAGTACATCATTAACTTTCAAACCTTGATGGAAAAAAAAAAAACCACAACATACCGTCCATTTCTGACAAGTAGACATTATCTCATAGTATCCACAGCCATCCTATGCTTATTACTATTGCCTGGTCTTAAGTGTGACTTTTGGACACACGACTCAATATTTCCTGATATATAATAGTACAATGGTTTTTATAGTCTATTTAATTTTATTTCATAATTAAAAGAATGAATTGCTAAGATTCCCCAGATTTTTCTTGTTCTTTTTGGGACAGGGTGGACACCTGAACGAAAGGAAAAGCACAGCATTTAGCCCTATCATTAATCCCTCATTGACTGCATCCTGTCTAGAATGCATCCATTTAGAGTTCCTGGAGAAATGCAAATACATTAATGATTTTACTAAGGCATTACATTTTTAATATAGGTACCACTAATTATTTTGGCTGGATTCCATCAAAGCCAGATGTTCTCCAAATGAAATATTTATAATGCAAACCCAGGGAATAAAAAAATACATGCTCATTGAAGCAGCAGATTATAGGACTCGTGGATATTAGAAAAACTGAGGAAAGAGGCATGATGTGGGTAACAGCCATAATGTCAGAGTAAGCCTCTGAACTCAACCCAGAGAAACTTTGTAATTGTTGCAACCAGTGATAGGCTCGGCTTCTGGATTTCTTGTAACAAAATCTTACTGCCAAGGGCATTGATGAGCTCTCCCAGTAAAAAAAGTATAATAATAATGTTAAACTAAATCATAAAAATGCAGAAGGTGGTTATTAAAGGGCAGAGGAGAGAAATTGCTTGTAAAGTTCTGGTGGAAATATCAAAAATACATTTTATTGAACTTTTAAGAAATTAAGCTCTTTGTTTTTAAACTAGGGTGCAAAAGCAATAAAACTTAAAGGCCATTCAATAAACTATTTCATTCAATGGTCATCAGCAATGATTCAGCAGTAAAAATAAAAATCACATTTATTCAACATGGTCATCAATTCAGGCAGGCCTGAAGCTTACAAATGATAAGTTTGTCAGTGAAAATAACCAGCTGAAAGTATTTTTAAATGAATTTTGATTGAAAAAATAATAAAGAATTTTTTGAATGTACACCTTTTTCTTAGTGAAAATGGACTTGGTTTAACTTGACATAGTATAAAACTCTTAATGTTTTATGTAGTTTATTAAGTTCTATGAAGAAATGTATTTGAAACAAATGTAGATAATGACCAAAAAAGCTTAAATATGAACACCATGATAGGCATACAATTAAGAAAATGGAAATAGATCATGATAACTAATCTTTTGCATGCCCTCCAAAAGCACAGAATGTAACTTTTTTAATTATTTTTAATAATCTAGAGTTTTCTTTCTGATCCTTTTACCTTCCAAAAATATAGATTCCTGAATGATAGAACATAGACATTTTGGTAGACAGATTATATATTTTCCTCAAGTTAAATAACATATACCTCTAAGCAACAATCATCATAAAAACAAGCTTTTTGCTCATTAAGATACCTAATGTGCCTTACACATAGTATGTACTAAATAATATGGGTTGAACTGAATTATTCCCATTTTTTGTTCAGCTATTAATGTGTCTCTTGGATTTACACTAGAGAGGTGGTGTCCCACACATGGGAATTAATGAGCTACATCTGTAACCAAAAATATCCACGGAAAACCTGTTGAATTGATCCATATCTGTTTTATTAATCAAGCCCACTACGGAAGGGCTTTCTTGTGGTTGTACTACACTTTGGAAATAAATAGAGTGGGGAAACCACAGTTCATTTTAAAAGTTGTTTGAAACTTTGAAGAACACGGGATTTTATATTATACGACAGCAATAAACTCCAATTTTTGATGACTGTAATTCTGAGTATATAAGTATATAAATATTCTGTACATATAATTTTACTGCAGAACATTATGACTGTGGCCAAGAAGACCCTTACTGTTCAATATGGAATTTACTTGTTACTGCCACTGTCTTCCTTCCTCAATTTTTTAAAATAAAAAGACTTTTAAAAATAAAAAGAAATTTTAAAACTAGCTTGGTATGAATAGCCTTTAGCTGAAGCAGATGGCTGGAAGTCAGAAGCCCCAGATTCTATCCTTCATTCTCCTACCAACTTGGAATGTGGCCTTGGGCAAGTCATGAGAGTAAATCTACAACAAAAGAGCTAATAATGCTTTACATGTGTATGGTGTTTTATGATCTAACAGAGCACTTTCACATACAATATCTTATTTAATCTTCCCCGCAGCTTCCTGAAAAGAGTATGGCAGTTATTAACGATCCCCATTATAAAGAGGAGGAATTTGAGACCCAGTGAAACTAAATCACTTTTTCAAGTCAGGAACAGTCATAGTCTAAGATTCCCGGCTGGTCTTTGTCTTTCCTCTACACCACATTGCCACCCTCTGGCACCTCCAATGGTGGCAAAGCAGGAATGACTATAGCTGCACTGTTCAATATGATAGCCACTAACCACATTCTGGTACTGAGCATATGAAATGTGGCTAGTCCCAATTGAGATGTGCTGTGAGTGTGAAATATACACCAAATTTCTAAGACTTGGAATGAAAAACAGAATGTAAAATGTCTCATCAATACTTTATATATTGATTGCATGTTGAAATGATATTTTTAATATTTTGAGTTAAATAAAAGTAATAAGTATAAATATATTAATAAATATTACCAAATATGGTTTAATAAAATTAATTTCACCTGTTTCTTTTTACTTATTAATATGATAATAAAAAACATAAAGTTGATATTTGACTCACATTGTCCCTATGCGACAGCACTGACCAGAGGATTCCACTGTTCAGAGCCCACATACTAATTTCACAGTACTGGACTTGTTTATGTACCTGGCTTGATGTAGCTGATACAAATTCCCTAAGATGCTGTCAAATAGAGGGCAAGGTAGATTAGCAGCAATGATTTGGGCATTCTCACACATCTTCCACATGCAGGAAAAAATCTGGCTTCATTAGTTGATGCCCCAAATTGCTCATTCATTAAAAGGGTCCATTTTATACCGTTGAATACTTGAGAGACTTCGAAGTAAAAGTGCTATGGCAAGAACTATAAATTAGTATGGCTCTATAGCACTCTTTATTTTCAAATATGTTCCCATTAAACATTATGAATGAATGAGACATTAAACTGTTAGGCTGATATATACTATGTAAAATAATAATTATATATAACTTTGTTGTACAGTATGTTTTATTCTACCTACAAAGTCATTAAGATATTTTACATACAATCCCTAAATAAATAGCTTATTTCTGTTATGGAACAATCTAACTGAAAGTCCTCAGGAAAAATGAGTTCTTATTTAGAAGAAAAAATATGTATAGTAAAAAATAGCTCAGATAACTAAAAACTAGCATCTATTTGGCAGTTATTATGTGGGCTCAAGTACCATGCTAAGAGTTACACCAAGGTTCTCTCACTTCATCTTTACAGGGCTTTGAAAATCAGCAAGAGGGAACAGAACCAAAGGTCTTAACCACTACTGCTTCTTATTTCAAAGCAATTTAAAATCATAACTCAACCTATCATGACAGTGTAAGAATATTTGGAATTGATTTTATTTTATTCATTTAAGCTCCACAAGCATCTACCTAGAAAATGCAATGGATCAGGAACAGTTCTAGACACTGAGGGAATATTGAGCAGTAAGACCAGAGCTCTACTCTCAAAGAGAACACTGATTGATAGGTTTATGAACATGCTTTTGAAAAATGCATACTTATGACTAAATAGAAGGGGAGTCACTATTCATGTTCTAAAGGGTTTCTTTATGTTCCAATAGAAATCTTTATAGTGCTATTCCTGTTTGTTAAAATTTACCTATTGTTCATAAAGCAAAGGTCTTATGTAAAAAAAAATTAAAAAATAAACTACATAGTTTGAATTTCAGAGGTTTGCTTTCCTCCATTATACTCACTTGGAAGAAGAGGTGCTGAAATTACCATAAATATTTTCTAGAACAAGGAGAGATGAAAGCAAACAAACAAAAGGAACCTAAATCAAAATGGCTCTAAGAAAATCACAAAATAATGAAAACTAAAGAGTTTTATAAACTTTTATACAATAATAGTGATAAGTTATCTTTGAAGGTAGAGATTTAAAATTATGCATGAGTTAACTATATATTAATTGTTTAAAGAATATTTCAAAATAGAATGTATAACTTGTTGCCAACTTCTTTTTCTTTTTTTCTTCTTTTTTTTTTTTTTTTTTTTTTTTTGAGACAGATTCTTGCTCTGTTGCCACGGCTGGAGTGCAGTGGCATGATCTTGGCTTACTGCAACCTCCACCTCCTGGGTTCAAGCAATTCTCCTGGCTCAGCCTCCTGAGTAGCTGGAACTACAGGTGCACACCACCACACCTGGCTAATTTTTGTATTTTTAGTAGAGACAGGGTTTCGCCATGTTGGCCAGGCTGGTCTTGAACTCCTGATCTCCAGGAATCCGCCCACCTCAGCCTCCCAAAGTGCTGGGATTACAGGCGTGAGCCACTACACCTGGCCCCAGTTTCCTAATGTTCATGTTTACCTAGAATTAAATAAAAAGAAAATATTAATAGCCAACTCTGGGTGGCAGAATTTTAGACAGTTTTGTGCCCTCATGTATACTCTTTTGTAAATTTTTCAAAAAAACATATATTGCTTTTATAATTGGTAAACAGAAAAAATATTGTAATTGACTCCAAAATCGATAGGTGATAAAGACAAAATTGTCCAGGGGGAGTAAAATGCAAATTTTGCTCTCAATCACAAAATTTTTAAAAAATAATAATAAATGTAATAGGTTCTTCCTTCCAGGTGTTATTGCCCTTTCTTTGATTCAAGATAAAGCAACCTGTAGGCTATTCAACTTCTCTAGACAAGAAAGGTTAAAAATTGGATTGAATTTTCAAGATTTTCTTGAGAAAGCATTTCACCTGCAGCTATGAACATGAGTGTAAAGATCAAAGTTGTAATACGGGCTGGTAAAGCTGAAAGTTGTTATTGTGGCAATCAGAAAAGTAGAGCATCATTAAAGTGTACCTCTTTCACCTTAAAACATAAACTGGCCATCAATCATTTCTAATGGCATCTACTTAAAACTGGCCTTATGATTGGCTCCTAAGTGTGTAAAATGTCAGGTGGAAATACATAAACACATCTTTGAGCTGGATAGAGTCTCAGTGATCCTAAAAAGTGAAATATAGAGCTATTTTAGAGATGCCATTTAAAAATTTATGGAGAGAGATTTGGTCTTATAATTTCTTTCATGAATACTAAAATTTTACTACAAAGAAAATTCAGAAATGAGTTATTTGTGCCATTTAATCATTAAATCATAAATCCACAGACCATTAGAGCTGGAAGGGGCCTTCTAGATTACCTCCTCCAATGCCAATATTTTGCAGATGAGAAAGTAGGAACAGAAAATTTATTTTCTCAGGGTTAAGCATGGTGGCTCACACCTGTAATCCCAGCAATATAGGAGGCCAAAGCGGGCAGATCACCTGAGGTCAGGAGTTTGAGACCAGCCTGGCCAACATGGCGAAACCCTGCCTCTACTACAAATACAAAAATTAGCCAGGTGTGGTGGTGGGTGCCTGTAATCCCAGCTACTTGGGAGGCTGACGCAGGGAGAATTGCTTGAACCAGGCAGGTGGAGGTTGCAGTAAGCTGAGATCGCACCACTGCACTCCAGCTTGGGCAACAGAGTGAGACTGAAAAAAAGAAAAGAAAATTTATCTTCTCAGGAAAAAGTAAAATCACTCAAAAATATCTTAAAGAATCCAGAAACATCTTGAATCTTACTGACGAAAAATTAGGTATTTTGAATCCTACTAGAACTTTAATTATAACTCGAATTTTTAGTTTGGTTGTGGGCAGTCCTACGCAATGAAGGAAAGACGCTAACAGTGACTGTGGAAAGCACATTCACAATGAACACTTATAAAGTTAAAACTAAAAATAAAACAGACCAATGATTTCAGACCAGGTTATTCATTCATTACTCAGCTTCCTTTCTTTAGTGAGTCAAGCAATTGAAATGAGCGTTCTTAGCCACTTTTAAGACACAATTCTTCTATTATCATGAAAAATTGGCTACTTCTAAAGTTGCTGATATGCTGAAGAATAATGGGACATTCATTCTTTGAGTTAAAAAATCCAAATTATTGCCAAAATCCTCCTGATTTAATGCATTTATGAAAATATGCTTATAATAAAATTATATATATTAAGAATATACTCCTCATCCCCTGCAAATAGATACTTACTTTGCATTATGGACATCCTGGAAGAAGTAAACATGAAAGCTCTTTTTCTAAGTTTAATGTTGATCTAAGAAATGGAAAATAGTAACACTTGGTTTTAAGGAAACTAGCACAGTGTGGACATGTTCATTGTCATCTGTAAAGTAGAAATAAGAGTAGACTCTTGCAAAATCATTTAAGAATTAAATCAATAATAGATATAAAATGGTTAGTACAGGGTTTGGTCATAGTTAACATTTAATAAGTCCCAGCTATTAGTAGTAGTGGTAGTAATATTATTATTATTTATAACATGATCACTCTTCTACTACTCCCTTCCCTTCAAGCAAAACTCTTGTGATTCCCCTACACTATTTTATGGCGCCATGTGCTTGTATATTCTGATCCCTCTCCCCAAATGCCCTATCCTGACTTCTATATCTGCTGAACTCCTACTTATCACCCAAGGTCAGCTCCAAAGTTTTTTCCTCTTACCTGCGTTACCTAATCCCTGATTGCACTCACCTATTTCCCATGGTTCTCTGCATATATCCCTCTCCTATCAATTGAGATGAGGACTTTTACTTGATTCTCCCTCACGCCCCCCACATGCCCCCCCACACACACATGCATGTACACATATGCACACACTCTGGACTACAGTGAATTCATCATACTCAATTTTGTATCATCATAGAAATGTCTATTGAAATGAACAAACTCCCGCATAAATAAATGACTTTTTAATTTCATGAGTAGGTATCAGGCTAGAATGTGCACCTAGTGGCCTCAGTTTAGAGGGGGAGAAGGGGAGATGGGTATATGAGGAAAGCTGGGACATGCAACTCACCAGCCCTGGAGCCCGGCTCTGCCACATGCCTACTGCTATGACTTGTGGTAAATCATTTAACTTCCCTGGACCTCAGTTTTCCTTCTCAGCAAAATGGGAGGACTGGGCAAAATGTTATCTGAGGACCCTTCCAGCACCAACCTTTATATATGATGCTATGCACTGGTTTATCTCAATGGTTCTCAAACTTTAGCAGACATCAGAATCATCTGGAAGGCTTATTAAAATACTGGTCAGCAGATCTGATGGGGCCCAAGAACTTGCATTTTTAACAAATTGCCAGATGATGGTGAGGCTACTGGCAGGGGGACCACACTTTAAGAACCACTAACTGATCTTCTTGACACAGGATCCTGACACTGTCCTGTTGTTATCTGGTGAAAGGCACTCCTGATATGATAAGATGCAGGCAAGTAAACCCACACTTCTG
Organism: Homo sapiens; assembly: GCF_000001405.40. NCBI lineage: Eukaryota > Metazoa > Chordata > Mammalia > Primates > Hominidae > Homo > Homo sapiens. The sequence continues at coordinate 99,753,361 of NC_000003.12, forward strand.
TGAGGCTGCCATCACAAGGACTAGGTGCCTATGGGTGAGCCCCAAGGGTGACCACAGAATGAAAGCTTTGCTGACTGGAGTTTTGTTAAAGGCTCACTTTGTGGGAAAGAAACTGCCTGACTTCTCAATGCTATAGGGTATAGAAAACACTGACGCCAGGGTTGGACCCATCAGTTAGTACCGCTGCAGCTGAAGTCACATGGATCACAATTGCCATCTAGTGATGACTTTGAATTACTGCATCAAGAGACTACAGAATGAAATGCTGCTTTTTCATTTAGAAACTGCTTTTTTTTTACACAAAACTATGTTCAAAATGAGATCCCTTAAGGATAAAGTCTAATGTGCTCCGGTCTTATCTACATTTGTATCTCAGTACTATGAAAATAAATACATATATAGTACTTACTATGTGCTAGGCATGGTTCTATGCTTTATATATGTTCAATTATTCACAGCAAACCCATGAGATAATACAAATTTTCCCAGTTTGGAGACAAGAAATAAAACTACAAATGTACAAAGCAATGAAAAGACTTGCTTGAGGTTGCCCAGTCAGTAAAATGGTAGAGCTTGGACTGAACCTAGACAGCTACTGGGAAGATAACTACACTAACCAGTTTCTCTTATATCAATTTAAAACATAGTTGCTGAAACAATTAGTACTTGTAAACTGTTGTCAGTTACAGATATGGGTCTGCAAAATTTTATTAAGTATACACTGAATAAATAATTTTTTTCTGATCCTTCCAAATGAAATCAGCTTATATCCAATAATTAAAGAAATGTTTCTACCTACAGAAAGCCAAATGCAACAAAATGAGCACCAACTTGGATTAAGATTTGGAATCATTTTTCCACCTGCTATACAATCTTAGACAAGTCACTTAGATCCACTTTTTCATCTATGAAGTAGAAAAAATAAAACCATAGTTTACATAGCTATGTAATTCCCAAAAATGTGGTTTAGGGGTTCTGTAAAGTCAGATTAAATTTTAGAGTAGCTGCTCAAGTTATCCACTGAATGCGATCACAAGAGCAAAGAGGGAGATCATGGATAATAACTATACTGTTTTTTTTTTTCAAATTGTCTCTCATGTGTGAAAGAAGCCAGGACAAGAGGTTTGATCTCCTGGTCTATCGTCCATAAGTGCTAGCAGTAAACAATAACACTCATGGTGTTTGTGGGAGAATTAAAGAGCTCAATAAGAAAGATACACATTTCCTTTATTTTTCTGAATACTGTACTTGGCCTGTGCACCTGAGCTCTGCATCCCTGCCTGTTCTCTGCCTCCCAAGGGTCCTCACCAAAGAACTCCTACAGAAAGATCACATATTTGCCAGTGGATTGAGGTTCAACCCCCTCTCACTCCAACCTTCTCTTACCAGAGATCTTCTTGGATTTAAAAACCAGGTCCCTGATAATCCTTTTAGCTCCTTATCTAAAACATCTCAGTTACCAAATAATTTATCTCAATAGACCAAACCAGAGTTATCAAACCAAAGTACTACAGTACTAGGTTTCTTTGCACCTGTATATGTGTAACATGCTAAGACTTGCTGGCATCAAATTCATGGTAATGAAGGAAAAATAAACATAGAGTCAGAGGAATAATGGGTAACAATTAAAATACAGTAGGGTAAACTATCAGTACCTCATTTTAGTAGATTTCTTGATGTCATTTCAAGTATTTGCACATATTTAGTCACCAAAGCAACCCTAAAATTAGGCTAGATAAGCTTATTATCAACACCATTTGAGAAATAAAGATATTGACACACAGAAGTGTAAAGAAAAACAAAGGAAATTGAAGCAAAGAAACTTTAAACAACTTGAAAAAATAAGTGAGGGTTCATATATCCTAGTTATTAGGCCTATGCTTGGCCCCACAATTATAGTTTAACAATCAAATCCTGAAATAAGATGACTCCCTCTGATAGTTGAGTTTTTTAAAAGTTCTTTATACAAATATAGTAGAAGTAAATGAATAATTAGACTTCAAGGATAGTAAACACTCCATTAATTCACTCAACCAATATGTGTTGAGAATCTGCTATGTGGCTGGCACTGTTTTAGGTTGGGGAGTTTAGCAGTGAATGAGGGCAAAAATGCCATTCTACCCTTAAAGCTTACATTCTGTCTAGTTGGAGAAGAGTTGATAAATGTGAATATAAATAAATATTTAATACCATGTTGATCATGAAGAAAAATCAAATAAGGGAAAGGGATAGAGAATGATAGGATGAGGGATGCTGTTTAAAATTGAATGGTCAACACAAGCCACTCTGAGGAGGTGACATGTGATCTGAGATCTGAAGAAGGCAAGGCCATGCAACACAATGATCTGGAAGACAGTTCAGGCAAATGGGAAGTCCCAAGGCTGAGAACCAGTTTGGCTTGTTGCAAGATGGCAAGAAGACCACTGGCCAGAGCCTGGTAACTAAAGAGCAGATGGTGTCAAAGAAGAGAGCGGAGCCAGATCGCTTAGGTCTTGCAGGCTGTGGAGGGGAGTTCAGAGTTTACATGAACTGGGGTGGGGAGCCACAGGTGGATTTTGAACAGAGTGACAGGATCTGGTCTACTTCTTTAAATCATTACTCTGGTTTCTCTGAGGAGATTGGACTCCGCACATGAATGGAGACAGGGAGGTAAGGCACTGGTCCAGGCAAAACATGATCGGTGCCCAGTGACTCAGGATACATTTTCATTAAAGAGATCATAAAACTTGCAGATGGATTGGATGTGTGAGAAGAAGAGATATCGAGAATGTCTCCTGCACTTTGAGCCTGAGCAACTAGATAAGTACGAATACCATTTATCAAAATAGGGGAGCTTGGGGTAGAATCATTTTCTGAATCTTATAATCCTCCAATTGTACCAGTGAACTCAATTTGAGAATTCATTTTTGAAAGTGAAAAAGACTTTTAGTCCAAGAATCTTTAGAAAATGTCACCACCTGTTTTAGGATAAGCCATGTATAGCAATAATTATATTCTGCCACATGGAGTATTCCACTCTTAGAATTCTGAACCAGACCATGGTCCTGATATGATGTAATATTTCTAAGTGTTCCTTTGTAAAAATAGTTTCAAAGACTCATGAATTATAAAATCATGCCTCCTGTTTAGGACATGTTTATAAATATGAATAATAGAAGCTTAGCTCCTAACTATTTCAAGAAGTACAAGGAAAACGTCCACAGTTCAGTTAAAAAGAATGTTAAATATCGGCCTGAGATTTATACTCTTGAGAAATAAATGTTACAGTAGAAATGGGAAGAAATGTGCTTGGTCTCTGAGCCAGTGGTTCTTTTATGGGAACCAGGGTCTTCAATTTCCAGGCAGCTACGCTGTGCTGAACTTGGACTCAAAGATTTGGGGACAGTACCATCACGTCACCTAAGCATGATCAAGAAAACACTCACTTTGGGGATACAAACGTCTTAGCCAAAATCAGCAGTAAATCCAGCATAGAGCCAAAACTATGTAAACAGTAGTGTAAAGATCCATATGCAGAGAAAACTGAAGGATCACTAAATTCCAAGGAAATGTGGTTTCTTTTTCAGTCCCTACTTTTTACAGAGAATGCTCCTTTTAAATATTTTAGCTTCTCTGATGGATCTGAATTAGCTATGGTCATTTTTGTAGATGAAGAAGAAACGAAATTCTAATGGCATATAAACTCTAGAAAGACAGGGACTTTTCTGTCTTCTTGCTGTATCCCCAGCAATTAGAACTGCACCTGGCAAATAGTTGGCATTCAGCAAATCTTTGTTGAATAAAGAAATGAATAAAGAAAAGCTTGAATAAATTGCTGAATTTAAAGGGGAAAAATAAATTAGACAGGAATCTTTTCTTTCTACTTGTTTTTATATCAAAATTCATTTTGTCAGGTGAAACCTAATAAAAATGTTGGCAGAAACTTTTCTTCCTCGGGGTGCAACTCTTGTCTAATACACTCTTTCTCTGGTGTCACAGTTAACCTCTTGTTGACCATTCATGACATTGACTAAGCATTAACAGATTTTTATCTTAGGTTCCTACAGATTTTATGGGGTCTACATTTCTCACCCATTCTTCATACTCTTTGCTGGGGAGCACTGCCGACCTGAAAAGTTAAACAAATAACTACATAATTGTCAGGCTGGTAGCCCCAAAAGATGACTTCTTTTGACTGCCGTATTAATTCTGTCTAATCTTCTAAGATCCATGTCTAAGATTCTAGCCTGACTTAAACTTATATCAGTTCATTTACCTTTATCAGTTCTGACCTCATGCTCAGGGCTGGCCTTTTTTCCATCACCATCATTTTATCTGCCGTAGCTATTGAGTACCTATGGATGAAAACTAGTAAAGAAATAAAAATGAGAAATGAAGAAGGAATTGAATGGGATACATCTGTTCCCAAACTAAGGCCCTTTTCAGAAAGTATTTAATGAGAAAACAGAAGCCTCACATTTTTACAGCATAGAATCTAGACTGGATTTTAGAGGCTACTGTCACTCAGCCTGATCAGCATGAATCTATCCTTGTATCAAGTGTTCCTTGAGATCTTTGAATCTAAAACCTTTTAAAATTTGTATAAGTTATTCTAAAGTGAGAAAATAAATAGAATAGAATACATTCTTTTAGGTTGATACCAAAGTAATCATGGTTTTTGCCACTACTTTCAATGGCAAAAACTTACTTTTGCATCAAGCTCATAGTAGAACATTACAGAGAGATAAAATAAATCTTTCTCATCTCGCCTTTTGGTGACATCACACTTTAAAAATAGGTATGAGCAGGAGCCCAAAGGAGGAATTTCAGTTAGGCTAATCGGCTTACAAGTAGAATGTCTTCCAGGATTCAAGAACTTTTGGCAAACATTAGTTAGCACATTCTTACTAAAAGGTAAAAACCTTTTTTTTCTTTGTCAGGTTTTAAATGACACTTGAAAGGGAAACTCTCCAAACCATAGCCAAAAGCAGGTTAATCCAACTTCCCCCAGCCAGCTCAAGATCAATGAAAAAGTTAGCCCTGAGGAGTTCAGGATGTTAATTGTGAAACATAATTCCATTACATTTATGGCTGTATAAACTGAGCAGAGCTCCTCTTGAATATTATGAGGTGTTCTTTGCAGTGCGGGCAATTGGTTATACTGGATGCTGTAACAGATACTTTATTGAAAAGAACCACAGTTTAATCACAAGCTGTTCATTAGGACTGTGGTTCTCAATCTTTATGGGACATAAAAATCAACTAGAGCATGCTTGTAGAAAATGCAGATGTCTGGTCCACTCCCCAAGCCTTTCTAATCACGTTCCATGTAGAGAAGACTGGGAACCAGGAAGGCAAGTGAGTAAGATACAAGTCGTCTGTAAACCACACATTGAGAAATACTTCACTGAAGTCTGATTTGAGCACCTTGAAGTCAGGTCTCTCTCTTTATAAACCTTAATTCCCTGCACCTACCACTGAGACTGGAACCTGGTAGACACTCAATGAATATTTAGTGAATTCAAAACAATTAGCCTTTATAGATGCCAGGCACTGTTCTAAGCACTCTACACATACTAGCTCATTTAGTCCTTATAATAAAGGACTATTATTGGCCTTGACACTTGTTGAACACTCTGCCTGTACACTGTCCAGAGAGTCATATGGCTGGCTTCTTTCAGCTGCCACCTCCTCAGGAAAACCCTTCTTGACAGCCCATCTAAAGTTGCATCGATCCTACTCCCAACCCATCACAAGAGCCTGTTCCTTTTTTTTTTTTTTAAGCAGTTACCTCTATCTAAAATTATTTTGTTTGGTTTATTGTCTTGCTCCCTTCACTAAAATACAAGCTCCATGAGAACAGGAATCTCACCAATCTTATTTGTCACTGTCTAGAAGTACAGTGCCTGAATCACAGTAGACGGTAAGAAAATATTTGTTAAATTAATGCATTTAGCAAATGCATAACAAATGAAAAGCAAAGGAGTTGTATTTGCTATGTAATTTCTCAGTTCTCTCAGAGCTTCTAAAATTTATAAGGCTAAAAAGCGACAGAAAGACTTCTATCCTAGAAATATCCTCGAAATGATTTCCTAAACTACCCTGTCCCAAGTCATAGCATAAACATGAGAAAAAGGGAAAACTACATAAGGGCTAAAATATCTGGGTAGATTTTTCATTCTATGATTCAATATTTTGCTTGAAATGAACTCTTAGGATGTCAGACACATCCATGTTCAAACATAAGTAAAAAACACATGCCAAGATCAAATGTACAAGATTTTCAGATTAACCAATGTTTTTTTAGACACACAATGACTCTGCTTTATTAGTTTGAAAAGCTGTATCTACATGACACCAAAAGAGCTAGTTAAATCAATAAAACTCAAGCCAGTTGTTTCAACCGTAAAAAGAATAGATAGAACAATTCACTTCAAATGATGACTGTGCCAAACTCATTGATTGTATTGCTTTGTGCCAACAAAATCACCCTCAGGAGCTGACTGGCTGTAGGCTTGGGAGAGAACATTTTAAATGGGTTTCTCCTACCGTGTGATCATGGTTCTTTGAAAGGGGCCACTTGGCTAACCAAACCCATGTAGTATTTCTACCATGGACAATCACATCACTCTCTTCCTCTTCTTTATATATGTTTTTGAGTCTCAGGCAAATGAGAGTAAGGCCTAGGAATTGCTGCTATATGAAGCAATTTTTACCACTTCTACTAAAATGTCAGACAGTGAATATTGTCAGTGATGTTGTTGGATAGAAAACACTCAAAATCAACTAGAGACTCAAAAAAAAAAAGTTTTCCTTGTTTTATTTTGAGAATGTCTTTTCACTGTGCTCATGAGGGAGTTGGCCAGACCTGGGTTGGCTTCATTAGCCATCTCAGAGCACGTGAATACATCATAGAAAAATCTTTCCATCTTTGAGGAATTCCTGGTCTCCAATCACATTCATTTCAGTCAGTCATTGAGGCTTAGCATGAAACTTGGAAGTACCAAAATAAATGGAGAAAAAGAGGCAGAGGGAGGAGTACAAACAGTGAGGTGGCTCTACTAGGCAAAGAAAAGATATTTTCTTTGCAAAGAACTTCAGCTAGAAAGAATTTTGCTGCCCCCTCTCCCATAGAGAAATATTAAATATTTAGTCAGAATATTTTAAAAGATAGATAGGAATTTTTTTATTCTAAAAATGTCCAAGGACAATCTAGTCGAGAATGAACATAAATTCTATGTCCACAACCCAAACCCTCAAAACCATCTGAGTTAACTCAAAGCCAGGTTTAGCACATTTTGCTTACCATTTTCTGAGCTAAACATGATTTGGATTACAAATTTCTCTGACATTCATGTGTAGACCTGAGAGACTGTCATTTCCTTATCAGAAGCAACAGGAGAAATTCTAACTATGAAGACTCACAGAGATTTATCGCCTCCATTCCCAGCCTGACATTTGGCTCAGCACAGAGGGTAGGCAGCCAAAAAGAAGTCCTCTGCTAAGGTATGAAGGGAATTGGCTGCTTGCAAAGTCCAGACTTGGGAGTAACACAAACAGGGCTTTTACATAGCCAGCAAAGCCTCGTCTGTTTGAAGTCAGATCAATTGATTTCTTGAACATTTCAAATAAGCAAAATTCTGCAGAAAATAGGAGCCAGATGAATTTTTAACTCAGGAGTTCCTTGGAAGAGAGGTAGAAAATAGTCAAAGAACGTCTTCTAGTTTCACATTTGCTCTCCCAATAGACTTACTCTCCAGAACTATACCCACATGACATGTATATAGAAACAATGATTGAATAAACTTGAGGGGTAGACTTTTTCTTATTGAAATAAAAAAAGAAACACTATACGTCTGATATAAATATATACCAATTTCTCTTAAAATACTATACTGATTTTGAAGGAGCTCCAAAACACTTACCATCTATTGTGGACCTGGCACTGTCTTGGCAATTTTTGCAAACCTCAAATGCTAGTTATTATTTTCATGGTACACCTAAAGAAACTGAGGTTTATGGTGATTCTGTAACTTGGCAGAGGACACAATGATTGTAAATGAAGAGACTGAGATTGACTCCTCAAAGCAGTCCCCAGCTGATTCTCGGAGTTGAAATTGAAATGGAAAGAATCAGATTTCTAAGACTAAGTTTCTTCTCTACTTGCTATTGCTAGTTTGCACCTCCTTGCACATGATACAGGAATAAATTCGCAGCCTGTGTTGAAGCTGTAACTACTAGGTTAGGATTAGTCAGGCAGTTGTGTGTATGTCAGGAATGCTACCTCGCCAAGCAGGAGCAGCCTGTGCACAAGTTTCCCCAGGAACAATAAGGGGACAAAAATGGAGTCCTTCCCTCTCTCCAATACTCTCTGACTTTAGATATCTAGATATCTCTGGCTTTAGATATCTAGAGAAAACACGTGGAACATGAAAAGAAGAAAACAGACACCCTCTCATATCTAGTTGTTATCTTGTTAACACCTTGTTCTTTGTACTTGTGACTTTTACAGAAGATGAAATACTTCTTTTCTCTTAATTTCACATATGCTGCTCAGAAGCCCCCAGGTTTCGTGGAATTTTTATTAAGAATTCCAGCTATTCCAGCAATAAATTTTAGACACCACAGCTTTGGCTGACAGAGAGGCGATACATACCATGTTTGGTACAACTGACCTCGAGGGATTTTTCTCTCTGCTTTCTTCTGCTTTTTCTTCTAGTGAAACTGTCCTGTTATTGGTTTTTATTAATATGATCATATTTTCCCTTCTCAGAAATATCATTTTTGAGATAAGGAAATAATAAAAATGGTAATAGATAGTCATCGCTGGTATTTTGTTGGCTCTCCTCTGCTCTTGTATTTGAACTGGCTGCTCTGTTTCTTGAGCACTTTGATACCAACAAAGAAAATCACGCACATTTTAGTGTGGGCTTTTTAATGTGTATCTATGTTAATCAGGCCCACTCCTAACATTTGTCATGCTTTGGGCAAAAGTACAAATAAAGGTCGAGATACCGTACTTAAATACTTAAAAGTTATCAGTTGAGTTAACAAACTGCTAAAAAAAATTATGTTCTATCCTTCTGCCTTGTCAGTATGTCTTCATATCAAGCTGGGAGGTAAAGTTCAAATTTTCAGACTCTTTGGAGTTCTGAATGCGAAGATGCAGGGAGACCAGCCTGCTGCTGAGTTCTTTTGTTCCCACCCTCAACTCTGCCATGGACCACAACAGATTTCACAGCCATGCATGTGAACATCCCATTCACAGAGCAAAACTCTATCCACAGCCTCCAGCAAACAGCTGTTCCCTAGCCCCACGTTGGTCCTAGGCTTGCACCCCAGTGATACAGTGTATGTCAAGAGGCAGGACCCTGAACAAAAGCCTGTGCAGACACTGGAAAGGGTTTAAGATCATCTGCATAGAGAATTCCAGGATCCTGTGCATCCAGAGCATGGTCGAGGAGTGTGGGCTCTGCATGGCACAATCCTTTGGCTTCTCACCCCATGGCAGCTGGGGGAGACATGGCTGGAGGACAGTCAGACCAAAGGCTCCTCTTGGCCCAACCTGGGTAGTACTTGGAGTTAATGTCCCCTTTGTTGTAATGAATAAGTGGGAATCAACCTCTTTAACTGCACGCTTTTCATTCATACCTTCTAGGTGGCAGAGAAAGGTATTTCAAAAGAGATTTGGAACTAGAAATTCAAGATCCCTAGCTTCATATAAGGCAAGATATCTGCACCTTGGTATCACTAAGGATTATGTAACTTGCTCTTTGAATTGCAAGTGCAGTCATCTGATTTCCTGCCCCAGTTTCCAATGGTCCAAAGCCAATGAAGAAACAGAGCCTGTTATATATTCCAAAGGAGACATCATAACAATGAATTATTATCTAACATAGAAATAACTTTAATTAAGAGGAGAGAATACAAGCTCATATTTCATTGTCATAAATTTCTTTAGAAGACAAAATAAGCAGAAGTCAGAGAAATGTACTCTGGGAGATGAGAGGGAAGGATGGGTTCCTTGGGTTTACATTTGTTCTAAGTAAGATAGGCTGTGCACCTCCTGCCTGTCTAAACCTCTGAATCCACTCCTGCCTCTACCAGTAATGATAACAATAATAATAACAGTTAATACCTACATCGCACTTACTTCATGCCGGACATCATTCTAAACACTTTACATGCATATACTTATTTAATCTGCATTAAAGTCCTATGAGGTCGGTATTATTATTATTATCCTCATTTTCTGGAAAAGGAAAATGAGGCACAAAAACATTTTTGGAAAAAAAAAACAAACTTTCCCTAAAGTCATGTAGGTAATAGTGTTCAGAGCTGGGGTTTTAACCCAGGCAGTGTGGCTCTACAATCCATGCACCCAGTACCATGTTCTGCTTCCTGAGGTGGTCTACCACCCAAGGACTAGCCAGCTCAGCCAATTGGTCACCATCTACTCTGCCGTGATTCCCCAAGTAACCATGCATTTGACCCCAGTAGTTGGAGGCCTCACCTAGAAAAACTGTCTCTTTGGCTGACCTGAGATTTCTTGCTTTCACCTGGGGTGATCTACCACCCAAGGACTAGCCAGCTCAGCCAATTGGTCACCATCTACTCCGCCAGGCTTCCCCAAGTAACCATGCATTTGACTCCAGTAGTTGGAGGCTTGACCTAGAAGAACTGTTTCGTTGGCTGACCCAGGATTTCTTGCTTTCTCTGTGGTAAGAACAGCCTCCTCCTCCTCAGGCCCAGTGACTATCACCCACCAGAGGCCTGGAAAACCATATCACGCCCAAATTCTCTTAACACCTAACTGAACTTTTTATATAGAAGCTTTGTGCATAAGAATTTTCTTATTTTCTTAAGGTTCACAAAACATTAGAGATTGTGCCTTATTTTTGTTTCCAATTTACAGTAGAGTTCTTTGCATGTAAGAGGTATCCAGAGATTTCTTAATAAATAAAGTCCTGCTGTATTCTTCAATAACTCTGAGTTTTAATCTGGCAGCTCAATGAATATAAAGAGCAGAACAACATTAGTATAAATTTCAAATTCAATTATGAGTTACATGAATATGAAAAGTATTTTTGTGCCCCTGTACATATATGTGTGTGCGTGTACACCACGATCTATTCAATATTCAAAGTTCCCATTCAAACAAGTAATATGTTGTTAGTAGTTAAGTGCTTAGAACCTGGAGGTAGATTCCCTGAGCTCAAATTCCAGTCCTGTTACTTACTGACTGTAGGATTTTTGACATGCTATTTAAAACCTCTGTGCCTTGAATGCCACATAGATAAGTAAGAATAATTATGGTAGTAGCTTTCAGTCAGGCAGATTTTTCTTTTTTTTCTTTTTTTTCTTTTTTTTTTTTTTTTGAGATGGAGTCTCCCTCTGTCGCCCAGGCCGGAGTGCAGTGGCGAGATCTTGGTTCATCTGCAACCTCTGCAGTCAGGCAGATTTTTCTAAGAATTAAATAAGTTAACCAATATAGGTGCTTAAATCAATTAATCAATGTAAAGTGCTTTTAACAGTGTCTGGCCAATAGTAAGTTCTCCATAAATGTTAGCTGTCATGTCAAACCATCCCATAATTCAAGTATAAATATGGTACCATTCAACACATAAAATAGTTGCATTTTTTAAGGGATTGATGAAGTTGTTAACCATACTTTCTCTTTATGGTTATTAAGAGAACAGTTATTAATAATAATAGTTAACAGAAAAAAATAACAAAGATGATACAACAAGGAATAACAGAATATAATACATGCTGCATTGGCCACCAAGTGTAGGCAATGTAACAAGTTACATTATGAAATGGCTCACAGAGACATGGTCTTGGCTATCAACATTATCAGCTGATTCACTATTCCCCTCTGTCTTAAAGGAAGCTTCACCCTTCTCAGAATAACAGGAAGCAGAGACTTCAATCTTAGCTCCAGTCTGGTAAACTGCTCAAACTCACACCAACCAACAGCAAGAGAATGAACTTCACAATCCCCAGCCAACATCCCATCCATTCAGCAAAGGGTATCTAGTAGAACAGGGAATACAATGAGAATCCACAATAATGTCGTGTTTTGTTTACACTCTACAATGAAGCCAGAGGGAATTATAGCAGGACTGCTGTATCCAAGATGTTTCAAAGTATATGCACCAGTCTAATCCTTTTTGGAGGCCAAATTCCTTCTTTTGTGATGTTAACATTTGCTGTACAAACCCTCCCAAATTCGTCCCCAGGCCTTCTTCAATGTAAAGCTTGGAACACTTCTTATTCTACATCTAGTTCTAGTTTACATCATTAGGATGTGGTATTTTCTCAATATCATTCACATAAGTCAGGGATCCCTGTAACCAGAGTAATGCTCAATTGCTCCTTTAACTCCTTTTGGTCAAATCTATGTTCTTGGCACCCAACCTAAGAATGTTAACATTTTGTGGTTACTAGATGTTTTTAATACCATTCTCTTCTCTAACACAACAGATTTATCTTCTGATGCCTTATCAAAATTACTAAAATTACATTCCAATTTCAGAAAAGTGTACTAAATACCATTCAATGCAACATAAAGTGGCTGTGACCACAGGTATTTTCTTTCTTAGGCTAATATATAGTATTTATATATCAAATGTTAGCTCAACAAACCCAGGAGATATTACTTCTTTTAAGGACAATTTTGTTCATAGATATGCCGAAGGTACCAGAGCTGGTTGGTAAAAAGAATATTAATATCCTATTGGATCCTGGAACCACAGTAATGGCAAGAATACAAAGGCTATATACTGTATATTAGTCAAGCTACCCTTTATTGAGTTTCTGCTAATTGTCAGGCATCACCATTTGTTACCAAATACGATCCCCATAGGGATTATTATTCCCATTTTTCATGCTAAGATATGGCTGTGTATTCCCTAAGGTTACACAGCTGATCAGTGACAAAGCCAGGATCCAAATCCAGGTGGCTAGGACCCTGCAGCCCATAGGCTCTTTCCACCTTGCAGGCCACCTGACAGCACATGATCCCCAATCACTGAGGCATACTTGGGAAAGAAGAACTGAGACTTAACAGCTCACTCAATCCATGCACTTAAGGCTGGGAAGCAAATTATCACTACAATTATCTGGAGAAGGAAAAGTAAACTTTTATATTCTTTCCTCATTAATATAATCCTTTAACAATACTTCATTTTCCCCTAGTGTTTTCTTTGAGAAAGAATATAATCAACCTCAAGGAAAAATGTGAAGCTATTAAAATTAATATTCACCATAATAATTGGACTTGACTCTCAGAAGCCAGTACCACTGACAGTTAAAGTTGATGTCCTGGCCAGATGCAGTGGCTCACGCCTGTAATCCCAGCACTTTGGGAGGCCAAGGCCAGTGGATCACCTGAGGTCAGGAGTTCGAGACCAGCCTGACCAACATGGAGAAACCCCATCTCTACTAAAAATACAAAATTAGCCAAGTGTGGTGGCAGGCACCTGCAATCCCAGCTACTCGGGAGTCTGAGGCAGGAGAATCGCTTGAACTCATGAGGCAGAGGTTGCAGTGAGCCAATATCGTGCCATTGCACTCCAGCCTCAGCAACAAGAGCGAAACTCTGTCTTGAAAAAAAAAAAATGATGTCCTCTAGGGGAGGGGGACTCTCATGATATTGCATCACAAATTTGTATAAAGCATTAACTCTTTTTGGTTCCTTCAGATATGTTGTTGCATTCTACCTTAACAATAATAAGTGTAGTACTGTGACACCTTCAAAGACATGGTGCCTCCTCCAAGCCTGAAATACTCTGTGGTTCATCTTTTCCCTATGAGTTTGATCCTACGGCTCAGAAGGTGACACTTTTTACAATACAACTTCATTCATTTTAGAGCTTGCTTTCTCTGAAGATTTGGGATCTTACCTATTTTGCCACCATTTATTAATCTTAGAGCTCCTCAGACACAAGGTTTTCATTTAATATTTAACTTTGGCCCAGAGACATTTTTAAGTTTCTCCAGCCCAAGTCTTGGAAAAGAGCTAAGGAAATGTAGCCAGGAGAACTCTACAACAATGTTTTTAAAACCTCATATGTCCAGATTTAAAACTACATACATTTATCTTTTCTTCAGGAACAGCAATAACTCTAAGCTGACAAGATTTTTATTAATATTCTTGGTAACAGCTGGTGGACCCAACATGTTTTTTTGGAAAAAGAAAGAAACCTCAAATACCTTTCATTCACCCGTGATGACCTGGCTCAGTCCTTGAGAGGATTAGGAGCATTTCTTTCATAAAGTCACATTTCATTAGGATGAATGTTTTGCCGCAACCCAACTATATTGTAGCCCATCATCACCCTTTCAGTTGATTACCAAAAAGTGGATCAACATATAAGGCATCCTGCCACTGAACCTCTGAGTCTTAACATGCAGCAAGGTATAGAGGTGTAAGATATTATAAAAGACAAAGCAAATGCCCCAAAATAAAGGAGTGAGAAGTAAAGATAATACTAATGATAATAAAGTCATATTTTTCAGAATGAGTTAGCATGAGAAACTAATACTAGAAGAATTATATCAATTTCCTGGGCCTGGAACGAGAATATTGCCCATTCTCCTGTTGAAGGTGATATAAGGAGATTGTCATGAACAGTAAAATACAATGGAAGCTTGTCTGCATAAAAGTAACATTTGATTGAGATCGGTACATAACTAATCCCATTTCAAATTGAAAATAAAATCAAAATTGGCGACAGTAAGGCAAATTATTGGCAGAGTTGTAAGGGCAAAGTAAACATTCTTTTTCTCAGAAAGGTCCTACATTCCTGGATAAGGGGCTCCCATAAACTCAAACTCTTGAAAGTTAAGGAATACCGAAAGACATTTTCTTTTTTGCACAGTTGTTCCTACAATCAAGCTCCAAATCACCTGGTCTGATTTTACATGTACTAGAAGGATCACATGGGACTCAAAGTTTGTAATCTGTTGATAGCAAATAGGACTGTCAGATGGTATGGGCTATTGCACACTAAGAGCTCTCATTTATGAATCACTAGCTACCAGATACTTTTCAGAGTACTGTATATGGAGAAATCTCATTTACCCTTAACAGCACCCAAATGTAATATGTATTTCTAGATATCACCATTTTACAGGTGAAGAGCATGGGGTAAGTGATTTGACCAAGGTCACATAGACCATGAGGGTCAGAGACAGCACTGAAGCTTAAGGGTCTCCTTTAGATCTCATACACATAACTTTCCTGCTATGCTGGTTGTCATACACTTACCATCTTACCAGTCAGAATTCTCAGTAAACAGCTTTCTGAGTACCTGATAGAAAATGTTAGTACAGAGCCAGGTTGGTGCAGTCCTTGGACACCATCCTCACCCTTCCTAGTGTCCCCAGTCTCTAACTCTACCGGAGGTCTTCCTCCCTGAGAAGCTATACTCTCAGAAACTCTCCATCTGCCCAGTCCTTCATTCCAACTGGTACCTTCTAACTGGGACAATGGTCTCCATTAGAGAATAGGTAAAGGTTAATCTTATCAAAGTTATTCACACACATGTGAATTCTAGGTTATTCATGTGTGTGAGTGACTTCGTAGGATAACTCTATCAGAGAGTACTTGCATTTCAGAAGAGGGTTTTGTTAACTCAAATGAATCATACAGGAAAGGATTTTGTTGTTATTTGGTTGCTTTTGTGGTGCCTGTGGTATAAAGAGCACAGCATATGGAGTCAGAAAGAAGCTGAAATCCTAGCTCTGTCAATATCAGGTATGTAAAATTGTGCAAATAACTCAATATTCTGAATCTCTGGTTCCTCATCTTATTTTTAAGTTGACAACTCTTCATAGTAGTGTTGTCACAATTAAATAAGATGATGTATGTCTGGCACCAAACACACTGCCTGGCATATGAAGGGCATCTAATAAATGTCAGTCCTTATCCTATCCTCCAACCATTTCCCGAAGGACAAGAGCCATGGGGCTAACCCCTGACATAGACTGCCATCATTTTACCAGGGACATTGGATTGACAAGGTTTCTAGTTGTTGATAAGTGCAGACATTCTGCTATCTGCCTCCTTGGTAGCCTGCCAACTATTCATGTGCTTCTTGGAAAAGGAAACTTTTCCAAAAGGCAGGGACTTCAGAGGGCTGGTGAGACAGTGTCCTGTCATTAAAGCTTCACTGGAGATTGGCATTCCCAATATTAGCATCATGTTGCTATATGCTATAAAGGAGACAAAGTACTATCTTTTCTTTACCCATTGTAAGTTTCACTGGGACCCCTGTAACAAAAGACAGATTGGGCCAGGCGCGATGGCTCACGCCTGTAATCCCAGCACTTTGGGAGGCCAAGGCGGGTGGATCACGAGGTCAGGAGATTGAGACCAGCCTGGCCAACATGGTGAAACCGTGTCTCTATTAAAAATACAAAAATTAGCTGGGTGTGGTGGTACGCACTTGCAGTCCCAGCTACTCAAGAGGCTGAGGCAGGAGAATTGCTTGAACCCGGGAGATGGAGGTTGCAGTGAGCTGAAATGGCGCCATTGCACTCCAGCCTGGGCAACAGAGTTAGATTCCATCCAAAAAAAAATTACAAAAGACAGATTGACAAGAGAAAATCATACAATTTCTTGTTTTGATTCAAGCTTCTACAGACAAATTTATTTAATATAAGTTATATGTGACATGGGAGCCTTCAGAAATGAAGACCCAAAGACCCAGGACAAACTTTTTTATGAACAGTTGTGCAGAAGTATGATTAGAGAACAAAAGGGTATGGTCTAGTGTTAATTAACTGGGGGTAAATGGGAACTTAGCAAGGCCTGTTTGTTCAGATTCTTCGTGGCCCCTGGGTATAGGGCAGGACATGTTTGGAATGAGGGTTGTATGACCTACTTTCAGGACAGGTAGGTCAGAGAATTCTTTTCAGGCTCATTTCAGGAGAGAAAGGCAGGAGAAGGTCAAAGCGTGACCTTCTTGCTTCTGAGGTTTTCTCAATTACCTTCACCTTAAAATACTCAGTATGCCAAGGTATCATATTGTAGGGTAGTGTGTCCTTCACGATATCAATGCCAAAATGGCCTAGCCTGCTTTTTAAAGAGATTCATCTGCATTGCCTACAAATTTATTTATTCACTCAAAAACATGTATTCATCAACTACCATGTGTCAAATGTTGTGCTAAGCACTTAAGAGTGCAGAAGTAAATGACAGCCAGTGAATTGGGTTTCCTGATAGCACAGGTGACAATAAAAGAGAGAATGGAAAAGAGGTGTTCTACCAAGAGGTACACACATATATGCATATACATATATACTCACAAGACACAGAATCATACTCAAAGGACAGTGATTAACATCCATGGTGTCATCCATTCAATCATTTTTTTCCACACTTTTTGGAGCACCTACTATTTGCCAGCCACTGGGGAAACAGCGCGGTGATAAGATAGGCCAGGTCCCTTCTCTTGCAGAGTTTAAAAACATGGCAGAGGAGATAGGCAATGAATAAATTAAATAAGCAGGATAATTTCAGCTATTGAGAATGCTATGAATGAGGCCATGTGATAGAGAGTGACTGGGTTTGCGCACTGCCTTCGCCAGAGTGGTCAAGGAAGTCTTGTCTGAGGGGACAGCATTTCCCCAAAACCTGCATGACATGAAAAGGGGCCATTCATGTGCAGAGCTGGAAGAAGACCTTTTGGGCAGAAAAACAGCTTGCCCAAAGGCCCTGGCAGAACCAACTTGGTGAATCCAAAGAACAGAGAGAAGGTCAGTGTGGCCGATGCTTATTCAACAGGTGGAAATGGAATTAGGGACAGGAAAGAATCAGACAAGATAGGGATCTGTAAGTCACCAAAGGGAGTCTGGATGTTATTCAAAGAATAATTGGAAGGTATTGGAGGGTTTTTAAAAGAATGCTGTGACCTAATTTACATTTGTTAAATAAGAGAGAATATTCATATAATCCCACTCTAACAAAGTTAAATACATTCATGAAAAGACTGATGACCATTTTTGAACAATTGCAAATTAAAATATACTAATTCTAACTAGAAGTTTAATTTTAGCATCACTAGGTTAAATGCAATGACTGAGAAGTCATTTGAGGATATTTCAGTGACCTGGAGGTCTATAATGACCATCATTTATTAGGTGTGAGGAAAAAGGTGTCTTTTAAATTCTGGCCAAGAAGATACCAGGCAACGTAAACTCCACTTGAAATTAATGCCCCTCAAGCCTAATGTGCTTTCTGCAAAACAGTCATGGTTGAGCGGGAGCCTTTCTAGCTCATCAAGCTAGTTTTGTGATGTTAATTCTGTGCAGCTAAGAATAAGCCAGCATCTCTTCTGTGTTTTGCTTTCATGAAAATCCCATAATGCTAACTGTGAAGATGCTAATGGACCAAAAGTGTAATACTAGGCATGGCTAGGTTTTCAAGGGATCTTAGCTCACCCCCTCTGTAGGATGAGGTGTCCATATGGTGCCATATGGGGACATTAAGAAGCCACCTTCCCTCAAAGGTCCTCTGAGTGAGCCTCAGACTCCTGGCTTCCCCATCACAAATTCCTCCTTGGGTGACCAGAACTCTAGTAAAAGACAACTGTTTTATTCTGAAGGAGTAATCCAATGATACCATTGTCAGTCATGAATACCTTCCAATGTTGGTCTGTTAAAGTATCCAGTTACTACCTAGCAAAGCCCACATGCATTTTTTCTTAAGTCAGAATTCCAGGAAGCCCAAACTGTGGCTTTAAGATCACATCCATAAATAAATAATAGTACATCCAGACAATGGAATATTATTGAGTGCTAAAATCAAAGGAGTTATCAAGCCATGAAAAGACATGTAGGAATCTTAAGTGCATATTACTAAATAAAGAAGCTAATCTGAAAAAGCTACATACTGTATAATTCTGGAAAAGGCAAAACTATGGAGACAGTAAAAAGATGGGGAGTTTTCAGCGGTTGGGGAGGGTGAGTAGAGAAGAAAGAACAGGCAGAGCACAAAGGATTCTTGGAGCGGTGAAACTACCCAGTACAATACATGTCATTATGCATTTGTCAAAACTCATAGAATGTACAACACCAAGAGTGAACACTAATGTAAAATGGACTTTGGGTGATAATGAGGTTTCAGTGTAGGTTCATCATTTGCAATAAATGCAACATTGCGGAGCAGGATGTTCATAATGGGGGAGGTTGTGCCAGTGTGGGGGTAGGAGGAATATATGGGAACTTTGTACTCTCCCATATATTCCTGTAAACCTAAAACTGCTCTAAAACATAAAGTCAGTTTTTAGAAATTAAGTGATACACGGCAGAATGAAATAAAATTAGATCTTATTAAAAATGGGGAGCAGGTTTATGTGGAGGATCTCAAGGAGTAACCCCAAGCAGCATGATGGGGATGCCAAAGGATCCAGGGCTCACCAAACAATGGCCAGAACTCATAGGGAGTGTGTTTTGTGGCCTCCTGGAGAGGATATTGCCAGCCTGAAGATGTCTGTACTAATGGGAACAAATAACCCATACATAACAATGAGGCATTGATGCCATGTAGTCTTCCAGTGTCTTGAATCCAGAGTAGTCCTAACGAATGAGGCCTTTGGAGACAGACCAGCAGATTCAAATCCTACTATGCTACCTATTAGCTGTGTGATGACCTCAGGCAAGTGGTTTAACCTCTTTGGGCCCTCATTTCCTTGTCTTCAAAATGATTATAATAATAGCAACTGCCTCCCAGGGTTACTGGGATTGTATTAAATGGGATAACTTATTTGTAAAGCATCTAGCGCAGTGTCAGAACTTGGTAAACCTTCAATCAAAATTTGTGATGTGACTGAATATAGCCATTATTAGTAGAGCGTAATAGTGTTTGAAAACAGTCTAAGCCCTCACAAAATATGTGTTGTTTGAATTGTTAATAATAACAAGACTTCAATTAGGCCATGGCAGTTCCAGTTTAATGCCTGGCTTCCACGTCATAGTGAGCAGGCTCTTCTGGGTTTTTAAGGGGAATGGCAGCCAAGAGTGAGCCAAACCCTCCTCTAACCTATTATCACTGCATTTTAGTACGAAGTTTCTCCTCTGATTGTGATCTACACCTATATGTTTCATGAGTAGGACAAGATAAAATGAAGCCTCAGCTGCTATTATTTCTATTCATGTAGAATCTTTATTGTGGGGATCTTTATTTTAAAACTAACTTTGTATTAACTTGAGGTCTTTAAAGGAAAAGCTTTAGGTAAATTATAATATATAATTACATTTTATGTGTTTAATCCAAAAGGTACTTTAACGAATGCTGGAAATGTTTATTTCTATATCCAATCAGAACTCAGGATCACGCATAGCTTACCCTATGTAGCTTACCCTGTGTTTCTGTACCACTATGCCTGCATTGATAACTATGCAGGGGAGAGAAATGATAGGTTAGAAAATGAATAGATGGGTAAGTAGATGATTATATATATGTGTGTATATATATATATATATATATATTTTTTTTTTTTTTTTTTTTTTTTTGAGACCGAGTTTCACTGTGTCACCCAGGCGGGAATGTAGTGATGCAATCTTGGCCCACTGCAACCTCCGCCTACCAAGTTCAAGTGATTCTCCTGCCTCAGCTTCCTGAGTAGCTGGGATTACAGGCGCCCACCACCACGCCCAGCTAATTTTTGTATTTTTAGTAGAGATGGGGGTTTGCCATGTTGGCCAGGCTGGTCTCAAACTCCCGATCTCAGGCAATCCACCTGCCTTGGCCTCCCAAAGTGCTGGGATTACAGGCTTGAGCCACCACGCCCAACCCGATAGACATATATTTTTTAAAAAAGAATTTTCTTCACAAGTTATGATGCTATTTGATTGTGTTAGAAGCCGGAACAAGTAGAACCCAGCAGTAAGAATCTAGTATGGTTCCTCTAAAAAAATCCAGAATATCATTATATGCCAAAAAATATGTATATTTAGTCATTCTTAGCCTGACTCAGAGTTCTTATGAATAACTCATCATTTTTTTCAGTGTGCACCTGTATAAGGCCAGGTACTCATAGAGATCATTCAAAAGCTATTTATGTTTGCTACGCAATGTCTTCCATTTGCATTCTTTTGCAAGTCTTGTTCAGACTGATATTAAAATAAGTTTGTTTTTTATGGATACACATCAAGGATTGGAGAGCAGAAGAAGCCTAATCACATGCTGGGAGATGGAGAGAAGCCAGCATGAGATTGTAAAAATGTTGGCAACTATTACCCAAGCCCAACATGTGTGTTGGGCTGTTCATATCCAGCCCAACACACGTGAACAAGAGTTTAATGTTTCCCTGTTACTCATTTCACAGAGATTGAAACTGACAGAGGGAAGGAGTCTGAGCAGTGAACTCCTCAGCTAGGCAACGCCTCTAGACTGTGAGTCATTCCAGGACAGGAGCCTCATTCTCCACTCATTAGTGAGTCTCCAGCACTTGTTGTGTCTCAGCACTTGCTAAGTACTAAAAAAGGTGATCAATGAATTAATTAATAGGTGAAAGCATTTCTCTGCATTCCTCTAGTCTTAGACCTCCAATCTTCAAGTTGAACACTAGAATGATCTGGAGGTTGTTGAGCAAACCAAAGTAAATGGCCAAGCAATGTTTATTAGGGAAAATGTATAGAGGAAGAAACAGTGGTAGGTGTGAGGATCCCTTGTTATGTTGGCACATTCCTGGCTAGGGTCATACACAACGATCCAGCAGGCCTGAAAGACAGACACCACAAGAGGTCTCCTGCCCCTTGGATTATAAAGCATTTAAACTACATGATTAGAGAAGCATCAGCCCTTCCCCTGATGTGATCAGGGATAAAATACCAATATGACACAGCAGAACCTGGGCTCCAGTCTCTCCTGGCCACTCATCAATCATGGCTAAAGAAAGCACCAGGCTGTCTGGTGCTCTCCCATCTGGCATATGAGGTTCAAGTCTTATAACTTAGCTATTTAACATGGTGGGCTAGTGGCAGGATTTGCCCCATCCATGTGCATGTTTGGGAAGCACGAGACCCTCTTTTGGCAAGATATGGGAAAAGAGGGCTGGGGTCCAAGCCTTGCCAATGACCAGGATTTTTTGTCTTATGCGTAAACTGTAGCCAGTTTCCGTGGAGCTTTGGTGGAGGTCAGTTCCTTTCCTGGGAGGCCAGGCTGCAGGAGATTCCTCTTGAATACATTAACTCTTGTCTCTAAGTGGTGATGTGATAGACACAAATTAATCGTGCCATGATGGCCAGCCTCTCTTCCCAGAAACTGTGAGAGAGGCTTTGTGATGAGGCTAGGCTTCTCTAGGGTTCCTGTTACCTTGTACCTCCATGTTACTCTCTACCTATTCCCAGCCAGGGCAATCCACCTATACCTCCCAGACTGTCCCAGGCCCAATACTCCTAAATTTCCTCAGTCCCAGTTCCTTGGGTCCTGTTCTCCATTATAGATCAATCATCTGTCATACAAATCTTTGGACTGTGGGTAAGTCACTTAGCTTCTGTAGGCTTCTGGCTTTTCTGCTGCAAGATAGTCACAAAATCTGGGTATTGAGGAAAAGATCCCTCCAAAAGAGGCACTACCATCTAGTGGACTATTTTCATTTATTCCTTATTTTGTTTGCTTACAATTCTGGAACTTTAATAGAAATTTCAGGCACACAGCAGACCTATGGAGGAGGTATTTTGAGTTTTAATGCCACCCTACTTATATCACATTGGCATTTCCTTCTTGCTTACAAGAAGTTGGCCCCTGAACCAGTGAGGAAGAAGATGATTTTGATTCAGTGTCCCACTGTGGCCTCTGAAGGACATTAGTCTTTACTGTGTTTCAAGTTCAAAGTGATCTGATGAGATTGTAAGCACCAGATGGGACTCAGAAACCTGGGAAAGGGCAAAGAATCAGGGAAACCACAGGTAAAAGAGAAAAGGGGAAAAAACAGAAAGTCTGATAAGGAAAGGAAGCAGGACTGGGTTCTTTGTATTTTTTTTCATGTCTGTCTTTGCCTTGGATTGACATTGAGGCAGAAGTGACCTTTAAGTTGTGCCTGAATCCTCTACAGCTCCTAGCATGGTAGTTCAAAAATGTTTGTTGAATGGGATAAACAAGAAATCTAAAGTGGTGTGTGGTCATGAGCTCAGGGGAATGGGTCATCAACACTGCCCCAAACTTCACTGAATGTCCCCTGGTTAGTTTCACTTTGTAAGCAAAAAAAATTAGGAATAAATGAAAATGTTACCGGAAAGGGGTCCCAATCCAGACCCCAAGAGAGGTTTCTTGGATCTCACACAAGAAAGAATTTGAGGAAAACCCATAAAGTGAAAGCAAGTTTATTAAGAAAGTAAAGGAATAAAAGAATGGCTACTCCATAGGCAGTGCAGCAGCTTGGGCTGCTTAGCTAAGAATACTTATAATTGTTTCTTGATTATATGCTAAACAAGGGGTGGATTCATGAGTTTTCTGGGAAAGGGGTAGGCAATTCCCAGAACTGAGGGTTCCTCCCCTTTTTAGACCGTATAGTGTAACTTTCTGAAATTGCCATGGCATTTGTAAACTCATGGTGCTCGTGGGAGTGTCCTTTATCATGCTAATGCATTATAACTAGCATGTAACGAGCAGAGAGGAGGGCCAGAGGGCACTTTCATCACCATCTTGGTTTTGGTGGATTTTGGCCAGCTTCTTCACCACAACCTGTTTTATCAGCAACATCTTTGTGACCTGTATCTTGTGCCGGTCTCCTATCTCATCCTGTGACTAAGAATGCCTTAACCTCCTGGGAATGCAGCCCAGTAGGTCTCAGCCTTATTTCACTCAGCCCCTATTCAAGATGGAGTTGCTCTGGTTTGAATGCCTTTGAGAAAAATACTCCACTAGAGAGTAGTGCCTGTCTTGGGGGAATCTTTTCCTCAATACCCAGATTCTATTACCGTTTTACAGCAGAGAAGCCAGAAACCTATAGAAGCTGAGTCACAGAGGCTGGTGGCGAGCTCAGGACAGACACCACATTTCCCAGCTCTCAGAGTTAGAACTGTGAGATTCAGATGGATGAATAAAATATAAAAGATGGGGAAAGTAAAATAAATTGCAGACTGCACAAAGTTGAACTGGAATCATGACAACCAATCCTTAATCTGTTTGCTATTAGGGTGGAGAACAAGATGGCATTCTGCTCCTCTGGAATTCAGACACACTTTCTGGTATTTAAAGGAATACAAGGAAAGCTCACACAGACTGAGCTGGGTCTCTTTATAGTGTAAATATCTTTCCAATGGGAAAAAAAATTACTGAAAGATGGTAAGTTTGTCTTCTGACAATATTTCCCAGACGTTTTTCTAGTGTTAACAAAGCTCTCTTGGAGTGTAACTGTTTCTGAGGAGTGGTAACTTTAAAGCAAAACGAAGGAAAATTTCAATAAGAACCAAGCTGCCCCAATTCTCCCTTTATTTTTAAACAGAACCATCAAAGGGCAGCTAACGGAAATACACTTAAGTGGCATTAATTCATCCTGAAGAGAACTCTCAAAGAGTTTTATTGCTACATAAGGGAAAGCTATAAACCAGCAGGAGAGGAAAGCAAAGAAAATAAGTCTGGGGAGACATCTTGTGTAAGAAAGTGAGCAGGTGGTCAATAATGTATCCTTGGCTGGTTTCCACAGCAAGAGACAGAAATTCATGGCAAGGATGTGGCCCACAAAACAGACTATCACAGAGAAAAGAATTGTGGAACTTTGCAAAGTGCTGTTGAAGAGTTCACATGAATATGAAATAATAAAATAATAAAATGCTCATCTCCCCTCCTTTTTCTCAACACCTATCCCATTTCATGTTAATACTCGACTCCAATAGCCTACTGCCTGACTCTGTCCAGTCCCTGGCATGATTAAAGACAACAACAACAACAAAAATAACTAAGATGGGGAGGGCCAACGACAGTGAGTTTTTAGACCTAAAAGTAACACTGGGGTCACTTAGTCCAACAATCTTGGTTTTACGAACAAGGAAATGGGTCTTAGAGGTTACTTTTGTAGAGAGAGAGAGAACTTCAGAGCTTTTTCCTTGCAATGAGAAGTCTTAAATTGCATATTCAGACTGGAGATTTAGAAAAATGCCTCTACGATCTTGTCATTCAGCTCAAGCTAAGCCTAAGAAATTTATCATAGGTATAAAGAGAATCTTACAAGTATCCTGAAAATGAGTAAAAGTTATCACTGATCTCAAGAATATTTTACCATCGGTCAACCCTTCATCATTCTTTACAGGGCTTTTAAAATAAAAAAAAAAAGGCACTCTTTATTAATTTCTAAGGAAGAATGGCTATTATATAGGATTTTCCATTCTTGTAAGCTGGCAGGAGACCTCAGCACACAAAATCAGGAGAGTAAGAATGAAAACAGTAGGCATGGGGAAGAGTAACATCGATCCAGTGTTCGGGTGCTCTCTCAGTCATCATACTACCAAGATGGTATTTCAACACTTAGAAAAGGGGTAGGCAGGATGAAAATGGTGCCATTTGACAAGCATTTCTCAAGACTACTTTCTGCACAGTTATGAACTAAGTGCAAAGAGAATTCCCAAAGATAAAGGTTTGATTCTATTCCCCCAGACACTTGAGTGAGCTGTTACATGGCATGTCCCTCCCCAAACCAGCTTCTAGAATTTATCACCAAGAATTAGTTTTTCAAAATAAAATGCATTACAGATTTGCTTCACTTAGGGGGAAATTAACCTTTTGTATTTCAACAAATGCCTATGGCTAAATATTGTTTGAGATTTATTTGGCATTTTAGATGTGAGGATACTACTTTTCACTATGTATAAAAAGAAGTATATACTGAATTAAGTCTGTGTTTTTTCATACACAAAATTATGTAGAGGTCTATGGGTAAGGAATGAATTTTTTAGACATAACTGTTTAAATATGGTAAACAATAAATAAATGTTTGTTGTAGCAATATTATTATTCAAGTCCCCCAAAACAGCATGGAAAGATAAAGCTAAAAAAGTGATTGTAAGCTGATGATTTTGCTGACCTAAAGGTTTATATATGTATTACTTGTGGATTTTACTTCCTTCAGCAGTAAAAGATAGCCTAAATTCTGTAGTCACTCCCACAAGGGCAACCTGCTGCTATCACCTGGCAGAAATGTCTTCAGTTCTCTGAATTTCAAAGCCAAAGCCCTTTGCAGTCAATACAAAGAAGGCTCCTCAGAGTGGCCAGTTTTCTGGGGGAAAGGGAGCAGGACGAGATCCAGCCTTTGAACTAGTGTTTCCATGTGGCTAACAGGTAGGAGACGCGCCGCACTGAAGTGGGCAAGCAGATATAATATTTGTTACTCACTTATTAGAAACTGTCTTTACCTTGCCTTTCTTCAGACAAAGAGAACTTCAGAGATTTTTCCTTGCAATGAGAAGTCTTAAATTGCATACTCAGACTGGGGATTTAGAAAAATGCCTCCATGATCCTGCATTCAGGTCAAGCTAAGCCTAAGACCTTTAACATAGGTATAAATAGAATCTTACAAGCATCCTGAAAATGAGTAAAAGTTATCATCGATCTCAAGAACATTGAGCCAGGGGACAATTGGTCAGCCTAGTTTTCGAAACAGGTCTGGAGCAGTGTGAAAACAAAAACCATTACCTTACAAATTCTTCCAGATGAGACTGCAGTGAAGCAAAGTGTCACGGAACGTGTGCTCAAGATCCCATCTATTATTACCACTGCTCCTCCTCCACCACCACCCCTGTTTTCTTTTTTTTAATTTAAATAATAGCTAACACTTATAAAGTGCTTAGTATCTATATTAGACACTGTTGTAAGCACTTTATTGTATTAATTCCCTTAATCTTCTCAACAACCTCATAAGACAGATAATGTTATCATCAGCAGCAATTTATCAAAAAGAAACCAAGGCACAGACAGGTTAAGTAACTTGCTTAAGATTACACAGCTAATAAGTGATGGAATCAGGATTTAATTCAGGCAATTTAGCTCATACTTTCTGCTCTTGCTAACTTCATCACAAACTCTAGTCAGCCAGCTGGACTCATTCATGCCCCTCGCTACTTCCTTTAGGCACTGGGCTTCTACAACCCCCAAACCCCATCTAATTCACTCCCTTCATTTTACAGTTTAGTAAAGGAGGCCCTGAAAGGTTTACAAGGATATCATGATAGAGAAGTTTACAGAGAAGACTCTGAGTGTCCCATCTCCAGCTCAGTGCCCTACTCACACTCTAAGTCCTAAGAAATAACATTTGTGATCCATGTTTATCAACGAAATTCCATATGTTCTTGTAAGTTCTGGTGCCTTATAATGAGTTTTGCTCATAAAAAGAAAAGTCCTTTACACTCTCAGCCTCCTTAACTGATATATCCTGAAGACCTGGCATCTGTTACATAATACTCTGCCCTTTCCTTTCTCCACTTCCATTTTTCTTTGAAAAATGTTCAGTGGATTAACTGTGAAAACCTTATGATTTTTCCTCCCAGACACCACATCCATCTCTCTATCCCTCAAAATAAATTCCACCCCTTAAATAAATGGAATTTCCAATACCAAGATAGCTGTGGTTTGGTTGCTCTCCGAGCTTTGCCTTTGTTCAAAGGGCAGGATGTTACCACGCAGGCTAATTATCTAGATGGGGCTGTGGTTGAAAAGTGGTGGATTTTAGAGACTGCCCTCTCTGTGGCTGACGATTTATCACAATTGAGTATTTTAGGCTGAGCCCCAGGTTTAGAACTAAATGTTTTTCAGTTTAAATTCATTGTTGGGAACAGTCCTGTGGAATGATTTCTGCTACTCCTGAACCATGCACCAAGGAAAGAACAAATCCACATTTTCACTGACCAAGAAATTGTCAAGATGTTTTAGTTCTTTTATAATTCAGAAATTGTCAGGACTAAATATTGCAACTTTAGTAGGATTGCCATTCTGACTGAATGGTGTCTTTGTGTGTGGTGGTGGGTGAGGGGGTAGGAGGAACCAATTTTAGAAAACATTGATTAATTATTTTTATTTTCCAAGTGCTATTGATATGATTTAATATTCTCCCCATGTAAGATAGAAACTTAACTTTGGCTTAACTTTTAATATCAAGTCATTCAGGGTTATATGATTCAAAATAACCTTAGCTAAACAAAACTTCAACAATTGGATCCCCAAGAAATGTACTATAAAATTTATATTTTATGTAATACATTATAGTTGTGTGCTCTAAATAAACATTTTTACGATGTCCACTTTAATGGATTACATTAGATGAAATTTCCCCACATCTCTCCCTTGCAAAAGGCCTTAAAACACTTATTTTACATTGTGTTGGCTACACAAACTGTACTAGTGCATGTACTAGCACATGAACAGAAAGCTGTTCATGTAAGTAACAGTGTTCTGCAGTCCTTCTAGAGCCATACTAAGAAGGAACTCACCTTGCTGTGTATCGCCAGGTCCACGGAATGGCAAGGACCTTATTCTTGCAGAGCCCTACCAATGCCCTACTTTACTGTAGAGCTGCCTCTGGATTTTAGATCTTCCATTTTTCTTACAAAATTGTTGTTGTTCCTAAAACATGACTATGTCACACTCATTAACCACGAATTTCCCCTTTCCAATGTGCATACTTTGTACTTGTCATTCTTATGACTGGAAACCTACATCAATATTTGCTGAATGACTGCAGGAATTTTTGAGCACACACATTGTATGAAGTTTTTATCTTTTATAGCCACTTTTTAAAGGTTTCTCAGTAAGCTTCACATTTGTATTCAACCTTTGAATGTGGTAAGAAAAAAAAACCATGGATTATTATCATTATTGTCCCTAAACCACGTTTCTTATTTCTTCCTTTGGTTTCTGGACAAGTATAGCTTATTTGACCAGAGGAATATTTAAGGGGGGTAGGGGGTGTACAAACTCTCCATCATTATTCCATCGCCAACTGTAAGAAGGGAGAGTGCAATATTGAAAAGTAACTGCAAGTATGAGATTGATCTAACTTTCTGACATACAAAGGCTTGAGTACCTAAGTTCCTAAAATTATTATTATTATTTATTTATTTATGTTTGAGATGGAGTCTCGCTCTGTTGCCCAGGATGGAGTGCAGTGGCATCATCTCAGCTCACTGCAACCTCCACCTCCTGGGTTCAAGCAATTCTCCTGCCTCAGCCTCCCGAATAGCTGGGATTACAGGCATGTGCCACCATGCCCGGCTAATTTTTGTATTTTTAGTAGAGACAGGGTTTTGCCATGTTGGCCTGGCTGGTCTCGAACACCTGACCTCAGGTGATCCGCCCGCCTCAGCCTCTCAAAGTGCTAGGATTACCAGCGTGAGCCACCGCACCCGGCCCCTGACATTATTTATTTATAAGTGTGGATATGTTCTTCACATTCACAATTACAAAAAACTTTAGAAGTAGAAGGGACCTCAAAGTCATATAGCTAATGTTCTCATTCTGCAAATGAGGGAACTAATGCCTAGTCAGAATAGGTGACTTACTTGGGTCCGAACTAAAACTTAGGTATTTTCTGCTCTGAAAGCAATGATGCTTTCATATTAAGGAAAGAAAAAATATATATTCTACTTTAGAATTTCTTTTTAGGGGTTTTCCCAAGTGTTTTATAAACTGTTTAGCAGCTGACACTATTCCAGTTAGAGAAACAAAAAAAAAATTAATTGCAAACTTCAAATACGTGAGCTATTATTTTAAGAAAAATATTCTCCAGATGTTTCCCAACTCCTTTGAGAGTGGAAAAAAGGCAATGAACTTACAGTTCGGCAGAAGAGATTCGGATTAGATATTAGGAAATCTAATGTGAAATCCTACAATTGGTTACTAGGGAATGTTGTAAAATCTCCTCTGGAGAACCTTTGGAATGTGGTGGTTGGCCACTCATTTCAGAGGCATTATGTGTGTGGTTCATTTCTAGCGCTGGGGGCACAACCTAATTGACTTCTCAAGTTTCGTTGGTCCCATGAGGTCATTATCTGCCTATAGCTAGTACATGGGGATGATTGGCTGCTCTTAATTACAGAATTCAGAATTTGTTAGTGAAGCATATAATTTAGGCTGTTTTACATTTATAGCCATCCCAGTAGATGTAAATGAGCAGATTGACCAAAACCAGTAAATGTTCATTGGATGGTCTTGCCCACTGCCTCCATGTGATTGATTGACCAGAATCTGACAGGCTTATTTATTTGGGCTATTAGTCCATTTTCACACTGCTATAAAGAACTACCTGAGACTGGGTAATTTATAAAGAAAGGAGGTTTAATTGACTCACAGTTCCACATGGCTGGGGAGGCCTCAAGAAACTTATAATCATGATGGAAGGAGAAGGAGAAGCAAGAACTTTCTTCACAAGGTAGCAGGAGAGAGAGAGCACGTGCGCGCAAGGTGCGGGGTTTGGGGGGATCTGCCAAACACTTTTAAACCATCAGATCTCATGAGAACTCACTATCATGAGAATAGCACAGGGTAATCCACTCCCATGATCCAATCACCTCTCTCTAGGTCCCTCCCTTGACATATGGGGATTACAATTTGAGATGAGATTTCGGTGGGGCCACAGAGCCAAACTATATCAGGCTCCATCTCAGCATATTTACCTTGCCAGTGGCTTTGTGACTTAATGAATACTTTAAGCTTGTATTCCTAGTCAGAAAACCAAAGAGTAAGAAAGCCTGTCTAAGAGCTTGTCTTATGTAAGAGAAGAATTCCTTATTTCATGCAAAAGGAGGGCCTTGATATTTGGAAGACAAGATGGAGAAAACTGACTGTACAGTTAGATGGATCTGTACCTTGTAAAACAAAGCTGGAACTTTGTTAGCTAATATATTGGATGGCAGCTCCTACACATAATTAAATAACAATTTTCAATTTTTGACTAGGAATGTAACAGGAATAACTGTATACAGTCTTGAATTTCAGTAAAATAATCAATCATATAAATATAGGATGGGGATATTATCAATTAGAAACTGTAATGTCAAAAAAGACCTAAGAAATGGATATGGGATTAATGATATAAAGTATTTGAAGTATAGTTATGTGTCATTTAACAACAGGAATATGTTCTGAGAGATGCACCATTAACTGATTTTGTCATTGTACAAACATCATGGAGTGTACTTACACAAACCTAGATGGTACCACTTGCTACACACCTTGGCTACATGGCATAGCCTATTAATCCTAAGCTACAAACTTATACAGCATGTTACTGTACTGAGTGCTGTAGGCAACTGTAACACAATGGTAAGTATTTGTGTATCTAAATATATCTAAACATAGAAAAGATAATGCATTGCACCACAGTCATTATGATGGCTAAGACCTCACTAGGTGACAGGAATTTTTCAGCTCCATTATATTCTCATGGGACCACTAGTATAAATATGGTCCTTTGCTGACTGAAGCATCATTATGCACCTCATGACTACATAGTACCTGGGACTTTTTTCCAGTAAATAAAAAACAATGTTGAGATAATGCTGAGTTACTTACCTGAGGGTCATAGATCAATATAGTTAGAGTCATTAATATCTCTTAATACTAATCAATTTTGCAACAAAGGTACATATCCTTGATCAGATGACCCTAAGGTGGGCTTATTTAAAATGATCTTAGCACAACAATAAAAGGTCATGTGCCCATCTTTTATGTTATGACCAAGTTTTGGGATTCATTTTCTCAACATGCCCTCCCTTCCTCCACCACTAATAGTAAACTGCATGTGCACCTCCATATGTGAATCAAGAAAGGTAAGTCTCTCTAAAAGTTGTTTAGATAATTTAAAAAGCAACAAAATTGTACAAAATACTGAGCTGCTTTTTAAATGTTCCCATCATTATTAATATCCAAGTCAAAAATATGAGGGCTTTCTGTCAACAACCTCTGTAGGTAGAATTTTCAATGGGGAGTGAAGCTGAATTAGGTATTTTTGAAAGCCCCTATCAACACACTAAGACTTTTGATGATGAGGATCCATCAGTAAATATTGAGAAGTCAAATTATTCTTGTCCTCAGAAAGCTTACAATCATGTTTAGTCTAATGGACAAAAAACAACAAGAAAAAAACATAAGCTTGGTTACAATTACATTTGACTTTGTATTAAACTTTAGGAGAATAACAATGATGGAGAAGGTGGGGAAGGCTTCACAGAGGAGGCAGGAATAGAACTGGTCTGGAGGAAAGAAGGTGTTATGGGCTGAGTTGCATCCCCCAGAATGCATATGTTGAACCTCAAGTACCTCAGAATTTAAGCATATTTGAAAATAGGGCCTTTAAAGAGGAAATTAAGTTAAAATGAGGTCACTAGGGTGACCAGTGTGGCTGGTAAATAAGAAGAGGCAATTAGGACACAGACACATGGAAGAAAGACTGTGTGAAGACGCAGGGAGGTGACTGCCATCTACAAGCCAAGGCGAGAGGCTCCAGCAGAATCCAACTCTGCCAATATCTTGATCTTGAACTTCAATGTCTCTAGAACTGTGAGAAAATTAATTTCTATTGAGCCACCCAGTCTGAGATACTTTGTTATGACAACCAGAGAAAACTATATGGTAGGACTGAAATCTACAGAGAAATAAAAGGAAAATAATTATCTTCCAGGAAAAAAGAATATCGTAAATAAAGAATTCAAAATGAGGTCAGGCATGGATGAAGAACATACTTTTGAAATGAGTCTATATTAGTGAAAGGTACCTTCAACTAACATTGTAGTAAACAGGACTCTTTCCTTTTTTCCCCATACGTTGTCTTAAGAAAGATACATCTCTCAACCTTCACATCTCTATCCAAAATTTACTTCCTCAGATGTCATTCCCTACCGTTCTTTCCAAAACATCGGAGCTCTTCCACTCTGTCATTATTGAACCCTTTATCCTGCTGCTATACATTGAATGTTTATGTCCCCAAATTCATATGTTAAAATATGACACCCCCCTCCGAAAGTGATGGTATTAGGAGGTGGGGCCTATGGGAGATAATTAGATCATGAGTGCAAAGTCCTCATGAACAGAATTAGTGCTCATATAAAAGAGACTCCAGAGAGCTCCCTTGCCCCTTTTATCATGTAAGGATACAGCAAAATGGTGTCATCTATGAACCAGAAAGTGGGTCTTCACTAGACAACCAATCTGCTGGCACCTTGATCTTGAACTTCCCAGCCTCATGAACACTGAGAAATTGCTGTTCTTTATAAACCACTCAACCTATGGTATTTTGCTACAGCAGCCCTAATGACTAAGACACCTGCATTGCTTTTTCAAAGCACTCAAATCTCAAATTATAAAATGTATTTTTAACATTTATCACCTGTCTCTCCACACTAGACTGTGAGTTCAATAAGATAATACCTCCACTCTCTAATTCACCACTGTATCTCCAATACTCAGAACATTTCCTGTTCTGAGTGTTCAATAGGTGTTCAATAGGTATATCTAATGAATGAATTGCCCTGAGAAATGCAATCAAGAGAGAATTTTCTTTGAGAGGCATGGAAAAACCAGGAAGGCAATTCTGGTGAACACTGGAAGAGGATTCTGCCTGACTTTCCCTTGCTTTAGGGTGGCAAATCTGAGGGTCTTGAGAGACTACAAATCTTGTACAAGTAGGAGGCACAGAGGACCAGCCCAGGAACTGATTAGAGAGGCTTATACACACCACACACAACAGAGACACACATACATACACAAAGACATGCTGTGTTAGCCTATGTGAAAGGGAAAGTTGGATTCAAGGCAAGGACCAACAGATTAAATATTTAAACATTCTTCTGTATAGTAAGCCAATGAGGATAAACGTACAAATAGAATGCTGATGAGCATTTAAAATATCTATCACATTATTCTGTTAATATATGTATCACATTACTCTGTTATGTACATTACAGGTCATATGAGGAATCTGAAATTCTCTGCAGCCCTGCTCAAATATAGGAAGCCATTTAGGGCTGTTCAAAGTATCTAGGATTGGTTATTCTTGACACATGAATGAATGACTGCCTTGGTTCAGCTGTTCTTTTTCTAAATCATTTTTAACAAGTGCATTTTAATGGCCATTACTGTTTTATTCATGTTAGGTTATCATTATTGCAGTTAACCTCACATTTACTTTGCTAGTATCTTTCTTTGAAAATCTTTGACATTTTAGTTGGTTTTGATTTGTCTTTCTGGTCACACTCCATTAATAATAACTTAAATCTGAATAGTCCTTTTTGGCTTATGAAGAATTCATATTATCATTTGTACCCCTGAACAGCTCTGAGGGATGGGCAGAGATTATAATTGCTATTTTACAGGTAAGAAAACTGAGGCTTAGTGAAGATAAAGGACTTGTCCAAGGTCATAGGCATGAAGAATGGCAGAGCCAAAACTTAAATAAAAGTCTTTTGACTTCTTTGACAGTGCTTTTGTCATATGACATGACACCCATCACTAAGCCAGCCTGGCTGGCAAAGATTCAATGTTCACACACATTAGATATGCTTATGTTCAAGAACACAAATACACACACACACACACACCCACACCCACACACACACACACCAGCTGTCAAACAAATAGAAATCAAAGAAAATATTAAGGAGAACTCACAATATTATTGTGTCCCACATTCTCAGAAAGAGAGGCATGAAAACCCACTATCACAATTTCTTCCCAGCAAAAATTCCAAGGCTCCTTCTTTCTTGCCAGGTGTTTGTATAAAGTTACCCAAATTTGATGTTCTTTTGAGTGATTTGGGAGAACCCCCATACCACTTTGACCACCAAAAATATCCTCAGGGACAGGAGAAAAATTAGTAGGAATAAGTAAAGCAGTAAATTCTAACCAGGGCCCTTATATAAATATTCACGTTAAAACTGAACAAAGTTTATTTAGATAAAGAGCCAGAGAAATGGCAGAAGGCAGACCTAAAGAGCTGGTTTACAGGACAGATATGCTGAGCCTATGAGAGGAAATAATTCAACTGGTATTCTTCCAGGCATTTCATCTCCTTCCAGTTTTCCAGTATTTCATTAGATTGTCCTGGTTTAAAGATTATGAAGTATAATCCAACATATCCACTGAATTGATGGAAGGCTGAAGGGCCAAACATGCTAGCTTATTATTAAAGACTTCACCACAAGTCTGGGGTTCCATAATTAAATTCATTCATCCCCAAAAGTAGAATTAAGTACCAGCTTATACATTACCAGATATTACCACACATTTCTGGTATGGATTAACACTTTCAGATCTCTAGTAACTGTCTTACAGACATTGAATGTTAGAGCTAGAAAAGACTTAAGGGAACATCCAAGTCATATTTTAATAAATGAAGAACTTAAAGAAATTTGTTTAGATGCACATAACTAGACAAGGAATAAGTACTGATCTTTGAGTGAAAAAAGCAAAAAATAGAAGTGTGTATAGTATACTGCAATTTATGTTTGAAAGGGATGTATATGATATGTGCATATCCACAGACTATCTGAAAAATATGAGGAAAAATTGTTGCTTCAAACATAAGGGATTTTAGATACTGGAGAACAGAAGTAGGAGGAAAATTTACTTTTTACTAGATATCCTTTGCTACTCAATAACAGTTTACACATCTGTCACCCCCACTAAGAGTACAAACTCCTTGATGGTAAGGCCCACCAGCCATATTATATTCATCTTAGTAATCCAAAATGGGCCTAGCAACTGTTTCTTCATTTTTTCCAGGGAAAAAATGATTTGTTAGTGTATTTAGAAAGATTGTAAAGCTTGAATTTTGTGATAGGGATTCATTTTAAATATTTTATTAGGTGTTTTATTAACCAATCCTTTTGTAGCCTGTATACACTCTTGGCATTACCCTGGAATAGGATATTGCAAAATCAACGCACATTTTCTAAGAAGTAGAAAACTATGATCCAGAATTAAGTAAGGCAAAAGCAAAGAAAACAACTCTCAAGAAGATGGAAATTGAATTATTTACAGACAGAAGTTTCTTCAAAGTTTTCCAGAAGATACTTACATTAAAAATTGTGAGAAATTTGCCACTTCTCTCTCTCTCTCTCCAGCATTATGATGACATGTCCCTTAAGATTCAAATTTTCATTAAGTCCCTTTATACATTGTGAGCATGGAGTTCGTGTATGCCCAGCATTAGAACTACAGAGGGCAGGGAGTGGGCAGGCAGAATATTGAACAGACCTAAGTGTGTATCACACTTGCCCTCTAGTGTGCATTTGCCAACAATGCACTTCTCTGGGCTGTCTGGTTTTAAGCCTAGGGCGTTTCCAAACAGAGGTCTTTTCAAGCTGGTTTTTATAAACAGATAAGCCCCATTTATATTAATTCTGTTTACTGCTAATTTGTAAAGAGTGCTATTAATGGGCTTAGAAGCAGCGTATTCTTATTAATAGTTAAACATCTCCCTCTTATTCATACAACTCTTGCTTTGTAAACTTTCTTTCACAAAAGGACAAAGATAGACTTTAATGGTCCAATTAACCAATTTCTAAACTAATGAATTCATAGTATTTTAATACAAGAAATAAAGGTGCATAATTATGATAGTGATTTTTAAAATATTTCATACTATTACATGAAGAAGCATTTTCTCTTCAACTCAGAAGACTTCTGCAGGCTTTGTTCCTGTTTGCTCTTTACATTTACATTTATTTGTGACTACATCAAAGCAGCCCTCATCTGGCAGATGAAAAATCTCTACTGTAGCATAAAGCCTATAAATTATCAACTGTTTCCATTTAGAATATAATTTTGGCACTTATTAACAAAGCCTAACCAGGACTGAGGTTTATTCTAGCTCGTTTTATCATTCTCTGTGCACTGCATTCGCCTCATGGTCCAAGATGTGTGGTCTGTTTCCAGTAACATATCAGCAATCCAGCCAGAAGGAAGGAGGAAGGGGAAGACATATCCACTCCTTTTTAGGATTCTTCCTGGAAGGTACACCCATGACAACTATACACAATTGGCAAGAATGGCTGAAATGGCCCTGCCTGGCTGAAATGTCTTCATTCTGGGCTGCTCTATTCCCAGGTGAAGACGGGAAAACAGGGCAAGAAAGGCAGAATCGATATGGGGGACAACCAGTAGTCTCTCCCATAGTCTATGTTCCTACCAATTGCCTTTATTTGACAGATTCCACTATTCTCTATTTTTTGTTTGTTTGTTTTCTATAGAAAGTAGCATTTTCCTTTTCATTTGACTTCTATCATGAAGTTCTGATGTTAAAGACTGTTTCCCTTTTTTTTCCCCATTCTATCTCTAAATAAACTCAAGTCACTTGGCCTTGCAGAGTTTCACCAAGTTGGTGCATTGGTTCCTCCCACAGGTGATGGCTGTGCTGCCTGGCCCTCTGCAGCTGCTGGGAGTGCTGCTTACCATTTCCCTGAGTTCCATCAGGCTCATTCAGGCTGGTGCCTACTATGGGATCAAGCCGCTGCCACCTCAAATTCCTCCTCAGATGCCACCACAAATTCCACAATACCAGCCCCTGGGTCAGCAAGTACCTCACATGCCTTTGGCCAAAGATGGCCTTGCCATGGGCAAGGAGATGCCCCACTTGCAGTATGGCAAAGAGTATCCACACCTACCCCAATATATGAAGGAAATTCAACCGGCGCCAAGAATGGGCAAGGAAGCCGTACCCAAGAAAGGCAAAGGTAACATCATACTCCCAGGCTGTTATAAAACAACAGCTTTCCAAATCTCTAAATTATGGGATCAGAGGGGGAAGATAAATTTTAGAAGCTTTAGTTTTAGAATTTGTTACTGGCATTTTTAAAATGCCTACTGTGTTCTAACCATATTCTTGAAAACTTCAAGCCTTAAAGACACAGATAAGACTACCATTTATGTTTTGCTTTATTATTTTAACTAGCATCAGATGAAATAAAATATATTAAATCACAAATAGTCTATCCCCTTATTGTTTATTTATTCAAACATTCAGCAACTATCTATAGTGAGCACCTATTTGTGTCAGGCTCTGGGCCAGATGCTGGGAGCTAAAGCAGTGAAAAAAAAGAAAGGTGACAAGTCAGTCTTCTGAACTAAGAGAGCAATGTTGTAAGGACCTGCTGTGTTAAAAGAAAAGTCACAGGAAAGCATTTTGCGAACTAAGTATTAGACAGGTGCAAGTGTTCTTAATACTACTCTAATTACATATGTCAATCAATAGATCAACAGAAGGAAACTAAGAGTATAGACTGCATCTAGGGATGACACCTGAAAATCTCTCCTGTTGCTTTCTTGGCGTATTTATTTAGCACCAACAAAATGCCCCTCAGTGTGACAGACACTTGACGATAAATTCATTTGGTTTGTCTGGAGTTCTCAGAAACCTAGTACTTGCTGCATCAGAGCAGCAATTACCTTTGAGGAAGTGGAGCCAGTCCCACTAGTCCCTACAATGGCAGGAAGCTCCACCTCTGGAGAACTACTGGATTTGGAACTTAGAGGCCTAGATGCCTGGATGCCAGAAATGAGAGAGACCTAGTCATTTGACCTTTCAGAGCCTATTTTTCTTCATTTGTAAAATAAGATTGTTGAGAGAATCAGTGACATACATAGTAAGTAAAGTGCTGAGTAAATGCTAAAGCACCATAGGAAATTGGAGTTGCTACAACTGCTCATTCAACAAATCCTCAGTAAGAACAGAGTGTGTTCCAGGCTCTGTGCTAGACACCAGGGATTCCTGATTCATCTCTCCTACTCTTCCCCAGATAACTCCTCAATACAGTAACTACACAATTCGCTGGTTAGAAATAGCATGCCTGAATAGTACTATAATCATATCTATTCATGTAAAGAAAGTATTCCTGACTTTCTTCTCTTTAGGAGCTAGTATTATACTTAGAAGATTATCTCAGACATTTCTTTTCCTTCCTTTATTGAATGGCTTGCCTTGCCTTTGGCACTTCTTGTACTTACTCTGATGGATCCTCATATCTCGAAATGAGTTCTCTGTTTGTATTTTATTCTCTGACAGTAGCTCAGCAAAAAGTACAATGGTCAGGATTAAGGTGCTACTAGTGACATAAGTATTATGCCAAGAAGATATTGGGACCATATATTTCATTTCTCCATGTTATCCATTAGTCCCAGCAGCATGGGAGATCCAGAGTTGTGTTCATCTGAAAGGCACAGCATGTTCATTATAACAGCACGTGCTGTGTATTTCAATAACAATTTGAGAAACGGTGACACCTTTCACATCTATTCTCTAATCTTGTAGTGTGGCTGTATTATTCTTATTCTTGCTGTACAGATAGGCAAGCAGAGATGCTGACAGCTTAAGGGACCCAGTCACAATCTCACGCCAAGACCAGAAAGATAAGCAGAGCTTCTTGTTCCTAAGTCAAGCTCTCGACTTCATCCATACTGTTTATCATTCTAAAATATCTTATTCATCTCTCCTACTTAAAAGCCAGATTTGTATATGAGAAATTATTTGTTAAATTAATGAACTAATATTTGAGGCTTAGGAAATCCCACAGCACCTTCAAGAAATTAAGCAAATCTACTAATTCTAAAGGAGAGATGTGGAAAGATGTTATTGAACCACACAAAAAATAACTCTATTCTTTCCTATTTCACATCATACTGTATTTAAGCATAAGAGGAAATATCTTGGCCATAAATTATTATATTTAAAAACTTTGCCAGGCACAGGAAGAAAAATCCTGCATATTCTCTCTTAAATGTGGAATCTAAAACAATCGAACTCATAGAAACCCAGAGGAGAATGGTGGTTACCAGAGGCCTTGGGGTGGGGCAGGAGGGAGAGAATGGAGAGATGATGATGAAAGGTTTAAAGCCTCAGTTAGGCAGGAGAAATAAGTTGTTT
The DNA here is from genome assembly GCF_000001405.40 of Homo sapiens. Classification (NCBI taxonomy): domain Eukaryota; kingdom Metazoa; phylum Chordata; class Mammalia; order Primates; family Hominidae; genus Homo; species Homo sapiens. The sequence goes on from NC_000003.12 coordinate 99,793,197, forward strand.
TTTGGATATCTATTGCATAGAATAGCGAGTATAGTTAATAATAATGTATTACACACTTCAAAATCACTGAAAGAGTAAATTTCAAATTTCTCACGAGATAAAAATAAGTATTTGAAGTGATAGATATATTTAGCTTGATTTAATTATTCCACATTGTATTCATGAATCATAGTATCACTTTGTACCCCATAAATAAAATACAACTATAATTTGGATAACAACTCCAATATTGTTTAAAATACACACACACACACACACACACAGATAGAACAAATGAGATGAAAATATATATACATGTTAAGTGGTTATCTCTGAGTAGTGGGCTTATAGGCAAATTTGATTTTTCTTTATACATCTTTGAATCTTCCAAATTCACTATAATAAACACACCATAATATCTCCAAGTTTTATACTTGGAAAAATGTTTCTTCTTCATTACTTTTTAGCTTCTTTACTTAACCAATGTTGATACAAGCAGCTTCACATATCAGTTATCAAAAAAATACCTCAAATACATAAAAAAAAATTGTCAGCTTGATTTTTCTTTCTTATTTATTTATTTTTTTCCTTTTGGAGATGGAGTTTCGCTCTTTCACCCAGGCTGGAGTGCAGTGGTGTGATCTCAGCTCACTGCAACCTCTGCCTCCTGGGTTCAAGTGATTCTCCTGCCTCAGCCTCCCAAGTAGCTGGGACTACAGGCATGTGCCACCACACCCGGCTAATTTTTGTATTTTTAGTAGAGACGCGGTTTCACTGTGTTGGCCAAGCTGGTCTCGAACTCCTGACTTCAGGTGATGCATCTGCCTGGGCCTCCCAAAGTTGTAGGATTACAGGCACGAGCCACCATGCCAGGCCTGATTTTTAAGGTCTAGAAGATGAGCATATTATTCCTAGTCTTTTCTCTTGATAAGTATTAGGCAAATGTGTCAGAACTAAATAATGGTTGTCAGTACTTCATTGATGTGAGAGACAATCTACTAATCAATCTCTCTCTCTCCCCCCATACCCCTTCTCTCTCTTCTCTTCCCAGTAGAAATACCATTAGCCAGTTTACGAGGGGAACAAGGTCCCCGTGGAGAGCCTGGCCCAAGAGGACCACCTGGGCCCCCTGGTTTGCCAGGTCATGGGATACCTGGAATTAAAGGAAAACCAGGGCCACAGGGATATCCAGGAGTTGGAAAGCCAGGTATGCCTGGAATGCCAGGGAAGCCAGGAGCCATGGGCATGCCTGGGGCAAAAGGAGAAATTGGACAGAAAGGGGAAATTGGGCCTATGGGGATCCCAGGACCACAAGGACCTCCAGGGCCTCATGGACTTCCTGGCATTGGGAAGCCAGGTGGGCCAGGGTTACCAGGGCAACCAGGACCAAAGGGTGATCGAGGACCCAAAGGACTACCAGGACCTCAAGGCCTTCGGGGTCCTAAAGGAGACAAGGGCTTCGGGATGCCAGGTGCGCCAGGTGTAAAGGGGCCTCCAGGGATGCACGGCCCTCCCGGCCCTGTTGGACTGCCAGGAGTGGGCAAACCAGGAGTGACAGGCTTCCCTGGGCCCCAGGGCCCCCTGGGAAAGCCAGGGGCTCCAGGAGAACCTGGGCCACAAGGCCCTATTGGGGTACCGGGGGTTCAAGGACCTCCTGGGATACCCGGAATTGGAAAGCCAGGCCAGGATGGGATCCCAGGCCAGCCAGGATTTCCAGGTGGCAAAGGGGAGCAAGGACTGCCAGGGCTACCAGGACCCCCAGGCCTTCCAGGGATTGGGAAACCAGGCTTCCCAGGACCCAAAGGTGACCGGGGCATGGGAGGTGTTCCTGGGGCTCTTGGACCAAGAGGGGAGAAAGGACCAATAGGTGCCCCAGGAATAGGGGGTCCTCCAGGAGAGCCAGGCCTGCCTGGAATCCCAGGTCCTATGGGCCCTCCAGGTGCTATTGGTTTTCCTGGACCCAAAGGAGAAGGTGGGATTGTAGGGCCACAGGGGCCACCAGGTCCCAAGGGTGAGCCAGGGCTTCAAGGCTTCCCAGGAAAGCCAGGTTTCCTTGGTGAAGTAGGGCCTCCTGGCATGAGGGGTTTGCCAGGTCCCATAGGGCCCAAGGGGGAAGCTGGGCAAAAAGGTGTACCAGGACTCCCTGGTGTTCCAGGGCTTCTCGGACCTAAGGGAGAGCCAGGAATCCCAGGGGATCAGGGTTTACAGGGCCCCCCAGGTATCCCAGGGATTGGGGGCCCTAGTGGCCCCATTGGACCACCTGGGATTCCAGGCCCCAAAGGGGAGCCGGGCCTCCCAGGGCCCCCTGGGTTCCCTGGTATAGGGAAACCCGGAGTGGCAGGACTTCATGGCCCCCCAGGGAAGCCTGGTGCCCTTGGTCCTCAAGGCCAGCCTGGCCTTCCAGGACCCCCAGGCCCTCCAGGACCTCCAGGACCCCCAGCTGTGATGCCCCCTACACCACCACCCCAGGGAGAGTATCTGCCAGATATGGGGCTGGGAATTGATGGCGTGAAACCCCCCCATGCCTACGGGGCTAAGAAAGGCAAGAATGGAGGGCCAGCCTATGAGATGCCTGCATTTACCGCCGAGCTAACCGCACCTTTCCCACCGGTGGGGGCCCCAGTGAAGTTTAACAAACTGCTGTATAACGGCAGACAGAACTACAACCCGCAGACAGGCATCTTCACCTGTGAGGTCCCTGGTGTCTACTACTTTGCATACCACGTTCACTGCAAGGGGGGCAACGTGTGGGTTGCTCTATTCAAGAACAACGAGCCCGTGATGTACACGTACGACGAGTACAAAAAGGGCTTCCTGGACCAGGCATCTGGGAGTGCAGTGCTGCTGCTCAGGCCCGGAGACCGGGTGTTCCTCCAGATGCCCTCAGAACAGGCTGCAGGACTGTATGCCGGGCAGTATGTCCACTCCTCCTTTTCAGGATATTTATTGTATCCCATGTAAAAACAAAAAAACAAAAAACAAAGAAAAGAAAGAGATTTTATAGAAGAAAATGACACACCAAAAAATCCAAATGAAAAACATAATTGCTTCAAAACACTTACACAGTTGGAAAGTTATATGTAAGTGAAAATTTGGACCATTGTGTACAAATAAAAACTAAGATGCATGTTTAATACTCCACACAGCAGCCTGTAATTGCGAATGATGGGATAGAGTTATGTATCAAGTACTGACACTTGGTTGTACCCACTGGAATCATATTAGCTGTTTTATGTTATATGCTTCCACAGTAACCTGCTTATTCAGATCAGTCAAAATATATCAGTATGAAAGATCATAGCTAATGAAAGGCACTCACTCATATTGTTTACTTTAAAATATTTATAAATATGCCTTAAAGAAATACAAATGATAACAATTACATACCGTATTTACTTGCTTAATTTCCTCTGTATTTGTGTAGATACTTTGACATGGAATATATGGTGGGGAGACCCGTAGTGTTACCGCCCCAGTGGGAGGGGGCCCTGGGGACCCTGGTAATGCTTTAGTCAAAGGGATATCTCTCTTGTATCAGAGGCTGTGTCTTTTAGTAACAGGAGTCCTCGTCAGAATTGCGTGTCTGTTGTCTCTAAAAGAATGGGTGAACCAATCGGCCTTTGTGAATTTATTCAGTGCCTTCTCTGTACCAAGCACTGGGTAAGGCACTTTTGTGGAGCATTAGACAGTAACCCTCAAGGAGCTAGAGAACCGGATGGGAGACATGAGCAGTAATTAACTCACTTGTTCCCCAGAGTTTCTATTTGTTTTGATTTTCTTTTTCTGTGACTTATTTTCCTATTTTCTTTCCTCCATGTAATTTTCACTATGGCCCAACTAATATAAACACCTGGAAATTACAAGGAAAAAAAATTCTTCCTCTAATAACTTTCCAAATTTGTGGAATATTTATTTGTAATAGCAGTTATCAGTTATGCTTATATAGCATTAAAAATTCTCCTCCTTTGACTACACACACAACCACAGTGTGGTTCTAATCATGGAGATATCAGTAATTTTTAGTAACTGAATTTTGAGGACATTTCTCTGTTTAGCATGTATGCAAACTGATATGTAATCTGAGGTTCCAAAGTCAATTTTTTTCTTTTTTTTTTGAGATGGAGTCTTACTCTGTCACCCAGGCTGGAGTGCAGTAGCACGATCTTGGCTTACTGCAACCTCTACCTCCTAGGTTCAAGCAATTGTCCTGTCTCAGCCTCCCGAGTACTGGGACTACTGTCTTGCGCCACCATGCCTGGCTAATTTTTGTATATTTAGTAAAGATGGGTTTTCGCCATGTTGGCCAGGCTGGTCTCAAACTCCTGGCCTCAAGTGATGCACCTGCCTCAGCCTTCCAAAGTGCTGGGATTACAGGCATGAGCCACCGTGCCCGGCCAAAGTCAGCTTTCAAAATCCAAGCCATAATTGGTGAGGGGGGAGTTTCAGAATTACATAGAAAAATTAATATTTGAAAAAATAATTCTGAAATTTCGAATTTAAAAACAGATGTGCTGCTTCTGGGTGTAGGTAGTAAAAGTATAGGAAAAGAACTGTTTCCTTAGAAGCGGACTGTGGAAGGGCTATGTAGAATGTCAAAGGGCAACAAGAGCCTGTGTTTTTAATGTCATCCTGTACTCGGCACAAATCAAAGGCCAATACAAGTCTGAAAAGCAGAAATAAATATTTTTCCAGGTTTTTGCTTGGGCACATACTAACTGCTTTGGGCATTCTAATCTGGTCTCCAAACACCAAAGACCCATTTCGAGCCTGCTATTAGCCTGCTGCTGACTCTATCACTTGGAGCAATAATGTGGGGTTATGGTGGTGGAATCTTGTATATTTTTGTCAAAAATAAAACCATGAGTTAAGGGGATAGATATAGATGGAAAAATACACAAATAAATACGGTATGAAAACACATGGAAATGTGTCTTTGTCAAATCTGAATCATTATTACCATCACAAAAATTCTTCTCTTGGCCAATATCTCATTTCCCTATATAGTATACAAGCACCATTTCTTCTCAATTTTTAAGAAGAGAAATTAGTCCATTACCACAGGGGTTCTTGTCACTACTAATTATACAACAATCTTTTCCCAACAAAAAGATGTCCTCCACAACCTTTGTTTTCAAAGCAGACAGCATCTATGTGGCCAAATATACTTTGGGTTGTTCTTGAGGATACTGGTTTTGGGCTGATGACTATGGTGGGCAGCATGGATCCATTGGGCTCCTTCTGCTAAACAGCCACATTGAAATGGTTTAAAAGCAAGTCAGATCAGGTGATTTGTAAAATTGTATTTATCTGTACATGTATGGGCTTTTAATTCCCACCAAGAAAGAGAGAAATTATCTTTTTAGTTAAAACCAAATTTCACTTTTCAAAATATCTTCCAACTTATTTATTGGTTGTCACTCAATTGCCTATATATATATATATATGTGTGTGTGTGTGTGTGTGCGCGTGAGCGCACGTGTGTGTATGCGTGCGCATGTGTGTGTATGTGTATTATCAGACATAGGTTTCTAACTTTTAGATAGAAGAGGAGCAACATCTATGCCAAATACTGTGCATTCTACAATGGTGCTAATCTCAGACCTAAATGATACTCCATTTAATTTAAAAAAGAGTTTTAAATAATTATCTATGTGCCTGTATTTCCCTTTTGAGTGCTGCACAACATGTTAACATATTAGTGTAAAAGCAGATGAAACAACCACGTGTTCTAAAGTCTAGGGATTGTGCTATAATCCCTATTTAGTTCAAAATTAACCAGAATTCTTCCATGTGAAATGGACCAAACTCATATTATTGTTATGTAAATACAGAGTTTTAATGCAGTATGACATCCCACAGGGGAAAAGAATGTCTGTAGTGGGTGACTGTTATCAAATATTTTATAGAATACAATGAACGGTGAACAGACTGGTAACTTGTTTGAGTTCCCATGACAGATTTGAGACTTGTCAATAGCAAATCATTTTTGTATTTAAATTTTTGTACTGATTTGAAAAACATCATTAAATATCTTTAAAAGTATGTTTCTCATCTTGTTCGTATCATTCAGTTGACACTGAACCTCACAAGTATTTTTAAATTCGTACTCTCATGAATTAGCTGCTGAAATAGAGACCTAAAATAAGCATAGCTTATACAGAACAATTTATTCCTCTTTGACTTAAGAGCTCCTAGGATAAGCAGTCTAGGACTCACATGGTAATTCCAATCACAGCCCCAGGCTCCTTCCATCTTATTGCTCTTCTACATCAAGGGTGTTGCCCTCATCTCCATGGTCCAGGATACTAACCATCAGTCACATTCTATCCCCGGGGAGGATGAACAAAGCAGGAAGGACAGGACATGCTTTTTGTCTTAAAGGACTCAACCTAGCAGCTGCTTGGATCACTGTCTCCCACATCCCGTGGCTCCAAATTTAGTCACGTGACCACAAGAAGCTGTAAGGAAGTGTGGGAAATTGAATAGTCTATGTAACCATATGCCCAGCTAAAAATCAGGGGTTCTAGTAGTATGGGAGAAGAGAGAATCAATATTAGGGAATAATTAGCTGCTGCATCTTCCACTTCCATCAAAAAAGAAAAAATGGCCACGGACTTCTCTTTTCCCACAAGAGACCAATCTTCAAATACTCCATTCTATTTCACTCTGCCACAAAAAAGCCAAATATTTTGAGGGGAGATAGTGGTGAGTGGAGGTAAAGGGAAGAAGCAGACCCGTTTGAAGAGCCTGAGGGTCTTAGTAAGACCCTGAGAAGAAAGAATTATTTTGTGATGACTTACCAATCCCAGAATGATCATAACTTACCATGTCTAAAATATTATAAAGGGATTATTCAAATCATTCAATAAGCAAGATGTACCACCAGTCTATGGCTGGTTAACTTACTTGTTTAAACCATCAGGCTGGAAACGCAAGACTACAACTTCCATTCCCATACAGCCCAGTTGGTTTGGTTTTATTTCACAGCCAAATACACTTCCCTCACAGTCATCTTACAGGCATAGAGTGTTGTCACAAAAGTGAATGGAAGAACAGATAGAGGAAATGGAGGCAAGGAAGAATAAATGGTTAGAATTTGGAATTCTGAAGAGCAGGGCAAATCTATCATTACTGTTACTAAATAAAGGAAATCAAAATACATCTTACAATGGGTGTATAGTACCCCTTTATATTAAAACAGAACACAAATAAGGTAGCCCCTACTTGGTGCCTGATACTACTAAGCAATGTGAGGCATACAAAAGGAGAGAAAACATCTCTTCTCCTTAAAAAATTATCTTCTGGGCCAGGCGTGGTGGCTCACACCTATAATCCCAGCACTTTGGGAGGCTGAGGTGGGCAGATCACGAGGTCAAGAGATCGAGACCATCCTGGCCAACCTGGTGAAACCCCAACCCCATCTCTACTAAAAATACAAAAATTAGCTGGGTGTGGTGGTGCGCACCTGTAGTCCCAGTTACTCAGGAGGCTGAGGCAGGAGAATCGCTTGAACCCAGGAGGCAGAGGTTGCAGTGAGCCAAGATGGATCCACTGCACTCCAGCCTGGCGACAGAGCAAGACTCTGTAAAAAAAAAAAAAAAAAAAAAGTATCTTCTGGTTGGAGGATATCAAGATGTTTGTTAAACAGAAAATTGATGTCCAAGAGCAGAACCTGCACAGAGCAGGGTGGTGTGATGTTGACTGGATTCATACGTGCTAAAGAAATTCAGAAAGAGAAAGACAGTTCCATGCTGCCCTCTTCCAGGGAATACCTTCTCTGACCTGTCTGCTGGGTAAACTCCTCACCCTTCAGGGTCATTTTCTCCCCCACATCACCAACCTGCCTCATACTTTCCTCTGTCCCTTCACTTTGTCTGCTTTGTAACTGAACCCTTGTCTTTCCTATTATAGTATAAGCTTCTTGTGAGCAGGCTAGTTCTTTCATTTTTTCATCCACAGCCCATCATAGAGTAGTGGTCTAATACCAGGATGAGGAAAGAATGAATCTCTGAAGAATGCTGTGGGGTAAGGGGTGGGGGCAGGGAGTCCTAAACTGGATGTGAGGTTAGACTGAATGGCAGGAAACTCTCTTCTAGCTCAGGTATTCAAGATTGTGTAAAAGCTAACTATGCGATAAAAATTTCAACTGCTTTTTGGAGAGCTGACTTTTAAAGAAATGTAGAATTTGGATGGAGGGATCATGAAAGTATCCCAAGAGAAACAGCTTCTCCTCCTCTAATCAAGAGGAGAAAAACTAGGCGTGTACGTGTATGTGTCTTGAGTGGCAGGAGGAAAGGAAGTTGAGCTCAGGGAAATGGTCTGACTAGATCAGAGCATCTACCCAAGGACTAGTAAAGGAAATTAATTTAGTAACTAAAGGAAGGTCAAGTGACACAGTGCTTTACATACAAGGAAGAGACATTTCTATTTTTAATATGCAATAAGATACTATAGGTCCTTAAGTGGGAAAATGGCATAAAATAGGTATTTTGGAAAAATTATTTCAACGATGCTATGAAGCTGACACTGAAGAAGGCAGGTTATACGTAGTAAAACCAATTAAAAGACCAGGCCATCTTTTATGCAGAAGTGAAATGTTGGGTGATGGTGAAGGACCCTAAATAGACCTTGCAAGTAAGGAGGTAGAAGCAGGTAGGTTCAGGTGTCAAGGTTTAAGGGCTGCATGACAATGAAGCTGTTTCAGGGCCTCAGAACTGGGATGATGAAGAATGGAAAAACTGAAGAGCTAGCTGAAAGACTGAATTGGACTTGGGGACAATACTAGATGGCCTTATAAGACAGAAGGAAGCTTGGCCCCAAAAGAAGGAAACTTGGCCCCAAATGGCAGTTTCCTCCCATTGGCAAACTTGGAAAACAGGGATGGTGCCATCAACAGAAATGGGTAGGCCATTAGTAGAACCCATGCCAGGCAGGATACAGGGGAAGACACCAGTTTGTTTATAGACTCGTTGAATCTGACCTGATGGTGGGTTTTTTAGTTTGCTAGGGCTACCATTAACAAAGTGTCACAGACTGGGTAGGCTTAAATAACACACTTTATCACAGTCCTGGGGCTAGAAGTTCAAGACCAAGGTGTCAGCAGGGTTGGTTTCTTCTGAGGCCTCTCTCCTTGGCTCACAGATGGCCATGATTTATCTATGTCTTCACATGATCTTCCCTCTATCTGTGTCCTTATCTCTGCTTTTTATAAAGACACCAGTCATACTGGATTAGGGTTTACCTTTGTGACCTCAACTTAATTGCTTAAAGGCCCTATTTCCATATATGTCACATTCTGAGGTCCTGAGGTCCTGCAGATTAGGACTTCAACATATGCATTTTGGGGGGGACTCAACTCAGTGCGTAAGAGTGGAAGATGCCTGTGCTCCAAAGATGTGTTTTTGGCAGGAAGATGAAGGGTAGAACTGTGAGCATGGGTAGAGGCCTCATGGCCTCTTGTAATAAGAGGGAGAAAAAAGACTGACCAGTAATTAGTAACACCATTTGCAGAACAAAATAAATTGCTTTACAATTTCCTCCTTTATTTACTGCAGGAAGTTAGTTTAACACATCATTTCATCAAAGATACAGCAAAGGTAAACATCATCCAAATACATATGGAATTACAAGGAATTCCAAACATACAGAGGCAACATAGAGTTGAAACTAGTCATGTCTTATTATATTTTGGGAGCTTCTCTCCTTAATGGTTCTTTTGACCATTAAAATGCAAACGTTCATGCTCATTCCATATCCTGAATAACAAAAATATATCTGAAGTAGCCTTAGGATTATCTTTAACGGAGAGTTGCACAGAAGTTTAGATATTTCCTTTCATTTTACAGAACCAATACTTGTGTCCAGACAAATTTTATTCTCAAACAAGTTATTCTTTATAAGTCAAAATCATCTAATGAGTTTTATTATGAAAAAAAAATTTTTTTGCTAATTCCTGAGGATACATGTAATGGAATTTAAATCAAAGTGGGGCACATCATCTCACTTTTACAAGTTATTCAGAAGCTTCTTGTGTGTGTTACTGAAACACTGGCCCATCTAATCAAATTTTCCTTAGACATATCCAGAATCTTTCCAGAGACTTTTTTCTTTGCTATCTTACTGTAAGTAAAAATAGATTTGTATTAGAATCAAAGACACTTCTAAATTAAAGTTTATAAATCTTGAGGACATCTATATTTCACATGCCTTATTAATTTTGTAATAAGCCTAAAAATTAATTTTGTAATGAGCACAGCCAAGTCAGTTCTCATCTGACAAGTGAGTGGCTGGCAGCAATTTTCACATCTGCTCTTCATTCATGGGATGAGAGACACAGGGGAAAAGCTGATGGAACACTGACGACTCTCCACTTGCCTACTACTAATAATAGTCATCTTTCCTCAGCAAAGATGATGGTGTCCTTGCTACTTATTCTGCCAAACAAGAGTCAAAATAAAAAAAAAATGTTAGGAGAGGGTTCTAGGGTCAAACCAAAAGAGAACAAATCTCAGTGCCTCTGTTTACCAGCTGTGATACCTTGAGCCAATTACTTAACCTCTTTAAACTTTAGTTTTTGCACTTATAAGATAGTAAATGATAACAGTGAGTATCTTCTACAGTAGTTGGAAAGGGAGGTGAAGTAGTAGGGTGTGGTATGGAGGGTGTATTAGTCCATTCTCTCACTGCTACAAAGAAATACCTGTGATTGGGTAATTTATTATTTATTTATTTATTTTTGAGACAGGGTCTTGCTCTGTTGCCCTGGCTGAAGTACAGTGGTGCAATTATAACTCACTGCAGCCTCGAACTCCTGAGCTCAAGCAATCCTCCTGCCTCAGCCTCCCAAGTAGCTGGGACTACAGGCACACACCACCACACCTGGCTAGAGACTGGATAATTTATAAAGAAAAGTTTAATTGGCTCACAGTTCCACAGGCTGTACAGGAAGCATGGCAGCATCTGCTTCTGAGGAGGCCTCAGGAAGCTTTTATTCACAGTGGAAGGCAAAGTCAGAGCAGGCATCTTCTCATGGCTGGAGCAGGAGGAAGAGAGAAAGGGGGGAGGTGCTACACACTTTAAAACAACCCCATCTCATGAGAACTCACTCACTATCATGAGAACCACTGCATGGGGACAGTGCTAAATCATTTATGAAAAACTGCCTCCATGATCCAATCACCTCCCATGCCCCACCTCCCACATTAGTGCTACATTTTGACATAAGATTTGGGTGGGGACACAGATCCGAATCCTATCATTCCACTCTTGGCCCCTCCCAAATCTCATGTCCTTCTCACACTGCAAAATCCAATCATGCCTTCCCAACAGCCCCCCAAAGTCTTAACTCATTCCAACGTTAACTCGAAAGTCTAAAGTCCAAAGTCTCATCTGAGACAAAGCTAGCCCCTTCCATCTATGAGCCTATAAAATAAAAAACAAGTTAGTTACTTCCAAGATACAATGGAGGTATAGGCATTGGGTAAATACTCCCATTCCAAAAGGGAGAAATTGGCCAAAACAATTGGGCTAGAGGCCCCATGCAAGTCTGAAACTCAGTAGGGCAGTCCTGAAATCTTAAAGATCCAAAACAATCTCCTTTGACTCCATGTCTCACATCCAGGGCACACTGATTCAACGGATGGGCTCCCAAGATCTTGGGCAGTTCCACCCCTACAGCTTTGCAGGGTTCAGCTCCCAGAGCTGCTCTCAAAGGCTGATGTTGAGTGCTTGTAGCTCTTCCAGGCAACAGGTGCAAGCTGTTAGTGTATCTACCATTCCAGAGTCTTGAGGAAGGTGGCCCTCTTCTCACAGCTTCACTAGGCAACACTCCAGTGGAGACTCTGTGTGGGAGCTACAGTCCCACGTTTCCCCTCTGCAATGCCCTGGTAGGGGTTCTCCATGAGGGCTCTGCCCCTTCAGCAGGCTACTGTCTGGACATCCAGGCTTTTCCACACATCCTCTGAAATCCAGGTGGAGGTTCCCAAGCCTCAACTCTTGCACTCTGCATACCCACAGGCTTAACAGCATGTGGAAACCACCAAGGCTTATGGTTTGCACCTTCTGAAGCAGTGGCCCAAGCTGTACCTGGGCCCCTTTGAGCCACAGCTGGAGCGAGAATGGCTGGGATGCAGGGAGCAGTGTCCCAAGCCTGCACAGGGTAGTCAGGCTCTAAGTGAGGCCCACAAAACCATTCTGTCCTCCCAGGCCTCCAGGCCTGTGATGGGAGGGGCTGCCACAAAGATCTCTGAAATGCCTTGGAGGCATTTCCCCCATTGTCATGGCTATCAGCATGTGCCTTCCTTTTAGCTATACAAATTTCTGCAGCCAGTCTGAACTGCTCCCCGGAAAATGGGCTTTTCTTCTCTACCACATGACTAGTTTGCAAATTTTTCAAACGTTTATGTTTTGCTTCCCCTTTAAACGTAAGTTCTAGTTTTATGTCCTTTCTTTGCTCATACATTATTAGCATAGGTTGTTAGAAGCAGCCAGGCCACATCTTCAACACATTGGTGCTTAGAAATTTCTTCTGCCAGATACCCCAAATCATCACTCTCAAGTTCAAAGTTCCATAGATTCCTAGGGCAGGGGTACAATGCCACCAGGTTCTTTGCTAACACATAACAAAAGTAACCTTTGCTCCAGTTCCCAATAAGTTCCTCACTTTCATCTGAGATCTCATTACCCTGGACCTCATTGTCCATATCATTAACAGCATTTTGGTCATAACAGTTTAACAAGTCTCTGAGAATTTCCAAATTTTCCCTCATCTTCCTGTCTTCTTCTGAGCCCACCAAATTGTTCAAACCTCTGCCTGTTACCCAGTTCCAAAGCTGATTTCACATTTTCAGGTATCTTTATAGCAATGCCCTACTCTTCAGTATCAATTTTCTGAATTAGTCTGTTCTTGCACTGCTATCAAGAAATACCTGAGACTGGGTAATCTACAAAGTAAAGAGATTTAATTGACTCACAGTTCTGCAGGCTGTACAGGAAGCACTGGGGCATTAGATTCTGGGGAGGCCTCAGGGAGCTTCCAGAGGGGTAACAACTGCTACCATTTAGTGAGTGCCAACCATGTGCCACAAACTGCTTTAAATGTTTTTATGTATTGACTTAGTTACTCCTCATAATAACTCTATTATTAGCTCCATTTTACAGCTAAAGAAATGGAGGCACTGGGCATGGTGGCTCACACTGGTAATCCCAGCATTTTGGGAGGCGAAGGCACAAGGATGACTTGAGCCCCAGAGTTCAAGACCAGCCTGGGTAACATAGTAAGACCCTGTCTCTACAAAAAATATTTAAAAATTAGCCAGTGTGGTGGTGTGCACCTGTAGTACCAGCTACTTGGGAGGCTGGGGAGGAAGGATCCCTTGAGCCTAGGAGTTCAAACCTTCAGTGAGCTATGACTGTGCCTGCACTCCAGCCTAGGCAACAGAGTGAGACCCTGGGGGAAAAAAAAAGAAAGAAAGAAAGGAAGAGAGAAAGACAGAAAGAAAGAGAGAGAAAAGACAAGACAAGAAGCAGAGACATAGTAACTTGTCCAAGATCTAATAAATGACAATGCCATGATTTTAATGCAGATATCTGGCTTCACAGTCCATGCTCTCAGGTATTATGCCAGATCGCCTCCTCAAGGAAGGAGACAAAAGTTCTTAGCTATCTAAGAAGCAAACAACTGCCAGTGAGGGTTCAGGAGATGACAGGGCTCTCTGTTGTTTCTTGATTATTGTGCTTACCAGAGACAACAGATATAGTCAGCTACAAAAAGACTATGACAGATGTCATGGTGACATTCCCATCCCTTAGAATATATAAAGGCAGCAGGTTTTGAAAAGGAAAGGGACCTACCTCATACTTATTAGGAAGACTACTATCAAAACAAACAAAAACCAGATAATAACAAGTATTGGCAAGGATGTGGAGAAACTGGAACCCTTGTGCACTGCTTGGGGGGAATGTGAAACTGGACCACTGTGAAAAACAGTATGGTGGTTTCTCAAAAAATTAAAAATAGAGTTACCATATGATCAAGCATTTCCACTTCTGGTATATACCCAAAAGAATTGAAAGCATGAACTCAAACATACATGTGTATATTCATGTTCATAGCAGCATTATTCACAATATCTAAAAGGTGGAATTAACCCAAGAGGCCACTAATGGATGAATGAATAAACAAAATGTGGCCTATAATGCAATGGACTATTATTCAGCCTTAAAAAGGAAGAATATTTTGACACATGCTATAACATGGATGAACCTTGAGGACATTATGCCAGTCACAAAATAACAAATATTGTATGACTGTACTTATATGCAGTACCTAGAGTAGTCAAATTCATAGAGGTAGCAAGCAGAATGGTGGTTGCCAGTGGCTCGAGTGAGGGGGGTTTTTGTATAATGGGCACAGAGTTTCAGTTTTGCAAGATAAAAAGAGTTCTGAGGATGAATGGTGGTGATGGTTGCACAACAATGTGAATGTACGTAATGCCACTGAACTAAACTGTACTTAATATACTTAAAAATGGTTAAGATAATAAATTTTATATTATGTATATTTTACAATTTCAAAAAATGATGTTAAAAAGTAAAACTAAAGGGTAAACTATTTATCAATAGGAATAAACCATAGGAGGCAATTGGAAATGACTTCCAGCAGCCTCCCTTACCTCCAAGTTCACTGCACTTCTCACCAATAATGCATCAGGGGCCTAAGCAGCAACATTTTGGTGGTCCAAAAACCACAAATCCCAGCTCTCCCAGGAACACTTCTGCAGACCATTATGGAAACTGCCACTTTCTGTGCCTCCTCTACTTCAGTGGATGTTACCTTCTAGAGACCTTAAGACCTGGCTGCTGGACGCAGATGCTCTGCCTTCACCCATTAACTTCAAAGTACAAACCCAAATGACTGGATTTCCTTTTCCTCAGGCCCAAATATGCAATCTGCATGCTAATTCTCTTATTACAAAAGCAAAGTTAACAATCAGGTTTTTCTTCCCCTAAATGAGAGGATCTTTACAGAGTCCATACATACTGAAGACATAAGATTAGAAAAAGGAAGCTTTAATTCAGCCACCTGACCTCAGCAGGCCCTGTCAGGAGAAGGAAGGAAAATCCACTGCCAATCTAGGCAGGGACCAACAAAGGAATACGGTTTTGGCAGCTTGCAGGTCCCTAAGGAACAAGGTCTCCCTCTCGTGGCCATGATAGAAACAGCAGTTCAAGAAGCAGGTTTCAGTCATTTTCTTCTTACAGGAATTCTGTTATGTCAGACATTCAGAAAGGTCATAGTGGGAATGGCTAGCCTCTGCTCCATGATGTCTTGGACCACAGCTTGGGATCAATCAACAGCTGGTGACTGGAATCACCTGGGGGTATCTTTATTTATAGGTCTGGCTGTGGATGCTGTCAGCAGGGACCTTAGCTGAGCTGTGGACCAGAATAGCTACACGTGTTCTTTCCACAGGGTTTCTCTGTGTGGGCTACTTTGAGCTTTCTCAGAGTGATGCCTGGGTTCCAAGTGAGCATCCCAAGGGAGCAAGGTGGAAATGCACAGAATTTTAGGGATCTAGCCTCAGAAGTCACCGAATATCATTTCTACCATGTTCTCTTGGTTGACATGATAAAGTTCTGCCAAGGTTCAAGGAAAGGGAACACAGATCCCACCACTCAATGGGAGAACTGTCAAGGTCAGATTACAAGAAGAGTAGGTGAGATGGAGGATATTGGTGGCCATCTTTGAAAAATACAATCTACCGCATTGTCCACCTGGTTGGTCAATGCTTCACTTGTAGTGGATACTCTCTGGTGGACACACACATGTGCCACAAAGACACACACACTTTGTGCTCACTCCTTTAGGTCCCTCCACATGCCTCTTCCTCAGGTCTCTTTATTATTGAACTTCACATATTCTATCTTAGAGACCTTTCACCCAATCAACCATACCATTCACTGTTGCTCAAGGCCCTACATTTACACTGACCTCAGACTATTTTCTCCATTCAAAGGAGATGAATGCATGTACTGAAGCTCTGCCAACCAGGATTCTGTTCACCTCTGTCCTTTAAGGATCCTCCCTGAGTGGAACCGCAGTGTAGTAGCAATCCATTTTCAGTTCTACCAACATACCAAGCTTAACCAGCTTTGAGCATTTTCCAACATTATCAGCTGGTCATAGAGAATAACCCAGAGGACATAGGTGTGAGCTGAGGAACACAAAAGGCAAGGAGCTCTGAGCCATCTGTTCATGTATCTTGTGACTTTTGGACTTGCTTACATGTGCTCGCATGTATACCATTTCTGTTGTTCAGTGGATTGTTACTGTGAGCACCCAACCTTACAAGAGCCAATTCCTGAAGGGCAGTTCTGGTCATATAGTCATTTGATATTCCATAGTCAAGTGCCTGTTTCTGCTAGGACTCTACATTTTGCCCACAGCTGCTTTTCAAATGGTTTGGCTGTAGAAGGCAAAGCTGTACTAGAAAATCCTTGGAGCAGGCACCGTGATTCTCTCTTTAGGATCTGCCAGAGATTCCATCCAGCATCATTATCTATCACTCAGCACCTTTGGATCTGCCATGTCATTATGGCCTGAGTGGCAGGGCAGCTTGTGTCGTAGCCAAGACTTGCTGCTGAGCCCTCCCTTCTCTTGACCCTATTCAAAAATGGCAGCCTTTTGAGTCACCTGATAAATGAGTTAGAACACTATTTCCAAATGTGGCATAGGCTATCTGCACAAAATACTGTTTCTCTTAGGGGAAGATGAGAGATACAAAAAATTTTCCTTTACATTGAAGGGGATTCCCAGGCATGCTTCAGATCACCAAACTCCTAAAAATATAACCAA
Source organism: Homo sapiens (assembly GCF_000001405.40). NCBI lineage: Eukaryota > Metazoa > Chordata > Mammalia > Primates > Hominidae > Homo > Homo sapiens. The sequence goes on from NC_000003.12 coordinate 99,810,031, forward strand.
CATTGCAGTTCCCTGAACATTTGTAATTTCTCTCTCACCCTTTGGCATGCATGTATTTTACTAGGGCATCCAGAATACTTGCCATTACCTGCTCTCTAGATCCAATTAACACTATGTCATCAATACAATGGATCAATGTTTTGTTTTGAGAAAAAAACAGAGTCTTTTTGAACTATATGATGATGGAGAACAGGAGAGTTAACCAGCCCTGAGAATGTTCACAGCAAAATATCCACAGCCTTCAGTTAATCTGAACTCAATCTGCCCAAGTGAATGCAAATTGCTTTTGATCTTCCTTCCTCACAGAGATTGAACTGAACATACCTGCCAGATCAAAATCACATATGAAGTGCTAGCGGCTATGTTAATTGATTCAACCAAAAATACATTATCTGTTACAGCTTCTCTGATTAGGGATACCATTTGATTCAGTTTACAGTAGTCTACTATTATTTGCCATGGTCCACCTGGCTTCGAAGGGATCATACTGGTTAACTGAACTCCTTAGTCACCATTAGTCTTTCAAGTTGGCATTAATCTCTGCAATTCCACTGGACTGAGGTATGGCCTATGATTTATTATCTTTGCCAAGGAGTAAGGGAGAGGGATAAAGTTTCAGGGACTTCCACTAGGCCCTTCCTACCATAATGATTCATATTTCATTGGTCAAAGGACCAGTGTAATGGTTCTATTAGCTGCTATCATAATTATGGACACAGCAACTGGGGAATGACCATAAGTTTATGGACCCATGACAGCCAGTGTGAAACAGATTAGAAAAAGTATCCTATCACCCAGCCACTGCATGCCCCATTCTAACAGGGGTTTATGGTGCACCTTAGACTCCCTGATATCGATGTAGTTCACCCTGTATCTGACAGCCCTTGAAAGAACTAGGAATTCCTAATTTCTCCGGTATGGTTCCTCTGAAAAAATGGCCACAGGTTCCTGTGGAAAAAGTATGGGTAAATACTATATATATTTGTGGTGTTGCAGGGGGTCTTCCTCAGGGGGATCCAGATTCTCTTTAATTGATGAGCTCTGGGTTTCCAAACTGGCTCACATCTGGAAACCGGTCCAGAGATCATACTATTCCATTTTGGCAGTTGACATGTACCTTCTGTTCACCAGCTCAAGTTCATTGTTATTGCTGTTATATAATTCAATCAACACTTTCATTAGCTTTCTATCTATCTTGCCCCTAGGAATATCATAGTCTATGGAACACCACAGATACCCTGAATATCAAGGACCTGTGACTGTAATTACATCCATTTTCCTTCTGATGATTCTGCACTGCCAAATGCCTTTGCTATTCTAGGATTCTATGGTACCTATTGATACTAGAGCATCTCCTGCTGTCATTCCTAGCCTGCACAGGACAGTCGCCATTAAGACTCTCAGCCAAGTTGGTACTCAATCACTACTGCAATCTTATTGCGTTAGTGAAAAGATTGTCCTCTGGCCCTCCCAGGGAACACAGTGAGCTGACAGGTTCTTTGGTCTTAAAAAAACAAATACATTCTAAAAAAAAGTCCAGGGCTCTGAGCCTTCTGACTCTTTCCTTAATAATCTGCCAAGGCAGTTCTGACGTCTCCATCTCATTTACCATAGATCACCATTGTGTCTAAGCTTCAAGTTACCTCACAAAATTGTTGGTTCTTGCTGACATAGAGAAAACCTATAGCTTTTCTCATGAATAAGTAATTTTCTCCTCTAGTAGGTACTATACTTTCCACTCTGTCTATGCCAAGATTTAACCCTAGTTCTTGGTGAAGAGGAAGTTTAGAGAGGTGAAAGCAGATCCTAAGACAATGAGACAACAAAAACAACATGTTTGTGAGGTGCTCAGAGAAGGAAGCTATCAGCATGATGGAAATGGTCAATCACAGCTGCAGAGCAGCTCAGACACGGGTCAAAGGAAAATGGAGCAGGTTATCAACAGTATTGCTTCAAAGTCATAATGAAAGAAGAGGACGGTATGAAAAAAACCAGGAGGATTTTAATAGAATCCAAATCTTTACATATACATACAAATCTTTCCAGGAAATTCCACCAAGCAACCAGAATTGAGAACCATTGTCCTAAATTATTGGGTTTCAAAGTTCACTGAGAAAATAAAAGTCACAAGATAGGAATGGCTTCATCGTCCTGCCATCTCAGGAATCTTCTTAAAATGAAGTGACCCTGCTCCTATCAGATGGCATCTCCTCCATGTGGCTCTGAATCTCCCTCTGCTTCCCCTTTGCAAGAACTTGACTCTTGCAATTATCCCCTTTTCCTTGACTCTCAGCAGTGCACCCTTGTCTTGGGACTACTCTTCTTTCTTGATTCGAAGGGATCATATTTGTGTCGCTCTCCTCCTCCCTCTGGCTATTTTCTCCTGGGCTCTTTGGCCTCTCCTCCTACACCTGACATCTAAACAGTGGAGGCCCGGGAACTCTTTTCTGCTCTCTACACTGTCTCCCTAAGTAATCTCATCTAGTTCCACTTCTCTTCATTTCCATTTCTACTATCAAATTCCAAGACACTGCTATCTAGCTTTGATGACTACAAGAGCCTCCAACCTAGTCTTTCTGTTTGTACTATTACTAGACATCATCCAGCTTAAAAAACATAAGCAGATCTCACAGCCTAAAAATTCCCCAATGGTTTCCTGCTTGAAATCCTTATGATTGCTGAGAAGCTCTTTCAGGTATGGCCCCCATCTACTTCTCCATCATCATCTCTTGCCACGGTCCTCCACTAACCCTCCCACCTAGGTCACAATTGCTATGTAGTTCCTTTATAGCACTTCTATCTTTTAGCTGAATTTATCATTTTTATCTGAATTTATTTATTCATTTAGTTGTCTTTTGTCTATTTTGTCCTTATTGTTTATGGTCTGTTTTGTCCTTGTCTAAGGCCTACCTCATCATTTTACCCCCTAAACTGTTCCCTCCTCGTTTTACTAGTCCCGTCTAAGATTTTTTTTTTTTTTTAGTTTTTAAGATTTGAACCTTTAGATTTTTTTGACTTCTGTTTTCCTCACCATCCTATTTCCAAAATATTAGCACAAATTGATGGTAATGCTCCTCATTTTGGTTCTTCCTTTTTTTCTATACTATTGTTACCCTAGTGCAGTGACTGTGGGTTATTTTGGGGACACAGACCACATTGGGAGTGTATGAAGGTCATGGGGCAGATGGGAAATCACTTACTAGTAACTCAGCAAGTTACTTAATTTTCTGTGCCTTAGTTTCACCATCTATAAAATGGAAAGAAAAACAGTATAAACCTGGAGCAGATGCTTTTTATGCCCCTTAGCTCATTTTGAAATTGGCTCAGCCATGGAGGAAAGTTCTGGGCACACTGTCATTATCCCACCTCAAGTGAGCTGAGGTATACTGCTCTACTCTTCTGCCTCAGGGCTTTCTCCAACAGCAGCACAGCCTGGGAATATCTGCCAATTCATAACCCTGGCAACAACCCTCACTCAATGGTAGATGACAGTCAGTGGATAAGTGTCCTAGCCTTCTGTCCTTTTGAAGATGCTATGTTGTCTGGGGTGTATACCCTGGGGTTCATCGTTGTGCACCAGAAAAATTTAGGACCTGGGCACACACGAGGAGTTTAGGAGCGTACATTTAACAGGCAGAAGAGAAGAAAAAGAGGTCTCTTCTTTATATAGAGAAAGGGGTCTCCAAGCAGAAAAGACTGGCTGGTGGCGGAAAGTGCCGAATTTTCTAGTCCAGTTTGAGGAGGTGGTGTCTGATTTACATAGGGCTCACAGATTGGTTCGACCAGGTATGATGTTTTCATAGCACACGGGGAAGGCTGGTCACTCCACCCTAATCTTATTATGCAAATGGACTTTCCAGTTGATCAGTGCCATCTTGCCTGCTCCTTGCAGTACACGTGGCTGGCAGAGAAGGGAAAACGGAGGCGCCATTTGAACATGTCTAGTCCTTAGTTCCTGCCAGCATTCATTCGTGTAAGCTCCCAGCTTGCAGGCTGCTCTTTGTTAGAAAATTATTTGGGGCTGCTTTTCATTAAAAAGAAAAGCCTTACTGAGGACTCCCATACCCTTACTATGTGTCTAAGTAATTTCTTCTTAACTCCTGTATCACTTTGTGAGGCTAATTCTGGGGTATATCCTATTTTTTTCAGAGGGTCTTCAAGAGGATAAAGAGCCAGTCATTGTCTACATCAAAACCAGTTTAATATCAATCCTCCTTCTTTGTCTCATTCTCTCTGCCTTTATTCCTGCATCCTGGTATCACCTCCCAAATAAACTATTTGCACCCAAGCCTTTGTCACAGGCTCTGCTTTGAGGGGAACCCTAAGTAGGCAGTTGATTTTATCAGTTGGGGTCCTACCATGCAAAAGATGACCCATTTAAGCTGGAAAACTGAAAATAATTTAGTAAGGGGAGTATTTCTGAACATGAGGTCAGGTTAGGGAAATGAAACGTGGTGTAGAACCCCAGGACTAGTAATGGTGGGGAGCAGTTACCACTCCTAAGTCTGAAGAGACAAAGGCAAGTTACTAGACTCAGAAGAAAGAATTGAGGAGAGCTGCTGAACTAGAGCTGTGGCCTTCAGTAAAGGGACCAGCGTCAGGACTCAAGTGAGACAAGCATTCTCAGGTCGGTGTCAGTGTCAGCCTGAGAGTGACTGCCTCCTTAAATCTGGTATCCTAGGTCTCTGCTTGCCTCACCCTAGTCCCAGCACAGTATCTCATGGAGTTATGATTAAATGAATTAAGATATAAGAGGCATAGAGAGGTACATACAACATGCTATTGTTGATATTGTTACTACCATTATTGTCTACATGATGCAAAAGTTTGAATGCATTATGATGGTTCCTGAAGTACACTTATAGGCTGGGCTTATTGACTAAGAACCTCTGCACTGATTAAGACCTTTTCATTGTGTGGTGAGCATTCACGAAACAGCCTTCAAACTTTATCGCTCTCTTACTAATTCAGTTTTTGCCAACCTTTCACATCATGGCATCCATAGAAAATGGTAATATCTGTACAACACTAGAGTGAAAAGATGATGATACCCTCAACCTGAGGCAACTGCCCCAAGGTCACTGCTTCCTCCAAAGACTGCAGGGGTCAGTCTTCAGCCCACCCATGCCAGGTGGGAAGCTCTGCTCAAATCCATTATTCATCCTGCACAGTAATACCAATTTAGCTTTCCTAAAACAATACTTCCATCATGTCCTTTGCCTCTAATAACAACGACAAAAATCCAGAATTCTTGGTCTGATACTCAAGATTAAGGCATGGAGTTGGAAGAGACCACAGGAATCATGAAATTGCTCCCCTTTATTTTACAGACTCACAAAGAAATGCCCAGCAAAGTTTAATAACTTATTCAAAGCAACATTGCAATCTTTCTGCCAAGGAACTATCATTTACCCTATCCATTTTTGCCGACAGACATCCATTGTCAAGTGCTACCTCCCAGTTCGCCCCATTGGGAAATGAATGCTTCCTCCTTTAAACTCTAATAATACTCATTCAGATACTGAACAGTAAGAGGGAGCAGAAAAAGACCTAATAGTTATTTCAGCCTGAGCTTCCCTGTGTTAGATGATATGATCAGATACTGGAGAGTACGGTTTTACAATACACTGATTTATAAACCAGGATGCCTATTCACTAATAACCAATTCACTAATAACAGAACAAACAGAACAGAAATGGATGCTACAACTTAGGTTGGCTATTCAATATAATCTGGGGTCAGTAAACTTTTTTCTGTAAAGTTAGAGCAAATATATGAGGGAATAGTAATAAATAGTAAATATATGAGGGCTACAGTCTCTGCTGCATATTTTTCTTTACGTTTTTGTTGTTGTCGTTGTTGTTTTGTTCTGTTTCTTACAATGCTTTAAAAATGTAAAAAATGGCTGGACACAGTGGCTTAGGCCTCTAATACCAACACTTTGGCAGGCTGGAGTGGGAGGACTGCTTGAAGCCAGGTGTTAAAGACCAGCCTGGGCAGCAAAATGAGACGCCATATCTACAAAAAACAAAAACAACAACAAAATAACCAAGAATGGTGGCATGTGCCTGTAGTCCCAGCTACTCGGGAGGCTGAGGCGAGGTGGAATATAATGTAAGACCATTCATAGTTCATGGTACAAAACAGGTATCAATTCCCATTAATGCATAGACACTCCATAATTTAGTATTGCCAGACTTCTTTTTTTTTTTTTTTTTTTTTTTTTTGAGACCGAGTTTCGCTTTTGTCAACCAGGCTGGAGTGTAATGGCACCATCTCGGCTCACCGCAACCTCCACTTCCCGGGTTTAAGCAATTCGCCTACCTCAGACTCTCAAGTAGCTGGAATTACAGGCGCCTGCCACCATGCCCGGCTAATTTTTGTATTTTTAGTAGAGATGGGTTTCGCCATTTTGGCCAGGCTGGTCTGGAATTCTTGACCTCAGGTGATTCACCCACCTCGGCCTCCCAAAGCGTTGGGATTACAGGCTTGAGCCACCGCGCCCGGCCCATACTTCTTAATTTTGTGATTTATTGCCTGAAAAACGGTCTCGCTGTGGTGTTTTTTTTGTATTTCCCAGATTAATAATCAGACTGAATTCTTTTCATGTTTATTAGCCATAGCAACTCCTCTTCCACACTGGCATTTCTTATCTTTTTCAAAAATCTATTAATCACGAAAATCTCGTCATCTACATTTCTTCACAAAAGCCATATTACTTTTGATCTTTATAGATTATTTTACATTTGCCATATTTATACATAATATCTTCCCTTTTGGGGCATTTAGAGTGTGCGGACAAAGTCTAGGCAGTAATGCATTTATAAAACATCTATGAGTTGGGTGCACACGGGGTAATTTTCCACATATGGCTAATCCTAGCCTCATCAGATTAAGTTTCCCTGTCTTGTCATTTCCGAGGATGTATCCTATTAGAAGTCTAGCCCTTTATTCCTACAAATTGAATTTCCACTACTGTAGGCTAACATCTGAATGGACTCATCTTACTATTCCATGCATAGTACCAGGCACGTTGCGTGCTTTTACTACATTTTGTATAATTTTTACGTCTGTGTTTGATGTCCTGAAAAATACCGTCCACAATTACTTCACAGCTAGCCCCAGCACTTGGCGCCCAGCGGGTTTTCCTAGTCCCTCCCTGCCAAATCACGTTGGGACTGAGACAAGAGGCACTGCGGGTCTCTTACCTATAGTTACGAAGCAATGGACTCCCTTATTACTTCGTTTCCCAAATAGGGGGTGGGACACACAACCGAGGGAGTATGAGGAAAACAACTTGCGGGTCTTCGAGCCACTTGCGTCTTTCTGTGGGCGAGCCTTTCCAGGCCAATTACATTTTCTTTACTCATATTGCATAAATAGCAGAACTACATTTACCACAAAGGCCCGACATTCATGGTCATGGATCCTTGCGCATGTTTTCTAAGAGCAAACTGTACAAACACATAAACTCTGAAACACTGACGCACAAGCGAAAACACACGCACATGTTTGGGTCTTCTCCCGCTGCGCAAGTTCTTTGAAACTGAGCGGAGAAAAATCGTCTTCACATGGTGTCTCACACTTTCGACACAATCTTATCGGGAAACGTAACACGTAAACAAAATTTTTTAAAATGCATTATCAAAAACGATGACAATCCCTTTCGTCTTATGTTCCTTTTTGTCTTTAAGCTTTGGGGGGATTTATGTTGCGTTTCCAAACTGCTTCTGCCTGTCGGCGCCTGTGTGGAAACTGCGACGAGTCTGGGAGCGGCTGCCGGAGAGGCGGGGCAGAGGTGTGACGTCATCGCCGCGGGGCGGAGGCGACAGTGTCTAGCGGGAGCTCCGCGTGTAGCTACGCCGGCCGCCTGGCTTTGAGACAACGTGATTCTCCGCAGCTGGTCGCCTACCCGTGATGTTCTGCCCACGTCGAGACCTGAGCTGAAATGGCAGACGATCTCGGAGACGAGTGGTGGGAGAACCAGCCGACTGGAGCAGGCAGCAGCCCAGGTACCCACTCTGTGCCCGCGCTCCTACGGGGCCTCTCCCGGAGCCCTTCCGTGCGCCTCAGCCCTGGTCGCTTCTGGCGATCGCGGTGTTTGCCCAGCAGGGGTGTGCACCGCCTTGGGAGCGCGCAAGCATCTCGGGGAAAATGGTGCAAGAGATTCTTTAACACGTGAAACAGACAGCTGTGACATTAACTCAGATCTGTCTGCCAGCCAGGAAGGATCCTTTCCACAAGCTTTCTCTTTTCCTTATTTCTTGAGAATGGATAAGACAGTTTTTGTGAAGAGAGGCAACTTTGTATGATGGTTAAGGGTGACCCATGAACTGCTTTCAATTCAGACTGAGGTCAGAAGCAGGGGTTGCTGCTTCAGACTCCCTCCATTCAAATCACGACTCCAGTATTCTGATACTGTTTAGCCTCCTTTTCCTCATCTGTAAAATAATGATAACAATAATGTCCATTTCGTAAAGTTGTGAAGATTAAGTGAAGTTAGTACAGTAATGCACTTTAGCATAGTGCTTGACATATAATGTGTGGTAAATATAAGTTACTGTATTTCTTGTGGTCATCATCATTATCATGGAATTTGGAATAGTAGAACTGGAAGGAGGCTTAAATAGAGATCATCCTTTGAACTCACTTATTTTACAGATGAGAAACATAACCTAAAGATGTCAAGTAACTTGACAAGTTCACAAAGCTAGCTCCTTTCAGAAACAATACTAGAATTCAGTTAACACAATTTGAATAGTTTCTACTATGCTCTGCTGTGTTTACCAACTCCTGATGCAGTGGGCATTTCATCCCCAAGTAGAGTAGCGTTAAGTGACCCCCCATGTCAGGCTAGCCTTGAACTTTTTAAGTTCCATCACACCTACCATGCAATTATTGGTTGGTTGGTTTTTATCACTCCTCAAGGTCTGCCTCTTTTCTCTACAAGAGAAGACAGGGCCAAAGTCAGATTCATACTTCTGTCATCCACAGGGCCCTGCACATGTTAGACACTTGATACCTATTTGCTGCAAACAATCTTGAAATACTAGTTGTGAAATATCCATTAAAAATAACCAACTTCATTTGTTGCATTGTTTCCGGAAGGTCAAGCCTTCAGGTACAAACTAAGCAGATGTCATTTTTAGAAAGGTAGCCAATACAACATTTCCTTGATTAAACTTCCTGACTCTTTTGCAGCCCTGTGGTGTTCCACATTTACTTTAATAACTACCCCTCCCAACTCAGGTGTTAAAAAGCTCTATTTTATGATATGATTGAAGATGAACAGAGGCCATTTAAGAAATAGTTGAATTCTGTTTGAGTGGTGAAGGGGATCCCAATTCTTGGTTCTAGTCCTCACTAGCTGTGTGACTTTCAAGTTATTCATCCGTTGGAAGAAAGGCAGTCAACATGTATTGAGTATCTATTATGTGACAAATGTCTTCATAAATATGAATTGATTTAACTTTCATAACATCCCGAAAAGGTAAGTATTCTCTTCATTTGTATAGGTGAAGAAACAGAAAAAAGTTAAGTCGTGTTCTTAGGAACACACATTGAAGAAGAGGTCTGGGAAGAGTTTAGTCAAGTGTGATTGATTTTGAAAGTCACGCTTTTCCCGCTACTACTTTGTGACTTCTCTGGGCCTTTGTATCATAATCTGTAAAGAGCCCTTAAAGATCATCTTTTTTAGGGTTTTACCAACCAACAGTTTTTTTTTTCTTTTTTTTTTTTTTTGACACGGAGTCTCCCTCTGTCGCCCAGGCTGGAGTGCAGTGGCACGATCTCGGCTCACTGCAACCTCTGCCTCCTGGGTTCAAGCGATTCTCCTGCCTCAGCCTCCCAAGTAACTGGGATTACAGGTGCCCGCCACCACACCCAGCTAATTTTTGTATTTTTAGTAGAGACGGGGTTTCACCATGTTGGCCAGGCTGGTCTTGATCTCTTGACCTCGTGATCTGCCCACCTCGGCCTCCCAAAGTGCTGGGATTACAGGCGTGAGCCACCGTGCCTGGCCCCCAACAGTTTTAAACACTGAATCTAGTAAAACTTTAAATCGCTACAGCCTCCTTCATCTAAGTTGCCAGAATTCTCATGAAGACAGTGTGTTGGAGTGCCTAAGATTGCTCTACTTCTTACATTCCTTCTAGCCATAAGACTAACCCTTTTTTTTTTTTTGAGACGAAGTCTCACTCTTGTCCCCCAGTCTGGAGTACAGTGGTGCGATCTCAGTTCACTGCAACCTCCACCTCCTGGGTTCAAGCGATTCTCCTGCCTCAGCCTCCCGAGTAGTTGGGATTACAGGAGCCTGCCACCACCCCCAGCTAATTTTTGTATTTTTAGTAGAGATGGGGTTTCACCATGTTGGCCAGGCTGGTCTTGAGCTCCTGACCTGAAGTGATCTGCTCGCCTTGGCCTCCCAAAGTGCTGGGATTACAGGTGTGAATCACCGCACCCGGCCAAGACTAAGCTTTGAAAATTGCTGGCATTAAATTTATCAGAGGCCTTTGCTTTGTTCGCTGCTCTTAAGCAAAGTAAGTATATGCCTTTATTTGAAATATCCTTGATTATTCACTGGCAATTTGCCTAATTGTAATCTGTACAGCGTTTCTAATTCAAAAGAAATCACAGCTGAACCACAGATTTCCTGATTCTTCTTTTGTTGATGGGATCTAGCCTTGATCCTAGAGCACAAGGCTTACTTACCTGGCTGCCTTCTTGAAGTCTTTACTTAAGTTATTTGATAGGGATGTCAAATGTATTCAATTGTTGTTTCAGCCTAAAGTATGTGAATTATGTTTTGTTTTGAAAGTTGAAGGAGAAATAATATGTTAAATCAGAGAAAGGAAAGATAGTTGTATTGGTGCTTTTATTCCTGTTGTGGATTATGCTACCTGCCTATAAAAATAAACATTTTTGCTATAATCTGTTCCCACTTGACATCCATGGTAGCAAGGCAGTGGAAGATTTCAGTCACTTACAAATACTTGTTGGTTGTACATGGTTTATAACATCTATCTAATGTGCCTATCTGTTTGTTGTCTGTCTAAGGAACTGTACTATTTTTTGGCTGTTATCATGTCTTCTTAGATGTGGTATGTAACAAAGTTTTCATGGCTCTTTAAAACCTGTCATTTTTGTGCTAGAGTTCTACATTGCACTGGAGCTCAACATGGGACCTGGCACTTAATTGGTGTTTGGTGGATGTTGGCAGAATAAATATATGTGTGTATGCGTGTTACCTGCTACAGAGTATGTAGGCAGACATATAATTTCTCATCCAATCTAGACACTTTTGTGAGTGGAAGGCTATGCAATTAGAATTTTGCAGGGACTCTCCTGGTCCTTAAGGGATGTCTAGTCACTCCATTGGTGGCAATTGGAGTCATGGCCCAACATAAGACAGCTGGGAGTTACAGTGCTGAGTGTGCAGCCCAGGATGCCTTAGGCATAAGACCCCAGGAATCATCTAATGGCATCTAATATTTGATTTATTTCCTTATTCCCTGTAAACCTTCAGCAACTGTTTGAAGTGACTTATAGTAAGTAATACATTCAGTAGAATAATGATGTGAAAATATTAATGCTGAAATGAGCAAACACAATGCCTGAGATTTTAATGTAGTTGACCGGTCTGGGTACTTTCTCAGTGTGAAGCTGAAAACTGAGAGAATGTCAATCACAGCATGGATTTCGTGACTTAAGGAAGAGAGCCAAGGGATTCTGCAGTTGAAAATGTCACTTGAGGGCCTGTAATCCCAGCACTTTGGGAGGCCAAGGTGGGCAGATCACCTGAGTCCAGGAGTTTGAGACCAGCCTGGCCAACATGGAGAAAACCTGTCTCTACTAAAAAGACAAAAATTAGCCAGGTGTGGTAGCAGGCACTTGTAGTCCCAGCTACTCAGGAGGCTGAGGCAGGAGTATTGCTTGAACCCAGGAGGTGGAGCTTGCGACGAGCCAAGATCGCACCACTGCACTCCAGCCTGTGCTACAGACTGAGACTCTGTCTCAAAAAAAAGAAAAAAGAAAATGTTACTTGATCATTTACTCACTGAAGATGAAGAGAATACTAATTGCTTTCCCTTTTTATTTCAATGACATACCTATTAAATTACCAAGTCGAGTACCCAGTAGGCAGCTAAGTATGTGAGTCTGGAGCCCCAGGGCCAGATCCAGGCTGAGATACAGATTTAGGAATAACTGGCATACAGATAGGTTATTTTTAAAGAGCATGTTCTTAGCAGTCTGTAACATTGAGCCTCCATGTCTTTTAAGGAGGGTCTTTCATATGCCTCCCCAACTCATTCTGAATCTTTGATGACATCTCTTCCCAAGCACCTAACTAGAAAACTGAAGTGTTAAGACACTGCTATGTACAGTGCCAGGAGACTGCAGGTAATAATACCAGCTTGCGGCCAGGCGCAGTGGCTCACGCCTGTAGTCCCTACACTTTGGGAGGCTGAGGCAGGTGGATCACCTGAGGTCAGGAGTTTGAGAACAGCCTGGCCAATGTGATGAAACCCTGTCTCTACTAAAACTACAAAAAATTAGCTGGGCGTGGTGGCACGCACCTGTAATCCCAGCTACTCAGGAGACTGAGGCAGGAGAATTGCTTGAACCCAGGAGGCGGGGGTTGCAGTGAGCCGAGGTCGTGCCACTGCACTCCAGCCTGGGCAATAAGAACAAAACTCCATCTCAAAATAATAATGATAATAATAATAATAGTAATAATACCAGCTTGCATTTGTTGAGCACTTAACTACCTGCCAGATGCTGTTTTGATTGCTTTACATGTTCTAGTTAATTTAATCTTCCCAAGTACACCAGCGGTAGTTACTGTTGTTATCTTTATTTTACTGATGAGGAAGTTGAGACACTGAGAAATTAAGTGATTTACTTAATACTATTTAATTTAATTCACCCAATACTATCTATTTAATTGGTAAATAGGGGAGCTGTGATTCATATGCAGGCAGTCTGAAACCAGAGCCTGTGTGCTTATATTTCGCATTCTCATTATCAGTGGTAAGAATCTCATCTCTAAAGGAATAATCTGTTATCGGCTTAAAGAGACTCATAATTTAGAAAGTCTTTTGTTTATATATCATTATGAAATTGTGTCTATTAGTTTTCCAAAGTTTACTCTTTTAAAGAACACTGGTTACTTGGAGCTACAAATAAGCAGCTTTTCCATTTGGGCTTTGAGAACCATTTCTGCCAGTAACTCAAACCTGATCCTGGAGCTCAAAGCTTAACATATGTGGCTGCCTTCTTTAAATCTTTACTTAGTTATTTAATAGGGATGTCAAATGTAAACAAGACCCAGCTACTGAATTATTCTCCAAACCTGCTTTTTCTCCAAACTTTCCTGTCTCCATAAATTAAACCACCAACTACCCAATTTCACAAAGGCCTAGCAGTATTCTGATTTATTTATTTTTTTCACCCCTATATCTCATCCATCAAGTCCTGTTGTCACTACCTCGAAAACATATCCTGATTCTTTCTTTGCATTTTTCTTCGCTCTGCCTCCATTGGAGTATACATTTTCATCCTTACTGCCATAAGCTTCTAACAGGGCTCAGAGTTTCCACCTTGTCCCTCACTCACCAGCTAGAGGCCTTTTGAAAAGAAGTCAGGCCACTTTCCTGCTTAAATCTTCCAATAGCTTTTTCCCTGGCACATAGAATGAAATTCAGATTACTTACCATGGCTGGTGGCCACCAGGTCTTCTACTATTTACTCCCCTATAGTTTATGCTGCCCCACCCACACCAGCCTTCATTCTGTTCCTCAGTAGGCCACACTCATTCTGTCTTACTTAGCCGTTTGTGTTAGCTGTTCTTTTCCTTTCTGTCCTGTCCTTCTGATTGGCTGGCTTTCTTTCTTTCTTTTTTTTTTTTTTTGAGCTGGAGTCTCGCCCTGTCACCCAGGCTAGAGTGCAGTGGTGCGATCTCAGCTCACTGCATCCTCCACCTCCTGAGTTCAAATGATTCTCCTGTCTCAGCCTTCTGAGTAGCTGGGATTACAGGCGCCTGCCACCACACCCAGCTAACTTTTGTATATTTAGCAGAGACGGGATTTCACCATGTTGACCAGGCTGATCTCGAACTCCTGAGCTCTTGATCCGCCCGCCTCAGCCTCCCAAAACACTGGGATTACAGGCATGAGCCACCAGGCCCGGCCAGCTGGCTCTGTCTTAACATTAAGTACTCAGTTCAAACGTCACCTACTCAGAGTGGCGCTTCCTGATCAGGCAGTCTAGAGTAACTATCTAGGTGCTCTATTACATTATCACAATATCTATTAAATTATTATGTTATTATAATTCTCAGCAGAGCACTTAGCACCAACTATTATTTTTCCTTGTTAAATTAATTACTTTTTCCCAGCAGTAGACTGTAAGAGCTCCATGTGAGCAGGTATTTTGTTTGTCTTGTTTGCTTTAGTTTCAGGGCCTAGAGTAGTATCTGGATACAGCGAAGGCACTCATTAAGTATTTGTTAGTTAACCAATTAATTATTAATATTTCGTAGTCACACCTTGAAGACCTCAACCTAGGAGATCTTTATCAAAAGAACCTTGATCTGCTGGCAGATTTGTCAAACTCCTGTCCAGGCTTTTGACAGATTTGGCAAATGCCGCTTTTCTCTTTTCAAAATTACATTAGTAGTCCTTGTAAAACTGTGTCTAACATTTTATTGTAACCATATTTGGATTTAATTTTATAAATTACGTTTGGAAAGAGGACAAGAGACTCTTTGTAAATAAGCCTGTAATTTTTACTGGTGACAGCTTTTGTCACCTAGAATCAATGTGCTTATTCTTTTTGAGATTGCTGAAATGAGCTTTGTAAATATTTTTGTTGTAATATCATTTTATGGTATATTCTTCAAATTATATTGCTTTATCCATGGTGAATTCCTTCTGGAAATGGAGTAGGGGAGCACCTTGGATCTTTTCTTTAAACCCAAGTACCCAGGTTTTTTTGTTCTGTGTTTTTTCTATTTTCACACCAAAGTTAAACCTTTACAGTATTAGTTTTACATATAGACAGTCTTGCATTGTAGATGTTGTAAGGCATTGTCTCTACATATAAAATTCAGACTTGGAATATTTGTAGGAGATGTTAATAACACACAACAGAGGATCGACTTCTGGGCATGTTGTTTTCATAATCATTCGTCAAGCTCTCATGCTTAGCCTTGTTTTAGACACTGTACCAGAATTAGAGGGAAAAAACATAATCAGCTTACATTACAGGATTTACACATTGATGTGGTTCAGTCAAAATGCAAATAGTATTGACAGATATTCAGGGGCAAAACACAGGGGCAGGATGAATTTAAAAAGCAAGGGGAAGGAAAGAAGAAAGAGGAGGGAGAAAAATGACTATGTTATTAGTCATTGCTCTACACTTGAAGGCTGTAACAGATGGACACTTAGATAACCTTCATGGTCTGGTTTAATTTACTGCATATAATTTCCACAGTTCTTTCAGATGATTAAATGAGTGGTTCTTGACAACAATTACGAACATTTAAAGGTGGAAATTTATGCATATTTCCCTAAATTGCATGTCAGGTAGTTCCTGCTATAATTTTGCTAAATGTCCATGAATCTCTTGAAAAATACAACTCATAAATGTGGAAGGCCTATACATAACTTCCATTTCCTCCCTCAGATTCAATAATAATATATCATTTTGTGGCACAAATCTTTTTTTCTTTTTTTCTTTTTCTTTTTTTTTTTTTTTTTTTGAGACAGAGTTTTGCTCTTGTCCCCCAGGCTGGAGTGCAGTGGCGCAATCTTGGCACACTGCAACCTCCGCCTCCTGAGTTGAAGCGATTCTCCTGCCTCAGCCTCCTAAGTAGCTGGGACTACAGGTGCATGCCACCATGCCTGGCTAATTTTTTGTATTTTTAGTAGAGGGGGGTTTCACCACGTTAGGCAGGATGGTCTTGATCTCCTGTCCTCATGATCCGCCTGCCTCCGCCTCCCAAAGTGCTAGGATTTACAGGTGTGAGCCACGGAGCCCGGCCCAGCACAAGTCTTTTATCTGTTGTTAATCTGATGTTATTTAGTGGAACACTTCAGATGCATTCATAGAATTATACATTTTACTAAATATATCACAGCTTGAAATATAGTTTCCCCATTTTTATCAGCTTTCATAGAATTCTTAATTGATTTTTAAATGGCTAATATTGCTTATAAAAAGTAGTTGATCAAGCTCTTAAATTCCTATTTCTGAGTTCCTTGTTCTAGTTCACACTAGACCAGAGGTCAGCAAACTTTTTTCATATAAATCCAGATAATAAATATTTTAGGTTGTGTGGGTCCAGTCATCACCGTCATAACTGCTGTTGCAGTGTAAAAGCAGTCATAGAAAATAAATGTGTAAACGAATGAGTATGGCTGTGTTCCAATAAAATTTTATTTATGGACAACAATATTTGAATTTTATGTAATTTTCACGTCACAAAATAGTCTTATTTTGATTGTTTTTCAACTTTCACAGTGGGTTGAATTTGGCCTGTGAACCGCAGTTTGCAAACGCTGCCCCAAACTCAAAGTCACATCGTGAATTGTATGTCACGTGTCTTCAGGAGAAGAAATTTGAAACAAATCCAGAGAGAATTGTGTTTTACCTTAGTTACTCCGTTACTTAGTAGTTATCAGCTATGTATTAGACCAGTCACATATCTGTTAAAATCAGATATTTGATTCTAAAATATCTCAAGATTAGTTCAGAAACCTTGAAGGTAAATAAATGAAGGACCAGGAAAAGACTTCAGCTTAAAAGTATCAGGTTTTTAACATTTTTGTTACAAATTGGATTTGTTTTCACTCACTTGGATTTTTATCTGCTTACTTTGAAACAGTTCATCAGGTGAAATCACTCTAGAATTATTAGGTCAGCTTCTTTTATTTTCATTTTTCTTCAGAGGCCACACTTCTGCGGAAACAACATGCCCAGGAGGAAAGATGCTTTATATTTCAGTTGTGTTACATATAGGTCAGACATTACTGTTTTGAACTCCAAATAGTATTCTCACTTTATAGTTGTATTTGCATTTTTATTATATTATTAATACATATTGCTTGAAACAAGCATGGTTTTTGGTTGTCAATCCTTTTGTTAAAATATAACTTTATTTATTGTTATTATTTTGAGACAGAGTCTCACTCTGTCACCAAGGCTATAGTGCAGTGGCATGATCTTGGCCTACTGCACCCTCTGCCTCCCAGACTCAAGCGATTCTCGTGCCTCAGCCTCCTGAGTAGCTGGGATTACAGCCATGCACCACCAAGCCCAGCTAATTTTTGTGTTTTTAATAGAGATGGAATTTCGCCATGTTGACCAGACTGGCCTCAAACTCCTGGCCTCATGTGATCTGCCCGCCTTGGCCTCCCAAAGTGCTGGGATTACAGGTGTGAGTCACCGCACCCGGCAAATGTAACTTTACTTTGAAGACTTTTGTCTTAATGGGATTAGAACTGCATTACCATTTAAAGATGAGTTTCTGCTGGTTCCCATAGAAGTGTCAACATTTTTCTACGCAAATTTTTTCTTTTTTTAATTTGAGACGGAGTTTTGCTCTTACTGCCCAGGCTGGAGTGCAATGGCGCAATCTCGGCTCACTGCAACCTCCGCCTCCCAGGTTCAAGCAGATTCTTCTGCCTCAGCCTCCGGAGTAGCTGGGATTACAGGCATGCGCCACCATGCCCGGCTAATTTTGCATTTTTAGTAGAGACGAGGTTTCTCCACGTTGGTGAAGCTGGTCTCGAACTCCCAACCTCAGGTGATCCACCGCCTCGGACTCCCAAAGTGCTGGGATTACAGGCGTGAGCCACCGTGCCTGGCTTCTACCTAAATTTTTTAGTACTTTGTATACTATCTTGTCCCTCTTTTTGTGCTTCCTCTTAAACTTATGCTAGCTTGGATAAAAATGTACTTTAGGAAGTCTCCTGACATGGGAGAAAACAATTTTGAAAGCTTCAACATACAACGTATTTTGTGCTTCATTTCAGAGTAAAATTTTTCCCAAGGTATTTTGTTTTTCTGGGACTATTGTTAGTGCATGTTGTTTTTCCTGTTTTATGCTTCTTTTCAACCTGTTTGGTTTTCACTAAGGGATTCCAATGGGTTTTTTTTCTATTAGCATAATTACCAATGTTGAATGTCACCTGGGCATAACTACTTTTCCTAACCCTGTCATACCATTGCTATCTCTTAGCATGTTTTCTCAAGTGAGAAAATGTCTTGACTGAATGGCCTTCTCTTCTTCATTTACTCATTCTCTATTCACTCTAGATTTATCAAATACCTGCTCTATGTGAGGCACAATACTAAGCACTCTGTACATACGTGTATTTTTTTTTTTTTGATGTTAGAGCTTCATCACTGCACCCTTTTTTTTTTTTTTCCCCACAAACAAGGTCTTGCTCTGTCAGTCAGTCTGGAGTGCAGTGGTGTGATCATGCTCACTGCAGCCTCGGACTTCTGGGCTCAAACAGTCCTCTTGCCTCTTCCTCCTAATTAGCTAGGACTACAGGTGTGCACCACCACACCTGGCTTTTTTTTTTTTTTTTCTTTTCGGAGAGACAAGGTCTTGCCAAGTTGCCCAGACTGGTCTTGAGCTCCTGGCCTCAAGAAATCCTCTCACCTCAGCCTCCCAAAGTGCTGGGGTTACTGGCGTGAGCCACCATGCCCAGTCTTCACCTTCTTTTGTAGTCCATCCCCTTCTACTATTCTCTTCCTGCTTTCCTTTCACTTCGACTTTTCCATTTCAGGCTTTTAATTCACTTGACCTCCCCCTACTGCCCTCTGCCACTTGCCTGCTGGGACTGCTGCCCATCATCCCTCTCAATGCTGCCTATCATCCCTCTCAATGCTGCCCATCATCCCTCTCAATGCTGCCCATCATCCCTTTCAATGCTGCCCAGGCCTCTAGCTCCTTCTCCTCCTTGAAATTGCAGGGGCCTGGGGGTGTTTGTACAGTGGCATTAGTGCAATGAGGTGGACTTAGTTAGATAAGTATGGGGAATGGGAGTTCCTTTACTCTTGCTCTGCTGGCTCCAACCCAGGGCAGCTGGCTAAAGCAGTCCTTAACCATGAGGATTTCTTCCAGGGTCATGCTTCCAGTTTTTAGTGAAGGATCACAAAAAATGTTTAGTGTCGTTCCATTGATTTTTTTCCCCCCTCGATTGAAGCTTTTTGAAATGTTTTTTGAACTGCCTTTTGTGTCAAACATGCCTTGTCTTAAAATGTCCTGTATTACTCTGTCCACACTGAATTACAGGCACACCTTTCTCTCAATTCAATGAGAGAGTTTTCAGTGTGATGTAAAGAATTGCTTTAGCTTTCTGCCAGGGGACTGTGTCTACCCTTATAGATGACTGTTTGAATTCAACATTTTGTATTAATAGTTGGGCATATTCATAGGTTATCAGAACTGGAAGGGACCTGAGGAATTATTTCACTTTCCTGTTTTACATGTGGAAACTCAAGGCTTAGATTGATGAATGCAAAGCTCGTTGTCACATGAATGAAAATCTAGGATTGGAATTTGAGTCTCCTAACCCCAAGCTTTTGTTGAATCAACTGATTTTCGATAGTGTTTATTCAGAGAAGAGATATGAATAAACAATGTCCTGTGAGATGATAAATTCTGTATTTTTTCAAGCACCTGGAATATTGATTCATGTCTCCCTAAAATATCTCAATGTTACTGAGACTAAGTGCCAGTGGTCAGGTATGCTTACTACACCAGTGATTGTCAGGTATTCTGCACAAAGGATATATTCGGCTGTTATTCACTTTTGTTATGCTTTTCCTCCTTTAAGAATTATCACTTTGCTTTTTCCCTCCTGGTCATAAAGAAATCATAGTTTTAGACCTTAAAGTGTGATTTTAATTGTCCTGTCATCTTGATGGAAATAATCTGATTTTCTTGACTCAGATTAGGAATTTTTGCTATCACCTTTTCTTAGCAAAATATGATTAATCAGCAAAGTTCTGTAGAATGAAGAATTACTTCTGTTTTCACCAGAAAACTCTTGAACTGTTCTAGTGAATTCAGTCCTATCCCAGGCTGATTCTAGATAGTTCATCTTTGGGTTAGATTATATGTCGGATGAGGAAATGGGTAGATTTGGGTGTGGGTCTAGGCCTGCGAGTGTTTGTGTGTGCATATACACATATAGAAGTAAAATAATTGTAGACGTGCTGCTTTTTGGGGGATGATCTTCATCAGGTCCACAAAGCTGCTTCACCATTTCCTGGAGAGATGGTCCTTTGGCCTTTCATAGTGGTAATTTTAGCTTTCCACATATTTCTGTAGATGAATGTATCCAGGCAGTGCATTGGTATGAGTTACCTTCTCCCTCCCACGTGGAGGAAGGTGTTGGAGGTGACAGTTCTCACGATGTGTAGCTTCCCACAGCCATTTTGGTAAATAGGCTTATCCATAGGCACTGTGGGGGCTTTAGTGGAAATCTTGGTGATGCCTGTAGATTTCGGTTTAGGGATCCGTGCTGGGATTCTCTGCTTGCATACCTCCTTGATCTTGAATTAAACAAGAGAACAAAAGGTAATTAATGGTACAGTTGGTGGAGAAGTAGAAATTGTTTAGGACATGGAGTCAGTTTGGAGGATTTGGCTTTGAAAGCACCAGTTTCTGGGGATGTATCAGATCAAA
Organism: Homo sapiens; assembly: GCF_000001405.40. Lineage (NCBI taxonomy): Eukaryota > Metazoa > Chordata > Mammalia > Primates > Hominidae > Homo > Homo sapiens. The sequence continues at coordinate 99,830,739 of NC_000003.12, forward strand.
GATCGTCAGGTTGAAGAAAAGAATGTCAGTAAAGTAATCTGGTGTGTGTTGAATGTGTGCTGTGTGCACAGTTCTTGATAGAGATAGTGGTAGATACAGAGATGAATAGATATTTGGCAATCACGGTGTAGTAGGACATATACAAGAGTAGTGTCCCAAATTAATCTCAAAGAGCCATGAGATTGCCAGAGAAAGGTTAATTTCGAATGAGATTGTCTTTAAGAGTGCTTCATGAAGAATATGGCATTTGACTTGGGCCTTCAGACTTTTAAAAGTTTTCACAGTATGAGTGAGATGGGCAGCTCCAATGATGATTAGTGGAACAGCTTGGTAGTATGTATCAAGAGCCTTATGAATCTTTTCTAGGATGTAGAGAGGCAGTCAAGGATATTTGATTTTAGCATTGTTTATAATGATGAAAAATGGACAGTTAAATGAATAGGATGTGTTAAATGAATTATAGTATAATTATGACAACATGCTTTGTTAATGAGGCCAAAGCTTCAGGAAAACGTTTACTTAGATATGTTAAAAGTAGAATTTAAAACTGTGTACATGCTTTAATTATTTACATGTGAAGAGAAAAATACTAAAAGAAAATGCACCCATGCTATTGGTTGTTAACCCTGATTAGTGGACTTACAGGTACTTTTGATTTTTCTTACATTTTCTGTGTTCTCCACATATTTTATAGTAAGTATGCTATGAGAAAAAGGAACACTAAATTGTTTTAAAAGACGAAAAAGGAAGGAAACAACTTGGAGATCAGGACATTTCTGTGAACAACCATATTATCCAAGCCATGAGCAGTAGAAGCTGCAGTTGAAGTCAGTGACAGACTAATCAAGTCTGCTAATATTGTGACTATAGCATTAATAATAGCCTTCCCAAGATGGATTTCTGTGATGTCCTGTAACTTTATCAAGATTTAGATTGGGTCTCCAATTTAGTGTTCAAAAATCTATGTTGGGATCGTCTTTAAATTGTAGATTTCTGAATCTTACTCCTATGCATTGTAATTCATTGGTTTGTGGATATGTCCAGCAATTCACATTTTTAATAAACTCTCAGAGTGATTTCTTCAACTCAGGTGGTTGGCCTACCACACTTGGAAAAGTGCTGCCATAATTGAACTTCCTTTAGATGTAAGCTTTATTTTTTCTTCACCTGGAACTCTAGCCTACCTGGGTATGCATAGTTCAATACTGTGAAAGGCCGAGACAGATTGGTATGACACACAGTATTGGTGGAGCTCGTTTCTTTTGAGCAACACTGATACGTGTTGGTGAAGAAAATGTGGCTTGGAATGGTGGTCACTGATACTTTCAGGCCCAGCTGCCTGAAGGTTACTGGGCTCCTACTTGTTTCTACACCATTGATGTGCAAGCTTTTGTTTTCTAGGTAACTCCATTTTCATTACGTAGTTTTTACCTCTAGATGGCAGCAAAGGCTTGTTATTTTATCAGAACAACCCCAATTGTCATTCCTAAATCTTTTTTTTTTTTTTTTTGAGACGGAGTCTCGCTGTATCACCCAGACTGGAGTGCAGTGGCGCGATATCGGCTCACTGCAAGCTCCGCCTCCCGGGCTCCCGCCATTCTCCTGCCTCAGCCTCCCCAGTAGCTGGGACCACAGGCGACCGCCACCACGCCCGGCTAATTTTTTGTATTTTTAGTAGAGACGGGGTTTCACTGTGTTAGCCAGGATGATCTCGATCTCCTGACCTCATGATCCGCCCGCCTTGGCCTCCCAAAGTGCTGGGATTACAGGTGTGAGCCACTGCGCCCAGCCATTCCCAAATCTTTAAAAAAAAAAAAAAAAAGGCCTAGCGCAGTGGCTCATACCTGTAATCCCAGCACTTTGCGAGGCTGAGGCGGGCGGATCACTTGAGGTCAGGAGTTCGAGACCAGCCTGGCCAACACGGTGAAACCCTGTCTCTACTGAAAATACAAAACAGCCGGGCGTCGTGGCGCACTCCTGTAATCCCAGCTACTTGGAGGCTAAGGCAGGAGAATCGCTTGAACCCACGAGGCGGAGGTTGCAGTGAGCCGAGATCATAGCATTGCACTCCAGCCTGGGCCACAGAGCAAGACTCTGTCTCAAAAAAAAAAAAAAAAAAGTTGTTTTTTTTTTTTTTCTTGTATGACTTATCCTTGGACATGTTTCAGTAAATGAGGTATGGAGCATTAAAATGTGTCATCTCTTGGATCATTTTTATAGAGCGTTATGTCAAATAGCTCCAAGAAAGTTTTGTCCAAATTTGGAATGCATATTGCAAGAGAAATACATGCATATGGCTCTTTTAAGACCACACAGTGAATGTTCTACTCAGAGTTGGAGGCTCCTGGGTTTCATCAAAGAGCAGATGTCTTGGAGGAGATTAAGCAAGTTGGAAAGCTCATTCATAGAAGAAAACGATTTTTTAATAAATGCTTAACCCAGTTCAACATGAAGACTGGGATTTGGAATGCCTTAAAAGTCTGAAGGATGTTGAGTTCAATGAGGCAGAAGAAGTGGTTCCACCTAGGGAGCAGTAGAAAGAAGAGGAGTAAATTTGTGGAATATATTAAATTCTAAAAGTGTTGGTTTGTTTTATCCATAGATTCTCAAAAGAAACCTAGCAATCTAGAAGACTCCCTGGTTACAGTGAGTTATTAGAAGGCATTGAGTCATAATGAGCAAAAGAAGTATGGAAAGGTGAAGTGTTTTCAGTTGTATTCAAAGTCTCAGTTCTATAGCCCAATTTCTACATGACTCTTTTGTTCTTCCACTTTATCATGGAGCACAAATATACCAGAACAAAATCAGCATTTATGGAGAAACTATCAGATCTCAGACAGCTGGAGTCAGGATGTTTCCTTTTCTCTAAAGGAAATTAATTTTGTAAGTGCTTTGAACTTTTTGATCTGTATTGACAACGTGTTGTGTAAGAAAGCAGTGTTTTCTCAGGAGCGGTCCTGACTCCAGGGACTGCATCACACCTTAGCTCTAGAGGTTGAGAAGTTGAAGACTCCCAGAGACCTCTGGTCATTTTGATATGTGGTAATTGAGGTGGTGTGGGACGGTGGTTGGATTCAGGGCTGCTCACTCCCTTGGGGACTTAGCTGTGGAATGCTTGGCCAAGGCCATGTGTTATCAGAATTGACAGTGTTTTTGTAGTTTTGTTTTTATCTCAGTGTTTAATGGGAAAGTATATAAGCAATGATGATGGATATGGTGATGAAAAGAAGGAAATGCTAAACTGAAGAAAAATATATTTGAAATATTATTGCCTTCTTTTCTTTTGTCTTTTATATTGTTTGACAAATCACTGCTAATTTATGGGGAGTGGTGGAATGGAAATAAGAGATAATGAATCTGGCAGCTAGCCCAAAATTTCATAATGATGCTTTGGCTTTTTTCTCTTGATTTTTCTCAGAGCTCCCCTATTAAACAATGAAACTTTATCACTACAAGTTTTACGCTTTATACAGGAAAGGGTCTTTCAAAGGAAAGCTGTTTGATTTTATTAGCTCATTCTCATTAACCTCCTATGAGAGATCATTTGGTTTTGAATAGTGTTCTACTTCTATGGCTTATATTAAAGAGTTGTCCAATATCTGATGCAAAGGTTAGAGTAAATAGGTGCCTTTATTCTGTAATGTATCATGGTTTGTGGTTGTACCTAGTCACCTCTCAATCTCTCTTTCTGTGGAAATTATACAGTCAGCAGTGGGGGCAATCCAAGAATAAACATTGAAATAAAGTTTTCAAAATCGCTCCAAACCCAGTTGCCCCCACTTTGTGTCAGACCAAGCATCAGATGTAGCAATACTTTGTTAAAATAAAATATACTAACCTTAAATACTTGTCTTCCTCATTTGTTCTCTTTTTATCCATCTGTGAACTTTTTTCCTTTTACTCAGCTTTTCTTTTTTTGTACCCTTTCCTCCCTCCCCTCTCCTGTGTCTTTCTCATTTCTTCATTTGCACCCACTTAATTGTTTTAGTCATTCTCAGGCTTACATCTTATAACAGCCTTTGGGTAGTATCTAGAGCACAAGCCGTGGAGCCAGTCTTGGGTCTTCATTCTAGTTTTGGCACTAACTAGCTGTGTCTCTTTGAGCAAACACTTTACCCATGTAAACCTCAGTTTCCTCTTTTGTAATCTTCATCTGGGGATTGAAATACCTACTTGTAAGTTTTCTTTGGGGAGTAGAGATATTGTGTAATAAAGTCCCTGGCCCATCTAAAGTTTCGGGTGTTAGGTGTTCCTGTTGTGATCATCATCAGCATCATCTTTGTCTTTTTCCTTATATCACTTCTTAAGATGCCTATTTCTTGGTCATAATCCTAACTTCTTTGATTGTTTTACCTTTCTTGTTTTCCTGCTTTATCTCTCAACTTTCCTCTCTCTCCAATTATTTATAGGCAATATGTTGCTAAGGGTGGGAGTTAAGGCAGCTGAATAAGCAGCACTGATTCCTGGGCTATACTTCTAATCACCTTTGACCCAGAAAAGGCCCACTCACATGTCCTTTATCCTCCTTATGCTACTTTGTCTGGTCCTTGTGAATCTTTCTTTTTTAGAGTTCACCCAGAGACATTATCTGTTCTTTCCTGTTTTCATGTCTTTTGTTTGAAAAATGCAGTAGTTCTTTTAGATCACCTGTAAAGTCCTTTGGCTTTGACATTCTGTGATTCTGTGAAAAGGACAAATGCAGGCCAGCTATGGCTACCAGGTGCCTTTATTAGCCATATGAGCTTTTGTTGAGCACCTACTATGAGCACTATTTAAGTCCTGGGTAGAATAGGACCATGGTTCTTAAATTTTATATGCCCAGAGAGCCTGTTAGGATGCAGAATCCCTGCAGTGGGAATTAATAGGTCTGGGAATGTGAAACTCTGCAAAGTCATATGTGATTCTGATGAAGGTGGTCAATGACTGCATTTTAAGAAACATTGATATAAGGAGTTCAAAAATAAATGATAGCTGATTCTTGCTTTTGAGATGATAGCATAGGAGGGGTAACAAATAATTATGAGGTAGAATGACGTGCAATAATAGAATTACAGACAGCAGTTTTGGAAACTCAGTGGAAAACTAAAAAGTAAGGAAGGTTTTCCAGAGGAAGTGACACATGAGGGATGAGTAGGATTTTAGTATGAGGAACAAAGGAAGAAGAGTATTTCAGCCCTACAAACAGCATGATCAAAGGTAAGAAGGCCCAGTAGTATGTGGGAGGATAGTTAGTATGGTGTCCTGGTGAAGATGTGAGGGTATGTCCAGAGTTTCAAAGGGAGATGAAACGAAAGATGAAGGCCATGGTAGAAGGTTTGGACTTTGGGCACTAAGCAATTTTAAGTGCTGTTTTCTGGGAGGCTGGAGAATTGCTGTGATCAGAATGGTATTTAAGGCTGGATTATAGAGGTGAGGATTTAAGTGTAGTAGATTAACTATCTTACAGTACCATCTGTCCTAAATTCTGGGCTTGGGGAGTAGTAGTACAAATAAGTGGGGAGGACAGAGAAAGAAATAATATGACAGAGTGGAGGATGAGCAGAGAAGTGGAGAATAGTTCCCAGATGTTGAACCTGAGCAGTGGGGAAGGTGATGGACCATCAATAGAGGCGAGACAAAGAGCAGTTCAAGAAAGATAGTATATTGGGTTATGGGCGCATGCTAAGTTTGAAGTGTATAGTTGGGCCTTCCATGTGGAACTGTTTGGTAGAGTTGAAATTTTGGAGATGTTGCTTTGAGGATCGTGGTAGAGAAATTGTTGATACTACTCAAGTGCCTGAGACAGCCAGAGAGAAAAATGTAATTCCCACTCAACTGCCGCTCTTTTCTTCTCCCACCATAGGTACTTCTACATCCCTTTCCCAGAGCCTGAGATGAATTTTGTGGGACCCTACCATGTGCCCACATCCTCTGCACAAGGCCACTCTATCTTAATGATAAGAATATAACTAGTTCTGAGAACAGCCACCTAAGGAGGCATTTATTCCCATTACTTGAACAGTACATAGTGATTGAACCACTATCCAGGGAGTGATTGGCTTGCTAGGGGAAAGGAAATCCTGCACCTCTCTTCCAGTAACCTGGCTGGCCCCTCAGCCATTGTGTCTGAACCAATCAGACAAATTACATAAACTTGTACTCGCAGAAAGGTTTGCCACTTTGTGGCACAGAGCCATGCAGTAAGGACAGGATAGCCTCCCTAAAGCGTATTTCCTTCCTTATTGGCAGTCTGAGAAAAACCTGGAATAGGACCATATTTGATAGGTTTGGCCTAAAAAAATAGTAATAATCGTCCATTGTTCTCCCTAGTCTTCTCATTGTCCTTAGAAGCTATAATCAGCAGCCTCAGAAGCATTTATATTTTTCAGTTTCTGTAATTAATACATACTCTTATAATCAGGAAATTTCATATGAAATAAATGGGCTGCTTATATAAATTACTATGAGAGCTGTTCTTCTCAGCATGATCCGTACTCACTGATTCCCTCCCTGTTGCCCTAAAGGAATAACTATCTGCCTCTTGTGTTATGGAACTTTTGAGGACCTCTTGCAGTTTTTAGTTAGCTCCTGTTTATATAAAACAGTGGTTTTCTGAGGCTTCAAAAGTGACTGATCTCAGGCACAGTGAATTCAGGCAAGAACACCATGAAAAGGCATAAGAATAGAAGAAGAATAGCTTTTTCTAGTTAAAGAGAAGAGAGAAAAAAAAAAAACAGCCAAACCACTAATTGTAAAGGATAATAATGCATTTTTGAGGAATTACTTTGAGTTGTTTGAAGAGTGTCTGTGTTGATGCAGATTATTGTATTGTGAGGGGAGACATAGGAGCCAACTTGACAACTTTCCTTTGCAGTGGCAGTTTTTACTTGGGATGCTTCCTTGGTTTACAGTTTTGTACTCCTGAATTTGGAGACTGACAGGGTTGAACCCCAACACTTCTCCTTCTGACCTGGGAAGATACATAGTGATTATTTCTAAAAAATGATTTTGGGAGTGCCAGTCTTATTAAGTTACAGTGTTCCTTGAGAAATAGAAATCCAGATTTAGAGTGTACCATCTGGGAAAATTTTCTGTTTCTGCAAAGGCAGAATCACACCAAATGTGGCCTAAGTTGGTGGTGCTTGTCTTTATAGTGGCTGGACCTTGATCCCTTGATTGCCTTTTCTGAAAGTCTTGGGTCATTATCATAACTGTCAAGGCAGCCACCTACTTATAAGCTCAGATGTGCATGGTTGTGATGTTCCTTCCGTGAATCATTTTCACTCACTTCTGATGCTTTTCTATCCCATCATCTCTGAGGCTAATCAGGTACCTCCTGCTCTGCACATATTGATTGCCTGTCCAAGCTCATTCTTCATGCTTGGCATTTGTGCCCTTTGCTTATAGAATCTTACCTTAGGATAAAGTGGACACTGACTGCACCTTTTGTGTTCTGAGAACAGTCTCCTAATGAGAACATGAGCTTCTCTTTGGACTTGCTTTCTCACATCTCCTATCCCAGGTCAGTCTTCCCCGTGCCTGCCCATTTGTGTGGGGCTTGGCTTCTCACATTCATTATCTCTTGTCACCCTAACAGTGGCTTCAGGGAAGCAGGTGGAGTTGGAAGGAGAGGCAAATCACTCTTGGCTATGGTGATCATGGGAGGTTTCAGAAGAGGCGAGCATTGATACAGACCCTTCAGTGTGGGTCTTACTTCACTTGACAAGAGATGAAAATTGTGTCCATGTAGAGAAGTGGGGAGGAGAAAGCCCTGCATATGTTTAGGGACATTCTGAGTGTTCTGGCTGAAGTGGCAGATCTGTGAGGTGGAGCACAAGGAGGTAACATTAGACAATCTGTCTGTCACCACAGATTGTGGAAAGGATCAAATTCAACTTATAATGAATTTAAAACCCCTTGCAACTCAGTGTGTTGCCACGGAAAGAGAATGGGGCAACAGAATCAGACCTGTTTTCACTCCTCAGTTTTGTGACATACTAACAGAATGACCTGGAACAGCTTTCCTTATATGTCAGAGTTTTAATCTACTTATCCCTAAAGTTGTCATAATACCCACTTTCTAGGGTTGTTGTAAAATAAAATAATATTGTATAATGGATTTGTTTTTTGCCCTCTCTTTTATGTTACCTCACTATGCAGAAACCTTCTGTGAAGACACAGAGACTCCCTAGTGCTGTATTCATGGTTCTTCACAATCAACAGGTCTTTGCCCTTTAAGCCTTACCCTGCCCCAACCATCTCAACTTCATCCACATTGCACTGCTCACTGTTCCTTGAATGTTGATTATCTGCCCTCCTGCCTGCCCCCACACCTTTACCTTGTGGGCACCTCTTTGGAGCACCTTTCTTTTTTCTCTATATCCTAGTCTTCCCCATCCTGTATCCCCTGCTCAATTCTCATCTGTTTCTGAAGCCTGATCCCCAAATCCCACCTGAAAGTAACCTGCTCTTCCTCTAAAATCCTGTAGTACTTACTGTCTATATAGTTCCTTCTCTGTGTTGAGCTCTTAGTTACCTTTTAAGCTACCCCTTAACTCCCACCTTTTATTCCAAACTTTAACATCTGCATAGCTGCCTGGCACAATAATGAGCAATATTGCATGCTTCATAAATATTTGTTGGTTCATTCTTGTAGGTGATTGGTTGAGGAATGAAGGAAGCCTGTATCCTAATAGAAGACATTCATGCCTGTGGTGGTTATAAGCTAATAATACACAGGGAATTGCAGCTTCTCAGAGAGGACCTTTTAGAAAGGTCTAAACAGTAGAGAGTTATCTCTTCAATTCTTGGGATTCCTGCTGAAAACCAATTCCCTTCTCCCCCGACTCCATTTAAAGCCAAGGTGGTTGGTTTCTAGACTCTTATTTCTCCCAAGGGCACATGAAAAATGGAAAGCTCTAGTTGACCTGAAAATTCTAGTTTAGAATTCAGGTATCTTTGAAAGAGACAGAAGTATAAAATACTGTAATAATACAAATATAGATGTTCAAGTATGAACATGCTCTCAGCCAGTCTGTCAAGTAAGTGGAAACAATTATGCAACAAAACTCTTCAGTATAGGTTTTTAAAGTTGCTTTGAGGCTTATGTTTCATCAGATTCAAGGTTCTCATCTCTAGACACCAGACATAAGAGTTTTCATATGAGTTGTCAGATTTTTCCCACAGTGTTATATAAGAGTGGAACTCTTATAGAGTCACTTGGTCCATCTCTTTAATGTGGTGATTTTTAACCAGAGGGCGATTTTGCCCTTCAGGGAATATTTAGCCATGTCTGGAGATATTATTGTCACAGTTGGGGGATGCTACATGGTGTGTAAGTAGAAGCCAGGGATGCTCCTAAACATTATACAGTGCATGAACACCTCTTTCTTCCCCACAACAAAGAGTTACCAGGCCAAAACCATTAATAGTCCTAAAGTTGAAAGAATAATGGGGAGAAAAAGCTGATAGGATTAGGGGTAAAAGAAATTAATTCGTAGAATCTTTTTTTTTTTTTTTTTTTTTTGAGACAGCCTTGCTCTGTCGCCCAGGCTGGAGTGCAGTGGCGTGATCTCAGATCACTGCAACCTCTGCCTCCCGGGTTGAAGCGATTCTCCTGCCTCAGCCTCCCAAGTAGCTGGGATTACAGGTGCCCACCACCATGCCCGGCTAATTTTTGTATTTTTAGTAGAGATGGGATTTCACCATGTTGGCCAGGCTGGTCTTGAACTCCTGACCTCATGATCTGCCCGCTTTGGCCTCCCAAAGTGCTGGGATTACAGGCATGAGCTACCATGCCCAGCCAATTCATAGAATCTTAGAGAAGGAAACATCTAGTAGTTTTGACATCTGTAAGTGGAAAAATGAGGAAGAAGTTTAATTTCTGGAGGAAAGAAACTCATGCAGGTTGTTGGCTTATTTATGCTCCAACTTTATTTCCCAAAAGGAATTTTAAATGATTTAAGGAGGGTGGCAAGACTTCAAATTCAGAAGTCATTGGAAGTTAGAACCAGATGTGATCTTAAAGATCACCAAGTTCAATTCGCTTATTTCACAAAGGTTAAATGACTTGTCCAGGGCCTCACAGCTGACTAGAAAAGGCATAAACTAGAACCTGATCTATTTGCCTGCCTCCAGTGCTCCTTCCCCCAATCTTTTCACTTAACTGAGGCTTTGTTAATCTACTGTGGTCTTCCTTAATCTCCAGTTTATTGGTAGAGATTGACAGTTTCCCACTTGATTAAATGTTGTCTGATACTCTTGTTTCATTTCTTTGCCCAGGTTAATAAGCTCTTCAAGGGCAGTGAATCTTTCATCTCCATAATATCTGCCCCAGTGGCAAGTAAGAGGTACACAGTTTAATGTGTCATGATCAGTGGATTGATCGATTGTGTACATGTGATGCTTTGAAGAAAACATATTGCATACTAAGACACTGCGCATGTCACTGAGACACAAGTTTGGTTGCATAAGGATCGTTTCCACTCACTTGATTGACAGATTGGCCCAGAGTATATGTACATTTGAACAATTATATTTGTGTTAATACATTGTACCTTTGTTTCTTTCAAATATATCAAATTATAAACTAGAGTTTTCAGATAAACTGGAGCTTTCCATTTCTACTATGCCTGTGGCAGAAAAATAATGTAGATAACCAACCACCTTTGCCTTTTGCCGGAACAGCAGATAACTCCCTCTATTGTTTAGACCTTTCTAAAAGGTCCTCTCTCGGAAGTCTCAATTCCCTCTGTATTAGCTTGTAACCACCACAGGCATGAATATTCATTAGTAACCTCACCTCCACCTATCCAAAAGCCTCAGGAATGGCTGAGGACGAGGTAGGCTTTGTAGGTCTGTAGGGCTTATATTTGTATATTGTAGTTGTCCAAATATGGCTAGCCTTTAAAGAGCTGAACAAAACAGGCGCAATCCCATCATAAAAATGGGCTAAGGACATGAATAGACAATTCTCAAAAGAAGATATACAAATGGCAAACACACATATAAAAAAATGCTCAACATCACTAATTATCAGGGAAATGCAAATCAAAACCACAGTGCAATACCACCTTACTCCTGCAAGAATGGCCATAATCAAAAAAATTAAAAAATAATAGATGTTGGTGTGGATGTGGTGAAAGGGGAACACTTTTACACTGTTGGTGAGAATGTAAACTAGTACGAGCATGGAAAACAGTGTGGAGATTCCTTAAAGAACTAAAAGTAGATCTATCATTTGATCCAGCAGTCCCACTCCTGGGTATCTGCCCAGAGGAAAAGAAGTCATTATATGAAAAAGATACTTGCATATAAGTGTGTTTATGGCAGCACAATTCGCAATTGCAAAAATATGGAACCAGCTCAAATGTCCATCAGTCAATGAGCGGATAAAGAAAATGTGGTATATATACACCATGGAATACTACTCGGCCATGAAAAGGAATGAAATAATGGCATTCGTAGCAACCTGGATGGAATTGGAGACTATTGTTCTAAGTGAAGTAACTCAGGAATGGAAAACCAAACATTGTATGTTCTCACTCATAAGGAGGAGCTAAGCTATGAGGACACAGAGGCATAAGAATGATACAGTGCACTCTGGGGACTCAGGGGAAAGAGTGGGAGGGGTGTAAGGGATAAAAGACTACACATTGGGTACAGTGTACACTGCTCGAGTGATGGTTGCACCAGAATCTCAGAAGTCAGCACTAAAGAACTTATTCATGTAACCAAACACCACTTGTTCCCCAAAAACCTATTGAAATAAATAAATTAAAACAGGCCAAAAAAAAAAAAAAAAGATGGTCTCAGGTAACCCCTCAAATATCATACCAGGACCATTTGGCTATGAGGAGGAAGAAGAACTCACTAAAATAAGAAAACTAGTTTCAGTTTTTCAAAATATTGCCTCAAATAATAAGATAAGTTTTATTTCTCTTGATCAACAATTTTGACAATGAAATTTTAAATGATGCCACAAATAAAAGTGATTATCCCTGGAATGGCTGACTGCAATGCCAAAGGTTATTCCTGAATACATTTTTATGGTGGCATTCTAACTGTAAAACCTGGTACCTGATGGAATGTTGACAGATTTGTAAGTGCTCCCATGTAAATGGTGTTAATTCATTATCAAATTATGAAGTACTTAGAGGTGTTGGCCAGTTAACTCGCTAGACTCCCTCAAGATTCCTTACCCTACAGCATTGCCTTTGGGGGATGGCTGCTCTGATATATTGACTGCCCAAAAGCCTTACCCTTCTTGATGTACCTTGAGGAATGGAAAGGGTCCATCTGCTGGAAAGGAAAGGGCTTGAAGTTTAAGTAAAATGAATTTAAATGGGGTTTAAGGTTTGAGAACCTTAGTAAACTACTTGTCTTCCTTGCTCTTTCTTGTATTTGCTTCACTGTGCCATAAGTTGAATGGAGTCCTTTGTTTTGGTTCATCTAACTGCCTTATTTAATGTGTGTTCTGGACCCTTCCCAAGAAATGCTACAGATTTAAGTTGAGGGCCTGGGATTGAGAGAGAAACAGACCTTGTAGGTGTCAGACAGCCTACTTTAGCTCAGCCAAAGATTTAGGCATCTATGCTTTGCTACAGTTATAAAACCGGGAATCTTCCCACCCAATAAAATGGAAGTTTTTATTGAGCTTTCCTTTTAAATAAAAAGAAAACTTGGAGAATAAACCTTCTGTTTGTCATGCCAGCCACTAGAGGGTAGAATAGCCACATTTCCTACTACAGATGTAATTTAAAGAGAGGGACTATGGTCAGAATACATTTGCCAGTGCTTGTCAATACAGATGCTTTTTGACTTATGATGGGGTTAGAACCACATAAACCCACTGTGAGTTGAAAATATTAAAAGTTGAAAATATGTTTAATACACCTAACCTACTGAATATCATGGCTTTGCCTAGCCCACCTTAAACATGCTCAGAGAACACTTACATAAATCTACAATTGGGCAAAATTGTCTAGCAACACAGCACACTGTAGAGCAGGGGCCTCTAAACCCTGGGCCACGGACTGGTAGCAGTCCATGGCTTGTTAGGAGCCGAGCGGCAAGCAGAAGGTGAGTGGCAGGCAAGCGAGCATTACTGCCTGAGCTCTGCCTCCTGTCAGATCAGCAGTGGCATTAGATTCTCATAGGAGCACGAACCCTATTGTGAACTGCACATGCGAGGGGTCTAGGCTGAGCACTCTTTATGAGACTCTAGCTAATGCCTAATGATCTGAGTGGACAGTTTCATCCTGAAACCATCCCCCCAACCCCCCGCCCATGGAAAAATTGTCTTCCATGAAAACAGTCCCTTGTGCCAAATTGGGAACTGCTGCTGTACAGTATCGGTTGTTTACCCTCATGATTGTGTGGCTGACTGGGAGCTGTGGCTCACTGCCACTACCCAGCACTGGGAGAGAGTATCTTACAGCATATTGCTAGCCCAGAAAAAGATCAAAATTTGAAGTACCGTTTTAGGGCACAATTAACCAGCAGAAGAGTTTGTTAAAATGCAGCTTTCTGGGCCCTACGCCCCCAGAGGTTCTCATTGGATAGCTCTGAGTGGAACTTAATATCAGGGGATTCTCACACAGGTATCTTGGATTTTACTCTGAGATACGCTGATCTATAAGAGTTTTGGGGCATGCATTTTTGCCTATCTTTTCTCTTGGGATTACAAAGCAAAATGATTATTTGGAGGAAAAAAATCTTAATAACAGAAACCAGGGTATAGGAAAAAGCTAGAGTGTTGGTTAATTTAAAGGTCTTTCCCTGCCTTTGTCTAACATATTTCAAAGGAGACTCACTTTGTAAATATTCAGAATCAAAGAAGCTACTAAAACGTTTTTATTGGGAGTTTTACTTCAACCAGTAAAGACCATAGAATCCTTAGACTACAAATCTCTAAAATTTTTGATAAAATATCCCTTCTATGACCATCTCACAGCTCCCCTAATTTTATCCTTTATGGGTTATGTATGTGGTTTAGCTCTGTGTCCTCACCCAAATCTCCTAACTGAAATCCCCGTTTGGATCGTGGGGTGGTTTCCCCTGCTGTTCTTGTGATACTGAGGGAGTTCTCATGAGACCTGATGGTTTAAAAGTGGCAGTTTCCCCTGTGCACTCTCTCGCTCTCTTGCTGCCAGGTGAGATGTGCCTTAGCTTTTCTTTGCCTCCTGCCATGATTGTAAGTTTCCTGAGGCCTCCCCCAGCCATGAGGAATGGTGAGTCAATAAAACCTTTCTTCTTGATAAATTACCCAGTCTCAGGTATTCTTTATAGCAGTATAAAAATGGACTAATAAAACTGGTGTCATGAAGACCCCAAGCCTAATGTCTTAGCATTGTAAAATATAGTTGTGGAGACCTTACAAAGAGTGTATGTAATTTTATCATGATCTTGATTGAACAAGTATCAAGATTCTTTCTTATGTGTACAGATTCAAGTGTAGTAATGCACAATGTCCTTCTAGTAAGGATGACAATTTTATTTTTGTCAGTGCCCCTAGAGAGCAGTGGCATCCTCCTGGGGAAAGTTTTGCCATTGCTTTTAAATAGAAAAAACATGATAAAATCATTCGAATCTGTGATAGGATTCTACCTTTTAAAGAGTTAAAGAGATAGTGGGAATGTGAGTAAAATGAAACTTCGTTCTGAAGCGAGGACTTAGACCAATGAAAGAATGGTATGAGTTTTTCAGAGAGACGAAAAAACAGTCTATCTTCTGTGAGCCCTCATGGACCAAAGAATACAACCCTCCACCCCCACATATTTCATATGAAGATTTCTGAAGATTTTCCAGTGTCACTTCCTCTTTCCTTCCTGGTTTTTGGGGGAGTTCTATGATTATCTGTCAATGAAAAAGGAAGTTCTGTAATCTTCCAATCTCTTTCTCTCTCTCCTCTCTCACACGCACACAAAAAAATATAAGAAATCTTTTCAAAATTAAAGGCCAGAAATCTACATTGTGTCATTTTAGGTGTAATTCTATAGAAAAAAAGATGTTTTGCAGAAATTATGCTGCCTTTATGAACTTTAATTAGTAACACTTGTAATAATCTACACGTTATTAATCTGTCTCCTAAAATTTATTTTGATGCTGATACAAATTATTATACTGAAGGAATCCTCCCAGTAGAGGTACTTCTAAAAGAGGTATTCCTTGAAAGTTTGGTAAATTTCCAGTTATGTTAGATTAACTACTTAGGAAGCCTCTATATAGTTAAAATCTGGAACAAATGATTAAATGAGAATTTGTGCATTATCATAATAGAACACAAGACTTATGGTGTTAACTTTATTATAGAGAATTTCTGTAGCTCACATAAGAAATTGAATCCTTTCAAAATGGGTGGGCTGATGAATAGCCCAAATTTGGCTCCCAAACTCTATTAGTTACAAGTGTGCCAAGAATGGATTTCTTCCCTCCCCCCGTCCCCCACCAGCACTTGGGACAGCCAAGAGGAACCTGGGGTGATGGGAATCCCTTGGCTGGTTATCTCTGCCTCTTTATCTGTTTCCCCCAGTGCCACACAAGCATGTGTTTTGTTTATGCCATTATGTGACAAAGTTGGGAAGACTTTGTTCTTAAATTCTGATTTCCATTGTTCATAATTTTATGATCAGTTGATCGATGCCTTCCAAAATATTACATGTACCCACTCTCAGTAACTAGAAAAAGATCTCATGAAGCAGCAGCATTATCATTGTCTGTTTTGAAAGAGCTAAAATTAAGTTTGCCATTCCTTCTAGAGTTCTGGCCCAAGGTGACTTAAAAACAGTTTTAATAAACATTTAGACCATCATGTATTTTGTAATACAGTTGGGTCACTGTTGATTCCTAAGATAAATGTGTTTAAACAGAAGCTTTCTCATTCATCAGCAGCCTCAGCTTTCATCCAAATTTATTTAATGATGATGCAAGCCCATAGCGTTGGTGTTGCAGTTCGTCACCATGGAAGTGTTTCTGTCAACAAATCCTCGCTTTACTATCATGAAATTGATTTTGTAGGGGAAAGGAGGATAATTGTGAAAGCTTCCTTTTATTCTTAAAGATCTTCACAGTTTGCCTGGATGTCTAAATGAATTGTATTTAAAATCAATAACTGGCAATAAAATTAACCACACTAAATTAACAATTATGAGGTTAGAAAAAGGGAAATGGCAATAAGCTACTTTGTCTGAAATCGTCGTTTTGGAATGTGACTTGGGGACCATACTTGTAATTTAAATGTTCCCTGAAAGCTGTTGTTCTCTGCTCAGAAGTATGGATTATCCCCAGGGACTCCCATGAGGCAGATATCAGAATTTCTAGGAGGATTCGGCTGAGTTATTCTCATCTATATTGTAAATGGCATAATAATCACAGAAGAAATTCACACTATATTACTTCTTTCAACTAACATACTGTATTTTTTAAATATGCCTTTTCTATAGCTTATGTTCATAACTATCTTTGGCTTTTATTTGCTTGTTTAAAAAAAACTGTAAGAGGTTAAAACAAAAAAAAAAACTGTAAGCTTTTGAATGCAGGCCCCTTATGAACAGGGTAGGTAGCACCTACATTAAGTAATTCAAACTGTTTTGGGAACCCCATAGGAAAAAGAAACAAGAATGACATTTTCTTTTTTTTTTTTTGCTTTGAAGTAGAGTGTTCAAGAGTTTATGTCACAGTGGCTGGTTCCAGATTTGGTTGTAGACATACATGTTCTATGGGAGGTTTGATCTCTGGTAGAAATACAGTCAACTCTTGATTTGTCAATGTAACTATATTTCCAAATGTACTTTCTCTGGCTTCCTATCACATGTCAGAGCTTTTTAATTTTATCATCTGCTTCTATGTGCTCATGAAAACCAAAATTATTCGGTAGTATTTTATTTCATTATTATAAACATTTAAGTTCCTAATGTAGTCTAAGCACTGTGCTGGGCTCTTAGAGATACTGAAATATATCCCAAGCATGAAGTTATGTTTGCTTCTGAAAGATCTTATAGTTCACTTTGAAATCAAAGAGATGTAATTTTTATTTATTTGAACCACTTTTCTCTCCTCTAATATGTGATTAGAAGTTGACCATAAATGGGACATAGGTCCTGTTTGTTTTTAAGGAAGAATTAATAGAGACTATAAGCAAAAGACAAAATTCTATTGTACATGCAGAAATATAACACAGAATGACCAAAAGAAAATTCAGCAAGCAATGGTAAAAATAACAAATTATTTACTGTTTTATAATGTTAAAGTATTTCACCAAGACAAGTTGCAGTCAAATTAAAGTGAGTTATGGAAAATGAAATACATAAAGATGTATTTATACAAGTGCAGACTAAATATTTTCCATACAAGTATGTAAATGAAAAGATATACAGTAAGTGCACACTCGATATGACTATGCAGGCAACAGTTAGTTTCAGATACTCTTGTATAGTTCATGCACAAACCTTCCCAAAGTACGAGTTCAGTCAGTCTTGGGGGATATGGAGGGATGATTAAAAAAGGATTGAGTTCCTTGCAAAAATATCAGTATGGACTGGATGAGGGTGAGCGTGGTCAGTTATATATATTACTTACTGTAATTTGTGATTGTCGAGGAAGAGGTGTGGCTGTTGGTGTGATAGTAATACTGCTGGTGACTTTATTGGTTGTTTTGTTTAGTGCCCCGTTAATTAAGCCTTGAGTTCGGTTATCCTGCAGTGGTGCTGAAGGGCTGGCAGGTCTCACAGGGCTGGCTACAGCTTGCATGTAAGGACTTCCTAAGTGAATGTGGATTTTATTATCCTCAGTAGTTATCACACTTGAGCTATTGCTGTTTGAACGCTGAAACTGCCATGATGACTGCCGGTCTGGGGAGACTCTGAATATCGCATGCTTGGCACTGATTTCTGTTGGTTCTGGGGAGCGTCCCTGCTCAGGAGAGCTAGCTGAACCAGTCACAGCCAAAACCTGAATAGGGGACATTGTCCTTTCTGGAGTTAGAGAACCACAAGACTCTGGGGTCTGTGCTCTGGCAAAGGTTGCCATGGTAATTGGGGACATGCCTTGTTCTAAATTCATGAGGTCTTCGGTAGAGGTTTTGGACTTTACTGGTGTTATGGAGGCGTTTTGGAGGATGGTTATCCTTTGCTTTGGCGTGCCACAGTTCGGTATCACTGCAGTACTCGTGTAAGAGTGAGGACTCTCTGTGGTTGGACTTGTGATTTCAAGAGTGGCTGTGTTTTGTACATGGTCTGGAGTAACCTTTATATGAAGTGGCTGCCCAGGTGTGTGGCTTAGGACTAGATCTCCAGGTTGCACAAAGTTGGCATTGGGTTTAGTTTGCATTTTTCCATTCTGAAGATGGCCCTCCTTGGATTTCATCCAGGGAATCCATAGCTTTCTGTTAACAGGACATGGAGTAGACTGGCTGCATTTGAAGGACAGCACAGATCCCTCATCATTAGGGTCCTCGTCTTGATTCTCACTCTCCTCATATAACTGACCATTGATGACTGCACGTTCCAGAGGAATGAGGCTCTTGTAATCAGGTGGTTCATTGTCTACTGCTTCTGTCTGAACTTCTTTAGAAAATACTTGAGGATCGGAAATTCTTCTTCCATTGAGACTAGGCCTGAGGCTCTTACTGAAATGCCGGTACCTCTCTAACTCCTTAGTGAGGTTTTCAATCTCTCTTCCTAAATCTCTGTTCCTGTTTTCTTGTTGATTTAGTTTTTTTTGCAGGACTGAGTGATCTCCCTGGAGGTGACATATTAGGTCTTCAGTTGCCATGTATTCATGAATTTTCTCTTTTAATGCATCCACTTCTCTTGAGAGGTGCCCTGACTTAGCTTCTTCTTCTTGAAGCCTTTTGAAAAGCCATTGTTCATGGCTGGTCTCTGTCTTTTCTGCTAACTTGTACTTAGCAAGTTCCATTTTAACATGTTCTAGCTCTTTAGATAAAAATTGAGCTTTGTCTCGTTCATTAGCATACCTTCGTTCTAGAGTCTCATATTCATCTTCTGTTTTCATGAGGTCATCCTCAATGGCTTTCATGTCCTTTAGCTTCAGTTTCAGTCTTTCCACTTCTTGAGAGAGCTCCTTAATCTTATTGTTTTCTTGGTGTAATGCTGTTGTGGATTTCCCAGAGTCTTGATTTAATTTGTTTTTTAGGAAATCTTTCTCAATTGCTTCCAATGATTGAAGCCTATTTTTCAACATATTAACTCTTGACAGGAGATCATTTCCTTTCTCTTCTTCCGCTTTCAATTTGTTTTTTAAATCATCTCTCTCCTTGGTTACGCTGTACATCTTTTCTTCTACATCGGTTTTGGACTTGAGCGCCCTTTTAGTTTCCTCAATTAACTTCTCAGTAACTGTTGTTACTTTATTTTGCTCCACTTGAAGCTGAGAAGAAGCAGCTTGTAATTTATCTTCAGTTTTCTTTAATTTTTCACTCATTGTTTTCCGTTCATCTACAAACATCACAGTTAATGTTTTCAGTTTAGTTAAATCCTCTTTTAGAGTGAATTCTGTCTTTTCTAGCCGACTTTCAATGGCTTCTAGCTCTTTGATCCTTACTTTTAAACTCTCCAGTTCTTGAGACAACTGCTTTGTGGTCATCCTTTCTTTTTCTAAATTGCATTTCAGAGAGTAGCATTCTTGTTTGCTTTTGTTGAAAGCGTCTTCTAACTTTTCCAGAGCCATAATTCTTTTACTGAGTTTTTCAACCTCTAGTTTAAAGTCTTTACTCTGTAACGTCTCCCTTTCAAGCCTCTTATTGAGATCTCTGCACTGCTCCTCCATTTTTATGAGCTCTTCATCTTTCCCTTCCATATCTAGCACACGTTTCCTGAGCTCTTCCACTTCAGCCATGATACCAGCGTTTCCATATTCTCCCTTACTGATTTTTTCTTTTATATCTTGCAGCTCCTCTTCTGCTTTTCGTAAAGACCTGTTTGTCTCTTCTAACTCATCAATCTGCCGGCTGAGTGCTGCCAGCTTTTGTTGAAGCTGGCGATTTTGACTGTCCTCATTGGTGAGCTTCGCCATAATTGTGTCTTGGTCTTGGTGAAACTTTGTGGTCTGCGTTTGCAGTTCCTTCTCTAGTCTGGTTGCCTTCTGCTCTTCCTCCTGAACTCTGGCTTCAGCAAGGGCTAGTTTGGTATGTGTTTCCTTTGCATTTGTGGTCAGCTCTTGGATTTTCTGTCTTTGAAGGGTGAGCTGTGCCGTCAGCCTTTGCTGTTCATCCACCACCATCAAAGCAAAAGACTTCAGCTTGGTCAGCTCCTCTTTCAGGGTGGTGACCCTTTTCTCCTTTTCTTGCTCCTTCTCCTCCTGAGACTTGATTTCTTGATCAATTAGCTTCTTTAATCTGAAAAATGTAAAGTGCATTTTATTTTGTGATTGATGCTTTAGTAACTCATCGAATGTACTTAAATATATATGTAATTTAGAAATTATGTAATTATATGAGCTGTGTCAGTTCATATACAATATGCAAAAGAGTTCCTGAATTTGATGACAGAGGAAAATCTTGATAAAGTTATCTTGCTTTTTTATTTGACTACCATTGATCAGTAACAGCTGCATTTCACCAGGAGCCTTAGTAAAAGAGTAAGGGCAAGAATATTTAGTTTAAATTGCTTGGGTAACATGTAATTAGTAGGCAGTCTGGCCTGAAGGCTGTGAAAATAGCCACAAGCTTGAGATGATGCAGTTAGACCTGGCTTCAAGGCCGACCCTACTCTTACCAACTAATTGATCTGGGCAGTTATTTAACATCTCTGAGCCTCAATTTCCTCATATGAAAAATGGGGGCAATAATTTTATTTACTTCAGGGGCTTTTTATGAAAATTAAATGCGGTAATTCATCTAAGATTCTCATTGTCCTGGCACATGGTAAGCATTTGGTATTAGTTGTTGCTGCTGTCTTTATTAATATGGTTATTATATTTATCAAATGGCTTGCTTGAACCAAAGTGTTCAATTAATGTTTGATGTTCAAGTCCTTGATTCTTAGTTAAGAAAAAATTTAGTCACATTGCTTAGAAGTTATGCACTTCACTGATAGACCTCTGTGCCAATTAAAACTTGGTTTGCACTAGCACAACATTATTCTAGGAACTACTTCACATATATCTTATCCTCATAGTGGATAGCAATTAAATGAGGAGAATTGAGAGACATCTGTATGGGTTTGGTGTTTTCATAACATTTGAGAAGAGCATGCGGTTTGGTAGGAAAGTGCTTATTGATGAGAGTCTGATGCTAGACATGACAGAAGAGAAACTCTGTTATCAGGAACATAATAATTCCCTCTTAAATGATGACTACTATGACATGCTATTTTCTTCTTTTATGTTTTAAATTTGTCAGCATAACAGGAGGGTATTTTACATGTAGTATAAACTATCTCTTCCACTTAAGTAGTGAGGTCAAAGTTTTAAATTTGTGGCACTCTCAATTATACTGCGAATGGGCTGATTATAGAGGATGTAATTACAGCTTTGCAGTACTGTTATACAGAAGCTAAAATAGAATGGAATCCCTAAGGAATTGAACCAAAGGACTTGTCATGGATGAAGTTATGACTACTTACATTCTGATAGGTATAGAGAATTCATAAAACTTTAATGTATCTTTTCTATTAGGAATGAGTTAATTATCAAATGCATGTCTATCATCCTTATCACAGAACTTACTTTTTGAAAGTTGTGTAAGGATTTGAGAGAACTTTTTATTTATTTTATTTTATTTTATTTTTTGAAATTGAGTCTCACTCTGTCGCCAGGCTGGAGTGCAGTGGGGCGATCTCGACTCACTGCAACCTCTGACTCCCTGGTTCAAGCAATTCTCCTGTCTCAGCCTCCCGAGTAGCTGGGATTATAGGCACGCACCACCACGCCCAGCTAATTTTTGTATTTTTAGTAGAGACAGGGTTTCACCATGTTGGCCAGGATGGTCTCGATCTCCTGACCTTGTGATCCACCTGCCTCGGCCTCCCAAAGTGCTGAGATAACAGGTGTGAGCCACCGTGCCGGCTGAGAGAACATTTTAAAAGGAAACTAATTTAGGGTCATCGTCTTGGAAATTGAGTCCTTCTTTTTGAGATTCTAATCTGCTCTTTTCTGTAATTTTCTGTAATTACATTCCATAGGAGGAACATGTTGAAAATAATTGTATAAGAATTCTGCATCTTTTTTGTGGGAGTCCACTTTTAGTTTTTTCTGTTTTGAGAACTTAACAGGAGGCTGGCCCAAGGGCTGTGGCTTATAAAATTCAGAAGATGCTAGGCAGGATGCTGGGGTGTCGTTGATGATGATCTCATCCAAGGTCTTGGCAAAAGGCTTGCCCATGGTTTCTGGCCATGCCCCATCCCTATCTGAGACACATGAGAGCCTGAAAAGATAAGCATAGCAGCTTCTTCTCAAATGGTCATGGGACTTCTCAACCCAGTGGCAGAGTCCATGGGTAAACTGCTTTGGTGGTGAAATAGTTAAAAAAAACTTTGGCAAAGTGCTTCTTTCTCCTGCCTTAGCATTAGAATTCATTCGATGTAATGGTTTTGACAATGCCTTGAGCATAATTACAGTGAAATATTTTTCCCCTCTCTACACCACAGTTCTTACAGTTTTATTAGAGAACAGTTTCACAAAAGCTTTTAAATATTTATTTTCAACTTATTAAATTATAGCATGTGCTATGTCATTTTTATGAGAAGGGGGTGTGTTTTCTTAGGATATAAGGGAGGGAAGATTGTTTTGCAGTATAATTAAAAGAGTATTAAAAGGGAATGGTGATTAGTGAGTGCAGTGCAGTAACCTGCAAAAAAGGTTTAGAAAAAAATTCAGTTGCTTCCATTTTGTTCAGTGTTTTTGGAGTAGGCATGATGCATATTTTTCAGCCTGGGGCATGTTGCGTATTTTTCAGCATGATGCAAACATAAGCATCTTTTTCATGGTTTTTGTAAATTAGTTGGCATCCCCATCTGTTCCCCAAGTTCTGTCTGATTATTTGAATGCATTTTCTCTAAGCATTTCCTTACTACTTGTTTTCCAATAACCTGCTATTTTCTTGGGCCACTCTCATGAGCGCACCATAGGACAGTCAGCTGTCTAGTCTAGTAAAGCCTGTCGGGAAGGTAAACAAGAATTTATATGCAGAAAAAACTATACCCATAGCCATCAACTTGGGAGCTCAGGACAAGGAACCAGTGAGAACTGAGAGCAGGAGGCCCTGATGGAATCTTTTCAGAGCCAGTTGCTTGCGTGTAATGCTGTTACACATTGTGTGGTTGTACATGTGTGTCAGAGAGAGGGAAAGACAGCTGGTTATGCTACTGAATTTGAAGGAATTAGCACTTCTGATAGTGATGAATGGTCCACCCTAAATCGTTATTTCTTGCCTTGTATCCAGGAGCATTTGAAGGTTGAAGTTTGAGGCTAGTTTTTGGTCTTGAAGAAGGTATAGGGTGAGGAGGGTGTGGAGTTGAGCCTCCTAAGCCTGCTTCCTACTTTGAGTAGGAATGGATTTTAGACAACACAGTAACTTAATTTTCTGTCTCCATTATTTTTCTTTGCATATGTACAGGATTTAGCATTGATACTTGCATTATATGCTAATGCAGGTTATCATGAACTCTCGGTTTGCTAGCCAAAGCAGATCAATGATTTTGATTGCTTTTAACCAGGTTTTTATGATCTTCAAAGTAGCATAGACCTTGAGGTGCAGAACTCTGCAGATCTAAAATTCATTCCCTAAGAGCTGTGTAGTCAAATTATGACTCCTTTTTCCATTAATAGTTCCAGTTTATGTGCCTTTATACAGGGATAATCTATGCCAGGGTTTCTCCATCTTCAGCACTGTTGATATTTGGGGCCAGATAATTTGTTCATTGTGGAGATCATCTTGTGCACTACAAGATGTTTAGCAGCATCCCTTTGTTGTGAATTAAAAATGTTTCCAGACATTGCCAAATGTCTCCTGGGGGGCAGTCACCTCCAGTTGAGAACTACTGATCTATGCATGTGTATGTTTGTGGCATGTGTGTATGTCAGTCTGTCAGTAGAAGTTAGACTCCATCGTTTTGCTTTACTCAGCTTTAATTAAACAGGTGCAACTGAGAGCTCCCACCTGAATTACATGTACACCTGGTGATTTTATCTTCCCTGCTAGTGGCCTATTCTTTACCAATGCTTCTCACAGTGTAAAGTGCATTTGAATCACATAGGAATCTTGTTAAACTGCAGACTCCAATTCAGTAGGTCTGGGGTGGGCCTCACAATTTGCCTTATAACAAACTCCCAGATGATGTCAAGTCTGCTGGCCCTTAGACTGACTGTGGGTAACAAGGCTTTACCATTTACATGTCAGATGTTTCCTGGAAATGGGATACTGTTTGAATATTAACTCTGCCAATTGTTGTTCATTATTGATTTATACCCAGTCTGCAGTACCACAGCCTGTATTCCTGACCTACATGACCACCCATTTTTTTCAAAGAAGATACCAGGTGAGAGAATATGGCTAAATTAACTAAAATCTGTCCACATTTCTGGGGAACAAAATGACTCAAAATGCATACCATAGTTGGTGGGTCAGTAGCTACATTTTCATGCAAAAAGGGCGTTAAATGATTTTAGTTCCAATTTGTGGTTTTTCTCACACAGCACAAAGACTAAAATATATATATAATAGCTGCCATTCTTTACTTAGTGCCAGTGATGTGTTGCCAAGCAGTGAGCTGAGTCTGTACATCTGTCGGTTCTAATTCTCATGACAAATTTACAGGGTTTAGGATTATCTCCATTTTATAGCTGTGAAAATTGAGGCTCACAAAGGTCAAGAAGGAGCAAAGCCTGTGCGATTTCCCCACATTATATTGCAAAGAACACAAACCATTGCATAGGGCTGGTCCACACACAAGGATTTTTATCAAGAACACTCTGAATGGAGAACTATCAACTTAAAAAATCTTACTTAACATTGCATTTGTATTCTTTTTAAAAAGTGTGTATCTCTCAGAGCAGGGGTTTTTAAATGTTTGTTCTTATATCTGCCAAAAGAATGTTGAAAAACTAAGTACTCCTTTTCACATTTTTAACTGGCATCTAGATTCTTTCATTCAATGTTTAAATAGTTGTAAAAGGATATATTTTAACATTTGCCATCTAATGTAAAAGTCCTCATTAACAAATCGGACAGCCAAACCAGTCATTCAGGAAAAGTCTGACTTCATTTTTCAACCTAACGAAATCTGTAAATACATATCCCTCTGGTACCCATCTCATTTCTAAAAGATAAGGCATGAGGACTTGCCCTGCATTGTCCTCAGCTGAAGAAACAAGGCACTGCTCCATCCATTGTTTGGTTCTGAACCTGTTGCTGCTGCTGCTCTTGCTGCTCTGCTCTGCTCTGCTCTGCTCTGCTCTGCTCTGCTCTGTCCTCATAGGACTCTCAGGATTAAGGCTTTCTATAGTTGTACCTTTGTCTGATGCCCCAGAGGGGTTTCCAACCCAGGAAGATGCACTTGATAAGAGTTTGCTAAGAAGTTTGTTTTGAAAGTGTTGTTGGAAAAGGAGAAGTCATAGAACACAAAGAGTATAGGTATGAATAGTGGACGTAGACGTTGATCCCTTAAATCTCTCCATGCCTGTACCCATAGAAAGTCTTTATGTACCCTCAGGGGTACATGTACCCCAGTTTAAAGACTATTGTCTTGGAGTACTCATATTCATGTTCTAGTACTGACACCACAGCATTATAGGAACATTCAGTGAATCCGCTCCAATAAAAATGGGTTGTGGAAGCTGGTTTTATGGACACAAAAGTGAGGTAATTAAATCCAAACTGGCTTAAAGCAGTATCTTATTACAGCTTTCCGTTAGAGTTTCTACTATGGCTCAGAATTGTTATAACTTACTGTGGTTTATCACTATTATTATGTACAATACCAGTTCCTTATTTTTTCAAAAACATCACATCTGTCATCTTCAGTATTCTTTGGTACTAACCATAATTCTGGTTCTTCATTACAAATGATACACTCAGAGGGTTTTTTCAGTTTTTATTTGCAGACACATATAATATATGTCAGCACAGATGTGTGCCTATATTTTATCTCCTCTGTGAGACACTGAGTATTAGTAATAATGCATCATATAATACACATATGAAACACATGGTATATCTAAATGCTATAATACCAGTCATACCCATAATAACTTATATTATAATTCTTACCGCTTTTGATTTTATCTTATTTTTTGTACATTACAGTCAACCCTACTAAAATACAGACTTCTTGAGAACAGGATGAGTATCACTGTCTGATTCATTTCTGTGTCCTACAGTGTCTACCACAAAGCACTTATATGTAGAGGGAACCACATGAATTTTTTTTGAATAAATGAAAGAATGAACAAATACTCCCTTTTGTGAAAAATACTGTAGCACTGTCCTAAGTAGTTTTATTCACTATTTAAGAGGATGCTCTAATATTTACCATGTACATGTTTTTAGGCATTTAAGAAAATGAGGTATGAGTGGGTTTCCCATCAGTGTTCTCCAAGAACATTATTTTCTCTATTTCATAGCTACAGAGCCTCTAGAAAGAATCAACACTGTTGGAACAGGTCCTTCTCTCCTTTCTTCAGATCCCTGCATTAGAACTGTATGTGCTTGCTTGTTTGAGGAGAACAGGGTTAGGTGGTAAACGTCCACATCCTAGCCCATCAGTCTCCTTTGGCTTTATCAACTCTGCTAACAAAGGAGTGACTATTTTATGTTTTCCTCAGAGTCCAGAGATCTACTGGACAAATATGTTTGTTTATTACATAAGCAACATTGTATCAACAGCAGTGACAGTGGAAAGGAAATATCTATAATCTGACCACCCTAAAACATCAATTATGTTTCTGTTTTCACAGATTGTTTTGCAGTTTTTCAGATGCTTGGTCCATAGAAATAAACTTAGGGTGATCATCAAGCAATAAAACGAATTCCACAAGCCATTAATGGTACTGTATTGTTTCTATTAGTTTCAGAAATCAGCCTGTAAATAGAGAATAACTTCAGAGTCAGCTTAGCTTCTCATCTGTCTCTTTAAGGAAACCTATTTTTCACTATGTTCACTATGTAAATCTTGAATTTAATGTTTCTGATGTTATGAATATGGCAAGACTTTTATTCATTTAATATACAAACAACAAAGACAATCATTAGTACTAAGGCTATCCTGAGATGAACAGGGGATAGAGGATCCTATTCTCAAAGTGTTTATAGGCTAATTAGGAAAGAAAAAGGAGATAGTTCCAGCACAATTCAGTAAAGGCTCCAGAGCAGTAGTTCGTAACCTTTTAGGTCTCATGACCCCTTTACACTCAAAAAATTTTGAGGACCCTAAAGAGCTTTTGAGTGTATGGGCTGTATCTATCTCTTTACTGTATTAGAAATTCAAACTAAGATTTTAAAAATACTCATTAGTGCCAGATGCAGTGGCTCACACCTATAATCCCAGCACTTTGGGAGGCTGAGGCAGGCGGATCATGAGGTGAGGAGATCGAGACCATCCTGGCTAACATGGTGAAACCCTGTCTCCACTAAAAATACAAAAAATTAGCTGGGCATGGTGGCACGTGCCTGTGGTCCCAGCTACTTGGGAGGCTGAGGCAGGAGAATTGCTTGAACCCGTGAGGCAGAGGTTGCAATGAGCTGAGATCACACCACTGCACTCCAGCCTGGGCGACACAGCAAGACTCTGTCTCAAAAATAAAATTTAAAAAAAATCATTTGTTAAAAATAATAAATAATAATAAATCCATCATCTGCTAAATAACATATTTTTATGAAAAAATACTTTTACAAAATTATTTAGTGAGAAGAGTTGCATTGTTTTACATTTCTGCAACTAATGTCTGGCTTAATTGAAGACAGCTGTATCCTCAGATCTGTTTCACACATTCCATTAGCTGTCAGAGAAATCATCACACGTCATGGAGCCTCTGGAAAACTCCATATACACTTCTGAGAGAATGAGAGAGAAAAAGGTTGTGTTATTATGAAGATATCTTCTTCACTCTCAAAGGGGGCCACACTTTAAGAACCATTACTCCAGAGGATAGACAGTTGAAACATCAGTGGCAAATTTGTCTTTCTCTGGAAAAGCGTCTGGTTTGGGCTGTCACCTTGTGCTTCTTCTGTCAGCCTTTTGCTTCATCCTGATGAAGTCCCCCAATTCACTGGCTTAGTCACTGCTTTGATGTTTCCATCATTAATAAAGCCAGTCACTTGCTAACCGTCAAACATAGATGGGAGATTCTCTGCCTTCAAATGTTCTCTCCCAGTCCACAGAAAAGTCCTAAATGACAAAACTGTTTTCATAAGACATTGTGTTTTGTTTGAAACTCCAATTTGAAATAAGAGTATGGAAACCACTAAGTTGCCTGGTTTTTATAAATGGGTCCATCCATAGTGCTATGCAGTTCAGCTGACATTTAATTCATTTCAGACCTTGATGAGACAAATACAGTGACAGCTACTATGTGCAAGGCACTGTACTTGCTATTTGTCAGTTCTTTTTTCCCCAAAACCTGCCTGTATTCTTGCACAGATCAGTCTGATCATACTTACAGTATTCTCCCAGTAACAACCAAATAGTATGATGATACCAAAGCTTGTTTGGTCTTAAGATGTTTGAAACAGTGTAACAGTCACCCTAGTCCTAAGTATGTAACTTCATTTTGATGGGCTTAAATTCCTGTATTTGTTCTCATTATTCCAGAGCTAGTTTAATACATTACTTTTTCTTCCTGATTTAATATGTTGATTACTAAGCAGAAAACTGCATACATCACACTCCTTTATTTATTTTTATATCTGCTCTCACAGCTAGACTTTGATAGCCTGATTATGATTATATCCCATTTTATCTTTTAGCAATTCTTGTCTAATACATAATTTTAACTGTGTTGCGTTGATAGTAGCTGTGTTCATGGTTAAATAACCATGGATTTCTAGCAGTTTGCAGAGTAATTACATGGAATTTATTGGAAAGCTTCTTTATTTGAGATAAATTTTGGTATCAGGCCTATAATTTATGTTTCCTTGCTTTCCTCCCTGCTTTTTCTATGGGACTTTTCACTGTTTAGTCTAAATTTTAAGAGCACTCATAAAAATAGCTGTGACCCGTCTTTTTTATTCTGTGTATGCTGCTTCCTTGTATTTCACAAGTCAAAGGTTTTCTAAAAATTACAGCTACAGCATACCATAGCCATAATGTAATGTACAATTCATTTGACTTAGTCAGCAAGATCAGTAGAACAGTAACACTTTTTTTGGCATCTGCTAGTTGAATATGAGTGTACATCTATGTCTGCTTTATGTCCTTGTTACTGAAGATCCTGTCATCATCACTGAGATCCTTTAGAGATACCATAAATGGGTCCAGACCCAGCAATTTGGGTTAATACTATTTTCCTTCATTGTGAAATAAGAATTAGGGCAGGAAGTTAAGAAGGAGGCTTTAGCTTGGTGTCAGAGGAATATATGGTAAAAATGGTATACTGTTAGTCATTACTCTTCATCACCTGAACGATTAATCTTACTAGGCCCCCCAGAGGTCAGGAGAAGTGAAATAAGATGGAAATAGTCAAATGACCCATTAATTATAAGGAGCTTGGTAGCTTTTAGCAGAGAATCAGGATTCTAAAAAGCGGTACTGAAATCCTCAAATTGAGCACAAGGACTGGAATTGAGGCAAATCTCACTCTTTTAAGAGCAGAAAAAGGAGCAAAGTAACTGAGAAAAAGGGTCTCTGAAAGGTGAGGTTCCAGAACAAGTAAAAGGCCAGTCTGAGGGTCCACAGGCACAGAACTTGGGTAGTTAGGCAGCTACAAGGAGAATATTTTCATCTTGAGAACAAAGGAGGTGCCCATGATTCTGGGCTAGAAAAGACACTGTCCATGCTGCTATGAAAGGGCCAGGTGGAGACTTGAAAAGATGCTCAGGCTAGACCTGGAAGAAGAAACTGGAACTGACAGGGGAGTGACAACAAGTACAGCACATGTAAATTTGTACCAGGATAATTACTGCCTAAATAATGTGTTTTGACTTCTGCAGTACTGTATTGTTAGGGAGCTTTCTAGTAAGAACCTTTGGACAATGGATGTTCATTTAATACCGTGAATATTGTGCCTCTCCTATCACTCTTTTAATTTTTCTTATTAAAAATACCTACTCAAATGAAGTTTTCTTTATGCCGTTTACTCAGATGACATCTATCAAGAAGGAGCTTTTAAAAAGTTAATTACTGTGAATACACTGCTGTGCTAGAGAGTCTACTCATTTTTCTCACTTTTCTTTTTGTTTTCCTCCCCCACCCCCTGCTCCCACCACCACTCTGAATTGGGGTTCTTGATTATTTAGAAAAGATCCCTTAAATCAAAGTTTCCTCTTTTCCATACTTTCCATTTTGATTGTTAATACACCCCCGCCCTCCCAAAAAAAATTACCTGTCTTCCAACAGATTAAGACTTTAGGTCTTTGTCAGACTAACAGTTTCAGGTAGATGTCCCCTTAATCCTCCAAAGCCTACCTGGGCCTTCCACAGCCATGATGCCTTCCCCTGGCTGCCCTGTCCCTCTAGGGAGAAGTATCCAAAAAGCCACTCAGCATGTGATGCCTTGTATTATCACAGATGTGTGTGTATTCCTGAAAGTGCCTCCTAGTTCATGGCATACAGAGCTGCCTTTACACCTAGCATTGTGATGGTGCTCCTCCTGGGCTTGTCCTCAGGTTCCTAATGCTTTCATTGTTTATCATTGTCTCCATTCCTTCCTCCCACTCTCTGCAGTTGATTTTGTACTCTCTGTGATCTGCGTTCTTCTGTATCTTGTCTGTTTGCCCAAGGTAGCCTTCTTTAAGACAGGGATAATGTCTTCCCTACTGCCTGTTCCCTATTACCCCCAGCAAGAGATTGCAGTAAACAGTGCAGGTGGCAGAGGGCAGGTGGAATGACTGACAGCATGTACACTCTCTAGTACCGAAGCACCAATAGGAACGAGACAGTGGAAAACTATGAGAGGCAGGGCAGGGCAGTGCAGAGCGAGAAATTCAGACTCTGGAGTTCAGTTTTTGCAGCTGAATCCCGGCTTTCCAACTTCTGTCTAGTGTGACTTGAGCAAGCAATTTAACCTCCCTACAAGTCTCATTTTCTTCATCTGTAGAATGGGGATAATATTAGAGCCTCCCTCACAATAGGGTTGTTCTGAAGATTAATAAAAAACAATCCATACAAAAAGTCCTTATCATAGTGCCTGGCACAATACATGTCCGTTCTCATTAGAAGTAGGATGGTGAGTACTAAAAGAGTAGGTTTTAGATGTTCTCACCACAAAAAAATGATAAGTATGTAAGGTAACAAATACGCTAATTAGCTTGATTTAGCCATTCCACAATATCTAGATATATAAAAACATCATGTTATAGGCCCTAAATATAGTTTTAATTTTCATTTAAAAAATCAAATCAAATAAAAATAAGTGCTACTTGCTTGGCATATTGGAAAAAAAAGTAGGACAGTGAGACAACACAGTGAGACAACGTCAGTCACAATGAGCTGACCTAAAGTAGGGGTCAGCTGGGGGAAGAATAGCACAAATCACATTGGAATGAAAGATATGACTACATAATGTTTATTGCGATCTATTTTAAGGCTTTTCATGGATCTTTTCAGCTATGCACATGGTTAGTCATAATGATTGTCATTTTAGGTCAGAGTTTCTCAGCCTTAGCATTGTTGACATTTTGGTTAATTCTTTGTTGTAGGGGCTGTCCTGTACACTGTAGGGTGTTTAGCAGCATCCCTGATCTCTACCTACTAAATGCCAGGAGCAACACAGTACCTCCAGCTCAGTTGTGACAACTACTGAATGTCTCCAGACAACTACTGAATGTCTCCAGACATTGCAGAGAAATTGAGTCTGGTTGAGAAGTCACTGTTTTAGGGCATAATTTTTGGGTAGACTGTTAGATTCTTTGTGTTCGTTGTCTCTGGCCTGTATAACTCTTCTTAATTATCTGCTACTCAAATGTATTTGGGATCAGCCACTGTCTTCCATTTCTCTTTTGCTCACAGATCTACTCCACAGCTCTTCTCCCTTCCTGGAAGAGAATGATGCTGTGAATGTCCAATATCCAATGAAATGCCAGCATATCAAAATGGATGCTAATAGTTGACCTTCCCAAAGCCTCACTGATGCTCTGCTCATCTTACTCCTGCTCTTCATTTTTTGGATGTGAATGTGTACTTTGTCTGCTGGGTTTAGATACTCATAGACTTGGTCTACTTAGGCAGCGGTCCCCAACCTTTTTGGCACCAGGGACCAGTTTTGTCAAAGACAGTTTTTCCATGGACATGGGAGAGGGTGGTGGTGGTGGATGGTTTTGGGATGAAACTGTCCCACTCGGATCATCAGGCATTAGATTCTCATAAGGAGCATGCAACCTAGATCCCTCACCTGCACAGTTCACAATAGGGTTCACACTCCTATGAGAACCTAATGCTGCTGCTGATCTAACAGGAGGCAGAGTTCAGGCAGTAATGCTGCCTCATCCCGCTGCTCACCTCCTGCTATGTGACCCGGTAATAGGCCTCAAACTGGTACTGGTCTTCGGCCCTGGGGTTGGGGACTCCTGTACGTGGGGACTCAAAGTCTGGGTGGGTTGACTGGGTTAGTACACTGTATATACTATTCCTGGGCTTGGTTTCCATAGTCAAAAATGTCAAGTAGACTATTAAGGATATTTTATAATTTTTTTGACTCTTCAGAAGAAAATACAAAGCAGCAGATTGAAAGATACCCTAGTTGTCTGAGAAATAGGTCATTTGGGGTTTTCATATTGTTGGATAATTAATTTTTCAGTCTATTTTGTGTACTTTTAACTCTTTAAATTTCAATTATGGATTTTTAGATTAAATTAGTATTCCTAAATATTTGACACATATTTCAAAATGTGTGTATTAAAACGTATACTAGGAACAGTCTTCCTCTTACCACATCGTTCATCTCCCCAACTGTAACCACTGATACTAGTTTCTCTTATGTACTTGTAGAGTTTCTTTATGAGTACATAAGCAAACATAAATAAAGATTCTTATGCTCTCCCCTTTTTACACAAAAGTAGCTTACAAACACTGTTCCTCAGCATCTTGTTTTTTGCAGCCAAACATTTCTTGGAGATCTTTCCATTGGATCAGTGTTCTTAAGCAGGAGCAGGAAAAGGGAATAAAAATAAACATGGTTGCTAAATACATCTTTACAACTTCATGCTAAAGAAATTAAACTTTGTAGGATCTATTTTTAATGGAATTAATATGTAGGAGGTATGGAAGACATATACTTTTGCTGTTTTGAAATTATTAAGATAGATTGTAACAGTAAGATTATTTGACTTATAACAACAGCTTGAGTGTTGTATATCTATCTTTATAATGTCTGTGTAGAGCACATGCATTTATTTTCTTAGTTGAAAAACTGAGGCCCAGGCAGATTAATACTATGCAAGGCCATCATTATGGTGGCCCTGGAACTGGTACTAGAGTGTGAGACTTGGCTTATAAAGAGAAGGAAACAAGCATATTGAAGGTCTACTCTGTGCCACTAGATCTCACTTAATACTTATAGCAACTGTATGAGCTAAGTATTATTATTCTCATTTTGCAGATGGAGGAGAAACCAAAAAACTAAAATTTACAGAGGTTAAATAATTTTCCAAACAGTACAGGTAACAGACCAGAATAAAAATTCACTGGCTGCGAAGTCTGTGTTCTTTCTACCTAACAACCAGGCTACATGCCGGAAACCCCAGACAAAAAATGTTGACCTCAGAAGAGTTTCCTCTTATCCCATACCATGTTTTTGGTGTTCATTTGTTCATTCCCATGCTTTCTGCTCCACCCACTTGGCTCCCTGACCCCTTCTACTGTTCTCCTCTTTGCTCACTCTGCTCCTCTGCCCACTCACCAGCTTCTTTGCTATTCCTCAAACAGAACACGGCATGGTGTGCTTTTGTGCTCGCTGTCTCCCCAGGAACCACTGGATTCCCCCTCACCTCATTAGTACCATCTGGCATACTATATTTTATGTATTTATTGATTACTGTCTCTCCTACTAGAATGTAAACTACATGCAGGTAATGGTGTGTGTGTATGTGCGCACACACGCATCTCATTCAATGATTAGTCAATCATTGGTCTATTTTGTTTAATACTATATTTCTGGTAGGGAACAGTACCTGGTACTTAATTGGTATTCAATAAATATTTGAACAAATACCTCTTCTATTTTTGAAATAGGTACCATATTTGAAAGCATGGGTATAACTAAGCAATAGACATATAGTAGGCCCTCCTCTCTATAGTCTAGGAATAACAGCTAGTTGAACAATTTTTATATGCCATGTACCGTGTTAGTCCTGCAAACAGTCATAGGAGGCAGGTATTACCGTCTTCTTATTTTACAAATAAGAACTGAGGCTCAAAAAAGTTAATTTGCCACAGGTCCTGGTGAGTAATTGGCAGAGCCAGAATGCCAGTGTAGTTTTTACTCCAAATCCTGTTTCTCACCCCATTACATACATCCACACTTCCTATCTCATATATTATATCTCATGAGCCATCCTCTCCAGTGAATTTGTGTGCTGTAATATTCTGCCTGTCAAAGATCCCAAATCACCACCACTAGCAATTCAGTGTTGTGTCACAGTATTTCCTATAGGTTCATGGCTACTTTGAGCCTTGATCTTGAGACATTAGCAAATATTCTCTTAGTCATTATAATAATATAGCAAGTTTCGTCATTTGGCATAAATTCATAATTATTTTTGGATGGTTTAAAAAATTGTGACTTTGCCAGTAATAACATCTCATGTTCCCCAGAGGTGGTGGGTTTGTCATAAATACCATTTCCATAGAACATTTCAAGGAACCTAAAGTTCTTGGAAAATATTTTTAACAGGCAGCCATTTCTCTGACAGACTTCAAGGGCATAATAATAAATATATATATATATATCCTTAGAAATATGTGTGTATGTATTTTATCTTATTAAGAATATTTATATGTTTTTTTATTGCTCACAATCCATTTATATTTCAATGATCCTTTTGTATTTTAGCAGATTAAAGAATCCAGGAATGGTTCTTTAGAAAATCATTCCAATGTAGCTGTTAAATTTTGTTTTTAACCTCCATTAGTCCCTTTTTTCTCTTCCCAGGTCACAGGTTATTTTCACTTAGATATTGCACGTGGGCATTTTGGAGGATTTAATATGATTCCTTCTCTTAACCTCTACTCTTCGTTGGGCTGCTTTTCTTTCCTTTATTCTCTCCTTTATTCTCTCCTTTGTAGAAAGCATGTATCCTTTTCCAGAACTTATTCTGAGCAAAAAGTTAAAACTTTTTTTAAGCCTGTGTTTTTTTTTTTAAAGGCTTTCCTTTTTTATGTGGCTTTCTTACCTTAATTGTTGTTCAGTTCACCACATTTAATAAAAAGCCAAAGCAGGGGCCAGTCACGTACCAGAATGGATAAGTTCACTGGTTTTCACCTCCTTGTAGTCTGGCTGCCTACACAGAGGCAGTGGCTAAAGTGGTATGCTTGGGAAACCAAACGTTTCCTAACTTGTTAGTGGGAAATTCAAACTTCAGAAATTTAGAAACCACAACAACAGATGCCTATGTTTTACTGTGACTACTGAAGTCACAGTTTGCCATAGAAACAGGATGGATAGCAGCCTGAAGAGTATAAAATGTGAAACATTTTGATCCTTAGAGGACTTTTTTGGGTCCTCGATTTTAGCTGTCATAAATCAGTAAACAAGGAGCAAGGAAAATAGGGAAATTTAATACATTTAAGAGTACTTAGAGGTTCAGGCAGTTAGAGGATGAGGGTTAATGTGTGGCTTGGCTTCCTGCTGAGTAAACAATTAAATCATGAGCCACAGTGAGCATCCTACTTCTACCTTTACCCACTCTTCCTAGTTCCTGAGGATGATTGGTTTATATCTTTTCCATGATTTTTGCAAAGTGAGAGTTTGGGCCATATGCCATCTCTAATTACAGACAGGTGGAAAAGTTTTATTCTGTAATCTGCTGGAACATGAATGACCATTTTTCTTGTGGTCTGTGTTTTGCTTGTCCTCTTGCATGCTTTGTACAAATTAAAATTATTTTGGTTATCTGAGCCTTGTTTAATTTTCCCTTGACTGTAAGTCCAGAGCATTTGGGTTATGTTTTCCTTTTCAGCAACTTCTGAATACTGAGAAGACAGAAAATGCATAAACAGTCTGATCATACTTCCTTTCCTGTAAGTTGGGTTCTTTTAAGATGAACATGTTCTAGAGGATATTAAGCTTGCATAGCAAGGAGTAATTCCATCAAAATATGACAGTGGTCAACAGCATATCTGCTAGAGGTGAGAGCAATGACTGTACCCCACTTCTCTTGGCCCTGGGTCTGCTGCTTATACTGTCCCTGAGCAGGAGTTTCACCCATTTAGTTTATCTATGTGAGAAATGTTCTGTTTGTGGCAGTTAAAGAAATGGCTATAGTATACCTCATGTATGTGCTATTTGAATACCATCCATTTTTGCCCTGACCATATCTTACCTTGTGATTTGAATTTTAAGAGAAGGCAAACTATCTCAGGTTTTAGTAGCTGAAAAAAAGGTTTTTGAAAAAAGCTCTGGCTTCACTATTCATCGCTTTTTAAAGTTTACTAATTCACAGCTAAAAACAAAGAAAGCAGAACCCCAGGTATTAAACAATTGAAAAGCCACATATCTGATGGACAGGAAATGTTGGACCAAAATCTGCTAGTGACTTAACTATCTGACCTTACCTCATCTGCTTGTCACCTTAGCTGCAACATGGGAAGAGCAGTGCAATTTTGTCTCTAAGGTCTACAAAGCCTTTGGCAATCTCAAATCTCAGTTCCACAAAATAAATACTCCCAACAATCTTTAGAGTCCTTTCCTCCCTTCTTTCCTATATAACACTGTATACAAATTCACATGTCAAGAGATTTTATGGCTCATCAAGTCTCAATGGTTCAAAAGAATGGAAAACCGTAATTGGAATTCCATGGGATTCAGATTTATTTGAGTCTGTTGTAGTTCACAAGTTGTAAGTATGCTGTAAAAGCAAATAAGTACTTAAAATGTTATACTAAATTCAAAGTACAATTAAACTGAAAAATTAACACCTAGGCAAAAAGTATTTAGACTGTTAATTTCAAAAGAGACTCTTTATTGTTTGTGGCTAGGATCTGATATAAGCCATTTAGCCCAGGTTGTAAAGATTTGTCTTACAGATTTGTTTTTTGTGGGTGCATGGTAAAACAGGGAGATTCCAAACTAGCTTTTAAGCCTTTTGCAGTCACCAGCTCTCTTCGGTCCTTTACCTGCTCAGGAAGTTGTTTCTTACTTCAGATGAGTAAGACATTTTTAGGAAAGTTCTTGTGGGTTTCTCACAGGAGGGACTGCCTTGTAGCAGGGAAATCAAGGTAAAGGGTAACCTCTCCTTACAGAGTGGCTAAGGTTAGGCACGCTAGAGACAGATCTTCAACAAGCTTAATCCTTTACTCCACTTCACAGCTGGGTGTCTGAGAACAGGAATTCTTCATGACTGCAT
The DNA here is from genome assembly GCF_000001405.40 of Homo sapiens. Lineage (NCBI taxonomy): Eukaryota > Metazoa > Chordata > Mammalia > Primates > Hominidae > Homo > Homo sapiens. The sequence goes on from NC_000003.12 coordinate 99,868,387, forward strand.
CCTACAAAGGACCTCCTCTTTGGCCTGAGACAGCCCCCTATATGTCAGCCCAGCAGCACCAGATGATGAAGGAGCATCATCCCTATGGATAGACTAGCATAACCAGAAGAGTAACAGTAGCTGCTATAGGTTTGGCACTGTGCCAACTGCTTCATCACGTTTAAGCTTCAGGTTAAGAAGTGATGTTACTTTAAGCTGCCTTCCTTTCTGCATAAGTCCAGGTTGTTCTGAAGGCCAAATAATGGGTTTTTAAACTTACAGTTTGGGTGCTCTGATCTTGGCACAAGCCTTATTTGTCTTTTAACCTCAGGTTCTCCTTTCATAATAGACTTCTGAAGAATAAGTCTGCCATCTTTTTTGGAATGCTGCATTCAGTCATCTCCATTTACATTTCAGTTCCCATCTTTTCCATGAATGTTTCTTAACTTGTCTAACCCTGGCTGATTTTCCTTTTCTAAGTCCCCACAGCCCTTACAGCTTTATTACCTAAATATTCTACATTATTTTGTACTGCTTTCTAATTTGTTTTAGTATATTACTTTTGCCGTTAAGCCAACTGTAAGCTCCTTAAAGGAATAATACCTCTGTATCCCTCATATGGGTTGAACTCTGTGCATACTTGACCAAATGATAGAGAGGTAAAAAGAACCACTTCCTAGGGGAGTATAACCATCCCTTAGGCTGAGTGGTACCTAAAGTTCTCAGAATGACTTGTTATTAGAATGGAAGAAGGACAAGTAGAGTTTTGTTCCTCTTGTTCTTGTCACTTCTGGAAGGAGAACCATTTAGTGAAGAGAAGAATTCACTTGGAGACAAATTTAATTAAAGTCCAGATGGGGAAAATTGGCCAGAGAATCTTAACTTTGCCTGTGATTCTTTGCATCTGTGTTCAGCCTAATGAATTTTATTGAACTGTAAAAAGAATTTTATGGGGCAGAATTTGGGGGGAGATTAGTGGAGCCCCAAATCACTTGGCAAAGTTACTCTCACTTTTATTTGAAAGCCTCAAGAATAATATGCGACTTCAAACATAATGTATTTATTTTAATAATATGAGTGTTTGAAAAGTAGATAATTTTCCTTTTAGCAGCAGTGGATTCATTTTCACAAAATTCCACAGAGTAATTCACTTCTTCTGCCATTCCCAATTAACAGACTAACAAGTTAAGACTAAGGGACTTCCACAATATCTCACTGAATGGGTGTTTGTCTTCAGCAAGAAACCAGCAACTTTCTCATGTTCTCTCTAGGCTCCTGGACCAGGCAACTCCTTCCTTTTCTTCAAATTTAACAGGCAGACACTTAAGTCTTGCGAGCCCAAATGTGATGTTTTACATTCCACTTATGATCTCTGCTCAGAGATTTGTTTTTGTTTTGATTCACATAAAAAAGCATTTTAAAAAGAAAGAGAAAAACATATTTCACCTTTAAACTTTTGTTCCAGGACTGGTGGGCCATGAGACACAATAAATCTGGCAGATTTGCTTCTGTCAGGGCAGCCCATCTTAGAGGACTGACCTCAGCCTTGAGGCTGCTTTAGATACAGTGATTTGGAGCTCTCACAGGCCCAAGTGCTACAGCTGTGTTCATCTTTTCTCCATTTACATGTGGACTCTTTCCCTCAAATTACCCTCATTTTCTTTAGCTAATTTGTCTCTGTAGTGATATAATCAGTAGCTTTTATTTTTATATTGTCTCTTCTCTACTTGATCAGAGTTCCCATGAGGGTTATTGCTCATTATTCAATCTTTATTGAGTACTGAGAAATACTTGGGGTGGATGACATTGTTCCCTTTTTGTAATTTGTAGAAACCAAGGGAACAGGAGGCTCACCCAGTAAATGGATGGCAGAGCTAAGAAGAGTAGAACTCTGATTTATCCACCCATTATTCTTACTCTTTTAGTCTCACCGTTGAGACACTAACATTTATCCCTGTCAATTCAGTGTCACTATTCAGCAAGGTTGGCCATTGACTATATTCTGTTGAAGTTTTTATAAGCATTCTCCCACATTGTTTATCTTTACTTAGTTTTTATGTGTAGCTGATCTCTCCTACCTTCATTGCATTACCAGTCAATTAAAATAGAGCAGGGATGGGACCATAATTGAAGTTGTTGTCCAAGAGCTGCTAGTGATCTTAGTCCTTGTCATTAATGTGGTACCAGTCCATGCTAGTAGCTATAGCTGGGTTAGTGACATGGTATGGTGTGTGGTGAACTTAGTTGCTGGGCCTGTTTTCATGCCTTGTGCTTAGCTCAGTAAATGTTTGCTACTGCTGAGGAGAATTATAAGCCCTAGGCTAGCTTCACAGGTTGACATTGGAGTAACTTTGAAATTAAAGAAAAATCACTCTTCTGTAAAATCTGGGAGATACACTGGTTTACCCACAGAAACTTTGGAATGAAGTACATGCTTGGGAAAAGGCAGTCTGCTGCATGGCAAAGATAAGCCATTTGTGCCCCGTAAGTGCATCTTCCAGGCCTTCACCTGAGGCACAGAGATTAGAGAAATTCAGAGGAGTCCACCCTTCATTAACCACTGCACTGTGTTCTTCCATATTTTGCTTGAAGGCCATTCCATGCCCCCGGGTGACTCACCTGATACTCCTTCACCAGGTATACAAAGTCTCATTTTATTGGGGAGGGAATTAAACTGAGGTAGATGAAGATGGGCAGAAAAGCATCTGACTTAGTCTGCCTATATAACATACACTGCCATACAAAGCAGATTTCACTGCCTTGACTTAAGCTGAGCCTAACTTGGTTTCTAGTTAAGTTCACTGCCTTGACTTAACCTGAGCCTAACTGGTTTCTGTAAGTCACTTCCATATGGTTGCTTTAAGTAGTGGCTGAGATTTGTTTTCAGCTCCTAAACAAAATCTAGAAGAAGGGGCCCTCCACAGCCCACTGTTTGCAGAAACACTTTTTTTTTGTATCAAATAAGCAGCTTCTAGGTTGTAATTTGTTCATATATTTATCCAACACCTTTTCTGTCCCAGCAACACACCTACTAATTGTACCTCGGTACTTTCCTAGGCACTGGAGGTAAAGCTGGTTGTAAAACTGACCCTGAAGGAGTTTATAGTCCAAGAGACAGATAATAAGCAAATAAATCATTAATGAGTAATTTAATGTCACATCACAGTGCACAGTTTGAAGGAAAATAAAGCAGGGTAAGTACCACCAGGAGCTTGTAGCCTTCATAGGTGACTTCCTCTGCAGTTTTGGGGGAGGTTGTTTTGAAGGCATTGAGTCACTTTGAATTTTGAAAGGGATCCTGCTAGCTGCGGACGTCTGAGGAGTGCAAAATGCTTAGCTGGAAGATACTAATAGAAGGTCATTTGTCAAGTTAGTGGTTCAGACCCAAATGTCTTTGACCACAGAGTACACAGTCTTTCCAGGGCACCTCTCACCTTCCAAGTAGAGAGTGGGATTTGCCAGCCGGAGGACCTTTAAATACACTTATTTTTTATTTTCTCTTTCCTCCCTTTATCACCTCCCTTCTGTTGTTGTAGCCTGATTAAATTGTATTGATTTTCACAATGCTTCCTTATCCTTTGCTTTTTTATTGCTTATACTTAAGAACTTTGAACCTTTCTACTTTCTTTTTTTAATGGATTTTATATCTAAATTAACACCTACAGTACTGAGGCTTTTTCTGGGGCTTCTGTTCTCCTCTCTTCCTAGCACTAATTAAGGAAAAACTACTGGTGAGCTGTAGCCCAAGAATGCAGGGGGCCCTGGCCCTACCTCTGCATAGCTGTGTCTCTGGGGCAAGTCACACTGTGGACATCAGTTTCTTCTGTAAAGTGAGGCATTTGGATCAGATGACCTCCATTGCCCCTTCCAGCTGTAAAATTCTGTGGATATTCTGTGCCAGGACTGTGTGTGTGTGTGTGTGTGTGTGTGTGTGTGTGTGTGTGTGTGTGTGTGTGTGACTGTGGGGCCTGGGGTATCCCATTTTCCATATAGTCAAGTACCTTATCAAGGTACTTCTCAAATTCATAGTTGAATGTTTGCTGTTCTGATGTAATGTATGCTTTCTTTTGCTGATAATAACTCCTTTAGGCTAGAATAAGTAGTTATCATAAACAGACACAAGGAGTTGAGGTATGTCTGCATCCTGTCTGTCCCAATCATACACTTACCTATCTACTCCTCTACTTACCTCCCTACTGCTCCCCTGCCTGCCCCCACAAACACATCATTCCCCAAGCTTGTTTAAAAAAAATTCTATACTTAACAATTTATCATATTTTGGAGCCAGTAGAGCATAGAAATGTGAGGACGGTCAGACTGGAAAAAGAATACTGCTAATGTGTTCTCGTTCTTGGGCTCAGAATTAAAACTGCTGCTGTCCTATCTTAATCTGCTAAAGCATCTCAGAGAACAAGCATGAAGAGGGAGTGTTTCTCATATCTGAAAAAGAAACCAGGGACTTTCCTTGGTAAGCCTTCCCATTTTTGTTTGCCCAGCTTTCCCAGGCAGAGACGATGTTAGTGCAGATGAAGGTCAAGGAGAATCTCAAGTCTTTTTTTTTTTTTAAAAAAAGGAGGGATGTGCAAAGGCTGATAAGTGTTGGTGATAATCTGCTAGGAATTAGTGTACCTAACAAAATGACTCAAAACATGAATGTCCTACCTCATTTTAAGTAGAAAATGACCAGCCATAGGAGGTTCTAAAAGTCATTGCAGCACACTTTAAGCATAAGTGACTGGGTTGGTGGCTAGAAAATGTTGTGGTGATGACAGCAGCAACCACAGAAATATTGCTTTGAAGGTTTGTGATGCTGGCTGCATATGCAGTGTCTCTTCATCTTTAAATCCTTATTTAAATATAATTTACAAAAACTAAACAATCAGTTTAAATTGAAGCTGAATTCATGGTCAAATACAAATTAAATGGACCTTAAAATCGTTTAAAATTAATATGTCCAACAGATAAGGTAGGGTGTATTAGATTTTTCAAAGATGACAGGCTCTGTGAACAACAGATGGGGCCATTTCAGTTCCTGAAGCAGGTTGAGACCAATATTGCCTTACATCCACAATATCCAGTCTTTTATAAACAGTTCTCTTCTTGCCCCTCTTCCTTTTTCCTTTAAATAGGAGGGGCTGTATGTTTTTTTTCTATTCACCTTGTAAAATGTTCACTTTGCCCTGAAGCACTAGACATGGACAGAACATGACCTAAGCAGAATTATTGGAATCTTATTCTTCCTCCTACATTTTCAGTTTTTTTTCTTAAATCTCAAAATCCATTTATTACCAAAGGCACTTTTTTGGAGGGGAAATTACAGCAGAGAACCCTTAAACAAAATTTACAGCCTTTTGAGAAGGCAAATTAATGGGAACTGCAAGAGAACCGGAAAATTAAGTCAAGGCTTGATTTGTGTTTTCATACTGGCTGTTACTATAGTCTCCATCACAGCATTAGGAAAATAGCACAAAAATACCAGGGCTTAACAGTTAAGGTTAATCACCACAAAAGTGCAAATGAACTTACTAAGCATAAAATTATTATGTGCTTTATTTGGAAGTGTAGAAATTCACATTCATTCTATCAAAAACATTTTCCCATCATACAGATTGTCCCAAGGACTAAGAAATTGCTCATCCAAAGAGCCCAGTGTGAGATAGGGTATCCATGATAAGTCATACTTAGCTTTCAGTTTTAAAAGAGGTCTTATGTGATTGTTCTTTGAACCATGCTTTAAAGTTAATAAATGGGAAAAAGTGTGGAATATTAAAGAGTGTTATTTTTAAATTTTAAAAAATCGATGCTTGCCTGCTTTAAAAAAATAAAAGACACTGGGAAACACAGCTGTTAGAATTTTGATGGAAGTTATGATTTTCAACAGTTGAGTTGTAGTTTATGGTACAGATGGTACTCTGGGTATACCTGAAACAATAATTGATGGTTTCTGTTTGTCTCTTCCTCTGTTAGATTCAGAAGAGCAGAATATCTTTTTTCCAGAGCAGGAATTTTTCAGTTTCCAATTACCGCTTATATCAGATAAACAACTCTTCCATTGCATATTCTGTACTTCTCCACAGTGACATGGGTGTTGGCCCCGCTCTTCTCATTATGGTGGGCTTCCCTAGGTTTGAAATAATAGTTTGTGGAAAATCCTACTTCTCAGTACTAACCTGCAGTTTATATAGCCTATCCTCAGGCCAAATAACATATAATTTTTCTTTTAAAATATGAAAACCAAAGTCGTGCATTGCTCCAAACAAAATTAGCAAAAACAAAAAAACTGCTATGAGGCAAAAATGATAGGCACCAATGTCATATACTTTTAAAAACCATCCAACAGAAATTATTAGAAATATACAGATATAACCCACATTTTGAGTATTTTTTAAATGCTGTGTTTCAATGATAAAATCTGGGATCTGACATTTTCTTCTGACAATTAAATATAAAAACATGAGTTTGTAACACACACATACACCTCAGTGGTTATAGTGCTCTGCTCCTCTGTTAAACTTTTACTGTACCTCCAAACAGTTATCTTATATGGTCATTTTAGTGCCAACTAAAATGCCAGCATTTTAAAATCTCAGAGTAAATATAAATGGCAGCCTATGAATTCTGAGTTTGAATTGTATATACTTATAAAACATAGAGACTGTTTTAAAAGGGACAATTCTGTCACATAGTTGTTAAAGTTTTATTTTACAATATATGTTTAGACCAGATAAGGATTGAATGATGAATCAATTTTTCATCTCCTATTCCAGTGTTCTAAAGTTGACATAACCTTTTTATTTTTAATTCCTACGTTGACTTTTAGTTGGAAAAAATGAAGTAAAATATTATGGAGATTTTTCTGCCAAGTGTTCAGTTATCATACTGTAAGAGTTCATTGGTAGCAATAGCCTCTTCAGGATTTAGATGTAACTAATTATGGTTTAAAATGTTACTGATTAATACAGTTACTCTATAAGTTTTACCTTTTAAATTGGCATTTTTTACATAATATACTACTATCCAAAATATTACTCTAGAAATGATAGCTGTAAGTGAGGTTTGTCATTTTTCCAATGCCTGGACTTGAAGCAGAAAGTTAGAACTCAAAACTATGATAGTTACTTCCTTGTACAAATTGACATATGCTTTTACGACAAAATAGCGTTTGTACGATTTTTTGAAGCTTAAAAAGATTTTACTTTTTAAGTTAGATTCGTCTTAATTCCAAGATGTATTCCTAACAGTGTTTTTCTAGTCGTTTATATTAACATTTACAAAAAGAGGGGAAAACCTGGCACTAACAAATTTTCGCATTCTGCTCATGTAAGACAAGCGAGTTTGAGTCCGGAGGAGAGATAGGGTTGCTGCAGTACAATATAGTCTCCCCCACCCTTTCCCCAAAGATTTCTCAATATGGGCAGGATTCAATGTGTAGCTCACTTGGAAAGCGTATGTAATACAGTCACCTCCCACCTCTCAACATTTAAAATTAAATCTCTAATCTGTTTTCTCCTCCAGAGAAAACTTCTACTTTCAAGTTTTGTGTGAGTTGGAAACGGTTTTGAACCTAGAATTCATTGGATGCGCTTTGCGAAACCTGTCTGCAGTTTGTGATGCTGAGACAGCTTTAACAGCCACCCACAGACTTGCTACCTGGCTGTCTGACAGCAGTGCCCCTTGGTGGAGCGAAGTTGCTCTCCCGGGCTTACCTGAACTGCCTGCGCCGGGGCCGGGCGGGGGCCGGGCCGGGGCCGCTGTAGTGCCGCGCTGCGAGCCGACTGTGCGCGCTCCGAGAGTCGCCCGAACAATGCGAGCGGGGCGCTGAGCGCGCCCGGCCTATGGGCGTTACGTCACTGTTCTGCCTTATAAGGCGCTCCGCGTGTGCGGCGCTGTCGGCGGGGGCGCCGGTGACCGCGGGACCCTCGGCCGCGGCGGCGGCGCAGCCACACACCCCAGCTCCCGCGGATGTTCCGGCCGTGTGAACGGACCGTGGTTCCCGGCTCCCAGCGGAGGGAATGAGTGGTGGGCCGGTGGGCCGGGGCGCCGGCGCCCTCCTGTCGGGCTAACAAAGTCATTGGGAGGCAGGGTCGATCCGCTTGTAACTTTTTTCCCTCTGGGTCCCTAAAGCTGTTGTTGCTTCAGGGACTTCAATACACATCCTGTTATTCTTATGTAAACTTTTGTAAATTCATTATACTTTTTATTTTTGGTTGCTGGGGGTAGGCGGGAGAGGGAAAGGAGAAGTCTGGGGTTTTGTGGAGACATCTCTGGGGGTGATTTAGACTTCAAACCTTCTCTTTCCTCTTTGTAATGAGTAGGGGTCCTCAGAGGATGGTGTTTTATTTCCTGATGATGTAACTACCAAACAATTCTTCAAGTGATGATGGAAAGGCCAGATGAAATCTTATTTTTTTCAGTGTTTTTCCTGAAAGAACTTCCTCTTTCCCCATTTCTGCATGCCTGTGTTTTAACGAAAGCAGTTAAAACTATCATTTTTTGGCAGGGAAAAAATTTTTAAAGAAATTAAATGTTTTGTGCTGTACTTTCAAGACAATGTATAAAATTAGAACTTTAGAGCCAGTTTTAATGTTTGTTCTCTTCTACCGGCAAACAAAATAAAGCCAAAAATAACCACGTGAAGAAAAAAGAAATTAGCCAAATGTGATTGAATTAAGAATATTATCCTCTAGTATGGGGTAGATTTACTTGTACAAATCCTACTTCTTGTGAATGAGAATTCACCTCCGAATTATAAGAGAAGTCATACCTAAAGTTCTAGCCCAACTATATGAATCTGCTAAATAAATTAGGGACGTGGCATTCTTATTTGCAAGCTTCAGATGAGTAATTTTAGTAGCTTGAGTCCTTTTAAAACCTCTTTTAAAATTACATTAAAATAGGATTGCTTCCTATTATGATGTACATATGTCTGTAGAATTATTGTTTCCATATGTTTTGTCAAACAAGAATGACGAAAATAGTCTGCTCGCTTCATTTTCTTAGTGTGGAGTGGAGAAAGGATGTTTGCAGAGTTGTTAGTGGAAATGGTGTGGAATAAAGATGCAGGGCACAACATTAAATGTATGTCCTCTTCACTAAATTGGGAGTTCACTTTATCATTATTCTAGATCACTCTAAGTACCTACTGAGAAACCTAAAGTAAACTCACTCTTGCTTTTCATATACAGTATACTAAGAGATGTGAATTACACATACTCTTCAGCCGAACTTAAAATTTAATATTTGATTTGCAATTGTGTACTAACATTTTGGATGTTGAGTTTGTAGTTTTGTTGGTTTTAACTCTTCTGCCCTATACTTGTGAATTGCATTGTAATCTTTTTAGTCTCCTGTGCTTACCTCATACTTATTAAATATCCTTTTTGAGACTTTTATGCTGCATTTTTTATTACAAATGAGATTAAATGACTTTTATGAAAGTTGTATGATGCATAAACACCTGAATCTCAGCCCCAAACTGATAGCATACTTTTACCCCAAAGCTAACAGTTTTGTAGCTTGTTTTGCATCTTTTTCCCTCTGATAGGCAAATATGTTTCCTAACATTTAACACTACCATTTGTTTCTTTCTCACATATCCATACTCAAGTTTTGCATTTATTTTCATTCTTTTGACTTGCTGGTTCCCATGAAATATGTTAGTATTATTTCCTCCTTTTCTTTAGCTATATTCTGAAGAATAGAGGAAAGAGGATTAGGGCTTCTACTCCTTGTATGCCCTTGCCTGGTACACTACTTGCCTGGTTACATTACTAATGTGTTACTCCTGAAACATCAGTCTCTTGACCCAGCTATGACTCAGCTTTCCAAGTGAGGTCATAGTTATGTGACCACTGTCTTCAGGAACCAATATTAATAGCCCTCATTTGTTGAGCTTTTAGATCATACCTACCACCATACTTAGTGCTCTACAAGCATTTCATCATTTAATCTTCACAACACATTTTGATGTGATATGATCCATTCTTTTCAGATAAAGACATTTAGAAGGCTAAAGTGGCTTGACCAAGGTCACACCGCTACTAAAGTAATGATACAGGGATTTAAAGCAATGTTTACATATATAGCCTTCTACATATATAGTCTTACATATATAGCCTTCTTCTACATAAATAGTCTTGTCTTCTCCTAATAGTTTGTTCAGAATCTCTCAGAGGTATGTTTGGTAAAGGAGTGTTCAGATTTAACTGAGAAGTTTCTGTTTATTTTCTAGACTGAATCTTGAACTGGGAAAGCCAAGACTCATCCTCTTTTTTGTGGATTTGTGGATTTACTGACAGTTTTCTGGAAGGTGGCAGCAACGTATCTTGTTCTAGTAAAATTAGAATATCATCACCATTTCACTTCAAACGAAAGTCAAGGGTTTTGAGGGAGCAGGACCTTTAACTGATACAAGAGTACCCTGGGTGGTGTATTGCAAACTCCAACCAGCTGTTGGCATTGTGCGCCATTGGCCACATAAGTAGATGAGTAGACTTTTATTTCCTTCCCTCTTTCAACCAAAATTCTTTCTGAGATGTAATTTTTATTCTCTTGGTTTCTGAAATTTTCTTCATTTGTGAAATTCTCTTGGTTTCATTTGTGAAAATAGTAGAGTTATGATCACTGTGCCTCAAAATTGGATGAGAGAGTTTTACTTCCTAACCTTGTTCTGTCCAATTACTTTTGTGACTTTCTTTTCATTTTTTAATCAGGAATTTACTACAAATAAGCATACCTAGACACCAAGGTCCTTTCTACAATTAGTAATCTGAGTTTATGATCTAAATCAGCACTAGCTTTAAACTGTTATTTAGAAATGATACAAAGAAATTTTTCTACCAAGTTCATTGCTTTCTAATGCGGGAGAAGGGGTTTGTAGGTAACAAGGCAAGAAACAAGGAGATACCAACTAGATTTAGCCATATTATATTATGTCAAAGACAGCTTAATATCACCAGTTTCCCTGGTTCGAGCTAATTGTCAGGAGGCCATGACAATGACCACATTAACAGGTGTTATTAGTGAAGTCAGTTGCTACTGACCATAATTACAACATCATCATTATTTAACTTTTAAAAAATACCATTAATATACTGCTAATCACATCAAGCCAGTTCCTCTTTTTGAAGTAACTGCTCTTATTTTCTTTCATGTCTTCTCTCCCTGCCTTTGTTTCTTCTTTTGACTGGTCATGTCTTTCAGTCATCCAAGTATAGTAAGTGCCAAAGAAGCAGTAATTAATAGGATGTTTCTTGCAGCTACCCAAAATTTTCATTGCTGGTCCTTTGGTCATTTAAGCAGTTGGTACGCTCTGCTCCCTAGGAGCTCTGCTTTGAGCTATGAGATGGTAATGCTAACTTTGTATATGACATGTTTGCTTCTTTGCCTCTGTGAGATAGTATATATGGAAACACTGTCATGTACAAAGAAAAACAGCAAGACCTGTATAAGACCTGGTCTTATGGACCTGGTCCTGTATAAGAAGCTGAACAGAGTGGGAACAGACCCAGGATTGCATAGGGAGAGGTATAGTTCCATGGTCCTGCATTGCTTCAGACTACAGTTGGATTGGCCAGAATATGAGCTTTCGGTGTTTATTGCACCCCACGCTACCTTCTACCACCTTACCCACAGCCTTCTTGCAAAGCAGCTTTGCCACTGAGCACTGGATAACCTTGCCATGGATCCGATCCTGTGCTTCTACTCTCCGATCCCTTCTCCTCTGCTGCTACACAACTTAGGACGAAGGCTGAAGGGACCTGTAGGCAACTGTGAATGTGGAGCCAAAGGGGATGTCTGTGGTAAAAGAACCTTCTCTCCATGCCCTAGACAATCATTTTTCTAATCAACCTCATTTCTTCACTCTTCTTTCACTCTTCTTTCAGTTCTTTGGGTGCCACCTGTCTGGCTCTGTACATGTAGATACCCACATGAAATATACCATATCTCCGCACTTAAACTGTACTTAAAAGAGCCTTTAACCAGCAGACCTTAATATACATATAAACTGCAGTAACTGAATATATATATGAACTGCAGGTCTATATATATAGACCCTCTTTACTTTTATCTGTAGCCTGAATCTCTGGTCCCAGGCCTATATATGGTCCGCAGAGTTTCCAGAAGGCTTCCAATTATTCTGCTCATACTTCAGCTGACTATGACTCTAGAACAGTGACATATGTACCTTGAGAAGTGATTACAGTAGTAGTGTCCATGTGATGCTAGGGAATGGGAAGTCCTTTGTTATTAAAACATTAAAATGATGATATTTTGTGGTTTTAAAATTAATTTAAAATTTTTTTGTTTTAAAATTAATTTAAAATTTTTTTTATTTTAAAATTAATAGGCACCCTTCATAATTTGGAAAATGCATAAAAGTAAAAAATTTTACATGTAGTCCTACCACATGAATACTGCCAACTATTAACAATTCAATGTACTGTGTTTCTTTTAGTCTTTTTCTAAGCATTTATAAAGCATCATTTTCGTAGTGTGGATGGACCCTGTATGTGTATGTATATGTGTATGTATATTATGTTTCTTTTTGCCTTTATTATATATTTCTGAATCATGTTAGTGGCTTTTCTGTAGACATTGGGCTATTTAAAAGCGCATGTTTACATATTCTCCCTAGCATTGGTGGTCACAAAGCCAACTACTGCCTGTTGGCCCCCTAACATTGCCACGGTCTTGTTCCTCATCAAACAAAGCAAGGAAGTCTATTTAATAAGGAATCATCTGTTGGTAAGAGACTTCCTACCCTTGGTTTACAGGGGATGCCATAAGTTGGCTATGGACTCTAGTGAGCATACTAGTAGGTAAGTAGAATGACTTAGAAAGAATGAAGAATTGGTAATGTGACGCCACTGTAAGATTATTAAATGGGAAGCAGGAAAAGTCTGTTACTTAGGTCCAGTCCATTTGCTTATTTATTCCTACAAACATTTTGTGTTTCCTTGGTAACTAATAATAGTTTTGAGAAAATGTTGAACTCACAAGTATTACTGCAGAAGTGAAAAAAAACCCCCAAATCACAGAAATTAGAGACGGAAAAGACCTATTAGGTCATCTTCCCTGTCCCTTGCCAGTACAGATTGTTCTCAGTGCTTTGTTCAGTCCATTTTTTAAAGGGACCTTGTCATATAATTTGTAGCCCATCTCTCTCTCTCTTTTTTTTTTTTTGAGACACAGTCTCACTCTGTTGCCCAGATTGGAGTGCAGTAGTGCAAGCTCGGCTCACTGCAACCTCCGACTCCTGGGTTCAGACAGTTCTCCTGCCTCAGCCTCCCTAGTAGCTGGGATTATACATGTGTGCTACCACGCCTGGCTAATTTTTGTATTTTTAGTAAAGACGGGGTTTCACCATGTTGGCCAGGCTGGTCTCGAACTCCTGACTTCAGGTGATCTGCCCGCCTCGGCCTTCCAAAGTGCTGGGATTATAGGCGTGAGCCACCGTGACTGACCCATTTCTTTTTTAAGTAATACATTTTTAAAGAAACCACTGACAGATTTTCCCATGTAGATGTGGAGCTTGATTTCAGGGTAAGTATTTGCAGAGAAAGACCTGTGGATTCAAAGTACAATTGAACAAGTTTTGTTAGTTTGAAGTCATTGGAATAGTTTAGGATGTCTTTGGAATAGTTGACCAACTAAGAGTAGAACAGTTAGGTAAATTGGATTTATATGTTTTCTTTTATCTTTGGAACTCAAATAGAGCAATTCCTGAGCATAAATTTTAATTATAAACTTCAAGACTCATTGAAATGGTCCTAGAAAGCCTGAGAAAATAAAGCATCCAGGAAGTAAAAAAATAAGAGTAAAACTATTTCTTCTAAGATTATTTTTATGAAAATTACATTTTAAAACGTCCCTTTCGGTTCCAAATTCTGCTTTGTCCATTATTTATGTAGTTAATTGCTTGATATGAAGGTGGCTTCTAATTGTAAAATCCTTTCCTTTTGTCTGGCAACTTCTTCCAGACTCTAGAAGGACAAAATAAAACTGTCTCATATAAGCAGTCAGTGGTGGTGGTAAGACTAAATCTTCCACTTCCTCATATAATGGCTGGAAATGTATTCACTGAGAAAAATGAACAAATTAAGAGTAAAAGGTGTGCTTAGAGTTTTATTAAGAAGAATGATCCTTTCATAAAATCATATTTTAGGGTATAAGAGGCCTTAGAAAACATCTGATCTTCTTATTGCCACTCTCTGTTCCCATTTTTAAATAGATGAGATAACTGGAGCTCAGAGAGGTTAAGGGACTTGCCCCAAGGTCACACAGTAAATTGGTGACCCAGTCACTGTGTTTTCTGGGACTGAATGTTTCTTTTGGGAAACATGAAAAAATGGCACAAACAGTGTGATTAGTATCTGAAATCCCAATTAATAATTGAGTAATTTACCTAGCTTATACTAACTGCAAAACTAATTTGGAACATTAATGAGCTAGTTGTCTACTTTATGGATTAGAAATGTTTTCTTTTGTTGCATTTGTTTTAAATTGGAGATTTATAGATTGCTGCTTATCATCTCAGGCCACTAAGATTGGCCACATGTCAAAACCCTAATGGAGATGTCTGAACTTTTAATATAAATTTCTGTGTTATCATGTAACACCATTATCTTGCATGCTTGCCAATTGGGGGTTCTGTACATGAGAAATTCTATTATAATTTATGTCACTAAGCATCCAGTCTACATCATAAAATGCAGGTTTGGAAGATATGTCAAAAGTCTTGTGTCTACGCTTAGATTGAATTATCTCTCAAAACTTCAGTGTTTTATCTAAGAATTGGTACATGCACAGTCTAGTTGTTATTAATCAGTGCCGAACAGCTCCAGAGATTTTTTACTTCCCCAGCAAGTCCATTCCATTCCAAACTGAGAACTGGCTGCTTCTAACTTCCACTCATTGTTCTTCATCTTTCCATGACACCATGTTGAATAAATGCGTTGCTTTGACATAAAAGTCTTTTAAATATTTGAAAAGTTTGTCTTGAGTCTTCAGTTATTCCTATATTATATCATTTTAGTCTTTTCACACCCTGTGTCCAAAAGGTTGGTGCTTAGAATGAACAGATTATTTCATCATGATTATTTCAGCATTATCAGAGTTATCCTCCCCTTTTATAGGCTATGTGAATGTGTGTGTTGGCTGGGGGGTGTTGTATAAACAGATTTTCTTACCATTTTAGACAACCATATCACACTGTTGAGTCAAAGAGCTTACTGATCATCAGTCTTCTAATGAACAACTGCACACCCAAATGTTGTCATCATGTACTGCTTCTGTGATAATCTAGGATAATCACTTCTATACTGGTTTTGTTTGTATGACTTCATTGTTATAATAATAACAAAAACAATAATAGGTGACACATTTAATGTTTAATTGATGTCAGACACTACACGCTTTACAAATAGTAACAACTTTAATCCACATAATAACCCTATGGGATAGATAACTGAGGAACAGAGAGGTTAGGTAATTTGTCTAAGATCACAGAGCTAGGGAATGATGGCACCAGAGTTTGAACTGCATACTGACTCCAGCAACTTCTGGGGAAAATCACACTCAGTGTTTTGTAGTAAGATTTGGATTTAGGGGGTAAACAGTACTAACAGAGAGTTACAGAACTTTGTACTTCTCTCATCTGCTATTTAGTTCATTGGACTTGAACTATGGGCTAGGAGAGTGAGAATGGATCTTGGAGATTATCTAGTTAGCAGCCCTTATAGTTCATGGAACTAAGACCCAGGCTGTGCAGTAGCCTGTTCAGGGATATGCATATGGGAAAAGCTCAAGCCAGAATGGAGTGCTTTTTTACTGAAGAATTCTAAAATGTTTCTGCTTCATATAATATCCTCTCTCTGTCCTTTTTCCCCTTCTTTCTCCTTGTCTTCTCTCCCTTTTTATTTATGGTGCTATCAGTGTTAGAACAACAATAATAGAAAGTACATGGAAAAGATCACTTAAAATCCTACCACACCATGTTTTAAACTATTTTCATGTATTGCTGATTTCTGAATCTGTTATCTTGTTAGATTATGACATTGATTTAAGTTTCATAGCTCAAATATGGAACCTCTATAAAGAAGTTCCAGGGAGTGGAAAGGGAAGGGAAAGGAATTGCTGTTATTTATTAAGAGCCTACTGTCTGTCAGTCACTCTGCCTACCTGCTGTCTCTGATGTCTCAAACTTCCTTCCCACTTTATGGGATTCTGTAGGAGGACCAGCACAATACCCTGCACAAAGTGAGCATTCTGCAAACCTAAAGAACGAGGAAATGAATGAAAGGAAGTGCTTTGAATTCAGCAGAAGAAAGAGATAACAATCATGTGCGAACTACTCCCAGCTATTGCCTATTGACTGTTAGCTTTCAGTTCATTTTTGTACAATTTAACCATTGAGGCAAATGTGTATACAGGATACCATGGAATGCTGTTTACAGGTATAGATTTTGGTTCTTGTACTTTTGAAGCAGCTGAATACTGATAAGGCCTGTGTCCAGAAACTATTTTTTTCCTTCATTTAATCAGGTTTCTTTACTTCCTTGACCACAAATATTATTTGCTAAGGAAATTTCTTCTTTGGGGTGGTATTTAACCATGCAAGTGGGGAAAATTGTGCTACGATACTGTTCTGACAGCCTGTGGACTTGAGGGAAAAAACTGCAGGAGCAGAGTTTCCTTTCAGCAGTCAACTATAGGCTCAGTCACTTCTTGACAAAACATAAGTTAAAATAGTGCTGATTTCTTTTTGAACATAATCAATTCTAATGGAAACTGTTCCAGCTGAGTTTGGAAACACACAGAAGCAGCCTTCAGTTACCATTGAGGCTATTATTGCCCTAGTAATACCAAAGAGACTCTTTCAGCCTACTTATTTGTATTGGATGCTTGTAGGGCTATTTCATGGGGACCTGGTGTTGACTCTCAGTGACTTCCACTTTGACTCTGAGATTTATCTTCAAATGCTGATGCATTCTAAGATTTATAGAAGTACAAACTTATCTTATTATTGCTAATTTGTCCCATTACTAGACTATGCCCCTTAGAGTTATAATTATGACTAGCCCAATTACATTTTATTGTCGTGCCCTTTTTTGGCAAAAAATAAAATTTCTTTGTTAAACTCAAGGATTTAAAATTTAGCACAAGTTCATAAACTTACTTTGATACTTCTTCATTTCCTTTTTAAAAATACATCAGTAGACTCAAAATGTAAAAGTGGCTTAGGGCTCACTTGACCTCTGAAAGGTGGCTGACTGACTTTTAGTTAAAAACAATATTTGTCTATATATCTCTGTCATCTATTTGTGGCTACTATGTGTTGAAACTTTGTGGAACAGATATCTTTCTCCCTTCTTCTTCCCTCCTCTCTGCCCAAAAGACACACACACAAACACACACATGTACACACAGAGACTTGAAGGCTTTTGTGTACATTTACCAACTACTACAACAACAAGAAATGAAGAACAATACAGCTCAACTCTGTAAATCTAGAATGGGGAATCTATTTCCCAAAGGCTGTATGCAGTATCTTTTCAGCGAGTCATGGTAGCCTCCAACAACTAGTAGCACTCTTTGTGCATGAGGATATTTCTGACTAAAAATCCACCTTTGTTGATAATGTTTGTTCACTGTAAAGGAATTGAGTGGATAAAAGAGGTATTACACTTTCCTTTCTATATCAAGGAAGGTGGAATATTCAAACAGAACACTCTATGTGTGCACACGTGCACATGGACGTGAGTGAGAGATGATTTATAGATATAGAAGAGTCCTACTGTATTCTTTTAAGAGGTATTCAGCAACTATTTGTTGAATACCTTCTGTGTGTTTATCACTATGCTGAGTTCCTGGTGAGAGGGGAATGAGTGTAAAGCAGGGATGTTATCACTATGCTGAGTTCCTGGTGAGAGGGGAATGAGTGTAAAGCAGGGATGTCCAATCTTTTGGCTTCCCTGGGCCACACTGGAAGAAGAAATCTCTTGTACCATACATAAAATACACTTAACACTAATGATACCTGATGAGAAAAAAAAAAATCGGAAAAAAAAAATCTCATGTTTTAAGAAAGTTTATGAATTTGTGTTGGGCTACATTCAAAGCTGTCCTGGGTCACTTGCAACCCATGGACCACGGCTTGGACAAGTTTGGTGTACAGCACATTCCTGCCCAGATTTTGGGGGGGTAGATAGAACAAACAAATGAACAAAGGCCCAAAAAAAAATTAACATTAAATTAAGATATTGAGTTGGGTGAAGTAAGAATATTTTAAAAATATCAGTTAGGTGGCCAGCGTGGTGGCTCATGCCTGTAATCCCAGCACTTTGGGAAGCTGAGGTAGGCAGATCACTTGAGGTTAGGAGTTCGAGACCAGCTTGGCCAACATGGTGAAACCCATCCCTACTAGAAACCAGTATCTACCAAAAATACAAAAATTAGCCAGGCATGGTGGTGGACACCTGTAATCCCAGCTACTCAGGAGGCTGAGGCAGGAGAATCGCTTGAACCTGGGAGGCAGAGGTTGTAGTGAGCCAAGATCATGCAACTGCACTCCAGCCTGGGCAGCAGAGGGAGACTCCATCTCAAAAAAAAAAAAAAAGTACTGGCCGGGTGTGGTGGCTCATGCCTGTAATCCCAGCACTTTGAGAGGCTGAGGTGGGTGGATCACCTGAGATTGGGAGTTTGAGACCAGCCTGACCAACATGGAGAAACCCCATCTCTACTAAAAATACAAAATTAGCCGGGCATGGTGGCGTGCCTGTAATCCCAGCTACTCGAGAGGCTAACAGGAGAATCACTTGAACCCAGGAGGAGGAGGTCGCGGTTAGCCGAGATTGAGCCATTGCACTCCAGTCTGGGCAACAACAGCAAAACTCCATCTCAAAAAAAAAAAAAGTATCAGGCTTAGAAATATCTGGTAGATCTTCATCAGAAGTTAAAGTTCATCTGGACCTTGAAGGGTGAGTAAGGCATTCCAGGAAGGAGAATGGTGGAACAAAGGAACCCTGGATTTACTATAGTCATTGGTTGGCTCTCATGGAGCAGAGCTGGGCCTCTGCAGGCAATTGTGCATGTGGTGGCTATCACAGCCATGACTGAGAGGTCACATAAGATGGATCCAGGCTACGAATAGGTCTTAAAATTTAAGTAGTGGGTTCTGGGTTTTAACTTCATGTTACAGACAGTCGGGTGCCATCAGCAGCTTTTGAGCAGTTGAATAACATGTTGAAAGCAGTTTTAAATGAATCATGGCATTGTTAGAAAATTCTTTTTCAATTTCTTATATAAGTACAATATATTTATATGAAATGGAACTGGGAATACCCAGATATACATATAATATAGATATGGATATGATGTAGATATTGAGATAGGGCCTCATTCTGTCACCCAGGCTGGAGTGCAGTGGCACAATCACGGGTCACTGCAGCCTCGACCTCTTGGGCTCAATTCATACTCCCTACTCCCACCTCAGCCTCCCAAGTAGCTGGGACTACAGGTGTGCACCACCACACCTGGCTAATTTTTTTTTTCCATAAAGATGGGGTTTTGCCATGTTGCCCAGGCTCATCTTGAACTCCTGGGAAGGTTCAAGCAATCCATCCACCTTGGCCTCCCAAAGTACTGGGATTACAGGCATGAGCCACTGTGCCTGGCCTCCTGTTGTATATTAATACTTCTCTTAGGTACTATCTTCGGACAATTGGTGATGTGGAGCAGCATCTATTGAAAAATTTTAAATGTCTGCTCTGAGAATAAAAATAAAATGGGTCTATGAAGTTGTAATTAAATAGGAGACTTTATTTTGAACTTATTAAATATTAGAATAGCTGTCAGAGGGCCAGGCATTATGTTGTGCACCTGTTGCTACTTGGGAGGCTGAGGTGGGAGGATCACTTGAACCTGGAAGGTTGAGGCTACAGTGAGCCATGATCATGCCACTGCACTTCAGCCTGGGCAACAGAGTGAGACTCCATAGCTTAAAAAAAAAAAGTGACTGCTAGAGAATGGTTTTTGAGCCATTTACTTGATAAGTAATTATGATTTACCAAAGGTTCTTCCCAGAGAAAAGTTGGTGGCTGGGTAAAGATCTCCCAGGCTACAACAAACAAAACAAAACAAAACAAAAGCACCCCTGAATATTAATGAGTTGGTTCGTTGGTTGGTTTTGTAGAGGTGCCTGTTTGATCCATCACTGAAAATAGAGAGAGGCTCTTTATGTTTTAGGTACACCCTCCTAACTGCTTAACCTATCAACAATTTTATATACTGGCTGTGGAAGGTAAAGTAGAGAAAAGAATCTTCTTAGACTGCTTTTTGTAGAGATATGAACACTTTATCTTCATTTTTCTCTCTTCCAGCAAAAGAAATTCTATAACCATCTTTGTTGATTCATTTTGATGTTTCATAAATTTCCTTGCAAAAAAATAACTCTGCTAAGAACTTTAGCTTGTCTCTTTTCTCTCCATGATCTTATTGGGCTTTCATCTCTTTACTTAGTTGTTTAGAATTGTGCTTCTTAATTTTTATAAACATATTTTTAGGTAGAGGAAGAGCATCTTTTTTGTCATTGATTACATTATATTCAGAGAATTTGATCAGTATGTTATCTATCCTTTGACATTAAGGTTTGTTTCATGGCCTCACTACATGGTTACTTTTTGTTCAGGTTCTCTATCTGCTTGAAGATAATTTATGTTTCATGAAACTTAACAGTTTTCTGTATATAAATAAAGCTTGTTAATTGTGTTGTTAAGATCTTCTGTAACCTTACTGATTTTTATCTGCTTGGTTTATTAATAACTAACAAGGATGTGCTGTACTCTCCCACTGTGATGATGGATTAGTTTGTCCTTGTGTTTCTGGCAATTCTTGCTTTACATATTTTTAGATGCACACAAATTCAAACTGTTCCTAGGAAATGGAATCTCTTCATATTATATAATAACCCTTTATAGATGTTTTTAACTTTAAGTTCATTTTGTTTGATATTAACATAGCTATATAATCTTTCTTTTAATTAGTAGTTACTAATGTCTTTTCTGACCTTTTACTTTCAGCTTTACCATACCCTTATGTTCTGGTGAGTCTCATATAAATAACGTATAGCTAGGAATTATAATTGTTAAAATTGCTTTAATCCAGTTTTACAATTTTTATCTTTTAGCAGGATCATTTTGTCTATGTTTATAGTAATTATTTGCTGTCTTATTTGATAATTCCATTTGTACCACCTTTTTGTTGCTTTTATCTCATTTCTTGGCTTCTTCTGAATTTTATTTTTATCTATTTCCTCTCTCTCTCTACCTTGTAATACATACTGTATTCCTATTCTATTAGGGATTAATGACCCTATAAATTCCATCTCACAAGTTAAATTCTCAAAAGTCTAAAGCTACTCAGTATATTAATCCTCCTCCAAAAAAATCTAAGGACTTCAAAACACTTTTAATTCTGAGCATACCCTCCCAGTTTTTATATTATTGTTATTATATATTTTAGTTCTAACTTTAATTCCATAGGACATTATAATCTATTATTGTTCTATTAGGCAATTATTGGTTTAGATATACCAATATATTTAACACTTTCTTCGCCTCTTATTTCTTCTTTTATTCCAGACTTCTCTCTGGGACCACTTTCCTTCAATCTAAATGCATCCTTTTGAAGTTCCTTTAGTGGAAGTCTGCTCTTTGCACACTGTATTTATTTGAATCTGTCTTTATTTCACCATCGTTCTTGAGGATTTTTACTGGGTATAGAATGCTTGGTTGAGACTTGTTTTCTGTCAGTACATTGAAGATATTATTCCACCAACTTCTGGTTTCCCATTTTACTGTTGAAAAATCATCTATCTAATTGTCATTCCTTTTTTCCCTGGCTGTTTTTATGATCTTCCCTTTGTCTTTGATATTATACTATTTCATTTGTATGTACTTAAATGCAGATTTCTTTTATTTTGTCCTTACCAGGTTTCATTGAGCTTCCTGAGTCTGTAGATTAGTGTCTTTCTTCAGTTCTAGAAAATTCTTAGTTTATATTAACATTTCAAATATGGCTTCTGAACAGTTTTTTCTCTCCTTAATCTCTTATAACCTAGATTAGACACATGTTAGACTTTCTTTATCTTCACATCCCTTAACTACTCTTCAGTTATTCCATCTGTTTGGCTTTCCAGACTATATTCTGTGCAATTTCTTTGAATTTTTCTTCCAGTTTACTAATTCTCATTCCTTGATCTACAGTTGTTACCTATTTCATTTCCCAAAGTTTCTATTTGTTTTTCTAGTTTGACCATTTTCTATAGTCTTTTACTTTTTAAACTAGAAATACCAATCCGCTGTTTTTTTTTTTCTGACATATTAAGTATGTCTTACATGCTGTCTGATTATTTAAATATCTGAGGTCTTTGCAGCTCTGATTCTGCCATTTAATGTCACTGGCTTTCAATAATTGTATATTATTTTCTGTATGCTTTCAGATTTTTTTATATGAAGTCACGTATCTCAGAATTTTATATGTAGGAATTCCTTGAGCCCTGAGTTGAAGGTAGTTTCCTCTAGAGAGGATTTCCATTTGTGCCAAATGCCAAAGGGGTATTTTCAGCCTAAAATCTTTTTAAACTGAATTTTTTGACCTAGGATCTTTGGGATTTTTTTCTTTTGTTTTGTTTTTGTTTTTTTTTCAGACCACCCAGTTAGTATGAATCTGCAAATTCTCGTGTGGGCTAGCTTGTTAGTATACCTTCTCAGTGGAGTTTATTTTCCCTCTAACTCCCAATGCCATAGTTCATGGAAAGCAGTTTTCCTTGCAGTCCTTTAGAGGTTGATTTTGTTTCTAAATTACCCTTTCGTCTGGGTAATGTGGGTACTTCCATCTGGGCATTCTGACAGTTTAGCTCTTTGAAATCTCAGCTTTATGTGGGGCTGGGAGGACCCTGGGCTTTGTACTCTGTCTACATGCCCTATGATGTCATGAAAACTAAAATTTAAGTTTATGGAGTTTAACAAAACATTCTCAAAGCAAAAACCAGCTTTTGTGCTTTGCTTTACCTTTCTAGGTTTTCACTTTTATTCAGTCTTTGGCCTTGAATATTCCTAATATTACTTGCCATCTTATAGATGTATTTTTTGAAATATTGTATATATTTTATTTTGCTTTTTAATATGTGTTGGATTTTTTGGGTTTTTTTTGTTTGTTTTGTTTTGTTGGTGAGACACTAGGTTAGGGTAGCTAATCCATTTCACCATCAGCAATGGACATTAGAACAATAATAATCTCATACCGAAAATCAGCCTGAAAACTATGTCTAAAAGGAAATATTTCAAATTAAGAAATGGAGTTTTAGCTTAACCCAGTACAGATTTACATCACAGCATTTCCATTCATTGCTCAGCTTACTAATAAGCCACCAGTGATTTTTCAGTTGCCTAATTGTATAAACATTGTGTCCAAGATAAGGTCCAACTATTAACAAAACTACACTTTTTAAGTTCTAGTCATTCTTAGGTCTACATATTAATAGAAGAATCAGTCGGCTATCTAGAATAGCTATGATTCACTAACACTTATTAGTTAAATTTATATTAAATACAATATAATAATTTTTCTGATTTTTTCACAGTTGTTACTTCTTAGTTCAGGCAAACACATTAGTCAGAGCCTGATGTAAAGAGGGATGGTCTAAGAGCTTCTGCTATGCTTTTACCAAACCTCTGTGAGAAATAGAATATCACTGGAGTCTCATTCCAGATGCTTCAAAGGGAAACTGTTCTTATGTGAATGATGCCACTTTGAGAACTGCATCTTGAATTAAGAAGTTTTTCATAGTGCACTAGGCAAGTCTCCAATTTTGTATGGAGAACCATGTAATGTGAGGGCTTCACATCTTTGAAGAATTCCCAGGATATGGCAACTTTAAACTATTGACCTTCACTGAGAACTGTCATGAAAATAGTGCCCTGGCTTCTCCAAGTGGTCTAGAATGTGAGTAACCAAAAAATTATACTTTGTCTAGGAAGTGTCCAGCTGTAATCATCCAAAAACCTGAACTCCCATTGGCTCAAACAATAGTGAAATATGTCACCACACAACAAAAAATCCAGCCTTGTGGCAGGTTCTAGACATAGCATGTTGCCTCTGACTCCCTGGTTCTTGTGGCTTTGATCTCTTCCCTTTGATGGCTTCATTGTCACACTGGTAGCAAGATGACCTCAGTAGTTCCAGGCATCTCATCCAAACCTGCAACACCCAGAGGTGGAGAAGGTGCCATCTCTTCTGGTGTCTCTTTAGGAGCCAGTAAGCCTTTCCCATAACTCTCCCCCAATTCCTTACTCCATCTCACCCACCCTCAAAGGCTTGCCCTTATGCCTTATTGTCTGGAACTGCCAAAGGGAAAGAGAATGACATAACTAGCTTATAAATCAATCAGATTTTATCCTTGATCTAAACATAGGTCAAGTTCATGTCGATCATGTGGGCTTAATGGATTATTCTAAGTTATCTTTTACATAAATTCTAAGCGTACTATTGGCCTGTATTTTTCTTCACAAAGAAGATGAGGCCCCTGTTGGTGCTGATCCCCCAAAACAGAGCTGAATTAGAAGTGATCAGGACAGTGACTGGAGGAGGAGTGGCAATGCCTTGCTAAGATGCAAGCATGATGCTCTGTGTGTCTGTTCTCTCAAGTGTTACTGGGAAGAAATCTGGGGATTTTTAGAAGACACCTTTCTGCTTTCAGGTATCTCTATTTCCAGTAACAAAATTGGCATCTAGACTTTTTTTTTTTTTTTTTTTTTGAGATAGAGTCTCACTCTGTTGCCCAGGCTGGAGTGCAGTGGCGCAATCTCGGCTCACTGCAACCTCCGCCTCCCGGGTTCACGCCATTCTCCTGTCTCAGCCTCCTGAGTAGCTGGGACTACAGGCGCCTGCCACCACGCCCGGCTAATTTTTTGTATTTTTAGTGGAGACGGGGTTTCACTGTATTAGCCAGAATGGTCTCGATCTCCTGACCTCGTGATCCGCCTGTCTCGGCCTCCCAAAGTGCTGGGATTACAGGCTTGAGCCACCTCGCCCAGCCGGCATCTAGACATTTTTTAATAGGCATTTAGTAACAGTAACAAATATTATTGTTCATTTTATAGAATTTGAAGTCTTCTCAATCTAAGACTAGATTTTGGTTTTTTAAGGTATGAGGTTTTATGGATCTTTTTACTATCATGTAGGTATCTAAGAATTACATCATTTGTTTGACAAAAGCAGATAGCTAATTCCTTTAAAGTTAGCTATTTTAAAGTAATCTTCAATTGCTTTAATCTCAAATCATTTATACTCTACAGATAATTTATTTTTCTGTGATGAGCAGAAATAGTTTCATGCTGATTGAGAATGATTTTTGTTTGCCAGCATCCCTTTATCAAATATAGAGATACTTAAAAATATCTTTAGGTTTTACTTCCCTCCACCCCAACCCAAGACGTTTTGAAGGTAAAAAATCTGGCTCCCCCTTTGCCAAATCCACAAATATTTCTGTGAGTTGCTCTACAGTTTTCTTCTTTTTGAAGCTGGGTGTCAAGATATTCAGTATTCATTTATTAAGGACCTGCTATGTTAAGTGAGATACATTTTGGAGGAGGAAGGCCAGTTAACATAGAACCAGCATATAATAGCTTCAGTAAATTTTCTTTCCTCTCTGCTATGATACTCAAAGTTTTTTTGTGATATTGCAGAAAGTAAGACAAATCTCCTGCTTTAAGACAATTACAGCTAGGAGTTGGTTGGAGAGGTATTAATAGAAAAGGAGATAGGATGGTTAAAAACTAAGTAGATTGCATAAGATACATAAATAAAATACTCTTTCAGTGCTAAGGGAGAAGATCTGTATCTGAAAAGGTGTAAGAGAAGGTGGCACTTAGGAGTTCAGGTGAAGATCTGCCCCATTTGTTCATCTGTTGTGGGTGCCTAACAGGAGCTAGTCTGGTGCCAGGTCTGGCCAGAGGTGGATTCACTGGCCCCATTAGCTTTGTGTGCTGGTGTGCTATTTTCTTGTTTCCACTTTTAGTTGTCACCTTTTTGTTTTGGGTTGGTTTTTTGATACTTCTAAAGTCTGTGTTGCTTATTATTTCTTTTGCTCATGGAAGAAATGTAGGATAATGCTGAATTTACTCTGAATTTAGATCTTAGGGCAATTTGCTTTCTTACAGCAAGGAGGAAAGTGAATACTTTAATTTTTTAAATGTAGGAAGTTTACTATCTTGCAGAAAGACTGTTTCAAGATATTTCCTCATAAAAACGATATTATTAATTATGGAGTTGATTCCCAGACTAGCACAAGGAAGCTTACTCAACCCATAATAAAGCTGAAAACTCCATTTAGGTAACTGTGATAGTATGGTGATTTTGTAGCACAATAATAGCATAATTCACAAGGTTTATATGTACTCCTATTATTACAGTACGGAGTAGAGAACAATATTCTTGCAAACGTATAGAGTTCAAGCTATATTTAGGTCAGCTAGCTTTTTGTGGACTAGCTGGGACCCTATGTGTTACACGAAACATGATATTTAATTAACAAATGTGTTCCAGGTTCCCACTTTGGATTCCAGGTGAATACCTCCCTGTCACATCCATGGCAGCCTCAGGCCAACTAACCTGAAGAAAAGTAGCTCTGGAAATACTCTTGCCCTCCAGGTGCCATCCTTCGAACAGGGTGTAGGCTGGCTTTTTATATAGAGAGAATGTTCACAACTCAGGTGTTCATAACCCAGAGAATGCTTATATATATATAGTGGCCAGGATGGTTAAACTTAACTATATTTTATTCTTAGCTGTCTCAGGTTCAAGCATGATAGCATGTTCTTTTAGGCAACTTGCAGTCACCCATGTTCACTGCTGGAAAAGCTGAAAACATCCCTCTTTAAAGAATGAATCATAATCCAACTAGCTTTGCAGTTGGTCTCATATATTTAGTGAGCTTTCAGTCAGCAGGACTTTTTTTTTTTTTTTTTTACTATGTATCCCATAACATATGAATGGTAATATTTGTGGCTTATTCAAGGTACTGTATTTCCTTCCGCTCATGGGCAAGAGCTTATTTTTTGGCTGATCTCCTTTTGCAGAAGAGGCCAAGTTCCTGGTGGTGTTTGCTAGATATAGTTTAGGGAACTTAGTTCACAATAGCATAACTATGAACCCATGGTAATTTTTTTTAACCTATAGATTGGTTTTCGTATACCAAAAGGGGATAATCAGTGCAGATCGAAATAAACATTCATTTCTTATCACTGTACATGTAATACCACACTTCCACATGTTGTCTTCCTTAATCTCCTTCATCTTTGATGGAAAACCTCTTCCTTTTAACTACTCTCCATCAAGTTTTCTGTTGACTCAGGACAATACCCTAGCAGCCTTCACCCATAGAATAGGTGCCTCCTTAAAAGACTGGTTAAATGTTGGCTAAACTCTAGCAGTGATTGCTAGAAAAGAAAACAATGTTGATGTTTGGTCAGGGCTGGACAAAGGAACCCATCATCTATGTTTGGTCAAGCTCTAAGCTGTAAAGATAGTCTTTTTGTAGAGGAGACATGTGGCTCACTGGAGGAGGGAACCATTTGCTTCTGCAGGGAACTGCCACGGTTCCATATTATAAAGCATGAGTCATGGATGTCTTTGTGATTACACATCCTTCTTCACATATGTGGAATAAACTTTTAGAAAAAAAAAAGGAAGTTAAGGGAAAACAGAAGTGTGAATAACTGCTAATGGTGCTCTCACTGGCTCCATTCCGTCTGCTATTTCATGATACATAAAGGGAGTAGGTCAGAGATTCCTTTCCTGGCAAATAAGTGGCAACATATGTTTGAAACAGTGAATGGAAACTATAGGAGGAAAATGACAGGCATATGCAAAAGGAAGGCAAGGGAAAATTTGTTGCCCTAATGTTAGCCACATAATTGGTATGCTTTTCTAGAGAGAGGCTGTTTCATTTTAAACAGTCTGCATGCCCCATTAGTACAGCATTTCTGTGTGTGAAGTGTATATATTTTCTAGGCTTTGGGGATTTTGGTTTTTTTCATGAATGGTAGTCACCTTAAGCTACTGAGGCTTCATACAGAGTCCTTTGAGAGAAAGGTTCCCAAAAGAGAACGTAGTCAGGAAATAGGACCCTTTATTAAAGTAGTAAGAACAAAAAGAGAGGAAGTAGTTAACAACAACTATTTTGATGGGCTAAGAACAAAGGAACAGGCACCAAATTACTATCTTCTGGAGTGCTCTTCATTTAAATTATAATTCTACAATGATAGTGTTGATTCATTTGTTGCCATAGCAACCGAACCTTTGTTCAGTAGAGTTTTGAGATTCTATAAGGTTCCAGAGGACTAGGGTTTAACGGTTTTTGTTCCACAATATATTCATAAGCAATGTTGCCTACTAATAAATTGAAAGCACAGTGATTTTCTTTGAAAAAATAATTTTCATAACAAATCAGTGTATACAACGGGTGCTGAAGTCCATTTCCACTCACCTGTCATACATGGCTAATAAATAGAAAATGTATTTTCAGTCGCAAAATTTAATTATGGCCAATTGGAGAAAAGTGCTAGAGAGAATGATTTGTTTCTCAGAACAAATTTTTTTTTCTTTCTTTGCATAGAAATGATTGTGATTAAGAATATTGTCAACTTTTGGCCAAGCATGGTGGCTCACGCCTGTAATCCCAGCATTTTGGGAGGCAGAGGTGGGCAGATCACTTGAGGCCAGAAGTTCGAGACCAGCCTAGCCAACATAGTGAAACCCAATCTCTACTAAAAATACAAAAATTAACCGGGTGTTGTGGTGCACACCTGTAATCCCAGCTACTTGGGAGACTGGGGCAGGAGAATCGCTCGAACCCAGGAGGCCTCCGCGGGAGGAGGTTGCAGGGAGCCGAGATTGCACCATTGCACTCCAGCCTGGGGGACAAGAGCTAGACTTTGTCTCAAAAAAAAAAAAAGTTGGCTTACTTGTTCTATACCTTTGACAGTAAATACAGCTCAAAACAAAGCTAAGAAAAACAAGTGAAAGTTTGCCATTATATACCTCAACTAATTTGTGTTCATTTGCCTGACACCAAATTTTGAATTTTCTTTACTAGTTATTTTTTTAGATCTTGAGTAGTCTATATTCTCTAAGGCTTAATATTATTGCCAAGACAATGGGATGCCTTATGATGGAGTGCTGGGGTATCGTGTATTTGAGGAGAAATCCAGAATACTGAAAGTAGAAAACCAAAATTGTGTTTTTGAGATTTGGGAAGCAATGAGGTTCTGAGCTGGTTAGTTTATTATATTTTTTGTCATACCACTATCTCATATTTTACCTTGACCAGATGGGGATGTCCAGGATGGATGATGGTGATCATAGAGGGATTCTGTAAGAGAACTCCACTACAGAGAATCTCCTATAGTGTGTCAAAGCTTTCTGCTGAAATATATGTGGTAAAACAAATGACCACGAATATGTCCAGTGTTCATAGTTAAATGAAGTTTTCCATGTTTCTCGTCACCATGAATAATTGAGAACCAACTCTATTAAGAAAAGATATCCTACCTCCAATTCTGATTCCTCATACCAATGTTACATTTAATTTTCTCACATTGGTTTTTTTTTCTCCAGTTAGTCGTCAGAATGTATTTATTTTTAAATAGGCTTATCTAAGTTATTAGACTCTCAAGGAAACTTTCAAAAGCAGGCAGGCTTGGTTTAAATGTAGCTTATTTGAGGGTTTAGATATGATACAATATTTTTGTTGCATATTTTGACATTTTTGAAGGTTATTTGGAAAAAAAGTATATCTTTATATTGTAGGTAGCATTATTTTTAGAGCTGTATTGTAGGTGTATGGAATGAAAGATTGCAAACAAATTATACTATATGGAATTACACAATGACCAGGGCCTGTGTTTGTCTTGATTCATAAGCCCAACTTCATCTTTTCATTCCATTATAAATAGAAACCTGGAAAGATCAGCTAAATAAAAATTATGTTTTGTGGTGACAAATTTCCATCTGGAATTATGACATGCACCCACTCACACATTAAAAATATATGTGCAAGTCAAGCGCGTTGGCTCATGCCTGTTATCCCAGCACTTTGGGAGGCCGAGGTGGGTGGATCACCTGAGGTCAGGGGTTCAAGACTAGCCTGGCCAACATGGTGAAACTCTGTCTCTACAAAAATACAAAAACTAGCTGGGCATGATGGCGGGTGCCTGTAATCCCAGCTACTTGGAATGCTGAGGCAGGAGAATCACTTGAACCCAGGAGGCAGAGATTGCAGTGAGCCAAGATCATGCCATTGCACTCCAGCCTCGGCAGCAGAGCTAGACTCCATCTAAAAAAAAAAAAAAAAAAAAAGTGCATTTTTCACATCATCCTAGCAGTTTTGTTTTTGCTTTGTTTTAATAAGGCTTGAACTATTACATATGAATACCAGAAGAAGGTACAATTGAATGAGGTATATTGCATGAACACTGAC
Source organism: Homo sapiens (assembly GCF_000001405.40). Classification (NCBI taxonomy): domain Eukaryota; kingdom Metazoa; phylum Chordata; class Mammalia; order Primates; family Hominidae; genus Homo; species Homo sapiens. The sequence continues at coordinate 99,898,907 of NC_000003.12, forward strand.
TCTGAAGCTCTAATCGAAGTTTAGCTTTATTTCAAACTACTCTCTTATTAGATACTTATTAATACCAATCAAATTTCTGTTGCTAGTTTCATCACCTGAGAAGGCTGGAACACACATACTGAAAAAAAAATGTGGTTATTCCTCCTTATTAGGACCTCAAAGACAGCTACAGTGAATGTGCTTTGATTATATTAGATGGAGATTTTATGTGTGCATTTATTTAGAGACTTAAACTGGGAACTCATTTCTTTTTATCTAAAAATATCTTTTAAAAGAATGTAGTTTCTGATGTTCGTTGATCTTTATTTTGCATCATATAAAGAGTCTGCTCAGTTTTATTTTGAACAGGACACTTGGTTATAATTTTCAAAAGCAGATTTTTGGTTTCCAATACCAAGTTATTACACTTTATGGGTGTTTTGGTCATTTCTTATTATGATGCATTCCTTTAGCCTTAATGAGCATAACTAATGCACTAGAGTTAAAAATGGAAATCTCATATTTTAAGATCATATTGGAAATTATTCTACCTAAATCTTTTTACAAAGTTTTCCATGAATTATATTAATGACACAACTAAACAAGTTATTGTATATAAAGGATTTAGTTTTTTTGTGAGATCTAAATGGTAGCTGTTGTGATTGCTGTTGTTGCTTTTTTCTAGCAGTTTCCTAACCCCTATTGCATTCTTCAGCAAACTATTTCTAGGACAAAGTACTAGGAATCTGACATAAAGTACACTGTTCCTGAAATTGTTATGATAGATGCTTTGGACTCCCACCTCCTTGATTGTGATTCCATTATGGTCCACCTTCAGGGCATCTTTTCTTAATGCACATTAACTCCCAGGGTGATGAACCAGACTCCCTGGGTTTGCATGTTGAATTGCATAACTTCTCTGTGCCACCGTTTTCTCATCTGTAAAATGGGAATGGTGAGAGTACCTTCCTCATAGGGTTGTTATATTTAAATGAGTTACAAACTTTAAGTGCTTAGAGTAGGGCTTAACTAGTTAGCTGTTACTAGTACATTCCTAAGGTGCTAAATACGGTGTTCTGGTTCTACTGGATCTTTGAAATCGTATAATTCTGAGGTCAGAACCAACTTGTCAGGACTTTAGGATGAAATAAATATAAATGTATGTGAAAGCGATTTGAAAAGTTAGTATGTAATACATATCTAGAACAGTGTTTCACACATAGCAGGTATTCAGTAAATATGTATTGGATGAATTAATTTAAAAATTAAAAATATTATATATAATGGTGATATCATTAGTAAAATTTATGACTACAGGATGGAAGTCAAAACCACTCAACCTCCTTGAGTTTGAGACAGAATATTCAACTCATCTACATTGATGAGGTGCAAAAAACAAAGATGGTGATGATGAGGATATTAATAACAACTAACACATACCTGGTGCTTCTTGTATGTTAAACACTATTTTTAACCCTTTATATTGATATAAATTAATTCATTTAATCTTTACAGCAGCCCTATAAGGGTTATCCCCATTGAATAGATGAAGAAACTGAGTCTCTAAGAGGTCATAAATAACCAGATTTCAGATGAGATAGAGTGCGTTCAGGGTGGTATGGCCATAGACAAGATTTCAAACCAAGGAAGTTTGGCCCCAAATGCCATACCTTTAGCCCTATGTTATAACTAAGGTGTAATTTCATAAAAGTTATTTGTTCCAACCATTTCTTCACACACTTAATATTCATCAGAACTTCCATAAAGTACCAAATGGGCTGATCATTGTGTAATCTTCCCTCTTTCTTCTTTTCCACGCAAGTCTTAAGTGCTGATACTCAAACTGAGCTGCACGTTGGAACTACCTGGTGTGAGCTTTTAGCACAGTTGCTGTTTCAGCCTCAGAGATTCTGACCTAATTGATGTGCCCCGGTTATCAGGTTTTTTAAAAGCTTCTCTGGTGATTCTTACATGTAGCAAAGTGTTAGAAGCACTGATCTAAAGGAAAATGAAATTGGCCTAGGCCCTAGAGTATGCCTGAGGGGAAGGGGCATGATGGTAGTAGGATCTGGACCCTGGAGAATCCAGGAGTTGAAACTCAAGCCAGTTTGCTTTGCTTCTTATTGATAATTATGAAGGCAGGCAGGGAATACTGGGTGGAAATACTGGATAACATTTGGTGTGGAATTTACCAAAGGATTAAACTGTATACAACATTCTTTTAACTTGTTATTTAATACAAATCAAGTAAGCTTTAGTATTGCTTTAAGGATTGGGTCTTAGATGGTCATTACAAATCTTCAGGAAAGTGTTGTTTAGAAAAACAAAATGGCTACACGTTGAAATAGGATAGTACCTTCCTTTAGAGATGCCAACTTAATTGCTCCAATGAGAAGAGTAGTCTCCCTTTACTAAACTGTTTAGGAAAATTGATATTTATTTCTAATGTTTATGGTTTGTTGTCTCAGAAGATTAATGCCAAATCCTCAAAAATGTAGTGACAAGCGATGACTCATTTTAGCTCATGTCAAAACAATGCACTTTTGTAATTTTCCTGTCCCTGGAGAAGCTATTAAACACTGAACAAAATGCCTCAGAATGAAACTGATTGAGTGTTTCAAATTATGTACTTTTGCTTGGCTATTAGCCAGATGTTCGTCGGGAAAGCTCACTGTACATCAAGGCCTATGATTTGTGCTGACAATAATATTACATAGTTTACACTGCTTAAATATCAGCGATGTGTATTCTAAAGCTAAATAGTCAAAGTTCAGTCTCTTTGCATAATCAAGTTGTGTAACTCTACTCTCAGCCAAGTGATTTTTCCTTTATTAACTCTGGACGGGATGTAAGTAATGGGTAAGGTATTTTTCTCTGCATTATCTTGTTGATAAATAGCACAGATTCCAGCTAGGTTAGGAAGAGTCTCAACACACACACATACACACACATTTTTAAGATTTATACATTTGATTTTTTTGTGAGTGGTACCACCTGCCTTGTCCCTAGTAGAGCTCAGCATAATGTTTTTTGTGTAGTAGGTACACAAAATATGTGTTGCTGATAATGATGCCAATAAACAAAACAAAACACAGAGTGTTTTTTTCATTAATTTCCTATAATCTGCCAGTAATATATGAGGTCTTACAAGAATCAGTGTTAAGCCAACTATGTTTTATTTTTTAGAGACAAAATATTTAAATGATTGGCTTGCTTTCACTGACCTCCTAAGTAATAGAAATATTCATGATGTTATATTAGACATTTGTGGAGGACAATAAAATTAGTGTAACTGACTCTTAGTATTCGAGACATTCTTAGTACCATGTGACATTTTTTTGAGTAGGAATTTGGGGGCATGGTCTCTTGACAACCAAAAGTATGAGGTTACTCATAACAGTTTCTATTACACCCAGCACCTGGGAAAGAGTCAGTGCTGAATAGATATCTGTTGAATTGAACTGAATTGAACAGATATTCAACTCATTCTCATTTGCTCATGTTTTACAAGAAGCAGTTTCTCAGATGCATTTCCATGGGAGGACATGAAAAAAGGTAGTGAAAATGAAATACCTTCTGATTCTATGGCATGGTAATAGGAAGTTATCTTGATATATAAGGGTATCTAGCTGTCAGCTCATTCTGAGGAAATGGTGTGAAGGGTAGTAATTCAAACTATATCTGAAAACTATAGTTTTGATCCAGGGAAGAAACCTTGGATTATAGTCCATTGTTACCAGTAGACACTGGACAACCAAAAAGATTAACAAGTCAACAAAATGCTTGTCAGGAAGAGATTCACACTAAATCAATAGTGTGATCTTATTTTTTATTAAAAATCAGGCATATCCATGTTATGCTTTCTACTATTCTAGTTGCCTGTCATGGAAAAGGTTTAACAGAATTTGGAGGTTACACAGACAGAATGGTAATGGGGTAACTTCCATGTGAAGATAGTCTGAAATTTAGATGATAAATTGATAGATTAAAGAGGAAAAAAATCTATGAAAGTGATTTATTTAAAGCAACTAAAATCTATAAAATCATAAGCAGTGTGGCAGGACAAATACTCCTGTTCACCTAAACCTAGAACTGTTAGAATCTGAGGTTTCATGATTAAGGATATAAACAAATGGTCAAACTTCTGGGTTTAATTCCTTTCCTGCCCATTTATACTTTTGTGTCCCTAGGTACCTTATTTATCATCTCAGGCCTCAGTTTCTTCATCTGCAAAATGCTGCTTATAATAGTAACTCTCTCATAGGGTTGTTATGAGGATTAAAGTTTAAGAGAGAAGCACTTAAAACAGTAGCTGGCACGTCATAAATCTGTGTGTATTCATACATGTGTGTATATGTATACACATATGCATGTTTTTTTTTTTGAGACGGAATCTCGCTCTGTCACCCAGGCTGGAGTGCAGTGGCGTGATCTCAGCTCACTGCAACCTCCGCCTCCCGGGTTCAAGCAATTCTCCTGCCTCAGCCTCCTGAGTAGCTGGGATTACAGGCGCCTGCCACCACACCCAGCTAATTTTTGTATTTTTAGTAGAGACGGGGTTTCACCATGTTGGTCAGGCTGGTCTCGAACCCCTGACCTCGTGATCCACCTGCCTCGGCCTCCCAAAGTGCTGGGATTACAGGCGTGAGCCACCGCGCCCGGCCATGTATGCATGTTTTAAAGAATTTTCCATATGGGTTAGGTGGACCAAAAAAAAAGTAGGTTTAGAAGAATTTTGATAGATTTATGGATGATTCCAAAAATTGGCTGTTAGGAGTAATTCATTTTTTAAGCTTGCATCTTAACAGGACCCTACACAACATCCTTGTAGCTACCATGAGAAACTGGGACCCTGGGCTGGTTGGATCAGTGACGTGGCCCCCAAAAAAGTGTGTCTTTTTTTACTAAGATGCTTCATATAGAAAACTACACAATGCTCTTTTCTTATTTCTGAGGCAGAAATAAGAAATAATAGAGCTGTCGTCCCCTGCTGCTTCATTTAATGGTACTCATTTGTCCTAAATAAAAAACTCTTCATTTGGTAATAGAAAAATATGGCTTCAAGTAATAGAAACAAGCCCAAGCTAATTGAGTTAAGCAAGATCTCTGGCCAGGAAGAGTAACTGTTGAGATATGCATCTTGTTTTTCTAAGCAAACACTCCTATTTCAGAATCTGATTGGACCTTAAAATCTGCTTACCTGGTTTAAGCTGCCCAATTTTCAGACAAGCACTTTACATTTCTGGCAATAGTGAGTGTGATGAATGTTTTTGTTATTATTGCTCTTAATGATAAGTGTATGGCTTTCATTACAATAAACAAAGGTCTATAAGGGCCATAGGCCAGATTGTTTCACCATTAGAATGTGCTTATTTTATTTTCATCATTTGCTAGTATTTTTGTTCCTAATCTTGGAAGAGATCTTTCAGTAGGGAGAGAAAACATTGCTATCCAATCAAGTATTTGTAACCATTTTCAGTAGTAGAATCTGCCTGGCAAAAATTTATTTGGTTTCTATGAAGGCAGTGTTTTCAGCCCTAGCATTTTTGAATTATCAAATTAAAATAGAGCTTTTTAAAAATATATTTACTATGCTTCTTTAGAATAGGATATTCCATTAAAATGAGGTCAAAGAGCCTTCCAAACATTAATTCTTGTTATTTTGACATCTTTTTATTTCAAACATAGTAAGCCTTGAGGTTTCCTTACTTTTCTCTTTTTTTTGTTTTTTTGTTTGTTTGTTTTTACTTTTCTTTATGGCTGCTTATTGCCTTCCAGTCAATTTTAGATTCATGCTAATTTTACCCCATTATCACTGTAGCAACTACCTCCTTCTTGCCTCCCACACCCACTTCTCTTCTGCGAGACTTCGTTCTATCCATCCTCTTTTGCTCTAGAATCTTCAATCTCAGTTGGCTTTTCCCCCTAATTTCACTGTTTCTACAAGTGACCAGCCTCTCTCTTTCCTACCAGTCCTTGGCAAACCTCTTGAAGGAGTATTATTACACTCTTTACGTCTACATCCTCACCACCTTCTTTGGGTCCTTGAAGTCAGGTTTCAGTGTCTACCATTCTGAAGAAATTGTTCTCTCAGAGGTCATTGGTGGCATCCTCAGATCCAAAAGCCTTCACTCTGACTTCATCCTCTGCCACTGCTCCATGCCAGTTAACATAGTTGACTGCCTGGTGACTCCCACTGGTCTTTCCAAGTTCTCTTTCTGTTTCATAGACTGCTTCTTGTCTACCTTCCTAGATAGCTTATCCCCCTTTGAATGTAGGCATTTGCCAGGACAGGCCAACTCTTTGCTTTCCACAGTATTTCTCCCCTGGGACTATCATCTACTACTGTTTCAACTTCCCTTCTGTGCTGAAACTCCCAAATTTTTACCTTCACCACTGCTGGCCTGAGTTCCATCTAGTCCCATGTGTGCACTTACTCCTAGATATCTCACCAGTTCCTCAACCACAGGATTCCAAAGCCAAACTCTCTTGTCCTCTACCAGTCTTCTAATTGCTCTTACTAGGACTAATCTTCTTGTCATCAGGGCCCACAGCAATTGCTGGTCTAGTCTTTGTATGTCTTGCATCTTTAGAACATGTAACATACTCCATTTTACATCTTATAGCATAATCATTATTTCTCCATTTTTCTCGTTTATTGAGGTATAATTTATTTTTACTAAATGTGCACAAATATTAAGCATACAGATTGATACACTTTTACATATGTGTGTACTATATAGTCTCTATCCAGATTAAGTTATAGAATATTTCCAACTCTGCCACTAGCCTCCTTTGTGGCACATTCCAGTTGATATCCACTTTCTTACTGAGAGGTTGCCACCATTTGATGTCTATTACTGTAGATTAATTCTGTCTGTTTTGGACTGCATGCATGTGGACTCTCATATTAATGGAAATGCAACTTCATATAAATGGAATTTACATTGCCATCAGAAATGTATGCAAACTCTAGTTGCTTCACTTCTTTAACATTTGGTAATATCTTTTTATTTAGCCTTTCTGGCCAGGCGCAGTGGCTCATGCTTGTAGTCCCAGCAGTTTGGGAGGCTGAGGCAGGCAGATCACTTGAACTTAGAAGTTCAAGGCCAGCCTAGAAAACATGGAGAAACCCTGTCTCTACAAAAAATACAAACATTAGCTGGGCATGGTGGTGCATGCCTGTGGTCCCAGCTACCTGCGGGGGCTGAGGTGGGAGGATCGCTTGAGCCCAGGAGGCAGAGGTTGCAGTGAGCGGAGATCGCACCACTGTACTCCATCCACCCTGGGTGACAGGGCCAAGACCTTGTCTCTAAATAAGTAAATAAATATTAGCCTTTCTGGTAGGGCTGTAGTACTCCCTCGTTGTAAATTTAATTTGTATTTCCCTGATGATTTATAATGTTGAAACTCCCTTTCACATGCTTATTTGCATATTCTCTTTAAGGCCCCTTCAAGTCTGTTTCTTTTATATTGGGTTGTCAGTCTTATTTTTTATTAAATTATTGGTTTATAGGAGTTGTTCATATATTCTGTATGTGAGTCTTTTGTTGGTTATACATAAGCAAATATCTTCTCCCAATCTGTAACTTGCCTTTTCATCCTGTTGTTGTATTTTGATTAACATAACTTATTTATTTCAATAAAGTCTTACTTTTTTAACCTTTTATGATTGGTGACTTTATGTTCTTTTCAAGAAATTTTTAACTTCTTCAAGGTCATGAAGATAAAACTGAAACACAGAAAGGTTAAGTGGTTTGCACTAAGATTGTGGCAGACTGAGTTTTCCTCAAAACTTTAATTGTCCCCCTCTTCCTGGGTATATGGCTGCCCAACCAGACATTTCTAGCTTTTCCAGTACTGAGAAGTGGCTATGTGAGTTTGGATTGGATCATTGAACTATAAGTAGAAGAGATGGTCATCCCTAACTTGAAAGCAAGACACTTTTCATGTATTTTGCCATTTTCCCCACCCATGCCCTAACTCCCTACCATGCCCTATAACAGAGATATGGTAGAGTTTCAGTATTGATCATGTGGATGAAGACAACTCTGAATGGTTTCATGGAGCAGAACGACTTTTAAGTTTATTTAAATAATATTTAAGTTTATTTAAATAATGTTTAGATAATTTAAAACTTGTTTGAATAATTAGAGTATATTTAAACCTAAATAAACATATTTTTGGGACTCTTACTGTTATTTAGACTTCAACAAATACACAGAGTTGGTTAGCATATACTGGAAGCAGCCCTTCAACTCAGATCTTCAGCTTCTTGTACTCTTAATACTTTGTCACGTTATCATAGTGCTGATGGAATGGTGTGGAATAGTTATCTTAACTACCTATTACCCTTTTAATTTTCTTTTTTATTTTTTTTGAGACAGAGTCTCACTCTGTTGCCCAGGCTGGAGTGCAGTGGCGCAATCTCAGCTCACTGCAAGCTCCACCTCCCGGGTTCATGCCATTCTCCTGCCTCAGCCTCCCCAACAGCTGGGACTACAGGCGCCCACCACCACGCCCAACTAATTTTTTGTATTTTTAGTAGAGACAGGGTTTCACCATGTTAGCCAGGATGGTCTTGATCTCCTGACCTCATGATCCACCCGCCTCGGCCTCCCAAAGTGCTGGGATTACAGACGTGAGCCAACGCACCTGGCGTACCCCTTTATTTTGACATCTGCAGCTCTTTGCTGAACATAACATTGCACCCATAGCTTCCACTGTTTTTTCACATTATGTGTACTTAAGCCAAACCATATTCCTTGCTTTTTCCTGAATTTGATTGCTCTTTTTGCCCTAATCCCCTTCCCTTATGCTATTAAGTCCACCTATAATGATTTTTGTGTTCCCTTCTCTTTTTCTCCTTGTCTGAACTATGTCTGTCTTTTAATGTGCAACGCTAATGCTATCTGGATCCATTAGGAGATCAAGCCATTCCTGATCCCCTAATCAGTGATCACCTCTTTTTCCACCACCTGAATGCTTTTCTCCTCCTGAGGGCAAGGGCCATATGTGTGATCCAGTGCCTGGCACATGGAAGGAACTCAGTAAGCATTTTGAAATGAATGAATAAATGAACTAGATGATAAGTAAATTTTTCAGGTACTGAAACTGTGTATTGAATATTTGTAAATATTGATCTGGTCATGCAATGAGCATGGCCAAGGATTTTTAAACTGTCCAATTGTTTTTGTGTCTTCTCTGTCAGTGAAGTTCTAACTCGGCAGTTCTGAATCAGCAGAATTTCTGTGCTGTATCACTTTCATCTTCCATAACATAGCCCATGCAGCTGGATATGTCAGTACAAATTGCTGACATAGTATGTCCATTACCTAATTTGACCTTTTAGCAAATAAGACCTTTCTATTATAAAGTGAGAAGAGGTATATGTGGAAAAAGAGATGCTATTTTCTATTGAAGGCAGATGATTTGACTTAGACAACTATGTGACAACTGGCTTCACTCGTGTTCTCTTGGCATCTTAAAAGAACATTTGAACCATATTTGAAATACCATTATGTTCCTATCTGCAAGTTCCACTGTTGGAGATTCTCATTCAGTATGTTTGGGGTTGGGCCCAGGAATCTATACTTTTAAGTGTCTCCCCAGGCAATAATGATGATCACTTAGGTTTGGGAACCACTGGCAAAGAAGTGTTAAGAGCTCAGATATGAGAGTCCTTGAGGCCTAATTCTCCTCTCCAGTTACTAGCAGTGTGATCTTGGGAAAGTTACTGTCTTTGAGCTTCTTCAGGGTGATTATCTGAATATTATGTGGACAATAATATTACCTCCTTTAAAAGGTTGTTAGGAGGATTAAATGAGATAATCTACTGTGCTTAGCACAGTGTTTGACAGTAAATATTTAATTAAATGTAATTGTTATTATCACTAATTATCAAGTTATTTACAAGAGACCTTTCTTTGTATTTTTTGTATAGAATATACAAAATAGAATCTACCATCTACAAAAAAAAATTCCTATTGTGTGTGTGTGTGTGTTCTTTCTTTTAATGGGAATCTTAATTAGCTTCAGGGATTTAGTTAAAATTCTGTGTGAGATTACTCTGACCCCATTTACTCTTTGTGAATAATTTACCAGTTAACAACTCTATACTTAAAAAAATTATTGGAGAACCTTTGTGTGTGCATGTGTGTGTGCACAGGCCATCAAAGGAATGCTTACCTGGAAAATGTAAGAACCAAATGTTCTAGTGCAGCATTTCTTGAACAAGTAGATGGCTAAAGTGTCATAATTTAGGAGCTTCAAGTTGAGGCTATGGGTGAAAGACATGCAGGGAGACACCTGTTTCAAGTTCTGGCCTCTTCTCATAAAATTAATTTTCTGTCTGATCCAATACCAAACAGAAAATGGAGCAGAGGTACTCTGAGCTAGGGTTTGGTGGTGCTACCTGCAAAATAAATTGAATTTTGATTGTGTGTATACACTGTACCATGTGCTTGTGTATGTTTCATATATATCCATGTAGGAATGATGTGGAAGCCTTGGGTCAGGTGAGGGGGTCTGGGGTGTGGGTGGAGTCATGGTATCAAAAGGAGTTAGAGCCACCCCTTGTACAATAGTTACTTGTTAACAAATTTGTGAATAATGAAAAGTCAAATTTTCCTGCAGACATAATCATTCATGGCAAGGGCAAGATTTCTTTTAGGTGAAGCAGAAACTCTCTAGAGTAAGAGAATGAGTAGATTTACTTGAAAAATCTTTGCATAAAGAAATAATAATACTGCTAATAATAGGGTATCAAGTGTGTCATGTTTTTCATCATACAGATGAAAAAAGTCCATCACACTGCTAATTTTATTTAACTCATAATAACTTAAAGTTGCTATCAGTTATAGTTAATTTAGATAACCTCAGTGTATATTTTGCCACATTTTTATTCCATTTCCATTCAACTGCCTATTGAATTCTGAAATTGCATGGAGAGTAGGTGATGAAAGTCACAGTCTGCAACCCCTTTCCTGTTCTTTCACTTGAGTGAACCCTTCATATTCAGAGTTCATTTATCATTGTCAACAAGAGCTGTTGTCATCTGACCAAAATGAGTGAGAAATTTCAGTTCTCGGGGCAAAATGTGTATTCAGAGCTGAAATTTTGTTTAAGAATAAGGCTGATTACTTAACAGTGAAGGGCTTCAGTGTGGGGTCAGCTCACCCTCATTGCACTTTCAAGTATAATATTAGGTATTCTTAGATGTCCAGAACCTGTGAAATTCTTAATAGAGTTGGTTTATACGTAATTTCTATTCTTTGACTTACAAGAACTTAAATCTTGTCTAAAAACCTGTATGGATTTCAAAGGCTTAGAGAGGATTAAAAGGCTATAAAAATTTAAATAACTTCATCCAGTGAGTATGTTTACCTAAATGTGTCATCAAACTTCTCAGCTTTCTGGTTAGAAAACTGGTTTGGGACACACTGACTCACACTGTCGACTGATAGAATGCAAACACATTCAGAATTCTCCTGGCAAGACTAATGTAACAAAAACAGGGTTCTGTGAGCTTTTAGAGGTGAAATGTTTCATTTCTTTAATAAATCTTCCTATCACTGAGAGCTTTTAAAGTAAACAAACACATGTCTTCACAGTTGTTAGGTGCTAGGTGAAGTGGCAGATGCATGTTGTTATATCCAGTACCCCTTACCACTTTCCAAGGAAACAATTTTTGTAGGTAACCTGGGGAGTATTATGTTTTAGCCCTTAGGCTGAAAAAAAGTAATACGCTATAATTCTAACTATTATCTCCATATGTAAATAAACATTTTATGGGGTTTATATTTTCCCTTTGGCCTATAGATCTCAAATTCTTTGCCCAAATAGTTACCCATACTCTTCTCAGAACCCTCATGCAAGAAAGTAGATAACTAGAATATTTATGCCCATTTTATAGATGGAAGCATCAACACATAACTAGTGTTATTTTTTTTAATGTTGCCCAAGAAACTTGGGCCCAAACTCAAACAATGGCCAAAGGCAGTTATATTCTCTAAGTAAGGTTAGCTGAGCAACCCTTTTCAAGGATGAAGAGATGGAGACTGGCCTGTCTTCTTGGCAGAGCTCAGGTTACAGTTGAAATAAATAGACGCTCCTGTTTCTTTCTCTTTTCCAGTTGGTTATATCTCATTGCCGTTTGTTCATTCACATGTTGCTGTAATTAGCCAATTTTAGGCTAGGCAAAGGGATTAGGTAGCGCATTACACACCCACATCTCCCTTTCTGGGATTTAGGATGAAATGAGATTTATTTTTCCATTTGCTTCAGCCAAATGGAAATGTATTTCTTCAATCCTATTTGGCTGTAAAGTAAGTTTTTATCAGGAAGTTGTACAATAATGGATAATGTGAAATCCATTTCTCTTGGGTGTTTTGCTCGTAATAGTTTTCTGGTTGTTGTTTTTGTTATTATATATTATATAATATATATTATATGTTATTATAACAAAATAATAAGTATTATTATTGTTAAGTTGTTTCCAAATTTGACTCTAGACACACTTAACACAAGGCCTGTATACACTCTAGGTTCTCTAACAACTTGCCAGTGGTGGGTTGAGATTTTTCTGCATGACGAATGTCTCATGGTCTCAGGATAAAGGGGAAATCCAAGGTTGTGGCATACAGGGTCTGTATGCCCTGGCTCTAAAATACTCATCCTCACCCGAGGCTTAACTCCATAAATTTATCTTTTTAATGTACCTGTGAGTGCATTTCTCTGCCTGCTAAGTCTACTCAGCCTTGAAGCTAATTGCTGCCTGCTGGGAAACCTTCACATTCGCTCCCTGCAGAGCTAATCCATCTTTCTAATCAGATCCTTGAGCACTCTTGTACATGCCTCTGTTACAGCTCACAATTAATTAACTCATTCTACTTATGTTTCCACCTGGGCCTCAAAGACAGGATCCATGTCTTCTTCATTATTTTTTTTTCCTAGTTCCTAGTTCCAAGCATAGTGTTAAGTTAAATGAAAGAATGGATAACAAATATCCCCCATTTTCTCTCTTTTCACATATAACCAAAATGTTCGTTCTCTCTTTTTTTTTCCAGCAAATAATCATTTGCTTTCAGTTCCAAGTCTTTATTCTTTGCTTCCTAATAACATTAAAAGTTTTAATTTTTAGAGTGTTAAGAACACAGTGAAACTTTATCTCATGAGAAATCTACATTATCATCAATAGTTTTATATCTATCTTGTTGGTCATTTAAATCAATCAAGTTATACATCCATACTGACCTTTTTGGTTTTATTCAGCCATAAAAAGGAATGAAGTATACTGATACATGTTACAACATGTCTGAACCCTGAAAACATTATTTTAAGTGAAAGAAAACAGGGACAAATAGCTACATCTTGTATGATTCCATTTATGTGAAATGCCCAGAATAGGCAAAACCATAGAGACAGAAAGGAGATCAGTGGTTTCTAGCGGCTGTAGTGTCACTGCTTAATGGGCACAGGGCTGCTGCTTCTTTTTTCTGTTTTTCTTTTGAGACAGGGTCTTGCTTTGTTTCCCAGGCTGGAGTATAATGGCGTGATCTCGGCTTACTGCAGCCTTGACCTCCCTGGACTCAGGTGATCCTCCTACCTCAGCCGCCCAGGTAGCTGGGACTGCAGGTGCATGCCAGCACACCCAGCTAAATTTTGTATTTTTTGTAGAGATGAAGTTTTGCCATGTTGCCCAGGCTGGTCTCAAACTCCTGGGCTCAAGCAGTCCACCTGCCTCAGCCTCCCAAAGTGCTGGCATTACAGGCATGAGCCACCGCACCTGGCCCACAGAGCTTCTTTTCAATTGACAAGTAGTATTCCATTACATGGATATACCACAGTTTTGTTTATCCATGCCTCAGTTGATGGACATTTGGGTTGTTTTCACTTCTTGACTATCATGAATAATGCTGCTGTGAATATTTGTGTACAGATTTTTGTGGACATGTGTTTTCATCTTCTTAGGTGTGTACCTAAGAGTAGAATTGCTGAGTTGTATGGTAACTGCAATGGACTGAATATTTGTGTCCCCCCAAACTCTTATGTTGAAATCATAACTCCCAATGTGATGGTATTAGGAAGTGGAGCCTTTGGGAGATAATTAGGTTTTGAGGTTAGAGGGGCATTCATGAATGGAATTAGTGACCCTCATAAGAACTTTCTCACCCACTTTCCACCACGTGAGGAAACAAGGAGACGACAGCGGTTTACAACCCAGAAGAGGGCCCTTACCAGAATACTTCTAGCACCCTCATCTCTGACTTCCACCTTCCAGAACTGTGAGAAATAAATTTCTGTTGTTTACAAGCCACCCAATCTCTGGTATTTTGTCATCACAGCCCCAGCGGACTAAGGCAATAATTCTACACTTAACTTTTTGAGGAACTGACAGACTATTTTCCAATGCACCATTTTACATTACTACACAGCAGCATATGAGGGTTCCAGTTTCACATCCTTGTCAATACTTGTTATTATCTTTTTGATTAAAGTTATCGTAGTGGATATGAAGTGGTATCTCTCTGTTACCAGTGATTAACCTATTTCTAAAGGAAAGTAGAAAGTAAGAGGCATTTGAAGTTACTGAGAATCAATTAACCAAAGAATGTTTAATAGGAAATAAAAAGGATACAATCTAAAGCTCATAAGGTGGCCTGGCTAAATGAATTGCATCTATAAAATTGAATAATATGCAACCACTTAAAAAAAGAATAGAAAAAGTATTGTATGATCTTCATGAATTGCTGATATATGCTTGTAATAATCTTTTTAAAGATAAATACAAGAAACTATTCATGGTGGATTATCTTTGAGGAGTAGGAAGTGAGAGCAGGGCTATGTGCGTGACCCTGAAGCATATATGCAAGATATAGTGTGAAAAAGCTGTGAGTTGGAAATTACTTATTTTTAAGAAAAGAAAAAACGTAGAAAACACATATTCAGTCTCATGAATCTTGCTAATGCGTTTCTTCTGAAACATCTTCTGAAGCTACAAGTTTGTCAGGCATCTCGGATATTTCAGAGTGTTACTGAGAAATTCATGGAAATAAATGGAGTGTATGTGTATGATAAGTAGGGAGGAAATTTAAAGAAGTGAGGATTGGCAAGTAGAAATTGAGTTAAATAGGAAACTGATAAAGAATTCTCAAACACTCCAAACTAACTGAATTTAAATTAGAGAGGGAATTTGGCAAAGTGGGCCTTAGATCCCACTATTTTCAACAAATCAGACTTTTCAGGACCATGTAGGGCCAGTACTGAGTGTTGTGAGCTGTTGCCAAATATGTCATGTGGTGAGAAAGGTAAGCCAGGATCCTGGATTTGGACTCTAAGACTTGATATAGGATATATGAAGGAGGAAGCCTCAGACATTTCAGAGAATGAGCAATGGAAGTTTTTTTATTTTTGGAAGACCAGTGATGCTAGGCCATGAGAACCTGAATTTGATAGGGAAAAGGAAATATACTGAAATTATATTGACAAGGTGAAAATACTCTTTCAATAAAATGTTATAATCTTTAAGTGTGTTTTTGATATGTTAGATTTTTTTTTCCAGAAGTAACACATCTCTAAACAAAGCCCAAGTCAGTGGGAAAGTCTGATTCATGTCATTAACATTCACTTTATACTCTTTACAACATCATATCATGTTTAAATTGAGGTCAGATTCAAGACTAGTCTCAGGTAAAGTTATAAAGTAAGAAATTGGTTCTCTTCTTCATTGTTAGTAATGGTATAAATATCTTTTACAGAAGGCAGTTTAGCTATAGGTTTTATAACTTAAATAGGTTCATAACTTTTGACTTAGCAATTTCACATATAAGAATTCTAAAACAATAATCAGAAAGGCATAAAAATTCATTGGAATGTGAGGCCATTCAGGATAGAGTTCTTTATACTAGTGACAAAGGAGGAATATAAATGCCCACAACAGAGAATTTGCTAAATAAGTTGTGATGCACCTGTGTGATACAGTAGTATTCATCTACTTTCATTGTGATGTAGAGTAGTTGGTGATTTGGGAAAATGGTCATGATGTTTTTGTTAGTGAAAAAATATTGGATATAAAAACTGCAATGTATGAATTGAGTGAGTTGTTTTTAGTGATTAGTTAATGTCTCTGATGTGTTTAATCTTAAAATCCCCTTTTAGGATCATTTTTTTTCTTCTAGCTCCATGATAAGGGCACCATATGCTCTTAATTCTGCCTTCTTGGGGATAGTCCCAATGCTCTTAAGCTCATTCTGCTTTCCTCATCAAAATGGGCTTGTCTTATATCCCATTCTCCCATGACCATGCTAACCGAAGGGAATGAATCCAGAAGCTAATTCATGATGAGAGATTAATGGAAAATAATAGATTAAAATGTAGCCAACTTTTCCTACATTTCATTCACTCATTCAAAAAAAATATTTATTTTACCTCTCCCATACTCTTGGTCCTGTGGAAGGGGCTGTGTAACAAAATATATCAAAAGTAAGCCCGCTTACCTTAGAGTGGGAATATTTGATTTTTCATAATAACTTTAGACAAGAAGATGCAATTAGTGTGAGGATTTTTGACAGTGGCAAGCCAGAGAAGCATTGGAGACTTTGGATGTACTTAAAAACCCTCACTTTGGTTCAGTCTTGATTTCGCATATTTGGAAGGCTACATTTTTCATAATACCACCAAACTAACATTTCTGTTTCTCTAAGTAGAGTGATTTACCAAAAAGAAGAAATGAGTCTTAATGGTTTAAAAAAAAAAAAGTTCACAGAGCACTGTCTTGCCCAGCTCAGTGTTATACAGTGTTAGATCATTAGGACATTCAGCAATTCTCCTACACTAAAGGAAATAGGATACAACCATGCCTTGAGTATAAGCCCTTATTTTGCCTCCTCTGTATCCTTTGTTGTCATTAGCCTGCAACTTTGCATTGCACTTATTGATGTTATGTCTGTCTCCCCTATACTAAACAATATGCCACTTGAAAACTCTTATTAATTGTCACATTATTAGAACCCAGTATAGGGTCTACATAAATGCTTTCTTGGCAACTCAAAAATATACCTATTGGTATCATGCAGAGTACATAAGTAAACTGCTTTGAAGAAAGGCAAATTTGAAGAAAGATACGTGTAATGGTTAATTTTATGTGTCAACTTGACTGGGCCATGGGATGTCTGAATAGCTGGTTAAACATTATTTTGAGGTGTATCTGTGAGAGTGTTTCCAAAGAGGTTAGCATTTTAGTTGGTAGACTGCCTTCCCCAGTGTGAGTAGACATCCTGCAATCTGTTGAGAGCCAGAATGGAACAGAAAGCTGAAGGCAGGTTGAATTAACTGCCTGGGTTAATTGCACTGGCACATCAATCTTCTGTCCTTGCCACTCCTGATTCTTAGGGCTTTAGATTGGGAATAGAATCTACACCATTGATTTTCTAGCTTTCAGGTCTTTCGGCTACATGACTGGCTTTCTTGGGTCTCCAGTTTGAAGACAGCAGCTCATGCAACTGCCCAGCCTTCAGGATCATGTGAGCCAACACTTTATAATAACGGTTTATACACACACACACACACACACACACACACACACACACACACACACACACGTTCTGTTTCTCTGGAGGACCCTGACAAATACAGTGCTAATGGTCACTGAGTGCTTTTTATGTGCTAGACACCTTACTTAGCACTTGCTGTGCATTATATAATTAGTAATCACAGGAACCTATGAGATCTCTATCATTTTTTAAACAGATGGTGAATCGGAGACTTAACAAGATTAAATGCTTTGCCCAAGGTCAAATAGCCAGTAGGATCAGATGAGAGGATGGGACCATGCTTCATGGTCCATGCTCCACGTTTGTTGTTCTAACTCGAGTCTATGCTTTTAACTCTGATACCCTGTGCTCTTCCATAAGGCCTTTCTGTGCAGTGATACTCACTCATCACTTGTGCCAGCCATCATCTTCACGGCTGGCCAAAGCTGTTTGGCTTCATCTTCTCATCTGAAGAATTAATACACTTGCCAGGAAAGTTTACCTATGAGTTGCAAATTCAGGATACAGTTTAATTCTAATATCCCACCTTGATTTTCACTTATGAGGCAAAAATTTCTATTTTGATATGGTTTAGTGGCTCTTATTCCTCTTTATATTTTTTAGTCCAAATGGAACAGAAGTTTGAGGTTGCCTTTCCACATTCAGTTTTTGGCTACCTGTTTTATAGGGCTGTTAAACTAGTAACCACCAGCTAGTTAGTAGATGTATTATAGAGTATTTACTGTATGTCCTGCATTCTCCTAGGGCTGTGCTGGCTGTTGGATAATTACTGTGTTTAATCTCCTTTTTGCCTGATCTTCCACAGTGTTGCAACAGTGGTGTCTGTGCCACAGAATGAACACCTGCATTCTTCCTAAATTATCTACAGATTATTTTGAGTGCCTTGTCTTTTCACCTGTATTTTAGTTGTGTGTAAAATTTATCTTGGACCTCCCGTAACACCAGGCACATAGTTTGAGTACCTAGGAATGATTCTAGGGATATTCTCTAGAATATCATCAAATATATTGTCAGGAGAGCTGGCTTCTACTCTGACTCTGCAACTATTTAGCTGGAAGATTTGGTGACTTTTTTTTATCTTGGGCTTGAGAGGCCTCACTTTTCTCAATTCAAAAAATCAAAGCATTGGTCTAGATTGCTAGGTCTTTTCTAGCTTAAATTCTTGGCTTCTGAGATTTCTGTAATTTTTTATAGTTATCTGGTAGATTGATTCATGGTGGTTGTATTAACAGGAATAAAAAAGTTGTGAGTGGACTTGGATGTGCAAAGGTGATATTAGGTTAAGTTTCAAATATGTGGAAGCAGTAGGGTATACCGAAATCTAGATGTCCTTTAAGAATGGATGTACAGATTTGGATTTAAAGTTGGTGGTAGTCACTGTCATTCTCACTGACCTCTTTTGGTAGTGGAGTTAGAATCCTAGGCTTGAGGTAAAAGGTACTTGTTCATGACAATCACATAATCACAAATTTTTAGGTGTGAAAGAGACACAGAAATCATAATCATATGCCCTGCCCTTGTTTGTTTGTTTTTTGTTTTGTTTTGTTTTGTTTTTTTTGAGACAGATTCTTGCTCTGTTGCCCAGGCTGGAGTGCAGTGGCGTGATCTCGGCTCACTGCAACCTCCACCTCTTGGGTTCAAGTGATCCTTCTGCCTCAGCCTCCTGAGTAGCTGGGATTACAGGCGCGCGGCACCACGCCCGGCTAATTTTTGTATTTTTAGTAGAGACAGGGTTTCACCATTTTGGCCAGGCTGGTCTCGAACCCTTGACCTCATTATCTCCCTGCCTTGGCTTCCCAAAGTGCTAGGATTACAGGTGTGAGCCACCACGCCCAGCCCCTTGTTTTATATACCAGAAAACTAAAGATTTGAGGAATGGAATTTGCCAAAAGTTATACATAGCTGCAGATCAGGTCTGCAGACCAGACTGCCACTATCTCTAAGCTCCTGGTTCATCCCTCACTAGGCTTGTTAATGTTTTCTTTTTAGCATTCATAGTATTCTTTTGTAAGCAATAAACTCACTATCATGTATGTTCAAATACACATTCAAAATTATTTGTAAAATTTAGTTCAGAAAACTAAATTTCTGGGAAGGAAAAGCAATCAGGTAGCATTGTCACTCTATCTGAATTTTGACCTCTGAAATTAAAAGGCATTGTATGGAAACCGCTGAATTGTGCAGTTTTAAGAGTATGGTTTTATGACATCTGTTGAAAGTTAAGTCATGATGGACGGTCCTAAATGGTTTTTTAGTACCCACATGAGGTAATTAATCTCTCTGCATCCCTTTTCAGATCCTGTGTTAGGTCCAGCATGTATGAACACAAGGCTGATCATGTCATAATTCTGTATAGAATTACAATAACAAAATATTTGTTTGCAGTGGATCTCCATTTTGTTCTGTCAAAGAACTAGATGCCCATGACAAAGGTCAAATGGAGATCTGGCATCCATTTCAATACTTGTAAGACATAGTCTTGAGAATATGTAATACAAATAGCTCCTTGCCAGAAAAACTGAAAGGAAATGATTGCATTTGAGTACAATGTATTCTACAACAATAGTTTAGTGTGTATGAAATTTAAAACTGCTGGCTTTCAAAATATTTTTTTTAAGTAGACTTTATTTTTTTAAAGCTTTATACCCACTGTGTATTGCTTTGTAGGATACCCTTAAAAGCTGAGATTTAAGACCAAAGAAACTGAAAATCTTAATGGCACGATATTGAATTCTCTAGTAAAATACTTTAGTTTAATGTGTTTATTGATTTCTCCTGAATGTTCTGTCTTCATGAGCATTAATGTTATTACATTAGTTTACCATAGTGGTGCCTTTTTTTCTACCCGTCATGAACTCATAATGCCTTAGAAGAATCAGTATCAGGTCTTAAAGCCTGCAGTGGTGTCTTTGTTTTACACAATGAACAAATATTCAGGATTGTATAGGTGAGGACCACATCTACCTTGTTCGCCCAGTATCTAGTATGGGACCTGGCTTGCAGTAGACATATATATTTAATCAATTATTGTTTTTGTTTTGTTTTGTTTCAGTTAATGAATGGCAAGTAGCACTAGCTCCAAACTAATGAGTTTAACCTAAAAATTAGATAAATTAACTCATTCATGTATGTATTTCAAGGAGGTTTCCAAATCCTCTAGAAAGAAAATTTGATGTTTTTGAGAGAAGCCTTTAAAAGTGGTCTGATTTACTCAGTTAACAGTAGGGTCAAATATGGCTCAAGCAGTGTTTTAGTCACCTTGTCTGATGCAGTCTGGAAAAATAGGCCTGTCATAATAGAAAAGGATTGATGGTGAAAATACTTGTTTATAAAGTTGTTTCAGCCAAAGGGAGAGGTGGAAGTGCTTTGTTCTTCATTGAAACTTAACAGCAAAGAACTTCCCAGGGTGTGGTCAAGGCAACAACACTTGAAGCTGGACACCTGGTGACTTTCCTCCAAAGGGCCCTAAGGCCTCTGCACCACTGTTCTATCTAGTCAAACTTGGACAGAAAAGGAACAAGAGATTAATTCTACCTTGACTCCTTTCTTTGTGGTGTTTGAGAAGCTACCATTTGAACTTCTGATTTACAAAACTGAACTATCAGTGCTAACCTACTAGGCCAAGATTTTATGAAAAGTAATTTAAGGCTTTAACACAATCCATGGTTGAAGCCACAGTTTTATACAGAGCTGCCATAACAATATTTCTTTCCTGCTTTAGTTGTTGTTTCAAGACCAGAAATGCAGTAACATATATGGATAGCATACATAGTTTGTTTTAGAATTCTAAGAAAGAATGCATGGTTTCAAAAAAAAGCAACTCTTTTTTTTCTTCAGAGCCTTTTGCCCCATTGAAACTGAAAAAGAAAAAAAAATATGCAAGCTTTTTTGAAAGTACAGACAAAATTGGCATTTCACTTATGGGAAAATTTTGCAAAATTACATTGACTAAAAGTACTGTGAAGCCACACAGAAAGGCCAAAAATTATTGGCATTGCTTTTGTGTAAAAAACCTTTTACATAGACTCCACCTGTAATTCAGCCAAGTACATAATTCAGGTCATTGGTGACACACGTATCCACATGTTGGAGCTGGTCAGTGAACGTTGTCATGAAACATGGATAGAATATTACCATATGGACAGACCAAACCGCACAGATTACAGCTAAGGAAACTTTGCATTAACATGCCTGGGAACAGGCTTTCCTGAGCTGATCCCTGCCCCCACCCACCCTCAGTGGGAAAGCCAATTGCTTACTGATTACGACAGCGACATCACTTGGCAAACATTTTGGCCTGAGCTCAATGTGTGACATCAGTCTCCTTTAGGGTTTTCCACATAAAACAAATTCTCCAAAGAAAACACAGAAATTGAGCCTTAATTTGAAATCCATTATTACATCCTCTGAGGTCTCATTAACTACCTCAATCACGTAGTTCTTAATTTTTGTTTTATTTCCAGGTAGATACAAACCAACACTTAGAATGTGAGCAGTAAACCTTTACCGTGTTTATTTCAGAGTTTCAACCAGATACCCCTTTGTATCTATTTTCAACCAACCTCCCTTTTACTGGGGTTATGATATCTTTGTTTCACTGCTGGGAGGGTTGCTAGTTTGGGAGTGGTTTACAACACTTTGTTTGAGGAAGGAAGTAAACATTGTTCTTTGACCCTTCAGGATAAGTTAGTCTCACTTTTGTGGGAGGCAGCTGTGTCCTTGAGAGAAAGCACTCAGTGAAGTTGGAAGGACTCAGTCATGGTGTGTTTTGCCATGTCACTTGAAAGCAAGGCACACTACGGGTATTTCACACTCTTGTGTGTAAGCACCTCCTCTGAGCGTTTATTTACCTGAAGTCATTAGTTTCCCCCACTTCCTGTTTCGTTAGATGGTATTCATTTAATACTACTTTGATGCACATGGCCTTAAAGCAGATAGAAGTCAGTTATGCCTCATGAGGCCTGCAGTCTCCCAGCAGAAGGCAGGAAAGCATGAAGGGTGGACGTGAATGGGCCCACACTACCAAGATACTGGAATTGTGATGTTCAGGCAAAGCAAGGGAAGTCACATATGCATCAAGGGAGTTGAGAATAGGTTTAATATTGTCACATTCAAAGAATTCCATCTGGAAGGTGTTCCTTGGCATATAGAAATAGATGAATATTCTCATATCTTCTGGAATGGCTAAACAGAGTGATAGACACTTTTTCCTACTTCTTGTTAATGGCATGTTCACTTTAATTATTCTTCAAGGTAAAGAATCCTATAAAGGAAACTTTATATCCTATAAAGCTAAAAGTAATCTCTTAAGTTCTTTCTCTTAAATTCATTTTATATATTTCAAAATACTATTCTTCATATATTGATTTAGTAGTATACACTTTACATTTTTCCCACAATTTTTCTTTTCCTCCAGCCCATGGCCTTTATCCCCACTGATCTTTTGTTCCCATTTCTCAGTGTTGTTCCTTCTTGCTCTCTTGGTTTAAATAATCTTTGCCATCTGCCTCCCAACATTCCAGTATAACTTCAGGATAGCCCTCTCCAGCCTTCCTCCAGAAGATAGTAGAGATACACAGTGAATATCAGAACTCTCCTCCAATAGCCCTTCACATTCCCACCATAAATCTGTATCATCTTGCCTTTTCATTAATGTGGTAAGCCCCCTGGGCAGGGACAGTCTGTACCTCTTTGTATTATGCCAGGCAACACTCTGACCGTGATCAGTAAATGTTCATAATAATGAAAGATGAAAGAAAGTGTCTGTGTTCAGCAAGTTAGTGCCAAATAAGTATGGAGGCCAAATGAGGCCACTAGTGCCAAACCACAGGGGTTCAAAATAATGTTTAATATAACATTGTCTCATTGAATAACAAATCTTATATTGTAATGTCTGAGTCAAATGTTTCTTTGGTGCCAGATTTCTTGTGCTCCTTTAATCTGTCCCTGTAGATATTTCAGAGTTCATGAGGAGCAAGTTAGTAGGACCTTTCCCCTGCCCCCTCTCTGCCGTGTAGTGAAAAATAAACCTCCTGGAAAAAATAGAGTGAATATAAGTGCCATGGATTCTCTGGCACTCCGAAAAAATGCCTACCATAAAGTATATGGAAAATAAATGAAAGTTTGCTATTAGCCTAGATATTGAGGTAACTAACTTAAGTTACCTAGCTGAAGTATGAATTGGAAGTAGTTGAATAAGCCATTTGAGATTGGTTACTTTCCATCTTTTCAGTATCAATAGAGAGGGTTAATTGTCCTTTCAGTTTCATATGGATGCTTATACTGTCTACAGTGGTTCAGAATAGAGGGTCAAAGTAGAACAAAATAATCTACCCTACATATGGTTAGAAAATATTTACCAACCAAACTCTCCTTTTTTGCAGCCACGCTTCTCAAAATGCTAGTTCACATTTTAAGCTTCTACATTCTTATTTCTTATTTTGTTTTTTAAAGCATTGCAATTTGGCTTCTGCCCTTACCACTTTATTGAAATGGCTCATTAAGTTCCTCAGTATTTTCTTCATTGCCAAATCCTGGGACATTTCATTCTTTTCTGCATTATTTGGTGCTATTTGACTGTTCACTCTCTTTTTAAAGTCTTTGCTCACTTCATTTCATTGCCTTCTTTGTCTTCTGGTTCTTCTAAGCTTCCACCATTTTTTTTTTTAGCTTCCATTTTCAACCCCCTTTTTCTTCCAGAAAACTGCCAAGCCTTGATGTATTCTAGGGTTCCCTTTCAACATTCTCTCTTCTCACCACACCAACACCCACAGTTTCAGCTATCACCTGCTGCAGGTCCATATCACCAGCCCATCCTTCTACAGACCTATATTTCTGACCATGGGTTGACTTTATACATATTATTCTTTACACCAGATACTGTAATATACCAAGGTACCTCATACTCAACATGTCTAAACCAGGACTCATCTCCTACCTACTCACCAAGTAGAAACCATCCTGCCTGATCAAAATCCTACAACACAGAAAACTGTGCCCCATTCCCATATTTCATATGTTCCTGAATAGCCAGGAGTGCTTCTCAGTAACTCCTTGTTTTCCTTGCTCTTCTTTCCAGTCTAACCAGTCACTAATTCATATTGACTAAACATCATAAGTAGTTCATGCGCACACCCCCCTCCCAACCTCATGGCTGTTGGAACACATCCCCTCATCTTTCTCATCTGGATATTTGCCTCCTATGTGAGTTTCCTGCGCCCAGTCTAAAGCTCCTCCAGTTGTTCCTCCATGTTCCCTTAATCGTTCTTTAGGAAAGCATAACTGATCATCTTATTTTCCCTTTCACAATTTTCCATTTGCTCCTTCAGGCCAACAGTATAAAGTCCAGCTGCTCAAGGCAAGCCTTTCCTTTTCTCATCCTACAATCATGCCCTATGCTGTAGCCATGTGAAAAGCTTGAGTTCCCTCAAAATGCAGGTTCTTTTCTCACTTCTATACTAACACACTTATTTCACCCCTTGCCATGAATATGGTTTTCATTCTTGTTTGCCTAGGGACTAGACCCCTGTTGCCTGGTCTTTGCAGCCTTCACAGGGCACTCCCTTCAAGAGTTAGGGGCCTAACATTTATGGTTCCACAGTCCTTATCACACATCTGGTTATCCATACATTGTACTGATAATGTCTTCAAACATATCCTTTTCCTCACCCTGGACTATGAGATCTTTGAGAACAGAGACTGTGTCATATTTATCTTTGTATCCCTGAGACCTGGTACAGTGGCCAGCTCATAGATTGCAGAATGGGACATTGTTTGCCCAAAGCAGCCTTACCTTTCACATTCCTGTTCTAGTAGGCATATGAATTCATCACTCTTCTCCATGTATTCTTTATGTTTTCTCTTTTCTTCCTCCAACTCCAATATGGTTTGCCTACGGGATTTTTCTGCCACTAAAAGCTGTCCCAGGATTCGTCTGTAAGATTCTTTATGTTTTTCCACAACTTTGTCCAACTACGAAAGAAAACATTTATAGCCTGTTACCAAATTGTTTATATACTGTTGTCTTTCACTCTTTTAGAAATGTCCCTGTTTTGATTAATTCGGCAGTGGGTTTTTTTGGTTTTTTGTTTGTTTGTTTTGAAACAGTTTTCGCTGTCGTTGCCCAGGCTGGAGTGCAATGGCGCGATCTCGACTCACTGCAACTTCCGCCTCCCGGGTTTAAGCGATCCTTCTGCCTCAGCCTCCCAAGTAGCTGGGATTACAGGCATGCGCCACCATGCCCAACTAATTTTTTTTGTACTTTTAGTAGAGACAGGGTTTCTCCACGTTGGTCAGGCTGGTCTTGAACTCCTGACCTCAAGTGGTCTGCCTGCTTCGGCCTCCCAAAGTGCTGGGATTACAGGCATGAGCCACGGCGCCCGGCCAGCAGTGGGTTTTTTATCTCCTTGTTTAGTGTTTATTCTCTTGTTAATTGATACTTTTGGGTGCATTTCAATACAAATGTAGTCTCTTTATTGCCATCAAATTTTTCTTGACAGAATAATCTGTGTCCCTGTGGGTATCAACTGTTTCCACATAACCTCTTTCTGACACTCTTATGTCTCTCTCCTGAGAAGCTACATTAAAGAAATGACAGGAAGTAAGAGAATCCTTGCACGGTGCTGGATTCGCAGCTGCCCTAGCTGATCTCTTCTGCCCCAGCCCACCCTATAGTTCTCTGTACCAGTATATGCCTCTTGGATCGCTCTACCAGGACATGCTATGATTTTCATTTTATTATACATCAAGGTATTTCCATTAAAATAGATCTATGAATAGATAATCTATTATGTGTTGGTGTATAGTGTGAATGTCACCAAATGTAAGTACTAAGTCCATTCAGATTTTCACAGCACTATACTTACATCTTTTTTACAAAATGATCAACCTGTGGCTGATACATGTGTTTGTCTCCCCTGCTAGACTGTGAACTCCCTGAAAGCTGGGCCTACATCCTTCTTTTTTTATTTTATTTTTAATCCTTGGCATCTAACAGAGTGCCTTGCTTATAAGAGGTGCCCAGTTTACAGACTGGAAACAAAACAAGCAAGCAAGGAAACTGAGATTTTTTTTGTTTTGTTTTGTTTGGTCACACATCTGCCTTTATTGTGAGCAGCATGTGGGACACTTCCAGCAGTAGTTTAAAAAAAATTTTTGATTAACAAAAGTAGGGATTCAGAGAAGCTGTCCAGCTGGTACCCTTAGGGGCTTATACGTGGATGCTAAGCCACAGCAGCAGGACAGGACTCCATAGCCTAGGAAGAGTGAGAGCACCAAGGACATGAGGAGCTCTTGGCAGATATCCCAAGTGCACTTGGTGGAAGTGGAGGTGACCTCATAAAGGAAGAACCAGGCAGTAAAGAACATGCCAGTGGCCAAAAGCATCACAGTCAGATGGAGTTAGACAGCCAAGCTCACTGGGCTGGTTTATCAGCTCCTGGCCTTGAGCTCCATTTTGCCCAGCACGGGGTAAGCTGCCACCAGAAAAACATGTTGGCAAGAGCTAACTCGGGATCTTTTGCTAGTGATAAATTAATATCTATTAAGAACTTGGTTTTGAAAACACCCGACTTTCTAGATTAGATACAGATGCAGTAAGTGATAATGTTGATTGATTTTTACAGTTTGCCTTTGTCATAAAAGATTTAGAATGTGTGACTCATTGTGAATTTAAAGCCAATTTAAGTTGTGTATCCTAAAAAGCATGTACTTGACTAGAAATGTACTTGACTAGAAATCTGGGCACAAAATGACCAAGTCATTTCAGAAAAAGAGTACAACTGAGGTGTCCCAGCATATAGAACCCAGTAAATTCTCTCTGACTTCTAAATGCTTAAATTCACAAAATACTTCATTATGCCATACAATTGTTGATGATTTTTAATGTAGCCAGTCCTTTTGTGAAAGCTGAAACTGCTATGTTGTATTGCCTGCTGGCAGAGGCATCTTCTGAGGAGGCTCTAGTGTTGATTGTCATGGAAGTGTGTTTCAAACCACTGCAGCCCTCTGAAAATTTTATCTTCAGTTGCCCAAACATTAGAGTCCATTGTAAGGAAAATTCAAATCAACTCCTTTTGCAATTTGAGAGTGAAATAGTGATAGGATCAGCTTTACTTTAGGGAAGTTATTAGTTGACTTAGAAAATACATTCAATTTAATTTGTCACAAGATTGACATTAGAATTAATGTATGAATAATTATAGTAGGTATTCAGTAAAGCATAAATGAATTACTAAAAGAGGCTTTTCTAAATCCAAAAACAGTATTTCCTTGGAGAGCTTGTTGTAATTGTCAAGATATGTATATTAAATTTTATACAAACCAAAGAGAGAAAATAGAAGGTTTATTTAATCCACTCTTGCTTTCCATTGTTTTTTTCCCTTTATATGTTCGTGGTTGTTTGAAGGGAATGGAAAGAAGGCTAGAAGGAATCCGTGCCCTTCATTTATTCCATGACCCCCTAAGTGGTCTCCCTTCCTCTAGCCTTACCTCCTTGCAGTCTGTCCTCATCACTGACAGCATGATTTTTCACCACTGGGACTCCACTCTCCTGTTCGGGGCCAAAAGGCCCTTCACCATCTGAACCTCCTGCCACCTTGGCCCCATCTTCACTCCATATCTTCCCACCGATCCTACCCAACTTTCAGCCACACTGGACTTCAGGCAGTTCTTACAATTCACCATGGTGCTTCAAGACTGCTTTTTTCAATGCCAAGACCTGGAAATCTTTTTTCCTCTTTCACCAAAACTTTCCCTATACATGAGCTTTTCAATACATATTAACTAACTAAATGAATAAAATTAAATTTAAAAGCTTAATTATACCATTGCTTAAGGTAAGTATTTTAAGATTTGCCCTAGGTTATGCTAATAATACTGAGACTCTTTTATTATAGTGCCTTGGTAAATCCAAAATGTTGTTATATTTTCTTTCTGTTTTTTTTTTTTTTGAGACGGAGTTTCGCTTTTGTTGTTCAGGCTGGAGTGCAATGGCGTGATCTCAGCTCATCGCGATCTCCGCCTCCTGGGTTCAAGCGATTCACCTGCCTCAGCCTCCCAAGTAGCTGGGATTACAGGCATGTGCCACCACGCCCGGCTAATTTTGTATTTTTAGTAGAAACGGGCTTTCTTCATGTTGGTCAGGCTGGTCTCGAATTCCCGACCTCAGGTGATCTGCCTGCCTCGGCCTCCCAAAGTGCTGGGATTACAGGCATGAGCCACTGCGCCCGGCCCATATTTTCTATAATATATTTTTTGGAAGAACTAAGAATACCTTAGGCTATTAATTTTTTTTTAAAATTAAGTTCTGATATAGAACCCTAGGCTGGAAAGGAATAGGAGGTCAAAACTCTTGTGGACTGAGTCCTTGCCTCTTCCCGCCCTCTTGACCACACCTCTGCTCCTAGCCCCAGCCCCAAGCATGTTCCAGCTCACAGGCTTCCACCAGTTTTTCATCTTAAGTCAGTGTTCCTGTCGTGTCATGTAACCGAGAGCTGTTTGTTCTTCTAAGTTATTTTGCCTTAAGAATTAGATAAATCACCTCTAGTTTACCCTAGACATGATTGAGATTTTTTAGGTTTTTCAAAAAGAACATTATGAAGAAAATAAAAGGGAGAAGGGGCTGTTAACACTTCAAGATGGGGGAATGCAAAAGAAGAATAACTTTAGCATTCAAGATGCTTATTCTCATGTAATTAGGATACAGTCACAGCTGGTCTCAGCAGGAGCACTGCCCTCCCTTTATTTTCTTCAGCCCTGTGTAGGAAAATCCTAGGCAGAATTCCCCTTCACTGTTTATTTTCGGGGCATTCCCCTCTCACCTAGTACTTCCTAGACCGAGGAAAAGGATAGACAACTGGGTTGTGTACGTGGAGTTATTTTGGCTTCGAGGAATTGCATAAACTGATATCTGAGGACAGAGAAATCCATAAGGGGGAAGTAGAGGAAAGAGAGGAAAATTGGCAGATCATGGAGGTGGGAATGTGAGAGGTGTATGTATATAGGGGTATCTGTTGGAGGAGTAATCAAAAAAGGCTGGACTTGTAAAGTAGGGCCAGATTATGGGTAACTTTCAGGGGCACCTTACAGAGTTAAGACTGCAAGCATTTGTAGAAGGGGGGTATTTCCAATTTTGCATGTGCACAATAGAATTATTTTGTAATTAAATTTTTTCCCACCGATTTCAACATAAGTTTGGAATCATCCTGTTCCATTTCACACTGAAGTGTTGAGAGGTTATGCCATTTGTAGAGTTTTGTTAGGGTTATGTTCAGAGATCATTAATTTGCATTTGAGCTCACAGGGGTTGGGGAATTTGTGCCTGACACTGTTTCATAGTTAATATGTTGGGAGCCAGGATACAGTTTTAACAGTATTCACTTGAATGCAGCTCTGGTTCCTTTTGTTTAAAATTTGGATTAAAGTGCAAATCAACAGACTTTGGGTGGTCTCATCCTCACCCCGTAGAGAAGCAGATACATATGACCAAACTCCTTCACTATTTGGCAAGACAGTAGTCTCTTCTCTCATGAGATACTAAAGACGAGAATAGCAAGGACATTAGAGGTCAGTCCTGAGGTAGGTTGCCAGAGTTTATTTGAGGGAAATTTGTCTGAAACTTGCTTTCACTCTCCAGCCTCAACTCATGTTCCTAGTTGTTTCTTTTCTATAAAAATGAAAAATTATGAAATTTTCCATGAAGGTCTCAGAGGAAAATTAAAGAATAAAATAAGAATTCCAAAGGGTTTCAGAAATGTCAGCAAGTAAAAGAGCAAGCAGTACTGCCTTCTCCCTAGTGGTGGCCCTGTTGGGACTGCCCACCTTTGCCGTTGTAATTGCTAGGTACGCTTGGTGAGGGAAAGGTCTTTGCTGTCATTAAACTTTGAAGGAAAAAGAAGGTATGCACTCATCTAAAATATATGTTTTTAAAAACTCTATTTCTTGGACAGTTCTTTAGATTATTTCCATTCATGTTCAAAATTTCTATGACATAATACCTCAGTGTTTTCCAAAAATTAACCTCTATGGTTGAACTTTATGTTTTTTATTACAGCCTGGGTACCCTGCAAGTTCCCAGAGTGTGTGTGTGTGTGTGTGTGTGTGTGTAAGCACATGTATGTGTGTGCATGTGTGTGTTTGTGTGTGTATGTGCCTGCACATGCACGTGAGAGTGGGGAGCATTCTCTGGCATTTGGTAGATTTTGGTTGATTCAAGCAACAAACCTAGTGGACGCATCCTGTCTATGGTTCATTCTTTTTAACTTTCCTATTGAACTTGTCGTATTTATCTGTTTTGTGTAGGCTTTAAGTGCGTTAGAAAGTAAAACTGTAAGGAATCAAAGAGGAGTTACAGATCATGCTCATCTGCAGGGCTAGTGCTTGGCTGCCTCCCAGGTACACACCCCTATTGTGGTACATACCTCATTCATTGGTTTCTCATAGATGTCCTCCTGCCAAGGGGTAGATTTCGCTTGAAAAGCATCTCTCTGGAGAGCCTCTAACACCTTTTTTGGAGTGACAAACCCATACTGAGCTTCCAGCAAAGCCAGGTCCATTTTTTCAGCCTTTAAAATGCCTATGACCTCATCTCGAGCCTGTAGGAACAAAAAGTATTTCAGAAAGCCTGCTGTCTCTACCAGCAGTCTCAGCAAGTGATTTTTGTGATAGTTGGCAGTGCTTTTTCTTCTCTTTCAAATCTAAATGAATCATATTTCATTTTCACACTTTTATAAAAGGTAACAAAACTATATCCCTTCATCCTTCTTGTAGTCTAATTACACAATTAATGTTTTAAAAAGTGATTACTATACAACATTGGAGGACTACTTTTTTTATTATGTTTGACAAGCAGATATCATGATATCCATCAATGTACTAGCATTTGGATTTTCAGGGGGTAGGAAATAAAATTCTCCTATATGTGTACCAGCTGTTTTTAGATTTTCATGTAGGTTAATAATGCCAGGGCTAGTCTAGGAGCCAGTTCACTTGGGGTACAAAAGCACCTATTGTTGTTTAAACCAATCCCGAAGTCATCTGGCATTATTGCTACTGATGCATGCATGTGCACTGAAGCTCCTGAGCAGCATGGGCAGAGGATGTGACCTTTCACGACCTGTATGCCAATCACATGTCATCATGACAGCCCCTTTAGATGGGATTAATTGCACTTTGAGTTGGCAGAGGAGAATTCTTTGTATATATACTTATGCTTTGCTTTCATGTACACACATGTATGAACCACAGATATCTATTTCTGTGGCAGCAGGAACACCAAATTCACAAGCAGCCTTCTGTTTGAAGCATGATGGGGATAACTCCAACCCAGCTGACCTGCAGTTCTCCCTCCAGAATGCTGAGGAGAAATAACAGGTCATCTCTTGAGAGGTCTTCTGCTTGGTGGCCATTACCACTGTGTGGCTTCTCTGCCTTGGGACACGGAAGTATTACATCCGACTCACTGGGGGAGTCTTTGTCTTGCTGTCTATGCTTCATGTTTTTAGGCCCTTGGAAACTGTGGCCTTTAGTATGTCTTGGAAATTTCTTTTGGGCTGAGCCCTCGGTATCACTGCCTCTGGAACGCATTCTTTAAAGCCTGGAAGGAGGGAAGAAAATTTGTAAAGCTTAATGGAAATGGAGTTTTAATAAGAGTACCTATTACTGCTTTAACAAGTCTACATTCTTGTTATATTTACCACAGCCCCAAAGTCAATCTTTTTGATGTCTACAGCAGAGAAGGATATTAGCAGATTCATAAATCACAGTCTTATTTGCACTTCTGCTTTTAAAGCAAACATTTAAAAAAAGGTGTTCTGTCTTGATTAAGGCCACTTATGTCCATGGGTAAACAGGCTGTGTTTGAACTTCATCCCCCAAGCATTCCACCTCAGGAACCCAGGTCAGACCTCCAACCATGACCCTAAGTGCTTGCTTAAGACGTACTTAACATAATTATAATATTGTAAAATGGTGACTTTGCTAATTCTTCTAACTTTCTTCAGATTTACTTTATAGTATTTCCTTTAAAATTGTTGGGAGCTTTTATGGGGTTTTTTGTTTTGTTTTTAAAATTTGTTAGCCTTTAAAAGTGCATTAGGACAGAAATGGCAGAGTTACTGCTACAGAATTACTGCATTATTTTGTTTTGAAGGCCAAGTCTAGTATTAAAGGAATGAAGGCTTGGTCCCTGGCTGTATTCCTGTATTCCTGACATTCTTCTAAAATTCTAGATCTATCCTTGGGTAAGTCAAGGGCTTATATTTAGGACCCTCATCTTCAAAGCGGAGATACTACTACCTAACGTAGTTGGCCATTCTGGAAACAATATAAAATAAATTAATGTTTAAAGGACACATTAGCTCCACATCTGATTATATAATCATCCAAATGAATTTATAATAGGAAGAAAAATTCTTCCACTGTTGAGGTTTATAACTAGGAGAGAAAATATCAGTTGAACTTATAATTGACTCTATGGCATATAAGCAGATTATTAATTTTACTCTTTGTCCCTACAAATCATGAAACTTTCATCATCGCCAGTACCTTACTTTTAGTTTGTAGTATTTCTTTAAAAATCTGAAAAACTCAAGTGTCCAGAAAAGTATAGAAACCATAACAAACTGCTATATGCTACCACACAAATTTATAAAATTTTAATAATTTACTGTATATTAGAAAACAGTTTTTAAGTACTGTATTATAGATGTATTATAATGTATGTATCTCTTCTGAAACCCCTTCTCCTCCCTTCCCACTCCAGAAGTAACCACGTAATCTTGAATTTGGTATTTATCATTCCCCTGTATGTTTCATACTTTTTAAAAACATGTACATATATATTGCTGAACAATGTATAGTATTACATTTTCAAACCTTATGTAAATACCATATTGAATGTATCTTTCTAAAACTTGCTTTTTCATCCTAGATTATATTTTTGAGATTCTTCCTTGTTCTATTTTACTGTAGTTTATGTATTTTGATTGCTGTAAGAATATTTCATTATATAGTCCATCATTTACTTGTTCATTTTACTGTTTTTGAATATTTTTTTTTCAGTATTCAAAAAAATGCTACTTCAAACATTCTTGCACATTTTTTTCCCTTGTGTTAGGTGATAAGAATTCTGTCACAAATCAGCTGTGGAACTTGATTAAGACATTGACCCATTGCCAGGCACAATGGCTCACACCTGTAATGCCAACACTTTGGGAGGCCGAGGCAGGCGGATTACCCGAGGTCAGGAGTTCAAGACCAGCCTGGCCAACATGGCGAAACCCCATCTCTGCTAAAAATACAAAAAATTAGCCAGGTGTGGTGGCACACACCTGTAATCCCAGCTACTCAGGAGGCTGAAGCCCAGGAATTGCTTCAACACAGGAGGCCGAGGTTGCATTGAGCCAAGATCGCGCCCGGCACTCCAGCCTGGGTGACAGAGTAAGACTCTGTCTCAAAACAAAAAGGACATTCACCCTCTTCAGGTCCAATGACCTGATCTGGAAGTGAGGGAGCACTTACTATGTGTGCTAAGCATTCTTCTCAGCATTTTCCATGTATTAGCTCATTCAAGTCTCACAACAACACTATGAGGTAGGGAATATTATTATCTCCATTTTACAGTGAACAAATGGAAGCACGGGAAACTTATTGAAGGTTGCACAGCTAATAAGTGGCAAAACTGGGATTTGAGTCTAGGAAACCTGGCTCAGGGACCCACACTCTTAAAAATCATGCCGTAATGTCATTATGCTGTATTGCCTAAGACAAATGCATATATACACTGGTACAAATACCTTGTCCGAAAAATGCCTATAGCCTTACTGAAGAGACTATTTACAAATACGGTATAGATGAACAATGATGTGTGACAGTAGTTGTCACTGGCTCTTCCCTAGGTAGCCAGGGAAAGGCTCATTTATTTGAGAAAAGCAAAGGCATAGAAGGGATATTTTTGTGTAGGAATGGGAGGTTGGGGATGTGTAAGAGATGAGATTGGGAAAAACCTCATTGTGTGTATATCTATTTATTTATAAAAATATTCATGTACTACCACAGTATATTATGTGCTTTATAAAAAACATTCAAAAAAGACAAAAATGAAAAATTATACATAAACAGGATTTCTAATTATCTTTCCCCACCCCTATTGTATTTTCTTGAACACCTAGGAATATCCTTACTCTGGGCTATAGAAATAATGGAAGGTTGTTACATAAATATATTTAATATAGGTAAATATTACATTCTGCTTTATTTATAGGTATGTTCACAGATTAATTATAGGGCCATCTATGTCCTTTGTCTTATATTTTTAAGACAATTTTATTCTTCATTCATGTCTCACATGGCGTATCTGACCTGGTGCTCCATACATAATGGGCATGCATTAGGGTGACTGGCTTGCTCCTTTTACTTTGTGCCCAACTGTCTCAGGTACATGTTAGTGTTTAACAAACAACCCCAAAACTTGGATGGAGGCTAAATAACAATGGCTCAGAATTCTGTGGGTTACTCCACAGCTTCAGCTTTCTTACAGCTATTCTGGGCCTGGATGGTCTAAGACGGGCTCTCACGTATTTGGCTGTTGGTTAGTTGGACTAGGAGAGCCTCAGCCGGGTCATCTCATCTCAGCTGTATGTGACTCTCAACTTACAAGAAGCTAGACCAGGCTTCCCCACATGGTGGTCTCAGGATAACATTCCAAGAACGTGAGAGTTGAAGCTCCCAACATCTCATTTGTGAAAGAATGTCACAATGTCAGCCCAGATTCAAGATTGAGGAAATAGATTACACCTCTACATGGAAGAAGATACAAGGCCACATTGCAAAGGAATGGAAGGAATTAACTGCAGCCATCTTTGAAAAAGTTCACCACACCCACAGATTCAGATTTCTGTGAAAATCTAATAAAAGTCTAGTTTAAAAGAGGAGCGAAATATATTTGGTTCTTTACTTCTTTTCATTTCCTGGAAGTACATAGGGTTTGGTTTTTGTTTTTTTCATTTTACATGATGAATTCCTATGTTTTCCTCTTGCCCACATAGTCCTGTGTGGAACAATAGTCTACTGATAAGAATCAACTTGTATCCTGCTGCTAATCAATGAGAATTTCTCTGCCCTCATCAACTTAATCTAGGATATCCCTTCCAGAATACCAAGATAATGTAAGCTTTTATTTAGCAGGGTAATTTGCTAAACATTGTTCATAAGTAGTGCCCTTTTAGCTTAAGGCAGCCCTGAGCTGCAACAGAAGACTGAATGGAGCTCTGTATACATTCTAGCTTCCTCACCTCACTCTTAAAGTGGGTTAGATGAAATCTGGTAGGAGAACATAGATCATTTGCCAGTGATGATATTCATAAGTGGTAAAAAAAGGAATGACCTGAAACATTTTTATACTGTGTTTGTTATTCTTCTAAAGAGATTAGAGTTTTACTGAGACCACCAATTCTCTTTGGAGGCTGGGGATAGTAGCATCAACATTCTCACTGATTAATGAAGTGGTGTTCACATTGGATTTGTGAACAGACCCATCATATGCAGACTTCTGGTCTACTGAGGAGCATGTGTCTCTACATGTTTACAGTGGTGGAGTTTCCTTGCCCCTCTGCCAATAACCACAAAATGATCAGTAATGAGAAATAATTAAGTATCTAGAGGAAGAAAACAAAGACATGAATTTCATGATACTCTCATGCTTTGTATTATCAGTGACTTCATTGTTTCTCTTGGCAAATTTTTAATGCATCTGTGCTTGGCCCAGGGGTGCATACTAGGGTAAAGAAAAATTTTGTAATAGCAACAGTGGTTTGGGATTTTCAGGGTACCAAAAAAAAAAAAAGGAAAGTTGCTTTTTGTGTATGCCAAATAATGATACTTTACTCTTCATGAAGTGCTGACCTAGTACCTAGTGAGTTTACAAGGGAAAAAAACCTGCTTAGTTGTCAGTTTAACACAGCCTAATGTGTTGTTATCTGTGACTGTCATAACCCTAGAACGATAACCTTCAGGAGTGTAGGCTGGGAATCAGGAAACCCAGCCTCTGATCCCAGCTCTGCCTTTAATTAGCCAGGGTCTGTGTTGTTGCTTATAAAATGAGAATACTGGGATAGGTTGTCCCATGAGATCACTCAGGCTGGAACAAGGACCAAGGATTGTTTCCTTTGACCTCTACCCTGTTCCTCACCCCCTGATGGATCCCGTGATAGCAGGGTTAGGACCTGAGACTGGATGATCTTTGAAGTCCCGGGATTTCCCGCTTTAGAATTCTGGGACTCTCTGTTGTCTTGTATCTATGGATACAAATACAGTGCAGTTGGCAGTGAGAAGTAGATCCTGCTTTGTTTTCCTATGTAGTTCCTTTAGTCAGTTTTACTTGGGCTTAAGTTAGTTGAAATCATGGTGTATCTTGGTAAGGATGTGTCCATGCAAGAGGACTAGAAGAGAGTTTGTAATTATTTACTTAATTTATTTGCAGGAAATGGCCAAATGTAAATAGAAGTCTATTCTACTCATTACCTTCCTCCAGCAGCCCCTCAGCCAATTACTTATTATAAAATTTAAATTTTAAAAATCATTCTTTATTAATGTTGTATATTAAAAATTACTCTACATAGTTAGGTGCTACTTAGACATACTTTTTAGTCTTCATTTTCTTACTCATTTTTGTTTTAGAATTGTGGATGTGACTAGAGGATATTTTTGCTTGTATCAAGTAAGTGAAAAGCCTCAAAAAAGAAATCATTTTTGGTCTTGGTCATTTAATATGGTATCGAGGTAGCCAAGCAAAACTACTCCAATTTAGAGAAAGAAAATAATAGTAATAATGGTAGCTAACATGTATTCATTACTTATCATATACAAGCCCATTCTAAATGCCTTCCTTTGATTAACTCATTTATTTTGCAGAGGAAGGAACTGAAGCTTGAAGCCTTTTTTTTTTTTTTTTTTTTTTTTGTGACAGCATCTCACACTGTCGCCCAGGCTAGAGTGCAGTGGCACGATCTCGGCTCACTGCAACCTCCACCTCCTGGGTTCAAGCAATTCTCCTGCCTCAGCCTCCCAAGTAGCTGGGACTACAGGCGCGCACCACCACACCCAGCTAATTTTTGTATTTTTACTAGAGGTGGAATTTCACAGTGTTGGCCAGGATGGTCTTGATCTTGACCTTGTGATCTGCCTGCCTCGGCCTCCCAAAATGCAGGGATTACAGGCATGAGCCACCTGCGCCCAGCCCGCTTGAAGCCTTTTTAAATCACTTGCCAAAGGTCACACTGCTAAAAAGTGGCAGAGTCAGAGTCAGGCCCTAATTTAGGCAGTCTGGCTCCAGAGCCTACTAAATCACTATGCTGTATCTACTTAGCTTTTATAAAAAGATATACATAGTAAAGGAAAAATCCTGGTTTAACATTAATTTATTCAACAAACATTTATGAAATGAAGCCCTACTATGTCAAGTATTGTGCTACGCAATTTTGTTTTAACTAGCTTATTTTCTTTTCTTTCTTTTCTTTTTTTGAGACGGAGTTTTGCTCTTGTTACTCAGGCTGGAGTGCAGTGGCGTGATCTCGGGTCACTGCAACCTCTGCCTCCAGAGTTCAAGCAATTTTCCTGCCTCAGCCTCCCAAGTAGCTGGGATTACAGGCGCCTGCCATCATGTGGCTAATTTTTTTGTATTTTTAGTAGAGATGGAGTTTCACCATGTTGGCCAGGCTGGTCTCGAACTCCTGACCACAGGTGATCCACCCGCCTCAGCCTCCCAAAGTGCTGGGATTACAGGTATGAGCCACCATGCCCAGCCTAGCTTATTTTCATATGTGGACCAATCTCCAATTTGTTGAATTCTGAGTATCCAAAATTATACAAAAATGTGAGTAACATAAATTCACAAACCCCTAGCCTTTGAGTCTATTCAATAAAGATGTTCTGTTTTCATATATTGTTTATGTGCAAAAACTATGTATTTTTAAATTTTCATGTGCTTTTCTCAACCACTGCTGTCATATTGAAGTGGCAGGAGACATGTCTTAATAGAAAGAGTATGAGATTGTGGAATCAAATAGAACTGGTCTTAAATCACAGCTCCAACATGTTAGCTCTGTGGCCTTGGGCGTCAGTGAGCCTTTAAATGTAAAATGGAGATAATGGTACTTGCTAATGGGTTTATTATTCATATTTGGTTAGCACAGGGCCCCTGTTGTTAATGTGTGTATCCCCATGTCCTACAGAGTTGGACCTCAGCAGGGATTTATTGAGTGATTGAATCATGCAGTCCTCAGCAGAGCTGGTTGGCTCTGAATAGGAGCTGCCTCATGGTAAAGATGATTCATTTGCAAACCACTGGCTAGAAATTAGAAAAAGGGTACTGAGAATCTACTGAAGTAGCTGTGTATAGACCTCTTACCACATGCCAGGCACTGTTTTAAGTGCTTCAGTTCATTTATCTTATTTATCTTAAAGAATTTTAGCCTGAAGTAAATGAAAAAAACAGAAAACCTGTAGGAAGGGAGTTGGTAAAGGTGAATTAAGGTGGAGACTCTCATAAGAGATAGCAAAGACAAATAAATTAATATCAATTTCAGGGCAGCACTGGTGCCTGCAAAAGGCTCAGGAAGTGTGTGTGTGTGTGTGTGTGTGTGCGCGCGCGCGCGCGCGTGCATGCACACTCGTGCTGGGTGGGGAAGAAATGTTAGATCCACGTAACTTACTGGAAATCTCCATTTAATTTCACTGAATTTTGTAAACTTTCGATCATAAATACCCTGATCTGCTATCCCTCACCCCCAGCCCTCTCACAGACACCCTCACATGCATGAAATGAACTGAGTATGCACTACACTATTTTTTAATTTGACAGCACCATTAACCATCATTAGTTCTGTTTTTAAGCATGTAACATTTTATTAAGGCAGTCATTTAAACTTAGTGTAGTGGGAAATTTTAGACATAAATTGTTTGTTTTGATGGCAAGAAGACTGCATAACACGGAGTGAGTCTGTGCTAACTGTACGACACTCATGGCCAAGGAACAAAGCTGGGAGTGATCCAAGGCTTTAAATTTGAATATATTTAACACCCCATACTTTGCTGAGTTTAGAGGGCAGACTGTCTGCTATCTTTACATTTGCACTTGCATTTCCCCCTATCTTTACACAGAACCTTTAAGCTAAGATTTAGTTCCCTGAAAGAATGGAAAGAGATGTATTAAGATTATGGGGTTCTCAGCAGAGCTGGTTGGCCCCTTTAATATTAACTGACTTATGGTAAATGTGATTCATCTATGAAAATAGTGGCTATAAATAGATGTTAATAGCGCTCAGTTGCAGAACAGCCAGGTTGTGCTCACATGGCCAGATTAGGGGAAAAAATCCTGTTGGGTATTTTATGTGGTCTTTCAAAAAAAAAAAGTTTCCTTTTATTGCCCTACTCACCCACATTTGAAGACACTAAACTCAGCCAGCTGCAGTAAAGCTATCTGATGGCTAAAAAAAGACAATTGAAAACAAGATAACCTAATTTAGTAATTGGCCTCCGTTATCTTTTTTCTCCCATTTTCAGTAAAAATCATTGAAACATTTTCTTAGTGATATTTTTCCTTGTAGGGCATAGACAAGTCTTTAGACAAGGGATTGGAAAGTGGGGATGTATGATTCAGGTTCATATTCCCAAGGATTCTAAGTCCTAAGAGAAAGTCAAAGCCACAGAGAGAAAATCAAATAAGAGCTTCAGAAGGTGGTGCAGTAGTCTCTCATCCATCACCCATAGTATCAGGCACTTAGTATTTTCCATCATCACCTGCTCACTTGTTATATGCCTGTGAGTGTCCAAAAGTGCTTCCTTGTTGTGAGCTGAAATCCAGCTCCCAGGAACTTTAGTTCGTGTATCCTGGTTCTGCCTCCAGAACTAAAGCAAGCCAAGCTACTCTTCTTGCCACAGTGTAGTCCTTTAACCGAAAGGACTCTATTCTTCTTTATTCCAAATGAAACACTCAGTTTCTTTATTCATTTCTTACACCACCTAGTTTCAGTCTCCTCCACCCACAACTCACAAACACATTTTGATTGTGCCCCTTCAGCCCAGGGTCTTTCTTAAAGATATGCATGGAATTGGGTATAATTTCCCAGATATTAAACACAACTAAAGCAGTGAATTGGTGAAGGTATATACTCAGGGAAGATCTTAGCAGCTTTTCTGATAGTGGTTCCAGTTGGAATTTTAAGTATGGATCCAAAAATTTGATAGTAGGTGTTTAATGAAAACTTCTTCCAGTTTAGCTTATCAGGTGAATGCTTGTAATGATACCTTTCACATGCATGTTTCTTGATACATCAGGAGACAGGGTATTATTTCCCCAGTTTGCAGATTCCTCGTCTGCAAGATTCAGGAATCTTCAATAATTTTAGTTTACAAACAGTGGACCACAGATAAAAAGCTAGGTATTCTGACTTTTTTTTCTCTATGCTCATGCTAAATTAATTGACATTTACTCTCTTTTTAGTTTGGAAGTGTTCTTTGGTTTCTTGTTTTCTACGTGCTGCAGTCAGAGAAGCTGCTGGGCTGTAGATACAGAATAAACAACCACTGATGAGGTCCAGTAGGGCAGACTTACATCATGGCTTTTCTTAGCTGTGTGTTGTGAAGAAAGGACAAAAAGAAATATAAAAATCTTCAAGTATAAATAGTGATTTATCCAAGTTTTCCATTACAAATCAGTGACTCTTTAAAGATTCTTTTCTCATTTAAGGTTGAAACAGGGCTGAGAATGTTTTCCAGATCTTTGTGGAATACAGCAGAAAAAGGAAATTATTTTTATGTAGTCCAAGTTAGGTTTAAATGCATTTTTAAATGCCACACTTCCAACCCTAGATCAGAGCTCTTGAAAATCATATGATTCTTTTAACAGTTTTCAAACTACATCACTTTCCATATTTCTTCCAACTTCATGCTCTGGTTTTTCTTAGAAATACAGTGATAATGAGCCAGTCACTTAACCTTTCTATTTTCTTTGAATTTTTGTCCGTTTGGACCTTGGAGCCAGTTTTGTCCAATCCCCTTACACTGTAACCAAATCCCAGCAAGGTTAACTGATGTGCCTATGGTCATGCCCTGAGCCAACACCAGAAGGCAGGTCTCTTGCCTACATCTCTGTTGTTCTTTCCATTGTATCACTTCTTGTTCATAGGCCAACCCCTGTTTCCTCCAGCTCTAGGAAGATGTGAATCCTAAAAGATAAAAATGCACCTTTCAGAGAACCCGAAATTTCCTACAAATTTTTATTTTTGTGAACCATCTTCCTCACCTTTTAGGTAACAATAGATCACCCTGAGTGCCTTTTGGCCTCCTCTTGCCTAGGCCAACCCAGCCTAATAAGGACCTTGAGGTAAACAGGTGATTCAGAGGAGGTCAAGAGTTTCCATCTTTACATTCCAACGTGAGGTCTTCCCTTTCTTTCATCTAAGGAACTGTGACTAGAATAGAGATGGGTTGTTGTAGAGAAGATGTTGCAACTCTTAAAGCGCCTTGGGCTACCCCTAACTTCTAAGCCATTTGGCTCCCCTTTCCCAGCATCTCAGGTATACTCCATTTATCTTCCTATAACTGGCAGAAAGTTTAATAACTTCTTGCCTCTGAAGCATATAAGTTTAGTCTGAAACATTTGCACTTTCTCTTTTTAGGGGAAGAGAGGGAAACTAACTTTTCTAAAGCTTCTGTTTTTGCCAAATAATACGATTCATTCTTCCTATTCCTTACGTCTTTTTTTTTTAGACACACGGAGTTGATATTATTCTCTTCAATCTACTGATGAAAAAACTGAAGTGTTATAAAGCTCACAGCTTATTATATTAATAGTAGAAATACAGGTTCACGAGTAAATACAAAATACTAGGAAATACTGTAAATAATGTTCAATGCACAAAGTGTTTTGGAAGGATTTGAGAAAGAATGACTAATTCTGCCAAAGGGCCTTAGTAAAGCCATCTCAGAGATAAGCTTTATCTTGGAGAATGAAAAAGGGTTCCCAGGCCATATGTATAGGTAGAAGGTGGATGAAAAACACAGTATGTGGGGAATATCAAATTGTGCCTATGCTGAAGCACAGGAGGTGTTCAATGGTGAAAAGTGAGGGCAGAAAGGTCAACTGTGGGTATGCATCACAGGGCTGTTTATAATAAGGGAGATGAAACAACCATGTATCCAACAAATAATAGGGAATAATTATATGGATCATAGAATATCAGTGCACATATTCTGTGGCCAGTGAAGCAGCCAGAAAAAGTCAAGTTTTCAAGGAGTATTTAATAATGTAGGAAAATATTTGTAATTTGTAATAAGTTAAAAAATTTGGAAAAAATATATTGATTTATCTATTATATTGTTTTCATATTTGTGAGGTGTTTTTCAGAAGAGAAAAGGGGATGAATGAGATAAAACCTTGAAATTGATCAACAATGCAATAGCATGTTGCCTTGATAGCAGCTGGTTTGATTATCCATGAGGTGGGAAAAGAAGACTAAGGAAATTTGAATGTGAACTATAAATTAGGTGATATTAAGAATTTACTGTTTTCAGGAGATCTAGACCATCCTGGCTAACACGGTGAAACTGTATCTCTACTAAAAATACAAAAAAATTAGTGGGGCATGGTGGTGGGCGCCTGTAGTCCTGAGGCAGGAGAATGGCGTGAACCTGGGAGGTGGAGCTTTGTAGTGAGCCGAGATCGTGCCACTGCACTCCAGCCTGGGTGAGAGACCAAGACTCCATCTCAAAAAAAAAAAAAGAAGTTACTGTTAATCTTATTAGATGTGTTAATGGCATTGTGTTTATGTGAAGAATGTGCTTTTTATTTTTCCAGATGCATAATGAGGTATTTAAATGTGAAATGACATGTTCTCCTGGGATTTACTTTTAAATACTCCAGAAAAAAATAATGGCAGGGGATAGAGGTGAAATAAATATGGCAAAATATTGAGGATCTCTGAAGATGGGTAAAGAGAACATGGGTTTTATTCTTCTTTCTACATTTTGTATATTTGGAAATGTTCATAATAAAAGATTTGAAAGAAAGCACTAGGCACATATTGGATACATAAACATTTTAAGAAGTGGTTTCCTTGCCAGTCGCCGTGGCTCACGCCTGTAATCCCAGCCCTTTGGGAGACCGAGGCGGGCGGATCACCTGAGGTCAGGAGTTCAAGACCAGCCTGGCCAACATGGTGAAACCCCGTCTCTACTAAAAATATAACTAGCCGGGCATGGTGGTGGATGCCTGTAATCCCAGCTACTCTGGAGGCTGAGGCAGGAGAATTGCTTGGACCCAGGAGACAGAGGTTGCAGTGAGCCGACACAGTGCCACTGCACTCTAGCCTCGGCGACAGAGTGTGACTCTGTCTCAAAAAAAAAAACTGAAAAACAAGAGGTGATTTTCTTAAAAGAAAAAAAGAGAGTGCCATGGGGGAAAGGGGAGAAAAGAAGAAGGAAGGCACCAAGCTTGGGTATCAGGCATAGACAGAGAAACAGGA
Organism: Homo sapiens; assembly: GCF_000001405.40. Taxonomy (NCBI): domain Eukaryota; kingdom Metazoa; phylum Chordata; class Mammalia; order Primates; family Hominidae; genus Homo; species Homo sapiens. The sequence goes on from NC_000003.12 coordinate 99,942,957, forward strand.
GAGTAAACTATGTCCCAGGAGCCAAGAGAGAATTATTTCAAGGGGCAAAGAGCTGCTGTGACCTCATTTTAACAACATTACCACTGCTTAGAACAACTTTGGACCTCCACTTTTGGAGTCATCTGCTTTGAAATATCCCTCAGCTGGGGCAAAGCCTGTTTCTTTAAAGGCGAACTTAATTTCTGATAACAAGAACAGGTTCCTTAAAAACAAATCTAGTGAATCTAGTGGTCAGCTCATGCCTATTTTGGTCAAAAGAACCAATTATGACATTAAAATAATGGGACTGGCTTTTGTGTGTGGCCTTCAAAGGAGGTTTGAAGACATTTCCAAAATGTGTCAGCCCTGACACTTTTTCAGAATAAGCTTCATAAGATAAAACCTTCAATAACATTACACATTTGGATTAATAACTCCGGGCTTTTATTTTTCATATTCCATCTACTTTGGTTAAATGTTAAATCTTGCCGGGTATGGTGGCTCATGACTGTAATCCCAAAACTTTGAGAGGCCAAGGCAGGTGGATCATCTGAGGTCAGGAGTTTGAGACCAGCCTGACCAATATGGTGAAACCCCATCTCTACTAAAATTACAAAAATTAGCCGGGCGTGGTGGCATGCGCCTGTAGTCCCAGCTACTCGGGAGGCTGAGGCAGGAGAATCGCTTGAACCCGGGAGGTGGAGGTTGCAGTGATCCGAGATCACGCCACTGCACTCCAGCCTGGGCAACAGAATGAGACTCCGTCTCAAAAAAAAAAAAATTACATCTTTGGTGTCTTGGAGCTTCAGTCTATTTTCTATAATCCAAATATAAGCAAAGCAGTAATAAACAGCATGGTAGACAGCAGGGGAAAGAGCATAGGCTCTGGAGTCGGCCTGGCCGAGTTATAATCTTACTTCCCTCGCAACTTCTGCTGTCCAAATTGGGTCAAACTACTTCATTTCTTCAGGGCTCAGTGTTTTATAGGGTTATTGGGAGGATTAGAGATGACACATACAAGATGCTGTGCCTGGTACCTAGAACATGATAGGAACTCATAGCTTATCCTAATGGAGATGTCATAATGATACAACTTTATCTCTTGGTTCAGCAGACATGCCTTCCCTCTTAGAACATCAAATGAGATAAGAAAATAACTAGTGGATTTTTAGCATCATGAGGAGAGTACATTACTCAGGCCCTACCTCACCAAAGGGAGGGAGTTCTTCTAGTCAGTGCTAAACAAGTATTTTAAGAGTGTGTGTTATTTTGTGCCTAACTGAGATGGAGATTGGCAAGCTGAAGAAATTGGGATTTGGCCAAGAACCAGTGCTTGTTGTTTAGTAGAGAGGTGATAGGGAACTATGATCCTGCCAGTTTGGAGGGACGTAACATGAAATGACTTCTTGGTCCAAGCTGGCTACAGCTGTTCCAAAAAAGATGACAAAGGCTGCTGATTCAGAGGGGGATACTCACCCAGGCTGTCACGTCTGTCTCTCCACCAAGCAAGACTTTTTTAATCCTCTAACACAACAGCAACACAAAATTTACTGTCTGCAGGCACAATGCTAAGGCACTTTGTGCACACTAAATCGTTAGGCACTGAAAACAACCCTGTAAGGTAGTACTCTGATTCATCTGCACTTTATGGGTTAAAGTAACCGAAACCTAAAGAGGTTAAGTTAATCTGCCCCAAGCCACAGAACTGGCAAGTGGCAGAACAGGAATTCAAACTGGCTTCAGAGCCCACCCAGTCTTTGCAAGCCTACTTTCTAATGCCTGAATTCCTTCTCTTTAGGAAGAATTATCTGTGTAAAGTTGGGAGAGACATCTCAGCAATTATGGTGCAGCACTGACTATATCAATAAAATTAAAGTAGCCAGTATCTTTCACCAAAGACCTGCATCACAAAGTGGTGAGAAGAGAAAAAAACATAGATCACCAGGGAGAAAGGGAAAAAGCCTAGGTTTGGTCAAATCTGCGATGAAGGCACAGAGTGAATTAAATTCAAGCTTCTTCACTACTGTTCATTATTCGGCTCATTCTAGGCAGTAGGGAGGGAGTTGTTATAAAGCAGGAGCTTATAACAGCTTTTAGACTCTGCTTAAGTCAAAAATCATCAAGAATCATCAAAAAGCATCAAGGAAAATACACAGAACAAGCAGTCACCCTGCTGTGCTCTCCCTGATGCTTTTTGGTGGTCATGTGGCTGTGACTAGACCCTATGAGTTCGGGTTAAGTCCTGGGTTCTTCAGACTGATAAAAGGTTTCTTCTCATGTCTTCCTCTAAGAAGGGCCATCTCCACCCTTTCCAAAGTCCCACTCATCGCTACGAAGGAGTGCTTTCCCCATACTCCCTCATGAGGTGAGGTTGGCTTACCCAGACTGCTTCCCAGCCTTGTTGCGTAGATCTGGACCTCAGACTCTCTGAGGTCTGTGGTAATGGGGATAGATTGAGCTTGGGGGTTCCACCCACTGTGTGTGGTTCCATATAGCCCTTTGTTAGAAAGCACCCAGGGCAGCCAAGAGTGCGTGTTGACTAAGGAGGGTGGCTGCTGCTAGGAACTGTAAGTAAATAAATGGATGTCAGAAGCTTACAATTAAGGAGGGAAACAAAGAATCATTACTCTCCCTTAAGCATGTTGCTTTGGATGTTTTAGCAATGATTATGAAGCATTTACACACAGACTAAACTAAGCTCTTTGTGTTCCTTGCAAGGTAGAGAGCCTGCCAAGTCAATTTCAGCATGCAAAACCCAGACAATTATTTTGGCATTTAGGAGCAGCCACTGTTTTTGCTAGGGGTTGGGGGCTGGCAGCCTGTTGACACAGGAAGCCTTCATAAGGAAAGAGAAGTCAACTTTAACCCCAATTTTTTTAAAAAGAGAAACCCTGTCAGGGCTCTCACGTTCCCACCTCTTATGCGAAACCTCTTGTCACAGAGCCAGTGGGAGAAGCCCTTGGGCTTAGAAGTGCCACACATGCTTTTGTGTCCACAGCGTGCAACTCATTCATAGCTGTTTTCATATCCTCTGCCTAGCAGCTCTTTTGTGAGTGTGTGCATACAGACAGTTGGTAGATGTATTTCTAGTAATAACCAATAAAAAGATAAAGTTCTTGAAATTATGGTCTTGGTTCATCAGATAATATATGCTTTATGATAGTCATTCTCAACCTGTAAGCCCAGAACTCCTGGGAGCTTTCAGAGTTGACAAAAGGGGCCCTGCAATCCATATAGCAAAAGCATTTTAAAAAATTGGGTATGTCTATTACATCTTCAGAATAGCCCTGGATACTATTGTGATTGATAGCTTATAAGCTGCTTTAAAGTTTTCTGAATTTGTTATAGGCTTTTATAACTATGTCTTCACTCAGTCAATGAATAGAAAAAGCTACAACTATCAATGGAGAATTTGGAAATTTTTTGTTACGGAAAAGGAGTTTTCATCCTAGAAAGGGTGTGTAAGCAGTATCCAAAGGTCTTTTCTGTGTGGCTGCTAAACAAAAGACTGCTTTCTTATTATTGAACCTTTTGGTAGTGTTTTCTGACACAAATGATTTCATGTCTGTATCAGAACTGCCCTGTTGATGTAGCTGCAGCTAAAGAATGGGCTGAAGGCATTTGGTCTTACAGACTGTTAATCTGAAAAAAGCAAATGATGCCATTTTTTTTAGTGTTAAGACTTTATGCATCTAACCCACTCTCTTCAGTACAAGTTACCATGCACATCATAATTACTTGAAGGTATTTGAGGGATGATTGTAGTTTAACGTGGTGGTGGCTACATCTGGAGGCCTGAATCCACAGTATTCTTATTTTTAGCCTTTAGTAGGGACTGCTTCTTCCAGTATGTTGGCTGCAGTATTTAAAGTAGTGATTTGCTGGCTCTATACTACAAAGTACCAAATTGCCAATAGGCACTGTCTCCATCAAGGATACAGTCATTTGTTGCACAGGTGCTAACAGAGGTGGGCGGATCTCCTGAGGTCTGGAGTTCAAGACCAGCCTGGCCAACATGGCAAAACCCCGCCTCTACTAAAAAAATACAAAAATTAGCGGGGCGTGGTGGCAGGCACCTGTAATCCCAGATACTCGGGAGGCTGAGGCAGGGAGAATCACTTGCAGCTGGGAGGTAGAGGTTGCAATGAGCTGAGATTGTGCCACTGCACTCCAGCCTGGGCGACAGAGCAAGACTCTGTCTCAAAAAAAAAAAAAAAAAAAAGTAATAATATATTCAGCACTGAAAAATGGGGAAGCAGGCACAAAGAATTTTTAAAATTTACCTTTAATTCAACCACGCAGAGATTTATACCCTTGACCTTTTGTATAGTTTCCCATAGACTTTCTTATCTTTGTATCTGTTATACTATACATATTGTTTAGGGAACATTAGCTATTGTCATAAATCTTCCATACCATGATATTTGATAGCTACATAGTATTTCATTGTATGGAGGTGCCATTATTTATGTAACCATTCTCCTATTATTGGATATTTAGTTAACCACTCTCCAGTCCTTCCTGCCCCACCCCCTTCACCTTAGTGGCCTTTTCCCTATGGATCCAGAAGGGACCCAGAGCTAAAAAGGAACCTTGACTTTGTCTGGACTTCACAAAACTGGCAGGAGTCCATGAGAACTGTCCTCGGCTGAGAAAAATATCTGTTCGTTGTTTTAAAGTCATGATGACAGTGGCTGCAGGATTTAATCGCAACTCATAATCATTATTCTACCTCCCCTCTAAATTCTTTTTCCCTTACCAAATAAAAATATAAAATTGTTTTGAATACTTTTAATAAGGTAAAAAGAAAAATAGAAGGCATGTATACTGCTGGGGTAGACCACTATACTACCTTTCTAGGCCCTGAAAGTTGAGAATTTGAAAATGAAATAAGAATTTAGAATATTTGTCCAAATAATTCATCTTTAACAATAGGACATTTATTTGCACATTTTTTCCTTTCATGGAGGAAGCTGTTATTATATTTACAGATTACCTCATCATATAGACTTGAATAAAAAATATGAGAATCAGACCTGTAGAGCATATTTCAAACAAAATTAAAAGCAGAGCTGTGTAGACAATGGTGGTGGTAAGATAATAAGTATTTTTTATTCTAAAGCTATAACATTCTGTTTCTGATTTATAGAGTATGTCATCATTTTAATGCTGTCTTATGTCCAAAAAATAAGTAGTTAACAGTAGTGCATTAGAAACATGGTTACCAAACAGTATACCAAAAACTAAAACATTGCATGGTATAGGACATGGAGAGAAGAACCAAAGTTTGTTTAGAAAAGAGAGTCTCAGGCCAGGCATGGTGTCTCACACCCGATCACTTGAGCCCCGGAGTTTGAGATCAGCCTTAGCAACATAGTGAGACTGTCTCTCCAAAAAAATAAAAAAATTAAAAAATTTTTTAAAAATTAAGTAAAAATAAGAAAGAAAAAAAATTAGCTCGGTAGGGTGATGCACACCTGTAGTCCCATCTACTCGTGAGGCTGAGGCAGAAGGATCAGGATCACCTAAGTCCAAGAATTGGAGGTTACAGTGAGCCATGATTATATCATCACTGCACTTCAGCCTGAGAAGGGGGAGGGGAAGGGAGGGGGAGGGGGAGAAGAAGGAGAAGGCGAAGGAGAAGAAAGGAGGGAGAGAGAAAGAGAGGGGAGGGGAAGGGAGAGAGAGAGGAAGGAGGAGGAGGAGGGAGAAAGAAAGAGGGGAAGGGAAGGGAAAGAGGAAGAAGAAGAGGAGAAAGGAGAGAGAAAGGGAGAGGAAGGGAAAGGGAAGTGGAAGGGAAGGAAAGGAAAAAAGAGGAAAAGGAAGGAAGGAAAGAAAAAGAGAAAGGAAAGAAAAAGAGAAGAAAGAAGAGAGCCTCAGAATCATAAGACATCATCAGGGTTGGAAGGATCTGGAGATTGATTTGCCCCACTCCCTCTCAGCAGGACTTAGAGACTGGACACCCTCATTGTAAACTGCACACTGTAACCAGCACACATCCATACTATGAGGGGTCTTTTTGCATAACTGTGTGGTCTTAAAAATGTGGCCAATTCTTTCAAGATATATCCAGAATCCTTTAGCCATTTTATTTCCTAGCATACAGCTGTTAGTTGAATGCCACCTGACATAAATTTTGGTGAGTAAATTCCAAAAAAAATTGGGAGGAATATTTCATAAATGTGAAAGCAGGATAAAGTTCCCAAAAATCTGTGAGCAAGTAGCCAGAGTGATTTATTGTTAAGATTATAACTAAAGAAAAACTTGCCTTGTAACCTCCTGGTTCTAAAAATGCTGAGGCTAGGCCTACAAAAAAACTTTAGGCTGGTTTCCTCAATTTTTATTTTGACATATTTGTATGATTCAGTTTGTTTGTTTTTAATAAGCTAAATTTAAATAAAACCCTCCATAGTTGGCAACTGGCTTCTTGGTTAAATATTTAAATATACTTAGGATTTTTGTTCTTCAGCTCTGTCTAAAAAGTCAGTTGTATAGTAGTTCTTTACTTGAGGAAGTCAGGAATGCATAACTGTCTGTGCTTCCACGTATAGTCCCACCTTTCAACAGGCAATTTTACTCGCAGTACGTTTTATCAGTTGAAAGAAGGAAAAACAAACAATTCTATAGCAACCTTGGAATCTTTCTCAGGGCACTAACATGGCTGTATTTCAAAGTACTTAATATTTTCCTAAGAAAGACAAAGAAGTGCATGGTGCTTATGTTATAATTTCCTAATCAGAAAGGTACAACAACACTTAAAAGGTGATTAGAGTTGCACAATGAAATATTTGTAGTGGTTCTTTTAGCCATTATGTATCTAAAGTAGAATTTTTACTTTTTGGTCTTCTAAGTTCTGAGAATCAGAATGAGACTTACATGTAGAAATAATTCTTTGATTTGTTCATATTTTCCTTAAAATCCATCACAATTATTACCAAGGACATTCTTAATCAGCTGTGTGTGTGTTAGGGAGGTATCAGGCTGAGTTGTTCTGTTGCTGCTTTATACATATTCTTGGATATCATTAATTATTTCCCAGAATAACCTTTACTTTCATAATCAAAGGTATGCTTCTACCTTCGACTTTATATGTATTTTTGGCTACCTGCTAAGGAGGATTGGGGACAAGGTCATTTTAAGGTGTCACTTAGTCACTTGGAACCATTAGGTTAGAGAACAAAAGTAGGTAAAGTTTATAAAGCACAAGGAGCCACCTACTGTAACTGTAGATAGGACTTTTTTCTTATTTACTTCCTTATCTATATTTTCTCTTGCCACTTGCCCTGGTTTCTCTGTGTCCATGCTATGTATCGGAAATAGACTATATTACTGGAAAAGGATGATAGTTATACCAGAGCTCTTACTAAATGTTAGAAATTTTTACAGCATCTCATTTAATCCTAACAATTCTGTGATGGATGCCTGATTATTCTTATTTCTATGGGTAGGGAAATCAGAACTTAGAAAAGTTAAGTAAGTTGCCCAAAGCCACAAAGTTAATAAGTGGCAGGGCCATGATGCACATGTCCTATTCCTGAGATTTTTTCACTTCTTTATATTATCTTCCGTTTTCACTAGTCTCCCCTGGTGACTTTCCTTCCTTTTCAGCTACAAAATTTCATTCATCGGATAGTATACTTGAAGTTTTAAAATGTGCTGTTCCCAGCAGGAAGTGGCCCATGGCTGTATGACTATCCCCACTCACCATTTCCAATATTCGCCTCCCCAGACAGAAAGAGGAATGGAGGCAGCCCACGATTCTCTTTACACGTTTCATATATTCAGAAAAAGCTGTGTGTTAAATTCTTTGTTATGTTTTCCTTTTGCTTTGTGCTCATTGAATATGGTGCTGGAGACTTAGGTAAATATTCAAAACAGAGCTATGTATTTGGCCCAAGATTAAAAGGAGAGTAAAAATAAAGAGAGAGAGAGAGAAAGAAAGAGAGAAAAACTGATCACGGAGACAGTAGTAGCTGGAGGGAGGGGAAGGCTGTCACCCAGGGATTATTGGGTTTGACTCTGCCCTTGGAATAACTCAAAACTTGTTAAGAGGGATCCAAGCCCTGCTTGGTTTGGCCCACAGTTTCACCTCATGCCCCTCCCTTTGTCACTCTTTCTGCACCTAACGTGCTGGCCTTGAGTTAAGTCACTTACACTTAACTATTTTCTCTCTCACTCATAGGCCTTTGCCTGTGCTGTGCTCACTGCTTGGGCCTCTTCCCTCAGCTGTTCACTCAGCTAACTCCCACTTAGCCTTCAGCCCTCAGCTGATACTTCCTGGAGAAGTCCTCCCTGACTTCATAACCACATTATACACTCTAGTAGCACTAAGACCTCCTTCTTCTACCAGTAATTACAGTAGCTATTTTACTTACATCTATATTATTATCTAAAGAATTTCAACCTCCCCCACTGAACCCTTAGTCCTGTGGGTACAGGACGTGGTCTGTTTGCTCACGGATACCTTGCGCATAGTATGTACTCTGTCGAATGAATGAATGATTGAATGAATGAGGTTGTCTTGAAAGTCATCAAATGATGAGATTTTGTTTTAGTCCAGTCTCCCTGGTAAAAATCGCTTGGACTTGACCTAGTAGAGCTCATGTATTTGCAACTCTGTGAGATAGTAGACTAAGAAAGATGAGAAATAGTGATGAAGCAAGTGTTTTTGTACCATCATTGCTGCCTGACCACCTCCCCCACCACATATACACAGTCCCCACTATGTTGGGCTTGGCCACCTTATGTCTCTTCCCTAATGACATCCAGTGACTAATTGACCCAATAGGTACCCTTAGATCATGGGTCAGCAAACTCTTTCAGTAAGGAGCCAAACAGTAAATATTTTAGGTTTTGCAGTTTCTGCCACAACTACTCAAACTCTATCTTTCCAGAAAGCAGCTATGGAATGATATACATGTGAATGGCTGTGGCTATGTTCCAATAAAGCTTTATTTACAAAACAGCCATATTTTGCTGACCCTTGCCTTAGATGAGGTTCTGAAGTAATAGTGAGAGAACCTATAAGTAAGTCAATCTGCAAGAATACCTGCCCCCACACCCTTAGTTGAAATTTATTTTAAAAATTACTGTTTATTCCAGTGGACCATATGTAACTGCACATGTGACCTAGGGCCAACTCTGAAGCTGTTAAAGAGAATATATAGATTTGGCACAGGCATCACCAGAGGTTGTTAAGAGTCGCACAGACCACAGTCTCCTATAGATGTGTTTTTTTTTTTCGTTGACTTAATAAGGGGAATAAGGGTCAATTTCTATTTGAGATCTGATATAGTCTCTGATCACAAAATTTGTCTCCTAAATCAAATTAGGGCAGTTTCAATTGGATTATTTTGGCTTAAGCTAGACATCTAAGGTATTTTCATAATGAGCAAATTATCACTATACAATTCAAACATTTTCCTCAGCTGTTCTTCTGCCAGTCATTATGTCTGTTCAAGTTGAGGAAACAGAATAATTTTCTGGCTGATCCTACCCCAGCCCCAAAAATTCCAACTCTGAGAACCAGTGTAAAGAATTCAGGATCTGTGTGGAGTTCATTCATGGTTGGCTTAGTCATTGTGGAATAGAAGCCACAAGGAATGGATCATTTACATTCTCAGTTTATTAAACTTCTGGTGCTAGAAAACACTATGCTTTGGTTCTTATAGGCATAGATACACGGCTTTTAAACACATACACACAGAGAGAAAGAGAGCACTGTTCAAGAAGCATGAATTTCCTCTTTCTACCCTATATTTTTAAATAATATCTATAGTTTACTAGCTTTGAGTGAAGAAGGGAAAAAACAGAAACAGTTATTATTAAATTGCTCATGAATATTCCTAAGAAGAAACACAAGAAAACGTGTCTTACAGATTTTATTTGAATTAGTTAAGGATAATTTCAATCTTTATATGTTGGATTGTTTTTCTGCATAATGAAAAAAAGAATGCTATAGAGGTATACCCCCAAAATGGGCAATGGATTGTAGATAGTTTTGGAAATAACCCAGAATATAGCCTCTCATTGATTTGGTTTTTGTCACTGAACTGAGTGGTCTCTGAAGGTGGATTTTCTCATGACTGTTCCTTTTCTCTATCAAGTGCCAGAACTTTTTTAAAAATTGTCATCTTGATAAAAATATATTTTAAAGTAATTCATACTTAGCTGCATACTTAAAGGTCAATGCTATGTATATAAACAGCATATGAAGTATTAAATAATATTATCTTTTTGTATTTCATTTTCTACTTCCTCTGTGTTGTCAACAATCATTTATTTATATTGGTTAAGTTATTGGTTAAGCTATAACCAATCGTTTCTTTGTTCCTCTGACCTGCTTCTACCTTCTACCCTATGTCTAGTTTTTGCTTCTAGACATAGGGCAAACCAATGAAATTCTAAGGAAGTAGAATTTCTTAGACTGAGAAATCAGATAACCAATGAAATTCTAAGGAAGTGAAGTAGTGCAGAGGTTCTGAGGGTGCAGTTTGAGGTACAGATGCCTTTATGTCACTTTGTCTGGACTGGAGTTGTATAATTATTATGTCCTAGGAAGGTGGCAGTTGATCTGTCTCTATTTCATGCCACGTTGGACCATTTTACCTTTGAATGGGGTCCTAAATCCTTGCATTTTTAAAGAATTCAATAAAATCCAACCAGTCTTTTCTAAGATGACTTTGTGAGGGCTGTTCCTATTGTCTTGCTAATAGGAAGATGCTATAAATATATTTGAAACACTGATTACTTGTCATTTCTACTGGAATGTGCTTTTCATAGATAATGAAACCACAGTGATGGCCTTTCCTAGAAACTCAGTCTATACTGACAGAGAACTGCCCAAACAGTCCACATAGGCAATTAGCTAGCTTATTCAGTTGTGCCCTTTCATGAGGAATCCTGTCTTCCTTGATCCACAAATAGTCTGCCCATGCTGGAGGCAGAAGGCACCAAGGCATACCTCCCACACTGACCTGCTCTGTGGTTGACCAGTGCCTCTCTTCCCACATTGTAAGTCTCTTAAAGCTCCCCTGCAGTCTTCTTAGAAGTTGCATTCCTTATTTTTGTTGCACCCTTAAGAGAGTTACCTTGTTGTACATGTGACCCTCAAGGAGGAGAAGGTGGTGGCATCTCAGTTTGTAGCAGCCTTAGGCTAAGCAAGCTGTATGAGGGCTCATCTCACTTAACACTTCAGTAACTGTGAGGTACAAATATTGGTCTTCATATTTCACAGGTGACAAACTTGAAGATCAGGAAGCTGAAGTCCATGCCCAACATCACATAGCTAAGAAATAGTAGAGCTGGGCTTTGAGCCCAGGTCATCTAATTCCACAGCCCAGGTTCTCTCTGATACCCCATCCTGCTGCCAAGAGGGAGTATAATATTCATGCTAGACACACTTTGGGCCAGTATCTCACATAATAATCCAGCCACACTGTGAGATAGGTATCATAATGGCTCCCAGTTTAACACAAACAAGGGACATTAGGAAACTTGATGACAGTCACTCATCAGTTAATGGCAAAACCAGAAAAAGAACTCAACCTCTGTTTGACTCTCAGTTTCTCTAAGCCTCAATTTCCTCATTATAAAATAAGAATAACTGGGCTGGGCACAGTGGCTCACACCTGTAATCCCAGCACTTTGGGAGGTGGAGGCAGGTGGATTACTTAAGGTCAGGAGTTCGAGACCAGCCTGACCAACATGGTGAAACCCCGTCTCTACTAAAAATACAAAAATTAGCCAAGCATGGTGGTGCCCACCTGTAATCCCAGCTACTCAGGAGGCTGAGGCAGGAGAATCGCTTGAACCCGGGAGGTGGAGATTGCAGTGAGCTGAGATCACACCACTGCACTCCAGCCTGAGCCACAGAGCAAGACTCTGTCTCAAAAAAAAAGAAAAAAAAAAGTCACAACAGACTGTTAGGATTATTGTTAGGGTAAAATGAAATAATTGAAGTGCTAAGCACCACGTCTGGCATAAAATAAGCCCACAATAAATGTTAGCAAAGGCAAAATCACTTTGAATAGAAAAATCCTGCCATTCTCCTCTCATCTGTTTTGCCTCTTACAAAGATTCCATTATATAATGGTAAATGAAAGGGTATCTTCTCTCACTTAAAACAGAAAATTAGATCAAGTGCTGGGTAATTTGTCTTTCATCACCTAAGTGATTACACAAGTGGTTTCAAGGCCCCTTTCAATTCTATGGCTGTATCATTCTAGCAATGGGGTGCTGTTTTTTCTATTAAGAACCTGCAGGTCAGAACTCAAGTCTTCTCTGTAGTAATAAAGTGGCATGCTCACACAGAGGATGGAACAGAGCTATTAGCAAAACTTAGTAAAGACTTTGATTTTCAGAGTTGTAAATGACAAGGAGTATAAACAGAGACCTACGGAATATTTGTTTCTCATGGAAAGATACCTACAACATTTTTAAAAGATGAAAACAAAGGCTAGATAATTGATTTTTTTAGCGAAGGCATTTAAGAAAATATTTGCTTTGTGCTTGGCTCTGGGGGATAATAGAAGTAATTATTAAACCGGAATTTAGTGGCCCAAGTTGAATCAGGAAGCCAGTTCCTCAGAACAGTTCCCAGCAATGCTTGAGAACTCTAACAAGATATACAGCCAAAGCCAGACACTTTTTTACTTGTGAAAGACTGTGAAAAAAATTAATCATATTTTCCTGGAGCTCCGTTAGTCTTGCCTATCAAACTCTTTGATGATAATGAAATAACTTCCTGGAGCATTGATGATGAAGATCCTTCAGTGCCAATGTATTTAATTGCTTGATTTTACATAGAGTATGGTCATGTACCTTCCTTCCACATTAGTGTATCCTGGAAGGAAATAAGATGGAATTTCGAATGGCCTGTTCTCCATTTTCACAGATTACAGATATTCCCCCTCCAGGAAACTACATCCCATCCCACCCTTGAATTAAACGCATCTTCTCTGTTCTCCCATATAACCTATGTAGACTTCTTACATAGCGCTTACCACATTGTTATGACGTATTTACTTGCCTAACTCCCGGACTTGACCTTGGAGTCCTTGGCTAGGTTGTAAGGTGCCTGCCACTTCAGAGTTATTCAGTAAGTGTTCATTGACTGACACGTTTTTAAGTTTCCAGCTTCAAATGGGTCCTGTCAATAATAGATTTATTCATTCCTTATTGCCTCTGTCTCATTGCTAAGCCATGATTCCAAAGCTTTAACACTCTTTTCATGCCCTTTCTTCCACTTATTCCTTAACCACTCTCACCCTTCACAAACACCTTCACCTTCCTCACCTTTCTTCTTTGTTGCTTTCCTTCCTCTGCCCCCAACACCTCTTCACATCTTTACACATGTTCTCCTTTTCCTGTCTTTGGAAGTATTGCTCTTGGTTTCCGATTCTGTCCCCTCCATCTAAGCTTTGTTTGTTTTTGTGAGATGGACTTTTGCTCTGTCACCTAGGCTGGAGTGCCCTGGCATGATCTTGGCTCACTGCAAACTACGCCTCCTAGGTTCAAGTGATTCTTGTGTCTCAGCCTCCCTAGTAGCTGGGATTACAGGCACCCACTACCACACTCGGCTAATGATGAGATTATAGATGGGGTTTCACCACGTTGGCCAGGCTAGTCTCGAATTCCTGACCTCAGATGATCCACCTGCCTCGGCCTTCCAAAGTGCTGGGATTAAAGGCGTGAGCCCCCGCGCCCAGCCACCTCCATGTAAGCTTTGGATCATAAGCATCGCCTCTTAAATCTTGCCCATCAAATACCCCCTTCCCTTCTGTAGCTGTAGTTTCTTTCTCACTATTGGTTCTTTTTCCACAACTTTATAACACGCCCAGTGGTCCCACTTTCTAATAAAATCTCCCTTTCCCTGCTCCCCACTCTGCCAGTTTCTCTTCCATCTTCACATTGCCTGAATTCATTGTACTCATCTCCTAATTTCCCACCCCCGACTTACAGTCCAGCTTCTGCCCTCACCAATGGCTTCCTAATTTCCAAATCCAGGAACCTCTTCTTAAAGAGGTCTTCCTACCTATTTCTGTCCAGGGCTCTAGCTGGATTTAATAATGCTGTCTTTTTCCCAGCTGCCCAAGCTAGAAATCTTGATGCTATTTTGTACCTCCTCTTAACCCTGCTTAACATACTGTAAGAATAAAAATACTTGTGTTTATGTTTGTACATTTATTTTTTATTTGATATACAGCAAAAAAAATACTGTATGAAGTAGAGGAGTGACAAAACATTCATCAGGGTGATCTGATTTGGCAGTGAAAGGGCCAAGCCGGTGATAAAGCATGGAAAGTAGTAACAGCAGCGAATGAACCACATGCATTGTATGCATAGCAGCTATTCTTAAGAATTCTGATTTCCACATATTCTAAGCATTAACAGAAAGTATTTAGTTGAAGAAAGCCAACCCAACCAAGACTTGAAGCCAGAATGTTGTTTTTTTCACAAATAGTTGTGATATTTTTGAAATGCTAACACAAAATTATGTATCTACACATATGTGTGTATATATATATAGAGAGAGAGACATGAAAGATCCTCATTAGGTTTCTGTGTGGTAATATCATCAGACATCTTTTAAGGAACAAAACAGTGCTCTTAATCACTTCTTTAATACCGTAAACAGTTGGAATTTTCACCCTCTGGGGCCTCCTATGAACCTCTGCAGAGTAGTTCAGCCGTCAGACTGGAAATTAAGCTAATCAGTAGTTACTTGGCACTTCTCCTTTTCTCTTTTCTTTCTTTCTTTTTTTTTTTTTTTTTTTTTTTTTTTTGGTGTGTGTGTTTGTTTGGAACTTGTTTAATGAAAACACAGGTTCCATTCAGTGATATAAAGCAGCACATCACAAAGCTTTTTCACACATAGCTTGTTTTTAGTTCTTAGGCCTGGATATTTGTATGTTCTTAATATAGGCCTAATAACAGCTGAAATGTCATTTTTTAGATTCAACAAAACCTGTGTTTGGAACCTGTTTAATGAAAACACAGGTTTCTTTCAGTGATATGAAACAGCACATCACAAAGCATTTTCCAAGATAGCCTCTTTTTAGTTATTAGGGCTGGATATTCATATGTTTATATAAAGGCTCAATGGGCTCAGAAATGTCACTTCTTTTTTTTTTTCAATTTAAATTAATTTAATTTTAATTTCCAGGATACATGTGCAGGATGTGCAGGTTTGTTACATAGGTGAATCTGTGCCGTGGTGGTTTGCTGCAGCTATCAACCCATCACCTAGGTATTAAGCCCTGCATGCATTATTATTATTATTATTATTATTATTATTATTATTATTATTATTATTTGAAGGTAACATGGAGGTTTAGTTTGAATTTAAGAGAACAGTAACAGAAAGGGAAAATAACCAGCCACCCAGGGTCTATTTTTAACTGCCACGGCTTGAGCAGAGCCATGAAGAGAGAGAACTAGGGCCTGTTAATGCCAGCCATGAAAAAGCTGCTACAGTGGGCAGTGTGTGACTGAGCCCAGCAGGAAAGTGCTTACATAGCACTCAGGCCCACCTTTCAAGGACCATGCAAAGAAAGGAGACATTTGAGAGCCAACAAGAATTATAACATGTATGTGCCACAGAAGGGTAGGAGGAATTCCACGGGGAAATGGTCACATGGGTCTACGGTTAGTAGAATTAGACAACATTTCAGAATACACTTCCAGTGAAGCTTGGTTTGAATCTTGGTACTCTTGCAGGAGAAGAAGAGAGCTGGGGGCAGAGCAGGCAGTGTGAGGCATAGAGGCATGAGCCAGCAGGGCTCCTTCAGGGAACAGCAGTGTGGATCATGGGGCTAGAGCTTGAGGTTTTGGAGAGGCTGGTGATGTAGTGGAACAGGCAGAGAAGGGACCAGAGGAGATGTCAAAATGAACTGGAGATAGCTGTACTAGTTTGGCATCTTAAAGAATTTTGGCTTTACACTTAGGCAGTGGGAAGCTATTAGTTGTCTCTAAGCAAGTTTTCTTGTCTCTAAAATGGAAATAATGAGCTCTATACCACTGGATTCTTGTGTGTAAAAACAGCAAATTATCATGCCTTGGTAACTATTTGTTCCTTCATTTTTTTAATCCGATAAATTATTGAAATAGGTTATAAATGTAACAGAATTTGAAAACACATCAGGATATGATGGTAATTTAAAAAAAATTCATTGTGTAAATGTTCAAGTAGTTTCCATTTTTCCCAAACTTTATTTTTATTTTATTTTTTGAGGCAGAGTCTCACTCTCTTGCCCAGGTTAGAGTATAGTGGCACAACTTCAGCTCACTGCAACCTCCAACTCCCAGGTTACAAGTGATTCTCATGCCTCAGCCTCCTGAGTAGTTGGGATTACAGATGTGCAGCACTGTGCCCAGCTAATTTTTGTATTTTTAGCAGAGGCGGGGTTTCGCCATGCTGGCCAGGCTGGTCTCGAACTCCTGTCCTCTTGTGATCTGCCTGACTCAGACTCCCAAAGTGCTGGGATTACAGGCGTGAGCCACCGGGCCTGGCCATTTTCCTCAAACTTTAAATATTTTATTTTCTATATAAATATTAAAAAGAAGAGGAATTAAGTCATTTAATTTGTGTGTAGCTCTAATTCATTACATGGGTTGTATCAATTTTCTGAGCCTTAGTTTTCCACGTGTATAATTTCTTTAGCAGTCTGATAAATTGAATTTAGTAATCTGTAGACCAAAATGCTATAGCCTTTTAGAGATGGAACAAAATTAGTTGTAATAAAGATGCTTATTTTCTAACAGACTCCAATAAATAGAGCAATAATGAGTCTCCACTGGATTATCACATTAGCTCCCAGAGGACATGGGATAATTGTATAGAAAACAATTAAAGGAAGGGATTGTACTAATGTAATTTTTTTAGAATTACCCAACAGTAAGATTATGAGCATGGTTCTTGACTGAGCCCCCCAGCCCACTCAGTGTAGTAGGACTAAAACTCAGACCACTCCCATTGTACAAAGGAGATGCATTCAATGCATTCAGATGGCTAACATCTGTCACTTGCAGAAAAAAAGATGGGAGTTAGGCCTAGCTGTTCCTTTCACCTTTCCTCCTTTCCTGCCTCCCTCCTTCATTTATAAATTGTCTAAAGTGTGTATAGCATTATGCCTCTCAATGTTATAACGATTGGCTCCATCCCGACCTGGGTTAAGTTTAACATTGAAAAATTAGTGGTAGCTCACAACCTGCCAAGTACCGGAGAGAAGTAGTTCTTTTCTCTCCAAGATGTTTGACATCTTGGAAACGGCAGTTTCTGTGTGTTTTTCTAGTTAGAGTAGCCACCTTTACACACCTAGTTTTTGTTATTCCTCTCAACAACACTATGAGGTAGGTTTTAGGATCCCCATTTTACAGATGAGGAAAACGAGGGCTCCAAAAAGTTAAGTGGCAGAACCTGGATGTCAGATCAAACACTGTAACTCCCAGCCCAGCCCTCTTTACCACAGCTGCTCCTCAATTAGGCAGCCCAAGTGTTTGTCCCTACCCACAGGGGAAAAATCAAAGATTTTGAACACTAGTAGAAGCAACATTCTGATTAGGAATATAAAAGATTACAGCGTGAAGTGAAATAATCTCCCTCCTCACCTCCTGTAGGTCTTGCCCAAATCATTCTTTAGCATCTTCTTCTATCCCTCCCTCCTACAGTCTTTTTACCTGCTTCCTAATCATTAGATTGACATCTCAAGGTAGGGGAGAAGTAGGGGAGTCCAGAGTCCTGGTACTGGGATTGAGGGGAGGAACACTTTCACTTTCAGGGCTATTGTTCTTGCTTTCCTTTGTATGAAGTAGTATTTTCTGTTATTGATTTTATGTTTACTTACTGTCTGAATTGAATACTGTTAATTTATGTGCCCTTGGCTCTAAAGCTCTGGTTATATATTTTTGCGTTGTTAATATTTTTAATTGGTGTTTCTAAAGTAAATGTACTCTGTGTGTTTGGCAGACCAACAAAGTGAAATGTAAAAAGAGTCTATTTTTAAAAGTAACCATATAAGGTGAAAAGTCCCTTTTTGTGTGGGTGTGTGCATGCGTGTGTGCAGATCGCAGGTTTTATCAGGAACATATTCGTTAATATTTATTGTCACAGTTTACAGTGTGCCCCTTGAGTCCCTCTGGATTATGCACAGCCCAAATGACGTAACCTTGGAAAATGCAATAAATCTAAAGTTGGAAACCACTTCTAATAGGAAGTTTCTTGAAAGTTGTAAAGTTAAATTGCCTCTTCCAGGATGAGGGAGGTGGTGCGGAGAATGCCCGAGGGGATCCGGACTTGCCTCTTGCAGGTGTTATCCCCTGTGTTGGAATGCTGGGTTTGTGGGTTGGATTATTTTGTTTTGTTTTGTTTGAAATCCTCTGAGTATTTTTTTAACCCCAATACTCCATGGGGTGGCAAGCTTATATATATACCTTAAAATGTAACCTTTGATCATCCCTTTATGTATCTACAATGACTCTTATGCTATATATGCATACCCAGGAGCCCAGAAGTATAATTTAATTCATCAGAATCTTAACTTTGCAAGGAGACAGGCATTATGTAGTTCATTTTGCCAGCCCATGTGTGAACCCATCCAGTGACGTGCAGCTGAATACTGGTCAAAGTATCCCATGTTTTACATTTTAGGACATTCTTTGCCATATTATTTTGGGGAGCTGGAAAGGCTCCTGGGAACCGATACCTTTGGCCCTGGTGCCTCTTTTTGAAGCTACTTAGAATATTCTTTTATAAGTGATTTAGTCTAAAAAAAATTTTTTAAGAATATTCTTCTCCTTCCAAGACATTTGTAGATATTTAAAGATAATGACACCGATCTTGCCTTTCCCCCTTTCTAGATGTCAAACATCTTTAGGTCTGCCAACCTATTTTCTTATGTCATAGTTCGTTTGTACATTTGTAGAGCACAAACCGGGTATGCATTAGACACAGCTAGAAACTAGGGAAGCACTGAGGGACCAAGTAGTCTGTGATTCCTGCCCTTCAGGAACTTCTGATCTATTAATAGCAGAGTGGCAAGGGCTATTATAGGGGCCCCAAATTTAGCCTTGCTGATTGGGGGTTAGGGATGTCGGGGAAATTTTTCTGCAGGACACACCACACAAGCAAAGTCCTGAAGAGTACTATGAGTTACCCAAGGAAGCGAGATGAATGAGGAGAGGAAGGTATTCCAGGAAGGACTGGCTTGCTGGAAAGGCTGAAGGTGAGGGGATGCGTGGTGAGTTCAGGGAAGTGAGGGTGGTTCATTGTGGTTGAGGCACTAAGTGGGAGGTGAGGAGTGGGGAAAACAGATGCAGAAATGCTAGGGCAGAAACCAGGGCTAACAGTGGGAAGATGAGGTCGCATGTGATGGGAGAGTGGAAGATGATGGGCAGTCCTCATCAGGAAGGATATTTATTGTTCTCTTGGGAACATAATTACTATGGGCAACATAAAAGGTTCTGCATGAGGTCATTTAGGTTTTGGAATATTTTGTATATTATCTTTTGTTGTTAGAGAAAGGATATATTCAGTCATTAGGGTTAGACAGATATAGCTCTTTCAGTAGCATGACCATTTCTCCAGCAACAATATGTTTGGAGAAAGAAGAGGAAGAGATAATATTGTTTTAACATTCTTATGACTGTGAGAAACTTTGGTGGCTTTTATACACAGGATTATAATTAATAATAACAACAACAACAGCAACAAACACATATAGCACTGTAGGCCTGGTCCTGTTACAGTAAGAAATAGAATGTCCACATTAACTCTATGAGGTAGGTATTATCCTCAGATACAGTTAGTTTAAATAACTTCCCAAAAGTTAGAAAGCTAAGTGGGAGAGCTAGGATTTGGCTGCAGCCCCTAAGAACAAATTGGGAAAGATTTAAGTCATAGATGAAGTACTCTGAGGGTGCCTTAAGACAATGGCTGTAGCCTGCTGTTTATGGTCACAACTACATACTCACTGGAATGTTCATGGCCGAGATAAATAAAGCAAGTATTCATCCATATTTCACATGTTACTCACAGGCATTGCTGCATGGAAGAGATTGCTCTCTTGATGGATTTTAGGAGCTAGCCTGGGTTTTACCAGCCGTTGAGGTTGCTTGCAGCCTTAGTTTCTCTCCCTGCCTTCTGCCACTGTCAAAGAGGGTTTAGCCTGCCTACAGAGGGTAAAATAATTAGGATAACAGTGCACCAGAGAAAGTTCGAAATGCTCTTACTCTTAGGGAAACCTTTCCAAATCAAGCCACTTAATGCTAGCAACCATGAAGGTATAGTTGCCCCAGAATAGTGTGTGGTTTTCCACTAGCAGTGATTTTACCCTAGTGTTGACTGATCCCATGTGGTGGATATATGCAGGTAAGTGCTTCTTGGGAACAGAAGGGATGAAGATAAATAAGAGAAAGTTTGAAGTCATGATCCGTGGAGCCTGTGCTATATAGGAAAAGAAGTAAAAATAAGAGTGGGCTGTTATATAAGGATATAGCACAGAAGTAAGGGGCTGACGGTCTCTGTGGGTCCAAAAAGAAGTGAAGTGGGAGCAACTGCTTGAAAGTATTAGAAGGATAAGAAAGAATGTTGATTGAGCGGGATATTTACATTTTGTGTCAGAGAAGACTTTTAGCACTCCTCTTTGCCTTGATGGTGTTACCTGAATATGCATCCATTTTTTTTTTCTTTTTTTTTAGACGGAGTGTCGCTCTGTAGCCCAGGCTGGAGTGCAGTGGCGTGATCTCGGTTCACTGCAGCCTCGCCTCCAGGGTCCTGGTTCGAGCAATTCTCCTGTCTCAGCTTCCTGAGTAGCTGGGGATTACAGGCACACGCCACCATGCTCAGCTAATTTTTGTATTTTTAGCAGAGACAGGGTTTCACCATGTTGGCCAAGCTGGTCTTGAACTCCTCATCTTGTGATCTGCCTGCCTCAGCCTCCCAAAGTCCTGGGATTACAGGTGTGAGCCACCGCGCCCAGCCACATCCATTTGTTAATGACTTAATTAAAATGTGTCATAACGAAAATGATCAGTAGGCCAGGCAGGAGCTCCCAGGTACAACCAAGGTGAAGCTGATTTCACATGACTTTATAATCTTCAAGCCCATGTTTGAATATTTGAACATAATAATTGTTATGTGATTAAATAAAAACAGAGGGCATAGACTCGTTCTGTGGTGCAGATTTACCCTATAGACTTATATGCTCAGTAGGAAGTACATTGAGTTTTTATAAGCAGTGATAATTCTATCTTCCAAATCCATTACGCTTCAGTTAGATTTAATTTTTATTTATCAATATTTATCTTGATTAATGATCTTACCTCTAGCTAGGTTACAGGTTCCATGAGAATAGGGACAGTGTCTGTGTCTAGTTTCTCCCTAGCCCAGTACAAGGCATATGGTACTCAGAGACTTAGGGATTTCTAAGTCTCTTGAGTACCATATGCCTTGTACTGGGCTAGGTGATGTTTAGGATGGGTCCTTAAACAGGATCAAGGCCAAACCACTTACATTATAGTGAGGCAGTCAAGGTCCTGACAGGTAAGTGATCTGCTCAGGGCTCAGAGCTAGGTAGTGAGAAAGCCTGTGCCAAAACCCAAATCTCATTCCTCACTCTGTTCTTTGCACCATATCACTCTGACATTGAATCAGGTTCTTGTAGTGATCTTCTCTGTGTGTCTAGGGCCAAAAGGAAATGTGTTTCCTAAGCTAGAGCTTCCCAACCTGTTTCTCAATATGGCTCACAGAGAAGCTGGGAATATTTGTCTAGAACAGTATGGTAAACAAAGGAGGCTTTGGAGGGCAGCCGAAGAAAGAGGTCCCCTAGGAGACTAATGCCCAGAAACCTCCAGGCTACCCAAGGGGGATCATACCTTCACACACCTCTCATCTACTATGCTCCCTGTAACTGTGGAAAAACTCTTTCCTAAGTTAATATTAGATCACTTGAACATCAGTCCCATAGTGCACAGATACAATAGTTTCCCAGGCTTTAAGACTCTGTATAAAAATTGTTCTTCAAACCAAAAAGAAACATGATCCTTTTCATTGTATTTCTTGAAGTACCTGATATACTTAGATACTGCTGTATCTGTAAATAAATTATGATACCTTATAAAGTTTTAAAGGAAATTTACAAGTGTTATTTTCTAGTAATTACCTTGAAAGATTACATTGGTCCAGGAAAATGTTTTCTGAAGCAATGTTAATCCTACTAGCCAAGCATATCACTTAGTCCCCACTGTGAGATGAGGGATATGTGCTTAAATTGTGAAACAAATATATGAGTCAGGTATTTTTCCTTTGAGTCCAAGTGGTTTATGACTTTCTTTCCTGTGTTCTTTGTATATGTGGGAGTTTTATAATTTTTTATCAAGAATGAAAGGTTGGCCTGTGTTCTTACTGGTGCAGGCTGTCACATTTCTCTCTGTTGCCCAGTCAGGTGCTATGGCATGTGCTGCTTCTGGCGTAGTGTACTCTGTGGATGTACCAGCATGTTCTTCAAGGTCATGACTGATTTTCCAGACCTTTGGAATTGAGATAAATGTTAAATTTGTAGCTATCTCTGAATTTCTTCCAGATACTTTTCTTCATTTGTTTGTTTGTAGGGTAAACATACCTGATAGCAGCAATTTAAGCATACCCTTAGAATGACCATGTATGGCCAGTGCACCTGAATGTGTGTTCCAAGGTAGGGAATCCAGGAATGGCCAACTCGGAGATTCATTCCTTACTATGATAAATATCTGAGCCCCCTGCTCATCCTGTGGAACATGGGCTTATTGGGGATTAAGGCCCTGAGTTTTAGGTTAAATGAAGGTTACCAGATGGAGGTCATTAGGGGGAGGGTGTTAAATGAAAATGCTTTATAAACTGCATGCTGTTTGCAAGCAGTTGCAGTTTTCCTGCCCAGCCCGCAGCCACTGGCCATGCAGTCATGTTGTCCAGCCTGCCGCCACTGGACCATTTCTGTACATAAGGCAGTTCTCCTGTCCCGCCTGCCACCAGTTCTCCACTCTCTCCCCATATGTAAGCCCCTAGTAAACCCCATGTCTCATTTGCTGCCTCTGGGTCTTTTCTTCAGCCTCTTGAACCTAGTGCCTTCCCTGCTGAGGTTAATAGGGGTACAGCACAACAGTGTTGTAACACAGAAAGTGATATTTACAGGGATATCTCTCTCACAATAT
Source organism: Homo sapiens (assembly GCF_000001405.40). Classification (NCBI taxonomy): domain Eukaryota; kingdom Metazoa; phylum Chordata; class Mammalia; order Primates; family Hominidae; genus Homo; species Homo sapiens. The sequence continues at coordinate 99,966,123 of NC_000003.12, forward strand.
CTCTTAGGAAAGGTAAATAAAATGTTCACAACTTGTAGGTGAGTAATTCCTTAGATAAGTTGTTTCTTAACTTGGGAGGAGTTTGGGAAGGAACCTAAGCAGGCTGCAGAGGCTGGGCATGGGAGCTTGTCATGGCTGGAAGTTGAAATGGTCAACTCCAGGCAGATCTCCTGGGGCAAAGCAGCCTCCACCACCAGTAGCCCTTCCTTTCTGTTTCTTTCATAGCCCCACTGCTCCATCTGAAGCCTGAACCCTTCCAGAAAATTGATGGATAGATTTTTTTTTTCGGCTATATATAGTTTTAGAGGTTAGAACTAGATATAATTCAGTCTAGAAGATTTCTCCTTCCCCAGAAATGATTGTTTTTGTGCAGAGCCCCGTCAAAATAGTACGGAGACTTAGACTGAGTTCACTCATCACTAACAATTAACTTTATAAACATTCAACAAGTAGGACAACTATTATTACTGTTACTCAGAACCCTTCGCTCTGTATATACAGTTTGATTTAAGATGCCACATTTACATGGCATTTTCAACCTTCAAACTCTAGCAGATTTTAAAACTAGGTGGATGAAAATAGAATCATTCTAATAAATGTAGTGTGTCAGATTTGAAAAATCATTTGGTGAGCAGGATCTCTGTAAAGTTATATGGGCCACGTATACAAGACGTAACTGAAGAAAATTAATTCAACAGAGCATGCCGTACTTGAACGACTTAGAGATTTACTCGAACTGAACTAACTCAAGCTGGCAGAACTCCGAGCAGCCTGGATTGTAAAGTCTGGGTGAAAATAGATGGAGTATGCCTGACTGAACCTCTGTACTGCCCCACATGCTATACAGGTGGGGGATTGGATGGCTGTTAGGTGATCATTGCATTCTCTTTTGGATCCCTATTGAGAAGAAATGATAAGAGAGGGAAAGGATATGGGGCAAGAACAGTCTGAAAAAGAAAGGATAAAGTTCTCAGACTCTCTTCACACTCTAAGAAGAACTTTCTGAAAAGCTTGGATTAGGTCTGGCAATGGATATAATAAGCAAAGGACTCTTGGAATGTGTTCTTGGCTCTTAGCCCCACCTCTGACTTTGAGCAAATCAGCTGATTTCTCTGCCTGTAAAATAATAGTCCCTCTGATATTAATACTTACCTCATGAGGTTATTTAGAGGATAGTGTTGGTAATAATGCCTTGTGTTTACATCATTCCTTTCACAGAGAGCTCAAAGCACTTTACATGCATTGAGAGAGAAGCTTCTCGTGAAGAGTAAATAGAAGTGTTCACTTTTTGGAAATGAACTTAGGCCATAAGAGCCTGAATTTAATGCATTGCAGGAAGAAATATGGTACATAGTGATCCAGTGGGTCAACTGAATTTTTTGTTCCACTAAGAGTCCCCTCCTGGCTCCTTGTTTTGTGAATTGAGGAATATGGTGAGTCCCTACACCTGGATGGGAAATCCCACATATGCAATTGGAATGGTCTCTCACGACACATGCAGAGATTGAAGAACAGTCTGGACATTTTTTGATAACGTTCTTTGGGCCTTGGTAGTAGCTGAAAGACACCTGAGAAATCTTAGCTCAGAGCTACAGAATGACACTAATGGATCCCAGAAATAGAAATGTAGATGTGGAGTGTTTTATCTGTTTATTTCACCTCAATTCAACCAATACTCCTTGAGTGCCTTTTATATACATGATTTTGAGTGATGTGGAGAATGAAAGAGACACAACATGCTCAGGAAAGTTAACCTGGTATTAGCAAGGAGAAGGAGTAGGATTTACAAATAGATAAGTGCAACGGTATGTGGGAGTGTCAGAAAAGCATCACAGTACTTCAGCACATCTACTTGGGCAATCTCAAACATGTATTACTCATGTACCAAGCAGTATGCTGTTCACAGAGAGATACAATCTCTGCCTTAGGGATCCTTGGGGAAAACATGTACAAAGAGATAGTTTTAGCACATTCTAGTAAAGGCAGTGATCAAGGGCACCTAGCCTTACGTGGCAATTTAGGGAAGGTACCTTGGAGGATGAGACTTCTCCTAAAGTCTTAAGAATTGAAAAGAACATGGGAAGGGAATTCCAGGCTGGGAGAGTAGTATGTTCATACGCCCTCAGTGTTTAACCTTCTTTGAACAAAAAAATGGCAAACTACAGAAAGTTTGGTCTTATTGTAGCCTAAATTGTACTTAGGGGTACGAGTGAGAAACAGGGATTAAGATAAAGGACCTGTTTTGCTGTCTTGTTTACTGTTGAATAGTAGTATGAAGTAGGTCCTGAAAAACTATGTTTTTGGGGGAAAAAAAAAAAAAAGACTGAATGATATGTTGGGTTTAAGTCCTTGCAGGCAGGCTATCCAGGTAAATAAACATGGAAGGTGATGGGAGGTAATCTGGGCTGGAAATACAGATTTGGAAGTCACCCCATATCAGTGGTGTTTAAAATCAAGAGCAAATGAAATTGCACAAGGAGAATATATAGAATGAACAAATTACCATGGGTGAAGCCTTGAGTAATACAGACATTTAAGAAGCAAACAAAAGACAAGGAACCCATGAGGGAGACTGGAAAGGAAAAAACAGAGAAATAAGAAAAAATGAGAGGAGAGAATTGATACATTTTCCTCAGGTGTGGCATTATGGAGTTCACTGGTGTCTCATCAGAGAAGTTTCAGTCCAGTGGCCAGGGCAGAATGACATTGTGTCTTGTTTTAAAGTAAATGGGTAGGGTAAGAAAGTTGAGAAGGGTTAGCACAAACCTCTCTTTCAAGTCACTTGCCTTAGAAGAGAAGGAAGGGTATGGTTTCTGGGGTGCAACCCAGGTTCAAGAAGCAAAAAGAAAAAAAAATTCATTTGATAAAAGATTTAAATGGGTTTCTGGGCTTAGAGGAAAGAGTAAATAGGCACTGAGAATTTAAAGATTTAGGAAGTAAAGGGGATAATTAATGGAGCTCGGTCCTGGGAGTGCTGAAAAGGGGGGCCATGTGTGGAGGGCAGGGCAGGATCTTGACCTGGAGTAAGAATACCTCATCCTGTCATTGAAAGAAAGTGCACAAGGACAGGTCCAGGCATATCTAAGAAGGGGAGGGGAACAATATTGGGATAATGTATGTATAATTCTCTTATTGAAGTAGAAAATGATGTCATCTGCAGAGAAGGATGTAGCCTTGTTTGGGCTCTTGAGCAATATGACAGTTTGGTAACATTGCTTAGTAAAATAAGAGCAAGCTAAGCAAGAATGAGTAGGAGGTTGAGCCACGTTGATGGCCTATTTGAGATTGAGGACTGCAGATTTATATAGTTGCGTCAATCTGAAAGCTGACTTTTTTTTCCAGCTGAGCTCAACAGATTGGTCACAGAAATACAGAAGTCTACGTTTGAATTGATTCTAAAGATATTAGTGAAAGAATGGTTGAAGTAATGAGCCGTGCTATCCCAACTGGGTAAAGCAGTGAGGCCAGGAAAGAGGTCAAGGAACTATGGTTTTCCAGAGATTGGAGAGCAGAGGTAGTAAGGGCAAAGGCACGGGGAGCCTGGAAGGATCAGAGATTGTGGTCATCTTCACATAATGGATAGGAAGCAGCCCCACTAGATAATTAGTTGCAGGGTTTGACCTTGGAAATCTGTGACCATGGAGATGAAGAAGGTGAGGAATTTATAGTTTATTGGATGGCTTGTCTAGATGGATACTGAAGTCACTCATTGTCACAAAGGGTATGTTAAAGATTGTTGCCAAGTGCCCTAGTCATGAATAAGTGTTATGGAGGGACCAGGATATTAGCAGGGGGACATCAATGAGAAAAGATAATTGGATAATATGAAATTCAACAAATGAGGCTGTTACATCAGAGGCATTAGGGAGTAATGGTTTAGAAGCATTATAAAAAGGAATAATCAGTTAGGCATTGGCTTAAAATTTGGATAAGCCATATAAACTTGTTGATATTTGAGTATTTTGACATATAAAAATAGTAATTTCATATGGTTCAACCTCATACTTTGCGTGCATTAAATCATTCATTCTCACAACTACCTTCTGAAATGGGTTATCATTTTGCAGCTGAGAAAGTGAAGGCATAGAAATAATAAGTAATTTGCCCAAAGTCATCTGATAAGTTTTGGAGCTCAGTTTCAGACCCAGGCAGTCTGGCTTTAGAGGCTGCAATCACTCTGAATAGGGAATGCCCACCTTACCCTCACTGCCCTTCAGGCCTTCTGGTGTGTGAGGTGGATGAGACCAAACTCCTCTTAAGCATGTAATAACTGAGATAAATGCTGTAAAGGAAATGAATGTGGTTCACTAGTCAGTTTTGAAGTCTCATTCTCACATACTCTGTGCTTCCCCACCCTATTTGTGTTCGCTTTCACTCCCAAACTACTTCTACCTAATTGCAGAACACTTTCTCTACATTTTGCCTAACTGAAACCTAGCATATCCCTGCTTTCCTTGTAGTTTACTAGTAGATAAGTAGGAAAATAGTTCTAGACCTTGCATGTACAGGGTCACAAGAGTTTAAAAAGAGCAAGGAAAACCATTCAGTAAATGACAAGACATTCTGTATATGGGATATGAACTGGGCTGGGAGAGAGGTAGAGTACTTAAGAGAGCGTGCTACGATAGACCTCAAAGGACTTTTTACCATTCTAAAGACCTTAAACATTATACTATCTGCTACAGCCAGCCACAGAAAGATTTTAAGAAGCAAAATGTTGTGAGGATATTATAGATAAATGTTGGTGTGGATGCAATTAAAGGGAAAAAGACTAGAGGTGGGAAGATGGGTTAGGAAGCTGTTGCAGTCATTCATGTGAAGGAATAGGGCTTGGCAGTGCTCCTACCTGTGTGATTGAAGAGGAGGGGCTGTATTCACAAGATATTTAACAGCAAGGATTGGCAGGTTTTGGTGTCTCTTAAGAGAATATGGGGGCTGGGCGTGGTGGCTCACGCCTGTAATCCCAGCACTTTGGGAGGCCAAGGCGGGCGGATCACTAGGTCAGGAGATCGAGACCATCCTGGCTAACATGGTGAAACCCCGTCTCTACTAAAAATACAAAAAATAATTAGCCGGGCCTGGTGGCAGATGCCTGTAGTCCCAGCTACTCGGGAGGCTGAGGCAGGAGAATGGCGTGAACCCGGGGCGCGGAGCTTGCAGTGAGCCAAGATCGTGCCACTGCCCACCAGCCTGGGTGACAGAGCCCATCTCAAAAAAAAAAAAAAAAGAGAATATGGGATGCTGGAACCCATAAGTGAGATCACCACACAAGGAAAGAAGTCCATTTGAAAGGAGAGATGAGGAGTCCTCTTTTCTACATGTTGAATATGAGATGTCTGTAGAATCTGGGTAGAAATACTGGTATGGGACTCAGGAATGAGGTCTCACAGGAGATGCAGATGAAAATATGTTAGTATTGCTTAACCTCTCTAAGCCTCACTTCCAAAATTCCCACTTCCTCCATCAGCTTTTGTCTTGTAGCCACTCCCTGATCTAAGTTGGTACCAGAGTATAGGGACAGAGACCTGAGTGAACTGTGGCTTTAGACCTGCTTTCATCAGGACCTCACACTGTGGACTCACAGGAGTCTGTATGGTAGGGTCTAGGATACACACGGAACCTCAAACTTCTGAAAGGAGTCCTCTCCCTGCAACACCATTCCCATAAAAGAGAACAGAGTCGGTTCCTAGCTTGAATGAATGAATGAATAATGACGTTGGGGCCTCTGGATATAGATCATTCTAAAAAGCACCTATATACTCTTTTGGTAGGATTTGGTACAGGTAGGATTATGTAAACCTGGTTGCTGACCTAGATATATGTAGTCTTGTTGGGAAACATGGATTAGTCATAAAATTAGCACACTGACATGGAGTATAGTCAGCAAATGGATAAGATGGTTAAGTATCTATAATATAGTTTGACTAAGCAGTTAAGTGAATCAGTACGAATATTATTGAGAGGAACCTGGTTCTGACAGATATAAGGTAGTGATATTGCAGACATATAAAAATATAGACTGATATGCAAAGTGTGGGGAAAGATGTCATTCAAACCAGTCTTTTTATGGGCTTAATAAATTTGATAAGGGAATAGGAAGAAAGCTAGTCATCTCTTTCCCTTAGGTTGAAATAAACTTGACCCAATAGAGTACCCTAGTTTTGTTCATTTGCCGAATTGACTTAGATGCCAGGGATTTGCATGTGGAAAACTAATGCCATGGCAGGATTACTAGACTGTAAATTCATTAAGAAGTCTGATGATATCATAAACCGTGAGAAGCCTCTGTCTTGCAGCAGCATCGGAAACGTCCCCGTCCCCATTTGAGTAAGTGCTGGTAATCCATTTTATTTCTCTCCATTAGTTATTATAATAATAACAGATTGGTGACACGGCCTCATTTTCTGCCTCTAGTGCTGTCTGCTGCTGGGCACAGCTGCTCCCAGTCATTCTTTCCAGAGTAAATAACGGTTCATGTTTCCATGGGCTGTCGCGAGAGCTTTCTGTGCTTATGAAATGAGCCCATGTCACCACCCTGTTGGGAAAGATTGAAGGCATGGGCAAAGCCAAGGAACTGCATGGGAAAGCCAGAGCTTTACCCCTACCCTAAGATATGTTTTTTGCTCTTGAAGACATTTAGATTAACTGGGTGTTAATGATGTTAACTTCCATAAGTGTGAGGCAAGAAAATTCCATCACTTGGCATCTGTCTGATGCAGGCCTTTGGCTTTGGAACTTTTTCTTTCATGTTAGATGTAAATAATGAACTCCTTTGTTGTGAGAGGGTTTGTTACAAGGAAGTAAACACATCAGCAAAGAGCATCTTTTGATCTTCACACCTTTGGCAATAAAAGCTGAGAGCAGAAATAGGCCAGAGAATTTGGGACAGAAACCACTAAAAGCTCCCCTTTTATCTGTTCACAAAATTAGGTGCAGAACTATAGGAACAATGGATGGAATGACAATTATTAAAAAAGATGAAGGGCAAAATGAGGCCACCTGAATAATAAAAGCCAAGGTTTAGATTTTATGATCTGCTTTAAAACTCAGTGAATTCTCTGAAAAACTAGGAGCATTATATAGAAACATCATAAACAAAATGAATAAAAATTTTTTTTCTCTTCTTGTGATCTCATTAGTGGATGTTAACAAATTTTAAATATTCATTTGAGAATACATGTTATAAGAACACTGATTTTCTGTGTGTGTATGCAAAATTGCAAAAACTGGTATGTTTTAATGCCTTAATTATGTGACTCTTGTCTCATGATCATTAATTCAATCCTCTTCTAAACATCAAACCACATATTCATATAAAATAGAAATCTAAAATATGCAGTTATAAATACATATGAAAATTCCTCTGTCTTTTTTTTCCTTATTTTGAAAGTTTAAGCTTTATTGCCAGGTTTTATTGGTAGAAAACTAATGTTGCTTTATTTCATGAAAGTTATCAACATCCTCCCTTCAGATCTTATAGAATTTATACTCACATCCTATAGGTAAGTAAATAGATTGAGGAGGAAAACCACTTCTGTAAGAAGAATAATAAACACACTTCAAACTTGATGAAAAATAAATGGATCTGCACTCAAAAACCTATTTAAGCTCACTTTTTTCCCCCAGTTTGGGTAGCTTTATAATGAAGGCAGAGATTGGGATGCAGGTATCATGTTAGATGTTAAATACCTCTATTCCTAGGCCTGGTGTTTGTTGTTGGTGGTGGGTGGAGGGATGGTTGCTCTAAGTTTTAGGTGTTCTTGATAGACAATATATAATTGATAAATAACTTTTCAAAGATCTTGCATTGTTTTCTGTTTTATCCCACTGTTTCCTGTAACCCACAGTTCCAAATAGCTGGCTGAATTGCTGTGTGATAAAAGGAAATCTGAGACTAAGTACCAATTCCTTCCAAGTTTAAGAACAAGAAGGTTTTCTGAATATTTTTCAGAGGCAGACTGGGGAACTATGTTTCTTTTTAATGGTCTTTTAATTTGAAAGTTAAACTAAATCCTTCTAATTGCTTGTAGGTATTGGACAATATGAGTATTTCCATTGGATAACATGGAGAGGACAATTTATCATTGAAGGACTTGTCGTTTTTATCTTAGCTGAATAGGGTGCCAGTATATACAGTTCGTGCTTTCAAGCACGGGTTGATTTATTATGGTTTGGACCTGCAGTTTTTAGAAGGGATCACAACAGGATTTTTCTTTGTAAGTTTAGTAAAGCCCATTTCTTACCTTGTTGACTGTCACTATCAGGTCAAAAAACTTAGAAAGCAGGAATAAAAACTCATTATTTGGGCTGGGCGCAGTGGCTCACGCCTGTAATCACAGCACTTTGGGAGGCCGAGGCAGGTGGATCACCTGAGGTCAGGAGTTCAAGACCAGCCTGACCAACATGGAGAAACCCCGTCTCTACTAAAAATACAAAATTAGCCGGGTGGTGGTGTGTGCCTGTAATCCCAGCTACTCGGGAGGCTGAGGCAGGAGAATCACTTGAACCCAGGAGGCGGAGGTTGTGATGAGCCAAGGTCATGCCATTGCACTCCAGCCTGAGTAACAAGAGCGAAACTCCATCTCAAAACAACAACAACAACAACAACAACAAAAACTCATGTTTGGAGTGGAAAAAACCTGTTGTTTGATGACATGTAGTTAAAATTCATTTACTTATATTCAAATAAAGATAATAATTTAGTCCTTAGGAGATGAACATTTCCATATTCTCTTTCCTACCCCTTGGCATGGGCTCTTGTGTTTGCCATACCAGGTGGATTCAGTCCAAACTCTGTAAACCTGGGCGTGTTATTTGATCTTTTTGAATGTGCAAAGCTAGAAAATAATACCATTTTCACAAGTTCATTAAGACACATTTATGACAAAAGATCAACAGTCATTAATTACAGTTAATAACTCTGAGTGACTGCTAATGTTCCAGGAACTATACTGAGCATCTTAGATTATCTAGATTAAGCCCAGTGAAGTACCTTTCACCTAGCAGGCATTCAACTTCCACCTGCTTCTGTTCCTCCCCGCTCCAATCTACCAGATTCCTCAGGTGAAAGGAATTTCTATTTGTTCACATATTACTTCATCCTTCATTCATGCATCCATTCAACAAATACATACTAAACTCCTTCTAGTTCGAGGAACTGTTGTAAGTGCTGTGGATATAGCAATGACCAGGAGAGACACAGTTCCAATGGTCAAATGTTCTAGTGCAGGAGACTGACAACAGACAGGCAGTGAATTCAAGGAGTTCAAGACCAGCTTGACCAACATGGTGAAACTCTGTCTCTGCTAAAAATACAAAAATTAGCTGAGTATGGTGGCGGGCGCCTGTAATCCCAGCTACTCGGGAGGCTGAGGCAGGAGAATTGCTTGAACCCGGGAGGCAGACGTTGCAGTGAGCCGAGGTCACACCATTGCACTCCAGCCTGCAAATGAGACTCCGTCTCAAAAAAAAAAAAAATTGATACTTCATGTGGAAATAAGTGCTATGAAAAAGAGAAACTAGGGTAAACAACAGAACTGAGAAACACAGAGGAAGAGAGCGTTCTGTTTTAGACTGGTCTAGGAAAGGGACATCTCAGCAAAGTCCTGAGTATATACTCATATCAAGGTCATTCTAATAGTGACATTCTTACTCAAATTGAAAAGTCGTGTATATGTTGAGTTGTAGAAGGAAAGTTTAGAACAATCAACAGCATCCATTATTGCATATTTTCTTTGGGCTAGCAAGCAAACAGTAATAAAATGTCTCTTTTTGTTGTTGTTGTTAGAGTCACGCTCTGTTGTCCAGGCTGGAGTGCAGTGGCACCATCTTGGCTCACTGCAACCTCCGCCTCCTGGGTTCAAGCGATTCTCCTGCCTCAGCCTCCCAAGTAGCTGGGACTACAGGCATGTGCCACTATGCCCAGCTAATTTTTGTATTTTTAGTAGAGACGAGGTTTCGCCATGTTTTCCAGGCTGGTCTCGAACTTTTGACCTCAGGTGGTTCGCCCGCCTCAGCCTCCCAAAGTACTCATAAGCCACCGCACCTGGCCCAGTGTCTCTTTTAATAGATATAAAGCACTTAGAAGGTGGAACATAGTAAGTCCATATAGTGTATGCTGCTATTAGTCTACTTGAGGAGAGTAAAAAGATACTGTGGCCCATATGCTACGCGTTCCTGCTTATAACCAAATAATTATATAGAATTCATACATAAAGAATAAAATTGGATAGGGATGTCTATTTTTATTGGATGTTGTAAGTAAGTTATTAAACTGTGTCCAAAAGAAATTCATAGATATCATGAACTTAGAAACAGTAACCCCCCAAGAGAATTGCAGCCAAACTACTACTAGTAGGACCCATGGTGGACCTGCATGTTACTTCAGTAACTGGCAGTCTAGTCCAGTGGTTTTTCTTTCACCACATTGAAGATACCACTTTATTTTCTCGTGGCTTGCATGATTTGCAGCAAGAAGTTTGCCATAATTTTTATCTTTGTTCCTCTGCATATGCATCTTTTTTTTAAACTGTTTACCTTCAAGATTTATTCTTTATTTTTAGTTTTCAGTAGTTTCAATATGATAGGATTTTATTATCTTATTTTATTGTTGTTACTTACCCTACTCAGAGTTCTTCAGGTTTCTTGGACCTGTGGTTTGATGTCTTTGATTATTTTTTAGAAGATGTTTGACCATTATCTCTTCAAATATTTCTTCTGTTCTTTCCTCCTGTTCAGTTATTTTCTCTGGCTTCCTACCTTGCCCCCAGTCTTTCTAATGAGTGCCTGATGTAGGTCCAAGGAGAAGAGTCTGTGAGTGAGTTTGAACTCCCTGTGTGACTGCACCTTGCAGGAATTCTATCCTCTTATTCTAGCCTATGATCACCGTTTAGCAAGTTCTTAGATATATAGGGGAATCCTTCTTAACTACTAATAGCACCTAGTGTCTCTATGTTAGGATTTGCTGCTTTTTCTTGTCTTTTGGATAGAACAGCACGAACATTGTCATGGAGGGATGAAGCAACCTGGCATGTACTGTACACAGTTCCCTTGTAAGAGGCATAAGGCTGGAGGAACAGACAGGCAGCACAGCCTGCAAAGAAAGGCTATATCACAGTGGAGCTGATGCCTCATCCCAGGAGCAGTGGGGAAGCCAGAAAAGAGACTTAGACCAGGAAATAACATTAACAGCTTTCCATCTTAGAAAGGTTGATCTAGTAGCTGAATGAAGGACAAATTAGGAGAATAGAGAGATCTGAAGCAGGGAAACAAAGTAAGAGTATTTCTGTGGTTCAGAAAGGTATGCTGGGGGCCTATGGGCAATAGAAGTGGAGTCAGAGTTGGATAGAGTAGCTATGAGAGATGTCAAGGAAGATAGCCAATATACCTAAATTACTTGTTTTCCTGGGAATGTAAGCAAGTAATTACCTCCAAAAAGAATAAAATTATTTTAGTGTCTCCATGAAATAAATTTCAACAACAAAAAAATTAGTTGATTTTTTTAGTATACAGGCCCTAAAGTGTATAGTACAAACAGTATAATATCTTAACCAAGATTATTTAAATTCTAAATTTTATCAGAAAAATAAGAGAATGGAATCATTTGGATGGAGCATGACACTGCTGAGATCAGGACTACTGGGTCAGTTCCTTCATAAACTAGTTAACTTACTTTGTCTGATGGCCTAAACCTAGGCAGTCATTTACAAGTATGGATCCAATAAGAGAAATCTGTTACCATTACTAGGAAGCCAGTTCAAAGCACATAATATGCATATATACACCATTAACCTAAAAGAAAAAATTGCAGGAAAAATAGAAACAGGCCAAAATTTCCATGAGCAAATTATTATGCCAGATGGTCCTCTTTAAGATTAATATTCTGTTTTGAAGTTCCTCATAATTCCACCTAAAGTCATTCTTTACATAAAACAAGCAATGAACGTTTCAAAAGAAAACATTTTTAAAGCTCTACCTCTGGAAAGTATTATAAATAAAATTTTAATAGTAAAGCATTTAGAATTTATAGACTAAGAGTAGTATATAAAAATAAAATGTCATCTTCAGGAATTCCCTCATGGAAGCAAAAAAATTCAAATCCAACCATCTCCAAAAAACCATTTAAGTTTTAAAAAAATGAATCCAGCAATCCCACTACTGGATATGTATCCAAGGGAAAAGAAATCAATATGCCAAAGAGACATCTACACTGCCAGGCTTATTGCAGCACTATTCACAATAGCCAAAATATGGAATCAACCTAAGTGTTCATCAATAGATGAATGGATAAAGAAAATGTGGTATATCTACACAATGGAATACTAGTCAGCCATAAAAAAAGAATGAAATCTTGTCATTTGAGGCCACATGGATGAGCCTGGAGGGCATATTGTTAAGTGAAATAAGCCAGGCACAGAAGGATGAACACACCACATATTCTCATTCATATGTGGAAGCTAAAAAAGTCGATCTCATAGAAGTAGGGAGTAGAGGCTGGGCACCAGGGCTCTCCCCTGTAATCCCAGGACTTTGGGTGTCCAAGGTGGGTGAATCACATGAGGCCAGGAGATCAATACCAGCCTGGCTAACATGGCAAAACCCCGCCTCTTCTAAAAATAGAAAAATTAACCAGGCAGGACTGTAATCCTAGCTACTTGGGTGGCTGAGGCACGAGAGTCACTTGAACCCAGGAGGCGGAGGCTGCAGTGAGCTGAGATTACACCACTGCACTCCAGCCTGGGCAACAGAGCGAGACTCTTGTTTACAAAAAAAAAAGAAGCAGAAGTAGGGAGTAGAACAGTGATTACTGGAGGCTGGGAGGAAAGGGAGGTGGATATGGAGAGGTTGGTTAACAGATACAAAATTACGGCTAGATAAAAGGAATAAGTTCTAGTGTCTGTGGCACTGTAGGGCGACTAGAGGGTGTAGTTAACAATTTACTGTATATTTTCAAATAGCTAGAAGACAGGATTTCTAACTTCCCCAACACAAAGAAATGATAAATGTTTGAGGTGATTACCCTGATTTGATCATTACACACTGTATACCTATATCAGAATATCACACTGTACCCCATAAATATATACAATTACCTATCAGTTTTAAATAAATAAATTTTCAAAAACCACAATATTTTTTTGAATGAGACTCTACCTAAAATTTTATTATGTTCTCTCTTTATGGCCTTCTTTTGGGAAACACTAAAAAGATAAAAAGCTTGTCTGTATATACGGCTCAGAGTTAAGAGATGTTAACCAAGCATATCACAGTAGAATGATTCTAAAGATGTTATATCATGTCCACTTTTCTAATGGAGTAATTTCTATGTGGGAACTAAATTTTGAAGATGATGAACCAGCATTGGAGTCAGGTTGTTCATAGGTAGAAATGGTTTATTTTTCTTTCCCAGATTTTTTTAAAGACTTGTTCTAATGAGAAACAGGATAAAACTCCTTAATGAAAATTCCACTAGAAAATGGTTTTTTAAAGAATAAAATGAGACCTGTTATTACATGAGTGTTAAGTATTACCTCTATATGTCAATACAAAAATCATTAATTAAAATACCATTAGCTTTTTATTTTTACACCAACATTTATGGAATAATGATAATATTCATGGCATTGCTCTAGTATTGTAAGGATATAAAGAGGAATGGGACAGGGTCCCTCCTAGTCCTTAAAGAGGGCACAATTTAGTTGGGAGACAAGATGAGTTCACATATAGGTATAATATGAAGTTGAATTTTGTGTATTGTCTTAAAAGAGAGAGAGCGGGACAAAGTGCTGTGAAGGGTGAGGTAGGAGAACTAATTTGTGGTTAAGGACATTAAGAACATTATTTTGAAGGAGGTGGTATGTAAGTTGAGCTTTAAAAGATGGACAGAAATTATTAAAGCAGCACTGGGGGGAAAGAATTCTAAGCAAAGATTACTTAGAAGCTGGAAATTAGAGGGTGTGCCTTAGAAATGATGAGAAGCCTAATTCAGGCAGTACAGTACGGACTATATAGTGAGACATGCAGTAGTACCTTAGAGCTCTATTTGGAGTAGTTTATTGGACACTCGGAGCAAGTTTAGCTAAATGGTTAAGAGTCTAGGAGCTGGTGCCAAATTGGCCTGGGTTTGAGACCTGGATCTACTAATCTTACCTCTGTGACTTTGGACAAGTTACTTAACCTCTCTGTATCTCAGTTTGCTCACCCGTAATCTCTGAAGTCTTGCATTGGATGTTTTGAAATTCAGAATTTTTCAGTTTGGGGAAAGGAATATGGTATAGTACATCAGATATGTTAGGTAACTGCCCCATCAAGGTCTGAGGCAGTTCCTCATAACCAGCACATTTTTATTTCCACAGAAACCATCTGGTAGTTTACAATAAGTGGAATAAAAATGATACACACTTTTTTATACATTCAGTTCAGGTTTTATCCAAATGAGTTTATTACAAACTTAAGAAAAATTTAAAAATTACTGGCTTTCAGCAGTTTTTAGATTTCAGAATTGTGAATAAGGAATTGAGGGCTTATGGTAGTATCATTTTTATAAGATTGTTTTGAGAATCAAATGGGACAGCGTATTGGCAGAGCTTGCACCCTGCCTAGCACTTGGTAAGTTCTCACTGTTATCCGTTCTGCATTATTATTAGTTACAGGTGTGACTTGTTTAAAATGAGCCAGAGAGAGAGTGAGTGACATGTTCTAGCTATTCAGAGGCAGAACAGGACAAGGAGCCTTCTAGGCCAGTGCTGCTTCCTTTAACATTATGCTAGGTTTGAATCGGGTACTTGAAACCCTTCAATACTGGCTATGTACCCATGTTTGCTGGACAATTGGGACCCATTTAACCAAATGAGGCATAATGAAGATGTGAGCTTTGGTAGAATGAGAATGAAGAGACAATTGGTCTTGCTAGTGAAATACAGGGGTGAGGGAAGAGGCAAAGGTTTTAGAAACAAAGGACCTCTCACATTTGTGTGGGATTACATACTCACACTCTGTCCGAGCATTGTGCCACTGAGCCTCACAAACACCCTGTGCTGGGATGTGGTGCCAATAGTTCTTTGACACCTGACTTTTGTTATTTTATACCTTCCAACTTTTAACTGTGGTGCTTCCACTACCCCAATGCTAAACTTGTCCCTGGCCTCCTGGCAAACTCCTACTTAATCCTCAGGACTAAGCTCTGATGTCACATCTTAAGCGAAGCCTTCCTGAAATGACTTAGGAAGAGTCAGGCCCTCCACCCATCTGGCTTCTGTGGGATCCATGTGTGTCACAGCATCCAACACTTTGCTATAGTTCCTTATTTGCATGTCCTGTTTCTCTGGCCACTCTTATTAGTATTCCTAGCACTCACAATGATACATGATAAATGATACAATGATACATGATAAATGTTTGAGGTGATTACCCTGATTTGATCATCACACAGTGTATATCTATATACCTATATACTAAATATGGTATTTAATGCAGATTTAATGTATGTATGAATCCCCGTTTTGCAAGTGGAAAATTGACAGTTTCAATAACTTGTCCAACATTGTGCCTTCAGCACCATTTGAAAAAAATTGGTTGGAATTAGTGTTTAAACCAGGTCTGCCTGATTCCAAATTGCGTGCTATTTTCTCATCTTTACCCAAAAGAGGAAGAAATATGTATAGGTGTTTATTCACACATGCACATGCATAAATATTAGGGAAGGTTCGTGAGACAACATTGCAGAGTCAAGCCACGGCCAGGCATGGTGGCTCACACCTGTAATCCCAGCAAGGCGGGAGGATCGCTTGAGGCCAGGAATTCACGACCAGCCTGGATAACATAGTGAGATCCTGCCTCTACAAAAAATTAAACAACAAATAAAAGCCAAGCATAATCACTTTTCTATTTTATTTTTCTGATAAACATAATATGCTCTTTTAGTTGTTTATAAATATGCATAAATAGAAGTTTATACTTTTGTGACGGTTGTTAGTCTTGGTTTTGTATAATGTTATAATTAGTTTAAAAAACTAAAACAATATAAGTGCTATATATTTCGGTATATGTATTTTAGTATATGTTTTTTTAATAGTATTGTCTATATGCATGCATTTCTTATCTCTTTGTACACATCTTTTTTTATGCCTGTCATGCTTATACATTTTGCATCCACCAATTTAATCTGGGGCTGTGTATTTATGAATGAAGAGCAAACTTTCATTCACCATTAGGTAATTTTTTACTTTTTTTTTTTTGAGACAGGGTCTCACTCTTTCAACCAGGCTAGCATGTAGTGGCGCATTCATGGCTCAAACCCATCGTCAGCCTCCTGGGCTCAAGTGATCCTCCCACCTCAGCCTCCTGAATGGCTGGGACTACAGGCACATGCCACCACGCCCAGCTAATTTTTTTATTTTTTTATAGAATAAGAGTCTCTCACTCTGTTGCCCAGGCTGGTCTTTCACCCCTGGGCTCAAGCATTCTGCCTACCTCAGCGTCCCAAAGTGCTGGGATTACAGGCATGAGCCACTATGCCTGGCCCATTCAGCTAACTTTTTTAAAGTATTTTTGAATCACTGAAGTGCTTAATCATGGAAGTAACCAGACCACCATTCATTTGCATGATTCTGTTAATGCCATATATAGTATTTCATAGAATGATCCTTCCTCATTTTTCAAAAATGTGCTTATAAAATTTGTGATGACAATTGAACAGCCCAACCCTATGAAATGGTAATTTATGCAGCAATAAAAAATAAATAAATTCATATAATGTAGGCTTGCAGCTGAAGACAGCTGTGTTAAACATGTTTTTTAGTCTGTTACATCAAAGTAATACATACAGTGCTGTACGAAAATGTGTAGGGCGAATGTCTTTGAGGTGCCCACATATAAGCTGTGCTTTTGTACCCACTGTGTGAATATGAGGGAAGTCATTGTTCTGTACCCATCAGGAATAACACATGCAATGATGAAAATATTAAAAATGCCTTTCTTTCAGATGGTGCAGTCTTTTTACAGCTATTATCTCACTTGCCTTAAGTGCCATTTGAAAAAAAATTTCTCAGGGATATTGTTATCTAACTTCTTTGAATTACTGAAGTAGCCAAGAAATCTCTCTAGCACTGATATAAAGAAATGGAAGTACCAGCCGGGCACAGTGACTCATGCCTGTAATCCTAACACTTTGGGAGGCCAAGGCAGGCGGATCACCTGAGGTCAGGAGTTCAAGACCAGCCTGGCCAACATGGTGAAACCCTGTCTCTACTTAAAAAATAAATAAATAAATATATATATATATATATATATATATATATGTATGTATGTATGTATATATATGTATGTATATATATATATGTGTGTATATATATATATATATATATATATATATATATATATATATATATGTATATATATACACACACAAAAAGAAAAAAATTAGCCAGGTGTGGTGGCAGGTACCTGTAATCCCAGCTACTTGGGAGGTTGAGGCAAGATAATTGCTTGAACCGGGGAGGCGGAGGTTGCCATGAGCTGAGATGGTGCCACTGCACTCCAGCCTGGGTGACTGAGCAAGACTCAGTCTCAAAAAAAAAAAAAAGAAATGAGAAGTACCACATTATTTACCTAGAATCTCTGTTTCCAACTGTTCAGACCCCAATATTCCATGTAACTCTACCTGTAGCTAGCAAGAAAAGTAAAATCAGAGGATGAAAGCAAAGGAGAATGGACCATCTGATGAAATAAACTTATAATGTAGAATAACTTGCCAGAAGAAGTAACAGCACAGATTTGGTCACAAAACAGCCTAGAGGAAGGCCAAGAGAGGAAAATGTCCTATACCACAAGATATAAATCAGTTACCTAACAGATTTTTGTTGTTTTGTTTTATTGGTTAATCTCCTAACTTCTGTGATATGTTAATTAGCATGAAAAAGGATGTATATGTATGTGTGTTTGTGTGTGTGTGTGTGTTCAGCTACAAAGGTAAAAGAATATCAGGTGCTCAGGTATGAAATAATTGATCCATAGTTCTGGAAGTCCATCACAAATTGGCTTAAGCAGAATTTTTAAAAAGTGAAATTGGAATGTGATTGTTTGAGAGCCAAAACTGCATTCTTTGAGTATAATTTTACTAGTAGCCATTCATGTATTTATTATGTAGAGTGTCCTGTCAAACAAAATGAAAGGCTATATTTTGTCTTCTCCACATGTAATCTAGAGCCAAGAATGAAAACCACATAATATATTTTTAGGATTAAACCATTTATTACTGATAGATAATGACAGAGCAGAAACAGGAGGCACCAGTTAGTCTGCATTAGCTCATGAGCCTGGATAACTTTTTTGTGAACTCTAAAGATTTGTGAAATTCTATCATTTGCATTAACTTTCTGATAAATTTCTGATGTGGTCAGTGGTCCTCTAGCCCCTGGTCACTGAAACTCATTCTGCACACTGCCAAGAGGTATCTACCCTTAGAAGATCTTTGCCCAAAATTTCCCCCTTCAAGTGCTTTTTAGAAAGAATGAGCACCTTTGCCAAATCTACCAAGCCTCCTCTCTGGCCAATTACTTTGGCTACTGTGGGGGAGGGAATCCTAGCATGTAGGAAGATGTGTAGTAAGAATAGAAAGATCTATGTTTTACTCAGAATTCTGCCTGGTTGAGAAGGTAAGATAAGTATATGATAAAATCAAGGATCATATTCAGCTAATGTTTATTGAGTACATTCTTTGTTGCCAAACATCAGCCCCAAAGCACAGTATATAGATATTAACAAACACAGGATTAGGTTAATAAGGAACTTGGACAACTGGAATTCCCAGGTTAAATAAACTGAGGATATTGCTCTTAGAAGAAAAGATTTAGTGGAAATGAGATAACTCGTGTTAAAAATAAATACTTAAAGGGGTTGCCGTGAGGAAGGTATAAGGGGCAGGGTACCAGGTATATATGGTTAGAAGTTGCATATTCTGCTTATCCTTTTTTAATTTAAAACACAGACTACTAGAAATAAAGTTCAAAAGTTAATTGGAGTAAAGAGAAGATTGAACAAAAAATCATCCTAGGGGGTCAAAGGTTGTTTTAAAAGGTTGAGAAAACTGCAATTGGTTCTCTAAAATTAGTCTCAAGAAAGTGATCTAGGGCCCATCATGGTGGCTCACGCCTGTAATTCCAACACTTTGGTAGGCTGAGGTGGGCAGATTGCATGAGCCCAGGAGTTCAAGACCAGCCCGAACAACATGGCGAAACCTCATCTCTACAACAAATAGAAAAATTAGCTGGGCATGGTGGTGCACGCCTGTGGTACTGGGGAGGTTGAGGTGGGAGGATAGCTTGAGCCAAGATCATACCACTATACTTCAGCCTGGGTGACAGCAAGACCCTGTCTCAAAAAAACAAGGTGAGCTTGCCAATTCATACTTTTAAAATTAAAGTCTGATATTTCTCTTCAATCTTGTGAATTTCTTTTATAATCATGAGAAAAGCTTTTTTTTTTTTGAGATAGAGTCTCGCTCTGTTGCCCAGGCTGGAGTGCAATGGCATGATCTCGGCTCACTGCAACCTCCGTCTCCTGGGTTCAAGCAATTCTCCTGCCTCAGCCTCCTGAGTAAATGGGATTACAGGCACCTGCTACCATGCCCAGCTGGTTTTTGTATTTTTACTAGAGATGGGGTTTCCCCATGTTGGTCAGGCTGGTCTCGAACTCCTGACCTCAGGTGATCCACCCACCTCGGCCTCCCAAAGTACTGGGATTACAGGCGTGAGCCACCGCACCGGGCCTGAGAAAAGCTTTTTAAAGTTCTGTTGGATATATTCATAAAACACATTGGGGGTTAAAGTCAGTATGACCACAGAACACATTTGTACCACAATACTTTGATACTAATAGGACTTAATGAGATACAGTTTGCACGTGGACCCAAGTCAACAGCAAGAAGTTTATTCACAGATAAATTAATGTCTATAAGATATTAAAATTTATTTCACTTGTGTTTTCATTGTTATAAGAGGAAAAAAGATAGAAAATCTAAATTGTTTTTATTTTAATAAGAACCAGATATCTCAAATATGTTCAAATTATAAGATGTAAAGATAGCTTACATCAATAGAATGGTTGGTAGATGTTGCTCATGCATCAATCTGTAAATTGAATGGGATATGTCCCAGGAACAGGTGTTTTTTCATGAAGCTTGTGGCATTAGATATGCCCTCCACTCCATTGCCATAAAGACATATCATTGTAAAATAAAGAGAATAGTATGTGTGCTTCAGGGGGTTTTGCATATTTTTTAAATAAAGAAAAAGTATATCACTGGCATACATTATTTTTAACAACACAGTTTTAGACATACTAGTGACGGTTAGTTTTTCTGAAAGTTGATAGTGAAAGAAATAGACGAGAACAGGAGTTACAGGGCTTATATGAGGTTGGTAGGTATATTTTTATTTTTTTAATGGGGAGAATTAAGATACTTGTTTGTCAAAGAGAATTACCAACTGCACATGGAGAGAAGAAATTGAAGAAATTGATGAAGATTAAATGAAGTGGTGATGGGTGTGGGCCTAAGAACTCAAGTAGAAGGAGGAGAATGGTTCTTCCTCTAGTCTAGTGGCCCTAAGCGGGGGATTCTTTTGCCCCACCCCCAGGGGATGGTAGGAAGTATTATGGCATCTAGTGAGTAGAAGCCAGGGTTTCTGCTAAATGTCTGCAGTACAGAGGACAACCCTCCACAGCAAAGAGTTATTCAGACCAAAATGTCTATAGTGCCAAGGTGGAGAAACCCTGATCTAGTTAGGAGGACAAGAACATATTAGGAGAGTATACAAAGAAATATTTAGGCCAGGCACAGTGGCTCATGCCTATAATCCTAGCCCTTTGGGAGGCTGAGGTAGGAGGACTGCTTGAGCCCAGGAGTTCGAGACCAGCCTGGGCAACATAGTGACACCCCATCACTACAAAAAAATACAAAAATTAGCCAACCGTGGTGGCATGCACCTGTAGTTCCACCTACTCAGGAGGCTGAGGCAGGAGGATCACTTAAGCCCAGGAGGTTGAGGCTTCAGTGAGCCAAGGCCATGCCATGCACTCCAGCCTGGGGGACAGAGTAAGACCCTGTCTCTTAAGGGGAAAAAAAAAAGGCCAGGCACAGTGGCTCACTCCTGTAATCCCAGCATTTTGGGAGGCTGAAGTGGGTGGATCATTTGAGGTCAGGAGTTCAAGACCAGCTTGGGCAAGATGGTGAAACCTTGCCTCTACTAAAAATACAAAAATTAACGGGGTGTGGTGGCATACACCTGTTATCTCAGCTACTCGGGAGGCTGAGACAGGAGACTCTCTTGAACCCGGGAGGCAGAGGTTGCAGTGAGCCAAGATTGTGCCACTGCACTCCAGCCTGGGTGACAGAGCGAGATTCTGTCTCAAAAAAAAAAAAAAAAAAGAAAGAAAGAAAAAATATTTAAGTGCAAGAGATTATTTAAACTAAGGGAGTTTGAACCCTCTGGCCTTAATCTTATTAAAATAGAAAGCCACATGTCTGACAAGACTAACAATTCTGTTATTAACATGACCCAAAGTCAGAATTAGTTTAGCACAGTCCCAAGACCTCAGTTATTTTCTTCACAGGTGCATGTAATGAAACTTTTTTGAAATTCCATTTTAAATTGCATGCATATGTCCAATGAGCAAGTCAGCAAAAAGAAATGTTTTTATTAACTTAAAAAATAACATTCTAGCAGTAAACATTTCATTAACTTGATCTGGCAAACAATAATGCACATAGTTCTAGAACAGAGCTGCCAGTCTCTCATCCTGTTGGATTCTTGAAAGATGTTGAGGATACTGTTCTTCCAGGCCATCATTCTGTTTCTTAAGAATAGCTCTTTTTTCTCTAATCAAATGAAAGTAAAAAAGAAGCTGGTACACCAAAATGTAAGGTTAAGCTGTAATTTCATTGCTTGTCAATACATACTTCTTAAGAATCTTCTTTTTATATTCTTCAGTTTCAATAACTTTTTTTTCTATAAGTGAACAAAAGCTAAAAGAATTGTGGGATCTTTTATCTTTATTTTAATCCAACCATATATTCTTTTTAGAAAGTCTGAAATTTGGCCGGGCGCAGTGCCTCACGCCTGTAATCCCAGCACTTTGGGAGGCCTAGGCAGGCAAATCACGAGGTTGGGAGATGGAGACCATCCTGGTTAGCATGACAAAACCCCACCTCTACTAAAAATCCAAAAAAAAAAAAAAAAAAAAAATTAGCCAGGCATGGTGGCATGTGCCTGTAGTCCCAGCTACTCAGAGGCTGAGACAGGAGAATCGCTTGAATGTGGGAGGCGGAGGTTGCAGTGAGCCGAGATCATGCCACTGCACTCCAGCCTGGGCGACAGAGCGAGACTCCATCTCAAAAAAAAAAAAAAAAAAAGAAAGAAAAGGAAAAAAAAAGAAAGTCTGAAATATATCTTCAATTCTGTAGGTTTCTCTTATAAGAAAAACTTTGTTTTAAAGACCATTTCCAAAGTCCAGTTGTATTTTCTTGGTTTGATTCTGACTGGTAGTTAGATGATGCAAACAAAAAAGAAATTAACCCTTTCTATTTGTTTCCTTTAAACATAAAAAAAGCATTGTCTGGATTGCCTCTATAACTTTTACAGAAACATAGTATAATAACACTTAAACTTCCACCATTGACCCATTGTTCTTGGGCTGTTCTTTCATTGGTAATTTTTATTCCAAATCTGGCAGGTGCCTTCATTCTCCTGGCTTCTGCCTTGGTTTCTATTAAAGCTTCTTTCAGCACTCGGAGTAATTGGGAACTTTCTGTTTTCAAATTTCTGTACGGAATTATCAGAAGTGTAGTGTGACTGTGTCTATACCTTTAGAGCAGGTACATTTTTTATGGACTTCAAAGGAAAAATTAGGAATTATTTTTCTCAACAAATTCTTCCATCTCATAAACTTACTTAGCATTTGTTTTGTGATTCACTCACAGTTCATAGGGTGCTTTCATATACATTATCTTGTTTGGACCTAGCAACAACTGTATGACATGGGTATTATAATTTTCTTGGAGATAAATTAAATGTAAGTTTAGTGAGGCTTATGACTCCAAAGCTCACAAAGCCAACCTCTGTTCTGATTCCTGCTTTATATGCTCTGGTCTGAGTTCTGCTCTGCTTTCTCAGGGGCTCTTGACTGCATGTCTAGGATTCTAGGTACTAAATGTAGAGGTGGGGGTGAGGCAAGAGTGAGGAAACAGGAAAATCCCCCAGACAAGAAGACTATCACTTCCCATTCTAGTATCTAATAACCCAATTACTGTGTCCCCCACATTTTCTGGAGACCCAAAACTACAGCACTCTGGATGTTTTCCTCAGTTGACTCCAACCCTTGACTCCATTTCCTTATTGGAGCTGTGACATTGTTATCTTAGTCCTCCTGTTCCTGCAGTTTCACTGCTCTTGCAAGCTACTCTGACTTTATTTTGAAATATTTTCAGAGAGTGGAAGTATTACATTCAAAGCAATTTTTTCAAAATACTCAATTTAGTATCTTCCTCTATATATATATATATATATATTTTTTTTCTTTTTTTTGCAGAAAAATACCTAAGGAACAAAGTAAGGTAATCCTATTTAGTATGCTAATATGTTATCAACATGTTAATATTAAAAGTTAGATATTGATTTGATAGAAAGGAAAATGGAAATAAATTTTTACTTACTCAGATCAGTTTCATAAAATCTCATTACTGTATGTAGTCAATGTTAAGATTTCAAGTGGATTTTAAAACTGGAGTAGTTATTTCCTTAGTTCCAAGACACCTGGTACGTGCTTAAGAGTGCAAGAGAGAGTTATACCCACCCAAAGCAATAATGCCAGTGGTTTATTTCTGACTATAATATTAAGAAGTATGAGTCTTTAAATCCCATAAAATGACTATTTTTGCAATTCTCTGTTTGCCGCTTTGTGTTTGTTTGAGAAAGAGAAATATATTGAACTTATATTTACCCAGCAGCTATTGTATGCCAGATACTGCCTATGCTCTAGAAATAAAATAATGAACAAAACAGAAAGGCTAGTCCTAACAGAATTCTCACTGGGTGGTAGAGAGGGTAGTCAAGAGAGGAGAGAGAGGCAAAGATAGACAGAAAGAGATAGACATTCTGTTTCTATATCAGGGCTTGAACCAGAAGCCACAGATTGCCAACTGAACCATGGCACCCAGTCATCAGAGAACTTAATATTGATCCGTTCAATCTCTCTATTCACAGCTTACATTGAGAGCCCTATGCCCTTAGGCACTTGCTGAGTGCTGAGGACATAACAAAGTGAACACTAAATGTTCAGCCCCCAGCCCTAATTACACCTTCTCTCAACTTAAAGTCAAACTAACAAATGTGTATTAAATGAATATCTATTATGTGTTCCAGTGGTGGTTTTCAGTCATGGCCACAATTAGAATTACTGGAGAGCCTCTAAATAATACCAATTCTTGTGCTTCACTTAAAACCAATTAAATCAGAATCTTAGAGATGATGTCCTGGCATCAGTATCATTCCAAAGCCTCCTGGTATAATTCTGATATGCAGCCAGAGTTGAAAACCCATTTCCTATCAAGTGCCCACGGGAGGAAAAAAAGAAATATAAGAAAAAAAATTTACCTATATTTGTAATAAAAAAAAATACCTTTCTGGAATTCCATAAAGAAGGTGGAAGAAGCAAACATTTAATTTCCCTTCATATTTTCTCCAACAGATAAATATTTGTTGACTCCCATCTATGCAGAGAGCAAATGAAAAAAGCATAAAGTCTGCCCCTTCCCTCAAGTAGCTTAAACTTTGGTTGGAAATAAAAGTCTCTGCCTTTTGGGAATTAAATAAAAATACAGGTGCTCCAGAAATATCCACAAATGACAAAGATGCCCATAATCTGGTCCATGAGTTCCCGTAAGGACAAATGTCACTGGGGGTCAGTCCTGACATAAGACCAAAAAAATTCTTCCCATCTCCCCCCATAATGGAATATAACAGGAAATATGCCCATTCTCATTCGATTTGCAGTAGAAAATTCCCACTAATTTACAAATAAGCAGCCTATTCTTCTTTAAGGAGAGAATGTTCTCATTAGAAATGTATGACCATTTCAAATGGCTGATCTACCTGTTTGTGAAGTGTGAGGCCTACCTGCAGGGGCACACACCCTTCCAAAAGTTTTAAAACACTCAGTGAATGTCGCTGGTGAGGTTTTAGGAGTAATAATAGTAATTGTTCCAAGGTATATTCCTATTGTTGAAAATATATGAAGTGATTTTATAATTTTTTAATTTAATTGATTTTAAATCTATCTTTTTTATGTTTATATATTTAGGAGGTACAAATGCACATTTCTTACATGCATATATTGCATCATGGTCAAGTCTGGGCTTTTAGTGTACCCATCACCCAAATCACAGACATTGTACCCAATAGGTAATTTTTCAACCCTCACCCCCCTGCCACCTTCCCACCTTTTGTATTCTCCAGTGTCTGTTATTCTACTCTGTATGTCCATGTATATCCATTGTGTAGCTCCCACTTATAGGTGAGAACATGCTGTATTTGACTGTTGCTGCGTTATTTCAGTGAGGATAATGGCCTCCAGTTCCATCTATGTTGCTGCAAAAAGACATGATTTTATTCTTTTTCTAAAGCCAGTAAATAGTATTCCATGGTGTGTGTATATATATATATGTGTGTGTGTGTGTGTGTGTATGTGTATATATATACACACATATATGTATATATGTGTGTATATATATACATATATAGGTATATATACACACATATGTATGTGTATATATGTGTATATATGTGTGTATATATACACACATATATGTGTATATATACGTATATATATGTGTGTGTGTATATATATATATACGTGTATATATATATACCACTCTTTCTTTATATAGTCCTCCATTAATGGACACTTAGGTTAATTCTGTATCTTTGCTATTGTGCATTGTGCTGTGATAAAAATACAAGTGCAGCTATCTTTTTGATATAATGATTTCTTTCCCTTTGGATATATATCCCAGTAGTGAAATTGCTGAATCAAATGGTAGTTCTATTTTTAGCTATTTGAGAAACCTCCACACTGTTTTGCATAAAGGTTGTACTAATTTACATTCCCATCAACAGTATATAAGTGTTTCCTTTTCTCTACATCCTTGCCAACATCTGTTGTTTTTTGACTCTTTAATAATAGCCATTCTGACTGATATAAGGGAGTATCTTATTATGGTTTTAATTTGCAGTTCTCTGGTAATTAGTAATGTTGAGAATTTTTTCATGTTTGTTGGCTGCTTGTATGTCTTCTTTTGAAAAATGTCCATTTTTTTGCCTACTTTTAAATGGGGTTATTTGGTTTTTTTCTTGTTGAGTTGTTTGAGTTCCTTGTAGATTCTGGTTATTAGCCCTTTGTCAGATGCATAGTTGCAAATATTTTTTCCCATTCTATAGATGGTCTTTTTGCCCTGTTGATTATTTCTTTTGGTATACACAAGCTTTTTAGTTTAATTAAGTCCAATTTGTCTAGTTTTTTTTTGGTTGCATTTGCTTTTGAGGACTTGGTCATAAATTCTTTGCCTAGGCCAATGTCTACAGTAGTTTTTCTTAGGTTTTGTTCTAAGGTTTTTATGGTTTCAGATCTTACATTTAGATCTTTAATCCATCTTGGGTTAATTTTTGTATGTGGTAAGAAGTATGAACCCAGTTTCATTCTTTTGCATGTGACTATCCAATTTTCCCAGCACCATTTATTGAACAGGTTGTCATTTCCTAATGTATATTTTTGTTGACCTTGTCAAAGATCACTTGGTTGTAGGTATGCGGCCGTATTTCTGGGTTCTCTCTTCTGTTCCATTGATCTGTGTAACTGTTGTTATACCAGTGCCATGTTATTTTGGTTGCTATAGTCTTGTATAATTTGAGTAAGGTAATGTGATACCTCCAGCTTTGTTCTTTTTGCTTAGGATTTCTTTGGCTATTTGAGCTTTTTTTGGGTTTCATATGAGTTTTAGGATTGTTTTTTCTACTTTGGTGAAAAATGACATTGGTGATCTGATAGAGATTACATTGAATATTATTAAAATTACATTTTAATAATATTGATTCTTCAATCTATGAGCATGGATGTTTTTTCATTTGTTTATGTCATCTACAACTTCTTTCAGTTTTGGAGCTTGGAACTTCACTAGTTCATTTGTCAAATCTAAGAGTTTTTTGGTGGAGTCTTCAGGGTTTTCTAGATATAAGATCATATCAGCAGCTAACAGGAAAAATTTGTCTTCCTCTTTTCCAATTTGAATGCCTCTTATTTCTTTCTCTTACCTGACTGCTCTGATGAAGACTTTGATACTGTGTTGAATAGGGGTGGTAAAAGTGGGCATCCTTGTCTTGTTCCAGTTCTTAGAGGGAATGCTTTTAACTTTTCCCCATTAAGTATGATATTGGGTGTGGGTTTGTCATATATGGTCTTTATTATGTTAATGTGTGTTCCTTCTATGCCTAGTTTGTTGAGGATTTTTATCATAAAAGGATGCTGAATTTTATCAAATGCTTTTTCTGTGTATATTGAGATAATACAGTTTTTGTCCTTAATTCTGTTGATGTGACATATCATGTTTATTGATTTACATGTGTTGAACCATCCTTGCATCCCTGGGATAAATCGTACTTGATCATGATATATTATCTTTCTGATGTACTGGTTGATTTTATTTACTAGTATTTTGTTGATGATTTTTGTGTCTATGTTAATCAGGGATATTGGTTTATAGTTTTCAGTGTGTGTCCTTGTCTGATTTTGGCATCAGGGTGATACTGGCCTCATAGAATAAGTTAGGGAGAATTCCTTCCATCTTGATTTTTTGGACAGTTTCAGGAGTATTGGATTTTGTTCTTTGTGTATTTGGTAGAATTCAGCTGTGAATCCATTTGATCTTGTGCTTTTTGTTGTTGTTGTTTCTGGGAGATTTTTTATTACTGATTCAATCTTGCTACTCATTATTGGTCTGTTCAGGAGTACTATTTCTTCCTGGCTCAGTCTCAGTAGGTTTTGTGTTTCCAGCATTCAGATCAGAAAACAAAGATTACTAGACCTAAAGAAAGAGATAGATGGCAATACAATAATAGTAGGGGACTTTATTGTCCCACTCACAGCACTAGACAGATCATCAAGTCAGAAAAGTAACAAAGAAATATTGGACTTAAATTGGACTTTAAACCAAATGGACTTAACAGACATTTACAACAACATTCTTACCAGTAACTACAGAACATATATTTTCATCAGCAAATAGAAAATTCTCTGAGGTCGATCACATGTTAGGCCACAAAACAAGTCTTAGCAAATTTTTAAAAATCAAAATCATATCAAATATCTTCTCAGAACACAATGGAAAAAGGCTAGAAATCAATACAAGAGGAACTTTGGAACCTATACAAATACATGGAAATTAAACAGCATGTTCCTGAACAATCACTGGGTGTATTAGTCCATTTTCACACTGCTGATAAAGACATACCTGAGACTGGAAAGAAAAAGAGTGCACTCCCACGTGGCTGGGGAGGCCTCAGAATCATGGTGGGAGGCAAAAGGCACTTCTTACATGGGGGTGGCAAGAGAAAATGAGGAAGATGCAAAAGCAGAAACTCCTGATAAAACCATCAGATCTCATGAGACTTATTCACTACCACGAGAACAGTATGGGAGAAACTGCCTTCATGATTCAAATTATCTCCCACCGGGTCCCTCCCACAACACATGGGAATTATGGGAGTACAATTCAAGTTGAGATTTGGGTGGGGACACAGCCAAACCCTATCATTCCACCCCTGGCCCCTCCAAATCTCATGTCCTCACATTTCAAAACCAATCATGCCTTCCCAACAGCACCCAAAGTCTTAACTCATTTCAGCATTAACCCAAAACGCGCAGTCCAAAGTCTCATCTGAGACAAGGCAAGTCCCTTCCACCTATGAGCCAGTAAAATCAAAAGCAAGCTAGTTACTTCCTAGATACAATGTGGGTACAGGTATTGGGTAAATACAGCTGTTCCAAATGGAAGAAATTGGCCAAAACAAAGGGGCTACGGGGCCCATGCAAGTCTGAAATTCAGTGGGGCAGTCAAATTTTAAAGCTCCAAAATGATCTCCTTTATCCCCAGGTCTCACATCCAGGTCACACTGATGTAAGAGGTGGGTTCCCATGGTCTTAGGCAGCTCAGCCCCTGTGGCTTTGCAGGGTACAGCCTCCCTCCCAGCTGCTTTCATTGGCTGGCCTTGAGTATCTGCTGCTTTTCCAGGAGCATGGTGCAAGCTGTTGGTGGATCTTCCATTCTGGGGTCTGGAGGATGGTGGCCCTCTTCTCACAGCTCCACTAGGCAGTGCCCAAGTAGGGACTCTGAGGGCTTCAGAGCACATTTGCCTTCCACACTGCCCTAGCAGAGGTTCTCTATGAGCGCCCTTCCCCTGCAGCAAACTTCTGCCTGGGCATCCAGGCGTTTCCATACATCTTCTGACATCTAGGCAGAGGTTCCCAAACCCCAATCCTTGACTTCTGTGCACTCACAGGTTCAACACCACGTGGAAGCTGCCAAGGCTTGGGTCTTGTACCCTCTGAAGCCACAGCTCAAGGTCTGCGTTGGCCCCTTTCAGCAATGGCCAGAGCAGCTGGGACACAGGGCACCAAGTCCCTGGGCTGCACACAGCATGGGGATCCTGGGCCCAGCCCAGGAAACCATTTTCTCGTAGGCCTCTGGGCTGATGACTGGAGGGGCTTGTGTGAAGACCTCTGACATGCCCTGGAGACATTTTCCCCATTGTCTTGGTGATTAACATTCGGCTCCTTGTTACTTATGTAAATTTCTGCAGCTGGCTTGAATTCCGCCTCAGAAAATGGGTTTTTCTTTTCTATCACATTGTTAGGCTGCAAATTTTCCAAAATTTTATGCTCTGCTTCCCTTACAAAACTGAATGCCTATAACAGCACCCAGGTCACCTCTTGAATGCTTTGCTGCTTAGAAATTTCTTCCACCAGATACCCTAAATCATCTCTCTCAAGTTCAAAGTTTCACAAATCTCTAGGGCAGGGGCAAAATGCTGCCAATCTCTTTGCTAAAACATAACAAGAGTCACCTTTGCTCCAGTTCCCAACAAGTTCCTCATTTCCATCTGAGACCACCTCAGCCTGGACCTTATTGTCCATATCACTGCCAGGCCTTGGTCAAAGCCATTCAGCAAGTCTCTAGGAAGTTCCAACTTTCCCACATTTTCCTGTCTTCTTCTGAGCCCTCCAAACTGTTCCAACCTCTGCCTTTTACCCAGTTCCAAAGCCACTTCCACATTTTCGGGTATCTTTTCAGCAATGCCCCACTCCACCAGTACCAATTGACTGTATTAGTCAGTTTTCATGCTGCTGATAAAGACATACCCAAGACTGGGAAGAAAAAGAGGTTTAATTGGACTTACAGTTCCACATGTCTGGGGAGTCCTCAGAATCATAGTGGGAGGCAAAAGGCGCTTCTTACATGGGGGTGGCAAGAGAAAATGAGGAAGATGCAAAAGCGGAAACTCCTGATAAAACCATCAGATCTCGTGAGACTTACTCACTACCATGAGAACAGTATGGGGAAAACCGGCCCCATGATTCAAATTATCTCCCACCGAGTCCCTCCCACAACACATGGGAATTATGGGAGTACAATTCAAGATGAGATTTGGGTGGGGACACAGCCAAACCATATCACTGGGTCAATGAAGAAATTATAATGGAAATTTAAAATTTTTTCGAAACAAATGAAAATGAAAACACAACATGCCTTAACCTATGGTATACAGCACAAGCAGTGCTAAATGGAAAGTTTATAGCATTAAATGCGTACATCAATAAAATATCTGAAATTAACAACCTAACATCACAAACTAAACCCAAAGTTAGCAGAAGAAAAGAAATAACAAAGATCAGAGCAGAACTAAATGGAGTAGAAACAAGAAAAACCATACAAAGGATGGACAAAATGAAAAGTTGGTTCTTTGAAAGGATAAACAAAATGGATAAACTGCTTGCTAGACTAACCAAGAAGAAGGTCCAAATAAAAATCAGAAATGATAAAAGGAGGCATTTTTTACAACTGATACCAAGAAATATAAAAGATCACCAGAGACTATTAGGAACAACTATGTGCTCACAAACTAGAAAACCTAGAGGAAATGGCTGTATGCTATCTTTTTAATCCTCACAAGTGTATTATTGGGAAAATGAGTCACATGTCACCATTAAGTGACAAATCCAGATTTTGAGGCTAAGTCTTCCAAGTCCATTGTTCTTTCTGATACCCCAGTGGTTCTCAATCTTGGCTACGCATTAGAATACGTAGGAAGCTTTTTCAATTTTGCCAGAGCCTGACTCACCAGTAATATTCACAATAGATGGTAGGGGCAGGGTGGGAAGGATAGCAGAGAAACCAACAAAAGTGCTTCCAGAAAAAGTAAAAAGAATATTTCAGTGATCCTTACTGTCACTTCCTCTGAAGTGAATAATAGAGCAGATTTATTAGTAGTTTAAAACTTTGTACACAGAGCTATGAAAATAAAGAATATTTATGAAAAGATAAAATAAGAATAGCATGAGGTAATAGAGTTTTGATTTCCCTCAAATACCAAATATCTGGCAATTTAACACATAAGTCATGCTCTTATTACACAAACCTTAATAAAATGTAAACTAAAGTATAATGCATTTTGAAGATAATCTGCTTTACAAATGTAGGCTTAGGATTTCTACATCAAGAATCAAGATCAAGTTGAATAAAATTATTCAGAAGAGTCATTTCAGGTTCCTGCTAGAGCATAGAGCTAAAACCAGTTAACTGGTGTGGAAAACTTGTGGAAACACAAGTTAACTAGTGTTTAGTTTAACTTGTGAGTTAAAACCAGTTAACTGGTGCGGAAATTCAGAATCATAGTGTACTACTGAAAGAGTTTCTAATCTCAGCAAGATCTGTTACCATCTGAAAAGTTATTAATGGCAAAAACTGCAATTACTTTTGCACCAACCTAATACTTAGTTCTATAAATTAGTAGCTATTTGTAAAGGATAAATCTATCCTAGATATCCCTAATTTAGATCTGAAAATGTCTTTCTTGGAATGTTTTCTAACTACAGGGTTAGAAACATCTTTAAGTAGAGTGAGTTTAAATGTTTGGTGTAGCAACCCATCTTGCATGTGTTTAAATGTTTGTATACCAACACATTCTTTGAGTGGGGTAAACTATATATACGTACTCAAAGAATGTACATTTTTGAGATTAGATTTTTACCAAGCACAATTTGGTAAAGGGAAGTAGGGAAGTAGGACTTGTGGGTTGTACCACTTTTGCAGGAGAAAAATGCAGGTATTTTGGAGCTAATTAAAGAAAGACAAAACTCAAAACTTAGTCTTTCCAGCACCCATGCTGGAGTGCAGTGGTGCGATCTCGGCTCACTGCAAGCTCCGCCTCCCGGGTTCACGCGATTCTCCCGCCTCAGCCTCCCCAGTAGCTGGGACTACAAGCACATGCCACCATGCCCCAGCCAATTTTTTGTTTTTGTATTTTTAGTAGAGACCGGGTTTCACCGTATTAGCCAGGATGGTCTCGATCTCCTGACCTCGTGATCCGCCCGCCTTAGCCTCCCAAAGTAATGGGATTACAGGCGTGAGCCACCGCGCCCGGCCATGGTTCTTAAACTCTAACCTAATCTTTTCCCCCAACTAGAAACTTTCAGTAGTTCTCCACTATCTTTGGCATAAAATTCAAGCACACACCCAGAGAAAACCTCCACCACAAGATTTTTGGTTTATTCTTTAATACTTAGCTTTGACGTTGCTACTCTGTGAAGCCTTCCGTGCCTCCCATAGGCACTTGTACTATGTACCTATATCCGTCATATATATCTCAGTTACTGATTCAATTTACAGTTGTTGAATGCCAGTTTTATGCCATGAATTGTATTTAGTGTTGAAGATACTGAGTAAAGCAGCCTTTATTTTTTAATGATCTCTAGGTGAGGAAGCATATTTAAGCAAATTTTAGAAAGTGTGATAAGCTCTCACTGTAGCAAGGAGGAAAAAGAGGGGCACTGTCTCATAGCACATATCACATTCTTTTGTGATCATTACTGTGTTTCTCTCCCACTGGAATGGAAGGCGTGTATATTCCCTGCATCAGAGTCATAAGTATAGAGTTGGTGTGCAATAGTAGTTGTATTTTGGATGGATGGATGGGTGGGTGAGTGGTTGGGAGGAAATTGCAACAACTGCCTAAAATTGTTTAGTAGATTATCGACAGACTTTATTTAGAGTTGGATAAGGGAGGTGCATGAATATGGGAACATATATATCCTTACACTGTATAAGCTAAATCCTTGCCTTGGGAACTTCTCCTTGTGGTTCAGTGAGTCTTGAATCTGTTAGAGAGGATCTCGGGATATAGGCTTTTCAGTCAGCGCTTTGCTAAACACATCAAAGAAGTCTGTCACTTGATGGTTCATTGCTTTATGATTTGCCAGAAGTTCAGGCAAAAGGTCCCAATTAAAAGCCCTGGGTTGTTTCTCATGGTCTCTTGCTCAATGGCAAGGGGAGATTCCTCAAGGCTTCATCACATCACCAAACAGTGCATCCAGTTAATCTGCTAGATTTAAAAAAACAAAACAAAACAAAACATGCCATGCTAAAATTTAATAGTTCAGTTTCACACATAGTCCAATTCCCTCCATATTGGACTATGGGCCTCTGTTTGTGTTGACATAAAGGTATCTCTAGACTCTAGAACAGTGATTCTCAGCCCTGGCTTAAAAACAAAAAGAAAAGAAATACCAGACTCCACCTCCAGAGTCTTATTTGCCTGTAATGGGGCCCAGGCATCTCTATTTTTTGAAAGCGCCCAAGTTGATTCTAATATATAATCAGGACTGGAAACACTGGCCTAGAGTCAAGACCAGAACACTTTACAATTAGCCTGGAATTTGTTCCACAAAAATTTCTTCCTGCCTTCTTCTGATCCTTCAGGTCTCTATCTAATTATCACCTCCTCAGTAATATTGTCCGGTGACCTTGCTTTTTGTAGGAAAAAAGTCATCCAAAGGGGCCTCCTCTATCACCTTGTCCCTCAAAGTATTTACTACAACCTGAAAATAACTTGTGTATTTATTTGTTTTCTTGTTTGTTATCCATCCCTCCTACTAAATGAGGAATATCATATATTTATTGGCAGCTGCTGTTGTGTGAATGTCGTCAGCTGTAGATCTAGTAATATGTGTGACTGCTGCTAGGCCAAATCAAGGAAGGGGAGAAGGAGCTGGAAGAAAGGGTAAAAACGGGTGAAAATTTGATGGGAAGTGAAAATTCAGACAATACTCCTAAAAGTGAAAATTCTGACCAGGCGCAGTAGCTTATGGCTGTAATTCCAG
Organism: Homo sapiens; assembly: GCF_000001405.40. NCBI lineage: Eukaryota > Metazoa > Chordata > Mammalia > Primates > Hominidae > Homo > Homo sapiens. The sequence continues at coordinate 100,000,602 of NC_000003.12, forward strand.
CACTTTGGGAGGCCAAGGCAGGAGGATTGCTTGGGCCCAGGAGTTCAAGGCCAGAGTGAGCTATGATTGTGCTATTGCACTCCAACCTGGGCGATAGCGCAAGACTCTGTCTCTTAAAAAAATTAATAAAAATTCTAACCCCTATTCCCCAGGAGTAGCCACTGTTTACAGTTTGGTGTTTATTGTTTGAAGTGTATTGAAATGTGTACACAAATAACATACAGATTGGTTTACAAATAATGGAACACTTTAACAAATATATTACTCAGTAACTATGTTGTATATAAATGTGTAGTCAAAGCCTGTAGTTGACCTACGGCAAGACACTTGTAAGAGTAGCTCCTTGATTTAATGCCAACTATGTTTTCTATAAGATAACCTAGTTACTGGGTGATAGATTTTTTAAAACTGTTCAATTCCCTTTGAATTGTTCTATATTTCACACACACACACACTCTTCCCAAAAATATTATTGTGCCTACTTATTAATGCAGTTATTTTAGAGGTTAGCTGTCCTCCCAAAATTGGCTTAGATTTAAATAGGGTTAAGTGGTGATAAATTTAGTAGTAGTAGCCATACCCTCTCACTTTGTCTCAGTTCACCTATTTAATAGTATACTATGACCAGCAGATCAAATCAGACCCTTAATCTGTTTTTGTAAATAAAGTTTTATTGGAACATGGCTATACTCCTTCATTTACATATTATCTATCGCTGTTTCTGTGACGCAGTGTCAGAGGTGAGTAGCTGCGACAGAGATCACATAGCCCACAAAATCTGAAATATTACTATCTGGCTTTTTAGGGAAAAAGTTGGCTGACCACTTCCCTAGTTGATCAAAAAGATTATACCATCAGTAATCAATCAGAACAACCCAACTGAGCCCAGTTTATGAGAATGTATTGGTGGTTCTGGGATTTTACATCTTTAAAACTCTATCTGATTGCTTTTCGTAGGAAGAAAGTCAGCCAGAACATTGTTAAATGACAGGGTGGGGAGGGAGTGGGAGACATGTTCCATCTAGTTGGGTCTTGTCTTCCTGTCAGGCAGGTCACATCTTCTCCCTTTCTCTTCTTTCCTCTCCCAAAAGAAACAGTACACATTGCAGATGTGGCCAAGGTTTTCAAAATACCTGTAGGTTGGATCCTTTGAATTTAAACCAGTCTGCCAAGTCTTTGCTGCCAAGCCTCATAAATCATTTGGCTGAATAATTAAAGGGATGGGTGTCTTGTTGAATGCTGCACCAGGTGTGGTGGGGCAACTTACCCTCCCCTAAGCTGCTCAGCATAGAAGGTCGGGGACCCAACACGGTGTCGCCTATGAGGGAAGCACAATGAGACATCTGGTTTTCATCTCCAGTGGGCTTGTCCATATCCCCCCCAATTCTGAAGCTTTGTTGGAAATGCCCCTCTCTGGAGATTCCATCACAAATCTGCTGGTGATGCGTGTGTGACTGTTTGCAGCTCTGGAAAAGCGCGGTGCCACTGCAAGTGGAAAACATGCCCAAAGCTCACTGGGACTGACCACCTCCTGTACAGACCTGTGTCTCTAATGAATTCTTCTTTATTTGGAGCTGATGGTGTTGTACTTAAAAGCTGCTGGGTAAATCACGCACAGACTGATCATGATTTTGGTTTAGAGTTAGGTTAGAGCATCTCTTTTAAGTTATGAATTATTATGAATTTTTTGTACCTTCAAAACTTCTTGTTGTTCAAAACATTCTCCATACAGAAGATAGGTCTTAATACATTATATCCCCTGATACACATTTGCTTTCAAGCTTCTGTGGCTTAGACTGGAGTATCTCTATAATCTCAGGAGTGAATATTCACATTTTCTAGAACCACCAGTTTCTGCCTGCCACTGCTTACTTGCTTTTACAAGATTTGCACACAGGTACACACTCTTCTAGTAATTCCGAGTAGGATGGAAGTAGCCTAAAATTTGAGTGACCTAGATAGCTGATAAAAAGTAAAGCTGATTTTATGCCTAGCTTTTAAAACCAAATGCATATCTGTCCATCATATGGGTGTGATTGACCTCAATTTTTAATGATGAAATTACATAGCTAAAAAAGACCTTGAAGCTCATCTAATTGTACATGTGGAAACGGGGCCTGTGGACCTGGAGTGACTTGTCCAAAATGATGAAGCCTAGTCCCTTAGGCCTTAGACCAGGTGGCTTGATCTCTAGTTATACATCCCACCCCTATGACTTCCCCTCTAAAGCATGATTTAAACAAAAGGAAGTACCAGAAACTTCAGTTTGGGTTCATATTGCCTTCTCTGATGAGTATGTGTATGTTCTGAAGCTCTCTCTGCTGTCTGCAAATCAGACATTCTTGCTGGGTTGCATCAGAGTCCAGGCGACAAGATTGATGAAGAAAGGGCAGAGGAGGGATGACGTAATGGATTGTGCAGCATTTACCTGCGAATTATCTCTAGCTGTGTACTGCTTGATGTCTGTGTGACTCACATACTGAGGTACTGCCATCCCTATTATTCAGCACTGTAGCCTCACACTTACCTCACCCTGTGTTTCTCTCCTTTTCCTGCCAAATCTGATTAGAAGCACTTTTGTTGTAAGCCCATGTTTATGAAGCCATAAGTGGACTTCATACCAATGACCATGTGGAGAAAATAAAAGAATGTTAGAACTGGCAAGTTACACATTGACTCAGTCAAACCAGCTTGATTTCTGTCTCAGTGTAGTGCAGTAAATACTTACATAGCACCTGCCATATGCCCAGCACTGTCAGGGTTTTCTTCCCTTACGTGGTTGTTTTGTCTTCTTAGCTTCAGTTTAACCAATGCACCTAGAATAAACCTGTAGCAAGTGCCTACCATGTGCAAGTGACTATGATAGATGCGTTCACATGCATTTTTTCTTTTGAATCTCAAAACAACCCTGTGAAGTATCCATTTTGTAGATGGCCCAGGTGACTTAGCTAATGTGTGTCAGAATTGGAATTAGAATCTCAGTCCCTTGACACTAAGTACAGTGTTTTTTCCAGTGCATCACAAGTATATTTGATTTGTGTACTCGAGAAGTTTTTGCAAGAAAACTCTCCAGTTTTCTTAAGGTCATCTTCATACTTGATCTATGATCTTCATACTTGATCTAGTGTCTGCCTCTGTTGTTTGTTTACCCTTGAGATGCTAAAAGTCAAGAGCATAGACATATGTATATTTATTGAGCAATAACCATTAAGTTCTATGTTGAAGTTGTATCATACAAACACTAACTTTGCATGAGTTCAACTACACCTGCTCAGCAAATGAATATAAAGAGAGAAGGCATAAAAATTTACATTGTGCAAACAAGTCTTCTCAGGTTGTATTCAATGAGTCTATGCCTGGGAATGAACCTGAAATGGACGGTGTATATTGATTTTTCTGTACATGTCTGTTCCCACCTGCCTCTCTCAGGGTAAGCATCTTGCCTTACTCAGATGGTTACCAAAACTGGAGGCAAAATCCACCTTGATTCGGCCTACTGAGAGACAGTATTGGCTTCCTGCATGATGCCTTCCTAGGGGATTTGCAAGGTAATTTTGACATAAATTGAGGGTTTTTTCCCCCTTACATATTCTCCAAGAAACCTAAACTCCAAGTAAAATGCAGCTTCCGTAGGATGATAGTGGGTTGCATATAATCAAGGAGGGGATTTTTCTTTAGAGTGAACTGAAACTGTCTTGGGCTCAAGAACATTGTGTATAATGGTAGCTGAACATATCTTCTATTCTCTGTGTATTGTGACAGGTTGGAAGGATTAATACTGAGAAGATCAAATATTCTTTGTGTTCATAAGAGAACTGTGTTACCACTGAAACCAAGGGAGGAGAACCAACAGAAGGAAAAATCCAATGAGGTCACCCATCAGAGTGGTGGAGAAAAAGGATTAAGAAAATCCCATTAAATTTAGTTGCAGGTGACGTTTGAAAGAATAGTTGTAGTCAATTATAAGGTCAAAACCAAGATACAAGGAATTAAGAAACATCATCATCATCAGGACAGAGTAGCCAACAGGATGTCATGAAACCAAAAGAGGACGGCTTCATGAAGAGAGAGCACCATAGGTGGGGGTTGAGGAATGAGAACTGGGACTAGGTAGTGATAATACCTAAAAGGTAGGATTGGTGGGTTTAAAAGTGGAAGCACGTAATGTCATCAAAATGAATTCTGGCTTCTGAGCTAGTCTGAGATTCTTAATGTTTGAGTTTCCCCCTATGGGGCAGGTGGGGAAAATCTGGCCACTGAGAGATTAGAGGCAGGAGAATTATTGGTGTCTGTTGGCAAGCAGATTCTCATAGCCTCATACCCATTAGATATTGGATTTCACTTTCATTACTTTTCTAAGTAGTTAGGTTCTAATTTGCTTGCAATTTGAGAAATCAAGGCTGGCTCTACAAGGCTGTCATCATGCTGGGAAAAGGGGTGCCAGAATGCAGCAGGACGTAACCAGAAAGCCAGTAAAGGTTCAACTCTTATGAATAGGAAAGCCAGCTAATTCATTCATAATACCAAACCTTATCTTACTCAAGGAAGTGGAGTTACAACCAGGAAACCTCCCTTTCTTTCCTGTATTTGTATAGCACCTTGTATTGTTAAAAATGAAAGGTTGTTGGTGATAATTTTCTTTTTCTCAGATTGCTCACTTTGTGTTTTTGGCTCAATATTCAGTGTGACTGCTTGACTACTGTCACTCAAACAGGCTGTCTTGAAAAAGGTGAAGCTGGGAGGTTAGGGGGTTCAGATTAGGATGGGATCTCAGAGTGGGGTCCCTCTACCCCCACTGTATAGGAATCTCCTTGGGTGCTTATTAAAAATGTAGATTCCAGGGTTCCACCCAAGACCTACTAAATATGAATCTATATTTATAGCATCCCTGAGAATTCTTATGAAGTCTAGATTTTAAGAACCCTGGTTTAGGAAATGTGAGTGTAGTGTAATAAACCAAATTTTACAAGAATAACCTTTTAACAAATTGAATTCCAATGATTCTAAAGTTAAATTGTATTTATAAAATATAGCCAGAAATATTTGTTTTAATGGAAATTTATAAGCCTCTTTGAAACTCTTAGAGAAATCTAAATACAAGGCACACAGAAAATGTTAGCAGTCATAATAAACACACTTGGTTATGAGGAAGAGTGTTGTGAATTCAGAAAGTTTGTGTGTTTTGTGGAATTTCTATTATTGCCCAAGAGAGGAAAGAACTGAAAGGAGAGAACTTGGAAGAAGCTTTCTTTGGCTTCCAAGATCCTAATCCTCCAAAATGCAGCTGCTTGCTACCCACCATCTCTTTGCCACAGACCAGCTGTGTCCCCATTCATTCCCACCTCCGCTATTGCTTTTTCAATCCACACATGCCAGAACCAGAATGGAGAATGGTAGAGAAGGGAAAGGTAGTTTGATAGGAAGTGGGATAGAAGTTTTATAGAAAAGAGGTTTCTGGAAAGCCCTAAAGCATTAGACCAGAAAGCCCTTAGCCGTAGACCTCTGGGTAAAATTTGTTGCAGTTATAAAACTCTGTGGGATGCAGGTAGGTATACTGGTGGTTTCTGGGGGCTGGGGCAGTAAGACAGGCTGACCCCATTAAGATAACCTCAGAAACTAACCCAAACTGTTTTCCCCAGCCCTCAACTGATCTTTGGCTCTTATTTAAATTTTGTTTTTGTTGTCTTTGAATTGTTTCCTTTGTACAAGTCATTTCCCTAAATAATCTCCAGATTTCTTCATGAGTGGAATAGTTAGGTACTTCCTTTGAATACCTTTGCCAACAGCCTTTTTTCCTCCTTCCCCATAATTATCATAACTATTACCCACAAATGGATAAATTTGGTTCCTATCTTTCAGTGCTTTTCATGAGGTTATCATCTATAATTTTCTGCCCCAAAGTCTCCTTTTAAAAAAAGTATTTTTTCTATATAGTCATGAAGGCTATCATTCAAATCCCAGAAGTTGTAGTTTTACCCTTTTTGTTTAGTACTGTTAAAACTCAGCTTTGGAATGATGAGAATTCAGCTCATTTATCTTACATCTTTTCTTTCCAAAAAAAAAAAAAAATTCCAGCTTGGGTTGCACTCAGCCCTTAGCATAGTGACTCCCAGAGTTTGCTAGTTAAGTTAGGAAATTAAAAGTAAGAGCTTACTCTGTTTTGAATCAGATAAGTAAATTAATAATTGCGGCATGTCAGCCAAAGTAAACAAGCATTCTTGATGGGTAGAACTGTGCATTGTCTTAAGCTATTTGATTACTAAACCACTGCAAGCTTTTAAAATTGAACTATCTCTAATATGCATTGAGAAGGATAAAAAATAACTTGTTTTAAAAAGTGTTTTTGTTTGGTTTTGTTCTGTATATTCTTTGTCCAAAACTTGAGCATATTCATCTTTATAAATCTTTCATTACTTACTGGCTTTCTTAGTGCCTTAGCTGGTATTTTCCACATGAGGTTTACACCATCTTGTGGCCTACAGTTTTCTGACTCGCTTTTTCTTGCATCCTTGGCATTCATTAGCCTATTGGTAAATGTTTGAAATGGGAAGAAAAGGAGAAATCACCTGTCATTTTCTGCTCTTAAGGCTTTTATTGCTTTTTCTATTTTCTCTTCATGACCATGAAAGTAAATGGTTTGAGTCTCTCAGACATACTCTTTTTAGCTTTTATTTTTTGAGATGAAAATATCTTATTTCCTGAAATTTTTATTTGACTAGAAAACTAGTCCATGTAGAGGAGAGCTTTGATGATGTGTCTGCCCACAAAACAGATTTTTGCCATGGCTCGCTAATGCATTTTGTGTGAAATATCAAATTTTGGAAACCTTGCTTGTATATCTCCCACCACAGAAAAAAATGAGAAGATGAAATGAGAGAAATCAAATCATGAAAGATGCAAAAGTCTAGTCAGCAGAAACAGTAAGAGATCCGTTATGTAATGAAGAAGAGAGTCAGGGACAAAACCAACTCTCAGTTATGTGACTGAGGCACAGAGAGGCCCAGAATTGGCCCAGAAAGTGTACAGATTTTGCTCTAATTGCATTTCAAGGTCAACCTTTAAATTGCCTTAAACCAAAAAAGTGTGTCACTGATGGAAGCTACAGTATCGTGTAGGCAAAATGGGCCTTGTTGCTTTGACTGCCACTGTTACCAATTGTGATATAGTACTGATAGAAAAAATATATTAGTTATCTAGTGGTAACAGGGAATTGGCCACTGCCAGCCACTGAGGGAGTACAGACAGGTGTCTATTGGTGTCTGTTAGTGAACAGATTCTTATAGTCTCTCACCCACTGGGTAATGCATTGCATATAGTTACTAGTTTTTAAAATAGTTAACTCCTAATTTTCTTGCAAATTTGGAAACTGAGGGCTCCCTGGGAATTATAGGTTATGGTTGTTTTCCCCAGCACAACCTTGCCTGGGACCTGTACACAAAGTGTTTCCCTCCTCCAAGTTGACATAACATTTTCCACCTTCCTAATGTTTTTACTAACATAATTACAATAAATTGCTGCTGCTGTTGGAGACATTCTCTTTTCTCACATCTGGGTTTAAAGCTTTCAGTAAGGCTACTAAGCAGTGGGAAGGAAGGAGCCTTTCCATAACTTTAAGGTCATTCCTGATAAAGGTAACTACTCCACCCCTGCTTCCCAATTAGATTCCCTGCCAGCAATAGCATAGACTTGAACCAGTGCCAAATGTTTTAATACCATAAGGACTTGCTTGATAAAGGCTATGCAAGGCAAAGAAAAAAAGCAGCCAAAGTTCCCCAAACTAAAATTTTCCAAGATTTTCATATGAGTTGCAGCCAGGGTACCCTTCATATAAGTGTTACCATGTGTTTGCTGTAGTCATTGGTATCCTGCAATTCTCATTCTCCAGGACTTCTAGAGATTAGAATTTAGAGGAAGTGCTGGTGATGTCAAGATGGAAATCTACTCTAGCTGCAAAGAATATAGTCTTTGACAAAAAGAAGGACAATAGCAAAGACAGGGAACAATGGTGGGGTTAATACTATGATCTTTCCAAATAATTATTAAGTAATTATAAGTCTATTGCACAGCAACATTCAGCATTGTACTTCATTGTACCATTAATGTTTGCATATGTTTGCTAGCCTTGCTTCTCTTACTGTTATAAACTCTAGACTAGGAGGAGTATTGTCTTGCTCTGGCCCTTGTATTTTGCGTGCAGAAATAGCATAATGTCATCAATAAACAGTTGTTGGTCATCTGACTAGATGCAGCAAAGTGATTTTATTCCTGGGCATGGGTGGGATTAATTAATAATTACAAAGTGCCTACATAGTTCAGAAACTTGGAACACCTATAAATATAGGAAAGAAACTTTTTTCTGTTTGACATTGATTTTCAGATTTCATATGCAACGATAGTTTTAGCCTCAACATCCACCCAAACCTTTACCATAGTTGCTAAGAAATAATAAAAATGACTGGTTTGCAGTAGACTTAAAAGGAAAAATAAAGCTTCTTTGGCCTTTAAATATTAGAATATTCCCGAATGAGAATTCAAATTGAGTGCAAGTGACTGAACTTACTGAGGCCTGTTTCAATTTGATCACTCAAAGCTTTGCCTCCTGTTTGAAGAAATTCTTGGATTTTAACCTACGGTATTATCAAGAATATAAGATCTATCTTCAGTTCAATTTATTTTCCTGTTGTCCTGAAACAAAATGGCAGCCAATATAAATTTCCCCATAATTTCACTGAGGGAGTTAGAGTTCGCAGTAGTGGTAATAATAATGATAGCATTAAAAGCAGAAACAAGACTGTCTGCTCCTGTTAGCAACCTGAGCAGTCAAAGACATTAATGGACCATGAAGACTAGAGGGCTGGGGTGACTGTGGGTCAGAGCTAATGCACATAGGCAAGCACGGTATAGGGGAAACTTTCGTCACCTCCACTACACTGAGCCTTTTCACTTGATAGACCAAGCTCTTAATTTCCCCAGGTTGTTAATCTGGCACCTTTCATGAACATCAGTATTCACTTTGGAAAATAAAAAAGCAAACAGCCAAAACATCTAAGTGTTAAGGGGAAAGAAAGTCAACAGAGGAAATTACAGTAGCACATGATACACTGGCACCTTTTTCTTGAGTCATAGGAGGCAAAGATATTTGAAAGTCTGCAGCTTTGATTGTCTCTCTCTTAGTAACCAGAGGTCTTGAGAAAGAGAGTGCAATGTATGGTTTAGCTGTAGCCCTTATATGTATACGTGTCCACGTTTTCAAAACTGACCCCTTAAAATATGTATGAGAGCCAAGTGGTTTGAAAGTAAATACCACTTTCTTTCACCATTGCTTTTGCTCCATGTTTACCATTTCCTTTCTAACATTAGTTACTGTTTCTAAAGGAATTGGTGTTTCCTGATCTGGTATAGTTTCTGTTTGTTTTGGATTGTCCATCAGTTGTTAAGATATCTACCATATGTTTTACAGACTAGTATATTGAGGGTTGAGTACCATACCAAGTTCTCACTTTTTTCTTTCTGTCTCTCTTATTTTTAGGTAAGTCATCTGATTGGAGCCACATTTCATTTGATGGAATTTTCCATTTGGTAAAGTATTGCTATTTTTATCAAATGATGTAAACTGTCATTTTTGTGATTTCTCAGTATGTTTTTCCCCCCACAACATTGTCCTTAGTAGTATACTGTGTTCTGCATGGAAGGAAAAAAAAATGAGTTGGGGAGCGGGGAGGTTTGGAAACAAGAAAAAAGGCATGTAACTGAGTATATTTACATGTCAAAAAACACTTATTGAAAGAAACCTGCCTCTTTATAGCTATTGTCCTCAATTTTGCCTTTTAGAGCTCCAAGAAGTAGAGAAGTTATTATATTTAATGGTATTTAGAAAGGACCATGCTTACTTCAGAGAATCCAACTAAGAGCAGTGACTTCCAGTTGTATTTGGTGACAATCTGGCATTCCTCAACATGTTTCTATACATGTTGGCTAAAGCATTCTATATCATCTGAGAGTTTTTCTTTCTTTTTTTTTTTTTGTTTTTGGAGATGGAGTGTCCCTCTGTCACCCAGGCTGGAGTGCAGTGGCTCGATCTCTGCCCACTGCAACTTCTACCTCCCGGGTTCAAGCAGTTCTCCTGCCTCAGCCTCCTGAGTAGCTGGGATTACAGGTGCGCGCCTCCACGCCCGGATTTTTTTTTTTTTTTTTTTTTGTATTTTTAGTAGAGGTGGGGGTTTCAGCATGTTGGTCAGGCTGGTCTCGAACTCCTGACCTCATGATCCGCCTGCTTCAGCCTCCCAAAGTGCTGGGATTACAGATGTGAGCCACCGCGCCCAGCTGAGAGTTTTTCTTTTGCATCATAGTTTAAGTCTACAAATAATTGCCCCTTTTAAAACAGTTATTTAACAGAAGAAATAGAAAAATACACAATTTAGGAAGTACAAACCCAGGATTCTGTGGTGCAAGGATGGTACCAGGGCTTGTGGTCTGTGATAATAGAAGATTGAAGCTTCTGATATTAAGCACGACAGAGACAAAGGAGTCGTTTCATGACAGCAAATTACTTTTCCCTAATGGTTCTGGATCTTTCATTAGTAAGAAGGATGTCTATATTTGATACACTTTCTGTAAAAGTGAGGTAGGTTATGAACTTAGGAATTCTTTTTTCCTCAGGGAAATGTTTCTCTTTCTGTAGAACTCGACACGTGTTGATCTATTGAGTATCAAGCAACCAAAACCTAAAAACCTCCTCCCAGCATCATGCCATGCCCAGCGTGTTTCTTGAGTAGTACTTGCATTGTATGTTTTCTTTTAGAGACTAACTTAATAAAAAGATATAATTTAAAACACCCAGAGGACTAGTTAGATGCCATCTTCCTCCAAAATGGAGTTGGACTCCATTTTCTCTTCCTTCCCTCCAGTTTTAATTTTATAAACTAAATACCTGACAATTTATATCTATAAAGCCTGTTGAGATCATGGAATATTAGCACTTATTGTTGCTGATTGAGAGAAGACTCACAATTCTTGAATATTGGATGAAGCAGTGGATAGGATGTCATTGATGTTCTGCCAAAAAAGTTCATGTATTAAACCAAAGTTCCTTCTTGAATAGAAGACTGTCCCATCTCTACCCATAGGCTCCACTTCACAGGTCCAAGAGCCCATCAGGTAGGGATGACCTCTGCTCTGTAAAACACTGTGTTTTGGTTGAATGAATGAATAGAAGGATGAGTGGCTGAATGGTTTAATAAATAGATACTCATATCAGACTGTTAAAATTCAAGTTTTAGTATTATAATATTAAAAACTTTTAAAAATAGAGAACTTCCACTTTTAGTCACAGTTATCTTGTTTGGCAATATAAGATATTGTGTGGCTGCTTTCTGATATTTCGATTATGATAATTCCCATATCAATTATCATTTACCTGAATTGGATTTCTTTTGAAAACCTTTGTGAGGGGGGTGGTATGTGGTAAGCAAGGGATGAATATCATCATTGAACTCAAAAGTATTCAAAAAGCAACCTAAAAAATGCAAAATGAAATATTTGTTAATTCTAAACTTGAGTGGGATTTATAATGTCTATATCTGTCTTTTATATTCCAAAAGGATAAAATATCTAAAATTATTTGTTTTATATCTTTATACTAGAAAGAAGATTGGTAGAATTATTACTTTGTCAACCAATTAGAAGGCCTGCCAAATATGAGATGTATAAAAATAATTTCAGTGCTGTTTCCCCATTTTCTTTCCTGAGAATCTCTAGTTTTCTCATCATATCATTAAAAGCCCAAAACGAAACAAAATATTATTTGTATTTTTCAAAAAATTGATTATCCAGAGGAAACTCCAGCTTTCTAGTGTAGTATTTTCTAACTTTGGAGGAAATCAAGAGCCTTAAGGACTACATATCACTTAGTAAAGGGTAGAAACTTATGGGAATAAGAATTTTCTCTAACATTGGGAAGGCTGGGAGAGGTTCTAGTGCTTCAGGAGGATTTCAGATTCCCCCACCGTGGGCCTAATTATTTCATAGACTCAGTTCAGCTAAACTACCATCATAAAAGGCAGACATACATGGTTGCCCCAATTATAAAATCAGTTGACATCAAGTTTTCCAGATTAAATCACTAGTGATGGATTGATTTCTGGATCCAGGAAGCATATTCTTTTTTTTTTTTTTTTTTGGGTTGGGGGAGGGACAGGTTTTCTCTCTGTTGCCAAGGCTGGAGTGCAGTAGCATGATCCCCAGCTCACTGCAGCTTCCACCTCCCAGGCTCAAGCAGTCCTCCCATCTCAGCCTCCTAAGTAGCTAGGATTACAGACTGTGCCACCACACCCAACCAATTTTTTATTTTATGTATGTATGTATTTATTTATTTATTTGGAGAGACAGGGTTTTGTCATGTTGTCCGGGCTGATCTTCACCACACCCAGCCAATTTTTTTGTTTGTTTGTTTTGTTTGGAGAGACAGGGTTTTGTCTTGTTGTCCGGGCTGATCTTGAACTCCTGGGCTCAAGCAGTCCACCCACCTTGGCCTCCCAAAGTGCTGGGATTGTTGGCATGAGCTACCATGCCCAACTGCATATTCTGACAGCAGCCCATTTCAAGGCCAGTGAGGTGTTGTTGTTGTTGTTGTTGTTGTTGTTGTTGTTGTTGTTGTTGTTTGAGATGGAGTCTTGCTCTGTCACCCAGGCTGGAGTGCAGTGGTGCGATCTCAGCTCACTGAATCCTCCACTTCCCAGGTTCAAGCGATTCTCCTGCCTCAGCCTCCTGAGTAGCTGGGATTACAGTCACATACCACCATGCCCAGCTAATTTTTATATTTTTAGTAGAGACCGGGTTTCCCCATGTTGGCCAGACTGGTCTCAAACTCCTGACCTCAGGTGGTCCATCCACCTCGGCCTCCCAAAGTGCTGGGATTACAGGCATGAGCCACCACACTCGGCTGGCCAGTGAGTTTTATTAGATAAAAAGTATGTAGAGAATGTTTGAAATTATATTTATAACAGAAAATGAATGACCATATTCATTTTGTTTTCTTTATAAAATAAGCTTCTTCTAAACAGTGAAATGATATTTTTTCCTAGTTTTATTAAGGTTTAGTTGGCAAATAAAAATTGTGTACATTGACTGTGTACAATGCAATGTTTGATGTATGTATACCTTGTGAAATGATTAAATCCAGCTAATCAACATATTCATCATCTCACATATTTTGTGGTGAGAAAATTTAAAATCTGCTATTTTAGCAATTTTCAAGTGTACAATATGTTGTTAACTATAGTCACCGTGCTTCACAATAGATCAACAGAATTCCTGTCTAACTGAAACTGTGTACCCTTTGAACAACATCTCCCCATGTTCCTCTGTGCCGCCCCCTTCCCACTGCCCCTTGCTCCTGGCAACTGCCACTCTACTCTCTGCTGCTATGAATTTGATTTTTTAAGATTCCGCATGTAAGTGAGATCATACAATGTTTGTCTCTCTGTCCCTGGCTTATTTCATTTAACATAATGTCCTCCAGGTTCATCCACATTGTTGAAAATGACAGAATTTCTTTCTTTGTAAACCCTGAATAGTAGTATTACATTGTATATGTATATATATATTATATATATATCACATTTTCTTTATCCATTCATCTGTCAATGGACACCTAAGTTGATTCCACATCTTGACTGTTATGAATAATGCTGCAATGAATATGAGAATGTAGATATCTTTTCAAGATACTTATTTCATTTCTTTTGGCTATATACCCAAAAATGGGATTGTTGCATTATATGGTAGTTCTATTTTTTATTTTTTTAGAAACCTGCAGACTTATTTTCTGTAATAGCTATTATAATTTACATTCCCACCAACAGTGTATAAGAGTTCCCTTTCTCCACATCCTCACCAACACTTTTCTTTTGTCTGTTTGATAATAACCATTCTAACAGATGTGAGGTGATATCTTATTGTGGTTTTAAATTTTGTTTCCCTGATGTCTAGTGATGTTAAACATTTTTTCATATACCTGTTGGCCATTTGGATGTCTTCTTTTGAGAAATGTCTTTTCAGGTTCATTTTTAATTGGGTTGTTTATTTTCTTGCTATTGAGTTCTTTGAGTTCCCTATATGTTTTGGATATTGGATATTAACCCTTTATCAGATGATTGGTTCACAAATGTTTTCTCTCATTCCATAGGTTGCATCTTCATTCTATTGATTTTTTTTTTTTTTTTGCTGTGTCAAAACTTTTTATCTGATGCAACACCATTTGTCTTTTTCTTTTCTTTTTTTTTTTTCTTTCTTTCTTTTTTTTTTTTTTTTTTTTTTTGCCCCTGTTGCTTGTGTTTTGGGGATCATATCCAAAAATTATTTCCCCTACCAATATCAAGAAGCTTTTTCCCCATGTTTTTTCATCTAGTAGTTTTATAATTTCAGGTTTTACATTTAAGGCTTTAATCTATCTTGAGTTGAATTTTGTGTATTGTACGAGATAAGGGTCTAATTTCATTCTTCCTCATGTAGATATCCAGTTTTCCCTGCACCATTTGTTAAAGATGCTGTCCTTTTCCTATTTTGCATTTTTGGTACCTTCGTTGTAGATCATTTGACCCTAAAGATGTGGATTAATTTCTGGGCTCTCTGTTATGTTCCCTTGGATTATATGTTTGTTTTCATGACAGTACCATGCTGTTTTGATTACTATAGCTTTATAGTGTATTTTTAAATCAGGTAGTATGATGCTTCAAGCTTTGTTCTTTTTGCTCGAGATTGGAGTATTTGAGGTGGTTTCATACGAATTTTAGGATTGCTTTTTCTATTTCTGTGAAAAATCTCATTAGAATTTTGATAGGTATTGCATTGAATCTACAAATTGCTGTGGGTGCTATGGAAATTTTAACAGTATTCATTTTTCTAATTCATGAACACAGGATATCTTTCCATTTATTTGTGGGACAATATTTTTTACACATTCTTGGTTTCAAGTTCATTGCTTCTAGAATTCTGATGGTCCTTGAAACCGAATGCTAAGATTATTGAGTAAAAGTTAGCTACAGCTGTGACTGAAATTACAGAAGAGAAACTTGCTCTTAAATTTTCTGTGCTTCAGTGTCTTCATCGTTTTTGCTTTCATCAAGCTGTAAGTTCCTTGAAGTCAGGGACTTGTCACACAGCCTGGTACACAGAAGGCACTCACTGAATATCTGATAAATGAGAGGAGGGACTACTGAATGTAAAATAATCTCTATCACATATGATCATTGTAGGGAATAATGAGGCGATGTATATATGTGGAGAACCCAAAAATTGTTGCTCAAAAATTGTTTTTTTAAAAACCTGATCCATGCTAATCAAATTCACAAAAAGACAGATTGCCTTTTTAATTTTTTTATTTTCTAAAATATTTTCATTGCTTTACCTTAAAAGAACATGTGCTGACCATAATTTAACCTTTTTTAGATGACCCAAGATTATTATTCACAACACTTCATTTCAGCAAGTGTGATGATCCTTGCAGGCCGTTTTGTGGATTTAGAGGTCTCTTTATCACTCTCCTAGACAGTTTCTGAGTGCTGAGCATTGGGGCTATTGGGTCAGCTTTTGTTTGTTTGTTTGTTTTTGAGACGCAGTTTCACTCTTGTTGCCCAGGCTGGAGTGCAATGGTGCGATCTCGGCTCACTGCAACCTCCGCCTCCTGGGTTCAAGTGATTCTCCTGCCTCAGCCTCCCGAGTAGGTGGGATTACAGGCATGCGCACCACACACAGCTAATTTTGTATCTTTAGTAGAGGCAGGGTATCTCCATGTTGGTCAGGCTGGTCTCAAATTCCTGACCTCAGGTGATCCACCCACCTCGGAAAGTGCTGGGATTACAGGTGTGAGCTACTACACCCAGCTGGGTCAGCTGTTTATAACTTTTCTGATTTCTTGGCTGTGAAGACTGGCAGACTTCTGTGAGGGTGCCTTGCTGAAACTTCCTCCCTGATGTGAATGCTCCTAATCTTCTGTGACCTTGAAACTAAAATACTTTGCCATATGAATATGCATATAAAATAGGAGTACACTAGGAAGCTCTTTCACATGTAAAGTCCATGCAATTCATAAACTGGCTGCTCTTGAATCCTTTTTATCCTTTCACTTATTTCTTGAATCTGAATTGTAACATTTTAGATATGTGCAAAGTTGCTATAAACTTATAAAGCAGACATTTCCTTTATCTCTTTTCTTAATAGTGCTTCTAGGAACAGATGCAGATTTCATGACATCTTAGTCTATGTTATCTAATGGCAAAGTGAGAATTAGTTGTGTCCAAAATATCAATCAGAATATTTCCATCTAATTATAGTTCACAGCTTCCTTATGAATCATTTTATATTTACATAAGATTTGCTTTAATTTTGTTGAACAGTAATGGAGATCTTTAAATGGGTTTTTGTTAGTTTTTCAAATTCACCAGTTTCTCACATGTGTGTATAATTCTTCATAAAGACTTCTATAGCACCTCATTTTGATATTTTTCCTTGTCAAAATGATATTTCCTGAAAATGTTTGTCATCAAAAATCAGAATTTATAAAATATCTGATCAAGTATATGTCTGTATCTGATTATCAATTAAGCTGAAAATGAATCGAGTGCTGGAGAAAAGTCCCATCCAGTTGGTCCATTATACAGAGCGGAAAGCACTAACATGTTACATCAGCAAAGGTTTTTGGGGCTCCAGTGTAGATTGGAGCAGTGAAGTTAGATGAGATTTGTAGCACCTCCTGATGACCATGCTAATCACTCCTCTACCACAGTTACCTCTCCCATTATTAGTAACTTGTTAGCTCATCACATTTCTTCAGCACCACTTTATCCTCTTTAACCATCTGTCCTATTTATATACTCAGATATACCTGGCACCTACCAAATGAGAGTAAGCACCATAGTAACCAAAGAGTGAAATTATTGTATATGTACTTTGTGCTGTCAGCAACATGTATCCTGAGATCTTTGTTGAAGAGTCAGTTAATGAAATTTGAGAGTCCTTGGATTATCTGACATGTAAAGTTGTGAGCCAGATGTGGTGGCATGCACCTGTAGTCCCAGCACTTTGGGAGGCCCAGCGGGGAGGATCCCTTGAGCCCAGGAGTTCAAAACCAGCCGAGGCAACAAAGTGAGACACTGTCTCTAAAAATAATACAAAAAAAAGAAACACTGGTCTTCTCCGACCTTCAGTGCTCCTGGTTTTCAGGTCTTCAGATCCAGACTGGAATCTCTACCATCAGCTTTCTATTTCTCAGGCCCATAACTACATCGCCAGTTTTCCTGGATCTGTAGCTTGCAAATTGCAGATTGTGGAACTTCTCAGCCTCCATAATTGCCTGGAGCTTCCCAGGCAAAGACTTTGAAACTCTGAGAAGGGTATTCAGGAGGATTTTTAAGTTGTGCACAGTGACCAATATGTATAAAAGGTGAAGGCTAGGTCCAGGGGCTCACGCCTGTAATCTCAGCACTTTGGGAGGCCGAGGCGGGCAGATCACCAGGTCAAGAGATCGAGACCATCTGGCCAACATGGTGAAATCTCGTCTCTATTAAAAATACAAAAATTAGCCGGGCGTGGTGGCATGTCCCTGTAATCCCAGCTACTCAGGAGGCTGAGACAGGAGAATTGCTTGAACCCAGGAGGCAGAGGTTACAGTGAGCTGAGATTGTGCCATTGCACTCCAGCCTAGGCGACAAGAGCAAAACTCCATCTCCAAACAGAAAAAAAGAAAGAAAGGTGAAGCAAGCAGGATTAAAGTGTGAGAAATTAAACTGCAGTGTTGTGGCCACAAAACTTCAGCATATTTTGTAGGTGCACTGGAGTTGAGAGGGCCCTTCAAAGTCAGATGAGGCTCATTTGTGTTGTCAAAAATGGAAATGGATAGCCACATGCAGAAGAATGAAATTTGACCTTTATCTCACACCATCTACGAAAATCAACTCGAAATGAATTAAAGACTAAAACTTAAGGCTGAAATCATAAAATTGCTAGTAGAAAACAAAAAAAAATGCTTCTTGACATGAGTCTGGGTAGGGATTTTTTGGATATGATATCAAAGCACAGGCAACTAAAGCAAGAATAGATGAATGAAATTACATCAAACTTAAAAGTTTCCGCATAGCAAAAAAAAAAAAAAAAATCAACAGAGTGAAAAGGCAGCCTATGAAATGGAAGAGTGTATTTGCAAACCATGTATCAGGTAAGGGGTTAATGTATAAGACTGTCCTACAACTCAATAACAAAAAACAAATAAGCTCATTAAAAAATTGTCAAAGGCCCTGAATAGACATCTCTCAGAAGAAGATAAATAGCCAAGAGGTATATAAAAAGGTGTTGAACTTCACTAATCATCAAGGAAATATAAATCAAAACCACAGTGAAACATCACTCACAGCTGTTAGAATGACTGTTATCAAAAAGATCAAAGATAAGTGTTGGCAAAGTGTGAGGAAGAGAGAACCCTTATACATTGTTCAAGGGAATGTAAATTGATACAGCAGTATGGAGGTTCCTCAGAAAATAAAAATAGGTCTACCTTATTATCCATCAATTCCATTTCTGGGCATATATCCAAAAGAAAATCAGTGTCAAAGCAAAAAGTAGCCTGGTATGGTGGCACATGTCTAGTTTCAGCTACTCGGGAGGCTGAGGCAGGAGGATCTCTTCAGCCCAGGAGACTGAGGCTGCAGTAAGCTATGATCATGCCACTGCACTCCAGCCTGGGTGAAACAGCCAAGGGGTAAAAGACATAAAAATATGAATTGACAGGAGAGTAACCTCTCAAACCTTACCCTTACCGAAAGGAATAGCAGGTGATTGAAAATTAATAATAAGTGATGACATTTAAAAAATAATCTTAAAGTTCTTTAAAAATTTATTTTTAGTGATTTAATTTCTAAAAAGATTTTTAAAGTAATTTTTTAAAAGAGAAAAGTAAATACGTAAAATTGTTCTATTTTAATGTATTTAAAGACAGTAGTAGATACTTTTTTCCTCTAAAATTATTTCTAGATATCTTGACTATTGCTGTTGACTGTCTTTCCATTCCTTTTCTATGTAAAACTCTTCTCTTTTTAAACAGTATGAATGTATGCTGATGTATGTTTGTGTAAGACTGCGATTCACATTCTACAGAACTATCATCTTTCAAACTATTACAGCAAAATTAAGGAGTAAGATAATTTTTCATCATATTGTCATCCAACTTCATGACTTATTTTCATTTTTTTAATGTACTTGGCATGTATGGAAGAGAATTCCAGAAAGCTACAGTGACTCTTTTTTTCACTTAAAGGAAGTGGCTAGAATGAGATTGAGGGCAGGGGGGAATGTGGCACAAGGAAACTGGCTTAAAAGCTCTGTGTGTATTATGTGCAATTTTATTTTCTGAGTAATATCACTGATTCAGTAATTACCCTGGGTAGTAGCCATACAAGCTTTCTTGTTCCCTGGAAAGCCTTACTATAATCCAGAACTTTGCTAGCATATCATATACCTTGTAATTTTATTTTCTAAAATTAAGTGGCATTTAATGTCTTCATTTCCCCATGTAACCTTTTAAAAGCCTTGTATCTTCATTTATTTTATTGCTCCCACACCCTCTTTCTGTTTCACATAATTCTTTGCAATTTACTTCACTATTCTGCAAATAAATCATTTGCAGATTTTCTAAAAGCTGTATTCTCGCATTTAGGACTTGGTGCCATGGTTTCTTAGTAGAAGACAACTTTACAACCAGAAGTTGCAAGTTCCCCAAGTTCAAAATCTGTACATGTTTGCACTAGAAAGCCAAAATATTCCCTCTGTAGTCACTGAACTTCCAAAAGAAAATACATGCTGTCAGCCTAGACAGAATTGATTCATTTAGGCTCTAATCGTTTTGAAGGCCTCAGGTAGGGCTTGCGAGACTTAGCATTGCTTTGGCCATTCTGTTTTGAGGACTGCAATTGGGTTATATCTTTTGCCATAAGCTAAAAGGAATAGCAGCAGATTGAAAATGAATAATAATTGATAACATTTTTAAAATAGTCTTAAAGTTCTTAAAAAGTGTTTATTTTTAGTGATTTCATTTAAAAATTGCAAAGCGAGTATACATGTTACTATTAACTTACTAAGAACTATTTTTTAGAAAGTAATGAATAATTAGCTTTTTTTTTTTTTTTTTTTTTTTTTGAGACAGAGTCTTGCTCTGTTGCCAGGTTTGGAGTACAGTGGCACGATCTCAGCTCACTGCAACCTCTGCCTCCCAGGTTCAAGTGATTCTCCTGCCTTAGTCTCCCAAGTAGCTGGGACTACAGGCATGCGCCATCATGCCCAGCTAATTTTTGTATTTTTAGTAGGGACAGGGTTTCACCATGTTGGCCAGATGGTCCTGATCTCTTGACCTTGTGATCTGCCCGCCTTGGCCTCGCAAAGTGCTAGGATTACAGGCGTGAGCCACCACGCCTAGCCTAATTTTGCATTTTCTTAGTGCCAGTGTGCTGTACTTTTCAAGGCCGGTCAATTGCCTAAGACCTCAAATCCTGACGCAAAATTCCCCAGCTTACTGCTCTCACATAGAACACACTTGTGCCAGTGTCACTGCTTTTCCAGGCATGCAAGCAAAACCATTGGAAGTAGCTGAATTTCTAGTGACACCCTATAGAGCTCTCCTTATATATAATAAGTTCATTCTTCTTTGGAGTTGTTAAAAAGTGAGGCTCAGGTTTTTGTGCCCTCAACTTTATCCCCCTTGGTTTATTGCTGCCTTCCAAGTTCAGCATCTCAGCATTTTTATTTCAAGAAATAAGCTTATGATGCACAGCATTAAGCAAGACACTTTGGGAGAGGAGGAACCCTTCCCGGAATTTCAGAAGTCTCCTTGTAGAGAAAATTCCTGTAATGTTTTGTTTTACTTCAAAAATCTGAGTGCCAGAAAGAACAGAGTCAAGAAAGGAGCTATCGTGAGCTCTTGAATTTGAAGCAAAGTCTGTACTGTGACCCCATTTTAGAAGATCACTGGCCCTCCATAGAGCACTACTTTGAACAAATCAGTGAATTTTAAATCAAGTGTCTTGGTTGCTTATATTTTTAAAATCTCAAAAGATCTAAATTCAGATGCCAGTGAAAGCTTTGTAAAGGGAACCTCCCCTTCCTCAGCCTACCCTTAACTTGCATTCTAGGAACTTCTAGGTGCTTTAGATATCCCCTAAATGATTAAAGAATAGATTATAATTCAATAGAACAGTGATTTGCTGGTTAAAGGAAGAATAGCTGATACTTTATGAAACTGTTCTTAGAATAGCTTGGATGCTAGATCCCATTGTGTGTGTGTGTGTGTGTGTGTGTGTGTGTGTGTGTGTGTGTGTGAGAGAGAGAGAGAGAGAGAGAGAGAGAGAGAGATATGAGGGGGGCACCAAGACAGACATAGTTATACCCATTTCCTTTTTCCATAAAGCATTTGCAGTAGCTTGTAACCAACACACATTATAAAATTTACATAGGGATTTTTAAAATTTTAAATAAAAATAGAGGGAAGCCCTTGGAAAAGAAATGATATTAGAATAATGTTGAGTCTCTTGGGAATCCTGCAAGTTTTTTGCTTCAGATGCAATTGCAGTAGCATTGAGAGAGATGTCAAACGTCAAACACAGTTCTGTCCTGAAGAAAAGGAGCAGACCTTCCATTGGTCCTCCACTCCACCACCACCCTAAGTTGAGCCAGTGCCATGTCCAATATCAGCCCTTGGGCTTCACCTGGCCTGTGCATTCATTCTAGTTCCACTGTCTCTGCCTTCATGCTTGTTACGGCACAACTCTGCTACAGTATTCATTCCATTTCTTTGGAAAGGCCTGCAGTTCAACAATTGCACATCCCATTACAGAAACAGCATTGAGCATGATTTTGGAAAAATCACACATATATCTTATATTGGACCTGAGTATTCAAAGACAGTTTCAGACACCCTTGGTTTATTATTCTTTTGGCTTCACAAGTACATTCATGGAATGGACATAGATGAGGGATACCCAGAAACTGGCCAAGCACAGGGGAAAAGAAAGAGGGAGATTCCATTCTGCCTGACTCAGCTGGGATAGGTAGAAAACCTAAGGTTCTTTTTCTTCAGCAGTCATCATATGTTTCCATCATTTGTTCCCATGGTTATTTTCTGCTGCCCAGTTGTTATTTGTACTTATTTAAAAACATCAGTGCATGGGCCTCAAGAGGCAAAGAGAGTTGAGGTCCTACACTAGAGTCAGAATATTCAAAGTTTTGGACTGAGGTTTCACCTCTGAGCCATGCTTTTTTATTACACTACATTTGGCTGAAGATCTGACACTAGATGCACCATAACCATTGCAAAGGCCATGCAATCTCTTGCTTTTTAGATTTCTACTGACATTTTTGCCTGCTGTTAGAGTAGCCACACCTCTCCATGAGTTTCAGGTGTTTTAACCATTTAGGAAAAAGAGGGGAGGGAGAAAGAAATGAATCAGTAGTAAAGAGATGGTGCCTGAGAATGGAAAGATCACAGCTGAAAGTGGAGTATGTGCTACCTTCTGGCCCAGACCAGGTGGCTGGGTGTAGATGGACGTTGTGTGTATCCCCAATGCAGTAACCCTTACAGAGATAATTCTCCCAGTTTAGCCACCACGAAGTATTGTTCTTTGTTTTTCCATAGTGCTTGTCAAAATGCTATGACAACTGACTGGTTTTATGCAAACAGAGCCTGGCTCTCAAGAGACAGTGTGTCTGAAAGTCAAACATGGATGGCAGCCATTGGCACACAAAGGAGTCAGAAACCACAGATTGTTTTCTCGTTGGATGAACAGCTTAAAGCAACGTAAAGTTAATTGAAGAATTCCTTGAAAGTGAAGTCAGACTAAAAAGAAATGCTCCGAGTCTATAATTTACTAAATGTGAAAGAACTGTAAGTGGTATGAGACTAAAACAGTTTCTTGGGGGGAGAGAACATTTTTGTAAACAGATCTGGCTTTTATTTTTGCTTGGGCTGTTTTAATTATTTGCTCTAATAATGTAGATCTCCAGAAGAATCTCTAATTAGGTAAGGCTTGATTTATGGAGTTGGCCTCATATAAACCATGATGTATGTCATGGTATGCTGCAGAAAATTACAGGCCTGGTCTCGCCATTGCAAACTAGTATTTCTACCTAGAACTACTCCTGCTCTGCATGTCTTACTCTCAGGAAAGCAAAGCATACTATGTTCTCCTTCACAGTGCTCATTGCCCAGGTAAACTCAACATATAGTATTACTCATCAAATAATTTTAGCAAACATTTTTAAAACTGGGGAGAGAGGAGTAGAAGAAAAATGCTAGCAGTTAAAGAAATCTTTACTTCCTGGGAACTTAGTAAATACCAACCTATGATTCTCAGTAGAAGTGGGTTCACTCCCCCTTCAGCTGACAGACTGGCAAGGATATGCCAGACTATCAAGAGTAGTGTCTGTGTGTCCCTTCCTCCCACAACTCTAACTACATCTTCCACACTCCGTCTTCAGCTCCTTCCTGGAAAGGTCTTTCAGTGTCATGGTCGCCTATTTCATCTGGTTGTAAATAACAGCCATGGGGCCTCTGTAATATTTCACCATGGTTCTTACTCCCTTTCCCATTGCAGTAGAAGCCTTGGTGTAGAGCCAAGGCCTTTTCTTTGATTATAGGTTTGCCGATTACAATTTCCTAACATTTTTCTCATGTTAATTATACCTTAGTGATTGCATTTTCTATGATTTCTCATTTCAATTTTGTTAAATTTTGGCCCCTATAGAGCAGACTGTAGAAGGAATCCTTCTAGATTTTTACAAATTGTTTTCCTGTCTTCCACAATTGTCTGATTTACATCTGCCCTGAGAGTCAGTTTAAGTCACCTGCCTTTATCAGGTCTCCTTAGACTATTCAATGTACCTTTCATAGGAAGCAACTGTTTTCTTTCATGGTTATATTTCACCAGTTTACATCATATTAAATTATGTAATTATAGTAACAAATCCAACAGGCATAGGCAGGTTTGAGAACAAATACACCTCTAAACAGTTGGAAGAAATGCATGGGATATACTAGTGAGTGACCTTCTAGCCTCTCTTATTCAGCATGTGTGGGCTCAGTCCTGGTTGAAACACAGGGATAGAATTGGTTAAGTGGAGCTCAGTTACGGAGGCTTCTGAATCTGTGCTCTCCACACTGTCTTCATTTTATGGAGGGGGTCCAGGGTGGTTACAAGGCTTGCCCAAGGTCAGAAACATTCGTAGCCAAGCAGGCTATCCTGACTTTCAAGCTATCAGGGCACCAGAGCAGGACTGATATCCTGGGCTTTTAATGTGCTTGTCTGACTGCTGCCAAAGGTAAAAAATGCAAGTTTATCGAGCTTGATTTATTACCACAAAATATCTGTCTTGATGCTTACTTTACCCATAGTTTTTGTGTTACTAATTAACACGCATTTTTCTTTGAATTCTTCCTGATAATAAAACAGACTCTTTGTTATTGTAGGGAGTTAATCGAGGCCGTAAGATTTCCCAATTCTGTCAATGACCATACTTAGCTAAAAGAGAGAAAGGCTGAGTGGAAGAATTTTCCTATGCCTATAGTAGGGCTCGTCCTTCTTGCCACTACACAGCCCCATACTGTTTGTGGCTATTTTTGTTGGTCTAAAGGGCACAGGCCTCTGAAACAAAACTGCTTTTGGGTTTGAGCCAGATGATTAGGTTTGTATTTATTTGATCACATTCACAAACCGTATTTGCTAACTTTCCTAATACCAACTTGGGAAGATTTTTTTTAAATCACTTTCCTTCTTCTCTTCCTTCCTTCCAGTGTTGTCTTCCTTCCCCACCCACTTTCAGAAAGGATTTGATGTTGCCTAGGGTTAAAATAGATAAATAAAATCAAAACCATTAGGATGAATACGAAGGAACGGGGAAAGATGTTATACTCGAATCCCTGAGGTAAGATGGCTTTGCTGTTATATTGAGCAGTGCATTTAGCTCTGAGCTTCCTGGTAGACAAAGTGAAACAAGTCTTTGGGTTCATGTTATTTCTGTTTGCTGAGGAGAAACATACCAGGTCGTCCACAGAGACATTGTTACCAGGCACTTTATTCTAAGCCAGTGATTTTCATGTAAGTGAAGCTAAATAATCATCTAGAATAGGGGATTCACATATACATTAGAGTTTGAGAAGCTCTGCTGTAGTCGACCTCCATTTTTTGTTGGTAAGCCCAGGGAAGATAAATAATTTGCCGGTTACCAGGCTTGGTGGTGATAACACAGGCTTAGAGCCAGTTTGCCTTGGTACCAGCCTGGGCCTCGGAGCTCCCTTGTTTGGAAAGCACAGGTGTAGTGAGATGTGGTATTAGAGCTGGTATGGTCAAGTACCTTACCTCGCTCCCAGGCAATATGGACACAGACTATGACCTGAGTCTTGGGATTTAGACTTAATGAAATCAGAATATGTGAAAGAGGAGTTTTTTTCAAGAAGCTTTTCTTTTTACCACGAGGCTGGACGAGGCTGGACCTCTGTATCAGGATGCTGTCAAATTGCCATAGAGGAGAAATCTGGAAGAGTAGGCTGTAGCAGGTATCCTTTTTATGGCCTGTTTTAAAATACTTTGTCAAAAATGCCCTTCGTTTAGTCAAAATTGTGGGCAAATTTATGTTATATTTTTGCTGCCATGAGTATATGGTAGAACTTTGGGCAGGGATCCTAAACTCAAGCTGTCTGCAGGAAACAGACAGGCACGGACAGCTATTTATTATTCAGAAGGCCAGACATAAAACAAGGAGCAAGGTCGATAGTGAACCAAAGGGCCAGTGTCTTGTCTCGATGGGGCAACTGCTTCTCAGCTCCTGTTCATTTTTTATCATGTGAAAAATGCAGTTATGTAGTTGACCAGATCTTCCAGTATTTTGAGAGGAGCTGGAAGTCTGGATTATTAAATTAAATCTCCTGATTTTAAATGTTGGCAACTCTTTTCTTCTACTTGTTCAAAGCAGAAAACTTGGAGTTGTCCTTCACTCCTGTCTTCCTTTCAAAACCCACATCTAATTCATCAGGAAATCCTGTTGGCTCTATCCTCAAAATATATTCAGAATCTGATCACTTCTTACGGATTTCTGTTGCACTACTGTGGTCCAAACCACCACCGTCTCTCTCCAAGATTGTTGCAGTAGCCTCCTAACTGGTCTCACTGCTTCCATTCTTTCTCTCCTGCAGCCAGAACTGTAAGTCAGATCACATCGCCCCACTGCCCACAATCCTCCAAAGTCTCCGCATCTTACTCAGCATGAAAGCCAAGATCCTCCCAATAACCCATAAGACTCTCCGACCTCATCTCTGCAGCTACATTGGCCTCCTGTCTGTTCCTCACATATGCCAGCTCATTTCCTCCTTGTGACCTTTGTCCTTGCTGTTCCCTATTTTTCCAGGTATCTCTACGGCCCATTCATCCCCTGCATCCCTTTGCTTAAATGTCATCTTCTCAGTGAAACCTGCCTTGGACACGCTATCTAAACTTACACACATGAATACACACATCCTTCCTCTCCACCTTCTCTGCTTTTTGTTTCTCCTTATCACATATGGTCTAGTACACTCCATCAATTTTTTATTACCTGTTTTCTGCACTAGAATGTAGATTCCACGTGGATAGGGACTTTATATGATTTTGTGTATTTGTTCACTGCTGTTTACATCTGGAAATGAGCCTCACACATGGTAGGTGTTCAATAAATGTTTGATGAATGAATGAATCTTAAAAACAATTTTTTTAACTTTGGGCCAAATAAAACTCTTCAATAGGCCAAACCTGGGCTGTACTTCTTTTGGCCTAGAGTCAAAAAGAAGAATGAGTGCTTCTCCAGCAGCTCCTTGTAGCTTGGGAACAGACTTTATGAATGCATCATGATGCCTGCCCTGCTCAGGAAACCACAGATGAGTTCTTCCCTTCCATTCCCACATGTACCCTCCTACTTCCACCCTGCTCAACTTCGATACATGCTTATTGTTTTGTGCCTCAACATTGTTTTTCCCAAGGTATTGCTGTTTAGAATATGGAAAATGTTGTGTGAATTATTTCAGCCTCCTGAGTGAACTTTCAAATCTCTGAAGGTAGCACACATTTGAACAGTTTGACTTGCTTTCTGCAACACAGAGTTTAGAACTGGGCAAGCAATAAGTCAGAGGAAGATTATCTCAGAGGGAAAAGCATGTGTAAAGACAGGTGTAAAAATACCCATGATGCTTAGGAAGAGAACAAGTGAAACTAGAGTTGGGAGTGAGAGGGAAAGTGGTCAGAAAAGATGTTGGAGAGTAGACAGGGCCAAATCTTGCAGACCATGGTAAGGAGTTTGAATGCTGTTGTTAGGTCCAATGGGAAGCTGTTAAAGAATTTCTAAGTACTGAAATGATGGGGTTGGATTTATATTGATTAAATTTTACTCTGGCTATTCTGGGAATTTAGGAGACGAATAATAATAATGACAAAGCAAATGCAACTAACATTTATTAAACACTAATGCCAGGCAGCATGCTAATTGCTTTATACAGATTATTTTAGTTAATTCTTACATCATTCCATTGAGTTAAATGATATCATTATCCCAGTTTTGCAGATGAGGAAACTCAGACACACTGAAGCTAAGTAATTTGCCTGAAGTCACACAGCTAACCTATCAAACCCAGGCTGTCATTTTTCAGCCTTTGTTCTTACTTAGCCCTTAACCTTTACTACTTTTGACTCTTCTTCCAGTACTGGATTCAAGATAAGCATTTAGGAGGTTATTGCTATATTCCAGGCAACAGCTGGTGGTTGTTTGGCCTTTCTGCTAAGGTGGTTTTTCTGTTGTTCCTTGTAAGTTTAATATTCATTCTTACAGATGGAGTATGATTTAATTCACGTTGGAGAATAGGCCTTAGCAAAGACTGAGGTAATATATTTTATTACTAATTACAAAATTTTTCATTATTTTTTAAAAATAATATGTATTTACCTAGTAGGCACTTAATAAATACATGTAAATTATAAATATAAGGCTAAAAGAGACAATAATGGAATAGCATTTTTTTCCATTGATGGAAGTATTTATGATAATTTATCCAGTTAGAAAATAATCTCTAGTTCCTTGTCAATGATAATAGCACATTTCCAAGAGTCAGTTCTTGTTTTCTTAAGAAGAGTTGACTCTGATAAGCTATCACACCAACTGTACTAGACTCCAAACTCATTACTGTGAACTATTCAATGGTGATGTGTTTCAATACACCTTTTTACTGAGGTGTGTAACACACACAAAGACACACACACACATATAAACATAAACATATACATATATATCCTGTTGATGTTTTACAAGCTCGTCAGTCCGTTACTTGAGCAGTTACTTGAGCACCTAAACTCAATTCAATTATTTTTCTTTAAAAAAAATTTTTTTGAGCCTGGAATGGTGGTGCATGCCTATTGTCCCAAGCTACCCTGGGAGCTGAGGCAGAAGGATTGCTTGAGCTCAGGAGTTCCAAGCCAGCCTGGGCAACATAGCAAGACCTCGTCTTTAAAAAATAAGTAAATAAAAACTTTAAAAATTTTTCAGATTTATTTGTCTAAAAAGAATTATTTTTTATTTTCACATGTATAAATAAAATATTAAAATTAATTTTAAAATATATTACAAAAATAAATTTACTTATTTGTACAGAAAAGCTTTGTTTTAGTCACATAACACTATTGATTTTGATTATGATAATTGTTCAATAAAGTCAAGTCCCCTAGGCACAGTCTTCTTAATTGTATCCACTTTAGTTACATAAATAAAAAGCTAAATAGTCATTCATTTTACTGTTGCATTTGCAACCTTTGCCAAGTTACTATCACATTAAATAGTGGTTTTGTTTCTAAAAATATAGCCTATATATACATAGACCATACCAGTGTGCATTAATTGGAGTTTATTAAAGACATAGCTTTTCTTTGAGCTTAAGGTTTATTCCAGCCTAAATAGTCTAATCACTAAAATAAAAAAGCAAATACTGAGCAGTTTACTGACATTCCATAGAAGATAGAATAAGACTTAAGTGTGTGAGAACAGTACAACATTTCTGATGGTTTCTTTTTTAAAATAAAAACCAGCAACTTCAAAATTCTGCTAGACAAACTGCTACTAAGAGGGCTTTTGTAGCTGAGCCTGTCACTACGCTATATAGTGACCAAAAGGGCAGATTCTGAGTCATGATAACATTCTAGGAGATGTCAACAGTCAAAATAAAATCAAACTATATGTCATCTGGAAAGCTGAGATAAAGACCAAGAGATCTTGGAACGTTTAGAAGCAGCCCAGGTGTGACATGAGTGAGGACTCTAAGAAGAAAAACTTCACAGCTGTTTGTAACTTTCTCACAACTGCTTCACATTTCTCTAGCATGGAATGGAAAGTATAGAAATGAAGAAAATCAGAACTGGAAAGGACCTTAAAACCCTTGTTTTACAGATAAGGAAACGGAGACCCAACGAGCACCAAACACTTGCCTAAAGTCACACAACTAGAGTTAACCATAGGACTGAAATTGGAATTTGGAACTCCTATTTTCTAGTTTAATATTATTTTCTCTACTCTTTTTGGGCATTTTGACTGTATAGTATTGGAGTTGTACCAAAAGGAAAAGAGCTGGCTTGGATGAGAAAGGGATCTATGCCACCAGAAGTCAGTGATCAGGCCAAAACTAGACAGTGGCTCCCTGGCATGCGTGTTGGTTTTCCATGAAAGAAACTTGGACTCATTGTCCTCTAAGAGCTTTTCCAACTCTAATTGTAATGAGTATTGATAATTTTCATCATATTTGTAATAGGGTAATGATTCGTCCTCCCTACTTAAGGCATTATTGCTCATTCTCATTCATGCATGTCTCATCTACTCTAGTCTTTTCTCAGAACCTGTTTTCCCGTTGAGAGCACCTGTTCCAAAGTTGCTTAGTAATGCAGTGTGACTAAAAAAGCAGGCTAAGACTCCAAGTTCAGTTCACCATTTGGAATCATGAGTAATCATTGTCCCCACAACTAATTTAACCTTCTACATTAAACCAGTATCCAATAACTGCTGCTTTTCCTCTACCATATAAACACAAATCAGCTATATAGTTAGCAAAAGGGAGATTGGTGCAGTGAAATCAATCCGTTTTCCCTCCCTGTAGCAAGGATGTGGTATGGCAAAAGCTTTGGTCAATTTATAACCTAATAAGGTATAAGTGGTTTTTAAAGTGCACTGTGGTAAAATTTTCTTTACTGTGCAACTATATAGATATTCTTGGCTTAAGAATGAAAAATATATAGATTTGCATTATAATATAAAATCTATGAGATATGAAGTCTGATGAGAAATATATTTACCACCTGATAATATCTGTGTGAATATAAACATCTCTGTTACTCTCTTCCTAACATAAAATGATCTTTGCCCATTCTGCCTTTATTCCTTTGTCCAGCTGTCAGATTCTATTTTTTTCTGCTATAATTTAGAACATATTTTCCTAGACATCAGCATTTTTAGACTATGTACTTAAATGTCATATTTATAATAGGGAATTTCCAGAAAACAAGTGATTCAGTCTCATATGCCCAAAGTACCCCATTCTCTAGTGGAAATCAGGATGAGCTATTCATTGTATTAGTTATGTGGTCACAATGGAGGCCTATCTCCATAGGTTTAAAACAGTAGGTTTTAAACTTTCATCTAGCAGTCCAATAGAAATGTTTCCAAAGTTCCTGTTACCCTCGTTTCCACTCATCCTGGATTGATTTGGGAAGTGGAGTGAGGAAGGAGTTGGTGGTAGGGTTCACATTATCATCATGGTGATCTAGTAAGTGAGTGAAGGATTCCTTTTTTCAAATATAAAGGAAATTCAGAGCGCAACAAGGAAGAAGCCACGTTACAGAACTAGAAAAGTAATTGTCCAAACTGAGCATAAAAACCCAACACCCAAACAAGACCTGAGACCCGCATCCCTTGGCTCCTCCTGTGTTCTTTTTTTTTAACTAACGCATTCTCTCCCCTCAAGGAAAAGTCAAGCTAAGCCAATTTTCCTTCTAAGGCTGAGGATCTACGACAAGAAGGCAAAGACAGGGAGGGAGGACCTTGTATTTTACGTTTATTTGCCTCACTTTCTCCAAAGGGAAACACCCCACTAGGGCAGTGTCAACAGACTTTTTTGTAAAAGCAAAAATAGGAAATATTTTAGGCCTTGCTGGCCATATGGTCTGTGTAGTAACTACTAAACTAGGTCAAAATCAGCCAAAGACAATACATAAATTAATGAGCATGGCTGTGTTTCCATAAAACTATATTTTGGACAGTTAAATTTGAATTTTATGTATTTTTCATGCATCATGAAAAATCCTAATTTTTAATTTTTTCAGCTGTTTAAAAATGTAAAAATTATGCTTTCAGATTATATAAAGACAGGCTACAGACCAGATCTAGCCCATTAGCCATAGTTTGCTAAACCCTGCCCTATGGGAATAAATAATGAAACATGAGGAAGATTGTAGGTGTTAAAACATGGAGTAAAATATGATACTTGAAAGACAATTATTTAAATGTGGTAGAGGAAATTATTGATATGTATGCCTCTTTCAGAGAGAGCAGATGGATGCGTTGGCCCTTGATTCTGTTTTAGGTAATCTTAGTTGGTACTAGGTCAAATTCCAGATTGGTTATTTTGATTTACTCTCTTAAGATTTATGAAATGCAGGTTATAGCTGGCTTTAGAGAAGAAAAGTGGAAATAAGAAGAGGACATGTGACTTAGAGCTTGCCATAAGGTATGCAGAGCCAACAGAACATTTTATTCGGAATGGCAGCTGGTGGTTTCTGTTATCTGTGAATCATTGTGAAGTCTGTCTGAGGCAGAGAGGAGACAGCTAGCCGAATTCCCCTTTCGCAAAAACTGATTCATAACATTGTAAAGCTCACAGAAAATGCATTTTGTATCACAAGAACACATAAAAATCTCTATTTTTTGACATAAAGGCTATATTGACGAACTTTAAAATAAAAAGAACCTGTAAATGTAAAACCATAAAGAAACATTTTTTAAAATAGTATGAATAATTTATGGGCAGTTGAATACAGCTTTTGTTGCTTTGTAGGTAACTCACTTATAACAATTGCATAAATGGTAATGCAGTTGTGTGTAACAAAGGACCATTAATTATGACACTTATGACAATGATAACATAATTAACTATTTTTTGAGCTGCTACTATTTGCTGCCACCTAACATACATTATTACATTTATTCCCTGCAACAAGCCTGCAAGGTAGGTATTATTCTCCTGTTGAAAATGATGCTGAAGTTCAGTCACACAAACACCAAGTACCAGGGCCAAACTGCAATCCATATCCCCCTCACATGAAAGTTAGTGTGGTTTCCACTCTACTGTTACCATTGATGAGACATGGTAACCAAAAAAAAAAAAGAATTCAGGAAAACTATCTTCAACTATATTGCTGGATAGCATTACTTTATAAATATTAATTTTACTCTGTGGTTACTGTATGGTAATGGAATTATTTTGGCCCCTTAAAACCTTAGAAAAAATCAAACTAATTGTGCCTTGTAACATTTGTGGTTTATGTGTCCATTGACTGCTTGCAATTTCCAGGCAGGCTGCATCCTTGAACTATTCACTGTCTGAACTTGCCCTCAAAGAATTCTTCCTCCTGCCTCACCTCTATCGAGTGGCAGCCAATGGAAAACCCACAAGCTCAGCAGCTGCAGCTCTGGAAGGCTTCCATCAAACCCTCATTCCCAAATCCCCTTTGAAAATCACAGCTCCTAGAGCTTTGTGTTATCTTCTTGAAGGTCTTGACTAATGTTTGTAACATTGTAAAACTTAAGCAAACACTGTCTTCAAGACCAGGATTCTTAAAGTTGGACTCTGTGTTAACTTGCCTGCACCAAATCATGTACTGCCCCTCAACTGCACTCTTAAATTCTTACCCTGGAAAGTAGCCTGAAAAGCAGATATTAGGACGGGAGCTTTTTAAATGGTCAGTAGGAAATTAAAAAGCTTAATAAGTTCAGAAAGTGCCTCTTTGACAATTCAGAATTGATTTTAAAAAAAAACCTGATATATTGAAAATATGTGGTGACTCAGCCCTGTTCTTGCTCCTCTAAATTTTATTCTTTCCATGAATTGTTTTTAGGATTTAGAGGTCAAGTATCCAGTATACCTGTCTCAGAGGAAACAATATTATTTTCCTAAGTGAACATCTAGTACAAAAGTGACTGTTTTATGTATAACTGAGCAGTACCAAAATCCAGTTCTTAGCCAGCCTTTTTATATATGAATCATATTATTTAATCCAGATTTCTTTGAAACCACAACCAGACACACAGTATGGTTATTTGATTGAAGAAACATGGTGCTATTATTCAACCCGCCATGCGTTATTTTGCTTACATTAGTGACCCGTTAATACACTTAAGAAAAGAAGTAATTTGCATCATCATCCATTGAAATTGACAAGACTGGATGTTGGTGATTATGGACACTAAATTCCATTGTGGGGAAAGTTCCTGATCTCTGTGTAGCACAAGACTGGTTTTTCTAGACTGTCTCAAAAGTATATCCAGGAACTCAGAATGGGGGGAAAAAGCTGCAGCCAGGGGACAAATATGTGCTAATGTACCACTTATTGTCTGGAGAAAATGTACACTCATGGCAGCAGTAAGAAGTTATTTGGTCTGTATTTATTTACAATGTGCAGGCTGCAGAATGTTAGCATTCTGATTATGGCCAGATGTAATGGAAAGAATTCACTAGCATTTTCACACTGGCTTTAGTAAGGAATGCACTTTTTGAATCAACATTGGTTAAAAGGTAGCCACTTCGTTCCAGTAATCCAAAAGGTTCTTTGTGTTGCCTAAATAATAGAGGAAATTATTTGGGGCCTCAAATCCCATCTGAATTGGCTGCTTTTGGTCATTTAAACATGCTTCCTTATCAGTAAAACTAAGCAGACACTTTTAATCTGATAGCAAATGTCTAGTATTTAGGTAAGACAGTGAGTTTAGATTTATGATGGGGAACCCTCAGAGTTCAAAGTACACCTGCTTGAAATAATGTTGATAAAGAATATTAGTGTCAGTTTTCCTAATGGGAAGGAGGGGCATGCTTTAAACCTAGACTTTCTATGAAATATGCAGCCTTAGGAGAATATCCACTCTGATCAGTAAACGGTATATACATACGAATATATTTGTTTGTGGTGTTTTTTCTCAGTAGAATATCTCAATCACTGCAGTAGTCCACTTTCCTATTTTAATGTTTTGACTATCAGTTGTTTAAGTATCAAAAAACAACTTGGGATGTCAAGAAAAAAGCCATTTTGCTATCTCCATGTAGTCAGCAAAATGCTAGGGGGTTCTCTCCAGATAGCTTGAAGACCTGTTTATCTTATGTT
The DNA here is from genome assembly GCF_000001405.40 of Homo sapiens. NCBI lineage: Eukaryota > Metazoa > Chordata > Mammalia > Primates > Hominidae > Homo > Homo sapiens. Next base: position 100,035,065 of record NC_000003.12, read on the forward strand.
ATTTTTTAGGGTTGATCTGTTATCATAAATGTATATTCGAAATTGTTATCCAAATTGTATGTGTTTCAAGTTTGTGCTTTCTAGGATTATTAGCAATTTGATGATGAAAGCCATCTACATTTTCAAGTCCCTTGAACCAAATGTATTTTAAACAATTAAATTCATAAATGAATGTCCATGCTGTGCGCATATTCCTCCTTAAATTATTAGTATTATTATTATTATTTGAGACACAGTCTCACTCTGTCACCCAGGCTGGAGTTCAATGGCACAATCTTGGCTCACTGCAACCCCCGCCTCCTGGGTTCAAGCAATTCTCCTGCCTCAGCCTCCGGAGTAGCTGGGACTACAGGCGCATGCCACCACGCCCAGCTAATTTGGTATTTTTAGTAGAGACAGGGTTTCACCATGTTGGCCAGGCTGGTCTCGAACTCCTGATCCACCCGCCTCAGCCTCCCAAAGTGCTGCAATTACAGGCGTGAGACACTGCACACAGCTGAATTATTTACTTGAATTTTTTAATGCCCTCTGGTTCCCAGTAATCAAACACTTTGACCTTTTTCACCCCACCAAACTGTTAAAGAAATTGAACCATAGAAGAGGCAGAAACTTTTATCATTCTGATATAGGGGTATTTCTTGATTACCTTTAAATTTATTTTATTGTAATAGAAAAATTCAAATGTAGAGAGAAATGGAAAAGAAAGAATCCCCATGTGCTCATCACGAGCTATAGCAGTCATCAACTCATGGCCAACTTTGTTACATCTTTATTCCTTTCCCCCACATTGGATTCTTTGAAAGCAAATCACATACATGTAATTTCTATGGATGGTCTATTATGTGATTTGAACTTTGTTGGGCTCTGAGGATAAAAAGATGAATGAGACATAGTCCTTATTCTCAGGGATCTCATCAGATTCTTCTGGGATAATAATGTTTACTAGTAGTCAGTGTAATTATAAGTCCATTGTAACATAGAACCCAAAACTAAAAACCCCTGTACCATCTCTATACATTGCATAAACTTAATATAAAAGGAATTATGGTATAGTAGTTCCTAAATCCACTTTTAGGAAGGTCTTCTAAGGCATGAAAAATTTCCTAGCTCTGTCAACTAAAAAGGTCTAGAATCAATGACACCTTGTAGCAATGAACACATGCAACACATAAAGCTTCTACATCTCATTTCCCACTAAGAGGAACAAAGCCTTCTTGGAGAAGTAGCTGACTGCAGGGCTGTTGGAGGAAAAAAAAGATGAGCCTGGAACATCTTTTCATGCCACGATGTTAGGAAGTCTCAAAAAATGATGAGGACATGTCAAAAGGACACCAGAGTTGGCTTGAAAGGACTGCCACTGGCCTAATCTGAAACAACCTGAAGAGCGAAATAATTATAAAATGGAAGGTGACCCATTGAATAAAATAAGAATTCATGAGTTTGTTCATGGTGATAATAGGTAGATACTACATGTGTAAGAAAGAAAAGTTATTCTTTACAGTAGAATGCCTACTAATAAATGTAGAAGAAATATAGATTAGAAAACCACCATTTTGCAGCCATCATAGTTGCAAATAGTTAAGAAGTATCAATGGCTGCTGAAACAATTTTTTAAAAGTTCAGTGAGGAACAGGATATTTACATATCTCAAAGAATTTTCCACAAATTACTTATTAATAATCATGGGAAATAGTAGTTTTGGAGTAGAGAAGCCTGGTAGTGACACTTTAACCAAGTGATCAAAGTTACCATCATCAATAGTAGAACAAATTGACATCTTGTGCTTCTTGATATTACGCAGTGAGAAAGATACGTTATTTCTGTGGTATTCCTGCCCCAAATATGCATAATTAATTTAATATTAAGGAAATATCAGACAAACCTAAACTAAAAGATACTCTTCAAAAATGTTAGTATCCTGAAACACATAAATAAAGCTGAGCCATTTCAGATTAAAAGAAACCAAAGAGACATAAAAACTAAATGTGTGGGTTCTTTCATTTGGATCCTGGATCGGGGGAGGAAATGCAAACAGAACAGTATTGGGACAATTGGTAAAATTTGAATAAAATGTGGGGATGAAACATAATGTTGTGCTTATATACATTTCCTGATTTTGATCATTGTGGAGTAAGTGAATTTCTTTATTCTTAGGAAAATACATTGTAATATTTAGAGGCAAAGGGACATGATGTCTGCAACTTACTCAGATGGTTTAGAAAAACAAATGTGTGTATATGTAGAAAGAGAATAAAATGCAAAAGTGGTAAAAATTTTAATAACTGGTGAATATGGGTGAAGGGTAAAAGATTTTTTGTAGTATTCTTGCAAATTTTAAGTTTGAAGTTATTTTAAAATTTAACAAAAGATTAAAACAAAGCAAACAGACACACACACACACACGCACATTGTTATCTTCACTTTAAATAAAGCCAGCGCAACATATAGAAATCTGAAAATCATACCCTAAGATAAACTGAGGAATACAAAATTTTTGTCTCCCAACAAAGTTGCTACAGAAATCCTTTTAGCAATCTTTATGTTCAAATCATAAAATGTATAAATAACATAGAAATAGTGTCCCATATCCCCTTCTGTAAATTGAGGCACACCTACATTTGTTTTAGCTCTGTCCTGATAAGTTTCTCTATGCATCTTGCTTGCTTTGGGAAGCTCATTGCATAAAGCTGTGTATAAGTGAATGTTTAAATGTTTTTGAGGAAAATGACAGTGATGATAACTTGACCTCCAGTACAGATTAAGACCTTTAAAAAACTAAAGCTCTACTAATTTCTTCCTCACAATTACCTGAGTAGCTTTACAGCCACACTAACTGGCTCTGAATCGCTTAGGTTTTCCTTTTTAATCGCTTTTCTTTTTTTTTTTTTTTTTGGGGGGGGAGGGAACAGAGTCTCAAATCTCGCTCTGTCGCCCAGGTGGAGTGCAGTGGCACAATCTCGGCTCACTGCAACCTCTGCCTCCTGGGTTCAAGCAATTCTCCTTGCCTCAGCCTCCCGAGTAGCTGGGATTACAGGCACCTGCCACCATGTCCAGCTAATTTTTGTATTTTTAGTAGAGACAGAGTTTCACCATACTGGCCAGGCTGGTCTTGAACTCCTGACTTCAGGTGATCCAGCTGCCCTGGCCTCCCAAAGTGCTGTGATTACAGGCGTGAGCCACCACGCCCGGCCTCTCTTTTCTTCTCATTAAAATATAACTCTTACAGAAATAATAAGAAAAGTAATGAAGTAATGAGTCTATTATTTTGAGCCCATCCAAAAAAAATTGCTTAACTGGCAACAGATAGAAAAATAAGATATTGAATTATCCAAAAGCTGATTAGCCAAATTATTTCTTTTTTCACCATTTTTTTGCTTATAGAGAATTCGAGTAGGGAGCGGAAACAGGCAATACTACTCAGTCAGTTGTAGTTTCTTATTGACTGTTCGGTTTAATTTCAAAATTAACAAACATTGTAATTGCAAAAGATTGGAAATAACCTAAATGTACTTTTGTAGGGACTGGAAGTAAATAGGATTATTCATTTATCCAATACTATGCTTCCATAACAAAAACTGGAAAGCTATTTATGGGTTTTGTTTGTTTCTTTCTTTTTAAAGGACACGATCTCAGTCCATGTCCTACATAGTAGCCTCAAACTCCTGGGCTCAAGCGATCCTCCCACCTCAGCCTCCCAAGTAGCTGAGATTACAGGTGCCAAGCCACGGTGCCCAGCTGCTCCTTATGTACTGATACAGCAGGATCTCCCAGATGTATTGTTAAGTCCAAAAGGCACAGTACAGAACATATTGTCTATATCGTATGCTACCTTTTGCATGTAATAAAAAGAAGAAAGAATGAACGTACATGTTTGTCTGCATATGTATAAAACGTCTTTGAAAAATGCACACACAATATTGCTTGCCTAAGGAAATAAGAATTTTGTGTTGGGAGACAATAATTTTGCATTAATTCAGCAATAACAGATGTTGGAAAAACTCCTAAATTTAATGCTTATAAAAAGAATAGGAAATTATGCTTTCACCAGTGTTGTATTGGTATTGAAATTATCATCATCTAATAATAGTTCATCAAACACAGAGACATTCCCAGACCTTTCACTGTAGTGGTGAAAACCATTATGCATTTTATCTAATTCAGTTAGTCTGCTTTACTTATTAACTTGACCTCAAAAAACTGAGCAACCTTTTCTAAGTGTTCTTGATCACAGTAGTACAGCCTATGAAGTACATAAGAAGTACAGCCAAGACTCACCTGCTACAGGAATATCAAAGAGCAGATGAAATATAATCTATGATTATATTTCACAGTATGTAGTATAAAGATTTCACAGTATAAAGATTTCAGTGGAGTTCTACAAAAATACCAACTTGGTTTAATACTTAATGGAAAGGAAAACAGTAAAATTTATTTCAAATTAGATAGTGTAAGATTCAGTCTTATAATATGCGGGATACCAGGAGTACCTTGGAAAAGCCAGATACCAAATAAGATCTAGGAAATTTTTAGGAATCCAGAAGAATCTAGAAAAGCATTGTCCCTAGAGTTGATATTTCAGTATATCACCAAGTAATTTTTCATCCAAGATCTCAGTGCTTCCCTTAAATTAGATATTAAATGGCATGTGGTAATTCCCCCCAGTGGTTTTCTTCACAGTTAACGACTTTCTTCTTTTTTTTTTTTTTTGAGATGGAGTCTTGTTCTGTTGCCCAGGCTGGAGTGCAGTGGCATGATCTCGGCTCACTGCAACCTCCACCTCCCAGGTTCACACCATTCTCCTGCCTCAGCCTCCCGAGTAGCTGGGACTACAGACGCCCGCCACCATGCCCGGCTAATTTTTTGTATTTTTAGTAGAGATGGGGTTTCACTGTGTTAGCCAGGATGGTCTCGATCTCTTGACCTCATCATCCGCCCACCTTGGCCTTCCAAAATGCTGGGATTACAGGCATGAGCCACCGTGCCTGGCCTCATAGTTAACAACTTTCTTGATCTATCTACCTGCATTTTATAATTGGATACATGAATCAATCCAAGCTGTCTGAATATTTTTTTTTCTTCCTGCACCCACAAAAGCCAGTGAGAAGTAGGAACCTAAGACAATCTCTGGAACAGGTAACCATCTCTTACCACTTACAACATAAGATTAAACAAAGAGTTCTCTCTTGTGGCTTATTTGCATATTTCATTTGCATAATTCTCATCTAACTCCCTCTTTTAAAAAAAGTATTAATTATTCAAATAAATACTATTTATCCAGGCCATAAACAGTATATTAAAGTTCTCTCCCCGAGAATCATTTGTATAGTTCCAGATAATAGCATTCCATTTTAATATAGATGAGTACACAGATGTGACCGTGGTTTTAGAAACAGTTTAGGTAGCATCAAGAAACATCTGCACATTTTCCCAGCAGCCTGAGTAACTAGTAGTGATTTGTACAGACTTCTCTGCATCTGCTTTTTCCCCCCTTCCTTTTTTCAGCACATCTAGATGATTAATAGACTGAACAGGCCCTTATATATGCATTCTGACAGCCTTTAGGACGGTCTTGGTTGACAATACACACATAAGCCAGTGTTGTTATCATGAAACACTTCATTTGAATGACTATTACAGGCTGAACAGGATGTCCTATGCCAAGAGGTTGTGACATTTTGAGAGGGTGGTGCTGGGAGCCATGTGGGACTCTTTTCCCATCACAGCCAAGTTGACATTTTCTCAGGTTGTAGGATCATTAGGGCTGCAAAGGGAGAAACTTTGTCAGTGGCTGGGTAGATGTCCCTTGAGCCTGGATTATGCATTTGAAAAAATGGTTTCTTTGCCTTAGGGAAGAGAGTCTCATTTTAAAAAGAAAAAGGTTTTTATAACGAGTTCATGTATTCCACTATGAATTTTGCTGAAAAATCTGTCCTGAAGTATGTCTTTGCTGCCAAATCCCACGCTTTACAGTTAACCAAAGTTGACTCTGTATGACCTGTTACATTTTCCTTAGACAGTTGGATGTGATCACAGAAGGGTGACTGCCAAAGTTTTATTTCAGCTCAGATATAGCTAAATGCAAGAAATCACTTCCTGACACCTTTCTTCTGCCTGCCCCACCCTAAATCACCATTTTTCAAACAAGCTATGGAATCTACAAAATGGCCTACCTGTGTTCCAAGTTAATTTTGAGAATGGCTTTTTATGGCTGGTTTGTAATCTCTTTAGAAAAGCAAAATTATGATGGAAACTCTATGACATCCTAAGCTGTAAGCACTTGAAGATGAATGTAACTTCAGGTCTGTGAAGCTAAATATTTACCTTCCACATGATTTACTGCGTCTTTGTTCCTTTCCACACTGAGCTTTTTCTTTATGTGCATCCCTTCATCTCCAAGCTACTTTTTAGTAGCCCTGTTATATCAGTGTTTTGTGATGTTACAAAAAAGCAAAGAATGTGAGGTCAAATTTTCCATTACACACTTCAACAGGAATGCCAGGGAACTTAGCCAAACTAAGGCTACAAAAAAAATAAAAATAAAAATTACAGGAAAGATGATTCATTAATCAACAATTGCCTTACCAAGAAAATAGAATTACTTGTATGTATTTGGTTTGGGGAAGGGGGATAAGTGCAGATATCCTGGCTATGAGTGAAATGGAGGTATTTTATGTCTATGTAGCATGGTTTTAGACCTACCAGAGATCTTTTAAACAGTAAAATTCAGGAGAAAGGATAACTCATGTTGTGCCTTGATTTATCTCACCTTTTTCTTCTTTCAACATGAAAGTATATCACATGCTGACCCCAACTACAATTTGATTTAAAAAAATAATGACAGCTGAAAACTAGGATAGAAAGGCACAGGCTGCACCTCAGGAACAGTGAGAACAGGGACCATTGCCATTCCTTCCTCTTTCTTCAGCTATATGATCTGAGTCCCTTTTTATTTCATATATGCCCCCTTCTGCTCCCCTTTCTCTTTATTTTGCCATAAGCTCTGGATCGTAATCCATCCCTAAAACATTGTCATATTAATAGAAATTCTGGAATTTGACCTTTAAATGTAGTCATTATTACATATTAAAGGATCTACAAAGGGCAAAAATTGTGGCAGTAGATGAAAACAATAGCCACTGAAATTTTTTAAAGCCCACAAGCTTGTAAGATTCCTCTTAAACAAACAGAATGATCCAGTCACAGAGCTTAGTGCTGTAAATGTCAATATAAACTTGATTTTTTTTTGTATTCTAATAAGAAGACCAGCCAGTAACAAAAAAACATTGGCTCTGTGACCAGCCAATACCAGATACAGTGAAATCTGTTATCTGATGTTTCGTCAGCTAGCCTGTGAGCACCATCATGTAATAAAATTCTCTAAACTGTGATTCACGGTGCTACAAGATCTTTGTGCACCTTTTGACTAATCAGAGACAAATCATATCAGGCTCTTGTATTATTTTATTACCAAGTGTATTTTATTTTAATTCTTTGGAAATTGGTAATCCATGTATGGTTCAGACATTGTTAACCAGAGTACATAATTAGAACAATTCCAACCATGCCAGATGATACTGTATTTACTGAAGAATTTTATTGCCTTTTATGGAGAACATGAGGGAGGAATAGAGAACAGGTTTTTTTTCTTTTCTTTTGCCACATAGCTGATAACCCAGTTGCTATAACCATTTCTTCCACACAAAGGGACAACAACATGAGAAATACACGTTTTAAAGTTCCTAACAATCGAGTACTTCTTACGGGAAGCTGGGACAGTTCAAGAAAAAAATGGATTGAAGGAGAGGAATAGAGCCAAAGTTCCCAGACCTTGACAACTAGGGCAAATGTAACAAGTCCACATTCATCATGGAAAAATGTAAAGTCCTACATGTTTGTGGAAGAAAATGACTGCATTCGCAGAACAAGAGGGATAAAGGGCTAACATAGCCTGTGCTGGTCACAGCCTTCTTTGCTCATCTCTCTTTACCTCAATGTGAAGATCAGTGACAGACCCCCTGAGCAGGGAATGTTTTTTGAATTATAATGATGGAGACAAGTATCCTGTGTCTCAAATTGACAAGAAGTACTCCCCAGTCCTCAAAGCTCAGAGAGGCTTTCTTCAGGCATATCCAGTATTTCATTCTTTACTGTGTTGTGCCTTATCTGCTCTCTGTACATACAAGTAAGGAAAAGAGAAAATATATGCAGAAAATCATGTCCAGTAAGTTTTATTCCCCTTTGAAAGATTATATTTTGTCTTTTGAAAGTCTCTCTGTCTCTGTTCTTTTCAGCTATATTAAATATTTGTTTCCTTCGTTCTTGAATCTCATTTTCTTGAGGCTTATAGCAGCTCAGCAGTCTCTAAGGTCTCTTTTCCCTCATCCATACTCTCACTTCTCTATTTTTGACTACTTTTGCAGGCCAGTAGGTATTTATTATGTCTCATTTGCTGTGGGAGACAGGCTCCACCCCATCCTACCATACTCCCAGACTTTATTCCTTTTAACCATCTAACTAGCCATCCATTTGAGTCAGTTAGGACATGGAGACTTGAGAAATTTACATCCCTGGAAGGTGATTATGATATGTTGAATTTATTTTTTAAAACTTTTTTTACAAAATGACAAAAAATTGTGTATATTTAGGGGATACAATGTGATATTTTAATCTCTGTATACATTATAGAAAGAATCAATCAAGCTAGTTAACATATCCATCACCTCACCAACTTATTTTATTGTGACAAGAACATTAAAAATCTATCCTTTTAGCAATTTTGAAATATGCAGTATGTTATTTTGAATAACTGTAGTCATTATGCAGTGCAATAGAGATCAGCTTTTTAGATTCTACATAGAAATGAGATCATACATACTTGTCTTTCTGTGCCTAGCTTATTTCACTTAGCATGATGTCCTCCAGTTCCATCCACGTTGTTGGAAGGACAGAATTTCCTTCTGTTTGAAGGCTAGCTAGTAGTTCATTGGGTGTATATACCATATTTCTATGACAAACTCTGTCCTGCTTTGCAAGATTTTAAAAGGGAATGTGCTTTAGAACAAGACACATTGAGATTTGGGTTCAAATCCTGTGACCTTGAGCCAGTTACTTGCCTCGTTTATTCATTTAACAAATTTTGATTGAGCGTCTTCTATGTGCCAGGCATTGTGATGGGCACAAGCGATGCAGTTGTTTACAAGATTGACATGGTCTTTGCCCTAATGAAGTTTATATTCTAGTTAGGGAAACCAGTGAAAAATAAATATTTAAATAAGTATTTACATCATAGTATAAAGAAGTAACACAGGGGTAATCTGTCAAGGGGGGCAGTGAAAACTATTTTTGAAACAATAGGTAAGCTGAGGCTCAAAGAATGAGTAGGAGTTAGCCAAACAGAGTATACAAGAGCATCACAGGCTAAAGGACAGCTTGCTCCAAGAACCCAAGTCAGGAAGGAACTTGAGACAAAAGAGGAACTGAAAAAAGTCAAGCTAGACTAGAGCCCAGTGAAAGAGAGGGAAGTAGAAAGATACAGAGGTAGTGAAGCCAGATTATACAGGGCCTTATAGGCACTGGCAAGAATCTTGGTCTTTTCTAAGAGCAATGAGTAACCATTGAAAGATTTTTTTAATGAGGTAAAAACTTGATTTGTATTTAAATCACTCTGATTATTGTACCTCATCACACAGTAGATGAGAGAAGGAAACCAATGTGAAAAAGGCTGGTGCCATTTTTCAGGTGAGAGATGATGGTGGCAGTCAATGGAGTGGTTAATGGCTCCAAAACAGATTTAGGAGGTAGAGCTGACAGGACTAGTGGCTCTCTGCTTTGGTGACATTGCAGAATAGTAGTGTCTCTGATGACTTCCATTTTTCTGATATGAGGTGCTGTTTCCTGAAGTTAAGAACATTTAGAGGAGAGTCTAGCCTGGGCGTAGAGAGGACTAGATCCTAAGCTCAGTTTGGAACATGTTTGATCTGAGATGCTTGTGATATATCCAAGGGGAGATGGTATGCAGGTAATTGTAAAAACAGATCTGGCGCTCACAAGAGATGTAGGCTAGAAATATAAATTGGATAACAGTTTATAGATTATATTTAAAGCTGCGAATATGACCTCTCGAAGCCTTAGTTGTTGCATCTATAACTTGGAAGTAATGATCTAGCTGTGCAAAGAGGTTGAAAGGGATGCGTACAGCACATAGCACAGTATCTAGCTCATAGTAAGCACTCAATATATGGTAATTGCCATTATTACTATGTCTAGGAAAATCTCACAGCCTTATTCTCTGAGTTAGCACTAATTGACAAAGAGGAGAGTGGAAAAGAGTGAATAAAGGAATGAACATAAATCTGTGAAAATATGTGTATAAAATCGAGATAAAACCATTAGCTTTCATTGTGCTGCTGTGTTAGAATTTTTTTTTTGTAATTTTTAATTCCCAGGCATCCCTCCTCTCGCAAACACCTCCTATAATTCTCCCCCTGAAAAATCAGGGGACTTCATTTATCTTAAATGGGACATTTGGACCCAAATGATTTCTGAGGCTGCCCCCAGGTTCTTCATCTTGGTGGGTTCTCATTATTGCTGCTGCAGTGACTGATTGATTTGTTGAGAAATATCTGTCTAAATATTCTTCTGGTAACATTATTTTTAGGAAGGCAAAGCCTTTACATTTCCAGACGGCAGCTTTGCTGTGAATGTGGGGAAACCACAGAAAGCTGTAACACATTGCACATGTCAGCAAGGCCTTCTGGGCTTCTTGGCATTCCTAATGATGATAATGATCCCACTTGGTGGAGTCTGACCCTCCCTGCAGCTGGTGTCCTTTCTGCGCAGGGATGAGGTCACTGGGGAAGGGGGAGGAGGCGGAGCTGGGGTGGATGAGAGAAGGGAAGGGGAAGAAGCTGTCACATCTGCATTCTTGGTGGAAAAATGGAAACATGTTTGCCACATGCTTGCTTTGTTTGTTTATTTTTTAAGGAAAGGGTATGGAGAGGCAAGAGAATAGTGAGGAATTGTAACATGATGACTGCTTGGTTTTCCCCCAAGGCTTCACAGCTAAATAGCTGTATTCTCAATAACAGGCTCATCAAATTTCCCAGGGCACTGATAACTCTATGAATCTAATCCTGAATACTTGAAACTGATCAGGGCCAGGATATTCCAGCGTTTGGATCCAGTAACTTCTTTAGAGTTGTGAAAATTCCTAATTCTAGATAGTCCACTCCTCCTTATGCCTCAGACATGTCTTAAAAAGGGAAATTCAGAATTTGCAGAATTATTTTTATATTTGGCAATGTAGTTAAAAGTATCAGGTTGTTCACCTATTTCTCAAAGTTGTCACTGAAAGTAAACAACCTTTTTTTTTTTTTAAGTTTACTAGTAGTAGCCTAACTGGTAGATCATAGTTTTATCTCTAGAGCTTGTTGTATATACAGAGATTATAAATCTAGAATTCCCCAACTCCCCCCAGGATTTGGGATTGTTGTTACAATTGGTTGTTGTTGATGTTTTTGTGAGGAGAGAGGTTAGCAAAAGAGGGGTCCTGTTGTCATTACAGGGAATGACCTGGCCTGGGCAAAATCACAACCAACCACTTGGCCATCTCAGCTCCAGGTAATAGAAATAAGTCAGCGCTGACAGAAGTGAGAAAAATACTCAAAATGCTCTCAAGATGGTTTTGAACCCTTCAAACCTGATAAGGCCAGGTCTGATTAGCCTTTGTATCTTCAATACCTCAGCCAGGGCCTAATAGATAGTAAGTGCTCAGTGAGTGGTGAGTGGCCAAGTAACCCAGTTTTCCTATTTTCCATGGTTCAGGACTACTGTTGGTAGGCAGAACAAATGACCATGAGTAATTAGGTAGAGGGAAAAAATATTTCCTCCTAAATCATGGAGAAAGAGGCTGTTATTTAAGTAAATATAATAATTGACTATCAACAGTGCTCCCGACTTGAGTTTTCAAGATAAAATGTAAAGGGTATTGTCCTCAGGTTTTGAAGGTCCAAAACTGCTAAATGTTTAGCCATTGAAGTTTTCTAACCTAAATTTCCTTGTTGGTAAAATGGGTATAATACTTTCTCTGCCTACCTTTCTAGGGTTATTTTCAGGATTAAATGCTTTTAAGGAAGTGAAACTAGTAAAAACTATCGGAGGGAAGTGTTGTTATTTTCTTCTTTTGAGAACAATATATCTTTAAACATTTTTAGAAGAAAAAAAGGTTTTGAATTCCTTGAAGAAAAGGTGCTTCCAAAGCATATTTATTGATGCTATTATTGTAAATCCCTCTTTAAGCTTCATGCATTTAAAAATTAATGACAACTCTCCTCTTCCTTTCTGGAAAGCTTTTATGACTTAACTCCAAATTCTATGTGTTTAAAAAAACTAAAGTATCATGTCCTCCTTAAAGAATACCATTATTATTCATAACCTCTGAAACCAGCGAGGGTCATAAAGCTACTGACTGCGAATGATTAAGTGGCCACAAATAAAACACTGGTATTACCACATGTAAATTCTTTCCCTGCAGTTTATGCCTCCGCAAACAGTGATTCAACTGCAGGTGTCTGTCAAGAGACAGTAGAGTTTTGTCCTTCTGGAAGCCTCACTGTATGTGAAGTCAAGAAACAATGCCCCTGCCACTGTCTAGCTATAGCCTCAATCAAATCATTTCACCTCTCTTAGCCTCTGCTTCCTCTTTTAACTGACAGGGCATTCAGTGGCTGTGCGTCTGGGCCTCACTGCTCTCCCCAGAAGGCATTTGAAAAAAAAAAGGAAGGCATTTTTGGTTGTCAAAATGACAGGGTGGGCGAAAAATGATAGGATGGAGGTAGCTTCTGGCACTTAGTAGGCAAATTTTCTATGGTGAGTTGAGCAGACTCATGAAAGAACGAATTGTCCCTCCTATAGTGTAAATATACCCTCCTAAGAAACACTGGGCCATAGCTTGTGAAAGTGAAAGGGTTTAAATTAGTAGTAAGGGACTGTCCCAGGCAAGCTGGCATATAGGGGCCAAACAGCCACAATCCAAGTCCACTTGTGCTTGCATTGTCTTCCTGCATTCTGGCCCTGTTTGCCCCACAAATGACCAGGTCCCAAGCTCTGCTGAACAGCCCTCAGGGAAGGGGACAGATAGGTCCAGACCAAATCCTTCCACTGTCTTTATTTTACTAGGAAAACTAGCAATAGACTTAAAGTTAACTCACTTGTTTATCCCTTAATTTGGTTATGCTTTAGTCCCAGAGGCCCCTCATTTCTCCCCTTTCCAGACCTTCAGAGCCTTCGGCACTGCCAGCCCTCAAGTATGGCAGCTGCTTGAAGCATTTGCTTGGGGTGAGTTGGGGAAAGAGGAGGAAGAGTAGAGCCAGCTCTTCCCTGCAGCTGTGGCTAACCGAGGCAAGCTGTGACACGGAGCTCACTCCATCTCAGTCAGAGCCCACCCTGAAGCCATATCTGTGGGTGCAAAGTTATTGTGACACAACCCACCACACAGTGTCAGGGGAGAAACTGAGCATGGTAATTGAGGTGCCAGGTGATTCTTGCACCACTTTTTTGGACTGCCATTTAGAGAGGGAAAATAAAAGCCAAATCAGGAATCATTTCCACTCTGTTAACATCTCACTAAAGGAAGCAATCAAGTCCAGGTGGGTTTTATGTTTCTCAGCCCCTGTACATGGACAAAGACTGGGATTCCAGATTTTCCTAACTAGCCCTAGGTTTTTCTCCTAGGACATTTTCTTTCTGCTTCTAAAATTGTATTTTACTCTTTAAAAAAAAATCTGTTGTGCAGAATTATATAAGGTTGATATGATGGCCTAGACTGATTGCTTAAATATGGACTTGGACAGTTATGGAAAAGCACTTTTGTTTGTGTCATGGAATTAAAGTTACCACACACACAATTGTCTATTTTCAAACCTAATGGATTACATCTTATATGAATAAAAGAGTATAGCAAACAAAAGGGCATAAAATTTTTATGCCAGAAACAAAGTCGATGTCTGAATTTAACTGGAAAAAAACTGTAGAAATTTGTGTCTGACAATTGCAAACAGTTCTCTTTCCTTGTTTTTTCTTTTACCTTCTCTCCTTACTATTTGAAGTTATACCTTTGGGAACACATATCTTCTCTACATTATAGAAACGTGGCAATAAATCATGGTAACAAATAAACTGTTCTCTTGTTTCATTTATCATCTGTTTTTGAGGTTTGAGCATACTCAACAAAGATTAGAGGTTAGACTATTGCTCTTCTAGCTTGTTATGAAACCCTAGGGTCTTACCGAACTTACCAAAGTCGATGAAGGATTAATTTGGGGAGAGCTTTTTAAAAAATCACTCAGCATTATAAGGGAGGTTAATATGGCACTAGAGTGTCATATTTTTAAGAGGGAGTCTTCTTTTTATTGATTGATCTATTTATACCTCACTTCCAAAACATATGCAGTACAGAAAATTAAAATAATTCATTGAGGGAATAAAAGTGATTAGAATATAAAGCCAGAGATAATAGTGAGAAACAGAAATAAGTTGACCCTTGAACAACATGGTTTTGAACTCTGTCGACTTCTGCCATTCCTGAGACAGCAAGAGCAACCCTTCTTCCTCCTCCTTCTCAGCCTACTTGAAGAATAATGAATAGTAAATATATTTTCTTAACAAATAGTAAATGTACTTTCTCTTCCTTATGATTGTCTTCTAACATTTTCTTTTCTCTAGCTCACTTTATTGTAAGACTACTGTTTATAATATATATACAACATACAAAATACTTGTTAATTGACTTTTTATTTTATCAATAAGGCTTCTGGTCAACAGTAAGCTACTAGTAGTTAAGTTTGGGGGGAGTCAAAAGTTATATGCGATTTTCAACTGCACAGAGGGTCAGTGACCCTAACTTCTGAGTTGTTCAAAGGACCATATACTGTGTGGTTCTTTACGGTTATTAGAAGTTAATCACTATTTAGCTCTAAGCTTCCTAGTGGCCTAAGTGAAAAGGAACATGCTTTTTTAATCACACAGACTCACCTGTGGAATGAATCTATTAAGGGCATCATGGGGTAGTGTTCGGGGGCAAATTTTTAAAATTTGTTTATTTACCAGCATTTCTGGTAGATCAGTTTCATAGATCAATAAATAAAAAGAAGAATCCTTCTTAAAAATATGACACTGTGGTGCTGTATTAACCTCCCTTATAACTCTGAGTGATTTTTAAATGTGCCCTCTAATGAGTCAGGAACTTACACAGAGAGGGAGTTTGGGCAATATCAGAGAAAGCCATATCTTTTTTAGATTTATGTGAAATGCTCAGTATGAAAATTTTAAATCTCTTAAAATTGATTATAAAATGTTTTAATGCTAAAATAGAATGCTTATCTGATTATGGTAAGATCCAAATTAGATCATAGTCATTTTCTGTTTTTTTAGAGGCATCTCTGTAAATTCCCACAATTTGTTTGTTTATTTGTTTATTTGTTTGTTTTGAGACAGAGTCTCGCTCTATTGCCCAGGCTGGAGTGCAGTGGTACAATCTCTGCTCACTGCAACCTCCATCTCCCAGGTTCAAGCGATTCTCCTGCCTCAGCCTCCAAGTAGCTGGGATTACAGGTGTGCGCCACCTTGCCTGGCTAATTTTGTATTTTTAGTACAGATGGGGTTTCACCATGTTGGCCAGGCTGGTCTCGAACTCCTGACCTCAGGTGATCCACCCACCTTGACCTCCCAAAGTGCTGGGATTACAGGCATGAACCACCGCACCCAGCCTCCCCCAGGTTTTGTTAAATTAGCGGCTTTAACTTTGGAAGATAACTCTGTGAGACACATTCTTTGGGAGCATGGAAGTGGCTCCTTGTGGAAGAGTCTTCAAGAATTTGATCCAAAAGTCAGCTCTATAATGCCCTCTACCAAACTATTTTCACATGTTTTAGGTAGCAGTTTCTTCTTGCAAACAATCTTATACCCACCTTCAATAGAGAAATCACATAAAAGTGATATTTTATTAGTATAAATTTATTTTTAAACCATCATTTGAATAATATATACTTATTATAAAGACAGTTGTTAAGATCAGTGAAACCCTTTCCATAAGTCAGAAATTTAAATGGATCACAATTCTTCTCTGTGAGTCCAGCTTCTTATTTTTTCCGATATTCTGTTTTGTTACAGGTTTTTAAAACTCATTTGGACACCCACCTCAATATATGCTGTGCAATTAGAATAATCCAGAAGACTGAAAGAGTAGTAAATAATTTTATTTCAAAATTTAATAATATAAACCAATGGCTTATATTTCTTTTTATATATATATATTTTAAGTTTTAGGGTACATGTGCACAATGTGCAGGTTAGTTACATATGTATACATGTGCCATGTTGGTGTGCTGCACTCATTAACTCGTCATTTAACATTAGGTATATCTCCTAATGCTAACCCTCCCCCCTCCCCCCACCCCACAACAGGCCCCGGTGTGTGATGTTCCCCTTCCTATGTCCATGTGTTCTCATTGTTCATTTCCCACCTATGAGTGAGAACATGCAGTGTTTGGTTTTTTGTCCTTGCGATAGTTTGCTGAGAATGATGGTTTTCAGCTTCATCCATGTCCCTACAAAGGACATGAACTCATCCTTTTTATGGCTGCATAGTATTCCATGGTGTACATGTGCCACATTTTCTTAATCTAGTCGATCATTGTTGGACATTTGGCTTGGTTCCAAGTCTTTGCTATTGTGAATAGTGCCAATGGCTTATATTTCTAAAAACAAACATTTTATTATATATATTTTTTATAGTATAAGTATATAATTTAATGTAATATATTTTATATGTCATATATTTATTAATATGTGTTATTAAAATATATGTTTATAATATGAAGTATATTATATAAAATATTTTATGTATTTATACATAAATATAAATGTGATAAATATAAAATATTTCAAGCAAGAAACACATGCAATTTACCAACTCACCCTTAAATGATCTATATTATTATGTCATATGTGTTATTTGTCACATGTTATTTAGGCTACTAATGGGCATAATTTGTGATCTGAGAGTTCAGTTCCTTTAGAACTGACTAGGACCCCATGATGCACACTTATAATAGGCAAATGAGTTCAAGCTTTTCTTGACATGTAATTGACTATGGCATATGTGGGCTATACTAATACACTCCATTGGAGTTTTGCATGAGCAGACATGGCACAGTCCAGAAACGAATAAAAAACTAATGCAGAGCAATAACCTTCTTATTGAATGGCACATTTATGAGAGATTCACTTCTCTGCACCAAAATTCCAGGGGGAACTTTTGTTCCAAGGTCTGAGGGGTAGTAGTGGTGGTGATGGTAGTGGTGTATCCGTGTGCATGTCCTATTAGAACTGAGTGCACCCAGTTGGAGGATGGGTCTTATGGCACCATTTGTGTTATTATTGTGGTTTTATTAACTGAACCTCTAAGTGAAACTGATGAAGTCTGTCCTCCATTTTCTTGGGCATACATTAGCAATTCAATGCTAGTATAGGAAAGAGGGCCTGAGACATGAAGATAGCTCAGGAGCAAGTATTAACACTGAGAATCCATGGGTAAGTTAATGCAATGTTTCTTTCTATAACCACATTTTAAGATAAGTATATTCTAAAATTTTACAAAGGCAAGGTGGAAGGTACCTTCCCCAACCTCATGTAAACCAGTTGTTTGAGTATATACTGTATAAGGTAAACTTTCTGGATATGATACAAGATAAAGTTATAAATAAATTCATATTTGATCTTGTTTTTAAATATGTAAATATCCTTAAGTGCCTTGTTATTATTTTCTAGGATTTGTTTTTTCACAGGAATTTTTAAAACCTGTAATATATAATTTCCCCTAAATAAGATGAAATTTAGTTCATCCCTGGGATAAATGCTCTGTATATCACCTGTGGAGTTGTTCGCCTGCTCTCCCTTTGGTTACCAGTCATTATTTCTTATTTCTATTCTCTCCTGAAACAAGGGTGCTCCTTGTTGACAGTATGCTTCCTGTGCCTTTATCTCTTAAACCCTATATATTGCTCCAATTTGGGGCATAGTTGTAAGTCATTGTATAATTCACCATAGCAAGCCTTCTGCCCCAGAAGTGTCTTGAAAAGACACAGTTTCCTAGGACTGCCATAACAGATTACCACAAATTGGGTGATTTATAATAACAAGAATATATACTCTCACAGTTCTAGAGGCTAGAAGTTTGAAATCAAAGTGTCAGCAGGGCTATGCTTCCTTCAAAGGCCGTAGGGAAGAATACTTTCTTGCTTTTTGTAGCTTCTGGTGCTTGCCAACAGTCCTTGGCATTCCTTGGCTTGTGGCAGCATAACTCCCAAATCTGCCGCTGTCTTTACATAGTTGTCTTCCCTCGTTGTGTCTGTATCCAAATTTCTGTCTTCTCATGAGGACACCAGTCACTGGATTGGGGCCTACCCTAATCCAGTTTGACCTCATCTTAACTTGATTACGTCAGCAAACACCCTATTTCCAAATATAGTCACATTCACAGGTTTTGCTAGGTGCATAAATTTGGGGGAGTGGGGAGAATGGGTATTCAACCTGGTACAGCCAGTAAGAATCTTACTACATTCTCTCATTTCTCTGAGCATTTAGGGGTCTACACTTGAGCATTCTGTTTGTTTTCACTGTGTTATCTTTCTTACCTGGAAATCTATCCAAAGCCACAGAAACCCTAACTAATCAATTCTTTAGTGACTGCCACAACACATGCTGAGTCTGTATTATTTTATAAAACTGCCCCCTGGGGCCAGATTTTGTTCTCCATTATTCATATGCAGCTTCCTACTAGAATCAAAGTAAATTGCATCCAAGTGTTTCCAAGCATTGACTCTGGCCCACACTTCTTCCCAAATTCTATACTTTGTTCTTTGTATATCTGGACATTCGGCTTACTTAAAAGTATGTAATATTCTCCCCAAGGCTTTGAAGAGCTACATTATTTCCAAATCTTTTACCACTTGAGCTTCCCTAGTATTGTAAAAGCTGGCCAAGGGTCAAACATTTGTGTGCTTTCAAGATAGCATGTAGTGTTTAAATCCCTTCCTTAACCAAAGTTGCCATTGTACTGTGAAGGAGGTTCAGAGCAAAGGTCACAAACTAACCGAGACATCACATTCCCCCTTCCCTCTTGATATGTTCTCTTTGACTTGCTTGATGGTTTTTTGAAAGAACATGAGTTAGTTGCTAGTAATAGCAAATTTCACAAAGAAATTGAGATATCTGGCTTTTCTTGAAAGCTCAGATCTGGAAAACCTAGGCCTACATTCTTGTAGCTGGCCAGAGCTGGGGAGTGGCTGTCCCGTCAAGTGGAGCACGTACTCTTGCCTGCACCATGAGCCAGTCTGACCTGCTTCGTTCATTATATTATGTTATGTTTTGTTATGTTATGTTATGTTATGTTATGTTATGTTATGTTATGTTATGTTATGTCATGTTATGTTGTTACCTACCTGCCCCTGTTGGCATTTGAACTATCCACTCCTGGCCCAGGACTTGGGAATACAACGTGAATAATCTTGCAGATGTGGCTCAAAGAAACCATGCTGGACAACTGGATCAAAGGAGGGCAGATCACTGATTTCCCTTCCCTCTGGGCTGCACTGTCTTTTAGCAGTTCCCACCAATACCCTCAAGCCCTGGGATGAGATGCACAACTTCTATCACAATGCCTCTGGATCCCGTAACCTTGCCCCCTCTCTCTCACCATCACTGGTGTCACAGTTGAGTTCAGATGCAAAAACTGAAATGTTCAGAAGTATGAGGTCATTTCAAATTTAGTCTCATGTTATTCTGTTAAGCTTGGATTTCATTAATCACAACATAGTTCCTTCCAGAAACTTCTGAATGCCCTTTCCCAGCTTGCAGAGCCTCTTTTGGGCCTTCTTGCTGATCATCTCTGCTTCCGTGCTTTACCCTTTACCTCCTGGCCCATAGTATTTTGTTGTCAGGTCACAGTTGTCTTTCTGGAAGTCTCCTGCCTCAGACTCTTACCAAAGTCCTCGTGGTCTGCCCTTCAGAACATTCTCAGCAGCTCCTATCCCAATTCAGGTCTCCCAGTTCTCCTCGTCCTACTCTTATCAATTTCTTCGTGTATGCATAGGATTTCCAGTACAAGAGTATCATCTCAAGCACTGAGGATCCTGAACAATGTCTCTCTTGCTTTCCTCAGTATCTTTAGCATTACTGAACACCTCTTAGTTCTGTTATCCCCAACATCACTGGCACACTCAGTCCATCCAGGCGATAGAAAATCAAGGTGACTGTATGATCCACGTGGCCATATGCTCTTCTCGGAAATTCCTAGGACATGTTATCACACTGTGACAATCACTGTCTAATGCTAGAAAAAAACTGATTTGTCTCTCGTTAAGTATTTGTAAATACTAAAGACTGTCTTTACCTTTATTTTAGAGTTTATAAGAGTAGCCTGTGTTCATTGAATGTGGAAAATATACAAAGATGCAAAGATAAAAATATAAATTACCCATTGCTATACCACCTAGATTAAAAACCACAGCCAGCATTTTGATATGTGCATTTTCACATTTATATTTTAATCTCTTCCTTTCCCTGTTCTTTAGTAGTCAAACATTCTTGAGAGGAGAGTAATTTTTGTGATTATCCCAGTAATTTAGAAAAGAGAGATAGGCTAGAGAAAAATCTAGCCTTAAATTTCAGAAATTTTTTAATATTGTACACATTCTTTCTTGTTTATATTAAATTACTCTTCCACAATATGAAGGGTAGATATGAAGTTTTTCATAACTACCTTCAAGGAGTCCAAAGATTATCTGTATAGTACCCTCATTTTTCTGATAGGATAGATTGTATTATAGATAACACTTGTGTATGGAGTCCAAGCTTAATCTTAGGCATTCAGAGAAGGATAGCCTAGTTGATCTGGTTGGGGAAATAAGACACAGGTAAAAGAAGATTCATATTTGCTCAAAGTAGCATAAAAGTGCAAGCTATGGTATACCAAGGTCTTAAGCTGGGGCCTGAAGGGAAGGGAAGGCAGGGAGTAGAGAAGAAAGCTACATAGGTGCATTTTACATTACAAAAATGGTAGGGTACCAAATATTATTACCAGCTGAGGGTGTGGCAAGACCCTGGCTAGGAACCAAGTCTGACTCTCAGCTCTGGGATTTCCCCACAACATTTCCAGCTGATAAATTGACAAGTCTCCAATGCATCCTTCCATAAATATTGTTACATTTTCCAGACCTTACATCTACTTTTTAAATTTCTATGGGAGGCTTTTTAGAAACTTACAGCCTAGAAATACTTATTTTAAACAAAAGTGATTTCATATTAAAATAAATAAATTTCAGTGACTGAATGCTTACTACCTGGTGATACAAAGATAACAAAAGTTTATAATCTGCTCTTGTTGAGCTAGAGATATCATTAACATTTTAGCCTCCAGGTCAGAAATGCTGCTAGCCCTTACTGGCTTTATCTGCTTGTGATTAACAAGTTTGTCATAATCTAATTAACACAGCTAATGTTGAGTTTCTAGGCAGCTGGAAACAATAAATGTCTTATTGCTTTGGACTGCCACACAACCAGGTAGCAGCTCTAGACCATTAAAAAAAAAAAAATGGGGCCGGGCGCGGTGGCTCACGCCTGTAATCCCAGCCCTTTGGGAGGCCAAGGCAGGCCGGGCGGATCACGAGGTCAGGAGATCGAGACCATCCTGGCTAACACAGTGAAACCCCGTCTCTACTAAAAATACAAAAAATTAGCCGGGTGTGATGGCAGGCGCCTGTAGTCCCAGCTACTCGGGAGGCTGAGGCAGGAGAATGGCATGAACCTGGGAGGCGGAGCTTGCAGTGAGCCGAGATCGCACCACTGCACTCCAGCCTGGGCAACAGAGCGAGACTCTGTCTCAAAAAAAAAAGAATTGGGCAAGTGATTTTTCCCACAACTTTGGGGTAGCTCTGTAAGAGAACTAATGATTGGCAGGCTCAGGGCAGGAGATTTTAATGGAAAGTCCTGGACCTGCAGTCAGAGAAGCTCTGGTGCTGGCAGAGCCAGGATTTAGCTGTATAATCTTTGCCTGCCACGTGGCTTCTCTGCCCCTCCAGTGGACTAGGTGACTAAAGACCCGTCCCGTTCTAATATTCTGTGACTATTCTCCAAGAGTCTAATCTTTCTGCAGGAAACCAGGAAAGCAGTGAGATGTTACTTTAAGGAAAGATGACATGATCTCTAGGCCAAGCTTCTTGCCCGGCCTTAGGCATGTCAGTTTCAAATACTCATTATATCATCAAGGAAAAAGGCCAATAAAAGCCCAGACCTTTCAAGCTATAGAATCTGCTTATAAATTGGAATGGACAGAGTTGCTGCGGTTTCTCCAAACTCTGAAACATTACATGTTCTTGGGTAACACTAAAATGCATTTTGTGTTCTGCGTCTTATTAAAGTTCTCGTGATATGTCTCTGTAAAAGTCTGCTCCCCTCCTGCAAACAGGGAATGTCCCCTTGGTTATCTGTTACCAGTTAGTTCAGTTGGTTGAAATCCAATGCTTTGGGATCAGGCCCCATATGGGACAGTTGGTTTCATGCAGAGAAGCCCCCTGCTTGCCCGGGTGTTTCATAAATGCATGCATTTGGTCGCAGAAGGTATGGATGTGAGCGTGGCTGGCTCAGCATAACCTACCCCTGCTACTGGAAAAATCACTCAAACCCTAGGTTTTTTTAACAGGGTCACTGCCCTCATCCTTGTTTAGAATTAACAACTGTGAATACAATGCCGGTCCAACTTCTATGTATTCCTCAAAGATCCTGATGACCTTTTACCCAACTAACTGACTGTCTAAATCTTTCGACATCGTGAGAGTCTGATGAAAATAGCTAGTTATTAGAGGCTGACTCTCTGTGAGGTACTATGCTAAGTGTTTGTGTCCATTCTCCCACTCATGCCTCAAAGTAATCCCAGGCAATATGCACAATTTTTTATTTTCTTTTTGCAGTTGAGGAAACTGGCTGGGGAAGTTACCTAGCTTTCCTAGGGCTCCACATTTACTGACTGGCAGAACCAAGACTGAGACTCCTATCTGTCTGACTCTAGAGCCTATGCTATTACTCTCTATACCCTACTGCCTCTCTCAGGCAGAAAATTAAGAGGCATCTGAATACTGTTCTATGTTCAAGGCACGGAACAGAGTTGGAGATTTTAGAAACTGTGATAAGCTCCTACTTACAGAATGAAACTTTGTACAATCAGATGCTTATAAACGGGTATGATTTTCCATTGTCATTCTTTGGAATGTAAAATGAGATCACCTCTGAAGGCAGGCAGAGAAAAGTTGACACATAGTTAAGTGAGGCACAAGTCTGTTCTTGGGTGCTTCTACAAGCTTCCCATTGATGACCTCCTCTCTGTCCCGGCAGCTTGAGATACTCACATCCCCAATCTAAAGCTTTGCTCAGCTTTTGCTCCTCCAACTTTCATTTCAAACACAAATCCCCTTGGTGGACAAAGAGAAAAGTTTCTCTCCGCTTTTTTTCTCCTCTAAATTCCCAAGCACCTCACCACAAACTGACTTCATTTTACACCCTCAAACCCAGAAGCATCAACAGACAACAGGGCCCATTTTTCCTGACTGTCCCACTCAGAGGCTTTTCAGTAGAAGGAGGACGCTGTATAACCTCCTTTGTTAGAACACTGAGTTAAGCCATGACTTCTCTTCTGGAGCCACAGTTTCATATGTGAAGTTTAAAATAAAGTTTAGTAGTTGAGTGATGTGTTTAGTATTCTAGAACCTTTTTCTTTCTGATCTTCTAACTTAACTTGCATTTGAGAGCAAAGGGGCAGTTTGGACAGCATGGAGAAGGCATTTGGTGCAAGTTCAGGAAAAGGTCCTTGGTAACATCCATCTCTTCCAGTGTTTTTCTTTTTAGATTTTGTAGATAGACTTGAAATAAAGGCTACCTTTAGGGTAATTTCTCTTTTACCTAGTCAGCACTACAAAGTAAAGCTTAAAGTTTCATGGTTTTCCTTAAAAGAAAGAACAGATTGACTAACTTCACTGTTGATACAGAAACATATACTTGGAGTTGAAGAGCTTTGTTAGATACTCTAGGTTGTTTCTGTCCAGTTTCTGGGAAGCTATCCTTTAAAAAATACAATGCCTCTTAATTTTCTTTTTCCTTAAAGGGCTTTATAAATCTCTGGCATTTGAGGCTATAATGGGACGAGCCTTCCATGTGACATCTTTTTTGAGACAATGAAAAATGCTTCACACCTGTGTCCTTGTCCGTGGCTTGCTTTTAGCCTCATCTCCGTGATCATCACTGCTTTCCCCTGCTTCTTCACTCTAGCCTTGCTTCCTTTCATTCAGGAAGCATTTTTTTTTAGCACCTGTTATTAAATAATGGTGTGCTAGGCCCTGAGGAGGTGAGGAGATGAAGACAAAGTTTCTATCCTCCAAGGGTAGAGGGTGTAGTTCAGAGGTTGAAGATTCAAACAGCGTTAGGAGCCAGGAAGGTTTGTGAGCCAGAAGGCGGGGGCCAAGTGCAGGACAGAGTAGTGACTGGGACTGTACTGTAATGAAAAGGACCCATCATGCCTGAAGAAGTCAGTCATTACACAACTCCAGCTGACTGGAACCATCCATATGTGCCGGCCTAGAATTGTCAGAGCTTCCAGTTTGTCAAGAGAAATCAGAAATCCAGATTTCTGTGTGTATGTATCATCTCCTGATTTTTAAAAAACTCTGGCAACTAATTCATATTCTTCAAAAACATCATGTAGGCCAAACAAAACATGCATGTGGACTGGATTCAACCTATGAGCCTCCAGTCTGGGGAGTTCTGGCCTCGTTAGTGAGGTAAATCACATATGTATGAAATGATTAATTTAAAATGTGACCCATATGACTAGGGGTGGCACAGGCAGTTTTCCTGCTGGAGGAGGACGGTTGGGGAAATGGGGGCGGGGGGAAGATGGGCTCCAGGTACATGTGCCCTCAGCTGTGCCGGGTATGGTAAAGGGATTTGAGGAAACTGGAGGTGTGTGTCACATGGTGGGTGGGCTACGGTGCCAGACTGAAGAGGTTGAGATTTACTTTCTATGTCATGAGGAGCCCCTAAAGATTTTTTTGATCTACTATTTTAGAAAATAAAATCTACTGGGAGGTAAAGGAGTGAAGTACCATGCAAGGAGAAACCATGAGGAGACTCTTGCCTTAGTACTTTAACTGTTTCCCACTCCACCTCCTCTTCCATCCCTTTATACCACATCCAAAAACCATCTTCCTGATGCCCTTCTAAGAGAAGGCAGCTCCTTGGCCTAGCAAGGTAGCTTTAAAGTATGCCAATGCCCTAAACGAAAACAAGAAAATGAAATCAGAGCACATTAGAATAGCATCTTCACCCAAGAAAAAAAAAATACATAAAAATGCTTAGCTACCACCTCTCACTGAGTAAAAACCACCACTTAAGAAACAAATAGGGGCTCGGCGCAGTGGCTCACACCTGTAATCCCAGCACTTTGGGAGGCTGAAGCAGACAGATACCTTGAGCTCACAAATTTGAGACCAGCCTGGGCAATATAGTGAAACCCCATCTCCACAAAAAATAGAAAAACACAAGATTTAGCCAGGCACAGGGTGTGTGCCTGTAGTCCCAGCTACTCTGGAAGCTGAGGTGGGAGGATAACGAGCGTGGGAGGCGGAGGTTGCACTAAGCCAAGATCACACACCACTGCACTCCATCCTGGGCAATAGAGCCAGATCTTGTCTCGAAAAAATAAAAATAAAAAACAAATAGGGCATCTCTTTGAGCCATACAGATCTATCAATGGCCTGCATGGCTTTGAAATGGAAGTGCAAGTTGCAGAACCACATCCTCATTAACCGCACGAGGTGATGAGTTGCAGCATAGCAATAGCCACACACAAGAAACCACACCCTTTGCCCCAAGATTTATTAGCAGGGCTTTCTCTCTTAAGTGGCCAATAGATGTGCACATAGAAGTTGACCTTTACTTCTAATCAAGGCAGAAAGGCACTGTTAAAATTTAAAAAAAAAAAAAATTTTAAAAGGAAGGAAGGGTACAATTTTTAGATTTTAAAAACTATACTTCTTCTAAATAAACCTAAAATACCAAAAACAAGTGATCCCTCTGTACACACTGAGTATGTTTGTGTAATGAGAGGCTCCTTATCTCTGGACAGCCAGATGGGGTGAGTCCAAGTTGGGGCCAAGCACATGACATTCGAAAATCTTCACAGGTGGTTGAGGACCCTGCACAGTTTTGCTTAGAGATTAAAACTTAAATGTTTGGCTGATGTAGGCAATTCTTGGTTATTCCAGGGTGTTAATTTTCCCAGGCCCTTGTTTTACTTTCTTTCTCCTCCTACCCACATTTTCACTATTTTATTTCTTATTAATACCTCCTGCAGAGAATGAAAAGAAGAAGAGAAAGAAGATGGAACTTTTTTAAAAAATTGCTTTACCTCATAATAAGAGCAGTACTAATAATTACAACACCATTAACAACCACTAGCATTTCTTGGACTTTTATTGCATTCTAGGTGCTAAGTGCTTTACACATATGAATTCATTTAATTCATTTAACCCTCACTACCTCCGAGGTGCATGTCGTTATCCTCCCATTCTGAGGTGAGAAAACTGAAGCACAGAGAAGGTAATGCAATACCCAAGGACTCACAGCTAGGAAATATCAGAGGCAAGATTTGAAGCCAAGAAGACTGATTCCAGAGACTTCACTTTTTTCATTTATTCATTTATTGTGGTAAAATATATATAATACAAAATCTGTCATTTTAACTATTGCTAACTGTGCAGTTTAATAGCATTAAGAACATTCACATTGTTATGCAACCAAGACTACTACCCATCTCCACAAACTTTTTCATCTTCCCAAATTGAAAGCCTTTACTACTCTATATTACTTCCCTAGTAATACTTAGAGATCTGGAAATATCCACTTGTGGTTATCCTGTCTTCTTCTTTTTTTTTTTTTTTTTTTTTTTTTTTTTTTTTTTTGAGACGGAGTGTTGCTCTGTCCCCCAGGCTGGAGTGCAGTGGCGCGATCTTGGCTCACTGCAAGCTCCGCCTCCCGGGTTCAGGCCATTCTCCTGCCTCAGCTGCCCGAGTAGCTGGGACTACAGGCGCTCGCCACCACGCCCAGCTATTTTTTTGTATTTTTAGTGGAGACGAGGTTTCACCGTGTTAGCCAGAATGGTCTCGATCTCCTGACCTCGCGATCCACCCGTCTCGGCCTCTCAAAGTGCTAGGATTACAGGTGTGAGCCACCGCGCCCGGTCTATCCTGTCTTCTTTTAACAGAAGATTTTGAGCCCTTTAAGCCTTAACTTCATTACTTCTCCATTAGTCCTCTGTGTTATGCATGCCTTGCAGCCAGTCCCTCATACGGGGGTCAGTCACACCAACCTCTCCAGGCTCTGAAGTGCTTCTGTTTTTTCCAAGAGATTTGTGTGTTGGCATATGCATGGGCAATTAGAGCTACATCACCTCTGCTGCCTGTCTTTTAACATTGATTCTAAGCTGCATACTAATTTCAAAAATCTCAAAACCCTAAAAGAAATTTAAAAGCCCCTATATCTTAGGCTTAAAGAAATAAACTCTTTGTCCTGGCTGAGATGTCGTTGTGAAAAAGCTTTGTCCTGGTTCCTCAGCATTCGCCCTACACCTGTCTGGCCCAAGCCTCCTCCCCTCCAGCCTGGATTACTGTGATGACTAGTCCCCCAACTCTCAGTTACTTGTACAAAGTGGACATCATGAGACCTGGTTCTAGTCTTATAACCTTGAGCAGCTTGCTTAATCTCTCTGAGCCAGCAGACGTTTTGTTCAGCACGAAAGGAGGATAGAAATAGATGTTTCCTTTTGACACATAAAGGCAAAATTTCTAGGAGTTCTCAGGCATCCTCAAGATGGCATTTGGAGTTCATTGAGGCCAAAGTCAGAAGAACTTTGAACTATATTATATGCCTCTTTGTCATTATTTTATCAGTTGGCACCCTGTTTTGTTTTGTTTTTACTGCTGAGGTATCAGTACCCTCACCCACTACTTGTTGTCCATTTAAAATCTGCTTACCCTAGAACTTCACCTCTGGCTCACTTGTTCCCAAATAAGCCCTGGTACTGCTTCTCATTTTTCCTTTCTCCTCAGTTTAGAAATAAAATTTTAACAGAAAATTTAAAAATTGGTTCCACACTCAGTATTATAATGATCTCAACCAACCATTAAAGGGTCTGAATGACTTATTACTATATATCTGAATTATTGTATTCTTCTTGGTGTAATTATTATTATAGTATTATTATCTGAATAGCTTTTTACTGTAACTCAGAATGATGGCCTTAATTTTCTCCAGGTGAATTTACTTTAAAAAAAAGAAAAACTTTATAAATCAAATTTAAAGGCTCCTAAGCTTCCATCCCACCCTGCATAATTAGCAACTAATGTGCAGATCTGAATACTTTCTCATCCAGACTTTGGTAGTCTTTTAAAAGTTATTTTAAGGATTATTTTAATCTGGGGACTTGACTTTTCATTAAATACCACTTTTTAACTGGTTAGTGAGTTGTGTGTGTTGGGTTTTTTTCTAGTTTGCAAGGTTGCAAGAAAAAAAGTCAACCTGAATAAAATTTCATATCAAAACTCTGGACTTCAGGGTACAGAGGAAAACTAATTTTTAAAGCATCTAATTTCTTCTCTCTGTAAAGAGGATTCCATTAAAGAAATAAAGTGATTTGTTCTGTTACTTGAAGTATAGAGAAAAACCTAATCAAATGTTAAAATCTCTCCACATGTTTACCCCAAGACTGTCAGGAGTACATACCGTCAGCCAAACCCATTGGTGCCAGTACTGAATGTTCACACTTAAGGTTGGAAAAGTTGCTTCTAGTTCTCCTCTCAAACCTCGGACCTCTAGAAGCAGGTGGAAGAGTTCTTGTTTTGTTTGTTCTTTGTTTTGTTGCTTCTGGTTTCAGAGAACCCAGAAGAATGGAGATTTTGAAAGTGAATTTGAGGTCTGCTGTAAACCTTCAAGGGCTCTTTCCTGTTAGGATTGTGGGGTTGTCTTCCGGGAATGTATTTAGGACGTGTGGTGGATTGGGAAAGAGGAGGATGTATCAAAGTAAACATTTCATGAGCTTCTGCTTTGCAGTTTAACTTACTAATAGACAAAACTTCTGACGATTTCCTGTGTATCCTAAAGGACCAATTTGCCACCAGCTCCCCAGTCCCACGGCCTCTCTTTTTCCAGCTAATCCTGACCCCCCCAACACCCTTTTTTTTTTTTCAACATTAAAGCCACTCATTCAATGTGCAACAGTGTTCGTGTTTGCCAGCCCCTTACTGCATTAAGTGTGCTGTGACTTCTTGGTTTAATTTGTGATGTAGCTGGTTTTCATTCTTTATGTTTTGACAAATGCCACCCACTATTATATGTAGAGAACTTTAAGATCCTTTGGCTCTCCAGAGGATAGAAGGCCCTGGAGCAGAGGAAGGGAGACTGGCAAAAGGGCTTGGAAAATGCTTACAGACCTAATGGAACTTTTTATTTCCACTTGCTGATTTTCTTTAGCTTCAGATTCATTAAGGGCATGTTGGCAAATCATACTCATCTGTAAGAACATTCTAATAAGTTCCGTGTTGCTGTCTACTACATGAGAGTCAATTTGACAAACAGCTAATTTTTTAAGGAATTCAGCAGTTGGATTTCCACACAGTAAAAAGATTGGTAGAGGGCAGAGATTTGGCCAGGGGCCTGGGGGTGGGGTGGTGGGGCAGGGGGACTAACAAACATGTATTGCTGTTGCTGCCTATGCAATGTATATCTACTAACATATGTTAAACACACACATACACATGTGTGTGTAACAAAACACTATGCTAGGCATTATGTGTGAGATGAGGAACAAGATACAGTTCTTGCTTTAGGGTCAGTCTCATAAGATTGTAAACTATGAGCCCAAATGCCTGAATTATAAGACAGTATGGAATGTATATATAATTAATATATACACTGGGCAGTCTACTTAGTGTGATGTAACAATGCGGGTTCCCAGGCCCCACCCCAGACTTACTGAATCTGAATCTCTGGGAGTACCATCCAGCAATCTGTGTTTTAATTAGCTCCTATGTTTTAACGAGAATATCCAGATAATGCTTTTTCCTGCTATAGTTTGAGAACCATTGCTCTAAATTGCAATTCTCAGGCCAATCTAACCTTCATGATAGGCATTATTATCCACTCACAGGTAAGGAAGTGGAGAGTCAGAGGAATAAAGTAACTTTGCCTAAAATCATCCTGCTAACATTATGGCAGTCTAGATTCAATCCCAGTTCTGTTGAACCACATATTGTCTGTATCCTCCATCTACCCGTGGCTGCCTCATCCTAGAAACTATTGTCAACCACATATAAGCCATTTTTTCTAAGATTTCATTCTTGGTCTTCCACTTTTCATCTTACTCTTTCTTCCTAATGAAAAAAGTATTCACTTTAACCATTTTACCACTGCCATAGTGCCCCATAGTTGTCACCATTATAAAGCTGAGGTGCAAATGACACTTGATTTGTTTTCCTTGCTATGTCATCACCACCTGTATTCTTGTATCTAATTAGTCCAACAGCCTCTCAGTTCATATTCAGATTCAAGGTGGAGAATAAAACGTTATATTTCAATACTAATTCAATTCCATCAATAAATGTTTATTGGCCAGGTATCATTTACCTAATACTGTGTTCTATGCTGTAAGGTAGTGGTGCTCAAAATATGGCTCCTGGATCAACAGCATCACCTGGGGACTTTTCAGATATGTAAAGTATTAGGCCCCACACTGGACCTTCTGAATCAGAAACTCTGGGAATGCGACCCAGCAATATGTACTTTTAAAACCCTTCCAGATTATTCTAATGCACATTAAAGTTTGAGAGCCACTGCTATAAGGGATAAGAGAACTTAGAGAGATGGTCTTTACTCTTTAAGAGATTACCATCTATTTTCCCTTGCCCACCTGTCAGTGTCTGAATTCAAACTGGAATTTCTGATAGCTAAGAGCTGACAGCAGTATAATGATTTTGTTTTACCATGTCTGCTAGATTCAGAAATGCCTCCTGCAGCTCTCTGTGGGATTCTTTTCTTTTTATTATTTTAATGAGAGTCAATCACTCATTTATAAAACCTCTTACAGAAATTAAAGTATGTTTCAGATGACAGTTACACTTTTTTATTTCTCCAGGGGTCTGATTTGCAAAGAATTCTTATGGAACTGGATTGTTTTGTTTATGTAGGCAGTCATTTGCCATGTGGTGATCTTGAAAACAGACTAAATAAATGGTTTGAATGGTGATGTCATGGATAGTGGTGATTAAAGCAAGGATGATGTGGAAGGCTTTGCTTCTTTTTTTTTTTTTTTTTTTTTTTTTTTTTTTTGAGACGGAGTCTCGCTCTGTCGCCCAGGCTGGAGTGCAGTGGCGGGATCTCGGCTCACTGCAAGCTCCGCCTCCCGGGTTCACGCCATTCTCCTGCCTCAGCCTCCCAAGTAGCTGGGACTACAGGCGCCCGCCACTACGCCCGGCTAATTTTTTGTATTTTTAGTAGAGACGGGGTTTCACCATTTTAGCCGGGATGGTCTCGATCTCCTGACCTCGTGATCCGCCCGCCTCGGCCTCCCAAAGTGCTGGGATTACAGGCGTGGCTTTGCTTCTTAAACCACCCAGGGACCAGACCAACTCCTGAAATCCTGGGTCACAGTTTAAAGATTTTTACTTGACCATACCATATTTATAGCCAGTCATTACTTGTTTTCTCACAGGATATTCTGTTTCAAAAGAATATTTGTCTTCTTTAGAAGACACATAAAAATGTGTGTCCCATACACATATTGAGTGAGATTCCTCAGTCAAGTGTGCTTTGTATTCAGAAGGGCAAGCGTGGACTGTGATTAGGTTAACTGTCACAGGGCCACTGAGATGCATGTTCCCAGGGCACCAGTCACCTAGAATACAGGAGTTTTGCAACTCTGAAGCCCTGGCTATGTTTTTGATCTCGTTTGTTTGTTTGTTTGTTTGTTTGTTTGTTTTAAATAGGGAAATTTTAGCATCACAGTTGAACAAAAGTAAGGTATCCCTACTCAAACTGAATTACCATGACCTTTTCTCTCTTCTTGGCTTTCTTGGCATTTATACAAGTTATTCTGGCCTACCTATGGTGCAGGTGAAAGTCTAGAGACTCATACCTTGGAAAGCAGGTAACTAAGCACCCTGGTGAAGGTTGTATATATAAGAAAGGTGGAGGCTTTTGGAATGTCTGTTGAATCCCTGGCTCCAATTATTCCCATTCCTCCATTAGTATACATGATTGAGGATAGTGAGTGTTTTTCAGGTGAAATCTGACAAAATTCACTTCATCTAAAATGCTGTCAAATCATCTGAATTTTGCAGATTTGATTCAGATACAGGTTTATTTAATGTAAATATAAGCCCTTAGGGGGAAAGAAGAACAACTAGAATTCACAAGATTATCTAGATGATTCAATTTTCAGTAGTATACTGGTTTGATAATAAACTGATTAATGATTAACTAGTTTAAAAACTGTGTACTGCACACTGAGTAGGTGCTAAATATATACCACACTACTTTGAAATAGTCTCTGTGGTCTCTATCCAAGCCTTGAGTGAAGTGGGCTGACATTTCAAAGAGGCTTTAATGGCCACCCAGGAGGACTCTGGGTATAGTACAATAGGGAAGCACAGTAGAGAAGCACAATATTAGTAAACAGATGCAATCAAAGCTTTCCCTACCCTACCACCCAGGCAAGTCATTCATGTCCTTGTGTTAGTCTGTGTCCCAAAGACCCAAGGCACCTCCAAGAACCCTCTTTTAAGTGCCTCCACAGCATAAGCTTTAAAGTCAAGCCAACCTGGATCCACCACTAATGATGGGAATTTAGGAATAACTACTTCCTAAAATTGTGAAAGATTACATGGAGCATATGTAAAACTCCAAGGCAATCAGAGAAATGCACATTTAATCAAAGAAATACCATTGTTTGCATGTCAAATTGGCAAATTTTTTAATGGTGATTCCTGGTATTGACAAAGATACAGTGAATTAGGACGTGCACTTGCACACTGCTAGTAGATGTGTAAATGGCCTTTAAAGCAATTTTGCCATGTTATTATAAACCTGGATGGATGCATAGTGAGACAAACATGAATGATGAAAGAGCCTCTGTGTGTGTGTGTGTGTGTGTGTGTGTGTGTGTCAGAGAGATATAGTATCTTTTGACTCAGTAAACACATTTAACTACAAAACATCATCTGAACTAACACACAAGTCTATCTAGATTCTTTAACAATTTAATGTAAATATTCATACATCTTGCTATAGGAATATTAATGTTGGATTAGTGGGTGCTGCCAAAGAACCCACTGCAAGTTTCATATAATACATAGTATATGTATCAGTTTACTTTTCTAAAACATGAAAAATTCTGAAACAATAGTTTTTTTGTTTTTTGTATTTTTGAGACTGAGTCTTGCTCTGTTACCCAGGCTGGAGTGCAGTTGCACGATCTCGGCTTACTGCAACCTCTATCTCCCAGGTTCAAGCGATTTTCCTGCCTCAGCCTCCCAAGTAGCTGGGAATACAGGCGCCCACCACCATGCCCAGCTAATTTTTGTATTTTTAGTACAAATGGGGTTTCACCATGTTGGCCAGGCTGGTCTCAAAGATGTTTCTTCTGTTTGTGATTTCAGAGGTTATTTTGTGAATTCACAGGTACCACTCCCAAGAAAGTTCAGCTTGCTCTCACCCTCGCCCAGCAGGTGGCACTGTGAAATAGAGGGACATGACAGTGCAGGGAGCTGCCGTTCTGCTCCACAAACCCAGATAGAACGTTAGCAAGTACCCACGTGATTTGGGCACTTCATAATAGATCAGTTGATATACTTGAAAGTCTCATACAAGTCTGGTGCCTCAAACTAGTTTTGTTCCATTTAGTTTCATGTCTTCTGTAAGGCTCCTACTCCTTTAAGGTCAGTGGCATCAAGTGCTCACATACTGAGCGGATCACTGAGGTCCTTTAAAAAGGTGCAATTCTATTTCTGCACATGGATGTTAGTTGCATTCTTTCTATCATTTGTAGGGAAAGCCACACTCTCTTCATCCTGTTGTAGGCATTATTACCCCTCCTGCTTGGGAAAAGATCTATTAATTTCTTGAATAAATTACCTAATTTTTGCAACAGCCTTAACTGAGCCAGCCATTAGCTGCCCACATAATGCTCACCTGCTCTGTTCTAAGCAGGCAAGTGGTTAAGAGAAAGGAGATGGCTGGTTGTGTGTTCCAGACCTTTCTTTTTGGAAAGACACTTTTTCTTCTCCTCTGATAGTGGTGTTTTGGATTTCTGATACGGCAGCCAATGGAATCAATGTCACAGTCTAAAAACTAGTGGTTCCTTCAGGCTTCAGTCTCCTGAGGCACCAGACAGTTTATACTCTTAAGAATTTTCACTGCTTTTCACAGACATTAATAGTTTCCTGGCATTGCCTATCAGGAAATGTCGTCATGGTCTGGAGGAACCAATAAAAATACAAGTAACCTGTTTTGACAGATCTCTTTTCTGCCAGAAATTTCAGAATTTGTGGTAAGAGGAGGTGGCAGAATGGAGGGCCAGTCTATTTGTGAGGGCATAAGCAGAAATATTTGCCCTACGAGAGGGAGCTGATATCTACCCTGGATATGAGAAATAGAGGACTCACACTATCCAGTTCATTTTGTTGGAAACTTAAAAAAAGAAAATCTGGTTTGATAGGGTAATTCAAGTCTATGGTACATTAAGATATTTTTCTCCTTTTTTTTCCTTTTATTTCAAACATAATTCTTGTTTGATCCTCAAATAAAAAACTCATGCGTTAAAAATTAACAGTATTTGATTAAGGATGTACACATGGCACTGTCATAAGGTATGCAGAAAGAGGCCGTGGATTTGGACAGTGATACCAAACAGCTAACATGAAGTGCTCTGTGCTCATTCCTGTTACAGCCAGAGCATGATTCTGAACTCCTTTAATGTGAGAAACACTGAATATCATCCTTAGATAGTTAATTGAAGTTAGATTTTGTGGGGAGGTCAGTTGTTTCTCCCTTGCAAGTTTGTGGGGAAAATTGATCACCATAATACTTGAAAGAGTGTGATCAGAGTAAAATTAATAGACATATCTGAAATGACTGTTTGATCTCTTCTAATTAATGAAATTTTAAAGAAAATTTTATACTAGTGCCAATTTTGAGTACTCTGTTTTACTTAGGACTTGAATATTAAATAATGTTGATTTATTCTCCCCATCAGTTTAGTTTTCAACTTAAATACATTTTAAGGTATAAAACTTACAGATAAACCTTGTGCCAATTTAAGTGGATGTATGGGGTTGTAATAAGATACTGCCCATCCCCATCAAAAGTTGTCTATGAATAAAGACTTCATATCATCGTGGGGTTTTTTTGTTGTTGTTGTTTTTCTTTTTTTGAGACGGAGTTTCACTCTTTTGGCCCACGCTGGAGTGCAGTGGCGCAATCTCGGCTCACTGCAACCTCCACCTCCCGGGTTCAAGCAGTTCTCCTGCCTCAGCCTCCCAAGTAGCTGGGATTAAAGGCATGTGCCACCATGCCTGGCTAATTTTGTATTTTTAGTAGAGACCGGGTCTCACCATGTTGGCCAGGATATTCACGAACTCCTGACTTCAGGCGATCTGCCTGCCTTGACCTCCCAAAGTGCTAGGATTATAGGCATGAGTCACCGCGCCTGGCCTGTGGTTTTCTTTGTGTATGATTTTCCTTATTAAATTCTCACTATGTAATGCCCTTTTTTTGTTTTGCTTTTAAGCTATTCAGTTATACAGAAAAAAATAAGCCAAGTTCTTTTTTTAAAAGAAAGGGGTTTGTTTGTTTTTAAGAGAAGCTACTCTCTCTTTTTTTTTTTTTTTTTTTTTGGATGGATTAGCATTTCCAAACTTTCTTTTTAAGTTCTTATAATTACCCCCTATTTCAGACATATCACTGTCAATTTATGCTGGGGAAGTGGAGAAAAGAAATTAGATTTTATCCTGATTTTCTCTTACTCACTTCATCTCCTGAGAGCTGAATTTGCTACATAACTAGCTGGGTAAGATGGAGAAACTTGTACATCAAGAAGACAGTAAGGGACAGGGACTGTGACCTCCTGTTCTATGGGGAAGAACTGCCTCAGTAATGCTCAGTTCCTGCTGAGACTGCCAGCCTCCCCATCTTAACTGTAGCCTGGCCTTCACCTGAGAAAGACAGTCAAAGTAGATACTGTTTCCTCTTCCTGAGCCTGCCTGGATTTCAAAGCATTCACTAAAATTTACATGGGAGAAGGGTGGGGGGCAGAGTACAGAATAGCCCAAGGGTGTGGGTCTTCTGTCCTACTGGTTCCAGTCAGAGCCAAGCCCCATTTTTGATGTCCTCGGGCCAGTGTTGGAAGTCAACTTCTGGACACATCTTTATCCTGGACAGATCTTCCTTGGTCCATTCTTAGGTCTTTCTTTTATTCTGCTCCATAATTGCTCTTTCTTGGCCAAGACTGCTCCTCCCCAAATGATCCTTGTCTGGCTCTACCTCCTGACTTTTCACCTCTTATTGTCTTCTTCCTGCCCTGGTCCCTTTTCCTGTCAGCTCTCAAGGCTTACACTTATTGGGCACCCAACTTCATTATTTCCCAGGTGTGAACCAGTGACCCATCAACCAGGTGTCTTCAGGGGGACTTTGCCATATCAGCTAATTACATTTTTACAATTTGGTGTCTTGATCGGCAGACTGAAACTGAAATATAGGGAACTCTCTCATCTGCAGCAGTTCAGAGGACCAGTTGTCTCCGTGGCAAAGTAATTAGCACGTTAGGATAAAACTGTCATCTTTGATGGACTTAAAACTGTCATTCTTCCAGAAGAGAAAGATGGACTCATCACCCACTTGAGCGTTACATGGACCATATTTTAAGACCAAACACTAGGCAATATGCTGTGAACTAAAGGTCTACTGATCTTGGCCACTGCAAATCTCATGTGCCAAAGTCTTTCAGCTCTATCTCCCCAAGCCCAAACCCAAGGATTATTCAGTCAGAAATAGAATGTGTGTAAAATTGATAGGAGATAATTTTCTCATTGGCCTCCTGCCCTAGTTCATTCTGTGCATTTCCAAATCTGGGCTCAAACTTGAACATGGCTCTGAGAGCTCTCCTTGATTCAGGCTTGGAGCTCAAGTAACAGAGTTGTCTCTGGCTGACTTCCTGGATTCCCCCCTTTCTAGATGGCCCTTAATGGTGCCTGATTTTCTCTTATGACTGATTTCATCAACTGAGGCATTTGCAGTGGTGCAATATCTTGCATTACTTTGTAAAGTTGTGACACCTTCTCTGGCATCCAGTTCCAGCATTTTAACTGTCAACCGACCATCGCACCCCACCTCCAATCCCCAGCTGGTACAGTCTTCTTTGCAACAATTAGGAAATCTTTATTGCCTTCCAGAAATATGGGATTGCTTGAACACAGCTGAAATACAGATTATCTACTGGACAGAGGTGATGAGGACTTATCACCTGACCTCACTTGATAATGTATAGTTATTTAATTGGGACAGCTTGCTAAAGAACAGAGGTTCTCAAATTCTAGGGACTCATGAGTCACTTCAATACAAGAAATAATCCTCTCCTTCCCCCATAAACTACCTACCCACTTCCTCTAACTTGTCACTGAAAACCTCGCCAGAAGAGTGAACACTGAGGCTGCTTTTGTCACAGGGTAGGGAGAATAATGATGATAGCATATGTTTGAAGAGCACTTTTTAAAGTTTTTTTTTACATCCACTTCCTTAATATATATCTTGATTAATATCAGAGGCAAAGCATAATTAGTTTATGTGTATGTTCATAATAAAATGGAAACCATCATGTTTCTTTCATCTGCCCACCACTTTTTAAGAATGCTGTTATATTATAGAACAGGGGAGAACTAGTACCAGGAGTCACAAATTATAGCCTGTGGGCCAAATCTGGTTTGCCACCTGTTTTTATAAATAAAGTTTTATTGGAACTCCACCATACTCATTTATTTATATATTATCTGACTATTTTCATCCTACAACAGAAAAGTTGAGTTCTTGTGATAGAGATTGCATAGCCTACAGAGGCTGAAATATTTACTATCAAGTCCTTCACAAAAAAAGTTTGCTGGCCCAGGACAGCAAAATGAAGCAAGCTGTCCTGTCATGAAAGTATACATTTAAATACAAATAGAGTAAATGTTGTCTGCAGCTTCCTCGAAAAGACTGGGGTAGAGGAGATTGCAGGGAATTGTAGGCTTAGGTCAAGAAAACAGAAATCTTGAGGTTTTCTTGAATCCAAAAAGAAATAAGGAACTTGGGTCCAGGATGCAAGAGAGGGAATTCTATGAGTAAATATCTTCATTTAGCACATTTTGTTAGAGCTCCTCAAAGAAGGCCAGGAAGTTTTTCATGCCAGTAATAAACCTTGAGGAAGCCTAGGAAATAACCCACTGGTCTGTCTTCTAACATGACAGCCGGTGTTCACTCTACATTCAAATGCAGAGTAGGGTGTGTGCCGGGCAAGATCTCCTGTTTGATTCCTCTGTGGGTCTTGTCTCCAGGAGGGCTTTATTAAGAATCTTTCCACTCACTCTTTTTAAGCTTATGTCCCTTTCCTTTTAAAACACCAGAATTCAACATTCATTACCTTTCTTCCCTTTGATTGCCCACTGAAGTTTTCACAGAGGAAGTAATGGTTTTCCTGTTTCCTTTCGGTGTGGCCATTTTGCACGCCATGGTTCTCCTTCCCTTTTTTCAGTCTTGCATTCAAGTAAAAGCAAGTCGTCTTCTACTGTTAACTGCGGGAAAAGGTTTGTGGGGGCCTTTTTTTTCCCTTCCCTCCTCCACAACTGGAAAATATGAGGCAGATCTTGTTTATGTATGCTGTAACCTCAAAAAGAGCTGATACGCTGTTGTCATTAAAGAAGAATCCCAAGCTGTTTATCCTGCAGTGGAGTCCGAGAGCTCTAAATCTGACAGCCCCCCTGGGCCTCCAGGCACAGACTGTGGAGAGCTCTTCGCTGCTTTCCCAGGCCAGCTCCAAAATGCAAGGCAAAGGTTTCCGTTGCTGAATCCCTACACTCTGGGAACAGACAAGATGTCAATGTTGTGGCTTTATTAAAAATCAGAGGCTTTCTTCCCTTGTATTAACTTGTTCTTTGAAATCTGTTTTCCAGAGGCCTTTTCTACTCTAAAATGTAACTTGAATACCCATCTTTCTGCTACATTTTTCTCTGTGGATCTCTTATCATGTTCCAGAAATCATTTTGCAAATTTATTCTATAGCCAGTATGTTTGGCAAAATTATAATAAAATAAGCTTTCTTATTTATCTAAAAACTAGTAAAAACTATGCTTGAGAAATACATCTTTCTGTTGAAGTTTGGTTCCCAATGTTTCTTTTAATCTTATTTTCTATGCATGTGCAACATTTGATTTTTTTTTTTTTTTTTTTTTTTTTTTTTTTTTTTTGAGACGAAGTCTCACTCTGTTGTCCAGGCTAGAGTACAATGGCACGATCTTGGCTCACTGCAACCTCTGCCTACTGGGTTCAAGCGATTCTCTTACCTCAGCTTCCAGAGTAGCTTGGATTACAGGTGCGCACCACCACTCCTGGCTAATTTTTGTCTTTTTAATAGAGACAGGGTTTCGCCGTGTTGGCCAGGCTGGTCTCGAACTCCTGACCTCAAGTGATCCACCAGCCTTATCCTCCCAAAGTGCTGGGATTACAGGCATGAGCCAACATGCCCGGCCTGATTTTCTTTTATAATAATGATTTTTTATAAACCTTTGTTTGTATAAAGCTATTTTAATTGCTTATATTTTTTTAGGATATATTTTATTGGTCTATGTTAGTTCCCTTTGTTTTGGTTTATCCTGGGGTCAAACCCAGATTCTCCCTACAAGGATTACATTAGATAGAGATCGTCAAAACCAGAAATGATCAACCTGAAACACTTCCTGGTCAGCTTTTGCTAAAAGAAGATATATCAATGCAATATGATTACCTTTCAAATAATGGACTTCTAATGACACAAGAGAACAATCTAGAGCATGCTAGTTGCTGCCACAGAAATGGATACAGAGACAACCCACAGTCTGGTTCTCATCCTCGTGTCCTTTACCCTACAGGAGAGAAGGGCTTATGATAACGAGCAGAGATTCCACTTTTATTTTAGGAAGCTTAGAGGTTAGGAAGACCATAATTTGTTCTTTAAACATCTCTTGCATTTTTATAAGTTCTCTTACCTTCAAAGCTTTATTCGAAGCTTCGGGTTTTTGCTTTTTACTTCATATCCCAATCTTTGTCTTCTCTTTTCTTTTTCTTTTTTTTTTTTTAACTGTCTCCTATACCCACTGATGGCAGACTCTGTTTTCTTTTATCTTCTTTTCCTTATTACACAAGAATTAAATGAAGCAACATCTATAATATAAATTCTCGGAAAAATTACACAACATGGTAATAACTAATTATAAAGGCAATTTATAGATTTGGGGAGAATTTCATCCCACAGTGATAGTAACATCGTTGGACCTGAAACCAGGACCTATTGATGACTGACCTGGGGCAATTTATCTCTGAGCTTGACTTTTCTTATCTATAAACTTATCTTAAACTCTACAAGCTTCTTGAGCTAATCCTTCTGGGGTATTAGGATTCGATTCAGGAGAGCTGAGTTGGAGCCTAGAAATCTTCATTTCTGATAAGCTCTCCAGGCAATAGGCCCTCAGACCTCACTTTGAAGACACAAAACTATGTAATTTCTAAGATCATTTCCTGCC
Organism: Homo sapiens; assembly: GCF_000001405.40. NCBI lineage: Eukaryota > Metazoa > Chordata > Mammalia > Primates > Hominidae > Homo > Homo sapiens. Next base: position 100,076,023 of record NC_000003.12, read on the forward strand.
TAAAATTCTGTGATTCTGAGTCTTCTTTCAACTACATGGCTTTGGGCAGGGCTGATGCTTCCTGGAAACTCACTGTTTCATCTGCCATATGTATAATTAAGAAATATATTTGTTAGTTATCTTGCCCGGAAAACCCTTAAAAATGTAAACAATAATTTTGATCAGAGTTAAGTACCTCTTTTTGTCACTGCTCAGTGGAGGCTTGTCTGTTTCATTCCTTTAATCTCTCATCATATGCTTATCTCTGTAAATATATTTTTCCCTCTCTAAAGGCCTCTCAGATGCTTTTCATCTTTCTGAAAGAATGTTTAAAGCCAAAGTCCAGGTGCTTACACTTTTGGACTTAATAACTGAGCTGTTTTTACTCACCACCCGCCCAACACCCTTCTTTTTCTTTTATCATTGTCAGCATGTGCTGAGCCCCTCTGATGGACAGCTTCACATCTACTTTATGCTTTGCTATTTCTGTTATATTGCAAAATCCTATCTAATCTGTGGGTTACAGTATCTATCTGGTTGCTTTTGACATGCTTTCGAGGTTTCATCCCCACTGAATGTCAGTCTTCTGAGTTATTTTTTCCTGGATACTTGTACTTAATTGTATTTTGCCAGACTGAACTCACTGTGTACTTTACTGTTCATTTTTCTGATCTCCAGGGATCCATGAATATTGTTTGACTTCACCTCTGTTTCTTCTACCATCTCCACCTTTAGTGCCATGTGAGGAACTTATTAATGTAACGTCTTCTCAGATTTCCAGGTCATTAATAAAGTTGTTTAATAAGATCTTTTGTGCAGCCTGGGAATTAGTCAGACTTACTCAGTATTTACAGCTCTGCTATCATTTCTTGCCCACTATTATGTCCTGTGTAGTTAAGGATGCAATAGAGACAAAAATTACTTTTCAAATTACAGTTCCTGCAAGAGATGTCTCTTCCCAGAAGACCCTTTACTGTTCCACATAAGAAATCAAAACTCTCATTTAATTAGAGAGGGCTTTCGGAACAAGGCTGGCCAGGGTACGCTTACATAAGCTTGTTTGCAGATTCCGGTTAGGTCTCCCAAGGTCACAGACAGCTGTGTTTTGCATTTAGCGTCCTTTGAAAGAAGAGTGGATGCTTGGATAGCTTGTACTTGACATGCAAAGAACTTAGGAACTGCATACTTTCACATGTTGCTCGTAGGTTCCAAGCAAATGGGAACACACCATCATGCAGAAACTCTCTATCTGCCGTTATCCTGTGAGCTCCCAATCAGTGATGCATGGTGTTCTTAAGAAGTAGACTCAGGCAACAGCCAAAGTCATTTCTTTCTCTTACAATCTGAGAAGCAAGTATGTTTGTACTTCACTGAGAGTGTTTCAGGACAGCAACCAGTTTAAAAATAAGAGTAGTTAAACAAAAAAGGTGGTTAGCTATTAAGCCATGGCTGGATTTTATAGCACAAAAAGTTAATGCAAGGCAGTGTGTATTTAAGATAAGGAGGATTTAAGGAAATGGAGAGGGGAGAAGAGTAACATTCCAGGTAGAGGAATTGCAAGATAGCCTTCATCCCCACAAGAATTAACATAGTAAAACAGTACAGAATGAGATAAATTCAGTAAAAATAATAAGGAATTGGCTTTGCCCAGTGGCTCACACCTATAATCACAGTGAGGTGGGACAATGAATTGAGCCTAGTAGTTCAAGACCAGCCTGGGCAACATGGCAAGACCCTGTCTCTACAAGAAATAAAAAAATTAGCCAAGCATGGCTGTGCATGTCTGTGGTCCCGCTACTGGGAGGCTGAGACAGGAGGATCACTTGAGCCCAGGAGGTAGAGGCTATAGTAAGCTGTGTTCGCATCACTACACTCCAACCTGGGTGACAGAATAAGACCCTGTCTCAAAAAAAATAAGAATAATAAGGAATTATTAAAATAGAAATTTAGGACACCCAGTTTCACTTACTCAGACTCTAAAATGGAATGTCAGTCGTTTAACAGCCAGCTAAAACATTATTAATTGTACTAACAATATTGAGTTATCCTATTTATAAGTTAGAATTGGGCTTGCTTTAAAAAAAAAAAAGATAATATATGCTGGTTTGATAAAAATTTCATGTCAGTATTTTAGTATACAAACATCATATTGGTGCTAATATATTTGCTCCCATTCCTCAGAACAACTAAAGAAAAGTAAATTAACTTTTCAAAGTGTTGAAGTATATAGGAGGGAAAGTAACAGTAGTTATTGAAATAAAACACCCTCTAGAAATGCACCCTTGCATTTTAGCCAATAATTGATAAATCCAGAGAAAACGTAGAACTTTGCCTAATTTTTTTTTCTGTTACAGTTCTTACATGTAGAACGATGACATAACACATATGTAATATAAAACATAATGGTTGTCTTAATTCTCTATTGCTACATAGCAAACCACTCCAAAATGTAGTCGTTTAAAACAGCAATAATTTATTTTTTATTGACTAGGTCAAGGGTGTCCAATCTTTGGCTTCCCTGGGCCACATTGCAAGAATTGTCTTGGGCCACACGTAAAATACACCAACACTAGCGATAGCTGATGAGGTAAAGAAAAAAAAAATTGGCCTGGCATGGTGGCTCGCTGGCCTGTAATCCCAGCACTTTGGGAGGCCGAGGCAGGCAGATCACTTGAAGTCAGGAGTTCAAGACCAGCCTAGCCAACACGGCGAAACCCCATCTCTACTAAAAATACAAAAATTAGCCGAGCATCATGGCGGGTGCCTGTAATCCAAGCTACTCGGGAGGCTAAGGCCGGAAAATCCCTTGAACCTGGGAGGTGGAGGCTGCAGTGAGCCAAGATCACACCACTGCACTCCAGCCTGAGCGACAGAGTGGGACTCCATATCAAAAAAAACGGAAAAAAAGATTGCAAAAAATCTCATAATATTTTAAGAAAGTTCACTAATTTGTGTTGGGCCACATTCAAAGCTGTCCTGGGCCACATGTGGCCCACGTTGGACAAGCTTGGACTAGGTTCAACTAGATGGCTCTCTTTTCCAAATGAGGTGGGCAAGACCTCTGCAATAGCATTCAGCTGAGGCTGAAATGTACAAAATGACCCCTCATAATCCAGGCCTCTCTCCCCAGTCCTCTCAGCGTTAGCAGTCTTTTACAGTCTTTACAGCATGGTGACTGGCTTACGAGAATGCAAAGGTGAGAGTCGCCAGGCCATTTTGAGGCTTGTTTACACCCCAAAGTGGTAAAGAGTTACTATCGATGCTTTCTGTTGGTCGAAGTATTCAAAAAGCCAGCCTAGATTCAAGGTAGAGGAAATAGCCTTCACTTCTTGACAGGATGGATGGCAAAGAATTTGTAACCATCTTTAATTTCCATATAGTTGCTTAGTAAATATTTGTTGACTGATAGTACGAATATTGCATTTGAACTTCTTTATGTCCTTGGTTGCACTGAAGTGATGTTTATGTTATTATTTTGTGGTAGAGTTTACTTCATAGTTCATGAAAAATCAAAAGAGTTATTTTATCATGTCAGCAAAAAAGTAGATTTTTTATTTTTGAATAGATACAGTCAGTGTCACTTTTGATTATTAAAAATCTTTGTAAGGGTGTGGAATCAGAATCCTCTTTCAAATCCTTCTGATTTTCAATTCATTGTGAGGTTCCATTATTTTATGTGAGATTATATGAATGCCCCAAACATTAGGTACCTGTATTCACACTTTAGAACAAAAATTAATCCCACAGCAAATCCCAGATTTGAGGAGTTACTACCGTTTTACAATTTCTATGCCTCATTACTCTCATGATAACCTAAAAAAAAAAATCAAGATTTGATATCTCTATTATTTAAAAAATAACTAACATAAAATAAACATAGATGTTGGGATTTTTTCTTTTTATTAAAGTTTAAATAATGCATATATGGGTAATGTCATCTCTAACAAAGGTTTTCATGGCATATTGAGAAACAGAGTGGCTTGGAGTGGCTAGATCAAGCAACTCAGAATTCACCATATGAGAAATTAAATGCTTCACAAAATTAACGGTGTCAACACTGGGTCTTCTGCACCCTCTTTTAACTTTTACTCCATCCCTCTGCTGAAATAAGCTATTTTTCTTTTCTTTAATTAATAAAAAATTAAAAATTTCTATTTTTTTAATAGAGACGGGGATCTCGCCATATTGCCCAGGCTGGTCTCAAACTCCTGAGCTCAACCATCCACCTGCCTTGGCCTCCCAAAGTATTGGGATTACAAGCATGAACCACTGCACCCGGCCATCATTTTTCTTAAAGCTCTCATAACCTAGCTAAGAGGGGGAAAAAAAAATTTAATAACTCTAGGGTTCTGACTCTCCCTGAACAAACTATCCCTTTACAGAGGGTTTCTCAGACTTTAGTGAGCATAACAATCACCCAGGGAACATGTTAAAATGTAGATTTTGGGGAGTACCCTAGACAATTTCAATTTTATAGTAAGAGATGGGGCCCAGGATCTGAATTTAGTACCTGGGGCAATGCAGATATAGGTGATCTGTGGACCACATTTTGAGAAATCCAGCTTAGATTTTCTCCTGCCAGTCTCAGAAAGGCTGAAACTGGTTAGGTATGAAGGAGTGATGCCTTGTTCTGTTCTCCCGATAGCAAGAGGCAGTGGGGATGGCAGAAAGACTTAATGTGGGTTTGTCACATGATTAGAATCGATGCCATTTCTTGGTCATATCAGCTAATTCTTTATTTGCATTGGAACTGGAAGGCTTGTGAGAATAGATATGGAATGTTTCACCAGTCAGTTATTAACCAAATAAGGCAAGGACTGCCTTTTCTTGCATAGTCCTATTTTAGGATGGATGTGTACACTTTTCCTGCCATGGTTACCAAAGCAATCCCTTTGAAACCAGCCCATGGTTCTGTCCTAAAGGATGAGTTGAGAGTATTAATTGGTTTTAGGTCTGTGTTTGCAGAAGATAAAAAGGAGTCATGTATTTATGTCATTATTTATTCAAGAACTATCTGTTGAGCATCTTGTGTAATGAAGGTGTTATTTTAGACACTCTCAACAGCCAATGTTATATCCATTAGTCTTGCTGATATTTCTAGCCCCCTTATTTGATGAGCCTTAATTTTTGAAAAGAATTGCAGAACTTCAGACCACCTCCATGGTTCATAATCCTCTCTCAAGATGGAACTTCACCGAAGCCACCCAAGAGTCCTTCTAATCTTCACATGTTCAAGAGATAAATCATCTTTTATCTCTTTTTTTGTCAGCAATAAAAATGGAGAACAAATCACCTTTCATGTAAAACAAATTATATACCATGGTTTATTATTATCCAGCAGATACACTGATGGTCAGTTTATGCTTTTGGAAACCCAGCAGGATTCTTTGAAAGCCCACTGTCATACTCTTAAGCAAATTTTAATCTTGTCTGTCAATGCTAGTCTCTTAGAGGAATCTGATTATACTTGACAACCCTTATCTTCCATGTATACTTATGTAGAAAGATATCTCTGTGGATAGCTCAGGGATTAACGACTCATGAAGATTCTTTGGTTGGGAATAACATTGTGTAGTTTGGCCTCTGCACCCTAATTGTTGCCTCCTTGAAGTCTGCATGCCAGTATAGTGTGATTTTATGAGAGTAACAGTCATGAAAAGTTCTCTAAGAAGGGATTTTTTAAAATATATCCATCAATACAGGTAAATAGTAAATGTTACAATGATACATCACATCTTTTTATTATTTTTATTATCAATGTCTTTTCTTAGTTGTTTTAGAGCCAGGTTTCTCCTTCTGTTCTGGGTCTTAGTTGCAGAGGGCTGTCCTGTGCATTGTAGGATGTTTAGCAGCATCCTTGGCCTCTACCATGCCAGTAGCACCCTCCGAGTTGTGACAATTAAAAATGTCTCCAGACACTGTCAGATGTCTTCCCAAGATAACATTGCCTTCAATTGCTGTTTTAGAGTAGGAGGTATGGCATATTTAGACTTTAGGCTATCTGAGGAAAAACTGTTCCAGTATCTTATGATATTCTCTCCCCATCTTCCAAAAAGTGCTACATGAGCCTCTGAAAATACTGGCATGTTCCTAGACATTTTTAGTTCAGTTCAGTCTTTAAAATGAAATTGCAAAATACAAACAACTCTTTATTTTCCCATTATGTTGTTTATAACAAACCAAGAACATTATTGCTAAAGAGTCATATATCATGAAGTGTGCTGCATAGAATTCATAGAATAGAATCTGTTTAACATACTGACCTAAGCTGCACATGTAAAAAGTAAATACTACTTATTACTCATATAATTCATAGGCAAGAATTTACAAATACAGTATAGCAAAAACTTAAAAGGAACTCCTCTGTACTGCTGGGGAGAGAGGTCAAAATTTTTTGTCATCACAGATAAGAAAACTCACTGTTATCATAACTTACAGCTTTAAGACTGGTAGTTAGTTAATGGTTTCTATTTTCTTCTATCAGTGAGAAATTATTCGTTTCCAGGAATCTCTTGGAGAAGACAGCCCATAATATCTGAGTGAGGAATGAGCCAGCTTTGAAGACCCTAAACAGCAGCATGGCATTCATATTTCTGGTCAGAAGAATGCAGCTCTGGGAAACAGGGTCCCACAGGGTAACTATTTTTTGGTTATAGTCGAGCTCCAACAAATTTTATTTAGGAAGCCTTTATAGATGCCACACAAACACACCCATTTTTTATACCCTTACTTAAATTTATTGTTACATGTTTCTGTTTCTGTGAGGTCCATACATGTCACAAAATCTGTTTTTCAGCATGGTAGTCATAGACTTACCTTCGTTGACTTAAGACACCACCTAGTTTGAAGAGATATAATTCACCCCTTGGGTTTATTTTGTGAGAATGGCCTATTGTACATTCCACAATCTGTAGAATTAGCTTGCCTGTGGTTTTGAAAAAAGAACAAATTGAGAACTCTTGCCCTTGTGGTTTTATTTAATGTTTAGAAAAATTCAAGTTTAGTCTAGTACTTTGGGATGTGTATATTCTACTGGCTATATTTATGAAATTACAATTATTTTCCAGCAATTTCCAGGTCTAAATAAAATCATGTATGGATTTTATTGTTTAGGGTCAGACATATTGGCAGTCAGTACCTGACAGGGTCAAAGTGAGAGTTTTTTTACTTAATGCTTCAGGATATTCAACATAAGACTCTCCAGAATATTCAACATAAGAATTAACTAAATAGTTTTACTTTATCTTGGGCTTGCTTGCGCCTGTAATTATTTGTTTTTATCTTGACCGACTAGTTAATTGCCAAAGGATTATTTTAGATAAGTAGCCCTTAACGTATGTTGTGTGGAACAGCAGCATCAGCATTACCTGGGAACTTGCAAGACATGAAACTTCCTAGACCCAACCCCAGGCCTACTGAATCAGAAACCCTAGGGGTGGAGCCCAGTGATCTGTATTTTAGCAAGCTCTCCGTCTGATTCTAATGCACAGCGAGATTTCAGAACCATTGTTTCAGACCATAATCATTGTGACATTTTCCCGTCTTGTCTCTGATGCCATGAAAAGCAAATGATTTTTGCCAAGAAACAAATATTAGTTGCTTAGTGCATGCTTCTTTATCTTGTTTGAAATATGAGGCCTACATTTAGTGTCATATTTTTTAAAGTGTTAGAATAATCAGTCTTAACTAAATTGTGTTTTCAACTTCATAAAAAAAATTTTTAACATCACCATTTCTTTGTTTGTTTGTTTGTTTAGAGAAGGGGGTCTCCCTATGTTGCCCAGGCTGGTTTCAAACTTCTGGGCTCAAGCAGTCCTCCCACCTTGGCCTCCCAAAGTGCTAGTATTAAGGCATGAGCCACGGTGCCTGGCGTGATTCTTGCCATTGGAAGTTCTATAGTAGATTTTGGTCAGAAGTACTAAGGTTGTGAGCATAATTATCAAAATAAAATTTATGTATGCTGAAGTTGACAGCTGAATTACAAAGAATATTTCTCCGTTATAGTTAATTTGTGTTATTTCTTCCTTTCATAAAATAATAATAATGCTTGTATTAAAATTTCTGCTACCCCCATGCCAGCAGAAAGGAGCTCAATTTTTAAAATAAAGCCTCGGGCCATGAGACCCATGTCATTTGCTGCATGTCTAGACTTCTAGATTATGCATTTGTGCCCCAGTTAAGCAAAAGCTCCGTATTGTTATTTCATGTACATGTTTAAATAACTTTAATAGCAGCCTTTGGAGTGGCTCATTTTAAAAGTCCCTTTTAGTCTCCTACCTGCTATTTTTCACTAGCCCATTGAGTAGAGGGGTTTTTCATGCTACCCACATAAAAATATGCAAATATTTATAAGCTTAGGTCCATCAAACTAGTTAATTTGGACCTAAATATGAATTTTGATCAAGGCTGCTTGCAAATTCACATTTTGGGCTTACTTTCAGATTTCAGATATATAGAAAAACTCAAAGAAAATGAATAAAGCCTTTCAGTGCTCCAAAGATTTGTTTAAAAGGAACAGCCACTAAAAACGGGAAAACAATACAGTGTTATGGGAAGTAAGAACCTTATGATAGCCGTGTCTCTTAAACAGAGCTTTATAAAGAGGAACTGATGTGGTTTTACTATGTCTATGCAAGGGATTTGACCGTAAAGCCATAAGTTAGAGAAATTGTCACTTACGTATAAACATGAGGATATGGATATTACAGATCAACCTCACTTTTTCCACTTATTTGTGTTCCGAAAACTGAATATTTATAAATCAAATCATAGTTTTCACTTGGTTCATATTATCATCTCAGAGCTGTAGCTTCTTTTTCACTTGCGTAGGTGGAATTTGGTTGCTAAAATACCTATCCCCAATCAGTCCCAGCCTTGCATCAAGTTAGGGAATTATAAATGAAGTAGCCACTATGTAAAGGTAATGTAATGAATCCAAAAATTATCTTATAATGCAGAAACTCATTCTCTGTCCATGTCTTTAGCTTCAGATTTTTCTGTCATTTGTTGAATTGTGGCGCACTTTTAAATATGTATGTATGGTACAGATCTCTGCTGAATCTCCTAAACTAAGCCGTATCCCCTAAAGTGGTGGTTTCCAGCCCAGGCTGCTCAATAGAATCACAAGAGAAACAGTCCTGATCAGTTGAATTAGAATCCCTGGATATGGAATTGTTTTAAAAGTATCTAAGGTGATTATACCGTACAACCAACCTGAAGTTTGCCAGAAGAGAACATTAATATTTTAGAACAGCTTATTATTGTAGATAGTGTGATTATAAACTAGTTAAAATGTTTCACACTAAGAGGACTGATGTTTTATATCTTCCCTTCTCCTTAAGGAATTCATTTCTTTCTGCTTCCTCATGTAGGGAAAAATGACTGACTTTTACTATAATAGCAGGGTCTTTTTATACAAATGTTGCCCATTTGGGACTATGCTTTCTCCAAGTGCTTGTAATTTCTCAAAACCATACATCAATCCAAAGTTCCTTTGCTTTTTTATCTCAGAAGCAAAAATATCCCCATTTCTTCCTCTCTTATCAACCAAGACCCCTCTGTGTTCCTCTTTCATCCTTCATCTCAGCATAGCTCTAAGATGCAGGCAAATAACATCCTCAAGCTTACAGGCTTTCCGTCTCTCATGAGGGAATGAAGTGCCTTTCCTCCAACTGAAATGTTTCTGAAGTACTCTTCAGCCACTGCAGTGTTCTGTCATTTTTGTCTGTCATCTGGGAATCAGAGCTATGCACGTGGATGATGACCCCCTCCTAAGTGGCCAAATAAAAGAAGTTACATATGTCTTTTATTCACTCTGTGTTTCTCTGGAGACCTCGACTAGCAGGAAAAGAGGTGGTTACATTTTCATGAAGAGTAATATACTCCCAAGTTGCATTTTAATGGATAACTTAGCTCTGGGTTAGATTCTTCAGCATAAAGGTCACCACTTTTAATATAGAGGGTCATGAGTTTAGTCATTGGACAAGTTAATCAAATGGCTGCTGTAGTTGAAAAGTACATCTGCATTTGAATAAAATATGATTCGTGTTAGAGAGCTAAACTTGATGTTTGGTTTCCTCCAGGTAATAAAATAGCTTTTAATGAAATAAACATGTATCTTTCTGCAGCGAACCTGCATAAAGAGCATAGAACAGTTGCGTTTCCTTTCTGGCAGTGGTAGAGAGTCTTTGACCTGCCATGGGCTGCTTTATTTTATTCAGTCTCAAATAGTTAACCTATTGAGCTGATTAGAAAACAACTAGAAGTCATTCAGTACCACAGAAGAAAGGGACAGAAAAGCCACGAAGTTAGTTGTACTTGTTTGGACATCAATATCATTGATTATATCATTCCAAGTATTACTACTGAGAAATGTCTTGGAATCAGCTGACCCCCTCTAGTTCTAATACCATAAAGGGGGAAAAAAAATCCAGGTTCTACTCTTATCTGTGCTTTCTCACTTATAACAGTACCTAACTCCTAGTTGATACTCAAATACTTTTTTTACAATTTGTTTTAGCCCTAAGCCTGTTTACCCAAATCAAATACCTTTTTAAGAAAAATTAAACTGGTATTTATTACCCACCAGGCTAACGTCCAAAATATGTGCCTTCCTATGAATCATTGCAGCAATTTAGTGTAGAGCCTCTTTAAATTTTTGATAAAAATCATTGGAGAGTTGGGAGCAATGGCTAACCCATTTTTTCACTTTTTAAAATTTACATATGGTAAAATTCACTTTTGTGTCTAGGACAGGTCTGTGATTCAGACAAATGCATACAGCAGTGTGATCACCACCATAATCAAAATGCAAAGCACTTCCATCACCCCCAGAAATCCTTCAGGCTCCCTTTTTAATCAGTCCCTCTCTCTATTCTCAACCCCTAGTAACTACTGATTTTTTTTCTGTTCCTCTAATTTTACCTTTTCCTGAATGTCATATAAATGGAATCACAGTATTTTGAATCTGGTTTCTTTTACTTAGCAGAATGTACTTGAGATACTATCCAAATTGTCATGTGTACCAACAGTTTGTTCCTTTTTGCTGCTGTTTAATGTGCTGTCATACAGCTGTACCATAGTTTGCTAATCCAATTACGAGTTGAAGGACATTTGGTTTATTTTCTGTTTGGGGCAATTATGAATAAAGCCACTATTAATGTTCACGTACAGGTTTTAAGTGAATGTAGCTTTCTTGTGAGTGTTTCTCTAGGAGTGGAATTACTGGGCTTTGTTGTAAATGAATGTTTAGCATCTTATAAAGAACTGCCAAACTGTTTTCCAAAGTGATTGTACTATTTTGTGTTCCCACCAACAGTGTATGAGAAATTCCAGTTGCTCAGCAACCTCACCAGCAATTGGTATTGTCAGTGGGTTAGTTTGGTTTTGGTTTTGGTTGACTGGGTTTTGTTTTCTTTTGTTTTTCTGGTCATTCTAATAGTGGTATCTCCTTGTGGTTTTAATTTGTATTTCCACAATGACTAATGGTGTTGAGCATCTTTTCATAGACCTATTTTTCATCCAAGTATAGTCTTTAGTGAGGCATCTTTTCAAACCTTTTGCTTTTTTTGTTTAATTGTTTTCTTATTATTGAGTTTTGAGATTTATTTATATATTCTGAATACAATTCTTTTTCAGATATATAACTTGCGAGTTTTTTTCCCCAGTCTTTGGTTTGCCATTTCATTATATTAATAATGTCTTTCACAAAGGAAAAGTTTTTGAAGAAGACCAATTGATCAGTGTTCTCTTGTGGACTGTGCTTCTGGTATTGTACCTAAGGAATCTTTTCCTAACACAAACTCACAAAGATTTTCTCCTATTGTTTCAACTTTTTTTTTTTTTTTTTTTTTTGAGTCTCACTCTGTCACCCAGGCTGGAGTGCAGTGGCAAGATCTCGACTCACTGCAACCTCCACCTCCAGGGTTCAAGCAATTCTCCTGCCTCAGCCTCTCAAGTAGCTGGGATTACAGGTGCCCACCACCATGCCTGGCTAATTTTTATATTTGTAGTAGAGATGGGGTTTTACCATGTTGGCCAGGCTGGTCAGGAACTCCTGACCTGAAGTGATCTGCCTGCCTCGGCCTCCCAAAGTGCTGGGATTACAGGCATGAGCCACTGCACCTGGCTCTAACTATAATTTTTTTAAACTACTTTTGTAGGTTTTTAAAGTGAAATTTGGGAGCTTGCTGGGATGGAAAAGGCAGTGAAACAGAGAAGTTATCATTATATGTGTCCCTTGGACATCCCTTACCTAAACCAAAAGCTTAAATTGATACAGAAAAAAATAGTTTCATTTCAGAAGTTAATATAGGTTTTCAGTGTAACGCTCAGACATTATGGAATACAGATACCTAGATCCCCCAAAACTACAAATAATGCAAATGAGTAAGTTATTATTGTCAGAGGAAATATATGAAGATATAGCTAATATATGGATAACTAAATTATTCATTTTCTGATTGAAATTAACTTTTAAAACCTGAATCATTTCAAAATCTTTATATTTGTAGGAAATGAATATTCTGCACATTAATAATTCATAATAAATTGCTGAGAAAACGATTACATTTTCAAAAGTGTCAAAGCACACCAGTTTCCTCAGTCTTACAGAGACATCAAGTTCTTGCACTTTCTCTCCTTCTCTGCAGTTTTCTCTCTCTTCTTTTTCTCCTCATCACTCCCTTGAGTCTCCCATTTTTCTTGCTAATCCTGACATATTTTCTTGTCCTTGTGCCTTGTAATTTCTTTTTCTTCATATTTTTGTCTCTCTTCTCTATCTGCCCCACTTTTTTGTATCTTTTAATTCACTACAATATGAAACCAGTTTCTTTCTCTGGGTAGTATTTATTTAGTGAGCTTTTTTTTCCTTTTTGTGATGTAAATGTTTGTTTTTTGTTATGTTTATTTTTTGTCCTTCTGACTCAGAAATTTTTCAGAAGCACTAAGTAAGTCACTGTTTGCATGTACTTGAATCAATCATGGTTTACACTCTCCAGAGAGAAAGTATCCTTTGATGAAATAAGGACATTACCCACCTCTGCTCTGTAAGGCACCAGTATTAGAAGGCATCAGTGAGGATCATTTTATCCATTTCCCTACCAGTAAAGTATCCAAGAGTAAAAGTTATATAATATAGTTAACATGAAGTGTCTAGACATAGCTACTTTGCTAATACATTCCAACGTCTAGCTCTTGTTTTCAGTGGCTTAAAGATATGTAGTAATCTTATTGATCTGCTTTCCAATTTTTCTGGCTGTATTTGCCCTACAGGAAGTATTTTATTATTTAGAGTTCAGTTGCATTTTCTATTACTACACGCATATCCACAAGCAAAACCATCCAGAGAGATTTACTTGGTTTTCCTGTTCTTTCCTACTCAACAATGCTAGCTAATACTCTTCAAAATTAAATATTCTTTGTTTTTACTAACTTTATGCAAGTAATGGATTAACTGAATTTAAAGCCCTAAAGAGTAGATGGAGATGAAGATATGAAGATTTTTCTGCATCCACCTATAAGTCAAAGCCTCATGTCAAGCAAAAAGGATAGGAAGCAGAAACATTTCTAAAACTGAACAATTTAACAGACTAGAACTAAGCATTTCCCATTATGGTTCTTTATATGATATTTGATAACTGAATCACTTTACTGATGTCTTACATTGAGTGAAAAGGTAGTATAATATAAATACAAATTTCATAGGCATTTGTATGAAGTAAGAATTCATTGCTCGTTAATAATCTGGAAAAGAAGACACCCGTGGCTAATTGAGGAAGATTTAGTCAGGCTTTTTAAGTAGAATGTCATATTAGGAACAACTGGATTCTAGTCTCCATTTTTGCCACCTACTAGTTCAGTGACCTGGAGCAAGTCTTGTCTTCCGTTTCCTAGGCTGTGAACTGTAGGAATTGACTCAGATGATCTCTAAGACCTCCTCTAGTACTGAACAAAATTGGAGGGAGGAAATAGTACACTCATCTTCCCTACTCCCCCGCAACTGCAAAGCCAGCTAGCTTTTCTCCTGATAGGAGTGCGTGGAGCCACAGAAAACTTCACTGATGTTTATCTCAAAGCTCATTGCTTCACTGTCTGCAGCTGATCCTTCTGAGCTCCTTCCATGGAGGGCTTGTTCCAAGGGCAGTCCCTCCCTAAACTATGAAGCACTCTATGAATGCCCCTTCTAGTAAGGCCCCAGGCACCTTTGTCCACATGGGTCCATTGTGCAGCTGTTTGCTATTGTTTTCTTCAAGATTCAAATTTAACTGTCCCGATCTTCTGAGTCTTTAAGATAGTCAAGGGAACATTAGCTCACTGAAAATAATTGAAAACACCTTTTGGAAAAGTGCAGCTGGGAATGCAAGCATGGGATTCAATCATGCTGGTCGTGATTTTTCAGGGAAGAGATTATTCCTCTACCTTATAACATTTTCTAAGAAATTTAGAGAAAGCAATTCCACCTCTGATTTTCTGAGTCATAGTCTTTGAGAGCAAAACCAGGCGACAGAGATGCATGACTTGCCCAGGCCCTCCCAGTGGTAGGTTATGAAACTGTTCTGCAATCCCCTGCCTGGGCTCTTTCTCTGCAACACTAGCCTCTGCCTTTCCAAAGCCTTCCTGGTGTTGCAGTCGTGTTCTCTGTAGCATTTCCCATTGCCTTTGACCCTGAGTCACTCCTATCATGAAATAAGGCTGTATTTAATTAGGACACCCAAATGCTCAGGAAAACCTCTCCATCAGAACTGCACAACTTGTCTGATCACCACTGTCCTAGGAGCTCTCTGCAGGTATGCCAGTGCTGACAGGCTGACTGGCCTCAGGAATATGGTATCTCCTATCCTCCCTAGAGCTTGCCTGCTTCATTCCATCCCATGTAGTCTAAAGTATATTTTAAGAAAACTTGAAATGAGTGCAGAGGTTAAACATTTCAAAGTAGCTTGGGATTACAAGTAATTTTAACCCAAGGTCATTTGGAAAATGTCATTCCTGAAACCCTACCTTAGGCCCGGGCACAGTGGCTCACGCCTGTAATCCCAGAACTTTGGGAGGCCGAGGTGGGCGGATCACGAGATCAGGAGATCGAGACCATCCTGGCTAACACGGTGAAACCCCGTCTCTACTAAAAATACAAAAACTTAGCTGGGCATGGTGGCGGGCACCTGTAGTCCCAGCTACTCGGGAGGCTGAGGCAGGAGAATGGCGTGAACCTGGAAGGCGGAACTTGCAGTGAGCCGAGATTGCGCCACTGCACTCCAGACTAGGCGACAGAGCGAGACTCCGTCTCAAAAAAAAAAAAAAAAAAGAAAAAAGAAACCCTGCCTTTAAGGGGTGTGCATGTATGTATGTGTATGTATGTTCACCTTCTTCTTCCAAAACAAAATGTTTTAATAAATGAACTTTGTGGAATTTGATTGGAAAGACTCATGTTTTGTAAGGGAAGAAGAAGTGTAAGAAATTAGGTAACAAGAGCAGCCAGTTTTAAAGATGCATGCTGATAAATGCTTTGCAGCACAAGCCTTCTACCCTGTTCCCAGCCATAAGCATCATAAGTTATTCTGTCACCAAAAGTGTAGCCATGTTCTAACTTACGTGCCTGACTTACATTACAAAAGTATAACTAGCTTCTCAATTTCCCACATAATCTTTTTATCTGCAGCCACTTGAGTATCCCAAATTCCTGTTTCTGCCATCTCTGACAAGAATAAAAATAATGGAAAACTAACCATTTTCTACCAGTATCATTAGTCAGAGTAAAATCCTTTTTCTAGACATATTTCCAATATTTTCCTTAAGACAGGATTATTTGCTCAGCGTCTCCTCTCGTGATTCACAGGTACATTGTTCCGATTCCACGTTGGGCCTGAGTAAATATTAATTGAAACTGTAAAGGCAGTATATAACATGGTGGTTAAGAACTCAGGTTCTAGGGTCAGATTTCTCAGGTTAGAATCTTAACGCTGATCTTTACCAGCTATCTGTCCTAGGGCAAGTTGCTTGATCTCTCTGGACCTTATTTGTGCCACATATGTAAAATGGGGTTGCGGATATTAATATCTATTTCATAGGGCTATTATGAGCAGTGGTCCTTAAAAATGTACTCTGTAAAGAATTTAGAAAAAATGCATACTTCCTCACACATTTTTAAGTTGGATCTAAAACTTTTTATCATGGCTTTCAAAGTTTATTTTTGTTAAATAGGAGGTAGAAAAGAGTAAATATTCTATAACAGTATTAAATAAGAATTGATTGTGATTGGAAATAGTTGACATGCTGGCTAAAGATGTCCTGATGAAAGCATGTGTCCCTGAAACCAGTAGATTTCCCGTCATAGCATATTTTGGATTCCAGGAGTCTGTTTACCCCAAAGACAATGGTATACAAGATAATGAACTGTAATAAGATTTGTTTTGAGTGAGAAGTTTGGCTTTTTTTTAACATGGAAAAGCCAATATGAATGTAGTTGGATTCTCAGGCAGCTGAAAAATAAAGTACAAATGGAAGTTAAGGTCTAAAGACAAATTTCCTTAAAATACCCTTGCATGTGTATATCTTGTATTTGCATGCCCAGTACACATACCCCAGTTGGAAGGCCACTAGTTATGAGGGTTAAATGAGTCAATGCATGTTAAGCTCCTAGAATAACGCCTGGTATCTAGTATGCACTGAGCAAACATACATTATTGCTATTATTATTTTAGGTTCTCCCTTTAGAGAAAAAAATATTCATACTTACTCTGAGGTCCTACCTTGTCCTCATGTCTTATCTCCCTGCATTCAGCATCCTTTAGAATTAAGTGACTAAGGATCAGAAGTATCTATTACCTCTGTATTGGGATCATGGTTCCATTCTTCTCACAAGACAAACTCATTCCAGGAGTTAACAGCGGGGACTTTCTGGTCAAATTCTATTCAGTTTAGCTATCTATAAATATGACATTCTCCTGGATACACATAACTCTCACTACCTATGGATCCAGCCTGATGCTAAAGGTTCCATAAATTGAGAATTTGTGGGGTTTCATAAATACGTTGAAGGAGTAGAGGTTACTAGATAACTGCAGAAATAGAATACAGAATGGAAAAAATTGAAGTGTAAAATTTTAAAAGAAAAGGTTAGCTCATTTTAAACATACTCTATGCACTGGTCATCAGACACTTAGAAATCTCAAAATCAAAACAGGGACCTCTGGCCTAACATATTACCAGATATACTGAGTTGAGCAGCTTATGTCATTAGATATTAGTTCTGTGTTTTTATAGCTGATGTCTTCTGTAACTTTTTAGTTACCAAAACAATGTATGTTCATTTTAGAAAAAGTCAGATAATCCAGAAGGAGAAAATGAAAGTCACTGATATACTACCACCTAGGGATAAAGATTTTGATACATATTTTTTCTTACAAAAAATATATAC
Organism: Homo sapiens; assembly: GCF_000001405.40. Taxonomy (NCBI): domain Eukaryota; kingdom Metazoa; phylum Chordata; class Mammalia; order Primates; family Hominidae; genus Homo; species Homo sapiens. The sequence goes on from NC_000003.12 coordinate 100,093,415, forward strand.
TTACATTATTTTTCTTACAAAAAATATATACTTTTTTACAAAAAATATATACTTTTAATTTTTTAAGTAAACTTTTTACTTTGAGATAATTGTGATTCACATGCATTTGTACGGAATAATGCAGAGTGATTCCACATACACTTCAACCAGTTTCCTCCAATGGTAACATCTTACAGAACTGTAGTGGAATGTCACAACCAGTATATTTACATTGATACAGCTTAGAAAACATTTCTGTCACCACAAGGATCCCTCATGTTCACCTTTTATAGCCACAACCATTTTCCTCCCATCCCCTACTCTCTCCTGAAACCCTGGCAATCACTACTTCTCAATTTATATAATTTTGTCACTTCAAAAACAGTATATAAATAGAATCATACAACATGTAACCTTTTAGGATTGACATTTTTTTCACTTATCACATAGCACAATTTTCTGAAGAGTTATCTAGGACATCTGAGTTTTTTCCATTTTTTGGCTATTACAAATAAAACCACCATAAAGATTTGTGTACAGGTTGTTGTGTGAACACAAGTTTTCATTTCCCTGGGATGAATGCCCAGGAGTGCAGTTGCTGGGTTCATATGGTAGTTTTATAGAGTTACTGTACCAACTTACATTCCTACCAGCAATGTATGAGTGATGTAATTTCCCTGCATCCTTGCCAACATTTGGTGTCATCACTATTTTTTTAATTTTAGTAATTCTGATAGATGTGTAGTGATATTTCATTTTGATTTTCATTTGCATTTCCCTAGCAGTTAATGATGTGGGACATCTTTTCGTCACTTGTCATCTATATATCCATTTGAATGAAATGCTGGCTCATGTCTTTTGCCCATTTTCTAATTGAATTGATTGGATTGTTCTTTATTGTTAAGTTTTAAGAGTTCCTTATATTTTTTAAATGGTTGTCCTTTCTCACATATGTAGTTTGGTATATTTTCTCCCAATATCAAGATATTATTTTCATTCCCTTAACAGGATCTTTCATGTGGCAAAAGTCTTTTGTTTTGATACAGTGTAACTTATCAATTTTTTTATGGATTATACTTTTGGTGTTAAGTATAAAAACTCTTTGTCTAGACAGAGATCCCAAAGATTTTCTCTTATTTTCTAAGAGAATTTTATGTTTTACATTTAGCTTCATGATCCATTTTGAATTCATTTTTGTTTAAGGTGGTAGACTTGAGTTCAGATTCATTTTTTTCCTATGGATGTCCAATTTCTCCAGCACCATTTGTTGGAAAAGCTGCCTTTTTTTTTTTTTTTTTTTTTTTTTTTTTGAGACAGTCTCGCTCTGTCACCCGAGCTGGAGTGCAGTGGCACAATCTCGGCTCACGGCAAGCTCTGCCTCCCGGGTTCATGCCATTCTCCTGCCTCAGCCTCCCAAGTAGCTGGGACTACAGGCACCTGCCACCACACCTGGCAATTTTGTGTGTGTGTTTTTTTAGTAGAGACGGGGTTTTATCATATTAGCCAGGATGGTCTTGATCTCCTGACCTCGTGATCCACCCGCCTCGGCCTCCCAAAGTGCTGGGATTACAGGAGTGAGCCACTGCGCCTGGCCAAAAGCTGTCTTTTGTTGGCTGAGTTGCTTTTGCACTGTTGTGAAAAACCAGGCAGGCATATTTGCATGGTCTGTTCACAGATTCTCTGTTCTTTTTCATTGATCTATGTGACTATCCCTTTACCAGTACATACAGTCTTGATTACTATAGTTAAAAAAGTCTTGAAATAGGTACACTGATTCCTCCCACTTTCTCTTCTTTTTCAACACTGTTTTAGTTATTCTATTTACCTTTCCCTTTCCATATAAATTTTAGATCATCTTGCCTATATCTACAAAAATCTTGCGGAGATTTTAGTTAGAATTCCATTAACACTATATATCAATTAGGGATAAATCGACGTGTTTGCTATGTTAAACACAGTTGGCCCTTCATACCCTTGGGTTCTGTATCCGTGAATTCAACCAACTACATATCAAGAATATTTTTTAAAAACTATTTAAAAAACAATTAAAAATAATACATATTTAAAAACAATATACTACAGTGAACTTAATTTTGACAGTCATACCGAGAACATGCATTGGAGAAAAGACAGTCTCTCCAATAAATGGTGCTAGGAAAACTGGACATTTATGTGCAGAAGAATGAAACTTGACCCCTATCTCTTGCCTAATACAAAAATTAAACCAAAATGAATTAAAGACTTAAATATATAAGACTTCAGACTTTGAAACTGAAACAGGAAAACATTGGAGAAACTTTTCAAGACATTGGTCTGGGTAAAAATTTATTGAACAATACCCCACCAGCACAGGCAACCAAAGCAAAAATGGACAAATGGGATCACATCAACTTAAAAAGCTTCTGCCCAGCAAAGGAAACAATCAACAAAGTGAAGAGAAACCCACAGAACGGGAGAAAATATTTGCAAACTACCCATCTGACAAGAGATTAATAACTGCAGTATATAAGGAGCTCAAACAACTACATAAGAAAAAAATGAATAATCCAATTTAAAAAATAGGCATAAGATTTGAATAGACATTTCTCAAACGAAGACATACAGATGACAAACAGGCATATGAAAAGGTGCTCAAAATCATTGATCATCAGAAAACTGCACATCAAAACTGTAATGAGATATTATCTTACCCCAGTTAAAATGACTTTTATCCAAAACACAGGCTGGAAAGGATGTGGAGAAAAGGGAACTCTCATACACTGTTGGTGGGAATGAAAATTGGTACAACCACTGTGGACAACAGTTTGGAGGTTCCTCAGAAAACTAAAACTAGAGCTACCATATGATCCAGCAATCCCACTACTAGGTACATACCCCAAAGAAATGAAATCAGTATAGCAAAGAGAGATCTACACTCCCATGTTCATTGCAGCACTGTTCACAATAGCCAAGATTTGGAAGCAACCTAAGTGTCCATCAACAGATGAATGGATAAAGAAAATGTGGTACTTAAACACAATGGATACTATTCAGCCATAAAAGATAATGAGATCCTGTCATTTACAACAACATGGATGGAACTGGAGGTCATTATGTTAAGTGAAATAAGCCACGCACAAAAAGACAAACATCACATGTTCTGACTTATTTGTAGGATGTAGAAATCAAAATAATTGAACACATGTTGATGGAGAGTAGAGGGATGGTTACCAGAGTCTGGGAAGAGTAGTAGGGGGTGGGGAGGAGATGGGGTTAGTTAAGGAGTACAAAAAAAAAAAAGAAAGAATGAATAACACCAGGTATTTGATAGCACAACAGAGTGACTACAGTCAAATTAATTTAATTGTACATTTTAAAATAACTGAAAGAGTATAATTGGATTGTTTGTAACACAAAGGATAAATGTGTGAGGGAATGGATACCTTATTTCCCATGATGTGATTATTATACATTGCTTTCCTGTATCAAAATATCTCATATACCCCATAAATATATACACCTACTATGTACCCACAAAAATTAAAAATAAAAAAATTTTAAATGAAAGCCAATACAGTATAACAACTATTTACATAGCATTTATATTGCATTACACCCTGGGCCACAGATCATACCACTCTGTGGCCTGTTAGGAACCAGGCCACAAAGCAGGAGGTGAGCAGCAGGCAAGCCAGCATTACTGTCATTACTCCACTTCCTGTGAGATCAGCAGCATTAGATTCTCATAGGAGCACAAACCCTATTGTGAACTACAGAACTGCACATGCGAGAGATCTAGGTTACATGCTCCTTATGAGAAAGACTAATTCCAGTTGCCCTGAGATGAACAGTTTCATCCCCAAACCACCAACCATCCCATCCGTGGAAAAATTGTCTTCCACAAAACCAGTCCCTGGTGCCTAAAAGGTTGGGAACCACTGTTGTATTAGATATTGTAAGTAATCTAGACATTTTTTAAAGGCTACAGGAGGATCTGCATGGATTATATGCAAATACTGTGCTATTTTATATCACTGACTTGAACATCCTCAGATTTTGGTATCTGAAGGGAGTCCTGGAACCAATCTTCTGTGGATATGGAGGGACAACCCGGTATTCTAATCCACGAACACAGTATATCTCTCTATTTTTAGATATTTGATGTCTTTCATGAGCATTTTGTAGTTTTCAGTATACAAGCCTATATATATACATGTTTTGTTGGATTTACATCTAAAAGTGAGATTGCACTCTGTTTTTAAAGCCATGTATTTGTGAACATGTACGTCATGAATATTTTCTAAACTATTAGGTTATTTTCAGCACCATTAATAGACTCTAATAATTAGTTCTGGATTTGAATATTCTTCGTTATTTGGCAAATATCACAAAGACTACTTGGTTATTAAATTTTTCCTAGCCCAGGATTAGGCCTCCATTTCAACAAAATACTCAGCTGGATACTTGCTACCTTCTAAGTTGCAATGGCTTTGTTGCACTTTTTCTGAATAGCTTTGTGTTATATTTTTACTCAGTAGAAACTCTTATCATTTATTTTGTTGGTTTTTTAAAATTTCATCAACGGTAGCATATCTGACAAGGTAATAGTGATTTTTAATGTTTAGCTAGGCATAGTAATGGTACGTGCCACATTGCTATTTGAAAAATCTAGTAAAACAAGAATAGCAACAAGATCATAGGTCAGGGACTACTTTGACTCTTGGCTGTGCTGTAATTTGTTATTGCCAACCCACTGGAGTCTGTACTGCTTGCAGCACAGCCAGCTGAAAGCCTCCCTGTGATTCCCTCACCAGTTAGCAGATTCACATTTTATGACAGGTAAAAAAACAAACTACACGGTACCTGTATTGGTGATGATAAGCTTCAGTAGAAGGAGGTAACGAGAAGTAAAGAAACAAGCACTGTGTTTTAGAGTGAAAAACCCTATATTTGAATGCCATTTCCACCATTTAAACTGCTCTTTGACCTTAGGCCAGTTACTGAACTTCTCTCAGGCTAAACTTTCTCATCTGTAACATGATGACTAGAATGGCTACCTCACAGGATTCTTGAAATTAAATAAGTTAGTGTATTAAAGTATTCAGCATGGTACCAGGCAGATAGCAAGCACTCAAGAATTGTTAGCTATAATTGACTGACTCTATAAGTTTTATTTGTATTATTCATAATTGAACTTCGGCTCTTGCTGCTAATCAATACCAGTACATGCAAGGAAGTTATTTTTGTGCATATATTTCTTCCCTACTGGAGTATAAGTACCTACAGCCCTGAAAACTTTACATGCCTCACTGTGTAGCATAGCAGTGCCTTCTGAAGAATGTTGAATGTCATTGCCGTATACAGAGGTGGAAACTCACCATGAAAACAAACCATTAGCAAGGATCTGTTTTTAAAAATGCCTTTCTTAAACTAGGAAAATATTTTAGGGATCTCAAATGGCTTCCTTAAACTAGGAAAACATTTTTAAAGATTCCAGCTGATAAGAAATATTTTTGATTCATTGCCTGGAACTAGATACTTCTCAATTTGGGATTATAAATAATGCCAGTTAAGATGGTGTTGGATTCAGCCATGCATGGGATGTGGAGTAGAGTGATTCAGCAGGTTTTTGCTTTCCTGATTGCAGAACTCTTCTTTATATATTAAAAGGGAGTTTTCAAATTTCTACCAATGATCATTTTTCATTTGTAACCCAGAGAAGTTTTGAACTGTCATTCTGCAGGCTTTTTCAGGAAGCTTAAATGCAGGATTGAATTAATCAGAGAATACAATACTGGATTTCTGCATTTTTTAGTTTTGAAATTGACTTAATGTAGGTAATAGACTGAATATTTATCATCTTAGTACGCACACTAGGAGCAATCAAATATAACATTACATAGTTCCTTTAAAAAGATACCAAGAGTCTCATTTCAGTACACCCTTTAAAGCACAGAGATGCATAATCCTATCAGAATTATGCATATGTGCATTAAACGAGTAAGCTATCACTTTCCAAATTTTCTGATAAGATTTTATAAGAAACAAGTATACAAGGGTAAGGAAGGTAGAGGAAGAAGAGAGCTGATCTTGTAGCTAGGATGGTAGGAAAAGCCCCTGCCAGCCTCTAGGTGATATAAAAGTATTTGTATCGGTCTAATTATGTATCCTTAACTAAGTCATTTAACTTTTCTGAGCCTCATTTCCCTGTTTACACAGGGGAATTACAATAATGTTTCTGTCTTCCTAAGGTGATAAGCAAACAAGATTATCTCTAGAAAACTATATAAATATACCATGTTATTCATTCCATAAATATTTATTAAATACCCACCGTGTGCCAGACACTGTCCTAGGGATAAGATTAAAACCTCTCATAAGATATGTTCTGTAGCAGTGGGAACCTAACAGGCCACCAAGGAGAGCCAGACATTTGAACCACTTAAGTATGGTAAAGTATCATAAGTATGCAGCGGTAGAACATTCCAGGTGTGGTTATGGAACTGAGTTGCTGAGAGTGGGCAGAGGGTTTTGGAGTTGAAGAATTCTGAAGCCACAGTGTTATAAAGATCATCCATGCTCAAGTTGAGACTAACCACAACTGGGAGGGAATTAGGAGAGAAAAAAGTTTGACACAGTTGTCAAAGTCCTTATTAAAGAAAGTGCAATGATGAGGAGAGGCAGAACTGAGGAGTGGGCAAGTGTGGCATGAGCCGTGAGAGCAGAGGTATTTTGATAAGAGAATGGAAAGGAATGGCCTGGAAGTGGCATGGTGGGCTGGGACAATGCTGCCACTCAGATTTTGGTGTGTGGGCTCTGGGGGCACAAGTAGCCTTCTCCTGAGATATTCAAGGGTTGTACATCCTGAGGAAAGGGTTGGACAAGAGATAGAACAGGACTTAGAATGAGGAGTCTGTGAAAAGGGTAAAATGTAGTAGTCCCAAAAATAGCAATATTTGTCATTTGTTGAACACCTAGAATGTACCATGTACTATACTTGGCTGTCTTATACATTATAATATTATCAGACCCTGCAAAGTAATTACTATCATCTGGATTTTACAGATTAGGTCATAAGGCACAGTGAGGCCATATGCATTTAAGATTACACAGCAAGTCCACATTTGAATCATTAAATCCAGTTCAGCCTGGCTGCAAAGCTGTGCTTTTGCATGGTTCTACATGTCTTCAGAGAGATTCAGAGCACACCATGGGAAGGATTTGGAGGCAAGTCAGAGAGGAAGGGAAGAATCAGAGGGAAGAATGCAAAATTATACAGGAATGAAAATACAGTAAATGAAAGGACTATTGACCCTTGAGGCTTACATTTTTGTTGGTAGCTGAGAATACCAAGATGATGAGAAATAGCATCACTAAGATATCTGGTGGAGTGTGAGACCTCGCAAGGTTAGTATCGCCTTGCTGCATATTCTGGTGAAGTGCTGTGGAGAAGGTGTCCTGGTGTCTTTTGAAGAGAATTCTTTCAGGCAGTTCATGAGGAAGATCAGTTTTTCCTGATTCTTCCATTCCTGGTGGAGTGGTTGACCAAGATTTAGCTTCCTTGTGTGTTAGTGGTCAGTTTTTTAGCCCAGGTATATGGAGAACAGAGAAGAAAGTGTGTGATGACAGTGGCATCTCACTTGCATGCATGTAGGATAGCAGCCTTCAGATTTTGGAGTACCTTGACCACTTTTGTACCTGGGGGCCTCTGGAGCTGGGTGGTACATACTGGAATTCTCATTAGACTATGGTGAAAAGTAAACACATGTATTAGCCTCTCCTGAGTGGTAGTAACCAGTTACTTTCTGAGACAGCGTTATACTAAGACTGAGAAAGAATCCCAGGCACAGGTAATGTCCTACTTTCCTTTACTGAGGGACAGTTAATACTACAGCTAAAATGACAGCTCCCCACTGCCTATGAGGAGAGGGAGTGCATTGACTTCGTTGACTGAGGACACAGACCAGGACCAGAGACTTTTGTGGGAAGAAGCTTTGATATTTGGCGGGAGGAGCAGTCCAGCTTTGCAGGCAGGTAGCAGTGGCCTCAGGTAAAGTAGATCGGGTTAGAAGAAGCAAAGAAAAATGCAGAGAGGCAGCAACTGAAGAGACTCTCACAACCTTGCTTTCGGTGAAGTACTTCCATTGGAATTCTTGATTGTGGTGGAAATAAATATACCCTTCAAAGTAACACATGCACTCTCTGATCCAGTCCAACACAGGAGGGGTTGGGATGTTTTTTGTTTGTTTTTGTTTTTTTAATTATACTTTAAGTTTTAGGGTACATGTGCACAATGTGCAGGTTAGTTACATATGTATACATGTGCCATGTTGGTGTGCTGCACCCATTAACTCATCATTTAACATTAGGTGTATCTCCTAATGCTATCCCTCCCCGCTCCCCTCACCCCACAACAGGCCCCAGTGTGTGATGTTCCCCTTCCTGTGTCCATGTGTTCTCATTGTTCAATTCCCACCTACGAGTGAGAACATGCAGTGTTTGGTTTTTTGTCCTTGCGATAGTTTGCTGAGAATGATGGTTTCCAGCTTCATCCATGTCCCTACAAAGGACATGAACTCATCATTTTTTATGGCTGCATAGTATTCCATGGTGTATATGTGCCACATTTTCTTAATCCAGTCGATCATTGTTGGACATTTGGCTTGGTTCCAAGTCTTTGCTATTGTGAATAGTGCCACAATAAACATACGTGTGCATGTGTCTTTATAGCAGCAAGATTTATAATCCTTTGGGTATATACCCAGTAATGGGATTGCTGGGTCAAATGGTATTTCTAGTTCTAGATCCCTGAGGAATCACCACACCGACTTCCACAATGGTTGAACTAGTTTACAGTCCCATCAACAGTGTAAAAGTGTTCCTATTTCTCCACATCCTCTCCAGCACCTGTTGTTTCCTGACTTTTTAATGATCGCCATTCTAACTGGTATGAGATGGTATCTCATTGTGGTTTTGATTTGCATTTCTCGGGTGTTAAGAGGATAACTAAATATCCTTGGAAATGGGATAATAAGGAAAGAGAAGTGAAAGTAGCCTAAGATGTGCACAGAAGAAATTGGATCCTCATCAGCGTGATTTCTGCTTCTCCACAGGTGTGAGATCTCTCTTTTCTTCAAATTACTCCAGTATTTTATCTGTACGTCTCTTGTAACACTTTTTATATTCCATATTGTTTTATATTTTTTGTGTTTTTCCTACTTCCATTACTAAACTATTAATTCTTTGAAGGCAAGGACAATGCCAAGCTGCATTCTGTGTCCTCCGCCATGCTTTGCATTCAGTAGTTACTCCGTGTTTGACTAAATTCATGACCCCAGGGACACTGTGCTTCCTCTGGGTTTGTTCATTTACTTGGCTATGAAAGACAATAATTTGCAAAGCCAACTTTCTCCTTTTTCTGAGATCAGTGACTAAATTATATTAAAAGTATTTTGCAGTGCTATAAGTGTATAGGAGAGAGGTTTTCTGTTTAGGGAATGTTGCTAAGCCCTGTCATCAAAAATAACCTTTCCATCTACCACTAAGTTCTGCCAGAGCATAGCAGATTGGCAAGAGCAGTTGAAAGGAAAAAGCAATGTAATGCCCTCTGCTTATGGCACTACAGGTGCCAGTGGAGGAAAAAAGTGTGAGGTTGAGGCTTGGGAGACTAAGTGCTGTAAAAATGAAGCAGACCGACTGTGGGTACACAGATCTAGTCTTTGTGAAATACCTTCCCTGACTTTTGTATATTCCTGTTCACCCTGTGATTGTAGGCCAGGAGTCTTTAATAGGAAACTGGTGATTTGAAGTCTCCCCACATAAGCAGACCAAGCAGCTTTTTGAAAGAAGCCCACTCAGACCATGGAGAAGGCAGCAGCTCACAGTGGCAGCAAGAGCTATGAGACAGCAAGAGTCAGCCAGAAACACACATGCAGAACCCGAAGTCTTGAGCACAGCAGGAGGTTGGGCAAAGCTGCTCCATTCTGAAGGTTATTATGGCCCCACTGGGGGCTGCCACACAAGTACTGGCATGAAAGCAAACTAGTGTTGGGATAACTGTTTTAATATTTGCAAAATCCACTCTAGGTGTGAGCTCCTTTGTGTAACTGAAGATCTAGAGTCTTTAGGAGTTTATTCCTCAAAACTTGAATCAGGTTTTTTCTAGGCAAGTTGGAAGCACGGATTGGGCAGGTAACAACAACCATTCTTCATGTTGAGCAAAAAGGAGGTGTGGGCAGTTAAGAGCCAAAGTTGAGATGGAGGAGAGAATATTGGTTGCCAGCATTGCACTGTATTAGAAGCCATGGAATGGTCTCTTCCAGCAGCTATTACAAACTGCCCCCTGGGAAATTCAAACAAGAAAACCTTTGGGTTTCACTTCACTGGCCTTGCAATAAACATGTTTGTTCAAATAACAAATTGTTGCATTAAGATAAATCTGTCTGTGTTATCCTAAAGAAAAGAGTCTATGCCCTGTGTGTTGGCAGCATTATCAATGAACAGCTGATATTTATGTAAATATCAACCTTATTAATAAGAATCATGAGCACGGGTCTGCCAAGGTTCCTGACAGCTTGTTTAATCAGGCGCATTAACTCAGAGGTTTTCAGTTAGTAGAAGCGTCCTCTTACCTTATTTGCTTAAAGGCCCAGAGGCCATGTCACCAAATTGGGGCTTCTAGCCATCCACTGAGGAGAGGTGACTTTTCATTTCTCTGAAATGAAGCCAACTGCTCTCTGTGTGTGTTTGGATTGGAGAGCACAGGTTACAATGAGAGTGGCCCTCTCTCACCCCCACCCCCATTGCCAGTCATGCCAAGTTACAGGGTAGGGACTGCAAAGAAGCTTGCTCAGGCAAAGCATCTAGATGGACTGACTGGTAGGAGGCCCCTTTGTGGGATGGCTCACCCTGACCTCTGCCTGAAACTGGAATCAAGACCAAGATGACATAGCTGTGGTCACACAAAGCCCGTTAACTACATCAGTTGTCTTTGTTTATTCAATAACTCTGAGCTACACTTTTTTTTACACAAGAAATGTGACCCACACTTTGTTTGAGATACTCCAGAAAGATGTAGCAATGTGGTTACCATTTTATAAACTTTTAAATAAAACTGTTAGCAGTTCACAACTTTGTTTAAAGAACAATGGCTTGGAACATAGGCCTGTGTTCCCAAGACCCAGAGGACAGTGACCAAGGCAGAGAAGAACCGAGTACAGATCTGGCTGACCAAGGCCTGCTTTGCATGCCCAGGAATCTAAAAGTTAAGCTTGAGGGCCTTTTCCTGTTTTGCAGGAGTAGTAGCAGTGAATTTGACCCGATTGCTTTGGTGATTTGCACTGATGTTCTCAGCTTGTTAGCTTTCATCAAGAAAAACTTTCATCAAGAGAAACTCAGAAAAAACAGGGATGAAAAGAGTCACCCCTGTTATTTTCCCTTACCCCCAAAACTGGCTGAGAATCACCATTTACAGCTTAGCTAGCTCAATATCTAGCTATTGCCATCCTTGTTTCTTCACTTCCATGTTTTTCTACCTCTATAGTTTCTTCTGTCTGTAACAGCCAAAACCTCACCTATGCATTAACTCTAATCTTTCTGTAAAAGTATCTGCCTTTATTTAACTTTCTGCTCATGACATGATTTATGTATATAAGAATCTTCATTTACAGATTGTTTCTTTTACTATACTTAGGTGTAGCTATTGTTCTCTTAGCCTAGTCTTGGAAAGGGTGTTCACAAGTAAGCATTGTTTAAGTCTCATATACTTTCCTCTAACAGCATACAAACATTTATGCCTGTAAAGATTTTTCTGGCCTGTTGACAAGGCTGATTTAGTAGATAATGTATTCTCCTACCAGAGCTTAAAGTTGAAATAACATATAATTGAAGCTGACCATTAATACTGATTTGGGAGTGGCAATATTTAGTTTGTTAAGTACTCAGGAAAGACATGAGCAATAGGAATTTGGACTAGTAATATCTTTTTAGACACATATTTCTCACAACTCAGTTTGGCTCCCTGGAAGGCATTTCTTTTGAATCAACTGCAATTCGTATCTAACAATTTCATAGCTTACAAGTAAGACTGCTATTAAAATGTTAACTAATTCTGGGGCAAAAGGGACTTCCAGGAAGGTTCAGTAATCATTGAACAGGGTGGTTAAAGGGCTATAAGATTAACCGAAAACATAGCACTTCTCATATACCCTTTAAGCAGAATTGATAAGGTATTTCCTAGAGATTAATGACATTCTGAGTTAATAGGCTGAGGGAAGGTCATTAATTCTTACACAAAGGTGGTCTGGAAAGTAGAAATGAAAAACAACTGCTAGGTCAAGCTGATGCAATCCCAGGAGACATTTCAGAAGATCAGTTTCCTTTTTAGAAGCCCATGCTTCTTACTGTTGTCACTCTTCCTTCTCCAAATAGCATACCTCATACTCAGGCTTTTAACCTCCTGGGATGCAAGTAGTTTTTTGAAAGGAGTTGTAAGTTCTCTGTTTATCAAACAAAAACTTTTTTTTAATCAATGAGCTTTCTTTTCTCACTTCAAACTTAGAAACATCATCTTGGAAGTCATTCAATTCACATAGCTTCTCACCATCAGATGGTGTGGACAGAAAGTTGTGCCTGGGAGTCTAGAAGTCAAGACAGACAGATTATACCTCCTAGGGGTTTCAATTAAATAAAATATCCATATGTGCTGTGTATAGCATATGGAGAAAATATGATATTACTGTCAATGGTAGACTAGGATTGATGGAACAATCAGATACAGATACCACATAGTAAATCAGAAGAGGTTGACTTATCAAAAGGATGCAGCAACAAGTCAGTACAGCCAGGATACCATTATGAGCAGAGGTGCAAGCTTCCAGCTGTGGAATACTCTCCAGGGATTTACACTTGCAGATGATAATGTCAGACTGAAAGCTCAGTCCTCTTCCAGGCCAGCCTAGGCATGACTGATTCTACATGTAACCTAATCTGGATCTGTTCCAAGGACCCTCCCATCTAGCCAGATTTATTAATCTCAGGATTATGCAAGATATGGCCCCAGGGACAAGAAGGACTCCAGCAGAAATGAGGGTAATGGTGGCAGATGATCTGGAGCCACCCATCTGAAAACTGCACCCAGAAACCCCACTTTGACTCTTTACCCAAAGAAAGGTTGAGAGCTGGAGAATGATTTCTTAGTTGAAAAAGATCTGCCTTCATGTGTGGGTATCATTTTCTCTAACTGTGTTTCCCTGGTAAGGGCTGTAGGATCCAGAAGCATATGCATGCTCACCTGGCCTAAAGCATGTTGCTCACCTTCCTGCTGTAAATGTAAGCTTCCTTTTGAATGCTTTAGATGAGTTATACCCCATCTGATTCACTCAAATTGTGTCTAACTGGTGGTTGTACTACTCCTAACCTAATGCCCTGATCCCTGTAGTATGTTTTCATATGTCTGGAAAATTTAAGATGCCAGAGGTTATATTGTTGCTTTTTAAAAATATGCAGAAAGTTAATAAGATAACAGAAGTATGCTAAGGGAAACTCTGAGAAAAATATTTTCTGGTCAGTAGATGAAGGGAGCCCCATTACAGTGGTGACTGGCATTTTGCCACCAATGTGTGTCTGACCTAACTCTCAAAGAATAAATACTTATGGATTTTGTTACACAGCCAAGAGATATAAATTTGTAGCTACCAGTTCAAAATGCTTAGTGCTGCAGGTACAGGTGAAAATCTTTATATTCTTCCATACAGTTAAAAAAAAATCCTTGTTTTATATACAGATTAATTCCACTAGACCTAGCTGGACCTTTTGAGTTCTCTTTTCAACTGAAATTGCCTTTTAAAGATGAACTGTCCAGATGTAGATGGGAATATAATAATAGAATTCTATGCTGAAAAAACTAGGTTATTTAGGTCATGATTGCAGTTTTATGATGCCATCTGGGAAAATGACAAAGTGCATGTGGGTTTTAAGTAAACTAAAGTTTTTCTCCCTTCAGTAAGCATTATAGCCTCTTCTGACACTTTGTTGGTAGAATTTCTGAACACTTTGTTTACTTTGAGAGTGATGAATCCACGGGTGTGTCATGATTTGAATTGGAGCTTTCCTTCCGCACATTTGGCAGGTATTTAATGCTTCAGTACAGTCTTTCTGAAACTAACCTAACCACTAAACGATAGGCTAGTAAAACTTGCAGTCTTGTGAGTATAAATGCTGTCTTTTTAAATTAGGAAAGAACAAATAAAACCCTGTTGGAAATTCCTTGTTTTAAAAGGAGTAATTTAACGCTCTACTGTTAACATTCTCCCAAGGTAGTATTACATAAATAATTACTGCTAGACAGGAAGAGTCATTTCCCATTATGGAATAATTTTGCACTTTTAGAAATTTCATTGTCTCCTCAGAATCCTCTGGACTGTGAGGCCATAAACTAACACTTTTTTGATTATGGAATCTTCATTACATGATTTATATTTTATGGTAGAAGAGAGCAAGAGAATTAAAAAAAAAAAAAAAAAAGTTACTTGCTTAGGGCCAGAGAATCTCAGGGAAGGGAAAAGGATGTTTCTACCTTTCTAACATCGGTCAAGAAAATTTCTGGTTTACATTTAATAATCAATTTTCTGGGATTTTTCTTAATGCCAAAACCATGAAATGAGGCATTTTAAATTCATACCTGTCCGTGGATGTGTACTCTAGAGCACTGGTTCTTAACTTAGGGTCCCAAAGAAAATACATGATTCAAATGCTAGTTCCTTTTATTTATAGATGACATTTCTAGCCCATGGCTTCTTAATTCGGTCCAGGGAATCCAAAGTTTTGTGTCTGTGTGCAATCTAACTAGGTCTTGTAGCATTTTTCAGCCTTTCAGAAGGAACTGACCACGTTGTCAAGACTGATTATTTTTTATAGATCCAAGGTATAGCACCATAGTGGGAGTTTTCTATATTAATGATAATGATAATAACAGCCTCTCATTATTGAGCACTTATGTGTCACTAACTGTGCTTATTACTTACCAAGGCAGGTACAATTCTTATCTGCATTTTATGGCTGAGGAAACATGAGGCTTTAGAGGGTAACTTGTTGAGGAACACACTGAAATGGAATTAGAAGCCAGTGATGCCATCTGGGAAAATCTATGCCCTTAGACATTAAATGCATTGTGGTACATTCTGGTTTTGACTCTGATTTTGTTTGATATTCATGTATTCAATTCAAACAGTCCTCACTGTATTCTAGTGGTTGGGCATTGCCCTGTATCTAGATGCTACTGTGTTACAATTCCGAGATCAACATTGGATTACAGGACCCAAGACAGTGTCTGGCACTCGTTTGTTTGTTAGATAACTAAGTAAGCAAATGAACAAATGTATGCCCCTTCCAAACATGGCTTGGGTCTTCTTTTGTGGTACACCTCATGCTCAGCACAGCGTGTGGTTGTGGTGGCTGTTGTTTTTGACAAACAGTAGGCTTGCTATGTCTATCTGAATACTAAAATCAGATCATATTCCCTTGTAACTGTGTATCTGTCAGAAGCCAGCAGCTTCTGGCCAGTTTCGCAACATGGCATTTGGAAGGCAGGTACTTAGAGTTTATTGCGTAGTTTTTGGTCCCATGGCTTTTTCAATGCAGTTTGACAGTCGGTATTATACAAGAACAGAGTTGAGTTTTCTGGGTTCTACAGGATGATCGTTTTTAACTGTCTCTTAAAAAAAAAAAAAAGCATATTTCTCTGCCACTAACTTTCTCAGGCCTCAATTCTTCCGCTGTAAATCAAGGTGGTTGGACTCTATTAATCATTTTTTAAGGGTTCTTTTTCTTTTGTGTGTTTTAATATCCTAAAAAAAAATTTTTCAATGAAAATCTGCAAGAATTCCATACAACACCAAAGCAGGATACGCTGGTTGAAGTTTGAAGTGGGATTCTCTCAATATAGAGCCACACAATAAGGTATGCTTTACATATAGTAAAATTACCTCTTATATAACGTACAATTCTGAAAATTTTGACAAGCTCATGCAATCATGTAACCACCATTATAGTCAAGACATAAAGCAGTTCCATCACCCGAGATGTTCCTGCTCACCCTTTTGTAGTCAGTTCCTCCCCTCAGCGTCAGCTGTTGGCAACCACTGATGTGTTTTCTGTCCCTATAGTTTTTGGGGGTTTTTTCCCACAATGTTGTATAAATGAACTCATTCAGGATGCAGCTTTTTCAGTCTGGATTCTTTCAATTGGCATAATGCAATTGAGGTTCATGCATATTGTTGTGTGTTTCATTGGTATTGCTGAGTAATTCATAGTATTGATATACTATAGTTTGATTATTCATTTACCAATTGAAGGGGTTGTTTCCAGGTTTTGGCAATTATGAATGAAGCCACTGTAAATATTGTTACCTAACATTCTAAGGTTAATGATATATAAGTTAGCTGCTAAAGTAGATTAAAAAGCATCAAACTCAGGAATCATTGAAGGAAGAGATAGGCACTGCAATCTGCATCTGCAAATGTTTCTTTTATGACCCCCCCCCCCCAGCACCACCCCCCAGCCAAAGAATCCTTAGTAACTTCTGTACCCATACCCACCCTTCAAACTGTTGGCAACCATTTTTTTTCTTGTTCGAAGAAGAAAGATTAGGAGATGTCATCTGAAATAGAACCAGCCCGAAGATAAATCAAGTCACTAATACACCCCTGGTAGCTTTGGGAATATAATATTTTTACATTGATTGGAAGGAAATGCAATAATAAGTTTTAAAAATTTGAACTACTAACTGCACCTGCTTAGAATCTAAAACTGGAGGGGAAAACATAAGGTTAACCCCACATGCTCCCTGATCAAATGCAAAGGTTCTTAAAATAGCTTCATTTAGAGATGTTAGGGGCAGCTGAAACAAGGAGCTGGTGTCCCTAGTCACAACCTGTCAGTTTAATATCATGGCTCAGAAGCAGCTGCCTCTGTATTTTTTTGTTTCAGGGTCAGGAGCAGCAACTCTAAGGAGAAGCACAGAAGCAGCTTTATCCCGTTTGCTATCCTCCCCTGCATTCCAATTTCCTAGTCAAGTGATTGTCCCTGGATCCATCATGAAGATACCTGTCATCCATTTCAAGCCACAAATAGAGAAAAAAGTAGCTAAAAGCCTCCAAGGAATTACAACAAACTTTAAATACATGTACAGGAAATTCCAGGAAGAACGTAAAAAAAGAAATAAAGTCGTGTATTTGCTTGGTCATAGCTAATAATAGACAATACTAGCTATGTGGCTTAACTCTCAAAATCCATCAGAAAAACCTTCTCCATTCACTGCTCTGCTCAGCTCTGTATAGCTCTCCATTACCTGTGCTTACCATTTTTCCATATAGAGTATTTTTTCTTGTGAATTTTTCCTCTTACCCATGATAAACTGCTTCTTCACAACAGCCTACTTATGCTTGCACCAGAAGCAGGATCTGGACTGGGTAGAAAATTGTCTGATCTGATGTGACAATGTTTTATGTTGCTAGGCTGGTGGTACTAACCAGCAGTGTAAAATTCCATTTGTATTTTGCATGTAGGTGGATATACTAATATACTATACTGTTCCTGTCCTAAACAGTCACAAACTTTTTAAAATCTTATTACTCAGAATAATTTTTTATTTCATTACAATAATAGGAGTCAATTCAGAGCTTTACAGCCCAGTTCGCCATATTCTACTTCATCATTCCACCCAAAAAGAAGAAGAAAAAGGCAGTAGCTTATATCTCTTTTAGCAACTAAACTGAATTTTCAAGGGCCAGAAGGAAGAACTCTAGGGTAAGGACCTAGAAGGGCAATGGAGGCAGAAAGAGGATGGTAGGGGGAGGAGTGAAACTTTCCTCTACCTGCATGTTTTCCTGTTTGCTAATACCACTTTCAAACAATAGGTCAGGGCTATGAGTACTCATGTTGAAAATGCAGAATTTTTCTAGAACTTTATTTAAGAGATTACTCCATGAGGCTGTGCGTTAGAGAAAACATTAGCTGGGCTAGTCCCTTAAATATCTAAAACTTAGTTTATCTATCTGCTGAACAGGGAATGGTAATACCTGCCTTTCCTACTACATAGGGTCAAGTGCGTAATTGATATGCGAGTTTTATACACAATATAAAACACCTTGTAGGTATAAATGACATTGTTAATGCCATTATGAAAAGTCTCCTCAACCAAGATGAGAAGCACAGTAGGGCTGCTCTTTCAGTGTAGGCTCCAGTGATTGACCATCAGATTAAACAGAAAATCTTGAACTACTGTCAGATTTGAACCCTAGACTTCTAAGAGGCTATAATACAAATTTTCTTCTGTCTTAGACTTCCTGTCTGACCCAATTCTGAAGAACCAGATGGTATTAGTATGTAAAGTTTTTGTCTAACATCTATAGCTTGCACCAAAATGTCAACATCCCTCAAAGAAGGCTCAAGTATTTGCACTAAAATGTGTTTTCTAATTCAATTATTTGATGCTGAGATGGTATCTAAAATTGTCTCCATATCTATGTTGAACAACATGCACAATACACAGATTCAAATCACTAGTAATCAGACTCTCTGTGCAGATTCCTACACTCAGGGCATCTGGAGACCATGTTTGCCTCATTCACTGTTATAATCCCAATAACCAGCACGGGGCCTGGCACAGAGTAGGCATTCTAAAATAGTTGATGAATGAATGAACAAATGAGCAAACAAACTAAGCTATTACTATAAAAGTGTTCCCCTAATATAACTAAACAAACTTACTGTGTATTGCTGGTAGGCACTAGTTCTACTCTAAGGAAAATAAAAGCTACTAGCACTTTTTCTTTAAATGTTTTTTAATGTAACATATTAGAAAGGTGAAGCGGGTATTACATTGGTAATGAAAATTTTGCTTTAGGTTAGAACATAGAATAATATGGACTGTAATCAGAAGAAAAGAAGATAGAGCCCATTACATTTAGGTTTTTTGCATCCTTGGACCTGCCTGACTCTCGGCAAGTTGCAATGGCAGTCTCCTACAATAGCACTCTATTAAAGGCACCATCATTTCAATGGCACAATAAAATATCTTCATTTCCAGTGCCAGCGCCACTACCTAAGACCAAGTCTTGACTAAATTTATTACTTAAATTTATTGCTAATTTATTGCTTAAATAAAGCTTAAGCAAAAAAGACAATTACACATGAACTTTAATAGAAGGTAAACTCTAAAAATAAATTGTCACTCTTTAAATAATGAATGCTTTTCTTTGCTGCAGAACTTTTACAGAGTATCTTTGTATTGGTTAGTATAAGAATCCAAACCCCACATTGCTTTGGGAAATTACTGAGAAAATTCTCATCAGAGTAGTAGACCTTAATTACCCAGGTGGAAAGAGCCCATGAATATTATTGCTGCCTTTAGAAGTTTTTATTAACAAACAGCTCTTACAGTATTTATGCTGATTTTTAATTAAGCATAATGAGAGTTTCATAATAGTGTCAACTGATAAATGTAGAGAAATGTTTACTTGGAATATTTGGCTTTGGGAGATAGCAGATTGATAAATCAGAAAATGTCATCACAGGAAAAACAAGTTTAACTGTAGCTAAAGGAACATTGCTGTAATTGCAATGCATTCTCTCTAGTATTAACTACACCATGTTCTCCTTTATGCATATCTAATACACACGTGGAATATGGTAGTGTAGTTAAACAGTGTATGTGTTGCACCTCTTCTATTCCTTCCTGAGATGTGAACAGATAATGAATAAAGAAAGATATGTAATCATTAATTGGTATGGAAAGAAAAAAGAATAACTGAATATGTCACAACCATTTTAACTGAACACATATCTCTCTTCAGTGGAGCGCCTATATACAAAACTGTGCAGCCACCCTAAACATTGAATAATCCTCCCATTGAGGAGTACAGTGAGCAGAATTTTCTGTGATATCATTTGGCAGCAGCCTAGCATCATTTCCCATTTATATCCAGATGTGATGTGCCCATGGATATCCAGTCATCTTCTGTGGGGTGTTACAGAACAAGTTCTTGATAGGTATCTCCCAAGACCTGCCAAAAACCTTATCTCAGAAACCTGCTTCTGTTCTCTGGCTCTCATTCATTAAATCTTAACATCAACAGAAGGTAAACAAACAAAAGAAAAAAGATACAATATAGTTGCCATTTGAAAATGTTAGTTTCTTCCATTAATCTTTCCATGAAAAGAGAATTCCTCCTCTGCAATTTAACCTATTCAGTATAATTCTCCATTTTCAACACATTGTGATGATTTTGACACTGTATATTGATCATTCACATCAGCTTACAAAATCAAGCTATTAAGAAGGAAAGCCATTTATCCAAACATACTTTTTCTTTAATTTTTGACTATCCATCTTACTCTTAACAGGATAACAATTTAAAGTTTCATTTTGGTTTTCTTTCATGTGTATCACTATAGTAAAACTTACCTACTGTCAGGATAGTTCCTCTATTTTGCAAGCAACTCTTAGTCATTTTAGCCTAAAAGTCATCATCTGTCATAAGCTCTTAATCATACTACGTTCCCTTGCATAATATTCACAAGATCCTACTTTTGGAGAGTGGTGTTGGCCGCTCCTAGCTGGTGAATAACACAGAAACATCCCAAAGCCTCTTCTCAGCAAGGATGGGGACACTTAGCTTACCGTGCAGGTACCGTGCAGGTGTTGATCACACCTGGTAATTCCTTCTTCTCATCCCCACCAAAATCCAACAGTGGAATCCAGGACCAACAACAACGTTTTCTTCTTCTCTTTTTGGACACCCTCTCAGTTTTTGTTTTGTAGGCTTGAAAGCCACCGAGAGTTTGCAACCAGGGGCCAGTGATAGCTCTGCAAAGGAGAGGCAGTGGGGAGCCCAACAACAAGTAGGCCCAAACACTAAATATTGCCCTCTTCCCTCTCCGGGCAGTGTCCTTCATGCTCTGAAGACAGGCAGCCTTACCAAAACTCTTACCCCACAGCTTGCCAGTCTCTGTGGAAGAAAGGTTCTAACTGGACTGGGCTGCAGGATGAGGTGACCCAAAAGCCAGGAACCATCTGCGCAGAGCAGACAAGTAGAGGCAGGCACAGGCTCCGTGAGCACGTCTGTGTGTGTGTGTGTGTGTCTGTGTATGTGTGTTTGCATGCCTGTGCCCAGCAGCTGCTCTCCAGATTAGAAGACACCACTCTTTGGCCAGCAACTCTGAAACACCCTCTTAGGTAATTTTAAATTCATGTGCACATCTTGGCTGAGAGTAGAAACTTCCCAAGCACAACCTGGGTCCCATTCTTTGCTGTGTTGCTACCCCAGATATATTGTGAACCACAGACAGCAGTGCTAGCACCTTAGGAACAGATGCCCAGATGGACATTAAATTGCACCTCATTTTGTACCCTGCAGCCATGAGCTGATGTAAGCCTTGTTTGTGATTTAAGTAACAAGGGCATGACCCCTTCTTTGACACCCATAACCCAAGGCACTGTAAACATTCGCTATTATTAACGCTGTGTTGGACTCAAACTTGAATGCCTGCCTGTTCCATTTAGTGTCACAGGAGACACGAGGGCAAAGTGCTGAGGAAACTCTAGAGCAACATCGGAATGCATGGTGGTATGTTTATTATTATTATTTGACATTTTGTTTTATATTATTCAAGTGTTAAGAAAACCTTCATACTTAGGATTGCTAAAATTTGAAGCATCTAATTTTCTTTAAGTAGGATCACTTGTTCAGATTGAGGGGTTGGATAGAAGGGAGGAGTTTGTTCATTTATTCAACAAATATATATTTCAGCATCCATTATGTATCAGATCACTTACCAGACATGCCTACCACCTGCCCAGTGCTCAAGTCATGCATTATCTAATTTAATCCTCACAGCAGCCCTTTAAATTAGTCCTACTCCTGGTGATCTAATGAGAAAACCAAAGATCAGAATAATTTAATAACTTCCTAGGATCTCACAGATGATAGATATAAGACTGAGGATTCAAAATTGAATCTGAGTTACTCCAAAGCCCATGCTCTTTATTTTTAATTTTTAACATCAAAATAATTTCAGACTTATAGAAAAAATACAGGAATAATAAAGAATTTCCATATGCTCTTCACTAAGGTTCTCCAATGTTTAACATTTTACCACTGGTTGTATTCTCCCTCTCTTTCTCTTTCTCTCTCTCTCTCTCTGTCTCTCTCTCTCTCTCTCTCTCTCTCTCTCTCTCTCTCTCTCTCTCTCTCTCTGTCTCTCTCTCTCATCCTCCTTTCCACCCGTGAGTTTATTTTGGTGTGTGTATATTTTTTTCTGAATTAATTTATATACTTTAGTGTGATTATCTTAAAAATGTAAGTATACTCTTCTACATAACCACAGTATAACAATTAAATTCAGTAAATCAACTTTACTTTCTAATCCATAGATCCCATTCAACTTTTCACCAAATGTCTCAATAATATCCTTTATAGAAAAAAAATGGTTTTTTAGTCCACGATTATGTGTTGCATTTAGTTGCCTTGTCTCTACGTTCCTTCAATCTTGAACAGTTCTGTAATCTTCCTTTTTTATATGTGACCTTCACATTTTTGAAGAGTACGTTTTGTAGAATGTTCCTTAGTTTAGATTTGTGTGATGTTTCCTCATTGTGAGATTGAAATTGTGTATTTTTATGGCAGGAATACTACAGAAACAATGCTGTATTCTTCTTAATCATATCAGGAGTCACATAAACGGAGTTAGTCTTGTAACCAAACCCACTTGCTTAAGGTGGTATCTGTTAGATTTACTGTAAAATTATGGTTTTTCCTTTTGCAGTTAATAAATATTTTGTGGGGAGATACTTGGAGACTAGGTAAACATATTGCTCTTAAATAAACTTTCTTAGAGTGAAGAAGAGCATTCCCTTCTCCTCACTTATTTTTGTGTTTATTTATATCAACATGAGCTCATAAATTGCTGTTTTATTGAATGAGTTATAAATCACTAATATCATTATTTATTTTAATGCTCAAATGATCTCAGATGTGGTCCTCATGTTTTTCTGAGTACTTTCTTACCTTCTGGCACAAGAAAATGTTCCATAAGCATCTTGTACTTTCTGTGCCCAACTCTGGAATTAGCCATATCTTCAAGAAGACCTCCATCCATTATGGAAAATGGTATTTAGAAACCAAGATCTGGGGATTGCGTGAGCTCATTGCTTCCAGGCCCTTTCAGGTAATAGGCTAGGAAACACAAACACACACGCGCGCCTATATCTGTTGCTCTGTCTATTTATATTAAAGACTATGAGATCACACTGATAGCTGCATTTCCAATCTAACACCATAGACATAATCTGGCTTTTAACCCTTTCCATATTTGTAACTCCTTTCCCCAACAGTGAGGATAAGGTGGTTTCTGTTATCCTCAGAATACTTATGTATTTGCTCATTGCCCCTGTGGGTAAGGGCCCCTTTGGCCCTTAGTCTTTTTGGCCCCATCATCCCTGATTTCTCAAGGAAAAGGAAAGGAAGTAGTCAAAATTTTTTAAATAAAAAAGAAGGAAATGATGAGAATAAGAGTTTCATGTTCTTTCTATACCATAAAGTATCTGTATCTTCATGGCAAGGTAGGTATTAGAAATCATCATGCAATCTCTGTGAAGGTGTGAAGATGTCATGGAAACAAAAGTTTATAAAGACTGAGGGAAGAGTTCAATTATTTATTCACATAAATAAATAATTGCCATGTGTCAGGCACACTGTGAAAGATAGACGTAGCCCTTGCCCTTGTGAACCTATAATCTAGTGGATTATTTTTATTATAGTTGCTATTTATTATGTCACACTTTGGCAACACTACATTAAGTACATTGAGCACTTTATTTATGTTATTTGATTTTAATTCAGACAGAAACCCTATGGGAGAAATAGTCTTTTTTTCCAACTTTACAAAAAACGGAACTGAGGTTTTGAAAGATTAAGTAATCTTTCCAACATCACTGAGATAATTAGTAAGAGACCGGGATCTGCATTTAGTTTAGTCTGACTTCCGAGGCCTAACTCTAAACACTAGGGCTATATGAGAAAAAAATAAGGTGGAATTATTCATCATGGTGGCATCCAGAAGGAATCATGATTTTTAAAATCTTGAATGCAAACTCTCCTATAGAACTGTGCTATCCAGTACATTAACTACTAACCACGTATGGTTATTAAGAGCATAAAGTGTGGCTAATTCAAATGGAGATATGCTGTAATTATGAAATACACAGCAGATCTCAAAGACATTAGAAAACAACTAATGTAAAATATCTCAGTAATAATGTGTATATTGATTACAGGTTGAAAGATAATACTTTGGATAAATTGGGTAAAACAGATACACTTTTTTTTTTTACCATCACAATAGCCAAAAGGTGGAAACAACCCAAATGTCCATCAATGGATAGATAAACTGCAGTATATATATATATATATATATATATATACATATATATATATATATATATATATACACATACAATGGAGTATTACTCAGGCTTAAAGACGATTGAAATTCTGATACATACTACAATATGGATGAACCATGAAGGCATGCTAAGTGAAATAAATTAGGCACAAAAGGACAGATACTGTTATGATTCCACTTATATAAGGTACCCAGAATTGTCAAATTCATAGAAATAGAAAGTAGAATAGGGTTATCAACAGCTGGTGGGAAGGAATGATGGGGAGAATTGTTTAATGGGTGTAGAATTTCATCTGGGGATGATGGGAAAATTCTGGAAATAGAGAGTAGTGATGGTTGCATACCAGTGTAGTTGTACTTTATTTCACTGAGTTGCACACATGAAAAGGGTTAAAATGGTAATATGTTCTGTGTATTTACTATTATTTTTAAAAATTGGTTTTACTATTTCTAGAAAATTTAACATAACATACACGGCTTATATTATATCTCTATTAGATAGCATTGCTATAGTATTGTATTATTAATACAGAAAATTAGTTATTTAAGAGATTTTGAGATATTAAATGATCCTACATTAGACTTTTCACCTCCTGATCAGTCAGCTTTGAAAGAGTTACAGGACAGCTTTTCACTTACAGTTGTATTAGTGACATAGACTTTTGAAATTAACTTTATGAAACTAGCCATTTGTTGTTTTAATAGTTCATTTTCCAGTTGCAGAGTATCCATGCGGCCTCTGTTCAAGCACTAACATAATTGTCTCAGCCTATGTAGATCCTACAATATAATTATCTTAAAATTCCATCTCCGTTTAAGCTTCCTTGGGTCCATGGAATTGATATTAGTTCATCAGTTAACTTTCAAAAGTTGACCCCTAGGACAGAAACTCTTCCCCTTTCCTGTGGCCTTTCTGTCACAGCATCTACCAAAAATAGGTATCTGTATGGGGAGGAAAGGAGGGAATGTATTGGGCTGACTCTTAGATATCATCCTACAGATAACTGAAAGAATTGTGAGTCCATAAACAGAACACATTCTCTAAAGATGTCTTAGTCCCACCCACTGACAGGTGACCAAGCAACCAAATAAAGAAGGGAAATATCAAGAAAAACATTCCTAATCTTTTGGTGGTCGTGTTGTTGTTTTTTTTGTTTCGTTTTTTGTTGACTCTCTGAGCTTCGGTTTCCTCCTCTGTGAAGGTTTTGCACTGAAAAAGATGTCTTAGTTCTATTTTAGTACTAACATTATGTGAGTCTGTGAATTAATGACTTTAAAATGATTCAGGGAAGCCTAATACTGTGCTTTTTGCTAGATTTTACAATTATTACTGCACATGTCTGCAAGGTGTTGACAGATATATATTGCTAATTCTAGAAAATATGAGGTATAAATTAATTTGTCTATTTATTTTGTTTCTATGAATTATAAAGGAAAAATGAATTCTTGTAGCAGAGCTAGATCACAGGACATCAGTTTCCCCCAGGCATGCCTACTTTTTCTTGACTCACATCCCAAATCCCATCCTTCCCACTGTCCCCTCTGTATCCCAGATGGATCATGTAACCCTCATAGTGCTCCCAAGGCACCCAGAGTTTAACCATACTTTACCCTCAATCCCATGTTATTGCAATTGCCAAGCATACTTGTCTCTCCCCCACTAATGGGAAGTTCTTGGGGTGCAGAGTGCACCTTCCACCTTTGCAGTTGCAGCCTCTGGCACATAGTCAATACACAACACATCATAGAATTGATGCATCTTTGAATGGATGAAGCATCTGACCTCTTTAACCAAATGAACAAAGGATGAGAGTAGCAGCCCCAGAGGAAAGCAACTTCAGAACAGCATCTCACTGAGCTAGAGGGTAAAAAAAATAAGAAAATTACACATATTAAACCAATTAGTCATTTTTCAATTCCAGGGTTGTAAACTTTTGTCCTAACAGACATTTGACTAACAGCAAAATTGACAGTTAGAATTTCATGTATTATCCTGTTCTTAATGTTCCTTAAGAGTGGGATTATTTATATGTAAAATTGAAAGTTCTGGATAATCTACAAAATAGACAAATATCTCCAAGTTTACAGGTTTATTTAGGAACTGGTATAATGAGGGGAGCCTCTGTCTGCCTTTGATGCCTACCTATAGGCAGTGTTTAAGTATTAGACATTTTAGAGCATCATAATTTTCTCAAGTGAAAATGATAATAAGAGGTTAACTTTTTTAAAAAATGAGGAAAACATGTTCTTGACCTCTGAAAATTGTTGTTGCAAATAAGCTGTACTCTCCAGTTTCCAGGGACTATCTCTTCATGTTCTTCAATAATGCCAAAATACCAGGTGACAGCTGTTTTAGCTCTAAGACATTCCTCAAGTGTCCTATTTTGATGTCATTATGTAATGCTTTTCTCTGGCATAGCTATCATCGTTCAGTAGCCTTGTTGACATATGTCACTGCATTGCTTTCTTCCTTGTGTGCCCATATTACTTTTCCAAATAGGCACTGGTTCTCTGAAATGTAGAGTAAAAGAGAGGGAAGGGATAATTCTAGCAACATCTCAGATTGGACCAGTGTCTTCTCCTTGGCTAAAAGATTCCTTTTGCACAGGAAAATACACGAGTTAGAAGTCTTTCTCCCCTCTCAGCCTTCCTTCTGTCTAAAAATGTTATTTCATTCTAATCCTGTTTTCTGTATTAATTGCACATCTTATAAAGAGGTATTATACCAACCGTGCTAAGCGTGGCACCTAGCACTGTGCTAGGTCTTGGTCCTTTAAAGACAAAACGTTGTCCTGTCTCTGTCGCTCAGGAACTCATAGTCTAATAGGAAAGGTGGTATGAGATTCTCATTTTAATAGGCTAGGTGTTCTGATGTAGGGCTGAGTAGCCTGTTGTCTAAGTCTTCCTGAGGTGGAGGTCAGGGAGGCTTCACGGGGTGGGGGTGGGGATGCAACTATTTTAACTGGACACCTTGGGCAAGGAGCAGTAGGTTTCTGGCAGGAAAAGAGTAAGAAGGAGGGCATTCTAGGCAGAGGACACCGAGTCAACCCAGGCACCCTGGCAGGAAAGCGCAGGATGGCTTCAGCCCTTGCAGCTGCCCCGTGCCTTAAGGACAGGGCTATGGCATCCAGCTTTGTACTCATGAAAATTGTGTGGCTCAGCTTTAACTTTGGTACCACTGCATGCCCTGTATTTGACATAAAACCTTAGATAAACCACTTACGTCACAGCTTCTCCAAAGTGACCCCTGAATTCAAGCAAACTCTTTTTTTTAATTCTTTAAGTTCTGGGCTACGTGTGCAGAACGTTCTGTTTTGTTACATAGGTATACACGTGTCATGGTGGTTTGCTGCACCCATCAACCCATCACCTACATTAGGTATTTCTCCTAATATTATCCCTCCCCTAGCCCCCCACCCCCCTACAGGCCCGATGTGTGATGTTCCCCTCCCTGTGTCCGTGTGTTTTCATTGTTCAGCTCCCACTTATGAGTAAGAACATGAGGTGTTGGTTTTCTGTCCTTGTGATAGTTTGCTGAGAATGATGGTTTCCAGCTTCATTCATGTCCCTGCAAAGGACATGAACTCATCCTTTTTTATGGCTGCATAGTATTCCATGGTGTATATTTGCCACATTTTCTTAATCCAGTCTATCATTGATGGACATTTCGGTTGGTTCCAAGTCTTTGCTATTGTGAATAGTGACACAATAAACATACGTGTACATGTGATGCTATTGTGAATACTGCCACAATAAACATACATGTGTGTATGTCTTTATCATAGAATGATTTATAATCCTTTGGGTATATGCCCGGTAATGGGATTACTGGGTCAAATGGTATTTCTAGTTCTAGATCCTTGAGGAATCGCCACACTGTCTTCCACAATGGTTGAACTAATTTACACTCCCATCTCAAGCAAATTTATCCTGGTGCTCTGAGGGGGCCCCTGGTGTCACCTCAATACATGTTTGTTGATGAAGGATGCTGGGACCTCAGAGGCTGGCCTCACGGAGGGGCTAGAAATAGGTGAGGCTGCTCCCAGCAGCAGAACCAGTAGCATATGTTACAAGTGAGGTATTTCAACACTGCAAGGAGAATCTCGGCAGAAGGCTGCGGCACAATTCCAGGTGTGCTCCTTGGGTTGGGGCCTGATCCCAAGCAGCAGATAAGGAACGAGTAGCAAGAGACATGGAAAGATAAGAATTATGCAAGGAAGCAGAACCCCATGCAAATAAACTAGGTGCTGAGCAGAGCTATAGTCCTAACAGAGAAATTAAATGCATGGAGGAAACCAAGGGAAAAGTTTGGGCCTATACCCTGAGCAAATCAGGAGGTGATTGGAGAAAGACTGCTGTTCATGCTGTGTACAAGTACCCAGAACCCACTGCAGGGCTTCCAGAGAGCATCCCTAGGCAGTAAGACAATTCTAGACCCCCCTTTCTGGTGTGGGTGGGCTCCTGGTAACCTACAAAATTTGGTTTTGCTGGCTGAAGAACCAGACAGGACACAGTGTGAAGACTCAAGATCTTCCATTTTAGCCACTGGGCATGGTTGGAAAAACAAGACTGGCACCCAGGGTACTTCTTAGTTTCCAACAACTCCATGATTTGGCAGCCTAGGCCGGAGCCACATGGCAAAGTGACAAGGGTATTCCTCCTTAGGCCAGCTTCACAATAGCTCCCCAGGAATACATTGTGCTATTCATTCTTAGTGTTCTGGTGCTTCATGTTAAGGTTCTTTGTCATTTTTCTTCAGTTAAGGAACACCATGCCACATACATAATAGGAACTCTGCTCTCAACCGCAAATAGCTTTAAATTAGAAGGACTAACCCCTCTCCCCCTTATTCAAAATGCATTGTGTGCCAAACCTGGTGTTTTAAAGCAATAGTTTTGAAACTTTCTAATTGCAGCCATACATCAGCTCTCCATTCTCTCAGCTTCTTAAGTCCAGTCAGGGTGGTCCTGGTTAAAATGAATACATGAAAAACCTCTAATAGTAATCCAGATTTATGGTAGTACAATAGTATTTATGGTAGTAAAAACATAAAATATAAAGATGGCCTTCTTTACAAAAAATTTATTATTTGCAATTATATTCATTTCATTCATCTATTCAACAGTTATTTATTACATGTCCACTATGTCCAGGCATATCTTGAATACTGGGGAGATTATATTTAAAAAGCAGATGGTATTGGTCCCTCCTATCTTGGAATGTAAAGTCTATGGGAAGGATCAAATAAAAACAAGGTAACAAATCAGATGATAAGTACATCTTGTGATAGTGCTGTAATAGAAAGGAAGAGAAAATCATGACAGAGAACTGGGGGAGTGAGCGAACCTCAGATGTCAGAGGAGACCTCTCTCTGAAGAGGCCATTTAACCTGAGATGGGAGTGATGTGAAGGAGCTAGAGGAGGAAGCGTTCAGGTCTGAGAACAATAGGTGTGAAGGCTCCGGGGCAAGAAAGGAGTTTCCATGTTCTAGGCACTCCAGGAGGTCAGCATGGCTGGGGTATTGTGAGCCAAAGAGGAGGCAGTGGGATTGAAGGAGGAATTAGGGTCCCAGTTAGGGGAGCCCTGGGGGTGGTGCTAGGGAGTGTGAGTGTTATTTTAAGTATAAAAGCAGACTGCTGCGATGTTTTAACCTGGAAGTTTACATGATCCTATTTACCTTTTGGAAAGATCTTTTTGGCTCTCGTATGGAGAATGGAAGGGTCGAAGTGGTTGCTGGGGGTCCAAATACTGCCTGAACAGGGTACTCCCAGGCCGTGCGCTGGGTAGACCCAAGGAAAATGACCTGGGAATTCATGGACTGTAGGCAGCCTATCATTAATTTTCCTTCACACGGCTCTTCCTCTAAAGGCCAAAAGCATTTCTCTCTGCCTGATGATTAACAGAAGAAAAGGTGTCAGAAGTGCTGTCTTTCAGGTGGTCCAGTAAGGTAGGTCCCGGCCCTAACGCTTTGTACAATGTCCTAGATCTGCTATCATTTTCACTTTGCAGGTTGGTTAAATTCATGCCAACTTCCCAGTGTTCTTCACCTTTGTTCCTGGTACAAATAAGGTATTCAATAAATATTCATTACATTAACTTCACTTGGATTTCTAGTGGTCTGGGTAGAGAGGGAGAATTAGAGATAGCACTGGGGTCCTCTTTACCTCCTATGTGGAGAGGATATATTTGTCAGGTGGTTACCATGGCTCTTAAAGTATTACTATTTTCAGTCTATGACAGATACAGTTCAGAGCTGAAAAACATGACTCTCCGCTAGAATAAAAGGTGCTGTATACATACAAAAAGTTTTTTAAGAGCATCTGGTTAGAGTTTAATGTGGCTGAAAACATTCCTATTTTTTTTTTCCTGTTTCAGTTACTCAATTTTGGCTAAAAGTGTGCTTTGGAGATTTTCCAAAATAAAAATTCTGAGGTGAGAGATATTTCAACCCCAACAATAACTTGAAAATTGGAAGTTGGAATAGGAACGCTGTCACCAGCACTATGATGATTCAATTACATGTGAGAAGTCTAGTTTCTGACCATTCAACTGCACACTTCAGCTACAGGCATCAGTGTTTCCCTTGTTTTCTTTCACAGTGAGTAGATTTAGGGGCAGAAATGAGAATGATGAGAGAAAGCAAGAGGCTGAGGAGTACAGGCCTTTCCATTGGCCCCCAGGTCACAGCTGGTGACCCTGACCTTCTCAGCAGCCTCATGTGATTAGGAGCCTGCAGCAAACCAGTCACGGGGTAGGTCCTGGTTCCCTCCCTGTCCTCGCAGTCCTCACCACCCAGCACCAATAGCCTTGCTTGAACATCAAGGACATCCTAGAGGAGGAAATACATCCCCAAATGGCAAAAGGCCACCTGGGCCCGTGTGAGAAAGCAGGGGACAGCACTCCTCAGCGAGGTAGTAAACACAAGGCTCTGGGGACAGGACCTGGCACTATATGCTGTCTAGTAGCAGCAGCAGTTGCTGCTGCTGCTCTTTATTATTGATGTCAATGGTTTATAAATTGATGAGATGTATATGCGTTCACATGTCAGGTACTAACTCTCAGATCCCCGTTTTCAGTCTGTACCTCATCCCCACCAGCCATTCCTGCACAATCCCTCAGGCACTGCTTGACGCTTCCCTTTGAGTAAGGGCTGTTTATTCTCTGTATTTTAGAGCTGCCCCTGTTCACAGTACTTGCATTATTCCAATATCTCCATTCGGCAATTGCCATTTCTTCTTAGTGCCACTCCAAATCTCTTTATTGGGAGAGGTCAGTCTTCGGAAGTGAAAGAAATATATAAATGCACCATTCTAGCCACACCATTTATTCCCTGGCTTCCTCCTCTTTCCCATAGGGAGGGTGGTTTTGTTATCATGTTACTCTAGTGCTTCTCATGACGGAACATAACTCAATTTCTTCAGTCATCTTTTGCACTTCACTGAAGAGCTCTGTGATCTCAGGTGCTTCGTTTTGCTGGAAAGGGAAGAGCGGGACACATCTGATCCCTCACTTAGAAAAGCAGGAAATAATCATTTTAGTTAGGGGCCTGGGAGACACATCTGTTTGCAAAAGGAAGGAGTTGCTGTTTCTCTGGCTGTCTGCTTCCTTCCATCTGTCCCAAGCCCACCCTTGGAAGTTATAGCTGAGCAACTCTCAGTGAAATAAATGTTGTAACGGGTCAAGTAATTAGCAGGCAGAATTATGATTGGGCTGTAACCTAACTCTAATCGCTGACCTCAGATAATTAATTTCATATGACATAACACCTTAGCTGTGTGCTGGCTTAAAAGTTTCCACTTGTCTCTCTCTTTTAGCTAGATTGCATTTTCTATTTCTGGATTTGTCCTGTTGATGAGTCAGGTGGCCCCAGACTCTTCCTGTGGATGAAAGGGGCATCCTGACTTGGACATATTTTCTACATATGTAAATTACAAAAAGGAAAAACTCTGTGTCCTTTTTTTGGCATAAAAGTAAGGGAAACTGGAGGGTTGAGTGAGGAAGGTATAAACTAGCCAGTGTAAATAAACTCTAGCCCTAGGGCATGAATGCAGCAAGATGTACAACAGAGAAAATGGTGCTCTGGAACAATGCTTTTCTATATTAAAAACAGCCATTATAAGGAACTTGTGGTATAAAGGGTCATGTTAATATTTGCCACCAAGTTAAAAAAAATTTACAAAATAAGATATAACGTCTGTATGATGATCTATGTATTCCTATGCCACAGTGAGTGGCTTTGTCTCTTCCCCTGTAGTACATGTGGAAATTGTCACTCTACCCATATCCCTGAGTCCTAGAACTGTTCCTACAGCTAGTGGGCTCACTGGGGTCTCACCTGCTTTGACTTTCGTAATGGAATTTGCTACATGAGTTCAGAGAGATGGTATGCTTTTCATGTTTTTTTAAAATTCACATGGTGAATTATCTTGTATACTGAAAAGACAGTTGAAAACCAAAATCATCTTTGAATGCCTAGTTTTGTTTAATAATCAAAGGAAGCTACTGTGCATTATGCCAAGTTGTAATTATTAGGAACCTAAAATAGTTGTACTTCTCTTGAGTAATTGATTGTTTTGTCATTGTCATTTTAGCTTATGCATACTATGAATAGTGACCAGGTTTCCTTTTTCACATGGGTTCCTACAAACGTAGAATCAAATTTGTGCCCCATCAGTAGCAAATGTATAGGCCATTATATCTTTATCATAAGTCTTGGATTAATTTCAGGTCCAATTCTTATTTTTCTTTCATATTCACTCCCACTTTTAATTTATATAGTCTTTTTTTGTAACCTTGTAAGCTGCCTTAAATTTTTTTCTAGAATAAGATGATCTATAGTTAACTAAGAGCTAGATATTGAAAACACAAAAGAAGAAAGTTGGGGCTGGATGCGGTGGCTCATGCCTGTAATCCCAGCACTTTGGGAGGCCGAGGCCGGTGGATCACGAGGTCAGGAGATCGAGACCATCCTGGCTAACACGGTGAAACTCCGTCTCTACTAAAAATACAAAAAATTAGCCAGGCGTGGTGGCGGGCGCCTATAGTCCCAGCTACTCAGGAGGCTGAGGCAGGAGAATGGTGTGAACCCGGGAGGCGGAGCTTGCAGTGAGCCGAGATCTCGCCACTGCACTCTAGCCTGGGCGACAGAGTGAGACTCCGTCTCAAAAAAAAAAAAAGAAAGTTGGGCAGAGAGAGAACTAAGGAAAGAAAGCAGACAGGCAGGCAGCTATGCACGTCTCAGTCACTTAACCTTCCTAAGTTTCAAATCTGTAAATTGCTGACGTCCAGCATATTTGTGGGACTCAAAATCATTTTTAAATAATGAACATGAACACAGTTTATAAATTCTACCCTTATAAATTATAGAGCTCTATGTAGCTTTGTTGTGATTATTTTAAAGCCATTTTCAACTGAGGCAATTCTCCATTGCCAAACCCTTGGCCTAATCCTCATTCATCTCTGTCCAGTAGAAGGCACTTCCCTCGAGAGCAGGGCCCAGGCTCTTCTGAGAGCTTTCCATGGGTCCAGCCAAGAACCAGAATCCTTACAGCACATAGAGACAATGTCGTCTTTCCCAGGATGGCTCTAAAACCTCCAAGCCCGACAGAGTTCTGTACCTTAGCTGTTCCAGGGCTAGGAAATCTAATTATCTAGCTGCAAAACAGCTAGCCAGGAAATCCTGTTTACCTCAGTGTCTCAGTATCATCTAGGAGATTTGGTGAGGACATTTGCACAAAATTCCCCAGTCAGGGACCTTCCACCCCATATATAGTTCCCAGTGGGATTTGGGGACCCCAAGAGCATCCCATCTCTCACTTAGAAACTTATGGGACCATCATCTCACTGCTTACATAATCCCACAATTAGAACCTCTTGACAAAGGAGTCTGTGGAATGGAGGGCGTGGAGACAGACCTTGGTGATCACTGTTCAGCCGCTGTTACTAGTGATCTTGTTGAAGTAGTTGTGCTTTCAGGTGAAGGGAAGCAGGAAGAAAGGCTGGTAAGTACAGCCCAAATGATCCATTACTGTCAGTCTAGTTATCTTCTTAAAGTAGATTCTGGTTAGGTAAAAGCCTCTCTTAGGTCCCATCAGTGCCATGATTAAAGCCAGACACCCCAGCATGACAGGAGACAGCACACGAAGGAGGACAAGAGTGAGTTTCTGCACTATCTGTGTGAGAATGCTTGCTCTGCCTATATGACAGCCAAGGAACCTGGACCAGGCCTCATGCCTTGTCAAGCCTGGGCTATGAAACATGGAGATAATAATGAGGATTCAACTGTCCAGGCAAAGTGCTTAGCACAATGCCAGCCTTTCTCACATCTGTGACTTTGCACATGTTGTTCTGGAACGTTCTTTTCCTGGTCTGTGCACTGAACTTCTACCCTTCAACATCCTCTTGAGACTTGCCTCTTTCTTGCCTTTCCTAAAATACAGCAACAAATCCTCACCCCAGCAGAATGTAGAGTTCTGCCCTTCTCTGCACATTTTAATTATTAATTATCTTTGTCACAAGATTTATTATTAGATATTATATTTACTTCATTAAGACACCAAAAAAATCCAATTGATCTTAAAAATAAACATAACATATGGTAGAGAGATTGTTAATGTTTTTTGCAACTTTAAACACCATTAGAAATTTTATGCTGTGAAAGACAAGCCAATAGCTAAATGCATATTTTAATTGAGTTATAATTTACATTTATTGAGGTACTCACATCTTAAGTGTACTGTTCAATCAGTTTTTACCAAGACCTAGAACATTTTCATCACACCTAAAAGTTCCTTAAGATCCCTTCCCAATCAAACCCACCCCACTCCCCACACCCATATACACAGAAGCAACAGCTGATCTGACTTCTATCGGCATATGTTAATGTTGCCTACTCTAGAAGTTCCTATAAATGAAATCATACAGGATGTACTTCATCATATCTGCTCCTTTCACTCAGTAATGCTTTTGAGATTAATCCACGTTGTTGCATTTGTCAGCTATCTATTCCTTTTATTACTCAGTAGCGTCTACTGTATGAATATGCCATCGTTTATCCGTTCTCTCTTGTTGATGGGCATCTATCAGAATTTTTTTATTTTAACTTTTAACTATCATAGAGTAAAATTGGCCTTTTTTTCTTTTGGCATACAGGTCTATGAATTTTAATACTGTACAGATTTGTGTGGGTGCCACCACAGTCAGTATACAGACAGTATCATGAGATAACTCCCAGGTGCTTCCCTTTATATTACCCCCTACCACCCCTAGCCCGTACCTCACACCTGTTCTCCATCACTGTAGTATCACATTGCATTTTAATTGCTTATACACATGTCTGTCTTTCCTGCTATATTGTCAGCTTCTCAGAGTAAGAACCACATCTTCTTCATCTTTCCTCCTCGGGGCTTAGCACAGTGCCTAGTACATAGTAGGTGCCCATTAGATTTTTGAGGGATGAATGAATGAATGTCCATGTGGCCACACAATGAGTCCTTTCATAATTCTTAGTAGGGAAGGGGAAGAAGAAGGTTGAAGGAAACCAACATTACCTTTGCTCTTTTAAAGAAAAATTTAGGTCCTTTTTTCACAGCAATAATGATTTTATGAT
This sequence comes from Homo sapiens, assembly GCF_000001405.40. Classification (NCBI taxonomy): domain Eukaryota; kingdom Metazoa; phylum Chordata; class Mammalia; order Primates; family Hominidae; genus Homo; species Homo sapiens. The sequence continues at coordinate 100,129,443 of NC_000003.12, forward strand.
TTCAAGAAATTTTAAAGAGTGCTCTCTGGTAATTGCTACTTAAGAGGATATGTTAAGTCACACAAAACAGTAATCTCTCCATAAAAGGAGTTCAGCAAATGTTTATACTAAAAATATTACTGCTGATTAAGTTTGGGCTTGAAAATTAAAAAGGAAAAATTTAAACATGCTTTTTTGTCTATTACCTGTTTCTAACTATGTTCCAGAAGCCTAAAATTCTCCCCCAGAGTCTTTAATATATTTTTCAGCTATCCCCAGCTCTATAAAGATCCTTTACACTGTATTCAGAGAAACTCAATACTCACACTGTTACTTTTGACTGAGGTTTTGGTTTTCTTATTTTTTCCTAAACCAGTGCCATCTTTATCTAAAATTCGTTTTACTAAAGTCATTATTACTATAAGTGACACTTGGTTCTCATAGTGTCTTCCCTAGAGCATATTCAGTTCTTTTCAGCTTCAACTTTACTTTTCTTTTCTTCCTTTCAGTGTTTATTACTGTTTCCTTTTTCATTAATCACAATGCTGAAATGACTCTGTATATATTCTTTTTATCCTCTAAATTTCACCCACCAGGATATTATCTCCTACAAACTGAGCCCTTTGCCAACTCCATGTCACATTTTCTTTAAGCAAATAAATTTTCTCCATATGCTTAGCATATACCCCTGAGCCCTATAGCCTATTTCCCCTTTTAAAACAGAAATGGGGAAACAGCTGTTCCATTCCTATAAAGTGTGTCCTGTTTTATAGATAACCCTGAACAGCTCTATTTTGATGTCTGCAATATTACTTGGTCCTTGAAATTGTGAATTTCCTGGACCTGAATTTCCCTTTCACATTTGGGAAAGAAAAATTAATTCTACTGGATGTTTCAGTGCACTACGTAGGCCATGAGGTCTTCTCTAAAAGTTTGTTTTGGTAGCTACTGAAGGGCTCATTTCTTCCCTGCAGCACAACAAACTTTTTATCTGTAAAGACTCATATTATGTGGCCATCTCATTGAGTGTTTTAGCAGAAGTTGATTGTATATATCTGCTGGATCCTATGCTGCCTCCAGAACATACAAGGATGAAAGGACACATTGCCCTAAGGGGGACCACAGCCCAGTAGGGAGGACAGACGCAATGTGAAGAGTTTTCTAATACCTGAGCCGAAACAACCACCTAGAGTACGAACTAGCAGACTATGGCATGTGGGCTGGCCACCTGTTTTTGTATGGCTTGTTTTGTTGTAATATAGCTATGCATACTCCTTTACATATTCTCAATGGCTTACATATTGTACAATGTGTAGTTGTGATAGAGATTATATGGCCCACAAGCTTAAAGTATTTACCTGGTCCTTGAACTTAAAAAATTGCCATCTTCTAGCTTAGAAGGAGCATCAAGAAAGTGTATGGTTGGTCACCAAAGAATAGGATAGTGGAGGACATCCTGGAGGATGACAGCATTTTAAGGGGTAGGTGAAATAAGAAAGTGCATGAAGTGATGGGTTGGGAACCAAATCACAGTGTTCCAGAAGACAAAGGAGGAGAGAGTGTCAAAAAGTTGAGAGTTAACATCAGTACCAAATGCCCCAGGGTAATCAAGTGAGGTAATGGTTATGATGACCATTTTGTGAGAATTCACTTGTGTGCCAGACTGTGTGTTAAGTAACTTACATTCATTACATCAGGACTCCATGTAACAACCCTATGAAGTAGGTACTGTTAATATCCCTGTTTTATAGATGAGGAAACTAAGGCGCAAAAAGAGCAAGTAACTTTTCCAAGCTCACACAGCTTGTAAATGACAGAGGTAAGGTTCCAGTCTAGGCATCCCGATTCTAGGGAGCTTGTAATTTTAATCCCCGTGCTATAGTAATTTACAGTGGCATGATGGCGGTGGAAGATAGCTTCAAATGAGTGATAAACGATGTCTACCACGGGCAATACACTCATCTGAGTGTTTCTCCCTATCTCATTTCAACAACTTCACTTTATATTTTAGGAAACCAAAGCACACAAAGAGGAACTAACTTGCCCAAAGCCAGCTATTGAGTGGCAGAGGTGTGATGTGAACCAGGGCATTGTGGAAGGACACAGCTTGGTACCTGACTTAGCCTGAGCTCCCTCCCTACATCTCTACTGACCCCCATCCAGCCTCAGGCCTTTCCCAGTTCTCTTGGAGATTTTGACCTAAATCTGGTTCTCGCTTCCTTGCTACTCCCTGCACCCCAATGTGATAGCCATTTAGGAAAATAAAAAAGAAGAAAGCTCAATGTGTTTTTTAAATAACTTAAGGTGTGGTAGCAATAGAAAACTCATAGGCAGATCAATGGAATTATACCATAGCATATGTATAATTTGTGTTTTGATTAAATAAAAGTGTCATGACAAGAAAGTGAGGAAAGGAAGAATCATTTGGCAAGACATTGGGACAATTGATTAAATATTTGTAAAGGTAACAGAGTTAGAGCCCCACATTATACTCAACAAAATCTATTCCATATGGATTTAAGTTACATGCTTTTTTTAAAGATTAAATTATTTTAAACACTAGATTATGTACTTTGAAATAGAGATAATTTTTCTAAGCATAACTGCAATGAAAAATGATATATTTGATCTCATAATTTAAAACATCTGTAAATCGAAAGTCATAAAAATTAAAAGATTAGGCAGCATTAAAAATTAATCTTGGCTGGGTATGGTGACTCACGCCTGTAATCGCAGTGCTTTGGGAGGCCAAGGCAGATTGCTTAAGGCCAGGAGCTCAAGACCAGCCTGAGCAACAAAGAAAGACCCCCATCTCTAAAAAAGTTTAAAAAATTGGCCAGACATAGTGGCATGTAGCTGTAGTTCTAGCAACTCAAGAGGCTGAGGCAGGAGGATAACTTGAGCCCAGCAGTTCAAGGCTATAGTGAGCTATGATGGCACCACGGCACTGCAGCCTGGGCAACAGAATGAAAGCCTATCTCTAAAAATGAATAAATAAATAATTTGTTAAGATTAACCTTAAAATTAATAGAGCCATAAAAGTTGATAAGCAAAACATTAAAACTTTCCTTGACAAATGAACAGTTAAGAACATTCTATGCATATAAGAAAATAAAGGCCAGGTGCGGTGGCTCACGCCTGTAATCCCAGCACTTTGGGAGGCTGAGGCCGGCAGATCACAAAGTCAGGAGATCAAGACCATCCTGGCTAACATGGTGAAACCCCGTCTCTACTAAAAATACAAAAAATTAGCCGAGCATGGTGGCGGGCGCCTATAGTCCCAGCTACTCAGGAGGCTGAGGCAGGCAAATGGTGTGAACCCAGGAGGTGGAGCTTGCAGTGAGCCGAGATCCCGCCACTGCACTCCAGCCTGGGCGACAGAGCAAGACTCCATCCCAAAAAAAAAAAAAAAAAAAAAAGAAAAAGTAAAATATTTAGTCTCATCAAATGATCGCAAATTAGTAAAATGCTATATTATTTTTACCTATTTACAATATTAGAAAGGTAATATTCAGTGTTTACTGGGGTGTGATAAAAACATACACAGTGTTATACAGTGTTGATGACTTATAAATTGACCCAAAAGCTTGTGGAAAAGAGTTTAGAAGTTAAGACCTTTTAAAAACATGTATACCTTTTTACAATGCAATTTTTCTTCTAGAAATCTATTCTAAACAGAAATATATAAATGTTACATATAATGATGTTTATTATACTATATTTGCAAAACCAAATTTTTGAAATAATCTAAGTAATGATAGAAGAACAAAGAAATATATTGTAGACAAACCATGGTTTACTATAAAGCCACTAAAAATGTTTTTCAAGACTAATGACATGGGGAAATACTCATAATATAATATTAAAGGATAAAACATTTGTATATGATACATAATTCCAGACATGTAAAGCTATGTGGATATATACATAGTCTTATTCATATACACACAGAGACAGAACAAAAGTAAATACCAAAATTAGAATGCTGGATATCTTTTACAGTAGGACTGTCTTTTTATAGTGGAACCAAATTTTTTTGGTTTTTTTTTACTTTTCTGCATTTTCTAAAAATCTCCACAATGAATATGTACTATTTTTATATGAAGGAAAAGGGTAAAAAAAGGTTTTTAAAAATTATGATGCTATCAAATTTGTAGTATAGTATTGATAAACCAAATCTTATTTTACTCTGTCTTGTTTATTTACTCCATTAGACTTACATCTCAGCGTTATCTCACCCCCATCACGTAAGACTTTAGGGTTGTGGTTCTCGAAGATCAATCCAAACACAAATCATTATGTGAATACTTTTCGTATAGTTGGTAGTCAGTTGATAGGCTAATTCCTTAAGCCCAGTTTGTCAATAGGAAACTTTAAGGATGAAGCAATGAAGGACCTTGTCCTAAGCTATACCCAAAAACTCTGTAAGAAAAGGCTTTTTCCATTGAGAAGCTGGGTGAGAAAATTAAGCATTCTGAAGCAGGGTAGGTGAGCATTATACCTACCTTGAATAATTTACATTAACGGGATACATTATGTATTAATAGTATAATAGGTAGTTGAAGTCTCTGTGAATGCCAAAGGGTACTCTTAACAGAAGTACTGTGTTTTTTCCATTGTAACACTTCTCTTCCTTGGGGTTACACTCTATAACAAGGGTGAGTGGATAGTAGGTCTAGATGTAGCCTCATAGGCTTTTTTCTTATGAAATTTCTGTTCGGGGAAATTATGTAACTCACATACCCACATGTGGGCCACATTAACCTATTTTTTTTTAATGTTACCCTATTCCTCTGTACTTCAGCATTCCACCTCACTCTGGAAATTTTGACACATCCAGGGTATATAGCATTCTTAACAGAAGTTGGCCCAAACCAGTAGAGAATCATAAATCACAGCAGTATGACTTCATCAATCCACAATTAAGAAAACTGTGGCATAAAGTGGTTTGCTCAGGATCACAAAAATTAAAGCTAAAATTTAGGCTTTCTTCTGTCGCTGTTCTGGGAGCTGTTAACAGGTGTTCCGCAGTGAGGGGTTTGGGGATCAAATAAGTTCGAGGATGGCCTCATCTCCATTTCCTTACTTGGACAGTAGTAATCCATATTAATATATTAAAGAATCTCTGCAATAAGACAGATAATATTAATAAACCAGATGGGATATAGGGAAAACAAGTATAAATCAGGACTAGCCAAGGCAAACCAGGATATATTTTCTTCCTAGCTAAAAGATAGGATGGGGTGGAAGGAGTGGTAGAGAGTTACTGACAGATATTTGAACTCAATTAGGTTTAGGTTTTTTTGGAGGAGGGAGGCTGCCGGCCACATGTAGATGAATGTTAGTTAAATATAACATACATTATTATATGAAATTGGGCTCTACCCATAAAGCCCAATGGATTCTAATAACTTGCTTAAAGACCAGTGCCACCAGCAAGCTGCTTGTTTTGCCTTCCAAATTTGAGAGGCAATATTGCATAGTAGTTAAGAGCAGACTTTGAATCAATATTGTGTAGGTCTAAATCCTGGCTCTCTTTCTTATTAATGTTGAGCAGGTGCCTCCATTTCTACCTCTGTAAAACAGATTATAACAACAGTACCTGTCTCATAAGATTGATATGGGAATTAAATGAGTTATTTACAAAGAGCATTTAGAACAGTGCCTTGTACAAAGTAAGGATTATGTAAGAGCTGTTATCATTAGAATTGGTTTCTATTCCAAGAATGAAGAATTTATATAGCAATGCTTCCAAATGTACAAGTATTCAGGCCCAAAATGCCACCACCAACATCCATGGCTCTGTTCATTTAACTGTAAAAGTTGGGTAGAAAAGATTGAATTGAAATTGCTCATAGCTTCAAAACTGCCCCAAAATATATAAATGTTCAAACATTTAAAACAAACTAGAAAGGAAGAAGGATTGGGAGCTTTAACATTGCCTGAAGTTGAGGTCATGTCACCTAAACCCCTGATGTGGACTAATGATTCCTGAGGAGCCTTTGTGTGTGTGTGCATGTGTGTGTGTGTGTGTGTGTGTGTGTGTGTGTGTGTGTGTGTGTGTGTGTGTTTAAGAGACAGGGTCTTGCTCTGTCACCCAGGCCTGGAGTGCAGTGGCATCATCATAGCTCATTGTATCTTCGAACTCCTCAGCTCAAGTGATCCTCCTGCCTCAGCCTCCCAAGTTGCTGGGACTACAGATGCATGTACCACTGCACCTCACTTCCTGTGTGCATATTTAAAAATAAGTGAATACAACATTACTAAACTGGAGCAGTCAAATTTTTAGAAAATAACCATTAAGTTTGCTGACTTGCAGCTAGTGACAGAAATTTTGTAGCATTTAAGCATCCCATAAAAAGTTGAGGCATTTTTCTTTAGTTGTGTTTTTCAAATGATCTTTTTGTTCTTAGTACTTTGCCTTCTGTCAAATTATCAGGACCCATGAAATGACTCCAGCTCAGTGTTTTACCATCCTAGTCCAAAAGTTCTAGCTTTAAAGTTTTCTGTGGGAACAGAAAACTTTAAAAATTTTGTAAGCAAACTCTAGATCTGTTGTCTCAACTAGGAAAATAGGAGCATTATTGGAATGTACATCAGGCTATAGCTGTTGCCACTAAAAATGGCAAAATGAAAGGAGAAAAAGGATCACCCACTCTCCTTTCCAGTTCAGAATGACAAGAAAACTTCTGATAGAGAGAATCAAATCACAAGGACTTATATCCAGAAGCATTTGTTTTGTTAAATCTTTTGGAGAGAAGAAGAGATCTTAAGGAGCTTGAGAGATGGAGAAGATAGATCATGCCCAGTTTTTTGCCGTATGTTAGACAGCAAAAAAGCAAAAAGGAAGAGATGATAACTAGAAAAAAAAACAAATAAAACTGGACTGGCGCCAATAGAAAGCCCGATGAAGCACCACACGCCCACAGCTTTGAGTGGTCTTGTGTCCTGGGACCTGGACCCCAGGACTGCAGGACTTGAAGAAGCCAGGAGGCTGAGGGCCGAACTTGCCTGAGCTCCTCCAAGCAGCCCCCTCAAAGCAACCAGATGCCCTGCAGTGGGCATGTCAAGCCTGTCTTGCTCCTCCTGGACTCTCCTTCAATGAATTCCTCATTTTCATACAGGCCCTGCCCCATTTTCCTTTCCTAGTGAAAGTTGTAACTGCTTGCTACATTATCCCCTAAGACAGTCTTGTTTCTTGTTTCTGCCTTCAGAAGATCTTCACAGAGGAGGGAAAACCTGAGCTGAGGTTTAGAGGGTAGGGGTGAGATTTTGATGGAAAAGGAAAGGAGACAAGGATAAAGTGAGAACAGGCATTCTGAATAATTAGAGTAAATGAGAGATACACTTACAGGCCATATGATTATTTGATCATGTGGCCTAATTGACTATAAACCCTTCTTTTCTAGTCATAGCTTATCTGTAGTAATTATTTTGAAAAAATGTGCAGAAGCAATAAAAGATTGACCTTCCTTCACTACACAACCTCTGTGAGTATAGGTGGATTCAGAATTGAGAGCCTCTTCCTCCTTGGCTAGGCTGCTCACTGCCTTTTCCTCCCCTTCCCTTCCCTATGATCTGTGTTGCTGGCATGGCCTTACGGCCTTCACAGAGTTCAGTCTCAGGGTCCTGTTCTTTGGATATGGGAATTGTGTTCTTTCTCAGTGATGCTGGTGGGAGTCTCTTAATGGGCTGGGAACATGGTTCTTGAAGAGTAGTTCCCAGCCCTGGCCAAATAAAACATTCTGGCTCCTAGGGATTGAGTAATTTTAGCAAAACACTGTAGACTGTTGAAGTACAGCTGTGTATCCAGCATTACTTTTCAGTGTGTATAGTGTAGCCTTCCCAGAGAACAGCTGATGACCTCTAGAAATATAGAACTTCCCCCACAAAATGATACTGAACTAAATAAAATGGATTTTTAAAAATAGAGCCACAACATGATGATAAAAGGAACAATTCTACAGGAAGTCATAACAATTCTAAACTTGCATGCACCTAAGACAGCTATGAAATATGTAAATAAAAATTGGTAGAATTACTGTAAAACATTGACAAGCTCAAAATGAGAGGGGAAGATGTTAATATACATACACCCCAATAATTGATAGATAAAAGAGATTAAAATTCATAAGCATGTAACTTTTTTTTTTTTTTTTGAGACAGAGTCTCGCTTTGTCGCCCAGGCTGGAGTGCAGTGGCGTGATCTCGGCTCACTGCAAGCTCTGCCTCCTGGGTTCACGCCATTCTCCTGCCTCAGTCTCCCAAGTAGCTGGGACTATAGGCGCCCGCCACCATGCCCGGCTAATTCTGTTTTTGTATTTTTAGTAGAGACGGGGTTTCACCATGTTAGCCAGGATGGTTTCGATCTCCTGACCTCATGGTCTGCCTGTCTCGGCCTTCCAAAGTGCTGGGATTACAGGCTGAGCTACCACGACCAGCCAGCATGTAACATTTTTTAAAACACAAGTTTATGACCATACGTAGACATCTGTACCTAACAATTAGAAACTATATACTCAGAAACAGGCTACAGTAACCAAAACAGCATGGTACTGGTACAAAAACAGACATATAGTCCAATGGAACAGAACAGTGACCTCAGAAACAACACCACACATCTACAACCATCTGATCTTCGACAAACCTGACAAAAACAAGCAATGGGGAAATGATCTCCTATTCAATAAATGGTGCTGGGAAAACTGGCTAGCCATAGGCAGCAAACTGAAACTGGACCCCTTCCTTACAACTTATACAAAAATTAACTCAAGATAGATTAATGTCTTAAAAGTAAAACCCAAAACCATAAACACCCTAGAAGAAAACTTAGGCAGTACCATTCAGGACATAGGCATGGGCAAAGACTTCATGACTAAATCACCAAAAGCAACTGCAACAAAAGCCAAAATTGACAAATTAGATCTAATTAAACTAAAGAGCTTCTGCACAGCAAAAGAAACTATCATCAGAGTGAACAGGCAACCTATAGATTGGGAGAAAAATTTTGCAATCTACCTATCTGACAAAGGTCTAATATCCAGAATTTACAAGGAACTTAAACAAATTTACAAGAAAAAAACAACCCCATCAAAAAGTAGGCAAAGGATATGAACAGACCCTTCTCAAAAGAAGACATTTATGTGACCAACAGACATATGAAAAAAAGCTCAACATCACTGATCATTAGAGAAATGCAAATCAAAACCACAATGAGATACCATCTCATGCAAGTCAGAATGGCAATTATTAAAAAGTCAAGAAACAATAGATGCTGGCAAGGCTGTGGAGAAATAAAAACACTTTTACACTGTTGGTGGGAGTGTAAATTGATAGTTCAGCCATTCTTGGAGACAGTATGGCAATTCCTCAAGGATCTAGAACCAGAAATACCATTTGACCCAGCAATCCCATCACTGGATATCTACCCAAAGGAATATAAATCATTCTACTCTGAAGACACATGCACGCGTATGTTTATTGCAGCACTATTTACAATAGCAAAGTCATGGATCCAACCCAAATGCCCATTGATGATAGACTGGATGAAGAAAATGTGGTACATATATACCATGGAATACTACGCAACCACAAAATGAATGAGATCATGTCCATTGCAGGGACATGGATGAAGCTGGAAGCCATCATCCTCAGCAAACTAACCCAGGAACAGAAAACTAAACATCACATGTTCTCACCCATAAGTGGGAGTTGAACAATGAGAACATGTGGACACAGGGAGGGGACCATCACACACCAGGGCCTGTTGTTGGGTGAGGGGTGAAGGGAGGGAACTTAGAGGATGGGTCAATAGGTGCAGCAAACCACCATGGCACATGTATACCTATGTAACAAACCTGCACGTTCTGCACATGGATCCTGGCACGTAAAGTAAAACAAAATAAAATGAAAAGTTTAAACTCTTTAAAAAAAAAACCCTTGAAACATTTTTTTAATTGATTAAAAATCCAGCCAGGAGGCCAGGCATGGTGGCTCACACCTATAATCCCAGCACCTTGGGAGGCTGAGATGAGTGGATAACCTGAGGTCAGGAGTTTGAGACCAGCCTGGTCAACATGGTGAAACCCTGTATCTACTAAAAAAAAAATGTGTGTGTGTGTGTGTGTGTGTGTGTGTGTGTGTGTATGTATATATATGTGTATATATATGTGTGTGTATATATGTGTGTGTGTATATATATATATATATACACACACACACAAAAATTAGCTGGGCATGGTGGTGGGCACCTGTAATCCCAGCTACCCAGGAGGCTGAGGCAGGAGAATCGCTTGAACCCAGGAGGCGGAGGTTGCAGTTAGCTGAGATCGCGCCATTGCACTCCAGCCTGGGCGACGAGAGCAAAACTCCATCTCAAAAAAAAAAAAAAAATCCAGCCAGGACAAGTTTCTATAAATAAAGTTCATCAGAACACTGCCATTTCCATTTGTTTATACACTGCCTAGGGCAGTGTATAAATTAGAACAGCAGAGTTGAGTAGTTATCAATAATGTTCATATTACTCTGCAAACCCAACACCTACTTACCCTATGTCCTTTACCTTAAAAGTATGCTGATCCCACTGGGTGCAGTTACACAACTGTATGCATTAATCAAAATCCATAGAACTCTTCAGTAAAAGTTATTTTTAGTATATGTAAATTATTCCTCAATAAACCTCACTTTAAGAAATAATGATTGAAGCTAACTTCCATTAATTTGTAACACTTGCCCAACATCACACAACTAATAATTGCTGAAGCAGAGATTTGAACCCCAGATTATTTTAATCCCACAATCCATAATCTTCCTCACTATCCTTGCTTCAAAAGAAGCTGCTTACAGCTTAATGAAATTTCCTTCTATTCCTCTATTATTTTGGTAAGAGGTCTCTTTGATGCTTTTATTTTTAAATCACCCCCCAGAAGTCCCCCACTTCCAGTCTCTGGTCACTACTGATCCTTTTTCTGCCTCTATAGTTTTGCCCTTTCTAGAATGTTAAAATAAATAAAATCATGCATTATATAGCTTCTTAGGCCTGGCTTCTTTTGCTTGGCATCATGCTGTTGAAATTCATCCATGTTATGTTTTCTGTTCTTTTTCTTTCTTTTTTAGAAATGGGGTCTCACTTTGTTGCCCAAGCTGGTCTTGAACTTGTGGCTTCAAGGGATTCTCTTGCCTCAGCCTCCCTAAGCACTGGGATTATAGGCGTGAGCTACAACCCCTAGCCTGTTGTTCTTAACTGTGAGAACTAATAAAGACAGAGGAGCAAGGTTGTTCGCTAGGGCAGATGTAGGTTTTTCTGAGGCCTGAGCTTATGCAATTTCATGGGCCCTCTCTTAGAAAAAGAATGCAAAATTCCTAATATAAAATTAAATATAAAAGAAAAAAAATTTTTTTAATTGGATATGAAAGAAGTTATTTTAAATAAGAAAAAAATAACAGTACTGCCCCAACCACAGCAATTCTGAAAATTGGTATTTTACTCATCCTCATCAAATAAAGAAAAAACATAGTTTCTTTTCAGTCATATACAGTGCACCATCTACTATATGTATCCTACAGGAGAGACGTTCCATTTCAAATAGGCAAAAATGAGAACCTAATTCTCTACTTACAGTTTTATATTTTTTATGATTGGAAGAATCTTCCACTGACTAGTTTGAGGTTTCCTACATTCCAAACCTGGTTCCTCCTCCACTTCCCACATGGTTCTAGGGACTGATGCTCTAGGCACATCTGTGTCATGATCTACACCCTCTAGCCTTGCCCACTTTGTGTCAGAATGTCTGGTGAGTTAGCACAGGATGTCTAGTGCAGGATGCCAGCACTAGAACAGCTAGCAATCATTTGATCATAGACAAAAGTGATTGCAAACCACATAAAAATCCCATTAAATTCAAACTAAATGTATGTGCAACTAGCTTCCTCTAAATGGATCCCCAAAAATGCTCCCAGCCATCCAGCACTACTCCCTGGGAGATACGTGGCAGGAGAATTCTGAGTGGAAACAGACAATGGTCTTAACATATTGTGGTGAAGACGGCGGTCTTAACGTACTCTTTTGCACATTTTAAAGAACAATTGACTGTATGATCCCATTGCCAGGGCCCCTCCCAGTGTCTTCAAGAGTTTGTGCAAGCAAATACCTGAAAACCTAAGGAAAATGATGGGAAACTGAACTTCAGATACTTATCAAAAAGAAGATGAAGGTAGGGATTGAGGTAAAGAGAAGATGTGCAACCTTATATTTTCATTTGCTGTTGTTGCCAGGGGTTGAAAAAGGACAGTGTACTTGATGACTCCTCTTTTGGAATAACTTAACCAATCCCATCTGGCAGTGTCTTTTTTTTTAAGTAGACTCTTCAAGGAGTTGGGGAAGAGGCAGTGCAGTCTTAGTGACTCCACTTAACTGGCTGAATCAACCACTGGGACTGAGTGGCACAGGCCCAGCTTAGCCTCCTCGAATCCCAGCAGTCCTGGAGGAACCTGAGTACTGGAGCCAACCTGGCTAGATTGGGTCCCCATACTTTTCTTTCAATATTCTCTTAATGGAAATCACAGAACTAGCATCCTTACTTCAGAAAAGCAGTTTCTTCTTTTGGAATCAAAAAACATCACAGGCTAAGGAAACAACTAAATTATCCAATTTACAGTGATATAAGATGATCTCATTTTATATGTTAAAAGGTGTCACATAAAATAACTTTTTGGAACAAGAAGTAACAGATTTAGAGCATTTTATAAGCAAGGTATTTTAAATCTTTCTCATAGTTTTTGTTGCATAAGTGCCACACATCTTTAAAAATATGTTACAGTCAGCCCTCCATATCCATGGGCTCCACATATGTAGATTTCACCAACCACAGATCAAAAATATTTGAAAAAAAATGTGTCTTTACTATGTACAGACTTTTTTCTCTTGTCATTATTCCATAAACAATACAGTGTAAGAACTCTATACATAGTATTTATATTGTATCAGGTATTATAAGTAATCTAGAGATAATTTAAAGTATACAGGAGAATGTACATAGGTTGTATGCAAATATTACATCATTTTATATCAGGAACTTGAGCATCTGTGGATTTTGGTAGGTGAAACAGGTCCTGGAACCAATCCCCCACAGATACCAAGGGACTACTGTATTTATTTTCAACTAGATTGCTTAAATATAGACTGTGTTCTTCAGCTAGCAGATTCTGAAGAATGGAGGAATACAGAGTTTCTATTTTTTAAGATCATTCATTGATTTTTAAACATTTATGGGGCTGATCCTGACATTTATTTGTAGGTCATTCTTTTTACCTCAAAGGATTTTTATGATATGAGGATATGAGGAAATTTGTATAAGGGATTAAATGCTTTACATAGAGAATATATGTTACTTTATAATAAAAACGTAAATAAAGCAATAGGTATGGGGAGTCCTTTTTACTTTTAGTCAACACTGGGTCAAGTACTTTGGGCACTCATATGTACCCTCAGAGAGTTTACAGTTCAGATGGAGAGAAAACCTAACATTTATGCAACACCAGTACACATTGTAAGACAAGGTAAAATTATGTGCCAATTTACAAGGTACAGGCTACCAACAGTGTAGAAAGAAGTACAGAGGCAAGAGGAAGAAGGAGAAACATAGTTTCCCTTAAGGATCCCAGATGAAGATGGGTTGGAGAATATTAAGAGAAAGGAGCCCCCATTGATAGAAGCCAATATAAGAATTTTCACAGAACTTGGGGTAGCCTTTAGATTTCTTGGGATTTTTTATGTACACAATCATGTTATCTGCAAATGGAGGCAGTTTGCTATCTTCCTTTCTAATGTATATGCCTTTTATTTCCTTTTCTTGTCATATTGCACTGGTTAAAAGTTCTAGCACTGTGTCAAATAAGACTGGTAAGAGCGGACATCCTTGCCTTGTTCCCAGTCAGGAGCAAAGCTTTGGCCTTTCATTATTAGCCATAATGTTGCTGAAAGTTTTTTTACATGCTGTTTATCAATTTCAATTCTTTTTAAATTTGTTAATGTTTTATGGCCTAGAATATAGTCTGTCTTGGTAGACCCTCTGTGACACTTGGAAAGAGTGTGTATTCTGCCGTTGTTGATTGGATTCTTCTACAAATGTTGATTATATCCTATTGCTTGATGGTGCCACTCAGTTCTATATCTTTGCTGATTTTCTATCTAGTCATTCTCTCAATTTTTAAGAGAGGACTGTTAAAGTTTACAAGTCAATTATGGATTTATCTATTTCTCATTTTATTTCTACTAGTTTTTACTTTGCATGCTTTGTACTTCTACAAAGCATGGAGAGCCTGCTGTTTGGTGCATACACATTTAGGATTGCTATGTCTTCTTGACAGATTACCCTTTATCATTATATAATGTCTCTCTCATTCTCTGGTAATTTTCTTTGCTCTGAAGTCCACTTTCCCTGAAATTAATATTGCCACTCTTGCTTTCCACTGACCAATATTTTCATATTATGTCTTTTTTTCATCCCTTTGCTTTCAGTTTGCCTATATCATTATATTTGAAGTAAGTTTCTTATAACAGCATATAGTTCGGTCATATTTTAAAATTCATTCTGTCAATCTCTGTCTTTAAATTGGTATGTTTGGGCTATTTACATTTAATATATTCATTGATATGTTGGGGGTTTAAATCTGTGTATACGTTTTTTTCTTTTGTTTGATCACTAATTTTTCCATCTCTGTGCGGGGGAGGAGTAGGGGTTGGTCCCCTATCTTCCTATGGGTTACTTGAACATATTGTAGAAGCCCACTTTGATTTATCTCAGTGTTTTTGAGTACATCTCTCTATGTAGCCTTTTTAATGGTTGCTGAAACTATTAGTGTGGATTTGGCCTCATTACTGCTGGGTGATATAGAAAGTCATAACTGTCCACTAGGCTTCCTCTGACACCATCCCAGTGGGATAGGAAAGATATACTTCATTACAGCCAGGAGGGGATGGAAGTCCAGGCTCCTCATGTGGTCACCATTGATACTGCAGTGGTGGTGGTGGTGGTGAAGTTGGGGATGGATGAGGGCTCATTACCACCCTCTGGGGATAAAAATCCCAGCTCCCAGTTTGTCTCCAACATCACCCTGGTAGGAGATGGAGCCTTCAGGGGTCCATCATGGGGTGCCTCATTACACCCTGTCAAGGGTGGAAGTCTAGGCTCCCCATTCTGTCTTTGGTGGTGAGGATGAGGTCATAGTTTTTTCTGTGCTGTTTGGCTACAGTCAAGTGGTTATTGTCTGAAAGGTTTTAGTCTTGCTAGGCTTCCTCTTTCGTGGTCATTTTGGTAAAGAGAGCAGACTTTTGTTGGGGCTTTTTTGGTTGGCTTCCATTGGCATTTCCAGGTAGCTGCCTTCTTCAGCTCCTAGTCTGGGATAATGAGGCAAAAAGATAACCCAGGGAGTTTGCTATTGAATTATTCTTGGTCCCTAAAATCTCTAGCTGGTCTGCTATCTTATCTCCACCTTTCAGAGTCTTTCTATTTTTTTTAAATATGTAATGTCTAGGATTTTTCATTGTACTTCGCCAGAGGGGTAGGGAACAGTGTAACTACTACAGCTATCTTCCTAGAAGCAGAGATCCTATAAATACTTTTAATGACAATTTAATTGTTCATTTTTGAAGGCCCTGTTAATCTGCCTGCTATTTTTCACTACCCTTTTGGGTAGGCTTTTTTTCTCATGCTACACACTTAAGAGTATACATATTAGGCTGGGTATGGTGGCTCATGCCTGTAATCCCAGCACTTTGAGAGGCCGAGGCAGGCGGATCACCTGAGGTCAGGAGTTCAAAACCAGCCTGGCTAACATGGCGAATCCCTGCCTCTACTAAAAACACAAAAATTAGCCAGGCGCCAGGCATGGTGGTGGGTGCCTGTGATCCCAGCTACTCGGGAGGCTGAGGCAGGAGAATCGCTTGAATCCGGGAGGCGGAGGTTGCAGTGAGCTGAGATCACACCATTGCACTCCAGCCTGGGCGACAGAGAGAGATTCCGTCTCAAAAAAAAAAAAGTATACATATTAGTCAGGGTTCTCCAGAGAAACAGAACCAACAGGATTATATAAGGAACGAGATTTACTCTAAGGAATTGGCTCACATGATTATGGAGGCTAGCCAGCCCAGCCCTAAGATCTTCATGGCAAGTTGACAAACTGGAGATCCAGGAGAGCTGATAGTTTAGTTCTAGTCCTAGTCTAAAGGCCTTAGAACTAGAGAAGATGATGCAGTTTTAGTCTAAACATGATAGGCTTGCGACCCAGGAAGAGCTGGTGTTTCAGTTCAAGTTGAAAGGCAGGAATAATTCTCCCTTACTCAAGGATAGGTCAGTGCTTTTATTTCAACCAATTGGATGAGGCCCACTCACATTATGGAAATTAATCTGTTCTATTCAGTCTATCCATTTAAATGTTAATCTCTCTAAAAATACCCTCACAGCAACACCCAGAATGTATGACCAAATATCGGGGCACCCCATGGCCCAGTCAAGTTGACACATAAGATTGACCATCACAGTATGCAAACATTTAAAAGCACAGGCTTAACAAAATGGTTAAGTTGGACCTAAATATGAACTCTGACAGAACATGTTCACATATTCACATTTGAGGCTCACTTTGAGATATACAGAGAAACTCAAGGGAATGAGTAAAGTCTTTCATAGATCAAAAATTTGTTTAAAGGAAGCAAGCACTAAAATCTGAAAGGCAGCGCGACATTATGGGAAATAAGAACCTTCTGGTCACCGTGTTTCTTCAGAAGAGCTTTATAAATAGGAAAACTGTTAAAACTTTTATTTTTCCTGATTCTTAGGGTAAGAATTTATTTTTTCTATTGTGGAAAGGTTAAAAAATTCAAAATAAGAATTTCTCATGACCTGTAATCCCTTTGTCACAATCTCTCAACATTTCCTCCTGGGGCCAGCATCTGATGTCAAGGCCTGGCTGGTTCTGGGTGCAGGCATCACTTGCTGGGGATAACTTCAGACTCAAATAGACTTTAGTTCCCAGGTGTGTGACCTTGGGCAAATGGCTTTACCTCTCTGAACAGCAGTCTTTTTATCTAAGAATAGAGGGATTTCATATCTGTAAAATCAGTAGTTATATTGTAAGAATTAAATTAAATAATGTCTGTGAAGCATAGTGTTAAACATGTAGTAACCACTCAATAATTCTAGCCCTGACCACTTACTATTATCATCATAAGACAGCCTTTTGTCATTGTAAACTCTTAATAAATACCACTTTTTAAAGGCTGTAAAACGTCCTCTTGTATGAGTGTTCTGTGACAAAACATTCCCTCCTAAGGTGACACATCTAAGTTATCTTTAGTTTTTCAGTTTTATAAATGAGAATGCCATCTTAGTGCTTAAATATCTGTTTTACTTTGGACCATTTCCTTAAGTGCAGCTTCTTTGAGGTAGAATTAAAAAGTGAAGAGATAGAACCTTCTAGAAAGATGGTACCAAGATTGCACTAGCAATGAGAGAGAGAGACTTTTCTGATTTTCAAACTTTATATTTTCTAGAAGCATCAGATGGTGAAGGAGAAGGAGACACAGAAGTGATGCAGCAGGAGACAGTTCCAGTTCCTGTACCTTCAGAGAAAACCAAACAGGTGAGGGGTCACTGTGGGAGAGCCACCACTGTTAAATTCTGAAATCAGCCTTTTCCTCCTCTCTATTGAACTCCCCATGTCCTAATATCGGTTGTTGGTGGGATTTAAGAGAGCCTTTTACTTTCTTTCCCTTTGAAAAGGCCATGGGCCATGCTTCCTTCATTGTAAACCAGCAAGTTCTGTTTTTTGCCCTAATTCTTTTTCTTTTTTTTTTTTTTTTTTTTTTTGAGACAGGATCTTGCTTTATCACCCAGGCTGTAGTACAGTGGCACAATCATGGCTCACTGCAACCTTGACCTTCTGGGCTCAAGCAATCCTCTTACCTCAGCCTCCCAAGTAGCTGGGATACCACAGGCATGCACCACCACACCCAGCTAATTTTTTTATGTTTTGTAGAGATGAGGTTTCTCTGTGTTGCCCAGGCTGGTCTCAAACTCCTGAGCTCAAGCAATCTACCCACCTTGGCCTCCCAAAGTGCTGGGATTACAGGTGTGAGCCACTGCTCCTGGTTCCTAATGTTTTTTAACTATATAAATGCATTTCACAATAATATCTTAGATTCTTACATCACATTTTTGCCAAAAATCCAGCCTTATGCTTTTGGGTACAACTCCTAAAAGGAGATAAATAGTATAAAGATAGAGAAGGTTATCACACACTAGAGTGCATGATTACAGCACCAGGCCATGCTGCCAGCAGGCTCCTGGGACCTTATTTCTGCCCAGAATTATGGTCTGTCATATGCATTCTTAACAGGTGATTCGTGGTCTTTGCCATTACCAGAATTGGCCATTTGGATAATCTTTTTTCCTAAACTTGTGACCTTTTATTGCCTTTTTAATCTTCCTACTGACTTTAGAAATGCCACTCACATCCATTTGTAGCTTTTTCTCATTGGGTTTCCATCAAACCTGATTGGTATTTAGTTTGATGCAAAAGTAATTGTGGTTTTTGCCATTCCTTTTAATTTTAAAAAATTACTTTTGCACCAACCTAATAAATCTATGTGATTTGGGGTTTTGTTTGTTTGTTTTTGAGATAGGGTCTTGCTCTGTTGCCCAGGCTAGAGGACAGTGGCACAATCATGGCTTACTGCAGGCTCAACCTCCCAAATTCAAGTGATCCTCCCACCTCAGTCTCCTGAGCAGCTGGGACTATCGATGTGCACCACCACACCGGCTAATTTCTTTATCTTTTTGTAGAGATGAGATCTCACTATGTTAGCCAGGCTGGTCTCGAACTTCTGGGCTCAAGTGATCCTCTTTCCCTTGGCCTCCCAAAGTGCTGGGATTACAGGCATGAGCCGCAGTGCCTGGCTTATGTGTGATCTTTTAAAGGACTGTCTATTACCAATCCAAAGTTACTATATTTTTCATTGCAACAATTTGGGGTCTTATTCTTATTGTAGGTGCTTTAAACTCATTACACCAGAGTGTTATTCTACCCAAAGTTTGTGACCCAGCTCAGGATAACTGTGAGAAGCAATTTAGTGTAGTGTTGCTTAACTTGCCCACCGAAGTGGACAAGTTAAATTTCCCTGTGACTCAGTCACCTTCTTGGTAAATGATAACAATTATTTCTTCCTCACAGAGTTGTAATGATGATTAAATAAGACTGTGCTTGATAAGCACTTCAAACAGTGGTTATCAGAGAGTAATCACTGAAGTGTTAATTATTATATAGTTAATAATTATATTATAATCTTTTTTATTTTGTCCATTATTTTTTCTTCCTGGGAAGGGACATGCAGAAAGGTATACATGTTTAATATATAATCATCTTGGTTTTTTTTCTCCAACCATTAAATATTTTGCTCAAAGGCCCTATACTAGTTTTAGTTTCAATCATTCTTCTGGAAACCTACAGGGTAACACATCCGTAGCTCTTCAATTTATTTCCTCAAGGTGGGGTTTAATTTTTCCCTAGCTTATCCCACTAATCATACCATAGTCATGCCCTCTCTGACTTTTGCCTCTAATCAATGTCTACCTACAGGACTTACTTGCACGTAGTCTTCTTCATACTCCATTGGCTTTCGTTTTTTTCTTGCTTTCCCCTTGATTTTCTTCTTGTTTGTTCCTTGCTCTTTCTGGACTCATTGGTAAAACAATAAAGACCTTTTATTGAGCAGTTAATACTGTTACTGTATAAGGCACACTGTAACATAATCCTCACGGCATCCCTAGGAGGTAGGTGGTACCCACTTTACAAAGAACCAGAGGCTCAGAGAGATGGGTTCTGGGGGTCATGGCCCATCTGCTTGGCTGTGAGCCAGACTCCAAGGATACTGTTGCTTTCACTTTCCTTTTTACCTGTCCTCTCTCTTTCAGCTCAGGAAAATTGGATTAACCGTGTTCTCATGTGTTTTGTTGGTCACATGCCATTGCTATTTTCTGCCAAGCAAAAAAATAATTACAAAACCTTAAGCTGTTACTGCCCCCTTTTAATCACTTTTCTCTTGCTTTAATTTCTTTCACCACCAAATTGCTTTGAAGAGTCCAAGTCCTAACCCCTTTCTCCAACCCTATCCTAATTTCCCTGGCCAGAGAAATATCATTTTTTTCTGAATTGACATGAGAATCTGCATGTGCTCCTCTGCCTCATATGAGTGTTGCCCATCTTGGTCCCTGCTTATCCCCAGGAGACTCACCTCGAGGACAGATTTTATCTGTGCGTCTCCACAGCGCCTGACATGGAACCTTGCCCTTAATTGGCACTCATTATTTGTGAAATGAAGGAATGAATGACCATACCGGTATCCCAGTTTTCTCATGACTCTTCCCATCTCAGCCCTTTGTCCCAGCTTGTGAGCTGTCCCCTCCCTGACACAGCTGCCTGCAGAGGTCTCTTGGGGCCTTGTGATGCCCTATCCCTCCTCCAACCACATCCCTGATTTCCCAACACAATTCCCTCCTTGAAAGGCTCCTCCACCTTGACATTCAGGGCTGGGGTCTGTCCTCTCCATCCCTGCCTGCCCACACAGTCCCTCCAACTCCCCTGTGGCCTCCTTCATCCTCTCTCTCCCACTGCTCTTCTCCCTCTGGAACTCATCCCACCACCCCAAGGATGACTTACTTGTCAGGCATACTGTCTGTCCTTTCAGGAGTCCTTCTCTAATTGTTTACACGCATAGAACTTGAGTCTCCAGCTGGTTCGTAAGTCCCTTGGGGCCAGGGTTTCTTTTGTGTCCACTATAGTACCTAACACAGTTTGGGGCTCTTATTTGGCAGATATGACCAGATGTATGTTTTCTAAATATAACTGCATTTTTTCTGGATCAATTTTTTAAAAATGTTATGCTATATTTAAATTTTAGATTTGTTTCAACTTTGCTTAAGACTGTACTATTCCTTCAGTTTTTCTTTATGCTTGTACAGGAACTACTTGGCATGATGCTGTCAGCTGTAATATACATTTAGGCTTTAATATCACCAGGCAAGAGCATCTGTCAAGATAGATGATGTTCCCTCCTTTGCCATAGCTGGGCCTCACATTTCTGTCGCTGAATACATGCCTCTAGTTTGTTCAGTATTTTAAGCAGCAGATTTATAACTTTAAAGTTTTTAAATCCATGCAACTACCTCATCTCTAGCAACCATTTCACATCTAAATAATCATCCTTGGCCTGCTTAATAATGTGAGTATAAAGATTTGCCAATAGTTCTTTTTCCCCCAGTAATCACTTCCAAAATAAATGATGAATTCCCTACTCCTAGAGATTGCATCACCCTCTTCCCTCTTCAGCATCAGTCATTTCAGAGCCAGCCCTAGTGACTTTGTAATTATGGTTCCCAGAATATAAACCCTTATGAAGGATTTTTTGACTTTTCCTTGATGCTTCCATGATGTCAGTAACATTTCAGTGGTTCCATGACCCATCTTCTCCTGCTCAGAGACCACAGTGGACTTCTTTTTTCTTCTGCTGGCCTTTGTTTATCTCCTTTAATCATAAAGGAATCTTCAGCAGGAGTGTTTCTCCCTTTCCCTTCTTGCTCTCCTTTCTCTACTGTTGTATTTTCTTGCTACTACTTTATTTGACCATTGGTCATTTCATATTTCTTCCACTCTTCATCTCCAAGATTATGCTTATCTATTGTTGAAAGAAAACAGAGCTGTGTCCTATTCATTCTCTGATTCACCTTTTTCCTTTTCATTATGGTTTCTCAGTTCTGTTCTGTGTATTAATCTATTGTTTCATTGACAAATTGCCCAAAAGTTAGCAGCTTAAAATAAAACAAAAACATTTATTATGTCAGTTTCTGTTATCTCACAGACATGGCTTAACTCAGTGCCTCTGGCTCTGCTTCTCTTGTCAGGTACCAGCCAAGTTGTGGGCTGGGGTTGGAGGCTTAGCTGGGGAGAGTTTACCTTGCAGCTCACTGGTGTGGATGCCGGCACGTCTCAATCTCTCACTATTTGAGCCTCTCCACAGGGTTGCCTCACAGCGTTGCAGTTGCCTTTCCCCAGGCCGAGTGATCCAAGAGGGAACCAGCAAAAGCACCCAAGACAGAAACCACAATCTTTTTATAGTTTATTCTCAGAGTTGACACCTCGTCACTTCTGCCATATTAAGCGAGTTAGTAAATCCAGTCCACATTCATGGGGAAGAGATTACAAAGGAATATGAGTACCGGGAGATCGAGATCATGAGGAGCTATCCTGGAATCTGGCTACCACACTCTTCCTCTGGCCCCCCAGTGACTTATATCCCTTCAATGTGCAGAATATACTCACCCCTCCAAGGATTGCAAAGTCTCATCCCATTGCAGTGTGAGCTCAATATCCAAAATCTTGTCATCTAAATCAGGTCCAGGTGCAGTTGGGGCTCCTCAGTTTTAATTCCTTAAGTACAGCTCTTTGAGTACATTTCTTCTTCTTAACCTGTGAAACTAAAGAGACAAGTTACCTCTCCCACATGCTCAACACACAGTGGTGGGACAAGTGTAGTATAACCTTTATTGACATTTCTATTCAAAAGAAGGCAAATAGGAGGCACATGGAGTCATTGGTACACAGCATTCTGAAGGCCATCCAAGCAAATATCAGGAGTTTATTTATTAAGTCTCGAGGCCTAAGAGTAATTCTCCATGGTTCTTGGCTCTGCCCTTGGGGCTTTGTTTTGTCCTCCAATTATCCTTCTTCTTTTTTTTTTTTTTCTATTAAAAGCAGAATGGGTTTGCAACTGAACAGCTAATGCAGCCTGCTTCTTGACAGAATTCTCCGTGTCCAAAGGCCTCTGTTCTCATTGTTCTCTGACTCTCTCAGCCCAAACTAGTGGTATTTCTGCATATATACCTCCTTTAAAAACTGTGGGTGTCACCTGTGATGCTTCTGGGGGTTCACTCCATTAGGCAGAAGTCACACCCCTAATCTCTTCTCTACCTTGGGCCCTTGCTGAGAGAATATGAGGCAATATTCCTTAAGCTTCCTAGAGGCAGCTTGTTTAAAAAAATCTGTGAGCACACCCTTAATTTATTTAAAGCGCTCCTATGTGACTGAATCGTATTCTGAGGCACCATCTTTGTTTCTTCTGAGGTCTTCACGAATGGTTTTAAGTCACACCCTTGATTTCATCTTTAATCTTCCTTCTCTCAATTCAACGCCTTCCTGTAAGACCCAAGAAGAAATCAGGTGTCACCTTCAACACTATTTGAAAATCTCCTTAGCTAGATTACCCTTGCCAATAGACACATTTTCCATATAATTTCAGAAAACTGTATTGCTAAACTTTCTACCACTGCATAACAAAGAGCCCCTTTCCTTTAGTTTCCAATAAGATTTTTCTTTCTTCAAGCCCTCACCTTCCATGTCTTCAAAGTCCAAAATTTCATAGTGTTGTTCAAGCGCATTCTTCATCAATCACTTTACTTTTGACACATTTCAGAGTAGTTTGCAAAATCAGTACACTCACTCCAGATACTTCAGCATGCATATCACTGACTAATGTTTAATATTTATCTTAAAGTATGTATATTTTCTTTTGAGGTAAAGTTAATATACAATAAATGTACAAATGTCAAATATACCATTCAATGAATTTTGACAAATAAATACAACTATGTAATTCAAAGCCCAGTCTGGATTGAAAAAACAGGATCATCACCCCCAGAATCCTTTCATGCCACCTGGGTCAATCACGATGCTAAATTCCTTGCCTCAGAGGCAACAACTGTTCCGATATTTTTTCTAAAAAATTAATTTTGCCTATTCTAAAATGGCATATAAATGGAATCATACAGTTACATGCTGTTTTGTTTAAGGCTTCTTTCATTCGACACAGTATTATTTAGATTCCTCCATGTCAGTGTATAGTATTTCACTTCTTTTTATCGCTGAGCACATTAAGTCTGCTAGGGCTGCCATAACAAAATGCCATAGACAGGGTGGCTGAAACAACAGTTCTAAAAGCTAGAAGTCTGCGATCAAGATGTCTACAGGTGTGGTTTCTCCTGAGGCCTCTCCCCTTCACTTGCAGATGGCCTTCTCACTATGTCTTCACATGGTCTTTTCTCTGTCTGTGCATATCCCTGGTGTCTCTTCTTCTTATAAAGACACCAGTCACATTGAATTGAGGCTCCACCCTTATGACACCTCATTTAACCTTAGTTGCCTCTTTAAAGGCCCTATCTCCAAATATAGTGGCATTGGGGGTTAGGGTTTTAACATATGACTTTCAAGGCAATACAATTCAGTTTAGAACACTGAGTAGTATTCAGTTATACAAATGTACCATTTTGTTTATCCATTCCTCTATTGATGGACACCTGAGGCTATTTCTTTTTTTTTCTTTTTTTTTTCTTTTTTTTTAAGATGGAGTCTTGCTCTGTCGCCCAGGCTGGAGTGCAATGACGCGATCTCAGCTCACTGCAACCTCTGCCTCCTGAATTCAAGCAATTCTCCCACCTCAGCCACCTGAGTAGCTGGGATTACAGGCATCTGCCATCATGCCTGGCCAATTTTTGTATTTTTGTAGAGACGGGGTTTCACCTTGTTGGCGAGGCTGATCTTGAACTCCTGACCTCAAGTGATCCGTCCACCTGGGCCTCCCAAAGTGCTGGGATTACAGGTGTGAGCCACCCCAGCCTGGGACTATTTCTTGTTTGGCACTATTGTGAATAAATCCACCATGAATATTCACATACAAGTTTCTTGGGGAATGGTTTTTAAGCTTTTTTATTTTTTTTACATTTTTAATTGACACATAATAATTCTACGTATTTATGGGGTACATAGTGATGTTTGTATAGTGTTCACATCAGAGCAGAACATGTATTTTTATTTTTGTTTAGTAAATACATGACAATTGCTGAGTCATCTTCAATTTCATAAAAAAAAACTGTCAGATCTTTTTCCTATATAATGTATCATTTTGCACCCCCACTATCAGTGTGTGAGAGTTTTGGTTGCTGTACATCCTTGTCAACATTTGGAGTTATTGGCCTTTTAATGTTTGACATTTTGGTGAGTGTGTATTGAATAACTTTGACCATGTCCAAAAGAAACTAAAAGCCACTTCTAAGTTGTTTTTATCTTTATAATGAACATGCTTGTTTTGTTGTAAAATGGCAATTTAAATTTTTTTATTTTTACCAACCTAATAATCATACATATATTTTTAAAAAATATCAGCTGGGCGTGGTGGCTCATGGCCTGTAAATCCCAGCACTTTGGGAGGCTGAGGCGGGCAGATCACTTGAGGTCAGGAATTCAAGACAAGCCTGGCCAATGTGGTGAAACCCCAACTCTACAAAAAATACAAAAGTAGCTAGGCATGGAGGCACACCCCTGTAATCCCAGCTACTCAGGAGGCTGAGGCAGGAGAATCATTTGAACCCAGGAGGCGGAGGTTGCAGTGAGCTGAGATCATGATGCTGCACTCCAGCCTAGGCAACAGAATGAGTAAGACTCTGTCTCAAAAAATAAAAATTTAAAAAATTTAAAAATCAAACAGTATTACTTATTTACTAAGAGAAAACTTCAGCTTCTCTAGCTTTTTTCCTTACTTTCTGCCTTACAGTTTACACGGGTATTTCTTGACTTATCGATTTCTGACATAATCTACTGACATCCTGACATAGCATATGAGGACATGGTTCTCCTATCTATTATACTTCCTATTTCCTCACCAACTGCTGCCTCCCCTGCCAACAAGATACCACATTTTGGTCAAAACAGTTGTCACTATTACATCATTATGATGATGGAAATATTGTTCAACACTGAGAGAAAGAAGCTATAACCATCCCTCCTTTCTTATACAGCTCTTTATTTTCATGGCATTAACAGTTGCTTCATTTCTTTATTTGCCTGGCTTACTCTGTTCCTATTGTTAATTGTTTCCATATGTTCCAACATCTCTTCCACATTCCCATGAATAATATTTTCCATATGCTCAAATAGATTAGTTGTTTTGTTTTGTTTTGTTTTGCTGCAAAACTCCATATTTCTATTTCACTCCAAACTGGTTATTCTCCAGGCCCACTGAACAATTGAGACCTCTTAACTGTCATCCTAGGATGCCCCTTCAGCACCCTCCTGGGCTGGACTCCTTTTTGGCTAAATCCCATAGCTTCCTTTTGTTTGGTTTCACCCTTTATATTCTGAAATACAGCCTTCAGTATCTGCAGGTAGGAAGTAAATTTTTTGAGACTTCATATTTGAATATGTCTTTATTCTACTCTTACACTTGATTGATACTTTGGCTGGGTATAAAAGTTTAATTTGCAAATAAACTTTATTCATAATTTTGAAAGCATCATTCCATTAAGTTCTAGCATCCATTATTGCTTTTTAGAAATCTTGGCACTATTCTTTTTTCTGATCCTTTGTATTTTGTATGTTATTATTTTGAAGGGGAAAATTTTAGAATCTTCTTTGCCCATGATTTTCTGAAATTTCACAGTGATGCTCCTTGGTATGGGTATTTTTCATATTCATAGTACCCTATACCTAATGGGCTTTCAATCTGGAGTTTTATGTTCTAGAAAGTTTCCTTCAGGCAACACAAAAGTTTGTCATATATATTTCTTTTTTTTAAATTTTATTTTGTCATGTTTTATGTCTTTGATGACTCCTTTTTAGAGACAAGGGTCTCACTTTGTCACTCATGCTGGAGTGCAGTGGTACAATCATAGCTCACTGCAACGTTGAACTCCTGGGCTCAAGAGGTCCTCCTGCCTCAGCCTCCCAAGTAGCTAGGAGTACAGGTATGCGCCACCACACTAGCTAATTTTTTTTCTTTTTTTTTTTTTTTTTTTTTTTTTTTGAGGCAGAGTTCGGCTCTGTCACCCAGGCTGGAGTTCAGTGACGCAATCTTGGCTCACTGCAACCTGTGCCTCCCAGGTTCAAGAGATTTTCCTGCCTCAGCCCCCTAAGTAGCTGGGATTACAGGCGTGCGCCACCACGCCCAGCTAATTTTTGTATTTTTAGTACAGACGGGGTTTCACCATGTTGGTCAGGCTGGTCTTGAACTCCTGACCTCGTAATCCGCCCTCCTCGGCCTCCCAAAGTGCTGGGACTACAGGCGTGAGCCACCACGCGCAGCCTTTTTGTTTGTTTTTGTTTTTGTTTTTGAGACGGAGTCTCGCTCTGTCGCCCGGGCTGGCGTGCAGTGGCACGATCTTGGCTCACTGCAAGCTCCGCTTCCCGGGTTCACTCCATTCTCCTGCCTCAGCCTCCCAAGTAGCTGGGACTACAGGCGCCTGCCACCACGCCTGGCTAATTTTTTGTATTTTTAGTAGAGATGGGGTTTCACCATGTTAGCCAGAATGGTCTCAATCTCCTGACCTCGTGATCCACCTGCCTCGGCCTCCCAAAGTGCTGGGATTACAGGTGTGAGCCACCACGCCTGGCTGTTTTTTGTTGTTGTTGTTGTTGTTGAGACAGGGTCTCACTATGTAACCAGGGCTGGTCTCAAACTCCTGGCCTCAAGCAGTCCTCCCACCTTGGCCCCACAAAGCACTAGGGTTACAGACATGAGACACCATGCCAAGCCCCCTACTGTTTTATGTGATCTCTTTTTCTATAATATCATTTATTGAAAAATTGAATCTCTTGGGCTGATTCTCTGATTTTCTCACCACTTTTTTCTTTTCATTTTTCATCTCTTTCTGGGACATTGCCTCTACTTTATCTTCAAGCCTTCCTCGTTTATTTTTATTCCACATTTCTTATTTGTTTTAATGCTTAACTGTTTTTCCCATTTTTACAGCATCTTGTTCTTGTTTCATGGTTGCAAAATCTTCCCTTATCTCTCTGAGGATATGAATTGTCATTATTTTGAGGTACCATCCCACTTTTCTCTAGGTTCATTTTTCTTTTTGTTATTTATTTGCTCTTGTGTTGGAGACTTTCCTTAGATGTCTGAGGAACCTTAGCTATCCATTCTTATTGAAGAGAGATACACTGAAACAGTGATGAGTTGGGTTTGTCAATTAGTGTATTCATGGTAGGGTGATAGGATAACAAGCTGGATTTTTTACTATGGAACTCCCAAACGTCACTCTCTGATGGTATTTCTTTTAGGCCATTCCATTTTTCCAAAGAGGAATTCAGTAGTCTCCTGCCTGCAATATGTAAGCATGGAATAGGGACAGGAAATGGAGGCAAGCCTCAGCCTCTGCCCTTTCTCCCCTGGCCCAGCCTTGATCCTCTTGATGTCTTCAGAGAATAGATCTCCAGTCGGCTGGCAGGACAGGCAAGGTGAAAGGAAGCAGTAATGGGATAGTTGCTTGGCTACCAGGGTAGGAGATATCACCTAGTGGGGGACAGGAGTAGCTAATCATTCTAAATATAAACTTTCAGCCAATCTCTTCTTTTTTAACCCTTTACTCTCTGTAGTACTTTGTGCCTCCAAAGTACTGGACCTTCTCAGAGTCGAGCAGGTCAAAGACTTACTTATTGTTAGCTTCCACCCCTTCTGAAACCCAGCTGCTAGCTTTCTCTCTGTGCCAAGTCACTTCTATCCAGCTCCAGCCACTTTCCATTTTCCAAAAAGTTGTTGAAATCTCTCCATTACTGTTGTTCTCTCTCCTGGTTTCTTGGTTTTTATATAGATCCTGCTCAATAGGTCCTTTTCAATGCCCTTTATTTTCAGTTTACTGGTATTTTGAGGTCCATTTGCCATGTGTAACCAGGAGAATCATTCTTAAAGTAATTTTTGATACTTTAAGGAATTGAAAATATGCTCTAGTTGCTTCCCTTAAAAGCAACATTTTTTTAGGGGAGTGTGATTCTTCAGACTACATATTTAAAATTGCTACATTTCATATAAAGAAATGACATTACTTATCAACTGTCAAAGTCACACAGTGTTGGAATTGGTTTCCAGAAATGCTTAGTGGCTTGGCCGGATTCTTTCACATCTTCCTACCTAGTCTCCCTGAGGGTAAACAGCAACATTCATAAAGCAGTTAACTAAATGTAAGAATTTTCAATACTGTGGATTTGGATTTCTCCATAAAGTCATCTCACCTCTATGGAAATTGACCCCATAAAATTGGCCTCTTCATTGGCACCCTACCACAGCCAGCTAAAGTAACTAGTCTCCAAAACCAAAGATTATTTTGCATTTCCTTTAGGATGATGTAAGAATTTGAACCTATCATTTAACTGAAGCAATATCATGGCTAAAGCAGTTCATCAAGCATGTTTCGTTTTCCTGTGCATGATTCAGAATTACATTTTTATTTTTTCTCCCAGAATTAAAGAGTCCATATTCTTACAATTGAGCTCATTTCTAGATTTAATTTATGTCATGTTTTAATTAATTGGCTTTGTAAACCTAGCACAAATGCAACCAGTACACTGAACATATTCCTCGAGAACACCTCCATACGTTAATAGATTGTAACAGGTTTCTAAATACGCTTCCCAAAAACCTTGATACTGGTAGAGATAATGCAGTATAGTTTAAGGGATCTGCTAATCATATCCCGGCCTTTGCCTTAGGAACATGAGCTGAACACTGGCCTGGTTTGTAATTGGACTCTTATGGCCATCTGGCAGCTTCTGTGACATATTAGTGGCCTTGGCACAGTCTCTAATTGGCATGTACCAGCATCAAATTGGCATGTATCTACATCCACAAGACAGTTTAACTTTCTAAATAAAAGAAGCCATATCTCTCTTTTCTTTAGCTATGATGCAATTGCTCTTTGCAGGTTTTTTGTTTTATCTTAGAGGAAACTAAAATTTCAAGATTTCCCATGTCACTTTAATCCTGAACTTTTTAAATCTATTTCTGTAATAACTAAAAGAGAATCTTGAAACTGCGGGTCTTTGGCCCCATGTCTTGAAGAAATTATGTAGTATTATATCTTTCTCTCTGACTTCAGGCCATAGACATTCTCAATCTGCAGGCTGTCTGCAAGCTTTCATAGAAAGATTCATCTGTAATCATTTTAGCAGAGCCAGTGGAGACAAGATTGCTTTAGTTAGTAGCTTATCAGTTTAAACTGAGTATTCTCTGGTTGGAATGGAAAGTTAATCAAGGAAAACTCAGAATAAGTTTTCACTTACATTTTATATCTTACTTGGCAACTTGTTTGACAATGTTGCATAAAAGGTCCAGCACAGGAAACATTTTATACTCCTGCTTATGATTAATAAATATGGAATCTGGGGCATTCTATTTTATAAATCAAGGTCTTAGTCCAAATTTCCTGTTTTTCTACATTAGAAAAAAGCCCTCAGGGTAAAAATAGTACTAAACTGGGGTACTCAGGGGTCAAGGCAACAGGCAAAACAGATTACTCTAGATACTGTGGTGCTGAGACGGTTATCAGACTAGTAGCAAAGACATTCATTTTGTAGTCATTATAGCAAAGGCATTTGATGCAGCTGGTTTATAAAAACGTAAGTTAATATATCTTACTTTGGATTTTCTATGCTTATTGAAAAGAGGAAAGGAATGTATAATACAAAACAATAAACCAGTGACTTGGAAATGTAGGCTCACACACAGCTAGTTCATGGAAAACCTTAGTCACTCTAGTCAAAGACTGTCTTACCACATCTTAATTTTAATCACATCGATTTCTGCTGTATTATACAAACTCAGCCACTGTCTTCAATCTCCAATACACTGCACTTCCACACCAAGCACACATATACACTCACTCACAATTTGATCTTGCTCAAAGATTCTCCAGTCTTAAGTCATCTGCGCTTTCTGACTTTCTCAAATTCTCTCAGCCCAACCGCTGCATAGTAACCTACGGTAGATCTTCCAGCATCTCTCTTTCTGTAGAATATTACCAAGATACTCTGAAGAATACATGCATGGCAGAAAGTACTTTGGGGTTCATGCCACTAATTGACACTTTATCATGAAAAGATTAAAATGTTCTCATTTGTATTTCTTAATAGCCTAAAGAATGTTTTTTGATACAACCAAAGGAAAGAAAAGAGAATACCACCAAGACCAGGAAAAGAAGAAAGGTAATATTAATAATTTCTTAAATTTGTATGGCCCCACATGGTTTCCATCACATTTTTATATATCATACTTTCTTGAGGCAACTATTGTAATCCCCACCTAAGAGATGCAGACATTGTAAGATTCTTTGAGGTTTGGTGACTTTCCTAAGGTCACTACTAATAAGTGTTTCTGTTGGAGCTAAGAATAAATTCTTCTGACTCCTATTTCAGTCCTGTGGAGTGCCAAATATCTTTGTTACCCACCCTATGTTTTCAGTGTGGTCAGATGTCAGACATAGATTTCTAATTCTAGAAGGAGTCCAGAGCTATCCTCCCCCGGCCCTTCTGGCTCTGTCCATGAAAAGAAATATACCAACCTCCTTTTTCTATTCATTCCGGATTTTAAGACCTTATACCTTAAAGTATGAATAAAAAGAAAATAATAAGCAGATGAAGGTAGTATGAGGCACTTCTGACTAATTTGGAACCATAAATTAGGTCAAAAAAGCTCCCCTACCTTGCATTTTGATATTTGCTGGTGAGCACAGGAAAGACTCTTTCTCATATACAAACTTTTTTATGGCTCAGCCTTGGAGAAAGTATGGTTAGCTATGACCTTCTCCCACAGTTGTGAAAACAGCAGTGTAATTCTCTCCCTGCCAAGAGGGGTCTGCTGCTGAAGTCAGCCGAGGAAATACGATTGGGATTAGAGGAAAGAAGATGGACTCAAACCTATTACTTAACAGCAAGCTTTTAGAAAACTGAGAGTGTGTGTGCATATGTTTTCTTTTCTTACAAATGGCCAAATAGGAAAATGGGAGATGCCAAATTGGCTGAGGTTTGGCAAGTCCTTAAATAAGTGACTTTAACTTCGCTTTGATAATTTGTACACTAATGGCCTTCTGGAGTGTTAAGTTCTTGGTGGCTCAAGGTCAAAACTCTAGCTAGATAGTTTAGTCTTGACTGAGGTCACACTAAAATGTGCCCACTGATGACATATTTTTAAAAGTTAATTTCTTTGACAGAGGCTTGACCATTCTTGGCAAGTGTCTAGAAATGAGGATATTGTAGAAGGAGGGGGAAAATCTGGGGTCAGGGGTGGGGAATGCTCCTTCTGGATCTTTGGTGGAACATTAGAAGGAAGTGAGAAGGGAAGCTTATGATGGAAATAAATGAATGATTGTGGGTTTCTACTACTGCAGCATTCAATACATGCTACACAAATGAGTCCAAATCAAAATCGATGTTGGAAAGTATTTCCTGTAATATTTTTTCTACTTTGCATAGGGCCACTTTAATACCATCAGTTATCCAAGACCTGAGAATCGAGGGTGTTAAGTCCCCTTCTCAGTAGGCCCCTATGCTCAGATTCCTACTGCGGGTTTTACACTAATGACAGAAATCCAAACTAAGACTCAGCACCTCAAAAACCAGATTGGGCAAGAAATTCTCAAAATTCTAATCCTACAGGAATATAAATCATCTAGGGCTAAAAGAGAGCTCTCCATAGCAATGAGATTTCTTTACTTTTAACAGAAAATAATACCCCAGTATGGAGATGCCTGCAAAAATTTAGTTATCTTGGAAGTCATAGACCAAGAGTTACAGGGAGCTTTCTAGATCATTTTTTCATTTTTCAAAGCAATAGTTATGTCCAAGAAGTATTTAGTGAATTTTCTCAAATGTATTTATTAAAACCCACATTCACACTTGGCTAACACCAAAAGCTATGTGCCGTTTAAATGCCAGAGGAACTAACCTATTCCAACCAAATGCCATTTTAAAATATGTCGTCCCATTTTTCTTCTTTCTCATATCTTAGAAGAAAATTACTGATGTTCTTGCAAAATCAGAACCAAAACCAGGGTTACCTGAAGACCTACAGAAGCTGATGAAGGACTATTATAGCAGCAGACGCTTGGTGATTGAATTAGAAGAACTGAACCTGCCAGGTATAGCCAAGCTTCAATTTTCCTAAAGACAAGGAGCAAAACATAAGTATCTGTTATGGTTAGGTGTCTCAGGCAGTCAATTAACACATTTTCCAGCGGGCATGGTGGCTCATGCCTATAATCCCAGCACTTTGGGAGACTGAGGCTAGAGGATCGCTTGAGCCCAGGTGTTTGAAACCAGCCTGGGCGATACAGTGAGACCTCATCGCTATTAAAAATAAGAATAATAATAATAATTGTTTAAAGAGACATACTTTCAGGCCAGGCACAGTGGCTCACGCCTATAATCCCAGCACTCTGGGAGGCTGAGACGGGTGGATCACTTGAGGTCAAGAGTTCAAGACCAGACTGGCCAACATAGTGAAACCCCATCTCTACTAAAAAATACAAAAATTAGCTGGGTGTGGTAGCACACGCCTGTAATCCCACCTACTTGGGAGGCTGAGGCAGAAGAATCACTTGAATCTGGGAGGCCGAGGTTACAGTGAGCCAAGATGACGCCATTGCACTCCAGCCTGGGGGACAGAGCGAGACTCCATCTCAAAGAAAAAAAAGAAACATAATACTTCTTTTCCTCAATCTAATAGTTTTAACTGATAGATTATATCAAATAGTTTTAACTGATAGATTATATCCTTACTGGATGCTAAACAGTATTTGTCAAATCTAATATTAAGATTTGTGATTGTATTTTTTTATTCAAAAGGTTAATTGTTGGGTGTGCATTTTTAACAAACTATTCAATGAGTAGGAATTCATCATGAGGATAGAAGTTGAAGTACACATTTAAAAGTATGGATGTGAAACACTGATTTACTCAACTATTATAGACAAGAACTTTAGCCTTAATAAGCAATTTAGTTTTGTTGTTGCTCTTATTATGGATTTCTAGTCATGGTTTTTAGAATAGTATTTTAGGTTGCAGGCCAGACTCTTTCAAGCAAACTGTCAAAAGGTAGGAACAAAATTCTGTATGTTTTGCGAGGCTGACACTTTGCCTCAAGGGATTCTTAGGCCTACTAGAATTTTAGATCCTCTGCCTTAGTGTATTTATAATTAAGCTAAAAGATATTACAAAATTTAAACAGCTAATTTTTTAAAAATATTTATTTATTTATTTTAGAGACAGTGTCTTGTTGTGTCGCCCAGGCTGGAGTGCAGTGGCACCATCGTAGTTCACTGCAGCCTCGAACTCCTGGGCTTAAGTGGATCCTCTCATCTCAGCCTCCCGAGTAGCTGGGAATATAGCCACGTGCCACCATACCCAGCTTAAACAACTAATTTTAATTAATTTCAAAATTATAATGCATCCTTTAACTCTTTTAGGCAGGGATGGGAGGAAATAGATGTTGTCATAAAATCAAACCATAAAAGTTTGGGTACAACTGCTTCAGATGAGCTATTTATAGACTACTAGGCATATCTAATATTGCTTTTGGAAAAAGTAGAGGGTGGCTTGATTTCCGTTTTCCATTACAACTTTATGCTTTCTAGAAGCTTGAGAAGCTGAAAAACAATCTGTTCCCTGAATTTTTATAATTCTTTTGTGATATCCTTTTTCAAAAACACACATTGGGTTTGGAGACATGAGTGCCCTGTCTGTTTTCCAAGGAGATTACCCTTTAGGGAATTGAAGGAGTGCATTTGCACATGAGCAGGATCTGGACTTTTAGACTTACTAAGCCCAGACAGTTCCAATAGCAGTTATAATCCACTCTTCTCAGCACACCACGGCCTCTGCTGTGAAAACTATGTCCTGACTGCACTATCACAGGAACTATTCTAACAAAACCACTTTTGAAGCTTTAACTGAAGTTTAATTTTTACTGTGACTCAATGGTCAGTTTTCCATTCTAGTTCTTTGTTAGAGCAACTTGAACTTAGGAAGGATTTGTGAGCAGTGGGACCACTGCTGTTCTGTAACCTCATGGAACATCGTAAACCTTGCTCCTCTCTGGAGTTAGAGAGAGTCAAAGCTCAGAAGAAACTTTTAAGGAGTCATTTGAGTTCCATAGTGAATTTGTTTGGTATTATTGTTTTATTAGAGTTCAGTAATATAGTTAGGCAAGAATGTGTGGTCATGGTTTGGGGAGGAAGGAAAATATGTTTGAAATAACGTTATAACCAAAAAGGACAGGTTTTTATTTTTAGTTAAAAAAATTAGGCCATTTAAGACACAATAAACTGAGACATCAGAGGAAGGTTTGAGAGAACAGGCCCTGGTCACTACACTGATGAGACCAAGGACAGAGAATAGATCTAAGCTAGATGTGGGGAAGGAGATACAGTGGGTTATTTGGAATAGGCTCAAGGAGGGACATAAATCCCCTTATATATACACATATAAGGTAGATATAAATAATAACATACTGTTCCTATTTAGTTTGTCGAGCCTCTGACTTGGTTTTGATTTGAGGTTGTTTGTGTCTGTAGGGCAGGAACATGTCTTTTCAATTAATATTGTGCACTGTACATTGTTAATGTCATACACATGGGCACTTAATTAGGATTTCAAGGTTGGAGTCACCCGGAGCTAATTAACTTCTCTGCTGTCTCCTGAGAGCTGCAGTGTGATTTAGATTAGTGATTCCTAATTGCCTATAGGCTAGTTGCAACCGAATCACCCAGGAACTTCTTAAAAATCAGATTCCCAGGCCCACCCCCAAGAGATTCTAATTCACTATGCAAAAGAGACTTCATCCCAGAAATCTGTATCTTCAGTTCTCCAGGTGAGTCTGATCATATCCAGGCTTGGGACATTATAAAGACCACCAAAGGCTCCACAACAATATAGGAGAAAACAGCTTTGAATTACTCACTTAATGAGTTATATGTGCTGGGTCACAACATAAATTTCATTTTGATCAGTCCAGCCCCTGTTTTATTTTAATGTGTTATATTGTTTTTTATTGTATTGTTATGTTGTGTTGTATTTTGAGACATTATTCTCATTCTTCCCTAATCCAAACTCTATTTTCATATGATAGGAATTTTTAAAAATATATATATATTCTTATAAAATATGTCATCCTGTGTATGTATATACATATTAAAATGTATCTAAAATGGCTTTGTGCTAATGCTTTCGTTCTGTTTCTTTCTTCACTTGACACTTTTTCCAGATATGACTAAGTAATTTTATGCATATCTAGTTCATTGCTTCTAAATGCCACATAATATTCCAGCGTTTCCATCTACCACATATACTCATCCATTTCCCCAGATATGGACACCTAGGTTGCTTCAAGCACCCTGCTATCACAAATAATGTCAGGATGAATATCCTTGTGTGTGTACCTTAATAGACCATGCAAGAATTTCTTTCTATTATTTACCTTGAATTGAAATGATAGAATTATAGGGTATATACATATTAATATTATTACTTTCCAGAATATCTATACCAGTTTATACTTCCACTTACAGTTCACAAGAGTTTCCATCAACTTGCATTCTCAACAACACTTGGTATTATACATATTGCTAATAGTTGCCATTCTAATGAGTGTGTAAAGTATGCTCATTATATTAACTTGCACTTCTCTGATAACTAGTGAGTTTCAACATGTTTACATAGATTTGTTAGCCACTTCATTTTGCATTTGTGTAGTCCCTATTTTATGGATTTGGAAAATAAAGTTGCTTCATAAATCTGCTGAGTGATGTAAGAAGCTCCTATTTCACTGCTCTAAGAAATTATGGGCAGCTCCGTGACAGGTTAAAAGTTTACTTGTTGCTGCTGCTGTTATTTTAAATATAGGCAACACTTTAAGATATAAAATGGGCCCCCAATTCACTAATATTTTACAACCTTATACATCACTCATAACTCACATATAATCTGTTTTGATTGTGTGTGTGTTTACAAAATTATCTACAAAGCATGTTTATTATATTTCTAGACTCCTGTTTCCTCAAGGCCAATGATTTGACTCACAGTCTTTCCTCATACCTAAAAGAAAGTAAGTAAACTCTGATTTTAATCTATTTAAACTCATTCTTATTTTGCTCTGGTTTTGGGAATTTAGGTTTTGGTCTCGTTTTTGTTTTATAACACATTAGGCCATTATTGCTCTAGGAATCCAGAGAATGGTGTTCTAGTCCCAGGTCCCCCACCAATTTGCTGTTTGACCTGAGACGAGTCACTGAGTACTCCCCTGGACTTAATTTCCTATCTGAAAAATAAGGAAGATGGACTATGTGATATGTGTTCCATCTGTGAGATTCTGAAATTCTGTTTGCATGTTTACCACTCAGACCATGGCTATTGTGAAGTCAATCTAATTTTATCTTTTCAAAATTTATTTTTTGGGAGGCTGGAGAGGGACAGGGTCTCACTCCATCTCCCAGGCTGGAGTGCAGTGGGTCTGGTCACAGCTCAGTGGAGCCTCAACCTCCTGGGCTCTAGCGATCCTCCTGTCTCAGCCTCCCAAGCAGCTGGGACTATAGTTGTGTGCCACCACAAGCAGCTAATTTTTTTTTTTTAATTATTTTTGGTAGAGACAGGGTCTTTCTATGTTGCCCAGGCTGGTCTCAAACTCCTGGGCTCAAGAGATCCTCCCCACTCAGCCTCCCAAAGTGCTGAGATTACAGGCATGAGCTACTGTGTCTGGCCCTTCAATATGTATTATATGTAGCCAGCAGTAATTAAATTATTCATATCAACTGTTCATTTATTCATGGCCAGCAATGAAATAGTTTAGATATAGGGAGTTTCCATTCTTCTTTCAAACTACAAGCAATTCTGATGACACTCAACTTGAGTTCATAAACCTTTCTCAGCTTCAAATTCAGAAAATGTAAATCTAGGTAATAATAGAATCAAACTCACTAGATTATGAGAACTAAAAAGAAAATGTATGTAAAGTGCTTAGCACCATGTCAGTATTTAGTAAATGTTTGCTGTTTTTAAATGTTTGTTCCATTTTATATCTTATGTTGAATGTCCCTTTAAAATTTAACATGATTGAATCAGCATTTGTTTCCTATTTAATCAACATTGTCTTCAAGTATCAAACCTAAATTAAAATATCAAAAATGTAATATTCCAAATTTTTTTACTTAATTTTAAAATTAGTCACATTTAGGGACTTGGTATGTTTGTTTTGTGTTACAAATTAATGATACTTTATTTTAATCTAATATTTACAATAACCAGAAAATTGAATTACAATTGTAATTATAATGAACCATGCTTACTATATTTTGTTTTGTTTAAATACTCAACAAAGAAGAAATGCTCAACTTGGGAGGTGTGCCCTGTTTTGCCATATTTCAAATAATTGTTTTCTGTTCTTTTTTCCAGTTTGTCCTAAGTGGGTAAAACTTAGGAAGAACCACAGTGAGAAGAAATCGGTCCTGATGCTGATCATCTGCAGCTCGGCCGTCCGAGCCCTGGAGCTCATTAGGTTGGAAGGTTCACCTATTCCATATCATAAATGTTTTCTGAATAACTGATATATGCCAAGCTATTATGTTCTATGTGCTGGAGATGTAGCAATAAACAAAACAGAGTCCCTGCCCTCATGGAATTTATATTTCAGTGGGGGAGACAGATAATAAACAAATGAAGATACATTATAACGTCAAGTACATTGATAAGTTATGTAAGGAAAAAATAAAGCATGGCAAAGGGATATAAGTAGATCAGGAC
This sequence comes from Homo sapiens, assembly GCF_000001405.40. Classification (NCBI taxonomy): domain Eukaryota; kingdom Metazoa; phylum Chordata; class Mammalia; order Primates; family Hominidae; genus Homo; species Homo sapiens. The sequence continues at coordinate 100,168,086 of NC_000003.12, forward strand.
TACTTTTAAAAGGGTGGTCACAGAAAGCTTCTCTAAGGAGATGACAATTTGATCAGAGACTTGAACAAAGTGAAGAAGAAAGCCCAGCAGCTATCTGGAAGAAAAGCATTCCAGGTAGAGGGGAGAGTAAGCACAAAAGACCCCAAGATAGGATGCCATTATAGGATTTTGAGGACTTACTTGATCTGAATCATCATTTTAAAGGTTCACTTTGGCTGCTGTGTGGAGAGCACACATTATAGAGAGCAAGGGTAAAAGCCAGATCATACCCCAAACAACCAGTTAGAAGAAAAGATCTGACTTAAAATAGTAACAAGAAAAGACAGAAGCCGGGCACAGCAGATTGTGCCTATAATCCTATCACTTTGGGAGGCTGAGGTGGGAGAACTCTTGAGCCCTGGAGCTTGAGACCAGCCTGGGCAACATAATAAGACCCCATCTCCATTATAAAAAGAAAAGATAGAATACCATGGAATATACTTACCAAAACTTATGTACAGACAACATCATCTAAGGGATGCAGAAAACTTGGACAATCAAAAATGTATACCATATTCTTGAACAGGAAAACTCAATATTGTAAGGATGTCTGTTTTACTCAGGGTAGCCTTCAGATTTCACACATTCCTAGTAAAACTCCAATAGAATTGTGTTGTTTTTTTTTTTAACTGGATAAACTAGTTCTGAATTCTTATGGGATAATATACAACTAAAAATAGGCAAAGAAATTCTGAAAAAGAATACTAATGAGAGGATTATATTCCTAGAGATTACAAATTATATATATATATATATACACACACACACATATATATATACACATATATATACACACACACACACACGCACTCTGAAGTCTCAATAAAATAATTAACAGTATGGAACTGGCACATGCATGACAGATCAGATGAGTGGAACAGAATTGAAAGTTCAGGATCAGACCCAAATGCATATGAAAATGTAGCATATGCCTAAGGTGACAAATCAGAAATCAGTAGGGAAAGACGGATTGTTTAATAAGTGGTGTTGGAACAACTGAGTAGCCATCTGGAAAAATAAAGTTGGATTCATATCTCACTTATAACAAGATAAATTCCAAATGGAATAAAAACTTAAAGGTAAAGATTATGTTTTAAAGATAATTTGTCAGTGCTTTACTAAGGGCTTGCACATACGTTTTCATTTACTATTGTTTTTGTAGAATAAACAAAAAGGCTTCCACTGGTCAGTGGTAATATTCAGCTTTCAGAGAAGAGCCGTGAGAGTCAGATGGGATTTGCTAGGACCAGCTCTCTCTGAGAGCCTGGCTCTGGGCCAGGCTTTGACAGGAGACAAAACAAAGGAAAATCCAAGTCCTGAAGAAAGAGGAACTTGGTCAAATAGACTAAGGTGCAAATCTAGATATTCAATAGTTATTTACATCTGTTTTTTCTAAATGAACTAATCTAATCATGAATTTAGAAAAGTAGTTGTTAAACTGAAATAGTCCTTCAAACCCTCCTTTCTCCACTGAAGTGGAGACACACATTAAATTGTATCACATTATGCACACACATTAAATTGTAGCATATAATCTCCCAGTGAAACACTTGTGTTTCTTTCCATTTTTTCTGCTCTAAACATAATTATCTTGAAGATTCCAACTGCTTCCGGGCAGCTGTACTTGCCGGTCCTGAAATCATGGGAATTCACACTGACTTTTCAGTGCTTTAAAAACTACCTCATTTCACATTCAGATGCTAAGGGCAAAGAGTGTGGCCTGGAGGTGGACTCTTAAAATAAAGCTATCAAATTGATTTGAACTTTTGTTATACATAAATTCCTTACTGAGGGCATAAAAGTACTGTGTTGTCACACTTCATTTACCAATTTGCAGTATTTTTTTGTGTCCCCAGTAATACTATGATCCATTTCAAGGTTAGGTGATTTACAAAAGGTGATTTCTGAGTAGGCACAACAAGCCCTATTCATAAAGACTAATATTTAATAATTCTAACTTTTATAAGAACATCTGTTCTATTGAGAGCCATGACTTATTTTAAATTGTCTTCCTGGTTAACCTTGCCATGGAGAAAGCTTATGTGTAAGTAAAAACTTGAGGCAACAGAACTTGTATAGCATGATTCACTATTTTGCAAACTCATATGTTTTTACAGGTCAATATTTCTCAAAATATAATAATGATATATGAAGGAAAGTAGAAAACCCATGTTAGGTCTGTCCTCAAATATAGATGATATATAGAAATACATTGAACAAATGAGAAACAGGTTGTGAAAATAGAAGCAAGGAAAAAATAAAGAACAGAAAATTAGGTGAAGCGAGCTAGAAATGGTGCTGAAAATCACATCGATAAATCCCTGTGCAGTTGCAAAGGTGGCCCCAACTGGGGGCCTGCACTTTCCAACAGCCAGGATCTGTTGGGAAACATTATCAGTTGCCAGATTGATGACATTCTGTGGGTTTAAGAAGAAAAAAAAAGAGTTCCCTGAGAAATAGTTTTCCCCTCTGTGACATAGTGACAGCAGCATTCTCAGTATCATCTGTACAACAAAAACCCTGGACAGATAATGTTATGTGGCTGTTTATAGAGCAGCTGTTGGTGCCAGCTGAGGACCTGATGCCAAAGTAGAGGTAGAAAGGCAGGCACGGCAGGTGCACCAGCGCCGTCTCAGCCCTCAGAGCTGGTGGTCTGGATTGTTGTAGATAGATCTAGCTTCTTGACTACCTAGAAACTAAATGGACTGCCTGTCCTACTGGTGTAAGCCAGAGACTGTAAAGTGACAACTCAAAGGCTAAGTTTACCCTACAAGTGTTTGGCACCTAAAAAATTTGTGAGTGACTTGCCCATATTTAAAATCAGATTGCACATATAAAAATCTAGATTTCTGGCTTCTCTAAAAATCAGAGAGTCTTAGGCCCATAGTCTCACATCATCATAACTGGCAAAGCTGAGCACTAGTTGACCCCTTTACGGGGGGCATCACTCTCAAGTGCCCCTCAGTCTTCACCCCTGCTTCCCAGATCACCTCATTTACAATAACCCCCTGCCCTCATAGCTTTAATTCAGCCAGTCCTTTGTGTCAGTGGTTTCTTCTTACTTTTTTTCCTTCCTTCTTTGCTTCCTCTTTCCCTTCCTTCCTTCCTTCTTTTCCTGCTTTTTGGCTGAAGCTTCATTTCCACCTATAAAATTTTATAGAGGAATTTAGTCTACAAAGTAGATAAGAAAGGACAGCTGTGATAGAAGGATAGAAGCCCCCCCTCTTCCCCCTTTCAAGCTCATCTCCTGGCTTCCCTCATGGCCACCACAGGCAGACCTTTGTAGATGCCCTTGGCTCCACAGAGAACGAGCTGACATCACCGCTCCAAGATATCTTTTGCAACCAAATTTTGTATGAGAACTGCACTGCATAGTTGGAAGATGAATTTTCTGCCAGGGACCTGAAATACAGGAATTCTGTATTACAAATGAAAGGCAGGTCATGTGTTTCAGTAATCAAGGAAGCCTAAGTAAGGTTGACCTTGTGTATGGCAGTGTAAAGCCAACCCAGATATGTGCCTGAATAAAAGGCCACCCCACTCTCATTGCAAAGATTGGCTAACCTGCAAATCTCAGAATTTGTATGTACATATGCACATATATACACACGTATGCACACATCCTTTGAATAAAGCAAGACATAATACTTAAGTAGTCATCGTGGCCTAGAATGAGTTGGTTTTCTTAAGCATTCACCTGCTTCTTTTCATTAGGTCGATGACAGCATTCAGAGGAGACGGCAAAGTTATAAAATTATTTGCAAAGCACATAAAGGTAAGCAAGGGCCTGTGTGATCCCTAAAGGCCTCTCCCAGACCTCAGCTTTTTTCCTTTCAACCTCTTCTCCTAATCTCCTTAGCACATATTTTATTGAGTTCCTTCCTTATGTAACATTTAACAACTTTTCTGGTTTTTTAAATTCTATGCTTCTGCATACCTACCTCCCCAGTATGGCAGTCGCTACTGCCATGCTCTGTCCCTGTATAGAACCTGAGGCTTGACCCTTTGATTCCTTGAAGATTACCAGTTTTCTAGGGATATGCTCATCTCTGCCCTGGAAGTCGACCCTACACAAGGGTAGCTCCATTTGTATTTCACTTTCTTAACTTTGAGATAAAATGTTCTAAATTGGTGTAAGATAGCACTTTCTTAATGACTTCCTTTTCTTTCTTCTCTTTCATCTTGGAACAGGTCCAGGCGCAGGTAAAGTTGCTGGAGAAGCGTGTGGTGCACCTGGGTGTAGGAACTCCGGGGAGAATTAAAGAACTTGTTAAACAAGGTATGACAAGAGGGCAGTGATACTCTTGCCCAGGGCTGGGAGTTTGCCTTACCTACATGTGAGTCTCAGAAACTAAATTCAGGATATACAAAAACCAGACCTCTGTGTTAATTCAGGAATTGGAAACTCAGCCTTTAATCTCTGAAACCAACCAGCAAGTATAGCACAATAGGGAATGATAAGGACTGTGGCAAACTGAAGTACGTGTGCCCACCTAAACAGAGTCAAATTCCAGCTGCTATAAGCAGGTTAGTGGTTCCACATAGCCTTCATTCCACCAGTGTGCAGCCACTGCTTGAGTTGAGCAGTTCCCTGTCACTCCACTGAGTCTTGGGGAGACTCCCATTTTGAGGGCTGGTATATAAAACATACTAAAACAAAAAACGTAGTTTCCATGAATGTAATGCAGGCATTCCATAATAGTTCTTCCCAAATGTGTTTCTCTTTTAGTGCTTTACAGAAAGTATTCTAGACAACATCCACTGGTGGGTTTTTATAGTTTGCCAACTTTCTCAAAGCCAGTAGCCTAAGAACCTGCTAACCTGCCAATTATCTTATTACCTCTTCTACCTACCAGGCAGATTGAATGATTTCTTTTCAATACTTATTTCCAAATTACTTATGTATTATATAATAGAGCTTTTTTTTTAAATAACTGTCTGGAGCTATTCTCAGATTATTTTATATATCTAAAAGTAATGTGTTCATCAGTGTAGTAACTCATTATAGAGATGGTCATTTGCCAGGGAGCAACAAAAGCTAAAACTACTGTTGTTTCTCTCCAGATGAAAATCATCCAGGGTTAGTTGAACCCACTATATGCAGAGTTTTGTACAAATACCAACAACTAACAAATTTGGCTGCCCCTGACAAGGAAGGGAAACAACACTTTCGAGTTCCTACTTGTACGCAGCGCTACGCTTGACACCCTTACATATGTTACCTCATTTAGCACTCACAGCATCCTTACAGGCTAGCCTTTTTATTTTTTATGAGAGAGAACTGAAGCTCAGAGGGTTAAGTCACCCTCCCCAAGGTCTGTCAGTCTAGGCTCTCCTGGTTCTAGAGCCTTTTCCCCTCAAGGAGCTCCTGATCCAGCTGAAGAACTAAGTGTACATAGACTGAGATCGATAGCATGAGGCAGTAAATGCCAAGAGCCAAATGAGCACTTCTAAGTCCTACAAGAGTTGAAATGAGAAAGAGATAGTTATGCTGGCCTGAATCTGCAGGGCAGGGTCTTTAACTGATCTTTGAAGTGTGGGGAGGATTGAAATAGGCCGGGAGGGTCAGAGGAAGCATTCATGAATGGGAGAACAGCCCAGTGAGATTCTCAGAAAGCAGGCACATGCACATGGTATATCACAAGGAATTGATGAGGAGGTAAAACAATGTTGCAGTTAAGAGCCCCTGTGATGGACTCAGACCTCCAGATTCAAATCCCAGGTCTAGCAACTTACCAGCTCTGTGACCTTGGCAAGTTACTTAACCCTTCTCAGCCTGTTTCTTTGTGCGAACAACAGGGATAGTAATAGTAGCTACTTAGAGGTTTGTTATAAAAACAAAATGCCAATAAAGAGCTCAGCACAGTAAGTGTCACACCCTAAACACTTAACAAATATTAGTTATTTATTAAAGAGACCAACTTTCTTGCTTGGAAACTTCGTGGGCTCTAGTAGCAGCTGATGTAACTGGAAAGAAATTTGAGGAAAGTCCTTGAACAGTAAGCTGAGGAGTTTGGATTTTTGTCTTGTGGACATCCTATGGCATTTGAAAGTTAAGGAACAGATGAGAGGCACCAAGGCCTTCTATGAGACACAGATTTGGGAGTAATTGGCTGGGTATCAGAAGCTAAGGATGGACTCTCAGGTTGGTTCCTGCCTCCCTAACAGCTTTTAGCTAAAGATTCACCACCAGCCCCTCCTGGAATCCAGATTTTTTTGTGTGTCACCAGACTTCCCCAGCCCCCACCCCATGCAACAGGATTACTCTTCTCTGTATTTAAAAGAAAGAGAGGAAGAGAAAAAGCAAAGCTATCCAGACTATTGAAATCAGATCTCTACAGAGTTGTGAGACCTCAATATGAAGGCTTATTTCATATGGAAAAATCATTTAAAGGGCGATTTTTAAAAAAATATTAATGAAAATAATTTTTACATCTGATTCTAATTGGATGAATGGTTTCATATTCATTAACCACAGGTATTTGCCTACATACAAAGTGTTTAAAGAGAATAGTCCCAGCACCCTAAAAGTGAAAAATCTAACAGAGTGACACCAATAGCATATATGTAGCTGTTTATGACTTAATAAGATGTTTATACGTTTGATATATAAGGAGAGTTTTCAGACATTGAAAGATATCCCATGACATTGGGATGTATACAATTACAGGCAATTGTGTTGTTTTAATTTAGTAATGAAGGGGATTTTCTGACTATAGGAGCCTTTGAAAATGCAAAAATGTACAGAGAAGAAAACAAGTCACTTTAGAAGCAATCTCTTGTTAATAATGAATGTATTTCCTTTGAGTCTTTTTTCTATACAATTTGTATGTTTATTTTTATACAACAGAGATTGATTATACTGCATCTCATAACTTTATAACCTACCTTTTTCACTTGCTATATCTCATGAGGACTTACCTTCCTTGTCATGAAGCACGTTTAATTTTTCATTTGTATAGCTACACTATTTACAATATTCTATTGTAAATTTATTTTTTTGCAATTCTATTATGGTAGACTTTGGGTTGTTTCTAAATTGTTGCTATTATAAATAATGTGGCAATGATCATTTTTGCAAGTAGCTATGTTTATGTTTCTGATGCTTCACTGGGATATGTCATAGAAGGAAATTTATTTTATCAAATAAAAGCATTTTGGCTGGGCACCGTGGCTCATGCCTATAATCCCGGCACTTTGGGATGCTGAGATGGGCAGATCACTTGAGGTCAGGAATTTGAGATCAAATAAAAGCATTTTGAAGCTGTTATAATATTATGCTCAGTTTCATTCCAGAGAGGCTGTACCTATTTGCTTTCCTGAGAGCAGTTATATTAAGGGAAGACTGATGATCAACTCATTGTCTTTTCCAGTTCACTATTTTTATTTTAATTTTGCAGAGAGTTTTTAATAACAGGCATTTGAATTATAAAAAGCATGAACAAGTATTAGGGGCAAAGAGGAAAATATTTAAATACTACAGGGAAAAGCTGAGGGGAAGTGCCACAGGAGAGGAAGGCTGCAGGTACTGTTAACACAAGAGACGTGGAACAGCTTGGAGCAGAGGCAAGAACTGACTCTATGCCCAACTGTGAGACATCTGAGGACTACACATTCCCTGAGGTCCCCTTCAGCCCTCACAGTCCATAATTGTCTTCTAGACAAACAGGAAAGCAGAGAATGGAGTCATTAAGTGATTTACCAACCTCATCGAAGGATAGCTGAATAGAGCCTATTCATCTCAACTTCCTTTTCTGCCTAAAAGGAACCACCCAACCCTGTCCTCATCTTTCTCCCCACTCACCTCCTGAGAGCCCTGCAGACTCCATGGACTCAACTCCTTTGAAAGGCAACTACCCCAAACTGCGGGATTTAACTTAGCAAATCCCTGTCAGGAATGAGACTATAGCCTCTGGGGCTTCATGAAATGGATGCCTGGCCAGCGTGTGAGCATTTGAGGAGCTTAGCAAGAGCAGTTTCTCTGCTTTCCTCAGGAGGAGTGATGAGATGATAAGAAGAGCAAGTCTCAGAGTGCTGCATTTGTTTTCCATCAGGGAAGGGCAGCACTTAATGTGCGGAGATTAGTTACTGGGGGAGAGGACAACATATGAGACAAAAAGTAACCCGGAGAATAAAAAATCATTTTAATAAGCTTATGTCATGAGGTCTTTACTACAGCAACTCTCTTCCTGTCTCTTTCAGGTGGCCTTAATTTGAGCCCCTTAAAATTTCTGGTTTTTGACTGGAACTGGAGAGATCAGAAGTTGAGGAGAATGATGGACATTCCCGAGGTACCACGTAACCAGCAGTTGCCTTTAATCATTTTTTCTCTATTTGAACTTGGTTCAAACACAGTAATAAAGTCTTTGACATGAGGAGCCAGCACATGTTAGATTTTGAAATGATTTCTATCTTTTTTAACTCTGAGCTAACTATAATTATAGAGGCCACCTCATCCCCTTACACATAATTGTATCCTTTCCATGTGTTTCATGGGAATCAGCTCTGTTGCTCCTTAAATGACCAATGGCCTCTCCTCACTAGGGACCATTTTGAGAAACAAGAAGATCTGAAGGACCTGCACTTCTCCTGTGCCTTTCTTTGTAGACACACTCGTCTTTATCTTTCATTCTTATATGTGCACTTTTGGCTCGGGTTAGGGGAGCAGGGGTACAAACTTGCCTCTGCCAGCATCTCCACATGGATTCCCAAGAACCCACTTACTTAATTTAGAAAGATATTTTGGTTCATGGGGTGGGGAAATTTTTTGATGTCTCAGTTGATCAGAATTGAATGACCGAATGCATTTATGGGCACAGTATTAGCTCATTATATATTTTTAAAAACAATCCATTATCATCATAATGTGAAAAAATTACTTTGCCACCTACCACGCTATTATGGGGCTAATTTTTCAATCTAGCCTGATGCTTCACAGTAGCTGTTAGGAAAAAAAATGATTACCAGTCACTAACCAAGAACAAATCATGGCAGTAACTATCAAAGAGGCTTGGAAATACTCTTCCAAACATGCTGAATGAATTAATTTATCACATAAAGCTATATCTCCAGATTGACCAAACCTGATTATAATTGATCAGTGAGTTATTTCAGACATCAGTTCAGGTTAAAAAACAATTTGCTCAGTTACACACACGCACATGCACACACACATACACAGTCGTGCATTTTGTCCCCTGACTTGACTGGTTTCTTAAAACTGGTTTAACAAATTTGATATCAGGCATGAGGCCATAGTTGATTATTTCAGTTATAATATTAAATTTGACTAATCTACTAAGTTTCTAATTCTAATAATGAGAAATGTCCAAAAACATCTTGTCACCCATAGTTATTTTTATTCTGTTGCTGTCATTCTCAGCAGTTATCCTAAGGCAATAAAATCCTATACTGAACTATTGTATATAATCTTGTTTACAGAAAGCACACTGTGGAGTCCTTGAAACACCTTTGTATAGCATTTTATTTTGAATGGCTGCAAACAAAAGGGCACTTTAATGAAACTAATGTTTTATATAGTACCTCCTCCTTCATTTATATAAATATTTTAATTCTGCCAGGCATGGCAGTGCACACCTGTAATCCTAGTGCTTTGGGAGGCCAAGGTGGGAGGATTACTTGAAGCCAGGAGTTCGAGACCCGCCTGGACAACAAAGCAAGACCCTGTCTCTACAAAACAATAATAATAATAGGCCAGGCACAGTGACTCACACCAGTAATCCCAGCACTTTGAGAGGCCAAGGCAGGTGGATCACTTGAGGCCAAGAGTTCAAGACCAGACTGGCCAACATGGCAAAACCCTGTCTCTACTAAAAATACAAAAATTAGCCAGGTATCATGGCACACACCTCTAATCCTAGCTACTCAGAAGGCTGAAGCATGAGAATCACTTGAACCTGGGAAGCAGAGATAGCAGTTAGCCGAGATCACGCCACTGCACTCCAGCATGGGCAACAGAATGGGACTCTGTCTCAAAATAATAATAATAATAATTTTAAAAATTTCAACTCTGAATCAAATGTGTGTTAGGACTTTTGCACTCTCTGATTCTGGCCATAACAGCTGGGTAAATATCAGGGAGTCCTGATGGTTGAATGTATTCACCAAGACCATTTTGGCTTGATCTTAATCTTTTTTTCCCCCCTTTTCTCTCATTTAGATAAGAAAGGAGGTATTCGAACTTCTGGAAATGGGAGTGCTCAGTCTGTGCAAGTCAGAATCCTTGAAACTGGGCCTTTTCTAAGTCTGTGTCCTAATGAAGATTCCAGTTTTCACAGTAGAAGTTGCATCTTATTTAATGACTCTGATACATTGCAAGCACTCAGTAAATATCAGCAAATAGTTTATGTTAATTGTGTCAACAGATGGATCACTGGAATGTGGGGATTCTGAAACAGAAATGAAACTGTCCTTTTGACAACTCTCTTATATAATAAAGTATCACCGGCTTGTGTATGATCCTTGTTGAGCGGACCGTGTTTTTCTGTCACCAACTGGCTTCTGATGTAACTGTGCAGGAGAAAGGAAAGAGCAGCTGGGTGACCTTAGGCAAGCGTAAGGTCTTGCCTCTCTGAGCCCCATCTTATCAACTCAAAGTGGGAATGTCTCACAGCATTGTTGAGGATTCCAGGAGATAGTACATGGGGAGCAGATTTGTAAACTCTGAGGCATGGTCCCAGCAAAAAGGGTGGCAGGTATATTAATCCATTCTCACATTGCTATAAAGAACTACCCGAGACTGGGTAGATTATAAAGAAAAGAGGTTTAATTGACTCACAGTTTCACAGGCTGTACAGGAGGCATGGCTGAGAGGCCTCAGGAAACTTGGCAGAAGGTGAAGGGGAAGCAAGCACATCTTCACATGGCGACAAGAGAGCAAGAGAGTGAAGGGAGAAATGCCACACACTTTTAAACGACTAGATCTTGTGAGAACTCACTCCCTATCATGAGAACAGCAGAACAGCAAGGGGAAAATCTGTCCCTATGATCCAGTCACCTTCCACCAGGTCCCTCCCCCAACATTGGGAATTATAATTCAACATAAGATTCGGGTGGAGACACAGAGCCAAACCATGTCAATTCCACCCCGGCCTCTTCCAAATTTCATGTTCTTCTCACATTTCAAAACACAATCATGCCTTCTCAACAGTCCCCCAAAGTCTTAACTCATTCCAGCATTAACTGAAAAGTCCAACTCCAAAGTCTGATCTGAGACAAGGCAACTTCCTTCCACCTATGAGCCTGTAAAATAAAAAACAAGTTAGTCATTTCCAAGATACAATGGAGGTACAGGCATTGGGTAAATGCTCCCATTCCAAGTGGGAGAAACTGGCCCAAAGGAGCTAAAGGCCTCATGCCAGTTTGAAACCCAGCAGGGCACTCTTTGAATCTTAAAGCTCCAAAATAATCTTTGACTCCATGTCTCACATCCAGGCCACTCTGATGCAAGGAGTGGGCTCCCAAGGCCTTAGGCAGCTCTGCCCCTGTGGCTCTGCAGGGTACAGTCCCCATGGTTGCTTTCACAGGCTGGTGTTGAGTGCCTACAGCATATCCAGGTACACAGTGTAAGCTGTCAGTGGATCTACCATTCTGGGGTCTGGAGGATGATGGCTCTCTTCTCACAGCTCCACTAGGCAGTGCCCCAGTGGGGACTCTGTGTAGGGTCTCCAACCCCACATTTCCCCTCTGCACTGCCCTAGTAGAGGCTCTCCATGAGGGCTTCACCCCTGTAGCAGACTTCTGCCTGGACATCCAGGCGTTTCCATACATCCTCTGAAATTGAGGCAGAGGCTCCCAAACCTCAGCTCTTGCCTTCTGCACACCCATAAGCCCAACAGCACGTGGAAGCTGCCAAGGCTTGGGGCTTGCACCCTCTGAAGCAATGGTTCAGCTGTACCTTGGCCCCTTTTAGTCACAGCTGGAGCTGGGGCAGCTGGGAATTAGGCTGCCATGTCCTAAGGCTGCACAGAGCAGCTGGGCCCAGGGCCTAGCCCACGAAACCATTTTTTTCCTCCTAGGCCTCTGGGCCTGTTTGGTGGGGCTGGGGAGGGCTGCCACGAAGGTCTCTGAAGTGCCCTGGAGGCATTTTATCCATTGTTTTGGCTATTAACATTTGGCTCCTCTTGTGCAAACTTCTGCAGTGAGCTTGAATTTCTCCCCAGAAAATGGCTTTTCTTTTCTACCACATGGTCAGGCTGCAAATTTTCAAGCTTTTATACTCTGCTTTGCTTTTAAATATAAGTTATCTCTGCTTATGCAAATGAGCATAGGCTTTTAGAAGCAACCAGGCCACCTCTTGAACACTTTGCTGCTTAGAAATTTCTGCCGGATACCCTAAGTCATCTCTCCCAAGTTCAAAGTTACACAGATCCCTAAAGCAGGGGCACAATGCCACCAGTCTCTGCTAAAGCATAGCAAGAGTGACCTTTGCTCCAGTTCCTGATAAGTTCCTCATCTCCATTTGAGACCACCTCAGCCTGGACTTCATTGTCCATATCACTATCAGCATTTTGGTCAAAACTGTTCAACAAGTCTCTAGGAGGTTCCAAACATCCCTCATATTCCTGTCTTCTTCTGATCCTTCCAAACTGTTGCAACTTCTCCCCGTTACCCAGTTTCAAAGTTGCTTCCACATTTTTTAGGTATCTTTATAGAAATGTCCCACTTCTCTGGTACCAATTTTTTGTATTCTTCCATTTTTACACTGCTATGAAGAACTACCTGAGACTGGGTAGTTTATAATGAAAAGAGGTTTAATTGACTTCCAGTTCCACAGACTGTACAGGAGGATGGCTGGGGAGGCCTCAGGAAATTTACAATCATGGCAGAAGATGAAAGGGATGCAACCACATCTTGTGGCAACAAGAGAGCAAGAGAGTGAAGGGGGAAGTGCTATACACTTTTAAACAATCAGATCTCTTGAGAACTCACTATCATGAGAACAGCAAGGGGGAAATCTGCCCCCATGATCTAATCACCTCCCACCAGATCCCTCCCCCAACACTGGGAATTACAATTCGACATGAAACTTGGGTGGGGACACAGCCAAACCACATCAGCAGGGTAGTGGTAGAAAGAGCATCAAGTGAATTTGGCCCTTTGTAAACGTATAAAAAGACAACAATATAATTACAGCTGTCTTATTAACTTTTTTTTAAAAACTTTCTATTTTGAAACTTCAGGCTTAATAGAAAAGTTTAAAAAATAGAGAATTCCCATATCCCCTTCCCTGAGCTTTCCCTGTGTTAAATTCTTGTATAACCATAATAGAGTTATCAAAACTAAGAAGTCATCACTGGTACTGTATAATTAACTAAACTACAGAGTTTATTTGGATTTCTCCAATTTTTCCACTAATGTCCTTGTTCTATTCCAGGATTCACTGCAGGATCCCACATTGCACTTACTTAGTTGTTGTATCTTTTTGGTTTCTTCAGACCAGTGACAGTTCCTCAGTATTTCCCTGTCTTTCATGACCTTCACACTTTTGAACAGTATCCATCGTGTATTTTGTAGAATGTCCTTCAATTTGGATTTGTCTGTAATGTTCTCATGATTTGATTAAAGTTATGCATTTTTTGACCAGAATACCACAGAAGTGAGTATGTCCTTCTGGATTTATTATATCAGGGGTACATAATGTTAATATGTCTTATTACCAGTGATGTCAACCTTGATCACCTGGCTAAGGTGGTATCTGCCAGTTTTTTCTATAAAGTTATTATTTTCCCTTTGTAATTAATATCTATTTTAGGGGCAGTACTTTGAGGCTATACAAATATCTGTTTTTCCTCAAACTTTTGCCTGCTAATTCTAGCAAATATTGGTAGTTCTTGCCTGCGACAGCCATTACTGTAATGGTTTTTCTATTTTTCTCATTCCTTCAACATGTGTTACATTTATTACAGAATTCCTCTTTAAGAAAGAATTATCTCCTTTCCCCCATTTCCTTGTTTGTTCAATTATTTATTTACATCAGTATGGACTCATTGATACTTATTTTATTCTATGAGTTATAAGGTAATAGTATTGTTTTTTATTTTTTTGCTCAAATTCACTTTTCTTACTCATTTAAATAATGTTGATTGGTTACCCACTCTGTGCCAAGCACTGTGTTTACAACTTTCATTTATATATAAGCTGTCATGTTTAATCACTGAAATAGTCCCAAAAGAAAAAGTAAGTCACATTGTATAGACAATGAAACTAAATCTGAGAAGGGACATACACTAGTTTAAGTAGCAGAACCAGAAGTCAGACCCAGGTCTCCCATATCCACTTCAAGACACCCAACTTATCTGGAGACTCAAGCATATACAGCAAACGAGATAGGAAAGCAAACAGATGCCATTACTGATATATAAAATTCTACATTCCAATTTTGTGAAATTGTAAATGAGCCTAACAGGCTAGCAAGTCAAAATCCAGGAAATCACACAGGCCTGCACACCAGCACCTTGTTGTTCATGCACCTTGCACCTCTGTGGCCTGAAATCCACACACAGGAACTCAGAGGAAAGAGGAGTAGGTTCCATTCTCCAGGATTCCCACTAGAGTCCAGTAAGTTAAAAGAAAAAAAACCACCACAGAATGAACATTAAGCTATCGCTAAACTTAACCCTATCACTTTCATCCCTTTAACCCTAACAGGTGAGATATTCTTGGCCAATGGTAAGAAAGAAAATGGACCACATACCTTCTCAATAGAGGCATTTAACTTCCTGTCAAGTGACGTCTTAGATTAATGTGGAAAAAAAGCCATCAAGTATGATTGTATCAGAGGAGAGACTTGCAAATTAAGACACTGTGGTCTGTGCTGTCAGAATTCAGACCAATCTGCCAAGCGGCTATTAATTCGCCAAAATATGAGACTATCATGAATATTACATGTGTATATTCATATAATGTATATTTAATATATATTTTTATATTTAGCATATATATTTTCATCCCAGCAGTTAATAGGAAAGACAACGAAATATAAGGCAACCCCAAATATACAAATGTCTGCTAATGCCTGAGAAGGTTATCTACAGTGGTTAAGGAAAAATGAAGACAAGTTAGAAATCACTTTAAAATTTTTCTTTTTTTCCTTTTTTTTTTTTTAAAGATGGGATATTGCTCTGTCTCCCAGGCTGAAGTGCAGTGGTGCCATCATAGCTCACTGCAGCCTCAAACTCCTGGGCTCAAGTGATCCTCCCACCTCAGTCTCCCAAAGTGCTGGGATTACAGGCATGAGCCACTGCACCTAGACTTTGAAATTTCTAGTGATGCCACAATACAACAGCTGTTAACAAATTGTTGTATTGGTATCAATCTAGAACAGTGATTCTCAAACATGGGTAATAGAGGCCGGGGATGCAACTAAACATTTTACAATCTTACAGGACAGCCCTCACAACAAA
This sequence comes from Homo sapiens, assembly GCF_000001405.40. Taxonomy (NCBI): domain Eukaryota; kingdom Metazoa; phylum Chordata; class Mammalia; order Primates; family Hominidae; genus Homo; species Homo sapiens. The sequence goes on from NC_000003.12 coordinate 100,183,550, forward strand.
GAAATATCTAGCCCAAGATGTCAGTAGTGCTGAGAAAAAGAACCCTGTTCTGGAAATATTGAAAGGCAATGCATATGAGGTATATTTGCACATTGAAAGTAGATTTATTTAGAAGAGAGGAATAGATGAATATAAAAGTACCTGGAGAATGTATATCTAGCTGTCTCTCAAGAATATTGTCCCAGAAATATTTGTACTTACTACCTGTGATGGCTAATTTTAATGTGGCAACTTGGCTAGGCCGTAGGATACCCAGATAGTTGGTTAAACATTATTCTGGGTGTTCTGTGATGGTATATTTGCATGAGATTAACATTTAAATGGGTAGACCTGAGCAAAGAGGATTGCCCTTCATAATGTGAGAGGGCCTTGTCCTGTCAGTTGAAGGCCTCAATAGAACAAAAGACTGACTCTCCCCAACCCCCCAAGAGAATTCTGCCTGACTGCCTCCTAACTGAAACATTGGCTCTTCCTGATTCTGTGGCAGCCTGTTGGCCTTCAGACTTGAATTGGGACATCAGCTTTGCAGATTTTGGGCTTTTCAGCCCCATAATCATGTGAGCCAATTCCTTATAATATATATATATATGGTCATATAATCTCCTGTTGGTTCTGTTTCTCTGGTGAACCCTGAGTAATACACTATCTGTGAAGCTCCTTTTAGTCTGGGATTTGAGTTAGTTGGTTTTGTTGTTTTATAAACAGTCTAAGAAATACTATTCTCATTGGTTTTTTGCTGTAATTACCCTCTTGCTAGGCATTATCTATGTAATATAATGCCATCCAATCCAATGTTGGAATAAGTATTTGAATCACAAACATACCCCAATGTTGTGTAGGTCAACCCTGTTCTTATAATCTAATCTCATAGCCTTTTACTGCCTTTTAAACCCAAGCTCTTGACCATGTTTTATTTAGTAAAACAAATGGTAAATGTTAACTAGAAGTGTTCACTGCCATCTCCTCACACAAGGCTGTTTGATACCAACAACCGTACTAGTTGCCACCTCCAAATTAGATTCAAATGTCATGCTGAAAATTTCCCGTTGGTATTTTGCTTTTTATACAGTTTGTAAATGGAAAGCTTTAACTCCGAATTGGAAACTTCCTAGTGTAAGCATTTGCATCAATTTTGTATTCTTTCAAACTAGGTACATTTGCCAAAGTCATTACTTTCTTTGATACAAAAATAGTCCAGGATGGCTTCTCTGACTAATGTAAATTAAAAGGGAAGATTAGAAATTCACATGCTCCCTAATTTTAAAAATTCTAATTCTAAATCCTAAATGCCAGTTTTAAAAGAAGTAATTATTAATTATTAATGGCCTAAGGAAACTAATGTTAGTGGATTTCTAACAAGGGAAAAAACCCAAAACCAGACCTAATACTGTACTTCAATATTGAACATCTCATTGATTATCTTCCTCTTCCTTTCTCTTGTCTCATTTGGGGTACCCCAAAGCATGCACTTAAGACAGCTTAGGAGGAGATGTTTTTAATCCACATTTTCTACTAGAGCCTTTTTTGTGGATGAAAAAGAAATTGGAAGCTGCTGAGATGAGACATCTGTGTTCTACAATTTCCTGTTTGCTGCTCTCTTCCTCATTATCACAAATAGCAAAGTTAGCTATGATCTGAGAGTATTTTTCCAATTTAGTTTATATTCATGTTAAGCAACAGCCACATTTGGAGAAAAGCTGACAGCCCTTTTATTTTTTTTTATTAATCTCCAAGGATTTAGGCAAGTTCCTAAAGATAAATCCATTTCCCCCTCTCAGGAAGGGCTTGCCTTGAATTACTCACCAAATCCCAGAAATAGCCCATCGTGATTGCTTCCTAGTGTCACCAGATGTTGGTTTCTGCAGACCTTGCTGGGGACTATCCATCCTAGGCATGACATTTAACACAAGAACCTTTTTGATCCTAAGTCAGTTATACTCAGTAATGGCTGGTTGGAGACAGCTGAGCTCCTGCTAAATACCAGCTCTGGTTAAGGAATAATCCGGGAAGCAGAAAGACTTTGCAACTTCAAAGGAAGGGTTCACATAATTCATTTCACATTACCATTATGTGGTATTACTATGAGTAAAAATGTTCTAAATGTCCCAAAAGTATCCGAGTCACCTGCAGGACCGAAATGGAGGAGAGAGCACAGCACTGCCTGTCCAGATTACTAGACAACTCTGCCCTGAAGCAGCAGGAGTTACCCATCCACCGGCTATATTTCACGGCCAGGAGAGTCCTCTTTGTCTTTTTCGCAACAGGAATATTCTGCCTTTGTATGGGCATCATCCTTATATTGTCTGCAAGGAGCACTCAGGAAATAGAGGTTTGTCCCATCTTACAATTTGAATGCAGTTTCTGAGAATGTTCAGCTTTGGCACCATACGTGAGAATGGTTAGTTTGAGAACACAGGCCCTCAAGAGGGTATGGATAAGACGGGAACATCCCTGTTTCTGCTGGCAAGCACAGATGGTGACAGAGCCTGTGTAGAGTGGCTTTGTTCATCTCTGCTCCCTCTTGAGGGCAGTTACTCTCATGCCAGTGAGCTCAGACATATTTGTGTACAAGGGATTGACAAAGTTAGAAGCTTTTTTTTTTTTTTTTTTTTTTTTTTCCGAGATGGAGTCTTGCTCTGTCACCCAGGCTGCAGTGCAGTGGTGCGACCTTGGCTCACTGCAACCACCGCCTCCTGGGTTCAAGCAATTCTACTGCCTCAGCCTCCCTAGTAGCTGGGATTACAGACGACTGCCACTATACCCGGCTAATTTTTTTGTATTTTTAATAGAGATGAGGTTTCATCATGTTTGCCAGGCTGGTCTTGAACTCCTGGCCTCATGATCTGCCCGCCTTGGCCTCCCAAAGTGCTGGGATTACAGGCGTGAGCCACCATGCCTGGCTGAAGCTTTCTTTTTTTTTTTTTTTTATGCTGGCAGGGAAGAGAGCAAGTGACCAATAGGGGAAGAAGGAGAGTCAAGGCCACATGACTGCCAGAGACCCATGAGTCATATTGATAAAAAGAGTAAAGTGTCCAAGATACAGATCTTCAATATTGCCCCACATTCAAGCATTGTGTCTTTCCCTTTGCAAATGAACTCCCTCTGAGATCCAGGAAAGACAAGAGCCCAAGTCTTTCTGGCATCTTAAGGATATTTAGCAAAGCTAAGTTCTACTCAGAGTGAGAAAAGCTGGTGCTAAGGGCAGACCTCTCAGGCACAAGCCTTTTGCCAACTTAATAAGCTGTTGGAGGATGAGAATCCCTGAAGCTGGTCTAGAGAGGGAAGACAAGAGCTAGTCTAAGGCTTGATTGGCCATGCCCATATTCAGTCTAATTATTAAGTATATGTTTCATCCATATCAACTCCAGGCAGATTTCTGGACATCCCAGACCGCATGAGCTCCACTCTGCAAGAAGTAACCATGGAAAGCTGATCTATTCCCTCTCCCGACATGGCTGCTGGCAAAATTAAGATTAAGGCCAAGTCTACCAACATTGGTTTAAAATTTATGAGTGTCGCCTGGGTGCGGTGGCTCATGCCTGTAATTCCAGCACTTTGGGAGGCTAAGGCAGGCGGATCACCTGAGATCAGGAGTTCAAGACCAGCTGTGGTGAAACCCTGTCTCTACTAAAAATACAAAAATTAGCCGGGCATGGTGGCACATGCCTGTAATTCCAGCTACTCAGGAGGCTGAGGCAGGAGAATCACTTGAACCTGGGAGGCAGAGGTTGCAGTGAACAAAGATTGTGCCACTGCACTCCAGCCTGGGTGACACAGCGAGACTCCATCTCAAAATAAAATAAAATTTATGAGTGTCTGAAGGTGCCTACAGGTTCTGTTGACTATGCAGATGAGTAAGATGAGGAAGAGTGGATTTGTGCCCTCAATGAGCTGAGAACAGAATAGGTAAAATACTACGTGGTAAGAACAGAGAGCTTAGCCAGCTGCCTCACCACCCTCTTCCTTGCACATTGCCCAGTATGTGATAGGCACACACTTATTGAAAGAATGGACTAGGTCAGATAGTGCGGAACCCAAAGAGGAAAATGTCTTTTCAGGCTCTACTCTTCCTCCCAAAGCACACTGCTCTGTTGCCTCTCTACTTAACATTTTTTCCTCCCCACTTCCAGCTCCCACCGCTTATCTCCCTAGGAATTAAATGACAGCAAGACCTCCAGTGTTATATGTAAACTCCCACCAGGCTCCACCATGTGGCACAGGCAAAATGGCAGGAGGAGATGAATCTTGCCTTGCTGAAGGGGATAGCAAAGGAATGGGCTCACAACGTTGATGTCCATTTCCACGGAGTTCATGCAATTTACTTTTCTACTTTCTTCCTCACCAATCCCTTTCGTTCTGGTTCTTCCTTCCATGTCATTCTTACTCCCTCCCTTGCAAACCTGCCCCCCACCCCCCCACTGTGGAGTGCAGCCTTCACTAAGAGGTGCCCATGCATGAGAAGGTGACCTCATTCCATTACCAACTATTGGCCATGGCCCCTCCACAAACAGAATGCTTTTATCTCATGAAATCTATGGGCATTTTCCAACTAACATTGTTTCTTTAGTTGCTTCAGACAGGATTGCTTCTGACACTTCATTTTTATACTCGAAAACCAGTGTTTCATTAACCAGTGTATCACTGGGTGATAATATAGAGTGCACACTCCAGGCCAATGTGATCAGGCACAAACATCATAGAAAAGACTTCTGAGTTAGCCTTTCCTCTTCTCACTCAGCCCTGGGACACAAGGATGTGCTCTCTCTGCAGTTCACTTTAAACAAGAATAATTTCTGCCTCTCCAAAATTCTATGACGAGCAGACTGTGATCTTTGCTCCATCTCATAGCTATTCATGTACAAGTCCACTCAAGTAGCAAACTGAGGATACCATCATTGCATAGACAATAGATAAGGGATATTTTTTAGGCAAGAAAGCACCATAGATATCAACTACTCAAAAATTATTTGATCATGAAATATTTTCTTGAATACTACATTGATAGAACTCACAAGAGGAATTCATGAAGTAGCATGTATACTACAATGACCTCACAGATCAATTAATTGCTGCATGAAATGATGCTGATGGGCGAAATGTGGACTCTAGAGGTTAAGCACTTAACTCAAGGTCAGAGATTGGCTGAACTAGAACCCCAGTTTCCTCAGTCACCATTCAGTATGCTGTCTCTCCATTGGGATACAGCCCTGTTCTTTAATGCTTTTTATAAATTGAAATGTAGTCTACAAACAGAAATGGCATAAATATTTTCAAAATAATAGTTCAAGCCTTGCTGTGTATTTAAAGAATGATTTAGCTACATATAAGCATCTAAGTACAATGAAGTGTAGCATTTTCACTAGTCTTCAATTTAGTGTTCACACTTCACCTTTGGGCTTCAAAACCCTTAGTAGCTTTACAAGGATGCAAATTCCTTCTGTCTTCCTTGCTAGTCTTCTCTCCAAAAGAATCCTAACTTCTACTAGCACCTTACCCAGGGGAAAGCCACTCCATTGCTTCCCTGCTTCTCCGCACTCCCATAATCGTCTAATCACTCCTCAACACAGTGAGGGCAAGCCAGAAGCAGCCCACTGCAGCATCCAGGACAGCCCCAGGGCCCCTGAGATGAACATTCTTGCAGATAAGGCAGCAGTGCAGCCCTGTGCCCACCCGCCTGAGCCTCTCCTCCTTACTCTTCTAGCTGCATCTTCACAGAATGCAGTGCCTCAGCCAGAGCTCACAGGAGCCACCAATTTGGGACATACTACCTTTTTTTTTCCTTTTTTTAAGGAGTCCATTAAACCATTTTTCACAGAATTTTACTTTTAAAAAACAGAATGCAGCAGCATTTTAGAACCAGAATAATTCAACATACGTCAATAATCTTACATTTTGGAAACACTTCTTTTTCTGTTTGTTCATTTTTAATAACTTCCTCTGGATGCCATGTAGAATAATTCACTAGTATAAATATCTTCCATACAATAGAATGGAAAAACAGTGAAGTGACTTCCCCATAAAGTTGATTAGACTCAGGCTGTAAGCCTAGTTCTCATGAGTCATTGACTAATACCTTCCTAGCAACTGACACCTCTTTATGATCGAGGGTAAAGCTTCATCACAACAGGTTATATAAATAGGCAACAGAAACACCAAACTCTGGGCCAGTGGCAAAATGCTGCCAAGTCCCCAGATGAAAGACTGTGGGAAGGCCCACGCCTCCTGAACATCCCCAGAAATACTGGCCCTGCACAGTGGGCTGCCCCATTCGTGTCCTAGACTCCATGCCCCTGACCCAGACAGGCGGAGACTTGGGTGGACTCCAGATTTGAATTTTAAGGTATGTACCCATGTAACCTTTTAATTAATCATTTTTTTCCTTGCCTGACAGATTAATTACACAAGAATATGTGCAAATTGTGCAAAACTGCGAGAAAATGCCTCTAATTTTGACAAGGAATGCACCTGCTCTATTCCCTTTTACCTTTCAGGAAAAATGATGGTAGGTGAAATTCAAGAAACTCGGTTGACTTTACACTGATCTATTCCTATGTAACACTTAGCAGTAAGTTCACAATTTCCATGAAATGCTTTCCAAAACTGAAAATATGAAACATAAAGCAGGATGGTGGTGGTGAATCCGAAAGATTGTTGAGTTCATATCCCCTCCCTCCTTTTTGAGTATTATTCTCCTCCTTTGTTTCTAAGTTGCAAGATTCTTTACCTATCCAACTTTGTAACATAAATCTTATCTACCAAACAGGTTTTACTCTAAATATCAGCACAGGGACTTTGTGTGAATTTACATTGAATTTAACCACTCATTTTATGGTGAGAAAATTAATGGGCTAAGAGGTGAAGTAAGTTGGCTAAGGTCACATAGTAGGTTGGTGTCAGGGGTCACACACTTGGGGAAACCTTCCTTGGGTCTCCCCAAGTCATTCCACATGTGCAATTATGTAATTCCCAAGGAGAGAGTCTGGCTGTCCAGCACTGTGAGAAATGCCAAAGAAATATTGAGAGAAGTCCCCACTCATGGGCTGATTTAAGTCTCATGTTAGTCAAGTCCTCTGAGAAGCAGATGCCCAGACAGGGTGAGACATCGGAGAGATTTACTGGGTGAAGCCTCTGAGGGGAAATGGGGAAGGAGCAGGAGGAGGTTGGGAGAGCTCTGACCCTTAGAAAGCAGAGGGGAGGAGAGAAGGAAGGAAGGAGGGAAGGAGAGAAGTGAGGAATATTTTTCAGGAGATGATGAGTCTGGTTTAGAACCAGCTGAATTTGAGGTGGGAGCAGGGCCTTGAGATAGAATGCTCAGTGGGCGGCTCAAGAGAAGGCCTCCCTGTACCTAGATTTAGCCCATGTAGAGTCATTTATGAAGGGGAAGGATGGGGGACCGGTTCAGTGTGGAGAATGCTGCAGGGGGGAAAAGTGTAGAGTCCAGAAACAGAACAGGACCTTAAAGTACACTTGAGGAGTTGAAGGAAATCAAATTTTTTGTTTGATTAAGTCTTGACTAACAAGTAAGACTGTGGAGGCCATGAAAAGGCTCCTCTCAGATCTACTGCAGGGAGTGTAATTGAGGGATATCCCCGGCTGCTGTGCTCTGAAATCACCATGTGTTTGCACCAATATCATGATTTCACAGCCACCTCAGCCAGTGGCTGAGCACAGTAGGGACATCGAGGTAGGTCCTTTCCTGGGAGTGGGGACTCTTCTGATGGATGTCCTTGGGGACTTCCTGTCAGCCTTGCTGAAACTTTAAGAATGCATTGTAGTCTTGGCTCTTCCTCCCTCACTCTCTTCACCCTCTCTTGCTGCCCTCCTTCCTTCCTTTCTTCTTTCCTCTCTCCTTTCGTCTTGAGGGCTCAGAATGCTAAAGTTTTTGGGAAAAAAACAAAAACAAAAACAAAAAGTGCTTCAATTCCCATCGATCAGTGTCCTTCAAAACTAAAACAGCAAATGAAGTGTTACCAGCTGCTAACCATTCCCTTCAGGCAGAGCCTTCTCATAAAAACCCAACTAAACTACTTAGAGCAATCACAGGGCCTTCAGCTCAGCAGCTACCATGCATGACACATGGGGAACCACAGCAATGAATCCACGCAAGGCTCTGTCTTAAAATAAGCGAAGAAATCCTGCACAAAGTGCCACTGAATTTAAAGAGAAGAAATACCATAAAGTGAATTGTGCCTCCAGGGATCATCAAGATGATCTTGGAGGCCTTGTTCAGCTAAATCTTGCACAAAGAATCACTGAAAGAGACTATTGAAACACCCCAGTCCCTAGTGTGCTGAGCGTTCTTTGTCTGTTTATTTTGTCATATATGTGAACATATAACTCTGATTAAGTAGAATTCTCTTTTTAGCTTCCAAGAAAATGTATGGTAAATTCCATTCTGTGGATTTCATATTTTCTGTAGTCATGGGTCAACAATAGAGGTTCCTGCTTTGGATGAGAAAACGTAATGGGTCCTTCACACTAAGCCTGGCTTGCTTGCCTTCATGCCAACACTCCCTGTTGACTATGATGCTGCCTGCTTCTTCGTCATGCAGCCTTTCTTGCATTCTTCGTCTTCAGCCTTTCTTGCATTCTAAGGCTGGCCACATTTACCATGACTTTCCTTCCCTGTTTACCATGGATACCACCTCCCATTTTCCATGCTCATCTTAAAGAAGATGCTCTTTAAGGTCCTTAGGAAATAAGGTCAAAGCCTTTCCAAAATGCTGTTTTTACACAGGGTAAAAGAATCAATGGACTCAGGGACTTGTAAAGGAATGCTTTTGTACTTCTAGCACTGAATATAGCACCTAACACATGGGAAGCACTTAATTAAAGTTAGGCTTTTATATTTTTGGATGCAGGTCTTCATTATTTTGGAGGTATGGAGTGTATTAATTTTAAACAGCTACATTGGACATTTCTATATGTGCTGTTAGTAGAATCTATGAATATGTTAGTTACATCCATATGGATATTTCCATATGTGCTATTAATAAAATCTGTATCAAGTCGGCCTGGAGAATTTCCAGGGCCTTAATATATTACCATAGAGGTGGAACCACGGTGCTAGGTTGTGTCCGGGCAGCCTTACTTACATGGCAGCATACATGAAAGACATATCTCTCATGACAGCAAGGCTCCTCATGGCTAGGGTGAAAATCACCTTCTTTCTTTTGGATCAGTGAATTATTCCATCTTTTTCTCTATAACAAATAGTTCACCATTTCTTAAGCAAGTATTATGTGCCAGGTACTGCATTAGATCCCAGAGATTAAAAAACCAAAAATTCTAGGCCGGGCGCGGTGGCTCACGCCTATAATCCCAGCACTTTGGGAGGCTGAGGCAGGTGGATCACGAGGTCAGGAGATCGAGACCATCCTGGCTAACATGGTGAAACCCCATCTCTACTAAAAATACAAAAAATTAGCCAGGTGTGGTGGCGGGCGCCTGTAGTCCCAGCTACTCGGGAGGCTGAGGCAGGAGAATGGCGTGAACCTGGGAGGCGGAGCTTGCAGTGAGCCGAGATCGCGCCACTGCACTCCAGCCTGGGCAACAGAGCGAGACTCCATCTCAAAAAAAAAAAAAAGAAAGAAAAATAAATAAATTACCAAAAAAAAAATCCCTAGACTGGGACTGCAAGGAGCTTCCAGTCTCATGCTTTTCACGTGCTCAACGTACACATGCACCTAAATATGCTCAATGGCTTGAATTTTACATTCTTTTTCACGGATTTGCTGTAAAAATCACGTTATTTTTGGTGTCAACACAACCTCTAGGCAAAGCATTTTTCCTCATATTTCTGGGAAATGAGAACATTTATAAAACCAAATTTTATGTATTGAAAATATGCTTGATTATAAAAATTTTTCATGGCAAGAATGCAGCAGCTCTTTAAAAACATGCAAAAATAGTTATTTAGTTATTCCAACAATTCTGTACAGAACAGGATTTCCCAGTGCAAATTTTTTTTTTTTTTTTTTTTTTGAGACAGGGTCTCACTCTGTCACCCAGGCTAGAGTGCAATGACACGATCATAGCTCACTCTAACTTTGAACTTCTGGGCTCAAAGGATCCTCTCCTCAGCCTCTGGAGTAACTGGAACTACAGGTGCATGCCACACCAGCCTAATTTTTCTTTTTTTGTAGAGACAGGGTTTTGCTACATTGCCCAGGCTGGTCTCAAACTCCTGGCCTCAAGTGATGCTCCTGCCTTGGCCTCCCAAAGCACTGGGATTATAGGCATGAGCCGCTGTGCCCAGCCCCAAAATTGATTTTTTTAAAATGACTTATTGGGTTTCTATTTCCCATAAATAGGCTTTGAGTTCCTGTCAATTTTTTCTGTGCTTTTATTTAAAAATTTCCTGTCCATGTTTATTAATATTCCAGTTAATTTTTCTTACTCTCCTCTTCTTGCTTTTCTCCCACACAGGGTAATGTTTATATGTACTACAAATTGTATGGCTTCTATCAGAACCTGTATCTATATATTCGATCCAGAAGTAATAGACAACTGGTGGGCAAAGATGTAAAAGTAAGGCTTGATTTAATCTGGTATAATACTCTTTTTCTTTTTTTTAAACCAAGTGTATTTTTCAGTCTAAAAGAGGAGATGGAAAATAAACTAAAATGCTACAAAACAGAAATGCTGATTTCCTTCTTGTGTAAATTGAAGGGGCTGGGTAGTCAGGATAACTGTTATTAAAAAGTAGCACTTTCCCTCTTTAGAGCAGTGATGTGAATCTTGTCCAACTGAATGGTTATCCTTTCACGCACCATTTTGATAGCAACCTTGAGTAGTTAGGCTCAGCCTGGCTGAGCCTAACTACCATTGTCCTCCCTGTCACTGGGGCCTTCAATCCAGCCTACTTTTAGGAAATTAGGCTCTATTCGATTGAGTAAAAGCCTTTTGCTTTAATCGAATACCTTTTCAAACCTATGATTATACATTTTTACTCTTGGTAGATGATAGCGTGCTAGCAAGAAAAGCTAGAATAAAATTTTTTCCATAGCGACATTATTATACTGAAGTGATTTTTAGCAACCACTCTTTTAAAAATGTATTTGGTAGTTGTGTGGATGGATTCCCTGTGATAAGTCATCTAGTTGTAGACTCATGATTTTTGTACTTTTCTGAATGTAATCCTTCAATATTGCCGAGGCCCTGAGTAAGAGTGTGGAACAAAGCCTCCCTACCTCCACCACCCCATTAGATAGTGATACAAGTGAAAAATAAGTTGTTACTATTTTAAACCACTAAAATAAAATAAGCTACATGTCAATAAAAAGAGGATTTTAAAATGTACTTCATTATAGGTTTAGCGCATTATATAGCACAGACAGTAAGGTAAAGTTCCTTTTTGCAGACATTTTTGGTATGCTATGTATTATTAATGAGGAAAAAACACAGAGACACACACCCACACACATACATATCTCCAAAACACAAAAATGTCCCAGTCTAAGTAAACCAGAGGCCTAGGAAAACCAGGTAGCAGTCTGTAATCTTAGTTACTGCCAATAAGTCATTGGGGGTGATTTATATTGCCAATGTTCTCACTTTTAACATTCTAAGAGAGTTTACCAAAAGCATTTCTCATTGCTGTATCCTCTTGCATCCACGCTGTTGAGGATTGTGCCCCATTTAAAATGTCCGACAATAAGACCCCCATCGTTCCTTGTGGTGCTATTGCCAACAGCATGTTCAATGGTAGGTGACTTTTCCTATCTCCATGGTGTACCCTTTCACAAGTGTGTAACAACCTAAATGTCCAGAAATTCACCTCTGAAGCTAAGTGGCAGTTTTTGTTTTGTTCCATTTTAATTCTGTAAGCATCATCCGGACTAATGCAGAGCACTGACATACAGTATGTCATTTGCAAATAATTTCTCTCTTGCCAAAAATCTGAAGGAATAGTCAAGGAACATGAGTTAAATGGAGCTTAAGGGTATTTTTCAATAATTGGCTCAATTTTGACAGGAAAAAGAATGGTCTTGTGATTCCAGCATCCATGGCATGTAGGCGTGTCGAGAGTCTGCAAAATCCCTGATTTATTTGTCAGCTGTGTCTGGTTCTGCATTTCAAAGGGTGGCGAAATTGCTAGATTGCATCTCTAACAAAATTTTTAATTTCCTTACAGACACCATAATTCTTTCACACAACATTAATTCATCTGTACAAATCAAAGTGCCAATGTTAAAGAGTAGACTTACGTGGTGGACAGATAAGTATGTCAAATTTCAGAATCTAAGTTTCAAGAATCTTGCTGATGAATTTAGAGGTAAGATCCATACAGTAGCTCAATATACGTATCTCTTTTTTTTTTTTTTTTGAGACGGAGTCTCGCTCTGTCACCCAGGCTGGAGTGCAGTGGCGCGATCTTGGCTCACTGCAAGCTCCATCTCCCCGGTTCACGCCATTCTCCTGCCTCAGCCTCCCGAGTAGCTGGGACTACAGGTGCCCGCCACCACACCCGGCTAATTTTTTGTATTTTTAGTAGAGATGGGGTTTCACCATGTTAGCCAGGATGGTCTCGATCTCCTGACCTCGTGATCCGCCCACCTCAGCCTCCCAAAGTGCTGGGATTACAGGCTTGAGCCACTGTGCCCGGCCACTTATCTCTTTATAAAAACTTTGTTTCTTACATGTGGGGAAATGTTTATGAATCCTCCTTCTTTATCTCCTTGTTGACTCCTTTTTGTTCTAACTCTCCCTACCATAAACATCTCCAATCCATATCTATCAAAAACATGAAATGCTTGATGCCCTGGTTTCTTCCAGTTTTCATTAGGGAATAGACAATGGTTTAAGACACCTATTGCTTCAGTTATAATAAGGATGAACATGTAATTTGTTGTCCAAACTGGTACCCTTTAGAGAGTGAAAGGGGGCACTTGAATATACTTACTTAAAATTTTTATTTATCAGTCAATAAATTGACATCATATTGATGGACTTATAAAATAATACAATTAAAAACTATTTTCTTGGGAGGCCAAGACAGGCAGATCACTTGAGGTCAGGAGTTTGAGACTAGCCTGGCCAAGATTGTGAAACTCTGTCTCTACTAAAAATACAAAAAATTAGCTGAGTGTGGTGGTGCGTGCCTGTAGTCCCAGCTACTTGGGAGGATGAGGCTGGAGAATTGCTTGAACCTGAGAGGTGGAGGTTGCAGTAAGCCAAGATTGTGCCACTGCATTCCAGCCTGGGTAACAGAGTGAGACTCTGTCAAAAAAAAAAAAAAATTCAAAAATTAAAATGGCATGTACATTAAACCAGCTTACAAAACTACTCCACTTATTATCTAAACATTAAAAGATAACATAAACTGAGTCCTGGAGGGGCTTCAAGATGGCTGACTAGATGTATCTGGTACTTGCTTCTTCCACAGACAGGAACTACAGAGAGTGAGTAGGTAATCACTCTTGGAATTTACGAGAGAACACTAGAATTCAACAGAGAAGTGATGGGAGGTGTTACCAGTGGCGAATCCATACGGGTCTGCAGCAACTTGATTGTTGCCTCCTTAGAGGAAAGAATTTAGCCAAGAGGCATAAGACAGAGGGAGAGACCGAGGAGGCAAGTTAGAGCAGGAGTGAAAGTTTATTAAAAAGTTTTAGTGGAGGAATGAAAGGAAGTAAAGTACATTTGGAAAAGGGCCAAGCGGACGACTTGAGAAATCCAAGTGCTCTATTCAGCCTTTGACTTGGGGTTTTATACATTGGTGTGGTTCTGGAATTTGCATCTCTCCTCCCTTGATTTTCCCTTGGGGTGGGCTGTCTGCACGCACGATGGCCTGCCAGCACTTGGGCGGGAAGGGGGTGGGGCGGGGCACACGCATCGTGTGTTTACTAAAGTTGTGCACATGCTCATTTGAGGCATTTTTTTCCTTACCAGTCAGGTGTTCCTAGAGGAAAGTCATATATCAGTTAAATGCCTCCATTTTGCCTCTTAGTGCCCATGCTTGAGCCTGCTCACCCAACTCCTGAGATTTTATTGGGAAGCTGATGATCACCAGCTTCAGGTGTTTTCTACTGGGAGACTGCATTAACCTGGCGCCAGCTGCAACCAATTATTATTTTACAGAGACAGTTTAACAACCACCTGACTATCACCTGATGGTCACCTGACATTCCTGGGTTGGGTGCCTCTCCTGCCCTGCTCTTGCCTGCCTAACTACCTACTCTAACAGATGCACCAAAAACAGGGAAGGAGGGGAAGAAAGGCGGCTTGTTTGGCTGGGATCAGCTGAAAGTCTGGGGAGGCCCCCTAGTGAGGGAAAAGATTGTAAGTGAGAGATCTCCAGCAGTTCATATTCCTACTGCTGACTCCTACAACCCTAGCCATGGGAGAGCCCCTTGACTCTCGTGGGCCACGAGACTAACAAACACAGGGAGCTCCCTGGAAACCGCGTGAAGGCATTACCCCAGAAAGAGAATTCATGCTGGGTCCCACAAACTCCAAAGTCCTAAGCAGCTGCAGCACAGCACCATTTTGAGAGCCCAGCCCATTCCAGACTGCATCCTGGGCAGCTGCCTGAGCCTGCTGCCTGGGCGGTAACAGGAGCCACAGGTAGCAATCTGCCCCAGCAGAGGGGCAGCCATGTGTTTTCAAATGCCTGGAGGACAATGAAAAACAGGCCAGGCGCAGTGGCTCACGCCTGTAATCCCAGCACTTTCGGAGGCTGAGGTGGGTATATCACAAGGTCAGGAGTTCAAGACCAACCTGGCCAACACAGTGAAACCCCATCTCTACTAAAAATACAAAAAGTAGCCGGGCATGGTGGCACATGCATGTAGTCCCAGCTACCCAGGAGGCTGAGGCAGGAGAATCATTTGAACCTGGGAGGTGGAGGTTGTAGTGAGCTGAGATCAGGCCACTGTACTCCAGCTTGGGCAGAGTGAGACTTCGTCTCAAAAAAAAAAAAGGAAAAAAAAAAAAAAACAACTCTGCCTTCATCACTAGGAAGTCTACAGCCCAACATGAGCATTCTGCCTATGGCCTTGGGGTCACTCCACCCTGGCCTACCGCAGTCAGCATCTGCTTGCACCACTGGGGAGCCTGAGGGCACTGCCCAGCCTGGCTCCAACCCCTGCAATACCTGAGCACATAGTCCAGGGGCCTGGGAAGCACACAGCCCAGCCCACCACCAGTGGAACATGAGCACTCCTCCCAGTATCTGAGGTTAGGCCCGCTCAACCTGTTGCTACCACCACAGCTGGCACCCACCCACACATGCCACCTGCACGTCTGGCAACTGGCTTGCCCAACCCATGGTAGCTACCACCAACACCAGCGAGGACCACTGGGGTCCCAGAGCATTGTCCCACCACTGCTACTGCCATTGTCCACACCACATCCACTGCCCAGACACTCAACAACCCATCAATCCACCTGGCCCACCACTGCCATTCCTGGCACCCGAGCAAGCCATCTGGAGGCCCAAGAAGCAGCCTGCCTGGGCTTCCTAATACTAGTCACAGTGTACATCCTGGGGTCCAAGGACCCCCGTGCTCAGTTCACTGCTGCCATCACTGGGGCCCAAAAACTGGCCTACCTGGTGCCCTAGTCCCCAGCAAAACTTCACCACAGCCTCCACTAACAACCACAGTCTGAGCCACAGAAGAAATCACTGACACCATAGATGCTGTTTAAAGCCAAAGAAATCAGACACTGTAACTGCCCAAAGGGTTCTTCCTGCCCTTCCGTAAACAAAATTGACTCACTGAGACCATGTCATTGCAGTAAAGCAAGATTTTAGTTGATCTGAGGCCGGCCACACCACACGGGAAATGGAGTTATTACTCAAATCAATCTCCATGAAGGCTCGCAGGTTAGGAGTTAGATAGTTTGGTGGGCAGGAGGCCCACCTCCTGGTAGGGAGGATAGGGAACATGCTGATTGGTTGGGTCAGAGATAAAATCATAGAGAATCAAAGCTGTCCTCTTGTGCTGAGTCAGTTCCCGAATGAGGGCCACAGGACTGTTTGGCAGGTCCAGGTGCGGCCATCCAGTTGTCAGAAATGCAAAAACCTGAAAAGACATCTCAAAAGGCCAATCTCAGGTTCTACAATAGTGATGTTATCTGCAAGTAACTGGGGAAGTTGCAAACCTTATGACTTCCAAATAATGGCTGGTAATTATTTAGAATTCAAGCCCCTCTCATCCTCCTAACGTGGCAGCCTTTCATTAGTTTTGTAAGAACAGTTTAATTTTGAGAAAGGACTATTATCACTCAAACTATAAACTTCTCCCAAAGTTAGCTTGGCCTACACCCAGGAATGAGCTGGGGCAGCCAACTTGTGGGGCTAGAAGCAAGATAGAGTCAGCCATGTCAGATTTCTCTTACTGTTATAATTTTGCAAAGGAGGTTTCAAAACTATCCTACTGCATGCACCCAGAATCAAAGCCAAAGTGCCCTACCCAACCAACACCATAGACATATCTTTAAAAAAATATCCTCCCCCATAAAAGCAAAATTTAAAAATCGGAAGATGTGACTGTAATACCAGATGCACAGATATCAACGGAAGGATACAGAAACCATGAAAAAGCAAGGAAATAGGATACCTCCAAGGAAACACAATAATTCTCCAGCAACAGATCCCAATCAAAAAGAAATTTGTTCAGGAGTATGTTAATTTCCATGTACTTGTACAGTTTCAAGAGTTCCTCTTGGAACTGATTTCTAGTTTTATTCCACTGTGGTCCAGGAAGCTACTTGGTATGATTTCAGTTTTTTAAAGTTTATTGAGATTTGTTGTGTGGAAGAGATAAACACAGTTGATAAACCGCTAGCTGGACTAACCAAGAAAAGAAGAGAGATGCTTCAAATAAGCAAAATGAAAAAGGAGACATTACAACTGATACCACAAAAAAACAAAAGATCATCTGAGACTACTATGAACAGCTAACAAACTTTTATGCTAACAAACTGGAAAACCTAGAGGAAAACATACAACCTTGTTTGAACTAAGTTTCAATAAAGATTCAGACTTGTTCAAGTTTGAACTAAGTTTGAATTAGGAAGAAACAGAAAACCTGAGCAGACAAATAATGAGTAGCAAGATTGAGTCAGTAATAAAAAAATCTTCCAACAAAGAAAAGGCCAGGATTGGATGGATTTACTGCAATATCCTACCAAATGTATAAAGAATAACTAATACCAATCCTCCTCAAACTATTCCAAAAAATCAAAGATGAGGGAACTTTCTCTAACTCTCTAATTCTGCAAGACTAGCATTATTACCCTGATACCAAAACCAGACAAGGACACACAAAAAAAAATGGAAACTATCGGCCAATATCCCTGATGAACATAGATGCAAAAATCCTCAACAAAATACTAGCAAATCAAATCCAGTGGCACATCAAAAAAAAAAAAATGCACCATGATCATTACACATTCTATGCATGTAACAAAATTTCACATGCACCTCATAAATATGTACAAATATATCAAAAACAAATAAATAACATGTAAATCTTTTTATTTTTATTTTTAGTTACCAGCTCTTACACAGAAAAAGGTGAATTTTTAAAAATTTAAAAAATAAAAGTAAATCTAAAAAAGAGATAACAATCAGAATAATTATTCTTCATATGTACTCACATGCTTTAATGAGTTTCTTGGCCATATCTGTCTTAATTACGTACCTGTGTATTTTTCTAATGAATTTATTTATGTTTTTTACCAAGGCCTTGTTAATTTTTTCACAAAATTGTAACCTTTTTTTTGAGACAGGGTCTCACTTTGTTGCTCAGGCTGAAGTGCAGTGGCTCAATGACAGCTCACTGCAGCGTTGACCTCCTAAGCTCAAGCTATCCTCCCACTTACCAGCCACCCCAAGTAGCAGGGACTGCAGGAGAATGTCACCACACCCAGCTAATTTTTTTTTTTTTCCAGACAGAGTCTTGCTCTGTCGCCCAGGCTGGAGTGCAGTGGCAGGATCTCAGCTGACTGCAACCTCCACCTCCCGGGCTCAAGCAATTCTCCTGTCTCAGCTTCCTAAGTAGCTGGGAGTACAGGCGCATGCCACCACACCCAGCTAATTTTTGTATTTTTAGTAGAGACAAGGTTTCACCATATTGGTCAGGCTGGTCTCGAAAGCCTGACCTCAGGTGATCCACCCACCGCCACCTCCCAAAGTGCTAAGATTACAGGTGTGAGCCACTGTGCCCAGCCCCCACCTGGCTAATTTTTAAATTTTTTGTAGAGACAGGGTCTCACTATGTTGCCAAGGCTAGTCTTGAACTCCTGGCCTCAAATAATGCTCCTGAGACAAGGATTTGAATGTAATAAATAAATAAATAAGCAATCCTCCTGCCTCAGCCTCTCAAAGTGCTGGGATGACAGTCATGAGCCACCATGCCTGGCCTGTAATCTTTTTTAAAGTCTCATTTTATGGTTAATCAATTGGAAATTGTTTACATCTTTAGCTGATTCTTTTCCTTTGACCCTAACTTCCTTTACTGGAAAATATTCTATAGTGCTGAGGTATCTATTATGCTTATGGCCAATTTTACTAAATGGAGGATATTCTCAATTGTAATTTTTTTTATTGAAATATGTTACTATTTTAACCCAAATATTGACATAAGCACTGTCTTTTTGACTTCATGTAAGTTTTTTTCTCATTTTGGTTCTTTGGAGCACACCATGAAATTTAGATAAAATCCTACACCTTCTCAATATAATATCATTCTGGCACAGAAAATGTTGTCCAATTGGAAGTACAGCCAAGTGCAGTGGCTTGTGTCTGTAATCCCAACACTTTGGGAGGCAAAGGCAGGAGGATTGCTTGAAGCCAGAAGTTTGATACTGGCCTGGGAAACATTGTAAGATCCTGTTTCTATAAAAACAATAAATAAATAACAGCACTATCAAAAGAGTCTTCACATATGTTGAGATATTCCAAAGCATAATTAGAGAATTTTAAAATTAAATCTTATACATATTTTGAACTCCCATTATGTAGTATATTCAATTATTCCCTTGCTCCTATATGGGTACATTTCAATGTCTTCTTGTTTGCAAGCATGGTTTTCAATAATTACACTTCTCTAAATCTTCTAAAACTAGAGTTTTTGGTATTCCATATTTCAGATACTTTGTTTAAAGATTTTCAACTATTTTAAACAAAATGCAACCAAAGTTAGAGGGCTTATTTACAGAAAAATTTCAGGGTTGTGGTAGGACAGATGGTTTGATATAGAAAAAAGTTATTTACAGGCTCAAACCCTTCTAAAATTCTGTCTGGTTGATGATGCCCAACAAAGAGAGACCACACATACTACCACATTGAAGTATTTGTTTAATTTAACATGTGTCATTATAAAAATGTTGCAATGGAAAATTCAGTTTTTTGGCCGGACGTGGTGGCTTGCGCCTGTAATCCCAGCACTTTGGGAGGCCGGGGAGAGGGGGGGCAGATCACAAGGTCAGGAGTTTGAGACCAGCCTGGCCAATATGGTGAAACCCCGTCTCTACCAAAAATACAAAAATTAGCCGGGTGTGGTGGCGAGCACCTGTAATCCCAGTTACTCGGGAGGCTGAGGCAGGAGAATCGCTTGAACCCAAGAAGCAGAGGTTGCAGTGAGCCGAGATCGCACCACTGCACTGCAGCCTGGGTGAGAGTGAGACTCCATTTAAAAAAAAAAAAAAAGAAAATTCAGTTTTTCTAACTGTTAATATGCAATAATACTTGAATTTGTACAACTACAGCTCTTCATTTAATTAACAAAATATTGTAGCTTATTTGGATACAATTGTGAATTATGTATGTACCACGACTAATTCTAAGTACATTTCTTCTCTGTCAATTTCTCAATTTATTAAGAGCATTATGTTCACTCTGATGTTGTGCTCCACCAAATTTGCAGTTAGCACTACAGAACCAAACAATTTAAACCTGATTGTTGAATTTTGTTTAGTGGGTTTTTGGTTTTTGGGGTTTTTTGTGAGACACAGTCTCTGTCTGTTGCCCAGGCTAAAGTGCAGTGGCACAGTCTTGGCTCACTGCAACCTCCACCTCCCTGGCTCAAGCTATCCTCCCACCTCAGCCTCCTGAGTAGTAACTTTTTTGGTTTTCTTTTTTATAGAGATCGGGTTTCACCATATTGCCCAGCCTGGTATCAAACTCTTGGGCTCAAGTGGCCACCCTCCTTGGCCTCCCAAAATGCCGGGATTACAGGCATGAGCCATTGCACCTGGCCGATTGTTGAATTTTGTAACTGAACTTACAGTAATGTTTATAATAATGTCAGAGTTTTCATCATCATAGATTGAACGTCTAAAAGGTTTGATTTCATGAAGAATCAAACCGACAAAAATCAAATCATTATTACAATTAACCTATTTGGTTTTTCTATTTGAAGTATCTGAATACATTCATATAAAATTGACCTCACTTAACTATTTACAAATTATTTTTGCACTAAGCCAACACATTAAAAGCTGCTCTTTGATTACAAAAAAAGAAAACAACAACAACCTGTAGCTAGGCACAGCTGTGCACACCTGTAATCTCAGCTCTCGAGAGGGAGGCTGAGGAGGAGGGTCGTTTGAGCCCAGGAGTTCCAGTCCAGCCTGGGCAACATGGCGACAACCCGGCTCTAAACAAACAAACAACACAAAACAAAACAAAATGTAATAAACAAGTGAAACTAGAAGGATATTCATTTGATCTAAATGAAAAGTCATGCTCACACAATGATATATAAGTGGACCTTCTGTAGATTGTTGTCTTTGGACATAAACTTTTTTTTTTTTTTTTTTTGAGACAGAGTCTCGCTCTTTCACCCAGGCTGGAGTGCAGTGGCGGGATCTCAGCTTACTGCAAGCTCCGCCTCCAGGGTTCACACCATTCTCCTGCCTCAGCCTCCTGAGTAGCTGGGACTACAGGCGCCCGCCACCGCACCTGGCTAATTTTTTGTATTTTTTAGTAGAGACGGGGTTTCACCATGTTAGCCAGGATGGTCTCGATTTCCTGACCTTGTGATCCACCCGCCTCAGCCTCCCAAAGTGCTGGGATTATAGGCGTGAGCCACCATGCCCGGCCTGTCTTTGGACATAATCTTTAAAAAATAAGCATAAACTTTTGAAGTAGATAACAATGTTCTTCAGCAGATGTATATCTTTCGATTTTCACATGGTCATTTGAGACCACTATGGTACCCATGGTGGGGGGTAAATATCAACCAACATTGCGAGTATAACATTCAATCATCTTAAAAAACTGTACTGAACTTTACATGAAATATGCATTTTCCATTTTTTAGCTCTTCACAGCTAAAACGAATTATTAGCAAATAGGAAACTGATACCAAACAATACAATAGTTATATAGTCATACCACATAAGTAACAAGGACAGGTGCAGTGGCTCATGCCTGTAATCCTAGCACTCTGGGAGGCCAAGGCAGGTGGATCACCTGAGGTCAGGAGTTCGAGACCAGCCTGGCCAGCATGGTGAAACCCCATCTCTACTAAAAATACAAAAATTAGCCAGGCTTGGTGGCAGGCACCTATAATCCCAACTACTCAGGAGGCTGAGGCAGGAGAATCGCTTGAACCTGGAGAGCGGAGGTTGGAGTGAGCCAACTTCACTTCAGCGTGGGCAAAAGAGCGAAACTCCATCTCAAAATAAATAAATATAAAATAAAGTAAAGTAACAAAACCACTGTTGCAAGAGAGTTCAAACTACTCCCAGCAGGACTGCTCAGCATCTAGTTCCCACACATGCATCATGTACCCATAACCTAACCCATAATTTTCCACGTTTCTCACTGACCCCATTGATTTGCAGCCTGGCAGCTTCACACATCTCACAGGCTAACACAGAAAGAAACTATTGCCTAACTGGCTGGAATGCTTAACAGCTTGCATGGGTTACAAGGATATGTTTTATTATGTTTTGACTGGAAGGGTCTCTGGTTGACTTTCATATATAATCATATGTAAAAGTAAGCATTCCATTCACTGCACATGGACATCTCATACACTACTAGCTAAGATCATGGCTGGATGCTGGAAGGATGAAATTATATGTACCTTGTGTGGGATACAAGCTAAATCAGATGAGATAATGAACAACAGACACAAACTGGAACTGCACTAGGCAAACTGATATATATGGTCACTGTATCTATAATTGAATTACTGTTTTCAAAAGGGACTTGGCAACATTCTGTAGCATTTTCTTACCACATAACCATAGACCTATACACAAAGGGCCCTTAGCTTCTTCTCATCTCCTGCTGCACTTTGTTCTTACCTCTATTGTAAGAGTTACATTATACTCTAATTATCTGTTTATATACCTGTCAAGTCCACAGCCTGTAAATCCTTGAAGAAAGAGATTGGGTCTTTTGCAGTTTTGTATAAGATATGTTTAGGAACATAGATTCAGGGCATCTTGAATCTATGCTCCCAAGAAAAAAAATAATTTTTATTAAAAAAAGAAATGCTTATAGATAAATAAATGGATCAATGCAAATGACCCAAATGAACTTAGAAAATGAAGTTGATGTCTCTTAGACCATACTTTTCATACTCTCCGAAGACATGGGATGGGGTAGAAGTAGGAGTTGGTAGGGGAGGACACGTTTGAACCTGCATTTTTAACAAGCACCCTGGGTGATTCTGATGTCAATAGCTCATAGGACACACTGCCTTCAGTCAGGAGCTCAGGCCAAAGTAGAGAGAAGCTGAAGACCACAGTGCAGGCACCAAAGGCAATTTCAATTTTGATCAAAATTCTTCTAGCATCAGCGATTGAGGTCTTGGGAAGAGCCAAAATAAGTGGGCTCTACAATATTTGCAGAAGATGCTCCAGCAGAGGATTATTTCCCAAGGGAATATAAGTGTACAAACATATGTCAGCAGATTAAACCAACCACACTCCACGTATACTTTTACAAGCACCACAGCCCATGCTTAGAAAACAGGTCTGGGTTTCTTTCAGGAGAACATAGTTTAGTCAGTAGTTAGAGTTGAGAAAGAGTGACTCTCTATATAGCATTCTAGCATCCTACAAATAGTAGAACTGGCTTTATGGAAGTAAAAATTTCATTAAGCAATTTACTCTTTCTGACTAGCTCTTTACAATTCTGTATGGCTTTTGTTATCAGATTTAATTGGAATCTTTCATCCCTTTATCAAGCATTTATTTAATACCACTATGGGCCAGGCACTAGACTCAATGCTAATGAAAACACAGATGAGGATGACACTGTTTTCAAGAGTCTCCTGTAGAGTGGGAGAGACAAACATGCCTCCTGTTGTAAAGTGGGAAGTGTGAGAATGACGGTAAATCCAATGGGCTCATCTCCTGGAACCACCCTCTACCCTGTGCTTCCAACATTTCTCCAGCTCCCAAACCTACCAGGCTTCCTGGCTTGAGAACAGGCTCACAATGCCTTTGCTTTCCACCTCCTCCCACTTACCAATTTCTCCTCTCTCTTTCCAGCTTTAGCTCTTAGATGCAGTGCTGCAGTGAACATCTATGTAACCCAATCTTCATGCCATGATTATTTCCTTAGAATACATCCCTAGAAATAGAATTTCTGGGCCAAAATGTATGCAAAATATGAAAGCATTCAATGCATGTTCCTAGATTGCTGAAGAAGTTAACGCACCTATCTGCTCAGTACAAGAGTTCTCATTTCTACCGCCTCGTCAATGGTTGTCACTTTTTTTGTAAAATATTAACAAATTTTTAGATGAAAATGGTATCTTGGTTTAATTTGCACTCTTTAGATTACTAGTAAAATTAAATAAAATAAAGATATTTCCCAATAAAAGTTTTAAAAAGATATTTCCTGTGTTTATCACTAAATGCAACCACCATGATCATTTTGTTCTATTTTTTAATGCTTTATATGCATTGAATGTAGTTGAAGACACAGTATGCATATAATTTGATAGTCTGCTCTTTTTTTTTTTTCTTTTTTGAGATGGAGTCTTACCCACTCTATCGCCCAGGCTGGAATGCAATGGTGTGATCTCGACTCACTGCTACCTTCACCTCCCAAGTTCAAGCAATTCTCCTGCCTCACCCTCCCAAATAGCTGGGATTACAGGAGTGCACCACCATGCCTAGCTAATTTTTGTATTTTTAGTAGAAACAGGTTTCACCATGTTGGCCAGGCTGGTCTTGAACTCCTGACCACAAGTGATCCACCCACCTGGGCCTCCCAAAGTGTTGGGACTACAGGCGTGAGCCACCACACCCAGCCAATATTCTGCTCTTTATTAACTTAATGAAAATATCATGATCATTTCCTTAGAATCTTTAAAGCCATTATTTTTCATGGTTGCACACTCAGGTAGCTAACACACACATACACACTTTTTAAAAAAGTATAATTTCTATTTCTATTTCCTCAAGAATGCAGAAGTTCTTTCATTCTCTACATTCTAAAGAAAACTGAAGAGGATAGGTGATTTTTTTCTCTATCATATCCCTTATTTTCTTCCCACAAGAACCACAAAGCCCCCAAACTGGCCCAAGCCTATCTATGACTTGGATAAAAAGGATCCAAGAAACAATGGCTTCCTCAATGATGACTTCATTGTGTGGATGCGGGCAGCTGCCTTTCCCACTTTCAAAAAACTGTATGGTCGACTCAGTCGAACACACCATTTTATAGAAGGCTTGCCTGCTGGTAATTATAGTTTCAACATAACCTATAGTATCCTTTTATACCACTTTTCTTTCTGAAGATGAAAGAAAACCTGGCTGCTAGTTGTTGAGCTATTTCATTCTATACTTTTCTATTTTCTAATCAAATCTGTATACAAAAAAAAAAAAGTGTAAAGGAGGATAAAATTCTCCTATTCCCTCCCAGAGGCTCCAGCTGGGACTGACAGATTAATAACAGAAAAGCATATGAATTTTATGCCTTTAAATGTACATGTGAGCCCTTACAAGAAAAATGGAGACTAAAAAAAGAAGTGACTAAGTCTAAGTTCTCATATACTAGGTTGAACAAAGAATGGCAATTGTAGAAATGTAACTAGGAAGATAAAGGTTAGTTTAGCAAGGGTTTTTGTTGTTGTTGTTGTTGTTTTGTTTTTGTATAGATTTCTCTCAGTCTTGACTCTGTCTGGGAGGCCGAGGCAGGCAGATCATGAGGTCAGGAGTTCGAGACCAGCCTGACCAACATGGTGAAACCACATCTCTACTGAAAATACAAAAAAAATTAGCCAGGCATGGTGGCGCATACCTGTAATCCCAGCTACTCAGGAGGGTGAGGCAGGAGAATCACTTGAACCCGGGAGGCGGAGGTTGCAGTGAGCCGAGATCGCGCCACTGCACTCCAGCCTAGGCAACAGAGTGAGACTCCGTCTCAAAAAAAAAAAGAAAGAAAGAAAGATTAAATAACACTGGGCCTAGAGATCTGTTAAAAAAACTGTGAGGAGAAGCATGCCAGATAGGATGGGAGGAGATGGAAGACTATGAAAATAGAGAGGAGTTTGATAAGTAAATATAGACTAAAAATTACTAAAACTGAGACTATAGAACCTTTTATTGTAGGGAAAAGTATCATAGACCACAGGAGCTGTGGACTCAAGGGACAGGTCCAGTTCATCCAAATCCACGTGAGGTGTGCAACAGGCTCTGCACTGAAGATGCCGTGTTCCCCCCTCCCTTAGGCACAAAGCCAGCATGTGGGAGTTAGTGCCCTAATGATTAGGAATATATGGTCCAACTTAGGAGACATATGTTTATTTTTACTTTCATTTACATATTTACTTTTGAGACAGGGTCTTGCTCTGTTGCCCAGGCTGGAGTACAGTGGCGCAGTCACATCTCATTGCAGTCCTGACCTCCTGGATTCAGGTGATCTTCCCACCTCAGTCTCTCAAGTAGCTTGGACTATAGGCACTCACTACCATGCCCAGCTAATTCTCTCTCTCTTTTTTTTTTTCAGAGATGGGGTCTCCCTTGTTGCCCAGGCTGACACATGCTTAAATATAAGAGTCTGAATTTTTTCACTTAATGTAAAAATACAAATGTAGTTCTTGATTTGAAAACAAACAGGCTTTAACTTTAGCATGGCACCAAACACTACCTTTAAGAAATTATATATTTAAATACAATTTACACTAACTCTGGTCTTTAGATTTAATTTTCAAGTCTCCTCCTGATTCTCCCTGAGGTAGCATTCTCTGGAGGCAGAATCATTCCAGGCCTTTTACACGACTTTGAAATTGCAGCCCAGTTAGCACCGCTGTGTTCATCCTCCCAAGGCTCCTGGCTAGTTGTTCAATGGGACCCCCAATGGGTCAATTTTAACACAAAATTGTCCACCTCCTTAGTTTCTTTACCTTTCAGGGAGGCTGAATAAGAAATTCTTGAGGAGAAGGGAATGATGGCATGTGCTCCAGTTCCCTGCTCCAACTTTTCTTCTTTTCCATCCTAGAACAGGTATGTGGACATTTCCATTCTGACAGGGAAGTGGGAGCATTTCTCAGTCAGAAAGGCCCCCACTGATGAGACATGATCTCTGCCTCTCAGCTTTTTGTCTCCTTTTGTTTACTGACCAGGAGGAGGTATGACTTCAGTTAGTCCCTTTAGCAGGGTGTCTAGTTCTATGAAAATGAAAATGAAAGCCACAAATTGCCTCTCATGGAGCATTATAGGTACAGATCAAAGAGTAAACCCTTTGAATAAGAATTTCAGCAAACTCCTCTCTCCCTCAAAAAAATTGAAGCAGAGGTTGAAAGTTGCTTAAAACTGGTCTCTCAAGGTGGGCCTTCTGATTCTGTCAATTTTGGGACTGCCTTACCATTAAAGCAGTTATGGGTGCATTCGAGGAGCAGGAAAAAACTTCATGCACTACTATCCCACGATGTGTTACAATGACCTTGGGGTTGGCAGGATGAGGAAGGGAGGCATGTTCCCAATAACAGAGACATTCTGTTTCTCCTCTCTGGACATGCTTTCCCTGGGTGACTTCATTCACAGTCATGTCTTAATGCTAATCCCTCTCAAATCAAAATTTTTTGTGTACATAGAACTTCAATCCTAAGCTTCAGGCCTATAACTGCACTACCTGGGTACAGCTCTGGTGTGAGTATTATCCAACCAGACTAAGAAAGTGCCTACCATTTCTAAGGGGAAAAAAGATGTTCTGTGTATGAGGAGAAGACCTTCTCATATAGAACTGAGGGAGGGAGAAAACAGGCAGATGGGTTGAGGTGGCACCCAAGGACCTGGTGACAATGAGGAATTCTGATGGAAAAGAAGAGAGAGAACTAGTTTCATACTAATTTTCCTTGTGCCTTTAAATAGCACGTTGCCAAGTGATTTGAGGCCCTTTAATAGCTTTGCTGGGAAATGCCTCCTTCCTGTGCCGTTGCTATGAGAAGCCTTTCTTTGTTTATTAGTTTGGTTTACAAAAGGCACCAGATGTTTAAAAACCTCAGGCCACATGTATAATCAAAATGACATCATTAAAATGCTAATGATAGCAAACCCACTTCAAACACTTTCTCCCCAGCATGGGGATACTGGCCTTTCCAAAACCCAAATGAATGTACCACCTTTAGTTCGACTACCAAAAATGTTTTGTGATCTTTTTGTTTGCTTGTTCTTCACTCCCCTTAAAGAATTTTCCCTGAGGTAGGAATTCAAACCTTAGCCTACTAAAGGACTATAGCCTGCCCTGGGTCTTCTAATTCATATATAAAAATTTAGGTTTGTATGATTGTAATTTCCTTGGGTTTGCCAAAGGAAATTAAATATATTTGTTCATTATCAGTTGTCTATAAGTCATTCAGATCTGTGTCAGAATCTCTTTCGTAGCTTACAACTATGTAGAGGGAAGGCTTGTTTTTATTTTCATTCCAGCAAGATACAGAGTAGTGCTTGGTAAAGATTAAGTTGCAGCATATGAGATTAGATATTTAACCATTTTTTTACCTATAAAAAAGAGCAATTTTATATGTGTCAACCTAATATATTCAGTATATGCAATACTAGAAATGTGAAGTGTTGAGTCAGATTCTTAACAGGTCTTCTTAGACTTCCCAGTAACCAGGTTCCACGGAGAAAAATCAGTTGTTCTCTCCACCCTGACATGGTGTGGGGGTAATAGCCTTTTCTTAGGTCTTGCCTACACAGTGACAGGAGCTATGACATGGTTGGCCTCCTTTGCCATGATGGCAATTCACATCATGCTGAAAAACAAGAAAATGTCCTTCTTCCATCAATAAAGTCAAGCTTTAAAAAGAAAAGGAGGAAACAAAACTGGACAGTGAAGTAACAGAACCAAAGATCTCTGAAGGGCTGGAGATGACTGGGATGTTTCAACAAGGGGAACTAGGTTGACTGAACTAAAATCAATTTCAAATAGACAATGAAGAGAATTTTAGAGTTAAAAAGAAGAAGGAAGAAGAGGGGAGGCATAATTATACGTAGTAAAATGTCCTTGGTGTGGGGAGAATAAGTCACTCTTGAGCTCTAGACCAGTTTTCCAGTATTTATTTGAAGTCCTTGAGCCTGAAGGCAGGTGAACTCTGTAAGAGAGTGCCATCACCAGAAAAGAGCAAGCAATCTGGGGTACCCACGATTAGGTGAGTCCTAACCATCGGATCAGGCTCAAACCATGAGTCTTCACTGGCTATTTGAAATTTGCTTTTATTTTTTTTTTTGAGATGGAGTCTAACCCTGTCACCCAGGCTGGAGTGCAGTGGCACAATCTTGGCTCACTGCAACTTCTGCCTCCTGGGCTCAAGCAATCCTCCTGGCTCAAGCGATCCTCCTGCCTCAACCTCTCAATTAGCTGGGATTATAGGCGTGTGCCCCCATACCCTGCTAATTTTTGCTATTTTATTTATTTATTTATTTGTTTGTTTGTTTGAGATGGAGTCTTACTCTGTCACCCAGGCTGGAGTGCAGTGGCGCAATCTCAGCTCACTGTAACCTCTGCCTCCCAGGTTCAAGCAGTTCTCCTGCCTCAGCCTCCCGAGTAACTGGGATTACAGGCGCATGCAACCATGCCCCGCTAATTTTTGTCTTTTAGTAAAGACGGGGTTTCACCATGTTGGCCAGGCTGGTCTCGAACACCTGACCTCAGGTGATCCACCCGCCTCACATTCCCAAAGTGCTGGGATTACAGGCTTGAAGCACTGCGCCCGGCCTTTATAATTTTAGTAGAGTTGGGGTTTCACCATGTTGGCCAGGCTGGTCTCAAACTCACCTCAAGTGATCCACCCGCCTTCCAAAGTGCTGGAATTACAGGTGTGAGCCACCGCACCTGGCCTGAAATTATTATAACCACCCCAACAATTGTTGAACTAAATTCAGCATCAGGATGATTTTTGAAAACTGATTTTTTTTTAATGTTCTCCCTTTTCTATAGAGTTAGAGTTAGAGTTTTTTCTGCTAAGAACAGACCAAGCAAAGGTTATGGCAATATCCTGAGCACTCAAAATACAGCCATGCACCAAAAAGAAAGGCTAGAAACTTCCCTAAAGTTATCCATTTGGCCAAGAGGGAAGCATTGAAAGTGACTGATTCTCAAACACTGTACTCAGCATGTTGAAGGCACAACAATGCTAGAACTTATATTGGGATGACATGTTCTAGAATACAAATGATGTTGTAGATTTATGATACTTGAATTAACGTTTTGAGGAAGGTTCTCAGGGTCTCTCTTGAAAGGCTTTAATTCCTGCCAAAGGTCCCTCACAGGAGACTGGATGGAATGCTTAGTGAATCTGTCAGGACATGAAGCCCCACAGATTTGTATACCTAGCTGGCCACAATATTATATTTTTTAAGACATTTTTATGTTAATTTTTTAGAGGTGGGGGAAGCTTTACTCTGATTATTCTAGGAGCAGAATTGTCATTGTTAAATAAAAATATAGTGCCAACACATGTTCATCTCTTTAGTAGCCAAGAAAGCATTTCTTTGTTGCAACTTTCTATGTTTGTCACATAATCGAGTACTTTTCTAAAAAATAAAATAATTTTAAGTACCAACTCTGAAATCTTAGAATCCTTCCCCTATCTCACCTTCCATTTGTAACCAATTACCTCTGACCAGGTGTGGTAGGTAGAATAATACCCCCTGCCCACCACCAATGATGTCCACGTCCTAATTCCCGGAATGTGTAAATGTATTAAATGTCCAGAGAGACTCTACAGATATGATTAAGGACACTGATAGAAGGAGATGATCCTGGGTGATTTGGGTGGGCCCACTGCAGTCATAAGGGCCTTATAAGAGGCAGGCAGTGATAAAAGGAGTAGTAGGAGATGCAACAACAGAAGCAGGAGGTTGGAGTGATGCGAGGAAGTGGCCATGATCCAAAGAATGTAAGTGGCCTCCAGAAGCTGAAAAAAGCAAGAAATAGATTCTTCCCCGAAGCCTTCAGACGCCCTACTGACACTTTGATCTGATCTGCAGAAATGTAAGAGAATAAATTTACCTTGTTTCAAGCATACTGTGTATGGTAATTTGTTACAATGGCAATAGAAAATGAACACGTCAGAGGTTGGCAATGCTTTAGTCATCTGAGTAATTGTTTCTGGAGCTTAGGTAATCTATCCAGAGCAGAGCACTAGGAAGGGACAAGGCTCACACATAACCTAGGCCCACTGACTTACGATCCTGGGCTCATGGCCTCTTAGTCCACACTCCTCAGTTACGGTGCTGGTTAGGAAAGGCACGAGCACATTTGTTACATCTTAGCCTTGCTTGTCAGCTTAGGGGATGCTGGATTAGTCAGAGTTCTACAGAGAAGCAGAATCACTAAAGTGTGTACAGGTGTATGGACAGGATAGACAGAAAGATGATAGATGGATAGATAGATTAGATAGATAGATAGATAGATAGATAGATAGATAGATAGATAGATAGATAGATAGATAGATTTTAAGATATTGTGGAGGCTGGCAAGTCCAAAATCTGACAGGAGAGGCCTCTCAGGAAAGAGGTGCAGTTCAAATCCAAGGCAGTCTCCTGGACAAGCAGGAATTGCCGATGTAGATGAAGTCTACAGGCAGTATGCTGGGGAGTTCCCTCTTGCTCTGAGGTCAGCCTTTTGTTCTATTTAGGCTTTCAGGGGATTGGATGAGGCCCACCCACATTATGGAGGGCCATCTGCTGTACCCGAAGTCCACCGATTTAAGTGCAAATCTTATCCAAAAATACCCTCACAGAAACAACCAGAATAATGTTTGACCAAGTATCGGGACGCCCCATGGCCCAGCCAAGTTGACATATAAAATTAACCATTAACCATCACAGCTGCCAAGAAGGCATCTGCATCCATGAAGTGGTCCAACATTTTCCCAACAAAGCATTTGTCATTTAACTTTATGCTAGAGTCAGCTTAATGAATAGGACCTATACAAAAACGTGTCATATCCATGAGAAGCTAAACTCTTCAAGAAAAATGCATGGCCAGAATTTATGACAGAATGGAAATTGTTCCACTCCTTTTTTCTCCTTCTCCACAAGTCAGTGCATCCAAAGCAGTTTATCTTTGCAGGACTCTCACTCTGCTGTACAATCTGGGAGCCATCCTCCTTAACCTTGATAGAGGAAAAGCATTGTCATTCACAATTCACTCCCTACCCACAATGGGAAGCTTAACTTCTCTGGTTTTCTTTCTCACCTATTCTTTCTCTTCTCTTCCCCTCTCCCATCATCTCGCTTGTCTCCTTCCTCCACATTTTTTTTTTTTTTGAGACAGAGTCTCACTGTGTCACCCAGGTTGGAGTGCAGTGGTGTGATCATAGCTCACTGCAGCTTTGACCTCCCAGGCTCAAACAATCCTCCCACCTCAGCCTCCTGAGTAGCTGGGACTACAGGCATCCACCACCATACCCAGCGAAATTTTTTTTTTTTTTTAGTAGAGATGGGGTGTCTCTATGTTGCTTAGGCTGGTCTCGAACTCCTGGGCTCAAGTGATCCTTCTGCCTCAACTTCCCCAAGTGTTAGAATTACAGGTGTGAGCCACTGCACCAGGTCCTTCCTCCACTTTTCTAATTCTTCATCCTTGTGCTTTTGTGAACTGGTTGGTGAAAATTTGGAAAAATCAAAAAAGTAAGTGCTATTCTACTCTGTCTCCAACTCCTGGCAACAATGCTGGAGATGGAGGAGATATAAAGTGAGTGTGAGATTGAGAGAGAACAACGAGAATGAGAGATTCTGAATGTGTAAGTGTGTGTGTGTCAGCGTGTAACTGGTTAGAAACTCAATGGGGTTTTGAGGTGCTTTTATTTTGGTGTATATTTTAAGTGCAAGGGCAAATGCAGTAAGGTATAAAATGGGGCAGGTTGAAATTACAGGTGAAAGCGTAGACTTGACCTTTACTTGAAATTTACTTATTAAATCCCTACCTTGTGTGACAAGTTCACAATGTTGAGGATACCAAAATGAGCCACCTGGGCCCCTGTTTGGAAGGCACTCATCATCTCACACCAACCTTTGTGTCCTTTTTAATCCACTTGCACTCAGCCCACACAGTTGCGCATGATTCCATACCCTCCTTAAGCAGGTTTCTCTCAGTTTCCTGTATGTCAGTCTGCTCCTGCTCCCAAAGACAGAAAAGGGAATGCTCTCACAAGACAGCAGCAGTCTTCCAACTCCCTCCGTATTATCCCAGAGCACCTAAGTCCATGCAGAGGTGTTCAAGTTGATAGAAACCTACTGACTTGGACAAAACAATATCTTTCCCAGCCTGCAATAAGCCCTCCTTGATGAAGGCTGGTTTTTCATCTGGTTTCTTTCATGGTACAGGCTTTATTAACCAAATTTTAATAAGAGAAAACCAGCTTCGGGCAGCTGCTGGTGGTTTTCCTTTGCAATGTGTCCAACAGAATTGCACAGTGCCACAGCCTATGGTTGTCAACATTGTTGTCTCTGGATGTTCATAAGTGATAGGACTGCACAGCAGATTTCTGCTGGCTTTTCCACTGGGTGAGAGAAAGGGAAGCCCATGTCTGAGAAGGGGGTTTCTTAGAGCCCGGGAGTCACTCAGGCACTCAGCCCAGGGTCACCCTCATTAGGACGGTCTCATGATTCCATTGCTAAATCTGCTTTGGTTTGGCAAATAGAAATGTGGCCCTTTGAAGTATTTATCACTACTAAGCAGGTCCTAAAAACTTCATTCTCCTTTACCTGGTGACAGTGTCGATATTTCATTGGCACTTCTTAGTTAAATGCATTTTAGGGAGTGCTATGGCCCCTTTAATAAAATCTGCATGCCTGCCCCCCCTTTAAATGGCTCTCTGGTAAAATGATAGAAGAGAAGGAGATGAAATTATGAGATTTGGATTGCAGTGACTCAGAGAGTAGCAAGAGCAGCTCATTTAGAAGGGGAAAAAAACTTAACTGCAAAGGGTCAGGCTTGTACAATACCCCCATTCTAATCCTGCGGTGGCTGTGAAGTGATTCAGAGCTACTCTGACAAATGTAGGAACTTTCAAAGTCTGGGGAGTGAAATATTGTCTAATAATGAATCTTCCTTTTTTGATTAGTGTGGAACCTGTATGCTGCTTCCAGAGGCAGGACTCAGTTTTCTTATTCATTTTCACCACAGTTGGAATGGAAAAATTGAAATCATTGCTCTAATGGCAAGAAACATCTTATGGTGCTCAGAGCCAGCAGTCAGTACAGACAGGCACAGATGCGGGCGCCTTTTGCTCCTTTTTTGTATGAAAAGAGCTTCACTCCACTGAAATAGATGATTTTCTAGTGGAGGCTAACATTGTAATGACAACATACTCTGATGGGTTTTCTTTTTTTTTCTTTATAAGGATTTCTCAGTTTTATGTCTGTAATTGACATCTATGGACCAGCCATAACAATGTATTCCTCAGTCTAAGGTGAGGGACTTTTGAGAGGTCCAGGAGATTCCAATTGGTTTGTGGAAACTCGAGCTGCAGAACTCCAAGAAGTAGGAGGAGGGTGGGAGAGACAAGCAGGGCCTTTATCTAGGGAAGGTCAGCAAAACTTTTGAATTTCTGTATTTCTCCTAAACGTGAAAAATGAGGAAAGAAAATTGAAGGGGAGAAGGGAAACATGAAATAAAAAGAATTAATGAGGATTGAGCCCCTTATGTGCCAGCCCAATAAGAGGTGCTTTACCCACATTACTGCATTTAATCCTCACAACGGAGTGAGGCAAATCTGTTGCCTCTCCAGGAGTCAGTTTCCTCACCTTCCATCCCTCCTGTCCCAGCCCATGTCACATGATAACAGTTAAATGCTAGAGACCCACTTTGCCTTCATGTTAACAAATGACCAAGGGACCCAGTTCTGACTATGGGACATAACGCTAAGTCTGTTGGGGGGATTTGGAAAACAGTTTTCCTTCAAGACGAAAAAAAAAAAAGCAAGCACACATGAGAAGAGCTCTCTTGTCACCTGAGCTGCTCCCGGCTTCCTACATAGCAATGCAATTGTCTGAGGACCCAGTACTTGGAGCTGCAGCAGCCATCTTGCAAGTAAGAGACCAAACGTTTTCATGTGAGGACGGTGGAATGGAGGATGAAAAAAGCTTCATTCATTCTTCATGACATTATTGAGACCACTGATTCAGCCCTAGAACCACCTACTTCTGGATGTCTTTTTTGTGTGAGATAATAAAGCTCATTATTTCAGTCACTTTTAGCCAGATATTCTACCTGCTTGCAGTCAAAAGCATTCTAATAGACACAATATGACTATTTCCACTTTACTAAATTTGTTTCATCCAACGAACCAAGAAAATTAATTCACTGACCACTACAGTAGAAGCAAAAGATAGTTGCTTTATAATCTCTCTGAAATAATATCTGTACAGTCCTTTAGTTTTTAGCTTACTACATTTCCTCCTCACTGTCCTTCATGTATAGATAACATATGATGGTCATGAAATGACCATGTACCACAGATGGTAACCTTATTTCCTATTATTTCTTGTGGCATAGGTGCTAAAAGCTTAATCCCAATCATCAACCACTGGCCTTAGAATTTGGCCAACACCCTTCTCCATCGAGAAGTTAGAGACAGATAGAAGTTTAGACACTAGTATTGTGAGGCCAATCTAACCTATGAACCTTTGATTATGAACTCCTACCATGATGATGATGATATCAGGTTCACAGTTTGGGACAATTCTGCAGAACAAGAAGGATGTTGCTCAAAATGGTTCTTAGCAAAATCATCAGTCACATTTAAGCTTTTAGTCACAGACACAACATATTACACACCATATGACATTTTCAAAAAGACGAAAGAAGAAGATTAGTGGTTGCCAGAGGATCAAGGAAGGAGGAGGATGTGACAATAAAGAGAGATGACATGCAGGAGTTTTTTGGGAGTGATAGAACTGTTCTGTATCCTGATTGCGGCAGCAGTTACGTGAATCTATGCATGTTTATTCCTTGAACTGTATACCAAAAAGAAGTCAATTTTACTGTAAGATTTTTCAAAATAAAAGTAAATTCATTCCATAAAACCTGACTCCTAGCCATTTGTTAATTAGTCCAAATTGATTTATTTTTTCCTTCAATTGTTAGCAAGAAAGAAGGGAATACTAT
The DNA here is from genome assembly GCF_000001405.40 of Homo sapiens. Taxonomy (NCBI): domain Eukaryota; kingdom Metazoa; phylum Chordata; class Mammalia; order Primates; family Hominidae; genus Homo; species Homo sapiens. Next base: position 100,219,092 of record NC_000003.12, read on the forward strand.
AGTTAGTTACTGCTAGGCTTAAGAATACAGTAGACAGGTCAGGGAAGGAAAATATCTAGGTTTGATTGATGCAATTGACAAGTGTTTGGATTCACCAAGAGGCATGGAAGAGAACAGGGTTTCATGAAACAAAACTATAACTTTTAAATTGCTGGGGCCTCTTCCGATAACTTTTTGGGCTGGGAATTAAAGCCATTTCCTAGTTATAAAAGCTCAGGTTTGTGATCATCTCAACTGAAGCAGAAAAAGCATTTGACAAAATTGAACCTCTTTCATGATTAAAAACAACAACAACACAACAAATTAGAAAAAGAGGAAAACTATCTCCACACAATAAAGACCATATATTAAAAACCCACAGCTAACATCATACTCAACAGTGAAAGACTGAAAGTGTTTCCTCTAAGATCAGGCACAAGAAAAGGATATCCACTTTCACCACTTCTAATCAACATAGTACTAGAAGTCCTAGCCAGAGCAATTAGGCAAGAAAAAGAAATAAAAACATCTGAATTGGAAAAGGGGTAAAACGATCTCTGTTCACAGGTGACAAGATCTTATATGTAGAAAAGCCTAAAGAGCTCACTGAAAAAAACTGTTTAAAATAATAAATTCAGCAAAGTTGCAAAATACAAAATCAATACACAGAAATCAGTTGTGTTTCTCTACACTAAGGATAAACAATCCAAAAAGAATATTCAGACAACAGTTCAACTTACAATAGCATAAAAAACAATTGGGGTGCCAGGTGTGGTGGCTCACACCTATAATTCCAGCCCTTTGGGAATTGAAGCCTGGGAGTTCAAGACCAGCTTGGGCAACATAGAGAGACCCTGTGTCTACAAAAATTTTTAAAAATTAGTGTGGGGGCTAAGTGCAGTGGCTTACACTTGTAATCTCAGCACTTTGGGAGGCTGAGGTGGGTGGATCCCTTGAGGTCAGGAGTTTGAGACCAGCCTGGCCAACATGATGAAACCCCATCTCTACTAAAAATACAAAAATTAGCCAGGCTTGGTGGTGCATGCCTGTAGTCCCAGGTACTCAGGAGGCTGAGGCACAAGAATTGCTTGAGCCTGGGAGGTGGAGGTTGCAGTGAGCTGAGATCATGCCACTGCACTCCAGCCTGGGCAACAGAGTGAGACTCTGTCTAAAAAAAAAAAAAAATTAGCTGAGCATGGTGGTGGTGGCACACTCCTGTGGTCCCACCTACTCACTCAGGAGGCTGAGGTGGGAGGATCACTTGAGCCCAGGAGGTTGAATCTGCAGTGAGCCATGATTCTGCCACTGCACTCCAGCCTGGGCAATAGAGCGAGATCCTAACCCCTCCCCCCAACAAAAAAATATATATATACTCACACACACATATATATAATATAGATACATATCTAATATACACACATAAATATATATAAATACTAATTTGGAATAAAGTTGACCAAAAAGGGGAAAGATTTTTACATTGAAAACTATAAAATATTGCTGAAAGAAATTAAAGAAGACACCAATAAATGGAAAGAAATTCCATGTTATGGATTGAAAGGCTTAATATTTTTAAGATGTTAATACTACCCAAAGCAATCTACAGATTCAATGCAATGCCTATTAGCATCTCAATGGCTTTTTAAAAAATTTTTGTAGAAATGGAAAAATCTATCCCAAAATTCGTTATCTATCCCAAATAACAAAAATAATCTAAAAAAAGAAGAACAAAGTTGGAAATCTCACATTCCTGATTTCAAAACTTACTACAAAGCTATGGTAATTAAAACAGTGTGGTACTGGCATAAAGACAGACATATAGACCAATTGACTAGAATAGAGAACCCATAAATAAACTCTGGCATATATGATCAAATAATTTGTGACAAGGGCCAAAACCATTCAGTGGTGAAAGAACATACTTTCAACAAATGACATCATGAAAACTGGATCTCCAGATGCAAAAAAAAGAAAAAGAAAAAGAAAAAGAAGTTGGATCCTTACCTTATAGCAAATACAAAAATTATCTCACAATGTACCTAAACGTCAGATGTGAAAGGATGAAACTCTTAGAAAACTCTGGTAAAAGCTTCACTACATTGGATTTGGCAATGATTTCTTGGATATAACACTAAAGGCAGAAGCAACAAAAGAAAAAATAGACAAACTGGATATCATTATAATTTAAAAATCCTGTGCATCAAAAGATACTATCATCACTTCCAACAAAAGTGGATTCCATCCACTGTACAGGTTCAGTGAAACAAGATATACACTGAGCCTGACTCCCTGTGGTTAGCCTGAAAGATGGTGTCATTTTCTTGTGGGCAACAGCTATAAAAGCGCTTCCTGCATTATAACCCAAAATGCTAGAATTTCAAAATAATGATCACCTGCAACTCTCAAACAAACAAAACCATTAATGATTTCCAAAACAATGAATAGATAAAATGTGCAGTATTTCTTAGAGGACAAAATAATATTACATTGATTATGCTACTTAAATTTTCAATAATCCCTACAATCTGATTTTTGCTTTTTTTTTTTTTTTTTTTTTTTTGAGACGGAGTCTCGCTCTGTCGCCCAGGCCGGACTGCGGACTGCAGTGGCACAATCTCGGCTCACTGCAAGCTCCGCTTCCCGGGTTCACGCCATTCTCCTGCCTCAGCCTCCCGAGTAGCTGGGACTACAGGCGCCCGCCACCGCGCCCGGCTAATTTTTTGTATTTTTAGTAGAGACGGGGTTTCACCTTGTTAGCCAGGATGGTCTCGATCTCCTGACCTCATGATCCACCCGCCTCGGCCTCCCAAAGTGCTGGGATTACAGGCGTGAGCCACCGCGCCCGGCCGATTTTTGCTTTTAAGAATTTACATTCTTCTTGAAAGCAGATTTGAATTCAAAATTTTTATATTATTCAGTCAAACAAATTCTTCCTAGAGAAATAAAAGAAACTGTAATTTTAAGTACTTTTCAGCTACTGAGACAAGATAAAATATCCAGAGGATACAAAATATTTTATATGTACTTCCTGCATTTGTAGAGACCCTTGCCCTTCAATACTTGTGAAAGGGTGATTGGGTCAACAGCAAAGAGTTCTTGAGGTAAATTCTGCAATTTTATACGACATAATTCAAATGTATCCATTTGTCAAAATCAACTCTGCATTTTCAGACAAAATTCAGTTAATGTCAAATTGAGGCAAGTGCTAAACCTCGGCAATTTAAAGTTTGAAAAATATTCCCAGCCAGATGTGGTAGCTTACATCTGTAATCCCAGCACTTTGGGAGGCCAAGGCAGGCGGATCACTTGAGGCCAATAGTTCAAGACCAGCCTGGGCAACATAGCGAAATCCCATCTCTACTAAAAATGCAAAAAATTAGCTGGAAGTGATGGCACACACCAGTAATCCCAGCTACTCGGGAGGCTGAGGCAGGGGAATTGCTTAAATCCAGGAGGTGGAGGTCTCAAAAAAAAAAAAAAAAGAAAGAAAGAAAGAAGAGAAGAGGAAAAGAAAAAAGAAAAGAAAGGGAAAAGAAAAGAAAGGAAAATAAAAGAATTATACAAACTATGTGACCTTGAAGAAGTTATTTCTCATTAAACCACAGTTTTAAAAGGTAACAACAGCACAGTACAATAGTCCTCCTTACCTGCATGGCACATGTTCCAAAACCCCCACTGGATGCCTGAGACCACAGACAGTACCAGACCCAATTGCTGTCATTTGGAACACGTTTCATTTCATGTCTTCCACCCACAAATTTAATGCCTTTTCCATCTTAGGTAAGCACTTATCACATACTGTGGCCATAACTTTTGCAGTCTGAGGTGCAACAGCAAAACTAGCACATATTTCTCTTTCTTTTTTCATGACAAAAATGGATAAAATTCTTACTGTGGATCTTAGCAACCTCAGGATACTATTTTTTTTTTGTTTGTTTCCTTATTTAGTTGAGAACGTTCAGCTTTTCATTTAAAGCAAATACTTTACGGCTTCTCTTTGCCATATCCAAATTGCCAGCCTCACTACTCTTGGACTTTGAGGTGATTACTAAGTAAAATAAGGGTTACTTGAACACAAGCACTGTTGATACTGCGACAGTCAATCTGATAACCTAGAGGGCTCCAAGTCACTGTCACTAATGGGCGGGTAGCATGGTCAGCGTGGAGATGCTGGACAAAGGGATTGTTCACATCCCCAGCGGGATGGAGCAGGATGGCCTAAGATTTCATCACGCTACTTAAAATGGCCTGCATTTAAAACTTATGAATTATTTCTGGAATTTTTTATTAATATTTTCAGACCACAGTTGACCTCAGGTAACAGGGACCATGGAAATTGAAAACAACGGATGAAGGGGAACTATGATATCTGTCTCACAGAATTGCTAGAAAGGTGAGAAATGTACCCACAGCACTTAGTGTCAGAGTAAATGACATCTAGAAAGGGCTCAATACATACTAGCAATTATTACTTACCTGGATACTTTTCCATGACCTTTTGTAAACCATATTGCTTATAAATTGCACTACAGATATCCATTTCATATCCCATTACCTCATACAATTTCAGTTGCTAGTCAAGCCCACATTTAATCCTATAATGACAAACAAATATGAAGTTCAGTTTTCTTTAAATAAAATCACATCACAAAAGAAGAATTATTACTAAAACAACTCAGCCTCTGGCAAGATATTTTACAGATTTTCACAGGCTTTTTCCAAGGTAAATTGGTAATTCTTCATCATAAAAGCAGTCACTATAGCAATACTTCAACTGACTCTTGCATGACTGAAAGAGACCTTGAAAATAAAATAGCAAAATAGCAACAATTAAAAAAAATCCAGCTGCCTATTAATGGTAAAGTTCATGTCTATTTCATGACTACTTCTACTCAAATAAATCCTCTGCCTCTGAAATATGACCAATGGTGAAGGAGAAAAAAGGCACTATCAACTGAATGAAAACGCAACTCACAGAATGGGAGAAAATATGCACAAATCATGTATCTGATAAAAGATTAATATCCAGAATATATTTTTTAAAATTCCTACAACTCAACAACAAAAACCAAAACACCCAGTTGAAAATGAGCAAAAGGACTTGAAAAAAATCTCCAAAGACGTACAAATGGCCAATAAACACATGAAAAGATGGTCAACATCTAATGATTAGAGAAATGCAAATCAAAACCACAATTAGATACAATTTCACACCAATTAGGATGACTGTTATTTAAAAAAATAATAATAACAACTTTTGGCAAAGATGTGGAGTGATTGCAGCCCTTGTTCATTGCTGGTAGGAATGTAAAATGGTGCAGCCACTAGGGAGAACAGTATAGCAGTTCCTCCAAAACTTGAAAATGGAACTACCATATTATTCAACAATTTCACCCCTAGGTATATACCTGCTCATGTTCACAGCAGCATTATTTACAATAGCTACAAGGTAGACACAACCCAAGTATCCACTGAGAGATGACTGGATCAACAAAATGGGGCATATACATACAAAGGTCTATAATTCAGCCTTAAAAAGGAAGGAAATTCTGACACATGCTACAACAACATGGATGAACCTTAAAAACATTATGCTGGCCAGGCACGGTGGCTCACGCCTATAATCCCAGCACTTTGGGAGGCCGAGGTGGGTGGATCACGAGGTCAGGAGATCGAGACCATCCTGGCTAACACGGTGAAACCCCATCTCTACTAAAAAAAAAAAAAAATACAAAAAATTAGCCGGGCGCGGTGGCGGGCGCCTGTAGTCCCAGCTACTTGGGAGGCTAAGGCAGGAGAAGGGCGTGAACCCGGGAGGCGGAGCTTGCAGTCAGCAGATACCACGCCACTGCACTCCAGCCTGGGCGACAGAGCGAGACTCTGTCTCAAAAAAAAAAAAAAGAAAAAAAAATTATGCTAAGTGAAATAAGCCAGTCACATAAAAAGAAATGCTATACAATGCCATTTATATGAGGTACCCTAAAATTCATGGTGAAAGAAAGTGGAACAGAGATGATTACCAGGGGCAGAGGAAGGGGAAAATGAGGAGTTGTTTAATGGATGTAAAGTTTCAGTTTTGCAAGCCGAAAAGAGTTTGAAGGTGGACGATGGTGATGGTTGTACAACCATGTGAATATACTTAATGCCACTGAACTCTACGCTTAAAAATGGTTAAAGCGGTCCTGGGCTGCGGTGGCACGGCGGTCGCCATGATGGTCACTGGGCTTGGCGGCTGACCCCCGGGCTAGGAGAGGGCCCAGCGCCCCGGATCTCGGTGGCCGCTGCTAGAGCGCGGCCTGTGCCATGGCCACCTTCACCGCCTCCTCAGAGCATTTCGAGAAGCTGTACGAGATCTTCCGCGGCCTCCATGAAGACCTACAAGGGGTGCCCGAGCGGCTGCTGGGGGCGGCGGGGACCGAAGAGAAGAAGAAGTTAATCAGGGATTTTGATGAAAAGCAACAGGAAGCAAATGAAACGTTGGCAGAGATGGAGGAGGAGCTACGTTATGCACCCCTGTCTTTCTGTAACCCCATGATGTCTAAGCTTCGAAACTACCAAAAGGACCTTGCCAAACTCCATCGGGAGGTGAGAAGCACACCTTTGACAGCCACACCTGGAGGCCGAGGAGACATGAAATATGGCATATATGCTGTAGAGACTGAGCATATGAATCAGCTTACAGTCTCAAAGGGCAACGCTTCCGCAAGGCACTGAAAGCCTAAAACAGGCCACCCAAAGTATTGAACATTCTCATCAGATTGCCACGGAGACTGACCAGATTGGCTCAGAAATCATAGAAGAGCTGGGAGAACAACGAGACCAGTTAGAACGCACCAAGAGTAGACTGGTAAACACAAGTGAAAACTTGGGCAACAGTCGAAAGATTCTCCGTTCAATGTCCAGAAAAGTGACAACCAACAAGCTGCTGCTTTCCATCATCATCTTACTGGAGCTTGCCATCCTGGGAGGCCTGGTTTACTACAAATTCTTTCGCAACCATTGAACGTCCTATAGGGAAGGGTTTGTGGACCAGAACTTTCACTTTGTGAACGCATGATGTTAGGGATGTGGATGGAATAAGCATATTGCTGCTGTGGGCTAACAGTTCAGGGATGCACTGTGTAGCCAGACTGTGGGAGGAGGGAGGAAAGATGGAAAGCCACTTAAATGCGAAGGAACAGCAACAAGACCAGTATGATATACCAAGGTAATAAATGCTGTTTATGACTTCTTTAAAAAAAAAAAAAAAAACGGTTGAAGTGGTAAATGTATGTACTTACCACTTTAACCATTTTTAAGTGTAGAGCTTAACCATTTACTACTACTTTAACCCCCCACAGACACTCAAGATCAATGTGCCATGCCTGGAGTTTGGAATGGCAGATATGAAAAGCCCTTTTTGAGTGGGTAATTACATGTGAACTAACCATGTGAACAAGCCAAATATCAGTAAAGAAGATGGCATGATGATTGCGGCAGCTGAAAGCTGCAGCATCTTCTAAAAAGTCTTGCTAGTTTCATTGGGAATGAATCGTCTCCCTATCAATGGAGAGTTTCATTAACTTGGGTTTATTGGGTTCGCTAAAACAGTCCCATTATTTAAGCACTCAAAAAGTTCTTCAGTCAGAGACATCTTATGTCACTACATCACCGAACAGAACTCTGTCAAGGATGCTCTGTAGATAACTTCTTAGCACAAGGAATTCATTCTCCTAAATACATGGGAGCCTCCACATGGCCCTTTAAAAGACACTGACCTCTTTGAAATTAGGACTGCAAGATCTAGTTAACTGAGGGCAACTCCCAGTTGCACGGATTCTTCTGAACTCTGGTTCTCAGAAAGACTAAATGAAGGAATCATCGGAAGACTCAAAATAGAATCTGTCACATACCAATCCTATGAGATAATGCGTGATCTTGCAGAGGCATTAAGAAGAAGGAAGACAGATAATCTGAGGCTGTGTTTAACGTGGTTTATTGGCTTCTATGGACTCAAAGACCGTGGAAACAATCTTCTTCTTCCATAAGAAGAATATATATATATTTGTTAAACTGAAAATAATGGTTAAATCCTAGGATCAGGACCACTAGAAGGAAGGAGTTCCTGACTCCCTGACTTCCTTCTGGCCAGATGAGATACCATCAGTCTCTCAGCCAATACAGAAACAGTCTGTATTTCAAGATGTTCATTTTTGACCTCTTTTGCATTGTCAGGGATTTTTAGATGGCCTATAGCTTCATGCAGGCTTCTTTGGCTCATACTAGTGAGAGTTTCCCATATTGACTAAGGTCAGTTTTTGACCTCTGGAATCCTCAATATGCTATCCTCAAGGCAACTGCCTTCTTCCTAGTGTCTTATAAATTAGCTGTGTATTTTCTGGGATCAACCATATCCTTGGAAAACTGACTGCAGCTCATCCAAGAAACTTGGCCCCTATATTTCTCTCTCCAGAGACAGCTGTGTGAAGATTTCAGGAGCAATAACTCAGACAAAGGGTCCTCAGTGGTCAGCAGAGCCCCAAATTTGGATAAGGTTTCACTTGAATATTCATTGGCTTTAGCAGTTTGGCAAAAGTAGGAAAGAACTCCTAATTCCATGGGGTTAAATATCCTCCCTGAAACTAAAATGGAAAAGATTAACTGACTCATGGAAAGGATTCTGTGATAAATCTGATGTCCTGGGGCCACTTTCCTAATAGCACCTCCTCTTCTCGTCACTCATCTCCCTTGTATGTCTCTTGAATAATATCACTCTCAAGGATTTAATAAAGATTTCTCTGTCAGCAGCCCAAGTCAAAGCCTCTAGAGAAGCTGGTATATTGTTTGAAAAATCCTGGTCCCTCAGTCCCGATGAAGTATAGGAATAAAGAGAATGTAAGGGAAAAGATGTCTACTGGGGGCAGCCTGAAGCCAATAGTATTGTGTGTTTAGAAAGGATTATGAGACATCAGACCAAGAGAGATATTTAAATAGACTAGGAGTTAGATGCTATTAGCAATTATTGTTAATTTGGTATGATAATCATATTGTGGTTATAGTTGTATTTTTATATTTTTTAATTAGCAATAAATACAGGGATAACTAGTTTCAATGCATTCCACTTTATTGACATTAGCAGATATTGTGCTTTTTATAAATTGAAGTTTTGTGGCAACTCTGCATGGAGCAAGTCTATCAGTGTCATTTTTCCAACAGCATGTGCTCACTTCACGTCTCTGTGTCACCTTTTGGTAATTCTCACAATATTTCAAGCTTTTTCATTATTATTGTATCTGTTATGATGATCTGTAATCAGTGATTTTTGATGTGACTATTGTAGTTGCTTTGGGGCAATGCAAACCATGCCCATGTGACAGTGAACTTAATGAATAAATGTTGTGTATGTTCCATCTGCTCCACCAGTTGGCCATTCCCCCATCTCTCTCCCTCTTCTCAGGCCTCCCTATTCCCTGAGACATAACAACAATGAAGTTAGGCCAATTAATAACTCTACAGTGGCTTCTAAGTGTTCAAGTAAAAGGGAGAGTTATATGATTCTCACTTTAAATCAAAAGCTAGAAATGATTAAGCTTAGTGAGGAAGGCATATTGAAAGCAGAGATACACTGAAAGCTAGGCCTCTTGTGCCAGTTAGCCAAGTTGTGAATGCAAAGGAAAAGCTATTGAAGGAAATTAAAAGTGCTACTCTGGTGAACACATGAATGATAAGAAAATGTAACAGTCTTACTGCTGATAGGGAGAAAGTTTTAGTGGTCTCAATAGAAGATCAAACCAGCCACAACATTCCCTTAAGCCAAAACCTAATCCAGTGCAAGGTCCCAACTCTCTTCAATTCTGTGAAGGCTGAGAGAGGTGAGGAAGCTGCAGAAGAAAAGCTGGAAGCTAGCAGAGGTTGGTTCATGAAGTTTAAGGAAAGAAGCCACCAGGCATGGTGGCTCATGCCTGTAATCCCAGCACTTTGGGAGGCTGAGGCAGGCAGATTGCTTGAGCTCAGGAGTTTGAGACCAGTCTGGGAAACATGGCAAGACTTCTTTACAAAAAAATTAAAAATTAGCTGGATGTACTGGCACATGCCTGTAGTTCCAACCACTCAAGAGGCTGAGGTGGGAGGATGGCTTGAGCCCGGGAGGTGGAGGTTGCAGTGAGCCAAGATTGTGCCACTGCACTCCAGCCTGGGTGACAGAGCCTGACACTTGTCAAAAAAAGAAGGAAAGAAAGAAAGAGAGAGAGGAAACGAAGGAAGAAAGGAAGGAAGGAAGGAAGGAAGGAAGGAAGGAAGGAAGGAAGGAATGGAGGGAGGGAGGGAGGAAGAGAGGAAGAGAGAAAGAGAGGAAAGAGAGGAAAGGAAGGAAAGGAAGGAAAGGAAAGGAAGGAAGAAAGGAAGAAAGGAAGAAAGGAAGAAAGAAAGAAAGAGGAAGGGGCCATCTCCAGAACATAAAAGTGCAAGGTGAAGCAGGAAGTGCTGATGTAGAAGCTGCAGCAAGTTATCCAGACGATCTAGCTAAGATAATAGATGAGTGGCTACACTAAACAACAAATTTTCAGCATAGATAAAACAGCCTTCTATTGAAAGAAGACACTGTCTAGGACTTTCATAGGTAGAGAGGAGAAATCAATACCTAGTTTCAAAGTGTCAAAGGACTAGCTGGCTCTCTTGTTAAGGGCTAATGCAGCTGATGACTTTTTTTTTTTTTTTTTTGAGATGGAGTCTCACTCATTTGCCCAGGCTGGAGTGCAGTGGCATGATCTTGGCTCACTGCAACCTCTGCCTCCTAGGTTCAAGTGATTCTCCTCCCTCAGCCTCCTGAGTAGCTGGGATTATAGGTGCCTGCCACCACACCCAACTAATTTTTGTATTTTTAGTAGAGATGGGGTTTTGCCATATTGGCCAGGCTGGTCTTGAACTCCTGACCTCAGGTGATCCACCTGCTTAAGTTGAAGCCAATATTCACTTATTATTCTGAAAATCTTAGTGCCTTTAAGAATTATCCCAAATCTATTCTGCTTGTGCTGTATAGATGAAACAAAAGGCCTACATGACAGCACCTCTGTTTACAGCATGGTTTACTGAATCTTTAAAGCCCACTGTTGAGACCTACTCAGAAAAAAAAATCACTTTCAAAATGTTATTGCTCATTGACCAATGCTGCTGATCACCCAAGAGCTCCGATGGACATGTACAGAGATTAATGTTGTTTTCACGCCTGCTAACACAAACTCCATTCTGCAGTTCATGGATCAAGGAGTAATTTTGGCTCTCAAGTCTTATTATTTAGGAAATATATTTTGTGACCAGGCACAGTAGCTCATGCCTGTAATCCCAGCACTTTGGGATGTTGATATGAGCAGATTGTTTGAGCTCAGGAGTTCAAGACCAGCCTGGGCAACGTGGTGAAACCCTGTCTCTACTAAAAATACAAAAACTAGCTTGGTGTGGTTGCATGCACCTGTAGTCCCAGCTATTCGGAGGCTGAGGTCGGAGGATCGCCTGAACCCCAGAGGTCGAGGCTGCAGTGAGCAATGACAGTGCCACTGCATTCCAGCCTAAGTGAGGGGAGTTAGACCCTGTCTCAAAAAAAAAAAAAAAAAAAAAAAAAAAAAAAAAGAAATACATTTTGTAAGGCTATAGCTACCATAGATAGCGATTCCTCTGATGGATATGGGCAAAGTAAATCGAAAGCCTTCTGGAAAGAATTCACCATTCTAGATGCCATTAAGAACATGTATGATTCATGCGAGAAGATTAAAATATCAGCCTTAACAGGAATTTGGAAGAAGTTGATTCCAGCTTTCACAGATGACTTCAGTGGAGGAAGTAACTGAAGGTGTGGTAGAAATAGCAAGAGAACTATAATTAGAAGTGGAATCTGAAGATGGAACTGAATTGCTGCAGTCTCATGATAAAACTTGAATGGATGATGAATTGCTTCCTATAGATGAGCAAAGACAGTGTTTCTTGAGATGGAATCTACTCCTGGTGAAGGTGCTGTTAACATTGTTGAAATGACAACAGAGGAGCTAAAATATTACCTACACTTAGTTGATAAAATAATAGCAGGATTTGAGAGGATTGACTCCAATTTTGAAAGAAGTTATACTGTGAGTAAAATGGTGTCAAACAGCATCACATGTTTCAGGGAAATCTTTCATGAAAGGAAGAGTTCATTGATGCAGCAAACTTCTTTGTCATCTTCTTTTCAAAAATTGTGACAGCTGCTGGGCACGGTGGCTCACGCCTGTAATCCCAGCACTTTGGGAGGTCGAGGCGGGCAGATCACGAGGTCAGGAGTTCAAGACCAGCCTGGCCAATATGGTGAAACCCCGTCTCTAGTAAAAATACAAAAACTAGTCGGGTGTGGTGGCACGCGCCTGTAGTCCCAGATACTCGGGAGGCTGAGGCAGAAGAATCGCTTGAACCTGGGAGGCAGAGGTTGCAGTGAGCAGAGATCACGCCACTGCACTCGAGACTAGGCAACACAGTGGGACTCTGTCTCAAAAAAAAAAAATATGACAGCAACCCCAACCTTCAGCAACCACCACCCTGATCAGTCTTCAGCCACCGACATGGAGGCAAGACCCTCCACCAGCAAAAAGAGTATGACTTGCTGAAGGTTGAGATGATTGTTAGCATTTTTTTGCAATCAAGTATTTTTTAGTTAAGGTATATACATTTTTTAGACATTGTGCTATTGCATACTTAATAGATTACAGTATAGCACAAAAATAACTTTTATATGCAATGGGAAACCAAAAAAGGTGTGTGACTCATTTTATTGTAATATTTGCTTTATTACAGTGGTCTGGAACCAAATTTGTACTATTTCCAAGGTGTGCTTGTACTGAAATATATATGGGTGAAGTGATGATGTTTAGAATTTGCTTTACAAAATTCCAGCAGGCCGGGCACCGTGGCTCATGCCTGTTATACCACCACTTTGGGAGGCTGAGGAGGGTGGATTACTTGAGGTCAGGAGTTTGAGACCAGCCTGACCAACACAGTGAAACCCTGTCTCTGCTAAAAGTACAAAAATTAGCCAGACGTGGTGGCAGGCACCTGTAATCCCAGCTGATTGAGAGGCTGAGGCAGGAGAATCACTTAAACCCAGGAAGCAGAGGTTGCAGTGAGCCGAGATTGCGCCACTGCACTTCAGCCTGGGCAACAGAGCAAGACTCCGTCTCAAAAAAATAAATAAATAAAAATTCCAGCAAAAACAAAGAAATAAAGAAATGCTGATAGGGTAATTGATTAAATAAAATTGGTAAAATGTTGGGACTTTTTGAAGGTGGACTATTGTTACCCGGAGGTTCATTATACTGTTTTCCCCCCATTTTTGTATGTGTTTTAAATTTTCTATTAAAAAAAGTAGGAGGGAAAAGTTGGAGGAGAAGAGGGTGCCGGCAATGCTAGAGTCACTCAGTATTTCCCTTTGAAAAGAACAGTTTCACAAAAAGTAACTCAAAATGGATCGTAGACCTAAATGTAAAATGGAAAACTATAAAACTCACATAAGATAACAGAGGAAAAAATCTAAGTGATCTTGGGTTTAGTGGTGATAAGTTTTTAGACACAACATCAGATCATGATCCATGAAAAAAAATTGATAGTTGGACTTCATTACAATTTAAAACTGCTGTCCAGGCATAGTGGCTCATGCGGCTGAAGCGGGAGGATTATTTTAGCTCAGGAGTTTGAGACCAGCCTGGGCAACATGGTGAAATGCCATCTCAAAAAAAAAAAAAAAAAAAAAAAAAGGATGCTCAACATCATATGTCATTAGGGAATTTTAAATTAAAATAACAATGAGATGTGACTACATAACTCTTAGAATGGCTAAACAAAAACACTATGCGACCAGATGCTGGAGAGCATGCAGAGCAACAGGAACTCTCATTCATTGTTGGTCAGAATGCAAAATGTTACAACCCCTTTGGAAGACAGTTTGGCAGTTTCCTACAAAGCTAATCTTACCATACTACCCAGCAATTGTGCTCCTTGGTTGCCTAAATGAGTTGAAAACTTATGTCCACACAAAAACCTACACATGAATGTGTATAGCTGCTTTAGTTATAATTGCCAACACTTGGAAACACCAAGATGTCCTTCAATAGGTGAACTGATAAACTGTGGCACATTCATACAAAGGAATATTATTCATTCCATTTTTTCCAATTCAGTAATAAAAAGAAACACCCTATCAAGCCATGAAAAGACACAAAATAAGCTTAAATGCATATTGCTAAATGAAAGAAGCCAATCTGAATAGGCTGCATCCTGTATAACTCCAACTATGTGACATTCTGGAAAAGACAAAACTATGGAGACAGTAAAAAGATTAGTGATTGCCAGGGCTTTGGGGGAGGGAAGAAAGATGAATAGGTACAGCATAGGGGACTCTTTAAGCAGTCTAGGAACCCCCTGGATTTTCCATTCAATTTTTCTATAAATCTAAAACTTCTCTAAAAAATAAAGTATATTAATTTAAAAAGAAAAAAAAGCTGCTGGTAATGCCTGTCTGCATGAAGAAAGGGGCCAGGGACAGATTTGCCTCCTTTCAAAGCTGTACATTACGTGTATGGCTATTAAATGGGAATACATTAAAGGGTTTACAGCACAATGAAGTTTCTCAAAATTAGGTCCTAGAACTACGTCTATCAGAAGCAACTGAGTTGCTTGTTAAATGCAGATTCCCAGGCCCTGGGCCAGAGCTACCAAATCAAAGTCTCTAAGAACAAGGCCTGGAAATCTGCCTTTAGAATACCCCAGTGATTCCTATGCACCCATTAGTATACACTCTACCAATCTGCTCAACTGTTAGTCTTTTATTTTTGCACATATGGAGGAATAAAGAGAAAATGTCCATTAAATTCTTCTCAAATATATGTAATAAGACTATGAATAGAAGGGCTGAAGACGGAAAGGGTAGGATGGACACACCACAGGCTGTTGAACAACTGGCTTGGAGAAGCTTCTGAGCCTGAGTGGAGAAGGACAAGAACTAGAGGTGAGCTATTCACTCTCCACACCATGTGACAGCTAGGTTCATTTGAAACAGCAATTAAGCAATACAGAGGACCAAACAACATTGACTAAGTTGGAAAATAAAGACATATGAAAGAAAGTCTTTCAGAAAACAAGTGCAAGGTGTTAGAAGTCATCTAGATTGAAGACAGAGAAAAAGTGACAAGAAATATTTCAACTGATTCTTAGGAAGGCTGCTCTGCAGAAGCAAAACAAAATAAACAAAACCAAAAAAGTAAGGAATGCCAAAAAAAAAAAAAAAAAAAAAGAGAGGGAAGATAAAAAGGAAACAAGGGGAAAAAACTGAAGGAGACACCCTGAAAAGGCAAAAGTTGAGCCTGATGGAAATAAAGTATCAGAAATGACCAAGGCCAGGTGTGGTGGCTCACCCTTATAATCCCAGCACTTTGGGAGCCTGAGGTGGGAGGATTGCTTGAGCCCAGGAGTCCAAAGCCGCGGTGAGCTATGGTCAATCACACCACTGCATTGCAGTCTGGGTGACACAGTGACACCCTGTCTCAAACAAACAAACAGAAAAGAAGTGAACCCAAGTAGAAGATAGCTCATGAGCTTTGAGTATAGGAATCATCAGTGATTTTCAGAAAGAACTGTGAAAACAGGCCAAAAATTTTTTTTTCTAAAAACTAAAACAAACACCCAAAGCAAAGAAACAAGAATATAAAAGACAAGCATTTTCCATCATAGATACTACATTCATATCTTTTGCAGATTATGGTTTTCTTTCCAGTTAAATAACTATAATTGTAACCTGAGACTGAAGTAACAAAATAAAATGAAACTGCAGAGGGAGGGAGAATGAAATATTTTTCTCCTCATTGTGCTATATCCACTTGTATAACGAAGTCCTTTTATGTTTATACAATGCTTTATTATTGCTATTTTAGTACTTATAGCCAGATATGTACTATCTCTTTCACTAGCCTGTGAACTATTTAAAGGCAGACTGGCTCTTATTTACCTCTGAGTTCTCTTTCTTGGGCACATAAAAGGTATTTTGTGAATATGTTTTGTTAATTAATTAATTAATTAAAACAGGACCTCAGAGTCACACTCTCTGATGGAAGTGGGGTTCTATAAATGAGGGCAACAGAGCAAAATCCCATCAACTTAAAGCAAGTTGAAGGGGAGACTGAGGCAGTAAGGAAGATTAGGGTCAGCAGCTGCAGAGAGTGAGGAGGAAGATGACAACTGGTCATTAGAGTTCCCAGCATTTCATCATTTTTGTCTGATAGCAGAACAGATCCAGAACTGTGCTTGGTCCGCTAATAACCATAGCCATTTTTAGTATAGAGTTTTCCCTTCCTCTCTTCTATCCAACATTTATCTTATTTGCACCCCTCCCCACCAAAACAAACAAACAAACAAACAAACAAACAAACCATCTAGGGTAGAACTACTTAAAAGATTCCATAAAGTCAGGTGTAGAGAAGTTAGGCAGTAGACATAAAAAGAAATCAGATGAATTATGTTCTAAGTGTTTAGGTAACTACATGCATAGGAAATGAGATTTGCATTTCAAATGAGTATACGTGCTGCTTGCTAAATTTTCCTGGCCTGTGTTATAGCTTCTCCAGGTTCTATGAATTAGAATTTTGTTTCTGTTGTCTACAGAACTAAAGGGCATAATTAATATTTCTGCAAAACACTTAAGTAACATTAGAAAATTTTAATTTGACCTGTTTATTAGGCTTACTTTTACTTAGACTAACAAAGGCATAGTTTAATTAAGGCCACCCCAGAGGGTAACAGCAATCTGAAGGAAAGCTGTAAGTAGTGAAGTGAGATTCACAGTGTTACCTTCTAGTCATCTTAAGTTACTTTGAAAAAGACAAATACATTAGTAAAATAAAATTGGAAAATACTGTGCATTTGAAGATTTATGGTTTACCAAATTATTTTATGTATATTAAATCTCAACAGAGAAAATACCAAGTGTTGGCAAAGTACATAGCAACCAGATATCTCATACATTACTTGTGGGTGTATTAACTGGACCAACTATTTTGAATAATTGTTTGGTGATATCTACTAAAGCCAAATATATGTACAAGCCATGATTATGCAATCCCACTTATAGGTATATATCCAATAAAAAGGCATATATTTATTTTCCGATTCATAAAGCCAGAAGAGGAAACTATTCAAATGCCTATCAACAGAGAAGCTGAAAAATCAATTATTGTATTGTCATAAAATTGAATACTGTACAGCAAGGAAAAGGAACAATCTATAACTGCACAGAACAATACGGATTAATCTCACAAACATAATGTTGAGCAAAAGAAGTCAGGCATAAAAGAGTACATACTGTGTGCGTCCATTATATAAAGTTCAAACACCAGCAAAATCTATAGTATCAGAGACTAGGATAGAGAATATGCTTTTGGCAGGGGATTAGTGATTTGAAGGGGTATGAGGGAGATGTCTGGGGTACGGTAACATTCTCTTTCTTGTCCTGTGCGTTCATTACATGGGCATGTTCAATTTTTGAAAATTCATCAAGCTGGTCACTTCTGATGTATATACTTTTCTCTAAAGTATAGGCCAAAGATATCTTGTTTTAGTCTCAGTTGCTATACAAACCCTAGGAGGTTGTCAAGAAAGCTATTATGATATCTCCATTTTATACAAGAAAACAATTAGGTAAAGACAAATGACTTTTTCAGAGTACTTATTTTTCACATTGTTGCCCAGCTCTAAAACAGATCTTTATCCACTTGAGATCAAGAAATGTTGTGCTTTGTATTAATTGTACATTTCTTCCCCTTTGCAGCAAGCAGTGCTTTAGAATAATAAATTACTAATTACACTAACATCTCATACACATCACCTCCTGGGCTCAGATAAGCCTCCCACCTCAGCCTCCCAAGTAGCTTGGACTTTAGTTATGTGCTATAATGCCTGGCTCATTTTTATTTTTAATTTATTTATTTTAATGTATTTATTTATTTATTTATCGTAGAGACAGGGTCTTGCTTTGTTGCCAGGCTGGTCTTGAACTCCCGGCTTCAAGAGATCCTCCTGCCTTGACCTCTTAAAGTGCTGGGATTACAGGTCTGAGCCACCGTGCCCTGAACATTCTATTCTTTAAAATATCTCTTTAGTTACTGAAAAGCCAGTAATAAGTAAAATTATCTCAAGATGTTTGGGGCCAGATGCAGTAACTCATGCCTGTAATCCCAGCACTTGGGAAGCCAAGGAAGAAGGACTGATTGAGATCAGGAGTCCCAGACCAGCCTGGTCAACATAGTGAGACTTTCGTGATGAAAGAAAATGATGAACTCAGGGATTCTAACTCCCGGCTTCAGAAGCAGATTCTGAGCCTCAAATCTTCTAAGATTGTCCTGATTCAGAGTCTTATCCCCTGTAAAGAAAAAGCTGAAAAAATAAAATTAAAAAAAATAAAAAATTAGCCAGGCATGGTGGCACACATCAGTAGTCCCACCTACTAGGGAGGCTAAGGAAGGAGGATCCCTTGGGCCTGGGAGTTCTAGCCTACAGTAAGCTATGATCACACCACTGCAATCCAGCCTGGGTGGCAGAGTAAGACTCTGTCTCAAAAAAAAAAAAAAAGAAAAAAGTTCTAAAACATTTAAACAACTGTGTGATGGTTAATACTGAGTGTCAACTTGACTGGATTGAAGGATGCAAAGTATTGATCCTGAGTGTGTCTGTGAGGGTGTTACCAACGGAGATTAACATTTGAGTCAGTGGGCTGGGGAAGGCAGACCTACCCTTAATCTGGGTCAGCACCATCTAATCCGCTGCCAACAAATATAAAGCAGTCAGAAAACCATGAAAAGGCTAGACTGGCTTAGCCTCACAGCCTACATCTTTCTCCCCTGCTGGATGCTCCCTGCCTTTGAACACTGGACTCCAAGTTCTTCAGATTTGGGATTCGGACTGGCTTCCTTCCTCCTCAGCTTGCAGATGGCCTATGGTGGGACCTTGTGATCATGAGAGTTACTACTACTTAATAAACTCCCTTTTATATCCTATTGTATATATCTGCATTGAATGTTGCAGCTCGGGGAGTTAAAAAAAAGTTCTAATAGTTTATTTGCGGCCAGGCACAGTGGTGCAAGCCTGTAATCCCAGCACTTTGGGAGGCCGAGGCAGGCAGATCACCTAAGGTCGGGAGTTCAAGACCAGTCTGATCAACATGGAGAAACCCCATCTCTACTATAAAAAAAAATAAATAAATTAGCCTGGTGTGGTGGCACATGCCTGTAATCCTAGCTACTCGGGAGGCTGAGGCAGGAGAATCACTTGAAACCGGGAGGCAGAGGATTGTGGTGAGCTGAGATTGCACCATTGCACTCTGGCCTGGGCAACAAGAGCGGAACTCTGTCTCAAAAAAAAAAAATATATATATATATATATTTGCTTGGTGAGCTGAAATATGGATGAAAAGGTGGCCCACTGTGAGTGAGCTGGAAATGCCTGATCTCGCTTGGTTTAATATACAGGAAGGAATCCAAAGGCTTAGGGAGATTGGGATGGTGGAGTGGATTAGTTACTTTAGAAATACTCATCCCAGCTGGGAGGTTCCAGAAGATATACCCTTCTCTAGTGCTTTGCAAAACATATTTGTGAGGGCAGCGCCTGCATTTTTGAAGAGCCCTGTAATTGCTCTTCTCTGTATGTCAGATCTAACAGTGGGAACCACAGTCACTCAACTATGAAATTTAAATACAGTGGGAATAATTGGATGCTGAGATGGCAGGGGCCAATTGGTGGCACTCAACTGTGAAAGGCAAGGTGGGCATAGCTACTGTAATGAACAGCAGAGGCAAAGCAGCAATCAGAATAGTCTGACTCATGTACAGCTCTGCATTGGCTAATTAATTACAGTGTTCCTAGAAGTAAAATTCATAGGAAGCCTACTGCACTCCTACTTAATTTATATAAGCAGGAAACTTCTAGGTCGAATGGACAAAAGACTAACTTGAATTATGAAAACAACGAATCATGGCCCCTCATCAATTTCCAGACTTGAGCCAGTTTACAAACCCAGAACTTCTCGAATAAATGGGAGGCTGGGTCCCCTTGAGGAAGGACCCCACTACACTACTGACTATTTATGCTGTTAATCTTTCTCCCATCCTTCCCCAAGGAGACCTCTGGGCTTTTTCCAGGGTAACTATGTATTGGGGAAAGGGAAATGATCAGACACTTTGGGGACTACTGGACATTGGCTGAGGTGACGTTGATTCCAGGGGACCCAAACATCATTGTGGCTCTCCAGTTAAAGTAGAGGCTTATGGAGGTCAGGTCACTGATGGAGTTTTAGCTCAGGTTCAACTTATGGTGGGTCCAGAGGGTCCCTGGACTCCTCCTGTGGTCACTTCCCCAGTGCCAGAATGCATAATTGGGATATACATAATAATTAGTAGCTGGCAGGATGCCCACATTGGCTCCCTGACTGGTAGAGTGAGAGCTATTATGGTGAGAAAGGCCAAATGGAAGCCATGAGAGCTGCCTCTACCTCGAAAAATAGTAAATTAAAAACAATGTCATATCCCTGGAGGGATTGTGGAGATTAGTGCCACCATCAAGGGCTTGAAAGATATAAGGGTGGTGATTCCCACCACATCCCTGTTCAACTGTCCTATTTGGCTTGTGCAGAAGACAGATGGATCTTGGAGAATGACAGTGGATTATCATAAGATTAACCAAGTGGTGATTCCAAATGCAGCTGCTGTACCAGACGTAGTTTCATTGCTTGAGCAAATTAACACATATCCTGGTACCTGGTATGCAGCCATTGAATTGGCAAATGGCTTTTTCTCCATTCTTGTCCACAACACCCACCAGAAGCAATTTGCCTTCAGCTGGCAAGGCCTGCAATTTACCTTTACTGTCCTACCTCAGGAGTATATCAACTCTCCAGCTTTGTGTCATAATCTAATTGAGAGAGAACTTGATCACTTTTCACTTCCACAAGCTATCACACTGGTCCATTACATTGATGACATTATGCTGATTAGACCTGGTGAGCAAGTAGCAGCAAACATGCTGGACTTACTGGCGAGACATGTGTATGCCAGAGGATGGGAAATAAATCTGACTAAAATTTAAGGACCTTCTACCTCAGTAAAATTTCTAGGAGTCCAGTGGTGTGGGGCCTGTTGAGATATTCCTTCTAAGGTGAAGGATGAGTTGTTGCATTTGGCCCCTCATACAACCATGAAAGAGGCACAATGCCTAGTGGGCCTATTTGGATTTTGGAGGCAACACATTCCTCATTTGGGTGTGTCACATTTATCGAGTGACCTGAAAGGCTGCCAGTTTTGAGTGGGGTCCAGAACAGAAGGCTCTGCAACAGATCAGGCTGCTGTGTAAGCGGCTCTGCCACTTGGGCCATATGACCCAGAAGATCCAATGTTGCTTGAAGTGTCAGTGGCAGATAGAGATGCTGTTTGGAGCCCCTGGCAGGCCCCCATAGGTGAATCACAGCAGAGGCCTCTAGGATTTTGGAGCAAGACCATGTTATCTTCTGCAGATAGCTACTCTCCTTTAGAGAGACAGCTCTGGACCTGTTACTGGGCTTTGGTGGAAACTGAACGTTTGACTATGGGTCATCAAGTCACCATGTGACCTGAACGGCTATCATGAACTGGGTGCTTTCTGACCCATCTAGCCATAAAGTGGGTCATGCACAGCAGCATTCCATCATCAAATGGAAGTGGTATATACATGATCGGGCTCAAGCAGGTCCCATAGGCACAAGTAAGTTACATGACGAAGTGGCTCCAATGCCCATGGTCTCCACTTCTGCCACCCTGCCTGCACCGATGGCCTCATGGGGAGTTCCCTAAGATCAGTTGACAGAGGAAGAGAAGACCAGGGCCTGGTTCGCAGACGGTTCTGCACGATATGCAGGCACCACTCCAAAGTGGACAGCTGCAGCACTATAGCCCCTTTCTAGGAAATCCCTGAAGGATAGCAGTGAAGGGAAATCTTCCCAGTGGGCAGAACTTCTAGCAGTACACCTGGTTGTACACTTTGCATGGAAGGAGAAATGGCCAGATGTGCAATTATATACTGACTCATGGGCTGTAGCCAATGGTTTGGCTGGATGGTCAGGGACTTGGAAGAAGCATGATTGGAAAATTGGTGACAAAGAAATTTGGGGAAGAGATATGTGGATGGACCTCCCTGAGTGGTCAAAAACTGTGAAGATATTTGTATCCCATGTGAGTGCTCAACAATGGATGACCTCAGCAGAGGAGGATTTTAATAATCAAGTGGATAGGATGACCTGTTCTGTGGACACCACTCAGCCTCTATCCTCAGCCACCCGTCTTCGCCCAATAGGCCCATAAACAAAGTGGCCATGGTGGCAGGGATGGAGGTTATGCATGGGCTCGGCAACATGGACTTCCACTCACCAAGGATGACCTGGCTACAGCCACTGCTGAATGCCCAGTTTGCCAGCAGCAGAGACCAACACTGAGCCCTCGATATGGCACCAATCCTCAGGGTGATCAGCCAGCTACCTGGTGACAGGTTGATTTTATTGGACCTCTTACATCATGGAAATGGCAGAGGTTTGTCCTCACTGGAATAGACACTTACTCTGGATTTGGGTTTGCCTATCCTGCATGCAATGCTTCTGCCAAGACTACCATCCATGGACTCAGGGAATGCCTTATGCACCATCATGGTACTCCACACAGCATTGTCTCTGACCAAGGCAATCACTTTATGGCTAAAGAAGTGCAGAAGTTGGCTGATGCTCATGAAATTCACTGCTCTTACCATGTTCCCCATCATCCAGAAGCAGCTGGATTGATAGAACGGTGGAATGGCTTTTTGAAGTCACAATTACAATGCCAACTAGGTGACAATACTTGCAGGGCTGAGGCAAAGTTCTCCAGAAGGCCATGTGTGCTCTGAATCAGCATCCAATATACGGTACTGTTTCTCCCATAGCCAGGCTTCACGGGTCCAGGAATCAAGGGGTGGAAGTGGAAGTGGCACCACTCACCATCATCCCTAGTGATCCACTAGCAAAACTTTTGCTTCCTGTTCCTGAAACATTACATTCTGCTGGCCTAGAGGTCTTAGTTCCAGAGGGAGGAACACTGCCACCAGGAGACAACAATTCCATTAAACTGGAAGTTAATGGAATAACTTCCATTAACTTTGGGCTCCTTCTACCATTAAGTCAACAGGCTAAGAAGGGAGTTACAGTGTTAGCTGGGGTGATTTACCTGGACTATCAAGATGAAATCAGTCTACTACTCCACAATGGAGGTAAGGAAGAGTATGCATGAAATACAGGAGACCATTAGGGTGTCTCTCAGTATTACCATGCCCTGTGATTAAGGTCAATGGGAAAGTACAACAGCCCAATCCAGGCAGGACTACAAATGACCCAGACCCTTTAGGAATGAAGGTTTGTGTCACTCCATCAGGAAAAAAAGACTAAGGCCTGTTGAGGTGCTTGCTGAAGGCAAAGGGAATACAGAGTGGGTAGTAGAAGAAATTCATCAATACCAGCTACAACCACGTGACCAGCTCAGAAACAAGGACTGTAACTGTCATGAGTATTTCCTCCTTTTGTTAAAAACCTGTTTGTGCATGTATACACTTGTACTAAGAAAGTATCTTCATTTAATTTCCTTTTCCTTTATGTGACATAAGATTTATAGACTTCATGTCAGCATTTAAGTATTGCTAACTTTATGTAATAGTATTTGGGTTGGGGATTGGTGCATTTCCAGTTGTACAAAGGACAGTTGTATTATGTTAGGTGTAATTATGACCTTATTATTGTCTTTATTTGAAGATTATGTATGATCTCAGGAGATGTGTATAGGTTTAAGTTGACAAGGGGTGGACTTGTGATGGTTAATACTGAGTGGCAACTTGATTGGATTGAAGAACACAAAGTATTGATCCTGGGTGTGTCTATGAGGGTGCTGCCAACGGAAATTAACATTTGAGTCAGTGGGCTGGGGAAGGCAGACCTACCTTTAATCCGGGTGAGCACCATCTAATCAGCTGCCAGCAAATATAAAGGGGGAGGAAAACCGTGAAAAGGCTAGACTAGCTTAGCTTCACAGCCTACATCTTTCTCCCCTGCTGGATGCTTCCTGCCCTTGAACATTGGACTCCAAATTCTTCAGCTTTGGGACTCAGACTGGCTTCCTTGCTCCTCAGCTTTCAGATGACCTATTGTGGGACCTTGCGATCATGTGAGTTAATACTACTTAATAAACTCTCATATGTATATTAGTCCTATTAGTTCTGTCCCTCTAGAGAACCCTAATACAAACTGTAATCTCACTGTAACACAGTAACTATTTTGATATTATATTCCAGGTGAATTAGTATGTTTATATCATGGTAATCCTAAAATAGGTACTTTTTGGGTGATGTTTTATTTAGTTTTAAATGAAAATAGCAATATTATACATGCTGAAATATTTTTAATAGAAGTATAAAAGTAAAAGGAAAAGTGCTATACCTTTCACATCCATTCAAGAGTAATCACTGTTGGCTGGGTGCAGTGGCTCATGCCTGTAATCCCAGTACTTTGGGAGGCCAAGGTGGGTGGATCATTTGAGGTCAGGAGTTCGAAACTAGCCTGGCCAACATGGTGAAACCTCGTCTCTACTAAAAATACAAAAAGTAGCCAGTCCTGGTGGTACATGCCTGTAATCCCAGCTACTCGGGAGGCTGAGGCAGAAGAATACCTTGAACCTGGGAGGTGGAGGTTGCAGTGAGCCGATATGGCACCACTGCGATAGAGTGAGCTTAGTGTCCAGCTTAGGCGACAGAGTGAGACTCCATCTCAAAAAAGAAAAAAAAAAGAGTAGTCACTATTAACGCATCCACCTTTTTCCTTGTATACTTATACATACACATCTATAATTTGGTCTTGTTTTACTTCCATTTAACATTTTGTTATAAACATTTTCCATGTTTTCATATAATTGCTATTTCAAAGCCTACATACCATTCCTTTCTGTGGATATAGTAATCAGGACTCTTAATTTTAAGTGACAGAACTCAAACTGGCTTAAGAAAAACAGAGGCTTATTGACTCATATAACTGGGGTGGGCATAGGTGGAAGAGATGTTAGATGTGACTGGATCCAAGGCTCAGATGACGTTTTCAGGAATGTGTCAGCTGAGTCTCTGTCACTCTTCATCTCTTGTCTCTGCTTGTGTGTAGGCCTTACTTGGTCTGACTGCAGCTAGGCTTTCTGCATGTGGCTGAGAATGTTAGGGTTATATTTTTCCAGTTCTAGACCCTAGAGGAAAGAAGAGGTCTTCCTAACCAACTCCAAAGGAAAAGTCATAGGAAAGGACTTTGATTGACTTGTCTTTAAACCAACCACTGTGGGCTATGGAGATGGGACAAACTGATTGATCACCCTAGGTCATGTGCCTACCTATACATTTAGGAAGGGCAAAGGAAGTGATAGGGAAGAAACAGCTGAGCAACAGTACCTTTCACAGATTCTAAATCCTGGACTTTGAGATTGTTTCAGTATTTTGGCTGTGACTGATAACACTGGGAACATCTTTAAGGCTATTCCTCTTACTCTTATGGGATTACAGTTTGCCCTCTGTATCTGTGGATTCCACATCAACAGATTCAACCAACCATGGATCAAAAATTTTTTCAACAATACAGCTGGGTGTGGTGGCTCACGCCTGTAATCCCAGCACTTTGGGAGGCCAAGGAAGGTGGATCACTTAAGGCCAGGAGTTTGAGACCAGCCTAGCCAACATTGTGAAACCCCGTCTCCACTAAAATTACAAAAATTAGCTTGATGTGGTGGTGCATGCCTGTAATCTCAGCTCCTTGAGAGGCTGAGACTCAAGAATTGCTTGAACCCAGGAGGCAGAGGTTGCAGTGAGCTGAGATTGTGTCACTGCACTCTAGCCTGGGCAACAGAGTGAGACTCTGTCTCAAAACGACAACAATACAACAAAAAATAATGCAAATAAAACAATATAGTATAGAAACTAAATAGCATTTACATTGTATTAGGCATTGTAAGTCACCTAGAGATGATCTGAAGTATATGAGAGGATGTGTGTAGGTTACATGCAAATATGACACCATTTTATATAAGGGACTTGAGCATCTGCAGATTTGGGTATCCACTGGAGGTCCTGGAACCAATCTCCTGTGGATACCAAGGAACAACTGTATTTCCTTATGAAAAATTCTTTGGAGTAGAATTTCTGGATCCAGGAGTATCACACATTCTTGTGGTTCTTGCTACATGTTACACTTATTGTTTTTCAAGAGGATTGTGCCAAAGAAGTAGCTTTTAAAAAATGAGACCTTATGAAAATTCTGAAGTCCATTTATTAATTCAACAAATATTTGTTCAGCACCTACTATATGCCAGGCACTATATTTACCCACACCTGCCACACAGGGAGTCAGCAGGGTCTAAATCCAAATCCATATGAGTGATCTGTCTCTAGCAAGAAGACTACATGTCCAGAGATGTTAAGTTCTGTTTAAAAGTCATTATGGATGCTTGTGGGTGGGGCAATGGTCTTCAAAATAAATTTTTTGAGAAAGGCTCTCAGACTGTTGCCCAGGCTGAAGTGCAGTGGCATGTTCATAGATCACTGTGATATCAAACTCCTGGGCTCAAGCTATCCTCCCAGTTTAGTATACCGAGTAGCTAGGAGTATAGGCATATGCCACCCTGCCTGGCTAACCTTTTTAAATTTTTTGTAAAGATGGGGTCTTACTATGTTGTCTCAAGCAATCCTCCTGCCTTGGCCTCCCAAATTGCTAGGATTACAGGTGTGAACCACCCCACCTGGCCAGGCCAATAGTCTTGATGTGGGTCTATCAATTATCAACTTTCCTAAAATGATGTCAGCATTTTTTGGTTGTCCAAACGATTTCTTTTCATTCAGAAACTTTTTTGCAAATTAACTATACGGACACAATCTAAATTGTAATCTGAGTCATCACCACCCACCAGCGAACTTCATTTTTCTGAGCTTCAGCTTGCTCATATCTGAATGACAATGCCTGCCAAGCACTCAGCTCTGGGCCACTGAGGGGATCAAAGGTGATGAATGAGGGAACGAGGAGACTAGTTACTTAAAGAGTGATGAGAAGGTTTTGAAGAACCAATGCAGTGAACATGATAGGAAGTTAAAACACTGAAAAAGATAATTTGTTAAACTGTAGAGCATGATATGAATGTAAGATATTATTACAATCAAGAGAGGTACTGCAAGAGTCAGTTCTTTTTTTTCATATAAATATGGCACAAAATTATAACCATGGAATATAAAGCTAGGTTTTGAAATTCTGTCACTACCTTTACAAAAAGAAATAAAGGAAAAAAATTTCTGAAAATGCCTCTTCCTTTAACCAGGATCTCTTGGTATATTATGAACACTTTATTAAATATGGAGATGGAATGATGAGTTAATAAAAACAAATGAATAAATTTACATAGACTTGCTAACTTCCCTCCAGATTTGAGTTCCATAAACAAGAATTGATCACGTAAGGCATGAATAACAGGGCATGTGAATTGTACTTAGGTTTTAACATTGGCTAAATGTTCTTAGAGTTACAGCCATAGTTTCTTCCCCCCATAAGTGAACAACTTTAGAGATCATTTAGTTCAATTCCCTTGTTTTACAGACTGTTTTGGTTTCATTGCTTGAGCAGAAACTTATAATATATGCTTCCATGTGGTTACTACCCATATATTTTAAAAAGACATGTTTGTTTAGTTCTCCTTCACTATATTGTGGCTATTTTTGAAAGGTACATAAATAGAGAAACCATTAGAACTATTATGGAGTGGTCCAGCTTGCTTATGAATACATTTCATCATGTAATCAATCACAAGATTTAAAAATAGTTGGCATTTACATGGAAAGGTTCATAAAATGCTTCATGAATGAAGGCCTCATTTATTTCTAAAATGCATTCATGGTTATTGAGTTCCATCATAAGTAATAGTGGGAATGGAAATTGTGGAATCTCAAATCTATTGTTTTTCAATTTTCAACATATGTTTTAAACATACACCTACTGCTGGGAACTGTGAGCTGTCTTCTTTCTGATGTTTGCCACATCATTACACTATTAACAAAAGGTTTCAGTTGACTAAAAGCCAAATTCTAGCAGAAAGGAAGATCAATTAAGCACTTAATTATAATTTTCTGTTTAATGGCATTTTATTTAACTCATGCTTTATCATTTTATCACCAGTTTTAGCATATGCAAATATTAGCTAATTTTGTTACTGTGGTAAGAAATAGAAGCCATATAGAATTCACAGGGCTCCTGAGTGATACCCAAACACAGTACTATTTACTTACTTTATTATTTTTTTCCTTTTTTCAAGACAGCATCCTGCTCTGTCACCCAGGCTAGACTGCAGTGGTGTGATCACAGCTTACTGCAGCCTAGACCTTGTGGGCTCAAGCAATAGTCCCACCTCAGCCTTCCATGGAACTGGGACTACAGACTAACTGGGACTACAGGCATGCACCACCATGCCTGGCTAATTTTTTTGTAGAGACAGGGTTTCACCATGTTGCCCAGGCTGCTCGTGAACTCCTGGGCTCAAGCAATCTACCACCTCCCTTGACCTCCCAAAGTGTTGGGATTACAGGTGTAACCCACTGCACCTGTCCCACAGTACTATTCGTTAAGTTGCCAGTGACCTCAAACCAAGGTAAGAGAATAATTAAACAATGACAACCCAATGTTTGAAGAGAAAACAGAAAATTACTGAACTATCTAATTGTCTTTCCTATGTTATTAGATACATTCTTTAGAAGTAAAGCAATTGACAACTATAGTTTCTGTCCCTATTTTTATTGAAGTATGGCATAGAAGATCATTTTCTTCTCACTCAGCTTTGATCACTAAATTGTTATAAGCCCTTGGGTAGTTGACAACACTTAATTCAGACAGAGCCACAATGCGTGGCACAAAGTGTACAAACTTTAAAATTGAAGAGACCTGGGCCTCAGTTTTGATATTGCCCCTTCACTGTTGGTTCTGTCACTTATTTAATCCCTCATTTAATTTTTATCTCATCATCTGACACATCATCTATGTGTCAGGCATTGTCTGAGAAGTGGAGAGCTATAGAAATTAATCACATAATATTTTCCCCTAAGGAAGTTATATTTAGTGGTAGACATAGTCAAGCAACAGATAAATCTATAAAATACGACTATTAAAACCCACAAAATGAGAGTGCCGTGAAGATTAAGGATTAAGTAAGATAAGGCCAGGTGCAGTGGCTCATGCCTGTAATCCCAGCACTTTGGGAGACCGAGGCGGGTGGACTGCTGGAGCTCAGGAGTTCCAGACTACCCTGGGCAACATGGTGCAACCCCGTCTCTACTAAAATACAAAAAATTAGCTGGGGGTGGTGGTGTGCACCTGTAGTCCCAGCTACTCAGGAGGCTGAGGCACAAGAATAGCTTGAGCCTGGGAGGCGGAGGTTGCAGTGAGCCAAGATCATGCCACTGCACTCCAAATTGGGCTACAGAGTAAGACTCCGTCTCAAAAAAAAAAAAAAAGGATTAGTGAGATGACATATATAAGGAACGTGACACTGTATCTAGCCTGCAATATACATGCAACGCATTTCTTTTTTAAAAAATTCAATTACAATTTTTTTCAGTGCTAAATAAGTTAATGCCACTGTGCTGGGGATTGAACAATAAGACAATAAGAACAGGATAAAAAAGATTGCAATAGTAAAAGACTTGATGAAACTGGCTGTTATGGAAGTGTAGTTTACCCTTCAGAAGATTTACATAAATTTCTCCAGTAGAGCTCACTCATGCAAATTTCAGAGGAAAGAAGGCAGGCTATGGGGTAACCCAGACTTAGAAATTATTCTGACAGGCATGATAAACTTTCAAAAGATTAAGAGGAGTAAGCAAGGGAAAGATTAAATTGCTAGACCCTTGAGTCCAAACTACTGAACCTTGACAGAAAGGCAAGAGAAATCAGAAGAAGGTGACGAGCTATCAAGAGAAAGAGGGACTGATGGATGAGGTCACAGATGGAGGGAGGAGCATTTTCAGTGCTCAGAGGGAAAATGAACAATAACAAAGGGCAGAAGTTTGTAATCAGAAAAAGGGAACTCATGATCTTGAGATATAAATTATAAACGTCTTAAGTGGCCCCAAGCATAGTCATATTAGTGGCTGGCTGTGGAAAACATGAGATGTGCCACTCAGGCTCCCCTTTTCAAGAAAAGATTCGCTACCCAGCTTTAAGAAGTGTAGTTAACTGACAGATTCCAGCTGTTAGCTCCTTAAAAACCTGCTCTGCATTGGAGCTGAGGTTGTACTCTTAGTTGGGTGGTCCTCAGTCAATAACTGAACAAGGCAGTGGGTACAAGGAGCTAGCCATTCCCATCCAATGTGGACTCCTGAAACTGTCCGCCTCTGCAGAGATGCTCCCTACTGGACTAGCAGAGAAAGCATCGTACTCTGACAACTCCCCTTCTCAGTCCTGCCTATTTCTCTTTTCTTTTACAGGTGTAAATTCCCCCAAACACTTCTGATACTCCTAACTCTATCTCACCATCTGCTTCCCAAAGAACCACCTGTAGAATTTTAGTTCTGTCATATACATTATTGTATTAGTCTGTTTTCACATTGCTATAAAGAACTACTTGAAACTGGGCAATTTATGAAGGAGAAAGGTTTAATTGACTCACGGTTCCACAGGCTGTATCGGAGGCATGGCTGCGGAGGCCTCAGGAAACTTACAATTATGGTGGAAGGTGAAGGGGAAGCAAGACACCTTCTTCACAAGGCGGCAGGAGAGAGAGACAGCACAGGGGGAAGTGCTACACTTGTAAACCATCAGATCTTGTGAGAACTCACTCATTATCATGAGAACAGCATGGGGGAAATCTGCCCCCATGGCCCAATCACCTCTCACCAGGTCCCTCCCCTGATACATGGGGATTAAAATTCCACATGAGCACTTTGGGAGGCCGAGGTGGGTGGATCACGAGGTCAGCAGATGGAGACTATCCTGGCTAACACGGTGAAACCCTGTCTCTACTAAAAATACAAAAAATTAGCCGGGCGTGGTGGCACGCGCCTATAGTCCCAGCTACTCAGGAGGCTGAGGCAGGAGAATGGTGTGAACCCGGGAGGCAGAGCTTGCAGTGAGCCAAGGTCGCACCACTGCACTCCAGCCTGGGAGACAAAGTGAGACTCCATCTCAAAAAAAAAAAAAAAAAAAAAAAAAAATTCCACATGAGATTTGGGTGGGGGCAAAGCCAAATCATGCCATTCCACCCAAGCCCCTCCCAAATCTCATGTCCTTCTCACATTTCAAAACACAATCATGCCTTCCCAACATTCCCCCAAAGTCTTAACTCACTCCAGCATTAACTCAAAAATCCAACACCAAAGTCTCATCTAAGACAAGGCAAGTTCCCTTCTGCCTATGAGCCTGTAAAATAAAAAAAACAAGTTAGTTACTTCCAAGATACAATTGGGCTACAGGCATTGGGTAAATTCTCCCATTCCAAATGGAAGAAATTGGCCAAAACAAAGGGCATAGAGGCCCCATGCAAGTCCAAAACCCAACAAGGAAATCATTAAATCTTAAAGCTCTAAAATAATCTCCTCTGACTCCAAGTCTCATATCCAGGACATGCTAATGCAAGAAGTGGGCTCCCCAGGCCTTGGGCAGCTCTGCCTCCATGGCTCTGCAGGATACAGTTCCAATTTCAGGTCATCTTTTTTGTGAACGCATATGAGTGTACATTTTTATAAAAAGACAGGTTGGGCCGGGCATGGTGGCTCACACCTGTAATCCCAGTACTTTGGAAGGCCCAGGCAGGAAGATCACGAGGTCAGGAGTTCAAGACCAGCCTGACCAACATGGTGAAACCCTGTCTCTACAAAAGATACAAAAAATTAGCCTGGCGTGGTAGTGTGTGTCTGTAATCCCGGCTACTCAGAAGGCTGATGCAGGAGAATCACTTGAACCCGGGAGGCAGAGGTTGCTGAGATCGCACCATTGCACTCCAGCCTGGGCAAAAGGGCGAGACTCGGTCTCAAAAAAAAAAAAAAAAAAAGCCAGGTCACCTCTCGAATGCTTTGCTGCTTTGAAGTTTCTTCCTTCAGATACCCTAAATCATCTCTCTCAAGTTCAAAGTTCCACAGAACTCTAAGGAAGGGGCAAAATGCTGCCAGTTTCTTTGCTAAAGCATAGCAAGAGTGACTTTTGCTCTGGCTCCCAATAAGTTCCTCATCTCCATGGGTGACCACCTCAGCCTGGACTTCATTGTTGATATCACCATCAGCATTTTGGTCAAAACCATTCAACAAGTCTCTAGGAAGTTCCAAACTTTCCATCATCTTCCTATCTTCCTAACCCTCTAAACTGTTGCAACCTCTGCCCATTACCCAGTTTCAAAGTCACTTCCACATTTTTAGGTATCTTTATAGCAGTGCCCCTATTCTGCTGGTACCAGTTTTCTGTATTAGTCCATTTTCACACTGAGACTGAGTAATTTATAAAGGAGAGAGGTTGGACTCACAGTTCCACATGGCTGGGGAAGCCTCAGGAAACTTACAATCATGGTGGAAGGTGAAAGGGAAGCAAGGCACATCTTACATGGCAGCAGGAGAGAGAAAGAGAGCAAAGGGGGAAGTGCTACGCTTTTAAACCATCAGATCTCATGAGAACTCACTTACTGTCATGAGAACAGCATGGGGGAAATCCACCCCCATGATCCTGTCACTTCCCACCAGGTCCCTCCCCTGACACGTGGGGATTAAAATTGCACATGAGATTTGTGTGAGGACACAGAGCCAAACCATATCGATTATCTCATTTTATCCTTATAATAATCCAGGTGATACAGATAGTAAGAGCACCCATGCTTCACTTTACCAATGGAAAATCAGAAATCCAGAACACTTCAGTAACCTCACTGTGCTTACACACCTAGTTTGTGTCAAAGCTGCATTAGAACCTTCCTCCAAATCTTTTCTGAGCCCAGAGAGTTATTTACCTGGGGGATATTAAAAGGAATAATGAGTGACAGCAACAAGTGCTAAAAGAAGCCACAGTTGGGTATCTGCCAAGCTTTGTAGAACTGACATGAGATTGAAAAGTAAAAACACTGTAGTAGAGAAAAGCAATCAAGAGAAGGATTATAAATGATAAAAATTATTTGTATTGGCCGGGCATGGTGGCTTATGCCTGTAATCCAAGTATTTTGGGAGGCCAAGGCAGGCAGATCACCTGAGGTCAGGATTTCAAGACCAGCCTGGTCAACATGGTGAAACCCCGTCTCTACAAAAACACAAAAAATTAGCCGAGCATAATGGTGGGTGCTTGTAACCTCCAGCTACTCAGGAGGTTGAAGGAGGAGAATTGCTTGAACCCAGGAGGCAGAGGTTGCAGTGAGCTGAGATCACTCCAGCCTGGGCGACAGAACAAGACTCCGTCTCAAAAAAAAAAAAAAAATTATTTGTATCTTGCTCTCATTTTAAGAGAGTATATGGTTTGTGTATGTTTGTGTATCCTTTTGTGTATGTTTAGGACAATTTTAATAAAGTTAATAAGAATCTTTCAGGTGTTCCTTTGCCACTGGTGGATCAGACCAGAGTTAAGTACTTTCCAAATCCAAGGGAAAAACTACAATTCCTTTTTGAAATCACAATGGCTATTTTACCATAAACAAGGTAATTTACAAATAACTGTTTCTTTGTTGAAACCTGCTGATCACTTATTTTCCTTTTCTTTCCTTCTTCTTTTTTCTTTTGAAATAATAATTCACAAAACAAATTCCTAGTCTTTTTTTTTTTTAAGACACAGTTTTGCTCTTGTCACTCAGGCTGGAGTGCAATGGCACAATCTTGGCTCACTGCAACCTCCGCCTCCTGGGTTCAAGTGATTCTCCTGCCTCAGCCTCCCAAGTAGCCGGGATTACAGGCGCATGCCACCACACCTGGCTCATTTTTGTATTTTTAGTGGAGACGGGGTTTCACCATGTTGGCCAGGCTGGTCTCGAACTCCTGACCTCAGGTGATCCACCCGCCTCAGCCTCCCAAAGTGCTGGGATTACAGGCATGAGCCACTGCGCCCGGCCAAATTCATAGTCTTTAAATAAAACCTGAAAAATATGGAAAGAATAAAGAAGACAATGAACATCACTTAAAATGTCCCTGCTGTATTTTGGCTTTGGATCTTTCTATTCTTTTACCTGTGTATACATATATGTATGTATATTCATTCCCTTATCCTAACCTTAACACCACACCATGCCCCTAGGTCTGAAAGTCGTAATTATAATTCAACCCAGGAAATGTATGCAACTCGAAGGCTCCTATATTGACAGGTAATGAAGGCAGTCTTTATTAAAAGTCCACCTCTTACTCCCAAAATGAATTGGCAATATGAAACTTCTTAAATCTCTTCTTGGATCTTACAGGATTAGGCCCCAAATTTAGTTCTTCCATGTTTATTTTTGTTAATAAATCCTTAGGAGCAACTCCTGTGGCCCTTGCTTGAAGGAAAAGCACCTGACATGTGAATTGGATGACTTTTGACAACGGAAGACAGGGCCATCCTTGAGTATTGGATCATGGAGGCTCCCAATTCCCCTACCTGTGAGTTGAATTCGGAAGCCACATTGAGCAGAACTGAATTTCTGAAATGAATCTGAGTGAGAATAAACCTCCCTAGCAATGTCAGACACCAGGACAAACCAGGTTTGGGGAGCAAGTCTTTAAACAAGAACCATATCTGACTGACTCTATCCAGTGGGGACACATCCCAGGGCAGAATCCCATTTGCTTGAAGTCCAGTATTGGGATAGTGAATCTTTCTCCTCTTAAAAGTTACTGATGCAGTGGCATATGGCTGGCAGACTTCAGTACTTGCTAAAAGAATACCTCATGTGTTTATGTCACACAAACCAGTATGTCTGGACAATGTTACAAATGTAGCTAAGCCACAGAAATAGTTTTCTATACAATATTTTAAAATTTGAGATGGTAAAAGGATAGGAATATAAAACCAGAAGTACATAATACTTGAAAGCAGCTGGTAAAATACAACAGGTGTCCGCAGATTCAAAAGCTATTCTTGGTAAAAAGACTCCTAAACAGTCTTCCTAAAATTGCATTATTTTCTAAGCTGCCCCTGACAGATCCCAGGGTCGTTTAAGGGACATAAGGAGCTTGGCAGCCAACTTGCTCCAATGGCTCCCCACTGGAGTTACATGAGTGCCACCTAGTGACACTTGTTAAAGCTGAAGGGGGCCCGGATAGACCATCTAGCTCAATTTACCTCATCTGAGGAAACTGAGGCCCCGATATCAGAGATAACTTAAACAGGGCCACACATCTACCTGGCTAGTGGCTGAGCTAAGGCTAGGAATCAGGCGTCTTGCTTCATGGTTCCCTCAACTGGAGATAATCTCTGGAGTTTGGGAGTCGGGAGTCCTGCCTACTGCACTGTGCCAGAAAATAAAGCCTAAACCTTTCAGGGCCTCAGGTTACCCAGGCATTAAACTCATAAAATAGTATTTGTTTCAAGTCTTTGAGACACATGAGTGTCAGAGAACAGAACCTAAAAGTTGGTAAAAGTGCCCATAGGCATTTAGTCTGCTTTCCTCCACCGTGAGTGACTGCCCCTGAAACAGGTGTACAAGTAATCACATTATTTCCTACAACCAAGGTCCAAAGTCATCAACCTTAATTCAGGGGCAATGCATCAGTTATAGCCTTTTTAGCACCTTCTGCAGGTCTGACACCATCTTAGAGATCAGTTGTAATAAAAGTATCATTGGAACCACTCAAGTTTTGATTTCCAGAAGTCAGATGTTCTGCAGTTCTCCAGTTCGAGTTTCTATTTCAAGATTAGTCTAGGCCAGTGGTCCTCAATGCTGCCTGCACATTAGCACTGCCTAAGAAACTTTTAAAACTCACCTGTGCTTGTGTCTGACCCTAGACCAGCAGAATCAGAATTCCCGGGGGTGACGTTCCCACATCGTTTTATGTGTGTATGTTTTTAAGTTCCTTGGATTATTCCAATGCTAAGAGGATTGAAAAACATAGTGCTGGGCTGAGCTTGTGCTAAGAAAGAGAAAGAAGAGATAAATGTAGGAAAGGTGGGAGGTAGATAAGACCATTCCCTCTAAATCCTGGAACAGAACTTGGTCTGTACTCAAGTGCTCAATAAATGATTGCTGAAACTTGTCCAATGTGAGGTGGTATGATGAGAATGAAGGAGTTCACAATCTATTCATGATTTTAGGATTCTTTATAGCCTCACATAAGAAACATTTACAAAGAACCACAAGTAAACTTAAAAGTAGGAGAAGCCGGTAGACATGTCCATGTAGATCAAGAAGAAATGTTTTAAAACCTGAACACTATTCAAGTCTACATTACTCTCTGCTTTCCTTCTCCTTTCCCATTTTTAACTTCTTGATTCCTCCATTCAACTCACATATTATGTATCTACAGACACATATGATAAAGGGACCGGCTATATTCCAAAAGGCTTTGCTGTCATTCTCTGAGGAAGAGACAACTGAGCTGAGCACTGAAGTAAGAGTAGGAGGTAACTAGATGCTATGTGTACATATGTTGGGGCCCAAAGGTGTGCAGGGCTGGGTGATCTTTCAAGACAGAAGAGACAGCAAAGGCCACATGTTGGGAAAGAGTATGGCTTATTCAAAGAACACAGAGGAGACCAGTATAAGGGAAAGAAGAACATGGTGTGGAAAGGGACTGGAATGTCCAGGAGGGCCTTGTCCATTTGCTTTCATATACATACATACCATGTACCACCATACCATGTACATACCAAATAGGCTGAAGACAAATGGGCTTTCTCTCTGCTGACAGATTATCACAGAATGCTTTGAAAATATTAATACTTTTTAAAATAATAAATGCTTTGAAAATATTAATACTTTTTAAAATAATAATGTTTTTTATGGCAACATTATTGTTATAGTAATAATGGGTTGGAAATGGAGATACAGGAGTTACCAGATTATAAGTGAGAATTAACAACAGAGAATTTATTATTGTCCAGAAAAAAAGTGTGAGCAAAATTATAGAGAATAAATTATTTATCCAAACTTTTGGATGCTTTTGTATCTGTAGTCACTTTTATGTTCATGATATCCTAAGAATTCTTTTTGTTTACTTTTGTATTTTCCTTATGTAAATTTGAGATGTGAAAATGACAATGACAAGCTGTACAATTTAGCTTGGGTATTAGAGAAATCAGCTTGTAAATAACATATCCAGATAAATTGTAATATATACCTATATTTTTAACACAAATTGTCAAAAGCGTATATCATATAATTCCATCCAATTACCTTAGATGATTCCTTGCTAACTATTTTATTTGGCAACACATATATATACCAAAAAGGAAGGGTGAATACAAGTGTATAAGGCAAATGGAGATAAATTATACATCAAGAATAGCACTGCCATTGTCTGAAGGATACTATTTTCAGATTGTGTCTGTATGTGTGTGCGTGTCCTTAGAGCCGTTAGTTCATGAAACAGCAGGAAGTTCAGTTTTAAAAACTAAGGCTAGTTCCAGCTAACATATTGTTTACTATCCCTATTTCCAACCAGGAATTACTCAACCCCAATAAAAGCCTTTTGCCTGGAACATTTGGGAACAAAATTGGAATGAGCAAAGGGTTAAACAGACTCCCACATTAAAGCACAAACATCTCAAACCTAAGAATGGGTCAATCCCTATCCAAATGTTTATTTTGGGTCCATCTATAAAACCTATTTAGAGTCAACTTCAATTAGAGAAGATGACTACTAGAAGGATAATGCAGAAACAGAGTTTCCAGCTTTTTTTTTTTTTATCAGTTTGCTCAACATTTTAAAATGAATTAAAAGCAGATGTTGAAATTGCTGCCAACTGTTCACTTGTCATCTGTGAATGGGAATTAACTGGGTTTTGTTCATCATTCAATCAAATGTTAAGCTTCAGTAGTTTAAAGAGCCTGGGAATGCAGGTCCTGATGGGATTTTAAAACGACAAACAACTGAAGTAATTTTGATAAGTGTGAAACCATTTGTCCTTGTAAGATAAAAAGGGAAATTCTTGGGAAAGTTTAGAATTCTGAAACTCTCACACAATAGCTGCAGAAACAAAAATCAATATTTTGTTATTTAACAAGAACTCTTAAGCACTATCTATATGTTCTGCCCTGCATTTGGTGCACTGGAGGCTACAGGGGAACTTAAAAATAGTTGTCATTCTCAGAGTTAAAGAATATAAGATGCTGTAGTGCCCAGATGAGAGTGCCTGTTGATGGTCCTAAACTAGGTCAGAGGCGACAGAATGTAAGAAGGGCTGAGATGATATGAGCAGGAATCTCAGGGGAAAGTTTCACTGAACAATGAAGAATGTGTAGGATTTAATATTACTTCATGTGGCAGCCAGCCTCTGAGATGGCCCCCAGTGATTCTTGTCTTTGGGTATTCAAGTCTTTGTTGTGGTTCCTTCCCACATTGAATAAGGCTTACCAATAAGATATTGCAGAATTTACGACTTCTGAGGGTAGGTAATAAAAAAAATGTTGTAGCTTCAATCTTGGTCTCTGTTGAACTCTTACTCTGCGGGAAGCCAGCCACTATGTCAAGAGGATGTTCAAGCAGCCCATGGAGAGGCTCATTTGGGGAGTATCTGAGGCCTCCTGCTAACAGTCAACACCAACTCATCAGGCATGTGAGTGAGCCACCACGGAACTGGATCCTCCAGCCCCACTGAAGCCTTTAGATGACTGCATGACTGCAACCCTGGCCAACATCTTGCCTCTGACCTCAAGAGACCCTAAGCCAGAACATCTAGCTAAGCTGCTTCTAGATTCCTGATGCACAGAAATTATGAGTTAAGTGTTTATTGCTTTAAGACATTGAGTTTTGGGGTAATTTGTTGTGCAGCAGTAGATTAAAACATCTTACTAGGTCTTTGTCTTTATCTAAGAATGCACGAAAGTCAAGAAAAGGCTGCACGAATATGGAATAAATGATCAAGAGCTATGTTATTTCTCCATCTCTTTTTAACAAATGCTAAAATAATATTACAATGAAAACTGAATTAAATTCTACTCACATAACAACTATGACTATGCAGATGAGTTCATAATCCTTACCTGTCCCTGAACCCAACCAGCCATTTCTATATAGGTGAATAGCTTAATCCATTACAAAAGTACTACAAAAAATTCCCTAGTTCATTTTACAAATATTTATGGAGATTCTACTATGTGTCATAGGCATGGTACAAATTAAGTACATGTAATACAGTATAAATTACATAATTATATGGCTCAGAACACCAAATAATAAATGAAAAATCTTTTTATGTTCTCTATAATTTAATTTAAAACTAAGACATTTTAATTTTCTTGTTATAAGAAATACGCTTTGATTTTATCCAAGGATAATATGAAATAATACACCTTCCCATTTGGATGTGGGAACTACAATTAGATGCACAAATGCAAGCAGGGGACGCACTCCAAGATTTCATAATGAAATCTTCTCTAGTTCTTGAAAAGCATTTTTGTTTTGTTTTAAGCAGAGGTCCATTATTAGAATTTAACAAATTCTACTTGAGGGAGTGAGGCCCTGTCTCAGAAAAATAAAAATAAAATAATAATAAAGAAAAATGGTTTGGCCAACATGGCAAAACCCCGTCTCTACTAAAAATACAAAAATCAGCCGGCCGTGGTGGCACACGCCTGTGGTCCTGGCTACTTGGGAGGCTGAGACGGGAGAATCACTTGAACTTAGGAAGCAGAGGTTGCAGTGAACTGAGATCATGCCACTGTACTCCAGCCTGGGTGAGAGTGAGATTCTGTCTCAAAAAAAAAAAAAAAAAAAAAAAATCCGCTAGAAGACACTATCGCTAAACAATTTTGGTTGAAATCTTGTCCCCAATGGGTTATACATCACTAAGATATTGACCCTATCTAGAACTGGCTCCCTAATTTGTGAGGCCTAGTGCAAAATTAAAACCAGTGGCTCCTTGTTCCCAAATTATTAAGAATTTCAAGATGGCAACACCAGAGCATGAAATCAAGCACAGAGTTCTTCTAAGCATGTGGTCTCATGCTATTGCATAGACTACATGCCCATGAAGCTGGCTCTGGCTCCATTAAAGAACATAGAAGTCAGAACTTTCCACTTTATTTTGACAGAATAAAGAACTGTTTAAAAATGTCAAGTGACATATTTTTAATGGGAAAATATTTTACCAGAGACTATAAAGCAGTTGCTGATTTAATTATACTCAAAATGAATCATAATTGAGGACTAGAATCTTCTTAACCAGTGAGCAACTGCTTCTCATGTCAATGACTGAATAGGTTTTAAAACCATTTTCTGAAAAGTTTCTGAAAATCTACTGGCAACAATTGAAGGGACCCAGGGGAGGTCCTGAATATTAGAATGGTAATGTGACCTAGATTCACGTCTTTTATTCTTTTTGATAGAGGGCATCTACAGTCTCATTCTATGTTAAAAGAAATGTTCCCTAACAGAGAACTGAACATTACAGAGATCCGGGCCTTGGAAGTGGGTGCAGTACCATGCAGATCTGTATTATTTCCCTTTAGGGAAGAGAGTGAACATGTTTTTGGTTGTAAATGAGATAGCTGTACTGTTTTGTATCTATTTAAAACAAATAGTTTTTGAAACTATGAAACATTTTAGATACCTAAGTATAGACTCTATAAAGAACACTGGCCACCTATGTGGCCACCTTGGGGCCCTTAATAAATATTTAAAAATTCATGGAAACTCCTCCCTTTCCCTGAATGTAACTGCCATTCCGAGTTTTCTATATATCATTCTCCTGCATTTTAAACTCATATGGATCTATTTTAAATATATTGTCTTTTAAACACCAACTATAAATGATACCATACTTTACCTATCCGTCTGCAATCTGTTTTGCTCATTTAACAGCGTATTTTTCAGATGTATCCATATTGTTACATGCAGTTCTACTTCATCACTGTTGTTTTCAGGGCTTGCAAAAGCGTTTCTTTAGGTCCATCCTCCTGAGCGTGTGCTCACCCCAAGGCCCCGGCGGTGGCCAAGTGTCCGCCCATGCGGTGTAAAGGGGAAGTGGAACGCGTAGAGAAGGATTTTGGCAGCTCTGCTTGCCTGGAATTCCAGTCCTAGAATTCTAAATTCGGACTTGATCTTCCAGACTGTTAGGAAGATATATTTAAGGTAGGAGGCTAGAACGTATCTCCTTTAGTATATAGCTTCATTTACAACTTTTAAATATTCAGTCAAAAAGTATGTGGGCCTTCATTTACACTTTTGACGGGGCCTCACAAATAGGGGTGGTCTGCCCCTTTCCTTACGTCCCACTCTTTCTTCAAATTAAATTGCTACAGCAGGAAATTACTGAACTGTGGCTCTTCTCCTACGTCCGCCTTCCCTATGTCAATTCCCATTTCCCTTGCTTTCTCCAATAGTTAGGACTGTAAATTCTAACTTTGTTAATTTCGACGCCAAGCTGGAATGAAGACGCTAAGTGGACGCTAAAAAGACACGCTGTTTGTCACACAAGGCCTCCAACTGGGACGGCGTCCACCGCGCCCCGCCCCGCCCGCGGCACCGTGGCATCTTGGGACATGTAGTCTTTGGAGGGGCAGCTGCCTCCACCAAGTCTCCTCCCCCAAGACGCTGCCTTTCGGCCTCGGGACGCCGTGACGTTGCGTTCCTCCAGTCCCTTGCCACCTCCCTCTTTCTTCCCCTCTGGGGAAGCTCAGTGCTGGACTTCCGAAGACCTTTTACGACATTGAGTCTCGGAGTTGGTCTCAGCGCCGGATCCACTTTTCGGCAAAGTGACGTGGACGTCAACAGCAATGGCGGAAGGAGAAGATGTGCCGCCGCTGCCAACGTCGAGCGGCGACGGCTGGTGAGTGAAAGCCGGGGCTAATTTCCAATGCCCCTTTATTC
Organism: Homo sapiens; assembly: GCF_000001405.40. Lineage (NCBI taxonomy): Eukaryota > Metazoa > Chordata > Mammalia > Primates > Hominidae > Homo > Homo sapiens. The sequence goes on from NC_000003.12 coordinate 100,261,113, forward strand.
TTCCTTCTCACCATCTTGCCGGTCCCCGAGGAGCCGTCTGGCGTCGGCATGGAACGGAGAGGCCGGTCCTAGGCGAAGTCCGGTGCCCTGCCCTACCCCTCTGCCAGCTGGGTGCCCCCTGCCTGCCTGGTTCTGCCCAAGGGACTGGGGCGGGACTCCCAAGGAGAGGGGTGTCATCCAGGTGCTGGGCCTCAGAACGGTCCTCCTGTGTCGTCTGTCAGTCTCCAAAGTGTGCTGGAGTGGGTGGCTTCAGGGCTGGGTTTGGCCGGAGTCCTGGCTGTGGGAGTTGGAGTAGGCTGAAGAAGGAAGTTTGTTGGATGCAGATCTGAGTCACTAAAATACAATGTGAAGAAAAGACGTTTTGAAATGACCACTGCGACCTTCGCCTGAGGGTTCAGAGGTTGACCCGAGGAGAATCCCTCCCACTTAGTTGGTATACTTTTTTTTATTCTGGCTGTTATCTCGTTTTGCATTCCAACAGTTTTCATCGTTCGTCTCCTTCACGCAAGTCATCTTTTCCCCTACTACCACATTTCTCACAGCTCGATTTCTGAGCTTTGGATGCAGTGTGGGACTTTGCTCTTACTGCACCCAAGCTGTTGCATGCTTACCTGATTTATACTCGGGATTGTGGGGGAAGACCGCCAATAATTTTTTGGTAAACTGCTCACCCAGTGTTAATCTTTGGGAAAGGCTTCTACTTTTGAAATAGTTGATCTCACGATACACTGTTAGGTTGTACAACATCATTTTTTAAAAAGGGACCTTTAGAGGCTTGTCTAAATTTTACAGTTGATCTAAGTGTATTGACCACATGTATTAGTTTTGGATTTGCTTGTTCGTTATATTGTATGTGTACAGCTCATGGGCACTTTAAAAATAATACAGGACATTGATAGACATCGACTTTAATCCCAGAGGAAAAAAATGGAAATCGTTGAAAGGGATAGATAATTAGTAATTAAGAAATTCAGCTCTCCATTAGCAGACATCAAACATTACCGTAGCGCTGGGCTCTCCAAGGTGTCAGAGGAAAACTTCATGGTGATCTAGATATAGTTTTTTTTTCTTCAACTTGCTTATGTTGGAGTTGGGAAGGTGTAACAAGGTAAAATTAATCTTATTCTTTGTGAGTGTGATTCAAAGTGTTACGAGAGGTTGGCGGTGGGGGCTGGGGCAGTTGGAGTCACTGGGGGAAAGCTTCATGAAAGCAGCAGTGTTTCAACTAGGCTTTGAAGAATAAGTAGGATTTAAGCCCCAGGGCTGTCTAATAGAAGCCACATATTGTAATTTAAAATTATGTAGTAGCAGCATTTAAAACTGAAAAGAAGGCTGGGCGCGGTGGCTCACGCCTGTAATCCCAGCACTTTGGGAGGCCGAGGCGGGCGGATCACTTGAAGTCAGGAGTTCCAGACCAGCCTGACCAACATGGTGAAACCCCGTCTCTACTAAGAATATAAAAATTAGCCGGGCGTGGTGGCGCGTGCCTGTAATCTCAGCTGCTTGGGAGGCTGAGGCAGGAGAATCGCTTGAACCCGGGAGGCAGAGGTTGCAGTGAGCCGAGATCGAGCCACTACTGTCCAGCCCGGCGGCAGTGTGAGGCTCGGTCTCAAAAAAAAAAAAAAAAAAAAAACACTAAAAAGAAACAGGTGAAATCAGTTTTAATAATCTATTTAACATATTTCAACATGTAATCATTGTTTAAAAAATTAGATAATTGTACATCTTTTTTGTGCCAAGTCTTCAAAATCCAATGTGCATTTTACAGCTACCTTATATTTCAATTTGGTCTAGCCACATTTCAGATATTAAATATCCACACATGGCTTGGAGCTAACATATTAGTGCAGAATCAGATTAAGAGATGGGAAAGGCCTCTGAATGGAGTAACTTTCATGCGCGTCCGTGTGAAGAGACCACCAAACAGACTTTGTGTGAGCAATAAAGCTTTTAATCACCTGGGTGCAGGCGGGCTGAGTCCGAAAAGAGAGTCAGCGAAGGGAGATAAGGGCGGGGCCGTTTTATAGGATTTGGGTAGATAAAGGAAAATTACAGTCGAAGGGGAGTTGTTCTCTGGCGGGCAGAGTGGGTGTCCCAAGGTGCTCAGTGGGGGAGCTTTTTGAGCCAGGATGAGCCAGGAAAAGGACTTTCACAAGGTAATGTCATCAGTTAAGGCAAGGACCGGCCATTTACACTTCTTTTCTGGTAGAATGTCATCAGTTAAGGCGGGGCAGGGCATATTCACTTCTTTTGTGATTCTTCAGTTACTTCAGGCCATCTGGGCGTATACGTGCAAGTCACAGGGGATGCGATGGCTTGGCTTGGGCTCAGAGGCCTGACAGTAACAGCATAAGCAAGGGCATAGACAAGACAACTAATTTGTTTTGAGAGTAAGAATGAGAACTACCTGGTTGGAGAGAAGTTGCAGAAAAATACGTCTTTTTGCTTCTGGTATCCTGCAAGAATGGCAAGAGAAAAAAGAAAAATAGATCTGGAAAAATAGTAAAAAAGTTTTTAACTAATTAAATGCACCTTTTAAGAATCAGTGACAGACATTACAACACTTTTCAGAAAGTGACCTAGCTGGTTATAGCCTGAAGTTTGCTGTTTTGGAACGGTGAATTGTGTCATAAACTGGCGGTAACCAGCTCATAGAGTGCCATGAGGGGAAATGTTTCCACAGTTAAGGTGCCTCTGGGGAGTTCTTAGGTTAGAGGGATTGTGAGAATCTCTGGTTCACATGGGCAGAGGACATGGAGTGAATGTTTACTAGAGACAGCATTTTTTCTCTTGTAGGATTGATGTATCTTTGGTGTGTCTTTGTATTTTTGCTGGTTTCATTTTCATGAATGGAGGAACCCTAACATGGTCGGTGATTTCTGTTTTCCCTCCATCCTCTTCTAATCTTTCTCCTTTTTATCCTGGCACTCTCATCAGCCCCCCAGAAGAGGATTTGAATAGGAAGACTTTGGGATTGGGAGCCAGAGGTTCAGTAAAGGCTCTGTTCTTAGAGTGCTTGGTGAATGGGTTATAGAATGGGGATGCTTTACTCTTGTTTTGTTTTGTTTTGTTGAAGAAACGAGGTCTCGCCATGTTGCCCAGGCTGGCCTCATACTCCTGAGTAGCTGGGGACTACAGGTGTGCCCCATCCATCCGGGTGTTCTACTCTGTCTTTCTCTCCCCTCCCCCTCCCTCCCTCTCTTTCTTTATCTCTCTTTCTTTTTGGAGTAAATGTTTTTATTTTAACTCTGTCAGATGGAATTTTTTCTAAAATGTATCATATATCTTACTGCCTAGCTCAAACTCATCTTAATGACTTGAGTCATTCAGTTTACAAATGTAAGTGTAATTTAAGGATAGAACTAGGTCTCTGTCCTCAGGGAATTTATGTTCTAGATACAGGAGGCATGTTTGAGAACATCGATTACTTTTGTGTTATTGTAATGTGGTGAGACTTTTAGGGCCTATCTAGACAAATTGTTGCTATGTTAAGTGACACAGCTATCCCTTTTTGAGATTGCTTTTTATAAGTTTTTCCTATTTTCTTTTTTTGTTGTCAGTGGTATCTCAATTTGTTCCTAGTCTGTGAAACTAAGCCATTGAACTTGTTGAAATTGTATATACATTCTTAAAAAGGCTCAGGATGGACCTTGAAGATCTTAAAAGTATGTGGACTCTATGACATTGTTTTTGCTGATTTTCAGTTATGTTCTAGTTCACTGCTTCTCAAAATTTAAACGTACATTGGAATTATCTGGGGAGCTTGTTAAAATGCTCTCCAGGTAACTGTGATTGTGATTCAATATATTTTGAGGTGGAACTTGAGAGTCTCTGTTTCTGACTAGCTGCTGGGGGTTGCCAATTCTGGTGGTTTATGGACCACACTTAAGTTAGCAGGGTTCTAGGTTATATATATATCAGAATGAGTAGGTCAGAGGAATTTGTATATGTCACATTGTATCACCTTACATGTTATACTAAAATATGTGTAATTACATGACTTATCATTGTTCTTTAGATAATGAACTTCTCAAGGGCAGTGGCTGATAAAAGGCAGGTGTCTCAGTAAATGTTTATTGAATGAATGTACGCATGAATGAAAACTTTCCTGTAATTATGTGCAATAGCATACTAAGCTGTCATTTCATATAAATTTCCTGACTCCAGTGTTTTTGTGAGCTGTGGAATTGTCTGTTGGTATAATGCTTATTCTTTATGGAAAGCCAAAGTAATCAGAAAATGCCTCAGCTTTCAAGCTCCCTGGGATTCAGCCATGTAAGCTCAAAGGGTGTGGTGAAATTCTTGTAAAAATGCTTATAGTTAGTTTTAAGTGATTTGAATTTAATTTTAAAAAATTAATATAAGTTATGAGAATCTGGATTTGTAAAATTAAACATGTTAAATTGTTACAGTGAAAAGATTGGTAATTACCCTCCTTGGTATTGAAGAAACTAGCACTGGATTTGAACATATGTTCTCATTTTCCGATACTTTCTTCCCAAAATAATGTCTAAAGATCTATAGTCATAATTAAAAAATTATTTTGGTATTGACTTCAATTATATAACTGTTGAAATTGGGAGTTTGTTTAATTAAAAAATGTTACTTAATATTCAACTTTTAATTAGGGTTTTTTATTGCTAAACCTTTCTTAAGTTATTGCTAAACTTTTCTTAAAATTGTAAAAATATTAATTCCACAAAGAATCTTCTATTGTTGTTAATCTGAGATGTGAGTAGGAATTGTTTGAGAATAATATTTTTCAAAGTTTTCTGCACTCTGTAAATAGTACTATCAGTGTTCCCCATTTAATAAGCATTGAAATATGAGAAAAAACTTAAAATGTCTTTTAAGAACTAAGTGATTGAAATTTCAGATATGATATAATCAATAAAGAAATATATTAAATGTAAAAGAAAAAGGAACTGTTTGTCTAAGAAGGACATTGTCTACTTGTGGAACTGGGAAGGCTGGATACTACTTTTAGAAGAAATGAGAAAATGAACTTCATTTTTTGAATTGGGGTTATGATGTGACAGTTATTTGATTTTGTAAACTATAATTAGAGGGCAGGCAAAGATAAGAAATGAAAAAGACTTATTTTATACTGTTTACATTAAAGTCTTTAATTATAATTTAGATTTTAGAGTTTTTAAAGGTAATTTTTTTTTTTTTGAGACGGAGTCTCATTCTGTCACCCAGGCTGGAGTGCAGTGTGCGATCTTGGTTCACTGCATCCTCCGCCTCCTGGGTCCAAGGGATTCTCCTGCCTCAGTCTCTCAAGGAGCTAAGATTACAGGCATGTGCCACCATGCCCGGCTAATTTTTGTATTTTTAGTAGAGATGGGGTTTCACCATGTTGGCCAGGCCGGTCTCAAACCCCTGACCTCAGGTGATCCACCCTCCTCACCCTACCACAGTGTTGGGACTACAGGCATGAGCCACTGCACCCAGCCTAAAGGTAATTCTTAGGTAATAATTCACTTCTAGGATTTTGTTTCCTGTGGATGTTTTAATATCCATAATTTGAGTTAGTAATTGGTTTTTGCATGCTAAATAAATGTATTTCAATTAATTCATTTTTATCTCTGTGTAATCACTGCAGAGAGGCGACAAGTGCATTCCCTCTGTAAGTATAGTGAGCAATTCAGAGCACCCAGTTAAATATACTGTAATATGCAGCCAACTTTTAAGTAGGAGTCTTCTGGAGAGAATTGAGAAAATATGCTTGACAAAGCATTTCTGATGCACAGTGCTGAAATGTGGATTCTTTTTGGTATAAAGACAGTGCCTTCTCTCATGTGTCAAAAAGCAAAATAGAGTTTAGCAAAAACATTCTCAGTTCAGCAAACATTCACTGAATAGTGGTTATATTCAAGCTGCTGTGTAAGGTTTTAGAAAAAAATTTGAAACAGTTTTACAATCAGGAATGTGCATTGTGGTGCCTTCCTGGGATACTTTGATTTTTTTCATCATTTTATCTCTAGGAATACTGTGTGAAAATAGCTTCTGAAGATATCTAAATGCTGGTGTTTTGGAAATTACAGGCTCTAACAGAAAATAATAGGATTAAACAGTTTGAAAAGGGGCAGGGCTTGAAATGAGTTAAATATTGAGAATTACAGATGGAAAGCAGGTAAGTACCTTCCATTAAGCTCATAAAATCAAATTCTTTCTTGTAGAAATAAAGAATTTAAGAGCCACTTAAACCTATTTTCTGAAATTTAATGTCTGTTTGTTTCAAGGGTCTGCGTAACTTTTTAACCTGAGTTAAGAAAATGATGACTAATAAAGTCATTTGTTGCAAGTCTTCATCTTTTTTCTTGATGCTTAAAGGAGTTTTTTCTTATCCTTTAGCTGACATAGCATTTGATAGTTGGGTGGAAATCTTGTAGTGTTTGCTTCTTTTTTATTTTAAAGTAGTTGTTACATTAAACTAGTTGTTATGGTGGTATTTAATAATTTCAGCAAGGAGATATACAGGTTGAATATCTCTTTGGAATACTTGCATTATACTTAACCGGTTGAGCATCCCTAATCAAAAATCTGAAATCCATAATGCTCCAATGAGCATTCCTGTGAGTATCATGTTGGTGCTCAAGAGTTTCAGATTTTGGAGCATTTCGGAGTTGGGATTCTTGGATTTGGGATGCTCCACCTATATAAGAAAATACTGTACATTTGCATAGAGCGTTACTCTTTATATATAATGCTTATATATATTAATAACATCTCATTTGGATCTTAAAACAGCTCTATGAGAAAGCAAAGTTATGCATTGGGCATGATGGCTCATGCCTATAATCCCATCACTTGGGGAGGCCAAGGTGGGAGGATTGCTTGAGCTCAGGAGTTCGAGACCATCCTGGGCAACATAGTGAGGCCTCGTCTTTACTAAAAATAAAAAAAATTAGCCAGACTTGGTGGCACAAACCTGTAGTCCCAGCTACTTGGGAGGTTGAGGCAGAAGGATTGCTTTAACGGGATGAATCGAGGCTGCAGTGAGCTGTGCACACCAAGCCTGGTGACAGAGTGAGACTCTGTCTCTAATAATAATAATAATGATGTCCATGGGTTATTTTTCCTTTAAACAGTTTCTAACCTTTATTTTGAAGCCTCTGTGCATCACTTTGTGATGCAAAAGATTTATTCATCTCATATATATGTGCAATTTGAATACTAGAAATCCTTTATTTTGTGAATTCCATTTAGATTAACCATCAGCATGAAATTCAATGAAATCCTTTTATCAAAAAAAATGTTCCTTGATGGTTGGAATCCAGCTTAAAAAAAAACCCAATATGTATTTCTTTGCCAAACTATGATCCCCATTGGCATAGTACCCTTGAGAATTGTCCAAATGTTGCAAAGTGTTGTCACTTCATTTGCTGTAGTTGTTTCTTTATAACAACTATGTTTCTGAAATGATAGTTTCAAGACAAGGAATGTTGGTAATGTTTCTTTTATCATTACACTTTGGATAAAGTGGAAATTTGTAATTGACATAGGTAATATCTCTCTCTCTTTGCTGTTTTCGTGCCATTCTCTATCTTAGGCAAAAGTTACACTCTGTTTTTAGTTTCCAAATAAACTGCATTAGTGGGGTGGAAAAACAAGGATGCATTTCTTTGTGCCTTAAAAATACTGAAAAGTCACCTCATATGTATAGAAGGGAACAGTGTTGAGGATTTTTATTTTAAGAAAACATGAAAGAAGAAAGGATTTAGAGTGCTCGCTGAAGTTGACTGCTCATTAGAGAAATTTCCAATTTTGTAGTCAAAATCTTATAGCAAATGCATTGCAACATTACACATATAGTTATGAGAAACGTTTTTTGTGTATCTTTTTATTTTTTACTTAGGCAACAACTGAGTTTTTTTCTTAGCAGAGAAAAGGGCACCGTTGGTACCATTGGTGTAATTTGATCTTCATGGATTGTGGATCAAAAATAAATCTAAGATTTAAAACACCTGTTCCATTTGTAGTTAATTTTAGTAGCTTATAGAATAACATTTCTGTGATCTCTAGCCCTTTTGCCTATTGCATACAATGATGAAATACTGTAGCTATTAAATTTGCCTTGTGAAGCCAAGAGGACTAGATTTAGCACCGTCTTTACTTGGCTCAAGATCCTGATTAAAACACAAATTCTAGAGATTACATTATTCATAAGGGAATCTCCCAAAGCTGTTTTTGTGGATCTGGTCCTAATGCAAAATTTTACAAATTGTTTAAAGCTGGTGAATGGGTGTTTTTCCCCTTGGCATATAAATTTGTAACTTGTTAAAATGCTTGTAACAAGCATGTCTGATTCTGACACAAATCTAGATAACTTCACAATTATCAAATTGTATCAAATTGTTCTCACAAGACTTTAAGTTGTCAAGGTCTTTTCTGAATGTGCTATCATACTATTGAAATACTTGGAAAGTTTTGATGGTTTGAGGTTGGTATTTAAAAATAAGTTGCACAAGACATACTGTGGTCCTTGAGCTCCATGCATATCTACTGTACAAGTGAATCTGTAGCAAAGTTTTCTCTTTTCATTTCTACCAAATGTCATACAGAATATTCAAGAACTAATTAAGGAGTTTTGTTATGGTAGTACTTTGTAACCAGCGTCCTAACAATAGTAGCAAAATAAGTTCAGACAAAGCTTTGGTGCTGATGTCTCATTCCCTGGGCATTAAGAAACCCCCAGAAATGTGGTGGCACAAATTAAGCCATGAAACCACAATTCAATACATGCAGCTTGCCACTGCTTACTCACTGTTCCACAATTTGCTAGTGCTTATGACTAATTAGGTATTCACTTTAGAGTTTTAAGTAATTGGTCAGAGGCTTATACCTGATTAGGATATGTACATGGACAAGCTGGGCTGTCATGGTTTAATCTGAGCTTACAGTGATTTACATTCTAAACAAATATGAATAAATTGCACTTCAGAGCCGCTCCCACCTCTGTTCAACAGGATTTAGATGATAGGACTTGGACTAGAACCTTGGAATAGCCATCTGGCATGTAAGCTACATAAGAGCATTGACTTTTTTTTTCTGTACTGCATCCCCTGTGCCTCACACAGTGAGTAGCCTGTAGTAGGTGCTCAATACATACGTGTTGAAGGTTTGAATAAAAGAATACTTATGTCAGGGAAGGAAATAATTCAGTATATGGGTTAGGAAAGCAGAGGAAAATCTAAATGAGAGTGTTTTAAGAAGACAGTCAAACTTTGCAGTGTATGTAAAGGGGACGAGAGCTGAGAAAGATGACTAATGACTTCTGAGAGCACCTTTAGTAGAGTGATAGAGGTTTTGGGTGAATGAGAGAGTAAGTTTAGGTGAGTGGAGACTACTGTTTTCAAGGAAGTTGAACTGTAAAAGGAAGGAGAGAGATGACTTTTTGATGGGGAGTAGGTTATATTTATATATAGGACCCTTTAAGTAAGTAAATGTGAAAATTTTAAAGGAAAGGAGATAATCACAGGTTATATTTTTGAATGCTAGAAGTACTTTCAGTGAAGGTTTCTGAGTTCATTTGTTTTCTCTTGGCTCTGTTTAATACTGTTAGCAGACTCACAGGTTTGAATAATATCATATGCAATAGAAATAACATATTTAAGATGTTATTTTTTAACATCATGTCAGGCTTTGGGCTTTTATTGATTTCCCAGTAGTGTAGCTTTTGTATTTTTATTTTAAGAAAACAATAATAAATCTTAGACTTTGGCCACTTTAAGACACAATATTAATTTTTTTTAATGTGGTAATTGGATTTTCTTTGTAATTTCTCTATACTCTGCATTTAAGTGTAGAGTGATTACATACATTATAGACCCTACTTGGTCCTTTAAAAACTGCTAGTCTTCATTATTTTTATAATTACAGAAAAGGATTCAATTTTAAGAATTTTGAAGATTAGTGAAGCTGACTTAGCTTAGTTGATAGACTGAGAGGCTTCATGAATTTAAAACATTTTTTTTCCAACCCAGAAAACATTCTATTAATATCTTAAGTGTTTTAGATTTGGTTAAGAAAGGGGGTGGAGATGATACAGAGAGTGGTCCCTATGGAGTGGTGAGGATCAAAGAGGGATGAGAAATGGAAGTGGGTTGGCAAGAGAGGGAAGAGATAGATTTAAGATGAGGGAAAAGTTGTTACATATATTGTCAAGAATTCTTTGTGAAAGGAACAACCAAAAGTTTGGTAGCTGGATGGAAAGGGAGAACGTGGAGACGTTTTTGTGGTGGACATTGCTGTTTCTAATGGCAATTTTTGAGCATGTTTTCTCAGAAGAAAGAGCCAGTAGAGAAAGAAGTGGAAAATAGGAGAGAAGGGATAATGGATGGCACATGGCTTCTGAAAGATCGTGGGGAGTGGGTGGAGATAAGAGTCAGGTGAAGTTACCAGTCTTAGGCTAGAGAAGAGATACGTAAGTCTCCTGTGGATACAGGAAAGAAGAAAATGACTGGAATAATAAGTTGCTTATGTTTGTTTGTTTTTGGAGGGGGCTGAGATCAAAGGGAAGAGAAGCCTGCTGGCCTATATATTCTCTCTGGAGTCATAAGTAAAGTCACCTGAGGTAAAGTGGCTGGGTAAGGAGTCTGAAGTAAGTGCTGAATAGGAGATTTTCAGGCACTATTGTTATATGATAGCATCATAGAGTTGTCTTATTTTCCCAAGAAGCCCACATTGAGTAGAGTATAGGAACAGAGAAGGCAGACTGGTTAGATTAACCTAATGTTGGGAATTTGCAGCTTTCTGAATGTGACAGAAAGAGCAAGGAGTGAAGAAGTCAAGGGTGTTGTCAAGAATGTGCTTTAAGTTTTGGGCCATGGAATCAAGACAGAGGACATAAAGTGAAGCCACATGAAGGCTTTTCTAACGAATCCATGCCACCCTTCCATCCCTTACCTTTGTCTCCATCCACAGGGAGTATGGGGAGGATACTTACTCCCTCAAATTAATTATTTTCTCCACTCAAAAATTGAGCCACATGTTTTTATATCTTTTAAGTTACTTCCAAGTTTATCATACTGTAAACCTTTAAAATACAGTTTGTTGTCAGCTATAAGTTGAACTTGTTTCGCCTGTTTATCCTTCCAATATTCAGTATTGGAGAACTAAAATGAGACAGATAAAGTAGTACATGTGCCACATTGTTTCCTACTTAATGATTCTGTAAAGTATCCTTTCTTAAGTAGCAGTTACTTAATACGCTAGAGAAGTAATATGTTTGAGAACATGCAGTATTTCGTTTTCTGTTCCTCCTTTAGTTTGCTAGTGATAATGGCCTCCAGAGATGACACAAACAAATGGAAAAACATTCCATCCTCATGGATAGGAAGAATTAATATTGTTAAAATGGCCATACTGCCCAAAGCTGAAGGGGTGGGTTGCCCCTCCACACCTGTGGGTGTTTCTCGTTAGGTGGAACGAGAGACTTGGAAAAGAAAAAGACACAGAGACAAAGTATAGAGAAAAAAATAAGGGGACCCAGGGAACCAGCGTTCAGCATATGGAGGATCCCGCCAGCCTCTGAGTTCCCTTAGTATTTATTGATCATTTTTGGGTGTTTCTCAGAGAGGGGGATGTGGCAGGGTCATAGGATAATAGTGGAGAGAAGGTCAGCAGATAAACACGTGAACAAAGGTCTCTGCATCATAGACAAGGTAAAGAATTAAGTGCTGTGCTTTAGATATGCATACACATAAACATCTCAATGCCTTACAGAGCAGTATTGTTGCCCACATGTCCCACCTCCAGCCCTAAGGCGGTTTTCCCCTATCTCAGTAGATGGAACATACAATCGGTTTTATACCGAGACATTCCATTGCCCAGGGACGGGCAGGAGACAGATGCCTTCCTCTTGTCTCAACTGCAAAGAGGCATGCCTTCCTCTTGTACTAATCCTCCTCAGCACAGACCCTTTACGGGTGTCGGGCTAGGGGACGGTCAGGTCTTTCCCTGCCCACGAGGCCATATTTCAGACTATCACATGGGGAGAAACCTTGGACAATACCTGGCTTTCCTAGGCAGAGGTCCCTGCAGCCTTCCGCAGTGTTTGTGTCCCTGGGTACTTGAGATTAGGGAGTGGTGATGACTGTTAACGAGCATGCTGCCTTCAAGCATCTGTTTAACAAAGCACATCTTGCACAGCCCTTAATCCATTTAACCCTGAGTTGACACAGCACATGTCTTGGGGGTAAGGTTATAGATTAACAGCATCTCAAGGCAGAAGAATTTTTCTTAGTACAGAACAAAATGGAGTCTCCTATGTCTACTTCTTTCTACACAGACACAGTAACAATCTGATCTCTCTTTCTTTTCCCCACAAAAGCAATTTGTAGATTCAGTGCTATTCTCGTTACACTACCATTGACATTCTTCACAAAACTAGAGAAAACTATTTTAAAATTCGTATGGAACCAAAAAAGAGCCCAAATAGCCTAGGCAATCCTAAGCAAAAAGAACAAAACTGAAGGCATCACGCTACCTGACTTCAAACTACACTACAGGGCTAAAGTAACCAAAACAGCAGGATACTGGTACAAGAACAGACACATAGACCAGTGGAACAGAACAGAGGACCCAGAAATAAGACTGCACACCTACAACTGTCTGATCTTCAATAAACCTGACATAAGTAATGGGGAAAGGATTCCCTATCTAATAAATGGTGCTGGGATAACTGGATAGCCATATGCAGAAAATTGAAACTGGATCCCTTCTTTACACTATATACAAAAATCAACTCAAGATGGAAGCCTAAAAACTATGAAAACCCCATAATAAAACCCAGGGAATACTATTCAAAATTGTATTTTCAGTATGATTGAGTTTATTATAAATATAGATGTCTATATGTAAATATATGTCTATATATATGTCTATAAATACACACATGAGAAACTGAAAAGTGATTCACAAAAAGTGATTATCTCATGGTAATGGAATTGTGGTTGGTTTTTAATTTTTTTAATGCATTGGCAAAATTCTTTAAAATGATTATGATTAAAAATTCATTTTAAGAAAGTAAGCTGTTGTTCAGTAACAATAACAAAAGAAATAGTATTCATGGATTCTGTTTATTAAGGAATTATGTAGCCAAGCATTGCCCTGAATTTTTTGTGTTCAGAAACTTATTTAAGCATTAACTGACCCTATAAGATAAGCATTGTGGTGCTTTTTCCTTTTGTAAGGTCACATGGCTGTTGAAGGGCCAAAATTGAAACCCAGGTCTGACACTAAAGCTCAAATTTATGAATTTTTATAATACGTTAAATAGAGTTGATTTTTTTAAATTGTGGTAAAATATACATAATGTAAAAAGTTTACCATCTTGACCATTTTTCAGTGTACATTAGTATTGAGTACATTTACATTGTTGTGCATATAATCTCTAGAATGCTTTTCATCTTGCAGAACTGAAACTTTGTATCTGTTAAAGAGCTCCTCATTCTCCCCTCCCTCTGCCCTGGTAACCGCTCTCTAAATTTACTACTCTAGGTACCTCACATAAGTGGCATTGTATAGTATTTGTCTTTTTGGGACGGATTTATTTCACTTACCGTAATGTTGTCAAGGTTCATCTATGTCGTAGCATGTGTCAGAATTTCCTCCCTTTTTAGGCTGTATAATAGTCCATTATATATTATATATAATATATATTCTATAATATGTAATTAACTTATTAATTACATATATAAATTAATAAACATATATAATATGATAAATATATAATATTTGTTTATTAATTACATATATCTATGCATACAGTACACACCCCCCCCCTTTTTGTTTATTCATTCATCCCTCAGTGAACGGACACTTGGGTTGCATTCACCTTTGGGCTACTGTGGATAATGCTGCTGTGAACATGTGTATACAAAAGTCTCTTTCAGACTCTGCCTTCAATTCTTTCAGACATTTCAGGATATGGAATTGCTGAATTGTATGAGACATGTATTTTTAATTCTTTGTGGAACTGTCATACCGTTTTCCATAGTGGCTGCGTCATTTTGCATTTCCACTAACTGTACACAAGGGTTCACATCTTTGTCAACCTATGTTTTTTGAAAGTAGTAGTCATCCTCATGAGTGTGACAGGTTCTTTGGTTTGGTTTTATTATTTTGTGTTTTTTTTTTGTTTGTTTGCTTTTTGAGACAAGGTCTTGTTCTGTAGCCTGTTTTTTGAGACAGGGTCTCGTTCTGTAGCCCAGGCTGGAGTGCAGTGGTATGATCTTGGCCTTACTGCAGCCTCTGCCTCCTGAGCTCAATTGATCCTCCTGCCTCAGCCTGTTGAGTAGCTGGGACTACAGCTGCATACCACTACAACTTGCTAATTTTTGTACTTTTTGTGGAAATGGGTTTTTTCCATGTTGCCCAGGCTGGTCTCAAACTCCTGGGCTCAAGCCATCCAACCAGAAGTGCTGGGATTACAGGTATAAGCTACTGCCCCTGGCCTGGTTTGGGTTTAGTTTTTGAGTGAGGTTTTAATAGACTTGATCTTTAAATTCTTTCAGACCTCTTGAAGAATAAATAATTAATGAACAAATAATATATATGTATCATACACTTAACCAGTTGAACTACTGATACTTGTGTTCAAAATTAAGGTAATTATAATAACCAAAAAGTTGAAACAACTCAAAAGCCCATTATGTAATGGATGGATAAGTAAAATATGGTATATTCATATACAATGGACTATTATTTGGCAATGAAAAGCATATATTGATACATGCTACATTATGGATAGATGTTGAAATGTTATGCTAAATGAAACCAGGCATAAAGGCCACACATTATATGATTCCAGTTATATGAAATATCTAGAATAGGTAAATATGTAGAGACAGAAAGTAAATCAGCGGTTGGCAGAGACTGGGGTCAGGGTAGGAGGTGCTGGTGGGGAGGAATGGCGAGTGACTGCTAATGGGTATGGGGTTTCTTTAAGTGCAGAAAGATACTTGTTAAAAAAAAAAAAAAAAGGAGATGAACTAAGTCTCGTTTCTTGTTTTCATGCCCTGTTTGGCGAGAGTGTGTGTATATTTAAACAGTTTTCATAAATTTTGAAATGATGGGGAAAATAAATTTTTAGAACATGGTTGGGAGGAAAACCGAATTTAGAAAAATGTTAGTATATAGTCATTTTTTCCTAGTGGGAGATTTCCTATAATATATATTATAGGAATATAATATATAATTCCTATTTCCTATAATTTTAATTTTAGGAACACAATATATGTAATCCAGTTGCTTTTAAAAATCATAATTTTAGTATGATTCAATATGGTTTATTCAGAAAATTACAAAATTTCTAATAACGAATTTGTTAATCATAGAAGCATTTGGAAATGCATATTAAATTTGGTAGTGCTTGAAAATTCATGCTTCCTTCTCCCATACATTGTGCAAATGCTTCCATATGTTATTCACCATTTGGCTAAAGAAGAAAAATCCAATTCATTTGCTAGCTTGAGTATAAATATTAAACTATTTCCATATAAATCCAGTGACATTGTTTGCCTCGCTGTAATTCTGAAGCAACTTGGGCTACAATGCTTAGATTAGGTGATTTTACCACACAACATCAGGTGAGGGGAAATTCTGTTATGTTTTATTTAGGTTTGGAAAATAATGCTATTGATAGATCATGACAGGAACCTGTAGTATTATACCAACATACGTTAATAGTTTCAAAGTCACAGAGTCAGGAGGAGGTGAGTTTCTCCTTCCTTCCCACCTCAGAACCATGGGATTTGGTCTGTCCTGACCTTTCTGAGCAAAGGAGATAATTTTGCTTATTTTTTGTACTTTCTAGAATAAATGGACAAAGCCTGTACTTTTCTGTTTTAAAACCTTGTCTGGATGTCCAGTGTAACTGTACCAATCTTTAATTTGTAAGGTCAGTGAGAAGCTGCTGGTAATCAAAGAAGACTGAACAAAACACAGCCCACCCACTCATACCACACCAGACATGGATTTTGCTTTTGTATGTTAGAATTGTATTACTTGTTTAAAAGCAGAAACTTGGTTTAGGGGAAGAGGAATTCTATTTGGGAGCTAAATGCTATAGAATTCTTATCTCTGATTGATCCTTCTATGAATGATTTACCTTAACAATTTTCAGCTCTTTACTACTTTTATAAGCACATTTATATTGTCGAAGGTCTATTAACTGTACCTTTGGATGCCTTGTTCAGAAAATAGTGTTACTTTTAATTATTTAGGTTTGTAAGAAGTATCTTTTGCTACTTAAGGTGTAGCATTTTCTGGTCTTCAAAGGAGCCCTTGCTCATGGTTGTACTGCTGGAGAGCACATTTGTGGTTCCCTGGAGACAGCATCAAAGACTCCAACAGCAGCTGTATCAACAGAGATGTGTTTGTACATTATTGTGATTTAAAAAGTACTTTGAGGATTGGGCATTTTGCAACAAAATACAAGCTTTGTTCTCTGGAATAGTAGGGGATTTGGCAAAATTACTTCAAAAAGAAAAGGATTTTGCACTAAAAAGTGAATAATTCTAATTCTTCATCTAGTAAAATAATTTCATCCCAGTAAGTAGTGTTTTTAGTCCCTCATTATTTGACACATTTGACCATTTAAATATATGGTATTTATTCACCAAAGATGCCATTAAATTTTCTTTGTTTCATGGTTACTAACAGCCTGCCTTGTACATTTTGGCCAGAAGAGAAGAGATAAACCCCAGTTTTTATCAGCTATAGGCCTGAACTCTCAACAGTAGACTTGAAATCTTTTTCTCTACCTCTCCCTTCCAACACTTTGGTGACCATATAGCAAAAGAACTAAATGTTTCTTGTGTGGTTATTAGTTATCTTCTGTTCATATGAATTTGTAGTAGCTTTGTCAAGGAACCTTTCAAATTCGATGAGTACTTTTCTGTTGAGTATGATCCTAAGTGATTACATTTTCATTTAATTCCTTTCTCTTAGGAGAGCAACGCTTTATGAAATTTATACATTTAAACTAATATTCTTAGATGCCTATCAGTGGGGAAGTTTTCATTGTCTTAGTGAAAAAAATGAAGAGTGGGAATAATTTATTTTCTTCAGAACCACCAAAATGGGACAGAAATCCTGATTTCCTGATCCTAGTGAGATCATCTGCCTTTTAGGCTGCTTCAAAGAATGTTACAGATTGTCCAGGTTATGAAGCTCTTAAAAATTTGTACAGATTTTTAATGTATGCTGAAATCATAAACAATGACTGAAACCTCAGTTTTTGAAAATTCCTAAGGAATTGATTGATTTTTTTTTTTTTTTTTGAGACGGAGTCTTGCTCTGTCACCCAGGCTGGGGTGCAGTAGCATAATCTTGGCTCACTGCAACCTCCGCCTCCTGGGTTCAAGCAATTGTCTGCCTTAGCCTGCCAAGTAGCTGGGATTACAGGGACCTGCCACCACAGCCCGCTAATTTTTTGTGTTTTTAGTAGAGACGGGGTTTCACCATCTTGGCCAGGCTGGTCTTGAACTCCTGACCTTGTGATCCACCCACCTTGGCCTCCCAAAGTGCTGGGATTACAGGCGTGAGCCACTGCGCCCAGCTGGAATTGATAATTTAACTGGTTATTTTCTGGCTAGAAAACAATGTATACTTTTGTAAAAGTATTCTTTTAATTATTTTTACCTTATACAAATGAAATTAAATTCATACTTTTCTCCTTAAACATCGTAGACTGAACAAAACTGCTTGGTAATTTACTTGATGATGTGATATTATTCTTTTGCTTTAATATACCAATAGATCCTTTTTTCCCTCTAACATTTATTTAATACTTATTGTAGGCTAGGCACTGCTCTAGGCATGATACTGATGTAGTCATTTACTAAATAGTCTCAGGCTGCAGTGTTTTGAATTCTTGGCTGAATTGAGCATAATGTTAAGAACACGAATTCAGGAACCAGACTGTTAAAATTTGAATCCTGGCTCTACTGCTGATATGACATGTGACCATAATATGACATGTGACCCTATACCATAATACTGGTAAACACCTAAAAGAACAGTAACTTTTTAATACCAATGAAGTTATTTCTTCAGTTGTCCCCTAAATGTCTATAACCCTTCTTTGCCTCCATTTTTGCATCTGTACGTGGGGTCAGTGATGTAACCTACCTCATAGGGATTGTTATGAGGATTAAAAAGAACACATAAAATGTTTGAAATAGTGCCCCACACATAGTTGCTATGTAAAGTTATTACCACCACCAGGAATACTGTTATTACTATGACTTCACAGTGCTGTCAGCCAGCTTGCCCCATCTCCTCTTTAAATTTCTCTAATCTAGGAAAAGACAACCAAACTAAGGGTAAAATGAGAGTAAATTGACTGTATGAAGCCTGAGATTTCCCACAAGAAAACATGCTGTGTATACCTTGGCATTACATTTTGGTTGCTGAGAACTTTTGTTTCTTAGACAAGCCTTTAATAGGCCATGCTTATAAATGAATCTTGAATAAGAAAAAGTATGAGATAAAGTTCATTTTAATAAATAGGACTTATTTTTTAGGGAAAAAGATCTTGAAGAAGCTCTGGAAGCAGGAGGTTGTGATCTTGAAACGTTGAGAAATATAATTCAAGGAAGACCGCTGCCTGCTGATCTGAGGGCCAAAGTTTGGAAGGTAACTAGAAACTAAAATGAATAAAATGTAATCACTGAAGAATAATATTTTTAAAAGTTTGTTGCTTCAGATGTCTTAGTTGCAGAAAACTTTATTACCTTATGAGCATGCCGCATCTAGATTTATCAAACAGCAGCTTATTAAAATGTTTGTTTCTGTAGTGTTTGGTATATTTAACAATAATGGCTTAGATTTTGGAATGTAATATATGCTTTTGTAGCCATTAGAAATGGTGTTTATGGGGCCAGGCACAATGGCTCATGCCTATAATCCCAACACTTTGGGAGGCTGAGGCAGGCAGATCACCTGAGGTCAGGAGTTCAAGACCCGCCTGGCCAACATGGTGAGACCCCATCTCTACCAAGAGGCCGAGGCAAGAGAATCGCTTGAACCCAGGAGGCGAGGCTACAGTGAGCCGAGATAGCGCCACTGCACTCCAGCCTGAGTGACAAAGTGAGACTCCATCTCAAAAAAAAAACAAAAAGAAATGGTGTTTATGAAAATTTTCTTGAAACAAGATACAATCAGTGAGTAAAATAGGATGTATATTTGCAGATACAGAATGATCATAACAATGTTAAAAATAAAAAAGGAAGTATGCCTCTGGCTGTTGGGTTATAGGAGATTTTCCCTTTGTTTTCCTCTATTCAGCTATTCTACAGTTCATGTGTATTATTATTTTTTAAAATTTTGAATTAAGGCATTGTTATGATTACAAAAGAAATACATATATTTGTGGAAATATATACAGCATAACAACCACAAAGGATAAAATAAAAATCTGTTACCTACCACCTATAGGTAAAACAGATGAGGTCTTGGTGCTTACCTTTTTACCTTTTTGCCCTATGCACATATGTAACAGAAATGGAATTAAAACTGTACACAGCATTCTGAGCATTTTATTATAGAAGTTTAAGCACATGCAAAAGTGTAGAACTTGTATAATGAACTCCCATGTGCCCATAACCCAGCTTTAACTGGTATCAACATTTAGCCAGTGTTGTTTGATTAGTATCCTCATCCTTTCCTCCCCACCCAACTCACTGGATTGTTTTAAAGCAAATCCTTGCTAGCATACTAAAAGTCTGAAACGTTTAAAAGAATGGTAATTCCTGGCTGGGTACAGTGGCTCACACCTGTAATCCCAGCACTTTGGGAAGTTGAGGCAGGTGGATCACCTGAGGTTAGGAGTTTGAGACCAGCCTGGCCAACATGGTGAATCCCCATCTCTACTAAAAATACAAAAATTAGCTGGGCGTGGTGGTGGGTGCCTGTAGTATCAGCTACTTGGGAGGCTGAGGCAGGAGAATCACTTGAACCCGGGAGGCGGAGAGGTTGCATTGAGCCGAGATCGTGCCACTATGCTCCAGCCTGAGCAAGAGAGCGAAACTCAGTCTCAAAAAATAAAAAAGACTGGTAATTCCTTAATATCATAAAATAATTTCTTCAGTTGTCTCATACATGTGTTTTTATGGGTGATTTGTTTAAATTTGAATTCTAGTAGGTCTACCTGTTGCATTTGGATATGTCACTTAAGATTCTTTAAATCAATACAGTTTATTTTACATTTTAAAAAAAACCTTACAAAACAGTGAAAACATTTGCTCAATTTATTAAGTATTCTTTTGTATAATTTTAAAATGTACATGGCACAGATGTACTTTTTCTTTGCCAGTACATTCTGTTGTTTTTACATTAAAAAAATTGATTGTGTAAATTTACATATCTAAATATATAAATATTTTGGGTAATTTATTGTATTCACTAAATCAACATGAAGAAATATCTAATGTAGGAGGACTTAAAATAATTCTGCTGGTTGTGACATGACTAAATACTCAACATTTGGTGGAGTATGGATACCTTAATTGTAATCTTTGTTATTATTTTTAAATTCAGGCCTTTAATTATTACAGCATATTTTCCAAGAATGAGGAATAACATATGAAGCTAGTCACTTTTTAAATCTTTCTTCCAGATTGCTCTGAATGTTGCAGGAAAAGGTGATAGTTTGGCATCATGGGATGGTATTTTAGACTTGCCAGAACAGAACACTATTCACAAAGATTGCCTGCAGTTTATTGGTAAGCTGAATAATCACTTTCAAGCAGAGTTAAATTTTGGAAATAATTTTTGGGTTGAGGAATCACTCTTCAGAATAATCTTATAATTTCAGAATTTGTAAAAGGCTTGTAAATAGCTTTAGAACTTTTCTTTGGAAATTCTTATGAAATATTGTCTATTAATTTTAAGGGAGCCTAGTTTTGACTGGGTGCAGTGACTCACACCTGAATCCCAGCACTTTGGGAGGCCAAGGCAGACAGATCACTTGAGGTCAAGAGTTCAAGACCAGCCTGGCCAACATGGCAAAACCCTGTCTCTACTAAAAAATACAAAAATTAGCCAGGTGTGGTGGTGGGCGCCTGTAGTCCCAGCTACTTGGGAGGCTGAGGCAGGAGAACTGCTTGAACACAGGAGGCAAAGGTTGCAGTGACCTGAGATCACACCACTGCACTCCAGCCTGGGCACAGAGTGAGACTCTATCTCAAAGAAACAAAAAAGATAACCTAGTTTTTACTGTTTCTTTTGCATTATATGTTAGATTTTTCATGTACATTTATGGGTTTGTTGTAGTCTTAAATTTGATTTTTATATAATTAAAGATCTATATGATTGTATGCAGCCCTCAAAGGGGAGCTTTGTTCCAAAAGTTTATCTATAAATCATAGTTTGTGGACTGCTGTAGAGAAACTACTATAAATTGTGATTGAATAGGTTTCCAGTCACCCCACAACATCTATTTCATTTCACAATGTGGATGAATTTAGTTTATACTTCTTTTAAATTCATCTCTAGTGCATTGTATTTTTGTTTCTCTTTCCATCATATTTTAGTTAAATTATTAGCTTGATAGGCCTATGTGTGGTAAGCACAGCAGAAACATTATTGCTGGTGTGGACAAAAGAAAGAATTTGATAGTGGAGAATGAATTCCTTTCCCTCTTCTTGCCAAAATTATAGCAACAACTGCCCATCATGGAGTAGGTGATAATCTGTTTAGAAAACCCTTTTGCTTCCCAGGAATATGGGCTATGCCTATCTTTACCTATCCCTTTAATTCAGATTGGCCATTCTTATGTTTGACATATATATAGATCAGGTATTACTAAGTGCTAATGTTTAGTAAATACTGAATGTATAGAAGTCTTCTGTTTCTTTCCCTTCTCTCTCAACAGACTAGGTAAGAAAACATGCTTAAGTGAAACTGTTATTCTTAATTTTCTTTAAATTTTCTTTAAACTGTCTTAAAGTTAAAAGACTGTTAGAAGGCCAGGCACAGTGGCCCATGCCTATAATCCCAGCACTTTGGGAGGCCGAGGCAGGCAGATCACCTGAGGTCAGGAGTTCGAGACCAGCCTGGCCAACATGGTGAAACCCTGTCTCTACTAAAAGTACAAAAATTTAGTTGGGTGTGGTGGTGCTTGCCTGTAATCCTGGCTACTCGGGAGGCTAAGGCAGAAGAATCACTTGAAATCGGGAGGTGGAGGTTGCAGTGAGCCAAGACCGTGCCATTGCACTCCAGCCTGGGTGACAAGCTAAACTCCGTCTCAAAAAAAAAAAAGGCTGTTATAAAGCGTTTTGACTGTGTGTTTTCCTTGGGTTTTGGATCTGTGAACCAATGATTGTTAAAATAAGTATAAGGGAAAATATACTTTCATGTAGTTTCACTTTGTCTTTCTCTAAATGCACTAACATAGTATTATATATTTGTAAACAAGTGTTATGTCCAATAACAGCCCCTGACAGGCCCTCAGTAACTTTATTTTTAACATTTATTTTCTAGACCAGCTTTCAGTGCCAGAGGAGAAGGCAGCAGAATTACTTTTGGATATTGAATCTGTAATTACCTTTTATTGTAAATCACGTAACATTAAATATAGCACATCCCTTAGCTGGATACATCTACTGAAACCATTGGTGCATCTTCAACTGCCACGCAGCGATTTATACAACTGCTTTTATGCCATAATGAATAAGTACATTCCCAGGTAAAATATGATTCAGTTATTGTAGTTTTTAAAAGTGAATACAGGCCTGGTTTGCTTTGAGCTAAAGTTGCTAGATTTACTTTGGCGGTAAAGTAAAAGGTTCAAATAATTTTGAGGATTGTTTGATCCATAATTGTTATTTTATTTTTGTGGTTATAAACATTTTTTAAAAGATTCTTTAGTTAAAAATGTATACTTCTGAAACAGTGGTTATACTGGGGTTGGAGTTGGGGAGGAAGTGGGGAGATTTAGGTCAAAAGGATACAAAATAGCAAATAGGTGTGATGAACAAGTCGAAAGACCTAATATGCAATGTGGGGACTCTAGTTAATAATAGTCTATTATATTGAAGATTTTTGCTAAATAAGTAGATTATAGCTGCTTTTGCCACAGAGGGGAAATTGGGAATATGAGATGATAGGTGCATTATTTTGTTCCACAATAGTAACCATTTTACTATGTATGTGTTTTTTATAACGTGTTGTATAATGCACAGAAATTTATTTTTAAAAAATAATTTAAAAATTAAAAATTTCTAGAGTTTATATATATAATTCTTCCAGTTTATTTGGTGGTATCCCTATTTTAATTTATTTGCCTATAAAATATTACAGTGTTCAGGTGAAAAGTAAAATTTCTGGGGTGTTACCTTATTGAGCTTGGAAGGAAGTCCTAGAAATATAGGCATTGAACAAGTAAATTGAAGTGTGCTGAATGTTAGAAAGGTGAAATATAGAGTGCTATGGGGATGTATAATGGGGGCAACCTAACTTACCTTGGAGGTCAGGGATGGCTTTCCCATGGTAAGTGGCATTTGAGACCAGACAGATGTGCAGGTGGTTGTGATGGGGGTTGTAGTGGGGGTCGTGGTGGTGGGCAGCACTCATGAGGCCAGAAAGAATTGTTGTAGTTCCCAGTGCAATAGATCAGATAGTTAGAATTTTAGTACCAAAAGAAACTTTAGACATAGTCTAGACTAGTGGCTTGGCTGTACAACCTTGAATGCACATTAGAACTATTGGGGGAGCTCTTAAAAATCCTAATGACTATTTGCATACATGAGTAATTAAATGAAAATCTCTTGGTGATGGGACCTAGGCATCAGTTTGTTTAGAGCTTACTAATTAATTTCAGCGTGTAGCCAAGGTGGAGAACCGCTAATCTGGACCTTGATAGTTAACTGACTCTTATTTTTTACTACTTTCTAAGTGATACCACACTGTATGAGGTATAAGTGTTTTGTATGGTTCTCTACCCTGGTTGCTTGTTAGAATCAACTGAAGCACTTTTTCTTTTTTTAAATAACGACTTTATTGAGATATAATTTATATTCCATAAAATTCACCATTTTAATGTGTACAATTCACTGGTTTTAATTATAGTCACAGAGTTGTACAGCCATAACCACAACCAATTTTAGAACATTTTATCACCCCAACAAGAAATCCCCTTCCCGTTAGTGGTCAACTCTCCATTTTCCCCCAAAATGGGGGGAATGATTGGTATGATTCTGTATATAAGGAATCATACCTTATATGTTTTTGTGACTGCCTTTAATGTTTAGCATTATGTTTTCTAGGTTCATATTGTATCATATATCTTATTTCATTTCTTTTTTTGCCAAATTTTTTATTGTATGCGTATACCGCATTTTATTTACCTATTCATCAGTTGATGGATATTTGGATTGTTTTCACTTTTTTACTATTATGAGTATGAAGCTGTGAACGTTCATATACAAGTTTTTGTGTAGATGTGTATTTTCATTTCTGGGATATGTGCCTACAAGGGGAATTGCTGGACCATATGGTAATTATGTTTAACCTTTTCTGGAATTGCCGGATTTTTCCATAGCAGCTGCATCATATGTTCTCACCAACAGTCAGTGGAGATCCCAGTTTCTTCACATCCTTGTCAACATTTGTCTTTTTGATTATAGCCCATCCTAGTGAGTGTGAAATGATACCTCATTATGGTTGTTGACTTGCATTTCCCTAATGGCTAATGATGTTGAGCATCTTTTTATGTGTTTATTGGCAATTTATATTTCTTCTTTGGAGAAATGACTCTTTACCCAAAGTACTTTTAAAACATACTGGTCCCTAGAGTTTTGTTTTTTTTTTTCCAATAAATCTTTTGCACTCCTATTTTTTCCACAGTAAGCCTTTAGAGTTTCAGATATAAGTGGACTGCAAAGAGCATAGGTATAGATATTTTTAAATCTCTCCAGGTGATTCTGATATGCACCAGGATGGAGAACCTCTGTGCTACCTTGAAGCCATACTGCTTTATGTAAGGAAAACAGACTTAAAGATACCAGAAAACAAGGCTAAGGTCATGGCAGAGCCAAGACTTGAATTCATATTTAGGAGTCATTTTGTTGTACTAGGTCTCTCAACTGCCTATATTTTAGCACTTCTCATGGCCACCTCTTGCTCTAACAGCTAGCAATAGCAAGAGATAAGATGTCCCAGCTTTGCCTCTGGAGAATGGTGGTGATGGTAGTTAGGAACAGTGGGGAAAGACTTTTGCATTATGCTTTGTAACATA
Organism: Homo sapiens; assembly: GCF_000001405.40. Lineage (NCBI taxonomy): Eukaryota > Metazoa > Chordata > Mammalia > Primates > Hominidae > Homo > Homo sapiens. The sequence goes on from NC_000003.12 coordinate 100,286,362, forward strand.
CTGTGTTGTCAGGTTTCTCTAGTTATTGCTTCCATGACTTCCATATGGAACAGCCCTCCAGCCAGGGCCAGCATTAATAGCCCTGGAAGGAACCCCGAGCCCCACAGAATGCTGCTGGAACTCCATTTTAACATATCTTCTTTTTTTTTTTTTTGAGACAGAGTCTCACTTTGTCATCCAAGCTGGAGTGCAGTGGCACAGTCTCAGCCCACTGCAATCTCTGCCTCCTGGATTCAAGTGATTCTCATACCTCAGCCTCCTGAGTAGCTGGAATCACAGGCATGTGCGACCATACCTGGCTAATTTTTGTGTTTTTAGTAGAGATGGGGTTTCACCATTGGTCAGGCTGGTCTTGAACTTCTGACCTCAAGGGATCCGCCCAACTCGACCTCCCAAAGTGTTGGGATTACAGGCGTGAGCCACCACTCCCACCCTAACATATCTTCTTCTTTTTAATTATTTATTTATTCATTTAGACAGAGTCTCGCTCTGTTGCCAGGCTGGCGTGCAATGGCATGATCTTGGCTCAGTGCAACCTCCGCCTCCCAGATTCAAGCGATTCTCCTGCTTCAGCCCCCGAGTAGCTGGAATCACAGGCGTGTGCCACCACACCCGGCGAATTTTTGTATTTTTAGTAGAGATGGGGTTTTACCATTGGCCAAACTGGTCTCAAACTTCTGACCTCAAGTGATCCGCCCCCTTCGGCCTCCCAAAGTGCTGAGATTACAGGTGCAAGCTACCGCGCCCAGCCTTTTTCTCTTCTTTTTTTGAGACAGGGTCTCACTCTGTCACCCAGACTAGAGTGGAGTTGCTTGATCTCGGCTCACTGCCACCTCCATCTCTTAAGCTCAAGCGATTCTCCTGCTTCAGCCTCCCAAGTAGCTGGGTTTAAAGGTACATGCCACTATCACCAGGCTAATTTTTGTATTTTTGGTAGAGACTGGGTTTTACCACTAGCATGTCTTATTACAGTTTCACATATAAGATGGCAGAATCCCGTCAAGCACAGTGCCTTGTACTTGAGAGCAACACTGCAGTATACAGTTGTTAAATGAATAATTGCTGTTGCAGTGGCTGACTCTCAGAGATGCCCCACTTTTTTGGAAGATGAGATCATGAACTAGGCAATTGTTTCTATAGTGTATGCCTCTACTCACTGTGTGTTCTGCCTTAGCATTCTTTTGCCTTGCATTTATACAGTAGGGTAAGTATTAAGACTAAGGAGGAGGTAGTCATACCAGTATGAATCTAGTTCTGTGTCTGGGCATCTCAATTGCCAACCTGGGGCCTTTTCTATAAAACTTCCTTCCACCTGCAGTATCAAAAAGTGATAGATTGAGAGTCATACAAATCCTGACATTGACCTCACATCTTAGATTTTAGAAATTATTTTTATTTTTCCCTTTAAATTACATTGTAAAACATTTTTTTTTCTTTTTTGATAACAAGATCTTACTATGTTGTCTAGGCTGGTCTTGAAAACCTGGTCTCAAGTGATCCTCCCTCCTCAGCCTCCTGAGTAGCTGGGACTACACGTACATGCCACTCTGCCCTGCTTAAAACACTCCTTATTAATGCTGTCATGTTAAAACTGTGAGGCCAGGTGCAGTGACTCACACCTGTAATCCCAGCCACTTTGGGAGGCCAGGGCAGGCAGATCACTTGACCCCAGGAGTTTGAGACCAGCCGAGGCAACATAGTGAGACCCTGATCCTACAAAAAAAATTTTTTTAATTAGCCAGGCATGAGGGCATGCATCTGTAGTCCCAGCTACTCAGGAGGCTAAGTGGGGAGGATCACCTGAGCCCAGGGAGGTCGAGGCTGAAGTGAGCCATGATCCTGCCACTACACTCCAGCCTGGGCAACAGTGAGACCCTGTCTAAAAAAAAAAAAAATTAAAAAATTAAAAAAAACTGTCATTCATTTCATTGACTTTTTTACATGAGGCTTTTTACTTCATTTTCTTTACAGTTTGCTTTTTTAGAGATGGGACCCCTACAAAAATACCACTTGTTGAAATATTGAGTTAGATATGGAAGGGGGCAGTATGGCATAATGACTTAAGGTCCAGTTTCTGTATACAAGTCTTAGCTCCATCACTTCTTGGCTATTTTACCTTCAGTGAGCTACCTGACTTTAGTTGAGCCTCAGTTTTCCCATCTGTAAATTGGGTATATATTTCATAGGATTGTTTGATAAAATGTAAGATAAAATGAAATAACTTTGTAAAATGCTTATTACATTGTCTGGCACATGGTATTTCCTCAATAAATAGTTGACTTTTATTATGATGGCCTGTGCTTTGACCTGTTTATAAGTTTTTGCTGATTCATTAGATACATTCTTGCCTCCTTCCCTTGTAATAGTAGAATGTATCTCAGTACAAAAGCTGAATGGAGTAAATTTATAGAATTGAGGAATTAGTGAAGCCTACTGGTCTAACTGAAGATTGAGTTAGTCAGCATCTTGTTAACAGTAACACCATACTTTAACCAAACTGTCTGGAATTAACTGTGTTTTCAGTATTGCTTTTTGTTTTTAACTGTACGGGTTAAAAAGTAACTACCTCTGGCCCGGCATGGTGGCTCATGCCTGTAATCCCAGCAATTTGGGAGGCCGAGGAGGGAGGATCGCTTGAGCCCAGGAGTTCGAGACCAGCCTGGGCAACATGAAGAAACCCTGTCTCTACCAAAAATACAAAAATCGCCTGGGCATGGTGGATGTACCTGTAGTCCCAGCTGCTTGGGAGGCTGAGGTGGGAGGGTGGTTTGAGCCCAGGACGCAAAGAGGTTGCAGTGAGCCGAGATCACGCCATTGCACTCCAACCTGAGTGACAGAGCTAGACCCTGTCTTAAAAAAACAAAACAAAAAAAACCCAAAAAACATGTAATTATCTCCCTATATCCAGTAAGATCCACTACCAAATATCTGGTATCTTTTAAGAGTTTTTTTCCATGAAGTATTCTGTTTGAGTTATCACAAACATGGACACAAGAAAATGAACTAATGTGAACATAATAGTATCTAACAAATCCTCTGGGCTCGAAAGGTTTTCTAAGAGTGCTGTGTATGTGGGAGTTAGAAGATAATGCTTCTGAATTTGAGATCAGGGACTGAGCATGGAAAGAGGAAGTAACTATACTTCCTGAGGAGTGAGTCTAGTTCATGGACCACATCTGGAACTGCTCCAAGGGTTTGTTATCTCTGGGCTCAGATGCTTGGGTGCCTGGGTAGAGGGACAGTACTTTTCAGATCAAGACTGTGAGTGGCTGCTGTGACCCGTGGCAGAGGAATCTTCTTAGAGCTGAGCAGGCTGAGATGCTTCCTGAGATGATGACTAGAAACTGTAGGAAATCCATGGCCCAAAATGCATCTGTAGGTGCTTTGTAATTATTTCTAACTTTTATTCTAGGTTTAGGGGTACGTGTGCAGGTTTGTTATATAAATAAATTGTGTGTTACGGGGGTTTGGTGTACAGATTATTTCACCACCCAGGTAATAAGTAGAGTACCTTCTTTCTACTTTTGAAGTCTCTGACAGGAAAAGGTAATATTTGTTTTTAAAAAGCCTTTAGATAAAAATGTTAATGTACATGTTTGGTGCCTTTTACTTTAAAACAACATTCAGATCCAATTTTTCCATTTTGCTCTCACAATAACCCTTAGAAGTAGGACAGTTATTGAACAAGATGAGTATTTTGGCACCTTCTGGAATTTGCTCTGAGGAGTTGGTACTTGGGCCGCTTCAACAGTTTTTAAGGCCATTATTTCTGAAATGTTCACCTGCCCATTTCAGACTTGTACTTTGCTAAAGGACATTCCTGATTGAGTATATAAACTGTGGAGCTAACCTGAAGCCTAGTTTCTAGAAGTTCCTCTTTTTTGGCAGAGAAGGAAGGACTCCCCAGATCTCCTTTTGGGATCTCAGCCTTATCAAAATAACCTAAATTTGTTTTCAGTGATCCCTGTAGTTCTCTCACTGGAGTGCTGCCTGGGTTCACCTGTGAGAATGTCCCTAGAGTGGCTTTAGACCTACTGTTTCTGCAACTTTTGTCAAGTCAGGGACATTGAAAAAGGTATTAGCAAGAGACCTCTGCCTGCTACTGTCAGGTAGGCTTCCAGTGAATGCTGTGGAGGGTATAGCAGGAAGATTGGTTACTGATGTGATTATTTCTGATCTGTTAATGCAAAAAAATTTTGCTTCTCTTGTCTTCTAGGGATTGTTCCCAGAAAGGGAGACCATTTCATCTCTTCAGGTTGCTCATCCAATACCATGAGCCTGAGCTTTGTTCTTATCTTGATACAAAGAAAATTACTCCAGACTCCTATGCACTCAACTGGGTAATAAAGTGAAAGTAGGAACATTTAATGAAAAATAGATTTATGTAAAGCTATAGTTAGGTGGGTTTTTTTTTTCAAGGAAGAGAAAGAAAAGTCCTAATTATAGATCATTACTGTTTAAACCAAAGGGGTAAAATTATTGGCATTTCAAAATAACTTTTTTTGCCCTTCACTCATGTTAGTTCAGCTTATTTGATATGAAGTTCACTTTTATTGTTTTACATGTATGTGTAAATGTAACTATTTACAACTAATTACAAATAAATATTACAACTCATATTTACATATATGTAATAAATATGAATATGTACATGTAATATATGATACATATATCAGTTCAATTGAGAACTTTGTTTAAATTGTTGATGGTGTGTATAAGAATTGGTATACAGTCACAAGGAAAATGACTTAAGGTTATCAAATGGTTAATATAAAAGAATATAAAGTATAACGCTGTGCTCTATCATTCTGTATTTTATTTTCAATGGGAAGTCTTACTTTAGGTCAGTGGTCCTTAAACCTTTTGGTGTCAGGACCCTTTACACTCTTAAAATTTGTTGATGATCCATATGGATTATATTGAGAAGTTGTTAAAACTAGACTAGGCGCAGTGGCTCACGCCTGCAATCCCAGCACTTTGGGAGGCTAAGGAAGGTGGATCACTTGATGTCAGAAGTTTGATACAAGCCTGGCCAACATGGCGAAACTTGTCTCTACTAAAAATACAAAAATTAGTCGGGTGTGGTGGCGTGTACCTGTAATCCCAGCTACTTGGGAGGCTGAGGCAGGAGAAATCACTTGAACCTGGGAGGCGGAGGTTGCAGTGAGCCGAGATTGCACCACTGCACTCCAGCCTGGGCAACAGAGTGAGACTCTGTCTCAAAAAAAAAAAAAAAATTAAGGAATTTTAAATGTTTATTAATTTATTTAAAAGTAATTATAAATTTATTACATGTTGATATAAGTAGCCTATTTTAAAATAAACAACTATTTTCCAAAAGAAAATTAGAGTAGTGGCATTGTTTTATGTTTTTGCAAATCTCATTAATGTTTGGCTACATCAAAGATGGATTATCATATCTGCTTTTTTTTTTCTTTTTTTTTTTTTTTGAGATGGAGTTTCACTCTTGTCGCCTAGGCTGGAGTGCCGTGGCTCCCAGGTTAAGCGATTCTTCTGCCTCAGCCTCCCAAGTAGCTTGGATTACAGGTGCCGGCCACCATGCCCGGCTAATTTTGTAATTTTAGTAAAGACGGGGTTTCACCACGATGGCCAGGCTGGTCTCGAACTCCTAACCTCAGGTGATCTGCTCACTTCAGCCTCCCAAAGTGCTGGGATTACAGGCCTGAGCCACCACACCTGGCCCTTATTTCAATCTGTGATAATATCACATATCATGTAGGCGTTGGAAAATTCTATTGTTCATTTTCGAGGGAATATATATGCAAAAGGCAGGTAAATTCTACATATTTGTGTAACAATAGTTTTGACCTTACAGATCCTTTGTAAAGAATCCTGGGGACTTCTACGAGGTCCCCAGACCACACTTCTGGTTAACTGCTGCTCTTCTGGTTAACTTGAGATCTTTCTAAAACAATGATTGGGTCCTAGGAGACTATATGTTCATATCCTTTTATTATGTATTACTTAACTTTTCTTCAGGAAGAATCCCATTTCTTCCCATTATTAACTGTGTGATCTAAGACAGCCTCTGAGCTTCAATTCCTCATCTGCAAAGTGGAAATAATAGTACTGTACCTACTTCAGAGGATGATAGGATGAGTTAACAATCAGGAAATGGGTAATTGGAGAATTCTAACTGGTTTCACTTCTGGGCTCATTAAATCTCAAACCTCAGTAACCTGTTCTTTAATTCCCTCTTGGCCACAGTCTTGTCAGTTTTTTGTTTTTGTTTTTGAGACGAGGTCTTGCTCTGGTCTCTCAGGCTGCAGTGCAGTGGCACAGTCTTGGCTCACTGCAAGCTCCACCTCCTGGGCTCAAGTGATTCTCCCACCTCAGCCTCCTGAGTAGCTGGGACCACAGGCATGCACCACCACACTTGGCTAATGTTTTAATTTTTTTGTAGAGTCAAGGTCTCACCATATTGCCTGAGCTGGTCTCAATCTCCTGGGCTCAAGCAATCCTCTCACGCAGGCCTCCCAAAGTGCAGGGATTACAGGTGTGAGCCAAGCCTAGTCTTGTCAAAACTGTAGCTTCTCTGAGATTCATATGTTGCCACTGAATCTACCTATTTATGTTAAGGTAGTAAACTATTTTTCTTAGGCATTTTAATAATAGAGGTCTCTCTGCCTAGGAAATGCCATTTCTGATGCCAGAGCTCTGAATTCGTGCTGATAGCTGGAGGTTTAAACTGAGTGGTTTCTCTTCAGCTGATATGCCAGATAGTTTGTTTGTTTGTTTGTTTGTTTACTTATTTATTTATTTATTTATTTTGTGAGACGGAGTCTCTTTCACCCAGACTGGAGTGCAGTGGCATGATCTTGGCTCACTGCAAGCTCCGCCTCCTGGGTTCACGCCATTCTTCTGCCTCAGCCTCCCGAGTAGTTGGCACTGCAGGCGCCCGCCACCACACCCGGCTAATTTTTTGTATTTTTATTAGAGATGGGATTTCACCATGTTAGCCAGGATGGTCTCGATCTCCTGACCTCGTGATCCACCCGCCTCGGCCTCCCAAAGTGCTGGGATTACAGGCGTGAGCCACTGTGCCTGGCCTCAGATAGTTTACTCTTGCTACTAGTATCATGTTGATGAAATAGAGTTTTTTAAGTATCATGAGATGAAACAATTAAAAAGTAATTCCTAAACCACTGTGAGCAATGCAGTGGTAACTTTCGTTGAGCTAAGTGAGCTTAAAGATGACTGTGTATTGCTATTCTGTTTGTATGTACCTCTTCTAATCTGTGTTTGTAATCGTAATTTTTAAAGCAACCACAAAAAACATTAGTAGCATTATGTATTTTAAAAGCCTTGTGGTCAAGTGTGATGGCAATTACATGGGCTGTGGAATCTCAGGCTTTTTTCTGTTCCCAACACCACTCACTAGCTCTGTGAGCTTGAGAAAGTAAAGTAATCCAAGTTCCTCGCCTGAAAAAAATGGGGAGTAATTGAAATCTACTTTCTCACCTGTAAAATGGGGAGAAATGTGTTTACTTTCCAGGCCTGTTTTGAGAATTTAAATCAGAGATATTTTTAATGATACGTGATAATAGTTTAGTATTAGCTTAGTATTGCACACCTGTTGTGAGAATTTAAGTAAGAGATATTTTTAATGGTATGTGATAATAGTTTAGTATTAGCTTAGTATTGCACAAAGAGTGCACTAAATATATGTGTTCCCGTTAATTCTCTTTAGCTGTTAAAAATTTTTTAAATTTAAACTTGTAGATGGAATTATTTCTGTATCTAATGAAAGTTGAATGATCTAAAAATATTACTTCATGCAACTTAAAACACAGTTGGGCTGTAGAGTTGCTTATAAATTAACAACTCTTAGCTCCTGAAATTTATTGAAGGATATGAATGTTATTTATTTTTTTTTGTGTTTATTTTTTTTTTTTTGAGACAGAGTCTCACTCTGTCACCCAGGCTGGAGTGCAGTGGTGAGATCTCTTCTCACTGCAACCTCTGCCTCCCAGGTTCAAGTGATTCTCCTGCCTCAGCCTCCCAAGTAGCTGGGACTACAGACACGTGCCATCATGCCTGGCTAATTTTTGTATTTTTAGTAGAGACGGGGTTTCACTATGTTGGCCAGGTTGGTCTCAAACTCCTGACCTCAGGTGATCCACCCACCTTGGCCTCCTAAAGTGTTGGGTTTACAGGTGTGAGCCACTGCGCCCGGCCTAATCTCTTTCAAGTGATGTACAAGTGAGCTTTGGGAGCAATTCATATTTATATTATGATTAAAGTTTTATTAGCTGCTCTTAAATTACCACGTTTGATCCTCACAATTACCTTGTAATTTAAATACTGTGCTGTTATTATATTGTAATTATTTTAGTTACTCTTATGGAGCTCAGACCATAATTATGCTAGTTATGCTATGGCAAAGATATGTGCTAGTTACTTTAGGTATTCTTTTCACAATAATAGTAGAAGATGGGTAGCATTATTCCTCTTTTTTACAGAAGTAAAAATGGAAGCTTTAAAGAGGTTGACATGTCCTAAGTCACACAGTTAATATGTGGCTCCATTGTCCCTTGAATTCACATGTTTTGCCTTTGGATTTCATACACTAAGATTAAGGTACGCATTAAATATCAGGTGCAGATAATTTGATATAATGTTTCTTATTCATTTGCTTTAATACTTTTAAGAGAACAAGTCACCTCCAGTGGTTTATGTCTCTCATTTCATTTCCTGATTACAGCTTGGAAGTCTTTTTGCATGTTACTGTTCCACTGAAGTCACTCAGGCAATATGGGATGGATATCTACAACAAGCAGATCCATTTTTTATTTATTTCTTAATGTTAATTATCCTTGTTAATGCAAAGTAAGTATCTGGTTGGTTAGATTTTTTTTCCTCTTTTCTCAGGGTGCTCTGTTAATATTTAACTCAAATTGATTTGATTCCCTTTTACAGAGAAGTTATTTTAACACAAGAGTCAGACAGCAAAGAAGAAGTTATCAGTAAGTATCATTTAATGTAGTGAAAACATTTCAGGTCTCTTTATCTGTGTAAGTTACTCAGTTTCCTCATTCGTAAATTTAGGAGATTAGTCTAGAAGAGCTCTGAGGCTCCATTCAACTCTCAGATTATATAAACACTCTCCAGGTACAGACCTTAAAGACTATTTTCCTTTATTTTGCCATCTTCATTCATTCCTTCATATTTGTTCACTCTTTCATTCCTTTCCATATACTATTTCATTAGTTTCACTGTTCGAATAGATTGCCCTCCTCTGTTCCTCCCTACCCATCCTTAATTTACCTTTCAATACTCAGTTTATATGATATTTCAATTGTGAAACCTTGGTTCTCCTTTTGGATTCTCCCCACCATATCCCCCACATAGAGATAGTTACTTCCTCTCTATATTCCCTGGCACTTTGTTCTATCTGTATAACAATGTTTATCTTACTGTATTATAATGATTTATTTTTATTTTTTCACACAAGACAAAGTTCTTTAAGTCAGTAACTATTTCTTAGGCATTTTTTATGTTCAGGGGCCTTGGCATTTCTTCATATATGTTTAATAAATAAATCATAGAATTCTAATTAAGGTTAATGAATTTGATTTGATTGCCTGACACTATCCTTCACTGACAAGAGATTTACATTAGCCGTTTCAGCTCATTTGGAGAAATCCACTTTTCCACAAGTCATTGTAAAAGCACCAGTGTTGAGACTCCATTTGCATAGTATTTATGATGAAGATATTTCGGCTCTGATACATAAACAATATTTGCATTTTTCACAAACTACTAAATATTATGTCTATAATATTTCAGAGTTCTTGGAAAATACTCCATCCAGTCTGAATATAGAAGATATAGAAGACCTTTTCTCTCTGGCTCAGTATTATTGCAGCAAAACACCGGCTTCTTTTAGGAAGGTATAAGACCAGAAATGACCAACTATGTTGTATTTCATATTTTGTACATTGTTTTATTACTTTATATTCACTTTAGTTAAAATAGGTTGTCAATTTTTTCTGTTTCTTTATGTGTTGTAGTTTTGTGTGATTTTTTTTTTTCATCTCTGTAAATACCCTCCCTAGTGGAGGAACAGACAAGTTAAAAAGATAGTAGAACGCATCTTACCTCTCTTCTGATTATTGTTATTTCTGATCATAAGAAAATTGACTGAGATATTTTCTAAATTAGTGCTTTCTTGACTTTAAAAATTATATTACAGGGCCGGGCGTGGTGGCTCACGCCTGTAATCCCAGCACTTTGGGAGGCCAAGGTGGGTGGATCACGAGGTCGGGAGATCGAGACCATCCTGGCTAACACGGTGAAACCCTATCTTTACTAAGAAATACAAAAAATTAGCCGGGCGTGGTGGTGGGCGCCTGTAGTCCCAGCTACTCGGGAGGCTGAGGAAGGAGAATGGCGTGAACCCAGGAGGCGGAGTTTGCAGTGAGCTGAGATTGTGCCACTGCACTCCAGCCTGGGCGACAGAGTGAAGACTCTGTCTCAAAAAAAAAAAAAAAAAAATTATATTACAGTAGTAATCCAGTGGAGGAGGTAGAGTTTTGCCACTTTTCTCTGGAGTTCAGGCTTGTATAGTCTTAATAATGCTGAGCTGTCTTATAAAGAAAGGTCATTTAGGCCCCGTAAAGACTTAGATCCTTAGACCAGACAGATGCCTAATAAAGGACACCAGATTAGAAGTATGAGTGATGTGAACTCCTGAAAAATGAAACTCTAAGAAGCAAAAGCTAATAGTGGAAGAGGCACAAGTTTATAAAGCAGACAGGTTTGTATGTGACTTCAGGTGCCCATGAGAGCACCTTTTTTTTTAAAGCATTCTGCCATAATAATTTCTAGTTGGTACTCATCGTGTCACTGAAGTGTCAAGATAAAGTTAAGTTATGTTTAGTATACTGTGTTTTAGAAAGCAGGTAAAGGAAACCTTTTAAGATCATTTTCCCTCAAAAATAACTAATTTAAAAAGACTTATTTCTAGGGACCAGTTTCAACTATTTTAATAATTTTCTTATATAGAACTCTTCAGTTCCTAACAATGCTGTATAAGTCAGATGGTAGGATAGTAGTTTAAAATACTGAATGAAAAAGAAGTCTTATTTTTTTTCTTATTCAAGAGCTGCACCTTTTATTCTTCAGACATAGTGAAACTGTACTAGCAGTTGTGAATTAGAGCAGGCTGTGGATCAGTATTTTAACTCATTTATGCAATAGATTTCTGCCACATATTTGTTTTTATTAAGATATGAAAAATTGTAAGTAACCATTTTTAAAGTTCAATATTAACTACAGGTGGTAGTATAGAAAATAGCTATTTAGAATGTGTTTTTTTTTTCTTAGTCTTTCATTTTGTATGAACACTGACAGGGACTTTATGTGACATTTTTGTAGTTCTTAGCCTATAAAATTTGAGATTATGTAGTATTAAGTTTTAAAAAATCACAACTCAAGAGTATTATAATTTTACCTTTTATCATGGTTTAATAAGAATATTTTTAGGAAGAAAGTTTGATTTTTTTTTTCATAATGTTTAAAAATTTCCCTTCAAACAGGATAATCACCATCTCTTTGGTAGTACTTTGTTGGGAATTAAGGATGATGATGCAGATCTGAGTCAGGCTCTTTGTCTGGCCATCTCCGTGTCAGAGATCCTTCAAGCGAATCAGCTACAAGGGGTAAGTAAAGGAAACCCAGTTTGTTAGGGGACTGTTCATTTTAAATACAAGGAACCAACTTCCTCCCTGTTCATTGATTCCCACAAAATCAATTTACTGCAACAAGGTGGCTCTTTTGGCTTTTTGAATGATTGTGTTAAATGTTATGTTCAGAGGGTCATTTTAAAACTTGTCAGCTTGTGTGGTGTTTTAATTGTCTACAATTAATTATTGTTGACATTCTTGACACCAGTTTTTGTAAATCGCCGTATCTTTTTTCCATATTTCAGTAGAGCAACTGAATGTGGCATTGTATAAAATACTTTTAAAAGGGTGAATTTAGCATTTAACAGTTTCTGGTAGTTTACAGCTAATTGAATTACATGGTTTAGTTCCATACAACTTATAGCAAAGGAGAATTGTGAAAATGAAATTTTCTTCATGAAAATCTAATAAGTCAATTTGACCAATGATGTTTTTAATATATGGTCTTTATTACTAGTAGTGCAGCAGTTAACCATGGTGTGTATTTGGAAGGTGTAGTGTATTTCCAAGGTTGAGGGCAGGAAAGGAATGGACGTGGGAAAATAGCCTTTTATGGTAGATCTTTCTTAGTTGGATTTCTTACTGTATCTGCGCTGGTTATTGAGGATTTTCAAAATACAAGCATCTCACTTTTTTCTTATTCAAACTAATATTTAAAAACAAATGAAAACATGTTATCCAGTTTAAAGAGATCCATGTGAACTTCTTTAGTTGAAACTGGTATTTCAGAACATTCTCCCTTCATCCCCCCACACGAAATAGATGTTTAGTTCTTACGTGAATTGAGCTGTTGATAAATTTGCAGATTTATTTGCAAAAAAGAATAGCATATCTAGAGTTGTGTTTATAACTATATAGCGTTTTATAATTAGTTTTATAATTAATTATAATTAGTTTTATAGCTCAAACAGACACTCTCCTTCTATGTATTTTAAGACTTTCCAGTAAAGAACAACATCTAAAAAAGAAAAATGTTTTAACTGTTTAAAAGAAATAAAAGTATTTAGGACCTTCGGGTTATTTTCTGTGCTAACTAGGTCCTCCCAATTCCATGTGAGATCCATTTTTTAATGAACTTGTTCCCTTTATTTGGTTAACTGTGAATATTATGTTGTGCAATGTGAACCTCATGGGAAATTCCTGTATGTCAAATGTTGTTTCCGTTTTAGGAAGGAGTCCGGTTCTTTGTGGTGGATTGCCGTCCTGCAGAACAATATAATGCTGGGCATTTATCAACTGCTTTCCACTTAGATTCAGACCTGGTTAGTATAAATGCTGATTAATTATTCTTAAAGTAACTTTTTTTCCTTCAGTTCATAAATAAATATATAGGTCCCAGATTGGGGAATTTTTTTCTTTCTGCTTAAGGAGGGAGTCTCTGCCCTTATGAGAAAAGTGTTGCTGTCAGGTTTCCTTTTCACCCAAATACCCTTTTGTGTTTTTGTTGTTGTTTGTTTGTTTGTTTGTTTCGCTTTTGTTGCCCAGGCAGGAGTGCAATGGTGCGATCTCGGCTCACTGCAACCTCTGCCTCCTGGGTTCAAGCTATTCTCCTGCCTCACCCTCCCTAGTAGGTGGGATTACAGGCACCCACCACCAGGCCCGGCTAATTTTTTGTATTTTTAGTAGAGACGGGCTTTCACCATGTTGGCCAGGCTGGTCTCGAACTCCTGACCTCAGGTGATCCCCCTGCCTCAGCCTCCCAAAGTGTTGGGATTATAGGCGTGAGCCACCACGCCCAGCCCAGATACCCTTTTGGCATTATAAAGGGTAGTTGAAAACAATGCTCACTATGGCTTACTATCGCTTACCATTTTTATGTCAGTAAATTCTGAACTTAGTTTGAGCTACCTAGTATAGCACTTAGCATAGTGCACTGCACCTACTAAGTACTCTCTGGATATCAGCTCTTACTGTAATTGAGTAAGAATTCTGTAGGCTTTATAGTATGAGCCATTTTTAATCATGAGTATTTATGCATATAATAAACTAATATTTAATAAGGGTAGTATCTGGCATATAAGTACTTAGTTATTAAAACTACTATCCTAGGTCATTTAATTTGAAGAATGGTAAATAATTGTCAGAGATGTATAGAGCTGTTGGTAGAATTGAGGCTAACATCATTTAAGCCATTCTGGGATCATTAAAGCCTCAGGGATGGGGAACACAGGAATGGGATGAGAAACCTCTTAGCTAAATGTTAAGTCTACCTTTCCCCTTCCCAACTCGTCTGAAAAATTTGATGCTGAACTGAAAGGGTGTGTGAAAGGGCCTAGGTAATATTGAGGAAGAACTAACAGATATTGTGAGAAAGGCCATCTTAGCTCATCCATATTCTGTAGGTGAACTCTGTGCCTTTCTCTTCCTTGATTCCTCTCTCCTTCCTATTTTAAAAATTTACTCAAGTGATTCATGAATACTTGAATTAATTTTTTTTTTTTTTTTTTTTGAGACAGAGTTTCTACTCTGCCACTCAGGCTGGAGTACAGTGTTATGATCTTGGCTCACTGCAACCTCAGCCTCCCAGGTTCTGGCGATTCCCTAGCCTCAGCCTCCCGAGTAACTGGGACTGCAGGTGTGCGCCACCATGCCTGGCTAATTTTTTTTACTTTTAGTAGAGGAGGGGGTTCATGTTGGCCAGGCTGGTCTCAAACTCCCAGCTTCAAGTGATCTGCCCACCTTGGCCTCCCAAAGTGCAGGGATTACAGGCGTGAGTCACCATGCCCGGCTTGAATTTTTAAAAATTTTTAAAGAATATTATCAGCTTACGTAATCTTCCAGACTTTTAATATCTGTTTACATATTTTTTGTTTTGCCACTTGATTTTTCACGTAACAGTTTCTAAGAGATCTTTTGATTTAAGTACATTCTTTCTAATGATGCATAGTGGTCCATGGTACATGTAGGTATACTATAATTTATTGCCTGATTGATGTATATGTGGGTTATTTTTTGTTTTCTTGTAATAATGCTGCATTTGACATCTTTTTATACATTTTGTGAACTTATGCAAATATTTCTGTAAAATAGATTCTTAAAAGTAAAATTGTTTTGATGAGGTGTGTGGATATATACATTTTACTAGAGACCACCGTATTGCCCTTTAAAAAGGTGGAACCCAGCTATTTGGGAGGCGGAGGTTGCGGTGAGCCGAGATCGCACCAGTGCACTCCAGCCTGGGTGACAGAGGGAGATTCCGTCTCAAAAAAAAAAAAAAAAAAATGGTGGAACCTTCTTACGTTTCAGAACTCTAAATGAGAATGCCATTGGCATTATTGGATATTATCAATCTTTTCTTATCTTACCAGAGTGATGAGTGAAAAATAGTTGTGATTACCGATGAGGTTGAACATTATTTTTTGTGAGTGTGCTGTTTATATTTGCTTTTGTTTTTTACAAATTGCTTTTCTATATGATCTGTCCATTTTTCTATTTTTCACCATACTTTTTGTGTATCTCCATTAAAACAGTTTTTAAACATCTTTGTAGTTATTGTCGTACTTGTTTCCTTGAGGGTAAGAAATGAATATTTCATCCTTGTGTCTCCGTTACCTGGAATAGTGCTGATAAACAAATGCCTTCTGTTATTTCTGACAATCCTCTAAGAAACACATGGTTTACCATCTAAGGGGAAACTAAAAAATAGAGCTTGTTTTGATCTATAGTTTTATACTCTTTCTGTCTTGATATCTAAGGATACTGTTGCTACTTGTTATTTAAGAAAAAACAAGAACAACAAACAGTTTTTCTCTAGTAGAGAATTATTTTCTTTGCATCAATCTTTGTGTGAATGTTCAACTTTTGTTCTATTGTATTATAGATACATTTATAAATATTTCTCTTATCCCAGGGATTTTATTTATAAGAGCCTTTTTTTCCCCTTCATTTTCATTGTGGCTCTTTAAATATTGGGGTTTTTCCTAAAAAAAATTTCAAATTTACAAATATATGTGAAACACAGGCTTGTCAAGTTTTTAACTTTAAAAAAATTGTCTAGATGCTTCAGAATCCATCTGAGTTTGCACAGTCAGTAAAATCCTTGCTGGAAGCACAGAAGCAGTCCATTGAGTCTGGCTCCATAGCTGGTGGGGAGCACCTCTGTTTTATGGGCAGTGGCAGGGAGGAAGAAGACATGTATATGAACATGGTCCTGGCACACTTTTTACAGGTATGCTGACATAAATTATTTCAGTTTTGTTTGGTTAATGTTATCACCTTTAAAAAATTTACATAGATAACTTTTTGCTTGTCAGATTTATCTGTACTTTTCTTGGTTTTGTGACTTGTTAAGGTCTTCTCCAGATTTTTCTCATATGCTTATATGATTTTTTTATATTTAACTCAAACCATCTGGCATTTATTTTGTGTAAGAAGTAAGATAGGAATTAAAAAATATTTCTCCAGATAGCTTACAAATTGTACAGTTTGAAATACCACCTTATTAATATACCGAGTTCCTCTATGCATCAAGATCTATTTCTGGATTATTATGTTATTTGATCTTTTATTTTTTTTCTATTTGTTATTATTTTTTTGAAATGGAGTCTTGCTCTGTCGCCCAGGCTGGAGTGCAGTGGCGCCATCTTGACTCAGTGCAACCTCTGCATCCTGGATTCAAACAATTTTCCTGCCTTAGCCTCTCGAGTAGCTGGGCTACAGGCACACGCCACCACGCTTGACTAGTTTTTGTATTTGTAGTAGAGATGGGGTTTCACTGTGTTGGCCAGGCTGACATAGTGATCTCCGGACCTCAAGTGATCCGCCCTCCTCGGCCTCCTAGAGTGCTGGAATTACAGGCATGAGCCACTGTGCCTGGCCTATTATGTTACATTGATCTTTATGTGTATTTATGTCCTAGTACTTTTTACAGTAACTATATGATTCATTTTAATATCTTCATTTGAAACTGAATAAATACATATGCATATTCATTCACAACACCTAGCCATCTTTCCTTTTTGTGTTTAAATATTGTCTTCAACACAACTAATTTGAATTAGTGATTTTATGCAACCTGTTTCTCTGCTTTTTTAAAAATGTCACTCAGTGATGGCTTGTTTTTTATTATAATAGTTGCTTATTAGGTATTCTTTGGCAGTTTATGTATTAAAGTCCTTACTTTGTATGGTCCTGAACTATGGAATCAGCAAGATGGTAGGCATGGTACACAAGCCACTCAATTTGGATTCATTTCTATTTATGTTGTATTTTACTGGGAATCTGGTTTGAAAAAATTAGTTTAAAGATGAAATCCTTGAAAAGCAAAATCAGAGAAGGAACAGGATATTTGGGAGAGGAATTGTAGGATAATTTTAAATTTTATTAAAGGAAAGAGTTTAGAAGCATACAGAATAACAAAAATAAGGAACCAAACTCATTTCATTCATAAATTTAACTGGTCTACTCTAAAAATGCTTCAGGCCAGGCACAGTGGCTCCCACCTATAATCCCAATACTTTGGTAGACTGAGATGGGAGGATCACTTGAGCCCAGGAGTTCAAGACCACCCTGGGCAACATAATGAGACCCTGTCTCTACAAAAAATAAAAATATTAACTGTGTGTGGATGTGCTCACCTGTAGTCCAAGCTACTTGGGAGGCTGAGGCAGGAGAATCGCATGAGCTGGGAGATTGAGGCTGCAGTGAGCCATAGTCATGCCACTGTACTCCAGCCTGGGTGACAGAGCGAGACCCTATTCTCAAAAACAAAATAAAATAAAAACGCTTCAGTATAAACTATACTGTATATTGTAAGGGCTGTCATAGGGCAAGAGTTTGGAATATTGTGAACTTTTTTTTAATTATTCGAGTTCTTTATGTGGTTTTATACATTTTTTCCCCAACTTTTATTATGGAAAGTTTCAAGGAAATTGAAAAGTAGGGAGAACTGAATGCCATAAACTCATTATGAAGACATAACCACATCATTATCATACTTTATTAAAAAAAATTTAACTAGTGTTCAAGTTTCCCTGATTTTCCTAAGATCTAAAACAAGATGTTGACATTTGGTTGATGTCTTTTAAGTTTCTTTTAGTTTATAGGTTCCTTTTTAAAATTTTTTCCTTGCATGTATTTGTTGGGAAAAGCAGTTAATTTGTGTTATAGAGTTCCCCACATTCTGGATTTTGCTGATTACATTCACATGGTGTCATTTATCATGTTCTGTCCCTGGTATTTTCTGTAAGCCAGTAGTTTAGAGATGTGTTCAGACTTCTTTGTTTAGGGGAAGGAGGTTCTGAGGGGGTGATGCCTGCCTCTTTTAGATGATAAATACTATTTAGATGTCTTTTTTGTGTTTCTCTTTTTTTTTATTTATATTACTTAGATCCATTATGTTTTTAGTAGTTTGCAAAATGGTAACATTCCCTTATTTCTTCATAATTAGCTGTAATGTTTCTTTTTATATTATCTTTTAATAAAGGACCCAAAATATTTTGAAAGCTTTTAAAAATCACTCTGATTACATCCTAAAATACTGTTTAACTAATTTTGGTTTGACCATTGCACTATTGAAACAATAATACAAGCAAAATCAAGACTTGTTAATAGCCTTGAAGTTGTTCCCTTCTTCCCACCCAAGCACCAGAACTTACAATGCATAATAAGGTAAATGGATATACCTCTCTCTGCCAAAGTCCAAAATGTCAAGGAAATGAGAAAGCCCGGTAATTTAATGTATCACTTGGTATTGTATTTATCAGTGTTTTAGAACTAGCTAAAGTTTTAATTAAGTCGCAGTTTTGGAAGAATTTAAATTTTCTTTTCCATTACAGAAAAACAAAGAATATGTGAGTATTGCCAGTGGAGGATTTATGGGTAAGATTTTGATTTATTAGTTTTTTTCCTCTATGTTTCAGAAGAAATTGTATTGATTATCAATAGAGTTGATCTGGAGTGGTCACATTAGTTAAAGGGTAGACTCTTCATTCATTCAATATTTTCAGAAAAGGCAAGGCCAGGAGGACTTACAGATAACAGACAAACGTAATAGGCAATTGAAATTGGTGACTATTTGATGTAAGACTATTTTAATAGATTTGTTTCCAAAAAATATTTTTGTAAAGATGAATGAAAAACTGCCCATATGATTGCCTCTATGGAGAAGAAGGATTAAATGATGGGACAGGGAAGGAAGACTTCAAGGAATACTTTTTATAGTATACCCTTTGGACTCTTTAGGTGTTTTGTTATTTTATTTTTGAACTACTTGAAGGTATTCTCTGTTTAAAAAATGTTAGCTAAGTGGAACAAAATAAACTGATATTTTCAGAACTGCAGACTAATATTTAATAATCTAGGAGAGTAAAATAATTGGCAGGATCTCTGCAGGCAAGTATTGAGAATTTTACTTTGCAGTAAATAAGATTTTAAAAGAGTAATAAGATTTTAAAAGAGCCTGTCTTACATTAGAAAAAGAGATACTACAAAAATACTGAGCTGTAAATGCTGGGGAAAATTAATGATCAAATCAAATCAATATGTAAGAATCACATGCTGACCAGTTGTGCAACTGAAGCTCCAAAAATCAAATCAGTATATGTTGAGGGTAATGGAATCTTAGGCTTTAATCATGGGAGTTAGGCTGTAACTTAGGATTTTGGGAACATTAGGATGTATTTCCTCCTGGTCATTGTTGATATTAACAAGGATTATGATTATCTTCTGTATATCATGACCTGATAACTAATGACTTTTGAGGTTCATACCCAGAGTGATGTACAAAAGGGGTTATTTTAATAAGTAGTGTTAAACATGTATTGGCCCTAGGCTCAGTGTTATTTATTAGGAATCCTGGTAACGATATAAAACTTGATTATTAAGCTTGTAATTCTCAAAAGTGTCTGAAAAGCATTCTTTTATAGTATAACCCAGATTTTAGAAAATTTTTTAAAACCATGAAGTATTTCTTTACCAAGAATAATCTCTCTTTCCGTAACTGTTAATGGCTAACAATGCTTCTTTATTATGGGAGAGATTGATTGATATCTCCTTATGGTATAACAAAAGTCACAATCGGTTTTCTGTTATCCTTTATGTCATAAAAATGTTGCAGAAATTATCTGTTAATACTTGAAAGATTTCCTTTCAAAGAAGAAAACGTAAAGCCTATACAGTTATCATCACATTGGCGTCAGTTAAGAAAAGTTATCCGTGTACAGAGGGTTTTAGAAGGAAGAATAGGAAGGTTTGCTCTAGCTTGGAGGCCTTTACTCCTTTACAGACGTGCAGAAAGAAATACCTGTGATTATTTCCTTCAGTCCTTTTTTCTCAGCTGTGACATGTTTATTGTATTTCGTTGGTAATGAATTTTTCCAAAGAGTGTTGATATTTTAGGTTTTTCTTTTTTTTTTAATTTATCTTAAGCACTGCAGCAGCACCTGGCAGACATTAATGTGGATGGACCAGAAAATGGATATGGCCATTGGATTGCTAGTACCTCAGGCTCAAGGAGCAGTATCAATTCTGTTGATGTAAGTATATGTAGAGAATATGTTACCGGATTTGGATAAGTTCCCAGAAAAGGTGATTAACTACTAAACCCCCACCATAACAGAAATGGAGTCAAAACATTTCAAACACATGCAATGAAGAGTCATATTATTGTGAGATTAATGAGATGATACAGCAAGCCATTATTTATTGTGAGATTAATGAAATGATACAGCAAGCCTTCACAGTTAAACTAGGTGGGAGCTCTTGAAGTTCAGCTGCTGAATTCAAATTTCTCCCTGTCCAGCTGTAGTTTGGTATCATGTAGTGACAGTTTTATGTTCCAGCTTAAATATCAATGGGGACAAATCTGGGTCCTGTAAATAGCTGGGACTCTTAAGCAAGCTGATTCCAGGCATCTCCCAGTTAGTTTTTGCCAGAATACTAGGGCTCATAATCATCTCGTGCACACTATGTCTGTACCCATCCCCATCACAGACTTAAATGATTTGGACTTGAGTCTATCCACATTTGAGAATTGGCCAGGCAGAGGAAGACAAGAACAAGTTGCCAATCCTATTTTATTTGATTTTTAGTTATTGAGATGTGTATTACTACCCAGTTTTGCTACAGTGGATAAATCTGTTTTTCTGTTCTTTGGAAATATTTGGGTAATAGGTCTTTTGTGCTTTTCCAGTACTTCAATATTTCATGTCAGTTGAATTAGATGTCATTAAATTATTCATAAATAATGGTCCTCACATACCTAGTGATTATTCTTTAAAACAGAAATAGAAGGAAAACTGCAGTACAAGGTCACAGTTAGTAGCTTGGGCTTACAGGTCTGACATACCTGGGTTCAGATTTCATCTACAACTTACTTTCTTCATGATCTCCAGCAAGATCTTTGAGCTGTGGTTTCTCCACCTGTGGAATATAAATGTTAACAACATAACCTTCTTTCTAAGGATAACTTGAGAATTAACAGTGCAAGTAAATGGAAAGTATAGTACCTGTCACCAGATATTTAATAGTAGTTATTACGAAATTGTAACTCACTACCTGTGTTAGTTGAGGTTTATCTTCAGCCATGCAAATCAAAATCAGATTATTTTCACATCAGCAGATAAGGTTTGTCTGAGAATCTTATTTTTAATTTGATACTCTTATTTTTAACTTGATGCCATTGTGTGAAATCACCATTACTTAGTAAACGTTTGCTATTTTCACTTTAAATAACTAAATAATATTTCATTTTATGGGTGTATTATAATTTATTCAGTTCTCTATTGTTCAATATTTACATTGTTTCCAGTTTTTTTCTGTTACAAACACTATTTAATTTTTGTAGTGATAAATTTGCATATGCCATGATTATTTTGTCCTGGAAGTGGAATAACTTGATTAAAATGTTACCAAAGTCCTTAGACTTCTGCATTATTATCAAATGGCTCTCCAAAAAACATTCTAATTTATATTCCCATTCACATCACTGGATAGTTTTTCTATTGAAGCTTTTATATTCAGATTTGAAAAACACTGATTGAGGCTATTTTAGAAATTATCTTAAAGAGCATTCTTTTCAAAGTACCAAAGAATTTTTACAGTTTAATTTGGCTCTGAATTTAGATATGGAAATAGAAACATAATTTTTTTTGTTGTTAATGACATTTCTTCTAAAAATGAAAGTAGGCCGGGCACAGTGGCTCACGCCTGTAATCCCAGTACTTTGGGAGGCTGAGGCGGGCAGATCACGAGGTCAGGAGATCAAGACCATCCTGGATAACACGGTGAAACCCCGTCTCTACTAAAAATACAAAAAAATAGCCGGGCGTGGTGGCAGGCGCCTGTAGTCCCAGCTGCTCGGGAGGCTGAGGCAGGAGAATGGTGTGAACCCGGGAGGCGGAGCTTGCAGTGAGCCCACATCCCGCCACTGCACTCCAGTCTCTGGGCGACAGAACGAGACTCCGTCTCAAAAAAAAAAAAAAATTTGAAAGTAACAGATGTTCATTTTAGCATCATATGTAAATAAGAAAAGTATAAAGAAAATAAAATCACCTGTAGCTGTTACCAGAGATAATTTTGCCATTCATATTTTAAAGTATTTTCATCAAACCCTTTTTAGTGAATGTGTTTCTTTATTTTAAAAGTAGTGATCATAGCATACCTAGAATTTTATTTTCTGCTTTTTCACTAAACATATGAGCATTTTCTAGCATTTTAAAATGCTATTTAAAAATAATATGAGTTTGTAATGGCTGTATAATTTTCCATCAAATAGTACCCAAATTTCTGGGCACTTCCTTCTCATTAATTCTAAAGAGGAATTAATTGGCAGAAAATAGGATCACTTTTAAATGTTTGACACCCATCACGAAGTTGCCTTCTAGGAAGGTATATATGAGCAATCCCATGAAACAATTTAAGAATTAATACAGCCATGCATGGTGGCTCATGCTTGTAATCCCAGCATTATGGGAATCCGAGGCAGATGAATCACCTGAGGTCAGGAGTTCAAAAATTAGCCAGGTGTGGTGGTAGGTGCCTATAATCCCAGCTATTCAGGAGACTGAGGCAGGGAGAATTGCTTGAACCCAGGAGGCGGAGGTTGCAGTGAGCCAAGATCGCACCACTGCACTCCAACCTGGGCAACAGAGCAGGACTCTGTCTCAAAACAACAACAACAAAAAACACAAAAAAGAATTATACTCGCATCTCTTACATTTGGTACATCAGGATAACTTTTCTTCAGAAAATAAAGGCCTAAGTGGCAATGTCTTTAAAAAGCAAACATTTACAAGGGATATTTAAAAATGTAGCTGCATGGATAGTAGTTTGATTATACTTTTGCTTATTTTTGAAGACTAGTCTGAGATAAGAAAGGTTAATAGTTTTAACTATTTCTTATTGAATAAATAAGGTAATTTCAGGCTCCACACTCACATATGTGCAAATAGTAGTTTGATCATACTTTTGCTTATTTTTGTAGACTAGTCTGAGATAAGAAAGGTCAGTAGTTTTAACTGTTTCTTATATAATAAAAAAGATAATGTCAGACTCCACGCACATATATGTGCAAGTATATCCTAAATTTTTTATTCTACCTTCTTTTTTTTTTTTTTTTTTTGAGACAGCGTCTCGCTCTGTCGCGCAGACTGGAGTGCAGTGGTACAATCTCAGCACACTGCAACCTCCACCTCACAGGTTCAAGCAGTTCTCTGCCACAGCCTCCCGAGTAGCTGGGATTACAAGCACCCATCACCACGCCCGGCTAATTTTTGTACTTTTAGTAGAGATGGGGTTTCACCATGTTGGCCAGTCTGGTCTTGAACTCCTGACCTCATGATCCACCTGCCTCGGCCTCCCAAAGTACTGGGATTACAGGCGTGAGCCACCGCGCCCAGCATCT
Organism: Homo sapiens; assembly: GCF_000001405.40. Classification (NCBI taxonomy): domain Eukaryota; kingdom Metazoa; phylum Chordata; class Mammalia; order Primates; family Hominidae; genus Homo; species Homo sapiens. The sequence continues at coordinate 100,309,912 of NC_000003.12, forward strand.
ACCTTCTATTCTTAAAATGATTTCACCTAATGAATTAGTTTGCAGCTGCCGCAACAAAATATCATACTACAAACTGGGGGCTTAACCAATGTAAATTTATTTTCTTACTGTTCTGGAGGCTAAAAGTCCAAGATGAAAGTATTGGCAGGTTTAGTTTATCCTGAGGCCTCTCTCCTTGGCTTGCAGATGGATGCCTTGCCTTGTGTGTCCTTACATGGCTTCTCTGTTTTCATGTGCTCATGTCTTTCTCTCTTATAAGGACACCAGTCAGACTGGATTAGAGACCACCTGAAGACCTCATTTAACCTTAATTATGCCTGTAGAGGCCTTGTCTCCAAATACAGTCACATTCTGAGATATACTGGGAGTTAGGACTTCAACATATGATTTTGGTGGGATTGCAATTCAGTCTATAACATGTAGATAACCATTAGCAGTAGTATGTCTTTTAGTCATTCAGAGGCAGTTAATCCATTATGTTCTTTTTTTAGGGTGAATCTCCTAATGGCTCAAGTGATAGAGGAATGAAATCACTAGTAAATAAAATGACTGTGGCTTTGAAGACAAAATCCGTTAATGTCAGGGAAAAAGTTATCAGTTTTATAGAGAATACATCAACTCCTGTGGATCGGTGAGTTGTTTATACAGTATGAGTTTATGATGAGTAATTAAAACTAAAGAAACAATGTCTTAGAGTAAGTAAATGTTAGTTGAATTTAATGTGTTCCAGAAAAGGATTATAAAGTATATTTTCTATTAGATGATTTCATAGTTTTCATTAGAATTGCAGGAATGTACTTTATATCCATAATTATTCTCTCTTACTACTCAAAGATGCAAATAATGTATCTGTCACATCATGCCATTCACTAAAAGAAATTTATGTCCCAGTATGTATCACATTTCATATAGTAGCTGCTTCCCAAATGTCAAATGGATGGAGAATCATCTGCCGAATTCAGTGATCTCATAGTAGGAACTTCTTCTTCTGCTCCAAGATTTTAAAACCTAGAAAATCTGGTCATGCTAAATATAGCAGAAACCCACCTTCTGATGTTTAAGATCAGACCTTCATAGAATTTCGTTTACAAAACCCCATTTCCTTGTAAATTACAAATGAGGGACATGGTTAACAATTTAGAAATAAGTTTAAAAATATCTGTTATATATATTGTTTCTTATTGTAACTGAGGATACATTTTTTTCTCCACGTATAAGTCTGTTTGATCTTTCTTGTTCCTAGAGTTCAAAGCTAACCTTATAATTGCAACACAGAATTTGTTTTAAGGAAGCCTCATATTGGAAATGTGTTATAGTATTTGGTTTCACTTTCATGTCTTGCAGTATCCTGGGAAAACTGACATATTTTACTTTAAGAATTGAATGTCAGGGATTTGTTGTCTGTCCCTTTATTAAGTATAGTATATATGCATACAAAAGCACATTTTTCTGCATTTAGTAAATAGCCGAGAAGGTAATAGATTATTTTCATTGATCCAAAACATTGTACCTTATCTAAAATGGTCAACTGATAATTACTAAGGTGTTTTATCAAGCCTGAAAGACTTGTTTATGCAGTAAAGTTATGTCTTCTCAAAAGCTAACCCTTTTACCTTTTGTTGGTGCTTCTGAGTTGGAGGACTATTATTGCTACATTTTGTAGCATGAACATTTACAATTTTATTTTAAAATTTATTTGTTTTAAAATGTACTGGTGATAACTAAGTCAAAAAGACTGCTGCCTTGATTAGTTGAAATTGGCTTTTCTTTGTTTTTCTTTGTACTTGGGATGATGGAAACATCTTCTTTATAATGTACACTCTGGGTGAGAAAAACTAAACTGTACCATATTTTTTGTTTTAAAGCTGTTGCATTTTTTTTATAATCATTTTGTTCTGTCCTCTGCCTTGATTTGCTATAGAATGTCTTTCAATCTTCCTTGGCCAGACAGATCATGTACAGAGCGGTAAGCCAATGAGTAGAGCATTTTTCTTGAACCATCCTTTTCCTTTAATATGCTTCATGCCATCTATAAGCCTCATGCTGTCTTGGCTCAAATTTCATGCAGCTATTTCAAATGCTAAACTTTCCTCATTCTGCTTTTTAGGAGTGTGTCATGTTTATTGATACACTTTTCTTTTTGTTTTTTGCTTGATCATTTTAATTTCTTTTCCTGCATGCTTGTTTGTATCACCCATTCCACAGATGAAAATTAAGTTTGTTCAAAACCTGCAGTTTTTATTCTGAGACAGGGGAAGGTGAAACAAAGAAAGTATGTGGTCGCGAGTTGGCAGGTTATCTGCTTTGGTGCTCATTTGCTTCTATCTCCCGCCTAGCAGCAGAGAAAATTATAGCACCTAAAAATAGGCACCGTTCATGGTTCAAAATTTTTGTTAATTTGTGTACATTATGTAATTTTATATTTTTAGATTTTTCTTAATAAGATGTATGTATATAGGTTGAGTTAGCATATATAAATCTCTTCCAAGAAACTACAGTTCTAGGGTTCTGCCTTTGGTTTTTGTTGAAAAAAAATTACATTTTTTTCTAGGTAGTTGATTACTTTAATGTATAATCTGTCACTTCTCTAACCCAAATAAAACGAGGTGCTTCTCATTAAAGACAATAAGTTTAAGGTTTAAAAATCTACTGGATCTTCAATTAGGGTAACAAAAGAACTTTACTAACTTAACTCTGTGTGACTTTACAGTTCTTATACTCACAGAATTTTTCAGCAATTTAATTTAGAATATCAATTACAGCAACACCTACAAACATTTAAAAAGAAATTCTATAAATCCTAAGTGGGCCAGAAAAAAAAATAAATTCTAGTCATATTTTCAATGTAAGTTAAGCTTTGGAATAATGGAATGGAATTTTTCTCGGGTCACTTCAGTATTCTCAGTGACTTGAAGTAGCATTTTTAAGAATAATACTTCACTCTCTAAGACTATACTTTCAGCCGGGCGCAATGGCTCACACCTGTAATCCCAGCACTTTGGGAGTTGGAGGTGGGCGGATCACGAGGTCAGGAGGTTGAGACCATCCTGGCTAACATAGTGAAACCCCGTCTCTACAGAGTGAGACTGCGTCTCAAAAAATAATAATAATAATAATAATATAATAATAATAGTTCACCCTCTAATAACTTATCTTCTAAGAGTTTTGATTTATTGTGACTATGCCTACACAACGCCAATTACAGGACTTCTGCTAATAATTTTACCTAGCACTACTTTAAAGGAAATTGCTTGTTTTAAAATTACAATCTATTTGTGAATCATCCTTTCCATTTTCTTCTGTTACAGGACCATTGAATTAGTCTAATTTTTTTCAACTCCCAAGTTCTCAAATTATTAATTTTTGTAACTTAAATCATCTCTGATCCACAGGTAGATATATTTGTTTTGAAAAGAGAATCTAATGAGAAGTTAGAATGAATTAGGTTTCTTTCTAAGCTCAGTAAATTAAAGCCTACTCAAACCATACTATAGATGTTTCTACTATTACCATGGCAAAAAAAGTATAGATATTGTGCTTTAAAAAATAGTACAGCTGTTGAATTTTATTCATTTTTAGCCAGTCTTTCAAGAAATGTCTCAATAATCCTTAGCATTCATGTTTATAAAAAATTTGCATTGTATTATAAATCTTGATTAACAATTAATAATTTGTTTTTTAGGATTATCTCTTTACTCATACTTTCTGGTTATTTGGTTATCTGGTTACAGCAAATGCTTATTCGCTGTAAACATTTATCTTTGTTACTTTTTATGTTATGGCAGTTTAATTGTGCTTAATATTAGGAGAAAACTTATAATCTAATCTATATAAAATTTTACAATCTAGATGGCATCAAAGCATTTTTAGATAAAGCTCTTACCTCTGTCTTTGCTTTTTGTAAGAAAGCTGAATCTGAGTTTCAAAGGCATCCAAATTATATCATTTTCTATCTCTCATGAGCATAGTTTGGTAATTTACAGGACAATTTTGTATTAGATATATTTTAACATAAAACCAAATGATTATGTCACTTGTAATTTAATCAGACTTTAAGCCTATGTATTGATTAACCTAACTTGTAATTTCCAAAGAATATTTGTTATACACTAAACTCTCATTATATTTATTGAGGAATGTTATTTTGGAAGAAGTAAATCAACAAAATTAGGCTACAAAATTTTTTTTTTTTTTTTTTTTTTTTTGTGACCGAGTCTTGCTCTGTTGCCCAAGCTGGAGTGCAGTGGCGCAATCTCGGCTCACTGCAACCTGTGCCTCCTGGGTTCAAGTGATTCTCCTGTCTCGCCCTCCCAAGTAGCTGGGACTACAGGTGCGTGCCACCACACCCAGCTGATTTTTAAATTTTAGTAGAGACGGGGTTTCACCATGTTAGCCAGGATAGTCTCGATCTCCTGACCTCGTGATCTGCCCACCTCGGATCTTTCGGCCTCCCAAAGTGCTGGGATTACAAGCGTGAGCCACTGTAACCGGCACAAAAAAAATTTTTATTGATAGTGTGTAAAGTATAGATTTGATCTCTATCTTCTGGGAAATTTGAATTCTAAACCTAAGTAAAGGCCAAGTGTGGTGGTTCACACCTGTAATCTCAGCACTGGGAGGCTGAGGTGGGAGGATCACGGGTCCAAGAGTTCAAGACCATTCTGTGCAGCATAGCAAGATCCTGTCTCTGAAAAAATAAAAAAATTAGGCAGGCGTAGTGGCACACCCCCGTGGTCCCACACTGTGGTCCCAGCTACATGGGAGGCTGAGGCAGAAGGATTGCTCCAGCCCAAGAATTCGAGGCTGCAGTGAGCTAAGATTGCGCCACTGTACTCTAGCCTGGGTGACGGAGTGAGACCCTGGCTCTAAAATACTACTACTACTACTAATAACTAAAGGCATGTAACTTGATTTTTTCTCACATTGGAATAGCTCTTGAAAATAGAAGATTTTGAGTGTTTTCATGTTACATGCACACACCCAAAAAAGCTAGAGTCTTCCTTTGTAGTAGGTAATTTTAGCTGAACCTTATCCTACAAGTAAAACAATGCTTTTCCCCTCAGAAACATGTAGTATTTTATTGACACATTTTAATTTTACCTGTTAGTTTATTTGGGATTACCTGAAAATTAATAGGATATTAATTTTTATATTCCAAAGAAAGGTCACACTTCCTATAGACCTAATCAAGTTTGAGTTTACATGTTATTTATGCCTCTGCCTTTTGAAAAAGAGGCAGATTCTTTTTTTTTTTTTTTTTTTTTTTTTGAAATGGAGTTTCACTCTTGTTGTCCAGGATGGAGTGCAATGGCGCTATCTTGGCTTACCGCAACCTCTGCCTCCCGGGTTCAAGTGGTTCTCCCGCCTCAGCCTCCAGAGTAGCTGGAATTACAGGCATGCGCCACCATGCCCAGCCAATTTTGTATTTTTAGTAGAGACGGAGTTTCTCCACGTTGGTCAGGCTGGTCTTGAACTCCCGACCTCAGGTGATCCACCTACCTCGGCCTCCCAAAGTGCTGGGATTACAGGAGTGAGCCACCGCGCCCGGCCGAGGCAGATTCATTTTTATGGCTTATATTTACACAACAAAAGTAGAATCTTCATTTCTATTGAAACAAAAGTAACAGTAATAAAAAAATGTGAAGATAACCCTTAAGACACCTGCACTTATATGAGAAGCCTTAACCAATCATATTGGAATTTGAATATTTGGTGTTAGTAACTTATTTTACCTAACAGACATGAAGGTAGCACCAGGCATTGTCCTAATAGTTTTACAATAAAATTGACTGATTTAGTTCTTACTATAACCCTGACAGGTAGATATTGTTAGCACTATTTTACAGAGGAGGAATCAGAAACACAAAAGGCTAAATAACTTCCGCAAGGCCAAACAGATCTAAGCATTGGTTTTAATATGGATATTGAAATTGTTTAAAATTTAATTTTTACATATTTAAGAGCATTCAGCCTACCAAGGCCTTATGCCACTTTTGCTAACATAATTTCTTTATCTTCTTTTAATTTCCTTAACATAGCTCTCCTAAAACTATGGGTAGTACATGGGGTTTTGGGGGGGTCAGGTAAGGAATAATTACATTTTGTGTGAATATTCAAATGATGCTTGGTAAAAATCTTTGATAACTTCTTAAGTGATTATTTCTCTCCTAAAATTCTTTGAATATAGGCATGTGAGCAGCAGTGACAGAGTGGGCAAGCCTTACCGTGGCGTAAAGCCTGTTTTCAGCATTGGGGATGAAGAAGAATACGACACAGGTGTAGTAATACACTTAGCTACAGACAGCTTTGCTGTCATTAGGAGTGATTACAGCAGTCATTCTGGGAATAGCCAATCAACTGCTTTTTTAAAAAAATGAGATTCTGTAGAAATAATTGGAGAATCTGTGGCTTTCTATTAAGAGTTTGGTTTTAGACACCTTGAATTGTTGTACGTATTAGAAATCCAAGCACCAACATGGCACATGTATACATATGTAACAAACCTGCATGTTGTGCGCATGTACCCTAAAACTTAAAGTATAATAATAATAAAATTTTAAAAAAAAGGAATCCAAGCAGAAATGTTGAGTAGAGGCAGTTGATTATAGGTGTCTTCAGCTAAGGAGAGAGGTTTAAACTGATGATAATTTGGAGGCTATCAGTGTGGAAATAGTATTTAAATCCAAGTGATGGGATTGAAATCCCTTTGATCAGATTGAAATTCCTTTGATCAGCCACCTAGGAGATTGAGAGTTGTGGGACTAAAGCACTGAAAATTACAAAATTGAGACATCTGAAGTCTTGAAACTGGAGGCAATATCCTAAAGGGCCACAAGATGGTGATACTGTGTCAGGGAAGTTTATCTTCTCTGTGGTTATGTTTTAAAAAAAATAATTTAGGCCGGGCGCGGTGGTTCACGCTGTAATCCCAGCACTTTGGGAGGCTGAGGCGGGCGGATCACTTGAGGTCAGGAGTTCAAGACCAACATGATGAAACTGTGTCTCTACTAAAAGTACAAAAATTAGCTGGGCATGGGAGTGCATGCCCATAATCCCAGCTAATTGGGAAGCTGAGGCAAGAGAATCGCTTTAACCCAGGAGGCGGAGGTGCAGTGAGCCAAGATCATGCTACTACATTCCAGCCTAGGTGACACAGCAAGACTCTGTCTCAAAAAAAAAAAAAAAAATTTAGTCTTTGGTTTATAATTCTACTGTCCAGCTTATCCTAATTAAGCAATCATAACTAATATTGGTTAATATGTGTATTGAGTTAGGTAAGCAGTCATAACTAATATTGGTTAATATGTGTACTGAGTTAGGGAAAAAATATATAAATGTACAGAATGAGAAAAAAAGACTCCCAAATCTCACCTTGCTTTTTCCAGTTAGTAATAAATACATGTTGCATATTTTCCATTTCAGCTCATGTATCTCCTCATTCTCCTTCTATCATATAAACATACCATACTTTATTTAGTCAGTCTTCCAGTTGACACTGGTGGTTTTCCAGGTTTTTTGTTTGTTTCAAATGACACTGGATCTTTATATAAAGATATATATGTAGATTAGCTTCTGATGACAGTATATTCAGAGGGTAAATTCTGCTAAGAATTTTAAATTTTAAATCTTACTGCTAAGTAAGATTGCTAGGTTATAGGGAATCACATTTGACATTTTAATAGATACATGAAATCACTTTTCAGAAAACTTGCAGAGAGGTAAATGTGATATTTCTGCTTGTTTCCTTTTCTTCTTTTTTCCCCTCTCTGTTGCCATCTCTTTCTGTTAACTCTCTGAATATCTCAACTTCTTCCATTAACAAAGGGGAGAGGCAAATGGATGAATAAATTGTGTCATATTTACATTTATCATGTATCTACACACACATATTTACAATATGGAAAATTGGACCATAATGAAAGTGAGAAAACTGAAACTATGTGTATCAGTATGTATGAATTTCAGATGTTGGGAGTAGGGTAGCAGTTGTGGAAGAATGCAGTTGAGTAGTCTACTTTTTATATACATTTATATACATTTAAGTGTATATATACATTTATATACATTTAAGTATAGAATACTACTGTATATTATTTAGGGATATGCATATATGTTAAAGCAAAGACATGTATGGAACTGATAACACCAAATTCAGATAATTAGTATTTCTTGGTGGGGAAGGGAGGAGAATGTGAGTAGGAGGAGATACATGAGAGTTTCACTTTTGTTTAAGCTGGTGTAGATAACGTGCGATTTCCTTTTTCATTATGTCTCTATATTTTGCAGTATTTGTTAGAAAGCAAAGGACAGAACCTGTAATTATTTACCTTAGAGACTGTATTATCCCTTTCTTAAATTAGAAAATATAATTATTTTATATTTCTCTTAGGGAAAATAACCTTAAATTTTTACTTATTTATCTCAGGATTGATTTTATTATTTTCCTTAAAATCAAAAAAGCAGCAAGATAAAACGAAATCTGCCATCTTTACTCTCAAGATAGGTGCCTATTGTTTAACAATTCAGCCATCTCTTTACAGACTAGTCAGATCATAGTTAAGTTATGCATATCAAAACAATTGAAATACCCCAAATGGTTTAATCTTTAAAAGTGTATTCTTAATATTTAAACCTGACTTTGTTACCATATGAAAGTGATGTTTGATAATAATATTTCTATATTATCAGTGGCATAAGGAAATAGAGTAGCAGGATTAGAATTGATTGCGTTATTCTTTTTTTTTTTTTTTCTTTTTTTTGAGACAGTCTCATTCTGTTGCCCAAGCTGGAGTGCAGTGGCGCAATCTCAGCTCACTGCAACCTCCACCTCCTGGGTTCAAGCGATTCTCATGCCTCAGCCTCCCGAGTATTTGAGATTACAGGTGTGCACCACCACACCCAGCTAATTTTTTGTATTTTTTAGTAGAGATGGGGTTTCACCATGTTGCCCAGGCTGGTCTCCAACTCCTGCCCTCAGGTGATCTGCCTGCCTCAGCCTCCCAAAGTGCTGTGATTGCAGGCGTGAGTCACTGTGCCCAGGCTGTTTGTTTTTCAATCCATATCTTCAAAATACTACTGAAATTTTTTTAGACTGTTAGGGAATGTATCATTTTAAAAGTTGGTAATATCCATATTTAATACTTTGTATTTTTTATAGATGAAATTGACAGTTCTTCAATGTCAGATGATGATAGAAAAGAGGTTGTAAACATTCAGACTTGGATAAACAAACCAGATGTCAAACATCATTTTCCTTGTAAAGAAGTAAAAGAAAGTGGACACATGTTTCCCAGGTACTTTTAAAAATGTCTTCATAAGAAGTAAAATTGAATTTGGGGAAGTTAATAATACAAAACTGAACTACAGAAGAACCTTTATTTATCCTAGTACAATAAGATATAATTCCCTTCTGTCTACTTGTATTACAGGTCTTGAATTTACAGTATTATGTAATTTTTATTTTGAAAAATTTTATACAAAAATGTTGAAGGAATAGTACATTGAACACCCTTATGATTCTTTTTTTTTCTTTTTGAGACGGAGTTTTGCTCTTGTTGCCCAGGCTGGAGTGTAGTGGCACGATCTCTGCTCACAGCAACCTCTGCCTCCCAGGTTCAAGTGATTCTCCTGCCTCAGCCTCCAGAGTAGCTGGGATTACAGGCATGCGCCACCACCCCCGGCTAATTTTGTATTTTTAGTAGAGACGGGGTTTCTCTATGTTGGTCAGGCTGGTCTCGAACTCCGGACCTCAGGTGATCCGCCCACCTCGGCCTCCCAAAGTGCTGGGATTACAGGTGTGAGCCACCGTGGCCGGCCATGATTCTTAGATTTATCAACTGTTACCACCTTTTAATACCACCCCATTTCGTATGTATATATATATACATATGCATGTATATGTACATTTTTGTCAAACCTTTCAAAAGAAGTCTACAAATGTGACACTTCATCCCTAAATGCTTCAGCATAAACTTCCCAAGTATATGAGCATTCTCCTGCACAACTTCAATGCCATTACCCCACCTAAAAATTTTTGTAAATTAACATCATTTAACATACAGATCATACCCCAAATTTTCAGTGTCCCCAAAGTATCTTTTGTAGTGTGTTTTTTCTTTGGTGATCCATGATCCAGTTCATGGTTTACACATTGCATTGTCTGTTATGTGTCTTTAGTCTCACCCTGTGTACAGCAGAACTCATCCCCCCACCCCCTCGCTTCCCTTTTCTCTTCATGATGAATGAATCCTTTGAGTCCAGGTCAATCATCCTACAGAATGTTCCACATTCTGCACTTGTCTGATAACTGTCGTATTGTATTACTGTACATAAAAAATGTGAGAGTATTATATTAAAAAGAAGCTGAGATACAGGGGTTGGGTGAGTGTTAATAATACTATGCTCATTTTGCCTTCAGGATCCAGTTACAGAATGTTTACAAAATATGTAGGGAAACCCAACAATTGCCTAGTGATCTTGGATATTAGATATAGGATATGGTGCATTGAATGAGAATAGTTTATGAATATAGGTAATAGCGTTAAAAAATCTGAAACGTAATATACTCCATTTCAATAAAAAATATATTATTGTAGTGATTTCTATGTTGTATGGAACTTTTTATTATATTTATTATATTTTCAATCATTGCAGGATTATCTGTTAATAAAATATTAATTTTGCATACAATTAAAAGGTGTTAATGTGTAGCTTACTTGTTTATAGATTAACCTCTGTTTATATCTTTTAACTCAATTTTATTTAGAGTTGAACATTTCTAATAATTGAGATGGTTGAAACAACACCTGTTTTGAATTAAATTTACTTAAAAATTCTTTTTCTTTTAATGCTTTTTTTGTCTCAAGTCATCTGTTGGTTACTGCAACACATATGTACTGTTTAAGGGAGATTGTTTCACGGAAAGGATTGGCTTATATACAGTCTCGACAAGCGCTGAATTCTGTAGTTAAAATTACATCCAAAAAAAAACATCCTGAACTCATTACCTTCAAGTATGGAAATAGCAGTGCTTCAGGAATAGAAATCTTGGCAATCGAAAGGTAAGATTTTCCTTAAGATAATATTATCTGAATTCAGATATTATCTGAATTACTGTAGTTCACTATAAAGAGTTTGTTTCTTTATTTTGGGGAATGGATGGTGGAATAGGATAGCTGAACCACTTTTAGTGTTTCTTATCTCTTTCTCCGGAGTCCTTAGTCATGTGTGGTTTAGCCATTAGCACATGATTTGAGTAAGTGCCATAGCTAATTTCATAAAGTTTCTGACCCAAGGATCCTTATTGTTAATCTGTACCAGTGCTGCACTAATTGCTGGCTTGCAGAGAAATAAGAAACTTGTTTTAGAATATGTTGATATTTTTATTTTCCTTCATCGAAAAATTCTTGTTTTGACAAACTGTCAGTGAACTAAGCAGTGTGCTGGGTGATATAGGTAATTTACAGCCTGGTACAAGCCCCCCTTTGTCTCATTGTGGGTCACTAACAGTTCACAGACTGGCCCAAGAGCTGTGGACCACACTGATATTGATACTAAACCATTTTTTAATTATAGATAAAAATATGAAGCCCAGAGGGGTGGAATGACTTCCCAGATCCTAACACTTAGTTTGTGACAGAACCAAATATAGCCTTCCTGACTCCTGATTTGTGGTTTATTATACCTTGCATCAGTTCAAGTTGTTCCCCCACTGGGATTTAGGATTACACTTATTATTTACAGGAGTGCTTGGATAAATAGTAAGCTTAAGGTTATATCGCAGCACTTTTAAATAATCAACTTCAGTTGGAAGAGGAAATTATTCAGCTTCTTTCATCTTGTACTGACAATTAGGTAGCAAACATCATGAATCTATACTGTTTTATGTAATTTGTTAAAAGAAAATAATACCTGATTTGTAAAAAAAAAAAAAATCACTTCATTGCTTTATGTAAGAATAAATATTTACATAGTGATATTTTCAATTAATAATATAAAGAATATGTCATTCTAATTCTCTGTTAACACATTGATGTGTATCTTCTCAGATTTTTTTTAATGCATATGTTATTTCTCTACTAAAAACTAGATAAATGTGATATAGGCTTGTTTTTGTGTTCTGATTTTTTAAGAAAATAGTATAGTGTGAATATACTTACATTTTAATAAATATAAATTTTTTAAAATTAATTAATTAATTTTTTTGAGACGGAGTCTCTGTCACTCAGGCTAGAGTGCAGTGTTGCAATCACGGCTCACTGTAAGCTCCGCCTCCCAGGTTCACACCATTCTCCCTGCCTCAGCCTACCGAGTAGCTGGGACTAGAGGCGCCCGCCACCATGCCCAGCTAATTTTTTTATTTTTAGTAGAGATGGGGTTTCACCGTGTTAGCCAGGATGGTCTCCATCTCCTGACCTCGTGATCCACCCACCTTGGCCTCCCAAAGTGCTGAGATTACAGGAGTGAGCCACCGTGCCCGGCCCAATAAATATAAATTCTTAGCTTTTTAATGGTAGATATTCTGTTATAAGGATTTCTCAGGAGATTGATTTAACAAGCCTCATGTTGATTGGCATTTACATTGTTTTCATGTGTTTCACTATTAATCTTCTAGTGGGCCTTTAAAAACATGTATGTTTACATAGTTGTCCAATTAGTCTTCTCAGGATAAATTCCTGCAAGTAGATTCAATGGGTGAGAGGTATACACATTTTAATATCTACTTATAAATTAATCCTAACCAAAGGAGATTTGAATTATGACTCTCTCATGTATAGTAAAAGTTGGGAATTGTGTTTTAAAGGCTTTCCCACAAATTTTGCTAAATAAATTGAAGTTTATTATATATGGATCAACATCTTTTTTTTTTTAATTCAGAGTTTTGGAAGATAGTCTTAATAGTGGAAGATAAAGTAACTAGATTCTCTCTCTCCCTTTCTTCATTGATATTTATGGTTCTCTATTCTGCCTCGCATATAACACTCATAGATGATTTATACAGTGGAATTGTTAGGTTTTACCGAAGATGCTTTTTTAAAAAAATACCACTATTTTTATTCTCCAAGAAAAGAAAATTGACATTTAATCTATGGTGTTGATATTTTGCAATAGTTATCATAAGTCTTATCTTTTTTAAATATTTCAGACCTCATAACGCCATTTTATTATGTACATAACCCTCTGTAAAGTTTGGATAACTATAGCTACTTTTTATATAGGAATCTGTTTTAGTGAACTTAAATTATTTGCTTAAAGTCAAACTATTAAGTGTTGGAATTGTCATTGTCTTTGGAATTGGATACCAACAATTCATGTGTGATTTTTGTAGCTAATTGAAGGTACATCTGTATTGGGGAGTGGAATATTATATTTTTTATCTTGTGTTTTATCTAGCTATTACCTATATTTAATAATGGTTCAAAGAATTTTAGCTTTACACTATATGAAAAATCACATTGCCTTTGCATTTAGATTTTCTTTCGAAATAAGCTTTGGATTATGTTCAAATAAGCTATGGGAGTACATAGGAGGCATCTCTGCTGGCTTTGTGGGTTAGGGAAAGCTTCCCATTGGAGGTGACCTATCAGCTGAGTCTTGAAGGGAAAGCACTGTATTTTTATATACATATACATATGTATATATATATGTATATATATGTATTTTTTTTCCCCCTTAGGTATTTGATTCCAAATGCAGGGGATGCAACTAAAGCCATAAAACAGCAGATCATGAAAGTTTTGGATGCTTTGGAAAGTTAATATAAAAGAAAATTATATAAAAAGAAATTAAGACAACCAAGAGAAACATGGACATATACCTCCTGACTGAATACTAACTGGAGACCTTTCATTTGCTCATGGGGCTGCTTAAATAGCAGGTCTAAGAAAGTGTAAATTATTATAATCAATCTGTGGACAGTAAACTTTTTAAAAATTTTTCTTCTGCATTTTGGTTTTATAAAATGATGTATTATAAAGGTCAGTTATTAAATTACTTTGAAGTAACTGACCCTGTGCCCTTATGGACTAAGTAAGGGTACAGAATGCAGTTCTGTTTTGAAGAGCTGTTTTAAGGGAACATGCATCACTTTCGGGATCAAAAACAACTGTACACATACATATCTGCAGTGTCTTCACTGAAAATTAGAGATAGAATTAGTTGAAGAGACTTCCTTAATTGCTACATTGTTTTACTCACTGAGCAATATCAGAAACTAAAACATAGATTAATAATTCACTCACTGTTTCTATTCTTCTTAAAAAGAGTGAAATCTTTTTAATGGAATGGTTGAAGATTCCTGCCAACTCAAAATACAGTACAGCTAGTAAAATGTTGAAACATCAGTTTCTAAATCACCTTTGCTCCATTAGCTAATTTTTTGGACACTAAATGCTTCAAAGATAAGAAACTTCATCCTAATGATTTCTAAAGAGCAGTTAAAAGCATTAAAATAAGTAGGTAGGCTGTTAAGATTAAAATTAACATTTTGGGGACAGAATTGTGTCTGTAAAAATGTCATTGGTTTTATTACAAGCGGATTATTTTATTCATATTTTAAAACAAATGTTTAAGCCACATTGATTTATCCTCATTGAGGATTATGGTCTGTGACCACAGTAATATCCACTTATATAAATGCCAAATAATCAGAGAGCTTATAAAGTACAATTGTTTTTGTCATCATTTTCTGAATTTCTTTCTCTTCTTTTGGTTTTGTCCTCTCATTGAAGTTCCAGTGGTTTGAAATTAGTTTTGGACACATTGTCTTAATGTACTGAAAATTGCTCTGCTGTATTTTGCAGCGTTCTTCATTTAATTTATAATGGTCCATATTAGACACATTTGGTAAGAGAAGTCCAGGAACACATTTAGGGCCATGGAATAGTATTTTGTAAAATCCATTTGGGAAGTTGCAATACCCACAATCTGACATGTCCTAAAATGTAAGGGATTATCTCTAAGGGGTTGATGGGAGAAATATTTAGATGTACCCTGTTAACAGCCAGTCATTTTGATTTACTTATGGAAATCAAGTGAATAAAAGGCAACATAATTTGGGAAATTTTATTCTAATATCTAATAAAAACAGTTTGAGTGGTTGAAGACATCTGCATGAAATTGCACCTAGGTGCATTACTTGATATAACTCTCCCCTAAAACTGTTGTAATTGCATTTTTTCCCTTTTCTTGGCACCCCTTTAGAAATGTACTGAAGTCTCATTTTTCACCCATTTCAGCCATGGGACATTTTTCATAATATTAATGTAAAGATGTTTGTGTTACTGTTTATAAATTACAATTGTAAATAAATTACTAGTTTGCCCAAAACTTTGTTCTTAAAGACACTGTCTCTCTCTTTCTTTTCCCTATTTGCAAATCTCTTAAGGTCACAAAATTAGAGAATTGAAGGCATGTAGTAAGTTACCTACTACCATGAACTACACAGTTACAGGATTATTTATGACTATTAAATGAAAATACATTTCATTGACTGTTCTAGGCACTTGTGTAGATCATCCTCCCTTCACTGGCCCACTGACCACAGAGCTGGGAATCACTCTGGGGTGGCCACCTCTCATGGGCTCTTGTGATTGCAAAGGTTGCAACTTTAGGAGGTTGTTTTTTGTATTTTCAAGATAAGGAAACCAAGGCTCAAAGAAATTGAGTGAAAAGAGAAAGTATTCCTCTTATCTCCACACTCCTTGGAAATTATTTTTGTCTGTGAAGGTATACAATTATTTCTCCTATATAGGATTGATGCCATTTGCCCACCATTAATAAAACTTGGTCAGTATGATAAATTTGTATTGACATACTCAACCATTTTTGTCACTGGTATGTTTCACACAGGACCTTTAACTCCTTAGCACGATACTCTTACATTAGACTAACCAGCCATAAATTGGCAGTCCTAGTTAAAATTCATAGTTTGATGTGGGGGAACCCCAACTCTATAGGTTGAATGAGTAATGAATGTAATATCTCAGTTTGATCACTAACATCTTGAACTTAACATATTTATTGAAGTATAATTGACATGCCTTAAAGTCCCCCCTTTCAGTAGTTATTGGAATATCCACAGAGTTGTGCAATTCTAGTTCTAGAACATTTCATCACCTCAGAAAAACAGCACAAATCCATACCTGTTAGTAGTCACTCTCCTTTCCCTCTTCCCTCCAGCCCTTACCAAGCACCATCCTACTTTCTGTCTCTGTGGATTCTGGACATTTCATTATAAAAGGAATCATACAATATGTGGTTTTTGCCAGCTTTTTTCACTTAATATACATATTTTGTTTTTCTAATTTTTAAATCACATCTAACTTCAAAACATATATACACATATACTTTTTTTTGGGTAGGGGGCGGGGATGGAGTCTCACTGTGGTGCCCAGGCTGGAGTGGAGTGGTAAGATCTTGGCTCACTGCAACCTCCACCTTCCCTGTTCAAGCAATGCTCCTGCCTCAGCTTCACGAGTAGCTGGTACTACAGGTGTGCGCCACCACACCTGACTAATTTTTGTATTTTTAGCAGAGACAGGGTTTTGCCATGTTGGCCACACTGGTCTCAAACTTGTGACCTCAAGTGATCTGCCTGCCTCAGCCTCCCAAAGTGCTGGGATTACAGGCATGAGCCACCATGCCCAACCTCAAAACATAATATTTTAAAGCTTCATTTGCATTGTAGCATGTATCAGAATTTCATTTTTGTGGCTGAATAGTATTATATAGATATAACTCATTTATTCATCAGATGGTGGACATTTGGGTTGCTTCCACTTTTTGGCTATTATGAATAATGCCCTGTGAACATTTGTGTACAGGTTTTTGTGTTAACATACGTTTTCAGTTCTTTTGGATATTACCTAGGAGTAAGTGGAATTACTGAGTTGTATGTTAATTCCATGTTTAACTTTTCGAGGAACTTCCAAACTATTTTCCACTTTACATCCCCACTGGCAATGTGTGAGTGTTCTGATTTCTCCACTTGCTTGCCAACACTTGTTACTGTGTCTTGTTGATTATAGAGATCCTTAGAGTGGCCACTGGGTACACCCACAAGTTCACTAACAGGGCAAGGAAAAACAGGTTGCCCATTTTTCATATCAGTGGAGTTTGATGGAAAGAGAGGTGCATTTTTGGAGTTGTTGTTATGTGTCAGAGACTTTGGAGAAATTGATTAAGGAAGGATTTTCATTTTCCTGATTGATAAGAAAAGAATTCAGCTATGGTCACTTACCCCTGCTAGAATGTTATGCAGTGTATTATGTGGCATGCAGTGTGTTACATAGTGCTTAACAAAAATATTTTTTATCAAGGACTTTTAAGGATCAAGGACTTAGATCTAAGACCTGAAACTATAAAAATTCTAGAAGATAACACCAGAAAAACCCTTCTAGACACTGGCTTAGGCAAGGATTTCATGACCAAGAACCCAAAAGCAAATGCAATAAAAACAAAGATAAATATTTGGGACAATTAAACTAAAGAGCTTTTTTCACGGCAAAAGGAACAATCAGCAAACAGACAACCCACAGAGTGGGAGAAAATCTTCACAATCTATACATCTGAAAAAGGACTAATATCCAGAATCTACAACAAACTCAAATTAGCAAGAAAAAAATCCCATCAAAAAGTGTGCCCATGGAATACTATGCAGCCATAAAAAAGGATGAGCTCATGTCCATTGTAGGGACATGGATGAAGCTGGAAACCATCATTCTGAGCAAACTGTTGCAAGGAAAGAAAACCAAACACCGCATGTTCTCACTCACAGGTGGGAACTGAACAATTAAAACATTTGGACACAGGGTGGGGAACATCACACACCGGGGCCTGTCGTGGGGTGCAGGGCGGGGGGAGGGATAGCATTAGGAGATATACCTAATGTAATTGACAAGTTAATGGGTGCAGCACACCAACATGGCACATGTATACATATGTAACAAACTTGCACGTTGTGCACATGTACCCTAGAACTCAAAGTATAATTTAAAAAAATTCAGGGCATATAAACAATCAAATTTTGTTCTACCACAAAAAAAAAGTGTGCTAAGGACATGAATAAACAATTCTCAAAAGAAGATATACAAATGGCCAACAAACATATGAAAAAATGCTCAACATCACTAATGATTAGGGAAATGCAAATCAAAACCACAATGTGATACCATCTTACCCCTGCAAGAATGGCCATAATCAAAAAATTAAAAAGAAAAAAAGATATTGGCATGGATGCTGTAAACAGGGAACGCGTCTATGCAGCTGGTGGGAATGTAAAGTAGTACAACCACTGTGGAAAACAGTGTGGAGATTCCTTCAAGAACTAAAAGTAGAACTACCATTTGATCCAGCAGTCCCACTGCTGGGTACCTACCCAGAGGAAAAGAAGTCATTGGTTGGTCACGGTGACTCACACCTGTAATCTCAGCACTTTGGGAGGCCAAGGCAGGTGGATCACCTGAGGTCAGGAGTTCGAGACCAGCCTGGCCAACATGGTGAAACCCCGTCTCTGCTAAAAATGCAAAAATTAGTTGGGCATGGTGGTGGGCACCTGTAATCCCAGCTACTCGGGAGGCTGAGGCAGGAGAATGGCTTGACCCCAGGAGGCGGAGATTGCAGTGAGGTGAGATTGTGCCATTGCACTCCAGTCTGGGTGACAGTGCAAGATTCCATCTCAAAAAAAAAAAAGTCATTGTAAGAAAAAGATAACTTGCACACACATGTTTACAGCAGCACAATTTGCAATTGCAAAAATGTGGAACCAACCCAAATGCCCATCAATCAATGAGTGGATAAAGAAACTGTGAGATATATATATATATATGATATTCAGCCATAAAAAGGAATGAATGAATGGCATTCGCAGCGACCTGGATAATATTGGAGACTATTTTTCTAAGTAAAGTAACTCAGGAATGGAAAACCAAACATCGTATGTTCTCACTCATAAGTAGGAGCTAAGCTATGAGGATGCAAAGGCATAAGAATGAGACAATGGACTGTGGGGACTCGGGGAAAGAGTGGGAAGGGGGTGAAGGATAAAATACTACAAATTGGGTGCAGTATATACTGCTCGGGTGATGGGTGTACCCAAATTTCACAAATCACCACTAAAGAACTTACTCAGGTTACCAAACACTACCTGTTCCCCAATAACCTATGGAAATAAAACAACTAAAATAAATAAATAAAATGAAAAAAATAGACCCCCACAAATAATGGGCAGTTGTTTTGAGCAAAGTTTCAAAGGCAATTCAATAGAGAAAGGATAGTCTTTTCAACATACACTGTTGGAACAACTAGATACCCATATACAAAGAAATTAATCTCAACCTATATACCTCAAACCTTATACAAAAATTAACTCAATGCATCATACAGCTAAATGTGCAATGTAAACCTATAAAACTAATAGAAAACAGGAGAAAATTTTCATGATCTTGGGTTAGGCCATAGTTCTTAGACATATGAAAAGCACAATCCATAAGAATGAATCATGTCTATTATCCCAGCACTTTGGGAGGCCGAGACGGGCAGATCACGAGGTCAGGAGTTTGAGACCAGCCTGGCCTGCAAGGTGAAACCCCCTCTCTACTAAAAATACAAAAATTAGTCGGGCTTGGTGGCGTGCGCCTGTAATCCCAGCTACTTGGGAGGCTGAGATAAGAGAATCACTTGACTCTGGGAGGCAGAGGTTGCAGTGAGCCGAGATCACCACTGCACTCCGGCCTGGGTGACAGAGAGAGACTCCATCTCAAAAAAAAAAAAAAAAAAATCTTAAATTTAAAAATTTTGCTCTGCAAAAGACACTTAATAGAAGGGAAAGACAAGCTACATACTGGGGAAAAATACTGTACTTGCAAAACATACCAACAAAGGATTTGTGTTCAGAATATATAAAGATTTTCACTACAACAATAAGAAAACAAAACAATGGGGAAAAGAAGCAATTCTTCAGAGAAAGATGGGTGGCAAATAGGCATGTGAAAAGATCATCATTAGCTGTTGGGGAAATGTAAATCAAAACCACACCAGTTAGAATGGCTAAAATTAAAAACAAAAAATGACAATACCAAGTGCTGGTGAGGATATGGAATAACTAGAACATTCATACATTGCTGGTGGGTGTACAAAATGGTACAGACACTCTAGACAACAGTTTGGCCATTTCTTGTAAATAAACATATGTTTACTATACAACCCGGCAATCCCTCTCCTAGGTATTTACCCTAGGGAAATGAAAACTTAACATCCACACAAAAGAGTTCATGGTTATAACTGCTATACTGTGCCACCTCTTTGCTGTTTGCTGTCCTGGAAACAGCAGGCGAGAGCTAGTGGCCTTCTCAGTGTTTGCTTTTCTCTTCAGGTTGCCAGCTTTACTCAGTTACCTGTCTAACCCACGTGGGTATATTAAATTGGTCTCCCAACGTTAAGTAACTTGTCCAAAGTTACATGGTGTGTCAGCAAAGTTTTGAACTCAGGTCTCCTGATTTGCAGAGAACTGCATCAGAAATTTAAAAATTCTGTGTATCTATGCATTTATGTGTATATTTAGATGCATACACACTCTTTGACTCCTCCCTGTACACAGTTCTAACCCAATATGATAATTCCCAAGTTTGATCCTTTGCTTTCTGTAGTATACTCTTTCCTTCTCCGATTGCATCTACTCATAGATTTCTTCTCTTATTCTTTGCAAATGACTGCAATTCTGATTTTCAGCCCCTAATTTCTGACTGCTGTAAGTCACTTGCGTATTGTGGTGTTACGAGGTATACACACACATACATACACACATTTTCAAGCACGGTCCCTGACTCCCATAGCCTTGTTAAGTCTTTTGTTATAATGCCAGTTGTGTTAGGCCTCAGGGGCAGGCCTCAGGAAACAGAATCTCTCTGGCCTCTCCTGCTCTCCTTTCACCTGCCCCAAGGCAGAACTCTAATCTTGCTGATTGTGGGTCTTAAATACCTCCTGAGAGCTCCTGCCCCATCCCTTGGAGGAAGGAATGCTGATAACATAAAGTTCCCATAAAGGCCAATAGAACTGGGTTTGGAGAGCTTCTAGATAGCTGACCACGTTCGTGGAGGTTCTGGAGGGCATGGAAGCTTTGTGCCCCTCCTCCCATACTTTGCCCTACACATCTCTTCCTTGTAGCCTTTGCAACATCCTTTATAATAAACCAGGAAACATGTTTCCATGAGTTCTGTGAGCTGCTCCAGCAAGTTATTCAAACCCAAAGATGGGATCATGGCAACCCCAACTTGAAAGTGGTTGGTCAGAAGTTCTGGAGTCCAAGACATATGACTGGTGCCGGTGTGTCTTCCTCAGGTAGACAGTGTTGGAATTGAATAGGAGGATACCCAGCTGGTGTCCGCTGCTTGGTGGTAGGGAGGAACCCCCTCACATTTGGTCCCAGAATTCTTCTGTGATGATGATTGTTGTGGTGGTGATGTAAGAGCAGAGGAAAAACACGGAGAGTTTTCCTGGAACACATATCCACCTCTCCCCCAAAAACTGAGCTCACGTTCCCCTAGACTCACCTCATACTATGAAGCGGCAGCTGGAGGAATGCTGATGGAAAGGAGAGACCAGTTAGGAAGTGCCTGTAGCAGTCTCCCCAAGGTGAGGAAGGCCTACCTGTGGACGGTGGTGGTGGGAACTGAAAGGAGGAATCAGGGACATTTCCTGAGAGTAAGAAGAGCCCTGTCCCTTACCAGAGGTGGGGAATGAAAGACTCGAAAGTCACTGAAGTGACTTAGGTTTTCTTGGAGGGCTGGAAAGCAGGGAGAATTAGAAAACTGGGCATAAATTGTGGTGCCTGTAAGTGCTGGGTGGAGAAGCTCTTTTGGAGGTGATACATTTAGTTTCACATAGTTGAGTTGGAACTGATGTTGAGACATGTAAATAGAGATGGCGGCAGCCGGAGATGTTGAAATAGGTCCTCTGGAGTAAAAATAAAAATCTGACTAGTAACAGCCTGGAAATGGTCATTAAGCCTGTGAGACATGGGTAGAAATGAGAATAGAGACTGAAAAGGCACACCAGATTTTTAGCTGGGCTTTCAAGATCCATTTGGCCTGGTAGTTTTGTTTTTTGGCCTATTTTCATACGTCAGATGAACAGGAACATGGAAACGAAGGCAGAGCTGCTGCAGAGAAGGGACAGTGAGGGGAGTGGTGGTGGGGAGGGCTGCACAAACTTCACCCTTCAGCCAGATTCTTCTTCCTTTGCCTCTAAATCCTTTCACATACAGGTGAGGAAAAGGTCCTGAGGGTGAGGTGATTTGCCCTAGGTATTAACATCTAATCAGTGTCAGAGCCAGAACCAGAACCCAGTGACTAGCTTTTCCATTGTGCCCAGAAAGTTCTAAAGAAAGGTTTAAAAAGCGCACTTTCATTTAGCTTTTCCTTTTCTAGGAACACCCCTAGTGCCCAAGTCAGCAGTTTCCCTGCATGTGACAGAGGGACACAGTACCCATAGGCTTTTGGTCTTGATGGCCTTCTCCTGGTCCTGCTTCTCTCTCTCTCTTTTTTTTTTTAATGGAGTCTGGCTCTGTCACCCAGGCTGGTGTGCAGTGGCACAATCTCGGCTCACCGCAACATTCGCCTCCCAGGTTCAAGTGATTCTGCTGTCTCAGCCTCCTGAGTAGCTGGGATTACAGGTGTGTGCCACCACGCCCAGCTAATTTTTGCATTTTTAGTAGAGACGGGGTTTCACCATGCTGGTCAGGCTGGTCTCGAGCTCCTGACCTCTTGATCCACCTGCCTCCACCTCCTGAAGTGCTGGGATTATGTTAATTATTAAATCTAGGAGGAGGACACAGCTGTTCCTCCACCAGGCAGTGGCGCCCGGCCTGGTCCTTCTCCTCTAATGGCTCCTTCCCAGGCTCCACAGGCCCTTCTTCTTTTGCGTGTGCCTTTCATACTCCGCTTGTGTGTTCTCATCCAAATTCAGAGCTTCCTCTTAGTTAAAACTGCTGGTGACTCCCAAGTCAATTTCCAGCCCAGACATCTTCTGAGCTTGAGGCTTTGGTCCGGTTGCCTACTGGGCATCTCCACCTGGATGCCATGGCTCATGCCTATAAGGCCAGCACTTTTTGAAGCCAAAGTGGGAGGATCACTTGAGCCTAGGAGTTTGAGACCAGCCTGGGCAACACTGTAAGAATCCACTTCTAAAAAAATGAAATAATTTGCATTTTGAACAAGCACTTCAAATAACATTTCCAGCCAGGTTTAGGACCACTATTAGTTACAATGTTAGTCCAATAAATTTGGAAATCTAGATGAATTTTTTTAACAGGTTGTAAGTGACCACAGGTTGACCCTGAAACCTCATAGGTTAATAAGCATAGCAGAAATGAAAAGGTTTTTAAAGATCTTCCTGCTACAAAGCCAAGTCCAGATAGTCTCTTAAGCTGCAGAAAGACCATAACTGCTATGTATTTCCCCCCAATTTTTTTTTATGAAAGCTTAAAATTTTAAACTTCTACAAAGTTTTAATCTAGTACCATGAACAGCTGTGTCCTCCTCCTAGATTTAATAATTAACATTTTGCCATATTTGCTTTATCTTATGTGTTTTCTTTTTGCTGACGATTTTCAAGTCAAACATTCTGATGGTTCATCCCTAATACTTCCTCATTTTCTAAGAGTAAAGAATTGTCACAAGCACAACACTATAGCACACAAAATAATTCAGAAAAGCATCAAATATCTCGTTCATATTTAAATCTCCCTAGTTGCCCCCAAAATGTTTTTATAGTGTTCTTTTACAAACCAAGATCTGTTTCAGTATAAACTATTCTGGGGCATTCCAAAAGGTGGTTAAGTTTTGGATTTTTGTTCCACAAGTCTGACAAGGCACAAAAACACAAAACACGAAAATTAAAAAGCAATCTAATAAATAAAAATGCAAAAATCATAGTCTATAGGCTGGGCGCAGCAGCTCACGCCTATAATTCCAGCACTTTGGGAGGCTAAGGCAGTAGGGTCTTGAGCTCAGGAGTTTGAGACCAGCCTGGGCAAAATAGCAAGGCCCCACCTCTATTAAAAGTAAAAAACTTAAAAAAAAAAAAAAAAGAAAGAAAGAAAGAAAAAGAAAAAAGGAAAAGAAATAGCTAGGTGTGGTGGTGTGTGCCTGTAGTCCCAGCTACTTGGGAGGCTGAGGACGGAGGATCGCTTGAGCCGGGAGGTTGAGGCTGCAATGGGCTGAGACTGCTGCACTGCACTCCTGACTGGATGACAGAGTGAGACCCTGTCTAAAACAAACAAACAAAAAAGGATATTAGCAAAGAGATGACAATGTATTCGAGGACTGACTTGTTGAGGGCATGGCGTTGAACCCTCAGCATCTTTCCCGTTGGCCTAGCAGCCTTGTAGTCAGATTTTACAGACGTCTCGCGTGCCTAAACCAACCAGGGTCATTCCGTCCCCGTCACAGAGACTTGTTCAAATAGCTCAAGCCCATCAGCATACGGTGTTAACCTGGCCACAGAGGTGATTCAACCAGCTAGAAGTTCAGTCCTTTTGCGGAGAATCAGCAAACGCTACAAATCAGGGCTTTCCTCCCTGAAAAGTCTGGTTGTTAAGACATTCACCAGCACACCACCTCGACTTAGGCCGTTCCCTTTTGCCCTTTGCCTTTCGAGGCATGCTTTTTCCGGACTGTGTTGCAATTAACCATTTCTCGTTGGTCCGTCCTGGTGTTACAGGCGCACTGGAATGAACGCAGACCCTTCTCTCCTCCCGGCCGGGGCCAGGAGGAGGGGTGGGGCGGGGCCTCTGACGCGGTCCCCGCCCCACCGTAGCGACGCCGCGGTCCGCCGGATCTCCAGCGCTCAGTCCGCGCCGCAGGTGGTGCTTGTCTGCAGAGTCATGACCTGTAAGTGGCGCGGCCGCGCGCTGCAGCTCGAGTTCGGGCCGCGGGGGAGGCTTTGGAGCGGCGCCGGCGGTGGCTCGGCCGGCTCAGCCCCTCCGCCCCGCGTCCCCGCCGTGCGCGGCCTTCCCTGAGGCGGGCGTCCGCGTGGGTCCGGGATCGCGTGGCCGGGCGGCCGGGCGCACTCCCGGGATTCCAGGCTTCCGGGGTGGCGGGCGAGGCCCAGAAAGCACCAGGCCACCCGGCCGCGCCGGCACCCGCCGCGTCCTGCTTGACAGAGGCTGATGGACGTGTATTTCTCCACGGTGTGGGCCGCGGTGGTAGGATCCAACTCCCTTGGGTGTTTTCAAGTTGCGTGACCTCCTCCAGCCCCGCCCTGCACAAAGGTGCCCAGGCGGTTCTTCGTCTCCCCACTCACTTTCCAGCTCCAGATTTTGACTTGGATTCTTGCTGTGTCACTTACTTTGTTCAGTGACTTTGTGCAGCTTTCCCCCTGCAAGTCCCCTGTTTCTTTATTTGTAAAATGATGTTAATGATACCTCACACAATGATGTTAATGTGTGAAGGACCTGGCACATTGCTTTAAATGTTATTCCTTTGTTGTTTCCTTCGCTCACAGTATTTTATTCTTTTTTTCCGCCCCTTGGTAAGGTCTTCGTTGTTAGATTATGATGAATATTAGGGCAGCCTTAAAAGTCTTCACTTTACAGATGAGATGGAGTGACGGGCGTCTCCTCCTCAGCATGAGGAACTGCCCAGTGGCGGGGTTTCCCTGCTGCAGCATGTCTGTAGAGTGGGTCATTTGCAGAATGATAGGCAGTCCTAAGCTTAGTTGAGGACCCCGCCCTTGTGGGTGAGATGTGTAGGAGAGGAAGCCATCAGCGTAGCCATGGTGAGCTTTATCTTTCCCACCCTCGGAAGCACAGACATGGCCCGGCACGTGGCTCACGCCTGTAATCCCAACAGTTTGGGAAGCTGAGGCACGAGGATCGCTTGAGTTCACGAGTCAAGAGTTGGAGACCAGCCTGGGCAACATGGCGACACCTTGTCTGTACTAAAAAATACAAAATTAGCCCGGTGTGGTGGCACGCCCCTTTAGTCCCAAACTACTTGGGAAGCTGAGGAGGGAGAATGGCTTAACGCTGGGAAATGGAGGGGAGACGTTTAGTGGATTTATCTGCTGTTCTGATAACAGCTCAAAATATCTGTTTGCCCCAGAATAATCCCAGCTTTTATTTCCTGTTTTAGTTTCCCTTCAGATTCTATAACTATTTAGCAGGCTGCCTTCAGGGTTAAATTTAGTGCTTCTCACTATATTTAGGATAGATCAAGGAATGGGACATCTGAGTTTTCCTTTTAGTTAACCCTGAGCCAAACAGGCCTTCATCAGAGGCCAGGGTTTGTCATTGTTGCCTTTTCTGGAGACATTTGCGTTGTTACAGGAAACACCCAAAAGAGATAGCTCTCTAATGGTAGGATTTTCAGACTCTGGAGCAGAGGTGGGATGGGAAGTTCGGGCAGGCCATTACTAATTGAAGGGGTGGGTTGCCCCTCCACACCTGTGGGTGTTTCTCGTTAGGTGGAACGAGAGACTTGGAAAAGAAAAAGACACAAACAAAGTATAGAGAAAGAAGTAGGGGGGCCCAGGGGACCAGCGTTCGGCATACGGAGGATCCCGTCGGCCTCTGAGTTCCCTTAGTATTTATGATCATTCTTGGGTGTTTCTCGGAGAGGGGGATGTGGCAGGGTCATAGGATAATAGTGGAGAGAAGGTCAGCAGATAAACACGTGAACAAAGGTCTCTGCATCATGAACAAGGTAAAGAATTAAGTGCTGTGCTTTAGATATGCATACACATAAACATCTCAATGTCTTAAAGAGCAGTATTGCTGCCCGCCTGTCCCCCTTCCAGCCCTAAGGCGGTTTTCCCTATCTTAGTAGATGGGACATAGAATCGGGTTTTATACCGAGACATTCCGTTGCCCAGGGACGGGCAGGAGACAGATGCCTGCCTTCCTCTTGTCTCAACTGCAAAGAGGCGTTCCTTCCTCTTGCACTAATCCTCCTCAGCACAGACCCTTTACGGGTGTCGGGCTGGGGGACGGTCAGGTCTTTCCCTTCCCACGAGGCCATATTTCAGACTATCACATGGGGAGAAACCTTGGAGAATACCTGGCTTTCCTAGGCAGAGGTCCCTGCGGCCTTCCGCAGTGTTTGTGTCCCTGGGTACTTGAGATTAGGGAGTGGTGATGACTCTTAAGGAGCATGCTGCCTTCATGCATCTGTAACAAAGCACATCTTGCACAGCCCTTAATCCATTTAACCCTGAGTGGACACAGCACATGTTTCAGAGAGCTCGGGGTTGGGAGTAAGGTTATAGTTTAACAGCATCTCAAGGCAGAAGAATTTTTCGTAGTACAGAACAAAATGGAGTCTCCTATGTCTACTTCTTTCTACACAGACACAGTAATAATCTGATCGCTCTTTCTTTTCCCTACACTAATAATTCCTGAAGTTTTGCAGAGCTTCATAGATTATAATGTGCTTTGGATCCTTTACTGCTGCGTCCCACCAGACCATAAGCAGGAACTATGTATCCATCAGGGTCCAGACAGGACATGGAAACAACACTAGTAACTCGAACAAGGAAAATTATTTATTTATTTATTTATTTTTTTGGAGACTGAGTCTCACTCTGTCGTCCAGGCTGGAGTGCAGTGGCGCGATCTTGGCTCACTGTAACCTCCAACTCCCAGGTTCAACTGATTCTCCTGCCTCAGCCTCCTGAGTAGCTGGGATTACAGGTGCCCACCACCACACCTGGCTAATTTTTGTATTTTTAGTAGAGACGGGGTTTCACCACGTTGGCCAGGCTGGTCTGAAACTCCTGACCTCAGGTGATCACCTGCCTTGGCCTCCCAAAGTGCTGGGATTACAGGCGTGAGCCATCACACCCGGCGGAAAATTTTATATAAAAAATTATTATCTGGCCAGGCGTGGTGGCTCATGCTTATAATCGCAGCAGTTTGAGAGGCTGAGGCAGGAGGATCGCTTGAGCCCAGGAGTTCGAGACCAGCCTGGGCAACAAAGTGAGACCCTGTCTCTACAAAAAATTACATAATTAAAAAATTAGCCCGGCATGGTGGTGCATACCTGTGGTCCCAGCTACATAAGAGGCTGAGACAAGAGGATTGCCTGAACTGAGTAGGTCAAGGCTGCAGTGGACCATGTTTGTGCCACTGCACTCCAGCCTAGGCGACAGAACAAGGCCCTGCCTCAAAATAAAAAATATTAGCTAATGGAAAGTGATTATCATAAAAGCTAAAAGGGAACTTTAAAGAACAGAAGAAAAGCAAATATGATGTATAGCTACTACCTCCAGGAAGAAATAAGCTTGGAAGAGCCCCCAACCTCCTTGCTCCAGGGCTGAGCACAGACCTTGTCAGGGCTGGCTACATAATTTGTGGGGCCCAGTTCCCTTGTTCAGATAGCAAGAGAAAAGTGCTGTTAGCTTTTCCTTCTGCAGTATCTCTTTCAACCTCTCATGGTGTTATTTGCTGTTTAATATCATGTTCTCTTGGACACATGAATACTTATGGGGTAAGTGCAGACTTTTAGAGGTGCCTGGGACCCCTGTCCTGTGAATAGGCATGTGTGCAGCTCACTGGCTGCCAGGTTTTCCCTCTGCCAGCAGCGGGATCGATGTGCTGTGACCCAGCCAGTAGTGGGGAAACTGAGACAGACATCTTCCCTTCCCATGAGCTGGGCTGCTCATGGGAATTATGTGAGCAGCTTCCAAGGAATCACACTTTCTGTGCTGGGACATACTCAGTATATGGATTGGAGGTAGACGAGAGGCCCATGAACAAACAGTAAGGGACAGGACCATATTCAAACCCAGTCTTTTTACTTTAAGCCATATTCTCATTTCATTCCCTACACTGCGTAGTAAGAAGCTGGTTCACTCTAGATTCTTGTGCCTGGCATGGGACTTTGCCCATGGATATTGCTCTATCTCCAGATAGATTTTAGACTATTGACATTTTGGACAGGATAATTCTTCGTTGTGTTATGGAGGGGGTTGTCCTATGCATTGTAGGATGTTTGGCAGTATCCTTGGTCTCTATTCATTAGATGCCACTCATACCTCATCAGTTGTGGCATCAAAGGTATCTTCAGACATTGTCAGATGTCCCCCCGGGGACATAACTGCCTTCCATTTGAGAACTATGGCTCTGTCTGAATCCAGCAGTTCGATCTTCTGATAGCTGTTTTCTTTTGTCTTTGTTCTCAGCTTTCCGCTTGGCCCTCATCCAGCTTCAGATTTCTTCCATCAAATCAGATAACGTCACTCGCGCTTGTAGCTTCATCCGGGAGGCAGCAACGCAAGGAGCCAAAATAGTTTCTTTGCCGGTCAGTATGGGAGCAGCCATTCTGTTCTAGCCACTGTACACCCAAGCAGAACGGTGTTTGCTAGCTCTGGTTGTCCTCTTGTATCCTGGGGTCCAGCAGTGTCCCTTGGAGCCCATAGATTGTTCCGAGTCTGACTGGAGGATGACCTTAGCAAGGTTCTTTGTGAGATAGGATGTGCCAACACGGTCATAGGTCTTTAGGTTTTGGATCTTCCTCTTTGTTCAGATGAGGAAGCCAAAATCCTAGTATATTGAGGGACTTACGGAAAACTAAAATACTCAGTGCTTGGATACTTTGTTCCTTATTTAACTAAGTCTTTATAGAACCAGAACATATTGGTTTTAGCACTAAGCCTCCAACATTTTTTTTTTAAATGAGCTCTGGGAGAACACCTGTGATTTGTCTCCTCCAACCCACTAGGCTAGCTTTGTAGTCTTACCTGTGGCTACAGGCTCTTTACCCTTGAGATGTCAGTGTTTTTCTTATTAGCTGTGTTTTAACCCTTCGACTGAAAGCAGAGCTAGAAGCAGCAGCTATGGCCTCTTACAGCAGAACTTTAAAATGGGTGGGTGTTTTGATCTTTTTTTTTCTCTGCCAATATTTTTCTAGGAATGCTTTAATTCTCCATATGGAGCGAAATATTTTCCTGAATATGCAGAGAAAATTCCTGGTGAATCCACACAGAAGCTTTCTGAAGTAGCAAAGGAATGCAGCATATATCTCATTGGAGGTAACTTCCTACCCACAAGGTATAATGACCTAAACATTAGAAACATCTGAATGAGTCAGGTGTGGTGGCGTGCGCCTGTATTCCCTACTTGGGAAGCTTCAGCTTGGGAAGCTGAAGCAGAGAGTTTCTTTTTCTTATTTATTTATTTTTTTTGAGGTGAGGTCTTGCTTTGTCACCCGTGCTAGAGTACAGTGGTGTGATCATGGCCCACTGCAGCCTCACCCTACGAGGCTCAAGTGATTCTCCCACCTCCTGAGTAGCTAGGACTGCAGGTGTGCGCCACCATGCCTGGCTGATTTTTGTATTTTTTTGTAAAGACAGAGTTTCACCTTGTTGCCCAGGCTGGTTTTGAACTCCTAGGCTCAAGCAGTCTGCCCACCTTGGCCTTCCAAAGTGCTAGGATTACAGGTGTGAGCCATCATGCCAGGACTGTTTTTTACTATACTAATAGAGGATTGAGAAAAAAAATTTTTTTCCATAGAGGCCACATACATAAAGGTAGCTTTATTTTTGTGGTTTTGGAATAAATGTTTAAAGGTTTTATTTGCTTAAATAAAAAATAAACACAGAAAAATTCTATAAATATAGCAAATACAATTTTTTCTGTATGATGATATATTAAGAATTAGAAATGAAGGCAAAGCAAGAAGCCTGGAGATGAAACTGCATTCAGTGATGGAGAGGCTTCTGACTTTACGTTCTCATCTTTTGGGACACAGTTTTGTTGCAGAACCTGGTGAATTCAAGTTAAGCAATGGGAAATTTCTCATTTTGCCCTAATGTTACAGATTAAGTGTTACTCAAGATCATGGCTGAATTTCAGGAACAGTTTGGTTATTTTTTAAACCTGTCTTTGGCATCTAACCTAATCATATCCCATCTACACTCTGGAGTTTATCTCTGAAAGATCATATTCAAGAAGGAAAAAAAAAACCATGATTAAGTAACCCATAGAAGGGAATACTTATTCTGTATTATAGAATGAGGTGTTGCCTTATTCTAAAAACAAAATGAATAAATAAACCGTAAAAGATAGGTTCTTTATTTTTGGACCCAAGTTATCAGGCTTTTATCCCTTTCTCACAAAAGAATTGCTCTATTCTTTTTCTTATGGTATGTTTCTTCTCTCAATGAAAGGCTCTATCCCTGAAGAGGATGCTGGGAAATTATATAACACCTGTGCTGTGTTTGGGCCTGATGGAACTTTACTAGCAAAGTATAGAAAGGTAAGTAGGAAGTGTGGCATAAGAATTTGTTATCTCTAAGCCAGCAACAATGTGTGGAAAAAAAATTTGCTATGAAGTTCCCTAGTCCCTCTCATTATATCACACATGTATTAGGGTTTTGACTGATTGGCACAGGTGGTTATTCTTGGCCATTTGCATTTTTATATAAGTTTTAGACTCAGCCTGTCAATTTCTGCAAAGGAACAAGCTATAGTAATTTTTTTTTTGACAGAATCTCGCTCTGTCACCCAGGCTGGAGTATAGTGGCACAATCTTGGCTCACTGCTAGCTCTGCCTCCTGGGTTCACACCATTCTCCTGCCTCAGCCTCCCGAGTAGCTGGGACTACAGGTGCCCACCACCATGCCCAGCTAATTTTTTGTATTTTTAGTAGAGACTTGGTTTCACCGTGTTAGCCAGGATGGTCTCAATCTCCTGACCTCATGATCCACCCGCCTCAGCCTCCTAAAGTGCTGGGATTACAGGCATGAGCCACCGTGCCCAGCCAACCTATAGTAATTTTTATTAGTATTTCATTGAATATATAGAGAACACTGTGGGAAGAGTTGCCATCTTTTTAGTATTAAATGCGTATACATGACCAGGTGCAGTGGCCCATGCCTGTAATCCCAGCACTTTGGGAGGTCTGAGTAAGTGGATCACCTGAGGTCAGGAGTTCAAGACCAGCCTGGCCAACATGGTGAAACCCCATCTCTACTAAAAATACAAAATTGGCTGGGTGTAGTGGTGCACACCTATATAGTCCCAGCTACTCAGGAAGCTGAGACAGGAGAATTGCTTGAACCCAGGAGGTGGACGCTGCAGTGAGCCAAGATTGCGCCACTGCACTCCAACCTGGGCAAGACAGAGCAAGACTCCATCTCAAAAAAAAAAATCATATACATTTAGTATCATTAAGTCTTCTTGATGAGTTGACCCTTTTATCATTATGAAATATCTCTTTTTTTTCTTGTAATACCTCTTGTCTTGAATTCTGCTTTATCTCTGCTATCACTATAGCCACTCCAGCCTTCTTATGCCTAATGTTTGCTGGTACGTGGTTTTTCCAGTTCTTTGTTCTCAAGCTATATGTGTTTTTATATTTTAAGTGGATCTCTTTTGTCAACAGCATATAATTGTATCTTAATTTTTTCTTTATTCTGACAATCTGTGTCTTTTAATTGAAGTGGTTAGTCCATTTATATTTAATGCACTTATTGATATGATTGAATTTAGGGATAGAGACATTTTACTTTTTTTTCCCTTTGTTCATCTTTTCTGTATTATTTTGGATTAATTGAATATTTTTTAGAGTTCTGTTTTAATTTATCTATTGGCTTTTTAGTTATACATCTTAGCTTTTTTTTTTTTTCCAGTTGTTGCCCTGGGAATTATCATATGCATCCTTAACTTTTCACAGGCTACTTAAGAGTTCATATTATATCATTTCATGTGAAATTTAAGAACCTTATAATGATATAGGTCCATTTTTCTACCCCACTGCCCCTGCCCTCATTCTTTATGCTATAGTTGTCATTTGTATTCCATGTATATATGTTATAAATCCCACAAAACAGGAATACTTGATTTAAATAGTCATATGTATTTTAAGGAAATTAAGAAGAAAAAAATCTTTATGTTTACCCAAATATTTATCATTTCTGGTGTTTTTCTTTCCTTCCTGAAGATCCTCCTTCTATCTGGTATATCCTTCAGACCAAAGGATCTCATTTAGAATTTTTGTTCTGAGGATCTGTTAGCTAGGAATTCTGTTAGTTTTTCTTTATGAATATATCTTTACATTGTTTTCATTCTTGAAAGATATTTTTGCTGGAATAGAATTTTGGATTGATAGTTTTCCTTTTTTTCCACTAGTAGTTGTTATCTAGCCTTTTTTTTTTTCTTCCCTGATGAGAAGTGAGTAGTAATTTGTATTGTTCCCTCGGATATAATTTGTTGTTTTTTCTCTCCTTCTTTCAAGTGTTTTCATAATCTTTAGTTCTTAGTATTTTGACTCTGATATGCCTAGATGTGGTTTCCTTTGTCTTTGCCTTCCTTGGTACTTCTTGAAACTGTAAATTTAAATCTTTCACTGTGTTTGGGAAGTTTTTTGACACTATTTTGTTAAATATTTTTCTGTTCCTTTTTCTTATGGAGCTCCAGTATATGTATATTATATTTTTAAATATTTTTCCAAGGTCACCAGGCTCTGTTTTTCTGTTTTTGTCTTTCCAATACTTTTTCCTTCTCTTCTACAGATTAGATAATTTCTGTTGATCTTTCAGACTTATTCACTGTTTCTTCTGTCTTCTTCAATTTCCCGTAAGCCAACCCAGTGAAATTTTAAAAAATTGAGATATTAAAATTTTCAGTTCTGAAATACCCCTTTGCTTCTTTTTTATAGTTTTTATTACTCTATGATATTTTCTATTTGTTCATTAAAAGCATATTTTTCTTTACAGTGTTGAGCTTAGTTAGTTTCTATAGCTGCTTTAAAGTCTGATAATTATCACATCTGTGTGCCACAGAATGAGACTATTAGGCCTTTAAAAGGCCCCTGATGTAAATAAACTCATATCCAAGCAAACAACAAGAAAAAAATTATAACATCTGGGTCATGGCAGGATCTGTGTTCATTTGATTGCCTTTTCTTTGCAGTTTGGATCACACTTCTGTTTCTTTGAGTATCTACTAATTTAAGATTGTACAGTGGATTATATATTGTAGAGATTCAAGATGCTATTACAGTCTTCCAAAAAGTGTTGAATATTTTGTTTTAACTGATGGTTAACTTGGCCGCACCCAAACACCAAACTCTTATCTTCTTTGAAACGTGGGCAGCAACTTTAGCTGCTCTGTTCTATCTGGTTGTTCTGCCCCACTTCTATTTAACTCAGTGATCAGCCAGAGATTTAGAAAGATTTTATATGCAGAATTTAGGGCTCTCCCTCTTTGCTTTCTCCATTTCAGGATTTCCCCCCTTGGTTTCCAGCTCTGGTTCTTCAAGCCAGTGTGATTATGGGTCATTTTCACCACTACTTATCACAGCAACTGGGACCTTGCTTCAGGGTAGCAGCTGTAAATAGCACCAGGAAGTTCACCCAGGGCTGTTCCCTGCTTCCACATGTCTGTGTTCTTCTCTTCAGATTTTGTCTGCTTTGTTTTGGTCATTCTTCAGTGCTTTAAGTAGTTGTGCCTTTTATTTTGTCCAGAGTTCATAGTTAACCACAAGAAAACTGGTCTGATAGGAGCTACTGTGTACCTGCTGGAAGAACAGCCAGCATTGGACTATTAACCCAACTCTTTGAAGTATATCTTTTTAGTATTAAGTTTTCCAGTCCATGAATGTGGTATATATCCTGACATTTATTACGCTTTCTTTACTTTCTCTCAATTTCTTTTTATAGTTTTTTGGGTATAATTTTGTTTAACATTTGTGAGATTTATTCCTCATTGGTGTTTTTAGATGCTCTTTCATTTTCTGTTTTTGTTTTTGTTTTTTTGAGATGGAGTCTTGCTCTGTCGCTTAGGCTGGAGTGCAGTGGTGTGATCTTGGCTCACTGCAACCTCCACCTCCCTGGTTCAAGCTGTTCTCTTCTTTCAGCTTCCCAAGTGGCTGGGATTATAGGCATGCACCACCATGTCTGGCAAATTTTTGTATTTTTAGTAGAGACGGGGTTTCACCATGTTGGCCAGGCTGGTCTTGAACTCCTGACCTCAGGTGATTTTTAAATGCCCACCTACTTTCCACCTCTCCTGTCAATTTGTCAGTTTGATTCTGATAAGTATTTTTTTTTTCTTTTTTTTTTTGAGAGAGAGAGTCTTGCTCTGTCACCCAGGCTGGAGTGCAATGGCGTGATCTCGGCTCACTGCAACCTCCACCTCCCAGGTTTGAGCAATTCTCCTGCCTCAGCCTCCTGGGTAGCTGGGACTACAGGCACGCACAACCACCCCCGGCTAATTTTTTTTTCTATTTTTAGTAGAGACAAGGTTTCACTACTTTGGCCAGGCTGGTCTCGAACCCCTGACCTCAGGTGATCCGCCCACCTCGGCCTCCCAAAGTGCTGGGATTACAGGCATGAGCCACCGTGTCCGGCCTGATTCTGAGAAGTCTTTATTTAGCATTTATATTTTTAAAAAGCAACATATTAGTTACCTCCCATGAGAAACCTAGAGGTTGATTTGCAGACTGCTAGAAAATAGGGGTTATAAAAGGTACAGTATCATTTTTCCAGTTCCCTGTGGTAGAATTCATTTTGATAAGGTGTCAGCCAGCTTGTGGGGTGGATTATAAGCAGTTTGGGGGTGCTGTTTGTATAGTTAATCTTAGAGCACCTTCCGTATCTGCCCGGGGAAAGATATTGTCATTACTGCCATGGACCCTGCTGGAAAAGAGGTAACCAAATCCATTATTTGTGATGCAGATCCATCTGTTTGACATTGATGTTCCTGGAAAAATTACATTTCAAGAATCTAAAACATTGAGTCCGGGTGATAGTTTCTCCACATTTGATACTCGTATGTACCAGATAAGTTTGCCTCTTTAGCAATCTCAGTAGAAGACAATCAGGTATTTATTTCTTTTTTGTCTCTCTCCGATTTCTTCACATAACCTAACTGAAAGACCATAAGTGAGAAAGGCAGAGAATCATCACAGATCTGGAAAGTTCGGGCTTATTTGAGAACTAAGGATTTGACACGATTTTGCCCTTTGATTTGATTGTAGCTTCCTGTTACGGCTTCCAGAGTATACCTATTAGGCTACAGTTGAGTACCTCCCATCTAGATAATAAGCATTCAATTAGAATGAATTTCTCATCTTTACTCCGCTGATGTAAATGATGTCTTTATGAGATGAAGTCCAAGTAGGAATGAGCTTGTAAATTATCTCTGTCCTCAGGTCCTGTGTTAATTTATCCCTGTCAGTGTTTTGTGATCATTATGTCATGGAGGATTTCCCCTGCCACACCATGCTGTAGGGAGTTAACTTTTCATTTGTGCATTTTCTGTTTGGAAACAGCTTACTGCAGAGTGGGTCTGGGCATCTGCTACGACATGCGGTTTGCAGAGCTTGCACAAATCTACGCACAGAGAGGTGAGGCAGTGTAATAGCTGTGTTATGTGGGTGCTTGGAGGCTTGGTTCTAGGCTGGTCTATGTGGGATCCTTAGTCAAGAAAAGCTGGGAGAGGGCTCTTTAATTTCTCCATCTTCAGCCCTTTCACCCCCATGAGGCTTCCCAGACTTTTGCTGTGTATGGATGACAGGGTTTTTGGGGGGTTGTAATTAAACACATCATGTAGCTAAGGTAGGAGCTGTGCTCATAAAGGTCTGGTCTACCCTTGAGTCCTTGTTACTGTGTTTGGAGAGTCACTTGAAGCCCAGTAGAAATGAAGTGGATTTCACCACTCAGTACCCCTAGACATTGGGTACAAGTAGAAATGTGGTCTGTGATATTTTGGTCCAGACGAGGAGAAATGTGCCAGTATCTGGGAAGAGCGAGTTCAAAAGATGTGGGTTCTAGTTCCAACTCTTCCCTTTAATTGGCACAGTACTTTGCTAAAATGATTTCACCTCTAGAGCAGTGTGGTTCTCAGTTTAGTCACAGGAATGATATGAGGATTAAGAAGAGAGAACCTATAAAGCCCCTCGTGTGGTACTCAACAAATACCAGCATCCTTACTAGACTGCTTGAAGCTACTTCCAAATAGACTGTCACTTAACCAAGTGAAGTGGGTGGAAATGGTTTGACTGCCTGCTCAGAAGGTGGAGGTGCATGGGCTCTGGGGTCAGTAGTCTCTGTTGAGCCATATATCAATAAGCCTTAGGGCAACTCCTCGGCCCCTAATTTCAGTTGAAAAGAATTACAAAACGTGGTCATTGGCCATGTGGAGCTGACATATGGAGCTGAGATAAATTTGTTTTTTTTTGTTTGTTTGTTTGTTTGTTTTTTTGAGACAGAGTTTAGCTCTTGTCGCCCAGGCTGGAGTGCAATGGTGCAATCTCGACTCACTGCAACCTCCACCTCCCAGGTTCAAGTGATTCTCCTGTCTCAGCCTCCTGAGTAGCTGGGATTACAGGTGCCCACCACCAGGCCCAGCTAATTTTTGTATTTTTAGTAGTTATGGGGTTTCACCGTGTTGGCCAGACTGGTCTTGAACTCCTGACTTCAGGTGATCTACCCGCCTCGGCCTCCCAAAGTGCTGGGATTACAGGCATGAGCCACCGCACCCAGCCAGAGCTGAGAGAAATTTGAATGACAGTTCTCTACCTTATTTTTGTTTGTTTGTTTTGAGGCAGGGTCTCACTGTCACCCAGGCTAGAGTGCAGGCGTGATCATGGCTCACTGAAGCCTTGGTCTCCTGGACTCAAGTGATCCTCCCACCTCAGCCTCCCAAGTAGCTGGGACTCTAGGCATGTGCCACCACACCTGGCTAATTTTTAAATTTTTTGTAGAGATGGGGTCTCTCTATGTCGCCCAGGCTTTCCGTCCTTTTTTTAAGTGAAGTTGATACCGGTGGGCTAGGGGAGGCCCCCAAACACCAGTCTGACCTTGACCCCAGCCAGTGTCCATGCTATTGACACTATTGCAAGAAGGAATTCAAGGATGAGTCAGAAAATAGTGGAAGTATGGAGATTTATTGCAAAGTGAAAAGTACACACTCAAAAAAGGGAGGGTGTGTGTACTCAAGAGAGTCATGCGCAAGGAGGTTTGGGCCATCTACCTTTATGGGTTTCCTTTTTTTTTTTGAGACAGAGTCTCAATCTGTTGCCCAGGCTGGAGTGCAGTGGTGCGATCTTGGCTCACTGCAACTTCTGCTTCACAGATTCAAGCAATTCTCCTGCCTCAGCCTCCCCAGTAGCTGGGATTATAGGCGCTCGCCACCACGCCCAGCTAATTTTTTGTATTTTTAATAGAGGTAGGGTTTCATCATGTTGGCCAGGCTGGTCTCGAACTCCTGACCTCAGGTGATCTGCCCACCTCGGCCTCCCAAAGTGCTGGGATTACAGGCGTGAGCCAGCGCACCCACCGCCTTTATGAGTTTCTTTACCAAGGGGTGAAATATTCATGACGCTTCCTAGAAAAAGGTGGAGATTTCTCGGAATTGTGCCACTCATTTTTTCACCAAATACGGGTGTTCCAGAAACTATCATGGCACGGGTGGGTGTGTGATTTAGTATGTTAATGAGCTTATAATGAGGATAATGAAGTCCTAGGTGAAACCTAGGTCAAACCCAGCACCATATTGAGTCCACTGGGTCTTAGCCCTAGTTTCTCAGGGTCTTAGCCCCTAGCGTAGGCAGCTATTTCAACAGTTTCTTTTTGCTAGTCATATGAAACTGCTGCCTGGAATTTTCTGTTCTCTTGCGACCGTCCTGTATTATTTCTGTCTCAAAGTCACATGTGATTTTGGTCATCAACACCACTTTTCTTGTGTGTCCATATGTGTGTGACTTACGTGTTCGTATTAAAGGAATTCAGAGCCATATCTTAATTGCTGCTGGCACTGTCTGACTTGGCTGACATCTTTTTATGTTTGGGAAAGTTTGAGTTCAGTTCCTGCTAGATAAGGAACAGTGGGGAGGACTGGTTTTGTTGAGTGCTCACTGCATCCACTGTTCTTTGGCTTTTCTCTCCCCAAGGCTGCCAGCTGTTGGTATATCCAGGAGCTTTTAATCTGACCACTGGACCAGCCCATTGGGAGTTACTTCAGCGAAGCCGGTAAGAAAGGAACCATATATTCAAGCCTCTCGGCATGTCCTCTTTGTAGAAAGATTTCCGGTTGGGTGGAGGTGCCAGCCTTCCTGATGTGGATTCTGTCCCTGACTCAGGATGCCCTTGTATCCAAATGCAGTTGGAAAGGATGAAGCTATAAGGAGGACTTCTACTGCACGTCACTTTCTCCTCAGAAGCCACAATACCAACCTCATGGATTTTGGAAACTGTACTTTTTTTTTTTTTTTTTTCTTTTTAAGAGACGGGTCTTACCATTGCCCAGGCTGGAGTGCAGTGGTGTAATCATAGCTCATTACAGCCTTGAAATCCTGGGCTCAAGAGATCGTCCTGCCTCAGCCTCCTGAGTAGCTGGGACTACAAACATGCGCCACCATGCCTTGCTAATTTTTTATTTTTTGTAGAGATAGAGCCTCACTCTGTTGATCAAGCTGGTCTCAATCTCCTGGCCTCAAGCGATCTTCCCGCCTCAGCTTTTCAAAGTGCTGGGATTACAGGTGTGAGCCCCAAGCCCTGCCGGAACTGTGGTTTTGGCATTTTCAATATTCAGTGTATTAGATGGGAAGGGATTTCATTTTTCTGTGATTAGATGTGGATTGGTCCCTCTTAAGTCAGTTCCAGCAACTTTTACAGAGAAATTGAGAACCACAGAGCTTATGTCTTCAGAGCCCCAGAAGCCAATTAAAAGGCAGGGATTAGTTTAGCTTGACCTAGGGAGAGATTTGTGGTCTGTACCCAGCTGATTCTATGCCATTCAGATCAGGATGCTTATCCTACCCCCTCCTTCACACCATCCTACTAGTCCTGAGGGTACTGTGCCAAGAAACTCATGAGAAGCTCTTGTTCTTCTAACCTATAACTCCAGGGCTTTGCACAAGCATCTTTGGCAGGTCACAGGTGCCTTTCCTTAGTCTTCTAAGGCTGAGAGGTGGTGAAGGGCAAATAGCATAGGTGGACATAAGATGGAAGGGAAAATGAATGTGACTGTGAGTGTGTCTGTCTGTCTGTAAAGTGCTCTACAGCCCATGAAATGCTGGTCTGAGATGATGGTTTTCTTTAGAATTTTTAAAAGTTGAAGTAATACAAAAAAAGTGTACTAATTTTAAGCATAGAGGTTGGTGAATTTTTGTGTATTCACCTGCCACCAAGATGAACATAACAGAACATTTCCAGCCCCCGAGGATGCTCCCTTTTTTGCCCCTTTCTAGTTAGTACTCCTCCCTCTGCCTAGAGGTAGCTGCTGTTCTCACTTCTAGAGATGGTGGTAATGTTTAATGTAAGGGAAAGAGGTTTTAGCTGGTTGCATGGTGGAAGATGGGGGTAGGGGTATAAGATGCCATGAGTATCAGTGAAGGTACAGTTTTGTCAAAAGTGAGAAGTTTCTGGGATACTGAGATGACCCAGCATGGGTCTGTTAAGTCTCGAGGGCTCCGAGGTGAGGTGCTTTGGTGTACCTGGACTGCGAGCTGCAATTTTTGTTCTATTTGAGGTGGTGGGACTGCCACCATGGGCATGGAAGCGCCATGTGGCCTGCAAGGTGTATTGCTCTCATAAGGCCACTCCATTCTCTCCGGCCACCTTGACTTGCTTTAACCAGAGAAGCTCTTCTCTTATGTTAGCTTATAGCAGGCTTTCTCAGCAGTGGCACTGTTGACATTTAGGTGTGTAATTCTTTGTGTGGGGGCTGTCCTGTGCATGGTAGGATGTTTAGCAGCATCTGTGGCCTCTACCTGCTCGATGTCAGTAGCATCTCCTTAGTCACGACAGTCAGGAAGATCTCTAGACATTGTCAAATTTGGTGGGCAACATTGCTCCTTGCTGAGAACCACTGGCTTATGCAGTAAGGTAACTTTGCACAATGTGCAGGTTAGTTACATATGTATACGTGTGCCATGCTGGTGTGCTGCACCCATTAACTCGTCATTTAGCATTAGGTATATCTCCTAAAGCTATCTCTCCCCCCTGCCCCCACCCCACAACAGTCCCCAGAGTGTGATGTTCCCCTTCGTGTGTCCATGTGTTCTCATTGTTCAATTCCCACCTATGAGTGAGAATATGCGGTGTTTGGTTTTTTGTGCTTGCAATAGTTTACTGAGAATGATGATTTCCAATTTCATCCATGTCCCTACAAAGGACATGAACTCATCATTTTTTATGGCTGCATAGTATTCCATGGTGTATATGTGCCACATTTTCTTAATCCAGTCTATCATTGTTGGACATTTGGGTTGGTTCCAAGTCTTTGTTATTGTGAATAGTGCTGCAATAAACATATGTGTGCATGTGTCTTTATAGCAGCATGATTTATAGTCCTTTGGGTATATACCCAGCTACCAATGACTTTCTTCACAGAATTGGAAAAAACTAAAGTTCATATGGAACCAAAAAAGAGCCCGCATCGCCAAGTCAATCCTAAGCCAACAGAACAAAGCTGGAGGCATCACGCTACCTGACTTCAAACTATACTACAAGGCTACAGTAATCAAAACAGCATGGTACTGGTACCAAAACAGAGATATAGATCAATGGAACAGAACAGAGCCCTCAGAAATAACGCCGCATATCTACAACTATCTGATCTTTGACAAACCTGAGAAAAACAAGCAATGGGGAAAGGATTCCCTATTTAATAAATGGTGCTGGGAAAACTGGCTAGCCATATGTAGAAAGCTGAAACTGGATCCCTTCCTTACACTTTATACAAAAGTTAATTCAAGATGGATTAAAGACTTAAACGTTGGACCTAAAACCATAAAAACCCTAGAAGAAAACCTAGGCATTACCATTCAGGACATAGGCATGGGCAAGGACTTCATGTCTAAAACACCAAAAGCAATGACAACAAAAGCCAAAATTGACAAATGGGATCTAATTAAACTAAAAGAGCTTCTGCACAGCAAAAGAAACTACCATCAGAGTGAATAGGCAACCTACAAAATGGGAGAAAATTTTCGCAACCTACTCATCTGACAAAGGGCTAATATCCAGAATCTACAATGAACTCCAACAAATTTACAAGAAAAAAACAAACAACCCCATCAAAAAGTGGGCGAAGGACATGAACAGACACTTCTCAAAAGAAGACATTTATGCAGCCAAAAAACACATGAAAAAAATGCTCACCATCAGTGGCCATCAGAGAAATGCAAATCAAAACCACAATGAGATACCATCTCACACCAGTTAGAATGGCAATCATTAAAAAGTCAGGAAACAGCAGGTGCTGGAAAGGATGTGGAGAAATAGGAACACTTTTACACTGTTGGTGGGACTGTAAACTAGTTCAACCCTTGTGGAAGTCAGTGTGGTGATTCCTCAGGGATCTAGAACTAGAAATACCATTTGAGTAAGGTAACTTTTTAAAGAGAAGGTTCCATGGCTCTGGCTTCCTTCTACATCTGAGTTAGCCTGAACTATCCTATTTTTTAAAAGAAGGATCTATCTACTTGGGTTAGAAAAATGTCAGATTTATAATGTACGATTTACCTCTTTCCTGTCTATTGACTACAGGGCTGTTGATAATCAGGTGTATGTGGCCACAGCCTCTCCTGCCCGGGATGACAAAGCCTCCTATGTTGCCTGGGGACACAGCACCGTGGTGAACCCTTGGTGAGTAAGGCTAAGTGAGAATAGGCTCAGTCGGAGCTTGAGCTTGAGTGGTGGCTCGTTGGCAGATGGGTTTTCTGGTTCCTGAGCAGCCAGGCGCTCACTTCTCACTCCCATTTCCCCACATATCCTGCCAGCTTTCTGCCTGTCTCTGTGAGAGGAGCTTCCATTTGAAAACCATGTGAGAAGCAAATCACCCTGCTCTCATGATCAAGCACTTGGCCTTAGCCCTCTTCTGAGTTTCTGGTGACCTTCACTGTCAGTCATACTTGGATCACATGGGGAAACAAGGCAGCAGTGACAGGCAGGTTGTAGTAAGAGACTCTGAAATTTTTGGTTAAAATTTAAGTTGGCTGACTAGTCCCAGGGTAGGAATGAGTTACAGGGTGAGGACTTTGCTTCCAGCATAATGATCAGAGGAGCAGTCAGGATGGTTCAATAAGTGAAACTATGACCCTCTCCCCAACAAAAGGGTGAAGCATTTTATTACTCAGTGGAGCCAGCACATAAGCCTGCCCAGACAGAATTACAGTCATACGCTCATACGCATTCCTTACAGTCTACATTTGTACAGTTTACATCCTACTTTCACAACATGGTCTCAACTTGAACTCTCAGGAAATTGTTCTTATTAAGCCCAGTTTATAGATGGTAGAATTACAGAGGAAGCGACTGGAATTCCAGATGTAGCGGCTAGACCCAGTGTTTGAATCCAGGATATTTGCCTTCAGAACTTGGATGTATTCCACACTAGTTCTCTGTA
Source organism: Homo sapiens (assembly GCF_000001405.40). NCBI lineage: Eukaryota > Metazoa > Chordata > Mammalia > Primates > Hominidae > Homo > Homo sapiens. The sequence continues at coordinate 100,353,263 of NC_000003.12, forward strand.
TGAAAGCACACACACACACTGGTATGTATGTCTACATTTCAGGATGAGTATACCAGTAACAAGACTGAGAAGAGTTAAATGTTACTGTGGGGTTCCTGAGGGTTCTGTCTTCTGCCTTTATAGGTAGGGCTCAGAGCTCAATGTGTGTGGTGGGGAGGCCTTGGAAGATATGACTAGTGTGAGATTCCAGTTGGCCTCCTGCACATTAGGCTTGGGGACATTGAAGGACTAAGTTGACTTGAAAATTTTCTTGAACTTGCATCAGGTTCCACTGTCCAGAAATCTTTGAATGCCAGGGCAAATGGGGAAGAATCAGAAAAGAATTCAGTTACGTGTCATAAATGGTGGTGCTTGTATTTGTAACTCATTTGTGCCAAAAGTCTGTCTGTGGCTATCTGGTAAACAGAATCAGTTGTTATGTCAGATTATTTTGGAGAAGGTTCATTTCTCTAGGTAAGGGTTTGAACCCTTGCTCTGGGCCAAGAGACTAGACACTGGAGATAGTTTCTTTTTTCTTTTTTTTTTTTTTGAGATGGAGTTTCACTCTGTCGCCCAGGCTGGAGTGCAGTGGTGCAATCTCAGCTCACTGCTGCAACCTCTGCCTCCCGGGTTCGAGCCATTCTCCTGCCTCAGCCTCCGAGTAGCTGAGATTACAGGTGCACACCACCACGCCCAGATAATTTTTGCATTTTTAGTACTGATGGGGTTTCGCTTTGTTAGCCAGGCTGGTCTCGATCTCCTGACCTCAAGCGATCCACCCACCTTGGCCTCCCAAAGTGCTGGGGTTACAGGCGTGAGCTACCGCACCCTTCCTGGAGATGGTTTTACAGGTCAGCCTTACCCTGGATTGATGAAGGAGTGTGGCTGTTCCCTAGTGCAGGGCTCCTGCCAGTGTGAGGTTACCCTCCATCCCCCCATGCCACTTCTACCCAGTCGCCAGAGGTTGAACTCTTTCCCTCAAATCTGAAACTGAAGCCCATTAACACAGGGGTTCAGGTATCACAGCCACCAGGGCAGAGACCCCAGCAGATCTGGGGCCCTGCCTAGGCCCAGCTTCACCACTCTCAGGGAGGGTAGCAGCCCAGGCAGGTATGAAGAGTGGGTCTGGACTGCCATTGTAAAGGGGGGGTCCACTGAAATGCACTCATGAGGGCATGAGATGGAGCTTCCTGTTGGTGGTAGGTAGCTCTATTGCCAGATCTTTATAATCATCAGATAACCACCGTCTCCTAGTGATTTGCAATTTATGAAACATGATCCATAATTTTATCACTAAGCCCTCACAGAGCTCTTATTTCCACTTTATAGATTAGGAAATGGAGATTTAAAATGCCTTCCCATAAGGTCACAGAGCTATTTAAATGATAGAACATAAATCTGTACGACTACCTTCTTGTTTTCAATCTCATACTTTCCCCTTTGGCCTGTGAGCTTGGGAGGAAAAAACAGAGACCTTGAATATCACCAAACATCAGTGAATCCACTCATTCTCTTCTGCATCTTTTTCAGGGGGGAGGTTCTAGCCAAAGCTGGCACAGAAGAAGCAATCGTGTATTCAGACATAGGTAAGATTTTCCTGGGCATGGTTTAGGTCTCTGATGTCCCCATTGTTCTGAGGCCAGACTCCATGGCTGGGAAGTCCCTGTCATTTGGAGGGGTTCCTTTATGCCCCTTCTCATTGATCTCTGGGGATATTCTAGGGTCTGGTTCTCTGGCCAATCCCTGGGGAGTGTATCAGCTTGAATTTTCTTGGTTTGGTTTGAAATGATGCCAGGCCATCTGTGCACCTAGATAAGACCTATGTTACTAAGTTACTTACTAAGACTCTGGTGGTTTATACAGTCAGGGGAAGAAATCCCCTTGGTTAGTGAGGAGTTGCAAATTATTAATAGTGCACTTTCCTGTTTTTTGCAGACCTGAAGAAGCTGGCTGAAATACGCCAGCAAATCCCCGTTTTTAGACAGAAGCGATCAGACCTCTATGCTGTGGAGATGAAAAAGCCCTAAAGTTTATGTTTCTAATGTGTCACAGAATAGGACGATATGATTCTACAACATAATCAACTCCCTATTAAATTCTTTAATGAAGATTTTTTTTTTAATTCGGCCTTGTCCTTCCTAGGTTCTCTATTGAGATGAGAAAGCCTCATTATGCTGACATTTTCCACGCCACATTAAATAGTTAAAAAGGATGCAGCCTGGAGCCAGAGAGCAGAAAGCTGGGCTGGTTCTGAAGCTTCTTCCATACTTAAGTTGCCTCCAAGCAGTTTGTGAAAGTATCAGATCTTGGTATCCTGGTGATTGATTCACCTAATATAAATATATTTGTGTCATGAACCTCTTATCCCGTTGCTGGAGTTGTAATCTCCATCATCTAGAAAACGTGGTCTGGTGCTATTCTTTTCCAAGCAGTACCTTGAAGTTCCATTTTTGGTTCATGAGTAGCTATAGAACGCAAGGTGATACATCTTTGGTGTTTGCCAGAGAAGTTGGCAGCCCCACCCCTCCTACCAGCCTTTGCACTCTTCAAATTTAAAAAGGAGCTACTTATCAACCCCAGGCCCTTCTGGTCTTAGAGGAAGGACTGGGCCAACAAAGAGCACCATGGGAGAATGGCAGTGGTGGCATTTAGTGAAGACAATTTAGTATGAATGTCTGCAAAAGATTTTTTTGATAGCGTTGAGTGTCTGAAAGTCCCATTATTTTTCTTTTTTCTTTTTCCCCAGTAACACTTTCTAGCTCCACGGATAAGGAATCACTGAACCTAGTAGTTCTTAGACAGCTTGGTTTGAGAATCCTTTTGCGGTTAAAAATTAGGGACTGAGCCAGGCGCAGTAGCATGCGCCTGTAGTCCTAGCCACATTGGAGGCTGAGGTAGGAGGATCCCTTGAGTCCACAAGTTTGAGTTCAGCCAGAGACCCTATCTCACTATATATATGTATCTCAAAGACTTCAATGGGTTTTTGCTTACATGGGCCAGTAATTGTTGAACAACCAGCTATTTGAGAAAAAGCCCTGATTTTGCTGCTTTTCATGGTGTAAATACTTAACCATGGCTGAGTTTGAGCTATCTGCATGACACCTCTAAACACAGAGTTGGGAATAGATGTGCACAATCAGCTCTGGGGAGCTGGTGCAATCCTGCCCTAGCACACCACTGGTTTAAGATAGATATATCATATAGATATTTACCATTTACCATATTGGAAAGTAAAATGGAGAAAAATTTAAAACACAAGATACATGAGCACACATTCCATTAGCTATTAAGGTGATGGACACGGTGTCCAAATGACACGGTGTCATTTAACTTCTGGAAAACAACACTGTGTACTGAGAACAAGAGAAAGACAAATGACTTTTTTAAATTAAGTTTTTAATTTACAATTGATGCATAATTTTACTTTAAAAAAATAAGTGTGCAATTTGGTAAACTTTGACATATACAGCTATAAACCACTCCAATCAAGATAACATATTTACCACCCCCAACAGTTTCCATGTGCTGTATTATAATCCCTCTGGCTAGTCCTTTGTCAATCACTGATAAATTTTATTACTATAGATTAGCTTGCATTTTCTAAAATTATATAAAAATGAAATCATGCCATTAGTGCTTTTTCTGTATGTCTTCTTTCACTCAAAATCACTTGGAACTCAAAATTACTTCTTTCACTCAAAATCACTCAAAATTACATACTCTGTATGTCTTCTTTCACTCAAAATTACTTCTTTCATTTTTAGACGGAAGCATTTAGACCTCAAAATTACTTGGAGATTCATCTGGTATGTGCATTAATAATTCATAATTCATTCCTTTTTTATTGCTGAGTAGTATACAATTTGTTTATCCATTTATCTGCTGTTGGAGATTTGGGCTATTTCCAGATTTTGGCTGTTGCAAAAAAGCAACCTCACAGATCCTTTTAAAGGATGTCAGGTGCTTTCAGGTAACCCTAGACTATAGTACCACTGCTCTCTATCCTAGCAGGCACACTGAAAGTTAAACCTTGTAATAGTGCGAAATCATTTTCTTTTTTAAAAATATATTTTCTTACTTTTATATATTTTACTCAATCTCATGACAGATTACATTTTCTTTTTTAAATAGAAAGTCTTACTGTAAAGCCCACATCTGTATAAAAAAATGAAAGAATGATCTGGTTGATGTGGATGTGTGGAACCTAGGAACCTTCTCTTGGATTTTCTCTTATTCCCCAAAAAACTTCATTTCCTCTAAAGAGCTGCTCAGAAGTTTGAAAACCAGTGGACAAGCCATCCTAGCTGTCTTGATGCTAGAGAAGCAAAGACGCTTTACAGAGATGTAGCATTCCTGTAACAGGTAAGGCAGGTGGATGCTAAACTTTTTACATTTCTTTTTTTTTTTTTTTTTTTTTTGAGACAGAGTCACGCTGTCGCCCAAGCTGGAGTGCAGTGGCATGATCTTGGTTCACTGCATCCTCTACCTCCTTGGTTGAAGCAATTCTCAGGCCTCAGCCTCCTAAAAGTAGCTGAGACTACAGGCACGTGCCACCATGCCTGGCTAATTTTTGTGTTTTTAGTAGAGATGGGGTTTCACCATCTTGGCCAGGCTGGTCTTGAACTCCTGACCTCAAGTGATCCACCTGCCTTAGCCTCCCAAAATGCTAGGATTAGAGGCGTGAGCCACCGCGCCCGGCCTAATTTTTGTATTTTTAGTAGAAATGGGGTTTCACCATGTTGGCCAGTCTGATCTCGAACTCCTGGCCTCAAGTGATCCACCAGCCTTGGCCTCCCCAAAGTGTTGGGATTACAGACGTGAGCCACGGCACCCAGCCTTTTGTTTGTTTTTGTTTTTATGTATTTCATTAAATGAATTGTCCTTTTAGTGGTATATCAGGAGATCTTGCCTTCTGGTACTCTTGAAAAATATGAAAAGAAACAACTGAAGTAGGCATCTCCTATAATTAGTATGTAGCATTTTATTCTCAGAAAATGTGTGGTAACCTGGCCCTGGATTTTACCTTTTTGCAAAGTGATATCCGAATAAAATGAACACTAGATTCCCACTTGGAGTGGAAGAACATTGCAGTTGAGGCCTTGGGTAAGTTTTAACTGCCATACCCCTGTACTCCCCGACTTTCTAATGAATTAGACAATGATGTTTTATTTTTGTTTTTTGTTTTTGCATAATACTTTGAAGTCTGCTATCACAAGTTGTGAACCTCTATCTCTTGCAGTTTAGGTAAGGCAACACATTTAATGAATTCACATTTAAGTGAATTCCTCACAGGGATGACGACCTCTGTTGAAATAGGTCAGGATGTGCAGTTTGTGGTGAAAGTTCTACTTGACTTTGACCTAGCTGTTTGAAGCTGAGAGCTAACAGATAATAAGTGTTGCACTGGTTGCAAATGAATAAATAAGTAACATTATGGGGTTTTAAATGACCAAGGAGTAGATTGTGACATCGACTGGGTATTTAGGGAAGGACTCCTTCCTGATACCAAAAGTTAGGTCTGTGCAAAGTACACCAAGTGGAAAAAAGTTTAGACAAGAGTTTAGGTTTCAAGATAAATGTTCTGCTCTATTGGCACTGGTTTTAAGTCTTTTGTGCTACTTTTTAGGCATTGCTGTGTAAGTTTTGGTGGTGCGTGGGTACAATGAAGCCAGGAGGGATAGAAAGGGAAATGATGTGTGTGCTGCAGGCTAAACAGGGGCTCTTCCTTATGCCTCATAACCACCTGTGTGTGACAGTTTCACATTTCCTATCAAATTATTATCTTCATTCATTTCTACTTGTGAATGAAGTTCGGAGACTAAGAAAAAGCCAGCTGTTGGAATAGAAAGCACTTTAGGATAAAATGGTCTTGTTAAAATCACCAATTAAAAAGTTAAGCCCCTGATGTACAAATAACTAAAACACATACATACAAAGACAGTGCTTCTTGTTCAATGATTTACTTCACAGCTGATTCATAATCAAATGAACAAGAATCTGCAAGAACAGAACATGGTGGGCAGGGTCCAGTAATTCCAAATGTTGTCATCCTAGCTCTTCCTGAAGCATATTGAATCCTCCAAGTATATCCCGTTGTGCTAACTAGGCTTTAAGTCTTTTGTCTGTAGATTCATTCTCAAAGTTTCTCCCTCAGAACAAAGAGCACGCCATCCTGTAAAGTACTCTTCCTGATTTTTTTTCACCCAATTTCTTAGTTTCTTTCAATTGCTTTTCAGACCCCGGCAGGCAGATTCTGCCCTCATCTGTCCAGTGACACTCTTCTGGCAGATTACTAAAGACCGATTTGTAGACCTGTCCATGTGGCCTCTCTCAACACCATTGGTGTGACCTTGCTCATACTGCCTCTCTCACCACTTAACATTGTCCCTTAGATGTTAAAGGCCCTTATATTAATAGTTTTATTTTAGCTCCTTTACATTTTATTTTGTCCTGAGGAATCTCAGCTACATGCATGGTCTTCAATATATGCCGATAATTCTCATTCACATAGCTCTCCTGTTGGCTTTTCCCCACTCGTTTAAAAACAACCACTTCACTTTGCTGGACTCTACCTTGAATGCCTCATTTTCAGCTCACACTCATGCTGTGCCTTTATTTAGATTTGTTGTGGTTGTTTCCCCACATTCTGGAAGCTCCTTACCTAAATCCTGTTTATTCCTTAATGCTTAGCACAATTTATTACTCTTGTTTCCATGGCACTACATTGTACTTCTGTTTTAGAGACTACCTTCCTCTGAAGCATATGACAGGTTCATTTACTATCCAGCCCACCAAAACTCAGTTTTTGAGCTCCTCTATGTTCATCTTTTTATGGCTAACCCTCACCATCATGAGTGCTTAGTAAATGTTGAGTTGGAATGAATTTATTCCTACAGGTTGCACTTGCTCTCTCACCAAGTGTTCTGGCCAAATAATTCTGGAATGATTTCCTTACCTTAAGGGAGTCTGATCTGGGAAGAGCCTGGGACGTGATGTAACTTCATATGCTGTAGAGCTGAATATTCATTTACTTAAGATCTTAGCTCCATTAGAAAGCAGTGAAAGCAGTGTTAATTCAGAGGCCGGGTATGGTGGCTCACGCCTGTAATCCCAGCACTTTGGGAGGCCAAGATGGGCAGATCACTTAAGGTCAGGAGTTCAAGACCAGCCTGGCCAACATGGCAAAACCCCATCTCTACTAAAAATACAAAAATTAGCCGGGTGTGGTGGCACATGCCTGTGATCCCAGCTACTCGGGAGGGTAAGGCAGGAGGAGGTTACAGTGAGCCAAGATCACACCACTGTACTCCTGGGCAACAGAGTTAAACTGTATCAAAAAAAAAATGCAGTATTGATTTAGAGCTAAGGTCACCTGATGCTCAGGCCAGTAATTTCTCCCTGCATCATGCTGTTGTCTAAGGCAGACACTGTAAAGCTCTACACTGCTGAAAAACTAAGCTTGAGATGCATAAAAGAACACATAGAGATGGGGAGTCAGTTCTCCATACATTTTGTGAGTAGAGGCATTGGTGTTTTGTTCCAAACTATCCAATCGAGAATGTTCATATAATGACAGCTTTGGAAGGTAGAGACTATCTTCCTCTGGATCATAGGACAGGTTTGTTTACTATCTGATACAGTCAAAATAGTGTTTCCCTCTAATGCGAAAGTCAGGCCAGTTTGCTTGTGACCTCATTAGATTTGGGCTGTGACGCAAACCCACTGCATGTGCAGTATCCACCTAGCTTGCCCTGTGTCACTCCCATGGGATCTGTGGCTCAAACTCATGTTGCTTGCTATGTTCTAAATAATTAAGTCTGTTGTCTGACCCAGGAGTCTCATGTCTTCTGCCAGCATTCAGAAAACTAGTTTTCAAGAAGGGTAACATCTTAGACCTTTTACAGCTCTTGACACAGAGCAATATTGAGAAATAAAATCAGGTAAAAGTTATTTAATATAGCAGTTCATAATTTAGGCCATGGATCATCTCTGCAGAGAATCCTACCATGCTGCATTCTTGCTTTAAACCTTTCGCCCTCTAAAACAATGCCCAAGAGCCAATGTTAGTCATGGTCTTCCTGTATTTGCTCTAGGTAAGCTGTTTCATAGCCTTCCAGGACAACACTTGCACAGGTTATCTTTAAGCACCAACAAAAGAAATGGAGAAATTTGAGCCATGTATCCTGAGCTCTGAAAGGCAGCAATCATCTTGACCCCAAGCATACACCATGTTCAGCTTCCTCCCCTTGGCCAGGTACCACAGCTACTTCTATCCCAGTGATCAGCAGGCCCTCCAGCATGAAGACCTTTGAGAAGGATCTATAGCTGTCAACTCCTAATATGATTTGTGCACTATCACCTTGAAGTAAACCAGACTAGTTATTTTCATGCTAAGAGTCTGAAAACAGTGCCTTCTTTCTGATGTCTCTTGTAGAATATTGGCAGAGGGATCTCAATTTTTACTTTATACCTGAAGGGCAGCTTTTTGGTCTGATAGTTATAGTGCAATCATTCATATTTTAAATCACAAATACCCCCACTTGTTGATGAAAACTCCAGTCTGTGGCATGGGTGTACATTCACTGCCTAAACCATCTTTGGCCAAAATTTGTGTGTATATGAAGTCATTCTACTTTAGCATACTCAAAGGCATTCCTTTAAACCATTTATCTGCTTGTACACAATAGCCAAAGGAATATTTGTTACTATGGCTGATGTAATAAACTATCATCACAAATTTAGTGGCTGAAAAAAAACAAAGTTATTCTCTTTTACTTCTGGAGTCCAAATTCATGGGGCCAAAATGAAGGTGTTGGCACTCTGCTCTAGGGCAGGATCCGTTTCTTGCCTTTTCCAGTTTCTGGTAGTTGCCAACATTCTTTGGCTTGTGGCCACATCACCTCCAGTCTCTGCCTCTGTGGCAACACTGCCATCTCCTCTTCTGTCTAAAACCTTCCTCTTACATAGACATTTGTGACTGCATTTTAAGGTCACCAGATCATCTAGGATAATCTCCCCTTCTCAAGACCCTTCACTACATCTGCAAAGCCCATTTTTTGCCAACTAAAGTAACATTCACAGGTTGCAGGGATAAGGATGTGGCTGTCTTTTGGGGAATCATTACTCATCCTATCAGTGTGGTAAAGCTTGCAAGTAAATTAAAATTTTGTCACTTTGTTCACAAATCAATTTAGCAGAGGATGGGAATAGGACTAATTATAACCCGTATCCCCACAACAACTCCTAAGTTATTTCCTTATAAATACAAATTCCATACAGGACAGTCTTGGGTAATTGTTATTCTATACTCCTAAGTTTCCTGGTTTGGCTATATTGTCCTCCTGTTATAGTCTTATAACAATTAGTTGACTTCTACAGGTACAAACTACTATTTAAACTACAATTTGAGTTCCCAGAGGGCAGAAAGTTCTGTCTGAACTGTTTTACAGCCAAAGTTGCTTTTTATTGTTTTGGGATGTATTCTCTACTTATACCACAATTTTCGAGGATGATTATTTCAGGTATGCTTTCTGAGAGACTCCACGTGGTTGAGAACTATGATCAATCTCACTGGTGAAACCAGATTCAAAATAAACTTATCCACAGGGTCCATGTCTGATTGGCAAGCTTCCAGGCTGCTGTGCATGTATGGGTAAGGTAGAGGCAAAGAATGAAATAAGTTGGCTCTACCAGCTCTCCGTGGAGCCTTGTTTCACAGTAGGAGGGGTGGATGCTCTCAAGAAACTCCACCATTCATACCAACAAACTTACTTTGCTTCATATGCTAACATTTCCTGTATGTTCCTATTTTCAAAGTTATTTTGAGTTCACAAGAGATTCACTGTGAATTTACGCAATAGCATAATAAATGAATAAACTACCTTTTTTTTTTTTTTGAGACGGAGTCTTGCTCTGTTGCCCAGGCTGGAGTGCAGTGGCGTGATCTCAGCAGGTTCACTGCAACCTCCGCCTCCCGGGTTCAAATGATTCTTCTGCCTCAGCCTCCCAAGTAGCTGGGACCACAGGCGCCCACCACCACACCCGGCTACTTTTTTGTATTTTTAGTAGAGACGGATTTCACCGTGTTAGCCAGGATGGTCTCGATCTCCTGACCTCGTGATCTGCCCGCCTCGGCCTGCTAAAGTGCTGGGATTACAGGTGTGAGCCACCATGCCCAGCCTAAACTACCTATCTTTCTATTTAAAGAATAGATAGAAGAGCTTGAATGTAATATTTATTTGGTGAATTTACATGTGAGGTCATTTACAAAAGAAAGATACAGACAGATGCAGCTTTCAGTGCAGTTTCAAACATTTTCACAACAGGCAATAGTCCATGAGAATTTGGAATGACAGTATAGAATGGCACATGCTTCAGTTTCCTTTGTGTTTCTCTACCCAACCCCAAGATGAAAGAAGGGAGAAGAGTAGAAGAAAATGTCAGTGTTAATGTAAATACAGCCATGCAAATAAAAACTTTTTTAAAGTCAGAGGTCATTCAGAGATGTAGAACATTTCTGTATTTGGGGGTTATCAGAAGGTGCATAATTTAAAAACAAAATGCAGCGGTCTCAAACTTCCCATCATCCAAATCATCTTGAATTATATTAACTGCACCAACTAATTAGTGACCTCCTCAATATTTTCCAAAGATTGACTTTGAAAGGGAGTCATTTCTAATAGTTTCTAAAAAAGATAGCATTTGTAGACAAATCTTTTTGGTTTCAACAGAATTAAGCACCCTTAAGGGGTGTAAAAATGCTCCTTTACTCCCAACAGTGTAAACCATAATTATAATTCGTTCTTAAATAAACCTCTCCCCATCCTGAGTATTTCAAAACAAAAGACCCCTGAAGAACACAACCCTTCCCTCACCAGAAAAATCTAGCATATAAGCAAAAGGATGGTCTATAAAAGTGGAAAATGGAAATAAATCGTAAAGTGATTTCTAAGTAAGGAGGTGGAGTAAAGCTTAAACACTGTCAGTACCCCTAGTGAAGACCTGGACCTGGGTAGTTAGTCCTTAGAGATCAAGGTTAGCTCACTACAAAAAGCACTCTACATGTCCTCAGCATCTTCAAAAATAAGTGGCTCAAAATTCCTTAAGCACATGTAGCCATAGTTAAAGCACTAAACTTGTTATTTCAGGAAATACTATGCTCTGGCTCCAAGTCTTACATCCTTTTTGACCCTTTAGCCACATGTCCTTCACGAGAAATTTTAAGCTATTTTAATACTCCCATATATCACACTTACTCTACCTTTATTTGGGTTTTACATACAAGCAATCTGCACTTTGATTTTAAAAAAGTTCTAAAATTTTTTAAAGGATGGGGTCTTGCTATATTGCCCAGGCTGGAGTGCAGTGGCTATTCGCAGGTGCAATCATCATGGCACATTACAGCCTCGAGCTCCTGGTCTCAAGCCTCTTGCCTCAGCCTCCCTAGTAGCTGAGACTATAAATAGTATATACAGTGCCACTGTACCCTCTATCCTACATTTTTAAAAGCTCACCATTAAATAGTACTAATTATTATAGAAAATAGTCACAGACAATTATAAACACACTACTGTTTCATCTTACCTCTTTGTCTGGTCCACTCCCCCATCAATACTCAGTCTTCCAACACATATATCAATTAGAATATTTTGCATCTGCATAATTTACTGCAAGAAAATCTGCTGTTGTGGACTTTAAGAAGAATGTACACTATCCATTAGAGTGGAAAGGGGCCAAGAGGATTAATAAGTGCCACCAAGTTTCTAAAACTGCAGAATCAGAGGCATTGTGCATGCTGACAATGGTTTAAAGGGTCTCTCAATTTTACTTTAATCCCCCATTTAACCTTTGTTTCTTTCAAAAAATCAACTGAAAGCGGTTAACTGAATATAAATCTATTTTACAGCATTTACTACGTTAATTTAAAAATCAACATGCTGTAAAATACTTACATTATTCACACATATATAGACGGAATCATCCAGAACATAATCAACTGCCAACCCCCCTTAAAAAAAAAATCAACAAATCAGTTTTTATTTGCATGGCCAATTATCATTTGTACTCTTTGCAACTTTATTTAAAAATCCCTTTAACATGTTCTAATCTTTTGTTGCACAGGGAATAAAAGCTGCAAGACTGCAAACTTCCTTCAACAGCCACACCCACAACACCTAGACATGAAACAGATGTAACAAATAACAACACCACAAACAGAAATACTGATTTCCACCATTCAACACAGTTCATGACAGTGTCTTTAGGGTTCAGTTGAAGAGGGGGTAAACTTTTAAAAAGAGGGTCAGTCTGCTTTCCCCCTGTTTTATAATGTTGGTGGTTTTAATCCGTATTTCTTTGCAACTTCTGTCTGGGCATGGGCGGCATCGCAAAGTGAATACAGATGGGCCATCTCCATTTCCGATTTGGCCAGGTTAATAGCTTTGTTGAACATGTCAATGGCTTTCTCCATGTTTCCTCTAAAAGAACAAAATTTTTAAGTCTCAGATTCAACAAGCACTTCACAATATTCAATGAAGGTTGTAAGTGATGGTACATGAAGTCTGACCACTAAGTTTCTTCACAATATTCAATGAAGGTTGTAAGTGATGCTACATGAAGTCTGACCACTAAGTTTCTACTATGATTCTAGTAAAATGCTTCTTTTAAAATAAACAAGAGTACCTACCACATTGAAAGCACTCAATGAATGTCAACTACTATTACAAATACTATGTGCTTACATTATATCCCTTGTATTCTGTGTTTACTGATAAGAACAGTCAGACTAGGGAAATTGATTGGCTTATTTAAAATCACAATTCCGTCTGGTTCCTAAATTTTACATGTTTCTACTGTTAACATGAGACTCCTTTAGAAAGCAGTGACATAATACCGGGACACTAATGACATGCAAGGGCCTTACCTTCACAGACTGATGTGGGCCCACCTCTTTCTGTTTCATCTCTTACCAGCACATCCCCAACCCCATGCATCTCTACTCTTCAGGCAGTCTATGTGAGTTCCTCACACCTACTCAATAAATACTCAGATTTATTGCCTCTGCCTGATTCTGGTCAAATCCACAGCTATCTAAGAACCAACTGTTTTAAGTAACTAGTATTAGCTACATATATATGCAATCCTACAAAGAATATTAAGTCCCTACTATATATATATATACCTGCATATACAGAGTCTAACTGGCATACATGTTAGTAAGGTACATTTTATTGGCATATGTGCCAGTTAGACTTTATATGCCAGTAAGAGGTACCACTAGGGTGACTATATTTAATCCCCCATTATAATATATGGCAACGTGATAGGCTTATTTTTAAAAAAAACTTTTTTCAAGAGTTCATGTTCTGGCATTAGGCCAACAGCTAGCAGATCTGCAAAATCCTAGGATAATCTGCAATTTCATTTATTCAAATTCACTTATTTAATTGTAAGGTTCAGAATGGATTTTTTCAAAGTTCAATTAACGTGAACAAAATTCCATCAAACCCTATCAGAGGTCTTTAGTTAACCCAGGATCTATGAAAGCCTTGAATTAAAAGCAAAGTGTTTTTGTGTGCATTATTCTAAGAAGAATCCACAGCTTCGCTCAAAAAAGATTAAGAACTACCACCCTATCCTATTCTAGTACAAGAATATTTTATTCACATTAACAAATTAGCAATTAAGAAATAATTTAGGCTGGGTGCAGTGGCTCACACCTGTAATCCCAGCACTTCAGGAGGCTGAGATGGGCAAATCACTTGAGGCCGAGAGTTTGAGACCATCCTGGCCAACATGGCAAAAGCCCATCTCTGCTACAAATACAAAAAGTTAGCTGGGCATGGTGGTGCATGCCTGTAGTCCCAGCTACTTGGGTGGCTGAGGTACAAGAATCACTTGAACCTGGGAGGCAGAGGTTGCAGAGTCAAGATTGTGCCACTGTACTCCAGCCTGGGCTGGAGACTCTGTCTCATAAAAAGAAGAAAAAAAAACTTAATATTTACATGCCACTGTGGGTACAGAATGGTTAAAAGAAACACAATTTTTTTTTTACCAGCCTATATATATTCTGCCTACTGTAGAGCAGGGAGAGGACTACAGGAGGGGCTGAATGATAGGGAATTAAGAAAACTCATGCTGCTTCCTGACAAGTGATAATGCCAAGATCAGTGACTGTGGTATCAGTGATATATGAGCTCAAACCCTGTCTTCTCTATTGGCTTACTGTGCAACCTTGTAAACCTAAGCCCTCTGGGCATCAGTTAAATTAGGGATCATATAATCTCCACCTTTATAAAGATGGGGATGAAGATTAATTGAAATAGTACTTAGGAAACATCTAAAGTTTAATACTTGGCCTAAAGTAGGAAACTCAAATGAATGGCAATACCAGTATTAAGATGGTATACAATAAATCCCATATATAAAACAGCTGTCACCTTTTAATGGTGGATCTTAAGAGCAACTCTGGATAAACACTTACACAAAATAAGAGGTTAAGGACAGAGCTGCAAAAAATGTTCTTATCCAACTCTGATTTTAAAGAAAATTCAGGGGCTCTGAGTTGATGTTGCAACTTGCCCAGCCATTTGGCTGGATGCTTCTTTGGAGGAGGGTCCAGATTTTCTGGCAACTTGGCTACCAATCCTTATGTCACTGCCTTAGCACATTTTTTTTTCCAACGTGAATAATACAGGTGAAAAGAGGAAAGAACATAACAGACTTTAACATGTACGTAATAAGAACAAAAAGCTAAATATCTATGGAGCTACCATATATTTCCTAACAGACTCCAGAAGTTACCTTTGTACTTCAATAGTTCCCATGGTTTCATAGGCAAAATCACATTTATTGTCAATTTCAATAGCCTTGCTGATAAGTTCCAAACCTCTATCCAGATCTTGCTTCCACTGAAGTTGAAGTAAACTGCAAATGCAAAAAAATGTCAGATGTGACCATGGCCCAGTATCAGTAGGAATACACACACATTAATATGACTCAATTTCTGCCTTCAATGAACTTATAAGTTAACTTATAACTTATAAGGCAATATATAATCAGCATCAAATTGTGTTTTTTTTCTCAGCTTATATTGGTTTGCTAGTCTAAGTTCCTTATTACAAAAAGTGTTCAATGGTCTAGGCTCTATTACCAATCTTGCATCCCTTATTTTTCACTTTATATAAATTTAAGTGAAGTTTCTTAGGATAATTCAAGTACGCAAGGACACGAACACTTGTGTATGCTTCGTATTTGGATATAAGCCAACAGCTGACAGGATGTTCAGTTTGAAATTAAAACCCTTAACACAGAGCAAGAATAGTACATTAATTTCTTTCTTTTTGTTTTTTTTGGGACAGAGCCTCACTCTGCCGCCCAGGCTGGAGAGCAGTGGTGCAATCTTGGCTCACTGCAACCTCTGCCTCCCAGGTTCAAGTGATTCTCACTCCTTAGCCTGCTGAGTAGCTGGGAATCGGGCATGTGCCACCACACCTGGCTAATTTTTTGTAGTTTTAGTAGACACCGGGTTTCACCATGTTGGTCAGGAGGGTTTCGAACTCCCAACCTCAGATGATCTGCCTGCCTCGGCCTCCCAAAGTACTAGGATTACGTGTAAGCCACTGCGCCTGGCCTCCTTAACTAATTTCTGTAAGAATGAAAAGACATCTAGGAGCATTAAGAAGTTTGTCAATTAACTTCTCTACCACAGTCCCCTTCCTCAGTGGCCAAAATAAATACATTTTATTACTATGCAAGAAATTTATTATCTCATTGGAACAATCACAAAAATACATACCCTTTATGAACATATGTTGTAGCATTATCTGGTTCCAAATCAATACATTTATCATACATTTCATCAGCTTTACCAAACTGTTGTTGATCTGTTAATGCCTATGTGAGGAGATACTTCAGTTATATTAAGGTAACCGTCAACCTAAGCAGTTAAAAGTATACTTATTATTCATTATAAAAATTTACTTCATTCATTATTACAAAATTATCACGTTTTGGGGATACAGACTGATTTACATTTTACATCTTAATTATCGGAGTTTTTAGGTGGCACTGCTATAAATATGAAATCTTAACTATCCTCTTTCTTCAGCAAGTGGTTAGTTATATGCCACAGCAGATAATCTCTGGTAAACTGTTCAATACAGATAATCCCATTCTTAGTCACAGCTCTAATATCACATTCTCATAGGTACAGTCACATCACTTATTCATAATTTATCATAATACAGCCCAAGGGAATTTTTTTTTTTTTTTTTTTGAGATAGAGTTTCATTCTTGTCACCCAGGCTGGGGTGTAGTGGCGCAATCTCTGTTTTCTGCAACCTCCGCCTCTTGGGTTCAAGTGATCCCCCTGCCTCAGCCTCCTGAGTAGCTGGGACTACAGGCGCCCAACACCTTGCCTGGCTAATTTTTGTATTTTTAGTAGAGATGGGGTTTCACCATGTTGGCCAGGTTGGTCTCGAACTCCTGACCTCAGGTGATCCACCCACCTCGGCCTCCCAAAGTTCTAGGATTACAGGAGTGAGCCACCGCACCTGGCCAGGGAATTATCTTAAGGGCAATATTCATTTGGAAGTATAAGTTAAGATGTATGTGTTAAATGTCTTCAGAGCTATTTGTTTAAAATTATTGATTTTTTAAAAAGCAGCTATAACTGCTTCAACTAATATATCTCCAAAAATAATTCCCTAATATTATCTATAATACCTAGCCCATATTCAGTTAACCCCGGTTATTTATAAGATGACTTTTAAGAAGTATGTGAGTCATTATATTTAGCTGTATGGCTCTTAGTCTTTTCATATCTAAAATAAGCCAACTTAAATATTTTAAAAATCGCTCTTAAAAATATCAAAGAAATGTAGCCAGCACATCTTCTTTATAATAAAAATCAGAAAGATATAGAAAGTAGAAATATTTTTATAGCTTCCATCATTGTGAGCATGGATGCCTTCCTGATATATTTTTCTATCTCTATTTACTTCCCTATTTGTTTTCTTTCACATGGTTGAGTTCATTTTGTATGCAATTCTCCCTTTAATAATAGGCAGTGCTGTATCTTGCTTTGTAACTTTAATGTATTTGTAACTTTTAATGGCTGCATAATATACCATTAAGTGAGTGTACCACAATTCTGCAAACATAATTCAATTTTCTGTTAACATTTAGGATTTTCCCCAATTGTTTGTCATAGTTAACAATAATGTAATAAATACTTATTTTGAAAACAAAAGCAGCAGCTATAATCAACTTTTTAAGACAAATCCCACGGCTGAAATGGAAGGCACAGTTCTGTGGATATCAGACTATGCTCAAGCTGTAACTTTGCGAGTTGGCCAGCATCTACGCCAAAGCTTTGAGGGCCAAAAAAGTTACACTAAGTATATATATATACACATACACATACACACACACGTACTGTATGCATATATAAAGTTACATATACTATATAGTGAAGCTAAAATTAGAAAACAGACCAAAGAAAAGAAATTTGAGTGCAAACTGACTGTAATAATGCTAATGCTGATGAGAAGACAGCTCATACAAACCAAACCTATCTTGAAGGCAGAATGGTAATAGGGAAATATGCTATTGGGAAAGTTCTGCAGAGGAGTTGTTCCCCAGTAGTGGTTCCTATTCGGTGGCCTTTGCTCTTCTAGATGCTTAGAGAAATCTGCACCAAAAAAGCCCTTCTGAATTCCATGACAATGATGAGGATGTTGCTGTCATTTCCTGGTTTGTTACTAATTATAAGGCATAAACTCAAGTGTACCCATTCATAGGATTAAAATGTACACTTTAATGTAGTTATATATAAGACCTACCTCTAAAGAACAGATCCAACACAAATCAATTTTCTCATAGTTCCACCCTCAATAAACCCTTAAAATCCTTGTGAAATTGTTCTTATAACCTGCCTACAGATACCATGAAGGAAATTAAAAACAAAATAAGCATCCTTAAGAATGGTTTAAGGAGAGGGGTCAACCAGCGATGGTATTTTTTTTTTTTTTTTTTTTTTTTGGAAATGGAGTCTCACTCTTGCCCAGGCTGGAGTGTGGTAGTGTGATCTCAGCTCACTGCAACCTCCGCCTCCTGGGTTCAAGCGATTCTCCTACCTCAGCCTCCCGAGTTGCTGGGATAACAGGTGTGCGCCAAACCACACCCAGCTAATTTTTGTATTTTTAGTAGAGATGGGGTTTCTCCATGCTGGCCAGGCTAGTCTCAAAACTCCTGGCTCAAGTGATCCGCCTGCCTCAGCCTCCCAAAGTGCTGGGATTGCAGGCAGGAGCCACCACACCCAGCCAGGGGATAGTAATTTGTTATCGTTTCCTATTTCTGTGCTGTGGGGAAAAACCCAACATGTCTTTTGTAATTAAAAAGAGAAAAAAAAAGAAAAATAAATTACATAGAGCAGCAGTCCCCAACACCTTCCCAGCACTTTTGGCACCACGGATTGGTTTTGTGGAAGACAATTTTTGCATGGATGGGGGTAGGAGGAGGAGGGATGGTTTTGGGATGAAACTGTTCCACCTCAGATCATCAGGCATGAGAATCTAATGCTGCTGCAGATTTGACAGTGACAGGAGGTGGAGCTCAGGTGGTGATGCTTGCCCAAGGCTCACCTGCTGTGCAGCCCCATTCCTAAGAGGCCACAAAGCAGCTGTACCCCTGATATAGAGTATTGAGATGGCTAGTTTATGTAGACACCAAAACCAATTTTCAGCTTTAAGAAAGAAAACTGAGTCATTCAGAGATCTTTTATTTGAGGGGAAAATGTATGACCGTCACTACAAGAAGCTAATCATTTTCATTTAAATGGATGATTTAAAACTAAGAAGTTTTCAAGAATTTCAGACTACAATAAAAAAATTCAGATTTAAATCCTGCTTTCCATAGCTTCAATCCTAAACCAAGAGAGTTTCAGGAATTTTAGATAAAGCAAAGATAAATTAAAATAAACCGTTACAACAACCTAGCCATATAAAAAGGCAGTGACCAGATAGAAAGAAAAGCCTTTCCGTGGATATTTTCTCCACCAATTGCATACGGTAAATTTTCCTAAGGTAATTACTTTTTGCAAAACCAATCCAAATGAAGACAGGAGGGAAATTCTCGCCTTAAGCTTCCCCATATTGAGTTTAGGGCCATGATTTCCAAATTGTGTAACAAAGGAGCCTCTTCTGAGGTGATTCGGGACCAACCAGGGGCCATGAGAATCAATCAGGAACAAAGCCACCTGCTTCCAAAGAAGCTGCAACCATGATAGCACTGTTTTCTGATTTCCATACTGAGATTTGGCATATGTATGCAGTTATTTTTAAAAAACCTGAAAAAACATTTACCTGGGCGTATAGTGCATAGCCTTCGGCACACCTTGGAAATTTCTTTATGACCTCTTCAAAACCTTTCATAGCTGCTTGGATTTGTGAAGAGTTGTTTCCCGTATATGCCTGGCGGTACTATAAAAAATCAAAACAGGCCTGTCAAATCAAGAACTCAAAAACTCATGGAATGTTAACATAAACACACAAAATTACATAAATATTTCCAAAAAAACAGGTGATTTGCTAACATAATCTGCAGCATCCAAAAGGGTTCCAAGTAGGTATCTCAGCAGCAGAGAGCCAAAGGTTATGTACAACTAGGACTCCATGGCCACTATACAATTTCAAGATGTTCAATACTGTAGAAGAGGGCATACTAATTTGTAAGAAGTGAACTTTGCAATAAATGAATTTTAAATCTAGTAAAATTTTTGTCATTTTCATTTATAATATATATTTGTGACATAATTTCTTCCTTTAAACTGAAAATTCTTTTACGACTCCAGCCATACAGCTAACTGGAAGTATCTTATTTTACTAGAAAAATTTTTACTTAAAAAAAAAAAAAAAACAACCTTTTGAGCTTTGTGTTTCTGAATATTAAGAAACAGTTCTATGAAGCAGGGGTGAGAGAGCAAGTTACATGGTGTCATGTTTACAGAGTGTTTCCTCAAAATGTTTTTGCTCTTTATATTGATTTATGATGAAGCAGGGAGACCAGTTCTGTTTAGGGAAGTATAAAATCAGGGACAAACATCTATCAAGATGAACCCAAACAAATGTCCAGAGAAATACAAGAGCTAGGTATCAATCAGCACCTTTTTTCCTCAGTAGTTATCCTTTGGGAAAGAAAGAAAAAGACGACTTTGTAGACAATGAGATACTCATTTTTGTTGACGCTGGAAAATAAAAGTGATGTTTAGGAAAATACAAAAGAAAGTAGTACCTACCAATGCAAAACATTTCTGTGCTTGTGCCAGAGCAGACTCAGGTCTTAACCTAATACATTCATCAAAATCTGCCACTGCTTCTTCAACTTGATCAAGGAGTATTTTCAGCTAAGAAAAAAATACGTAAATAAATGTAATTCAACTAGTCCAGTTAAGTATGTTCAGTGTCTCATCTCTATTATTACACCTCAGCATAATGCTGAGCATGTAGTAGTAATTCAATATATAATTACTTTCTAGAAACAGTGATTTAAAAATCTTGAAATTTAAAAGGCAAGATTCCAAAACATAAAAATGGTATCCAACTTATAGAAAGGACTACAAGCCAACCATTTCTGCCCTGCAATTCTGATCACTATTAAGCAAGAAACCCCTTCTTCTAGAAAACTAAACATCCTGTACATTCTAATATCAAAGCAGGTTAGACATCAGATAATTACCTTTCAAATTAATCTTCAGACACTACCAGTAAAGATCAAAATGTCAAGAATTTTAAGAGGTTATCTCAACACTTAACACCCTTCTGAAAGAAATACAGTCATGCATATTTACATTTCAATCAACAGACCACATATACAACAGTGGTCCCAAAAGATTGTAATACTGCATTTTTACTGTACCTTTTCTATGTTTAGATATGTTTTAGACACACAGATACTTACCATTGTGTTATAACTGCCTATAATATTTGGTATAGTAACATGCTATACACGTTTGTAGCTTAGGAGCAACAGGCTACAACATACAGCTTAGGTGTGTAGTAGGCTATACCATCTAGGTCTGTAGAAGTACACTCTATGATGTCCACACAACAAAATCGCCTAATAATGCACTTCCCTGGCAGGACACATGACCCTATTAGGTAAAATTCTCCATTAGAAAGAACTTCGGCTCTTCTGTTATTATTAATGCATAGCTCACACTTTATACCATAATGCATTCCAAGAAGCCATGTTAAGCTGATTATAAAGCCATGTTTTCCCCACTTGAGGCAGTAATTGGAAACTGTTTCTTCACTATATATTTCTACTAAAAAACTAATATGCCTGTTATAAAACTTCAAAAGATAAATATATTTATTTTTACTATTTGGACAGTCCAGACTATTTCCTTATAGCAAGAAGCTCACAAAAATCATCCTGTTGATTCTAGAATTAACTCACATTGCTTACTAAATGTTATTAATGTTTTACTCATTGAAACCTATGAACCAGAAACACCAGAAAAACAAACTTGAACTGGTAAGCCAACAGTTTTTGCCTTCCTTTACTCTTTTTTCATAAGTAAATACCAAAATTAAAGACAAATATTCAAGACAGACTAAACAAAGGCCAATTCAAACTGTAAACCACTGTGATACTTTGTTCACAGCTATCAGAAATTATATAAGAAAACTCAAGAAAATTACATAAGAAATTCTCAAAAATGGTATCAAAGCTCAATCCACAAGTCAGACCTCTAGGTAAGAAAACAGACTTACCTGTCCTCGGTGGTGATAAACATCTGCATTCTGAGGATCGATGTCAGCAGCCATGTTAAAATCTTGAGTGGACAGCAAAGGCTGCTGCTGTTGCATGTACATGCTGCCTCTTTTGATGAGAGCATTTGCTCGAAGCTATATACCCCAAGTGAGGAAAGGTTCATCATTACTTTTTTTTCCCTCCAATCTAGTTTCTTTAAATAACAGCTTTTTTCTATAATCCACATATCACAAAGGTCACCCTTTTAAAGTATGCATGTCACCTGTTTTTAGTGTATTCACTAAGTTGTGTGTTGATTACCACTATCTAATTCCAGAACATTTTCATCACCCTTAAAAGAAACCACATACAAATAAGCAGTCACTCTCCATCCCCCTCACCTCCTACTCTTCAGCCCCTAGAAAACACCAACCTATTTTCTATTTCTATGGATTTGTATATTCTGGATGTTTCATGTAAGTGGAATCATACATTATATATAGCCTTTTGTGTCTGGCTTCTTTGATTTAGCATAATGTTTTCAAGGTTCATCCATATTGTAGCATGTATCAGTTTTTCATTCTTTTGTTATGCCTGAAAAATATTCCATTGTACAGATATCACATTTTATTTATCCATTCATCAACTGATGGACATTTGAGCTGCTTCCACTTTTTGGCTACCATAAATAATGCTGCTATGAACATTCACATACAAGGTTTTTAAAAAAGCTTTTTAAAAATAGAGATGAGATTTTGCTACGTTACCCAGGGTAGTCTAGAACTCCTGGGTTTCCAAAGTGCTGGGATTACAGGTGTGAGCCTCCACACCCAGCTCTCATGTACAAGTTTTTGTGTTAACGAACGTATTAAATTCTCTTGGGTATATACCTAGGAGTGGAATTACTAGATCATATGGTAAGTTTCTGAGGAATTGCCAAACTAATTTCCAAAAGGGCTTCACCATTGTATTAATATATTTCCACCAGCAATGTATGAGGGTTCCAATTTTCCACATCTTCAAAAACACTTATTATTGTCCAATGTTTTTTATTAGAGCCTTATTGTCTTTTTGATTATAGCCATCCTAGTAGGTGTGAAGTGGCATCTCATGGTGGTTTTGGTTTGCATTTCCCTAATGGCTAATGATGCCAACAATCTTGTCATTTATTATTGGTCATTTGTATATTCTTTGGAGAAATGTGTATTCAGATCCTTTGCCCATTTTTAACTTAGGTTGTCTTTTTATTGTTGAGCTCTAAGAGTTCTTTATTCTGGATACAAGCTCCTAATCAGATATATGATTTGTGAATATTTTTCCCATGTTGTGTGATGTGTTTTCTCCTTCTTGATGGTGTCTTTTCACACAGAAGTTTTTTTTTTTTTTTGAGACAGGATCTCTGTCACCCAGGCTGGAGTACAGTGGCACAAGTCACGGCTCACCGCAGACTTGACCTCCCAGGTACAGGTGATCCTCCCATCTCAGCCTCCTGAGTAGCTATGACTACATGCACATGCCATCATGCCCGGCTAATTTTCAGGCATGAGCCACCACCCCAGCCAAGCACAGAAGTCTGATCACGTCCAATCTATTTTTTTTTTTTGGTTGCTTGTGCTTTTGGTGCCATATCTAAGAAACTGCTGCTTATCTAAGGTAACAAACATTTAGTCCTCTATTTTATCCTAACAGTTTTATAGTTTTAGCTCTTACATTTAGGGCTCTAATCCATTTTGAGTTAATTTTTGTGCATGGCATATGGTAGGCATCATTACTACTTGCCACTAAAAGTCATGTGATCATGAAAACAATGCGTTTCTTTAAAATTTTGTTCAAAGCAATACTACATACATATAGAACAAATAATAACATCCTCCACAATTATAACAAAAACATATAACATATATCAGTTGTAATCATCAGGAAAATCAGCAGAAAATAATATTAAAGATAATATTATGAGGGTATCTTCAATTTGAAAATCTCATTTTGAAAGAAACTTTTAACAATATTTAGGTCTTAAAACAACTTTTATATCCCCCCCAAATATAGGAGAGGAGAGAGGCTACAGAGTTCATTTAATGCAATGAGGAAACAGGTCACAGAGATGTTAACAAACTAATAAGTAATATAGTTAATTGGTGGTTAAATTGTTTTGTTACACTGAATAGAATGTAACAATTCAACAGATGCCCCTGAATCTTAATTATGAAATGTGTAATACATAGCACATTAAGAATACTTAGAAAATGAAAGGCTGTTCCAACTGTACAACTGCAAGACTTTTGGCATATTTATACATTCTATTTTTAGAACCTTTCTGAATATATTAATGTGTTTTTATTAAGTGTTTTATAACCTGGTGCTACATATTACACGTTACTGACAGCATTATCTACAGAATTGCATATCACCTTTACCACTGCCCAAATACAGTCCAATATGGTAGGCAGTGGCTACAGGGAGACGATGAAACTACCGGATGCTATAGGAAAAAAAAATTTCCTTTCCTAAATAAAGATAAATATCATTGATATTTATGTTTTCAGATTCACTGCACCAACTACATTATTATTAAGAGTAGTTTCTTCAAAAACAAAAACAGCCCTTTGAAGAATGGCAGTTGAAATGCTTTAAAAAATCTGGCAAAACATAATGAAAGGCATCGCCTTCTATTTAATAATTTCTTCACACACATTTTTTAATGTACCTTCACATTAGCTTCTTTCAAACTGATGACTTTATCTAAATCTGGTTTGGCTGCATTGGCATTGCCAATAAGCAGGTAGAAGGTAGCTCGTAGTAGCAATGCTTCTGCCATGTATTTGCCTTCAGCATCTATTTCTTTTGAGCATTCACTTATGATTTTATCGTAGTTTTCTTCTTCCATATACTGTTTGGCCTTTAAGTATCCAGAACTGAAAATAAAAACAAACATAGGAAATTATTTACTAAGAAAAAATTAAATGTGGCTGGGTGTGGTGGCTCACGCCTGTAATCCCAGCACTTTGGGAGGCCGAGGTGGGCGGATCACGAGGTCAGGCATTCGAGACCAGCCTGGCCAACATGGTGAAACCCGTCTCTACTAAAAATACAAAAATTAGCCGGGCGTGGAGGCGCATGCCTGTATCCCAGATACTTAGGAGGCTGAGGCAGGAGAATCGCTTGAACCCGGGAGGTGGAGGTTGCAGTGAGCCGAGATGGTGCCACTGCATTCCAGCCTGGGAGACAGAGCAAGACTCCATCTCAAAAAAAAAAAGAAAGAAAGAAAAGAAAAGAAAGAATTCAATGTTAAAACATGCCACATTTGGCACACCTGAGTTAATTAAGCAATTGTCTATTTCCACTTAACAAGATAATCAGCCAGTGTGGCATGGGGTTGGGGTGGGGAGGGGCGGTGCGGTTAAACAGATTAGGATTTTTGATGTAGACGGGGATTTTCTTGAAACCTTGGAGGAGGAGTTTTAAAAAGGAAGCAGCAGAGTCCTGGGTAATACCTCAGCTTAGACATTTAGATACTGAAAAGATGAGCTAACGAAAGAGAGACTGATCTGCAACATAGGTAAGGATCCTGTCTTATTCACCTTCATATCTGAGGCACATCAATGGTACTCAACAGTTGTTTAATGGCTAAAAGAAGGAACAGGGAAATAGGAAATAAGTGACTTTAGAGTCACAGAAGCTAAGGCAAGGGGTGTGAGCAGACCTAGAATTAATAACTGAACTTATTGGCTGGATGCGGTGGCTCACGCCTGTAATCCCAGCACTTTGGGAGGCAGAGGTGGGCGGATCACGAGGTCAGGAGATCGAGACCATCCTGGCAAACATGGTGAAACCCCATCTCTAATAAAAATACAAAAAAATTAGTCAGGCGTGGTGGCGGGTGCCTATAGTCCCAGCTACTCGGGAGGCTGAGGCAGGAGAATGGCATGAACCCGGGAGGCGGAGCTTGCAGTGAGCTGAGATCGCGCCACTACACTCCAGCTTGGGCGACAGAGCGAGACTCCGTCTCAAATAAATAAATAAATAAATAAATAAATAAATAACTGAACTTACTAAAGAAGCAAATTTAAAGGAAGACTCTTCCATCAATTAATACTTTAAAAAACACCCTTCTGTATGTTTTAAAAAGCAGTGAGCACAGTATCTCTTATTATTCTTCTAAGATGATGACTTTTATGGAGATGCTTGTAGAAGTAATTTTTTTTAACTGAAATTTGTATTAGGTGTCATGAGGTACATGAGGTATCTTCCAAACATAAGGCATTGTAAATTAAAGTACATTTTCTTATTTCAGTTGTTATATCTGTATAAAGAAAACTGGCAAATGACTTAAAAGTTACGTCAGGCCAGACATGGTGGCTCATGCCTGTAATCCCAGTAGTATGGAAGGCTAACGTGGGAGGATCAC
Organism: Homo sapiens; assembly: GCF_000001405.40. Lineage (NCBI taxonomy): Eukaryota > Metazoa > Chordata > Mammalia > Primates > Hominidae > Homo > Homo sapiens. Next base: position 100,379,406 of record NC_000003.12, read on the forward strand.
CTGGGCCCAGGAGTTCAAGACCAGCCGGGGAAACATGGCAAGACCCTGTCTCCATAATTAAAAACAAAAAAAATTAGCCAGGCATGGTGGTGTGCACTTAGAGTCCCAGCTACGCAAGACATTGAGGCGAGAGGATAGCTTGATTCCAGGAGTTGGAGGCTGTAGTGAGCTATGATCGCAACACTCTACTCCAGCCTGAGTGACCCCCTCTCTCTCCCTTTTGTTTTTTGAGACAGAGTCTTGCTCTGTTCCCCAGGCTGGAGTGCAGTGGCATGATCTTGGCTCACTTCAACCTCTGCCTCTGGGACTCAAGCAATCCTCCCACCTCAGCCTCCCCAGTTGCTGAGACTACAGGTGGACACCACCATGCCAAGCTAATTTTTGTTATTCTTCTGTAGAGACAGGGTTTCTCCATGTTGCCCAGGCTAGTCTCAAACTCCTGGGCTCAAGCAATCTGCCCACCTCAGCCTCTCAAAGTGTTGGGATTACAGGCATGAGCCACCATGTCTGACCTGACCCTGTCTCTTAAAAAAATTTAAAAAGTTATGTCAGCCAAAAATCTTATAAGCTCTATGCTAACCTCTCCTGTAATGACATTCCAATGTTGCCTACATTCTAGTTTTGTTTCTCAGGTCACCAGGCTAAGAAAACACAAACAGGCCAGGTGCAGTGGCTCACACCTGTAATTCCAACACTTTGGAAGGCCGAGGTGGGTGGATCACCTGAGGTCGGGAGTTCGAGACCAGCCTGGCCAACATGGTGAAACTCCGTCTCTACTCAAAATACAAAAATTAGCTGGCGTCGTGGCATGAGCCTGTAATCCCAGCTACTAGGGAAGCTGAGGTGGGAGAATTGCTTGATCCCAGTAGGCAGAGGTTGCAGTGAGCCAAGACTGCACCACCACTGCACTCTAGCCTAGGCGAAAGATACCTCATTATCAAAAAAAAAAGAGAAAACGAAAACACAAACAATGATTAAATCAGATTAGAAGTAATCCCACTTACTGAAGAACATAAGTGCTAGTTATTTATAAGCATGATTTCTACACCTCACAATAACCTTGTAAGGTAAATATTACTAGCTCCATTTAAAGGATGATAAAGCTAAGGCTCAGAGTAAAATGGAATTTAAAACTTGGGTCCAATTCCAGTTAGTGTGCTGATGATAGCTAGCTACGTCCTACCATCTCTCAGTAAAGCTTTTAGAATAATGGTATTAAATTCATTATAGTTTTTCTGGGACAAGGACTATTTCTTAACCAGAAGAAGAAAGTATTTGCATAACTGTCACAAGAGCTAATACGACATCTTAAACATTTAATTCCCAACTACAATCTTCTCAAAGATTGTGTATCAATGAACTAAAATTTGTACACTGCAGTATAATTATGCACAGTATCTTCTCTTAAAAGGTCAATAGCAATGGTAGAAAAATTGGAAGATAAAAATCAAAAGCCATTTGTTTCTTCAAACCCTCCAATATGCTGAAGATGCAAAACCCAGTTATGCACAGCTACTAGAACAGTATTTCCTTTTCTTCCTAACTCGTTAAAAAAATCATGTTGATAATAATATTGTACCTTCTCTCAGAGAGGGCTACCCTTGACAGAAAAATACAAGTATTGATAAATACGAATGGAATAAAGCAGGCTAGATGGTTTATACGACATTATATCATTAGGTCTCCAGCTAGAAACACAGTATCCTGTACTTTGGTTTCAGCTCTCTACAGGCTCCAACAAGAAGCCCTCCAAATGGGCATCTTCCTAGACAAGCAGAAAAATCCTTGAAAAAATTCACTCTTTGGGCACCCCTAAAAGTATCTGTTTATAAATTAAAAACTTCCCTGCACTAGAACATCTGCATGTTGAGCTACACAATAATTTTCAAGTTATTGCCTCTATTCAAACACGGTCAGCCACTGGATTCAATCGGAGTCCTTTTGAGAAGATCATATAGGACCTTGAGTAAAAGCAGGGTAGACTCCTGGCAGTAAAACCCTGAGTTACCAGAGAAGTAACAGATACATGCTAGAAAGAAAAGTGTTTTTATAATAATAATATTATATAATTTTTAATTATATTTCTGTCTATCTCTATCTGTAGATAGATAGCTGCTGTTGTGAGATGGCTCAGAACCCATATGGGCCCTAAGGAAAGTTCAAAGCACCCAAAACACCACTAAGTAGACACTATGCTTGACATACTTACTTTTCTTTCACTTCTAAAGCCTCCCCTTCCTTGTCTTTATCTTCATCAGATTTCTCTCCTTTAAGCATGGGCTGGGAAATGATATCATCCGTGAAAGAACTGAAGTAAGATTTGATAAACTGTGGAGATGGCATCAGAGGTTCACGATTCTGAAATTTAGTCATGTTTAAAGACATCAGGATGGGAAATACCAACCAAAGAAGCAGGTACATTGTAGAACGCTAAGAATAACTGTCATAAAAATTGGATTCTCATTTTCAAATAACTAAAATTAAGCTCCAAGCCACAGAACAAAAGACAGTGGAAAAGGTGAAGCTGCCAGTCCCAGCTGTTTAAAGCTGGTTTTAAATGAGAGCCTTTTCCCTCTACAAAGATGTAAGACCACATCTTACACAGGTGCTGAAAATGTTAAGTCCATTTACCTTGGGCTTTCATCTGAAGATCTTTATTACAGGTAAGTGCCACTGAAAACCATACTGAAATCACATTTCCTGTTTTGATTATTTATTTGAGGCATAGCCACCCAATTCACAATTATGGGAGTATTTTGTTCCTCCCGAAACACAATTACCGTTTTAAATAAATAAGTTTTAAATAAAGTGGAAATAACACACCCAAAAGGCTCTCATAATGTATTTTGAATGCTTTATCTATAAAATTCAGCCCAAAGAGTTTAATGGAAACATGCGATTTTTCATTTTATGTATAACAAATATCATTACTGTTATTTTGGTAATGTCTTCATATTTGAAGGAATAAAAAAAGGAATTGGCTTTATAAGTAAATTATTTAATCTAGGATAGATAAAAGTGGGATAGAAAGAGAACTAAAAAGGAAACCTAAGAGAAAACCCATATTGATCTGTGGGCACTCTCTGGGGAGAGATTCAATTCGTTTTAATTTAGGATAACAAATATTTTAAGTCAAATGGTCACCTATCAAGTGATAAATATGCCTAACTTTAGTACTTTACTAAAGACACTGAGAATAAATACATAGTGGCAATCATTTACCATTTTAGGGGAAAAGCTTAAATAGAAATTTAAATACCACTTACCTGAAGCTAGATAAATCATTAATGTTTTTTAGTTTCCTGTTTCAGCTTAGAAATGAAGCTATCACCTCCCTGCCTTCCATACAGGGTTATAAATTTAAAGTGAAAATAAACGGTTACAAGAAAGGGATTTAAGTATCAAAGGAACAGGATACAAATTCTAGTTCTGCCACTTATTAGCTATGTGATATTATGCATGTCATTAAACGTCTAGTATCAGTGTTCTCATCTCTAAAATGGCAATAGAAATATTTGCCTTATTTATCTTATACAGTTGTTATAAAAAAATCAAAATAATAATATGGAAGGTATTTTGTGATTTACAAAGTGACAAACAGATTAGAAAATGTGGAAACTGATCTGTAACCTATGTAAATATACATTATTTTATATTTTCTTACCATCTTGCAATCCAACCAGTCTAATTACTCCACACTATGTACAAGGAAACTAGGTTCCTTTGAGGTTCAATTTATGGACTCTACCATGGTGTTTTACAAAGTGATTTTGAGAAACACTAGTCTTACGAGATGCTCGAGAGAAAAAAAAATCCATGGTTTAAAGAGAATGGGGCCAGGCACAGTGGCTCATGCCTGTAATTCTAGCACTTTGGGAGGCTGAGGAAGTTGGACGGCTTGAGCTCAGGAGTTCGAGACCAGCCTGGGTAACATGGTGAAACCCTGCCTCTACTAAAGTACAAAAAAATTAGCCAGGCATAGTGGTGCATGCCTGTAGTCCCAGCTACTTGGGAGACTGAGGAACGAGAATTGCTTGAACCTGGGAGGCAGAGGTTGCAGTGAGCCAAGATAGCAACTGCAGTCCAGCCTGGGTGACAAAGAAAGAAAAAAACAAACAAAAAAAAAAAAAACAGAGAGAGAGACTGGGAACCACTACAGCCACTACAGCTATACCCCTCTTAGAGATTCACAACACACCTTAGTAGATTATTAAAGTCCAGCAGTGAAGAAACTTGTTGTAACTGTTTCACTCAGCTAATATCCAGAGATATAAAATTAAAAATACAGATTACTAAAATCAATTCAAGAAAAAAGCAAGTTATTATTAAAGGAAAAAGGAACAATTATCTCGCTATTACTGGGATTTAACAGTGAATCTCCAGTGATGTTTAGTGATGCCTATGGTACTCTCTTTACTTACATCTCACCTTGGGCACTTAACTACTGCATGCCTTTTATACACAGTAACAGTCAGTCTCTCTCACTAAATTTTAATTCTATAAGGGTAAGGGCCATGTCTTTGAACCCATCCCTCCAAAATGCCAAACATGTAGCTTTGTTTAATAAATGATTGTTGAATTAAACTACCTGTTAATAATAGCCTAAAACTAATGCCAACTTACTCAGTATACCTTTAAAAACTTTAATAATATAGAAAAATATTTTTCTGTGAAAGGCCAGATAGTAAATATTTTAGGCTTTGGAGTCTATACAGTTTGTCACAACCACTCAACTCCGCTGTTGTATCTCAAAGGCAGCTGAAAACAACATGTGACTGAACATTATTTATAAAAACAGGTAGCAGACTGGATTTGGCCTATGGGCCACAGTGTGGCAATCCCTAACACAGATGAATTCCAATATTCTCCAGGTAGAGTAATGGACAGAGCATATATTCTTACTGAAGAAGGACAAGCCATAAAAGCCAAAGATAACAGGAAGAAGAAATATAACCCAGTTCTAATTGCAGTTGTTGCCATTACCACTATGCCTAAGCTTAAGCAGCATAAATTAGAAAATACCCTTCACAATGTACACAGTACTCCCCCATTCCCCAAATCAGATCAATTTACCTTATATTTTTCTTTGGCTTTCTCTTTTCCAAGGAGTTTAAGAACTTTATCGGCTAACAGCATGCTTTGTTGATTTTGGAACCCTTCTAATATACACACAGCAGTGACATCTAGAAATGATGAAAAACACAAGGGTAAATATAAAATTATTGCAAAGATGGTCAGCAGCATCAAATGGGTACAATGTAACTACAGAAAGCCAAACTAAATTCATGGCCAAATGGGACTGTTTCATTTCCAATTAACTGATTCTTAATACCTAATTTTATATTCTCTATGACCAAACTGAAAGCTCAGAAAGTCACTCCACTTCTCTGGGGTTTGCTTTCCTTAACTGTGAAATGAAAGGGGCTATGCTGCATGATTTCTGATGTTTCTCACCACTCTAACATTCTCTTCTGGCTAGCAACTCTAAGGCATATAAACATAGTGTGGCTCTCTCATGTCTGGTGTTTGTTTATAGGCCTCAGAGTTATTCCCTGTCTCCAAAGCCATCTTGCCACAGAGCTCTCAAATAAATCTGCCTCAATACCATTTTCATCTGGTTATGTCACAGCTCAAGATGCATGCAGTGGTTTGAAATTAAAAAGTAAGTGGTTCCTTAACCTCTCAGCCTTTCGTTCAAAGCACTCAAACAATGGACGTCTCGTCTCTTCCCGAATTAAATTTCTTGCAATTCCACATCCTTGCTCCACCAATCAAGTCAATCTGCTGATATATTCCCCTGATAACCACGGCTAGCGCCAATGTCAATGTCTTTTTTCCCATCCTGTTTCTTCTACGTGACACTTCGATCAACCTCCTCTCTGCCAGTTATTGTGTTAGTAACTTCAAGGTCTGGTTCAAAACTCAGGATTCCCTTTTCTAAAACAACAGTCTTTTCACACACTACCAAAGTATGTGCCACCACAAAACCTCAAATTTTGCTAAAATGTTCTCTAAAATACCCTCATTTGGTAATCTACACTTTTCTTTTCAGAAAGGGGCCTTTTCCTTTTACTGATGCTTTTAAAGCAGACAAATATATTAAGTGGAAAGAACTTTTAGATTGTAGAAAATTATACTTTGGTTTTGCTTCATGTCACCTAGAAGAATGTACTTTAAAGGCTGGATGTATACTGTTAATTGCAGCTTTGGAAGCAGAGAAATGGCCAATCAGAGACCACAGAATATTTATGGCATTTAATGAGAATGACAAATTCACTTTGATGCTTTGTACCAATTACATCATTTCCAATTAGGTGTAAATTAGGTATAAAACAATAATTTCCAATTGGGTATAAAATAATGTTTGAAAATACCAAGGGCACAAAACAATGTTTTCTTTAATGATTCATCTCAAAGCTATGTTTATACATATTATAAACACAGCTCTCAAAGCTATATTTATACATATTAAATGAAATATGTAGAACCTTAGAAACACTATCACTTGCTAAAACTTCTTTTCTGATTTCCTTATTCAGAGAATTATACTAATGCTCATTAGCTGCTAAGTTTAAAATGTGTAGTACATAAACTCCTAATCTTAATAGTCATTTAATTCCATAGTTGAGAACAGAGACAATACTTAAGTATCAGCAATCTTACTTTAAACTAGAAGACACAATCTTAAGTGCAAAGGAATCCAACTTTTAAAAACAACTGATTCTTGCACTCACAAGGCAGTTTCATATACATTTACCAATGACTACAAAATATTAAGTAATTTTCATATGTAAACACAAAATTACCCTCACCTTCTAAACATTCCTTCTTATTGTCTAGCTTCTCATGGGCTTTTGCACGTCTAAAGAGAGCTTTCACATATTTGGGATTAAGTTCAACAGCTTTTGTACAGTCTTGTGCCACTTCTTTCCATTTTTGCTGTAATTGAAAGTATTTAAAAAAAGTCACACTAAAGAAAGTACTGTTCAATAGAAATCAGTTTAAACTTGATAGGTTGAGTATTAAAAGTCCTAGAATAAAAAAGTATTCCTAATACAAAGAGTTAATATCTGCAATATATTACAAAAGCTCATATAAATATCAAAAAGTTAAAGAAATAGCCTCAAACTGTTGAGGAGAATAGGGTCACCAGAAACTTTCTATACTATCTAATTTTATAAAATGTGAAATATACTTAACTTTGGAGTATATCTGTAGTCAGCAAAACTATAGAATTTGTTCTTTAAAAAGTTTTGCAATTAATGGAAATAAGAACAACATCCCATAATTTTGAAACAACTTCAAAAAATGTATTAGGTTTATTTGAGTAGCTTTAACTGAAACTTTAAGCAAATAAAGAGAAAGAAAAGGAACAGAAGAAACAACCTAGAGTACATACCAACTGTTCAAAGGCAGCAGCTCTGTTTTGATAAAATGTAGAAAGGTCAACATTCTTCTCTGTAGGGCACAAGCTAATAGCCTCAGTATAGCACTGAATAGCTTGTTCATATTTTCCTGCTTTAAAATATTTATTGCCTTTATTCTTGGCTGCTTGGGCTCTATCAAGAGAGTTCTGAAATGAGAGGAAACAATTATCAAACACTAATCAACATTCACAGACTCAGACCACAGTAATTAAACAATAAATTGATAAAAACAGGAAGACAGAATGGCTGTTTACAATGTAAGTTGCTTCATACAAATATCTTCATGGAATAGATTCTAACTAGTAGGATTGTTGAGTCAAAAAGCATATCTTGGCCAGGCATGGCAGCTCATGCCTATAATCTCAACACTTTGGGAGGCTGAGGCGGGTGGATCACTTGAGGCCAGGAGTTTGAGACCAGCCTGGGCAACGTGTCGGAACCCCGTCTCTATTAAAAATACAAAAAATAGCTGGGTATGGTGGCACACGCCTGCAGTCCCGACTACCCGGGTGGCTGAGGCATGAGAATTGCTTGAATCTAGGAGGTGGAGGCTACAGTGAGCCGAGATCATAGCACTGTACTCCAGCCTTGGTGAGAGATTGGGACTCTGTCTCCGCCTGCCCCCCCAAAAAAGCATGAGAGGTGTCTTGCTATGCTGCCCAGGCTACTCTCAAGCTCAAGCAATCCCCCTACCTCCATGTTCTAGGCAGATGGGATTACAGGTGCACACCACCACGTCCAGCTAAAAGACACAGACACAGACACAGACACACACACACACACACACACACACACACACACACGTATATACTTTTTTTTTTTTTCTTGAGACAGGGTCTGTCGCCCAGGCTGGAGTGCAGTGGCACAATCTTGGCTTGCTGCAACCTCCACCTCCTAGGTTCAAGTGATTCTCCTGCCTCAGCCTCCCGAGTAGCTAGGGCTACCAGCGTGCACTACCACATCTGGCTAATTTTTTAATTTTTAGTAGAGATGGGGTTTTGCCATGTTGCCCAGGCTGGAGTCTTATATGTTTTTAATTTCAAAAACACTCAGACTTTTTCAAAAAGGCTGCAGTACTTTAAAGTTTTTAAAGGATTTAAAGTGCGCAAAGGATTTCTAGGAAGCTCTAAGTATCTAAGATCAGAATATTATATAGCTACTTTAAGCTAGCTAGTGTCAACCAGAATGTATATTTTAAAACTGATGTGGGAGGATGAAAGGAACCAAGACAAGCACATATAAATTAATAGATGAACTTAAAATCTTCCATTTGTCAGTAGACTTAATTATGTTCCAAAAGCTTTGAGACATAAATTTAATTTCAAGGATACATATGTTTCAGGACTATGAATATGTGCCAGGACTAACAGAGACTGCTACAGGACTGACAGAGAAACACCCACAAAACACCCACAATAAAGCAAAACTAGGAATCCCTTATGTAGTTGTGGGCTCTGGGGGGCAATCGTCAGGGTGATTGCTAGAAAACTTGCATTTGAGACAACCTCAACAATCCTCCCACTCCACTGGAGGAAGCAGAAATCACATTAGAGTAGGGCTGTGTCATTCAGGAGTGAGGATCTTCTATATGAGAGACAAGTGGCCAGGTACCATGGCACACACCTATCGTTTCAGATACTTGGGATGCTGAGGCAGAACTGCTTGAGCCCAGGAGTTTGAGATTAGCCTGGACAACATATTGAGACATTGAGACCAGACTCTCTTAAAAGAGACAAATGACAGTGACAGGGCATACCATACCTTGCCTCTGTTTTTTAAGAGACCACACAATCGAGAATTGCTAACAAAAGGGAAAAACAACCCATAAAAAAAGAGGCCCCCAACTCAAATATAAAAGTAGTATCTGAGAAAGCAGGATATACCAAGCAAACAAAAAATTTAGTTTCAAAAAAATGAGAGGCTATCTTCCCATCATTAAAAGAGGTTGCTTTTAAAGAGCACTAATTAGAAATCTTAAAAATGAAAAAAGATTATTACAATTAATTCAGCAGATTGGCTGTATATTAAAGAAGCGAGCTGAGGAGCAAATTAACAAGTAGAGAATGGGGGAAACCTGACAGAATGCCATGGAAACAGAGGACAGGGAGGTGGGAAGTTTGGAGAAATTAAATGACATGAAGTATAAATCCAGAAGTTCCATCATTTGCCTATGTGGAGTTCTAAAAGGAAAGGCATAGAAAAAAAAAATCTAAGGAATTGGAGAAATTCTCGGAGTTGAAGAAAAATGACATGCATTTTTAGACACATCATGGTGAAATTTCACAACAAAAATCCTGAAAGTATTTAAAAAGAAAAACAATCCAGTGCCAGACTGTCACCAACATTTGGTACTAAAAACCAATTAAGTAACAATTTCAAAGTTCTAAAGCAAGATTATTTTGTAACTAAAGTCTTATACCTAGCTAAACTAGCATTTGAGGTTGAACACAAGAACAGAAATAGAAATGTACAGCTTCCTTACCACTAAAAATAAACCCCCAAATAGGGAAATGACCAATACAACAAAAAGCAGAAAGGAAGGAAAAATAAGAAACAAAAAAGCAGAGTAAATATGGCAGTAATTGCTAAACATGTAAATAGTAAAAATAAATGTGAGTAGTTTAGAGCCCTGCATTGAAAGACTTTCAAATTGTTTAAAACCAAAACTAACTACCTGCTGCCTATAAGGCATGATGTAAAACCAAATGACATACTAAGGCCAAACAATTTTTTTTTAAAAAAGGAATGTAAAAAGTTGTGGAAGGTGAATACTAAAAAATAAAAATTAAGGTAATATAGACAAAATACCATTCAAAAGCATCACATGATGTCCAGATAGTTTTACTGATAAAAGGTTCAATCTGTAAAAAAGGCACAATAATCATGAATCTTCATTTATCTAATAAAGGTTTAAAATAAACTCAATTGGCTGGGTGCAGTGGCTCACGCCTGTAATCCCAGCACTTTGGGAGGCTGAGGCGGGTGGATTACCTCAGGTCAGGAGTTCGAGACCAGCCTGGCCAACGTGGTGAAACCCTGTCTCTACAAAAATAGAAAAATTAGCCAGGATGGTGGCAGGCACCTGTAGTCCCAGCTACTCAGGAGGCTAAGGCAGAAGAATCACCTGAACTCAGGAGGCGGAGGTTGCAGTGAGCCGAGATCACACCACTGCACTCCAGCCTGGGAGACAGAGTGTGACTCCATCTAAAAAAAAAGAAACAAAGGAAACAAACTCAAGTATCATTGTCTCATGCACCACTGGCTCCAAGACAAAAGGTCATTAAAGTTAAAGACAAACAGAATCATCAGGATAATTACATCTTTTTCTTTTTGCCAAGCAAGTATAATTGAATTTATTTTAGTTGATATGATTCTACTATACAATAACCAACAGTGTAGTCTTTATCCTGAAGGACCATACTGTAGACTAGTGTAGGAAACAAACAACCGTCAATCTCGCAAAAGAACTATTACTGATAGAAACACTAAAATCCCATTATGAAAATGTACAGTTATACACCACATAACAATGTTTTAGTCAATAACAGACTGAATATACAATGGTGGTCCCATAAGATTATCATGGAGCTGAAAAATTCCTATTGCCTAGTGATGTCACAGCCATTGTAATGCACTACTCATGTATCTGTGGTGCTGCCGGTATAAACAAACCTACTATGCTGTTAGATGTATAAAAGTATAGCATATATTGGGGCCGGGTGCAGTGGCTCATGCCTGTAATCCCAGCACTTTGGGAGGCCAAGGCAGTAGATCATTTGAGATCAGGAGTTTGAAACCAGCCTGACCAACACGGTGAAACCCCATGTCCACTAAAAATACAAAACAATTAGCCAGGTGTGGTGGCGAGCGCCTGTAATCCCAGCTACTCAGAAGGCTGAGTCAGGAGAATCACGCGAACCTGGGAGGCAGAGGTTGTAGTGAGCCAAGATTGCGCCACTGCACTCCAGCCTGGGAAACAGAGGGAGACTGCATCCCAAAAGAAACAAAAACAAAAACAAAAAACAGGCTGAGTGCGGCGGCTCACGCTTGTAATTCCAGCACTTTGGGAGGCTGAGGCGGGTGGATCATGAGGTCAGGAGATCAAGACCATCCTGGCTAACACGGTGAAACCCCGTCTCTACTAAAAATACAAAAAAAATTAGCCAGGTGTGGTGGTGGGCGCCTGTAGTCCCAGCTACTCAGGAGGCTGAGGCAGGAGAATGGTGTGAACCTGGGAGGCGGCGCTTGCAGTGAGCCGAGATGGCACCGCTGCACTCCATCCTGGGCAACAGAGTAAGACTCCGTCTCAAAAAAAAAAGTATAGCAAATACAATAATGTATAGTACATATACTTGAGAATGACAATAAACAACTGTGTTACTGGTTTATGTGTTTACTATACATATACTATACTTTTTGTTATGTTAGTATACTCCTACTTTTTTTTAAAGTTAACTATAAAATAGCCTCAAGGCAGGTCTTGAAGGCAAGAGCTACTCTAGAAGAAGGCTTCTTATCATAAGAGATGACAGATCCATGCATGTTAATGCCCTTGAAGATCTTCCAGTGGGACAAGATGTAGAGGAGGACAGGGATACTGATGATTCTGACCTTGTGTAGGCCTAGGCTAATGTATCTGTGTCTTAGTTTTTAACAAAGAAGTTTAAAAGTTTAAAAAAAAAAATTTTTTTAATAAGACAAAGCTTATAGAGTAGGGATATAAAGAAAATATTTTTGTGAAGCTGTACAATGTGCTTGTGTTTTAAGCTAAGTGTTACTTATTTTTTAAGAGACAAAGTCTCCCTATTTGTCCAGGCTGGTATCGAATTCCTGAGATTAAGCAATCCTCCCACCTTAGCCTTCCAAGTAGCTGTACGTTAAGCTAAATGTTACTAAAAAAAGTTAAAAAAATTTAAAAGTTCATAAAGTTAAAAAGTTACATACAGTAAGCTAAGGTTAATTATCGAAGAAAAGTATGTTATAAATTTAGTGTAGCCTAAGGGGTATAGTGTTTAAACAGTATACTACAGTAGCATTCAGTAATGTCCTAGGCCTTTACTTTCACTCACCCACTGACCCAGAGCAGCTTCCAGTCTGACAAGCTCCATGTTAAGTGCTCTAAACAGGTGTACCATTTTTTATCTTTTATACTGTATTTTTACTGGATCTTTTCTATGTTTAGGTACCCAAATATTTACCACTGTGTTACAGTTGCCCACAGTATTCAGCACAATAAAATGCAGTACAGGTTTGTAGCCTAGGATCAATAGGTTATGCCATATAGCATAGGTGCGTAGGAGACTGTACTATCTAGGTTTGTGTCAGTATACTTGATGAAATCCACTAATGATGCACTTATTGGAACGCATCTCTACTGTTAAGTGATGCATGACTATATATTAGGTGGTTGGTAAATTTTTGAGCCAACAAGCAGAAAATTATTAGTCCAAAGAGTAGCAACTGCATATACACACACACATAAATCCAATATTATTCAAGTGAGACACATGATCTAAAGTAAATACTTCAGGTAATACACCAAAGAAAACATTGGGAAACATATCTTTTCAAACAGTATGGAAGATTTCTTTCTTTTCTTTTTTGAGACAGAGTCTTGCTCTGTCACCCAGGCTGGAGTGCAGTGGTGTGACCTCGGCTCACTGCAACCTGTCTTCTGGGTTCAAGTGATTCTTCTGCCTCAGCCTCCTGAGTAGCTGGGATTACAAGTGCACGCCACCATGCCAAGCTAATTTTTGTATTTTTAGTAGAGACATAGGGTTTCACAATGTTGGCCAGGCTTGTCTTGAACTCCTGATCTCAGGTGATCCACACACCTCAGCCTCCCAAAGTGTTGGGATTACAGGCATAAGTTACTGTGCCCAGCCTGGAGATTTCTTAAAGAACTAGAATAGACATAAAAAGAACTAGAGTAGGTCTACCATTTGATTCAGCAATTCTACTACTGGGTATCTACCCAAAGGAAAAGAAGTCATTATATCAAAAAGACACCTGCATGTGTATGTTTATTGCAGCACAATTCACCATTGCAAAGATATGGAACTGGCCAGGCACGGTGGCTCATGCCTGTAATCCCAGCACTTTGGGAGGCAGAGGTGGGTGGGTCACCTGAGGTCAGGAGTTCAAGACCAGCCTGGCCAACATGGAGAAACCCCATCTCTACTAAAAACACAAAATTAGCTGGGCATGGTGGCGCATGCTTGTAATCCCAGCTAGTCGGGAGGCTGAGGCAGGAGAATCGCTTGAACCCGGGCAGCAGAGGCTGCAGTAAGCCGAGATTGTGCCATTGCACTCCAGCCTGGGCAACAAGAGTGAAACTCTGTCTCAAAAAAAAAAAAAAAAAGATAGGGAACCAACCTAAGTGCCCACTGATAAAAGTGTAGTATATATACCCATGGAATACTACTCGGCCATTAAAAAACAAACATGAAATAATGTCTTGCAGCAACTTAGATGGATTTGGAGGCCAATATCCTAAGTGAAGTAACTCAGAAATGGGAAACCAAATACCATATGTTCTCACTTATAAGTGGGAGCTAAACTGCAGGTACACAAAAGCATACAGAGTGACATAACGGACTATGGAGACTCAGAGGAGGGGGGTGGCAGAGCATGTAAGTGATTAAAAAAAAACTACATATTGGGTACAATGTACACTTGGGTGATGAGTGCACTAAAATCTCAGACTTTACCACTATACAATTCATCCATGTGACCAAAAACCACTTGTACCACAAAAGATATTGAAATAAAAAATAATAAATATATCTTTTCTCTCTTCAGTGTACTGAGACTTGTCAAACGAGGCAGAACCTAGGAACATACCCCTCAGCTCTTAATGACATGAAATCTACTCTAGAAAACAGGTTACATTTTGAAATGAAAGCTACAATATTAAGGTACAATCCAGGTAAATCTAGTGGAATACAAAGTAAGAAAATCAGGTTTTGCTTAGGATAGTCAGTGAAGGCTACTCATGAGAATCCGCTCTGAAATAAAAATGACTAACAAAAGACAGGAAAGTACTCCAGGAAGGAAAAATAACCCTAAAAGGATTAGCCCACATATAGAACCTCAGGAGATCAGAAATGCACCAGCCTCTAAAAACAAGTCCTGCAACACGATTACATGACTACATTGCAAAAAGCTGTCAATGATATACATCTGGCAATAAGAAAACTATTATAAATTCTCAGCATTTATAAAATATTAACCTGATGATCACGTATAGTCACTGTAAAAGAAAATGAGCTAGAATTAGGTACATTAATCTGCGTGTGAGAAAATAAAATGGGTATTAATTTGTCACCATGATGACACACTTATACCCAGTTAAAATATACCTGAGATGGTTTGATGTTTCTCTTAAAATGGTTTTATTGTTTTAAATTTCTCAAACTCAAAAAGCATATATTATACTTGAATCACAGCTTTATAGAAGTAGCAAATAACTCTGGAACACTTACTGTATGAGAAACAATGTTTCAATACTTATTGACCAACTGTTACTTTTTCTTTTTTTTTTTTTGAGATAGAGTTTTGCTCTGTCGCCCAGGGGGGCACGATGTCCACTCACTGCAACCTAAATAACTCTGGAACACTTACTGTATGAGAAACAATGTTTCAATACTTATTGACCAATTGTTACTTACTTACTTTCTTTCTTTTTTTGAGACAGAGTTTTGCTCTGTCACCCAGGCTGGAGTGCAATGGCAGGATCTCAGCTCATTGCAACCTCCACCTCCCGGGTTCAAGTGATCCTCTCCCCTCAGTCTCCTGAGTAGCTGGGATTACAGAAACCCACCATCATGCCCGGCTAATTTTTGTATTTTTGTAGAGATGGGGTTTCACCATGTTGGCCAGGCCAGTCTTGAACTCCTGCCCTCAGGTGATCCACCTGCCTCAGCTTCCCAAAGCGCTGGGATTACAGGTGTGAGCCACTGTACCTGGCCAACCAATTGTTACTTTCATATGAATCAAACCTAGGATAATAATACCTAAGATAATAAGGATTCAAACCTAATAAGGAATAAAACCTAAGATAATAAAAAAGTCCTTTCCCATTTCACGTCTGGAAATTTTAAAAATGACAACCAACCCCACCTACTAAATCATAATAACTCTTTACCTAGGAAGAATATACTTTTATAATGACTGCTTCTGCAGGATTATGATTGTAGGTCATGCATAATCAACTGATTTACAAAAAGTATGCCCAAATGAGGTTTAAGATTTACGGCCAGGCGCGGTGGCTCACGCCTGTAATCCTAGCACTTTGGGAGGCCGAGGCAGGCAGAGCATGAGGTCAGGAGATTGAGACCATCCTGGCTAACATGGTGAAACTCTGTCTCTACTAAAAATACAAAAAATTAGCAGGGTGTGGTGGCACTCGCCTGTAATCCCAGCTACTCGGGAGGCTGAGGCAGGAGAATCGGTTGAACCCGGGAGGCAGAGGTTGCAGTAAGCCGAGATTGCGCCACTACACTCCAGCCTGGGCAACAGAGTGAGACTCCATCTCAAAAAACAAACAAAAAAACCCAAAACAAACAAACAAAAAATTCACCAGGCATGGTGGCGAGCTACTCAGGAGGCTGAGGGAGGAGAATCACTTGAACCCAGGAGGCGGATGTTGCGGTGAGCAGAGATTGCACCACTGCACTCCAGCCTGGGTGACAGAGCGCGACTCCAACTCAAAAAAAAAAAAAAAAAGAGAAAGGAAAAAAGATTTCCACGGAATCCAGCATTAACTGGTAGAACAAAAATGAAGAGCTGGAAAATTTGAAAAATATACCACTTGTGAAATTTATATATACATACACACACACATATATAAAATATAAACTTAGGGATGTCAAAGGAACCCTTAATTATTAGTCAAAAAATGAAACTTCATTCATTCAACACTTGCTATGCACCTGTATTAGGTTCTGGCAATACAATGGTGAACAAGATAGAGCCAGTCTCAGCCTTCACAGATTCAAGAGCATAGCAGGAAACAGCAATAAGCAATTCTAGTACCACGTGGTAAGTGCTATAAAATGGAAAAGTCCAGGGTGTTATAAAATCACATAGTGGTGTGCTTAGGTAGAGAGAAGTTTCAGAAAAGATGAAATGACCTCTGTATTGTGATAAGGAGACTAAGAATCCATGAGGCTGGTATCAGGTTTTTTTTTTTTTTTTTTTAAATCAGGAAAATGGAGTACCTCAGAAGCAGCAGGAAAAGTTATGACATTTAGAGCACAATATGAAATACTGCCAAGGATTAAGATTGAAAAGTGTTAACTAAGCTTAGAGGGAATGTCATTGGTGTCCCTGATTGATTTTTTAAAAATGACTCAAAACAGATCATTTGGGGGAGAGAATGACTTCATTTCAAACAAGATGACCAATAACAACAGTTTATGCAGTCCTCGACCCTTTACTAAAATGTGTAGGTACATCTTCCCTTTCCTACTGTAGTAGGCTGGCTTAGATTATTGGTTCCTAACCATTTCATGTGGGCTAAACTCATTTCATGGGCTAAACATATTTAATGCTAAATATGAACACAAGAATGATGCATTTTTTATCATCAGATTAAATAACAATTGGACAAAAAAGTTACAATGAAGTCAATAATGCTTTTAAATAAGTGCATTTTTCTAGAAAATCACAGGATGTTTGAAAAAGAAGTATCTGGGACATTGGTACAGCCAGGATACCATGCTTGGAATATATGTGTGGTGGTCCCTCGTGATGACTCAAGCCCACAGATTGAGAAGCACTATGGATAATATGATCTTCTAAAAAGCCTTGCAATTTAAAATTTTTTTTTAATTCTTCAAGTTTAAAAAAATTACTGAAGCAAAATGGCACATCATGGTAGATTTTATAATAGTTCAAAATGGAATATGATCTAATACTTTAAGCACCTCAGTCTTAGACACTATCAACTGTGACTAAATGCTTTTCTTCAGTGATACCCCAATATTCCCATTAATTAAAACAACTATGAATATCCTTTGCACTTCCTTTACAAGTTTTTGCTATCCCAGAAAAAAGGTAATTGTGCACACTAATTGTAAAGGAAAATCTCCAACCCAATAGACAGAAGTCCAGTAATTCTATCAGATCATTTTACATTAAGGTAAACATAAGCCAAAAGACAAAAATACAGATTTTCCATTCTATTTTCTGATATCAAACCCTAAACAGACAATATTTGTCTATTTATTCATTCCTTTAAAAACTGTAGCTATTGCTCAGGTGGAGAAAGGACAGTTAGGGCATCAGGATTCTGCCAGGTTTCCATCAGTGAAAGCAAATGCTTCTGGTTGCGAAATCCACCGAGGATGCCAATTTAGAGGTGCTATTCAAATGTACAGCAGTTTATCCAACCACAGATAAGAAATTACAATTACTGATCAATTAATTACATTTAGATAGTCTAATAATAACTCTAAGGACCAGACTATTAAAAGAAGACAAAAGTAGTCTTTCAATATTTACTGGTCACCAACAGTTAAGATATAAATTTCCAGTTTAAAAAAATCACAAAGACCTTCCTATTGTTGCTTTACCAAAGAACAATCTAGTAATTCAAAGATTACAGGTGTAGGCCTACATATTCCACAAGATGGACAATGGTAAGTGCAAATGTTTTGCCTTATTTTATTTGGGGCCAAAAATAAATCATTTTAAAGCAGTTTAAGTTACACAAAGAGTCCAATCTTAAATTCTAATTTTTAACAGCAGTCAGGTGAATAAAAAGTTATTTGTGGTCAGGGGCAGTGGCTCATGCCTGTAATCCCAGCACTTTGGGAGGCCAAGGCGGGTGAATCACGAGGTCAGGAGTTTGAGACCAGCCTGGCGAACATGGTGAAACCCTGTCTCTACTAAAAATACAAAAATTAGCCAGGCGTGGTGGTGCGTGCCTGTAATCCCAGCTACTTGGGAGGCTGAGGCAGGACAATCTCTTGAGCCCAGGAGGCAGAGGTTGCAGTGAGCCGAGACCTCGCCATTGCACTCCAGCCTGGGTGACAGAGTGAGACTCCGTATCAAAAAAAAAAAGTTATTTGTAAAACTAAAAAACTCTGAAATATCATGAAATTAAAAAATCATCAGTGTTGATCCAGACAACGTGGAAAAGAGGAATTAGGACATCTAAAATGTGAAAAGGAGATGGCTAGGTTTTATCAAATACCAATGGTACAGATCCCCTGGGATGAGGTGGGGTGGCTGAAACCACAATGAAATGTTAAAATCTAGTTTCAGCCGGTGAGGTGGCTCGTGCCTGTAATTCCTAGCACTTTGGGAGGCCGAGGTGGGTGGATCACCTGAGGTCAGGGGTTTGAGACCAGCCTGGCCAACCAGGCAAAACCTTGTCTCTACTAAAAATACAAAAATTAGCCAGGCATGGTGGCGCATGCCTGTAATCCCAGCTACTCAGGAGGCTGAGGCAGGAGAACTGCTTGAACTCAGGAGGCAGAGGTTGCAGTGAGCCAAGATCGTGCCACTGCACTCCAGCCTGGGTGACAGGGTTAGACGCTGTCTCAAAAAAAAAAAAAAAAAAAAATTTAGTTTCATGTATAGAAACTATCTTTATTTTTAATGTTTACAGAACTGAGAACTTTTTGGATCTTTTATTTTACCTACTATTCTTCCATGATTAAAACTAAATTAACAAACGAAATAGAAAATGACTGGAGAATTTCAGACATCCAAAATTGATGTAAGACAAGTGATAATTAATTCAAATAATCCTCTTGATAACTACTTTTAATAGCAGCAGTGAGCTATTATAAATGATCATAATGAGAATCATCAATTTTTAGTACTGAAAGAAACAGAAGAGATCTAATATTTTAATCCTCTTATTCTACAGGGATGACGCTAAGGTCAAGGAGACAAAATGACTTTCCCAAAGTGACAATGCTGGAGAGCCCACTATAAAGCTTACAAATCCTAGTTCTAACACAGTCCATAAGTTCTTCTACTATCCAGTCATAAACCTTTTAGAAAATAGGTAATGCTTCACTCTCCCATAGGAAAGATCATATGGCTTTCTCATGGCCTAGCACAATGCCTCACACACTGCAGATACTAGTTTGTTCATTCCTACACCAAAACTTCCTTTAAAGCTAATTTGACATCCTAGTAAAAATATCTTCGCCCGGGCGCGGTGGCTCACGCCTGTAATCCCAGCACTTTGGGAGGCCAAGATGGGCAGATCACCTGAGGTCAGGAGTTCAAGACCAGCCTGGCCAACACAGTGAAACCCCGTCTCTACTAAAAATACAAAAATTAGCGGGGCATGGTGGCGCGCGCCTGTAGTCCCAGCTATTCCGGAGGCTGAGGCAGAACTGCTTGAACCCAGGAGGCGGAGGTGGTGGTGAGCTGAGATCGCACCACTGCACTCCAGCCTGGGCAACAAAGTGAGACTCCATCTCAAAAAAAAAAAAAAAATTCAACCTGAATAGTATAATATGGAAATGACTTGCATACATATTTAAGTGTATACACTTGGATACAATTAGAAGTTACTTGACCAACTGTATATACTTATGTATAAAACTGGGAGATATTTGACCAAACGTTTCTCTGACCTCGACTTACTCTGGTACTACCATTGAACAACTCCAGACCCAGAGAAAATCCACCACACCCAATCCCAGTATTGTCAAATGCAGCCAGACTAATTCTCTGCACAGCTGTCAGATACCAAAAGGATTTAACAGTCAGTTCACCAAAACCATACAAAGCAGTTCACTAAATAATCCAATGCTTGGCCTCACATCAGAGAAACTGTATCATGCATATTAGGCTTGGTCATGTACATTTCCAGGTGAAATGGAAAAACTGAATTTAAGATGCTTCCAATCAAAAAGTTTAAGAAGTCACTCCCATTTTTTTTTTTTTTTTTTTTGTATGTGTGTGTAGGCCTGGACCTGGGGCAGGGGGCTGTGTGCAACCAAGCCTGGTGAGCATTGCTGTGGCCGCTACTCTTGTGCAGCAAGAGGGGACAGTGCAGTGCAGAGCGTTTTCTGACAAAGGCCAAGGGGTCCGGAGTGCAAAAGGACACCTTGGGGCTGGGGCATGGCAGGAGAGGTTACGGGCGCTGAGTGCTTGCAGCCAAGGGGGCTTCGGGGTTGCTGAGAGAGGACGAGCCTTGGGAGCTTGACAGTTCTGCTTACAGTTCAGAGGCTGTAAAACAAATGCCACTGAACACCATTTCACTCTTTAGAACCTGTGTAGTCTTTCTTTTTCTATGTAGAAAGCCATCTAATCGTTTTTGTTTTTGTTTTGCTTTTGTCAACTAACCGTCACTGTAGTTGCCCACTTACCCCCAGCAAAAACACACTCCAAAAGGGGGAGTGGCTCATTATTAAAAGGCTCTTAGCGATTAGGTTGTAGGCTTTGGAAATCACAGAAACAGTTCGTATCACGATGTACCAATTGTTAATCGAATTTAGCTTCCTTCACTTATTAAATACAATCATCACATTTGCAAATGCCCCACTCCCATCTACAACACTAGGGATAAATGCTGTGTCACTGAGAAGAAAAGCAAAGGATTTTTCTGAAACCAAAAGCAAACTGTCAAAGAATGCCAGTAACCTGTCATCGAGCTACTCTATGCCCTCCACTGGCAGCCAGAAATGAGTCTCCCTAAACCCAAGTGTTGTGCTGCCGCTTGGCAGCTTCCGTCTGATGGGAAGCCCCCTCACTGACACAACCCGCCAAGGAAAAGCTGCACGAGCCAGTTTCCTCCTCTACGGCCTGGGGCTGCTTCTCACCATGTCCAAGTGAGCACCGGGACCTTCAGGGTGTCCGCTGCCCGGGGCCGGACTGGCCCTGCCCTCCGGGGTCTTCCGTTCGCTGTTGCGCTTCAGGCCGCTGGCGTCGCCCCGGCCTCTGGCCTCCCGGCGCCGTTGCTGCCGACTCCACAGGTATATGGCACCCGCGCCCAGCAGCAGGGGTGCCCCGACCGCCAGAGCCAGCTGCCATCGCGGCAGCCCCCCCGTGCCCGGGCCCGCAGTCCCGCCGCCGCCCACCCCACTCCCGGAGCTCGGTACAGCGGCTGCGACCACCGCTGCCTCCACAGGTTTAGAGGCGGCCATGACAAGTGTCCTCTGCCACCGCCTCCCTGTCTGTCGCGAGCGCCACAATCACCAAACAGCGTGCGAAGGAAGACCGAGGGAGGGAAGGAAAGCAATGAGCGAGCGAGCACGCTAGGCAGAGAGAGCGGACGACAGAAAAGGGCCAGAGGTCACCGGAAGCCCAGGGCATGCCGGGCCAGACCTGGCCGTCCTTCTCCTCCAGTATCAACCGAAGAGGGAGAGGAGGGGCGGAAATCACTTCCGGGTTAAGGGAAAGCGTGGGTGTGAGTAGGAGTCTTCGGAAACCCTTTTTCTTTCTTTTCGCCCCGCTGCTGTTCGGGAGATGGACTTCTGGAGTCCCCGTCGTAGCTGGTGTTGTCCCCTCTACCTTCAGGAAAGAAGGGCAGATGGCCCTCTTGCCTACTGAAGCCGAGGAGGGGCGCGTATACAGCGGGCTAAGGGCGCTCAAGAGATCCGAGTGGAAGAAAAAGCAGCGGCACAGCACTGGAATGGGCGGGAGTGGCAGAAGAGTTGTGAAGGCTATTGGCTAGCAAGGGTGGTGGGCGGGGCGTAGACCGAGCTACCCAGTTTACTGGTCGATTTCGGATCCAGTTTTCCAGTTATAGCCACGTTGGCACCTCTTGAACCTCTGTGGCCGTTAGCACGGTTTTCTGCCCGCGTGCCCGAGAAACCAACGGATTAGAAGGACTTTTAAAGATGTGTGAGGAAAGAGCTCACCGCTGAAGAAGGCTGCTGCATCACTGAACTTCTTATCACTAACATAGCGAGATTTTAGTTTGGACGAATTTGAGGTTATAGGGGAGATAGCGATGGCAGAAGACTAGGTGGAAATGGCACATCTAGGTTGGCTGCAGTCGAAACGGTTTGAGCGTGGTCGCTGTGGCTCATCGTCGGCACCAATTAACGAAGCGATGACATCTGCGTTGTTAGGGGTTTCTTAAACTGAGTTGGTAGAAATGCGAAGCGTCAGGGTTCCCGCCGGCTTCGAGCCTTTCTTGGCGTATTTGTATCTTGAGCTGATTTCTGCGTCAGCCCACATCTCGCTCTGATCCGCACGCCCCCCGGGTTGTTTTGCAGTAGCAGTCTCAGCCCTCTTCTCGTCTCATTCCCAAATCGTAATTTCAGTTCACAGCTTTTTATCTATAATAGCTTTATCAACTCTTTTTCCGATGCTCTGCACCAGATCTCTTAAAATATAAAATTACCTTGCAAGGTATTGTTTGGAATACACGGTATTTTCATGAAGACAACTATTAATAGAAAAATCAGAGTCCAGAACTATGGTTCTCCATTTCTGGTATACTGGTTTGCAGAAGCCTTACATTAAGATTTCATAAATGATTGTTTTGCTGTTAAGTGCAACAACATCACAGTAGAGCTACATAAAGATTGAAAGGAGATATTTTATCAAGTGGCACCAGAATGGACTGATTAAAATAGAATGGCCTAATTGGAAAGAATTTCAGGATCACCGGTTTCTCCTGCTTCATGTAAGTTCCTATTAGTAAATTGCCTTCAGGCAATAGGGTTTCTTAGCAACAGACTAAAAAAATGGGCTAAAAATAGCAGTGGAATTGAGTTGATCGTTGCAGGCAATAGGCTTTTCTCCCCTCCTGATCCCCCAATCCCCAAAGGCAAATTTTCTGCCCCTTAATATAAGCTCTGCCTTGCCTTTTTCAGAACACAAGTTAGGATTTTTTTTTTTTTCTGAAATTTCAGTTTTGCTGTGGCCTCTTGGAGGATTGTAGAGTGCTAACAATTACAAACTTGATAGGAACTAAAACATATTTGAAGTTTTTTTTTTAAACCTTTTTCTTATTTATTGGAGTAAGCAATACACTGTTACGGTTAAACTCCAAAAGTTACAGAGTTTACTGTGAAAAGTCTTCCTTCAGTCCCTGTCCTCAGCTGCACAGTTCCCCTCTCCAAAGGGAATCGGTGTTATTTTCTTGAAACATTTTTTGGATTAATATTTATCTAAAGGCCTGATTTTGTTTGGCTTTATTTTTAAGGTTGGCATTAGTAAACGAATCTGTTCTGGTTACTTTTATACTTTGATAAACATCTCATTTCCATTCTCTAGCCTATGCTATTCTCTCATTTTCTCCTCCATTTCCTAATTGATGGTACTGTAGAGCCAAATAGAGTGTCGCTTACTGGCTTTGGGACCTTACTGATCTGATGCATGTTTTTCTAATCTGTGAAATGGTGAAAACATCTACCTCTCAGGCTATAGTAAAGATTTAATTAGAGAATATTTAAAGTTCTTTTGATGTTTGTTACAAAGCAATAGATATTTGATGATTAGTTCTCAGTTTTTCTAAATTTTAAAGTAAAGAAGTAAAATACTGCCTTTCATTTCTAAAAAATTAAAGTTCTGTATATGTGAACATAGACATTATCTTTTTCTTGGTAGATTAGTGGAACTCAACTGAAGAAGCTTTCTTCACCTTTGATCTGTATCTTAGGAGGCAGTTAAATGAGATAGTCTAATGGACTAGGTTGTGGAAGACCTGAGTTTTTTTTTTTTTTGAGATGGAGTTTCGCTCTTGTTGCCCAGGCTGGAGTGCAATGGCGCCATCTTGGCTCACTGCAGCCTCTGCCTGCAGGCTTCAAGCAATTCTCCTCCCTCAGCGTCCCAGTAGCTGGGATTATAGGCGGCTGCTACCATGCCAGGCTAATTTTTTGTATATTGGCCAAGCTGGTCTTGAACTCCTGACCTCAGGTGATCTACCTGCCTCGGCCTCCCAAAGTGCTGGGAATACAGGCATAAGCCACCATGCCCAGCTGACCTGAATTCTTATTCTAAATTTTAATACCACTGAGTTGTGTGTGTGACCATGGGCAACTCTGCTTTCTTTATAATGTGAGGAGGGGTGGATTAGATTATTTTTAAGGCTCCTTATTGTTTTAAAATGATGTAATTCTGTCCCTTCAATTGTCATTGCTACATGAAAGGCCTTTCAGATTGCTAGAGTTGGTAAATAGCTGGTTGACTGGTGTCCAAACCTTCCAGCCAGTGCACAAATCTGCTTATATTAAGCATGTACATATAGAACAGCTCTATTCTCTTTCAGCTGTCTGATGTTTTCATTCTGTTTTTCCTTACTGAAAAATTACTGAAAAGAATTGTCTACATCTGTTACTTATTTGGCACCCATTTCATCCAAAATCTGTTGTAATCTAGTTTACAACTTTATAATTAGGCTGAAAGTGCTTTAGAAGTCATAAAATTCATTGTGGTTTTTTTGTGGGTGGGGGAGGTTGGCTGTCACCCACTTTTACTTGATACCACTGATTATTCTCTCCTTGAAATGTTCTTTTCCTTGGCTTCAGGAGAATAGAGTCTTCTGGTTCTTCTACGCTCTGACCAAACTCTAGATCAGTGCTGTCCATCACAGCTTTCTATGATGCTGGAAATGATTTATATTTATGATGTCCAATATGGTAGCCACTAGCCACATGTGGCTATTGAGCACTTGAAATGTAGTGTGACAAAGACTACAGTTTTCATTATTTAATTGATTTAAGTAGTATCATGTGGCTAATGACTACCATATTGGACAGCACAGCTCTAGATATTCCTCAAGTGAGGAATTTATTAGAATATGTCTTCTTCTTTATCTTCAATCTCTCCATTAGTAACCAAAGTAAATCTCATTGCTTCAGGTACCATTTCTGTGCAGATAATCACTGTCTATATATCTTTTGGCATAGCTTCCCTTTTTACCTCTAGCCCTATATTTCTTACTACTTACTGAGCAGTTTTGCTTGGATTCCTGACTTTTGTCAAAAATATAACTCATCATTTTCCCCACTCATTCTTTCTCTTTGTGTTATCCTTTTTTTTTTTTTTTTTCCAAGATGGAATTTCGCTCTGTTGCCCAGGCTGGAGTGCAGTGGTGTGATCTCGGCTTACTGCAACCTCTGCCTCCTGGGTTCAAGCGATTCTCTTGTCTCAGCCTCCCGAGTAGCTGGGACTACTGGCGCCCGCCACCACACCTGGATAATTTTTTGTATTTTTAGTAGAGACGGGGTTTCACCGTGTTAGCCAGGATGGTCTCGATCTTCTGACCTCGTGATCCGCCCGCCTCGGCCTCTCAAAGTGCTGGGATTACAGGCATGAGCTACTGTACCCAGCCTGTGTTATCCATTTTTTCTAATAATACCACTATTACCTTAGCAGTTACTCATATTTGAAACCATAGACCTTTTTAGACCTCTCTCTTTTTCATCCTTACCTACCCAAGCACAAATGATTATGCTGTTGTATTTATATACACACATAAACACAAAATCAGCTGTGAAGTCTTCAACAAATTCAACTTTGTTGTAATATCTTTCTTATAGTTTTTTCACCCATTCTGACACTTCTTAGTTCATATAAGTGAAAACTCCTAAGAGTATGTATAACACATAACAGATACTCAATAAATAGTTTCTTCCCATCTTAGTACAGGCTGCTATAACAAAAATATCATAAAACTACTTAGCTAATAAACTATAGAAATTTATTTCTCACAATTCCTGAGGATGGGGGTTTGAGATCAGTGTGCCAGCATGGTCAAATTCTGTAAGAGCCCTATTCTGGGTTGAGGACTGCAAATTTGGTTTGTGTCCTCAAATAGTGGAAAGGGGCAAGAAAGTTCTCTGGAGTCTCATTTTTATAGGGGCACTCATCCTATTTTTAAGGGCTCCATCCTCATGATCTAATCACTTCCCAAAGGCCTCAACTCCTAATACTATTACATTCCCCTCTTTTTTCTCTTTTATTCATTTCCTTCATCTTGCCTAAATCCTATATTTGCTTGCTTCCCAGATAATTTCTCTGCCTCTAGTGCCTCTCTTCTATGTGTCACCCTGCACCTTGATATCAATTTACTCTTCCTATAGCATAACTGTAATTTCACTCTTGAGCTGAAAGACTTTTAAATCCTCTTCACTTTCACTATAAAGTTCAACATTTCTGCCCACCCATGCCTCCCTTCATACACCTCTTCTCTTTCTTTGGTCTACGATATTAGCACCTAGCACTATTAGAAATTACCTATGTGGGCCGGGTGCAGTGGCTTGTGCCTGTAATCCCAACACTTTGGGAGGCCGAAGCGGGTGGATCACCTGAGGTCAGGAGTTCAAGATCAGGCTGACCAACATGGTGAAACCCTGTCTCTACTAAAAATACAAAAATTAGCCGGGCATGGTGGCACATGCCTGTAATCCCAGCTACTCAGGAGGCTGAGGCAGGAGAATCGCTTGAACCCCAGAGGCGGAGGTTGCAGTGAGCCGAGATTACCCTATTATACTCCAGCCTGGGTGACAGAGTGAGATGCCGCCTCAAGAAAAAAAAAACCTCTCAGGTGTACACTTGTCTGTGGGAAAAATAAAAAAATAGTGTGATCCCCTCAATAGGATGTAAGCCCCACGAGGACAGAAACTGTTCATTTTGTACAGCCAGAGCCCAGAATATAGGTGGTGTGATGGGTAATTTCATGTGTCAATTTGACTGGGCCATGGGATACCCAGATACTTGTTTAAACATTATAAATGTGTCTGTGGTGGTGTTTTTGATTGCTTGATTTTTATTTTTTTATTTTTATTTTTTGAGATGGAGTCTTGCTCTTGTTGCCCAGGCTGGAGTGCAATGGCATGATCTCGGCTCACTGCAACCTCCGCCTCCCGGGTTCAAGCGATTCTCCTGCCTCAGCCTCCCAAGTAGCTGGAATTACAGGTGCCCGCCACCATGCCTGGCTAATTTTTGTATTTTTAGTAGAGACGGGGTTTTGCCATGTTGGCCAGGCTGGTCTTAAACTCCTGGCCTCATGATCCGCCTGCCTCAGCCTCCCAAAGTGCTGGGATTACAGGCATGAGCCACTTCGCCTGGCTGATTTTTATTTTTAGTGTATCTATTGTCGGTTTTTGCTTCAAAAAACATAGATATTACAGGTTATTTTAGACTGATAACAAGTTAACTTTGATTATTTACACATACACATGCAAACTACACTTTAACTCCACTTCCTTTCCTCAATATTTTGTGCTTTCAATTTCACAATTTAAGTATTTTTATATTGCATATCCATCAACAAGTTGCTGTAGTTATTAATTTTAATACTTTTATCTTTTAGCCCTACTAAAGATACGTGATTTACACACCCTCATTACAGTATTTAAATGCTACCATTACAGTATCAGAGTATTATAAATTAAATTTAGCTATGTACGTATTTTTGCCAGGGAGTTTTATACTTTCAGATGTTTCTGTGTTTATCATTAGTGTCCTTTCAGCTTGAAGAACACCCTTTAGCATTTCTTGTAAGACAGGTCTGGTGGTGATGAACTCCCTCAGATTTTGTGTGACTAGGAAAGTCTTTATCTCATGTTCATTTCTGAATGACAGTTTTGCTGAGTACAGTATTCTTGATTGACAGTCTTTTTTTTCCTTTAGCACTTTGACTATATCATACCACTCTTCCCTGGCCTGTAAGATTTCTGTTGAGAAATCTGCTGCTAGGCATATTGGAACTGCCGTATATGTTACTTGCTTTTTTTGTCTTGCTGCTTTTAGGATCCTGTCTTTGTCTTAGATCTGTAGAGTTTGATTATAATATGTCTTGTGATAGTCTTATTTGGATTGAATCTAATTGCAAATCTTTGACCTTCCTGTACCTGGCTATTTATATATTTCTCCAGGTTTGGGAAGTTTTCTGCTATTACTGCTTTAAATAAGCCTTTTACACCCTTATCTTTCTCTACTCCCTCTTGAATGCTGGTAATTTGCGTATTTGCTCTTTTGATACTATCCCATAAACCCTATAAAGTTTCTTTATTCCTTTCCACTCTTTTTCCTTTCTTCTCCTCTGTATATTTTCATATAACCTGTCTTCAAGTTTACAGATTCTTTTTCTGATTGATCAATCCTGCTCTTGATGCTCTCTATTACATTTTTACATTCATTGTATTTTTCAGCTCCAAAATTGGTCTGATTTTATTATTTCAATTTATCTGGTAAATTTCTCATCTGACCATTTATTATTTTCCTAATTTTGTTGACTTGTTTCTCTGTATTTTCTGAAGTTCTTTGAGCTTCTTTAAAACAGCTGTTTTGAATTCCTTGGCAGATAGTTGATATATCTGTGTCTTTAGGGTCTATGACTGGCATCTTATTTTGTCTGTTTAGTGATGTCATGATTCCCCGATTGTTCTTGTGGTCATGTGTCAGTGTGTGTGCATTCAAGAAGCAGTTACTTATTCCAGCCCTCACAATCTGGCTTTGTCTGGGAACATCCTCTAACAGTAAGCCTGTCCAGAGATTCTAGGCAGGTCATTTGGTGTGGTCTCCGAGCCTGTGACCACTGCAGCCCTTCCAGCTCTAGGGAGTGCTATGTACTCCCTACTGTGACCAGCACAGTGCCACGCTGAAATCCCGTAGTCACTGAAGCTGACTTAGCACTGGGATGGAATCCTGTGGCTGCTGAGGCTGGTGCAGCACTTGGGTGCACCCAAAGCCCACAGCTGCTGAGGCTACTGCAGCACTGGGGTACATCTGAAGCTTGCAGCCACTGAGGGGGCCTGCCTGTTGCTGTGGGTTATTTGGATCCCAAGACCACTGTAGTTGGCTGATGGTGATGTGGGCTGGAACTCAAGTTTGTCTCACAGGGGCTATGGTTTCCCATCTGCTGCCGGGATGGGTCTAGAGTCTCAGTCTGCAGTTACTGGCCTGAAGTCATGGGTCATGGGGGGGTCTACCCAGTGCTGAGTTTTACTGTGACAGGCCTGGTATTGGGGTCCAAGGCAAAGTCTTACCTTTACTTTCCTCTCTTCCTCCCAAGCAGACAATATCTTTTTCCGGGCTGTGCTGCCTGGTCTTGGGGGAAGGGTGACATGGGTAATGTAAAACTGTTCTTCCTACCTACTTAAATGTGTCTTTTCTTATTATTATGCTATAACCAGGTGCTATAATCTCTCACCTGGTTTCCTTAGCTCTCGTGAAGGTATTTTATACATAGATAGTTGTTCAAATTCATATTTCTCTGTGGGAAAATTGCTGGAGAGTCCTATTCCACCATCTTGCTCTACTTTCCTCTGTGAGAATGTTTTGGATGAGATTGATACTTGAATTGGCAGAGTGAGTAAAGCAGATTGCCCTCAGTGTGGTTGGCCCTCATTCAATCAGATGAGGGCCCAAATAGAACAAAACTTGACCCACTGATGAATAAGAGGGAACTCCTCCTCCCTAAGTTCCTTGAGCTGGGATATTCATCTTTTCTTGCCTTTGGACTTGAACTGAAATATCAGCTCTTCTTAGGTGTAGAGCCTAGTGACTTTCAGACTGAAAAGATACTATCAGCTCTCCTTGGTCTCCAGCTTGTTTACTATAGGTCTTAGCCTCCATAATTTTGTAAATAAATAAATAGGCTGGGCACGGTGGCTCATGCCTGTAATCCCAGCACTTTGGGAGGCTGAGGCGGGTTGATCATGAGGTCAGGAGTTCGAGGCCAGCCTGGCCAAGACAGTGAAACCCTGTCTTTACTAAAAATACAAAAATTAGCTGGGTGTGGTGGTGGGCGCCTGCAATTCCAGCTCTCTCTCTCTCTATATATATATACATACACACACACACACACACACACACACACACACACATATATATATATATATTTTTTTTTTTTTTGAGTCTCACTCTTATAGCCCAGGCCAGAGTGCAGTGGCGTGATCTCGGCTCACTGCAACTTCCGCCTCCTGGGTTCAAGCGATTCTGCCTTAGCCTCCCGAGTATCTGGGATTGCAGGTACCCACCACTGTGCCCAGCTAATTTTTGTATTTTTAGTAGAGACGGGGTTTCACCATATTGGCCGGGCTGGTGTTGAACTCCTGACCTCAGGCGATCTACCCACCGCAGCCTCCCAAAGTGCTAGGATTACAGGCGTGAGCCACCACACCCAGCCTAAATATATATTTGTATATATTTAATTAAATATATGCATAAATATATATGTACATAGCTTACATCTATCTATCTATCTATCTATCTATCTATCTATCTATCTATCTACCTATTTTATCTGTCTATAATTAGTCTTGTTTCTCTGAAGAACCCTAATACAGATTTTGGTACTAGGAATGGGGTGCTAATGTAACAGAAAAATACCTAAACAAATGGAATTAGCTTTGGAACTGATTGATGGGTACAGGCTGGAAGATTTTTGAGGTGCCTGCTAGAAAAAGCCAACATTGTTGTGAGGGAAGTGTTGGTAGAAATATGGATATTAAAAGAAATTTTGGTGAGGGGTCAGAAAGTAAAGAGGAGAGCTAGAAACAAAGCTTCCATTTTCTTAGAGAATACATAAATACATGAACAGAATATTCATTCAAATGTGGATGTTAAGGGCCATTTTGGTGAGATCTCAGATACAAATAAAGAACAGACAGTTGGAAACTGGAAGGTGATCTTTATTATAAAGTAGCAAAGAATATGGCTGCATTGTGTCCTAGTGTTGTGCAAGGTAGAACTTGCAAGTGATGAAATTGGATACATAGCAGAGGAGATATCTAAGTAAAGTATCAAAGGTACCCCTTGGGTCCTCCTTGCTGCTTATAGTAAAATGCAAGAGGAGAGAGGTGAATTGAAGAAGGAATGGTTAGGAAAAAGGAGCCAGAACATGGAGATTGGGTACAACTCATGGACTTAATCAGCCATCTCATCAGAAGCCAAGAATAGAGATGGGATTTTACCAGCAGAAACACTGCTGGCTGAGACTAAGGAAACAGAAAAAATGAGACAGGATGAAGGAAAGCTATCAGACTTAGATTTTACAGGATGGGACCATAGAGCTATTTGGCTCTGAAAATACTTTATCCTTCAAGAAAAGGGAAGACTGACTCCAACAGCAATTCAGAAATCCTCAGGGCTGCCAGTCCCACTACAGGCCCAGGGAGTAGGTCTGAATCCTTCTGTTTTTCAAAGAGTGGGTGTGCCCTTCCAGTTTTGGTGGGTCAGGAACCCTTGCCTACTATATCAGGGTCAGGGTCAGGTTTGCCCTAGCAGAGAGCTTGTGGACTGGCCTTACTCCTTAAGCTGAAGGGGCAAGGCTACCCTGTAGAGCTGTGAGAATGATACTACCACCCGAGAGGGCCTGGGGGGCAGAGAGTTGAACCCAAGAGGGTTATTCTCTAGCTTTAAGATCCAAAGGAATTTTCCTTGCTAGATTTTGGACTTGTTACAAAAGCCATCACCTCTTCCTTCTTTGCTATTTCTCCCTTTTGGAGTGGGACTGTCTATCCTATGCCTTGTCCCATCATATTTTAGAAGCACATGACTTGTCTGGTTTCACAGGTTCACACCTGCAGAGAATTTTGCCTCAGGATGAATCACACTTCAGTTCTCTCCCATACCTGATTTAGATGATATTTAATGAGACATTGGACCTTAAGCTTTAGAGGTGATGTTGTAATGAGTTAAGACTTTTAGCACATTAGGGTGGGATGAATGATGAATGTATTTTGTATGTAAGAAGGGCATGAATTTTGGAGGCCAGATGCCCCACTCTTAGTACCAAAATCTGTAGTACTCTACAAGTGTTGCTGTAACAAAATACCACAGACTGAGTGGCATAAACAGCAGAAATTTGTTTATCATGCTTCTGGAGGCTGGGGAGTCCCAGATCAAAGTTCAGGTCTGTTTGTTTTCTTGTGAGGGTTCTCTTCCTGGCTCACTGTAGGCCACCTTCCCTCTGTTTCTCACATGACCTCTTTGTATGCATGCAGAGAGAGAGAGTAAACTCTCTGATGTTTCTTCTTATAAGGGCACTAATTTCATCAAACCAAGGCCCCACCCTCATAATCTCATCTAACCCAAATTACCTCCCCAAAGTCCCATCTCCAAATACCATCGCATTGGGGGTTAGGGCTTCAACATATGGATTTTGGGGGAACACGGGGGACAAAAATATTCAGTCCATAATAGTTAGCATATAATAGACACTCAATAAATACTGTTTTAAGTAAATAAATATTCTGCTAAAGGTATCAAAGAAGGAAAAAGTGACATTCAAGATTGTATTAGCCATTTTTGTGTTGCTATAACAGAATACCCGAGGCTGGGTAATTTCTGAAGAAATTTATTTAGCTCATGGTTCTGCATGCTGAGAAGTATGGCGCTGGCATCTGTTTGGCTTCTGGAAGAGGCCATGTGCTAGATCAAAACACGGCAGAAGTTCAAAGAGGATGTGAACATGTGTGAAGACAGACCAAACGAGAAACCTTGCTTTGTAATAACCCACTTTCTTAGGAACTAATCTGTTCCCAGAGAGCTAATCCAGTCTCTAGAGAGCAAGAACTCACTACCGTGAGAATAGCACCAAGCAAAAGGGATCCACCCCGTTGACCTGAACACCTTCCATTAGGCACCACCTCCCAACTGCCACATTTGGGATGAAATTTCAGCCCGAGTTTTGGTGGGGACAAACAAACCATATCCAAACAGTAGCATAGATGGAATAGGTAGGATTTGCATTTACTTAAAAAAATATTTATTGTCTATTACATGCTTCCCCTAAACTCCCAGAATACTTTTTCTGGGACTTTCTCAAAATTTACTACTTTTCTGCCTTGTTTTATAGTATTATACTTGTCCTAACTCATCTACTGGATTATAAGTATCTCAACATCAGAAGCCGTGTCTGATTTATTTTGTATCCTGTACAAAATCTACAATGCCTTCTCTAATTCTATATGTCAGAGCAAAGTAATATGTTTTCTCTTTTGTATTAGACCATCCCTCAGATTCTATTTCTTCCTCACAATTACTGTATTGCCATAATTATTCATTCTCATATCTGCTGCCTATGCTCAATTCTGAGTCCCTGAAGGGCAGGGAGCATGTTCTAGTCATCTTTGTACTCCTGTATCTGTAAGAGGGTTGGGCATATGATGAGTGCCTGTTAACTTATTTATCCACCCAACACAATACCTGAAATATGGTCAATGCGAAATAAAAAGTTGATGAAGTGTTTGTTGAACAAGTTTCTAACTGATATTGTTGTCAATATTAACAGTCTGGTACCACCATTGCTGTCCAATACCACTGGTGTCAGCCGGGACACCAATTGCTCCTGCTGCTGCAGCTGCCGCCACCAGAAATAGTCTACTTCCATCACAACCACCTTTATAGCCTCTGGCTAGATCCCAGTCCCTAGCATGCTGTGGTCACTGCTACCACTTCCACCACTGAAGCTGCTTCCTGGAAGACCTGATTGGTTTATACTTTGTATCTCATTTATGATATATGGAAGCCTGTTTCTTTTGAGCCCTTATGCGGTTATTTTTTCCCCCCAATCCTGATGGTTTCTGCATTATTCAACTTCCATCAAAGCATCAGTTGAGTGGGTGGTACTGCTTCACTTCTCAGGGGGAATGTCACTTTATGATTCAATCAAGTGGTTGCCCTTTTTGCTGTCAGAAGGAGCATCTGCATTTATCTTCAGGGAACAATCTGTAGTAACACTAGTTTCCTCTCCTTAGCTGTGACTGATAGCTCATATGTATATTTTTATGCACTCATTTCCCACCTTTCTTCCCACTCACATGGATTTATAAGATCTTTCCATCTTCATCAGTTTAGTTCATTGCCACCCAGAAGAATTTGTGTCATTTGTAAATGCAGAATTGTTGCCCTGCACTTTAATTTATAAAGATATTACATACAGATTATGCTCATGGTGCCCTACACAAGAATGCTGGGGCGAGTGGGTGTTGAGGTCCAGCATGCACTTTGCTCAGCACAGCCTTCTGTCAGGCTGGGTCTGCCTGGAGAAAGGTGCTTCTTTTTATGATTTGCATGAAAATGCTGGTCCATTACTAAGTGATGGGCCTACAGTAGAGTATTCACTCATAAAAGGCATTCAAACTAGCAGCCATGGTTATGCAGTGCTGTTCTTAGCATTGCTCTAGCATTGAACCTGAGAGCCTCTAGTCTGTGCTTTTCCATCTTTCTGCCATTTTTTCCCGACCAGTGGAAGATAGCCTTAACTTCAACAATGAAGAAAAGACCCAATTTTGTCAAATTTTGAAAAACATTCAAAGCTGCAAAAAAAAAAATAGTTTCTGTAACTATGTTCTGACTATCTGTTGCTGCTTCACGAACTACCCCAAAACTCAGTGTCTTGAAACATTGCTTTATTACATATCATAATTTTGTTGCTCAGGAATTTGGACGTGGCTCCTCTGGTAATATCAACAGAGATTACTCCGTGTTATTCAGCTGCTGAATGGGTTGGTCTGAAGGGTTCAAGATGGTTTAATCAAGGTTAATGAAAGTGGTCAGGTGCGGTGGCTCATGCCTGTGATCCCAGCACTTTGGGAGGCCGAGGTGGGTGGATCACTTGAGGTCAGGAGGTTGAGACCAGCCTGGACAACATCGTGAAACCTCGTCTCTACTAAAAATACAAAAATTAGCTGGGCATGGTGGCAGGCACCTGTAATCCCAGCTACTTGGGAGACCGAGGCAGGAGAATCGCTTGAACCTGGGAGGCAGAGGTTGCAGTGAGCCGAGATCGCACCGCTGCACTCCAGCCTGGGCAATAAAGCTAGACTCAGTCTTAAAAAAAAAAAAAAAGTTAATCAAAGGGCAGATGATCCTGCGTATACCTGATCTAATCAAGAGAGCCCCTCAGAGAGGTCAAAGAGATTGGAAGTGAAAGAGATTTTTCCTGCTGGCTGTGAAGAAGCAAACTGCTTATGGAGGGGCCACATAGCAAGGAACTCTAGGAGCTTAGAGTCATCCCTGGCCAACAACCAGTGAGAAAATGTCCTACAACTAGAAGAAACTGAATTCTTCCAATGATGGGTGGACTTGGAAGACACATGAGCCTCAAATACCTTGATTTCAGTCTAATGAGACCCTTAATAGAGGACTCAGCTAACCTGTGTTCAGAATTCTAAATCTTGGAGACCGTAGGATAATAAATTAGTGTGGTTTTAAGCTGCTAAGTTTGTGATAATTTGAAATACAACCAAAGAAAACTAATAAAGATACCTAAATAACAAAAAGGGTAATTCTACCGCATACCATACACAAAATGGCAAATAGATTAAAAACCCAGAAAACTAAAACTTTAAACTTTTAGGAGAAAATGTGAGAGAATATCTTGATGACTTTGTGATAGGGTAAAGGATAAGCTTGTGAAGAAAAAGATCAGTTTGGGTACATTAAAAGATTTTAACTTACAGAAAACATATACTGCAAAAGAGTCGGAAGATAAGACATACTGGGAAAAGGTATTTGTGATGTTTAAAACTTACAGAAGGTTAATATACAGAATACATGTAGAACTCCTATAGATCAATAAGAAAAAGACAACTCTGAAGAAAAATGAGCAAAGGATATAAACAAGCTACTTGTAAAAGAAGTGCAAATGGAAAATATACATATGAAAACATCCTTAATCTCACCAATAAATAGGGGAATACAAATTAAAACAACAATGAAATTTCATTTTGCATCTACAATATTGGCAACAGTTTTTAAATCCAGCAGTACCAGTGAGGCAAGGATGTCAAAAAATGGAATTGTAAATTGATTGAACTACTTTAGAGAGGCAACCATTATGAGTATTTTTTGTGGGTTCCTTTTCTAAACTGTTAGTGTTTAATAAAATGGAAGATTCAGATACCTCCAATCCAGAAATTTCACCTCTAGATAGACAACACACTGCACACACAAGAAAACCTGTTTAGGGCACCATCGCTTGTAATAGCAAAAAGTGGAAATTACATAAAAGCTTACCAGTAGAAGAATGGATGGATTATTATAAAGATAACACCCTTGATGTTATCTTTCACCATTCAAGCAAAGAATTGGAACTTTGCCACCACCTTAGAAGCTTCTTCTATGACTGCTATCCAAATCACAAATCCTCTTCTACCACTTATAAGTAACCATTATCTTGACTATCAACAATAGTTTACTTGCTTTAAAAAAAAGGTTGTATTGTCACCCAAATGTGCAACCCCAGATGCTGTCGTTTAGTCTTGCCCATTAGCA
This sequence comes from Homo sapiens, assembly GCF_000001405.40. Lineage (NCBI taxonomy): Eukaryota > Metazoa > Chordata > Mammalia > Primates > Hominidae > Homo > Homo sapiens. The sequence continues at coordinate 100,415,990 of NC_000003.12, forward strand.
AAAATTGATATGTTTTCTAAGTTTCTTGTAATCTATATTGGTAGATGAACCTAGAGTCTGGACTAGACCAAGGTTTGATTCCTTTGCAAGGCAGAAGGCAGATAATGTCTGATTGTCTCTCTGTAATATAAGCAGCCACTTATGCTTAATGCTCACTAATTCCATGGTGATCACAAAATGGCAATATTCTAATTCTTTTCTATTCTCTCATTTTCATTTATTAGTTGGAATATTTTTATAAGGGGAAATTGAAATTCAAACTGTTCCATCTGTGGCTTTGAGTCTTTTTGAAAAACAAACAAAAAAGCCCTAGTTGTCATTCATAGTTTCCTTGTTCTATATTATGTCAAGAGGTTCCAAGGTCATTTTGTTTATTTCCTGCAACAGACCAGGAATCAGCCATTTCTTCAGGAAGCCCTGTTTTGTTTTGTTTTCTTTGTCTTTATTTATTTTTTAATCTTTTGTTGCTGCTGCTGCTGTTGTTGTTTAATGAGAATTGGCATTTCAAGGCCATAATCTGGGTGTTCATTGCATTTGGGTTGGCCCTTGCTTCTAGGCCTTTTCAATGGACAGAGTCAGGATATAAATAATACCTTGAGTATATCTTTTTTGTGTGTGTGTGTGTGTGTGTGTGTGTGTGTGTGTGTGTGTGTGTGTGGTGTTTTTGGTCTGTCCTTTTTTTAAAAAAAATATTTTGGTTAAATATATAAATACATTTTTTTGTTTTGATTTTTTTTTTTTTTTACATTAAGTTCCAGGATACATGTGCAGAATGTGCAGGTTTGTTACATAGGTATACATGTGCCATGGTGGTTTGTTGCACCTATCAACCCATCATCTAGGTTTTAAGCCCCGCATGCATTAGGTATTTGTCCTAATGCTCTCCCTCCCCTTTCCCCTAACCCAGCAACAGGCCCAGGTGTATGTTGTTCCCCTTGAGTTCATCTTGACCTGTCCCATTCAAATTCATGTCTGCCACAGTTGATTTTGCTAGGTATAAAATTCCTAGCTCATACCTTCTTTCTTGCCTTGTTTATCTTTTTGTGTCTGTGCATATTTTTTATTCTAATTGTGCTGACAGTATGCTTTTTGGCAACCATACTTCCAAAGCAATGTTTCCTTGGTATCTTAAGTTCATATATTTTCCTTGGCCATAAAACATTGCTGGCAAAAAGTCTGATGATAATCTAATCGTCTTTTCCTTATAACTCATGCTGTCTATTACCTCCCTCTCCCTATCTCTGCCCAGGTTCCCTCAAGGAATCTTTCTTTCTCTTTTAAAATATAGCAAACATATTATGATATGTCCTGGTGTTGGTTGTATGACGATATTTTCAAATATACAGTATACTTTTTCTTTTTCTTTCTTTCTTTCTTTTTTCTTTTTTTTTTTTTTTTTTTTTTCGAGACAGGATCTCACTCTGACACCCAGACTGTAGTGCACTGGTGCGATCTCAGCTCACTGCAACCTCCGCCTCCCAGGCTAAGCACTTCTCCTGCCTCAGCCTCCCAAGTAGCTGGGATTACAGGCCCACGCCACCATGCCCTGCTAATTTTTTTTGTATTTTTAGTAGAGATGAGGTTTCACCATGTTGGTCAGGCCGGTCTTGAACTCGTGACCTCAAATGATCCACCCACCTTGGCCCTTCAAAATGCTGGGATTACAGACGTGAGACACCTCGCACTGCCGGTATACTTTTTCAATACGTAGTTTTAAATCTTTTTTTCTTTTCAGGAAAGCGTTTATTTGAATTACAGTATTTGCTCTGTTCCCTTGCTTTGCTTTTCTTTTTCGGGGAGTTCATTATCTATAATGTCACTCTCCTTTGCATATCTTTATAATTGTTAGTTAGTCTTGAATTCTTTTGATTTCTTTCTTCATTTGTTAAAATAATCTTTTTTTATCTTGTATTTATTTGGAGACATTATTGGTTGCATTTTTTACTCATTCCTTCTAGCTTAACCTTTTCTGACATGATTTTTTCTCTTTATTTCTAATTCTTTCCTGAGTTTTATCATATCATTTGTATGTTATTCTAATTCTGTTTTGTTCTTTCATTTCTCATACCATTTTTTTTTTTTTTTTTTGAGATGGAATCTCACTCTGTCGCCCTGGCTGGAGTGCAGTGGTGTGAGCTCGGCTCAATGCAACCTCTGCCTCCTGGGTTCAAGCAAATCTCCTGCCTCAGTCTCCTGAGTAGCTGGGATTACAGGCACCCACCACCACACCCGGCTAATTTTTTTTTTTTTTTGTATTTTTAGCCAACGATGTTGGCCAGGCTGGTTTCGAACTCCTGACCCCAAGTGATCCAACTGCCTCGGCCTCCCAAAGTGCTAGGATTACAGGCATGAGCCACCATGCTCCGCTTCACATCACTTTGTAACTATCATTTAGTTCATTTTGAAATAGTGGCTACCAACATTGATCTGTTTTGTAGGTACTTTTTTTTTTTGGTCATGCTTTCATTGTCTGTAGGTCTGTATTCTCATTTTTAAAACAGAAATGCTGTGTGAGATTCTACCTTGATATTTTCTGTCCCTCATTTTTATGTAAAATTCTTGAACTCTTAGAATGACATAGGGTGCAGGAAAGTTTTTGAAATTCCACAGAGCTTCCTCTTCTGTTGTGTTTGTATAGTGTTTACAAATATGGCAGCTTGCTTTCTAAGATGTGCTGGCTGTGTTCCCCATCCCATTTGGTTTTAGATCCGCTCTTTTCTTTATCTCTGTTGTCCCTGTCTATTGCAGTTTTGATTCCACTCTTCACAGTTTCTCCTCAGTGTGAGGCTTTGTCCTAGAAGGTCAGATTTGAGAGTTTATGGTGGCTGGACAGTTCAGCCCTTTCAATCCTTCTTACCACAGGCTTTTTGTACTCACTCAGTATTGGAGAGAACAAATCCCTCCCAGTTTCAGCTACTATTCTCAAATTGGTTCCCTGTGCTTTCCAAACTATTGGCTATTTTGTGGTTCTCCTGTTCTCAGGTCTAGAGGATGCCGTGTTGCTTCTTTCTTCTTCCTCCTGCATGGACAACCATACCAGGTCTATAGCTGTTGGTGGTTTGACCCCACAACCTGCACTTGGGAGTAGGGCACATCTTGAGGGGTCATCTTGTCACTTAGTTTTGTCGTAGAGCTGTCCATAGGTTTTTTCTGCTACAGTTGCTCTATTAGTTTTCATGTGGGGATTCAAACAGATTAAAAACCTATGCTGTCATCGTTGCTTTCTTCCCAGAGTACCTCTAACTCAACAGCATTTTGGTCCTGTAGCTACCCATTTAGAGAAGTTTCTTTTTCTTGATATAAGTCATTTTTCTTTTTTACTTTTTATTATGAAATAATGACAAGAAGTTGCAAATAAGTGTACACAGAAGTCCCATGCATCCTTCACCTACTCTTCTAATGTTGACATCTTGTATAACTATAGTATAATGTCAAAACCAGGAAATTGACATTGGTATAATCCATATAACTTACTCAAATTTCACTAGCTATGCACACACTCATTTGTGTGTGTGTGTATGTGTGTGTGTAGTTCTGTGCAATTTTATCACATCCATAGCTTTGTGTAACTGTCACAATCAAAGTACAGAACTGGTCTATCATCAGAAAGCTTCCTCAAACTAAACTCTGAGAGCCACTTCCTCAATCTCTAACCCATAGGAACTGCTAAATCAGTTCCTCATCTCTATGATTGTGTTATTTAAAGAATGCTATATAAAAATTATTTCTATTTATATGGAATTATATTTTATTTATATAATTATAAAATTCCTTTTGAGATTGAACTTTTTTACGCAGCATAGTTCTCTTGAATGTGTCAGGTTGTGTGTATCAAGCCTGTACATTCATGTGCAGGCTCTTGCATGAACATAGGTTTTAATTTCTCTAGGATAATTGCCTAAGAGTACAATCACTGGGTCATATGGTAGATGTATTTTTTGTTTTAGAAGAAACAGGCAAACTATTTTTCAAAGTGGCTGTACCTTTTTTTATTCCCATCAGCAATGTATGAATGATCCAGCTTCTCTGCTTCCTCTTCAACATTTGGTGTTAATACTCTTTTTAAATTTTACACATTCTGATAGGTATGTAGTAATATTGCATTCTGATTTTAGTTTGTCTTTACCTAATGGCTAATGATGTTGAACATCTTTTCCTGTACTTATTTGCCATTTGTATATCTTCTGAGATCAGATGAGATTGGGTACATTCAGGGCGTTATGGCCATAGACACCATTTGTATATCCTTCTCAGTGAAATGTCTTTGATGTCATTGGCTTGTTTTCTTGTTTTCTTTTCTTTGCCTGCCTGCCTTCCTTCCTTCCTTCCTTCCTTCTTTTTGAGATGGTGTCTTTACTGTCACTCATGGTGGAATAAAGTGGCATGATCACAGTTCACTGTAGCCTCAACCTCCCGAGCTCAAGCGATCCTCCCACCTCAGCCTCCTGAGTAGCTGGGACTACAGGTGCATGCCACCATGCCTGGCTAGTTTTTTTAAAAAAAATTTTATAGAGACAGGGTCTCCCTATGTTGCCTAGGCTTGTCTCAAACTCCTGGGCTCAAGTGATCCTCATATCTTGGCCTCCCAAAGTGCTGGGATTACAGGTGTGAGCCACCATGCCTGGCCTTTGTTTTCTGATTGGATTATGTGTTCTCTTAATGTTGAAATTTGAAAGTTTTTTAAAAAATGTATTCTAGTTACTAGTCCTGTGTCAGATACATGGTTTGTAAACATTTTCCACCAGTCTTTATCTTACTTTTTTCATCCTCTTAACAGGGTCTTTCATAGAGCAAAAGTTTTTAATTCAGTGATGTATAATTTATCAATTTTTCCTTTTATAGATTATGCTTTTGGTGTCAAGTCTAAGAACTCTTGCCTAGCTCTTGATCCCAAAGATTTTCTCCCATGCTTTTTTTTTTCTAAAAGTCTTACAGTTTACAATTTATATTTAAGTCTGTGATCCATTTTGAGTTCATTTTTGTGTAATGTTATTTTTTTATTTTTTGAGATAAGAGTCTTGCTCTGTTTCCCAGGCTGGAGTGCAGTGGGATAGTCACGGCTCACTGGAGCCTCAATCTCCTGAGCTCAAGTGATCCTCTTGTCTTGGCCTCCCAGAGTGCTGAGATTACAGTCATGAGTCACTGCACCGGGCTGAAGACTCATTTTTTTAAACTGTGGATGTTCAATTGCTCCAAAACCATTTGTTGAAAAGCCTATCCTTCCTCCATTGAATTGCTTTTGTACTCTTTACAAAATTCAGCTAGAAATATATGTGGGTCTCTTTCTTGATTCTCTTGCTGGGGCAGTTAATCTGTATTCTATTCAGGTCCACCCACAGTATGGAGGGAAATCTGCTTTACTCAAATTCCACCTATTTAAATGTAAATCTCATCAAAAACAGCCTCACAGAAACATCCAGAATTAATGTTTGACCAAATATCTGGGCACCATGGACCAGTGAAGTTGACACACAAAATTAATTATCACCCTGTATTGTATTTTATTTTGAGAAGTTTCCTGTGTCATTAAGTCCTATGATTTTTGATGATTGCATAGAATTCTGTTATATAAATATATCGTAATGTATTAGCCTGATCTCCAGTTGTTGTACTTTTAAGATGTTTCCACATCTTACAAGTTTTTGCTATTTTAAATAATGTTATGTGAACAAACATCCTTGTATGTACCTCTTACTACCCACTTGTAAAAAAGAGAGAAATTTCTGGGTCAAAGGATGCAAATTTTTTTTAAAGCTTTTAAATGCATCTTGCCATATACCTTTCCATAAAGACCTTATTCCTGCTAATAACATGTGATATTTGATCCTCAGAAAAGAATGTTATGGAGGTTCAAGTTTTTTTGTTTTAATAGTCTGAAAACTTCACATTATTTTTTAACTCAAACTTTAGTTTTTGCAATTTATTTTCCTAAATGTTGTATTTTGTCAGTTTTCTTTATGTGTATGATGATCCTCTCCTTTATTGTAAATTGCAGCATTTTGTCCCTCTCAAATATGAGGCACTCAGGACTCTCAATTCCCCCAGTTCTTGTTTGGATCACTTCTTATGGAGAGGCTTGTAGATTCAACAGAAGTGCTGAGGCATTACCTTTAGATTCTGTGACATTGCAGTTAATAACTGAAAGGAAGCCTTTCTGAAGTATAGCACACTGATGAACTGGATTGATAAAGTCTTTTTTTTTTTTTTTTTTTGCTATGGAGTCTTGCTTAGTCGCCCAGGCTGGAGTGAAGTGGCATGATCTGGGCTCACTGCAAGCTTCGCCTCCCGGGTTCAGGCCATTCTCCTGCCTCAGCCTCCTGAGTAGCTGGGACTATAGGCACCTGCCACCAAGCCCAGCTAATTTTTTGCATTTTTAGTGGAGACAGGGTTTCACTGTGTTAGCCAGGATGGTCTTGATCTCCTGACCTTGTGATCCGCCTGCCTCAGCCTCCCAAAAAGTTTTTTACATAGTAGTAAATTTTAACAGTAGTAGCTCGTCTGTTTTAGAATAATTGGTGCCTAGGGATTGAAGAGACCTTGAGAGGTCAACCAACTAATAACACTTTTGGAGACAAAGCTACAGAGATTTCATCTTTGGCAGATGAGAATCAGGGCTGTGTTTGAAGGTCTCTTGTGTAAGAGATGATTTATTGGCTCTTCAAAATCTCTTCCAATGTCTAACAACTATTATGAAGCCCACCTTTAGCCAAAATCCTGAAGAATTTAATGATGCTTAATGCCAAGGTAACTGGATATTTATATAACCAATATTTTATAGGCAAATCTCTGAAAACATACCTTGCTTTGTCTCCTCTTTTTTTTTTTTTTTTTTTTTTTTTTTGCACCACTAGTGGCATAGTTTAAAAACAGTTCTCATAATACATGCTTCACGGCTTTTTAGAATAAAAAATAATGGTGATATACCCTTAGAGACATGCTTTAGGACACTTGGTTAAAAAAGGTGTGTCTTTGATGACCACCTCAAAAGAGTGGCAGACTTCACAGTATAACTTGATAATATACAAGGAAATGGATGATTATACTATGACACGTTGCCACTAAACAAGAGTCTGACAATCAGGTCATTGAATAGAACATAGCACACAGTTTCAAGTATTTAAGCACTGCTTTCTGGGAAGTAAAAACTGACTCAAAACCACTGATGTATTTTGACCGTTAAAAAGAAAAAAAGATGTAGCAGTTTAGCTCTTCTGGACATAGCATTTCCTTTCTAGAATGAGACCGGTTCAGTCAAGCTTGAAATCAGTAAGAGGAATGATGCTTTCCCTTAACTGTTAAGAAAAAGAAAAACGAAATAAAAAAAAATAAGTTACTACTGCAACAACGGCATGGCACTGGGACAGTGAAATAAATAAAGGGAAAATCGGATGGGCGTGGTGGCTCACTCCTGTAATCCTAACACTTTGGGAGGCTGAGGTTGGAGGATTGCTTGAGTCCAGGAGTTCGAGACCAGCCTGGGCAACGTAGTGAGACCTCATCTCTATAAAAATAAATAAAGGGAAAATCATTTTCTCATAATTGCATAGTCTCCTAAGAGAGAGGGCACTGAGAAACCACTTGACAGCCCAAGGATCATTTTCACTGATTACCTGGGCACCCATGATATCCGTTCACTTTATGAGAATACACACACTGCAAGCTTCCTATTCTGTAAGAGAAGGTATTTTTTTTTTCACATTCAGCATGATAAGAAAATTCTCATTTTCTTGAGTGTCAGCATGATACTCAAATTCTCAGCTCAGAAGCTGCAGCTGTCGCAGTCACTTGGCAGCTTTTGCATCATCCTGCAGGCTCAAAAAGGTGCAGGGTAAAAAGCGCAGCTCCCTTTGGTACGCATCCCCAGCAGCATCTCCTCAAGGCAGGTGCCCAGGGCCGTTACTAGGGAAAGCAGGTATCTGGGCTTCAGGAGTGGGCTGGAGCCTCCCCTCAGGCCAGGGCTCCCAAGAAAGCCCAGAAGAGCATCTCTCCCAGTGCTGAAAGACTTGACACTTTCTGCTAGTGCTTTTTTGCTGCCCCATGTTTGTTTTAAGAACCTTAGCGTAGTAGAGTAGGGAGCTATCTTTTCCTCATGTTTTTAAAGAAGAAATAGGCTTAACTAGGAGAAAAAATGGAGTTGGAAGTCTCATTTTCTTTAATGTAGTCCAAATCCCTTTTTCTTTCTGGGGTATATTTACATCTTGTTGTTTTGGGAGAATTTTTGATCAAAGATTTGAAGAGTTCCCTTTCCTTCCAGTATTAGGAGATTCCCCAGGACCAACCTGAGGTTCACGACTTGCTAAAAAGGACTTATAAGGCTCAGCATATAGTTGTACTCATGGCTAAGATTTATTATAGTGCAAAGATACAAAGCAAAACAAGTAAAGATAAAAGTTGCATAGGGAAAGTCTGGAGGAAATCTGGGTCAAGCTTCCAAGAGTCCTCTCCCAGTGGAGTTACAAAGTACACACCTAATTCCTCCAGCAATGCTTTGTGGCCATTGTGCAAGGCAAGTGTTTATTATGGAGGCTCAATAGAGACTCAGTACCCCAGATAATGACTGGGTGCTGGTCAGGTAGGCACACTCTGCCTACCACATACACAAACTCCAGATTTGCAGAAGAAAGTCAGTTGTTCAGCATAAACCACATTAGTCGGGCAGTTTAGACCACTCTTATAATTTAAGGAAAATGTTATGTCACTGCAGGAACTGTTTACCAGCCAAGTTCCCAGAAGCCAGCTAAGGGCTAACCTTGCAAGCAGGTCCTTCTAAGGATGGGCAGTTTCAGGCCTGCTATATTAACCATTTTCTGTGTAGCTGATCTCCTTGGTCAAGGCATTTTATAGCAAAATTATTAACAGTAGTGTCCCACGACACAGTATGAAACTAACCTGAGTATTGACTTTACTTAAAATCCAGAGGTCTTGGATTTAGCCAATTAAAACAAATCCCATTAGCTATAAAGGTTAATCTTAGGAAGCCAGGTGGCTTTCTCCTTAAGGTTTTGTATTAACCTTTTTTAACCTAGCCCGAGGCATCAATTCGAGCACAGCACATCTCTGGGTAGTAAATTGAAGCTGACCTGCATGCCTTCTTGGGCTGAGGCAGGCCAAGATAGTCAAGATAGGTACACAGGAAGGACAATCCCAGAGAGCATTCTTAGAAACAAAGAATTCAAGTTCAGTTACCCCAATGAAAACATGCGTTAGTCAGGTAGCACAGGTTAGCAGAGCCCCCAGTGTGTCTTCCCACCGTGGGGAATTCAGCCTATGGTTTCCCTGTCCAGTCTAAATAATTCAGCTAAGTTCTTTGTTTTAGAAGGACTGCCTGAAGGCAGTTTGTTTCTTTCAGTTTTTCTCCTAAGTGTGGACAATATCTGGAGGTGTTCTTGGAAACTAGAGGAGCTGGGGCCAGTTGCTGCTATCTCATAGTCAGTGCTGTTGGGTGTGATCATAGGCTCAGCAGTCAGTTTGAATCAAGCCAGCATCCTGGAAAGGGATCACTGGTGTTCAGGAGCAGTTCTGAAAAACAGATCATTAATGCCCTCTTTCTCCTGCATCTCCCCAGGTGCCGGGTTTTTTTCTTCTTTGCTATTATGCAATAGTGTGATTCATTCAGAAATCATAACTTTACCTTTTCCCCAGCCATTGTTTATTCTTATCTAGACCATTTATAAGGAAGGGTAGAAAGGGTTGGGTGTAAGAGGGACAAAAGGATTTACATAGAAAATCATTGTTTCATGTAACAACCAGAAAAAACACATCATGTTCCAGAATGGGCTAGGACAAAATCCTGAATTTTCAAAATTTTCAGACTGTGTTTACATTACCCTATCCCTTTTGTCCTGATTATTTATTCAGGAAGCAGCCTAGAAAATATCAATTTCTGTCTAGGAACAGCTGCATTTATCAATCAAACTGCCTAACTAAGAAGAGAGGTGAGCAAAGAAGAGTCAGACTATCAATCCATCATTGCAAATTTCAAAATACTCTGGCAAGCTGAACACAAATTAATAGCAGTGAGCTATCCCATAAGGGGTCAAGAGCCCTATCTGTCAGGAGTGGATGGAGGGGTCCCACTCTCTGTGATGTGCTCTCCCCTAGCTTGCAGCTTTTGACAGGGTTCTTGGGATTCATCATTTCTGGTGCAACTAGTTCGGTTTCAAATGGTCCTATCAAAGAGCAAGCCCTTTCCCGTAGGCATCTGCAAGTGATCCATGTGATTCGGATAGCAGAGTTTATGGCCCCACAGAGGAGTGTTGTAAACAAACCTGCAATAGTCCCCGAGGCTGAATTATGTTCCTTGAGCCTACGCCTGTCTTCAGAGATTGGAACAATCCCTCACAGACAGTATCAAGCTTAGCATAAGCTCCAGGCAATTAGGATCTATGAATTCAGGATTCCAAACTAGCTAGCAACTTTTCCTCTATAGCAGCAGCAAAGCCAAGAAGATACAGGGCCAAACGGCTTTGTTCCAAGTCCAATTGACAAGAAATGTTTTCTAAGCCCTGTTTACACGGTCAGATTTAGAGTCCAATTGACCCACTCCAAAATATGCACGTTAGGCTGGAAAATCATTAGCCTCTAAGGGTCAGACAGACACCTGATTATATAAGAACTTATTAGCAAACTAAAAACTGCTTTTTAAAATTCAAAAGGTGTTTTTTCCAGTGGAGATGAGCTATGCTTCTATGTTGTCTACCTTTTCCCATAGGCTCCAACAGGCAAAAATTATAGCAAAAATAATCAGTTATGGAGATTTCAGTACTTAAATACTCAGAGTTTACATTGTAATTCATCTAGTAGCAACAAAAATCAAGAGGTGCATATTCTTCTAATACTTCTTATAGAGTAGCTTTCCCTAACTGGGGTAATCCCTCAAGCATTTATGAAAGTATAAGCATATAATATTTTACATCAGTTTTTATCATATATTCAGGTGCTATAGACACAGAATAGAAGCCATTTTAAAAAATCTCTCTTTTTTTCATTGCAGGTTTACTCAAACTCCTAGTAGTAAAGTGGTAAATTCAGCGTATATGATTCACATTATACCTGGTGAGAGATTCCCAGTTGGAATGCAAGGGGCTGCTGTATGAGGCGATGGGGTATTATTTCCCCCCTCCCCTTTCTTGCTGGTTTATCTAAAGCCTTGTTCTAGCTCTTGGAACTGACTTAACAAAAACGTTAAAAGTTTGCATTGCTTTCTCTTCCTTCCCACTTGGAGGAGAAAGCAATGCAAACTTTTAACATTTTTGGCCCATGCAAAATGTGTTTTGGGAATGTTTGGGCCCTTTCTCTTCTCATCTAGAGGAGAGAACAAAACCCAAAGGCATCAGCCAGGCTGCACTTTTTAATCCCTTCATTTTAGCTACCCGTGGCCAAAAGCAGCCAAGGAATCTAATGAACCAATTGTCCTGGGGTTGGATCTGTCATTTTGAATTCTGTAGGTAACTTTTACCTCTCACAACAGACATCATCTCAGCAGCTGATTCATACTATAGATGGCTAGGTAGCCACTGGGCATTGAAGGTTCACCATCATGTCTTCTTCATCCTTCCTTTTCCCAAACCCTGCTTTAGCCATAGTTCAGTGGTTTGGGTTGTTTTTTTAGCAAATCCCACTTCTGATAGTAGCTGTCATCCCCAGTTTGGGGATTTGCTAGAACTCAGCATATAGTTGTACTCATGGATAAGATTTATTATGTTGAAAGGATACAAGGTAAAACTGAGAAAGAAAATGGAAAAGGCATATGGGGTACAGTCTGGAGGAAATTAGGCACACTCTTCCAAAAAGTCTTGTTCCAGTGAAGTCCCACAGGATGTGCTTAATTCCTCCAGCAATGAGTTGTGATAACACAGGAAGTCTTGGCCATTTGCAAAAAATAAAAATGTTAGAAGATATGTTAAGCTTTGGCTACTTTTCCTTAGTAACATAAAAGTTGTGATGCCATGCTCTGTAAACATTGGTCATAGTTATCAAGCTTATCTTTTTGCAGCTCAAGGAAGGATTTTCGTAGGGCAAATGGCCAAGAATTCCTGATTGAAAATGCGAGACTTCTCCAAGTTCTCTTGAAATACTGGCAGGATGGTGGAAAGAGCCTGGACTTTGTTTTTCTATTCCCCGCTTCAAACTTGATTTTGCCGCTTAGTATTAATTTCACTTTGGCAAGGGGTGATCTATTTGCATCTCAACTTCCTTATCAGTAAAATGTCATACAAATCTCCCAGTCACAGGGTTGTTATAAGAAAATTAGCATATATGGGATCTGGCGTGGTGGCTCACGCGTGTAATCCCAGCACTTTGGGAGGCTGAGACAGGCAGATCACGAGGTCAAGAGTTTGAGACAAGCCTGGCCAACATGGTGAAACCCCATCTCTACTTAAAATACAAAAATTAGCTGGGCTTGGTGGTGGGTGCCCGTAATCCCAGCTACTTGGGAGCCTGAGGCAGGAGAATCATTTGAACCTGGGAAGTGGGGGTTGCAGTGAGCTGAGATCATGCCATTGTACTCCAGCCTGGGCAACAGGACGAGACTCCATCTCAAAAAAAAAAAAAGAAAAAAAGAAAATTAGCGTATATGGAATACTTGGCTCCATACTTGATGCAAAGTAGGAGTTCCATAAATGTAATATTCTCTTTACTTTGAAAAAAATGCCCACTAAAAGACAGGGACTATAAAATTTATATAAACTTTATAAAAGCCCCAACTAGAAGTAACCTAAATGACAGCCTAAAATGACCATCACTAGTAGACTGAATTTTTAAAAAATTGTGACATGTTGATGCAATGCAATACTACACACAGCGTCAACTATTGTTACTGCAAAAACATGGATATATCTCACTGACATCATGTTGAATAACACAGGATAATGCATACTGTATAATGCCATTGAAAGTAAGTTCAAAAACAAGCAAATTAATCTATGGTGACACAGATCATTAATGGTAAACTTTTGAAGGGAGTATGGATTGGAAGGGGGATACATGGAGCCAGTTGGGGTGCTGGCAATGTTTTATGTCTTTACCTGCATGGTGGTGGTAACACAGGGGTATATGTATATAAAAATTCATCAAGCTGTGCACTTATGATTTGTACATTTTACACGTACTTGTATATTATTTACATGTGTACATATATAAGTAATACCTCAATTTAAAAAACTACTCCTTTTGATCTAGGAGCTGGATTTTATATCAATATCATTTTATTAGGAGAGTATCTAGCTCCAGATATGACATGGCAACAGCTGGCTACCTTGCAAGCTGTGGTCAGTCTGTTCCTTGTATGTGGCCCCATTTCAGAGCTTGCCTGGAGCTGACAGGCATATTGTGAGGGTCATGCTCCATCATCATTGACAGCTGGAGATGCCATCACATGTCATTGGCAGCAAAGCACAGGGAAAACCAGGCAGTGGACTCTGCATCCCACCCTTAGGCTGTGAGGCACAAGCCCCAGCAATGGAAGGATTAGAAAGCCTCTCAATTTAAAAAGACAAGGGGAGGGGAATGTGGGCTGCACAATTTATAAATAGACATTGCCCAAGGCTGCCTGATGATGAAGTGGTTGTTTAGTAAATCTTTCTCCTTTAAGGATGCCAGTATCGGAGACCATTTTAAAAAGACCAGTTTCATTTTGTCTTTTGGGAGAGATCCTGGGTTTCATTGTCAGCCCTGTTGGGTGATATTTCCCTCTGTCGCATTTAGGGACAGGCCTTCAGTATTTGGCATCACCTTTACATGGAGCACAAAGATGATGATGATGATGATGTGTCTTTTGCCAAATGGATGAGCAGCTTCTGGGGCCACAGCTGGAGAGAGGAGGATCAGAGAGGACTCCGGGAACGCCACCGACTGCAAGCCACCAGTCACAGGAAAACCTCCCTGCCCTGCCCAGTGAGTGATTGTCATGGAACCGGAGGGGAGAGCTGGAATAGGGGAGGGGGTTTCTCTTAGATAATTTTTTGAGGAATCTTTGGATATAAAGTTTTCTTTGGTTTAAAACCAGTACTTCTGAGTCTTTCTCATACCCACAGAAATCTCTCTTATTATTTCATCTTGTCTTTCAAGGGACCTTATTGTCATCTAATGGGTAATGATTTCTTCATTTTTAGTTGTCTGAGATATCTTTAACTACTCTTCAGAGCTCCTGATAAGCCTGAGATAATCCCACTGAGTGACGGAATTTAAGCCAAAGGAAAGAAACTTGATGCTATACTTAGTCTGTGTAGCCTTGTGGCTCAATGTGTGATTTCCGTTTGAAATACTGAAAATTGTTCCACTCTTTGGTAGACCTTCTAAGGAACTGGGGATCCCACATGACAAGTCACTACCTTTGAGAAATTTGACATACTTGTTTTTCTTCCAGGGAGTCCATTTGGTTTCTAGATGGGAGAGGGAGCTAAAACTCTCCTGCCCTCAGCACTGTTTTGTTACAGCTAGGCAGAGCACCTGATATCTGAGGAACAAGATGCTAGCAGGAAAGCTCCCAAGAGGGGAATGGGTGGGCTTGGTCAGCTGTAGACTCAGTGACATGTACAGGCGGCTATTCTCTCTGCTCTACTGGCATGCTAGAAGGCTCCACAGTAGACATGTGTGTCCTGTGCTTCACAGTTACACAGCAATAATACAGCTTTTCTTTTTTATAAGTCCCATTAAATGTCAGCTACCAGAGGATAGTTTCTCAATCCCCTGCTGTTGCCAACCCCGGAACCAAGTAAGTTTTGTTTGGGGTAATATTATTTTATTTTTAACTTCAGGCTTCCCAGACACATAATGTCTATAAGACATATGAAAGTGTGTAAGGCAACCTCTATTACTCCTGGTGATCAGCAAGTTTGAGGAAAGAGAATTCTTTGAGACACAAATATTTCAAAATATATCCCTTGCCAAATGCATACTCAGGGACAAAGGGCAATCGTCAACCCTTCTTTCAGCTTCAGGTTGCTAAAGTGAAAAAGATGGGGGTGTTGGACTGAGTGATCTCTAAGAACCCTTCTACCTCTAACCTTCCATGTTCTGTTATAAAATAAACACCTGCTTATTGCCTCTCATTTTAATATATATTCCACAATGAGCAAAATATCCAGGCTGTGTGAACCAGGAGTATGATTAGTTTCCAGTTTCCAGATGTGAGAACAGGGATAAACAAAAACAAAAACTGTAATTTACTATTTATGACAATGGCCTCTTGAAGCCACAGGAAATATGAAAACATAGAAAGAAACATGGTTTACTAGTTCCTTGAATAAACTTTAGCATCTATGGAGCTTTTAAAACAGAGATAGTTACCCCATTTACAGAATTCACTTTTAGGTTACAATGGTGTTTGCCTTAATCTATGGAATCACAGCATCTATTATGTATAACATTTGTAAACTGTGTCCTTATGACATCTTTATCTGCTTATCCCTGCTTCGGGCATTTGCCTGAATTAACCTGTTTAGATTCTCTGAGTCAGCAATGAATTCCGTAATTATTAGACTAACATGCAGAATAAAAATTGCTGGATTAAAAAAGTTAAAAATATGACTGAATAGAATGGAGAAACAATAAGCATAGATCACAAATCAGAGGAACCAGAGGTCAATGGGCAGAGTACTGGAAAGTAGTTGGGGAGTCTAATTCTTCATTCTTTGTCTACATAATGCTGTATATGTATAAGTGAATCTATACTTGAATACTTTCTATCTCTAAAATGTAATCAAATATTCTTACTTTTGGCGTGGTGCCATGGTTCACACCTGGAATCCCAGCACTGTGGGGGCCCAAGGCGGGAGGATCACTTGAACTAAGGAGTTTGAGACCAGCCTGGGCAACATAGTGAGACTCCGTCTCTCAAAAAAAAAAAAAAAAAAAATAGCAGGGTGTGGTGGTGCTTCCATAGTCCCAGCTACTTGGAAGGCTGAGGTGGGAAGATCACTTGAGCCCAAGAGGTCGAGGCTGCAGTGAACGGTGAACATGCCACTGCTTTCCAACCTGGGTAACAGAATGAGACCTTGTTTATATATATATATATATATATATATATATATATATATATATATATATATATATATATATATTCTTATTTTAAGGAACAATTTGGTTTTCAATTTTTTGTCTGCTTTGAGCTAATGGAAATACCTTAAAGAGAAAAGCTTACTCTTATCCTTACTTTTTTTCTTCTCTCCTGACTGCTCTAAGGCCCTTCCCTCTCTCAACCTTTTAATAATCTATAACCATCAATATTACATTAAGTATTATATGCATAGGAGGAGAAGAGCTTTCCCCCTTGCCTACTTTGAATGTGGTTTCTTTTTTTCCCCACTTCTCCTTGAATGTAGTTTCTAATACATCTTCATCAGTCTCATGATTCACACAAAACCACAGTGATCAACATTAATTAATTTAACATATTTATTGAACACCTACTGTGAGCCAAACATTGTCCGAGTATCACAGGGTGAAAGAAGACATGCCCAGTCCCCACACTTGTGGGACTGTCAGTCTAGTAGAAAATACAAATTTGGCAGAAAGAATTAGGTACAACAAAGGGTAAAGCTTAGGCCTTTTTATAGAATGCTACTTTTTCCCCAGACTCATTAGAACCTATGTTTGCTGAATTAAAGTGAATAAAGAAATCCCATGTTATTGTTCTGCTGTCCTTAGTGAAAAAACATAATATGAAGTCTCTCATTATTAAACTGACTTGCCTTCTCTCTCCAACATCATATGAATACAAAACTGAAATAAAACAGTTTCCCTGTCATTTATTTATTCTATGGAAGTGCATTTTTAATACTTTTAGTCTGTTTAGCTTTCTAGTCATCATCTCCTTCAGCTTAACATGGTTCTGTTAACATTGTTCTATGTAGTCTGGGGCTCGTGGAAGGGAAGACTGTGCTAAATGAAAGATCTTTGGGAGAAGAAACCGAGTTTATTGGCCCAGGGCTTTTGTAACTCCAGACGGACCTCCACAGTGCTTCTTCTATGCTCCACGGAAGTCACCATATGTACTTGCCCACATGATATACTTTGAAGGATACAGAATAAGTCTCTACCGATGTACACCCAAGATTTTTTCTTTTTTCTTTAAAGTTAAAGTTCTGGAATACATGTGCAGAACGTGCAGGTTTGTTACATGGGTGTACATGTGCCATGGTGGTTTGCTGCACCTACCAACCCGTCATCTAGGTTTTAAGCCCTGCATGCATTAGGTATTTGTCCTAATGCTCTCCCTCTCCTTGCCCTCTACCCTCTGATAGGCCCCAGTGTGTGCGTTGTTCCCCTCCCTATGTCCATGTGTTCTCATTGTTCAACTCCCACTTGTGGGTGAGAACATGTGGTGTTTGGTTTTCTGTTCCTGTGTTAGTTTGCTGAGGGTGATGGCTTCCAGCTTCATCTATGTCCCTGCAAAGGACATGATCTCATTCTTTTTTATGGCTGCATGGTATTCCATGGTGTATATGCACCACATTTTCTTTATCCACTCTATCAGTGATGGGCATTTGGGTTGGTCCTATGTCTTTGCTATAAATAGTGCTGCAATAAACATACATGTGCATGTGTCTTTATAGTAGAATGATTTATATTCCTTTGGGTGTATACCCAGTAATGGGATTGCTGGGTCAAATGGTATTTCTCATTCTAGATCCTTGAGGAATCACCACACTGTCTTCCACAATGGTTGAACTAATTTACTTTCCCCCCAACAGTGTAAAAGTGTTCCTATTTCTCCACAGCCTTGCCAGCATCTATTGTTTCTTGGCTTTTTAATAATTGCCATTCTGACTGGTGTGAGATGGTATCTCATTGTGGTTTTGATTTGCATTTCTGTAATGATCAGTGATGTTGAGCTTTTTTCATATGTTTTTTTGGCCGCATAAATGTCTTCTTTTGAGAAGTGTCTGTTCATATCTTTGCCCACTTTTTGATGGGTTTGTTTGTTTGTTTCTTGTAAATTTGTTTAAGTTCATTGTAGATTCTGGATATTAGACTTTTGTTAGATGAGTAGATTGCAAACATTTTCCCCCATTCCATAGGTTGTCTGTTCACTCTGATGATAGTTTCTTTTGCTGTGCAGAAGCTCTTTAGCTTAATTAGATCCTATTTGTCAATTTTGGCTTCTGTTGCAATTGCTTTTGGTGTTTTCATCATGAAGTATTTGCCCACGCCTATGTCCTGAATGCTACTGCCTAGGTTTTCTTCTAGGGCTGTTATGGTTTTGGGATTTACATTTAAGTCTTTAATCCATCCTGAGTTAATTTTTGTAAAAGGTGTAAGGAAGGGGTCCAGTTTCAGTTTTCTGCATATGGCTGGCCAATTTTCCCAGCACCATTTATTAAATAGAGAATCCTTTCCCCATTGCTTGTTTCTGTCAGATTTGCCAAAGATCAGGTGGTTATATAAGTGTGGTCTTATTTCTGAGTTCTTTATTCTGTTCCACTGGTCTATGTCTCTGTTTTGGTACCTGTTACCTGTTACCATGCTGTTTTGGTTACTGTAGCCTTGTAGTATAGTTTGAAGTCAGGTAGTGTGATGCCTCCTTTTTTTTTTCTTCTTTTTTCTTTTTTTTTGAGTTGAAGTCTCATTCTATTGCCCAGGCTGGAGTGCAGTGGTGAGATCTCGGCTCACTACAACCTCTGCCTCCAGGGTTCGAGGAATGCTCCTGCCTCAGCCTCCTGAGTAGTCAAGACTACAGGCGTGCACCACCATGCCTGGCTAATTTTTGTATTTTTAGTAGAGATGGAATTTCACCATGTTAGCCTGGCTGGTCTTGAACTCCTGACCTCAGGTGATCTGCCCACCTCGGCCTCCCAAAGTGCTGTGATTACAGGTGTGAGCCACTGCACCCGGCTGTCTTTTTTTTTTTTTTTTTAATTAAATTACCTTTCTCCATTGTATATTCTCCCTCCATGCTCTCAATTTACAGTGATGAAAGATATTTGTAATTTTAGTTTTTTATTGTTGATCTACTTTCAGATGGCTGCACTCTCATTCTTATAGTATCTCACTACAGGGCAGGTGGGGCATGGCCCTCTTAGGGGAGTTCTCACAAACCTGGGAGAGAACACATACTATCAAGTGTCATGATTGGCAGTGGCTTCTTGTATTTCAGATGTATTTCAGATGATATTTGAATTTAATTTTCATAGGAGGCAATTCCTTAATCCAAGGAAATGAAACTAATGATAGAAATTCAGGTACCAGTGAGAACTCTATAGGGAGCTTTTAGCATAATGTTCTGTGGACTTTTCTCTCTTCTTCTAGGTGCTAAGGTGGAGGAATTGCTAGAAAGGCAGTGGAGAGGAGTGGTCAGGAGCAAGTGCTCTGGAGCTGGCCTCCCGTGTTCTTCATTTACTAGCAGCATAACTCTGAGCAAGCTGCTTGAGCTCTCTTTGCCTCCAATTCCCCACATGTAAATGGGATTGGTGATCATAGTACAGACCTCATAAAGGTGCTGTGAATATTCAATAAGTAATGTATATACAGTGCTTTGAACAGTGCCTGGTACCTATTAACTTATTTATTAAAAAAATAATTTTTTTTACACTAAATGCATGCAGTGTATACATTTAGAAAAGAAGAGGGGACTTTATTTCTTGTAAAGCTTATAGCCTGCAAGTTGGCCATCCCACAGCCTGGGAAGCATAGCCTCCAGAAAGACTGGAGACAGGCACTTCAAAGGAGGAGGGGTAGGGGGTAGGAGCTTTATGCTGAACAGATTGGCTAAACTTCCACATGCAACAGTTTATAGGAGGAGCTGTGAATATTCGTGAAGGTGGTTCTGACACAGTTCTGTGGACACAGGAATTTTGAACAAACATACATGTAGCATGTATGGCCCATGTTCACTTTGGGATGGAGACTTAATATTTAAACATATTACAATTAGGCCCTATTCATGAAAAGATCTTCTTAGGACAGGAAGGTGAGTGAGTGTGCAGCCCCCATAAACTGGCTAGAACCAGTCCATGGTTGGTAGTCTTGTCAGGAGAAAGTTATTGAAATCAATCTCTTGTCCAATCAAAACTGTAGTAATGGCTGATGGAACAAGGGAATCAGCTAGTCAGCATCTGATGGAGCTGCAAATTGTTTTAATACTGCTTATGTCAGGGCCGGTGCTTGTTTAGCTGTTAGAGGAAAAGAAAAACCTTGTGGCGGTCAGAATATAGTTTATTCTTTAAGTGTAGGGGTGCACAACTTAACCCTTGCCTGGCATGGCCTTAGGTCCTGTTTATAATTAGGTATCTTATTGCCACAAAGGCTTTGTTCTGTCAGTGTTAGGATCTCTATTTTAACATTAATGCTGGTCAATTGTTGTGTCTAAACCATAAAAGACAGGGAGTACAACGAGGTGCATCTGACCTCCCATCCCGTCATGGCTCAGAACTAAGTTTTTAAGGTTTTTATGGAATCCCCTTGGTGAAGAGGGGGTCTGTTCAGTTGATGAGGGGCTTAGGATTTTATTTTTCGTTTACATACCTAATAAGATGCTTTCCCTCTCTCTTTTCCTTTTCCCCTCCCTCATCTCCTCCCTCTGCATCTCCTCCTCCTCCTCTGTCAGAGGTGTTGACACTTAGAAATTTTTTTCCAGATGCCTTCAGCTAATTACTGCACAAAATTCTAGAGTTTTTCATTTTCTCTTTACTTCATTGTCTTTTATGTTTCTCTTTTATATTACAATGGGAAGATAATTGGTAATTTTATATTGAACATTGGCAGGTAACATATGTTCTGTTATGGACTGAATGTTTGTGCTTCCCCTTCCCCCATTCATATGCTGAAGCCCTAATCTCCAATGTGATGGTATTTGGAAATGGAGCCTTTGGGAGATAATTAGGGTTAGATGAGTTCATGAGGGTGGGGTCCTGGCCTAATGGGATTAATATCCTTAGAAGAAGAGACATCAGAGAGCTTTTTCTTTCTCTCTCTATCCCCACATATGCATTTAAAAAAGCAGTCATGTGAGGTTGCAGTGAGAAGGCAGCCATCTGCAAGCCAGGAAGAGAGCCCTCACCAGGAACTGAATTAGCCAGAACCTAGATCTGGGACTTCCTAGCCTCCAGAACTGTGAGAAACAAATTTCTGTTGCTTAAGCTACTCAGCCTATGGTATTTTGTTATAGCAGCCCAAGCTGACTAATACATTTTCATAACAAGCATCATCACCAGACAGTGGAGAGCTAGTAGGGAAAACATTATTATACATGACCTAATTTAATGTCATTTGGGGTTATGATCTCAGTGGCATATGGTTTATATGGGCTTAGTTTGGCTACTGCAGCTTCGGGATGAGTAAGACAAGTCCTTGAATTTTGCTTTAGGAAAAGATTCCAAGTTCCTGAGGTGTGAAGCGTTATAAGCTCACAGGAGTTTCTTCTTATAGCTCTCCTCTGTTTGGCCACTATATAACTTACGATATGGTGTTGGTGACAGTTTTGCATTGATTTAGTGTGTAATAGTGTGACCAAGCAGGGTCTGTTCATTTCCCCAATTAAAAAAAGTTATTTTACTGATTAGTTTAAAACATTGTTTGGCTTCCCAAAAGGATGTACAGTGCATGGTTACTAAGCTTATCTTTATTATTTCTCAAAGAACTATCATTTTACCAGTTGAATATTTGAATGTTTTCCCTGATAGTGTTTCCAAGTATAGCTAGTCCACTCATTTGTAGTCCTCTTGGCTCTGATGATAGCATTAGACTATGTTATAAAATACTCTTCATATAAAATTCTTTCAGATGAATTCCTAAAGACCTATAGATTATTATTACTAACTTTATAATAGAATTCTGTTTAAATTGGTACATGGCTAAAAGTCACATTTACAGGCAGTTTCACATGGAAATAGAATAAAGTTGTTGCTGTTGTTAAAGATAAAGGATTTAATACTGCTAATCCAGGAACCAGATGTCACATGCTTAGGCATGTCACTTTATCTCTCTAATAAAGTCACTAGTCACATAAGTCTTAGGCAAGACTTAGCCTCACTAAGATTCATTTTCCTCATATGTAAAAGGGGAAGAATCACTCCCTTGTTGACTTTATTCTGAAGTTAGCTATCAAGGACCTGGCCCCAGAGTGCCAGGTACATACTGTGCACTAGGACTCAATATGGGTCTTACTATGCCAGCACCTGGATCTTTCTCATTATGTCTCATCTTGCTGTTAACCATTGACTACAGGGTGGGAGGGATACAATTGAAGGGTGATTGCAATTACAGCCAGAATAAAGAACATCGAGTAGTTAAGCTCTTGAGGTGAATATATTACATAACCAATTTCCCCCTCCCCAACTTTCCTTTTAGGTTTATTGTCACTTAAAGAAAAACAACTTTCTTTTTTTGGATCTGTTTTATGTTCAAAGCAATATTGAGCAGAAGGTACAGAGATTTTCCATAGCCCCCATACTCCCAGATATGCATACCTCTCCCATGATTAACCTTCCTGACTAGAGCGGTATATTTGTTTCAATTGATGAACCCATGCTGACACATCATTATCACCCAGAGTCCATAGTTTACACATTAGGATTCACTCTTCCTGTTGTACATTTTATGGGTTTGTACAAATGTATAATGGCACGCACCTACCATTATAGTGGCATACAGAATAGTTTCACTGTCCTAAAAACCAATTGCTTTTTAAATGAGAACCAATGACTTGGGGACAGAGAGTGCATGGGATTTTCTTTGACAGAGATTGTTGTTCTAGGTCCACAGGGGAAAGAGTCATGCTGTTTGGAGCACTCTAATCAGGAGAGTCAGTGTACAGGGCAGTCATTTCCCTCACAGTCAGTGCCTGCTGCAATGCTGTAGCCCAGGAGCCCAGGGTGAGCTCAGAGTGTGAGAAGATAGCAACCCAGGTGCTACAGCGTGATTCACAAAACAGGGGATAGATAGGTGAGGCTATTTTAAGCCATTTGGGACATTGTTTTAGGTCTTATTGGGGAAAATTACCTTAGAAGGGCATATAAAATTCCAAAAATAGAGCTCGCATAGCAAGTAAACATTTTTTAAGAGGAGGAGCTTCTCCCTGTCCCAATTACAGTTCTCTTTTAGGCCCATTTTCCACAAAGTCATATGCCAAAGCGAAGAGACAAACTGCAAAACCTAACTGCTGTAAGGAGTTTTAAGTACACACTTTACGTTGTGATCAAACTCTTGCCATTCTTTTTAGGCTCCTTAATGGAAAAGGACATTTGTACAAACATCCATTTCACTCCCAGTCACAAAACTTTAATTTATTATTATTTTTTTCCTGACAATATAACACATGTTCCCCAGATATAACTACGAAAAATACTAAAAAAAAAAAGGAAAAGGAAGAAAACAATAGCACACCACAGAGAAAAACTTTGGTAAGAGTCTGATATGTTTTAACATTACCAATCTTGGGATATTGCCCTACTTGAAATCCCTCAATGTCTCATTCCAGCTCTCTTGGTTCCTCTTGGTCCACTGTGCTCCCCAGCACCACTATGCCAGCAAGCTTCTTCCATGGCAGTGGATCTGCCCATGTGGTGCTCATCTCCAGGCAGAAAGCAGTCCTTGTCCTCTAACCCTTGCTCATCCTTCAGCTTGTCGTTCAGTCAGCACACATTCACAGAATTCTCTCTGGATACTTCTCCTCTACCCCCCTAACACCCACCCCAATATATATAGTTTTACCCCGTTCTACCTTCTCATTGCACCTTGAACTTCCCCTTTATAGCATTTAGCCAAGGACGTAGGCACATGCCCTAGTTGTTTAACATCTATCTCCTATGCAGATGCCATCTCTAATAGCCTGTTTTGCTCCCCATCCTATCCACAGCACCTACTACCATGACTGACCTATTTAGTAAATGGACTAATATATAGAGATTTACCTTAGGTGTCTCAGCAGCTTTACATATCTTTAACCATATTTCTGATTATTATTTGAGAGTAAGTTTCTAGGTATGCATATCTAGAAAGATATGCATATGTTTGCCAGTGCTGCCATAACAAAATACCACACACTGGGTGGCTTAAACAGGAGAAATTTATTTTCTTACAGTTCTGGAGGCTAGGAAGTCCAAGATTAAAGCTTCTTCTGAGGCCTTGCTTGTTTGATTGCAGATGGCTGCCTTCTCACTGTGATTTTCCATGGTCTTTCTTCTGACAGTGAGCAACTCTGTTGTCTCTCTACCTGTTCAAATTTCCTCTTCTTGTAAAACACCGGTCAGATTGGATTAGGGCTCACCCTAATGGCCTCATTTAACGTAATCACCTCTTTAAAGCCCTATAGCTAAGTGCAGTAACATTCAGAGCTGTTGGGGGTTAGGGTTTCAACCTATGATTTTTGGAGAGATATAGTTCAGCCCATAACAACATACAATGGCTGGATCTAAGGAGGGGAATAGTTTAAGCTTATTATTTTTTCTTTTTTACATCTTCTTGGATACCAATATTTTAAGCTTCTTAACACATATTTCTCAAGGCTTTCTAAGAAGGCTGCACACATTTTTAATCCCATCAGTAAGGGATGATAGTTCCTGTCTCCCTGTACTCCTGCCAGTGTTGGTATTATTAAAACACATTTTTTTTGCTACCCTGAAAGGTAAAAATATTGTTATTTTATTTTACATAATCTTTGACTGCTAATTAAATATTAACATTCGTAACCATTTGGTATTTCCCTTTCTTCTATTCTTTATACTGTACATTCAATATATATTTAATGAACCCATGCTGTGAACAAGGCAAGGTGCTGGGTACTAGCAGAGAGTAAAACATAGCCCTGATGTGATGCAGCACACAATCTAGTGGAGAAGAGAGGCACTGAACAAAATTACCCGAATTATTAATGACAGTTGTGATAAGTATCCCAGAGGAGAAGCATTGGAAACCAGGAGAGCATCTGGCAGGAACCTGAACCAATCAGAAAGGTAGAAAAGGCTTTCTGAGGAAATGCAGTTTTTCCTGTGACTGAAGGATGATTAGCCATTAGAAAGATGAGGGAGTAGGGTTGTGGATGAGGTCACTGGCAGGGAGGAGCCTGTGCCAGTGCCTGCGCTACACAGGAGCAGGTGAGCTCGAGAAAGAGATCAAAGACCAGTGAGAAAGGAAAGATAGAAAAGGAAGACTAGTCTAGAACCTTGGGGAGCCCCAACAGCTATGAGCTGATAGAAGGAAGAAGTGAGCAAATGTCTAAATTACAGTGGCAGCAAGATCAAAGGGAAAGCAGGAAGGTGCGGTGGTAGCAAGCAAGGAAACAGTGTTTTCAAAAGGCTCCTGTGGATAACAGAGTTGAATGCCACTGAATGACTTAGATGAAGACCAAAAAGTGCACAGAATTTGGCAACATGAAGACCAATATCCTGATCAAAATTAGCTGTGGGCGAGGAAGCTGGACTGGAGTGAGTTGAGTGAGTCAGAGAAATTGAGAGAGCAAATGTCATAATTATTTCAAAAAGTTTGGCTTGTCTAAACTGTCTGTCCTTTGCCCATTTTCCAGTTGTGATGTTAATGATTGATGTCATTATATTATATGATCTCTTTTTATTTGTGTGAGATGTACTGATGTATCTTTAGGATATTTATTAAACATTAGCAATATGCAGCAAATTTTTTAAAGTTCATTTTTTACCTATAGTTTAAATTTGTTTATGTTGCTTTTGATACGCATTAGCTTTAAATATATATATATATATATATGTAAATTTTATTTTATTTTTACTTTTTTGGAGATGGAGTCTCACTCTGTTGCCCAGGCTGGAGCGCAGTGGTGCAATCTCAGCTCACTGCAACCTCCACCTCGTGAGTTCAGGTGATTCTTGTGCCTCAGCCTCCCGAGTAGCTGGGATTACAGGTGCCTGCCACCATACCCAGCTAATTTTTTTGTATTTTTAGTAGAGACAGGGTTTCACTATGCTGGCCAGGCTGGTCTCAAACTCCTGATGTCAGGTGATCCACTCGCCTCGGCCTCTCAAAGTGCTGGGATTACAGGCATGAGCCACTGTGCCTGGCCCTAGCTTTATATTTTTATATAGTAAAGTTGATTTTTTCCTTATGACTTCTTCCATTGCTCTTTTGCTTAGAAATTCTTTCTCCATATAGGAATTACATGAATATTTACCCTTATATTTCCTAAACATTTATGGCTCCATTAAAAAATTTTAAAAATCATTTTGGAGTTTATTTTTACATATCAACTTAAGGCTTGGCGTCTTTTGTTTTAGTGTTCTAATGATGGAGTAGTAAGCAACAAAGCTAGTCTCAGGATGTTCTACTTAATGTTTTAACCAATTGATTCTGCTGCCTCACTGTAGGAGAAAAGTCTTACTGATCAAGAAGATGTGAACCCTGAAAATCTGAGACAGGTCTCAGTTAATTTAGGAAGTTTATTTTGCCAAGGTTGAGGATGCGCACCTGTGACACAGCCTCAGGAGGTCCCAACAACAAGTGCCTAAGGTGGTCAGAGGACAGTTTGGTTTTATACATTCTAGGGAGACATGAGACATCAATCAACATTGCAATATGAATATCGGTTTGATCTGGAAAGGCAGGACAACTCAAACCAAGGCAGGAAGACTCAAAGTGGGGAGGGGGCTTCCAGGTTATGGGTAGATAAGAGACAAATGGTTGCATTCTTTTGAGTTTCTGATTAGCCTTTCCAAAGGAGGCAATCAGATATGCATTTATCTCAGTGAGCAGAGGGGTGACTTTGAAAGAATGGGAGGCAGGTTGGCCCTAAGCTGTTCCCAGCCTGACTTTTCCCTTTAGCTTAGTGATTTGGGGGCCCCAAGATTATTTTTCTTTCACATTTCCCTCCTTTTTTTAAAAATAAAATCTTTTGGAATAAGTATTTTAGAAGAAAATGAGTCTCTGGTCTCAGGTTTCATCTGATCTCTCACAGATAGGATGGTTTATTCCTAGACAGGTAGGTCCTGAGTTGTTATGCAGGCTCATTTTTAGCAAGTTGTGAAGTCTCATGTCCTATGAAGAGAAAATAGGAGGAGGAAGGAAGAAAAACAACAACAAACAAAAGAACAATTCTGGAAAATCAATATTGGTCACATTACTCTGAAGTCCATACATCAGTAGGCAGGTATTAGTGGCTTATGTATGTAAATAGGTTGCTGTTATTTTCTTCTGAAGTTTAAGTTGTCTAGCTTCAGTTTGCAGGGCTTTATGAAAGCACAGCCTGGATTTTGATGACTCCAAATGAGAAAAACATGGGGAAAAAAAGAAGGAAAAAATGGAAAACAATGCTTTGAAGACTTGGAGCCAAGAAAATACAGAATTCGGTCCAAAATGTAGAAAATAATAAAAATTGAAAAACATTAGGCAAGACTAGAATCTAACAACAGGTGTGCTATAGTTTTTGAAACAATTTTTCTCTCTCCAGTTTCCCATTTTTACCAAAGACAAATCATGGTAGGACTGCTGTGCTTTATTATACTTGGCCTAATCATTTGTATACAGTTCAACAAGAATAATTATTTTTTACATAGGCTTTTAAATTGGCTTTGATGGAACTTTGTTCCATAGAAGGAATCTCAGATAAGACTTTTTTAAAAGCTGAGCTGAGTTGGGCGATCCTCTCCTCTTGAGGTTCTAAGATAAAACCTGAGGCTCTTAGGCCTATAAGAACGTTACATTCTTTACTTACCACAGGTCAGGAACCCCATACAGGAATTGCGTAGACAAGTTTGCGGCCAGTTTTCCCCAGGGATTTTAGTGGCTTTGTAAGTCAACTTTGATTCCTTAAAGGAAAGCACACCATTCCAGTCAAAGCCTTGGTAAAATAAGAAGTTTCTCCAATTGTGTCCTGTTGTAAATGAAAACAGATTCTTATTGCACTTAAGCAAATAACTGTATTGCCATAAGTTAAGAATACTCCCAAACAGTTTCCAAATTCTGGAGAAATCAGGTAGAGAGAAAACAAATATGCTCCAAATTTTGTTCATAGGAGTATACTTTACTCAGTTGTTAAAACCTATTGTAAATAGCTTAAAACTTTTCTTGACTCTGAAAAACAAAACAAAGGCTCAGCAGTGTTTTAGGCAAAAAGTTAAAAAGATTACTTCAGACTTCTATAATTAGTTTAGTTGATGAGTTAATTCCTGCTCTGCTTGATAGTCATAAACATTTCAGCTCTCCATGAGTCTTGAAGTTTTTCTTCTATTCTGATGTCACTGTCTCCAAAGTTATCAGAAACCTCATTCAAGAGCACCTGTTAAGAGTTTTATAGCTGATTATAAAACCACCTCCTAAAGAGGATCAACACAAGACAATAATTGTCCATGGATGACAAAAAAGTTGTCATAAAGACACAATTGACAAGGAAAATTGTTACTTATGTGGCACACAATAATTTAACCTAACAATTATAATTATTACTTATAATGTCCATTAAGTCATATCAGAATTATAGGAGTTTCCCATACTTCTGGAACACATACCAATAACATATTTATAGAAATACAGCCCTAAGAAAACCAAACACCATTTTATATTTGATAATGCTTCCTGTATAATTGTAATACCAACTAAGCCAATTATGTCATTTTTGGACTTTAGGGAACCTCATGTCTTAAAGGACTAATTAGGTCAGGAAAAGACATAATTTATTATTTGATTTGGAAAATTTGTCAAATATCCAAGGTTTAAAACACTTGATATCACAAAATAGGATCACAGGTCATTGTGAAATAAGTCATTTCATTTAACCAAAGTAATAACTCAAAGGATTTTTTTAAAACGGTGAAATCTTCATTCTTTGAGATAGGAGACTTAATTTTCCAAACAGTAAGCCCTAATAAAAACTGCATGAAGCCAATTAAATTTGTTTTTCAAAATTTTATAAACAATCTATAAAATTTTAATCTTGTCTGTAAGATATACCTTCCATAAGCCTTTGAAAACCTTTATAACCTTTATTAAGGCGTCAGCTAATGCTTCAAGAAAACCATGTTGATTTGACATAGGGGCCCATGTGCTGGTCTTGCATCAGTGTGCCTTTGACATTGATGATTAATTTATAGGGGAACTGGCTAGGTGCAGTGGCTCATGCCTGTAATCCCAGCACTTTGGGAGGCTGAGGTGGGCAGATCATTTGAGGTCAGGAGTTTGAGACCAGTCTGACCAACATGGTGAAACCCCATCTCTACTAAAACACAAAAATGAGGCAGGCATGGTGGTGGGCACCAGTCATCTCAGCTACTTGGGAAACTGAGGCAGGAGAATTGCTTGAACCCAGAGGCAGAGGTTGCAGTGAGCTGAGCTTGCACCACTGCACTCCAGCCTGGTAGACAGGGCGAGACTCTCTCTCAAAAAAAGTATAGAGAAACTGAACTTATTTTATCTCTCAAAATTAGCCCTTACAATTTCACACACCCACCTCTTCCTTGACAGTCCCCAGGCCTTGAGGAGTTGAATAGCTTTAATTTCTGGCCCTGGGTCTCAGGAATGCAGTTTATTTTGATTGGCATTTTCTACAGGGCCTGAAGATAGGGCTTTAATTGCTGTCAGTGTTTAACATTTATCAGGACTTGGTTTCCTTTTTAGACCCAGGAGTCAAAGCCTGTAACTCAATGTCACAAGTATTTAAAAGTGTATACAGAGAGATACACGATGTAAGAACCTTAATTAAAAAACATTTTTAATCTCAGTTTATTTTAGCAAACCAAAACCTAATAGTATTATGACAACTGGATCATATCAAAGTTTTTGGTTTTTAAAAAAATATATTTAGAAAACCCCATCGTCTCAGCCCAAAATCTCCTTAAGCTGATAAGCAACTTCAGCAAAGTCTCAGTATACAAAATCTATGTGCAAAAATCATGAAGATTCCCATATGCCATTAACAGACAAACAGAGAGACAAATCATGAGTGAACTACCATTCACAATTGCTATAAAGAGAATAAAATACCTAGGAATCCAACTTACAAGGGATGTGAAGGACCTCTTCAAGGAAAACTACAAACCACTGCTCAATGAAATAAAAGAGGACACAAACAAATGGAAGAATATTCCATGCTTATGGATAGGAAGAATCAATATCGTAAAAATGGCCATACTGCTCAAAGTAGTTTATAGATTCAATGCCATCCCCATCAGGCTACCAAAGACTTTCTTCACAGAATTGGAAAAAACTGCTTTAAAGTTCATATGGAACCAAAAAAGAGCCTGCATTGCCAAGACAATCCTAAGCAAAAAGAACAAAGCTGGAGGCATCACACTACCTGACTTCAAACTATACTACAAGGCCATAGTAACCAAAACAGCATGGTACTTGTACCAAAACAGATATATAGACCAATGGAACAGAACAGAGGCCTCCGAAATAACACCACACATCTACAACCATCTGATCTTTGACAAATCTGACAAAAACAAGAAATGGAGAAAGGATTCCCTATTTAAGAAATGGTGCTGGGAAAACTGGCTAGCCATATGTAGAAAGCTGAAACTGGATCCCTTCCTGACACCTTATACAAAAATTAATTCAAGATGGATTAAAGACTTAAATATTAGACCTAAAACCATAAAAACCCTAGAAGAAAACCTAGGCAATACCATTCAGGACATAGTTATGGGCAAGGACTTCATAACTAAAACACCAAAAGCAATGGCAACAAAAGCCAAAATAGACAAATGGGATCTAATTAAACTAAAGAGCTTCTGCACAGCAAAAGAAACTACCATCAGAGTGAAGAGGCAACCTACAGAATGGGAGAAAATTTTTGTAATCTACCCATCTGACAAAGGGCTAATACCCAGAATCTACAAGGAACTTAAACAAATTTACAAGGAAAAATCCAACAACCCCATCAAAAAGTGGGCAAAGGATATGAGCAGACACTTCTCTAAAGAAGACATATATGCAACCAACAGACACATGAAAAAATGCTCATCATCACTGGTCATCAGAGAAATGCAAATCAAAACCACAATGAGATACCATCTCACACCAGTTAGAACGGCAATCATTAAAAAGTCAGGAAACAACAGGTGCTGGAAAGGATGTGGAGATAGGAATGCTTTTACACTGTTGGTGGGAGTGTAAATTAGTTCAACCATTGTGGAAGACAGGGCGGCAATTCCTCAAGGATCTAGAACTAGAAATACCATTTGACCCAGCGATCCCATTACTGGGTATATACCTGAGGGATTATAAATCCTGCTACTATAAAGACACATGTACACATATATTTATTATGGCACTATTCACAGTAGCAAAGACTTGGAACCAACCCAAATGTCCATCAGCGATAGACTGGATTAAGAAAATGTGGCACATATACACAATGGAATACTATGCAGCCATAAAAAAGGATGAGTTTATGTCCTTTGCAGGGACATGGATGAAGTTGGAAATCATCATTCTCAGCAAACTATCACAAGGACAGAAAACCAAACACCGCATGTTCTCACTCATAGGTGGGAATTGAACAATGAGATCACTTGGACACAGTGGGGGGAACATCACATACTGGGGCCTGTTGGAGGGTGGGAGGCTGGGGGAGGGATAGCATTAGGAGAAATACCTAATGTAAATGGTGAGTTGATGGGTGCAGCAAACCAACCTGACACATGTATACCTATGTATCAAACCTGCATGTTGTGCACATGTACCCTAGAACTTAAAGTATAATTTAAAAAAAAAGAATTAAAAAAAAAATCCCTTTATTATGACTTACACAGACCTTTCACAACATGCTTAGATTTTCTGGTTTGTCCTGAGCATCCCTCTTCCTTAAACAACCAGTCATTTTACTCTAGGACTAAATTTACCATACAAGAGTCTTTCTCCTGTGAAATTATTTCTCTTTAAGCTTTCTTACAAGAAAATTCCCTCTTTATTTTGATAACTTTTTTTTACATCGCTCTTGTTTCCTGGTTCCTGTTACCTTGTTTTATATATGAGCTTTAAATAAGCTTTGAATTAGACAAAAATTGTTCTTCTTTTTTAAAATGACACACCTTTTCTTTAAGAAAGAATGTTTTCCTACAAATATATTTTTAACTGGAAAATACCCAAATAATGAAATCTCTATTCTTTAGATTAACTTCAGATTCTAAATTATGATGAGTTTGTCTACAAGTATTTATCCCATTACTTTTACCTAATTATTTTATTTTAATTGTTTACCTAATTTATGAAAACTGTGATAGTCATCATTTAACGTTATGGAACCACCATTGTAAGATTATAACTGAGACAGTGAAAAAGATTAGACTTCACTGACTCCATCTTGCTTTTAACCTCCTTTTAAGCTGTTCTTGTTTATTCCTGGGCATAGGCTGAACTAACTTTGGGAGAAACTTAGTTTATAATTTACTTTGAAACAAAGACAATAACAGTCCTTTGCCAAAACAAACCTTACTGCCTGTGGACTAGACTGCCTAAAACCACAAGATTAGAAGTTATGCTAATCTTACTAAATTCAAAATGTAGCTATTTTTATTAAACCAATATCAATGTCATATTTATTAAATATTACATGAGTAAAGATCATTCTGTTTTTGGCTGGGTTTATAGTTCTGTAACCCCTATGTCAAATTTTGTCACCTTATAGTATTTGGCAGGGATAAGCATAAAATTACTTGATTAATAAATGCAAACAAATATGTATGCTGGCAGTTCTTAAAACATTTATAATATTATTTTACCAATAATTTTAAAGTTAGCTTACTTATTAAGGGTTTTACTTAAGTTACATAAAGTTGAAAACGCATTTGACTAGTCTTTTCTTTTTTCCTGATAAAGTATTTGATTCAAGTGCTTTTATTTTTCTTTAAACCAATTAGTTAGAGCTCTTTTATATATTTTCAGTAGTGAAACACTGTGTACACAACACATAAATACATAGAGGTATTACAGATGCTGAAGGAAGTACATCTTATAGATTCATAAAACCGTTTTTTTTCCTATCTTAGACATTCAGATTCTTAATAACCTGTTTCACAACCCTAGGCAGTTATCAGCTAAATAGCTTTAAATTTGCATATTAAAGGAAACAACTCAGGTGAAAAATGTAGTAGCAAAACTTACATTATCAGATATGGAGAATAAAAGTCTGGTGTGCTAGAGGGAGATTAAAGATGGATGTCAAATAAAACATAAAATTATAAAAATCTATTATAGGATTGTATAAGGAGACTAATTTTATTTACATAGGGACTACCTGTCTTTTAACCGGATCTCTGAGCTTTGGGCAGAGCCCACATTGAATTCTGGGTTTCCAAAAACGGAGAATTACCCTGAGGCTAGCCCATGTGTTGTTTTCATAGTGCACTTAAACTTTTTTTTTTTTTAATAAAGACATTTCTAAGTGTCTAAATACATTCTTCTTTAAAAATCCAAGGGTATCCTCTGTTGCAGTAACTATTTTAGTAATAAATCAGGTGACACAGTACAAAAGCAAGCAGTTTAAAAGCTGAGATAAACTTGTCTGTTTACACTCCTGTGGTTCCATAAGGAAAAACAGGTTTCTCCCCCAAAGGGAGTCTGGCACCTTCTCCGTTTTCGTTAAAGAACCCTGGGCTATTATATACTATTTTAGGTCTCTCATGCAGCAGAGGATGCAAGAGAAAGGAGAGACAGCAGAAGTAAATGAAGAAAACAGGGTTCAATCAACTGAGAAGAAAAAAACTTTTGCTCATAAAAGGACAAGGTCCTAGGAGACAAAACAAACAAACAAACAAAATCAAACCAAAAAAAACAACCAAAAACATAAAGGCCTTTTAAATACAAACACACACACATAACACATATACACACACATCTTGAATGTTAGCTTTTAATTAAGCTTACTTTAGTCATTGAGCTCCTTAAAAAAACCTTTTAAATCTTATTACCATATTTTAGTTAGGAAAAATTGTAGTTATTTCAGAAGTACCAAGTATCAAACCAGAAAGGGCTTTATTTAAGAAACAAAACCCAGGCTGTCATGGTGGAAAAAAGAAGGCAGGACCTTAGCTATCAAACTGCAATGCGGGGTGACAGTCATTGCTTTCAGCTTGGCCTGGCTAGCAAAAAGATGGCCTTGTTATGTAAATAAAGACTCTTAAGTAGTCAAAATAAAAAAACTTTCCTTTTTTTATTTTTCCTTTTGCTGGTCGTTTTTCTCCACACCATACCACTTTTTTTTTTTTTTTTTTGGTGGGAACGTAGCCACTTCAGAGGCCTTGTTCCCCATATTTTTGGAAATTTCTTTTGGATTTGATCAAGTCAGATAGAGTTGATCAAACCCAATGGGAAAAAGACTGAAACAATAACAAAAACAGAAACAAACAACAATAAAAAAACAGTTAAACGATGGCACAACTTATATGGTCACTGAGTGCTCTAATGGCAAGGAGAAATTAATGCCAACTGGATGTTAATTTTTTTTTTTTTTTTTTGAGACGAAGTTTCACTCTTCCTGCCCAGGCCAGAGTGCAATAGCGTGATCTCGGCTCACCGCAACCTCCACCTCCTGGGTTCAAGCGATTCTCCTGCCTCAGCCTCCCGGGTAGCTGGGACTACAGGCACACACCACCATGCCCGGCTAATTTTTTGGTATTTTTTAGTAGAGACAAGGTTTCACCATGTTGGCCAGGCTGGTCTTGAACCCCTGACCTCAGGTGATCCCTCCGCCTTGTCCTCCCAAAGTGCTGGGATTACAGGCATGAGCCACCACGCCTGGCCTGGATGTCAATCTTAACTTTAGCCAAGACAAACCCTAATTCAGTTCCTTACTTAGGCATGGGTCTCAGGCTGTAGACTGCTCTCTACCATCCTAAGAAGCAGGAAAACAAAACAAAACAAAACAAAAACAACACCTCATCTTCCCTGTTGGAAGTGAGCTCAAACTCCATAAAGGAGTTACCTGCCTTCCATCATCATGGCAACAGGAAATCTTGCCTTCCTTGTTGGAAGCAAGTAAAACTCCAAAAATAAATAAATAAATAAATAGAGAGAGAGAGGAGTTGTACAGCAAAATAAACTTTAGATCTTGACCAAATTTTGGGAGATCAGCGACTCTCTGGAGGGGGTGGTCTCAGACCTCAGCAAATTGTCCTATTGGTTTGAGCCATAAAGTTAGCTTATGCTGGTACCAAGCAGCAATGGGAGATTTGTCAAAGGTCAGGGGCATCTCCATTCAGAATCCCTTCATGGTTGCCAAAATGTGAACCCCCAAAATCTGAGGCAGGTCTCAGTTAATCTAGAAAGTTTATTTTGCCAAGGCTGAGAATTCATGCCCCTGACACAGCCTCAGGAGGTCCTGATGACATGTGCCAAATGTAGTCAGAGCACAGTTTGGTTTTATACATTCTAGGGAGACATGAGACGTCAGTCAACATATGCAAAATGAACATTGGTTCGATTTGAAAAGGCAGGACAACTCAAAGGTGGGAAAACCCAAAGTGGGCAGGGGGCTTCCAGGTCATGGGTAGATAAGAGACAAATGGTTGCATTCTTTTGAGTTTCTGATTAGCCTCTCCAAAGGAGGCAATCAGGTATGTGTTTGTCTCAATGCATGAGATAAATGAGTGAGCAGAGGGGTGACTTTGAAAGAATGGGAGGCAGGTTGGCCCTAAGCTGTTCCCAGCTTGACTTTTCCCTTTAGCTTAGTGATTTGGGGGCCTCAAGTTTTATTTTCCTTTCACAAAGATAATATATCAATTCAACATGAGATTCATTTAGTTACTAGTTTATAAACATTCTGCCTCTGTGCTAACATTGCACAGTCCTTTTATACTGTAAATTTTTTCATTCTGTATTCTCAGCTTCCTGTGCTTCCCAGAATTCCATCATCTGACTGCCATCCTAGAAGGCATTCTCATGAGGACCAAGAATTTCGATGCCGTAGCCACGTACGGGATTACAGAAAATACTCAGAGGATGGGTCATTCAAGGAGCCACTGGAATCAAAAGGAAGATCCCATTCCAAAATTGAGAAATTTTCAGAGTCCTTTGAACGGCAACTGTGCTTTAGAACCAAGCGTTCTGCCTCTTTGGTATGTAACAGAGCTACTGAATATTTAAGCCGCTTTAAAAAAGGAAACCCAAAGGTTTTGTCCTCTTTATGATTGAGGGGAACAAATGTAACTTCTTCATTTACAGCTTGGTAATAAGATCTTTGAAAAATGACATTCAGTTTAACATAACCCAGAATGAATTTTTAAAGAATATTATTTATAATTGAAGACATCTGGTATAGGAAGATTTCCCAGAACATTTTTGTTACCAAAGTCTTCTAGTTTTTCTTTCTTTTTTTTTTTTTTTTTTGAGATAGGGTCTTACTCTGTTGCCCAGGCTGGAGTGCAGTGGCCTGATCATGGCTCACTGCAGCCTCGAACTCCTGGTCTCACGTGTTCCTCCCACCTCAGCCTCTTGAGTAGCTGGGACTACAGGCATGTGCCACCATGCCCGACTAAATTTTAAACTTTTTTTTTCTAGAGACAGGGTCTTGTTATGTTGCCCAGGCTGGTTTCAAACTTCTGGGCTCAAGCAATGCTCCTGCCTCGGGGTCCCAAAGTGCTAGGATTCCAGGTGTGAGCCACCACACCCAGCCCCCTAGTTTCTTGAGCCTGCTTTCATCAACCTTATTATAAATAATTGTAACTCATTCCCCTTTTACAATTTGGAAAAAGAAAAAAAAACTGCCCCATGGCTTCTCTCCTTTCATATTTAATCCTCTAGCAAATAGTCTATGATGGTGTTTTGTTCTCCTATACTTAAAAAACACAAGAACGACCAAACACTGTCTAGTAAGTATCCAGGAATAGGAGTGGGCTAGGTGCTCATGGTGACGTCATGGGAGTCAAAGTAAAGCAAAAGGAAGAGACAGACATGAAATAGGGGGAAGAATAGAATCTCCACTGGTGATGCTAAACTTGATACATAAAGTAATAAACTAAAGATCAATTAATGTGGGGGTAGTTTCAACTCTGCAGCATGCTCACTGACTGGCCTTGAGCAAAATGCTTCTTTTTTTGTAGGTCTTTGGTTTTTTGTTTTATTTTGCAAAACAGGAATAATAATGGGTCACTGCCAGGTAGTAGACAAAACAAATAATTGCACCTAAGTGTAATGACTTCTGGTTCTGGAGCTAGACTCTGTGAGTCCACTGGTGAAGATACTTGGGTGCTTCGTATTTCATTGTCCACCTGAGCACAGTGCTCTCTACCTAGCAGACTGGCTGTTGGGACTGTCACTATGCACCTTTGCCTTTCAAGTGACACCTGACTTTTGCTCAGAGTGACCCTGTATCCATATGGTTTCCCTTCAGTAGGCTGCTTTCTCCACCTGATCATAAGAGGAACAAGGAAGGGAGAATAGTGAACAGCTGTCATTTTACTGTATCTAAACCTTATTATCAAGAATTCCTGTAATCCCAGCACTTTGGAAGGTTGAGGCCACGGGATCGCTTGAGGCCAGGAATTTGAGACCAGCCTGGGCAACATAGTGAAATCCTGTCTCTACGAAAATTAAAAAAAAAAAAAAAAATTACCAGCCATGGTGTCCTGCACCTGTATTCCTCACTGCTTGGGAGGCTGAGGTGGGAGGATCTCTTGTGCTCGAGTTTGAGACTGCCGTCAGCTATGATTGGGCCCATTGTACTCCAGCCTGGGCAACAGAGCAAGACTCTCAAAAAAAAAAAAAAAGAATTCCTGTTTTGTCTTTTTAAAAAAATACTTTTTGTTTTCATATTGTCTCAGGCTTAGAGAAATGTTGCAAGAATAGGACAAAGAATTCCCATACACCCTTCACCTAGATTACCTCCAAATGTTAACATGTCCCTATTTGCCTACACTATCTCTCCTTTTCCCACCTCCAAACACAGGCACAAGAACATTCTCTGACATAAACACAATACAATAATTAAACTCAGGAAATTAATACTGATATAATACTATTATCTCTAATCCATAAACCTTACTTATATTTTTTTGCCAGTTGTCCCAATAATATTCTTTATAGTGAAATTTGAAATCATGTGTTGCTACCGAGGTTCATGTCCCTGTGCTCTATTTTACCCTGGAGCACTTTCTCAGTCTTTCCTTGTCTTTCACGACATTAGCTAATATTATTATTATAAGCCCTAAAAGTGTATAAAGTCATTTTGCTTAAAAAGATATTCATCATATTATCTCTAAAATACAAAATATGCTTGTTGCATTCATTTTCCACATTCTTCCTTTTGGGTTCCAAGATACTTAGGGAAGCATTTTCTACTTTTTAAACTCAAAAACTCTTTTTCACAGTTATATGTAATAACTAGAAATCTGTTAGGAATTTATAAAATTATGTTTATATTTGCACATTAGATAATAACTAATTATAAATTGAATATTTTATTTTACATCAGTTTTTAAAGAGTACATTATAAAATCTTAATGCAAAATTAGAAATTCCGAACATATACAGATACACTTCAACTTTTCCCTATTTGATAATCTACACACTTTCCTAAGGCTAACTACATTAGAAAGTGTTCTTTTTCAGTAAATTTAAAAATGATTTATATCGTCTTTTGTTTGGGGACCAAATGTATACTAATACCTAGATTTAAATTTTACATATTTTGACATAAAAAAGAACCAGAAACTGTTTCTGTGTCCTGATCATGACCAACAATGTTAAATTCTTTCATTTTGATATTTAAAAATTCAGTGGGCTTCTTTTGATAATTTTCACATTTAGCATCTAAGAGATGTGATAAAATGTATTTCAGGGCATTATTTACAAGCATTTCTCAGATAGTCTTTAATCATCACTCTATTTTCTCTTTCTTATACCATTTTGATAAGAGACCTTCATGACTGCGTTAACATTGTAGAGCGGCTGACACCACTGTGTTAAACAGATGCCTCAATAACTCTCAACTAACACGGCTGAGCAAGCATGACCTTGCTCATGTGACCACCACTCACCACTGCTTAACTTCACCTGATAAGCACTCAGGGGTTTCCCAACATTTCTAGTTCAAACAGGAGAGGAGTAATGATTTTGCTTGTTTATTTTTTAAAACAGAAGGATAAATAGATACGGTGGCCACATTTATCCATGCCATTGTTTTGATAATTCCTTTGAAAGGCACCCTCTGGCCATATAACTAAAGAAGCAACCCCCCCACCCTCCAGTAGGTCCCTATCACTCTGTTTACAGTTATCATTGCACTTATCACTATTGATTATTTTTTCATTTCCTTTTAGGTTTATTGATGACTGTCTGTATCCCTCCACCTAGGTGTAATATCTAGGAAGTAGGTCTATTTAGTGTTATATCTCCTGATCCTACAACAACAGTTTATGTTCAATTAATCAGTGAATAATGTGGAATCCTGGGGACACATGTCGGGGGGTGTTAATCTGGTTGGGCGTCATTCCTTAACAGTTCATTCTTCCCACAGTCCTCACATTAAAATTTAGTGCAAACTCTACTATTAAAGTAATTTAAGGGAGTGAACACAGAAAGCTAAGAATCATTCCATGTGTGATCTCATTTGCCACTTTCCGTTTCAAAAAGCACCAGGGAACTATTAATTTCATTGTGCCATGAAATCACACCCCTCAGTATGTTCAGAGGCAAAGAGTCATAGGCATGTGCAGGTTGTACTTCCTTCCCAGACCATCTGCTGATGTCCAACCCCCTCTATTCTTTTCTTTGTGACCGAAACCTTTAGCAACATCCTTAGGTTTATGCTAATTTATTTCTAGAAACCAAGAGGTGGAAGTCTGCTAAACCATCAGGGCTTTCTCCATGTCTGATTATTAAGAGAAATGTGGAGTGTTGTCAGCTGCTTGTGCATTTTTACCTGTTTCTGATCTTTCCCTTTCAGGGACCTGAAAGCAGAAAGGAGAGAAATGAAAGAGAATGCCTGAGGATGGAGATAAAATCCCGAAAGAAAGTAGAGGAAGAAAGGAGCTCTAGGAAAGAAGAGCATGGAGAAGCACACATGGCTCCCCTGTTTGAAAAAGGGCCTGAATAATACTCTGCTTCTGCCTCATGACATCAGATGCTACTGTTTTGGTTTTTTTCTTTGAGCCCCAATTCACCATTTCAGGATGTGGATGGGGGCGGGGTTGGGGGTAAAAACAGCTATAAAAAGCAACTGCAGATGCTGACTGACTGCAGTGGGCAGGGTATGTAGCTGCTCCAAGATGACTTGCATCATACCCCAATTACTGCTGGCATCTTAGTTGAGAGTATAATCTGCTTGGTTGCCTTTTTATGGGAATAAAGAGAATAAAAGGTATTTTAATAGAATAAAGAAAAATTTGAAAATATAATGGAAGGTATTTAAAGAGCCACCCACATAGCTTCACCAACCCTTCTCACACATCAACTCATAAATCATCTTAAATAAAAGTCATTGGTATGACTCTTGAGTTTACTTTCTTATCCAGAAGTAATTATGTAAGTATGTCTAATGGCCATCATTTAAGGAGAACTGGTAATTAACATGCCAAGTACTATGCTGGATGCTTTAATGCATTACCTAAAATAAGCTTCAGCACTCTGAGGTGGGACCTTGTATTAGTCAGGATTCTCCAGCGAGAAAGAACCAATAGGATAGAGCTAAAGATAGATCCATAGAGATAGAGATAGAGATAAATAGGGATAGAGAATATATGAGAAGGGATTTATTAGGGGAATTGGCTAACATGATTATGGAGGCAGAGAAATCCCAACATAAACTGTCTCCAAGCTGGAGAACCAAGGAAGCTGGTAGTGTGGCTCAGTTCAAGTTCAAAGGCCTCAGAACCAGGGAAGCCAGTAGGGTGGCTTAGTCCAAATTTGAAAGCCTCAGAAACAGGGAAGCTGATTATATAACTTTCAGTTCTAGGTTGAAGGTAGGGTAGGGGAGAGTCACTGGCACAAGTCCCTGACTCCGAAGGCCACATGGAACCTGCAGTTCTAATATCCAAGGCAGGAAAGAAGGGCATCCTAGCTTTGAGGGAGATGGAGAGAGAGAGAGAAAGAGAGAGAGAGACAGAGAGAGAGAGAGAGAGAGAGAGAGGCAGAAAATTCTCCTTTCCTCTGCCTTTTTTATCTATCCAGGTCTTCAGCCAATTGGATGGTGCCTGCCCACAATGGGTGAGGGTGGATCTTCCTTATTCAGTCCACTGATTCAAATGCCAATCTCTTCCAGAATCACTTTAACAGACACATCTGTGCAGAAAGAAATAATGCTTTACCAGCTGTCTGGGTGCCCCTTAATCCAGTCAAGCTGGCACCTAACATTAACCATCACAGACCTATTTTTTTCTTCACTTTCTAGATGAGGAAACAAAGTTTAGAGAGTTCTGTACC
This sequence comes from Homo sapiens, assembly GCF_000001405.40. Lineage (NCBI taxonomy): Eukaryota > Metazoa > Chordata > Mammalia > Primates > Hominidae > Homo > Homo sapiens. The sequence continues at coordinate 100,457,252 of NC_000003.12, forward strand.
TTGTTGGTGTGGTGGCAGAGTTAGGGCCAGAGCCCAGTTCATTCTGATGCCAGAGCTTATGGTCCTAACGTGAGGCAGGATGTTCATTTTCCTCTAGTAGCAGGTTCTGAGATAGTCTGTGTGTGATGTGCATGTGAATGAGTGGATGTGAGTGAGAATAGCAGGAGTGAGGGTAGGTTGCAGTTTTGATTACACGGGTGTAGACTGATTCTCTGAGGTCAGCTTTATGCACTGGGTTTTAACTTTGTGGAACCATACTCTATCGATCACTAATTGTTTTCCCCTGAAAGCAAAGATACTGGAGTTCTCTAATGCTCTCTCTGTTTATTCCTCATCTGTCTTAGACTTTCAAATGCCCAAGGGCAGCTTACCCGTTTTGTGAAGAGGAAAATCCCCCAAAAGTACTACTCATAACTAATACTGTAATTGATTGCTTATGCAAGCATTGACTTTGACTTAGTAGAAATAAAAAGGAAAAGGGGAGTGTCAGTTTGTTCTCACACTGCTATGAAGAACTGCCCAAGACTGGGTAACTTATAAAGAAAAGAGGTTTAATTGACTCACAGTTCTGCATGCCTGGGAAGGCCTCAGAAAACTTACAATCATGGTGGAAGGTGAAGGGGAAGCAAAGACCTTCTTCACATGGTATTAGGAAAGAGAGAGCTAGTAAGAGCAGGAAAAACTGCCTTATAAAACCATCAGATCTCATGAGAACTTATTATCATAAGAATAGCATGGCGGAAACCTCCCCCATGATCCTCCCACCTGGTTTCTCCCTTGACAAGGGATTATGAGGTTTACAATTCAAGATGAGATTTGGGTGGGGACACAGGCAAACCATATCATTCCATCCCTGGCCCCTCCCAGATCTCATCTCCTCACATTTCAAAACACAATTATGCTTTCCCAGTAGTCAAAGTCTTAATTCATTCCAGCATTAAACCCAAAAGTCCAAGTCCAAAGTTTCATCTGAGACAAGGTGAGTCCCTTCTACCTATGAGCTGGTAAAATCAAAAGCAAGTTAGTTATTTCCAAGACACAGTGGGGGTACAGGCATTGGGTAAATGCTCCCATTCCAAATGGGAGAAATTGGCCAAAACAAAGGGGCTACAGGTCCCATACAAGTCCAAAATTCAGTGGGGCAGTCATTAAATCTAAAAACCCCAAAACAATCTCCTTTGACTCCATGTCTTACATTCAGGGCACACTGATGCAAAGGGTAGGCTCCCATGGCCTTGGGCAGCTCCATCCCTGTGGCTTTGTAGCCCCTCTGCCCAGCCCTCCATATACCAGCTGCTTTCATGGCTAGTGTTGAGTATCTGCAGCTTTTCCAGGTGCACAGTGCAAGCTGTCAGTGTATCTACCATTCTGGGGTCTGGAGGATGGTAGGCCCTCTTCTCACAGCTCCACTAGGCAGTGCCCCAGTAGGGATTCTCTGTGGGGGCTCCAACCCCACATTTCCCTTCTGCACTGCCCTAGCAGAGATTCTCCATGAGGGCTCTGTCCCTGCAGCACACCTCTGCCTGCACATCCAGGTGTTTCCATACATCTTCTGAAATCTAGGCAGAGGTTCCCAAACCTCATTTCTTGTCTTCTGTGCACCCGCAGAACCAACATCACATGGAAGCTGCCAAGACTTGGGGCTTGCACCTTCTGAAGCAACAGCCTGAGCTGTACCTTGGTCCCTTTTAGACACAGCTGGAGCAGCTGGGATGCAGGGCACCAAATCCAAGGCTGCACACAGCAGGGGAGCCCTGGACTTGGCCCAGGAAACCATTTTTCCTCCTAGGCCCCTGGGTCTGTGATGGGAGGGGCTGCTGTGAAAGTCTCTGACATGCCCTGGAGACATTTTCCCCATTGTCTTGGTAATTAACATTCAGCACCTTGTTACCTGTGCAAATTTCTCTAGCCAGTTTGAATTTCTCCCCAGAAAATGGATTTTTCTTTTTTACCATATTGTCAGGCTGCACATTTTCCAAACTTTTATGCTCTGCTTCCCTTTTAAACATAAGTTCCAATTTCAGATAATGTCTCTCAACTTCAAAGTTCCACAGATCTCTAGGGCAAGGGCAGAATGCCACCAGTTGCTCTGCTAAAGCGTAGCAAGAGTGAACTTTGCTCCAGTTTCCAAAAAGTTCTGCATCTCCATCTGAGACCATCTCAGCCTGGACTTCATTGTCTACACTGCTATCAGCATTTTGGTCAAAACCATTTGACAAGTCTCTAGGAAGTTCCAAACTTTCCCACATTTTCCTGTCTTCTGAGCCCTCCAAACTGTTCCAACCTCTGCCTGTTACCCAGTTTCAAAGTCACTTCCACATTTTTTGGTACCTGTATCGCAGTACCCCACTCTCTGCAGTACCGATTTCCTATATTTGCCCATTCTCACACTGCTATAAAGAGCTGCACAAGGCCAGATGCAGTGGCTCATGCCTGTAATCCCAGCACTTTGGGAGACCGAGGCAGGTGGATCATCTGAGGTCAGGAGTTCAAGACCAGCCTGGCCAACACAGTGAAACTCCATCTCTAATAAAAATACCAAAAATTAGCCAGGTGTGGTGGCAGGCACTTGTAATCCCAGCTACTCGAGAGGTTGAGGCAGGAGAATTGCTTGAACCTGGGAGGCAGAGGTTGCAGTGAGCTGAGATTGCTCCACTGCTCTCCAGCCTGGGTGGCAGAGTGAGACGCCATCTAAAAAAAAAAAAAAAAAAAAAAAAAGAACTGCCCAAGACTGGGTAATTTATAAAGAAAAGAGGTTTAAAAGAGGTTTAATCGACTCACATTTGCACATGGCTGGGGAGGCCTCAAGAAACCTACAATCATGGCAGAAGGCGAAGGGGAAGCAAGGACCTTCTTCACTTGATGGCAGGAAAGAGAGAGCTAGCAAGAGCAGGGAAAATTGCTTTATAAAACCATCAGATCTTGTGAGAATTCATTCACAATCATGAGAACAGCACTGGGGAAACTTTCCCCATGATCCAATCATCTTCCACCGTGCAAACACTGCTCACTGCAGCCTCAACCTCCTGGGTTCAAGTGATCCTGCCACCCTAGTCGCCCCAGTAGCTGGGACCATAGGCATACACCACCACAGCCAGCTAATTAAAAAAAAAGTATTTGTAAGGTGGGGGGGTTTCCCTATGTTGCCCAGGCTGTTCTGAAACTCCTGGGCTCAAGAGATCTTCCTGCTTTGGCCTCTTCAAAGTGCTGAGATTACTGGTGTGAGCCCCCACGCCTAACAGAACAAAAATTTTAAATGTGTTTGTTTACCTTCTCGGAGATAAATATGGTTAATGCCTTGGTGTATGTACTTCCAGAATGCTATTTACGTGTACATGTGCACATGAACGTAAGTGCACATCAAACACTTTTTCAGTCATAATCTCATTTCAGTTAAGAATATATCATTAACATCTCTTTAATCGATAAAATTGTTTATTACATAATTTTAAATGGTGTTTAAGTGGAGTCAAGTCACTTTGTTTTTTTTTTTTTGAGACGGAGTCTCGCTCTGTCGCCCAGGCTGGAGTGCAGTGGCGAGATCCCGGCTCACTGCAAGCTCCGCCTCCGGGGTTCACGCCATTCTCCTGCCTCAGCCTCCCGAGTAGCTGGGACTAAGGCGCCGGTCACCATGCCCAGCTAATTTCTTTATATTTTTTTTAGCAGAGACGGGGTTTCACCGTGTTAGCCAGGATGGTCTCAATCGCCTGACCTCGTGATCCGCCCACCTCAGCCTCCCAAAGTGCTGGGATTACAGGCGTAAGCCACCGCGCCCGGCCGTCACTTCTGCCATAAAAACTTTCCCTCATAACATACCAAGAGATACCATTCTTGATAGCCAATAGTAACCAACTTAGCTATCTTCCTTTTCATAGAAAACTTCTTGAAGAGTTATCTACATTTCCCCTCAGTTTTGAGTCTGCTGCAATGTGACTTCTGTCCTTACCCTTTATAGAAACCGTTCTCTTCAAAGTCACCCTTGAGCTCCTTACTGTCAAATTCTGTGAAAACATCTCTTGACTTTGCTTGACTTTCTAGAAGCATCAGACATTGCTGATTACTCCCTCCCTCTTGAAGCCCCTCTCTGGCTGGCTGTTGAGACTTATATTCTTCTGGTTTTCCTTGTACCTCTCCTATCACTGCTGGTTGTTTTGGTGCTTTGGTGAGAGATCCATATACCTTAAATACGGATTTTCTTCAGAGCTCTGTCTAAGCATTTGCCTCAGTTACCTTATCTTCCCTGGGTAATCTCAAACACGTGCAGGGTATCGGCCACCTATGTGCTGATGGCTCCCAAATCTGTCCCTGTGGTGCAGACTCTCTCCTGAGCAGCACACTCATATATAAAAGCATCCTTTGGACATATTAGTTACAGGTTTCACAGACATCTCAAACTCATCTTTTGAAAGTAAACTGTTCTTTATTGCCCTGTCTGCTCTCCTTCTGCCCCTCTTTCTGTGTTCCCTATCTCAGTGACTGGTAGCATCATTTACCAGTTGCTCGTGGAAGAACTTACCTGGGTTTGAAGCCACTTGTACTCCTCCTTTTCTCCCATTCTCCATCTAATTAATCATCAACTTGTGTCTATTTTGCCTCTAAATATCACTTGGATCTACCGAATTCCCTCTATTCTCATTGCTACAACCTGATTTCAGGCCCTTTATATCTTGCTTCATTTCTTACAATAGAAATAATAATATTTTAGATATATTTGGTTAAATCAAATATATTATGAAAATTAATTATCTTTTTTCCTTATATAAATGTAGTTACTAGAAAATTTAAAACAGCATATATGTCTCATATTATATTTCTATTAGATAGCACTGATCTATACCTTGGCTAACTTTCAAACCTCTTTTTATATTACTAACATTTTAGTTTTTAAGTTTAACTGAGCTTAAAATGTATTTAAATTTAATTAATCCAAGGTGCTATTTTGGGTTAATTGGCCTAATACTAGTTACAACATTTTAAGTAAATTTTGTTATACCTAAACTGTCTTTCTTCCGTTCTTCCTTGTTTCCGTCTTTCTTCTCGAAATAAAAGTGCCCTGTCTATTCATATTCTTTCTTGTGCTATAGTATAGCTCATGTAGGCTTCATTATGTAATGGAATGATTTCCTTACACGTCTGTCTTCCTCTCTAGCCCGTGAACTCTTAGTGAGAGAAACCATATCTTAATCATCTTTCCATTCCCAAAACTTAATAGGCACCTATCACATAGTAGCATCTCAATATATAGCTGGCTTTCCATATGCACAGGTTCTACATCAACAGATTCGACCAATCACAGATCAAAAACATTCAAAAATAAAACCAATAATAATAATAATACAACAATAAAAGACCATCCAAATAAAAACAATACAGTATAGCAACTTTTTGCATAGTGTTTACATTGTGTTAGGTATTATAAGTAATCTAGAGATGATTTAAAGTATGTAGGAAGATGTGAATAGGTTATATGCAATTACTATGTCATTTTATATAAGAGATATGAACATCATCGGATTTTGGTATCTGTGAGGATCCTGGGCCAACCTCCTGTGCATACTGAGCGACGACCATATACAGTTTGAGAGTGTGACTCTAAACAAGCAGGACCCTAAAACTTGAATTAATTCTGCCTATTGTAGGCCAAACACTGTCATAGATGACTCTCTCACAATGAAAAACTGTATTTGGAGTTGATATTTTCCCTCCTAAAATGGAAACTTTTTTTGCTTATAAAAGTAATAGCTGACACACTTTCAAGTAATGCAGAAAACAGTATGACAGCCTCCCAGAAAAGCCAAGTGTTGTTATGACCTTAATACAGCTCATTATTACTGTCAAGACATTCTGGTTACTCTACTCTAGGGGGCAGACTTGAACCAGCATTTGGACAGGTAATGCTGGACGCAAGCCTCAGTGTTTGGCCAAAGACAAAATCACTATCGTTACGTTTTTCTTTTCTTTCTTTCTTTCTTTTTTTTTTTTTTAGAGTCTGTCATCCAGCCTGGAGTACAGTGGTGTGATCATAGCTCACTGCAGCCTTGAGCTCCTGGGCTCAAATGATCCTCCCCACTCAGCCTCCTAAAGGGCTGGGATTACAGGTGTAAGCATCAAATCTCTTAAAAGCTTCTTCACTATCATGAGAAAAACATGGGGGAAACTGCCCCCATGATCAAATCACCTCCCACCAGTTCCCTCCCTCAACACGTGGGGATTACAATTCGAGATGAGATTTGAGTGGGGATTCAGAGCCAAACCATGTCAGATGGTAAACAAAAATCAAAGAAAAATATAGCATAATGTCATGAAGAATCAAAAACAGTTAGGAAATAGAGATAACGGGAATGCTTTTTAAGAGTGAGTTTCCAAAAAAGCCTGTCTGATGAGGTGGTATTTGAGCTGAGGTATGAATGAAATGAGGGAAAAGGGTCTCAGGCAGCAGCGCAGCAGTGTAAAGGCACTAAGGTAAGAGCTTGCTTGGCTTCTTTTAAAAATAGCAACATATTCCTGGAAAGGAGTGCATGACAGGTGTGCAATGGAAAACGAAGCTGGAAAATGCAAAGGGTGGATAATCTGTTACCTAGGTGGTTGTTATTCTAAGTGTCATGGGAAGCTATTGGAAGGTTTTGAGTGAATCACATGGTGTGACAATTTCAGGGAGGGATACATCACAGAGGCAATATTGCTATGCCACTTCAGACATATTAGCATGCTGCTTTCCCAAAGTTCCGTCATTAGTCATTGTTAGCTCTGTGGCTAGAAGACAAAGAAGAGTTTCTTGAAGTGGGAAAAGAAATTATGGTACTCTCCTTCTAAGTTGAGAATATCCTCTTGGCAAACAGCATGGTGCATGAATAGGTTTGTTGAATGAGTGAAAGAAATAATGAATGAAACAACAGTGAAGGCATTTTTTTTTTTGAGACAAAGTCTCACTCTGTCATCTAGGCTGAAGTGCAGTGGTGCGATCTCCTCACTGCAACTTCTGTTTCCCGGGTTCAAGTGATTCTCCTGCCTCAGCCACCCTAATAGCTGGGATTACAGGCATGCCCCAACATGCCTGACTAAGTTTTCTATTTTTGGTAGAGATGGGGTTTTGCCATGTTGGCCAGGCTGGTCTCGAACTCCTGGCCTCAAGTGATCAGCCCAGCTTGTCCTCCCAAAATGCTGGGATTACAGGTGTGAGCCACCATGCCCAGCCAGCAAAGCCATTTCTTAAGTATTATAAACATCTTGAAACAGTTTCCTCTCTGCTTTGCTAATTCATGGATATTTACTAAGGGCTGCATGTACTGCAGCGTAATAGGTGGGGCACACCAAGATGAGTGAGACACAGTCCTTGCCTTCAAGGAACTTCAATTTTTGTTGGAAAAATAGACATATACACAAAACAGAATGCTTATATTGAGATTTTGGCTGAGGCATCAAGATACACAGCTGTCCTTCACTATCCATAGGGGATTGATTCCAGGACCCCCTGTGGATACCAAAATCCATGGATGCTCAAGTTTCCTATATAAAATGGTGTAGCATTGGCATATAACCTATGCATATCGTTCTGTATACAGTTGACTTTTGAACAATGTTGGCTTAAACTGTGCAGGTCCACTTATAAGCAGATGTTTTCAACCAAACACAGATGGAAAATACATTATTGAGGAATGTCAAACCAGTGTATATGGAGCACCAACTCTTCTTATACGTGGGTTCCAAAGGGCTGACTTCAAGACCTGGAGTATGCATGGCTTTTGGTGTACTTGGGAGTCCTGGAACAAATCCCCCACATATAACAAGGAATAATAACTGTACTTTTAATCATTTCTAGGTTGTTTATAATACCTAATACAATGTGAATGCTATATAACTAGTTGTTATACTGTATTATTTAGGGGATAATAAAAAGAAAAACAAATTTGTGGATGTTCAGGGCAGACACAACCATTTATCTTTTCTCAAATATTTTTTCATGGTTGGTTGAATCCCTGGATGTGGAACCCACAGATACAGAGGGCTGACTGTAACAGATGCTATGTACCAAAATTAGGAGTTTTGCAAAATTGATAAAATACCTAAATGTAAACCTGAAACTATAAATTTCCTAAAAGAGAACAAAGGGAAAAAGTTTTTGGACACTGGCAGTGGCAGTAATTTTTTGGATATCATACCAAAAGCTCACTATAAAAGCAAAAATAAATAAATGGGACTATATCAAACTAAAAAGCTTCTGCATAGCAAAGGAAACAACAAAATGAAATGGCAACCTACAGATTGGGAAGAAATATTTGCAAACTATATATGTATAAGGGGGTTTAAGCTGCCATATGAAGAAGCCCGTGGGGAAGGAATTGAGGGTGACCTCTTGCCAGTAGTCATCAAGGAAATGCCCTCATTCTGAAAACCTGCAAAGAACTGAATCCTGCTAACAGCCATGTGAACTTGGAAATGGATCCTTCTTTAATCGAGCTTCACATGACTGACAACTTGATTGCAGCCTTGTTGATAAATACCTAGGCAGGTAGGGGTGGGTCCCCGGTGAAATTCAACCTTCAAGTCAGAAACAGTCCCAGGTAAATCCTTGAACCAGATTGAGAACCCGCCCTCCTGTTTGGCGTGCTTTCCTCTGATTGATACTCAGCCTTCAACTATTTTACATATACCTACCCTTTCCTAATTGGTTTCCTACACTATCATGCCCATTTTTAAGTGGTGTCTTTGACTTTTTTGCATACTCACAAGCTAATCAGCACGCACTCCCTATTCTGAGCCCATAAAAAGCCCTGGGCTCAGCCATATTGGAAACTCTCTTACCTTCAGGCAGGGGAACTACCCCTGTGTAACTTCCCCACTAAAAGCTGTTTCATCACTCAGTAAAACTTCCTGCCTTGCTCACTCTTCCAGTGTCCATGTATCTACTTCTTCCTGATTGTGAGACAAGAACCCAGACCAAGCTGAACCTTAGTTCAGAGCAAAAAATTCTGCATCATTTTGGAGGCTTGTCTGGCATTTGTCAGAAGGTTGAGTAAAATGTGGACCCAACAATCTCTTTCACTTTTGTTTCTGAGCTTTCTTATCCTCAGACTTTTTCGGAAGGCAGGGGATACTGCAACCTGCCCCCTGCCCCCCTGTTGCTCTCAGGGGTCAGGAATGTTGGCCTTTGTCCAACCCAGTCTTTTCTATGGCATTTTCCTTCTTTTTTCAGGACTGTAATGGCACCTATCTTTTAGTGGGCATGTTCCACCCCCACCCCAATGGCCACAGGCATGCACACAAGACAGATTGGCAAGCTCCCTGCCCTGCTCCCCTCCTGGCTGGGGCACACAGCACAAGGGTCCCTCATGGCTGGCTGGCCAGCATTTCTCACTTGCCGTCCCCTCCTGCTAGGTGCCCAAGGAGTCTTTCCTCCCCTTGCTGAGCCAAGAAGGAGGAGACAGCAATTAAAAGTTTCTTTTCCTGTTGAAGAAACCCACTTGCATAAGAATAAATAAGAGGTTTCTACCCAAGGCATCTTCCCAGCCCTGAACTTAAGCTTTTTTTTCTTCCTTTTCTCCACCCTGTCAGCAGTTAACACAGCCCTGTAGATATAGGGAGTTTTCTATGCAAGAGTTTTTTTTCCTCCTTTTGGAAGGCATCTTGTTAGGCCACAGGACACCCTTTTTCGCTCCCTTGTTTGAAGAGGACCCAGCTCCTCAGCTTTACCTTAGCATTTGGCTTATGGTAAGGAGGCAGCAGAGGAGCAGTCCCGCTGGCTGCTGGCTGCAGTCTGGCGAGGGACACCTGGGACTTGATGAGTCCATGTACCCACTGAGGCAGTTCTTTTGTCCCAAACTCAATTCCAAGCTTAGAGTTGAAGACTCAGGATAGAAAATTGAATATGAGGGGTCCAGAGGCAGACAACAATGGAAGTTAAAATGCAAAGCATAAGTGACCATGGCTAATTCCTGCCAATCAAACCAAGCCTCCTGTTTCATGGATAGAGGTCATGCCTGTATCCATGGCATAAATGAGGCCTAGGGAACTCAAAGGTTATGACAACAGGCAGGGACAGGGCATATGTGGGTGAGTTCAAATATTCCCACCCCCTTGGCCCTTCTGTTACTATGAGTGAAAGCCACATTGGCACCCATGGGTGGCACCTTGTCAAGGTCGCTGGGACTCAGATACAAGGACATAAGAAAGAAAAGAGATGCCTATTTTTTCTCTCCCTCATGTACCCTGGGTATTCACTGGGAAGTAAAAGGAATTGGGGATGGCTTATCCACTCTTCCCAGCTGGGTAACAATTCATCTTCCCAAAATGGGGTCAGTAGCACTTGCTCTGTTTTAGTCCATGCACCCACTGAGGCAGTTCTTTTGTCTAAAGAACCATTCATCTTTAGTTCGTACCCCCCTTGAATGCATCCTGAGTCCTGGGGGGGCATCTTGGAAAAAAAGCCTTCTTTTTCCTTTTTCCTCCTCTGTCCTCTCTTTGTGGATGGGTAATTGCATCCCCATACTATAGGACACTCTCCTCAGATGCATCCTCTAAACTAGGAAAAATTAATTTACCAAACCTTAAACTGCTTGGCTTAGAATTGAGCTCAGGGGAAGGGAACCCAGAAGCCTGACATGCCAGCAAAAGGGTAAAAGTTTTTTTTTTACCCAGTCAGACTTTTGGCCTTGTTAGGCCAAAGTCTTTTGGCCTCACTCTTGCTGTGCAAACCGATAGAAAAAATGGTGAGGATAACTGCTTATATTCTCCATAAAGTTTTGATTAATGAAAAATGATTTATGAGGCTTGTCTTAAGCTATAGCCAATCTGGTGTGCTTTGTGTGTTTTTCTGTATGGTTCTGTCAGAAAGAGGGGTGCCTTAGGATAGAATGTTGGCCTAGGACCCTATATGCCTGCTGTTCAAGTTAGCCCAACAAACTGGTCAGTATCAAACTTTGCTGCAGGCCACCATATTGTTTTATGTCCTTGGGAGCTTGAAATGTAACCACGTGGCAGTACTTAACTTTAGTCTCTGCCATTTTACAATGGTGGCCTGTGTTCAATCCTGGCTTGGAGAATGAGTACTTTCAAGTAAACAGCTGTGTGACTTCTACCATTTGCTGATTCTCTTCCCATCCATGAACAACTTCTAGCTTCCATTCTCTGAGTTACCTTTAGAGGTTCTAGATTTTGTAAAAACTGCTTACCACCTTTTTGAATATATACCTCATACATTCATAGTTAAGTCATAACCTTAATTGAAGCTTGTTGGTTTCACCTGTGAGGTTACTTTTGGTAAAGTTCAAAAGCCAGAAATGTTGGCGGGTTCACATGGCTAAGGTTGGGTAACAAGGGATTTAAAAGGATTTTCTTAAAGAATGCTCAGCTTAATTAAAAGTGGATATCAAAGCTATAGGTATATTTAAGAGACCTTTATGTTTTTCTGGAAAAGGTTTTTTTCTCAGTTGACTGAATTACTTTTCTCCATTTTGTCTTGCCACTCTTAATGCACACATGAGAGGCCGTAGATAACTTCTCGGCACATGGGACTCTTTGGGAAAAACAGAGAGAGTGCCACTGACCCCATTTTGGGAAGAAACCTCTGTTTTCCTCATAGAACCCCAGGAATTGAAAGTGGATAGATCCCTCTCAAAATCTATTTTTTTCTTCCAGCTATGCCTGTTTATTGGTCCCTAGAAACTGCATGCTTTCCTAGCCTTGTGTATTAGTTGGTTTTCACACTGCTGATAAAGACATACCCAAGACTGGGAAAATTATAAAGAAAAAGACTTTTAAGGACTTCTAGTTCCACCTGGCTGGGAAGGCCTCACAATCATGGTGGAAGGTGAAAGGCATTTCTTACGTGGTGGTGGCAAGAGAGAGAGCTTGTACAGAGAAACTCCCATTTTAAAAACCATCAGATCTCATGAGACTAATTCACTGTCATGAGAACAGTCCAGGAAAGACCCATCCCCATGATTCAATCATCTCCCACCGGGTCCCTCACACGACACATGAGAATTATGGGAGCTACAAGATGAGATTTGGGTGGGGACACAGGTCCAAACTATGTTATTCTGGCCCCTTCCAAATCTCGTATTTTCACATTTCAAAACCAATCATACCTTCCCAACAGTCCCCCAAAGTCTCAACTCATTTCAGCATTAACTCAAAAGTCCACAGTCCAACATCTCCTCTGAGACAAGGCAAGTCCCTTCCAACAATGAGCCCGTAAAATCAGAAGCAAGTTAATTACTTTTTAGATACAATATGGGTACAGGCATTGGGTAACTACAACCATTCCAAATAGGAGAAGTTGGCCAATACAAAGGGCTACAGGACCCATGCAAGTCTGAAATCCAGCAGGGCAGTCAGATCTTAAAACTCCAGAATGACCTCCTTTGACTCCATGTCTCATGTCCAGGTCACGCTGATGCAAGAGGAGGGTTTCCATGGTTTTGGGCAGCTCTGCCCTTGTGGATTTTCAGGGTACAGCTTCCCTCCCAATTGCTTTCACAGGCTGGTGTTGAGTGTCTGCAGCTTTTCCAGGCACACAGTGCAAGCTGTCAGTGAATCTACCATTCAGGGGTCTGGACTGGTGGCTGTTTTCTCACAGCTCCACTAGGTGGTTCCCCAACAGGGACTCTGTGTAGGGGCTCTGACCCCATGTTTCCCATCCTCACTGCCCTAGTAGAGGTTCTCCATGAGAGCCCCACCCCAGCAGCAAGCTTCTGCCTGGGCATCCAGGCATTTCCATACATCTTTTGAAATCTAGGCAGAGGTTCCCAAATCTTAATTTTTGACTTCCATGCACTCACAGGCTCAACACCATGTGGAAGCTGCCAAGGCTTGAGGCTTCCATCCTCTGAAGCCGTGGCCTCAGCTCTACGTCAGCCCCTTTCAGCTGTGATTGGAGCAGCTGGGACGCAGGGCACTAAGTCCAATCCTGCACACAGCATGGGGACCCTGGGCCTGGCCCATGAAACCATATTTTCCTCCTATGCCTCAACCTCTGGGCCTGTGATGGGAGAGTTGCCACAAACATCTCTAACATGCCCTGCAGACATTTTCCCCATTGTTTTGGTGATTAACATTTGGCTTCTTGTTACTTACACAAATTTCTGTAGCTGGCTTGAATTTCTCCTGAGAAAATGGGTTTTTCTTTTCTATCACATCATCAGGCTGCAAATTTTCTGAACTTCTATGCTCTGTTTTCCTTTTAAAACTGAATGCCATTAACAGTATCCAAGTCACGTCTTGAATGCTTTGCTGCTTACAGATTTCTTCCGCCAGGTACCCTAAATCATATCCCTCAAGTTCAAAGTTCCACACATCTCTAGTGCAGGGGCAAAATGCCCTTAGTATCTTTGCTAAAATATAGCAAGAGTCACCTTTGCTCCAGTTCCCAACAAGTTCCTCATCTCTATCTGAGACCACCTCAGCCTGGATTTCATTGTCCATATCACTATTAGCATTTTGGCCAAAGCCATTCAACAAGTCTCTAGGGAGTTCCAAACTTTCCCACATTTTCCTATCTTCTTCTGAGTCCTCCAAACTGTTCCAGCCTCTGCCTGTTACCCAGTTCCAAAGTTGTTTCCACATTTTTGGGTATCTTTTCAGCAGTGCCCCACTCTACTGGGACCAATTTACTGTATTAGTCATTTTTCACACTGCTGATAAAGACATACCTGAGACTGGGTAAATTATAAAGAAAAAGAGGTTTAAGGACTTACAGTTCCACATGGCTAGGGAAACCTCACAATCATGGCAGAAGGCAAGTAGCATTTCTTACATGGTGGTGGCAAGAGGAGAGCTTGTACAGGGAAACTCCTGTTTTTAAAACCATCAGATCTTGTAAGACTAATTCACTATCTGAGAACAGTGTAGGAAAGACCCACCCCTATGATTCAATCATCTCCCGCTAGGTCCCTCCCACAACACATGAGACTTATGGGAGCTACAAGATGAGATTTGGGTGGGGACACAGAGTCAAACCATATTATTCTGATTACTCTGTTTCTTGAAGGGCTCCACCCTGAGGTCAATAATCAGATTAGGAGATTGGCAAATGAAAAGTGTTACAACTACTGGATCTTCTTCTGTCTGTCTGTGTAATCATATATGTGTTATATATGTGATGTTTATATAAAAAAGAGCTCTAATTAATTGGCTTAAAGAAAAATAAGTGCTTAGATCAAATATTTTTTGAAGGAAAAATAAAAGCTGTAATGCCTTTTAGTTCATGTGACTTTAATCTTTGAGAAATAGAGGCAATTTAAAGGTAATTGGTAAAATACAAATGTCATAAAAATGTAAATATGTGGGCTGAATCATGTAGGTCAGATGCTAGATTTGCTAAATGTTTTAAGGTTGTAAACTGAACTGCTTCTTTGGCCTTTGAGAATTGTTCAACTAGCCTGCTTTACAACTTGGTAAGGCCTGGGGACATATGAAATTAACCATGCGCTTAATTATACTGGAAGTAGTCAGAGTTGAATTGGGGCCTAGTGCATAATTAAAGCAACTTATCAGATTTTACATTAAAGTTAAAAATTGCTAAGAGTTACCATTATAACACGTAATTGAGACAACTGAAAATGGATTTACATACAAGGTGTGTAAGAACTGTAAAATGTGTTTTTAGTAAAAGATTATAAGAAGGCATAGAAACGTAAGTTTTTGCCCACGGTTAAAGGATTGTTTTGAATTAGCTGAGATAAAGCTGAAGGTTTAAACAAGTTGTAGAAGGATTGTAAAAAATTAATCCTGCAAAAGAAATTTTGTGCATGAACATATTGACTAAATTCATAAGGGTATTGTATGGTTTTTCCATAAATTGTGCATTGAAATAAAAGCACAACAAAGTTCTCTTAAGGCACAAATTTGCTCTCTAGCAAAATTTGTAAAGAATTATCAGAGGTTTATAAGAATCTCACCTCATGGTCAAACTGGTAAAATTTGATAGAATTGTCTATAAGGTTTCATTAGAAAATTCGGGTTGACATTAATAGTAGACTAATGCAAGGGTAAAATTTGGCTTTCTCTCTTGAATAAGATTTTCATGTAATAGTAAAGGATAATGAAAGTTTGTTTGCTTTTTTAAAATTTGTCAATTCTTTATTGACAATTGAATTGGAGGATAAAAATCTTTCTAAGTTACTGTGATTTTTTTTAAAATTATACTTTAAGTTTTAGGGTACATGTGCACAACGTGCAGGTTAGTTACATATGTATACATGTGCCATGTTGGTGTGCTGCACCCATTAACTCATCATTTAACATTAGGTATATCTCCTAATGCTATCCCTCCCCTCTCCCCCAACCCCACAACAGGCCCCGGTGTGTGATGTTCCCCTTCCTCTGTCCATGTGTTCTCATTGTTCAATTCCCACCTACGAGTGAGAGCATGCAGTGTTTGGTTTTTTCTCCTTGTGATAGTTTGCTGAGAATGATGGTTTCCAGCTTCATCCATGTCCCTACAAAGGACATGAACTCATCATTTTTTATGGCTGCATAGTATTCCATGGTGTATATGTGCCACATTTTCTTAATCCAGTCTATCATTGTTGGACATTTGGCTTGGTTCCAAGTCTTTGCTATTGTGAATAGTGCCACAATAAACATACGTGTGCATGTGTCTTTATAGCAACATGATTTATAATCCTTTGGGTATATACCCAGTAATGGGATGGCTGGGTCAAATGGTATTTCTAGTTCTAGATCCCTGAGGAACCGACACACTGACTTCCACAATGGTTGAACTAGTTTACAGTCCCACCAACAGTGAAAAAGTGTTCCTATTTCTCCACAACCTCTCCAGCACCTGCCATTTTCTGACTTTTTAATGATCGCCATTCTAACTGGCGTGAGATGGTATCTCATTGTGGTTTTGATTTGCATTTCTCTGATGGCCAGTGATTATGAGCATTTTTTTCATAAGTTTGTTGGCTGCATAAATGTCTTCTTTTGAGAAGTATCTGTTCATATCCTTCGCCCACTTTTTGATGGGGTTGTTCTTTTCTTGTAAATTTGTTTGAGTTCATTGTAGATTCTGGATATTAGCCCTTTGTCATATGAGTAGGTTGTGAAAATTTTCTCCCATTTTGTAGGCTACCTGTTCACTCTGATGGTAGTTTCTTTTGCTGTGCAGAAGCTCTTTAGTTTAATTAGATCCCATTTGTCAATTTTGGCTTTTGTTGCCATTGCTTTTGATGTTTTAGACATGAAGTCCTTGCCCATGCCTATGTCCTGAATGGTATTGCCTAGGTTTTCTTCTAGGGTTTTAATGGTTTTAGGTCTAACGTTTAAGTCTTTAATGCATCTTGAATTGATTTTTGTATAAGGTGTAAGGAAGGGATCCAGTTTCAGCTTTCTACATATGGCTAGCCAGTTTTCCCAGTACCATTTATTAAATAGGGAATTGTTTCCCCATTTCTTGTTTTTGTCAGGTTTGTCAAAGATCAGATGGTTGTAGATATGTGGCATTATTTCTGAGGGCTCTGTTCTGTTCCATTGGTCTATATCTCTGTCTTTGTACCAGTACCATGCTGTTTTGGTGACTGTAGCCTTGCAGTATAGTTTGAAGTCAGGTAGTGTGATGCCTCCAGCTTTGTTCTTTTGGCTTAGGATTGACTTGGCGATGCGGGCTCTTTTTTGGTTCCATATGAACTTTAAAGTAGTTTTTTCCAATTCTGTGAAGAAAGTCATTGGTAGCTTGATGGGGATGGCATTGAATCTATAAATTACCTTGGGCAGTATGGCCATTTTCACGATATTGATTCTTCCTACCCATGAGCATGGAATGTTCTTCCATTTGTTTGTATCCTCTTTTATTTCCTTGAGCAGTGGTTTGTAGTTCTCCTTGAAGAGGTCCTTCACGTCCCTTGTAAGTTGGATTCCTAGGTATTTTATTCTCTTTGAAGCAATTGTGAATGGGAGTTCACTCATGATTTGGCTCTCTGTTTGTCTGTTATTGGTGTATAAGAATGCTTGTGATTTTTGCACATTGATTTTGTATCCTGAGACTTTGCTGAAGTTGCCTATCAGCTTAAGGAGATTTTGGGCTGAGAGGATGGGGTTTTCTAGATATACAATCATGTCATCTGCAAACAGGGACAATTTGACTTTCTCTTTTCTAATTGAATACCCTTTATTTCCTTCTCCTGCCTAATTGCCCTGGCCAGAACTTCCAACACTATGTTGAATAGGAGTGGTGAGAGAGGGCATCCCTGTCTTGTGCCAGTTTTCAAAGGGAATGCTTCCAGTTTTTGCCCATTCAGTATGATATTGGCTGTGGGTTTGTCATAGATAGCTCTTATTATTTTGAGATACGTCCCATCAATACCTAATTTATTGAGAGTTTTTAGCATGAAGGTTGTTGAATTTTGTCAACGGCCTTTTCTGCATCTATTGAGATAATCATGTGGTTTTTGTCGTTGGTTCTGTTTATATCCTGGATTACGTTTATTGATTTGCATATGTTGAACCAGCCTTGCATCCCAGGGATGAAGCCTACTTGATTATGGTGGATAAGCTGTTTGATGTGCTGCTAGATTTGGTTTGCCAGTATTTTATTGAGGATTTTTGCATCGATGTTCATCAGGGATATTGGTCTAAAATTCTCTTTTTTTGTTGTGTCTCTGCCAGGCTTTGGTATCAGGATGATACTGGCCTCATAAAATGAGTTAGGGAGGATTCCCTCTCTTTCTATTGATTGGAATAGTTTCAGAAGGAATGGTACCAGCTCCTCCTTATACCTCTGGTAGAATTCGGCTGTGAATCCATCTGGTCCTGGACTTTTTTTGGTTGGTATGCTATTAATTATTGCCTCAATTTCAGAGCCTGTTATTGGTCTATTCAGAGATTCAACTTCTTCCTGGTTTAGTCTTGGGAGGGTGTATGTGTCGAGGAATTTATCCATTTCTTGTAGATTTTCTAGTTTATTTGCATAGAGGTGTTTATAGTATTCTCTGATGGTAGTTTGTATTTCTGTGGGATCGGTGGTGATATCCCCTTTATCATTTTTTATTGCGTCTATTTGATTCTTCTCTCTTTTCTTCTTTATTAATCTTGCTAGCAGTCTACCAATTTTGTTGATCTTTTAAAAAAAACCACCTCCTGGATTTACTGATTTTTTGAAGGGTTTTTTGTGTCTTTATTTCCTTCAGTTCTGCTCTGATATTAGTTATTTCTTGCCTTCTGCTAGCTTTTGAATGTGTTTGCTCTTGCTTCTCTAGTTCTTTTAATTGTGATGTTAGGGTGTCAGTTTTAGATCTTTCCTGCTTTCTCTTGTGGGCATTTAGTGCTATAAATTTCCCTCTACACACTGCTTTGAATGTGCCCCAGAGATTCTGGTATGTTGTGTCTTTGTTCTGGTTGGTTTCAAAGAACATCTTTATTTCTGCCTTCATTTTGTTATGTACCCAGTAGTCATTCAGGAGCAAGTTGTTCAGTTTCCATGTAGTTGAGCGGTTTTGAGTGAGTTTCTTAATCCTGAGTTCTAGTTTGATTGCACCATGGTCTGAGAGACAGTTTGTTATAATTTCTGTTCTTTTACATTTGCTGAGGAGTGCTTTACTTCCAACTATGTGGTCAATTTTGGAATAAGTGCGGTGTGGTGCTGAGAAGAATGTATATTCTGTTGATTTGGGGTGGAGAGTTCTGTAGATGTTTATTAGGTCCACTTGGTGCAGGGTTGAGTTCAATTCCTGGATATCCTTGTTAACTTTCTGTCTCGTTGATCTGTCTAATGTTGACAGTGGGGTGTTAAAGTCTCCCATTATTATTGTGTGTGAGTCTAAGTCTCTTTGTAGGTCTCTAAGGACTTGCTTTATGAATCTGGGTACTCCTGTATTGGGTGCATATATATTCAGGATAGTTAGCTCTTCTTGTTGAATTGATCACTTTACCATTATGTAATGGCCTTCTTTGTCTCTTTTGATCTTTGTTGGTTTAAAGTCTGTTTTATCAGAGACTAGGATTGCAACCCCTGCCTTTTTTTGTTTTCCATTTGCTTGGTAGATCTTCCTCCATCCCTTTATTTTGAACCTATGTGTGTCTCTGCACGTGAGATGGGTCTCTTGTATAGAGCACAGTGATGGGTCTTGACTCTTTATCCAATTTGCCAGTCTGTGTCTTTTAATTGGAGCATTTAGCCCATTTACATTTTAGGTTAATACTGTTATTTGTGAATTTGATCCTGTCATTATGATGTTAGCTGGTTATTTTGCCCATTAATTGATGTAGTTTCTTCATAGCATTGATGGTCTTTACAATTTGGCATGTTTTTTCAGTGGCTGGTACCAGTTGTTCCTTTCCATGTTTAGTGCTTCCTTCAGGAGCTCTTGTAAGGCAGGCCTGGTGGTGACAATATCTCTCAATATTTGCTTGTCTGTAAAGGAGTTTATTTCTCCTTCACTTATGAAGCTTAGTTTGGCTGAATATGAAATTCTGGGTTGAAAATTCTTTTCTTTAAGAATGTTGAATATTGGCCCCCACTCTCTTCTGGTTTGTAGGGTTTCTGCCAAGAAATCTGCTGTTAGTCTGATGGGCTTCCCTTTGTGGGTAGCCTGAACTTTCTCTTTGGTTGTCCTTAACATTTTTTCCTTCATTTCAACCTTGGTGAATCTGACAATTATGTGTCTTGGGGTTGCTCTTCTTGAGGAGTATCTTTGTTTTTGTTTTTTTATTTTTATATTTTTTATTTTTTATTTTTTTATTTTTATTTTTATTTTTTATTGATCATTCTTGGGTGTTTCTCACAGAGGGGGATTTGGCAGGGTCATAGGACAACAGTGGAGGGAAGGTCAGCAGATAAACAAGTGAACAAAGGTCTCTGGTTTTCCTAGGCAGAGTGTGTGTGTCCCTGGGTACTTGAGATTAGGGAGTGGTGATGACTCTTAACGAGCATGCTGCCTTCAAGCATCTGTTTAACAAAACACATCTTGCACTGCCCTTAATCCATTTAACCCTGAGAGGACACAGCACATGTTTTAGAGAGCACAGGGTTGGGGGTAAGGTCATAGATCAACAGGATCCCAAGGCAGAAGAATTTTTCTTAGTACAGAACAAAATGAAAAGTCTCCCATGTCTACTTCTTTCTACACAGACACAGCAACCATCCGATTTCTCAATCTTTTCCCCACCTTTCCCCCTTTTCTATTCCACAAAACCGCCATTGTCATCATGGCCCACTCTCAATGAGCTGTTGGGTACACCCCCCAGACGGGGCGGTGGCCGGGCAGAGGGGCTCCTCACTTCCCAGTAGGGGCGGCCGGGCAGAGGCGCCCCTCACCTCCCGGACGGGGCAGCTGTCCGGGCAGGGGGCTGACCCCTCCACCTCCCTCCCGGACGGGGCGGCTGGCCGGGCGGGGGGCTGACCCCCCCACCTCCCTCCCGGATGAGGCGGCTGGCCGGGCGGGGGGCTGACCCCCCCACCTCCCTCCCGGACGGGGCAGCTGGCCGGGCGGGGGGCTGACCCCCCGACCTCCCTCCCGGATGGGGCGGCTGGCCGGGCGGGGGGCTGACTCCCCCACCTCCCTCCCAGACTGGGCGGCTGGCCGGGCAGAGGGGCTCCTCACTTCCCAGTAGGGGTGGCCGGGCAGAGGCGCCCCTCACCTCCCGGACGGGGCGGCTGGCGGGTGGGGGGGCTGACCCCCCCACCTCCCTCCCGGATGGGGCGGCTGGCCGGGTCGGGGGCTGACCCCCCACCTCCCTCCCGGACGGGGAGGCTCGCCGGGTGGGGGGCTGACTCCCCCACCTCCCTCCCAGACTGGGCGGCTGGCCGGGCAGAGGGGCTCCTCACTTCCCAGTAGGGGCGGCCGGGCAGAGGCACCCCTCACCTCCCAGACGGGGTGGCTGGCCGGGTGGGGGCTGACCCCCACCTCCCTTCCGGACGGGGTGGCTGCCAGGCGGAGGGGCTCCTCACTTCTCAGACGGGGCGGTTGCCAGGTGGAGGGTCTCCTCACTTCTCAGACGGGGCGGCCGGGCAGAGACGCTCCTCACCTCCCAGACCGGGCGGTGGGGCAGAGGCGCTCCCCACATCTCAGACGATGGGCGGCCGGGCAGAGACGCTCCTCACTTCCTAGATGGGATGGCGGCCAGGCAGAGATGCTCCTCACTTTCCAGACTGGGCAGCCAGGCCGAGGGGCTCCTCACATCCCAGACGATGGGTGGCCAGGCAGAGACGCTCCTCACTTCCTAGATGGGATGGTGGCCGGGAAGAGGCGCTCCTCACTTCCTAGGTGGGATGGCGGCCAGGCAGAGATGCTCCTCACTTTCCAGACTGGGCAGCCAGGCCGAGGGGCTCCTCACATCCCAGACGATGGGCGGCCAGGCAGAGACGCTCCTCACTTCCCAGACGGGGTAGCGGCCGGGCAGAGGCTGCAATCTTGGCACTTTGGGGGGCCAAGGCAGGTGGCTGGGAGGTGGAGGTTGTAGCCGAGATCACGCCACTGCACTCCAGCCTGGGCACCATTGAGCACTGAGTTAACGAGACTCTGTCTGCAATCCCGGCACCTCGGGAGGCCGAGGCTGGCGGATCATTCGCAGTTAGGAGCTGGAGACCAGCCTGGCCAACACAGCGAAACCCCGTCTCCACCAAAAAAATACGAAAACCAGTCAGGCGTGGCGGCGCGTGCCTGCAATCGCAGGCACTCTGCAGGCTGAGGCCGGAGAATCAGGCAGGGAGGTTGCAGTGAGCCGAGACGGCAGCAGCACCGTCCAGCTTCGGCTCGGCATGAGAGGGAGACCGTGGAAAGAGAGGGAGAGGGAGAGGGGGGAGAGGGAGAGGGAGAGGGAGAGGGAGAGGGAGAGGGAGAGCGAGAGCGAGAGCGTATCTTTGTAGTGCTCTCTGTATTTCCTAAATTTGAATGTTGGCCTACCTTGCTAGGTTGGGGAAGTTCTCCCGGATAATATCCTGAGGAGTGTTTTCCAACTTGGTTCCATTCTCCCCGTCACTTTCAGGTACACCAACCAAACATAGATTTGGTCTTTTTACATAATCCCATATTTCTCAGAGGCTTTGTTTGTTTCTTTTTACTCTTTTTTCTCTAATCTTGTCTTCTCACTTTGTTGCATTAATTTCATCTTCAATCACTGCTATCCTTTCTCCCACATGATCAAATTGGCTATTGAAGCTTGTGCATGCATCACAAAGTTCTCGTGGCATGTTTTTCAGCTCCATCAGGTCATTTAAGTTCTTCTCTACACTGTGTGTTCTAGTTAGCCATTCGTCTAACCTTTTATCAAGGTTTTTAGCTTCCTTGCAATGGGTTAGAACATGCTCCTTTAACTTGGAGAAATTTGTTGTTACTGACCTTCTGAAGCCTACTTCTGTCAACTTGTCAAATTCATTCTCCATCCAGCTTTGTTCCATTGCTGGTGGGGAGCTGCGATCCTTTGGAGGATAAGAGGTGCTCTGGTTTTTAGAATTTTCAGCTTTTCTGCTCTGGTTTCTCCCCATCTTTGTGGTTTTAATCTACCTTTGGTCTTTGATGTTGTCGACCTACAGATGGGGTTTTGGTGTGGCTGTCCTTTTTGTTGATTTTGATGCTATTCCTTTCTGTTTGTTAGTTTTCCTTCTAATTGTCAGATCCCTCAGCTGCAGGTTAGTTGGAGTTTGCTGGAGGTCCACTCCAGACCCTGTTTGCCTGGGTATCACCAGCAGAAGCTGCAGAACAGCAAATACTGTAAAACAGCAAATATTGCTGCCTGATCCTTCCTCTGGAAGCTTCATCCTAGAGACACACCCACCTTTATGAGGTGTCTGTCAGCCCCTACTGGGAGGTATCTCCCAGTCAGGCTACACAGGGGTCAGGGACCCACTTGAGGAGGCAGTCTGTCAGTTCTCAGAGCTCAAACGCCATGCTGGGAGAACAACTGCTCTCTTCAGAGCTGTCAGACAGGGATGGTTAAATATGCAGAAGTTGTCTGCTGCCTTTTGTTCAGCTATGCCCTGCCCACAGAGGAGGAGTCTAGAGAAGAGGTGGTAGGCCTTGCTGAGCTGCGGTGGGCTCCACCCAGTTCGCACTTACCGGCCACTTTGCTTACCTAGTCAAGCCTCAGCAATGGCAGACACCCCTGGCCAGGCTGCAGCGTCGCAGGTCAATCTCAGACTGGTTTGCTAGCAGTAAGCAAGGCTCTGTGGGTGTGGGACCTGCTAAGCCAGGCACTGGAGGGAATCTCCTGGTTTGCAGGTTGCTAAGACCATGGGAAAAGTGCAGTATTTGGATGACAGTGTACCATTCCTCCAGATACAGTCTGTCACAGCTTCCCTTGGCTAGGAAAGGGAAATCCCCCAACCTCTTGCTTTTCCTGGGTTAGGCGATGCTTTGCCCTGCTTTGGCTCACCCTCTGTGGGCTGCACCCACTGTCCAACCAGTCCAAGTGAGACGAACGAAGTACCTCAGTTGGAAATGTAGAAATCACCCATCTTCTGTGTTGATCACGCTGGGAGCTGCAGACCAGAGCTGTTCCTATTCGGCCACCTTGGAAGTGACTCTCAATCTGCATTTCTTTTTTAAAAGCATTATTTTTAATTGATAAATTAAAATTATATGTAATTGTGTACATTGTCTTATGAAATATATATACATGTGGAATGGCTAAATTGAGTGAGTTAACGTATGCATTACTTCATATATTTATCATTTTTTTCTGTGGTGAGAACACTTAAAATCTATTCTCTTAGCAATTTTGAATACAATACATTCTAATTAACCATAATTACCATACAATAGATCCCTTTAATTTATTCCTTCTATCTAACTGAAATCTCCTATCCTTGGACCAACTTCTTCCCAACTTTCTGACCCTGTGCCCCACCCACCACCTCACCAAGCTCCTGGTAGTCACCATGTCACTTCTACTTCTATGAATTCAAATCTTTCATGTTCCACAAATATGTGAGATCATGTGGTATTTGTCTTTCTGTTCCTGGCTTATTTCACATAACACAACGTCCTCCAGGTTCATCCACGTCTTCCCAAATGACAGGATTTCCTTCTTTTTTATGGATAAATAGTATTCCATTTTGTATGTATATACCACATTTTCTTTATTCATTCATTTGTTGATGGACACTTAGATTGATTCCAAATCTCGGCTGTTGTGAATAAAGCTGCTGGGAACATGGGTGTGGTCTTTGACATACTGATTTCATTTCCTTTGGCTATATACCCAGCAATGAGATTGCTGGATCATATGGTATTCTATTTTTAATTTTTGGAGGCACTTCCACACTGTTTTCCATAATAGATATTCTAATTTAAGTTAATGTAAATTAGGAGCTTTGTGTTTCTTACCCATCTTTGTATTTCCAGTGTCTGGCCCCCAGCAGTCTGTCAATCTTTAGTTGTGGAAAGAAAGAGGGAGTGGAAGGAATTGGTGAGTTTCTATTGTTATACCGTTTGGGATTTCATTCCCTCTATCAAGTGAGTTATGAAAGTATTTCTTTTAAATTCATATGATATTTTATCCCCCAAGAGAAATTCTTGTAAATGCAATTTCCTCATCTTTCTACATAACCTTAAATAAGAAAAGAGGAGTGTGGGCCAGGATAATATGGGAGGGAAAGGTTTTAATGGAAGATTAGGGACCTCGGGGACCTACACTAACAATTGTGGAATGATTTAAACTTGCAGTTTGAAAGCCTTTTGCAATTGTTACAGCCACCAGATTAGTTAACATTATTTCTTATCTCAATTATTTCAACAGTCTCCTAGATTGTCTTCCCACCATTAGTTTTTTTTCCTACCTCCTTTCACCTTGCACATCATTTCCACAAAGATAACTCATGAAAAAAAAAGATTGTGTCACTTGCTAGTTTGAAGACCTTGACTGGCTACACATTGTTCACAAAAGTAAATAAAAAAGCCTTGAGCAAGACATCAAATACCCCTTCTAGCAGGTTTTCAAACATTAAGGAAGACATTGTTTCAAACTCTTACTTTTTTCCAGCTCTCCTCCCTTCTCATTGTTGTGTGTACTGTATACAGTATCTTTCTTCATAGCACATATTTTCATTGCTATTGTGGTAAACTGCCTTCAAGTGTTTTGGTGGAGTGATAGGTGCAAACAAATTAAGTCTTCATAACGACTATTGTGTCTGTTTAGACTCATCAGCTGGGATGGGCACTGGCTAGTCATTCATTAACAGGGTAATAATATTGTTGTACTGGTCATAAACCACTTTAATAGGATTAAGGAGCCAACCAGGTACTCTGCCAGGAATCTCTCTTGTCATATCTGAGATAATTCCATCATCCGTGATTAGTGAATTTGCATTTAAAGTCTGCTCAGTATGTTCTTACAAACAAGTGGCTATATTTCTCACTCCTCAATTTGCAAACATAGTGAGATAGTTAAGTCACTATTCCCAGAGAAGTACAGGAGCAAATAGAAAAGAAGTGAAAGAGGGGGAATGAGAATAACAAATCAGAGGTCTTTTAAAGATCATGATTCAAGACTGTCTAGCTCAAACTCCCACTTGAGGCAGGAACTCCCTCTGCAATGTGTCTGCCAAGTTGCCCCAGCTTTTCTTGATTAATTTAAGGGCTAGGAAAGCAGATTAACCTTCATAGTATGATAATAATAATAATAATAATAACTATTATTAATTATTTCACTGCATTAAAGCTCTAGTAGTTGATATTGTTATAATCCTGTCCACTCTTTGACCCCCAAAGATCCTTTTCCATCCTGAGCTGAAATCTTTGAAGGATTCCATCCACATGAAACTTGGTCTTTTTATTTCCCTCTGGTACCCCAAAGCAAAGGTCTTAATCCTCTCCTGAATGATGTCACTACTGTTCCTTTAAGAGCTCTCATGCCTTTCTCTGCCTCTCTGTTGCCATGGGGTCTCCTCAGGTGAACATCCCTGCACCATCCATCATTCCTTACAAAACCTAAGTTCCACAACCACATTGCCCTAAATGGCTTCCTTTGAACCCCTCTAAAATATGGTGTCCATACTAATAAAAATGTAAATGAAAACAATTTAAAATGACAAATTGGCAAATGTTTTTAACCAGTAATTCTCAATACTTGGGAGAGTGAGACGAGATTTGTTCAACCTTTCTTGAATGTAATTTGTGTCTCAAGAATATTACAAATATTATTACTACTTCACCCTGTACATTTCCTTATAGGAATCCATTCTTAAGAAATAATAATTGTGGGATCAAAGATTTTTGTGTAATGGTGTTTTTTACACTATTTTGCTTAAATATTCCATTCTGAACTGCTTTGTTAAGGTATAACTGGTATACAATAAACTGCACATATTTAAAGTGACAATTTGATAATTTTCTTTTTTCATTGTGGCAAAATATACAGAACATAAAATTTACCGACTTGATAAATTTTGACATATTGGAAACCTTCCTTTTTGCTCCTTCCTCCCATCATGCTCTAGACAACCACTGATCTACTTTCTGTCATGCTATTTCCTTCCTTTCTTCCTTCTTTCTTTCCTTTCTTTCCTTCTTTCTTTCTCTTTCTTTCATCTTTCTCTTTCTTTCTTTCTCTTTCTTTCTTTCATCTTTCTCTTTCTTTCTTTCTTTCTTTCTCTTTCTTTCATCTTTCTCTTTCTTTCTTTCTCTTTTTCTTTCTTTCATTATTTCTTCTCTTTTTTGAGGCAGGGTCTCATTCTGTTGCTCAGGCTGGAGTGCAGAGGCAAGGTCTTGGCTCATGGCAACCTCTGCCTCCCTGCTTCAAGCGATCATCTCACCTCAGCCTCTGGAGTAGCTGGGACCACAGACATAGGCCACCACGCCTGTCTAATTTGTGTACTTTTTTTTGTAGAGACAAGGTTTCCCCCATGTTGCCCAGGCTGGTTTCAAACTCATGTCTTCAAGGGATCTGTCCACCTCGGCCTCCCAAAGTGCTGGGATTACAGGCATGAGCCACCACCCCTTGCTATTCTTGTATTTCTGCCTATTTTTGCTTCATATAGTTTGAGGCATATATAACTTATTAGGTGTATATAACTTAGAGCTGTCATATCTTCCTAATGCATTGAACTTTTTATCATTACAAAATATTTCTATTTTTATTAATGTTTTTAAAGTCTATCTTGTTTAGTATTAAAATATAATCTTATTAGCCTTCCTTTGTTTACTGTTCATATGGTGTTTATTTTTCCATCCACTTATACACAATCTTTATTTGTCTTCATATTTTAGGTGCTTTATTGGTAAACAGCATATACCTGTATATGCATTTGTGTGCATGTGTGTGTGTGTGTTTTATCTACTCTGACAATCTGTCTTTTATTTGAAGTGTTTGGTTTATTTACATTTAATGTAATTACTGATATATTGCTGTTTAAACTTACCATATTACTCTGTGCTTCCTATTTGCTTCATCTGTTATGTGTTCCCTTTTCTCTCCTTTATTAATTTCTTTTAAATTTCATATTTTTGCCTATTCCATTTCCCCCTTAAATTAGCTTGGTAGCTGTAGCTGATACCTTGCATCATATCCTCTTATCCTACTTCAGATTTCTGCTGCGACTGTAGTAGAGAGCTCCTTCTGAGTGCAGCTTTACCTCAGGTGAACAGTATCTCATTTCCAGCACTCAATATGTATTTTTCACTTTCAGTCCCAGGGAATTCTCTGATGGCAAAAGGGAGCAAGTGCCCTAACCCTTAAAGTTTCGCAGAAGCAGTTGCTTCCCCTCTTCTGGAGGAGACTAATCTCATTTTCCCGGTAACCATAAAAAAACTCCCTCAGATGGCTGCTTCACAGGGCGATATTCACCCTTCTTGAGATTAGCTCATGCTATATGTCACTGCCTACAGACCAACAGCTTAAGAGGAGAAATAGTCTTCACCAAGATTAAATATCTTGCTTTCCAAAAGAATTTCAGGGCCCAGCTAATATGAATCAGCAGGAACCAGGAGAACATATGTGAGTATTGGAGTATATGTGGTGAAACATTGACCAGACAGGGAAGAATTTATCAACATGGTAGCACTCTCTTCTGACTCTGAATTTAGTAACCTGGAAAGGACATTTGGGGTCTATACTAGTAGCCTGCTGGAATGACTCCTTGAAGCTTGGGCATGATAAGGATTTACAATAAAAGAGGTGGTGTGGTGGCTTATGCCTGCAATCCAAGCACTTTGAGAGGATTGCTTGAGGCCAAGAGTTTGAGACCAGCTTGAAAAATATAATGAGACTCCATATCTACAAGAACATTATAAAAATTTAGTTGGGCATGGTGGTATGCACCTGTGGTCCCAGCTACTTGGGAGGCTGAGGTGGGAGGATCACGTGAGCCCAGGAGTTCAATGCTGCTGTGAGCCACTGTTATTGTGTCACTGTGCTCTAGCCTGGGTGGCAGAGCAATACACTGTCTCTAAAAAAAATACAAAGAAAAAAAGGTGGAAATGCCAGATCTGCCTTGGCAGAATATTGAGGGAGGGAGGATCAGAGGGCTTGGGGAGGTAGATTTATTATATGAGACTAGAGATCTCATCCCTTGATTATGTTGCCCAAGAGAACCCAGAGTAAACTGAATCCATTGCAATCATAAGGAATTCATTAGTAAAGTAGTAACGCACTTGGTGTTTCTGAGCACTGGTGACCATCCACTATTTAACAATAGGAGATACTGCCACAGTGCTGGGCTCCCTAAAAGCAATGATAAGATTTCAGAATATGAGAGTGCAGGTGAGGATAAGCTGGACTTAATTACTGTAATGGGATGCAGGGTCAGAGTACCAGTAGTTACCAGAGTACTTAGTGCCTTGGCAGGCAGGGATCTGTGGTGATGGCTAACAGACCATGGTGTTTCTGTTAAGAACTGTGAAGGTTCTGAGATTTTTCCCTTACATGTAAGCTAACAAACTAGTCTACCACAGTGTTGTGGATGATGACAAAGGACAAGAGACTCTTGCGTCAGGGACAAAAGGTGGTTTGTTATTCATAGTCATAGCAGGAGCCAGATTATCAGCATTCGCACTGGTTCCCAGAATACCAAATCCTACAGGATGACATGGTGAGGGCCAGTTGATATGTAAACATGCAGCAGGTTTCTGAGCTTAGAAACTTCCAATATTTTATAATGCTTGCAAGCAAACCTTTCCAACTTCTGCCCTGAAATAAGACATTGTCTTTATTTTTTTAAAAATGCCCTCTCCTCTGGAAGGAGGCATTATCTTTATTTTCCAAGGCTGTTTGCTCTACCTTCTTGAGCTGATAGTCTAAGAAAAGGCTCTCTGTGTCTCTGTTCATAAGATATGCAGAAACCTGAGACATCAGTGAATTGTCTCCTAACAATATTGACCCTTGTTTTTATAATACTATCTTCACTTGGGGCAAATTTTCCCATGAATATGCCACTCCATCAGCCAATCTGATTAACCTGACCAATAGAGCTGGGACCAAGTCTCTTTAATTTGTCCCATACAGCATTTAATTAAGGCTACTATCAACAGGACTCCAAATATCAGGAGTCCCAGAATATTGACTTCAAATCTACCTCCCTTTCTGCCCAGGCTCCTGGATTAAACCAGCTGACCAAATGCCACAAACCATCAGAATCTATCTTTGAAAGCCAAATGGCTTTTTCTTTAGGTTTCTGTGTTGACCTTTCCACTAGGCCCAAAAAGGCATTAATCTTGATTCAATAGGATGTATGAGTGATGGTACAATAGGAGTGATGGTACAGACTCTGACTTGGTCTGTAAGGAGAAAGTCTGTCATCTATAACAATCCTGGCTAGTGAGTTGAGACTGACCTGAATGCCTTTAAGGACCAAAGTGGTGTCATTGATGACATCATTTAAAGTAAGGGGTAAGTCTTGCATCATCTTTGTTTTTTTTTTTTTTTAGAAAATGTCTTATTCTGTTGCCCAGGCTGGAGTGCAGAGTAGGGTGATCTCAGCTCACTGCAACCTCGCCTTCTGGGCTCAGGTGATCCTCTCACTTCAGCCTCCCAAGTAGCTGGGACTACAGGTGTGTGCCACCATGCTCGGAAAACTTTTTGTATTTTTTTTGTAGAGATGGGGCTTTGCCACATTGTCCAGGCTGGTCTCAAACTCCTGAGCTCAAGCCATCTGCCTGCCTCAGACTCCCAAAGTGCTGGAGTTACAGACCAGAGCCACCACACCTGGCCCATCATTTCTAATTATACAACTTCCATTGTTGGAAAAACTACCAGGAGGGTGTGCATAAGAAATGCATCATTTACCCTCTGGGAAGCTTCTCCAAGTAACCAGGGGTAGTCTCATTTTTTTCTTTTTTTTTTTTTTTTTGAGATGGAATCTCACTCTGTTGCCCAGGTGGGAGTGCAGTGGCCCAATCTCAGCTCACTGCAACCTTCGCCTCCCAGGTTCTAGCGATTCTCCTGCCTCAGAGTAGTCTCATTTTTTAAAGAGATCTCCTTGGTGATCTGAAAGTTTCATAATCTGCTGGTAGTGTTTGTTTAAATGCTAGTAGGTCTCTTCTGACAACTCCTAAGATGCAACTCACTATGGTTTTTGTTGTTGTTGTTGTTTTAACAGACAGGATCTCACTCTGTTGCCCAAGCTGGAGTGCAGCAGTGCTATCATAGCTCACTGTAGCCTTAACCTCCTGGACTCAAGCAACCCTTCTGCCTCAGCCTCTGGAAGAGTTGGGACTACAGGTGAATGCCACCATGCCAGGCTAATTTTTAATTTTTCGAGGAGATGGGGTCTTGTTATGTTGCCAAGGTTGGTTTTGAACTCCTAGCTTCAAGAAATCCTCCCTCCTCAGCCCCCCAGAGTGTAGGGATTATAGGCATGAACAACCAGGCCTGGCCCACTATGTTT
Organism: Homo sapiens; assembly: GCF_000001405.40. Taxonomy (NCBI): domain Eukaryota; kingdom Metazoa; phylum Chordata; class Mammalia; order Primates; family Hominidae; genus Homo; species Homo sapiens. The sequence continues at coordinate 100,488,009 of NC_000003.12, forward strand.
TTGGGAGGGAGGCAAGTTAATGCCAAACTTCTCAAGAAGGATGGTACTGGAGATGTGCATGGCTCCCCTAGAAAGACCAGGATTGTCGACAATTGCTGGGGCCCTCAGGGGAACCCACATCAGTGGGGTTGGAGGAAGGACTACAAATGACAGTTCTTCCAGTGTGGCTTCCTGGCTAGTTGGTAAGTCTTGGGGTTCTTAGTTAAGTTAGAAAAATTGAAGCTGGTTGTTTTTGGAAAGACTGTCCGAGGGTAACCAGTCCTATCTGTCCTGTCTGTCCATGCCACTGGCTGAGTGGCATTTGTTTACCCCCAAGAGTGACTTCTCAGTCCTGACTCTGATGATGATCATCAGACTCCGATGAAGACATTCAGAGGTGTTGACAGGTGCTTGGTGTGGGAAGTATAGGAGTTGGGGCCATCCTTTGATGTTGCCAACAGTCTTCTTGGTAAGGTTAAGGGAATGGTTATCAAATTGTGGTAAGAACTATCGGATGGGGTGGCAGAACCACAGTCAGTAAAATTTAAGGTGCTTGCAACAGTTTGGGAGAGCGTCATTAAGGCATTTTCTCTGGGGAGGAAGGCTCTAAGGCAGTTCTGAAAGACAAAGTATCACTAATGTCCCTCTTTCCTCTGTATATCACAGGGTCTAATGTGTATCTTCCTCATGTGCCAGGCTTGTTGCTTTCCTTTCACCCCAGTCGTCCCCTATTCACACCAAGCCCTTTTGTCCAGAGGGCCAGGTGCAGGAAGGATAGTACATTTTGATAAGTTTATAGAGATCCCTTATGTCCACTCCTTGGGCCCACACAGGATACTATAGGAGGACTCGGTGAGCAGTGTACTCAACTCAACTCTTAAGTGTTCATTACCTTTATGATCTAGGACAAGGTCTGTCCAACAAGAGATTGCAGGTGGCTGAACCAGAATTAAGTTTGAATCCCCTAGCCTTTTGTCCAGCCTAACTCTGAAGGTCACACCAACCCAGCTGGCCTAGTGTTACCATTAAGAGAAAGAATGAAACATCATGCCCAAGAATGGTCAGGTCAGGATCCCAAATTTTCCTAACTCTCTGCTTCTTTCATCTGGAACATGACCCAGGAAGCAGCTGAGCAAGATGATCCCTTTCTGGAGAGAGTTACATCCAGTGACCAAACTAAATTGTGGTGGTCAGGAGGAGGTGAGGGAGATAGAGTCAGAAGTATTTTTTTAAACTTTTTCTTTCGAGCTAATTGTAGATGCACATGCAAGTTGTAAGAAATAATACAGAGAAAGCCTGTGTACTCATCACCCAGTTTCCCCCAATGGTAACATTCTGCAGAATTACATTATCTCAATATCTCAACAATATCCCATGGATACAGTCAAGCTATTAATAAAAATTTCCATCACCACAAAGATCCCTCATGTTGTTCTTTCATAGCCAAGCCTACTTGCCTCCTACTCCACCATCTCCTTAATACCTGGCAACCACTTATCTGCTCTTTATTTGTATAATTTTGTAACTTGAAGGATGTTGCACAAATAGAATTACAAAGTATGTATGGAAAGCATCCAGTCTTTCACATTCAGTATAAGGTCAGCTGTAGGTACTTTGGTAGGTGTTCTTTATCAAGTGTGGAAATTCCCTTCTATTCTTCTTTTTCTGAGCGTTTTTATGGTGCTGAATTTTGTCAAGTGCTTGTTCTACATTGATTGATATATTCATGCGATTTTTCTTTTCTTTAGCTTGTTCATATCAGGAATTGCATTGATCGACATTTGTTTTTTTTTTTTTTTTTGAGACAGAGTTTCACTCTGTTGCCCCATCTAGAGTGCAGTGGCAACTGCAGTCTCAACCCCCCAGGCTCAGGTGATCCTCCCACCTCAGTCCCACCTGTACCTGAGACTACAGGTGTGTGACACCATGCTGGGCTAATTTTCATATTTTGTGTAGAGATGGGGTTGTGTCCTGTTGCCCAGGCTGGTCTCAAACTTCTGGGCTCAAAGGATTCGCTGGACTTGGTCTCCCAAAGTGCTGGGATTACAGGCATGAGGCACCACGCCTGGGTTGATTGACTTTAGAATTTTGATTTTGCATCCCTGAAAAAAACTCCACTATGTTGTGGTGTATAATTATTTTTATATATTGCTGAATTCTGTTTGGTAATACGTTGTTAAAGATTTCTGCATCTTCACCTTGTTACAGCCTGGAAAAGGCGGGAGTCTAGGATTTCTACTCAGCCTCTGTTCATGTAGGAGTGAGTGGGGCCAGGGTTTTTCCTGTGGTGTTTGGCTGAAGTAGAGCCATTACTGCCTAAAAGTTTTTCTGTCTTTCTAGGCTTCCCATTTCCTGGTCCTTGACTAGAGAGAGCAGGGTTCGTTGAGACTTTTTTGTCTGTGCCTGTTGTCATTTTTGGGTTGCTGGCTTCTTCAGCTCCAAGTTTGGGGCAAAGAAACAACAGAAAGCAAGCCCAGGGAACTCAGCATCATGTCATTCCTTGGGTTCTGAGATTTCTAGCTCATCTGTCTTCTTCTCTCAACCTCTTGGAGTTTCCAATGTTGGAAAATATATGAAGTCCAGGATTTTTTGTTGTGCTTAGCAGGAGAAATGGAATACTGATGTCCACTCCATCTTCCTGAGAGCAGAAGGATTCTTTTTTTTTTTTTTTTTTTTTTTTTTTAGTGATTTTTGGTCAATATCAGATGCCTGTTGATGGTAATGAGTGTGGAGGGTTAATCAATACCTTGACTATCAGCCCACTGTTGAGCGGCTTCTGTGATAAAAAGTGCAGCATTGTGAGATTACAAATGATTCAGAAAGCTGAACACATGACACATTACTTTCAAGGGCTACATTCAAATGTTGCTCCTTTGTGGGTTTCCTTGACTGCCAGAAGGATTGGAGTGTTGTGGTTGCACTCATGTAGTGCCACTTTACTTGCTGAGCAGGCTCCTGCATTTGTGGGGGTCTTACAGAGTTATGATAACATTGCAGTCAGGTCCATTGAAATTGAGGTGTCTGACTATCCAATTGTGGCAGACAGACTTGTAGGTGGCCCCTGTGATCTCTATTCTCTGGCTTTTCAGAACCGTGGATGGCCATTGGGAGCCTAAGAGCAGTCTTTCGGAGCTAAGGGCAGCCTCTAGCTCACATCTAGAAAGAAACTGGGGAGTCAGTCCTAGAGCTGCAAAGAAATGAATTCTGTCAATGACCTGAGAAAGCTTGGAAATGATTCTTCTCCAGTAGAGCCTGCAGATGACAATGCAGCCCGGCTGACACCTTGATTGCACCCTTGTGAGAGCATAAGCAGAGGATCTAGTTTGGCCATGCCTGGACTTCCAACCTTCAGAAACTGTGCAGTGATATACATGTGTTGTACAAAGCACTAAGTTTGTGGGAATCTGTTGCGCAGCAATAGATGACAAATACACCAACAAACAAGACATTATCATTGTAGTGAAAGCTTTGGACACTCATAATAAATTCTGACCCCTGCAGGGATGGCAAATTGCAGATGAGTTTATGTATCTATGATGGAGTGCTGCAAACATATGTTTGGAGACATCTGTGGTAGGCTGGGATAGGTGCTGGGTCTTGGAGATTATTTTAATATCTATTTTATAAGGTAGTTGTAAGAATTAAATGTGATAATGCAGGTAAAAACTGTTTAATGCGGGGTCTGGTGCCTTCCCTGGCGTGCAGCCCAGTGAGTGTGGCTCTTGCCCACTTAATATTTCAATGAGGGAACGGTTCTGTCAATATGCACAAATTATAATGGCAATTGATTTGCAGATCTCTTCTTTCCTCCTCTCCTTCTAACTCACTAATCAAAAAACTGGTTAACCCTCCAACTGCTTTCCCAAGTTCAAAGCAACGTTTGGCGCAGTCCTTTCTCAATTCTCACACAACAAAGCAGTATTTCTCGGTTCCCTACAACGACCATCACTCAATACAAAAAACCAAGCAGGTCTGCCAAACCACTCTCATACCCAGTCCTGGTCATCTCCGCAGGAACAACTTCAATTCTGGTTAATAAGGACTTCAACGAAGGGTTCATTAAGGTTTTCCCTCCACCGAAAGAAAGAATACCGTCCCCAGGGAGCAGGCTCTTGGGCCCTATTATTTGCTCCCTGGAGAAAGTGAAGAGAGAGGAATCCCAAGGCGTGGCCTGAACGCCCTTTGGGGGCGTGGGCAGCCCGGAGCCCCAGCCTCTTCCACTCCAAGCACCAGGCGCGTCTTATTTTCAGCCCCCAAACGGCTACAAATCATCCGCCTTATTTTCAGCCTCCAAACGGCTACAAATCATCCTGTTTAAACAAAGCGGTCTGTCTAAAAGGAGGGGCATAACAGGGCCGGGGCAGGGGCAAGACCTGGGAGTAGGCAACCTCCCTCTCTGCCCCGAGCCGTCCCGGCCGCGCAGCCGCCGAGTGCCACATCAGCGACGGCGCTGCACTTCCACATTCCCTTAGGATGCAGCCAGCGGGCCTGAGAGAGGGGCGGGCCCGAGGCCCTCCGGAGTGGCGGGCCGCCCGGCCAATCGGCAGCAAGTGAAGAGCTGCGGCCACCAATGAGCTGGGGCTTGTGCCAGCCGCGGCCGCCGAGGCCCGTGCCCCGCGGGGGGAACAGATGAAGCACATCTGGACAGCTGTGCGGCCTCCTCGCGGGCCGACGTCAGCCGAGCACGTCCCCCACGTCCTCTCCTTCTCGCCACTTATTATTTATTCGTTTTCCCAAAGAAGCGACTAGGGACCCAAGTTTAAAAATTCCTCCCCCCACCCAATGCGAGACGTGGCCAGATCCCATCCAACACACGGTTTAATTTTCATGGGGCTCTGGGATCAAAAGAACAGAAACAGCAACAACAAAAGCCCAGCCGCTGTCTGATTTTAAGCTGGCAAAGTGGGAAAAATAAAGTGTTGAGTAAACAGACCAAGTTGGGTAAGTTTTGGATACGTGCTGGATATCATATTTCTCTTGCCGTGATCTCTATCCTGTGTCTTTTTACTGTTCTCACCAGCTTTCTCTTCATCAAGGGGAGAAAAGTAACACTTGCTGCGACAAACTGGACCCTTCGCTCCCTTCTCTTCCGTTTCACTAACATTTTAATTTAATTTTTTTGGTTTGCTATTCTTTTTTTTTTTTTTTTTTTTTTGGTGAGCTAGTTTTAAATATCCTGGGAGCAGCAATGTGACTGATATTCTGTTGTAAACCTCTAACTCCAAAATTGAATCTATTGATAAATTTATTTCTCTATTTTCTTTCTGTGAAAATACTGTGGGTATTTGTAAAGCCAAAATCGTTTTTTATCCCCAACTCTGGGACTGTTTTGATGGGAGATTGAGAAAATTATCTGATCTTTTCAGAATTAACACGTTTGCTTCTGTTAATAGGATGTCTAATATAAATTACGTAAAACCTGGGTTATGCAGGTAGTTGCTGGATTTTTCACTTAAATCTGGAGGTAGTTGCAAGCCAAATATATATCTTTTCGGTATTCTCCTATCCATAGTGGGAGACCTGAATTCCTTTATAATTGTTAAAAACAAACAAACATGTGACAGACCACTTGTGTGTTCATAAACTTATAATTGTATATATATACTATATAGTATATATGCACTATATAGTATGGTATATATACTATATACATGCTATGTATACACTATGCTATATGGTGTATATGCTCTATGTATGCTATATAGTATACTCTATATACGCTATATATTTTGTTGTTGTTGTAGTTTGTTTGTTTGTTTTTGAGACAGAGTCTCACTCTTGTCGCCAAGGCTGGAGTGCAATGGCACGATCTCGGCTTACTGGAACCTCTGCCTCCCGGGTTCAAGTGATTCTCCTGACTCAGCCTCCCAAGTAGCTGGGATTACAGATGGCTGCCACCGTGCCCAGCTAATTTTTGTATTTTTAGTAAAGACGGGGTTTCGCCATGTTGGCCAGGCTGGTCTTGAACTCCTGACCTCAGGTTATGTGCCTCCCTTGGCCTCGCAAAGTGCTGGGATTACAGATGTGAACCACTGCACCCGACCTTATAATTGTATATTAAAACAATAATTCTATCAAAATAATATAAAATTGTTATATGTACATGCTTGCAGATAGTTCCGGTATACATTACAGGATTTAGAAACAGAATGATGAAAAATATTCAGTTAAGTGAGTGGCCTGAGACCCACTCCATCTGAAACATGTATAATCCCCTCTGTTTAACCAATGTTTTGGATTTGAGACTTTTGTCATATGTTATTTACTATCATGGGAGAGCTGGATAGAATGGATCTTTAATTTCCGGCTCAGAAAGCAGTAGATGGGAATTTAGTACAATAATTAAAAGTTGCAGCCTGGGCGCGGTGGCTCACGCCTGTAATCCCAGCACTTTGGGAGGCCAAGGCAGGTTGACCATGAGGTCAGGAGATCGAAACCATCCTGGCCAACATGGTGAATCCCTGTCTCTGCTAAAAATACAAAAATTAGCTGGGTGTGGTGGTGCGCACCTGTAATCCCAGCTACTTGGGAGGCTGAGGCAAGAGAAACTCTTGAACCCAAGAGACAGAGATTGCAGTGAGCCAAGATCACGCCACTGCACTCCAGCCATCTCCAGCTCTGGTGACAGAGTGAGACTCCGTCTAAAAAAAAAAAAAATTCTAAGTGTGTTTTTGATTCAGAAAGGTAATGCATACAAAGTGGATGGAGCAGCTGAAGTGATTTGCAGGGAAGCAGGCTTAGAAGGAACAGTATTGCAGAGAAGCGATGTAAAGAGCCAGCTGGCCTGGTTCAATTTACAGCCCTACAACAGTAACTTACCTAGGGCAAGTTACTCAGCCCCCCTGTGCCTCAGCTTCCTCCTCTGTAACATGGAGAGTTTCCTCCTCTGTGGTGAGTTTCCTTCTCAGTTCCCTCATCTGTAATGTGCTAATAATAATGGCACCTACATCATGGGGTTGTCTCGAGTACTGAGTTAGCATACATTGAACACTTGGAATAGTTCTGGCCTGTAGTCCCATAGCATGTCTTTGCTGTTGTACTCACTCTTTGTTATCTTCCTTCCCAGCCTGCACTGTTGCACATCAGTTTCCCCAGCTGCCATTTTGACTTCTGCTCTAGCAACTGGTATTAACTGAGTGCTGACCACTTGCTAGCCAGCATTGTATGAGGCTATAAGGAGAGAGAGTCTTGAATGAGGAGTGAGGTAGAATTGATCTTCTTAGGAAGATCTAGAAGGTTCTGAAATGCAGGGAATAGAAAAAGGCTATCTTTTGTAGGATGGCTTCACAGAAGGGCTTGCGTTTCTGGGAATGGGTTTTGTCAAACAGTTCTGGTTTGGGAATGGGAGGAAGGGAAGGGATTATAGAGGAGCAGGAACATTTTAGGAGGAAGGAGACCTTTTGCAGGGGCAAAGGCACTATGGCTGGAAAGTGAGGAGCTATCCTGTGGATGTTGGGACATTGGGATAATCTGTGGGAGGTTAGTTGGAGGAAAGTTTGGAAAGGTGGGAGAGGTGGGAAGGGACAGCATAAATTACCTGATAAGGAAAGAGAGGCTTGGGAGGTAGATTGGTGGGGAGATGGCAAGCCGAACTGTCAGCAGTTACACAGAAGAGGTGTTTCTGGAATAATCCATCTCTGGGGTCCTGTCTTCTCTCTTGCCCAGCATTCCCTTCCCATCTGCTCCACTGCTTCTATAACCTCCATCCAGGTCCTGCAGGTTGGGTGGGTAGGGATGGGCAGTGAGTCTGTGTTTTGGAGTCATTCCATGGTGGCTGTCTTGGAGCTCTGTTTAAGTGGTCTGGTGCTCAGGGCAGTTACCCAGGCTACTTTTTGTTAACAGGCCATGCCCTAAAATCTTTGACATGGATGTGATTGTTACAACCCTCCCCATCCGCATACACGCCCATAGTGTATGCCGAGTAGCTCTTTCTCATCCTGCTGATAGAATCATCTACTCACATTTTAACACATATAACTTCATAACTTACAATTATTGAAGTAGATAAGAACTGTAATATGCACTTAAGTGGAGAGTCACTTTGGAGTTCCCTTGCTTTCTCTTCCCTGAGAGCATTGTTCTGTGGTAGAGAGGTGTGCCTGATGCTGCTGTTGACCACCTGTGTGACTTCAGGCAAGACATTGAACCCTTGTGGTCCTCCTTGCCATCATCTGTGAAATGATCTCTAGAGGCCCTTTTTCTCTCAGATAATCATTTATTCTTCTCCCCGGATCCCTGGAACAGTCCATTATTCACAGATGCCTATTTGATACATCTGCGACTAATATTTTCTGATCACTTAATACATGGAGAACGTTCTGATGATGGTCATGTCCTCCTCACATCCTCCTGTGAGGGTTGGTACCTATTTGTGTCCTGTTTTTCTAGTTGAGGAGACAAGGGCAAAGGCAGTTTAAGAAATTTGCCCAAGATTACACAGTGAACAAGTGGCAGGTGTAGAACCAGTCTAACTTTGTAGCCCGAGCCTTACCCAATAGGCTATGCTACCTTAGGTATAATACAGCTACAGCTGCTCTTCGTGTTTGTGGTGGTGATAGTTGAGAAGTACATGGAAGGAAGATCATTGGAGAAAGGGCATATTTGGAGATATTGATTTGGTAAAATTTGCCTGGCGGGGGCCAGAATATCAATGTGAATCTTGTCTATGAAATGTGCTCCATATGGAGACAGGAGACATGTGGATCTCATTGCAGGCATGCACTCTGTCTTTTCACCTTGTTTGAACAAAACCCACATAGCACCTGGTTGTCTAGCAGACACTCAATACATGTCAATTGAATGACTGTCCCCTTTGAAAAAGGAAGTTGTGACCACACTATTTTTATTTAAAAAAATAAATAGAGAGACTATGAAATGTCCCAAGACTTGTGGGAAAATGGGTCAGATGCCAGGTAAACATTCTACTTCTGCTTTTGGGGCATCTCAGTTTCTCTTTTTATTTCTGGACATGCTGTGGTTTTGGGCTAAGAACTTCTCATGGTGAATATCAATGAAGGTCTATTTTAGGTATATAGTTATTAATCATACCCATTCTGGATTTGGCATCTATCTTTTTGGGAATTCATTCCTTAAATATTTTGTGTATTGAATCAACTTTAAAATATTTGAAAAATGTTTTAGGTTGCTCTTTATCTAATGTAGTTGCTCTTTTCAGTATGGCATAGTGACTAAGCACACAGGCTTTGAAGTCAGACTGTGAGGGTTTGAATTCCAGATCTGATTCTTACCAATGTGGCCTTGAGCAAGTCACTTTCCTCTAGAAGCTTTTATTATCTGTAAAATGGGGGTACTCATATGCATTACATGAGAAAAGCCATGGAGAGCATTCAGTATATTGTCTGGCTCACAGTAAAGCCTGTACATGTAAGCAATTCCTTTTTTATTGTGGTAAAATATATAACATAAAATTTACCATCTTAACCATTTTTAAGTATACAGTTCAATGGCATTAAGTACATTCACATTGTGTGTAACCATCACCACCATCCATCTCCAGACATTTTTCATCTTCCCAAACTGAAACTTAATACTCATTAAACAATAAATCCCTGTACCCCTTACTTTGTCAGCTTCTGGAACCAATATTCTACTTGCTATTTTTATGAATTTGACTATTCTAGGTACCTCATATAAGTGGAAGTATATAATATTTATTCTTTTATGTTTAGCTTATTTCATTTAGCAAAATGTCTTCAAGTATCATCCATGTTGTGGTATGTGCCAGAATATCCTTCCTTTTTAAGGCTGAATAATATTTCATTGTATGTATATACCATCTTTTGTTTTTCCATTCATTCATTGGTAGAGGGACTTAGGTTGTTTTCACCTGTGATGATTAGTTATGTGTCAACTTGTCTAGGCCACAGTACTGAGCTATTTGGCCAAACATTATCCTAAATGTTTCTTTGAAGATATTTTTTAGTTGATGATATGGTTTGGCTTTGTGTCCCCACCCAAACCTCATCTTAAATTGTAATCCCCATAATCCACACGTGGAGAGGGAGGGACCTGGTGGGAGGTGATTGGATCATGGGGACGGTTTCCCCCATGCTGTTCTCATGATACTGAGTGAGTTCTCATGAGACCTGATGGTTTTATAAGGGACTCTTTTCCCACTTGCTTTCTCTGTTTCCTGCCACCATGTGAAGAAGGTCCTTGCTTACCCTTTGCCTTCTGCCATGATTGTAAGTTTCCTAAGCCTCCCCAGCCATGTGGAACTGTGAGTCAATTAAACCTCTTTCTTGTATGAATTACCCAGTCTTGGGTATTTCTTCATAGCAGTGTGAAAATGGAATAATACAGATGAGGTTAACATTTAAATCAGTAGACTTTGAGTATGGCCTCCATAATGTTGGTAGGCTTCATCTAATCAATTGAAGGCCTCAATAGAAAAAGATTGAATTCCACTCAAGAAGAGAGAATTCTGCCTCCAGCCTGCCTTTGAACTTGAGACTACAGCAAGTCTTCCTTGCACCTTCAGCCTGCTAGCCTACCCTGTAGGTTTTGGACTTGCTAGCCTTCACAATTGTGTGAACCAATTCTCAAAATCAATCTGTCCATGTATGTGTGTGTGTGTTTGTGTGTGTGTCCCCTGTTGGTTTTGTTTCTCTGGAGAACCCGGGCCTCTAATTAATACACCATCTTTTGGCTACTGGGAATAATGCTGCGATAAACATTGGTGTACAAATATCTATTTAAGTTTATGCTTTCAATTATTTTGGGTGTATAACCAGAAGTGGAATTATTGGATTACCCCTTATTTTTAATATTTTGAGGAACCATCCTACTGTTTTTTCACAGCAGCTGCACCATTTTATTTTACATCCCTACAGCAGTACACAAGGGTCTCAATTTCTCCACATTCTTACCAACACTTGTTATTTTCTGTTTTTAATGTAAAAAATAATAGACATCCTAATGTGTGGGAAGCATCTTGTTGTGGTTTTGATTTGCATTTCCCTAATGTTTAGTGATGTTGAACACCATTTCATGTGCTTATTGGCCATTTGTAAATCTTTTGCCCATTTTAAAATTAGGGTTTTTTTTTCGTGTGTTGTAGAAGTTCTTTACATATTCTGGATATTAATTCCCTATCAGATATATTATTTGCAGATATTTTCTTCCATTCTTCGGGTTACCTTTCCACTGAGTTGGTAGTGTCTTTTGATGCATAACAGTTTAAAATGTTGATGGTCTAATTTCTTTATTTTTTTCTTTTTTGCCTGCACTTTTGGTGTCATATCTAAGATATGATTGCCAAATTCAATGTCCTGAAGCTTTTTCCATATGCCTTCTTCTGAGAATTTTATAGTTTTAGCTCATATGTATAAGTCTTTGTTCCATTTTGAGTTAATTTTGTAAATGGCATAAGGTAATAGGTGTTCACCTTCATTCTTTTGCATGTGGATAGTTAAGCAATTCATTAATAATTTTTATCAACGATTATAATGTTTGTCTCTATGTAGATATCATAAGCATAGACATAGCCATAGTTTAAAAATATTAATTCATTCTTGACATCATTTTTCTAATTATATCTAAAGTACTGATTTTTTCTTATAGAATTACTAAAAAATTCTGTACTTGGATCAGGTGCAGTGGCTCACGCTTTTAATCCCAGCACTTTGGGAGGCTGAGGTGGGTGGATCACTTGAGGCCAGGAGTTCGAGACCAGCCTAAGCAACATAGCGAAACCCCATCTCTAGTAAAAACACAAAAATTAGCTGGGTGTGGTGGCATGTGCCTGTAATCCCAGCTACTTAGGGTCTGAGGCAGGAGAATCATTTGAGCCTGGGAGGTGGAGGCTACCGTGAGCCGAGATTGTGCCACTGCACTCCAGCCTGGGCAACAGAACAAGACAAACAAACCAACCAACCCCTACACTTTATAGCTTTTAGTATTTCCAAGAAAGAAAAACTATTCTTGTGGTCAAATGGCATTGGTGGCTGATAGCTATTTTTTTTAAAACTATTTTTACCTTTTTGTGGTGTTTAGAATTAAAAAAGCAACATCCCCATGTTGCAAAAAATTGAAATAGATTGTAGAGTCAAAAGTAATGGTTCCCCTTCTATTTACATGGTTTCTTCCCTTCCACTACTCTCCCCACAATTAAACTTTGTTAATAGTCTGCTCTATATTTTTCTAGACCTTCTCCAAGAGTCCATTCACAGGTATAGATTTAAACATAAATATTATTTTAAAATATACATGGGACCATATTTTATGCATTGTTCAGACCTTGTTTTTTTAAAAAGTCTCAGCGGTATCAAATACACACATCTCAGTCTGTCCACTGAGACCCAGAGATCTCGTGAACATACTGTGTCCTGGAGAACAGACACTAGCACTCAAGTGAAAGAATGTTCTTTTTCTATAACACGTAACAGTGGTATTGGGTTACATTTGTTGAATGAATGTTCTTTTTCTATAACACGTAACAGTGGTATTGGGTTACATTTGTTGAACGAGGCCTGTTTGCCCTGTTCCCTCTCTCTGGACTCTTGGCTCCTCTCTGTGAGCCATCAGATTGACTGTTTCCAGTCTCGTCTGACTTTCAATGTCCCTGCCAAGGACTCTCACATTCGTCTGTCTCAGAGAAAGCTCGGAAGACAACAAATCCTTTCCCGCATCCACCCATCACCGCTTCTGAGCAGCCTGGGCCCCTCTGGTGCCATCAACAATCTTGAAGTGGCAACAGGTCCAGAGGCAAATGACTCCTTCCTTCCTGCTGTTTTATGCAAAGATTGCTATCTTCTGTGGCTTAGTTTATTTCTCCTTCAAGAGAAATTTAAAAAAAATGACCAGCAAGGTGGTGCTTTCCACAGCAAGGAAGTGGGTGGTATGCCTGCACCTTTCTCCAGAATTCCTGGAATTCCAAAGGCTTAAAAACATACACAATATTTTATTAAATTCTTTTTAGTAGATGAGAAAATTGATTTTTAAAAATTATGCTTATGGAAATTGATGTTTAGAAAGGTAAACTGTACTACTTGTAAAATTCCACAGGCTTAAAAACACCTACACAATATTTTATTAAATTCTTTTTAGTAGATGAGAAAATTGATTTTTAAAAAATACGATATGCTTAAGGAAATTGATGTTTAGAAAGGTAAACTGTACTACTTGTATAGTAAGCAAAGAATATGAAAATTTGTCTGATTTTAGTTCTCTTTTCATTCAACATTCCCGTTGCCTCCGAAAGATAGCACATTGCCCTTGAGAATTCTACAGACTAGTCCTGTGGTACCTAACCAATGTACAGCTGAATTGCCTGTGGAATATTTAAAAAATACACCCATGCTTGTCCTGCCCCTGGAGATTCTAATTCAGAAGGTGTGGAGTGAGGCCAAGGCATCTGTGAAAAGCTCCCCAGAGAGCTGATGGTTGGCCTGGGTTGAGAACCATGGATCTAGTGGGAGGAGTTTCCCAGCTAAAGTTCCAAACCCTCACAGGTGAGCTGGTGTCCTTCATTGCTGATGATGCTTAGAACTGGCCTCAAGCAGTCACAGTTGGAGGAAAGCTCTACCTAAGGTCCTAATTAAAAACACATAAATTGGATGGAAACTCCTTCTTCTTGGGATGTTTACAGAGGTTACCTTTTTATCCTGTTGCCTTATTCCCATGAAAACTCACTTGTCTAACTAAGCTGAAAGGTGGAATCTTTCTCACCAATATTTGTAGAGCTCCTATTAACTTCACTTTTTTGGGAGCCAAACTTCCCTCAGTGCCGCAGTTATTTCGTGGTAGTAACATAGGTGTTTAGGAGACATCTGAATTCCCTCTCAATGACCTAAAAGTATAATTAGTCCATTTTCTGACATGAGTCAACAACTAGGGTTGCCACATAGACCCAATTCTTAGTAGAGACTGTGTCTATCTCGGACTCAGAGTTGACCACTAATTACATTTCAGTAAAAAAATATTACTTTTAATTTATCTTAAATTTCACAGAGGAAAAAGAAACCAAGGTGAAATTTAAGGAATTTCTGAACTTCAGACAAATATCTCTTGAAACAAGACACGTTAGTTCCTTAAAGATTCCTCTAAAAAATATCAAACTGTTGGGATTATTAACTACTCTCATAAAATTCAGAATACATTCTTCATATCCAAATAGACCTACATTTTATATAACTACCCTCACACTTTAAATTAAAAAAAGAAAAAGTTCCAGATCTGACTTTGATATGTCTAGGTATGGATCTTTTTTTTTTTTTTAAACACCTTTTCTCCTGATATGTCCTTTCAATTTGAGGATCCATGTCTTTCTTCATCTCAGGGAGTTTTTCACCAATTATCTAATTTTTTCTTTCTCTCTCCTTACAAACCAGGCATAATTCAGACTAATGATCATGGCAGAATGTTAAAGGCAGATTAAAAGAAACCAAAATTGAGAGCTACATCATAATAAGAAATGCATTTAGAAAAGATTTGGGGATTCTATCTGTGTATCTATCGATCTATCAATTTTTTTTTTGAGACAGGGTCCCACTCTGTTGCCCAGGCTGGGGTGCAGTGGCATGACCATAGCTCACTGCAGCTTCAACCTCTTGGGCTCAAGCCATCTTCCTGCCTCAACCTCTCATGTAACTGGGATTACAGGTGTGTGCCACTGTGCCCAGCTAACTTAATTTTGTTTTCTTTGTAAAGATGGGATCTCCCTATGTTGTCCAGGCTAGTCTTGAACTCCTGGCCTCAAGTGATCCTCCTGCTTTGGCCTCCCAAAGTGCTGGGAAAACACATGTGAGCCACTGGACCTGGTCTAAATACTTTATATTAATGAAAATTAAGTAATATTAAAAATGTTAGCAAGGAAGAAAAAAATTATAGAAAATGCTCACAGCAAAATCATGCCATGGCTAAACCTTGGGGATAAAGACCAGAGGAAGACAGAGTGAAAAGGGAGTAAAAAAGGTTGTGTAGAGGAAGAATGGGGAGTTCTCCTTCTCCTTCTTCTCCTCCTTCTCCTTCTCCTCTTCCTCCTTCTCCTCCTCCTCCTTCTCCTCCTTCTCCATCTCCTCCTCCTCCTTCTTCTTCTCCTTCTTCCTCTCTTTCTTCTCCTCCTCCTCCTCCTTCTTCCTCTTCTTCCTCTTCCTCTTCCTCTTCTTCTTTTATTGAGACACAGTTTCACTCTGTCATCCAGGCTGGAGTACAGTGGCACAATCTTGGCTCACTGCAGCCTCCGCCTACTGGGTTCAAGCGATTCTCCTGCCTCAGCCTCCCTAGTAGCTGGGACTATAGGCACACACCACCACACCCAGCTAATTTTTGTATTTTTAGTAAAGATGAGGTTCACTATGTTGGCCAGACTGGTCTTGAACTCCTGACCTCAAGTGATCCGCCCACCTCAGCCTCCCAAAGTGCTGGGATTACAGGCCTGAGCCACTGCACCTGGCCTCTCCTTGCTGCTTCTATGACTTCTTGGACAGTTTGTTTCCAGTGGGGGAGCAGACAGATGAATCAATACCTCATCCACTTGGGGCAAGTTTGGGAACTTCTCTATATAAATTAAGCCTCATTTTCCTCAACAGAAAATTGGGCCTGTTTCTCCTTCCTTCTAAATGTCATTGCAGAGGTTTCATGAAGCAATGTGTGTGATGGGACTTTGTCCAATGTAAGATACTTTGCAGAAGTGAGTGATTCTGTGACCACAATCTTGCTATGAAGCTTTTTCTTCACAGGAAGATACATGAACAACTAATGACTGAGTGACTGTTGGTTAGGTTTCAACCTCTTCTCAGGCTTCTTCTTGTTTTACCCTCATGGACAACTTGTCGGGAAGAGGCTATTATTATTCCCATTTTATTGATAAGCCCAGAGAGGTTAAGTAACTCATGCAAGGTCACACCGTGGTGAAATCAGTATTTAAATACAGGGTAGCTTCACTCCAGTGTCTGAACTGTTAACATTTATGCCATGTGTAACATTATTTTCAGGAATGAAACAATGTTATTGGTTGCCACTTTTCAGAGAATTGGCAAGTGCTCAGGTTTAATGCAGGTGGGCAGAGGCAGAGGTGTCACTGGGTGCTCTAGCCTCTGTATCCTGAACTTCCAGCTTCCTCTTACTGTCCATTTGTGATCCTGGGAGAGAGAAACACTGTCTCCTCTGTGCCTGATCCACTCTTGTTCAAGTGTCCAGCACCCTTTCCCTGAATTACTGCAAAGACCTCTCAAATTATCTGTGGTAAAGGACCATTTCCCACCCCACCCCCTGAGTCCATTGTAGCCTTATATTTTTATAAAAAAAAAAAAAAGTCTTGCTTGGATATCGCCACAATGTTAAACTACTTCAAGATATTTAAAAGCCTCTAAACACTTCATCTCAGTTCCTGTCCTTGTAGATGGTAACAGCTTGCAGACTAGGACTGGTCCACAGGGTGTGGTTGAAATAGCACTGCTGCAAGGGTCTCCTGACTTTGATTCTTTCCCCGTATAACCTATGCACCACAGAGTGGCCAGAGTGGTTCTTGAAAAATACAACTAAAAGTCACATTGTTTCCCTGGTTACACCCTCCAGTAGCTTCCTATTGCATTTAAAATAAAATCCAGATATTTACCAACGGCCCAAAAGTCCCTGGGTCATCTGGCCCTGCCTGTATCCACCCGCTTTCATCTCCTCCCTTGCCCGCTGGATATCTCCAATGCTAATGAAACATAGGTAGGCTTGGGTAAAAGTTGTTTCAAACAGGGAACACATAATAATCTGGGATGTGAGATACACTCTGTTTTGTCCTTTCCTCTACTGGATCAAGCATGGACAAGTGCTTCTATCACTTTCTTTCCAGCAGCGAGAGCCATGCCACTAATTTCTGAATGAGCAAGATGACCAAAACCAAGTCTCAGAAAAGATTTGTGCAAAACTGTGCTTATGTAGTGTAGCCTGTTGCCTCTCTGGTGAACTCAGCCTGAAGATGCCTGTATTCTGTTGAAGTCTCATACCTGCTTTTTAGACTCTTTGTTTCCTCCCCCAGAAAATGGGTCTGTCGTGGGTCGAGATGATGGAGGGGTCATTCCAAATGTTCCTGAGATTGGAGAACAAAAGGTTGACCGTGTGGTTGTTGTCACAGACTCATTGCTGGGGAGTGTGGCTACCATTGCTGCATTGGTTATTTAATGACTGAGGGGGAAACACAAATTTTGGTTAAACAATTTCCTGGTGGGTTTAGTGCTTGCTGCCCAGAGAGCCTCTTGTGTGGAGGCACCCGGGAGAGACACCCATCTCACCACGTGCTCTACCATGGCAATGAATGAGAAAGAAGCAGCTACATGGAAAATGGTTCATTTAGCAACAGACAGCCATAGTTTCTAGGAAACTGACTTCCCACTGTTCTCCCTAACATCCCCCCAACCCATGACTTTTTAATCCATTGCCTATTCCAATGATTTTTGGACTTTCAGAAGAAGATTTCATTGTCTTTTGCTAATTAATTGCCATGGCAATGGCAACAATTCTCACATTTTAGTGGCAGGAAATTTATGTTTAATAGAATGGAGAATGTGATGTAGCAAAGTGCGTCTTTGCCAAGCATCCCAGGTGATTCTGGCATAGGTGGTCCAAGGACCTTACTTTGAAAAACACTGGTTTTAAGATTGTCTGTTCTGTGTAATGATACTGGTATTGAGTGCAAAGAGTTTTAAAGAAGTTCTGTTTCTGCCCAAGATGGAGTAACAGGGCCAGATTTACCCTTTTGCCTGACACAACCAAAAATGTCAGATAAAATACATGAAATAATGATTTTTGAAACACCAGTCATCAGGTGATGAACAGCAGTAATCTCTAAGAAATAGGAGACAAAAAGGCGTACACTCGGACTGCTCCAGCTTACTGCATGGAGAGAATTTCCAGGCTGAGACTCAGGGAAAGGAACTCAAGTGCAATTCAGACTCCCAATTTGAGGAGAAGGTGTGAAGAGGCTGGGGAAACCAAGGTGGTTAGAGTTCATGGAACAGAGTACCAGGAATGAGAGAGCTGCATGGAGAGAGAGGACCCCGATAACTGCAGAGGGGGCCCTCAAGGATTCAGCATCGTACTGACCAGCACCTGTATGTGGGGAAACTACTGGAGACCTGGGGGCCAAGCTTGTGGGGGGAAGAGAACAGAGCCTGGCTCTCACCAAAGGCTGGGAATATTGCCTGTTCCTTCCAGCCAGACTGGGAAACCCATAATCCACAGGGTATTGGTAGAACAGTCAGGAGGGCCTTGCCTCAGTAGTGGGGAATAATTAGCAGTCTAGAGCACTGCTCCATATTTGCCTAATAAATCATAAAAAAGCAATTTGCAAAAGTATTAAACTGCATCTAAGTTACTTAAGCTCATCCCAGAACAGAGTTCAAGAATATTTATGGGAATAAAAAAAAAATCCGGTGCCAAACAAGGTAAAATTCACAGTATCTGACACCCCAAAATAGTAATGTAGTTTAAAGTGGAAACACACCACTCTCCCTGACTGTCCTGGAGGTGAACTTCCATGCACATTTTTGTACCCTTAAAGAGTCCAACAGTTTAAACCTTCAGTGTAACATTTTATACATAACAATCTAGAGACTGCCAAACCATGGTCTGTGTTGATATTTATCTTGGCTTCTGAGATAGCACTTCCTCTTTCATGTCTATGAGTGTTTCAGAAAATATTTTTTCTGTGTTTGACACCTTCAACCTTGCCATTGCATTATGGTAAGGTAGATTCAGCTAAGATATTGGCTAATTACATTGTGCATCCTAAGAGGTTGGAGCTAAGAGTCGTAGGTAATGGTGATGGTTGGGTGAGATGGGACAAGTTTTCTGAGGTCAATGTATGACTCAGATTCAAAGGCTTGGAGAGCAGTAAGGACCAAACCAGGCAGGCCAAGATCTTGGACAGGTCTGAGGGGGCTAGCTAAGCCAAGTTCTAGAACCAGAAGCCCTTTGGAACCCAACAGGAACATACAGAGAGTGAAGTGAGTAAAGTCTTGTTAGGACTTGGTCAAGACTAAAGAGTCAGGGTTTGTTCATTGGCAGAAGTTGGAGGCTGGGTCAGAGAGGAGTGTTCTGGGATCATGCATGGACTTACTGCTCTAGAGGTTCATAACTGAGCTCCACAATATGAGCCTGGGATGTACATTCTTCCTCTGAGATTTGGAAGGTTTTAAATTTGGTTTCCAGGCCTATTTGTCCGATTCTCTCCCATGCCCCAAATTCAACCTGACACTCTGTCATTAGGATGTCCCTAGTTAGACACTTGACTGCCAGAACAAACATGTTTTCTTCAGATTGTCTGGCACCTGGGCATTCTTTCCCACTCTGCCTATACAGAAATGTGGCTTTTCTGCATACAATTTACAAATCTTTTGGCTGCTGGAAAACACTAAGTTTCTTAAAATATTGTAGCCCAGATGAATTTGTGGGAAAGTTCCTACTTGAAGATGATCACAAGATATTACTGTTATTTGATAGAAATTTTACCTGCTCCGGGAGATGAGAATGGGACTCAAGGATTAGTCTTTGGGAAAAGTGGAAATGAGTTGATCTTTTAAAGGAGGGGGTCTTAAAATCACTTTTTCACCTAGAAAGGTTTTCAATAAATGTTCTTGGAGCTCTTTATTTTCATTCCCAATGGCTATTGTACCATGGATTGAGTAACTAGAGTTGGGATGCAGGGATGAAGAATGGATGCTAGTCAGTGTTGTCATGACCACCATGATGGTCTGGATGGCGAGAACAATTCACTTACAGTTTTTAATAATGACAAAGACAATAACACTAGAAAGTAGATAGAGTAAGTTTATACTTTAATTTCTTTCAGATCAGTATGGACTAGAGGAGCTTCTGCCCTCTCTATGTTTTCCAAAGAGAGAAAAATAGATACAGAAGAGATTAAGAGAGCATAGGAGGGGGCTTCAAGATATTTGACTAGAGACATCTGTTATTCACCTTCTCCACAAAAGAGGACCAAAACAGCAACTAGATAAGCACGATGTCAAATAGAGTATTTAAGAGAGAACACAGGAACTCAGCAGGAAAGTGACAGAAAACCTCTCAGGCATGGAAGGAGAGGAAAGCAAAGCAGCTGGCCCAGCTGAGATCGGAGCCAGGAGAGACTCCTCAGTGCAGGAAAAGGGAAGGGAGAGAGCCCCATGTTCCACATTTCCACCATGGACTACTGCAATCCTAGCTACAGAGTGCCCTTTGGCTCTCACAGACCCTGAGACTAGTATAGGAAACTTCCTGGAGCCCACACGATGGCATTGTCTCAGAGAGGGATTTCACCATGGGTCACACACATAGCCCAAGACTGAAGCAACTGCAGCGTGGTGCCCTTTCGAGAGCCCAGGCCCGACAAGACTGCATCTTGCCGTGGAGTCCAACAGCCCATGCATCTCCATATCCCTGGAGCCCCACTGACATCCCCTTACATCTACTCAGATGGTTGCAAAATACCAATGACATTCTTCACAGAAATAGAAAACACAATGCTAAAAATTGTATGGAACCAAAAAAGGACCTAAATAGCCAAATCAATAGTAAGCAAAAAGAACAAAGCTGGAGGCATCTACTACCTGGCTTCAAAATATACCACAGACCTATAGTAAGCAAAACAACATGGCATTGGTATAAAAACAGACACATAGAGAAGTGGAACAGAATAGAGAATTCAGAAATAAATCCACATATTTACAGTCAACTGATTTTCAACAAAGGCATCAAAAACATATATTGGGGAAAGGAAACCCTGTTCAATAAGTGGTGCTGGGAAAACTGGATATTCATGTGCAGAAGAATGAAACTGTCTGAATGAATAGACCCCTGTCTCTCACTATATAAAAAAAAAAAACTCAAAATGGATTAAAAACTTTAAGACCTGAAACTATAAAACTACTAGAAGACAACATAGGGGAAACACTTCAGGGCATTGGTCTAGGCAATGGTATTATGATTAAGACCTCAAAAGCACACATAACAAAAACAAAAATAGACAAGTGGGGTTATATTAAACTAGAAAGCTTCTGTATAGCAAGGGAATAAACAGAATGAAGAGACAAACTTCGAATGGAAGAAAGTATTTTTTAACTATTCATTTGACAAGGGACTAATATCCAGAATATACAACGAACTCCATCAACTTAACAGAAAAAAAATCCCATCAGATATTTCCCAAAAGAAGACATACGAATGACTAACAGGCATATGAAAAACTGCTGAATATCACTAATCATTAAAGAACTGCAAATCAAAACCACAATGAGATATTATCTCACCCCAGTTGGAATGGCTGTTATGAAAATGACCAAAAGTAATAAATGCTGGCAAGGACATGGAGAAAAGAGAACTCTTACACATTGTTGGTGAGAATGTAAATTAGTATAGCCATTATGGAAAACAATATGGGGGTTTCTCAAAAAAATAAATGCAGAACTACCATAGAGTCCAGCAATTTCGCTACTGGATATTTATCCAAAGGAAAAGAAATCAGTATATCAAGGGGATACCTGTACTCCCATGTTTATTGCAGCACTATTCACAATAGCCAAGGTATGGAATCAACCTAAGTGTCTATCAATGAATGAATGAATGGGTAAAGAAAATGTGGTATATAGATATACGATGAAATATTGAGGGATGGAGGAGCCAAGATGGCCAAATAGGAACAGCTCCAGTCTACAGCTCCCAGCGTGAGTGATGCAGAAGACAGGTGATTTCTGCATTTCCATCTGAGGTACCGGGTTCATCTCACTAGGGAGTGCCAGACAGTGGGTGCAGGTCAGTGGGTGCGCGCACCGTGCATGAGCTGAAGCAGGCTGAGGCATTGCCTCACTCGGGAAGTGCAAGGGGTCAGGGACTTCCCTTTCCTAGTCAAAGAAAGGGGCGACAGACGGCACCTGGAAAATCAGGTCACTCCCACCCGAATACTGCGCTTTTCCAACGGGCTTAAAAAACGGCGCACCAGGAGATTATATCCCACGCATGGCTCGGAGGGTCCTACGCCCACGGAGTCTTGCTGATTGCTAGCACAGCAGTCTGAGATCAAACTGCAAGGTGGCAGCGAGGTTGGGGGAGGAGCGCCCGCCATTGTCCAGGCTTGCTTAGGTAAACAAAGCAGCTGAGAAGCTCGAACTGGGTGGAGCCCACCACAGCTCAAGGAGGCCTGCCTGCCTCTGTAGGCTCCACCTCTGGGGGCAGGGCACAGACAAACAAAAAGACAGCAGTAACCTTTGCAGACTTAAATGTCCCTGTCTGACAGCTTTGAAGAGAGCAGTGGTTCTCCCAGCATGCAGCTGGAGATCTGAGAATGGGCAGACTGCCTCCTCAAGTGGGTCCCTGACCCCTGACCCCCGAGCAGCCTAACTGGGAGGCACCCCCCAGCAGGGGCAGACTGACACCTCACATGGCTGGGTACTCCAACAGACCTGCAGCTGAGGGTCCTGTCTGTTAGAAGGAAAACTAACAAACAGAAAAGACATCCACACCAAAAACCCATCTGTACATCACCATCATCAAAGACCAAAAGTAGATAAAACCACAAAGATGGGGAAAAAACAGAGCAGAAAAACTGGAAACTCTAAAAATCAGAGCGCCTCTCCTCCTCCAAAGGAACGCACGCAGTTCCTCACCAGCAATGGAACAAAGCTGGATGGAGAATGACTTTGACGAGCTGAGAGAAGAAGGCTTCAGATGATCAAATTACTCTGAGCTACGGGAGGACATTCAAACCAAAGTCAAAGAAGTTGAAAACTTTGAAAAAAATTTAGAAGAATGTATAACTAGAATAACCAATACAGAGAAGTGCTTAAAGGAGCTGATGGAGCTGAAAACCAAGGCTCGAGAACTACGTGAAGAATGCAGAAGCCTCAGGAGCTGATGCGATCAACTGGAAGAAAGGTTATCAGCAGTGGAAGATGAAATGAATGAAATGAAGTGAGAAGGGAAGTTTAGAGAAAAAAGAATAAAAAGAAACGAGCAAAGCCTCCAAGAAATATGGGACTATGTGAAAAGACCAAATCTACGTCTGATTGGTGTACCTGAAAGTGACAGGGAGAATGGAACCAAGTTGGAAAACACTCTTCAGGATATTATCCAGGAGAACTTCCCCAATCTAGCAAGGCAGGCCAACATTCAGATTCAGGAAATACAGAGAATGCCACAAAGATACTCCTCGAGAAGAGCAACTCCAAGACACATAATTGTCAGATTCACCAAAGTTGAAATGAAGGAAAAAATGTTAAGGGCAGCCAGAGAGAAAGGTTGGGTTACCCTCAAAGGGAAGCCCATCAGACTAACAGCGGATGTCTCGGCAGAAACTCTACGAGCCAGAAGAGAGTGGGGGCCAATATTCAACATTCTTAAAGACAAGAATTTTCAACCCAGAATTTCATATCCAGCCAAACTAAGCTTCATAAGTGAAGGAGAAATAAAATCCTTTACAGACAAGCAAATGCTGAGAGATTTTGTCACCACCAGGCCTGCCCTAAAAGAGCTCCTGAAGGAAGCGCTAAACATGGAAAGGAACAACTGGTACCAGCCGCTGCAAAATCATGCCAAAATGTAAAGACCAACGAGACTAGGAAGAAACTGCATGAACTAATGAGCAAAATAACCAGCTAACATCATAATGACAGGATCAAATTCACACATAACAATATTAACTTTAAATGTAAATGGACTAAATGCTCCAATTAAAAGACACAGACTGGCAAATTGGATAAAGAGTCAAGACCCATCAGTGTGCTGTATTCAGGAAACCCATCTCATGTGCAGAGACACACATAGGCTCAAAATAAAAGGATGGAGGAAGATCTACCGAGCAAATGGAAAACAAAAAAAGGCAGGGGTTGCAATTCTCCTCTCTGATAAAACAGACTTTAAACCAACAAAGATCAAAAAAGACAAAGAAGGCCATTACATAATGGTAAAGGGATCAATTCAACAAGAAGAGCTAACTATCCTAAATATATATGCACCCAATACAGGAGCACCCAGATTCATAAAGCAAATCCTGAGTGACCTACAAAGAGACTTAGACTCCCACACATTAATAATGGGAGACTTTAACACCCCACTGTCAACATTAGACAGATCAATGAGACAGAAAGTCAACAAGGATACCCAGGAATTGAACCCAGCTCTGCACCAAGTGGACCTAATAGACATCTGCAGAACTCTCCACCCCAAATCAACAGAATATACATTTTTTTCAGCACCACACCACACCTATTTCAAAATTGACCACATAGTTGGAAGTAAAGCACTCCTCAGCAAATGTAAAAGAACAGAAATTATAACAAACTATCTCTCAGACCACAGTGCAATCAAACTAGAACTCAGGATTAAGAATCTCACTCAAAAACACTCAACTACATGGAAACTGAACAACCTGCTCCTGAATGACTACTGGGTACATAACGAAATGAAGGCAGAAATAAAGATGTTCTTTGAAACCAACCAGAACAAAGACACAACATACCAGAATCTCTGGGGCACATTCAAAGCAGTGTGTAGAGGGAAATTTATAGCACTAAATGCCCACAAGAGAAAGGAGGAAAGATCCAAAATTGACACCCTAACATCACAATTAAAGGAACTAGAAAAGCAAGAGCAAACACATTCAAAAGCTAGCAGAAGGCAAGAAATAACTAAAATCAGAGCAGAACTGAAGGAAATAGAGACACAAAAAACCCTTCAAAAAATTAATGAATCCAGGAGCTGGTTTTTTGAAAGGATCAACAAAATTGATAGACCACTAGCAAGACTAATAAAGAAAAAAAGAGAGAAGAATCAAATAGATGCAATAAAAAATGATAAAGGGGATATCACCACTGATCCCACAGAAATACAAACTACCATCAGAGAATACTACAAACACCTCTACACAAATAAACTAGAAAATCTAGAAGAAATGGATAAATTCTTGGACACATACACTCTCCCAAGACTAAACCAGGAAGAAGTTGAATCTCTGAATAGACCAATAACAGGATCTGAAATTGTGGCAATAATCAATAGCTTACCAACCAAAAAGAGTCCAGGACCAGATGGATTCACAGCCGAATTCTACCAGAGGTACAAGGAGGAACTGGTACCATTCCTTCTGAAACTATTCCAATCAATAGAAAAAGAGGGAATCCTCCCTAACTCATTTTATGAGGCCAGTATCATCCTGATACCAAAGCCTGGCAGAGACACAACAAAAAAAGAGAATTTTAGACCAATATCCTTGATGAACATCGATGCAAAAATCCTCAATAAAATACTGGCAAACCGAATCCAGCAGCACATCTAAAAGCTTATCCACCATGATCAAGTGGGCTTCATCCCTGGGATGCAAGGCTGGTTTGATATATGCAAATCAATAAATGTAATCCAGCATATAAACAGAACCAAAGACAAAAACCACATGATTATCTCAATAGATGCAGAAAAGGCCTTTGACAAAATTCAACAACCCTTCATGCTAAAAACTCTCAATAAATTAGGTATTGATGGGACGTATCTCAAAATAATAAGAGCTATCTATGACAAACCCACAGCCAATATCATACTGAATGGGCAAAAACTGGAAGCATTCCCTTTGAAAACAGGCACAAGACAGTGATGCCCTCTCTCACCACTCCTATTCAACATAGTGTTGGAAGTTCTGGCCAGGGCAATTAGGCAGGAGAAGGAAATAAAGGGTATTCAATTAGGAAAAGAGGAAGTCAAATTGTCCCTGTTTGCAGATGACATGATTGTATATCTAGAAAACCCCATCATCTCAGCCCAAAATCTCCATAAGCTGATAAGCAACTTCAGCAAAGTCTCAGGATACAAAATCAATGTGCAAAAATCACAAGCATTCTTATACACCAATAACAGACAAACAGAGAGCCAAATCATGAATTAACTCCCATTCACAATTGCTTCAAAGAGAATAAAATACCTAGGAATCCAACTTACAAGGGATGTGAAGGACCTCTTCAAGGAGAACTACAAACCACTGCTCAAGGAAATAAAAGAGGATACAAACAAATGGAAGAACATTCCATGTTCATGGGTAGGAAGAATCAATATCGTGAAAATGGCCATACTGCCCAAGGTAATTTATAGATTCAATGCCATCCCTATCAAGCTACCAATGACTTTCTTCACAGAATTGAAAAAACTACTTTAAAGTTCATATGGAACCAAAAAAGAGCCCGCATTGCCAAGTCAATCCTAAGCCAAAAGAACAAAGCTGGAGGCATCATGCTACCTGACTTCAAACTATACTACAAGGCTACAGTCACCAAAACAGCATGGTACCGGTACCAAAACAGAGATATAGATGAATGGAACAGAACAGAGCCCTCAGAAATAACGCCACATATCTACAACTATCTGATCTTTGACAAACCTGAGAAAAACAAGCAATGGGGAAAGGATTCCCTATTTAATATATGGTGCTGGGAAAACTGGCTAGCCATATGTAGAAAGCTGAAACTGGATCCCTTCCTTACACCTTATACAAAAATTAATTCAAGATGGATTAAAGACTTAAACATTAGACCTAAAACCATAAAAACCCTAGAAGAAAACCTAGGCATTACCATTCAGGACATAGGCATGGGCAAGGACTTCATGTCTAAAACACCAAAAGCAATGGCAACAAAAGCCAAAATTGACAAGTGGGATCTAATTAAACTAAAGAGCTTGTGCACAGCAAAACAAACTACCATCAGAGTGAACAGGCAACCTACAAAATGGGAGAAAATGTTCGCAACCTACTCATCTGACAAAGGGCAAATATCCAGAATCTACAATGAACTCTAACAAATTTACAAGAAAAAAACAAACAACCCCATCAAAAAGTGGGCGAAGGACATGAACAGACACTTCTCAAAAGAAGACATTTATGCAGCCAAAAAACACATGAAAAAATGCTCACCATCACTGGCCATCAGAGAAATGCAAATCAAAACCACAATGAGATACCATCTCACACCAGTTAGAATGGCAATCATTAAAAAGTCAGGAAACAACAGGTGCTGGAGAGGACGTGGAGAAATAGGAACACTTTTACACTGTTGGTGGGACTGTAAACTAGTTCAACCATTGTGGAAGTCAGTGTGGCGATTCCTCAGGGATCTAGAACTAGAAATACCATTTGACCCAGCCATCCCATTACTGGGTATATACCCAAAGGACTATAAATCATGCTGCTATAAAGACACATGCACACGTATGTTTATTGTGTCATTATTCTCCAATAGCAAAGACTTGGAACCAACCCAAATGTCCAACAATGATAGACTGGATTAAGAAAATGTGGCACATATACACCATGGAATACTATGCAGCCATAAAAAATGATGAGTTCACGTGCTTTGTAGGGACATGGATGAAATTGGAAATCATCATTCTCAGTAAACTATCACAAGAACAAAAAACCAAACACCGCATATTCTCACTCATAGGTGGGAATTGAACAATGAGAACACATGGACAGAGGAAGGGGAACATCACACTCTGGGGACTGTTATGGGGTGGGGGGAGGGGGGAGGGATAGCATTGGGAGATATACCTAATGCTAGATGACGAGTTAGTGGGTGCAGCGCACCAGCATGGCACATGTATTCATATGTAACTAACCTGCACATTGTGCACATGTACCCTAAAACTTAAAGTATAATAATAAAAAAAAAAAAAGAAAAGAACTATTGAGCCACAAAAAGAATGAAATCCTGTCATTTGTAGCAACATTGATGGAACTGCAGGTCATTATGTTAAGTGAAACAAGCCAGGCACAGAAAGACAAATATTACATGTTCTTACTAATACATGAGAGCTAAAAAAGTTGATCTCAGGAAAGTAGAGAGTAGAATGGTGGTTACCAGAGGCTGGGAAGGGTGTGGGAGGAGGATGAAGAGAGGTTGGTTAA
Source organism: Homo sapiens (assembly GCF_000001405.40). Taxonomy (NCBI): domain Eukaryota; kingdom Metazoa; phylum Chordata; class Mammalia; order Primates; family Hominidae; genus Homo; species Homo sapiens. The sequence continues at coordinate 100,515,877 of NC_000003.12, forward strand.
TGGGTACAAATATACATTCATATAGAAAAATAAGTTCTAGTGTTTGATAGCACAGTGAGGTGACTATCATGAACAACAATATATTATATATTTCAAAATAGCTAGAAGAGAAGGTTTGAAATGCTCCCAATACAAAGAAATGATAAATGTTTCAGGGGTGATAGATATCCCAGATACTCTAACTTGATCATTACACATTTTATGCATGTAGCCAAATAGCACATGTACTCTGTAAATATGTACAATGATTATGTATCAGTAAAAAATGTTAAAAAGAGAGAGCATAGGTGAGAGCTCTCTGCTTTTATCTAATGAGCTCCGGACTGCCATACTCCTGGACATGATAGTAGGAAGTCTCAATCAAGGGCAAGATTATGCTTTCTGGAGAGAAATACACTGGAAACTTGATATAATCTAATTGATGTTAATTGTGATAAGTGTTGCTGGTTTTACTTTTGGCTTCATACATAGTGACTTATGTTTTGTGGTGGTAATGAGTAAAAGAGGTGGGGTGAATTGATGAAACTGCTTCTGTGCCCTGATAAGTGGCTGTGTTCTGATTGGTTCTCAGATGGGAGTTGATTTTTCTACAGGAAGAGAATTAGCTTACCATTGTGAAACCACTGAAGGCAATGTCAAGAGAAGTTTACTTTACCTCCATCGCAGTCTTATTCCCACGTCCTCACTTTTTTCTCTTCCCTTTATTTCCTTCCTTTTCTCCCCAGACTCATGATTGCCTTTCTGTCAGCAACTCTCTCCAGGTTCTCATTGACACAGAAATTGTAAAGACTCAGAAAAGGCTATGATGGGATATTTTTCCTCCTTGTTTCTGTGAATCTTATATTTGGATTGGAAATAGAATTTATATACCACCTTACGGGATCCTTCTTCAATTTTTCTGAAATTAAGAGAGCCCATTTTTTTTTTCATAATGTGTTGAAGGAAATAGTTTTTGAAAAGTTGGGAATGGAAAGAGGTCAACTGAGAGGAGATTTTTTACTTTGAGATATCCTCTCCCTGGCATGAGATGAGTCCTTGTGAAGTGAAAAGATGGGGGCTATCTTTGGAAAAACACCCATCCCTGCTCCCAGAGAGCTCTGGGCCCGCATTTTATGGAGAACAGCATCTGCTCTCACATTGAGCCTGGTTAAGCCTTTGAATTTTCCTTTGCATGTGTTCTCAATCACTGATGGTGCTGAATCATGAGGCATATTGCCAGACGTGGGAATGAAATTTTTCTTTTCTTTTCTTTTTTTTTAAGACAGAGTCTCTCTCTGTCACCCAGGCTGGAGTGCAGTGGCACAATCTGGGATTATTGCAACCTCCGCCTTCTGGGTTGAAGCGATTCTCCTGCCTTAGCCTCCTAAGTAGCTGGGATTACAGGCATGTGCCACCACGCCCGATTAATTTTTTGTATTTTTAGTAGAGACAGGGTTTCGCCATTTTGGCCAGGCTGGTCTTGAACTCCCAAAGTGCTGGGATTATAGGCATAAGCCACCGCACCCGGCTGGGAATGGAATATTCCTAATGAGGAACTTGATACTTTCTGAAAAAGTAAATTTTCAGGAAAAGCCACAGGCTTGAAGTGTATCATCTTTCCTTCATGGTTTGGCACATCCACGTAAGGGTGTAAGTTCTGTAAGTTCCTTTTCCATGTGTTAGTTAACAAATGACGTTTAGAAATATCCTCTTTCTCACTGTCCCCATGCCAAAGATCAGCCTTTCATATTTTTCCTTAATTGTCAAAGAAATATTTGAGCATCTAAGGTGATATTCTTTATTACTGTGGATGTGATTTGGGAAACAATTCTTGGAGGGCAACTCTGAGTCTGTGGTGAATAAAAAAGTGAGGATAAATGTGAATGAATATTGTTTCTGGGGTTCTCTGTGCAGCTGGAAAAATGATGAGCAAGTTAGCTTAATTAGCTGAGCATCTTCCTCTTCTTGAAAGGGCTGTGATGCTTGTGATTGGAAAAAGCCGTTCTTACGTGGCATCCTTTTAGGAAAGACTGTGGTTTAAATGGGCTTGTTTACAGGCCTCACTTTTGGGCTTACCTCCACCTCCAAGCCATCCACCATCATTAGCCACGTTTCTAAAATTAACTTATTAGAGGAACTGTTTGATTCATTAGATAAGTGGGTTTTGATTGGGCGTGGTTATGGGGTTTAGGAGGGTCTGCTGGTTAGTTCCACTGAGACCCTGAACAGTATGAAGGGGAAGGCTAGTTAAGAAGCAGAAAGAAAAAAGGAAGCCATTCTTCTCAAACATTTTGTTGGAAGTCTGCTGAAAGATTCATTTTGCTTCTGGGCCCCACAGATTGCATAGCTGGTTCTGCCTCTATGCTTTCAGGTCGCTCAAGTGTTAACAGGAGTGAGAAATTAGAATCAAGGGCCCATTTCCTCACTTTCTTCCAAGTTTCTGTATCCACATGTGCACTGTATGAAACTGCTGTCCATACTCTTGTCTTAATTGATTTAATGTTTAATCTCCTTTAACAGAAGGTTTGCAGAGGTCTCTTTTCTTCTTCTAGTACAACTTGCATACTTATTTAGAGTCTGTAGTTAAAAGGGTGATTCAGGTCTTGGCAATATGTGAAACTTCTGTCCTTTGAAAAGAAGTCATTTTTAAAATCTTGGTTTACTTTGTTTTATGGTAACAAGACAATACATCTTCTTATTTATTTCATATGTGCACTCCACACTCATTCCAGCAGGCCTTATTTCTTAAGCAAGAGACAAGAAATGGCCTTATTGACTGGCAGGTACAAGTGCTGAAACTAGCACTAATGACTGTGAATATTCATTCCTGAGTCGTATTTGTGTTCAGACTCAGGTGAGGGGTGCAGACTGGAGTGTTCGTCTATTCCCCTTGTGTGGGTTAAGATAAGCATGAGATGGTCGGCTTAGGTTGGCCCAGGTGAGAGAAGCAAAGTGATGGGTGGCCCTGTTCCCTGTGGGAGGCTTTACTTTTCCATGCTTACACACTGAACACCTAAGCTGGCTGGTCAAATAATCAAGAGGCAGACTTGGTAAAAATGTGAATAAATGAGTGTAGTTACTATATAGCCATTAAAGAAAAATCTGCTAATGGTGACTCAGTAGTGCCTCCCTGATTGTAAAGGACAATGTCTTCTGGTGAGCTGTGAGCATGTTCCATGGGTTGACAATCAGATTTACATGTCTGATGACATTAATTGCAGGGTGCTATGGGCCAGGTTTCTGAAGTTGGGTGGAGGTGGAGGCCACCGGCAGTGAGTACAACGCCCAGGGGAAGCATGTGAGTGGGAGGAAGAAAAGAGAGTTTTCTGGAGCTGTTGCAATGTGTATGCTGGTGAAATCTACTTGAGCATTAAGCAGTATCTCCCAGCATTGTTAGCTACTGAGTGGCACATCTTCAGTACGCATGATTCGTGGGGGACTCAGGCAGAGGTAAAAGTGTGGTAAGTTTTAATACTGTGTTTGCTTACTAGTTGCTTTTGACATGCATACAGGTTGTGTGTGTGTGTGTGCATGTGTGTGTGTGTGTGTGTGTGTAAAACTGACTGTAAGATGTCAAGTTTCAGCCTATTGATTTTTTTATTCCAGAAACTTTTCAGCATTACCTAAGAAGCAAAGGCTCAATTTTGGCTGCTTCATTCTTATCTCTTCTGCCACAGTTCTAACGTGCCTGATCTACTGAGACCAAGGATGACCAATGACTCAGAAGGGAAAATGGGATTTAAACACCCAAAGGTTAGTTTGGCGTTTCTGCAGTAACCTTTGGTGTGATAATGTGAAAAGAGCAAGAACTTTTGATTCATAAAGACCTAGTTTGAACCTGACTGTACCGTGTATTTATGACATTGTGCAAGTAACTTATTGTGGGTTGTGGCTGATCAAGGCAAAGTTAATACTAGCCTAATGCTGATGATTCTGTAGAAATTTTATTTCATTTTATGTTGGGATCTAGCATTGTGGGTGGATAGGAAGAGTTGATGTTGAAGATATGTGCCTTAAATGCTTCTCTTGATTTCTGTAGCATTTTCTTCCTCTGGGGCCTTCAGGAATCTGGCAGCTGAAGCGTTAGGTCTACCAGGCACTCTTTTTATCCATCCTTCCCATCCATCCATTTATCCACTCAACACTTAGGTACTGAACCACTTACTGTATGCCAGACACAGTTCTAACAGCTAAGGATTAAGCAGTGAAGAAAATAGAAAAAAAAATCCTGTATACATGGAGCTTTCATTCTAGTGAGGGAGGAATGCAATAAACAAAATAAGTCAGTAATTATGGGTATATTAAAAGGGAATGTGTTACAGGGTAAATAAAGCAGGAAAAGAGGGTAGGGTATTGAGGCAATTTTAAATAAGGTGATGAGAGCAGGTCTCATTGAGAAAGAGCTCCCCTGCAGAGCTCTGAAAACAATTTGCAGACAGTGCCTTCTTGTTATTACCAACCAGCAGTGCTCGTTGCCTTGTCTTCCTCTTGTTTATTCACTGAGGCCTCACCATTTTTGGTCCATGAAAAAAATAATTGTTTGAGAGCATAGAATATGACTTTTGGGTTTTCCCTTAGGGCTATGTTAAGATGCTAGTAGATGCTAGTTAAAGGATACCTTGGTGAGGCCCTCTTTTCCGCCCTTGCTGGGTTCTGGAAATGATACCTTCTGCTCTGTTATCCATGTGGCCTTATACATTGGGTACCTACCTGCAGAGCTTTTTGTGCATAACCTCTCTAGCCCCTCTTGTACGCCCCACACAAACCTCTGACTATGCAGCTAAGTATAGTCCCTTGTAGGGCTAGGCCTCTGCTTCTAGTCTTTTCCCTGCTTTCTTGGAGGAGCAGGCAGGCACGGGTTGCCAACCTAACTTCATGCTTTTGGATAACAGCAACCTCTGCCTTCACCATTTCCTGACCCAACATAGTGAAAGGAGAGTGTCTCATCACCAAGAAAAGCCTCTCACTTTCTCCGTCTTGGTCCAGGAGGTAGGAGAACAAAGAGGAGCAAATAAGTCAATCACATCATGGTGTCACAGCCAGGCTGGGACCTGGAAGCAACCTTTGCAGTACGAGGATGGGATCCACATCAAGAAGACACCCAGTCTTCTTTGGCCCATGATGGATCATGAGTCAGTGAATGTTTCATTAGCTTTCATGAAGGGGGATATCTGCTTTCTGGTAATTTTCAAAATGTTAAAGAACCCCTTTCGGAGCTAGGAGCAAAGTTTAGCGCGTGAAGCTCTGTGAAGGCAATGGATGCCTTTTAATTTGGGATTTAGTAGAGCTTAAATTCCCTCTGATACATCCTAAGTTCCCCAAAGGCAATGTGAATGGATGGGGTCTGGGCAATGTCTGCACCTCCAGCTGAGATGGGATACGGTAGGGTTTAGCTTTCATTTCCCCTTTCTTTTTTTTTTGAGACCGAGTTTCCAGTTGCCCAGGCTGGAGTGCAATGGTGCAATCTTGGCTCACCGCAACCTCTGCCTCCTGGGTTCAAGTGATTCTCCTGCCTCAGCTCCCAAGTAGCTGGGATTACAGGCATGCACCACCATGCCCGGCTAATTTTGTATTTTTAGTAGAGATGGGGTTTCTCCGTGTTGGTCAGGCTGGTCTCGAGTTCCCGACCTCAGGTGATCTGCCCGCCTGGGCCTTCCAACGTGCTGGGATTACAGTGTGAGCCACCACGCCCAGCCTCATTTCCTCTTTCTGATATGGATCTCAGAGGTGGCTTCTCCTTGGCTAGGAATATGACATTGCCACACCAGCTGCAGCACGTACGCACACACCCTGGGGCTTTCCACCCCACATCATTCTGTGCCAGTTGTGTTGGCCTTTTTCTGCCCACTGAGGATCTAGAGAGACAATGATGTCAGCCAGAGCTGCTGTGGCAGGTGGGGCTGTTCTGATGTCTGATCAAGTGGCCAGAGCCTCCTTGCCACATTCAGCTCCTGCCCACGTCCTCTAGGCTGGCCCCAGTACGGCTCTGGGCCACTTTCCATGACTGTGAAGTATATTTCTGCCCAGCTTAGTAGTAATGAGGAGTATTTATTTTTATACGTTTGCTTGTTGTTTCAGGTGGTAAGAGTTCTGTAGAAGCCAGGCTTTCCTAACATCCCAAGTCCTTCTTAGGCAGCATTTTGGTGCTCCAGTTATATACCTGCCCAGTTCTGTCCAATATTGAGTTCCAATCTATACTTGAAAAGACAAAGATGAACAGTAACAGGAGAGTAACTGTTGGGGGTGGGGGTAGTGGGCCCAGCTGCACTGACAATAACAATCCCTTCCCCACCCCTCCTTGGTTGTCTGTGAAGCTACTCTAAGGAGTAATTCTTCCCTGGACCATACCCTGTTGGGAAGCGAGGTGTGGAGGTGCCAGGCAGTGGTTTGGGGGGCTGACTCTGGCCCTTGACCTGTGAGTCACAGCTGTGTGGGAGATGCAGTATCAGTCCCTTGATTTGTTTGTTTTTCTGGATTGCACCTTTGTTGACAGTCTGGCACTTACTCTTGTGCATTTTGTTATTTATTTTCAATGGTGCAAGGCCCCAGTGTTCCATCCTCCTTCTGAATTCACAGAAACATCCACGCAAATAGACTGGCCTTGGCTCGGACTCACATTTGAGAGACTTCAATCTCCTTGGCCTGTCAAAATGAAGTTCTTCTTAAAAGTCCTAACTCTCTGGTGCTGGCCTATAGTCTAATCAATGCTTCCCAACCTTTTTCATGTCACAGTATACATGGACATGACATGATTTATGTAGGTGGGAGGGCTCATTCCTAGGCAGTAGGCCATCGGGGTCTGGCTACTATAGTCCTTGCCCCCTCACCCTCACCTGGCTGTTCCTGGGGCTTAGGGAAATTTGTGTTTCCCTCTGGCACACCTGTTCCCACTGGGGGCACACAGGTATGCTACAGCTAAGGTTAGAAGTTCTGGCCCAAGACCTAGCATAGACCACAATCTCAAGGTGCAACAAAGTGTCTCGTCCATAAACATCTTTGAAGATGATCCTAGAGGGTGGATGTACTTTCCCAGGATGTTGTAAGTTTGGGAGAACCAAGTTCCTGTGGTTGCGCCCATTGCTTGGTGCAGTCTGCCACCACCTGTCCTTCTAGAAGGAAGGGTAGAAGGATGCCAACACTGCATGTCCCCTGTCCCCTCCAGGCCAGCATGACCAGGATCCTTGGCTCTGTGGCCAAACTCTAATGCTTAGCACTGCTTCTTTCCATCCTACCATATTCTGGGGTTATTTCACATGACTTCCACAGGTTCCTGACCTCCCAGCTTTGCTACATCTTCTGCATCGCTTAGAACATCACTTCTTATGCAATGGTTGCAGGTGTCATAGACGTTCTGCTGATGTTGTCTGTTTGTGTTGCCGTGAACCACACCTGGATAACTGGTCTGGGTGGAATTCAGCTACTGCAAGAGTACATACTAGTCCTCTTTTAGCCCTTATGACTGTGTGGTACCAGGTGGTGGTTCTTACATTTAAACAGAGCTATGGGCTCATCCATCCATTCATTCATTTATTTACTCGTTTAACAACCCTATTCAATAAATGCTGGGTACTGGGAATATAAAGATTAAAGTCATAGTCTCTGCCTTTCAGGAGCTCACAGTGCAGTGAGGGAGATCCAAGAAGTAAACAATTATGATATGCATGAGAAATTCCATTGGGTTCTGTGGGAACACAGAAGAAGGGGAAGATTCTTGCACTTGGAGAGTGGTCAGAGGAGGTTCCCTGGCTGAGATGAGATAACTTTTAGCTTGAATCTTTTCTCCTCTTCCTCCTCCTCCTCCTTCTCTTCTTCCTCCTCCCCCTCCTTTCTCCTCCTTCTCCTTCTCCTCCTCCTCCTTTCTCCTCCTTCTCCTCCTCCTTTCTCCTCCTTCTCCTCCTCCTTCTCCTCCTCCTCCTTTCTCTTCCTTCTCCTCCTTCTTCTCCTTCTCCTCCTCCTCCTCCTTCTTCTTTTTCTTTCTTCTCTTTCTCCTTCTTATTCCTTTTTGAACAGAGTTATCTGGGATGTGTGCTAATTGAATGAAGGAAGGAAGGGAACTGCATAGAGCTAGAGAGCGGAACTTCAAGTGCCACCATTTTGTTTGGTCATAGTAGAATTCTAATGGGCAACAGTAGCTAATGAAATAAGGATCACTTAAGGAGGGAGAGGAGACCTCTACATTAGCCTGCAATAGTCAGATCATACTTTTGGAAGGAGAATGTCTGTGGGATTCACTCATAGAAACCCTGGAAAGTTTCCACTGGAGGAGAAAGAAATCTAGATGGCAAGCTGGCTTGAAGAGACTTGTTATGTGTGGCTTCTGTGAGTGCGGGAGGATGGTGGGGGAGACTGCCTTCTCTATCCTGCTTCTTTCATTCAAAAGACAGCATGATCTTGGGCAAGTGCCATGACATCTCCAAACCAGTGTCCTCATTTATAAACGTGGTTCTCATAATACCTCTCTTACCAGGGTTGATATGATAATTAAATGACATAATTTATTGTTGTATGAAAGAATCTAACATAGTAACTACTCAACAGATGTTAATTTCTTTTTCCTTCCCATGTATCTTTTTTCTCTTCCTCTTTTCCTTCTCTTTTCCCTTTCCCCTGCCTTCATACATCAGCTCTTTATTAGGTAAGTAATATTTGTCAGGCATCCTGCAAGTTTTACATTGTCCAATATGGTAGCCACGAGCCACATGTGGCTATTGAACAACTGAAATGTAGCTAGTCCCAATTGAGATGTGTTGTAAGTGTGAAATACACACAGAAGTTGGGGTAGTTAACACTCCACCTTGTCCCCACACCATTTCCAGGGCATGCTTTCCTATGCGCAGGAGACTAGAGGCATTTTGAGTCTGTGGAGGCTTTTCCTATAAAAAGCCAGTCTTTGATGGGTTTCTGAGGTGGTCTTCAATTGCTGACCAGTAAGCTCACCTTCCTTCCTGCAATGACATTTTTATAAATGACAGTCTTGCTTTTAAATTCCTAGTATGTGGTCTTAATTTCCACACAAGTCTGGAAATGTTGACTTAGTACAAAAAGAAAAAAAGGCCAGGCATGGTGGCTCACACCTGTAATCCCAGCACTTTGGGAGGCAGAAGCAGGAGGATCGCTGTGGCCAGGAGTTGGAGACAAGTCTGGGCAACATAGTGAGACCTTGTCTTTAAAAAAATAAAAAAATTAGCCGGGTGTGGCAATGTGTGCCTGTAGTCCTAGCTATTTGGGAGACTGAGGCAGGAGGATAACTTGAGTCCAGGAGTTTGAGACTGCAGTGAGCTATGACTGAGCCACTGCACTCCAACCTGGGCAACAAAGCAAGACCTTGTCTCTGAAAAAAAAAGAAAAAGAGAAAAAAATGGAATGCCAACTATCTCATTAATAATTTTTTTCTATTGAGCACATATTTAAATGACAACATTTTGGCTATATTTGGTTAAATAAAATATATTATTAAGCTTAATTTCACTGGTTTCTTTTTACTTTTAAAAATGTGGCTACTGAAAAATTAAAATTACATATGTGTCTTGCACTGTGTTTCTGTTGGGCAGCACTTTGTGGAGCTTATGTCTGATGGGGGGAAGGTAGAAAAGCAACAACAGCAACAGAAAGATATTTTAAAAATAAATGTAAAAAACAACAAATACAAAATTACACATTGTGATGCATACTGTGAAGACAAGTTTCTATGGAAAGGAAAATGAGAAGACCTAACTTCATTCAGCTGGCCCATGGAAGGCCTCGCTGAGGAAGACACATTTGTGCTGTGCCTTGAGGGAGGCTCTTCCCACAGAGTTTCCAGCCAAAAGTGGAGACAGAGCATTCCAGGTAGAGGAAACAGCCTTCCGGGGAGTATTTCTTGAGATTCCCAAACACTTGTGGTCAGCAATGGGGAGAAACAGACCCATGAAGGGTCCCCTGACTTTTCAGAGCTTGTGGTACGGGGAGACAGGCAGGACAGGCATGTGCTCTAGGCTACAGGGATGCGACAAGTAGTACTGGCTCTGGAAGCACTTTTCCTTCCTTTCTTCTCTCTGCCTCTGAAGCGTCACTGACCACAGTCCTGCCCTTGGAGGTCCCTGGGCTGGTCTGTTCTTCCTTCATGGTGGGTAGTGAATAACACTCGCATTTGTCCCTTGATTCCTTGTTCTCTCCCGCGGCTCTGACTCAGACTCACCATCTGGGAAATGAGCGTCTGCAGCAGCCACTTAACCAGTTTCCTTGCCTCCAGCGTCTTTCTCCCTTTCATATACTCTGTGTGACGCTGCCAAATTAATCTTCCTGAAATACCATTTAGCCCGTGTAACTTCCCTGATAGCACCCTGCTGCTGGCAGAGGAGCTGTGTGCTGGGAGCTTCTGGACGTCTCTCACTTTTCACCTTTACCTTTTCCTTCTATGGGCAATGACACCGTTTGCAGAGAAGCATGTTCTACTGCCAGCCTCTTTAGCTTGAGGAACTCTTAAAGTCTCATCTTCAGCCATCTTCCCATATTTCTACTCTTGCCTTGCATTTTCTTCTGGGCCAGGCATACTTGAGTCATCATTCTTTAAATGCTAAGGGCCACTACCTCCCAGGGAAGAAAGAATATTAACAACAGCTCAGGTTCTGGCATCCATCAAACTAGCTTCAAATCCCAGCTCTGCCATTAAACTAGCTGTGGGAACCTTTTCAAGAAGTCATTTATCTTTTCTAAGCCTTAGTTTTCTCATCAGTTGACACCATGAGGCTAAAAGTAATTTGTATCCCTTGGGGTTGGGTTCTTTAGATAGTACTGCAGATAGACTTAAGGCAAGTTAGCCATAAAGAACTTTGTTATTTTAGATGGAAAAAAATTATCTGCCAAAAAAATTCTAGATTTTCTTTTCTCTTTCGAAATCCATTAGTTTTAGATTGCAACAGACTGGTCACAACTCCAACAAATTAAGCTACAAAGAACAGACTGTCTTAGAGTCCCCTAAGTAATTAAGCAAGATCCTTTGCAAATTAGGAAGCTTTAAGTAGAAGGAAGAATCTAGTTCAAGGTTGGCTTTTATATTTGCAGTCACAGGCACAAAGTGAGTCCATGTGGCTATAATCATGTTTCTGAATTTTTTGGATGAAGACGTAAAAATCTCATATCCTCTATTTATGTCCGTATTTTAAAATAGGTATTTAAAATACATAAATGTAATTTAAAATTATAATATATATGCTTTTTGGGACACCACCTACATCAGGAATGACTGAGCAAGAGACCGCCTTTCTTTCTATTGATCTCTTTGGAAGATGTAGTGTGTAGCAGTTAGTCAACAAGAGAGGACTATGACACCTGGTCCAGAGTTAGTGCACAATAGATATTTGTAAAGTGAGAATAAATGAGGGTCAATAAAAAAGTATTTCAAAAACTCCCTTATGGTGACTGAAATGTCTATAGATTACTGCAGTATTTGATGACAAGACAAGAAACAAAACTCCAACAAGAGTTCAAATGTCTTGTATACTATATTTTAAAAATCTGTTCAAAGGAACAAGGTGAATATAGTGCCATCATTCTCAGCTACCCTCATGATAGTCCTTCTTACTTTGGGCCCAAGACTTTGGCCTTTTTTTTCTATTTGCTCAGAACCAGTAAAAATCTAATGATTCAGTGACTGTGGTTACAGAATGCTGGGAATTGTGATGAGGTTGGGAGAAACATTGGAAACTGTCCTTGACCAAGGGTTCCAACCTTATGAAATATGAAATAGACCTATTTTTAACATCTGAAGATTTCCAGATCTCTCTCCATCCTGTCCTGCAATTTTATTGTGGGTGTTTTAGTATCTGTTGATTGAGAAGAAAGATATACCAGTTCATGATGACCTCTTGCAATGCAACTTTGGCCGAGGAATCTTCAGTTCACCTGATGGAACCACTAACATTTTAGACCAAATTTCTAATTGTATTAATGAGGCACAGGACCACTTTTGGTTTAGGAATAGCCCGGGTATAATTCAGAAAAGCATAGGATGTTCAAATAGAGATTTGAAAATATCCAGAAGTCACAACCAAGACAACTCAGGACACCAGATAAGACTGGTGTTGCTTGAGAAATCTTCACCCTGAGCTGTTGCAGTGTTCATTACTCAATGGAAATCCCTTCACGGATCACCACATAAAATGCAGAATGCTTAGTGAAATTTGAATTTTGAATAAACAACACGTGCACTATATGGAACATACTTGTGCTCAAAAACTACCTGTTGTTTATGTGAAATTTAAATTTCACTGGGTGTTCTACACTTCTGTTGTTGCTAAGTATGGTCACTCTACCTTCAGGTGTCCACAGTGGTGCCAAGGGTTGAAGGACAGGAACTAAAAACATGGGTTGTATTCCAGCATGACTGTCAACATAGATTACTGATGCATTTTCTGGGAACCTTTCGCATCTCTAAGTCTGTAAGGCTCTATATTTGGTTTTCCCAGGGATCCTTGTTCTCCCTCAGGGGTGTGCAACCCAACCTGGGCAGTGGCAGCCCAGAAGGAAGTTGTTGATTTATTCTCTTGGTTCATTTTCATTTACTTTGAGGTTTTGTCATGAATTTGTATACCTGACCTTCTGTGAAGTGAGGGCAGAATCGAAGGTGGGGATTTCTTGGGGCTGAAGTAATGACTTTAAGGGTGAAATCAAGGGACAGAGGAGGAGGCAGGATGGAAGGAGACTTCAGCTCACTTGGACCCCTTGTTTTTTTCTGTACAGGAGTCAGAACATTTTCCGAGAAGCATGGCAGACTAGAAACTCTCCACCTTTTCTTGTCTAAATTTGAATTTAAAGGAGATTGGAATTTAGCTGCTCAGCTCTCTTTTTTTTAAACACAGTTTCCTTCTCCCTCTATAAGCTAAGTTTAAAAGAAAAGCTGGCATTGTACTGTTTTTTAAATCATTTATTTAATTTATAAATGAAATATCCTAGGATTTTAAATTCTGATTGTAGAATCAATGAATTTATTCCAAAAGCATGCAGAACACTATGACAGAGCCAAAGAAATAGCTTATTTTAATGAACATTCACATTAAAAATTCTGTTTCCATAAAGGCAGAGCAATGTAAAAAAATGACTTTCATATGAGGCCTTAAGGGTCAGATAGTTTCTGTTTTATAGGAGATTGGAAAGAAAGCACTGCAAATGAAGCTCCTATTTGTTGGATGGGCTTTTCTCTCCTACCAAGGACAAGAATTTTGAAGGTTCATTTTATAAAGTTGTATGGTGGTGAATGCCATTGTTTCCACACAAACACTCCTTTCCCCCATAAGACCTCAAATGTTTGGTTGTGCAGGGGGATTTAAAATCAGAGAACATGAAGAAATTAAAAATGAAGCAATTAGTTGTAGGCTTTAACAATTAACAGAAAAAAACCAGGGGCTAGAAGGCAGTAGCATATGAGTTTGAGAAACACTGCTTTACCTCATTCTTTCTTTCACTGGGCATTAGCTAGTCCCACACTCAGCATAGCCTTGATTCAGTCATTTAACATTTTAAAGTGCAAGCTTGGTGCTTGAATAAATAAGCAGCTCCTGGGTAGCGGGAAGAGATGGAGACTCAAAGAGGTCATCTCAGCATAGTGTGGGAGGCCATGCTGCAGCGAGGGGATGTGCAAGCGCTGTGGGGGCATAGTGGGAACAGCCTAAATCAGACTGGAAGTTCAAGATCAAGAGAAGAATCACCTCCAAGACTAGACCTTTGGGTTGTAACTGCTCCCTTGTGAGTCTTGGAGTCAAAACCTCAGATTTCTCAGGCCAGCCTTTATTTTTACTTTTATTTTTGTGATAGGGTCTCATTCTGTCACCCAGGATGGAGTGCAGTGGAGTGATCTAGCTCATTGCAACCTTTGCCTCCCAGGCTCAAGAGATTCTCCCACCTCAGCCTCCTGAGTAGTTGGGACTACAGGCACGTGCCATTATGCCTAACTTTTGTATTTTTTTGTACATATGGGGTTTCATTATGTTGCCCAGGCTGGTCTCAAACTCCTGAGCTCAAGTGATCCACATGCCTCGGTCTCCCAAAGTGCTGGGGGTTATGGGTGTGAGCCACCATGCTAGGCCAACCTTGATTTCTGATATTTTGTTCTATCAGAACAACATGTTTACGTGTACAGACCCTGTACAGAAAGACCGTGTCTCTGCTCCTTGGCTCTTCCATCTCTTTTTATCCTTCCCAACTTTTTAAATGGAAAATTTCAAGTATATATAAAAATAGAATAGTATAACATACTGATTACCCCGTTTCAACAACAATTACTAACTCATGCCAACTTTGTTTTATCTATTCTTCCATCCATTTCTCCTGTCCCCCAGATAATATTTGTATAAGTTAGGGTTCTCTAGAGAGACATAACCAAAAGGTTGTGTGTGGGATGTGGAGAGGGAGATTTAGGAATTGGCTCACACAATTTTCAGGGGCTGGCAAGTCTGAAATCTGCTGGCCTGGAGCTGGGGACCCAGAGGGTAGTTGATGTTGCAATCGCAAAACCAAAGGCAGTTTTGAGGGAGAATTCATTCATCCTAGAGAAGACCTCAGTCTTTTAAGACCTTCAACTGATTGAATGACTCCTGCCCCTCCAGCCTCCATTCACCAGTATAGAGGGTAATCTGCTTTACTCAAAGTCTACTGATTTAAATGTTAATAATATCTAAAAATATATTCACTGTAACATCTAGACTGGTCTTTGACCAAAAGCTGAGTTATGTTTTAACCAAATTGACACATAAAATTAACCATCACAATTTTGAAGCTAATCCAACTTATCACATTATTTGATCCATAATACTTTAGTATATATCTTTATAAAATAAAGATTCTTTAAAAAATGTATATGGAATACTATTAGGACCCATATGAAATTAAACATCCTGAATTATTTTTGTTTGAATTAGGATCCAGATAAAGCCCATACATTGCAATTACAGATATGACTCAGAAGTCTCTTTTGATCTGTGGATTTGTTCTTTATCTCTTTTTTGTTTTTCTTTGAGTTCATCTGTTGCAGAAACTATTTTGTCCTGTAGAATTTTGCATCATCTGGATTTTACTGATTGCATTCCCATGATATAATTTAAATGTTCCTTTGTCCCTGTGTGTCCCATAAATTAGTAATTATATAAATAGCTTGCATCACACCCAGGCTTTTTTTTTCCTGCAAAAATACATTGGGTGTATCTTGTTGAGTTGTCTCTCTTTCAGATGTCAGCAGCCTTTGATTAACATTGTTTGACTCTATTAATTTATTAGGGTATGTAAAATTCTAAATTCGATCATTTCTTCTTGCATTTATGCATTGAAATATTTCTGTAAAGAGTAATTTGCCCTCATTAATTATTTCATTATAGTTTTTCCTAATTATTTATCTCAGCGTTTCCCAAATTGGGACTGATAAACTCCTGGAAATGTGCTGACATGTTCTTTTGTGTGTGTCTGCGTGAGTGTATGTGTGTGTGTGTGTACATGGTCTGCAAGCTTTCTATTATAATAATATAACTCAGCATTTTTATCTCAATAATGATTGAGAAACATTATAAGTATATCTGGATCACCTAGATGATCATCTATTGAAGTTAAATCAATGAACTCAGAGCTGGAGTTTGCATTTGTATTTAGGATCATGAGGATAGCAAGCAGCACTGCTTTAATTATCAAGGGTTAAGGAAGAAAGAAGATGGGCTTAATATGCCAAGTCACTTTTCAGTGGCTATTAGCTTGAATAGAGAATCAACTAGAGCAATTGAATTGCTATCATGATGGTAGTAAGCAGCACTGCTTTAATTATCAAGGGTTAAGGAAGAGAGAAGATGGGCTTAATATGCCAAATAACTTTTCAGTAGTTATTGGCTTGAATAGAGAATTGAATAGAGATTTATGCCCCAATTTGGGGCATACAGTAATTACATATTCTGTACCAAAAAGATGATACTTTGTAGCTGTCAGTACCATAATGATGCTGGCGATTTATTTTAGCAAAAATCATTTTTTGTTATATTTGAGATGCATTCGTTTATTTGATTTTTGCTGGGTTTGTAGTTTTGCTGAATTTGTAAATTTGTTTCATTTTTACAGTTGTCCATGTAAATACTTCTACTATTTAAGAAAGTTTATAATAGAAGTGATTTGGGCCAACATACTGACTCTGAAAGAATAATTTTTTCCTTTTTTGAAGATCTTCACATTACTCAAGTTTGAGAAGTGCTGCTTTATCCCATTCTTGCTTTCATAGGACTATTAGCAAGTCTCACATTCAGCATAATTTGTCCTGTTAAGGAGTGATCTCTGCTCAGAGTACTTGGAGTCAAATGGTGTGTGCCTACAGATCAACACCCTGGAACACTCAGAGAAAAAGAGCTGTATTTATGAAAAGGTATTTTGGTGCCTCCTGCTCTCCCCGACATCATGTTAAACCAGAGAACAGAAGCACTTGGCTCCTTCTGCATCTTTGGCTGGTTCCTTGTAAGGCCTGATAACTGGAGAGTCTTAGGCTGTACCTACACATTACTGTAACAACTTTTTGGAAAGATAAAAACCAGAACAAAAGTCATCTACAGCAGGCTTTTCCGGCTTTAATGTACTTAACAGATCATTTAAAAATGCAGATTCTGAGCTCTGACTCTCTCAGGTGATGCGGCCGGCCCATATGCCATTCGTTGAGTAACCTGAGTCTAAACAACCAACTGCTTTGTCTTTATGCCATGATCGTTTTATTTTCCTAGGATAATACATAGAAAGCTGTCAGTACAGTATTTGATACAGAGCCAGCATTTGATAATTGTTCATTGTTCTTGTTATGGTTGTTATAGTTGTTACGGTGAGTTTTTGAGGCATGGAGATGAGTGGAAATGATGAAAGAGAAGATGGGAGTTTAGAGATTGACAGGCCTGAATTAAGATCCCAGCTTTGCCATTTGTAAGCTGTTTGACCTGGGCAAGTTTTTCAGCCTTTCTAAGTCTCTCTCTTGTCAAATGTTAAATGGGGAGAAAAATAGTACCTCAAGGAATCAAGAGGATGCTATGCAGCTCCTAGAGAGATGGGTATTTGATAAATGCCATTTTTCTTCCTTTGTTCCTTTTTGGACATAGACTTGGGGCTCAGTCTTGGTTCTGTGACAACACTATTGTGAGTTGCATTATAATCCCTATGAAATGCAGCTCTTTCTCATTATCTTTAAAGTGGGGATAATAATTATGATGATTAAATTAATGGGTGCATGTAAAATGTCTTGGTACATAATAGGAGCCCAGTCATTACTGGCCTCTCTCTCCCCTCCCTTCCTTCACTTAGCGATGCAGTTGGCGAGGTCAACCAAGCTTAGGCACAGCTTTAAGATAGGGGACCCATGGTTTCAATTTCAGTTGACTAGAATAATCTGGAGATCTTACAAAAGAAAAAAAAAAGATTCCCAGGCCTTACCCCAAGAGACTCTGATTTAATAGGTTCTGGGTTGGGATCAGATACCGTGCATATTTTTTATGGTTCTCCCAGATGTTTTGTATAGGCATCCAGGCTGAGAATCACGGCTCTAGTAGACAGCTAAGCCTTGATCACTATCAGATGGCTCTTAGCATTCCTCACGTCTGCACAGCACAGCACACCACACCTTTTCCACCCCCAGCTCCAGCCTTTCTGATTGTTTCTTCCTACACACTCCTGTTTTTGTGCACTCCCATGAGAATGCTGCAACTTTGCCCTTCCCTTGGCACACTGGGGTGAGCACTTCTGGAACCCATCACAACCAGGCAGGGCAGGGGAGCCTGAGCTCAGCATGCCTCCCAGCCCCACCCTTCACACTGAGACACACAGAAATCCCTTTGGGTTCCTGCCTGAGGAAGAAGACACCCCTCTGGAGAGCTTTGAGGCATTTGAAGGAGAAACAAACCTATGACATGAGGCAGTGCCTACTGTGTGGCAAGAACTTTACTTGTATTATGTCTGCTTATCCTTTATGAGGTAGTTTTATTGATATTGTCATTCTCATTTTATAGAAGAAATTGAGGCAAAGTTAAATAACATGCCCAATGTCAAGCGCACAGTGGTCTTTGTATTAGAGTAGTCTGATTCTAGAATCTGGGGTCTTAAAAAAATGACGCCTGGGTCCACTCAGACTAATTGAAGGAGAGTCTCTAGAGATTGGGCCCTATATACTGGTATTTTTTATGAGCTGTTCAAGCCAAATGTGAGACCTAGACAACACTTTGCTCTTCTGTCTCCCAGGCTGACTTGGAACCTGAGTCTATAGAGATTCCTTTTATTCCTGTTCTCTTCTTCCCCTCTTCTGTTGGCGATTTAAAAATTTTTTTGTTTTCATGCTTGTTAGAGATCCTCGGTCTGACTGTCATTCCTAAGAGGGTTGTGATAAGCTGAATAATGGCCTTCAGAGATGTCCATATTTTATTTTCTGGAAACAGATAATATGTTACCTGATGCAGCCAAAAGGATTTTGCAGACATGATTAAAGTTCAGGATTTGGGGCTGGAGAGATTATCCTGGATTATTCAGGTAGGCCCAGTGGTTCTCATAAGGAGGGAGGCAGGAGGATCGGACTCAGAAGAAGGAGATGTGGCAAAAGGAGAAGGGGTCAGAGTCAGTGAGAGAGATTTGAAGATGCCATGCTGCTGGCTTTGAAGATGGAGGAAGAGGCCTGGAACCCAGGAACACAGGAGGTATCTAGAAGCTGGAAAAGGCAAGGAAAGGGATTCTCCCCTGCAGCCCCGAGAGGGAACGTGGCCCTGCCAGCACCTTGATTCTCCATCTGTGAGACCCATTTCAGACTTCTGACCTCTAGAACTGTAAGATAATAAACTTGAGTTGTAATTAGTGGTAATTTGTTAGACCAGCAGTGGGAAATTAAACCAGGGGTATTTGGTGCTGTAGAAAGTGCACTGTCCTCCAGCACCCCAGAGAACTGGATTCCATTTCTGCACTCTACCATTCACTGGCTGTGAATAATTCTGGCAAGCCACCAGATGTCTTTAAGATAAGCTGTTTCTTCTGGGAATTAGAGCCAAGAAACCAGATGTCCTTGAGGGCAGGACTGGGCTGATGACCTCACACACCTCACAGATGCACTCCCTGCCATAGCCTTGATTCTTCTGCTCAGCTCAGCTCTGCACTTCCCAATAGGAACCACTGTTCTCGCTCCCTCAAACTGAGCCTGAGCTCTCTATCATGTTGTCCTGGGTTATTTTACCACTGGCTGAAATTATTTTGTGTGTTAACTTGTCACAGGCACTTGCTAAAATCAGGAGGCACTATTTCCTTGGCTGGGCCTTTTTTTTTTTGAGATGGAGTCTCACTCTGTCACCCAGGCTGGAGTACAGTGGTGCAATCTCGGTTCACTACAACGTCCGCTTCCCGGGTTCAAAGGATTCTCCTGCCTCAGCCTTCCGAGTAGCTGGGATTACAGGTACCATGCCTGGCTAATTTTTGTATTTTTAGTAGAGATGGGGTTTCACCATGTTGGCCAGGCTGGTTTTGAATGGCTGGGCCTATTTTTTTAAGAAATTAATTAAAAATTAACAATGAACTATAAATTTCCCAACACCAAGAGACCGAGAGACCAGAGTTATTCTGTTGGCTTTTCCCCTCCACTCCAGTCAAAATTGCACAATGTTTTGATATCACCTCATTGGCTTCAGACTCTGCTTTTGTGATTTATTTGTTTTTCACAAACTTCTCCCTGCCCTACTTCCAGTATTTGAGGGTGGACATGGGGCATTATGTCTAATTGGCCAGCTCTTTCAAAAAGGGGAGATATTCTAGACCTTTGTATGACTGTACCTAGTGCAAATATAATTGGTAGTGATGACATCCAATCATAAGTCCTTGGCCTCATATATGCATATTTAATACTAAGTCTCTTTATCCTTAGTAGTAATATTAAACCGCAAACTTGAGTGACTTTTGTGTGAAAGTTTTCTCATGGGAATTGTGCAAACTTCATTTTTTCCAAATGATGTTCTGTTTGTTCTATTAGTTGCTGTACCTTATCTTTTGAAAAAAGTGAACATGATCTTGGTTGTACTTAGTTGGATAAAATAGTTAACAGCTAAGTTTGTTACATTCTTTTTTCCTAAGAGAAAAGGGGAAAAAAAGTCTTGACGTTAAGGGGATTTCACCAAGGTTCTCCTAGAACAATGTTTCTTAACTAGTGACAAGAGTGAGAATTTGCCCCCCAGGTGACATTTATCAATATCCATAGATATTTTTGGTTGTCACATCTAGGGGGAAGGTACTGCCAGCATCTCGTAGTTAGAAGCCAAGGAGGCTACTAAACATCCTACAATGCACAGAACCCCTCACCCTGCCCCTGCACCAAGGAAGTAAAGAATTATCTGATCTTAGATGTCAATAGTGCCATTGTTGAGAAATTCCATCCTGGATCAGTGTTGCTCAAACTTTAATGTGCATATGAGTCACTTGGGGATCTGGTTAAAAAAGATTCTGATTTGATAGGTCTAGGTGGCCCATGAGAGTCTGTATTTCCAACCAGCTCCCACTTGGTGTAGCCACTGCTGGTGTGAGTGCCACAATTTGAGTTTAAATGTCCTAGAATTCTTGTTTCTTATCTGTCTTCCTACACTAAAAGATAAGTTCCATGAGAACAAAGACCTTGTCTATGTCCTGTCCGCAATGGCTAGAACTATAACTGGCATATCATAGTTGTTTAATAAATATTTGTTGAAAGCATGAATGGATCCATGGAGGAATTAAGAAATGAATAAATAAGCAGACAGGCAGGAGCACTGCTTATTCTCACACGTACCTCTGAAGAACCTTAGAGGCACTTATTCTTAAAAAAACTGAATTTCCTCTCAACAAAGCCAGAAATTCACCAACAGCTTTGCTCAGGGCATGACAGTCTTCCTCAGGTTAAAAATGGTCTCCTTTCTCTGATGTCTCACATTGTCCCTTTCGATGCAGTTCCACTGGATAGATGGTTGGGCTGATAATAGAGGGAAAAACCAGAGGCCCAAACCCTGGCCCCACACCCCAGCCTGTCCCAAGGTGAAAGGCCTAGATTCAATCATATTTGTTTGTATTTTGGCAGTAGGGGGAAGGAGGAAGTGGGGATTTTTTTTGAGATGGAGTTTTGCTGTTGTCGCCCAGGCCGGAGTGCAATGGCACGATCTCGGCTCACTACAACTTCCGCCTCCCAGGTTCAAGTGATTCTACTGCCTCAGCCTCCTGAGTAGCTGGGATTACGGGCACCCCACAACCATGCCTGGCTAATTTTTGTATTTTTAGTAGAGACGGGGTTTCACCATGTTGGCTAGGTTGGTCTCAAACTCCTGACCTCCGGTGATCCGTCCAGCTTGGCCTCCCAAAGTGCTGGGATTACAGGCATGAGCCACCATGCCTGGCCAGAATAGGTTTTTAAAGGAAAATGAGGTTAGATTGAATTTCATGGTGTAACCTCTGGGGGAAAGACGTCTTCTAGTGGGCAACAGGGAGCTGAGGGGTGGGGAGAACCGGATGCTGGTATAGTTTGTACACCTGTGAGCTTTGGGAACTCAGAGATCTATTAGCCTCAGTTGGCAAATCATTTCCTTGTTTTTGCTCTCTGGGCCTCCATTGATTGCCCTTGTCTTCCACCTTCCGCACACAAGGAAATCCAAACAAAGCCATTTTGGAATCCTATCTAGGAGTGGCTTTCCTTCCCAAGGTGGTCCCTGTGCTCTTGTAGAGAATTTGCTCAGAACCCAAAATACGCTCCAGTGTCCTCCTGAGAATTGGTTGTGTTGGGCAGAAGACAGAAAGGAGAGAGAAGAGCAGGATGACAGGAAGAGGAGTAAAGAAGAGGCAAAGAAGGCGAGGCCATAAGAACAGGGCCACAGGGCATTCTCTGTAGATTGGCCCAGGAGATAGCCAAACGTTCACACAGGTGTCATTGTCACAGAGCTCTTGACAATAGCAACTCTCTCCTTTAGAAGCTGTGATGCAAGTGAATGTGTCAGCCCTGCTGATTCAGGTGTGGTCACTGCATTTTGACTGTACATTGTTTTGTAAACTTGTCAGGCCCACTGGGTGCCTGTGACTGCGCTGAACCAAAGAGAAACTGAGAAACAGCTTTCTCGTCTGGGTTGGGAGCCAGTAGAGTAATACCGGGTTTGGGAGTCCTGCCTTTGAAGCAGTTCATCAACACTGAAGAATGTTCTGCATCTTTCCTGGGACCTATAAGGGATTCAAGATTGCTATAAGGAAAGGTCAATAGAGAGTGAGATTTGTTTGTCATCAGAATGGGTTATTAAAGCACTTGGAGGAATTTACCTTTCTGGATGTCTTCAAATAGAAACTAGATTCTTGTATTATGGGATGGTTTAAGGGCTCTCAGAGGCAGAGAGATGTATATCCCTATCATATCCCATCTTTGCTCAAAAATATTCTATTGCTTCTTATTGTTCATAGGATAAAGTTTAAATTTCTAAAACTGGCATTCAGGGTCTTCTATTATTTGGCTCTAAACCTTTCCTAGGTCTTTCTTTTTTAAAAGATAAGTTAAACACAAAACAAAACAAACAGAAAGCAGCAAACTAGGAATAGAGAACTTTCTCAACTTGATACAGAATATCTACACAAAACCTACAGCCAACATCATACTTTAGTGGTGAGAAACTAGGTGTTTTCCCCTTAAGACTGGGAACAACACAAAATGTCCCGTGTCATCACTCCTATGCCACATCCTACTGGATGTCTTAGCTAATGCAGTAATATGATAAAAGGGAATAAAAAGTATACAGACTGGGAAGGAAGAAAGAAAACTCTCTTTGTTCACAGATGGCATAATTGTTCATGTAGAAAATCCCAAACAATCAACAATAGCAGCAAAACCCTTCCTGGAACTAAGTGATTTTTAGCAATGTTTTAGGTGACAAGATTAATATATAAAAGTTAACAAAAAGATATAAAATTAAAAAAATATAAAAGTCAAATGCTTTCCTATATACCAACAATGAACAACTGGAATTCAAAATTAAAAATACAACATCATTTACATTAGCACCGAAAAGGAAAAGATTTAGATATAAATTTAATAAAATATATATAAGATCTATATGAGGAAAACCATAAACCTCTTATGCAAAAAATCAAAGATCTAAATAAATGGAGAAATATTCTATTCTGTTTATGAACAGGAAGGCTCAATATTGTTAAGATGTCATTTCTTCCCAACTGATCTATAGATTCAATGCAATCCCAGTCAAAATCCCAGCAAGTTACTTTGTGGATATTAAACTGATTCTAAAGTTTATATGGACAGACAAAGGACCCAGAATACGCCAACATGATATTGAAAGAGAAGAACAGAATCGTAGTACTGATACTACCTGACTTCAAAACTTATTTTAAAGCTTCAGTGATCAAGAAAGTATGGTGTTGGTGAAAGAACAGACACATAGGTGAATAGAAGAGAATAGATAGCCCAGAAATTTACCCACATAATACAGTCAGCTGATCTTTGACAAAGGGGCAAAGGCAATTCAGTAGTGAAAAAATAAGTCTTTTTAACAGATGGAGCTGAACAACTGTATGCCCACAGTATTAGGGTTCTCCAGAGAAACAGAACCCAATAGGATATGTATATGTATATGTATATGTATATGTATATGTATATGTATATGTATATGTATATGTATACGTATACGTATACGTATACGTATATGTGGGGAACCATTATGGGAATGGACTCACACAATTATGGAGGCCTAAGTCTGAAGGCCTGATAACTGGAAGGCCTGCTGGTATAAGCCTCAGTGTCCAAAGCCCTGAGGACCAGGAGCTCCTATGTCCAAGGGCAGGAGAAGACGGATGCCTCAGCTCAAGAAGAGACAGTGAATTCACCCTTATTCTACCTTTTTGTTCTATTCACGCCCTCCATGGATTGAATGATGCCCACCCAGGCAATCTTCTTTACTTAGTCTACCAATTCAAATGCCAATCTCTTCTGGAAATGCCCTCTCAGACACACTCAGAAATCATGTTTTACCTGCTGCCTGTGCATTTCTTAGCCCAGTCAAATTGACACATAAAATTAACCACCAAATCTACATGCAGAAAAATGAATCCAGACATAGACCTTACCTTTTTCATAAACATTAACTCAAAATGGATTATATACCTAAATGTAAAATGCAAAAGTGTAAAACTTCTAAAAGATAACAGAGGAAAATCTAGTTGCTCTTGGGTGTGGAAAAGGGTTTTAAAATAATATATCAAGAGGACAATCCATGAAAGAAAAAATATAAAAGTTAGATTTCATTAAAATTTAAAACTTCTGTTTTTTCATTCTCTTAATGGTGTCTTTCACCATTTTGAGTTAATTTTTATGGAAAAAGAAAGGTCTATGTCTAGATTCATTGTTTGAATATTAATGGTGAAAGACACCATCAAGAGAATGAAAAGACAAACCACAGACTGGGGAAAATGTTTGCAAAACATAAATCTGATAAAAGACACATATCTAAACAATATAAATGGCTCTTGAAACCCAATGACATGAAAACAACTCAATTAAAAAGTGATCTGAACAGACTTCTTATCAAAGAAGGCATACAGATAGCAAATGAGCATATTAAAAGATGCCCATCATCATATGTCATCAGGGAATTGCAAATTAAAACAACAGTGAGATACTACTATACACCTATCAGGAACGCTAAAATCCAAAATACTGACACCACAAAATGTTGATGAGAATGCGGAGAAACAAGAACTCTCATTCATTGCTAGTCGGAATGCAACATGGTACAGCTAGTTTGGAAGACAGTTTGGCAGTGTCTTACAAAGATAACATACAATTATCTAGGAGCACCATACAATTCAGAATTGTGCTCCTAGTATTTATTCAAATGAATTGATAACTAATGTCCATACAAAAACCTGCACATAAATATGAATAGCAGCTTTATTCACAATTGTCAACGATGCACAAATATATCCTTCCATATGTCTTTTTGGAGAACAATTTATTTTCTTTTGGGTATATACCCAGTAATGGAATTGCTGGGTCAAATGTTAGTTCTAAGTTCTTTGGGAAATCTCCAAATGCTTTCCACAGGAACTGAACTAATTTACATTCCCACCAGCAGTGTACAAGTGTTCCCTTTTCTACAAAGCCTTGCCAGCATCTGTTGTTTATTTGACTTTAATAATAGTCCCTCTGACTGGTATGAGATGGTATCTCATTATGGTTTTGATTTGGATATCTCTGATGATTAGTGATGTGGAACATTTTTTCATATGTCTGTTGGCCACTTGTATGTCTTCTTTTGAGAAGTGTCTGTTCATGTCTTTTGCCCACTTTTTAATGGGGTTATTTGTTTTTTGCTCATTCGATTGTTTAAGTTCCTTGTAGATTCTGGGTGTTAGACCTTTGTTGACTGAATAGTTTGTGAAAATTCGCTCCCATTCTATAGGTTGCCTGTTTACTCTGTTGGTGGTTTATTTTGCTCTGCAGAAGATCTTTAGTTTAATTAGGTCCCACTTGTTGATTTTTGTTTTTGTCGCAATTGTTTTTGGGGACTTAGTCAAAAATCCTTTATGAAGGCCAATGTCCAGAATGGTGCTTCATAGGCTTTCTTCTAGGATTCTTATAGTTTAAGGTCTTACATTTAAATCTTTAATCCATCTTGAGTCAATTGTTTTCTTTTTCTTTTCTTTTCTTTCCTTTTTTTTTTTTTTTTTTTTCTGAGACAGGGTCTCACTCCTGTCACCCAGGCTGGAGTTTGATGGCACGATCATGACTCACTGCCGCCTCACCTTCCTGGGATGAGGTGATCCTCCCACTTCAGCTTCCTGTGTAGCTGGTACTATAGGCAAGTGCCACCATGCCCAGCTAACTTTTTATATTTTTAGTAGAGACAGGGTTTTGCCATGTTGCCTAGGCTGGTCTTGAACTCCTGGGCTCGAGCAGTCTGCCCACCTAGGCCTCCCAAAGTGGAGTTAATTTTTGTATGTAGTGAAAGCTAGGGGTCAAGGTTCATTCTTCTGCATATGGCTAGCCAGCTATCCCAGCACCTTTGTTGAATTGGGAGTCCTTTCCCCTTTTAAGTCCTTTCCCCTTAGCTTATTTTTGTTGACTTTGTCAAAGATTAGATGACTGTACATGCATGTTTTATTTCTGTGTTCTCTATTTTGTTCCATCGGTCTATGTGTCTGTTTTTATACTAGCATATGCTGTTTTGGTTACTGTAGTCTTATAGTAAAGTTTGAAGTTGGTCAGATAATGTGATGTCTCTGGCTTTGTTCTTTTTGCTTAGGATTGCTTTGGCTATTTGGGTTCTTTTTTGATTCCATATGAATTTCAGAATATTATTTGCTAATTCTGTAAAAAATGACCTTGGTAGCTTGATAGGAATAGCATTGAATCTGTAGATTGCTTTGGGAAGTATGGCCATTTTAATGATATTGATTCTTCCAATCTATGAACGTGGAATGTTTTTCCATTTGTTTATGTCATCTATGATTTCATAGACATATGAATACTAGAAGGATCGTAGAAGAAAACCTAGGAAACACCATTCTGGATGTTGGCTTTGGGAAAGGATTTATGACTAAGTACCCAAAAGAAATTGCAACAAAAACAAAAATCAATAAGTGGAACCTAATTAAACTAAAGATCTTCTGCAGAGCAAAATAAACTATCAGCAGAGTAAACAGGCAACCCACAGAATGGGAGCAAATTTTCACGAACTATTCAGTCAACAAACATCTCCAAAAAGACACATGCACTCACACATTCATCACAGCACCATTCACAATAGCAAAAACATGGAACCAAGTGAGGTGCTCACTGGATTGGATAAAGAATTTGTGGTACATTTACATCATGGAATACTATGCAACCATAAAAAGGAATGAAAATCATGTTCTTTGCAGCAACATGGTTGCAGCTGGACCCATTATCCTAGGTGAATTAACATAGGTACAATAAATCAAATACCACATGTTGTCACTTATAAGTGGGAGCTAAACATTGGTAATACATGGGCATACAGATGACAATAATAGGCATTGGGGACCACTAGAGGAGGAAGGGAGGGAGGGGACAAGAGTTGAAAAACTTACTGTTGGGTACTATGCTTAGTACATGGGTGATGGAATCATTCATACCCCAAACCTCAGCATGATGCACTATACCCAGGTAACAAAGCTCCACATGTATCCACTGAATCATATATCCACTAAAATAAAAATGGAAAAATAAAAACAGTACATAAATTGCATCAAAGTTTACCACTGTTTTGCAATTTGCATTTCTCACTGAACCTAATGGTTTCAAAATTCATTCCTGTTTGTAAATATAGATATACTTCTTTTATTCAAAAATCTTTTACTGGTAGTATTATATTCTGTTGTATATATATTACATCATATTATTTATTCATTTCTCTATTGATGGATGTTCAGATTATTTCCAACTTTATGTTACTACAACCAGTTGCAGTAATGAACTTTTTTTGACATATACAAGAGAGCATGTATAGGAATTTTGGGAGAGTACACACTACACATCGAATTGCTGGATTGTGTCATATGTGCATTTTCAACTGTCCTAGCTACTGCCAAATTCTTGGCAAAGTGTAATAGTAATGCCATTTTGCACTTTTAGTAGTGTATGAGTGTTCTTGTTTCCTCATGCCCTCACCAACACTTGATATAATAGATTTTTTAAATTTTGCAATAAAATAGATGAAAAATACCTGTTTTTAATTTGGTTTTCTTTGCTTTTAGTGAATCAAGGATCTTTTCATGTGATTATTGGACAATTAGTGTTTTGCCTTGTGTTGAATTGTCTATTCTTATTTTTTACCCTTGGGGGAGCAGTTTTTCTTTTTCAAATTGATTCCTAATTAAAAAATTACATTCCCTAGTACTCATCCTTTGTCATTTATGTTTATTTCAAATATTTTTTTCTGTCTGTCATGTATTTGAAAACTTTATTTATGGTACCATTGTGGGAGAGGCATAGGGCCAAGGATGGGTATGAATCCCGGTTCCGTTACTTATCACCAGCACAACCTTGGATATTTTAGTTAATCTCTAACTGTATTTCAGTTTCTTCATCTGTAAAATGGGGGCGATAGCATTACCTATTTCAGAGGTTTGTTTTGAAGATTAAAGGAGTTAAGATGAAGAGCACTTACATAAATGAAAAGTGGTACACAGAAAGCAGTCAATAACTATTAGCTAATATTTGGACATATAGAAGTTTTAAGTGGTTTTTTTTTTTGCTATTATACAAGGTAGATTTATTTTTTTTGCTTTTGTACATGATAAAAGTTTGATTCCATCTCACATAAAATAAGATATGCAGGGATGGAGTGGTGGATCCACAGTCTTCAGGAATAAGCCTCTTTTAGGTGCACTGCTCCTATCCCCTAGATGTGAGTCTTATCTGCATAATCTGGGATAATTGCCAAAGCATTAACCATCATAACCATGTTCCAGCCTTCCAGAGAAGGAAGGGCAGAAGTGATATTTCTTCCCTTCTTTTCAATCAGCTTTACTGAAGTGTAATTTACATGCAATAAAGTTCACATCTTTTAAGAGTATAATTTGATGAGTTTGGGCAAATGTATATGGTTGTCTAATTATTGTCACGATCAATATATAGAATATTTCCATCACCTTGAAAAGTTCCCTAATGCCCTTTGCAGTCAATTCTATTCCCTTTACCTGGAGGCAACCACTGATCTGCTTTCTATCACTACAGTTTTCTCTATATTAGAATTTCATATAAATGGAACTATGCAGTAAGTACCCTTTAGTGTCTGTTTTGTTTCATGTAACATAATGCTTTTGAGATTAATTCAGGTTTTTGCATGTATCAGTAATTTGTCCCTTTTTATTGTGGAGATGTATCATAGTTTGTTCATCCATTCACATGTCAATGGGTTATTTCCAGGTTTGGGTTATTATAAATAAAGCTACTATGAGGATCCATGTACAAGTCTTTGTGTGGACATCGTTTTCATTTCTCTTGGGTAAATACCTAGTGAGGATTGCTGGGTCAAATGGTAAGTGTATGTTTAATGTTATAAAAAGTGACAAGCTGCTTTCCCATGGGGCTGTTCTATTTGTGTTTCCACCTGCAGTGTATAAGAGTTCTAGCTGGTCCACATCCATACCAACACTTGGAATTGTCAGTCTTTTAAAATTTAGCCATTCTAGTGAGTGTGTATTGGTTTTTATTATTTTAATTAGCATATCCCAAATGACTAATGATCTCGAACATCTTTTCATGTTTGCCATTTGTATACAGAAGTTTTAAGTTTTGATGTGGTCAACTTCCTCAGTCTTTTTCTTCATTGTTTTGCTTTTTGTATCTTGTTAAAAATTTTTTTCTTATCCCAAGGACATAAGGATGTCTTCAAATATTTTCTTCTAAAAAGTTTTAAAGTTGGAATTTCATAACTAGGTCTTTAATACACTTAGAATTTATTTTTGAATCTGATGTGAGTAGGGAATCTAGTTAAATTTTTATCCATGAATAGAAACTCAGTTCTAAAAACATTAATAATTTTTCCATGGATTGGTAATTTATATTGTCATTTGTATCACTCACCAGCTTCTCATATGTGTATAGTTTCTAGCTGTATTTTTCATTATCTCCTACCCCAGTGACTACAATGTCTCCTGCATGTTCCTTCCAATGTGAGTTTATTTATGCTCTTCCTTATGTCTAGGGTGACTCCTTTTTGTTCTACCTTTCGAAATCCACTCATTGCTCAAGGTCTAGCTCAGATGACCTTTAAAGTTCTTCCCAAATCCAGTCATATGCCTCTGTCCCTCCCTTGAATTAAATGAAGGGGCTCAGCACACGTATAGCATTTTATTCCTCTACTATAAATCTTAGCCTATCTTTTTGGAATCACAGTCACTTCTGTGTCTGTCTTCTTTGTTCTGCCAGACTGTAAGCCCTTTCATGTTTTTGTGGTAACTGCCAGACTGTAAGCCCTTTAGTGTTTTTGTGGTAGGCAGAACAGTGTTCCTACCTGCCTATGTCCTAATTCCTGGAACTTGTGAATATATTACCTTACTTGGCAAAAGGGACTTTGCATATGTGATTAAATTAATGACATACAGTGAAGAGATTATCCTGGATTATTCTGGTGGACTCAGTCTAATCACATGAGTTCTCAAAATTAGAACCTTTACCAGATAAATTCAGAGTCACAGGAATCCATGGTTAGGAAGTGGTCAGAGATGGAACATTACTGGTTTTGAAAATGGAAGGAGGGGGGCTATGAGCCAAGGAATGGAGGTGGCTTCTAAGAGCTGGAAAAGGGAAAGACATGTATTCTCCCTTACAGCCTCTTCAATGGGACATAGCAGCAGCCTAGGTGGCACCTTGGTTTTAGGGATAGGCATGTAGGGGCAGCTTTGCTGACACCTTGATAGCCCAGTGAGATCTGTGTTGAATATCTGACCCATAGAACGGTAATATAATAAATGTGTGTTGTTTCAATGTACTAATTTTGTAGTAGTTTGTTACAGCAGCAATAGAAAACTGATATATTTGCTCACCATAGAGTCCCCTGTAACTTGAAGCAGATCCTTAGATACAAAGTGATAAATCATTGCTCACTGAGTTGAATTGTGAAGCAACATGTACCTTGGAACTACAGAATGAAAACTTTACGTTCTTACTACATCATTAATGATCAGTGTGATGCTTATCACTAGCATCTAGACCTTTGTCAATCCATGACAAATGAATGACAAAGACCAGTTTTCCTTATCGTTAGCAGTCCTATGCCCTCTGACTTTGACTACAGTGGTGGTAAGTAAATACTGTTGGCTCTGTGCAAAGCTTTACCTCCTTAACATGTGCTGGCAGCTCAGTGGTAGAAAGGAACAGAAGGAGATGCCTTTTTCCCTATGTTATTTAACCTACTCAAGGTACTTGACTGAGACCCTTTGATGGGGCCATTGAAAAGTGTTTTCTAGTCTTTGTTCTTAGGTAAGGGATTTGGAGTCAGACATACAAGGACTTTGAAATCCTGGCTCTGGTCTTCGTTAACTCTGTGACATAGAGTAGGTCACTAAATACCTTGGAGCTTTGGTTTTCTTATATCTATGGCAGAGATAATAATACAGTTGACCCTTGAACAATGCAGGGGTTAGGGGTCTGGCCACCCCTTGCAGTAAAAAATCCAAGTATAGATTTTTACTTCCCCCAAACTTGACTGGAAGCCTTTTATAAACAGCCAATTAACACATGTTTCATATGTTATGAAATGTAGCTTCATTATATACTGTATTTTTTTTCTTTTTTTTGAGTCAGAGTCTTGCTCTGTTGCCCAGGCTGGAGTGCAGTGGTACGATCTTGGCTCACTGCAACCTCCGCCTTCCAGGTTCAAGGGATTTTCCTGCCTCAGCCTCCTGAGTAGCTGGGATTACAGGTGTGTGTCATCACGCTGGGCTAATTTTTGTATTTTTAGTAGAGATGGGGTTTCAACATGTTGGTCAGGCTGGTCTCAAACTCCTGACCTCATGTTCTGCGTGCCTCAGCCTCCCAAAGTGCTGGGATTACAGGTGTAAGCCACTGCACCTGGCCTATGTACTGTATTCTTACAATAAAGTAAGCTAGAGAAAAGAAAATGTTATGAAGAAAATCATAAGGAAGATAAAATATATTTACTATTCATTAAGTGGAAGTGGATCATCATAAAGGTCTTCATCCTTATCATCTTTATGTTGAATAGGCTGAGGAGGAGGAGGAGGAGGAGGAAAAGGAGGGGTTGATCTTTCTTGCTGACTTGGGGGTGGCAGAGGCAGAAGAAAACCCATGTATAAGTGAACCAACCCAGTTCAAGCCCATATTGTTCATGGGTCAACTGTATTTCCTTGAGTTGTTTTAATGATAAACAGATGTATGTATGTAAAGTTATTAGTATACAATAGGTGTTCAATGAGTGCCTTCCTTCCCATCACAGGTGCATCACTACTGACAAACAATCCAGACTTCTATTTACTTTGAAGAGTTAGTTACAAGCAGGTGATGCCATATGACATTTGTTCTTAGTTTTTGTTTTTGTGTTTTATTTTTAAAGACATAAGTTTTTGGATTGCCTCATCCTTTCTTATATTTCCAAGTTTAGGGTTCTTGTCATTTTAGATGTTTGGTTAAGAATAGCTGATGTTCCGTGGATGGTTTTAG
Organism: Homo sapiens; assembly: GCF_000001405.40. Taxonomy (NCBI): domain Eukaryota; kingdom Metazoa; phylum Chordata; class Mammalia; order Primates; family Hominidae; genus Homo; species Homo sapiens. Next base: position 100,548,023 of record NC_000003.12, read on the forward strand.
TTATTTAAACATTGAGAGGGGTTGGTAGTGGGAACAATAGGCAGAGGTACAGGAGAGATCAAAATAAGATAAAATAAATAAGGTAATAGCACTCTAGAGTGGTTATTTTCTTCTGACAGAGCTTTATTATCATTCTGGCTTTGGGAGCAGCTGCTGAGACACTCATCTCTGGTCACATGCTAAGCCTAATATGAATGAACACATCCGGGCTTATGACACTGACAAGAGACAAATGGCCTCTGGAGTACAGAGATGGGGAAGTTGGATTTAAATCTCAGTATCTTGATGCTACTCTGTTTGTCTCCACATGCTCATTCAAATAGCATTCCTGTGTCTTGGCACTATCATCTGCAAAAAGAAGAGACACTCATCCTCTTATTTGGAAGGCTGGGCTTGCTAAGCTGAGAGTGAACGAGAAGCTCTCTTGCAGACCAGAGCTCTCACTTCTTTCTTGATTTCACCTAACTGCTTTCCACTGTTGAGAAGCTTCCTTTCCACTGTCCCCTGGTCACTGCGGGCTCCTCCTCTACAGCACTACTTTAGAACGATCTCCTCCATCAGGCACCTTCTTAGACAAAGTCCTCTCCCCGTCTTACACATGCCAGTCATCTTAACACCTCCATAGAACTTGTAATTAGTTTGTTCCTTAGGGACATATTTTAGCATTTCTGTTTTTTGTGGTTTGTTCAGTCTATCATAAGCTTTCTGTTGTGAGCAGGGGCTGTGTCTATTCTGCAGTGGGTGCCTCAAGCGCCTGAAGTGTCCCTGTACAATGCAAGTGATGATTAGAAGAGCATCCCAAATGCTTTGCGCTGCACTGTTGACCTACAGCAGTTTTCTTTCATCATTTTTCTTATTCCTATAACTTCGGTTTTGGCCATGACTTCAACCCTGTGGCGATCTCTTTCTTGAGGCACTGTGTGTTAGAAAATGGGTTATCTTTGGCCGGGCATGCTGGCTCATGCCTGTAATCCCAGCACTTTGGGAGGCCAAGGTGGGCGGATCACCTGAGGTCAGGAGTTCGAGACCAGCCTGGCCAACATGGTAAAACCCCATGTCTACTAAAAATACAAAAATTAGCTGGTATGGTGGCATGCGCCTGTAATACCAGCTACTCAGGAGGCTGAGGCAGGAGAATCACTTCAACCCGGGAGGTGGAGGTTGCAGTGAGCTGAGATTGCCCCACTGCACTCCAGCCTGGGCAACAGAGTGAGATCCTGTCTCAAAAAAAAACAAAAAAACAAAAAAACAAACAAAAAAACCACCAAAACCAAACAAACAAAAACAACCAAAACGAAAATGGATTATCTTCTTATGCCTTACAGAACACGATCTATTATGTTACTGCTGCTCTAACCATTCCCTTTGTCTTCTGTCTGTCTCCATGGCCTGCAAGAGTGGCAATATCCTTCACTGGCCTTGGTTCTCAGAGCAGGTGGCACATGACTGAGGCTAGTGGCCTGGTAGGTGGGATGGCAAGGTGAGTCACATCCAGAACTGCCCTCTGGCACAATGTTTGGACAGGGAGGCTGGAGGTTCCAAAGGGTGTGTTCTCTGGGTTTAAATGCATTGGAACCTAGTCTGAAGGTTTACCTGCTCATGCTAGAAAGATAGGAGCACATTGGTTTAATCTCAAAGGAGGAAGAGTGGGCAGTTTTAGATTTAGGGCCACTCAGCATCTGCTTTTCCCTCTTGAGTCTAGAGCCATTATAAATCCTTAAGAGTGTGATATTCCCCTTCCTGTGTCCATGTGATCTCATTGTTCAATTCCCACCTATGAGTGAGAATATGCGGTGTTTGGTTTTTTGTTCTTGCGATAGTTTACTGAGAATGATGGTTTCCAGTTTCATCCATGTCCCTACAAAGGACATGAACTCATCATTTTTTATGGCTGCATAGTATTCCATGGTGTATATGTGCCACATTTTCTTAATCCAGTCTATCGTTGTTGGACATTTGGGTTGGTTCCAAGTCTTTGCTATTGTGAATAATGCCACAATAAACACACTCTGGGGACTGTGGTGGGGTGGGGGGAGGGGGGAGGGATAGCATTGGGAGATATACCTAATGCTAGATGACGAGTTAGTGGGTGCAGCGCACCAGCATGGCACATGTATACATATGTAACTAACCTGCACAATGTGCACATGTACCCTAAAACTTAAAGCATAATAAAAAAAAAAAAGAAAAAAAAATAAATCCTTAATAGAAGAGAATTGAGTTGGACTTGACATTGAGGAAAGTGTGAAGGTAAGGATACTTTAAGAAGACTCATTCAAAACCAATGAAATTTGCAGGAGAAAGTGCTGGTACAGAATGATGGAGAATGAAATTTTAAAGCTACATATTTTTGTATCCACATAGTATGTGGATACAATTTGAGTATTAAGACAAACAGAGCAAAGCTGTTCAGATTTGTTTAGTGTATTGGAATTTACAAATGTATTTTGAAGTATGAGTCACTAATGAAGACTTAGGAATACTTCATTTTGGTGGTGGCGCAAGATGAAATTTTAAGTTTTTTCTCATAATGGTATTCATTTTATATTGAATTTAGCTATTCGATTAGAATTCCACCAAGCAAACCATTGCATCTCTTTTTCTGGGTTATTGTGAGTTGTTTTCCCTTTCTGTGTATAGACCTAGTCTGTGGTTTGTGTGGCTGTTAACATCTGGGAATTAACACCTAGCACCTGAGTTAGATCTTGGGCTCTGCCCAATATTATCTCTTAAGGGATAGAGTTTTAAAATGTTTCCCTTCTGCATGGTGAGTGAGTCTGTGTTTACGCCGGGGGGTGTTCAGCAAAAAGTAGGGTAATGGGGATACCAGGAGGGGTTTCTGGTTTTCAGGCCAGAGGGTAATGCTTGGTATCATTAGAAGTGGAGGGCTTCTTTGGATGGGGGAGGAGGAAGAATTTTTAGGATGAATCACACTGGAAACCAATGATGAAATCTTTCAGTCCGTCTTTTTAGGCCTGGGTGAACTGCTTTTTTTTTTTTTTTTTTTTTGAGACGGAGTCTCCCTCTGTCGCCCAGGCTGGAGTGCAGTGGCGGGATCTCGGCTGACTGCAAGCTCCGCCTCCCGGGTTCACGCCATTCTCCTGCCTCAGCCTCCCTAGTAGCTGGGACTACAGGTGCCCACCACCACACCCAGAGACTTTTCTGTATTTTTAGTGGAGACGGGGTTTCGCCGTGTCAGCCAGGATGGTCTCGATCTCCTGACCTCGTGATCCGCCTGTGTTGGCCTCCCAAAGTGCTGGGATTACAGGCTTGAGCCACTGCGCCCGGCCGAACTGCTTTTCTTAGGAGGTTGTAAGTGGTAGGATCAGGTAGGAGGGTACGGAGGAAGGACCTTCATGTTTCCTGCCCTGGCATTTTCCCTGGGGTTGCTGCTGGCTGCTTGCATGTTCTCTTTGGTGGGCGAGGAAAGCCCCGTGGTCTCCTTCAAACGAGAATGTCTGCTTTTGTGTTTAAATCTGATCAAACTCTGTGCTACTTTACTTGGCTTTTACAAGGAGTAAGTTGCACCTGAAGGCAACAGTAAAGCAGGGAACAAGAGATTTACAGATAATTGTTTCTAGGAGATGAGAGTGAAGTAACGTTTGAGGATATGGACAATGTTTTCTTTCACAATGAAAATGAAATAAGATGAATGATGTTTTTATTGCCAGGAGTAACTGTATCTGTTGGGTTCCTTAGCCAGACAAATGTTAACAACCCTTATACTTTGACTTCATTTTGTTTGGATCTTTAAACAGAAAGATTGGAACCATCAGATTGTTTCAGATTAAAAGGCTGAAGACACAGGAGTTGTATAACTGAAGTAGGAAGGAGGACTCCTTTCTTTCCCCACTTTGATCAGCTCATATTCTTCTTCACAAACCCTCCACTATTCCCCATTGCCTCCTTATTACATCCTGATGGATGTGCTGAGATATACTGATCCTCTCAGCTTTGGGGGCAGCAGGAGCCTCTTAGCTTGTCATAGGGGTGGGTCAGGAGGGCTATTTGGCCTAGAGCTGTACATTCAGGGAAGGCCTGGATTTTAAAATTTCATCATATCTATGACATAGGCAATATGTTTGCTTGTATGTTTAAAGTATTTATTAGGTAATTCTAAATATTTAAAAGCAACCAAAATTTTTGTGACTCTGTTTTGGCATTTTCTTTCTTTTTTAATATACTAACAGCCTTAAAAAAAAAGTGGAGAAGGCCCAGGCATTTAACCTCTGAGGTGCCCCCATAGTCAGTTGCACAGGCTTTCATAATATGGTAATGGTCATAGAGGCTATTGAGGAGGACAGACCTTCAATAACTAATCATGCAAAGAAGTCACTAATGTGAGGACTGGGTGCCTTGAAAGGGTGTAATAGGGACCCTCCCCTATTTGGGCCATCAGGAAGGATTTCTCCAAGCAGGTGATCTCCTACCCCTAGAGGGGATCAATGTTAGACAACAGAGGTGATAAATCTCAATTACCAATTGTTTTTTAAGGAAAGAGCCAAACTCTAGGATGATGTTCATATTTTGGGTTTGGGCAAAGGGGTGAATTGGCAGTGTTGTTAACCAAACTAGGTAACCAGGGATTCTTTTAGGATAACTAAAATTATTTTCTGGCAGTAGGTGGGTTGATAAGATGATTAGTTCAGTTTTGGGGTATTTTGAGTGTGAGTGGCCTTTGAGACATCAGAGTAGAGATGTTTTGCAAATATATGATCTTGTGTTATGAGAAGAGCTTAGTAACTCCTTGTAAATTTAGAACCTCATAGTATGTAAGGCAGTGGATAGCCAGTGGGGAATAGAAAGAAGAATGGATATATGGCCTCTGCTTTCAAGGAGTTTATTCTCTAATTGCAGTCAAGGAGTTCAATAACCACAGATTATCCCAGTAACCCTCTAAGACAACAGCAAGAGAAGTGTCTTGGGCACTACATCAATGATTGCCAAATGAATTGTATCAATGTTTCTTGATTTTCTATATCCATCTTAGTATCTAAGTAAAATTGTTCATTTGGTTTTACTTTTGTTTTACTCTGGTAGTTAGAGGTAGGTTGAAGATAGCATGAGCTTATTTAACAGTACTGTGGGTTATTTGCTTTGGAGTAATTCATTTTAAATTTATGATGTAGGTACTGTTATTTGTCCCATTTTACAGAAGAGAAAACTGCGGCACTGAGGGGTTAAGTAACTTGCCCAAAGTTATGTAACTAACAAATTATAAAGTTGGTATTCGGACTTAGATAATCCAAATTCAAAGCCCCTTCCCCTAATTTTTAATCCTATTTTTTTAACTAAATATGTTCCCTATCATTTAAGTTATTTGAAAACCTTATTTTCAGTGGCTGCGTAATTTATTTGACATTCTCCTAGTGCTTGTATTTCCATTTATATTTGCAAGATAAATCCCTGCAAGTGGGCTTCCTGTACTAAGAAATATAAAATGTTTAAGACTTCTTAAACCAAATACAACCCATTTTCAGAAAAGTTCAAAAAATTTGCAGTCTGTATATACTTTTCAATCCCATATAGAAGTTTTCTCGATCCCATATGATTGCCTAAACCAAAACAGAACTCAGCAACACTGTGATAAAGGTGGTGGTTAAGATAATAAATCAAAGACTTTTAGGGCAGGAAAGAACTCCAGGTTTCATCTAGGCTTGCCTCCTTCTTTTATTAATTAAGATCCAAGGCTTAGAAAGGTTAAGAAACATGACGCAAACACACCATTACAGGTATAGTTAGGACAAGGACCTGCACATAGCACTATGTGATATATTGAGTCTGAGACTCTTGGATGGTTTGGACGATTCAATGGTGTCCTGAAATGACTGCCTGGGGTCACCACTGAGATATAAGAGACTTTTAGTGTTTGGGTCAGCTTCCAGGTTTCCCCCTGAGTTTCACAGTTGTATCAGAGGGATGGAAGTAACTCAAAAGGGTCTGTCCTGAACTGAGCAGCCCATTATCACCTAGAGATAAAATAAATCTGCTGGGCCAGGGGAAATCCTGAAATCTCCTTTCATGAGTTTCCTTGGACCTGGCCTAGTGTCAGATCCACAAGGGTGATTCTGGACTCTCTTTTCATTATTCTGTTGATGGTATGATATGTTTCAACAAAGGGCTACTCACGTAATTAAAAACTCACATAATTCTTTTTTTTTTTTTTAATAGCAGGGACCAAAAATGGAGGGTATTACTGTTTATTAACCAGAAGTGACTCCACTATGTGGCAATAATGTAAACAAAGTTTGCAATTTGATTTGGCTTGATATCTGGCTAGGTGGGGCTAAGGTGTTTTAACAGTAAATCTCAAAGTTTCATTGCCTTAGCACAATAAGGGATTGTTTCTTACAAAATCTGAAGCAGGCTGGTTGATCACCTTCTGGGTTGCAGATATGCCACACCAAGGTTGCCCAGGCAAGATAAGAGAGAGGTAAAGGAGTTGTGTAGACTGCTAACTGACCCTGCTTGGAAAGTGACATGTGCTAGTTCAACTTATAGTGTATTAGCCAGAACTAAAAACATGGGCCCAATCTAACTGGAGGGAGAGGCTGGGAAAGAGTGGGGAGCAGCACACAGATATTTGATGAACACTAATTGTTTCTTCCATACACTTGATGCTTGATATTTTGAAATTATCAACCTAAAAGAATGTGTAGGCAATTTCACATCATTTCAAGTTTTAAACATAAAGATAAAACTTTCATATCACTTTCCTTCAGATAGGCCTGAAGGGCCACTGTATGGCGAAGTATATACTGTGGATGTGAAGAAATCCTTTTCATTTCTGTGTTAAAAATAATGGAACTTTTGCTTAATATTTGTGAGATTTGGGCAAGTGGTCTAACCTCTCTAAATGAGGATCCCTAAAGAAAAAGGGGTAACAGTGCTTCATTCATGGGTATGTTGCATAAATTAGGTTGAAGACTGAACATAAAACACTTGACACAGTGCAGAGTACATGGTAAGTATTCAACAAATGTGAGTTTTTATTTTGTTTTTATTGGTATTATGATATTGTACTGGTATTTACTAGTATGCACAGTAATGTAGGATCCTCAGAATCATCCTCAGTGATGTATCCATAATAATCAGAAGACAGTGTACTTTATGGAAACAAGTGATGTTTTGTCCAGATTCTGGCAATGAAATGTCTTTTACTTTCTGTGTGTTCTTATATTTGTAGATCATGGGGAATTTCAGAGGTCATGCCCTCCCTGGAACCTTCTTTTTTATTATTGGTCTTTGGTGGTGTACAAAGAGTATTCTGAAGTATATCTGCAAAAAGCAAAAGCGAACCTGCTATCTTGGTTCCAAAACATTATTCTATCGATTGGAAATTTTGGAGGGAATTACAATAGTTGGCATGGCTTTAACTGGTGAGTGGACCATTCTGTGTTCTATTTTTACCTTTTAGGTGTTTTCATTCTTTTAAAGAATTGGTTGGAGCTTCTGAAATAATTTTATATCAATTGTTCTGATCTCTGAAAGAATAAACCCTATCAAAAACCATTTTGCAAATGATATGAAATTAATCAAGTTATTATGGAAAAGCTTCAGTAATAAATAATTTCTGATAGGCTGTAGAAGACTTTAGCCTTCTGCACTCATCTTTTTTTCTTGGTTCCTAAATTGGAGAAAGAGATTAGGCCAGATGACTTCTAAGGCCTTTCCACTGAATCTTCCATATGAAGATTCAATGAAAATGTTCTGTGTTCTTGAGAGTTCCACTCTAGCCTCTCCATTATAAAAGATAAAATTTCCAGTTTTCCCATTAGATTTCTTCATGCTTTATTCATGGCAACAGGTCTTTGCTATGGCATCAAATTACACAGTAACATTTCCAAAGAGGGAAATTTCCTTGCCAAATTCTATAGATTAACAAATAAGGCAGTATCTGTAGGAAAGTTTAACTGTTTGCATACCAGACTAGATCGTCTGCTGTATCTGTCTGGGCTTTCTTTTTTCCTTTTTTCTTTTGAGATGGAGTCTCGGTCTATTGGCCAGGCTGGAGTGCAGTGGCATTATCTTGGCTCACTGCAACCTCTGCCTCTGGGGTTCAAGCAGTTGTGCCTCAGCTCCCAAGTAGCTAGGATTACAAGCACCTACCACCACACCCGGCTAATTTTTGTATGTTTAGTAGAGATGGGGTTCCACCATGTTGGCCAGGCTGGTTGCGAACTCCTGACCTCCAGTGATCTGCCTGCCTCGGCCTCCCGAAGTGTTGGGATTATAGGTGTGAGCCACTGTGCCCAGTCCTGTCTGGGCTTTCTCAGTTATCATAATTGGAGAAAAGCTGAACTCTTTAGCATTTTTATCTGGTACCAAGCACAATCCCCTATTTTATGGCAGCTACCCAAAGATGTAGTATTTAAGAAGGAAGTAATCTATCTCCATAGGAGTTGTCTCCCAAATTCAAATCTCCAAATAATTCAGGATGTATCTCAGTCATTAGATTGGAATAGGCAGTGGAACTAAGATCATTGGCATTGAAGATCTGAAATAGCTGTTTGATTCAATTGGCTATCTTTGACTAAAACTATTTATTTGAACCAGCATCTGAACCTCCAAAAGAAGCCTAAAGTGCCAGTGCTCAGCTGTTAGGGAACAGCTCAGAGAGAAGAATTAATGTCAAAAGAGGACATTAGATTGGAATAAGCAATGGACTAGTCCTCCTGCATCTTCTTGAATTCTATGTAAAGCAGAGTTGCTAAAACTGTGATATGTTTCTTGGCAGGCATGGCTGGGGAGCAGTTTATTCCTGGAGGGCCCCATCTGATGTTATATGACTATAAACAAGGTCACTGGAATCAACTCCTGGGCTGGCATCATTTCACCATGTATTTCTTCTTTGGGCTGTTGGGTGTGGCAGATATCTTATGTTTCACCATCAGTTCACTTCCTGTGTCCTTAACCAAGTTAATGTTGTCAAATGCCTTATTTGTGGAGGGTAAGTGTTAGTGAGTATTTTCATGTACCTTTCTCTATTAGTGAGCATTTATGTAGCCCTTCATATTAATATACCTCTGGCATCTTGTTGCAGCCTTGATTGATAGGACCATATATCTGGGCCATAATGAAATATTTGGGTGTCCTAGGCAGGGCGCCAAAAATCTACATGCTGTACTGACTCATTTAGTAGAACTGGGTAAACACAATTGTTCAATTGCTATGTTCACATTTCACATCTGTCTCAAAGGACCACTTACAAAGGTTACTCATCTCTGGGTTGTTCTGAAGATTATCATTTTTTTTCACTTTTAACAAACGAAAACTGATCCCAGAATAATAAAGCATGAATACACTAAAATGAGGCAGCCACTCACAGTGGAACAGCTTCCACTATCTACTAACAGGCTTTTTCATATTGATACAGTAATACTCTGCCATTTGATGATAAGTAGGGTCCAAAAAATGCAGTCACATAAAAAATATGGGGTCCTAATTTTGGAAAGTTAATTAAAAACAATATTTTTTGTTCAGCTGGTCTCCCAGTTACTGTAGGGAGGAAAAAAGAAAACAAGCATTTAATGGTTTTTTTTTTTTCATGTATTACACACGTAAAAAATAGATTGATTATGGAAATAGATAACCACAAATTGATCAGGAGGCAGTCACTTCCTACTCACCTTGCCTCTGGCATCCAAAGATGAGAACTTTTGCCCATACCTCGGGAACAAGGGCTGGATAAAAGATGGATGTCAACAACTAATAGCCCGGTTCTCATTATCTCAGGGGGTTACCGTATTTTTGTATCAATCTTTTCTCTTTGTCTTCATGAAAAAGATGAAGCTGGAATCTGTCTACAGGATGAAGAAATGCAGTTATTTACTACTTCTTGGGAGCTTCCAGAGCATGTTGTTATATCTGTCAAAATCCACCCGTATGTGTTTGCTTCCTCCAGTGGACTGAATTCCTTAAGGCGATGCTTTGACTTATTCATCTGTGTGCTCATCTGAATTATTGCACTTGCCATGCTTACTGTTGTTTGTCCTGCTTAGAAGATGCTTTGAAATATTTTCATCTTATGGAGATTCCAACTTCGTCTTAATCCTTTTCATTTAGATAAAGAGGAAAAGATATTCATTCAAAAATACAGTTAACACCCTGAGATAATGAGAATCCATTCATTGAAAATGTCACAATGTGTTAGAGAGAGAATAAAGGTCAGGGAAAGCAAAAAGAGGGTTCAATTTCAAAGATCCTATTCTAATGAGGTGGTGATGTCTCCAAAAATGCAGTACTGTGGGAATCAGTGGGCGCCTGCTCTTTTGGACAAATGTGTGTATGTGTAAAATTCTGTCTACGGAGAGAGGGAGAGAGAGAAACAGTGGGTGGTCCTTGGTTCCACTGAAAAAGACAATCTGTTTTTTCCCCATCAGCCTTTATCTTCTACAACCACACTCATGGCCGGGAAATGCTGGACATCTTTGTGCACCAGCTGCTGGTTTTGGTCGTCTTTCTGACAGGCCTCGTTGCCTTCCTAGAGTTCCTTGTTCGGAACAATGTACTTCTGGAGCTATTGCGGTCAAGTCTCATTCTGCTTCAGGGGAGCTGGTTCTTTCAGGTGAGTTGGGGCCTCTAGTTAATGTACCTGGACTCTTTGCCTGTAACTTCTCTGTTTATTTGATGAGGCAGTTTGCTCCCGGAGACTTCCCTCCAACATACTGCCTGTAGTAAGATCATGGGCCTCTGAGAAGTGATGTTTCTTTGAGTGTCCCAATAGCCCTGATGGGAGAATTGTCAGAGCAGCTGGGAAGTGGTGCGTGCACATCTTCATCACACCTGGACATCCATTATGTAGGAACTCTGAGCCGATGCTTTTAGTTAGAAGCAGCTTCTGACACTAAAGCAGCTTATAGCATAATAAGCTTAAGAAATATATAGAAGGCAGAAAAGAGAGCAAACTGTTATTTATTGAGAAATAACTATGTGTTGGCTACTGTACCAAACTTTTATATATACATTGTTTTATTTTTTCCTTGCAACAGCCTGGAATTCAGGCATTATCATCATCAATTTACAGATAGGAAGACTCAGAGAGACCAAGTCTCATACAATAACAGAGCTAGGATCTAAATTTGGATTCATCTGACCCGAGGCCGCAGGCTTTTTCCATTTTAAGCTGTTAACTCTTTAACCTTGATGAATTGTTGAAAACATGAATTCCAATCAGTAAACACACACTTTATAGAGACTGATGAATCATAATCCAACATGCATACATATCTGTAAACAAAGTCTAGGATGGAAGGTGAATTTTGGTTTAATCAGGGAAGACTTCTTAGAAGAGATTTTTAGTCACCAGAGAACACAGATTTGGGATAATGAGGTTATTTTAGAGATTTGTATTGCACATGAGGAGTGATAAAAAGCATTGGTAGGTGAGGGGGAGAGAAACATCATGGTCAAATGGGATAGAAAAGATGCAATATTTAAGCATGTAAGAAAGCGGAAAGGCTGTTGGAGCAAAGGCTAGTAAAGAGGGGCTAGATCCAAGGGTTATTTTAATGGAAAAACTTCATAGAAAAAAGCTAACAAATACTCTATAATGTGATAAAGCTGATAATTGGTGAATTTAATTATATAAAATATTATATAAAATCTATATCTCTTGCTTGGAATGTTTTACTATATACACGTATTCCTATTCAAAAATAAAAATAGACGGAAAACATTTTAAAAGAGATGACTTCTGGTTAAGATGACTTCTGGTCAAGATGACACAGTTTATCTCCAGTGTATCTTGTGTGCTCCTGACACATAGCAATGACAGATAAAATAAAATAAAATAAAATAAAAACCTAGAAAATTGGAAATAAATTTTCAAAAATAAATTTAAACAATAAAGTAGAAAACACTAACTGCAATGAAGCAAAACAAACAAAAACAGGCCAAAGAAACTTGTGGGCTGGATGTAGAACAGAAATGTAGAGCAAGAGTCGAGCTGAGCCTGCAGGCCCAGAGCAGACGGTGATGGTTGGTTTTTTGGCTCCAGTGGAACTAAAAGAAAGTAAAAGGACTCCTTTCAAGGTGGAGGATGAAACCAGGCTTTTGGGACTCTTTGATTGTGTTTTTTTATATATTCTATATTCCTAATGGTTTTTCATCTGATTGATCTCTCACTTTCTAATAGAAGTCTGTTGAAGTTTTATATTACAGGTCTGGATTTGTCCATTTCTTCTTATGTTCATTTTTTGCTTTGTTGTAAGGCTGTTTTCTGCTTCTCTCTCTCTCTCTTTTTTTTTTTTTGAGTTAGATGCTGATCTCATTTATTTTCAGTCTTTCTTGTTTTAAAATAAATGCATTTAAACAAATACATTTGTCTGCACACTGCTAGAGCTGCCTTCTGTAAGATTTGATGTGTTAGTTTGTAGTTTTTTTGATGTGTTGATGTAGTTTTCACTGTTGGGTAATTTTGAATGTTATTTCCATGTGCTTCTCTCTTTAATTTATGAGTTATTTAGGAGTACACTTTTAAGTTTCCAAAAATATTCTTTTTTTCTTATTATTTATTTCTAATGTAATTGTTTTACGGTCAGGGAATGTATTCTCTTTGTAATGTGTTGAGACTTCCTTTGGAATACGGCCCAGTGTCAGTGGTTGTAAATGATCCATGTAGTCAAAGGAAAGTATATCCTCTGTTTGGTTTAGGAGTCCTCATATATTTACTAGATCAAGTTTGTTAAAAAGCGAAATATTCAAATAAAGAAAGGCAGGACAAGAGGGGAAACCCCAAGAGAGCGGAATTATAAACATAAGAGCAGAATTAATGAAATTAATTAGTGTTCAGTTAATAATGACTAATTAATGTCTAGGATCTGAAGGAGGAAGCTGTGGGTTATACCTCAACTGGGAATAGGTTGGCTTAGTGTTGCCCCTTTTGGCAGATAAATGTTTTCATATTTCCCCCAAAAGCTTTTCTAAGGAAGAGATTAATGTCTTTGGGCATAAATCCGTGATTATTTAGAAAATTTTTCATCTACCAATATGTCTAGACTAGACTGTTTCCTTCTTCCTGGTGGTCAGCCTAAATAATGTCCGCAGCTTTAAAGAAAAATGAACATTTAATACCAGCGCAAACACACACACTGGCAGGAAATGAAGGTTTAGCCATAGTGACATTCCCACTACTGCACCCCTCTGAAACAAAACTGTCTAGAAACTTAGGTGAATATATTATGCTTCCAGTCGGTAAGTGTGGCATATGAATGTTTACAGCAAAACGCTGTCTTAAGCTAACAATATTATGTCGTGACTTGCTTTTCACCATATTACCATATTTTTTTCTCACTACTTCTCCATAAATGGTTAATATGTTAATACTTGTGCATGAACTGTGTATAGAGGGATTAGATAAAACATCCACCTAGACTCTTGGAACCGTAAGTATGGAGATGTGAATTGAAGGAAACCAATACTCAGATTGGCCACTTTTTTATCACACACATATAAATGATTGGGTAATACGTAAATGGAGAGGGAATTTCCCTTCCAACTTATTAGCAATGCTTTCTTTCCTGAACCACATCACAGTCAAAAATGCTTTCTCAATAACCTAGCCACATCATGCAATTTAAAAAAGAAAAAAAAATCCTGCAAGCCCCTTTATACTATGAATCATGTTTTCCCTGTGTCTCTGTGTGGGAGAATATTTCAAAAGCTCCCTTTGCAACTTCTCATTCCCAAGCTCCCTCCAGTCATCCTCACCGCCCAGGTGCAGGGACAATCAGGGAATGAGGAAGGTGCTCCTGCTGTCTTTGCTTCTTGTTTTTTAGGACAGTTGCTTCCACTGCATCTCCCAGCTCCACTAGTCCCCCCAGAGATTCCTCCCATCACTGCACAGATCCTGAGCCCAAACGAAAGCTCAGCCTTTGTTTTGCCTTTATGAAGGACGAAAGTTCATTTTTAAATGACAAAAAGGCCCAACTAAGCAGTAATGGTTTGAGGTCTGATGCGGCAGCAGATCAAACATTTGCTTAGGCTTTTAGTGTTGAAATAAATGATTGGATAATCAGATAACAACAGGAAATTCAGACTTCGTTATAGGAAATTGGCCCCAGGCTTATTGCCTATTAGAGAAGATAATTATTTAAATTTGAAATGTGATACTAATGAAGCTTAAACTAGTCGAAACCAGATGTTCAGGAATGGCATACAAGTTACAGCAAGAAAAACTTTTTTTTTTTGCAGATTGAGGTTTTTTTTTGGAATTTTATATAAGGAAATAAATTAAGACGACAAATAAAAGTGTGGTTTCTGTATTTAAAGGAGGATTTAATGAGTTGTGGCAGTTTCTAGCCTTAGTTTGGGCTTTCAGCTTTCCTAATTTATTCGTGTTTGGCCTAGAATGACTATGGAATGTTTCTATGGCTTTCACTGTAGTCACATCAGTTAACTCTGTTCAGTGGCCTCAGTCAAATCTTTAGCTTTCAGCATTAGGCTCTGGGGCTGCTAAAGAGATTGGCGACGGGAGGGGCTCCAAGTTTCTCTTCTCCTGATGTAAACAGCAAAAAGTTTGGTAGAATTAATGATGCCTAATGGAGGTGACTTGAGATTTTATTTTGGAGGCTTCAAAAAGCAATTATGAATGTGGCATGCAGTGACAAGTCCCTGGGCCTGCAGTTTAGACCAACCTGAATCTGTATGCTAGCTTTACCACACTAACTATATGAATCACCATAGATAATATGTTCTGTGCCATTAGGCTTACTACCCCAACTGTAAAATAGAAATATTAATAATATCTCATGGGGTTATTGGGAAAAATATATGCTATAACTTGACAATGCATGCTGTCCTGGGGAGAGGGCTGCTAATTTCAGAGGAAGGGGAGCAGAGGAAGCTTCCAGAAGAAGGTGAAAGATGGAAGAGAGTCACCAATGTGTCTAGGCTTAAGGTTTAGGGCAAGTGATACCCTTTTGCTTATTTTGAACTCAACTGTTGTATTAGTTTCCTAGGGCTGTAGTAACAGATCCCTACAAATTGGGTGACTTACAAGAGAAATTTATTCTTTTACTCTTCTGGAGACCAGAAATCTGAAATCAAGGTGTTGGCAGGGTTGGTTTTTTCTTGGGGTCCAGAGGGAGAATCTGTCCCATGCTGATCTCCTAGCCAACTGCCAGCCATCCTTGGCATTCCTTGGCTTGTGGCAGCAAGACTTCATTCTCTGCCTTTATTATCACAAGATATTCTTCCTGTATTTCTTTGTTTTCCTATGTCTTCACATGGCCTTCTTATAAGGATGCCAGTCTTTGGGTTTAGAGCCAACTCTAATCCAGTATGACTTCACCTTAACTTGATTACCTCTGCAAATACTCTGTTTCCAAATACAATCACATTCAGAGATACTGGGAGTTAGGATTTCAGCATATTGGCAGACACAATTTAACCCACTACAAATGCTAACTCTTATCTCTGGGAGCTGAAGCAGATCACTTCCCAGATCGCAGGTCATGTGGATGGCATTGGAGGAATGTTGGCAGGACTGATGGATGGGATCTGGAGGGCTAGTCCACAGCTCTAAACACTCATCTTCCCTAAAATTCTCCTTTCTACACAGAATTTTTCTGTCAATTTCCATGAATTTGTTGTAAGAGGAAGGCATGAGACCCCAGCTTAGATAACTGGGCCTTTGAACTGGGAGTTGACTATGTGACTCAATTTTCTCTCTTGTTATTCCAAACAGTGAACATAGAGGACCTAGAAATTCTTGCCTTCTTCCGGGGGCTTCAGGGACCTGGGCTCTGGTCACTTTGGCTCCCACAGTGAGCTTTCCTAGCAGTATATAAAAGGGGTATTGCAAAACACTGATATCTCCAAAGCAACAGTCTAACCAGCAGGGTGGCATTTTCCACCTGCAGTTTCTGAGTATTGTGAGCTCATACCTCTAACTTAATGACTGATGTATCTTCTTCCACAGATGTTGACACATCTTGCCTTTAGAATATATCCATGTTCTAATGCAGAGGCCCCAGCCCTTGGTGGGTGAGGCACAGCGGCAGTGATGCAAATGTTTTTGCAGCTGTTTGGGGATGGAGAGGCAAGGGTGTGCATTACTTAATTTTCCTGTTTCTAAAATAGACAATAACTGTATTCTGTGTCCTAGGATATAAAGAAGGGAAAGAGGAAGTTATTGTAAAGTACCTTGCTAATTTCAACTAATAAGGTATTTTGGGAAAATGTATGACTCTGACATTGGTTGACAAATAAAATGCATTGGGCCAGGACAAAAATAGAAAACCTTGGTTGGATCACTCCACTTGGTCAGGAAGGTAAACTGAATGATGAATCAATGGAGACTGCATGCTTCCACTCATGTTTGCCATTTAGGAATACAGGCCTAATGTTGCCAGATAGTTCTATTTTTACAAAAAAGCTGAAAATGCAAACTTTTGTGTAATGTTTCCTAATTTTTTAAGTGTTGGCAACTAAAGCAAATTATTATTATTGTTTTTTTTTTTTTTCCTTTGAGACAGAGTCTCACTCTGTGGCCCAGGCTGTGGGCCAGGAGTGCAGTGGCACAATCTCAGCTCACTGCCACCTCCACCTCCCGGGTTCAAGCGATTCTCCTGCCTCAGTCTCCCAAGAGCTGGGATTATAGGCACATGCCACCAGGCCTAGCTAATTTTTTGTGTTCTTAGTAGAGATGGGGTTTCACCATGTTGCCCAGGCTGGTCTCAAACTCTTGACTTCAGCTGATCCACCTGCCTTGGCCTCCCAAAGTGCTGGGATTACAGGCGTGAGCCACCACACCTGGCCGCAAATTATTGTTTTAAATGTGCAGGCCAGACAAAGCATGTCTGGGAATTAGAGATGTGGCTCAAGGGCAACAGTCTGTCATCTGGTTTTAATGGTAATATAGTGCCATGTCCTCGTGGGACCACCTTCCATCTCAGTACTGATTATTCAAACCATATCAGAACTGCTGAGATGTCTCAAACTGATCTTGTTATCCAGGTCACTGTCCTTCGTATTGCCCCATATGGAAAGGCTGTATGGTGAAAAGAGTATGGGTGGGAGAAAGAACATGGAGTTTTTGGAGCCAGAAACTACTGGTCTGGATCCCTACCATAGTCGTTCAGCCATTTTGTAATACTAGGGGAAGTTGTTGAAGTCCTTGAGTTCCAATCTTTTCCTACGACATACGAGGATGACGATGTCTTCTTCTTGAGGTTGTTTCAAGGGCTAAGAATTATTGTGATGTTTATGTACATGAGTGAGGATTACCGTTTATGTACATGAGTGAGGATTACGTGACAAGCACGTGGTGGTACCGCCATCTGTCAGACAGTAGAAATGGAAGTTTTCTTTCCAATTAAAGGGAATCCTGAAATGGGAACAAGTGATTAAGGCACAAATCTTAGTTTTCCCCGACTTACTCTAATTATTTGAAATTTCAAACAGAAATGGAATTAATGTTTTATTCAATATTGCACATGAAGTGTTTTTTTTTCTTGTAACCTTTCATTTATTAGACGTGTAATCATGGGCAAATCACTAAATCACCCGATTTTATTATCGAGATAATAAGGATAATAATACATTAAAATGAGGGTAATAATACATCCTTGAAAAGGGCCATTGCAAGGAGACACCTAAACACTGTAACTGACACATAGCCAATACATGGTAGACATTTGTAGGATTATTCATTATATTATCCTGGTTTTGAATTTCATTTAGTTCCAGAAACCTGCAATACATTCATCCAGTTATCTATTATCTCTCTATCTACTTATTGTTTATTGGGATAAAACTTTCCTAACATAACATTAATATTTTTAAAGTGTACAATTTAGTGGCATTTAGTATATTCACAATGTTGTGCCCCCATCAGCTCTATCTGTTCCAAAACATTTTCATCACCCCGAAAGGAAACCTTGGGCCCATAAAATAGTCACTCTCCCGTCTCTCCTCCTAGCCCCCGGTACCACTGGTCTGCTTTCTGTCTCTATGAATATTTGTCTAGTCTAGATATTTTATGTAATCAGAATCATAATATATGTGAACTTTTGTGTCTGGCTTCTTTTACTTAGTATAAATGTTTTCAAGTTTCATCCATGTTGTTGCATGTACTTCATTCCTTTTATGGTCGATTGATAGTCCCTTGTATGAGTATACTGCATTTTGCTTATCCATATCAGTTTTTGAATATTTGGGTTGTTTTCATCTTTTGACTATTATTAATAGTTCTACTATGAACACTCATGTACAAGTTTTGTTTGAATACCTATTTTTAGTTCTTTTGGGTAGAAGTGAAATTGCCAGGTCATATGGAATTCTATATTTAACTTCCTGAGGAATTGCAAAACGGTTGCCACAGTAGCTGCAGAATTTTATCCCAATAAAAAATTAGATAGATAGATAAATGGATGAATGTATTTCAGGTTTCTAGAACTAAATGAAATTCAAAACCAAGATAATATCATGGATACTCCTACAAATGTCTACCATTTATTGGCTATGTGTCAGTTACAGTGCTTAGGCCTTTCCTTGCAATGGCCCTTTTTGAGGATATATTATTATCCTCATTTTCATGTATTATTATCTTCATTATCCAGATAATCAAGATTATCCATTTTACATTCCCATCAGCAATATATAAGGATTTCAATTTCTCCATATCCTCACCAATATTTGTTATTTTTATTGTTATTATTGCCAGCCTAATGAATAAAAAATGGTATCTCATTGTGGTTTTGATTTGCATTCCCCTGATGAACAATGATATCCATAATCTTTTCATGTGCTTATTGACCATTTGTATATTTGCTTTGGGGAAATGTTTCTTGAAGTCCTTTGCCCATTAAAATTTTTTGTTGTTGTTAAGTTTTAGGAATTCTTTTTATATTCTAGATATAATCTCATCGGATATATGATTTGCAAATATTTTCTCTCATGCTGTGAGTTGTCTTTTCATTTTCTTAATAGTGTCCTTTGAAGCACAAAAGTTAATTTTGATGAAGTCCAATTTATCTGTTTTCTTCTTTGGTTGATGGTGCTTTTGGTGTCGTAGCTTAAAAAAAATCAACAAATTTCAAGTGATGAAGATTTCTCCCTATTTTCTTTTAGGAATTTTGTGGTTTTAGCTCTCATATTTAGGTCTTTAATCCATTTTGAGTTCATTTTATATATATATAATTTTATACATGAGTTAATTTTATATATGAGGTAGGGGTCCAAATTCATTTTTTTTCATGTGAATACCCGGTTATCTCAGCACCATTTGTTGAAGACTGTTCTTTCCCCATTGAATGGCTTTGGCACCCTTGTCAAAAACCAATTGACCTCAGACATATGAGTTTATTTCTGGACTCTCAATTTTATTTCATTGATCTAAATGTTTATCATTATGCCAGTATCACACTGTTGTTTTGATTACTGTAGCTCTGTAGTATTGAAGTCCTCCAGCTTTCTTTTTTAAGGTTGTTTTGGTTATTCTGGATCCCTTGCAATTCCATATGAGTTACAGGATCAGCTTTTACCATTTCTGCAAAAAAAAAAAAAAAAAAAAAAAGAACATTGGAATTTTGATGGCAATTGCATTGAATCTGTAGATTGCTTTGGGTGGTATTGCCAGCTCAACAGTATTAAGCTTCCAGTCTATGACTATGAGATAGCTTTCCATTTATTTAGATCTTTGATTTCTTTCAACAATGTTATGCAGATTTTGGTGTACAAGTCTTAAACCTCCTTGATTAAATTTATTCTTAAAGTATTTTATTCTTTTTAATGCTATTGTAGATGGAACTGTCTTCTTTTTCTTTTTCTTTTTTTTGAGACGGAGACTTGCTCTGTCGCCCAGGCTGGAGAGCAGTGGCACAATCTCGGCTCACTGCAAGCTCCGCCTCCTGGGTTCACGCCATTCTCCTGCCTCAGCCTCCCGAGTAGCTGGGACTACAGGTGCCTGCCACCATGCCTGGCTAATTTTTTTGTATGTTTAGTAGAGATGGGGTTTCACCGTGTTAGCCAGGATGGTCTCGATCTCCTGACCTCATGATCCACCCACCTCGGCCTCCCAAAGTGCTGAGATTACAGGCGTGAGCCACCACGCCTGGCCAGAACTGTTTTCTTAATTTTATTTTTGAGTTCATTGCTTTTGTACAGAAATACAACTGTTTTGTATATTGATTTTGTATCCTGCTATTATGCTGAACTCATTTATTAGCCCTAATAGTTTTCTAATGGATTTTTAAAGGAATTTCTATATATAAGATCATGTCATCTGTGAATGTAGATATTTTTGCCTCTTTCTTTCCAGTATGGATGCCTTTTATTTTTCTTAACGGCTTAATTACTCTAGCTAAATCTTAACTTAATTGCTCTAGCTAAGATTTTCAGTACAACATTCAATA
Organism: Homo sapiens; assembly: GCF_000001405.40. Lineage (NCBI taxonomy): Eukaryota > Metazoa > Chordata > Mammalia > Primates > Hominidae > Homo > Homo sapiens. The sequence continues at coordinate 100,568,380 of NC_000003.12, forward strand.
GAAGTGTGAAAGCAGACATCCATGTCTCGTTCCTGATATTAGGGGGAAAGATTTCAGTCTTTTACCATTAAATATAATGTTAACTGTGGGCATTTATTTATTTTAAAACCTTTTTGTACTCCAATTTTGAAATAACAGAGTGAAACTGCACAATGTAGAAACCCAAGACATTCTCTTAAAGTCCAGACATTCCTAGCAAGATGACTGTTTATATTTTGAAAACTGATCATTAAATGTCCTTTTAAAACTTTTATGAAAATATGACATATTAGAGACTCTCTATATTACTAAAACAGGCAGCAAAACCTGATGTTTTATCTGTTACATCTTAGATAATTGGAGTTAACTTAGTTATTTACCTCGGAAGCAAGTATTTTGAAATGTACCATTTTTGGGAATGTGATTGGTTATTTTAATATATGCTTTTTGTTCTAAATTACAGATTGGATTTGTCCTGTATCCCCCCAGTGGAGGTCCTGCATGGGATCTGATGGATCATGAAAATATTTTGTTTCTCACCATATGCTTTTGTTGGCATTATGCAGTAACCATTGTCATCGTTGGAATGAATTATGCTTTCATTACCTGGTAAGTTAGCGATTTCTGTTAATGGAAGTTCTGTTCCTTGGTATGTGATTATCAAGACTCAGTGGTATTGAATTTAAAATTCAAAAGGGTATTTCATTCCTTATCATCCCATAAGACAGGGTAGCATAGCAGAACATTATCTGCAAACACAAAAATTCCCAGTAAAAAGAATAAATGCTGGTTTAAAGTTAGTCACTCAACAGTGCCTCAGCTGTGCCTCTGATGCTCACATTTCCCTTCATCACACTCCTCTGTGCCTCCATGTCTCCACATATGCTATTTCCTCTTCTCTCTTCTGAATGGTTTCCCTCACCCTGCACTGCCTATAGTGAGTCCTCCATTTACCCATGTGTAGATACTTCAATTATAGCACTTCTTAAGCTTCGAGTCCTTTTTTGACCAACTTGTGTGTGTTCCATTAAATGTAGGTGTCTGCCTAATTTGACATTGACTAATATTTCTAAAAGTCAGATCCAGTTGAATACATTTTTTATAAGAACCCCAGTATAATGTTCCATAGGTGGGTAAGGAGCAGTAGAACAGAGTTATAAGAACACATATTTTTAGCTGCACTATTTATCAGCAGTATGACTTTGGGCCAATTACTTAACCACATTAAGTACTAGTTTTGTTGTTTGTAAAATGGGGAAATAATAAGACCTAAATGAGATCAAGTATTTAAGCTTAGGACATAATAAGAGCTCAATAAATATTATTGTCTTGTTGTTCTTCCTCTTGTTATTCTTTTCCTCCCTCTCCTCTTCCTTATTCCTCTTTGGCATAAAAAAAATGAATGTGATATGAATCCTACCCATGAGGAATTTTTAGTCTTATAATTAGGACTAAATTAGGGAGATGCACAATGAAAATACAGTGCAATATACAGAAATAGTAGAAGAACAAAGCACTCTTGGAGTTCAGGGGAGGCCTCTTTACAATTGAGAATGAAGCTGCAGCTTGAAGGATGAGCAGGAATAGAAAGGGGTGATCACAGTTCCTTTCTCTAAGGTGGTTAATGCTGAACCACAGTTGGCTTGGCTGATTTCAATGACCAGGCATGAAGACTCCAGCACCTAATCCTTCAGACTTCAGTGCTGATTGAAATGTTCTGTATCTACAATGTCTAATATGGTAGTCACTAGCTATTGAGCACTTAAAATGTGGCTCATGCCACACTAATTTTATTAATTTAAATATCCATATATGTGTGGATAGTGGCTACTGTATTGGACACTACACATCTAGCAGGTTCTCTGATTCCTAAATTGCAGTAGCTACTGCTAGGCCCAGTGAGGTCCCAGCTAGAACAAACTTTCCACCCTTCTCTTTAGACATGGACCCCAAGTCACCCCTCCTGCTCTGTGCTTCTTTGTGCCTCATTGCTGAAGCAGCTCTGGTGCTGAGGCACCGGGTGAAGAAATCATTCCTTTGTCTAGCTCTCAGCTATCTCTGTTCAGCTGCAGGTCAGCCCACTTTGATCTATAGTTGCTTCCTTCTAGAGTTCTAGGTGCTTTGGGTACTAGGAAATTCCACCTTCTCATTCTATTAGCCCCATTCACTTCCTCCAAAGCATGTGCATGTGCTCCTTGTCAAGACTGGCTCTGCCATTGAGTGAAACTTGGCTTCTCCCTGTTGTTCTAGGCTGACTTCTGGGCCTCATCTCCTTAGGGGCTGGAAAGCCTTCAAGATCAGTGCCAGCATCCAAGGAAATGCTCTTCCTCATGTCAGCTCCCCTCCAGAGCCAAAAGAAGACTACTGTCTCTTCCTGTTTCAAAACGCTTCATACCCCTAATGGGCCTCTTATCCACTTATAGTACTCTGGATACTGGACACTCCATTTTTTATTTTCCAACCTTCCCCTCTACCCCCAACACATAATATCCTAATCTTTGTGACCATGCAGTTCCCTCCACCTGGCATATTCACATTAAATGCACGTCTTTTCTATGAAAACTTCTGTGGTGACTCTAGCTCTTGCTCATCTCCCTTTAAGAGTTTTTGTTTTTTTTTTCAAATACACCACAAAAGATTTTATTATGAAAAACATATGGGTAAAATGTAGCAACTATGCGGTTTACAAAATGTTCTATTATTGCATAAAACTATCTTTGGTCTATCACCTTCTAAAACTTCTTACACTCTTTCTTGGTGTTAGGTCAAATCTGCAAATGCTTTATCTGTTCTCCATATCATTAGAGCTCCATCTTCCACAAATATTTTAAGATAGACCTTCCCTCCACAATCATTACTCCCACAGTCTTAATGTAACCAGTGAACATGGACAGCAGCCGTCCAATATACATTCACATTATCAAAACATGATGGAAGCTGTAGATATGCCTAAATGTCCACGTGAGTACATATTTTTTCTAGTAGAGTCCTTGATTCTTTTTTTTAATTTTTTTTGCCAACAAGTATTGTTTACTGCACATATATAAAGATGATTTAATATTGAAAAATTTATTAATTAAATGCACCCTAATGATAGGTCCAGTTTCTTATGATTAAGAAACACCATAAGGTGATCTTAATAGCTACTTAAGAAACATTCGATACAATTTAAACTGATTTGTTTACCTCTTAGAAAACAAGAATGAAGTTTTTGTATGATAAGCAATATTCTTTTTTTAAAAATTTTATTATTATTATACTTTAAGTTTTAGGGTACATGTGCACAACATGCAGGTTTGTTACATATGTATACATGTGCCATGTTGGTGTGCTGCACCCGTTAACTCATCATTTAGTGTTAGGTATATCTCCTAATGCTATCCCTCCCCCCTATCGACACCCCACAACAGTCCCCGGTGTGTGATGTTCCCCTTCTTGTGTCCATGTGTTCTCATTGTTCAATTCCCACCTATGAGTGAGAATATGCGGTGTTTGGTTTTTTGTTCTTGCGATAGTTTGCTGAGAATGATGGTTTCCAGTTTCATCCATGTCCCTACAAAGGACATGAACTCATCATTTTTTATGGCTGCATAGTATTCCATGGTGTATATGTGCCACATTTTCTTAATCCAATCTATCGTTGTTGGACATTTAGGTTGGTTCCAAGTCTTTGCTATTGTGAATAGTGCCACAGTAAACATACATGTGCATGTGTCTTTATAGCAGCATGATTTATAATCCTTTGGGTATATACCCAGTAATGGGATGGCTGGATCAAATGGTATTTCTAGTTCTAGATCCCTGAGGAATCGCCACACTGACTTCCACAATGGTTGAACTAGTTTACAGTCCCACCAACAGTGTAAAAGTGTTCCTATTTCTCCACAACCTCTCCAGCACCTGTTGTTTCCTGACTTTTTAATGATCGCCATTCTAACTGGTGTGAGATGGTATCTCATTGTGGTTTTGATTTGCATTTCTCTGATGGCCAGTGATGGTGAGCATTTTTTCATGTGTTTTTTGGCTACATAAATGTCTTCTTTTGAGAAGTGTCTGTTCATATCCTTCGCCCACTTTTTGATGGGGTTGTTTGTTTTTTTCTTGTAAATTTGTTTGAGTTCATTGTAGATTCTGGATACTAGCCCTTTGTCAGATGAGTAGGTTGTGAAAATTTTCTCCCATTCTGTAGGTTGCCTGTTCACTCTCATGGTAGTTTCTTTTGCTGTGCAGAAGCTCTTTAGTTTAATTAGATCCCATTTGTCAATTTTGTCTTTTGTTGCCATTGCTTTTGGTGTTTTCGACATGAAGTCCTTGCCCATGCCTATGTCCTGAATGGTATTGCCTAGGTTTTCTTCTAGGGTTTTTATGGTTTTAGGTCTAACATGTAAGTCTTTAATCCATCTTGAATTAATTTTTGTATAAGGTGTAAGGAAGGGATCCAGTTTCAGCTTTCTACATATGGCTAGCCAGTTTTCCCAGCACCATTTATTAAATAGGGAATCCTTTCCCCATTGCTTGTTTTTCTCAGGTTTGTCAAAGATCAGATAGTTGTAGATATGTGGCATTATTTCTGAGGGCTCTGTTCTGTTCCATTGGTCTATATCTCTGTTTTGGTACCAGTACCATGCTGTTTTGGTGACTGTAGCCTTGTAGTATAGTTTGAAGTCAGGTAGCATGATGCCTCCAGCTTTGTTCTTTTGGCTTAGGATTGACTTGGCGATGCGGGCTCTTTTTTGGTTCCATATGAACTTTAAAGCAGTTTTTTCCAATTCTGTGAAGAAAGTCATTGGTAGCTTGATGGGGATGGCATTGAATCTATAAATTACCTTGGGCAGTATGGCCATTTTCACGATATTGATTCTTCCTACCCATGAGCATGGAATGTTCTTCCATTTGTTTGTATCCTCTTTTATTTCCTTGAGCAGTGGTTTGTAGTTCTCCTTGAAGAGGTCCTTCACATCCCTTGTAAGTTGGATTCCTAGGTATTTTATTCTCTTTGAAGCAATTGTGAATGGGAGTTAATTCATGATTTGGCTCTCTGTTTGTCTGTTATTGGTGTATAAGAATGCTTGCGATTTTTGTACATTGATTTTGTATCCTGAGACTTTGCTGAAGTTGCTTATCAGCTTAAGGAGCTTTTGGGCTGAGCTGATGGGGTTTTCTAGATATACAATCACGTCATCTGCAAACAGGGACAATTTGACCTCCTGTTTTCCTAATTGAATACCCTTTATTTCCTTCTCCTGCCTGATTGCCCTGGCCAGAACTTCCAACACTATGTTGAATAGGAGTGGTGAGAGAGGGCATCCCTGTCTTGTGCCAGTTTTCAAAGGGAATGCTTCCAGTTTTTGCCCATTCAGTATGATATTGGCTATGGGTTTCATAGATAGCTTTTATTATTTTGAGATACGTCCCATCAATACCTAATTTATTGAGAGTTTTTAGCATGAAGGGTTGTTGAATTTTGTCAAAGGCCTTTTCTGCATCTATTGAGATAATCATGTGGTTTTTGTCGTTGGTTCTGTTATATGCTGGATTACATTTATTGATTTGTGTATGTTGAACCAGCCTTGCATCCCAGGGATGAAGCCCACTTGATCATGGTGGATAAGCTTTTTGATGTGCTGCTGGATTCGGTTTGCCAGTATTTTATTGAGGATTTTTGCATCCATGTTCATCAAGGATATTGGTCTAAAATTTTCTTTTTTGGTTATGTCTCTGCCAGCCTTTGGTATCAGGATGATGCTGGCCTCATGAAATGAGTTAGGGAGGATTCCCTCTTTTTCTATTGATTGGAATAGTTTCAGAAGGAATGGTACAAAAAACCTTTCAAAAAATTAATGAATCCAGGAGCTGGTTTTTTGAAAACATCAACAAAATTGATAGACTGCTAGCAAGACTAATAAAGAAGAAAAGAGAGAAGAATCAAATAGACGCAATAAAAAATGATAAAGGGGATGTCACCACCGATCCCACAGAAATACAAACTACCATCAGAGAGTACTATAAACACCTGTATGCAAATAAACTAGAAAATCCTGAAGAAATGGATAAATTCCTCGACACATACATCCTCCCAAGACTAAACCAGGAAGAAGTTGAATCTCTGAATAGACCAATAACAGGCTCTGAAATTGAGGCAATAATCAATAGCTTACCAACCAAAAAAAGTCCAGGACCAGATGGATTCACAGCCGAATTCTACCAGAGGTCCCTCCAAGAATTTTTACAGCCCGTCGTCTTCACCATGCATTTTAACAATTGGGATCTCTCCTGTGATGTTCACTATTAGGTCATGTGGGTTAGTGTTATCTACTGGCTAGATTGTGTCTCCTTGAGTATGAGACCCTTTCCATATTTCCCACACCTCTTGGCACACTGCCAAACATATAGTAGATTCTCAATAAACCCTTGTTTGCTGTTTTAATAGATAATAGATTTATGTTGCAGAGCTCTTTAAATATAGGCTTCATTTGTTTTGAAATCATGTTTTATATACTTTTCAATTTTACTGTCATATTGTTCTTGAAAAGATAAGACCAAGGGTTAAATTTTCTGATATATTTTGATATAAACTTAAGCAATAGCTTAAGTTAGTTCCACAGAAGTATTTCAAAAACCCCTCTCAGAGCACAAGTAAAGCCATTACATATTGATACAGGCAGGCCAGACTTTCATCAGAAAAAATATAGCAGAAAATAAGGGTAAAGATGCAGGTAGACTGGTGAAATTTTTCATTTGTGAAGAGTGATATTGGTGATTTGGCTTATCAAATTTGTTTGCATATTCCTATGTATTTCTGGGAGTTAACTATGCTTTGTTGATATGGTCACAGCACAATGCCTTTATAATAATGATGCACAGGAAAAGCTTTGCCTAGTTCTTATGACACTCTTTCTCACATCAGAGAAGTGGAGAGCCTGCTGAGCTTCAGCTGCTAATCAGTGTCACATCTTCTAGTGTCAAAAATTATAATCCGTGCTTCCCCCAGGCCTATGGATTCTCTTTTTTTTTTTTTTTTTTTTTTTTTTTGAGATGGAGACTTGCTCTGTCGCCCAGGCTGGAGTGCAGTGGCGTGATCTCAGCTCACTGCAACCTCCACCGCCTGGACTCAGGAGATTCTCTTGCCTCAGCCTCCTGAGTAGCTGGGATTACAGGCATGTGCCACCATGGCCAGCTAATTTTGTATTTTTAGTAGAGACGGAGTTTTGCCATGTTGGCCAGTCTGGTCTTGAACTCTTGACCACAGGCGATCTGCCCGCCTTGCCTCCCACAGTGCTGGGATTATAGGCATGAGCCACCATGCCCAGCCCAGATTCTCTTAAACTATGAAAACAGTCACCAGGATGGAGGGTACTTCTTTGAGCTTCTTAATTCATCATGGCAGAGGCATCACATGCAGTTGAACAGCTTGTTCCCTGCACAAAAGCTCCCCCTGGAAGGGGCTAGTAGCAGGAAGTAGGGGCTGAATTTAGCCCAGACTTGACGTGGGCCTTGACTTGGGCTGCCAACCCTAGAGGCGGGCTTCATGCACTTCCTTTATATGATATAGCACCTGTTTGCAATACACAGTTAGATGTGGCTTTTATGGAGAAACTCAACTGAGCTTGGTTTCATCTGGGCTTGCCACAGCCCAGCGATTCTCTTAATTGTTTTAGAAATGATCAAAGTTGGCTGGGCACGGTGGCTCATGCCTATAATCGGAGCACTTTGGGAGGCTGAGGCGGTCAGATCACTTGAGTTCAGGAGTTCGAGACCATCCTGACCAACATGGAGAAACCCCTTGTCTACTAAAAATATAAAAAAAATTGGCTGGGCACAGTGGCTCACGCCTGTAATCCCAGCACTTTGGGAGGCCGAGGCAGGTGGATCACGAGGTCAGGAGTTCAAGATCAGCCTGGCCAAGATGGTGAAACCCCATCTCTATTAAAAATACAAAAAAATTAGCTGGGCGTGGTGGTGGGCGTCTGTAATTCCAGCTACTCAGGAGGCTGAGGCAGAGAATTGCTTGAACCCGGGAAGCAGAGGTTGCAGTGAGCTGAGATTGTGCCACTGCACTCCAGCCTCCAGCCTGGATGACACAGCAAAACTCCGTTTAAAAAAAAATAATAATTAGCTGGGTGTGATGATACATGCCTCTAATTCCAGCTACTCAGGAGGCTGAGGCAGGAGGATTGCTTGAACCTGGGAGGTGGAGGTTGCAGTGAGCCAAGATTGCGCCACTGCACTCCAGCCTGGGTGACAGAGCAAGACTCTGTCTCATAAAAAAAAATAGAAAAGAAAAGAAAAAGAAAAAGAAAAAGAAATGAGCAAAGTTATCTTCTGAGGCCTAATTAAACAATGATGCAATACATTGGAAAACCACGTTGTATCTGTTTACTTATACCCTGCTTTAATCCACAAAAATTTTCAGGCAGCTCCAAAGCCAAATAAAAGTAATTTTCCTTTTTGGGTTGCCTTCCCCAGTTGCCCAAATAATCTAGACTTTGTGGTATAATGGGTGCATATTGCTCTGGGTTTCTATTTTAAAAACCGTCTAACTTGAGATGCTTTTCTTTCTCCTCAGGTTGGTTAAATCTAGACTTAAGAGGCTCTGCTCCTCAGAAGTTGGACTTCTGAAAAATGCTGAACGAGAACAAGAATCAGAAGAAGAAATGTGACTTTGATGAGCTTCCAGTTTTTCTAGATAAACCTTTTCTTTTTTACATTGTTCTTGGTTTTGTTTCTCGATCTTTTGTTTGGAGAACAGCTGGCTAAGGATGACTCTAAGTGTACTGTTTGCATTTCCAATTTGGTTAAAGTATTTGAATTTAAATATTTTCTTTTTAGCTTTGAAAATATTTTGGGTGATACTTTCATTTTGCACATCATGCACATCATGGTATTCAGGGGCTAGAGTGATTTTTTTCCAGATTATCTAAAGTTGGATGCCCACACTATGAAAGAAATATTTGTTTTATTTGCCTTATAGATATGCTCAAGGTTACTGGGCTTGCTACTATTTGTAACTCCTTGACCATGGAATTATACTTGTTTATCTTGTTGCTGCAATGAGAAATAAATGAATGTATGTATTTTGGTGCAGACACCTGAAATCTTTGTTTTTGTTATTTAGCTACACTCCTCCTTTTTATCATGCAGAAGAAGCTGCAGGACACAGAAATTCTTTTTTGTGAGACATCTCTATAGTACCTGAGTTCTCCACAGGGAATAGTAGGCCAGAAGTCTTCCTAGGGTGTGTGATCTTTCAGAGAAGATAAAAGGGATGATCCTTAGGACACATGGTTGCAAAGCCACGAGAGACTGGGAAAGGAGAACTGGGGTGTTGTCCATAAGAGTAAAAAGTCATCACACACCATAGCATGGCCACCACAGCATCCCCTCTGTTACAGTAAGTGAAAGGTTAAAACCAGGAAAAGCCTTTTATGGAATGCTTGGGTAAAAAGTCAGAACTCTTACCTAGTCTGTGCCCTAAGTAGCCCCCCAGTGGAGAGTCAAGAAATCTTGTTTCTGATTCTGGCTCTACCATTAACCAGCTTTAGGTCTCTGGCAATCACCATGTCCTTCTCTCTAAAGTAAGGAATTGAATTGAATGAACCATGGGGCTCTTCTGGTTGTCACATTTTAAGAATCTAGAAATGGAAGCATATGGAAAGCTATTAGGTTGGTGCAAAAGTAGTTGTGGTTATTGCCATTGCAAAGCAATGTCTTTTCTTCAATGTCAACCTAATAATTTAGTACAATGTTAGTCACAAAGACCAGTATTTTCTATGAGAGAAAAGGAAGGAGGATTGCACGAATCCTTGAGGGATGACCCAAACCTGGAGGAAAGGAGGCAGCCCTGTGCACAGCTAGAGCTGAAATGTGGTCAACTAAGTCCTGAAGGCTCCCTAGCTTTCCAGAAGCACTGGCAAGTCTAGAAGGCTGCCTAGTCTCATATGTGTCACAGTGACATTGAAGAGTCAGGTGAGTAGATTCTTCAGGCCCCAGAACTGGACACATTCATTTTGTCACATAAGTTTGAAAAGAGCAGGTGTGAGTGCCTAAAGGTTTATCTTGAATAATGCCATGAACCTTAGGACGTTTCTGGCATATGAAAATGCCCACATGCCACAGTCCTTGGGGGTCATGGCATTCTGTCCCATATATGTCTTATCTCTCGGGGCTGTTTGCTAGACCCACAAAATTCTATGATTTTGACAAGTTTGGGTTTCAAAGGAGTGAGTGAGTGAGCGATCAGCAGCAGTTACATGAAGCTGGCATCACTGGTATATAGGCCTGAGCAGAAACACTGGGAATAATTAGCATGAACCAGATTAAGCCTGGAATTTTGAAAACTGATAAGTGCAAATAGTCTACAGTCTTTGTGAGAGAGCAGAAATTTCCACTCCTCTAGTCTGCACACAGATTACAAGTAAAATCAACTCAGCAAGTTCTCAAAGGAGGAATATTTGGTTCAGGTCTAAGTCTAAACTCTAGGGCTATCTGCCTCTAGTTCCTGAAATGAGCAATACATTGGAACACTATCATGACAACTTTATGGTTACATTATTGGGTTTGTAATTTGTGACTAACATTTTTATGGAATGATGTGAAAAATTAACAAACTGTGAACTTGAGCCAAAAATGAGACAGTCATATTTTCTTGTGCTAGGAAATCTTAGATCAATAAGTACAATTTTTAAAGGTTTTGATTTATAAAAAAGTATGTTTCAGTAAATGTTCTGAAACCATGAAAAATATTTTATAATAAAAATATAAAAAGTTTTCAACTCTAGATCATGGGATGAGAAAAATTAGTTTCAGGCTATACTTAACCCGTGTGTACCAATGGAATCAATCATCCAATGAATGTTTATTAAGCAGTTACCATGTGCCAAGCAGTGTTCAATAAACTAGGAATACAGTGGTATTCTACAGCAGTACTTAAGCCAAAGTCCCAGTCTTCATCAAGCTTACATTCCCATGGAACATACAGTCAATAACAAAGTCAACAAATAAGTTCTACAGTTTGAGGCAATAATAAGTTATATGAAGAAAAATAAAGCTGGGAAGGAGTATAAAGAATGGTGGGGTGCTGCTATGGTTTACATACGATTTGTTTGTCCCCTTCAAGTCTCATGTTGAAATTTGGTCATCAATGTTTGAGGTGGGGCCTAGTGGGAGGGGTTTAGGTCATAAGGGTGGATCCCTCATGAACGGCATGGTGCCATCCTCATTAGTTTGCACTCTATCAGTTCCCCAGAGAGTTTTCCTGAAAGCTGGTGTTGAAAAGGGCCAGGCACCTCCCTTCCCTCTCTTGCTTCCTTTCTCACCATGTGATCTCTGCACACGCCAGCCCCCCTTCCCCTTCCGCTGTGAGTGGAAGCAGCTTGAGCCCCTCACCAGAAGCTGATGCTGGTGCCATGCTTCTTATACAGCCTGCTGAACAGTGAGCCAAATAAACCTCTTTTATTATAAATTACCCAGCCGCATGTATTCCTTTATTGCAACGCAACAGGCTAAGACAGGTGGGGGAAAGCACCACCTTCCTGAGAGTGGTCCTTTCCTAGAGGTGCTCCACTAACCACCCGAGGGAAAATAGCCCCTGAACTTCTGCCCATCCCTCTCTATCATTATCAGGCATTATAGTGTTTATATATTTCCAGAGCCTTTAGCTCTGAAAGGAAAACCTTATCAAAGAAGGGATGGGGATGGAGGTTTACTCCCTTACTTTATATTTGTATTTTGTCTCCATTCTTCCAAAAACCTAGGATCTCAATTCCTGAGCTTTTGCCAAACTTTGAGTATCCTATGCTTCATTTGTCATAACCAAAGTGGAGAAAACCTTTACATAAATCAATGTTTGATTTCTAGTGCAGGTGTTAATGTAGGAAAGACTCAAGGACATTTTATAAAGCAGACAGAACCCTGTGGATGGAAAGCCTCTGTGGCTGTATAATAGGAAAGTGAAGGGTGGGGACAGATTATTAAGCAATATCAACTTTGGCTGTTGATGTGATACCAACTCCTTAGTGATTTCTGTAATTCTCCAATCTCCTTTGCTTGGGAATCTGCAACCTCTGATTGCACTAACTTCCAGCTCATTGTTGAAATGGGAGGCTTGGTTATGGTACACTCCTCATCGTTTCGTTTCTAGAGAATCTCATTAATCAAGGTTGATTAATTGTATCTTGGTTGTGGATTGATAAGGTGCAGCAAGAGTCAATGGATGCTATGGGAACAATAAAAATAAAAGCTGAGAACTGGGAAATTCTCCCAAAATACAAGCAAATGATAGATTAAAAGTATGAAAGAAAAGTTAATACACCTGAAGAATATATCCAGAAATTCTATATTCTGTTTCATATGCATTCCAGGTAGAGAAAATTGAGAGAATAGAGGATAGGCATGAAATAATATAAGAGAATATCCCTTAATGGCAAGGAAGAGAGATTTTTGCTTTAAGCTTGGAAGGGTGTTTCGAGAGATTTGCAGTGGATAGTGTGGATTTCTGGTAATAAAAATTTAAAAGCTTAATTATGTCTTATACTTTTAAATTCAATTTGTGAATATTGTTATTCTAAGTCTAGCAAATTTTAACACTCATTTTTAAGGAGTCTTTAATGTTTGAATATAATCTTAAATAATTAGATTTCCCTTTAAGCATTTCATATTATTTTTTTTGTGGGAGACTGGAGTTTTATTATTACTCGTATCAGTCTCCCCGAGTATTCAGGGATCAGAGTTTTTAAGGACAACTTGGTGGGCGAGGAGAAGCCACCAAGGAGTGCTGATTGGTCAGGTCAGAGGTGAAATCATAGGGAGTTGAAGCTGTCTTCTTGCACTGAGTCAGTTCCCAGATTGGGATCAGATGAGCCAGTATATCAATGTGGGTGGTGCCAGCTGATCCATCAACTGCAGGGTCTGCAAAATATCTCAAGCACTGGTCTTAGGCTTTACAATAGTGATTTTTACCCCCAGGAGCAATTTGGGGAGGGTCAGAATTTTGTAGCCTCTAGCTACATGACTCCTAAAACATAATTTCTAATTTTGTGGCTAATTTCTTAGTCCTATAAAAGCAGTCTAGTCCCCAGGCAAGAAGGGGGTTTGTTTTGGGAAAGGGCTGTTATCATCTTTGTTTCAACCTATAAACTACAAGTTCCTCCCAAAGTTAGTCGGGCCTGCAGCCAGGAATGAACAGCTTGCAGGTTAGAAGCAACTTGGAGTTGGTTATGTCAGATCTCTTTCACTGTCTCAGTTATAATTTTGCAATGGCAATTTCAATCCCAAAAAACCCTTTGGGTTTTATAACACCTCATCTTAAGGTGTTGGCTAATGAAGATAGAAAAAGGGCAAAGACCATTGTAACTTCTTCCTGTTGACCAGGGGCGTGTGGGGGTAGGTGTTGACCCCAAGGTGAAAGGAGTGGAACCACTTTGCAACTGTCAAAGCATACTCATGCAGTCCTGGCTGAGATTCCAAGGCTTGCATGATAGAGGCATTAGTATTGTCAACTATAGTTTTAGTACCACATTTAAGGAAACAGCATACTATAAGGTAAATAATGAGTACCAGAACAAGGAATGCAATTCCCAGTTTTAAAAGTAAAGATTTGAAAGCATTAGTTTGGGAACTTGTAGCCTGCCAAGAATTTAGAATTTAGGCCAAACTGCTGGAAAAACTCAAGTACAGCTAACAACAGGTATACTATAATTTTTTGAAACATACTTTTTCTCTCTCCAGTCCCTGTTTTTATTAAAAACAAATCATGGGCAAGGCGGGGTGACTCATGCCTGTAATCCTAGCACTTTGGGAGGCCGAGGTGGGCAGATCACCTTAGGTCAGGAATTCGAGACCACCCTGGCCAACATGGCGAAACCTCATCTCTACTGAAAATACAAAAATTAGCCGGGCATGGCGGCACGCACCTGTAATCCCAGCTACTTGGCAGGCTGAGGCAGGAGAATCGCTTGAACCCGGGAGGTGGAGGTTGCAGTGAGCCGAGATCACGTGACTGCACTCTAGCCTGGGTGACAGAGTGAGACTCCATCTCAAATAAAACCAAAAACCAAAAAACACACAAAAACAAATCATGATAGGACAGATGTGTTTACAAAATAAACTTTAGTCTTATTATACTTGACCTGATTATTTGCATAAAGTGCAGCAAGAATACTTATTTTCCACATAGGCTTTTAAAGTTGGCTTTGATGGAACTCTGTTCCATAAGGACTCTCAGAGAAGACTTTTTTAAAGCTGAGCCTAGCCATGGGTTTGTACTCTCAAATACTTAGAAGTTGGGTAAATTCCTCTCCTCTTGAGATACCAAGATAACTCGGGGTTTTTGAGCCTGTTAGAAAGTGACATTCTTTACTTACCACAGGTCAGGAACCCTGTACAGGGACTGCACAGACAGGGTATGAGGCCAGTTTTCCCAAGGGGTAGGTATTGGCTCTACAAGTCAGATTTGATTCCTTAAAGGAAAGCATACCATTCCAGCCAAGCTTTGGTATACTAACCAGTTTCTCTGATGGTGCTCTGTTGCAAAAGAAAACATTCTTATTGCACTTATGCCAATAACTATATTGCCATAAGTTAAGAATACTCACAAATAGTTTCCAAATTCTAGAGAAAGCAGTTAGAGAGAAATACATACGCTCCAAATTTTGTTTATAGGAGTATACTTTACTCAATTGTTAAAAGCTGTAAATAGCTTAAAAGAAAAGTTTACTTGGCTCTGAAAAACAAAAAGGATCAGCAATGTTTTTAGCAAAAAGTCAAAAAGGATTACTTCAGTCTTATATTGGTTCAGTCCACGCAGTTAACTTCTGTTCTGCTTCATATTCATGAACATTTCAGCACTCCATGAGAGTTCTGAAAGTTTTGCTCTATCCTAATGTCACAATCTCCAAAGTTATCAGAAACCTGCATTTAAGAACACCTGTTAGAGTTGTATAGCTGATTATAAAATCACCATTTAAAGAGGAACAGACCAAAATAATAATTGTCTATAGATGACAAAAAGTGTTAGGGCAGCCACAGTCAAAGACACAATTGACAAGGAAATGTGTTACCTCTGTAGCACACAATAATTTCACATAACGCAACACTTATAATTATTACTGATACCATAGACTGAGTTATATCAGAATTATAGGAGTTTCACATAATTTTGGAACATATACCAATAACACATTTACATAAACATAGCCCAAAGAAAGCCAAACACCATTTCTTATTTGGCAATGCTTACTGTATTATTTTTATACCAAATAAGCCAAATATATCACTTTTGGACTTTAGAGGACATAATATCTAAAAGATTAATTATGTCAGAAAAAGATATATTTTATAATTTGGTTTTGGAAAGTTTGTCAAATATCAAAGGTTTGAAACACTGGATATGACAAAATAGAATCCCAGGTCACTGTAAGTCATTCATTAGCTAAAATGGTAACTCCAAAATTTTTAAAAATAAAAACCTTTACTCTGATAGGAGATTTAGCTTTCCAAACAACAAGATCCAATGAAGACAGGATGAAGCCAACTGAATCTGTTTGTCCTCTCTCCCCTCCCTTTTTTTTGGAGTTTACTCAAAAGGCAAACAAAAATCTTTCATTTCCTCTCAATACTACATAAAAATTTTTCAAAAGAGGAAACCAAATTTCATGTTTGCATTAGTGCATCTTTAATGCTTAAGCTAGGTTTTAATAAAATTTTATAAATCTATCCAGTTTTAATTAGTTTGACCATAAAGTAAGATTTGCATAAGCTTTTTAGAGCCCTTTATAATTTTCTGTTAAACAGCAGATTAATTTTCTAAACAAACTCTGCTATTTAGACACATGGGCCCAGCCCTGCATTAGTGTACTTCTACTTTAACATTCAATCTACAGAAAAAAGTTAAATAATCCCCTTCAAATCCTAGCCAACTTGCTCATGCCCACAGAACTTTCTGCAAAAGATCAAGCCTTCATAAACCCTTTTCAACTTGCTTAAACCTTCAGTTTTGTCCCATTACTCTTATAGTTTAAGACAATCTTTAAAACCCTCTGAACTAGACAAAATTACATTCCCTTTAACAAAAACCATATTCCCATGTCTTCTTTCATCTTTTACCAAAAACACATTCTACTTTCCTTACGTACCTTGTATATAAAACTGTTTCTCCAGTAGTCTCAACTATGTTAACTCTTAGGAACTTTTATTTTTTACGAGAAACCTGATAAGCAAGCGGTTTTAATTATGTACTAAATGTGGAGCCTAGGACATCAGACAGAAGTGCAGACAAGGCCTGACTCCTTCCAGCATAGCTAGGGGGGCATGGCTAATTTCACATGTCCCCAGGCCTTATCTAGAGTCTCTAATGGCTCCAAAGTAGGTAAGTCGAACAATTTTCAAAAGTCAAAGAAGCAGTTTATGAACTTAAAGCATTTAGCAAACCTGATATCTGACCTAATTTAGATCAAATGTCTAAATTTTGAAGACATGTTTATTTTACCAAAAATAATTAAAACTGTCTTTATTTCTGAAAGATTACCAAAGTCACATGAAGAAGAAGGCATTAAAAAGTTTCTATTTTTCTGACAAAATATTTGATTTAAGTGCTTATTTTTCTAAGCCAATTAGTCAGAACTCTTTTATCTAAACATCACACACCCTACACATATAAATACACAGACAGAAGATCCAGTAGTTGTAAGATTTTTCATTTGCCAGTTTCTTAGTTGGATTACTAGCTTCAGGGTGGAGCCCTTGGAGGAACAGGCCAGGAAAGCACACAGCTTTTAGGGCCTAATAAGTAGGCACAGATGGAAGGAAAAATATAACCCCCAAATTAAGGGTGCCATTTTTATGCTGCATCCTGGATCCCCCCAAAAGAGGGAAATACTACAGGAGAAGACAGTGCAATGCTTCTACTGTGCATTTCATTGCAAAGCAACCCAAAGCCAATCAGCCCATCCCCCATGGGAATCTTATCTCTTAGTGGAGGGTGGAGATATTTTCATACCTTCCAGGTAGCCAAGAGCATGCTTCTCTAATCCAAACATCAAAGAGTCAAGCATGCCTTCTAACTGCTATTAGCCATCCCTTTAAGTATATTTCCTACCTGGTTATTACACACCAAGGCTAAAAGCTGTCCCATAATGCAATGTAATTTTTGACACCCCCCCCCCCCCAAAAATAGAAAATGTTAGGCAACGTAGTGTAAAACAGAACAGAGCCTTAGATTTTTGAGAAGGGTTTATTCTCTTTCAATTCCTGGGGTTCCATGAGGAAAACAGAAGTTTTTCCTAGAATGGAGTCTGTGGCACCTCCTCTGTTTTTCCCCAAGAGTCCTAGGCTGTTAGAATTTATCTTAGGTTCTCTCATGTGGGCATCAAGAGTGGTAAGAAGACAAAATGGAGAAAAACAATTCAGTCAGCTGTGAAGAAAAATAAGATCCAAGAAGAGAAAAAATCATAAAGGTCTTTTAAATATATTTATAGCTTGGATATCCACTTTTAATGAGCTGATCTTAACCACAGAGCTCTGTATTAGTTCATTTTCCTGCTGCTGATAAAGACATACCAGAGATTGGGCAATTTACAAAAGAAAGAGGTTTAACGGACTTACAGTTCCATATGGTTGGGGAGGCCTCACAATCATGGCAGAAGGCAAGGAGGAGCAAGTCACGTCTTACATGGATGGCGGCAGGCAAAGAAAGAATGAGAGAGAAGCAAAAGCGGAAACCTCTTATAAAACCATCAGATCTCGTGAGACTTATTCACTACCACAAGTATGGAATTCAAGATGAGATTTGGGTGGGGACACAGCCAAACCATATCAAGCTCTTTAAAAAAATTTTTTAAAAAATCTCCTATGCAACCATAGGCAAAATCTTCTTACTTTTGCAAAATGCTGCCCAATGAGCTGCATGAGAAACTGAATTAACATTTTCCATCCCAGCTGAAGCAAAATACACATAGCAAAACAGACACTAATCACCTCGTTCAGCACTCAGTATCCACCTGGCAAGGCTGAAACTTTCTCCCATTGGTCCCTGTTGTCTTTGATTCATTCCAGGTGGAGAGGGCCTCTGACTGGTAATTCAATGGGTGGTCTCTGGGCAAGACAAAGAGCGGACAGTCTCCCCAAGTCAGGCCTGTTGAACTTTCTTCAGGGCTCACTAAATGTGACCAGACTTTCCAAGTTAGGCCTGCTGAACTTTCATCAGCAATTCCTTCAGAGATCCCATCCATACATACAAACACACACACAACAAAGACAAGACAGAGAGAAGGTCTTCCAAACCAAGATCCCTAACCAAGAATTCCAGGAGTATCCCTTTGAAACTATCCTCCTATTCTCCATCTGAGAAATCTCCCCGAAATCTTCCTGATTGAGAAGTCTCCTGAACCAAGACTCTTCCTAAGAATTAGGGAGAGCCAACTGAGACCCCTCAGAAGCTGAGAGAAGACAGACACCCCACAATGGGGCTACAGACAAACCAGGACCCCTGAAGGAGCGGAACCGAGACAGACACCCCACAAGGGTCCTAGAGACAGACACCCCACTATGGGGCTACAGAAAAACTGAAACCCCTGAAGGAGCCAAACCAACTGGGAGAAGGAAAGAGGTGTTGGCAGCACCTAGGATATTTACCAATCCAGACACCCTGTAATGGGGCTACAGCTATAGATACTCCATGACATGACTGAGCTACAGACAGACACCCTATAATAGGGCTACAGTTACACACACCCCACCATGGAGCTACAGGCAGACACCCTGTGATAGAGCTACAGTTATAGGATGTTTTCCCAGGACTCTTTCTCTATTGCAATTAAATCCACGCACATTGGGTCAGCAGCACCCCTCCAGTAGAGACAGTACCAGAGTCAGCCCCCAGTCCAAGAGAACTAGGAGGCCTCAGGATCCATTGCAGGAGGCAGACTACTGAACCATGGGTAAGTTGCCACAAGGGCAATGCTGGACTAGCCCCCAAATTTGTAACTACTCAATGGGTTCACCTTGCCTGCTGCCTAGACAGAGCTGATTTATCAAGACAGGGTAATTGTAATAGAGAAAGAGTAATTCACGCAGAGCCGGCTATGCAGGAGACCAGAGTTTTATTTCTCGTATCAGTCTCCCCTTTAAGCATTTTAAACTGTATTTACGAATTAAATATTCTAACATTCTTCTTAAGTACTTCAATTAACTCATGAATCCTCCCAAGTTCTTATGTAATTCTTAGAAATCTAATTTATTAAACTTATAAGTTAATTTATTAAACTTATAAATGTGATGAAACTTAAGTTTTCTTAAATATTCAAATACTGGGTATAAACTTAATGAGATTTCATAAAATCACAGGCCTAAGTTTGTTACTGAATTGCACATTGATAAATTGGGTTTATAAAACTAATCTGAATAGAAAAAAATCATTTTGAAAATTACAAATACCTAAAATGGTAAACATACAAAATTCCTTAACAGAAAATATCAGCATTGTGGTCTTGATTCTCTTAAACATTTCTGTATTTAATTCTAAGTCTTTCTCTGTTAAAACAGCCTTGCTTTAAGAAAGTGATTTGTGGCCGGGCGCGGTGGCTCACGCCTGTAATCCCAGCACTTTGGGAGGCCGAGGCGGGCGGATCACGAGGTCAGGAGATCGAGACCATCCTGGCTAACACGGTGAAACCCCGTCTCTACTAAAAATACAAAAAATTAGCCGGGCGTGGTGGTGGGCGCCTGTAATCCCAGCTACTCGGGAGGCTGAGGCAGGAGAATGGCATGAACCCAAGAGGCGGAGCTTGCAGTGAGCCGGGATAGCGCCACTGCAGTCCAGCTTGGGCGAAAGAGTGAGACTCCGTCTCAAAAAAAAAAAAAAAAAAAAAAAAAAGAAAGTGATTTGTTTATGGCAGGTAATGTTGGGGAGTACCTAGGCAGCTGGTGAGTTATTAGACCCAGGGGTACTGAATGGGATAGGATTCTTGACAGTGACCATAATGGCATATCTGAAACTCATTACAGTCACATATCAAACCCTTTGCATAGGTTGTGTTCCAGCCTTCTATGTACAGGGTGTGCACCTTCCTGAGTTGGAGTTATAATTAACCTGTCTTTGCTGCCTACTCATGAAAAATCTGCAACTCCCACCCAGGATGTCATGTCACTTGATGAGATATTTTTTAATTCTTTAGCTTTTAAGAAACTTAAACAGATTTTATTCTAAGTCTAAAGCCTTCTGAACGTGATGCAATCCTGAATTTTTTTCCAAATATGCTGCCTGTCTCATAGGACTACTTAATTTTTATAGCTATTAAGGATGATAACCTAATGAATTCTAGGTCGCCCTCTTTTATTTTAATTATTTATTCTTGATTCTTTTATATTTTTTACTTTTATTTGTGTTTGATTTATAAAATGTGTAAAATAATATATTATTTTATTTTTACGGCTCTAGAAATCTATAAGAATTTCTAACAATTATGTTTACATGTTTAAGTATTATTATCATAATACTAATTTAATCCTATGCTAAGAATTTTAAAACTTTTTAAATTTTTAATTATTATGAGTTCAGAATAGTTGTACATACTTATGGGGTGCATGTGATGTTTTGATACAGGCATATAATATGTAATGATCAAATCTGGGTAACTGGGGTATCCATCACCTCAAACTTTTATCATTTCTTTGTTTTGAGTATATTCCAATTCTACTCTTTTAGATATTTTAAAATATACAATAAATTATTGTTAACTATAGTTGCCCTATTGTGCTACCAAACACTAGATCTTATTCCTTCTACCTACTTGTATTTTTGTACTCATTAACCATCCCCACTTTATCCTACCCTGCAACCTCATTACCCTTCCCAGCCTCTGGTAACCATCATTCGGCTCTGTGCCTCAATTAGTTCTCTTTCAAAGGTAATTCAACCAACAGCTCTGAGATTGGACGTCAGTATTTCTTAATGCCTTTAACCTTTAATGCCTTAAAGTTGGGATGACATATATTTCTTGAGTGTGTATATGAGTTGTGGGAAGAATTATGATGGTTAAGGAAATGTTCAAATGGAGGTGAAACAGTGCTCCTTATCTGAGTCCTCTCATGATCTTGGGCTGTTCTGCCTATTTTCACATCTTCTAAAGGGAGGATTAAAGATTTCAAGTAAAAAGCTGAAAGTGTAGGCCAAATAACACCTGATTTGCTGATCTGTGCCTGAGGCCCAAATACATACAGCCTCTAAAACATACAGGAATAAGCTCACCCACGTAATTAAGGGGCTTAGCAGTTTAGGATGGAACAACCCTCTTTCATCGGCTCAGAAACTGACGCAGCTTCCTTTTGCCTCTGATACCAAGTCTAAATTAATTAACATTATTCTCAAAGCTTAGACTATTTGGGTATCAAATCAAATCAAATAATGTCAATTGCATGTGATTCAATGTATAGTTATGTGCTCATCTTATGTTCTTAACATAAGGCTTTTACCAATCAGGCTGACTTGTTCTCTGTTCTCCCAAAACATTTTATTTTAATTCCCATATCTATGTTGAATTAACCGCCCTCTCTTCCTTCAACCTATCAGCTTAATTCTGAAGATTCTTTATGGCCAAATTCCAAACCTTTCCCTCCTACTACTTCATACTGCTCTCTTCTGTCTATAAATTCCTAGAGCAGAGAGCCTGGGGAATTACTGGATCATATGCTGTTTAGTCCTCTAATTATCCCTATCCATAAATTCTTCTCACTGCATTATAATTCCCTAAAGAGAAACATATTTCTTTGGTCTCTATTATAGCACCTAAGGAATCTTTCTTAACATGTAGTATTGAATAGGGAGCTCTAGGTGCAGAAAGAAGAGAGAAAGTATAAGGAAGATATTATCAATATGTCCTAAGATGTTGTCTGTAGGTGAAGACCCTGAGACTGGAGAGTTAGTGACTTGTCCAAGAGCAAGCAGTTAGTGGCCAAGCCCATCATCAGAGGTAAGTCTCCAGGCACCGTAAGTGCGGGCTCTTTCCACTTCAGCGGTTAGACTATTGCATAGTGAATGGCTCAGTTCCTTCTCAGATGGACCTGCCTTATTCTGAGGACCATCTGTCTTCATACCCCCACCTCTCTTCCTGTGTCCCATTCAGAGGAAGAAATGCCAGCTTCTGTTCAAATATCTCTGGTATTTGATTCTAGTCAGAGATTCAGGAAAGGGAGGATCACCACCAGGACAGTGATGGCCAGGGCACACGAGACTCCCCAGAATAAGATACCTTCCCCACTTCTCACTTCTCAAGATATGTGTCTAAAATATATTCCGTCTCTATTGTGTGTATAGTACGGAGGATGACTGAGGACTGACGATATTGCGGAATAGGCTGAACAGTGAAAAAGACAAGAGCGATGATGCTGCCCTCTAGTGGCAGAGTGTAGAAACACAACTCATAAGCAAACACCAAGTTCACATCCTAAAAGAAGCGTCCTTCACCCCAAGAAGTCAGACCACAAAAATAGTTAGAGGTAGAGTTTGAGTTATTTTAAAAAATCTTAGGTTTTAATTTATTAGTACTTTAATCCATTGTTATGGGTAAAATTGTGTCTGTCCCCCACAAATTTCATATTTTGAAGTCCTAACCCCCAGTACCTTAGAAGGTGATCTTATATGGAAATATGATAATTCCAGATCAAATTAGTTAAGATGAGGCCATACTGAAGTAGGGTAGTTTCCAATTTAATATGCCTTATGTCTTTATAAAAAATAAAAATTTGGACACACACACACACACACGTGGAAAACACCATATGGACATAAAGGAAGAGATTGGAGTGATATGTCTACAAGTCAAGGAATGCCGAAGTTTGGCAGCATACTATCAGAAGCTAACTAAGAGGGAGGCATGGAACAGATTCTCTCTAACACCTTGAAAGGGAGCATGGCCCTGACAATACCTTGATCTGGAATTTCTAGCCTCCAGAACTGTGAGACAAATTTCTGTTGTTTAAGCTGCTCCGTTTGTGATACTTTCTTATAGCAACCTTAGCAAACTCAAACAACCCCATTACTTTACATTAGTTTTAAGCTTAATGTTTTTAGATTTCAGAATAAAGCATGGAAAATGGTACACTGAGGGCAATACGGCAAATGCCAGGGATGAAGATATTATCTACCCCAAGTTTTATTACCAGCCATAAAATGCATTATCTTTGTTGAGAAACTTACTGACAACTTGGCTTAGTTATACATTTATACTATTTTATGGGCTCACCAGGTTGGCAAGTGTCCTTAACCAGTATTTTTGTCATTCCAACATTCCTCTGGGAGGCAATGTTTATACTTGTAAATCATTTATTAACTAGTGACTTCTGCATTGTTGTCTTTGGTGTCTTCTAATGTTTTATACGCTTGCTAACTAGATCACAAACTCGTTGAGTATCCTTGAATATCATACATTATTATTAAGCTTTCTGGGGATTATGGGCCTTCATATCCTGTAAAATGCATGGTTCTTATTGCAGAATGGCCCCTGTATTAGTTCTCCAGAGAAACAGAACCAATATACAAATGTAGGCTTGAGGGGAGGATTTTAAGGAATTGGCACAAGTGGCTGTAGAGGCTGACAAGTCCCAAACCTGTGGTACTTTCTTAGAGCAGCCTTAGCAAACTAATACAATCTTATTACTTTAACATTAGTTTTAAGCTTCATGTTTTAGAATTCAAAATAAGGCATGTATTTGAGACAACAGGCTGGGAAGAGTTGATGTTACAGTTCAAGCCCAGAGGAATTCCTTCTTCTTTGGGAAAGGTTAGCCTTTTTTTATTAAGGCCTTCAACTGGGCTGGGCATGGTGGCTCATGTCTGTAATCCCAGCACTTTGGGAGGCCAAGACGGAAGGATTGCTTGAGCTCAGGAATTCGAGACCAGCCTGGCAATATAGGCAGCCTGTGTCAAAAAAAAAAAAAAAAAAAAAAATTAGCCAGTGCCAATAGTCTCAACTACTCGGGAAGCCTGGGCGATTGAAGCTGTGATGAGATGATTGTACCACTGCACTCCAGCCTGGGTGACTGAGTGAAAACTGTGGAAAAATAAAAAAATTAAAAAAAAGGCCTTCAACTGATTGTATAATGATATGGTTTAGATGTGTGACCCCTTCAAATCTCATGTTGAAATGTGATCCCCCATGTTGGAGGTGAGCCTATACGGAGGTATTGGATCAGGGGGCAGATCCCTCATGAATGGCTTAGCACAACCCCCTTGGTGATAGTGAGTTCTCTGAGTGCGTGAGATCTTGTTTCGGAGGGTATCACCTCTCCTGCTGTCACTCTAGCTCCTGCTAGCTCCATGTGACATGCTGGCTCCCTGTCGTCTTCTGTCATGATTGTGAGCTTCCTGAGGCTCTCACCGGAAGCTGAGCAGATGTTGGCACCGTGCTTCTTGTACAGCCTGCAGAACCATGAGTCAATTAAACCTCTTTTCTTTATCAGTTACCCAACCTCAGGTATTCCTTTATAGCAACACAAAAATGGCCCAATACAGATGAGGCCCACCCACATTACCAAGGGTAATTCACTTTACTCAAAGTCTACTGGCTTAAGGCTGGGCAAGAGTAGCTCACACCTGTAAACCCAACACTTTGAGAGGCCGAGGCAGGTGGATCACATGAGGCCAAGAGTTCGAAGCCAGCCTGGCCAACGTGGCAAAACCCTGTCTCTACTAAAAAATACAAAAATTGCTGGGCATGGTGGTGCATGCCTGTAGTCCCAGCTAATCAGATAGCTGAGGCATTAGAATCACTTGAGCTGGGGGCGGAGTTTGCGGTGAGCCGAGATCATGCCACTGCACTCCAGCCTGGGCAATAGAGCGAGAGTCTGTCAAAAAATAAAAAAAATCAAAATCCAAAAAGTCTACTCACTTAAATGTTAAGTGTTAATTCTCATCTATAAAATACTTTCATCTTCATCTCTGATCTAGGAGGACATTCAAGACCCAGGCTCCTTTTGTTTGATCGTTCTACCATTTTTTGAGATGTCCATGTCGGCATTCAAGACTATAGAAGGGGAAAATAGAGTGGCTGGAATTTCTAATGTGATGTGTAATTTCTACTGTGATCTGGAAATCTGGAAGGTGCAATCATCCTTTCTGCCTATTTTCCAATAGCCTAAACTTAGTCATATAACTACACTTTGCTTCAAGGGAGGCTGGAAATAATCGTGACTTGCTTGCAGGCCATTAGCTCCCCTGAAATTAAAGTTCTTTTTTTTTTTTTTAAAGAAGGAAAGGATAGATCGTAGGTTATTTGGTAGTCTCTTCCAAAACACTCAGGCAAATTAATAACATCCAAAATTTGAAAATCTTGAACAAATGAGATGATCAGGGGAATCATCAGTGGAAAATAAGGAATTTTATAAATGAGGTAAAGCTTCAGCTCAGCATTAGGATTTTAATTCAGTTTATTAGAACTTCTGTTACCAGGCTATTTGTAAATTAGAGAAAATGTAAGAGACAATGTTAACAAAATTAAATAAAAAATACCTTCACAAAAAATCTGAATAAATTTTGACCAAATATCTGAATACTATGGCCAAGCCAAGTTGACACATAAAATTAATCATCACAGCCTCC
The DNA here is from genome assembly GCF_000001405.40 of Homo sapiens. Taxonomy (NCBI): domain Eukaryota; kingdom Metazoa; phylum Chordata; class Mammalia; order Primates; family Hominidae; genus Homo; species Homo sapiens. The sequence goes on from NC_000003.12 coordinate 100,593,947, forward strand.
AGTGAATCCTGCCATCTTGAATTTGTGCTTTTTGTAGCATGAATCTGGACTGGTCTTGTGATCATTGGTTTTTAAAATTTTTTATGGATACATAATGGTTATGCATGTTTATGGAGTACATATGATATTTCGACACAAGCATGTAATGTGCAATGATCAAATCTAGGTAGTTGAAATATCCATCATCTCAAACATTTATCATCTGTTTGTGTTGGAAACATTCTAAGATGATTCTTCTAGTTATTTTAAAATACATGATAAATTATTGCTAACTATAGTTGCCCTATTGTGCTACTGAGCATTAGATTTTATTCATTCTATCTAATCATATTTTCGTACTCATTAATCAACTCCTCTTTATCTCCCCCTCCCCACTACCCTTCCCACTCTCTGGTAACCACCATTCTACTCTCTACGTCCATGAGATCAATTGTTTTAGCTTGCACATGAGTAAGAACTTGTCACATTTGTCTTTCTGTGCCTGACTTATTTTACTTAACGTAATGTCTGCCAGTCTCATCCATGTTGCTGCAAATGACAGGATTTTATTTATTTTTTTATCTTAAGGATGCTGAATGGCTTAAGAGTCACTGTTATTTTCTTTTATTGATTTATTGATTTCAATTGTGATATAGATCATTAGTTTTCTATTAGGTTTTTTATTATGGTCATATGGCTTTATAAAGCAATGCTATTCAACTGATGTTCTGCAACATAAAGGGGAATTGGTTTATTGTGGCTTTTGATGTTTCTAGAAATATTAATTTTGGTATAATGATTCACTTCCTTTTAAAATAATTTTTCCATAGGTTATTGGGGATACAGGTGGTATTTGGTTACATGAGTAGGTTCTTTAGTGGTGATTTGTGAGACTTTGGTGCACCCATCACCCAAGCAGTGGACACTGCACCCTATTTGTAGTCTTTTATCCCTTGCCCCCACTTCCACCCTTCCAAGTTCCCAAAGTCCATTGTGTCGTTCTTATGCCTTTGTGTCCTCATAGCTTAGCTCCCATATATCAGTGAGAACAAACAATGTTTGGCTTTTCATTCCTGAGTTATTTCACTTAGAATAATAGTCTCCAATCTCATCCAGGTTTCTGCAACTGCCATTAATTCATTCCTTTTTATGGCTGAGTAGTAGTCCGTCGTATATATCTACATCACAGTTTCTTCATCCGCTCGTTGATTGATGGGCATTTGGTTTGATTTCATGATTTTGCAATTGCAAATTGTACTGCTGTAAACATGCATGTGCTGCAAATTGTGCTGCCATAAACTTCTGTGTGTGAGTATCTTTTTCATATAATGACTTCTTTTCTTCTAGGTAGATACCCAGTAGTGGGATTGCTGGATCAAATGGTAGTTCTACTTTTAGTTCTTTAAGGAATCTCCATACTGTTTTCCATAGTGATTGTACTAGTTTACATTCCCACCAGCAGTGTAGAAGTGTTTCAGTTTCATTCTCCTACATGTGGCTAGCCAATTATCACAGCACCGTTTGTTGAAAAGGGTGTCCTTTCCCCACTTTATGTTTTTGTTTGCTTTGTCAAAGATCAATTGGCTGTAAGTATTTGGGTTTATTTCTGGGTTCTCTATTCTGTTCCATTGGTCTATGTGCCTATTTGTATACCAGTACCATACTGTTTTGGTGACTGCATCCATGCCAACATCTACTGTGTTTTCATTTTTAAATTATGGCCATTCTTGCAGGAGTAAAGTGGTATTACAGTGTGGTCTTGATTTGCATTTTCCTGACCATTAGTGATGTTGAACATTTTTTCATATGTTTGTTGGCCATTTGTATATCTCCTTTTGAGAATTGTCTATTCCTATCCATAGCCCACTTTTTGATGGGACTGTTTGTTTTTTTTCTTACTGATTTGTTTGAGTTTGTTGTAGATTCTGGATATTAGTCCTTTGTCAGATGTATAGATTGTGAAGATTTTCTCCCACTCTGTGGGTTGTCTGTTTACTCTGCTGACTGTTCCTTTTGCCGTGCAAAAGCTGTTTAGTTTAATTAAGTCCCAGCTATTTATCTTTGTTTTTATTGCATTTGCTTTTGGGTTCTTGGTCATGAAATTCTTGCCTAAGCCAACGTCTAGAAGGATTTTTCCAATGTTATCTTCTAGAATTTTTATAGTTTCAGGTTTTAGGTTTAAGTTCTTAATCCATCTTGAGTTGACTTTTGTATAATGTGAGAGATGAGGATCCAGTTTCATTTTCCTACATGTGTCTAGCCAATTATCCCAGCACCATTTGTTAAAAAGGGTGTCCTTTCCCCACTTTATGTTTTTGTTTGCTTTGTCAAAGATCAATTGGCTGTAAGTATTTGGGTTTATTTCTGGCTTCTCTATTCTGTTTCATTGGTCCGCGTGCCTAATTTTATACCAGTACCATACTGTTTTTGGTGACTATGGCCTTATAATATAGTTTGAAATCAGGTAGTGTGATGCCTCCAGATTTGTTCTATTTGCTTAGTCTTGCTTTGGCTATGCAGGCTCTTTTTTGGTTCCATATGAATTTTAGAATTGTTTTTTCTAATTCTGTGAAACATGATGGTGGTATTATGATGGGGATTGCGGTGAATTTGTAGATTGCTTTTGGCAGTATGGTCATTTTTATAATATTGATTCTACCCATCCATGACCATGGGATGTGTTTCCATTTGTTTGTGTTGTCTATGATTTCTTTCAGCAGTGCTTTGTAGTTTTCCTTGCAGATGTCTTTTGCCTCCTTGGTTAGGTATATTCCTAAGTATTTTATTTTATTTTATTTTATTTTATTTTATTTTATTTGCAGCTATTGTAAAAGGGGTTGAGTTCTTGATTTGATTCTCTGCTCAGTTGCTGCTGGTGTATAGAAGAGCTACTGATTTGTGTATGTTAATCTTGTATCTGGAAACATTGCTGAATCATTCCATCAAGTCTAGGAGCTTTCTGGAGGAGTCTTTAGGGTTTTCAAGGTAAACGATCATATGGTCAGCAAACAGGGAGAGTTTGACTTGCTCTCTACCAATTTGGATGTCCTTTATTTCTTTCTCTTGTTTGATTGCTCTGGTTAGGACTTCCAGTACTGTGTTGAAGAGGAGTGGTGAGAGTGGGCATCCTTGTGTCGTTCCAGTTTTCAGAGGGAATGCTTTCAACTTTTCTCCATTCAGTATTATGTTTGCTGTGGATTTGTCATAGATGGCTTTTATTATATTGAGGTATGTTTTTTGTATGCCGATTTTGCTGAGAGTTTTAATCATAAAGGGATGCTAGATTTTGTCAAATGCTTTTTATGCATCTATCGAGATGATCATGTGATTTTTGTTTTTAATTCTGTTTATGTAGTGTATCACATTTATTGACTTGTGTATGTTAAACAACCCCTGCATCCCTGGTATGAAATCCAGTTGATCATGGTGGATTATCTTTTTAATATGCTGTTGGATTTGGTTAGCTAGTATTTTGTTAAGGATTTTTGCATCTATGTTCATCAGGTATATTGGTCTGTAGTTTTATTTTTTCATTAAGTCCTTTCTTGGTTTTGGTATTAGGGTGATACTGGCTTAATAGAATGAATTAGGGAGGATTCCCTCTTCCTCTATTTTGTGGAATAGTGTCAAAAGTATTGGTACCAGTTCTTCTTTGAATGTCTGGTAGAATTCTGCTGTGAATCCGTCTGGTCCAGGACTTTTTTTGTTGGTAATTTTAAAATTACCATTTCAATCTCACCATTTGTTATTGGGCTTTCAGGGTATCTAATTCTTCCAAATTTAAGGTAGGACGGTTGTAATTTTCCAGGAATTTATCCATCTCTTTTAGGTTTTCTAGTTTATGTGCATAAAGGTATTCTTTGCAGCCTTGAATGATCTTTTGTATTTCAGTGGTGTTAGTTATAATATCTCCCATTTCATTTCTTAATGAGGTTATTTGGATTTTCTCTCTTCCTTTCTTGGTTAATATTGCTAATGGTCTATCAATTTTATTTATCTTTTCAAAGAACCAGCTTTTTCTTTCATTTCTCTTCTGCGGTCTTTTTTAAATTTCAATTTCATTTAGTTCTGCTCTGGTCTTGGTTATGTCCTTTCTTCTGCTGGGTTTGGGTTTTGTTTGTTCTTGTTTCTCTAGTTCCTAGAGGTGTGACCTTAGAATGTCAGTTTGTGCTGTTTCAGTCTTTTTGATGTAGGTGTTTAGGGCTATGAACTTTCCTCTTAGCATGGTCTTTGCTATATCCCAGAGGTTTTGATAGGTTGTGTCATTATTGTCGTTCAGTTGGAATAATTTTTAATTTCCATCTTGATTTTGTTTTTGACCCAATGATCATCAGGAGCAGCTTATTTAATTTCCATGTATTTGCATGGTTTTGAAGGTTCCTTTTGGAGTTGATTTCCAGTTTTATTGCACTGGGATCTGAGAGAGTGCTTGATTTAATTTCAATTTTCTTAAATTTATTGAGATTCATTTTGTGGCCTATCTTATGGTTTATCTTGGAGAAAGTTCCATGCACTGTTGAATAGAATGTGTATTCTGCAGTTGTTGGATGAAATGTTCTGTATATATCTGTGAAGTCCATTTGTTCCAAGGTATAGTTTAAATCCATTGTTTCTTTGTTGACTTTTTGTCTTGATGACCTGTCCAGTGCTGTCAGTGGAGTATTGAAGTCCTCCACTATTATTGTGTTGCTGTCTGTCTCATTTCCTAGGTCTATTAGTAGTTGTTTTATGAATTTGGGAGTTCCAGTGTTAGGTGCAAATATGTTTAGGATTGTGATATTTTCCTTTTGGACAAGGCCTTTTACCGTTATATAATGTCCCTCTTTGTCTGTTTTAACTGCTGTGCTTTAAAGTTTGTTTTGTCTGATATAATAGATACCCCTGCTCACTTTTGGTGTCCATTTGCATGAAATGCCCTTTCCCACCCCTTTACTTTAAGTTTATCTGAGTCCTTATATGTTAGGTGAGTTTTCTGAAGGCAGCAGGTGGTTGGTTGGTGAGTTCTTATCCATTCTGCAGTTCTGTATCTTTTAAGTGGAGCATTTAGGCCATTCACATTCAGTGTTAGTATTGAGGTGTGAGGTACCATTGCATTAATGATGCCATTGTTGCCTGTGTACCTTGGTTTTTTGTTTTTGCTTTTAAAATTGTGTTTTTGCTTTATACGTCCTGTGTGATTTATGCTTTAAAGAGGTTCTGTTTTGATGTGTTTCCAGGATTTGTTTCAAGATTTAGAGCTCCTTTTAGCAGTTCTTGTAGTGGTGGTTTGGTAGTGGCAAATTCTCTAGGCATTTGTTTATCTGAAAAAGGCTGTGTTTTTTCTTCATATATGATGCTTAGTTTTGCTGGATATGAAATTCTTGGCTGATAATTGTTTTGTTTGTGGAGGGTGAAGATAGGGCCCTTCTAGATTGTAGGGTTTCTACCGAGAAATCTGCTGTTAATCTGACAGGTTTTCCTTTATAGTTTACCTGGTGTTTCTGTCTCACAGCTCTTAAGATTCTTTCCTTCGTCTTAACTTTAGATAACCTGATGACAATGTGCCTAGGCGATGATCTTTTTGCAATGAATTTCCCATGTGTTCTTTGTACTTCTTATATTTGGATGTCTAGGTCTCCAGCAAGGTCAGGGAAGTTTTCCTCGATTATTCCCCCAAATATATTTTCCAAACTTTTAGATTTCTCTTCTTCCTCAGGAACACTGATTTTTCTTAGGTTTGGTCGTTTAACATAATCCCAGTCTTCTTGGAGTCTTTTTTTGTATTTTCTTATTCTTTTTTCTTTGTCTTTGTTAGACTGGGTAATTTGAAGACCTGAATTTCTTTCTTCTACTTGTTCAGTTGCATTGCTGAGACTTTCCAGAGCATTTTGCATTTCTCTAAGTGTGTCCAACGTTTCCTGAAGTTTTTCTTTATGCTATCTATTTCCTTGAATATTTCTCCCTTCACTTCTTGTACCTTGTTTTTGGATTTCCTTCATTGGGCTTTTCCTTTCTCTGGTACCTCCCTAATTAGCTTAATAACTAACCTCTTGAATTCTTTCTCAGATAAATCAGGGATTTCTTCTTGGTTTGGACCCATTGTTGGTGAGCTAGTGTGATTTTTGGGGGATATTAAAGAGATTTGTTTTGTCATATTACCAGAGTTAGTTTTCTGGTTCCTTCTCATTTGGGTAGGCTCTGTCAGGGGGAAGGTCTAGGGCTGAAGGCTGTTCAGATTCTTTTGTCCCATGGGGTGTTCCCTTGATGTAGTACTCTCCCCCTTTTCCTACGGATGTGGCTTCCTGTGAGCAGAGCTGTAGTGATTGTTATCTCTCTTCTGAGTCTAGCCACCCAGCAAGTCTACCCAGCTCCAGGTTGGTACTGGGGGTTGTCTGCACAGAGTCCTGTGATGTGAACCATCTATGGGTCACTCAGCCATGGATACCCGCCCCTGTTCTGGTGGAAGTGGCAGGGGAATGAAATGGACTCTGTCAGCGTTCTTGGCTTTGGTGGTTTAATGCTCTATTTTGTGGTGGTTGGCCTCCTGCCAGCACGTGGTGCTTTCCAGAGAGCATAAGCTATGGTAGTATGGAGAGGAACTGGTGGTGGGCGGGGCCTTGTAACTCCCCAGAGTATATGCCCTTTGTCTTCAGCTACCAGGGTGTGCAGGGAAGGCCCATCAGGTTGGGGCAGGGCCAGGCATGTCTGAGCTCAGACTCTCCTTGGGCATATCTTGCTTCAGCTGCTGTGGGGAATGGGGGTGAGCTTCCCAGGTCACTGGAGTTGCGTACCTAAGAGGATTATCACTACCTCTGTTGAGTCATGCAGGTTGTCAGGGAAGTGGGGAAAGCTGGCAATCACAGGCCTCACCCAGCTCCCACGCAATCTGAAGGGCGGTCTCACTTCCACCATGAACCCCCACAAACAGCCCCGAGTCTGTGTCCAGGCAGTGGGCAAGCAGGGCTTGAGAACTTGCCCCAGGCTACCTGCCTCCCAGCTTGGAAAGAAAAGGACTTTGGTTCTTCCCCTGCTTGTGGAGTCTGCATGCCGGATTCTTGTTCTGCCCCGAGTTCTGGCCAGGAGGCTTCTTGCCTGGTTCAAATTGTTACAAAGTTTAGCTAAAGATTTCCTTCTGTTTGTGGCATTTCCCCCCACACCTCTGGCTGCCCTCTTGAAGGATCCCTGTGGTGCCAGGCAAGAGTGGCCTACTTGGGGACCCGGGAAGCTCCCAGGGCCTTTCCCGCTGCTTGCTCTACCCCTGTATTTTGCTTGGCTCTCTAAATTGACTCAGCTTCAGGCAAGGTCAGAAACTTCTCCTGCAAACTAGACCCTTATTTTCCCCAGTGGGGGTATGTGTTCGGGAGCAGTGAATCTTCTTTTCCCACTTCGGCAGTTGGGGCACTCACAGCATTTGGGGGTCTCCTGGGTCCTGCAGGAGTAGTCTGCTTCCTTCAGAGGGTCTGTGGGTCCTCTTGGGATTCCTGGTTTGTTCTTGCAGTCGTTCTGCAGCTAAAATTCACAATACAAGCCTCTGCACACTGCTCTGTCTGTACAAGTCAGAGCTGTAAGCTAGTCCTGTCTCCTGTCCGCCATGATGATCAGAAACTCCCACCCTTTTACTTCTTAATAGTACTATGGCCTGTAAGATGCAGTGGAGGCGAGGTCTGCAGTTGCTTCTTAGCGACTGGATTATGCTCCTTTCTTGGGGGAGTGCATGTGGAGCCTGACTTCCTCTGCTGCCCCAGCTACAGCTGTTAATTGATTTCATTCTTTTTTTATGGCCCAATAGTATTCCATTGTGCATATCTACCACATTTTCTTCATCCATTCATCTGTTGATGGACAGTTAGGTTGATTCCATATCATGGCTATCATGAATAGTGCTGCAATAATCATGGGTGATTTCTCTGACCAAGAGAATATGGTAGAAGTGACACTGAACAAGTTCTGGTTGTAGAATGTAATGCCCAACCTTGTTTTTACTAACGCTGTTTTTAGACTCTCCCTTTCCTTTAATCACCTAGCCTTGTTTCCACCTGAATTGACTCTCCTTTAGCTAAGAGAGCCAGACAGACTCCATCTTGGCTCTTTCACTCGCAGCCCCTTCCTCAAGGACTTAACTTGTGCAAGCTGACTCCCAGCACATCCAAGAATGCAATTAACTGATAAGATACTGTGGCAAGCTATATCCGCAGTTCCCAGGAATTCGTCCGATTGATAATGCCCCAAGCCCCGCGTCTATCATCTTGTAATAGTCTTAAAGCTCCTGCACCTGGAACTGTTTACCTTCCTGTAACCATTTATCCTTTTAACTTTTTTGCCTACTTTACTTCTGTAAAATTGTTTTAACTAGACCGCTCCTCCCCTTTCTAAACCAAAGTATAAAAGAAAATCTAGCCCCTTCTTCGGGGCCAAGAGAACTTTGAGCATTAGCCGTCTCTTGGCCGCCGGCTAAATAAACGGACTCTTAATTCATCTCAAATTGTGGTGTTTTCTCTAACTCGCTCAGGTACAACAGACTGCCAGAGGTCTTATTTTCCACTGTTGCTGTCTTAGAATTCAACTGCTATGTGAAGAAGCAAGGTTATTCTGTTGAGGAGGCTTCAGGAAGAAAGAGGCCCTAGCGGAGAAAAGACTATGAGGTAAAGAAAGGTCCAGCTGACTTAGCCTTTCTAATCAACTAGCTAAGACCCAGACAGGTGAGAAAGGCCAACTTGGATTCTCCAGCTCCAGCTGAGCTTCCAGATGACTCAGCTAAATAAACATGAGGAACAAAGCTATCTCTGCAGAGTCCTGCCCAAATTGCATGGTCATAAGCAAATGAATGGTGATTGTATCTTAAATCCCTAAGTTTTGAGGTGACCTGTTGCGTAGCAATAAATAACTTACACTGATCATTTCATTAAATAATTATACTTTACTAAATGGAAAGAATTAGGATCCAGAATATTATCTTGTCAACATGTAAAGGATAGTGCTGTTTCACACAGGACATTGCAAATTTCAACCCATCTTGCTCAGATCAGCTTATGACTTCCTACTACTATTTTTAGGACTAGTGTTTATACGGGACTATTTCTCAGATGATTCTCTTGCTTAGTTACTACAAATTTGGGGTTTGCCTTTCACTTGAATTGGGCTTTCTAGAACGAAAAGAAGAAAATCAAACTATTTCCTACACTGTGCCTCTCAACTTAACCATGACTGTTTCTCTGCTCTTTTAATCTTTACTATACACCTCTGCCAACCAGCTCAGACTTTGGAGATGGAAAATGGAAGAAATAAAAGAGAAAGCGAAAAAGAAAGATAAAGGAAACGAATCTGCAGAGATAAACAGAGGAACTGATGTTCTCTAGAGCAAAATGAAGAAGTAAATTTGAAACTAAAAAAGACTTTCGGGAGTTCCTTTTCTTTCATCTTCTAGAGCACAGAGAGCTTCATTCAGGGTTACATGAATCAGAGTCCAGCATCTCCCATGGGCACATATTTTAGTTTCATGGACAATAAACTTCCACTAGTGTTAAATGAGTTACTTTCCACAAAATGATGCCTCCAGGAACCAATCAGCCCCGAAGATCCTATCTGGAACACCTGGCTCTGGGGAGAGTAGGAAGTTCCTAAGAACAAAGGGCTATAGAGAAAAGAAGATGCAAAGAAAGGTGCATGAGCCGGTGACTTCCTTTTGGCCTGGAAAAGCTTTTTGGATCCCTTTCTCCCTGCCCTCCCTTAACCACTAGGTGGAAACGGAGGGTGCTTTATTGTACAGATGTACTAAAGGATGAGTTTAAGGTTTCTCTGTTATTAGTAGCTCAGAGCTTCCAACAGTGAAGCAGCAGCAAAGGGCACTGGTGGTTTCCCAAGTGGAGACGCTCAGAGGCTCCGTCCTGAGATGGGGAAGTTGGGATTAGCCTTCATCAATGCTGCAGGAGGTATGATAAGCAGGTTTCTATGTTCTTAACTTTCCAGTGGGGTCACAGTGCAGGTTGTAGGGAAATAAAGGGGATTTCCGAGCCTCTTGACCCTTCCAGGTACAAGCTCATTAAAAACCTGCTAAAAAGAATAAGTGAATAAAATGAAACAAAAAAGAGTGGTTGTACAGACAACAGAAATATAGGCTCTTGATGAATTTTAGCAGGCTTTTCTGAAAATCTGGCTATCTTTAAGGCCATGAGTATTCCCATAAAGTAACAAATAAATGACCTATTAAACAAAATGCCATTTAATCTCTTACCATTTGCTACTTTGCTATAAACTTGATTCACTTCTTTTGGGAGAATTACCCCAGAGTAGTGGTTACCAAACTTCAGCAGACATCAACTCACTTGGAGGACTTGTTAAAACGCAGATTGCTGGGTGCCACCCCAGGATTTCAGATTCATTAGTTTTCTTATTTTGTTTAATGGATTATAATCTGTTATATGTATTATTTACTATTTTTAGGACTTACGTATAACATAATAAAATAATGTTATTTATTATAAACACTTATTATTTATAATAATGTTTATTTTTAAGCATTATTTATTTTGATGCTGAAATTGTCCACCATTTGATAATGGGGAGTCTTTTCAAGCTGGATTCTGTGTGTCCATTTGATATACACTCATTGTATCTTGCTTTCTGCACAAGATATTCCTGGCTCACCTATGACTTTCTCTGCTGCAGTCCTGGAATTAGCCATTTTCCAAGGAGCCATGTTACTCTTAGTGGAAACTTGTATTTACAAATCAAGTTCTGGGTTTTGGGTGTGCTCATTGTTAACAGGGTATCACTGCTTCCAGGCCAGAGCTAGAGAATAGGTGTATGTAAATATGTGATATATATAAAAAATATGTACAAATGTTCATGTGTGTTTATATAAACACACTTTTGTGTCTACATTTATTTATTGTTTATATATAATATATATTATTAGATATATTTAAAATATATAAAATATTCTCTTTCTCTTTGTATGTGTGTGTATATATATGTATATACATATACATATATGTATATGTATATACACGTGTATGTATATATGAGAATACATATATATATATTATGATTCATGTGGTACATTCAGTTCCAACGCAACACTATAGGTTTTTATGCTAAAGGCACAATAAAAATTATTTACTTCAAGTATTGGCAAAAGAAATAATATCACATCCCTTCCTTTGAAATACTTGAATTTGTTGTATTCGTCGTAACAGTTTTCCTCCTTTGCATGAGAAGTTCCTGACTTCATTCATGCATTTGTCTGACAGCCCTCTTTCCTGGAGGTATTGCTTCCTTCAGAATTAACGGCACGTAGCTTTTCTTTCTCTTTATTTCTGATGACCTGTTTTGAAATTCTCATGGAACTCCCATTATCTCCCCTTCCATGTTTGTAATGTCCTTCCCCTTCTCATCTATACAGGTGGGCAATGCAGCATGGGAAGTCAGAGCCAGAGCTCTGAAGGAGAAATTTGGCTCCCGGCATCCTCCTGTGCTTGCCTGTTTGATCCGTCATCCTCTTTGTAGCCAGTCTCTGAGCTCCACTAGCTCCACTACCACTGCCCATCCATGCGGGGACCCCCTTGGTTCTGTGTCTGGGCTCTGACTCCCTGTTTCAGGCGGCCACTCCGTGTGGACACCCTCCCCACTCAGCTCCGGCTCGGGCTTCCTGCACTGCATTGCTGGCCTGCCTAGATGCCCTCCTGACTGCTCTTGGTCCCTGAAGGCCACCCTCCTCTCCCTGCTCTGGCTTTGATTTTCTACCCAGGGTGCTCTCCTGCCCTGCTTGGTTGGGCTCTGTCTCTCCGTGACAGGTCACCCTCCCCTCCCCCCACCCTCATCCTATTGATGCCTTCTTTATCCTGCCTGGGCTCTGGCATCTCATGCTAGGTCTCCCTCTTATCAATGCTTGCCTGCCTGCCTGCCTGCCTGCCTGCCTGCCTTCCTTCCTTCCTTCTTTCCTTCCTTCCTTCCTTCCTTCCTTCCTTCCTTCCTTTCTTTCCTTCCTTCCTTCTTTCTCTCTCTCTCTCTCTCTCTCTCTTTCTTTCTTTCTTTCTTTCTTTCTTTCTTTCTTTCTTTCTTTCTTTCTTTCTTTCTTTCTTTCTTTCTTTTTTGAGACGGACTCTCTGTCTGTCGCCAGGCTGGAGTGTAATGGCGCCATCTCGGCTCACTGCAACCTCCGCCTCCTGGATTTAAGCAATTCTCCTGCCTCAGCCTCCCGAGTAGCTGGGATTACAGGCATGCGCCACCACACCCAGCTAATTTTTGTATTTTTAGTAGAGATGGGGTTTCGCCATGTTGGCCAGGGTGGTCTTGAACTCCTGACCTCAGGTGATCCGCCCACCTTGGCCTCCCAAAGTGCTGGGATTACAGGTGTGAGCCACTGGCCCTGGCCTATCAATGCTTTCTTTACCGCACTGGGGCTCTGACACCTACTCTGGGCCACTGCCCCACTCTACCCCTACCACAGACACCTGCCTTGTTCTTCCTCAGCTAATGACTTTAGAACTGAAATGTTCAGGAAGGGAAGGCCTCAACTGGATTGTTTAAAATATAAAGAAATGGAAGCCCCACGGTTTGCCCAGAGTCACACAGCAAATTAGTGGCAGCATCGGTACAAATCCAGTTCTCCCTGAGTGTAAGTTGGGTGAAGACACGGATCTTGTCTTTTGTTCACTACTTTATCCCCAGTGCCTAGCACAATGTCTGCATTGAGTAGAATGAAAGAATAAATGAATTATTTCCTGTTTAACTCTTTTCCTTTTCTTCTTTGTCATCTTGGTATGTGTGTATTGTATGTATGTGTAAATACTGGTGACCCTTTACACATTTGTCTCTTATCAGTAGTAATTAATGCCCTTACATAAATGTCAACATCTTAATTTCTGTGCCTAGGAATTTCTTCAATTCCATGAATTTCTGGAGTTTCTAGCTGGATAGATGGCAAGCCTTATAAACCTTGTCATGTGGCTAAGGACATGGAAGCCCTATAAAGCAGCAGTCATTACAGCATCCCAGGACTCCAGGACTTCCACCAACTGTGGAAGAGAGGATGTGTGATCACCATCAAAATTAGTTTTCTAGTCATTAGACTATAATCCCTTCAAAAGATTCAGAACCCTACAAGAGAAAAACACCATCACCAGATGGCAAACTTGAGACCCAGGATCCCTTCCTTCAGTCACACTGTTCAACTAAGACCATTCTGCAGATGACCACACAGGGCAGTGTTTCTAAAGCATGTGTTGAAGAACCCTGTCTCTGAGAGATCCTTCTTGAGAAGAGGATTCTGAGTTCAAATAACATTGAGAACATACTTGCATACATGTCTTCTCTAGCAGTTCACAATGGACATGAACATTGTGAATGCTCTAAGAAATGCTAGAGTGGAGAAAACTGTTTAACTTTGTGTTACCTGGCTTCATCCAAAGGTACTTAACCATAAAGCTCCTGTGTAGAATAATACCAGTTTCAGTCTCATTTCCTCATTCATGCAAAGGGCAAACACATTATGTTACCTGGGGCTTTTACACAGAGTGAATGAGATAAACATGTGTAAAGTATAAAGCACCATCCTTGGTATACACTACACATATGATAGGTGTTAATTCCTTTTCTTAGATTTATTTATTATTTATTGAAAACCATTGTTTTATTATTGAAAAAGTTATATATATTTATTTATAATAATAGAAAGAATACACAAGGCTAAAACTTCAAACTATAAAAGGGATATAAAATTTTAAAACTCTCTCCTACCTCAGATTCCTCAGATTCCCAAGAGGAACTTTTTCATGTACCTTTCCAGACATTTTCTGTGCATGTGTATGCAGACATATCAGAAACAGATTTTTAAAGATCTATTCCCAGTAAATGAGGTAATGGGTTTGCATTCATTTGTGTTGTACTTCTGCAGCAGTACTTCTAAGTTCTTCCATTTTGTGCTACCTCAATTTGTTTTTCTGAAATTCTTGGGAGGGGTAAAGTTAGGGCCTTATGTTTATAGCAAAACATTTATAAAGTGAATGTCACAGAGAATTGGAAACCCCCATAGTGTTTGGGGGTTAACTAAAGGTCAGTTTAAGTGTAAAGCCTTTTTTGGTAAAGCCTTGCTGAATACTTCCTGAAGGAATTAATGGGCTGGTATGTAGGTAGTAACGGGCTAGTACATAGGTTTCCAATTTATGATGGTTTTTTTCACTTCTGATTTTTCAACTTCACCATGGTGCAAAAGCAATATGCATTCAGTAGAAACCATGTTTGGGGTACCCATACAACCATTCTGTTTTTCACTTTCACTACAGTATTCAATATATCACATGGGATATTCGCCACTTTATTATAAAATAGGCTTTGTGATAGATGATTTTGCCCAATTTTATGCTATTGTATGTGTTTTGGGCACATTTAAGGTAGGCTAGCCTAAGCAAGGATGTTCAGCAGGTTAGGTGTATATTTAATGCGTTTTGACTTAAGATATTTTTTAACTTAAGGTGGATTTATTGGGATGTAATCTTATTGTAAGTCAAGGAGCACCTGCACTCCATAATAATTAAATATGATGATCTTTTATTTTAGCAGTTATGACTTGCCTTATAGGTGGCTATATCTAGGTATCTCACCCCTGAGAAATTATGAGTTCTTTGAGGACCCTGTTCATGTCTTGTACCAATTCAAACACATTAAAGGCATTTAATATGGATTTGATGAAGCAAGGGAGTGTCCAGAGAAGACCAGAGCATCTGTTCTCTCTACCAAAACAAAACTGTGATTGAGGAGGTGAATGTTCATGTATCTGTTCTTCCCTGTAAGGGTAGAGGGTAGGGAAGGAGAACATGGGAGCCTGGGCAGGAGAGGGTCAGAGCTGCATCTATAGAGAGACACCAGTTTGTAGTTACTCTGATGATGTATTAGTTTCCCAGGGCTGCTCTAATAAAGTACCACAAACTGGGTGGCTTAAACAACATAAATTTGTTGTCTTACAGTTTGGGTGGCTAGAAGTCAAGTCAAGGTGTCAGCAGAGCCAGTTCCTTCTGAGGACTCTCTCTTGTAGATGGCCGTCTTCTCTCTCTGTCTCTTCAGATCATCTTTCTGTATTCATGTCTGTGTTCAGATTTCTTCTTCTTATGAGGACACCAGCCATATTGATTAGTGACCACCCTAACAAACTCGTTTTAACTCGATCACCTCTGCAGTAACCACATCTCCATGTGAGGCCTCATTCTGAGGTACCGAAGGTTAGGACTCCAACATATGAATGTTGGAGGGGACACAATTCAGCCCATAGCAGGTGGGTTATCATGCTGGGCTTTAGTGCTTGTCAAGACCCAGCCTGTGCCAGTATGCACACTCACCAACTGCATCTGTCAAAATGTAGGCTCCTTAAAGAAATGCAAGCGCTAAAAACCATGTGTGGTGATTGCCATTTATCCTCTTATTGACAACCTAGTTCATTTCCCCGAGAGAGTGTTTTGTGTGGTCTGAAGCACCTGCCAGTCTATCTCTGCTGTACCCTCCCAAGACAAAAATACAGGAAGCCGAGCCATAGGTGACTACTGGCAACCACTGCCTTTGTGATTTCCTCTTTGGTTTCTTCTATTTTGTTCCCTTCCTTCACTCTGTGGCTTGTCTGGGCATTCACTCTTTGACCCTTGTGGCTAGTCCCTCCCCTTCTTCTTTATTGCCCTGAGTTATCTCCCTATTCCCATAACTCTAATCACTTTTTTCATGTTCTCCTTGAGTGAAGGATGAGGAAATTGAAAGCAGAGTATGCACCTTTTATTAGGAGATTCAAACTGCATCCTACTGGATTAGCCTCAAAAGTCCTAAAATACAAAGACATCCATCTGACAGATCACTGAGGGGAGGACTTGTTTTTCTGTTTTAGAATAGTTTCCGATTAAACTTTTTAGCTCAAGAAGAAAAGAAGCTAGTTATTTCTCACCCAGGAGTGGATTTGTGGTTTGGCTTCACCATGGCTTCCTGCCGTGCCTGGAACCTTAGGGTGCTGGTGGCTGTCGTGTGTGGACTACTGACTGGCATCATTTTGGGACTGGGCATCTGGAGGATTGTGATCAGGATCCAAAGAGGTAATGTTGTCCTGCTATGTTTAACTCAGAGTAAGAGAAGGTATGGGACCTCTGTCCCTGCCACCTGGTGCACAAGTACTGGGAGGTACCTTGTCCAGTCTGAGGCATTCCACCAAGGTGCCATTTATGGGATATAAAAGACCAAGTCAGTTAAGCCTAGCAGATGGTTGAATAGAAATGAATAGGTGTGGGTGTGAGTGGGCAGGGGGAAGAGTGACATAATTGAATTGGCCTCTTTATGCTCTTTTAACTCCAGACTGAATTGGTAGAAGAGTAATAATTAAAACGATTAGTAACACACATTTAGGTCTGTTTGGCTAAATTCAGGAAAGGGTAAATCGTTATGAACAAGGACACACACATGCATCAAACACATACACACACATGCATAACACACATACAATCAAACATACACAGAATGGAATTTCATTTTAAGAGAGAAGTTAAAGAAACTCATCACTAAGGTTTAAGTGAAATGATCTCATGGTTTGCATACAAATTTCCCACTTTCCAGATGTAGGAAACTAATCAAAAATTTAAAAACCATTTTTAAATGACTTTCCTGATTATTCAACGAACATTTGTTAGTCCCCCGCTGTGTGCCAGAGCTGGCCTGGAAAAGGAGGACGTGGGAGGGGAAGTAGTGAGTAAAACAATGATGTTAAAGAAAAGCCCGCTGGAACTCAGAACGCGAAATTTCAATGATCCTAATGCTGGATCCCTTGGGCTGTAGAGCTTCTCCGTAAAGGAATTCAATGTTGGATGGGCTACATACTCCCTTTCGTGAAAATCAGAGAAAGCTTCTAATGAAACAATAAATAAGGGTAAATAATGCCGATCGGGAAAGGCAGCAGGAGAGGCAGTATGCCCTCTGAGCAGGTAACTGGGGAGGACAGAAGGTTGGGGAGCTAGCAGGAGCATGGAGCATGGCTGCAAAGATCCAGTGTTGAAGACCAACAGAGGGATCTGACATACTGGCTGCTGATGGAGTGGTAGCTGGGGATGGATTTGTCCTCCCCCTACCCCACCGCCCTAACCAGTATTTAGAGAATACTGTATCGATAGTATTTAGAGAACTAGAATGAGAAAATTTACCAGAACAAAAATAGTAAAATTTAAACTTGGAGCAAATGTGTTTTTGTTTGTTTAAGGTTGTAAAATAGTTTCATTCAGGTTAAAAAATTATGAACTATGGATTTTACCCCATTAAGGCTGCCAAATTTATAAGACCTCATTTAAAGGACATACTTCACAAAGTTTTGTTTGTTTGTTTTTCCTTCCTTCCTTCCTTCCTTCCTTCCTTCCTTCCTTCCTTCCTTCCTTCCTTCCTTTCTTCTTTCCTTCCTTCCTTCCTTCCTCCCTTCCTTCCCCCCGTTCCTTTTTTCCTTTATGTAAGCGACATCTATTTTTAAAGGGAAATTTATGATGACTTATAAAGGACACAGTTATAGCAAAACCATTAAAAACAAGGACCAAAGTACAAAAACAACATGAGAAAGAGTGCAGGATGGGGGACAGAAAACCTGAAAGTTCAAGGCTTGGGGGGAGTTGCTGAAAATAAATACAAAATATATTCCCGAACTTTCTGAGTACTAAGATCCAAAAGGAGGCATAATAAGTAATAAAGATCCCATGTCTAACAATAGAGGCATACCAGCTCCTCAAAAAGAAAAACTTTTCTCTTGTTCTGAGAAGCATATTTCAATTGGCTGTTTATATAAGGGTCATCTCTTAGCTTTGGGGTAAACCCGATGGAAAAGGAGAGGGTTCTCACTGTCATTTAAAGAAAAAGAGTGAAAGACTGGCACCATTTGCTGTTACTATTTTGCCTTGTACATTTTATTGAGAGTGCATTTGAGTTGGTAAATTCTGTTTCTTTTCACTTCACTCCACTCCACTCTACTCCACTTCTTTTTATCCTATCCCATCCCATCCTATGTAATTGTTGAATATTCTTGCTTGGGTTCCTTTATTCAGGTATAGACATAAATTGTTTTTACATTTTTTTAAGGGGGAGAGAGGTCACACATATCTCTGAGAAACTGATGAAAGCTATAAATGTCTTAGTAGGGAAAATATATATAAACACACAAAATTTTGCATAAATTAATTTTATTGCATTCAAAATTTATTTTGAAGAATCACTCCAGGCTGGAGTAACATATATATAAATTAAAAGAACATATAAATTAAGTCTCTTTCACTTTTATTTTTCTTGGAAAAGTAATGGCCTCATTGTGAAAAATAAAAAAAAATTTCAAATTCTGCTCTGAGTAAATTTCAGTAAGAAGTTACTCTGATTTGGCAGTAAACACTGATGTACAACAATATTTATGCTATTTATGTATTTAATTATTATAATACCTATAGTTTTAAAAATTCTTACTATGTTCTAGGTACTATGCTAAAAACTTAGAGAAAATCTCAGTTTTGCCAGAACTCCAGCCTTTTCACATTGGGCATTCTTCATAGAAAAACACAAGAAGCAGTATAGCTTTTGGGCCCCTTCACTCTTGATGATGAAAGTAAAATGAAAACATAATTAAGCTTTATTATATTTCTTCCCATTGGCATTTTCCAACTTGTGCTAAGCCTGATATAATCATAGACAGATGTCCACAATCATAATGGTAGAAAATGTTTTCTTTAACTCCTCCCAAAGGGAGAGTATCTGAACCTCAAAACACATGAGTAGTGCCTTACTTGACCATATTCTACACCTCTTCTGGTTCGTAGAATTTCCTGCTCTTTGCCACCAGGACTGTTTTTTTCTTTATCCCCGCTTATCTCCAGATATTCTAACCTTCATTCTCTATCACAGGATACACCTGTTCTTCAGTCCTGCAAGAGATTTCAGGACGTTGAAATATTCCCAAACCCCAAGGTCTGACTTCATAGCATTGATAATTTTTGTTGATGTTGTTTTATTTTTGTTTTGAGAAGGAGTCTCATTCTGTCTCCAGGCTGGACTGTGGTGGCATGATCTCGGCTCACTGCAACCTCTGCCTCCTGAGTTCAAGCGATTCTCCTGCCTCAGCCTCCCGAGTAGCTGGGACTACAGGCACTCACCACCACGCCTGGCTATTTTGTGTATTTTTAGTAGAGATGTGGTTTCACCATGCTGACCAAGCTGGTCTTGAACTCCTGACCTTAAGTGATCTGCCCGCCTCGGCCTCCCAAAGTGCTGGGATTACAGGCGTGAGCCACCGCACCTGGCCTGATAATTCTTACACTGTGGAAAATACAGGTTGTTATGAAAGGTCAATGAGAGTTTATTGTTTGTCAAAAAATAATCTGACCATAGATACTTGGCTTTAATTTCACTCATTTACAGTACTTCTTTCAGAGGCAAACTCAATAAATCTAACTCATGTGACTGTTCCTGGAGTATATTTGCATTTGGGGGTTTAAAAAATAAAAAAAGTCCAGAGTAGAGTTTTCTGGAGAGAGAAAGTTGGTTTTAGGCAGCTATAGTGTTCTTTTGTCTTAATCCTGGTGTTGTAAATCTTTCTTCTGCTCCTTAACCAGTCTTCCTTCTTGCTTCCTCACATAACCACCCCCTAAATTAAAAAAAAAAAAAGTCTATTAAAGGGAAGGGATTTTTAAAATAAATTTATTCCAGTTTGGCTATGTAATTGGCTGAGGGGCATGGATTATTTTAATATCAGAATCAGTGATGTTTAAAGTGTTGATTCCATTTTAAAAGTTACTTTCTTGAACTAAGGGGCTAGAATCTTGGCTTAGTGGATTATTCCTGGATTTCAAGGTATTAGATATTTTTACTCGAAATTCTGGATACTTGCTGTTCTTTGATGACACAAACGTTGACGATCTAACATGGAATATAGTGGTTAAAATGGACACTTGAGAGTATAGGGGAAAAATGTACAAGAGTAGGGGAAAGAAAACTCTGGGGCCAAACTACCTGAGTTTAGATCCCAATAATGCCCCTCACTAGCTTTGAGCAAATTATTAACTTTGAGCAAATTATTCAACATTTTTGAGTCTCAGTTTTCCTGCTTATTATGTGCATAGTAGTAAACCCATGAGGCTTAAATGAGTCAATATATTAAAAATTTAAGATGATGTCTAGGACGTTGTAAGTACTTAATAATTGTTGGCTGCTATCCTCTAGGTATTTTTAGATAATTCAGTGCAGAGCATAGTTTTCTCCACTCCCTGGTTTATACCTTGAATAGATACCATTGACCTAGATTGGACCTTTGGATTGAGACTCAAATTACCAATCCAAAAGTTTACAATAGGTTTAATCATTAAGTTCAATTGACTAGCTCAAAACTGAAACAGAAACAGTTCTAAGAACTGGCACATCTTCCTGTATTTGCCTTTCAATACTTATGCTACACTGTACCATCAAGAAAAATGTTTATTAAAATATTTAGTCATGCATACCAAAGTATAATAAGAATTAAAAAAGGAAAAATTATTTAACCAGTTTATTGAAATATTTAACCAGGTAGTTAATACCGGACAAAGTTTACCTTAAATAAAGACTATGTGTATTTTATTTGTATAAATCTTTCAGGGTTTTTCTCTTTACAACCAGAATAAACTTTCCCAAGCATTGTCCTCTCATTTAAGAGTTAACTTTATTGTCACCAAACTATTTCAAATTAGGACAAATGAGAGATGCCTGGATTTTAAACCCCAAAAGACTAAGCTAGGCACTAGAAAGGATCTGCAGATGAAATTTCTTAGACTAAGGAAATATGTTTTTATTTCCCTACTTATTAAAATCAAACTTTTCAAAGCAGACTCTAATTTTGTCTAGGAGAAGAAATTAATATTTTTTATTTGGAATCTTTAATATTATTTTATGCTACTTTCTCAAGCAGCATGTATGTGTTGTATATGTTCTGTATTTAAACTTCCAAGATGTGTATTAAAAGCATTGAAAATGTGTAGTAAAAACATTGAAAATAGGGCTAATAATTCTAGAAATACTACTTTGTACAATTTAAAAGAATATAGGAAAATTATTATTATCATACTGATGTTATAAAAGAAAAATATTGCTACTAAATGTATTCCAAAATATGGAGCCTCAAATAAAAGGAAGCTGATGCTGCCTGTTGCAATCAATGGTAAAGGCAGGCACTGTGAGGAAGGAGCAGAAGCACTTGATCAGTTACAAGGAGGTCTGAGTCTAGCACCTGCTCTGCTACCAATTAATTACTGATCTGGAACTAATCACTCAGCCTTTATGTAGAATGAGGGGGTTGGGTTGATGAATAACTAATGTCACTTTTTTTCAAGATCATAATTCTAAAACTGGTTATATGATATGAACAAGCCACTTAATCTTTCTGAGTGTGACTTTCTTTAGGTAAAAATACAGTCTTAAAGATACCAGTACTATTTTTGCTGTATTTTGTGGGTAATTTAGGTATTTCAGAGGCTAGAGTCTTGAAGTGTGTAGTACAAGGTGTTAAACAGGTGATTGTGACAGAGGAATTGTTAGTTCAACTTGGACTAGATATCCTCAACCAAGATGCAAATGGCAAAGAAGCCAGTCAGCAAATGTGTGTTGGGTACCTTCTATTCAATGGCATTGTGCTAGGATTTGAAGATATGGACCAAGACCCTTGTTCTAAAAATTGGCAAATTACTCCTTAACTTTAAGAAATGACTCTTGACTTACAGCAAAAAGACAGAAGGAGTAGACATGGATGGACCTCCTTCTTGTTTACAAACATAGAAGTTACAAATAAAATATGAGAATAATTCAAATATGCAAGCAGGCTTTCTTTCTTGAGGAAAAATCACAAGTGGCAGAAATAAAGAGTAAAGTCAACCATATGAGGGGCAGCAAGCACTGGTGCAATTTCAATGCATTCAGGGGGACAGGAGGCATGATTTCTATGCTGTATGAAGCAAGGGAGCTGGACCTGAGCCACCAGCAAAATACCTAAGCCTTGAGTAGGATCAACCAAGAAAAGAAGATTAGAAAAATTTTACTTACTAGCCCAAAGAAGCATTAAATAACACTATCATCTGTTCAGAGCCATAAGTAAGGAAAAAAAAGTCACTACCAGTAATTGAAACCCCAGGCTTTACAATCTAAATCTGTCCTACCTATACAGTATTGAAATCTCCAAAAATAATCCTAATACTAGTTCAAGACTACTACTGATGGTGCCCCAGGATCGTAAAAGAAGTAATCATGAAATTTTCCTGTGGAAATATTTCCACAAACAAAACCCATAAAAGTCTCATGGAAGAATAATAAATAAGACAAAGATGAGTTTACAATACAAAATTACATGCGAACCATGATGCTGGAGAGACATCAGATGTCATCAAAAGGATTAACCCTCCCAGAATTGGATATAACAAAACCATCTGAAAGAGAATATAAAATATGTTTAACAAGATTAAGCCTTTAAAATACAGGAGAAAAATAAAAAAAGAAAAATACAGTATTTTAAAAAGAATAGGAGAATTTGAAAAAGAACCAAATAATACTTTTAAAATAGAAAATATAGTAATGATAAAAAAATTAATGAGTGATTTAAAAGGAGGTTAGAAATCATTAAGGTGCTGAGCATGGTGATTCATGCCTGTATTCCCAGCATTTGGGAGCTCAGGCTGGAGTGTCACTTGAAGCCAAGAGTTTGAGAGCAGCCTTGGCAACGTAGCAAGACCTCATCTCTGCAAAACACAAAATATTATTTCAAAAATAACCAGGCGTAGTGGCGCCTGCCTGTAGTCTCAGCTACTGGGGAGACTGTGGCAGAAGGATCCCTTGAGCCCAGGAGATGGAGGCTACAGTGAGCTATGATTACACCTCTGCACTCCAACCTGGGTGACAGAGGGAGATCCTGTCTCTACAAAACAAACAAATAAAGTCCCCCCTCCACACCCTAATAATTACAGAGAAAACTAGGGAATGGAAAAGAAAGCTAGGAAACTGTAATTCAACACAGTAATATAAAGAGATGTTAACAATAATGAGATTAAAAAATTTGATGTATAGAAGGCTAAAGTCCAACAGGGTCTATGAGACATTTCAGAAGAGAATAGAAAATATGGGAGAAGCAACTCTTAAAGAAGTAATAACTAAAAAGTTTTCTTGATTGAAGGATGACTTTTCAAGTAGGCAAAGCAAAAACAAACCACATCATGGTAAAATTGCAGAACATCAGATAAAGAAAATTTAAAAGATGTTTATAGAAAAAAGAGTCCCCCAAAATAAATAAAAATTGGAAAATAATATTTTCTTTTTTTCTTTTTCTTTTTTATTGTACTTTAAGTTTTAGGGTACATGTGCACAACATGCAGATTAGTTACATATGCATACATGTGCCATGTTGGTGTGCTGCACCCATTAACTCGTCACTTAACATTAGGTATATCTCCTAATGCTATCCCTTCCCCTCCCCCCACCCCACAACAGGCCCTGGTGTGTGATGTTCCCCTTCCTGTGTCCATGGGTTCTCATTGTTCAATTCCCACCTATGAGTGAGAACATGCGGTGCTTGGTTTTTTGTCCTTGCGATAGTTTGCTGAGTATGATGGTTTCCAGCTTCATCCATGTCCCTACAAAGGACATGAACTCATCATTTTTTATGGCTGCATAGTATTCCATGGTGTATATGTGCCACATACACAATGTCTATCATTGTTGGACATTTGGGTTGGTTCCAAGTCTTTGCTATTGTGAATAGTGCCGCAATAAACATATGTGTGCATGTGTCTTTATAGCAGTATGATTTATAATCCTTTGGGTATATACCCAGTAATGGGATGGCTGGGTCAAATGGTATTTCTAGTTCTAGATCCCTGAGGAATCGCCACACTGACTTCCACAATGGTTGAACTAGTTTACAGTTCCACCAACAGTGTAAAAGTGTTCCTATTTCTCCACATCCTCTCCAGCACCTGTTGTTTCCTGACTTTTTCATGATCGCCATTGTAACTGGTGTGAGAATGGTATCTCATTGTGGTTTTGATTTGCATTTCTCTGATGACCAGTGATGATGAGCATTTTTTCATGTGTCTATTGGCTGCATAAATGTCTTCTGTCGAGAAGTGTCTGTTCATATCCTTCGCTCGCTTTTTGATGGGGTTGTTTGTTTTTTTCTTGTAAATTTGTTTGAGTTCATTGTAGATTCTGGATTTTAGCCCTTTGTCAGATGAGTAGATTGCAAAAATTTTCTCCCATTCTGTAGGTTGCCTGTTCACTCTGATGGTAGTTTCTTTTGCTGTGCAGAAGCTCTTTAGTTTAATTAGATCCCATTTGTCAATTTTGGCTTTTGCTGCCATTGCTTTTGGTGTTTTCGACATGAAGTCCTTGCCCATGCCTATGTCCTGAATGGTATTGCCTAGGTTTTCTTCTAGGGTTTTTATGGTTTTAGGTCTAACATTTAAGTATTTAATCCATCTTGAATTAATTTTTGTATAAGGTATAAGCAAGGGATCTAGTTTCAGCTTTCTACATTCGGCTAGCCAGTTTTCCCAGCACCATTTATTAAATAGGGAATCATTTTCCCATTTCTTGTTTTTGTCAGATTTGTCAAAGATCAGATGGTTGTAGATATGAGGCATCATTTCTGAGGGCTCTTTTCTGTTCCATTGTTCTATATCTCTGTTTTGGTACCAGTACCATGCTGTTTTGGTTACTGTAGCCTTGTAGTATAGTTTGAAGTCAGGTAGCGTGATGCCTCCAGCTTTGTTCTTTTGGCTTAGGATTGACTTGGCGATGCGGGCTCTTTTTTTGGTTCCGTATGAACTTTAAAGTAGTTTTTTCCAATTCTATGAAGAAAGTCATTGGTAGCTTGATGGTGATGGCATTGATCTATAAATTACCTTGGGCAGTATGGCCATTTTCACAATATTGATTCTTCCTACCCATGAGCATGGAATGTTCTTCCATTTGTTTGTATCCTCTTTTATTTCACTGAGTAGTGGTTTGTAGTTCTCCTTGAAGAGGTCCTTCACGTCCTTTGTAAGTTGGATTCCTAGGTATTTTATTCTTTTTAAAGCAATTGTGAATGGGAGTTCACTCATGATTTGGCTCTCTGTTTGTCTACTATTGGTGTATAAGAATGCTTGTGATTTTTGCACATTGATTTTGTATCATGAGACTTTGGTGAAGTTGCCTGTCAGCTAAGGAGATTTTGGGCCGAGACTATGGGGTTTTCTAGATATACAATCATGTCATAGTAAAGCACTCCTCAGCAAATGTAAAAGAACAGAAATCATAACAAACTGTGTCTCAGACCACAGTGCAATCAAGCTAGAACTCAGGATTAAGAAACTCACTCAAAACCGCTCAACTACATGGAAACTGAACAACCTGCTCCTGAATGAATACTGGGTAAATAATGAAATGAAGGCAGAAATAAAGATGTTCTTTGAAACCAACAAGAACAAAGACACAACACACCAGAATCTCTGGGACACATTCAAAGCAGTGTGTAGAGGGAAATTTATAGCACTAAATGCCCACAAGAGAAAGCAGGAAAGATCTAAAATTGACACCCTAACATCACAATTAAAAGAACTAGAGAAGCAAGAGCAAACACATTCAAAAGCTAGCAGAAGGCGAGAAATAACTAAGATCAGAGCAGAACTGAAGGAAATAAAGACACAAAAAACCCTTCAAAAA
The DNA here is from genome assembly GCF_000001405.40 of Homo sapiens. Lineage (NCBI taxonomy): Eukaryota > Metazoa > Chordata > Mammalia > Primates > Hominidae > Homo > Homo sapiens. The sequence goes on from NC_000003.12 coordinate 100,619,603, forward strand.
ATCAATGAATCCAGGAGCTGGTTTTTTGAAAAGATCAACAAAATTGAAAGACAGCTAGCAAGACTAATAAAGAAGAAAAGAGAGAAGAATCAAATAGATGCAATAAAAAATGATAAAGGGGATATCACCACCGATCCCACAGAAATACAAACTACCATCAGAGAATACTATAAACACCTCTACGCAAATAAACTAGAAAATCTAGAAGAAATGGATAAATTCCTCGACACGTACACTCTCCCAAGACTAAACCAGGAAGAAGTTGAATCTCTGAATAGACCAATAACAGGCTCTGAAATTGAGGCAATAATCAATAGCTTACCAACCAAAAAAAGTCCAGGACCAGATGGATTCACAGCCAAATTCTACCAGAGGTATAAGGAGGAGCTGGTACCATTCCTTCTGAAACTATTCCAATCAATAGAAAAAGAGGGAATCCTCCCTAGCTCATTTTATGAGGCCAGCCTCATCCTGTTACCAAAGCCTGGCAGAGACACAACAAAAAAAGAGAATTTTAGACCAATATCCCTGATGAACATCGATGCAAAAATCCTCAGTAGAATACTGGCAAACCGAATCCAGCAGCACATCAAAAAGCTTATCCACCATGATCAAGTGGGCTTCATCCCTGGGATGCAAGGCTGGTTCAACATACGCAAATCAATAAATGTAATCCAGGATATAAACAGAACCAATGACAAAAACTATATGATTATCTCAATAGATGCAGAAAAGGCCTTTGACAAAATTCAACAGCCCTTCATGCTAAAAACTCTCAATAAATTAGGTATCGATGGGACGTATCTCAAAATAATAAGAGTTATCTATGACAAACCCACAGCTAACATCATACTGAATGGGCAAAAACTGGAAGCATTCCCTTTGAAAACTGGCACAAGACAGGGATGCCCTGTGTCACCACTCCTATTCAACATAGTGTTGGAAGTTCTGGCCAGGGCAATCAGGCAGGAGAAGGAAATAAAGGGTATTCAATTAGAAAAATAATATTTTCAAGGTGTTGTCAACCCAGAATTCCTACCTTATCAAACTGACAATCACAGTGAGAGAAAAATAAAAGCATTTTCAGCTAAACACTGGAGAATCTGTCCCTCACAGACCCTGGCTGAAAGAATTATTAAATCGTATACATCAAAAAGCAAGAAATTGAATCCAGAAGAAAGTAAATGCAATACAGACACACCTTGTTTTATTGCACATCATAGGTATTATGTTTTTTTTTTTTACAACTGGAAGTTTTGTGGCAACTCTGTGTCAAGCAGGTCTGTTGGTCCCATTTTTCCAATAACATGTGCTCGCTTCATGTCTCTGTGTCAGTCACATTTTGGTAATTCTCACAATATGTCAAACTTTTTCATTATTATTATTTCTGTTATGGTGGTCTGTGATCATGATCTTTGATGTTACTATTGCAATTGTTTTTGGGTGCCGTGAACCACGTCCATGTAAAGATGGCAAACATAATCAATAAATGTTGTATGTGTTCTGACTGCTCTACAGACTGGCAAATCCCTCAACTCTCATACTCTTCTCAGGCCTCTCTATTCCCCGAGACACAACATCGTTGAAATTAGGCCAATTAATAATCCTACAATGGCCTCTAACTATTTGAGCGAAAGGAAGAGTTGCATGTCTCTCACTTGGAATCAAAAGCTAGAAATGATTAAGTTTAGTGAGAAAAGCATGTGAAAGCTGAGAAAGCAGAAAGCTAGTATGTTGTGCCAAACAGTTAGCCAAATTGTGATTGCAAAGGAAAAGTTATTCAAGGAAATTAAAAATGCTACTCCAGTGAACACACAAATGGTAAGAAAATAAAAGAGTCTTTTTGCTGATATGGAGAAAATTTGAGTGGTCTGGATGGAAGATCAAACCAGTTGTAACATTCCCTTAAGCTAAAGCCTAATCCAGAACAAGGCTCTAACTTGTTTCAATTCTATGGAGGCTGAGAGAGTTGAGAAAACTACAAAGGAAAAGTTGGAATCTAGCAGAGATTGGTTTATGAAGTTTAATGAAAGAAGCCATCTCCATAACATAAAAGTGCAAAGGAAAGCAGCAAGTGCTGATGTAGAAGCTGCCGCAAGTTTTTCAGAATATATAAATAAGATAATTGATGAAGATGACTACACTAAACAACAGATTTTCAGTGTATAAAACAGGCTTCTATTGAAAGAAGATGCCATCTAGGACTTTCACAGCTAGAGAGGAGAAGTCAACAAACATCTGGCTCCAAACTTCAAAGGACAGGTTCTCTTGTTAGTAGCTAATACGGCTGGTGACCTAAAGTTGAAGCCAATGTTCATTCACCAGTGGTTTCGAGATGAAACTATTCCACTTCAGATCATTGGGTATTAGACTCTCATAACGAGCGTGCAACCTACATCTCTTGCATGCATAGTTCATGTTACGGTTTGTGCTCTTATGATAATCTAATGCTGCTGATCTGACAGGAGGCTAAGCTCAGGAGATAACACTCACTCGCCCATGGCTCACCTCCTGCTGTGTGGCCTGGTTCCTAATAGGCCATGGATTGGTACCCGGGGCTGGGGACCCCTGTACTAGAGTTTTATAGTTTTGCATTTTACGTTAGATCTATGATTCATTTGAGATAGTTTTTGTGAAAGATGTAAGTCTCTCTCTATATTCATTTTTTTTTTTTTTTTTTTTTGCTTATGGTTGTCCAGTTGTTTCCGCAATATTTGTTGAAAAGACTATCCTCTCTCCATTGAATTTCCCTTGCTTCTTTGTTGAGGAGCAGTTGACTATATTTGCATGGGTCTATTTATGGAGTCTCTATTCTATTCTATTAATCTATTTGTCTATTCTAGTGGGATGTGAAATGATATTTAACTGTGGCTTTAATTTGTATTTCTCTGATGACTAAGATGCTGAGTCTTTTCACTTGTTTATTGCCCATCCATATATCTTCTTTTATTAAGTGTCTGTTCCAGTCTTTTGCCCACTTAAAAAAAGCGGGCTGCTTGGGTTCTTATTATTAATGTGTATTCTTCACAATTTACAAATTGCAATTCTAATCTACAATTAGATTTACAACTCTAATTTACACTTTTGGATACAATTCCTTTGTCAGATATATGTACCGCAAATATTTTCTCCCAGTTTGTGGCTTCCATTTTTATCTTCTTTTTTTTCCTTTTTTTTGAGATGGAGTCTCACTCTGTTGCCCAGGCTGGAGTGCAGTGGCATGATCTTGGCTCACTGCAACTTCTGCCTCCCAGGTTCAAGCCATCCTCCTGCCTCAGCTGGGACTACAGGCATGCGTCACCATGCCCGGAAAATTTTTGTTTTTGTTTTTTTTTTTTGGTAGAGACAGGGTTTTGAGACCAGGTTGGCCAGGCTGGTCTCAAACTCCTGACGTCAGATAATCCATCATCTCGGTCTCCCAAAATGCTGGGATTACAGGCAGGAGCCACTGTGTCTGGCCTATTTTTATCTTAACAGTGCCTTTGATGACAGGAGTTTTTAATTTGACTAAAGCTAATTATCAATTTTTTTCTATTATTCTTAGTGCTTTTGTGTCCTTTAAAAAACAATCTTTAGCCCAAAGTTGCAAATGTATTCTCCTATGTTTTCTTTGAGAAGCATTTTAGTTTTAGCTTTCTGATTTGAGGACTACAGTCCACCTCAGACTGAGTTTTGAGGGTGATTTTTTTATTCAGTTAGTCTAGCACCATTTGTTGAAAAAACTTTCCCTTCTCAATTAAATTGCCTTGGTACGTCTTTAAAATGATAATGGGCCATATATGTTTTATCTATTTCTAACCTTTTGTTCTACTTCATTGATGTATTTGTCTACCTTTATGCTGATTCCATCCTGTCTTGATTGCTATGGCTTTATTGTAAGTCATACCCTCAGTAATGTGAGCCTTCTAAATCTGTTCTTTTTTCCAATTTTTAAAAAAAATTTTATTTTACTTTAAGTTGCAGGATACAAGTGCAGACCTTGTAGGTTTGTTACATAGGTATACGTGTGCGCTGGTGGTTTGCTGCACCTATCAACTTATCATGTACGTTTTAAGCCCCACATGCATTAGCTATTTGTCTTAATGCTCTCCCTCCCCTTGCCCCTACTCCCCAACAGGCCCCGGTGTGTGTTGTTCCCCTTCCTGTGTTCATGTGTTCTCATTGTTCAACTTCCACATATAAGTGAGAACATGCGGTGTTTGGTTTTCTGTTCCTGTGTTAGTTTGCTGAGAATGATGGCTTCCAGCTTCATCCATGTCCCTGCAATGGACAGTATCTCATTCCTTTTTATGGCTGCATAGTATTTCATGGTGTATATGTACCAAATTTTCTTTATCCAGTCTATCATTGATGGACATTTGGGTTGGTTCCATGTCTTTGCTATTGTAAATAGTGCTGCAATAAACATATGGGTTCATGTGTCTTTATAGTGGAATGATGAGTATATACCCACTAACTGGATTAGTGGGTCAAACGGTATTTCTGGTACTAGATCCTTGAGGAATTGCCACACTTTCTTCCAGAATGGTTGAACTAATTTACACTCCCACCAACAGTGTAAAAGCATTCCTATTTCTCCACAGCCTTGCCAGCATATATTGTTTCTTAACTCTTTAATAATCACCATTCTGACTGGTGTGAAATGATATCTCTTTGCGGTTTTGATTTGCATTTCTGTAATGATCAGTGTGAAGTTGAGCTTGTTTTCATATGTTTGTTGGCTGCATAAATGTCTTCTTTTGAGAAGTGTCTGTTCATATCCTCTGCCCACTTTTTGATAGGATTGTTTGTTTTTTTCTTGTAAATTTAAGTTCCTTGTAGATTCTGTATATTAGACCTTTGCAATGAAGAGATTGCAAAAAATTTCTCCCATTCTGTAGGTTGCCTGTTCATTCTGATAACAGTTTATTTTGCTGTGCAGAAGCTCTTTAGTTTAATTAGATCCCATTTGTCAATTTTGGCTTTTGTTGCAATTGCTTTTGGTGTTTTCATCATGAAGTCTTTGCACATGCCTATGTCCTGAATGGTATTGCCTAGGTTTTCTTCTAGGGTTTTTATGGTTTTGAGTTTTACATTAAAGTCTTTAATCCATCTTGAGTTAATTTTTGTATAAGGAGTCAGGAAGGGGTCCAGTTTCAGTTTTCTGCATGTGGCTAGCCAGCTTTCCCAGCACTATTTATTAAATAGGGAATCCTTTCCCTATTGCTTGTTTTTGTCCAGGTTGTTGAAGATCAGATGTTTGTAGATGTGTGGTGTTATTTCTGAGGTCTCTGTTCTGTTCCATTGGTTTATATATCTGTTTTGGCACCAGTACCATGCTGTTTTGGTTATTGTAGCCTTGTAGTATAGTTTGAAGTCAGGTAGCATGATGCCTCCAGCTTTGTTCTTTTTGCTTAGGATTGTCTTGGCTATACAGACTCTTTTTTGGTTCCATATAAAATTTAAAGTAGTTTTTTCTAATTCTGTGAAGAATGTCAATGGTAGTTTGATGCGAATAGAATTGAATCTATGAATTGCTCTTGGCAGTATGGCCATTTTCATGATATTGATTCTTCCTATCCGTGAAGATGGAATGTTTATCCATTTGTTTGTGTCCTCTCTTATTTCCTTGAGCAGTGGTTTGTAGTTCTCCTGGAAGAGGTTCTTCACATCTCTTGTTAGCTGTATTCCTAGGTATTTTATTCTCTTTGTAGAAATTGTGATGGGAGTTCACTCATAATTTGGCTCCCTGCTTGTCTATTGTTGGTGTATAGTTGTGCTTGTGATTTTTGCACACTGATTTTGTATCCTGAGACTTAGCTGAAATTGCTTATCAGTTTAAGGAGTTTTGGGGCTGAGACGATGGGGTTTTCTAAATATAGAATCATGTTGTTTGCAAACAGAGACAATTTGATTTCCTATTTGAATATCCTTTATTTCTTTCTCTTGCCTGATTGCCCTGGCCAGAACTTCCAATACTATGTTGAATAGGGTTGGTGAGAGGGGGCATCCTTGCCTTGTGCCAGTTTTCAAAGGAAATGCTGCCCATTTTTGCCCATTCAGTACGATATTGGCTGTGGTTTTATCATAAACAGCTCTTATTATTTTGAGATATGTTCCATCAATACCTAGTTTATTGACAATTTTTAACATGAAGGGATGTTGAATTTTTATTGAAGTCCTTTTCTGCATCTATTGAGGTGATCATGTGGTTTTTGTCATTGGTTCTGTTTATGTGATGGATTACATTTATTGATTTGCATATGTTGAACCAGCATTGCATCCTAGGGATGAAGCCAACTTGATCGTGGTGGATAAGCTTTTTGATGTGCTGCTGGATTCGGTTTTTGCATCGATGTGCATCAGGGATATCAGCCTGAAGTTTTCTTTTGTGTGTTTGTGTCTCTGCCAGGTTTTGTTATCAGGATGATGCTGGCTTCATAAAATGAGCTAGGGAGGAGTCCCTCTTTTTCAATTGTTTGGAATAGTTTCACAAGGAAAGGTACCAGCTCCTCTTGGTATCTCTGGTAGAATGCAGCTCTGTGAATCCGTGTGGTCCTGGGCTTTTTTTGGTTGGTAGGCTAGTAATTACTGCCTCAATTTCAGAGCTCGTTATTGACCTATTCAGGGATTTGGCTTCTTGTTTTAGTCTTGTGAGGGTGTATGTGTCCAGGAATTTATCCATTTCTTCTAGATTTTCTAGTTTATTTGCATAGAGTTGTTCTTCTTTTTGGCCTTTCTAAGTGTTTTGCATTTCCATAAATATTTTAAATCCGCTTGTTAATTTCTATAAAAAAACTTTCATTTATGGATTTTGACTGTATCAATTTGGGGAGAATAGACACCTTAGCAACTTTGAATCTTCCATCCATACAAGGTATATATCTCCATTTATTTAGATCTTTTAAAATTTATTTGAACGGGGTCAGGCATGGTGGCTCATGCCTGTAATCCCAGCACTTTGGGAGGCCAAGGTGGGCGGATCGTGAGGTCAGGAGTTCGAGACCAGCCTAGCTAATATGGTGAAACCCCATCTCTACTACAAATACAAAAATTAGCTGGGCATGGTGGCATGTGCCCGTAGTCCCAGCTACTCGGGAGGCTGAGGTAGAAGAATCGCTTGAACCCAGGAGTCAGAGGTTGCAGTGAGCCGAGATTGTGCCACTGCACTCCAGCCTAGGCAACAGAGCAAGACTCCGTCAAAAGAAAAAAAAATTATCTGAACAATGAGATCTTGTTAAGTAAATTTTGTTAGATTTATTTCCAAGAATTTTATAATTTTTGATGCTATTTTAAATGAAAATGATTTATGCTTTTATATTTCAATTGTTTGTTGCTAATATGTGAAAATGTCTTTATTTTATGTCATGCAGTCTTGCTAAATTCACTTATTAATTATAGTAACTTTTTGGAGATATCTTAGCATTTCATATATTTGATGATATCATCTGCAATTCCTTCTTAATTTTACACTTTTGTTTCTTTTTCCTGCGTATTGCACTGCTAGCATCTTCAGCACCATGTTGAATCGAAGTGGTTATAGCAATTATATTGAACTGTGTTTTTGTCAGTCTTAGGAGAGACAGTATTCAATATTACACTGTTAAGTATGATATTTGTAGTAGGTTCTTCACAGGTGATTTTATCAGTTTGAAGATGTTCTGTTTTATTTCTCGTTTGCTGAGAGTTTAAAAAAAGTGAGATGCTTTTTGTCTCCTGCATTTATTGAGATGATCGTGAAGTTTATCTCCTTTATTCTATCATATGATTAATTAAATTAATTGATTTTCTATTGATTGCCAACCTAACCTTGCATCCCTGGGATAAATCTCACTTGGTCATGATGTATTATTAGTTTTATATGTTGAGAGATTTGACTTCCTGCTATTTTTAAAGGATTTTTTTGGCATCTGTGTAAACGTGATTTATTGGCCTGTAACTTTATTTTCTTGTAATGTCTTTGTCAGATTTTGGTATAAGGGTTATGCTGGCATTATGAAATGATTTGGGAAGTTTCTTCATTTCTTTATTTTCTAAAAGAGTTTGTATGAGATTGGTGTTATTTCTTTTCTAATTTACGAGTAAAACTATCTGGGCTGGCAGTTGGATACTTTCAGGATTTTCTCCTTATCTTTGAGTTTCAGCAGTTTGACTGACTGTGAAGTGTCTATGCATGGTTTTTCTTGCATTTGTTTTTCTTGTGATTCTTCTGAGCCTCTTGGATCTATAAGCTGAAGTTCTTAACAAAATTTGGGAAATTTTGACATGATTTCTTCTGATATTTTATCTTCCCTATTCCTTCTCTTTTCCCCTTCTAGGACTCCAATTGCTTATATGTTAGACAATATGTTGATATTGTCCCACAGATTCTTGAAGCTCTGTTTATTTTTTTAAATCTTTTTTCTCCCTGGATTTGAGAGTAATTTCTACACAAACTTTGAGTTTCTTTTCTATATGGCTCCTTTTATTCTGGGATATCTACCTTCAATTTCCAGTTGTTCTTGCAACCCCAAAGAGTTTCCTGTCATACCTTAACCCATTAAGACTGGCTTTCTGATCAAGTTTCAGCCACTTCTGCCATAGAGACTGGGTAGTGCCCTTAGTGGAAATACTATAGAGACTTCGAATACCTTTCAGTTTCTGCCTGTTTTTCATTGCTGTCCAATGCCTTCAAGTAGTTTTTTTTTTAAAAACGTTTGTGCAATTATTACCATTGTTATCTATGAGAGGGTTAATATGGTACAATCTATTCCATCATTATTGAAACTAGAACTCTGCCACTTGTTTTTTTTGTTTTTTTTTTGAGATTACTGTGTCACCCAGGCTGGATGCAGTGGTGTGATCTCAACTCACTGCAACCTCCGCCTCCCAGGTTCAAGTGATTCTCGTGCCTCAGCCTCCCAAGTAACTGGGACTACAGGCAGGCACCACCACACCAGGTTAATTGTATTTTTAGTAGAGATGCGGTTTCACCATATTGCTCAGGCTGGTCTCGAACTCCTGACCTCAAGTGATCCGCCCACCTCAGCCTCCCAAAGTGTTGGGATTAGAGGTGTGAGCCACTGCACACAACCCTGTATTCTTCCACTTAGTTAATTTGTTCACCTTTCACTCTGTTTTACAATTTAGAAACTCTGCTATCCCCAACTCAAAATAACTAGTCATTAGATCCTAACAATTCTTTCTCAGGTATGCTTCCTGAACCTAGTGACACCTAACTTTCTTAGAGTCACTGCTTGAGTTCTAGTTCTCATTTAACTGGTTTTCCTTCCCCCTTAGCCTCAGTCATTTCCCATACTCCTTCACTTATCCTCCTAAAAATAATTCCTTATGTTACTCCTTTGTTTTATGACCCCTCTAAGGTTCCTTCAAGATTAAATCTTCTTGGTTTGGTTTATAAAGTCCCTTCCAATTGAATCTATGTCCTGATGTTGTTCCACATAGAACCAATGCTGATGTTAAATTCTTCTCTGTTCCTTAGACACATCAGAACTTTCCATGTTTTTGTGATTTTTGCAGTTCGTATCCTGCCTACTCGGGTCACCCATTTTCATCTGGTTTTTCAAGATGTAATTTTAAAATCCAGTCCACATACTATCTCTTACCGGGTCTTCTTGGCTAGGTTACCTCTGTCATCAACCTCTCTCCTATGTGTTTTTACTGTACTTATAAGCCTCCATGTTGACTCTATCTATCTATCTATCTATCTATCTATCTATCTATCTATCTACTTACCATCTATATAATTTCTGATTTCTCAGGGGATTCTAATCTCCTTGGTCAAAGTATTATGTCTTTCAACTACATCTTTCTGGTATCCATAGCATCTAGTAAGCATTGTACATCTAGTGTAGATTCTCAGTGTATATTTTATTAATGATGATATTACAAAGAATATTTCTCAGCAATGATACTCAAAGCAGTGGTTTTACGTGTAGAAATTAAGTGGCCACAGGCATGAAAGGAGAAATGAATCAGCCAGTTCATGACTATTCTGTTATTTATTGTTTCTTTAGGAAAATCTACTTCCTCATCAAGCACCCCTACAGAGTTCTGCAGGAATGGTGGAACCTGGGAAAATGGCAGATGTATTTGTACAGAAGAGTGGAAAGGACTGAGATGTACAATTGGTAAATTACTTGGGATAATGCTAAAGTGTAAGGTTTACGTCACTCTTGTGTTAATAAGAATAGCAATAAAGCTTCTAGAAGCTTCAGTTAATGGTTACAGAAACAATGGACATAATGATGATGGCTTTAGGATGTGTTTATCAGCTCAATAGTAAAAGCTGAGTTTTCTTCTTGGCCAATTTATCAGTATATTCAATGCACCTTATCTGTTTCCTGACTACTAAGTTTTTTTGCAAACTCACAGTCGTGTTTCCTGGCTGCAATGACTAATCCAGGGCAATGAATGACATGATTCTCTCAGGTCCTTTCAATTGGTAATATGCCATAATATACCATTTCAAATATCACTACTCTAATATATTTAACTTTTCTGAAATCAATATGCATCTTCCTGAGTATATACTTATATTAAATTTTTATCTTTTCTTCCTCTACCTTGAAGAGTTGTTATTAAGTTAGTGGTTTGATTTCAATCAATTGTGTCTCAGAATCAAAGTTCAAGGCCATTTTTAAATTTGAGGTGTGCTTCCCAACACCGTACACTTCATGCTGTCTGCTTAGGGTTCAGAGCCCTAGATATCCACTGCTATCATTTCCTATACTCCTACCAGTCAATATATCCCACAGATCCCATGAATTTGCCTTTTTGCTTTGCCCACATCCTCATGGTACCGTTGACCACTATAGGCTCTATATTTTTAGTTCTGAAGATTCCAACTAATCTGTTACAGTATCCTAGCTCACATTCCCTCTCTACCCAGGTTTATATTGTGCACATTTTAACTGGAACCTGTTGTCTAACATACTAGTTATTCTAACGGCAATGACTTAACCAGATAGCAAAGTATAGAAGTTCCTCACAGGCCAGTGGGTTCTATAAGCCTTCTATTGCCTTTCAAATTTCACTGCATAGGTTCTGACCTTTGACTTTTATCTGGTTTCAATTTTTTTAAAATACAATTTATAATAAAGAACTTTTTCTCTTTATTACAGCTAATTTTTGTGAAAATAGTACCTATATGGGTTTTACTTTTGCCAGAATCCCAGTGGGCAGATATGGACCATCCTTGCAAACATGTGGCAAGGATACTCCAAATGGTATGTGTTTTCCCAAACATTTACTCTATGCATAAGAATTACTATGCTGAGTCATACCTCTCATACCTCCTACTAGTGTTAGGTCCCTGAAGGGCATCAGGAAAGGTTTTGTGGAAGGACTTAACTCCCTTTCGTGATGCTAATGTTCAAAACTTAAGGTAGTATCTCACAAAATCTTAAATTTCCCAACAGTTTCATATGAATCAGTTGTTTGTGAATTTCTCTGAATCTTTCCTTAATTGGTTTATTTTTCCAGCTTTTGCTTTCTCCTGGAGTTCAATTAAATTGACATTTGCTCCTTTAGTTATATAATTAAAAAAAAAGTTCTAATCAGCCAAAATTATGGACTTGTATCATATCTATTTTCAGATTTCATCTTTCCAGGTAGAGATGCATGGTTAAGTCTGTTCATAGTTGGTAGTCCTTCACCTTTTTGGTCATTTTAGTTATCCATCTTGGAACATTCTCTAGCTTCATTCTACTTTTCTTAACATGACTACCTTACTTGTATAGAGGCATTCAGAGAGTGAAAGAGTAAATAGTATTTTCTATTTCTAATATGGTCCCTGATAATATCCAAGATTTTGGTGATTCATTTCAGTGCCACATTGGGTAATGTCTTCTGAGTGTAGGCTTTAGGAATTCCTAGATTCTATCCTGATAACCAGAGCCTATTATGCCATTTAATTTCCACTAATGTTTTACCTGTCCCTTGTTTGCCTTGACTTGCATTTGAGCAGTCCTACTTCTCACATCTTCCTGCAGGTAATTCGCTACTTCCTATGGAACTAGATATCTCAAGAATACAGCCAATTCTAGATCATTGACAAAGATGTTTGATAAAACTACTGCCGGCAATGGCCCTGAAGAGAATGTGACATTTTATTTAGATATTTATTTTTGTATGTGTCAAGGGAACTCTGAAGCACTAAATAAATTAAATGAATTGCTCTTTTTAAATTACTTTTTATCTTATTATTATGAGAAATTATGCATATCCGTATTTGATTTGTGGAATTCAAATTGCTTCCACCCATATATATCATTGTGTTAGTCCATTCTTGCATTGCTATAAAGAAATATCTGAAATGCCATATCAGTCATGCTTACTCAAGTATTCATGATGCTACTCTATCTATAAGTCCTCCTGAATTTTTTACTCACAGCGTAAAAGGGGCTTCTACCATGTTGACACTATATATACTATATATACCATACTATACTATATGGTATGCTATTGGTAACTATTGTCTTGATTTTACATGTTTTGTGTGTCCTAAATATTTCATAATGGTTTATAAAACAGATACAACTTACAAAACATAACTGTGCTACTGAATTAGGAAGAGTAAAAGTGTCAGTAACATACCCATGAAGAGTCATCACACTTGTTTAATATATATTAATTCTTTGGGACAAGAGACTCAACATTTTTTATTTGGTTATTAATTTTTCTTTTCTGAACACCTATTATAAAATCATGTTTATAATATTTATCCTCAAATTTCAGATTGAGCCTATAATTTTACAGATTTGGATTCTAACTGTTGGCAATTTTCCTTTTAGTCTTATATTAATAATTGCTTCTAATTACTCAATATTATATACCAAATGATCAAAATACTTTTCAATGATTTTTGAGTGGGGATATTTGCACTTTTAGGTAACATTGAGGAAAAGATGCATCTGACATGTGTCCACTTAAAAGTTATTTATAGCCCATAAATATGTTAGAAATTTTCATTATGTCATGGTGTAGAGGTGAAGCCATCATATAAATTAAGAGTGACTCCAACTTTGTGCTTTACATATTATTGAAGCAATCTCTAATTTCAGTGTTTCTAGTTGTTGTCCCAAGAAGGAGCTGCCCAAAGCTGGTCCTGAGGAAAAATCTACCTTTTGGTCAGCTGTCCCTCTAATTATGATTTTTTTCTATAGCAACTACTTAAGTATTAACTACAGGAAGGCAGTGAGGTAGGGAGGCTTAAGTGATAATCCTAGGAAATAAACCAAATGACCCAGCAAACATTTATTGAGGCAACTAAACATCTAATAAATATAATAGAATATAACAGAACTCTTTGCCTTTCAGCTGTTATCCAGATTTCATAAAGCAGTCAAGATCAACATATAATTCAGTATCTATTAGGAATTTTTCATATTGTTTCTAGTCTCTCAGCCTAGCATTCTCTCATCATATCCACTTCAAAGCCATTATGTACCTTATTGTTGAAAGGTAAATCTTACTTGAAGACATCAAAGGAAGGAAATAGTCAACTGGTCTTTTGAAGTCCAGATTCAAAAATCAAGATAATAAGTGGTATCTGCCTAAAAATAATAGGCAATAATTTTTAATAAATTATAACTTTTAATAAAAATTAGTTATTGCCTAAAAATAATAGGCAATAATTTTAATAAATACTTATTTTTAATAAAAAATTTCTTTGTATTAAAGCGGGCAATCCAATGGCAGTCCGGTTGTGCAGTCTCTCTCTATATGGAGAGATAGAATTACAAAAAGTGACAATAGGAAATTGCAATGAAAATCTGGAAACCCTGGAAAAGCAGGTATGCCATATGACTCACTGATGGGCAACTGGAAGAAGTTCTGATTCCGTGCAGTTTCTGTTCTTCAGATACCTGATGGTCAAATCAATTCTTTTAAAACTCTCAAATTAGTAATAACAAAAACTAGTGACTAAAGCCACTCTTATTATTTATTTATTTATTTTGAGACCTAGTTTTGCTCATGTCACCCAGGCTGCAGTGCAATGGCACCGTCTCGGCTCACTGTAACCTCTGCCTCCCAGGTTGAAGCAATCCTCCTGCATCAGCCTCCTGAGTAAGCTGGGATTACTCATACCACCGTGCCCGACTAATTTTTGTATTTTTAATAGAGATGGGGTTTCACCATGTTGGCTAGGCTGGTCTCGAACTCCTGACCACAGGTGATCCGCCTGCCTCAGCCTCCCGAAGTGCAGGGATTACAGGCGTAGTAAGTAAGCCACCACACCTGGCCGCCACTCTTATTTTTAAAAGTTGACATCAGTTTGTGAAAAAGGACTGTTGTTTCATCAAATTTCAGCAAATGATGATCAATAGCACATTAAAAATGGCTTCATCTTTGTGGAAGTTTTGACTGGATATAGATCCCTGACATTTGAGACCAAAGGAAAGCCTCTTGATGGTGTAACTGGACCAGAATGAAGAGAAAGAAACTATTATCAAAGACCCTTGGAAACAGGAAACTCCAAACCTGATGCGGGTCTCAGGGCAGTATCTATGAGCAGGTGAAATAGAAAGTACATCTAACTAGATGTTTTTTCATGCAGATTAAATTATTTTGACCAAAGTTGTACCCAAATGCACATGCATGGAAGAGCTAACACTAGGGGACAAGCAAGGGGGAGGAAGAGGAAACCAACCTTTATGTACAGCCTTTCATGTGCCTGGCATGTTGCATATGTTATCACATTTAATCCTTATAAAACTTCTGTGAGTTGAATGTTATTCCCATATTATAAATAATTATAGCCAATAACACTTACTAATTGTTGAGCACCTACTGCATGCCAAATATTGTGCCAAATATTAATGTATTTATTAGTTTATCATATTTAATTTTTATAACACCATAAATAGGTATTAATGTACACATTTTATAGATGAGGAAAATGTGGTTCTGAGAGGTGAAGCATTTTGCCTAGTGATCACAGCTAAAAAGTGATAGAGCTGTTCTTTATTTTAAAGTTCACATTGTACTACCCTGGCTCCCTAATCACAGATGGGCAGGGTAGGGGTTGGGTGGGAACAGAAGTTGGAGAGTGGATGTGGCTGCCAACCACACAAGTTGTGCCAACCCACAGATTGAGGAAAGATGCTAAATTTGGAATCTGGCAAACCAGTGTTTGGTTCTTAGCTCTGCCACTTCTAAGCTGTGTGAAACTTGGTTGAGGTCCCTAACTTCTCCTGAGGGTGAACAACTCACAAAGTTGTTTTGCTTATTAAATGTGATAACACCTGTAAACATCTAACAGAGTGCCTAGCACATAGCAGGGATCTAGCAATTGAATTAGGGTTATTTGTTTCTGTCTACTGATTGGGTATTGTTTCTGACACTTACCCAAGTGTGAATAGCCTATAACACTGGTATAATTTGTGAAATGATGCTGCCATCTAGTGAAAACCAAGACACACACACACACACACACACACACACATACACACACACGTGCGCGCGCATGGACACCCAGCTTCACCAATGACAATATGGATTGGCATGTTTTAGCCTCACAACACAGAGCCCTGGGGCTAACTGGCACCTAGAGAGGTCATCTCGGCCAGTGCCTTCCAAACTACCAGTGCTGAAAAGCCAGTTCAAAAAATTTTGAACCCATTGCACACCAATATTTTTGTGAAATAATAAAAATAAATTACTGGAAAAATGAAATAAAAAATATGTATAAAATACAAACCAAAATTTTAGAACTGTTAGATTCAACAGCAAAAAATTGCTATATACATCTCTGACCAATTGCTTTCAGTTTCTGTGCTTATCTCTCTACGACCTTTGTAACACACAGTGAACCAGCGCTGGCCCATGGATACACTCTAGTAGCCCCAATCTAGCTAAGGCAGCCCCTTATAGTTAATCAATCCTGTCAAACAGGAAAGGCTGGCAAAACCACTGGTCTGCATGTACTTTGTCCTTTACACAAGGAAGGATGCAAACGTGGAAAACTGAGTGGACATGGTGTTCAGGAGATTGAGGCTCAGCTAAATTCCAGCTTATTTACCTGCAGTTGCTTACAAAGTGTTTGGACATAATTGTGTAAAGCTAGGGTTTTTTTTCTGGTTTTTAAAACAGGTAAAGGATGTCACAGCACCACTTAATAACATTTCTTCTGAAGTCCAGATTTTAACATCTGATGCCAATAAATTAACTGCTGAGAACATCACTAGTGCTACGCGAGTGGTTGGACAGATATTCAACACTTCCAGAAATGCTTCACCTGAGGTAAAACTCACAGAGCTTTAAAAAAAATTTTTTTTTTATTTTTAGAGGGGGTGTTGGGAAAGAAAGAGAGATGTCCTGAATACCACTCCTTATTCCACAATATGGTTTGAGCATGGTTTAAGTTGCTTAAAGGCATTTTGCATAGCACTCCTGAGAGACGCTCAAAGATTAAAAAAAGGGCCTCTTGTCCAAATATTTTATTTTAGGATATTCCTAATGATCATTATTGTGTTGTCTTTTTCTTTTGAGACAGAGTCTCATTGTGTCACCCAGGCTGGAGTGCAGTGGCACGATCTTAAGTCACTACAACCTCTGCTTTCTGGATTCAGGGGTTCAAGTGATTCTCAGGTCTCAGCCTCCCAAGCAGCTGGGACTACAGGCACACACCACCACACCTGGCTATCACATTAAGTCTTTTAGGAAGTCCTGGAATGCATAAGTCTACTTCACCTTATGAATATGTTTACCAACTACATTTGACCTTACCATCCCTAGTGCATTCCAAGTAAATAGTGTTTCAAGAATTTAATTTGGAACATGTGATTTTAAACTGCAATGCATTTCTATTAAGAATATTTACATTTTAGTCTTGGCTTTCTGAAAACTTTAAGCCTAGTTTACATTCCTGATATTTTAATTTGCTAAACCCTGGTACTTGAAAACAAGTATATTCAACATTTACTAATTGGTATAGCTGGATAGTGATCAAACAGGGCTACAAACCACCAATATGGACTCACCTTGTGTATAGGTTGAATATCAGCATGCCCTGAAAATAGCTACTCCTTTCTTCCATTCCCTTTAAATGTTTTGTTTCAGAAAAAAAAAATTGAAATATTTTTCCTGCTAAAAAGTAAGTGGGATTCAAGTTAATAAAAATGGAATTGAAAGAGAAAATATTGACCTCCAAATGTAGAATTAATGGAAGGATTAACAAGTAGGCAGAAGGGCTTCAACACTCCCAAAGAGGGAAGATAAATAGTAATCAAATGCCAAAAGATCATCTCTCTGACACACTCCTGAGTTATTGATTGAAAGAAAACTACAAATAATTTTACTAAGTCTAACAGGTATACTAAGTATAACTTAGTTATGCTAAGTATTATGAGCTGTAATTTTTAACAACCAGAGTATTGCACTCTTCTTATTTTGTTTCTGCTTTTGAATCCAAGCATTTGATTTTGTGTCCTTGGAGTTTGGTGGGGAGTCTGTGAAAGATCTTGCTATGAGGTCGAATTCAGGGACTTAAACCTCCTAATTCACTACCTTAATTTATATTTTCACTTTGCCTTATCTTGATTCTCTCTGTCATCTTATGTGGATCAAAGAATAAACCTTTAATTTTGTAAAATGCTTCCCTCTACATTATCATATCAGTGATGCCACTTGCTACTACAATGATTCATGATGATAATGATGGTGATGATAATGTATGATATATGCTTCTCTGATGATCAGTATCTTCTCTTTGGCAGGCAAAGAAAGTTGCCATAGTAACAGTGAGTCAACTCCTAGATGCCAGTGAAGATGCTTTTCAAAGAGTTGCTGCTACTGCTAATGATGATGCCCTTACAACGTAAGCACAAATTCAATTTGGAAAGAAAACTTGACTAAGGGCTGTTTACTTTCCTAGGCTAAAGTATTAACAGAGATATCTTTATTTCTCTCATGGATGCAGTAACTGACTGATTCCTCTGGAATGTAGATAAGAGCTGTGACTTTCCACTTGACCTTTAGTTACTAGATGGAGTGGTATATGTTACCTCCTGCATCCAGGGGTGCTGGCCATGGCCTGGGAGATAGGGAGTAACTGGGCTGATTTAGATTAGAACTTGTTTTCCTCACCTTAGTTTGGCATGACCAAGGGACAACTTCCATGCACAGCAAGACCTCTTCCAAATTCTTTTGCAAAACATAGAGCTACAGAGAACAGCTCACTTTGCAGGACATACTGCCATCCCCCAAGCTGCACCTCACTTCTCTCTTTCCAAGGCCCTGGTATATTTTGATTATTTTCCTTAGCTTTACTCTTGATCCCTTCGTGGGACTTGTGATAGGGGTGCCCCGTTTACTCAGCCCACCCCACTCAACCCCTTGCGGGAGGGAATGTGTAGATGAGCAAGTGTGGGAATCAGCCAGTCACTTCTCCACTGTCAGGAGCGAACTCTGTGCAGGCCCCACAGCAGCATCCAGAGGGGTGCCTGCAACCCCAAGGCCCCAGAGGGCATGTTACAATGCTCTCTTAGCTCCACCATCCATGGACAACATTGCATTATCAGCCCAGTGGGCCCTTTGCCTTGTCACATGGGGTGGCTGCCCTCCACCAGTGAAGGCAAAGGGCCAGCATAACAGCCTTTTTGGGTACCTGCACTTGGTGGGTCCCAAATTCTTGTCCAGTGCCCAAGAAGAATTAGGTCACCTGGACAAATTGAAGGATGGCAAATGCAGAGAATTTTATTAAGTGATGAGGGAAGCTCTCAGTGGAGAGGGGAGCTGGAAAGTGGGTGGGAAGGGCAGGTTGCTCTCCCCTGAAGTCAAGTCACCTCTCAGCCTCTCTCCTTCAAAGTCAGGTTGCCTCTCACTGTCTCTGAAGTCAAGACACCTCTTCCTGACATCCAGCCACTTCTCTTCCCTACCAGCTGAGTCTGGGGTCTTTTTAGGCACAGGATGGGGGAGTAGGGCAGGCTGTAGTTTTGGAAAAGGCAACATTTGATTCGTAAAAAGACATTATTCAGAAAGAACCAACCAATGGGAGAGAGTGGGTAAACAGGGATTGAAGTTCTCACTTTGGGTTTCAGACTACTTTTGGCCTGAAGGTTTCCCCCTGGGATCCACCCTTGTCTGCTTAGAGTTTCTCTGCCTCCTCCCTTTCTGACCAACACTACATTGAAAAAAAAGAAAAAGAGAACTCTACCTGCTTTCTCTCTTTTTTCCTCCTCTGTTCTGGATTACTGTTGGTTGAATATTTGTATTAAAACTCATGTACTTTATTCATAGAGGCCCCTTGTTGGTATTCACTGTATTTTTACCTTATGCACACTTGTCAAAACCCTTTTAAAACTTACATCAGCATGCATGCTTATTGTAGAAAAATAAGAAAATATGTAGTTTAGCAAAATTTAAAAAATTATCTTACCTTTATTAACCTGTTGGTATATATTCCAGGTTTTTTTCCCTCTGTTTCTGTGTGTGTGTGTGTGTGTGTGTGTGTGTGTGTGTGTGTGTGTGTGTATGTATATGTATATTACATACTATATTGATTCATAACTTGCTTTTGTCACTTAATACCTTACAAACTTTTTTCTGTAAACATCTTTTATATAAATATATACACATCTACATCATAATTTTAGTTTACTGCATTATATGTGTAAACTTTTATTGAACCAGTTCTCTGCTCAGCAACTGGACATTTACATTGCTGGAAGTCTTTTAATGTTCTAAGTAATTAGCATTCTGGTACATAATCTTTATTTACACGACCCATTATTTCCTCAGGAGAAATTCCTAGAAGTAGTTCTTAGTTTTCTAATGATTATGACAAGTACCTACTTAGCGTTGAATTTTCAAAGTAGAAAAAGCACAAAGGCACAAAATAGAGCATTCAAAGATTACAATTCTGAGAGGTGGTTGTAGAGGTTGAGTGAACAGTTTTACTGGCATACTTTGTGACTTCAGATTTCAATAGGAGTCTGGGCCCTTCTCATGGAGAATGTGGATGTCTCTCATTTTTCTTGACATATGAGAAGGAAGTGGCCATGGGGTCCAGAGTCTATGTTCAGTGAACAGAGAGGCCAAGAGCCAGAGTGGGCTCCCTTCAGAGATGAAAGCTTTGTGTTTGCAGATTCTTGCTAGACGGGAGGAATGAACGTTTTTGGTGAGAAAGCTGGGAAAAGAGAAGTTGTGGGATTTGAACATCACAGTTCACAAAAAAGATAGGAACATTTTCCTAAAAATAAATAATTATGAATTTTGCTGACTTAATATATAAAGGAAAATACAATTTTGTGTGATTTTTACACAATATCCAAATAGTTTTAAAGGAGGTGGTTAAAGGATAAATAAAAATTTAAGGTATAAGATACAGTGAACCTTAAAATGGTGTAAGCATGCTCAATTTCTCCTTTTATCACTCTGAATTTCTAGTCCAATTATTTTCTAATAATGTTCCATCAGTTTATCTTCTACCAACGTGATCTTTTGCATAAGCTCTTGTGGACTCAGATCCTTCCTTCATTCACTTAGATAAAGCTTCCTCCTCTGCTTCTAGCCCCAAGGTCAGGTCAACAACCCTTTAGCTCTCTTTAGGAGAATACTCTTGATGAGCTTCCAACAGAGGTCATCTCTCCACGAGAAGGAAATTAATTGTTGTTTAGGACAACATTTGCTTTCCAAACTCTATCTTCTGAACCTAGGCCAGATGCTGGGTTCCCTGACAGACATCAGGCCTTAGTCACCCATTTCACTTTGACTTCTTCCTTCTTTCATTCCAGTTTTCTCTTGGTATCTCTCAGCTACTGAATTGCCTTTCTATAGTATAGGGAGAAGAGGAGAGGGTGAGAATAAAAGGGAGGAGAGTGACAGAGAAGAAAGACTCTTTGACTCTGTCAAAGTGGGCAGAGCTCTGGAGGTGTAGGGTTTCTGCTGGTGAGGGCATCATAGTACAATCAATGAGTTTAGGACTTCACCTCACCATTTTTTTTTCCTTTTTTTGAGACGGAGTCTTGCTCTGTCACCCAGGCTGGAGTACAGTGGCAAGATCTCAGCTCACCACAACCTCTGCCTCCCAAGTTCAAGCAATTCTCCTGTCTCAGCCTCCCTAGTAGTTGGGATTACAGGCATGCACAACCCTGCCCAGCTAATTTTTGTATTTTTGGTAGAGACAGGGTTTCACCATGTTGATCAGGCTAATCTTGAACTCCTGACCTCAGGTGATCCACCTGCTTTGGCCTCCTAGACTGTTGGGGTTATAGGCGTGAGCCACCGCGACGGGCTGACCTCACCATTGTAGACATTGCTTGCATAGTCTGATCTGTAACCTTAGACCTTTGATCTCATATTGAAGGTCATAATTACCCTGGTTTATCTGACTTTGGGAATGCAAAATGCCTCCCTAGCACTGACCACCTGTACATTTACATTTCGCTTTTCTTTTTTTATTTCTGTTCCAGCTAGCCTGGCACCCACTCAAATATCTTGAACAAATAGAGATTTATCGTAAATAGGCATATGGGGTCTCATGGAGGCCCAAGAACTAGATCATAATATAGTGGGCCTTGTCAACCCAAAATAATCAAAAAGGTCAGAATCTAGTTTAAAGAGAGTTCGTTCAAGTGCAAAGTTTAAGGACAGCTGCCTGGGAAGCACAAATTCCAAAAAATGGAAGTCAATGTTTTGAAGTATATAAGTTTGGGATCATTTATATAAACAAAGTTTAGGGAAGCTTAAGAGAGTTTTAACGTCTTTCTATATAAGGCTTTCTATATAAGGCTTATAGTAATGCATGGTTATAGTAATCTGATTAGCTGAGGTGGTCTTTTTCTTTTGGGAAATGTGTATTTAACATTCCACACTGAAGGTGTAACAATTACACTGAAGACGTAACAATCATGAGCTAAATGGTCTGAGTTAGGTACAGGACAAAAAAGGAGGCAATTAATCTGTAACATAGATCAGTCATTAGAAAGGGGAAAGGTCTGGCCTCTCCTAGTCATTTACAGAACAAGAACAATGAGGAAGAGAGTTAATCTATAATCTAATAAGCAGAAGTTGCAAACACGCTACACGTGATTCAGTCTCCAGGGCTTAACTTCCTTTTGACATAATAAATTTAGAGGGTCTTGAAATTTTATTTTCTTTTATTGCCATATGGACCCTGGAGCAGGAAGATGACTGAGGATCCAAGGCAGCTTTGGAAGCCTTAGTAGAGGAGTTTACAGGTCTTTTCTTATTTTCAACAGGAAGAATTAGCCTCTTATTTTTAATTTGTGGTTTTTCTCACAATGATGTAATGACCTCTCTGGCTTCCTCTAAATTATGACTTTCCTGATATAACTACAGCACTAATCAAAAAAAACCCCGTTTCCAAGAATCTGATGACTTATTTTAGTCAATTGTGCCAGGTGGATGACCACTTTCTGGATTGGCTTCTCTGGGGCAGGTGCCCATCTGTAATCTTATCAGTTATGACAAGAGGAGGAAAGAAGTACAAGAAAGAAAAAATGACCTTAGAAGTAGCTATGGTTAGAGCAACCCTGTAAAAGTGGGAACATGAAAAACACCTCCTGTATATCTACCACATCTTTCCTTTTAGCCTGCAAATGCCTGAGGGAGCAGCTCCTGGAACTCCCACTGTTTCACAGAGTGCTGACCTCTACATAGATACTCAACAGATACTGTTTGGTAGAATGATATTCTTAGCAGGTGGGAGTTTTGTTAGGTATTCCTCCCATTGAAAGCAGCTCTGGGGTATGTGTGAATTGCTGAAAATGGTTTTATAAAAGGAAAACATTTCAATCAGAGGATCTAACCTGAATGTTTCCATACGAATGATGATTATGTTCTCTTTATAAAGCAATCCTCAATTATTGTAAACTTTCTTTTTATCTCATTTGGAGGTAGAGAAAAGATATTTTAGTGTCAGAAATAAAGATTTGACATATAGAACAACTACATTTTGATGAAATCCTTTCATTTCTGGAAGAACTAGACTGATTATTTTACATACAGAGGTTTTGTTTGGTCAAGTACAGAAATAGTTCAAATATTTCTATGGGAAACAAGAAAAAGAAAAGGTCTTATGACTTTTCTTTGGAGAATGCCAAATTGACAGGTTGCCCCCACTCCCTCCCACCTTCCATCTAATCTATCTTTGAACTTAGCCAAAGTAGAAAAGAACATTGTAAAAACCTTCAGGGTTTAGTTCATAGCTGAGGCAATGAGCTCAGAGCTCTGCTCTTTGGTGGTTCCATCTGAACTGTCACCTCAGGAACGAACAACTTACAAAACATGCTTTGGATCCTAAGGGGTTTGGGTGAGAGGAAGAAGATGAATAAATGGAAATGGATTCTCACCACTGGAGAAAAAATTAGAAGTGCATGCCTTGCCAATGGTGGGTGGCAACACCATCCTTCTATGTGAAGAGCATCATAATAAAGACTATTTCTTTTGGGAATTCTATAATTCTTGAGTTCTACCTTTTTGCCATCTATGTTCAAGGTAGCCTTCAGTGAGGACTGTCCACCAGAACTGTTTTATTTAAGTACATATAACACAACAAAACTCTAGAAAAGAAAACCAATTATTCTTAGGCAATTGTCAATGTTGTCATGACCACACAATTCTATGCTCATGTCTTTCTGCTGTAGTGTAAGACAGAACACATACCTTTCATTTTATGACAAAATCTTGAGTATTAAATTGTGTTTTATTATATGCAGGCTTATTGAGCAAATGGAGACTTATTCCTTGTCTTTGGGTAATCAATCAGTGGTGGAACCTAACATAGCAATACAGTCAGCAAATTTCTCTTCAGAAAATGCGGTGGGGCCTTCAAATGTTCGCTTCTCTGTGCAGAAAGGTGAGCTGTTAATCTTATGTGCTTGTAACAGCAAAGAGCATTCTGCTACTGATGATGAATAATAATGCTCTACTCATGATAATGTAGACTTTTACAATTCTACTCTTTCCCTTCTCATAGGAGCTAGCAGTTCTCTAGTTTCTAGTTCAACATTTATACATACAAATGTGGATGGCCTTAACCCAGATGCACAGACTGAGCTTCAGGTCTTGCTTAATATGACGAAAAGTAAGTCTCAAACTTTGTGACATTTAAAAAAATGGACTCGAATTCATGGAACTAATAACTTCTAATTTACTCTAGGAGAAATAATGTCTACTTAGTTTCATACTGAGTAATTTGCATTTGAGTAAGTTTGAGCTCTGACATATTATGGTAATCTCAACTCTACTATTCTAAGTCAAAAAGATAATTTCTTTGTTTTTTCTTTTTTCAAAAGCCTTTTGGAAGGTAGCAGAATTGAAATGTTCAGGCCATGTACACAAATATGTTTTCCTACAAAAATCTTGCTAAGGTGGTTCTGTTTTACACTTACAAATTTAAGACATATTCAATCACAAGCTCTGACCATGTTTACTAGTGGCATGACACTCTCAGGCTCAGATGCATCCTGCAGACCTAACCCTGGAGAAGTCTATGTAATTGGCACAGACATCATTTAGTAGTATCAATTTTAGGTTATCTCCTCTCTGTGGTGCCCACCATGTGCTCACTATTGTCCTACATATAACCTTTCAGAAATTCTTACACGTAACTTGAAGTGGTTGTATTTTTCAAAATCTAAAAAAAAAATAAGTAAATCAAACAGACACACTTACTTTTCATTTCTCCCCAAGCAAAAAAACCCGATGTCAGAAAGTATATGTGTTAGATAGAATATATTTATAATAGCACTAAAAAAGAAGAGAGTATTATTCGTGAATCTGGCACTCTGGAATTTTGCTCTCATTTGCTTTGGCCACATGCTTTGTGATGGTAGAGACTAGATCTAAGTCTTCTATCTTCTTG
Source organism: Homo sapiens (assembly GCF_000001405.40). Lineage (NCBI taxonomy): Eukaryota > Metazoa > Chordata > Mammalia > Primates > Hominidae > Homo > Homo sapiens. The sequence goes on from NC_000003.12 coordinate 100,644,414, forward strand.
TGCATTTTTTCTTTTAATTTAAAAATACTTCATGCATACAGAAAAGTACAGAAAGTAATGTGAACAGTACCTATGTAACTATCAGCCAGGTAAACAAATATCAATTTTTCCTATATTTGCTTCAGATCTCTTTAAAAAAGAGAGAGACAATATTACAGTTGCACCTGAAGCCCTCTACCTCACGAATCACTGCAGCCTCAACCTCCCAGGAGGAAGCAATCCTCCAGCCTCAGCCTCCCAAGTAGGTGGGACTATAGGAGCCCTGCTAATTAAAAAAAAAAAAAATTAAATTTTTTTTGTAGAGACAGAATCTCGCTATATTGCTCAGCCTGGTCTCAAACTCCTGGGCTCAAGTGATCCTCCTGCCTCAACCTCTTAAAGTGTTGGGATTATAGCCATAAGCCACTCTGCCTAGTCTCATTCTTTTATTTTTAAAGAAAGAATAAAAAGAAACCTTGCTCCATTATTAGGGTTAACTTTTCATTTAGGGTCCAGGAGAAACAATTTGGTGATGTCAATGTACTGTGAACAAAAGACAGCAACCCATCCCTTTCTCTCCAGGTAGAGGCTCCAACAATGGCCACAGAGGAGGACAATTTGGGGGCTGTCGGGGCCTTGCCTGTCTCCCTCTCAAATCAGATGACTGAATACTCTGGTCTCACACCACAATGTTTTCCTTTTATCACTTGTGAAAGACAACAGAGTTTAGGAAATTAATTCAGTTAAAATGTATACTGTTGACGCTTCTGCTGTTTTAAATATGCCAACAGTTGTATAAGGTGTTAGGAGGCAGTCCTGGTTCTCTTTGACTGCTGCCACCAACGGGCTGGGTGCCAAACCCTCCACAGCAGCGATGGTCTTTCAGGATCTTTGATGAACAGCTGATTCCTTTTTCCAATGTCCAGAAGATGTTTCACAGTAGACTGCTAGCCTTGGGAGAAGCCCATGATTGTCATGACACAGAGCAGGGGACAATAGTTGAAGAGATGGTGAAGAGTGCCTGCCTCAAAAACTCCACAGAAGTGACTTGAGCTCCTTGCTCTGTGACTTAACACCACTTGTCCCCTTTGAACAGGAGACCGACCTCATCTGGGCTTAGCCATCCTGGTGTCCCAAGCTTTGCTATTTCCTGTCTCATATTTTATCATTGCAGGAGGTAACATGGGCTGGAGCTACCCACATGTTGTGTTCACTCTCTCCATCTCTCATGTATAAAGCAAGACGTTTACTTTATATATGAGATCTTTGCAATACCTTTTTGAGGTGGACTAGGCAGAAATTCTCGTTCCTGTGTAGAAGGTAAGGAAACTGAAGCTCAGAAAAAAAAAAATTAATGTGGGTGGAATGGCCCGCCATAGGTTATATGTGTTACTTACATATTGCAATTAAGTAAAGGTTCAACCAGTAAACCATTTTTACTGTACTTTACTCAAATATTAAGCAGCCATGCACTTCTACAATAACGTGACATATTGTTTTTTGTTTACCTTACAGTGCACTTATTGATTTTAATGTCTTTTTCTCCCTATAGATTACACCAAGACATGCGGCTTTGTAGTTTATCAAAATGACAAGCTTTTCCAATCAAAAACTTTTACAGCTAAATCGGATTTTAGTCAAAAAATTATCTCAAGCAAAACTGATGAAAATGAGCAAGATCAGAGTGCTTCTGTTGACATGGTCTTTAGTCCAAAGGTGAGTTTTTCATTGCAGATGCAAGAAAAAAGTGTCCTCATGCTTTCTTTCTGATGGTGGCAGCTGAGACTGAGTAGAGTAATACAGGGGAAGAAGAGAATAGGAGGGCGGGGGGGAGGGTTTTCCATGAACAGAAATAATAAAAATTCAGACCACTCTTGAATAGCAAAAGCAGGGATATGTTGAATAAAAGAAATCTATAGCAAAACTCTTCAAAAGGTTCTTTGATGTATCCATTTGAATATCCCTCCCAACCATATCTGTTGTCAAACTAACTAAATGCAAAGTTAACTAATTTAAATTTTATCTCCTTTTTTCCCTCTCCTTAATCATAATGAATATGCTGATGCTTAGTATATATTTAATTCATTTCTCAGATGACTGTCTTATACTACTTGATTTTTTTTAACCCAATTAAGTATTTAGAAACAGTAATTGTAATTGTCTTATCAATTCATAGTACAACCAAAAAGAATTTCAACTCTATTCCTATGCCTGTGTCTATTGGAATTTGTCAGCGAAGGACTGGGACACATATGGCTGTCAAAAAGACAAGGGCACTGATGGATTCCTGCGCTGCCGCTGCAACCATACTACTAATTTTGCTGTATTAATGGTAAGGATATACATAGCAATCTCTTTCCAGATGAGAATTTTCCTTATACACAATTCTAGTAGGTGCTCCTTGGAGATAACTTTGGGATTTAATTTACATAGATTCTCAACTCAGATTAAATAGAAAAACAAGAAATAAAATAATGGGACTTAAGGCCGGGCGCGGTGGCTCACGCCTGTAACCCCAGAACTTTGGAAGGCCGAGGCGGGCAGATCACGAGGTCAGGAGTTCGAGACCAGCCTGACCAACATGGTGAAACCCCGTCTCTACTAAAAATACAGAAATTACCAGGTGTAGTGGTGCACGCCTGTAATCCCAGCTACTCAGGAGGCTGAGGCAGGAGAATCGCTTGAACCTGGGAGACAGAGGTTGCAGAGAGCCGAGATCACACCACTGCACTCCAACCTGGGTGACAGAGTGAGACTCTGTCTCGAAAACAAAAACAAAACAAACAAAAAAAATAGGACTAAGGTAAAGGCAAGTAGAATAGAACTTTTTGCTATGTGGTCTTAGGATAGAGAGGTCAGAACTATGTATTTGATCATGGGAAGGGAGTCCATGTGCGAAAGAAAAGCTGGTGGGCTCCATTCAACTAACTCACACGTTCTGAAGCATAAAGTTGTTATAGCCAGAGGTAAAGCTGTATAGCTGTGTGCCAGAGACAGGTTCAATATTTACTTAGCTGTATGTGGACAGTTTAAATCAGTTACCCAAAGCTTTTCCCAATGAAATTGCTCAGGTTACTAAGTTTTTGCTAGAAGATATAAAAGAAAAACTCTGTAATCCCTTCAATTTGTCCCCTAGTTTCTCCGTGTATTCCTTAATTCTTTTACCTCTAAAGCTATACTGTGCAAGTAACTGATAATACTTAGCTCTGGCGTGCAGCTGTGCATGCGTCTCTCAAGGTTCTTGTGCTGACCTTTGTAAGAAGAGGGGCTTCTTCTGTATGTTCTATTTCCAGAAATCTATTATTCCGGTGAAACAAAAAAAAGTTAGTTTATATACTTGATGGAATGTTTTTTATACACAATGGAATGGGGAATTATGAAGAGTGTTCTTCTCCTTAGTAAGGGACTATTAATGCTATGAATCTCCCAAGGAGAAGCAGATGTTTTCATTCCCCAGTAGCTATAATATAGCCATATTTGGGAAGCCAGTGGAGACTGGTAGAACATACTGGTATAGCTTGCATTATCAAAGCACAGAACCTTGCTTTTTAAAACTTTTTGAGATAACTGTAGTTTTCTCATTTTAATTATAAAAGCTCTCTTATTCAAATTCATTTGGATTATTTCTTTTCTAATTTGTATTACAGAGAGATCTGCCTTCTCAATCAGGAGATACAGGAGAAAAATTTAACTTTTTGATATCTTAAAGTCATAGGATCATTGATGAGCTATGTAAAGCTCAGGTTGCTATACATGTTAAATGATATAGTTTACTTTATTATAGTTATCTTTTCCCTTTCTTGAGGTTAGGCTTTCAGCTATTTTTTCTCATTAGTATCTGACTGTCTCAATGTCTACGTACCTACATTTGTAATTAGTTTTGGTTTGCATTATTTTTTTAAATGGCTGATTAAAATTGCATGATTAAGAGCAAATCGGCTCTGAGTGAAAAATATTATTTTTAAAATCTGAAGACCTATGAATCTTACGATCCTTTTTGCATCTACTTAGTACACTACGTATAAGAAATAACATAAAATTTTTGTTTTATTTTTAAATGTGTATTTTGTTTTTATTTTATTTCTATAAAAGCAATACACAGGCATTGCATAAAGCATGAAAGTATGCACCAAACAAAAATATACTGATATGGAAAAATGTTTATGAAAAAGTAAAATGGCAATTCAAGCATAATGCTATTATGTTAGCAAACCCCTGTATGTTTGTGTAAGAGACATAGATAGTATTTTTAAGCATGTAAGAAAAAAAGACAGGCTCTCAAGAGGTAGGTATGGTGTGGGGTAGCAGGCAGTATAAAGGAACATATGCTTCTTTATTATGCCTCTATATTCCTTTCATATTTTACAAATAAGAATACATTGCTTTTCTAATTTTAACAACTTAAAAAAATCAGAAAGTACAGATAAGCAAAATGAACTATACATATCCAACCCACCCTGTGACCACCACCACTACCTCACCAGATTTCTAAGATTACATACTCATATGGTACATATTTTCATATATATATACACACGCAAACATGTTGAGAGATATATAGCTATATTACATAAAAATAAGGCTTCCTTTAAAAAATTAACAGGGTATGAGCATCTTTCCATATTTATGAAAATATTTCTGCAACTTTATTTTTAGTGCATCAATTTAGATATACTTAGAGTCCAGTTACACATAAAAATAATGTCATGAATAAGTGAGGCAACTTTTGACAATTTAGATCTAATTCAAACAATTTTGATTTTAGACATCAAGGAAAAGTATAAATAGTTGACTTGTGAACCACATGGGACAGTATGGGTCCACTTAATATGTGGATTGTTTTCAATAAAAAAGTCTGCCCTCCACATTGGCAGGTTCTGCATCCATGAGGAAACGTAGATGGAAAATAACAGTATTTTCAGAGTGCAAAACTGGTATATGCAGGTCAGCTTTCCACATCAGCAGGTTGCACAGGACCAACTGCAGGACTTGAGTATCCATGGCTTTTGGCATCTGCAAGTTGTTCTGAAACCAGTCCCCCTGCAAATACCAAGACATGACTGTATATTTTTCCTTAACTGAATTAGTTAGATAATTATTCTCAAGCCTGTATACTTCAGGTAAACTGCTCAGCAATAAGGGGTTAATGTATTTCGCTTTTAAATATATCATGAGCTTTACAAAAGGAAGATATATCTGGCAACTGTCTGGTTATTTTGACCCATGTAACTCTGTGATGTTGACTTTCATTAACACTTCAGGGATGACTAATTAAAAATATGAGTCTTACCTTGTTTTTCAGACTTTCAAAAAGGATTATCAATATCCCAAATCACTTGACATATTATCCAACGTTGGATGTGCACTGTCTGTTACTGGTCTGGCTCTCACAGTTATATTTCAGATTGTCACCAGGTAAGAGCAGAAGCAGGCTCTTTTCAGAAGAGAAATTGCTATCTTGATATAATTTACTCTGAGAATTCTCATGAGTAGTGTCTTTGAACTAGGCAAGAACTCAGAGAGGTACTTATTTTACAGAGGAGGACATTTAGGCCTGGAAAGGCTAAGAAATACACACAAATAAATACGTAATTACAAATTGTGGCAAGTGCCTTGAAAGAAAATTATATGCCACTTATTTACAAGTTTGTCATGTAAAATTTATGTGGTCCTGCAGCTCATTAATGCTATAATTCCTCAGTGTTGAATAGAACCATGCCTAGCAATTTGTATTTGTTAAGGAAAGAGACATTGCAAACAGCAATTTTTTAAAAAAGTAATTTAAAAAATATATCAAGCTTTCAAATGGTGAAACGTTTTTCAAAAATATAGTTTTCAAATGGTGAAAGTTTTTGAATCCCATACATTAAATTCTAATTTTAAATAATGACCTATAAACAAATACTTCTCTCCACCTTGACCCCTTCATTTGAGGTCCAATTTTGTATCCCATTCATTATTTTTTGTCACATGCTACATTTTTTTAACTGCCTGCGGTCTTTTAGAAGCTTGTTCATTTATTAATTTACTCCGTTTACTGTGTGTTTCCTCTGTCAACTTCACATTTCATGTTTGTTTGGTCTTTCATGACATTGAAATTTTTCAAGCATCCAGGCCAGTTACTTTGAAAAATGTTCCACAATGAAGATTTGTCTGAAATTTTCCTCATGAAGAGATGCAGGTTAATTATTTTTGGTGGGAATACTGCAATCATGGAATTTTTTTTAGTGTGACACAACAAGAAGTGCGTATCAGTATGTCCCATTATTGTTGGCTGTAAGTTTGATTCCTCGTTTAAAGTGATGTCTGCCAGATTTCCACATTTTTTCCCTGTGTAAATAATAGATGACTCGTGGGGTGCCACTTTGAGGCTGCATGATATCCTGTTTCCCAAAAATCTTTTACTTAATGATCTTGTTACTCATCCTTACTGGAACAAATTATTACATTAAGTGGTTGAAAAATGGTGATTTTTCTAGGCTATCACTCTTTCTATATTTGTTTGCTATACTCTTTTGTAAAAAGCATACTTCCCAGTGTAGCCAGAGGGAGCCCCTTCATGTTGTTTTGCCACGTCTCAGTCTTTAGTCACTTCCTTATTTCAATCAAAAGCAAAATGATCATCTTTCACTTTCTCTGCCTCATACCTGAACCAGCCATTTCTCCAAAGAGCCAGAATTGTTTTCGATTCCTTTTCTTCCCCTTTTCACATTAAATGAGTCTCTTGCCATTCATTTAAAAGTTTTATAGTGAGTGCTTATGTTGTAAGGAGCTGAATACAAAACTATGAACAGACAGATAATCTCCCATCTCTCATGAAATATACACTGTTGGGGGGAAAAGGCAGACATTATAAAAATATCTACACAACTGAATATTACAAATTGTGGTAAGTGCCTTGAAGGAAAATTACATGTTTGTCATGTAAAATTAAATGCCTCTTAAATTTGTCTCATTATTTGTATTTCTACCATCACCACAGTTGTACTGACAATTATTTGGTCCCATAGGGATGAGTCATAGTTGCTGCATAACTAGTTTCTTTGCCAAAACCTCACTCTTTTCATTTGTCATCAGATTTTTTTCCTCTTTCATCAATATGTTTTCTAGCACAATTATGCAACCAAAGATACCACTAAAATTCATCAGGAAACAAAAATAAAAATAAACACCAGGCATGGAGGCTCACACCTATAATTCCAGCACTTTGGGAGGCCAAGGCAGGAGGATTGCTTGAGCCCAGGAGTTTGAGACAAGCCTGGGCAATACAGCAAGATCACATCTCAAACAAATTTTTTTTTTTAAAGAGAGAAAAAACAAAACAAAAATAAAGACAAAATTTTATTGATTTTAAAATCCTGAATTATAAAATTTTCTTTGTTCTTGGACAGGTTCCCATATAATAATAATGCACAGAATACAAACAGTCCCCTACTGACCATGGTTCAACTTACGATTTTTCAGCTTTAAGATGTTGCAAAAGTGATAGCATTCAGGATGTTTCTTGATTTATGATAGGGTTATGTCCCAATAAACCCATTGTAAATTGAAAATATGGTAAGGTGAAATGATATTTTTAGTTTTCGATGGGTTTGTTGTGATGCAATCTCATTGTAAGTTGAGGAGCATCTATATAGTAATAATCTATAAGAAGGGCCAGGCTATTTGAAAATCACCTCTTCTTCCTGTGGATTATAATTGATAAAATTAGATAAAAACTAGACTCTAATCTTACTTTTATATAAAAAGATTCTTCTGAGTACTTTTTGCAGTTCTGGTCATTAAACCTCTCAATAGATTTAATGAAATTTTGAATTGTCCAGAAATCTCAACTAAAATGTCAAGCAGATGGACTGAGTTCTGTTTGAATGAAAGCTTTTTTGTTCAGTGTGGGAATCCAAAGATCAAGCGAGGTCATGATGAAACATCGTAAAAACATAAAGAATACATAATGGGCAAATAGACTTCATCAAATTATGAGTTATTAAGAATAGAGAGGCATTTGAAGGTTAGAACTTTAGGCATAGTAATAAACCTGGGAAATGGTATTCCAAGAGGTCTTGCAGTCTGAAAAATCCAGAAGGCTTTAGATGGTAGTGAGTAGAGATTTTATAACTTTTATTGGCGAGGAACTGTCTGCCATAGTGTACATGAAAGTGTAACATGCCTTTAAGGGGATATAAGGATATATCTGCCTTTAAGCAATAAGGAAAATAATACATGTACAAAAAAGAATATCACATTTTACTTCTGAAATCAACTTTATTAAGAGAAATCTTGCATTCTCTGCCAATCTGAAGATATACATGTGGGCTAGCACAGAATATATACATGAACTACACACACCACACCATACATACACACACACCACACCATATACACACATACACACACACACACTCATACACATTCACTCATACTGCCTTCTGAAAATTGCTGGTAAACAAGGCCGGCCTGCAGACAAAATAAGAGAAACAGCTGCTCTTTTAGAGCAAAGACATTAGGTAAGCATGAGAAGGGAAAAAAAGGCAATTTTAAAGAGCACTTGGTTGTACACCCAGAAATTATATCTTCCAATAAAGGGATAGTCCTTCGGAATGATTTACATTCAAAATGTGGTTCAGGACATCTTGACCATCTGACAATCAGCAAGCATTTCCCAAAATGTGGTCCTTGAAACATTAGTCCAAGGGAGATTCTTGATGAAAATAAGGTTCTGAAAAGTCTTGCAGAAAAGATATGTGAAATATTGTTATGTATAAACCATTTAAAAAAGCAGTAATCATTAGTCTACTTAAATTATAAAGAATAGCATCAGTAACAATAGGCCATGAAACAAATTAAAAATATTTTTACCTAATTTAAATCTTCATGTAAGCTTCATTCTTTAAACGTAAAGTAAGCTGAATATTACCTAATTTTGTTTTAAAGCTGTTACACTGTTATGGGAAATTATTAAAAAATTGTATTTGGCCTTATTTTAAAATGTATAAGTGACTTTTAAATATAAATTACATTTTAAAACTCAAGAGACTTTTTCTCTACATTTAAACATGAGTTCATCTACTAATGTGCAGAGTTTTCTATTATAAAAATTTTAAAACTCCATATAGGGCCTCTTCTACAGATGGCCTTCACATAAGCTTGCAAATCTACAGTAGAACTTATTACCTCATGTTATATTAAAAAAACTGCCCCAAAACTCAGTGGATAGAAACACATATTATTTCTAATGATTTTGTGGCTTGTCTGGGTTCAGCTGGGTAATTTTTCTACTGGTCTTGCTGGAGTCTTGCAGTCAGATGGCGGCTGGGCCAGAGTCATCTGGAGGTTCACCTAGGATGCTGGGGCAGCTGCATCTTTCTCCCTCTCCATACAGTCTCAGAGGACTTTCATGCAATTTTTTTTTTTTTCAGCGAGGTGGCTGGGCTTTTTACACAGTGGCTCAGAACTCCAGGAGCACAAAAGGAAAAGCTGTCAGTGTTATAGGATTTTCTCCTTTGTTCAGCTAAAAGCTGGGTTCTTGTCACGCGACTATGAAAGGTTAGGCTCGCAGACACTTTGAAGGGTGAAAAGGACAGGGTTAATTGGGTGTAAAGGAAAAAAAAGGGAAACAGGGACTATCAGCAAAGTGAGAGTCCTGCTACTAGGCTTCCCTCCGTGCAGATTGAATCCACGGATACCTCCTCGGAAGAGGAGAGGCCAGGCTCCTCCCCTCTGCAAAGGGCAGGAACTTCCCACAGCTCCACCCCGTTCTCCCAGTGCGCGGGTCAGTTGGAGGTTCTCCCGGTACACCTTTATACTAGGTTGTCTCACGTGGAGGGCCATGTTATGACTTTTATGTTCCCCAGGCACTTGTGCCTTTGTGGAACCTTTCATTCATTAATGAAAGATTAAAAATTTTATTTTATGATTGCATAGGTACAAAGATGAATATATTAATATCCTTTGAGCTAAGAGTTCTCTTTTTTCTTCTGAGTCTAAAAGAAGTTAAAACATTACTATGGGATATGAACACTAAGCACTATTGTGTCTAATGCATAAGTCGGCCTTGGCTGCCAGGCCTTCTGTTGCATCCCATCAGTTAAATCAAGGTACAGGCCAGGTTACTGTGAAGGGACTACGCAGGGCTACCTACCAGGAAGTAGGGTTCACTGGGGGCCATTTTTGGAGATTAGCTATCACTTTTGATCAGAACACAGTTTCAAGAAAAGATATGTCAACCTGTATCCTTTAACTCATGACTTTGTGGAAATGATAAGAGGAAAGTATAGTTTTCTGATGTAATCGAGAAGGTAGATTTACCAGCTGTCACAACTGGGCTATGAACTGAACTTACATTGGGCAATAATATTCTTTGTTCCCAGAAATTTCACTGCAGTTTGTTTTGTGCAGTTGTTGTGTTTCATTTAATTTTTTTATATTAATTTACTTATTTTCAGGAAAGTCAGAAAAACCTCAGTAACCTGGGTTTTGGTCAATCTGTGCATATCAATGTTGATTTTCAACCTCCTCTTTGTGTTTGGAATTGAAAACTCCAATAAGAACTTGCAGACAAGTGATGGTGACATCAATAATATTGACTTTGACAATAATGACATACCCAGGACAGACACCATTAACATCCCGAATCCCATGTGCACTGCGATTGCCGCCTTACTGCACTATTTTCTGTTAGTGACATTTACCTGGAACGCACTCAGCGCTGCACAGCTCTATTACCTTCTAATAAGGACCATGAAGCCTCTTCCTCGGCATTTCATTCTTTTCATCTCATTAATTGGATGGGGTAAGTGTTTGCATCTCCCCTTTCTCAGGAATTTAATTTTGTGGAAATCATTTAATTTAAACACTTATTGAAGGCCTAATAGTCCAAGGCCTTGACGTAATTAAGAGGAGATAGAAAATATAGTGATTGCTAAGAATACGTTCCGTCTAGTAGCTTATATTCCAGTGAAGGAGGCAGATGCGATCAAGGCAAGAATACGAGATACATCGTAAACTAACTTAACTAACTTAAAAATGTTAATTTCCTTTAACATCTCTTTTTATTAATTTGATTTGAGATTTAGCCACAAATAATTAACTTCCAGCTAGTTTAAAAGAAATGTTTCAAGAAAGACAATCAGAGTGACTCTTTAAGCAAAAATATTTGAAAAATTTATTGGGTTCCAGCAAAGGAAGACTTGTTTCAGGGATATCTAAATTTAAATGTATTCAAGTGACTGAGGAACTATGCCACTGAAACATGACAATTCTGGTAAGAGTTACAAAGAAACTGGAAATAGGATTGATATGTAGAGCCATCAGTGAAAGGGAAGGGAAAACACTTGGAGAAAAATTATGTCCACTGTCGACCCACATCTGTAGGATCACTTTGTATATTGTCCATAGTGAAAACAACATACATCCTGAAGAGGGTCAGATGTATAATTCATGTATGATCTTTTATAATTAATCCAAGTCTGGATAAATCATTAATTATGTGCCTCTCTTTATCACATAGGAGTCCCAGCTATAGTAGTGGCTATAACAGTGGGAGTTATTTATTCTCAGAATGGAAATAATCCACAGTGGGAATTAGACTACCGGCAAGAGAAAATGTGAGTTTATATTTTTTTAAATGTCCAATTGTTTGACCTAAAAGTGTAACTGTTCAGTGATATTGACTCCGAGTGTCACTGTAATTTGCATTTCACTTTATAATTGTCATGTTTAGTGGTAGACATTTGAAATTCTCAAAGAACACGTTATATTTTAAATGTGATGACATGGAAATTTCCCATAAGTCCTTTTGTAAAGCAAGTAATCACCTTCGAAATTTATAAATGTGAACTTTCTTATGTTAAATTTGTCTTCTTTCATTAAATCTGAAAATCATGATACAATAGGTATTATCCTTAGTAATCCTATATCTTAGTTTTCTCATCCAGAAAATGGGAATAACAATAATAGTAATTCCTGTTCTGGGGTTACTTCAAGGGATCAATCAAGTGTGAAAACATTTAATAACTCGAACACTATATGTCTCACTCATATAAACCAATTCTATGTTGATATGATTTTAATGAATATTTCATGATGATTTATCATACATAACAAATTCTTCCTGTGATTCCAGTGTGAATAATTAACTGTTGTAACAGAAGCATCTGACTGTATGACATTTGCTTTTTTTGTGTGGGGGAGAAAAGAAAGTGGAGCTGAACTGAGACTCAACTCTTTATATGCATTTCTGCTACCAAATGGCAACTACTCTTCAATTTATCCTCTCTTCTCATTTTATAAATCTAACTATTCATATCTCCAAATTCCACCGGAAGTCCCAAACCAACGCAAATGAAAGCAAAACTTTTGGAAATGGGCAAGTACACCAAAGGAAGGCTGTGGTGTCTGGGAACTCCTCTTTCCCAGGGCTGATCATGCCCAACTGTAGGCTGGGGAGCTGACTGCCTGGCCTGATTTCATGCTCCCAGATACTACGTTTGATTATGGTTAAATATAGTTTTAGGTTTTAAAATTTTAATGCCACCAGTAGAAATATCTAATTAGAGATACCCAAGATGCAAATATCTCATAGGGGAGGTAATTCACTTCAAATTGCATTATTAATTGGTGTTAACCCAGGCACAGGGCTAGACTCACTCCTTTAAAAGTCTTCAGAAGAAAGAAGCCAACTGACTTCAGTTTATTCACACTGAGCTGTAAATAATTAAGGGCAGCTCCTTTCCTGATTACGGTGTTAGTTGTTGGGGAAGATACGAGGCAACTGATAATAAGAGAAGCTGGGGAGAGAGGAAAGGATGTGTGACATAAGCATCTGCCTCCTCCTGAACTTTCTCCCCCACCTTCCACCCTACACACATGCCATCAAGGGCCACATTTCTTCAGGATATATTGAAACTCAGGAGGGATTATTTTTGGTTTTCCTGAGTTATTCTCCTAGCAGTTGCTCCTCAAGAGCCTGTGCACTCCCCTGTTGCTCCCAGTTCTGCCAATCATCCTGAAATCCCTGACCCAGTTACCTGAAGTACTGCTGTGTCTGCATAGACCCAGTTACAGGGTGAATGTAGGGCAGGCCACATTCCTCTTTAATGCTCTACCCCCAGTTCTCTGTACCACTGCTATGTAGGCCATTTCAGACATTCCCAAAGGGTTGAGGTTAACATGGGGAATTATAATTGGGGGGAAATTTTTCAAGTATTGTTTTTACACTGAAGCTTTCTTTCCCTATGTTCCATGGCAAACCAAGGAGTTAAACACTTCATCTGCATCCAGTTATAATGCTCTGCAGACCTCAAGTCCATAGCTATTTGTCAGATCAACCTCCACCATCCTGAAGATAAACTTGGCACTATTTTATTTATGGATGGACTTATTATTGTATCTGTTAGAGGCAAGCATGCCTTTGCATTTTTAAATTCATTATAGAGAATGGAACATCATCTCAGTTTCCTCCTAGGTCATTCAGATTAGAAATATGATTTCCAATAATTTAAATTAAAACTATTCCAATGCAAAAAAAATTTAGAAATCCTTTCACGTGTATAATAATGGTGTTTTACAAAACTCCAGGGGAAAGAAAATAAAATTAATTGAATGCCAAATATGTGCCATAGCTTCTCACATCATTGTAATACCTAATGGCCTACCTGACACCTCCACTTGACTGTTTAATAGACATCTCCTCATCTTCCCTCCCAAACCTGCTCATCTCATCGTCTTCCCCAGTTAATAGTAATTCTATCCTTCTAGGTGCTCAGATTTTGGAGTCATTCTTAATCCCCTACATACCACATCCAACCCATCAATAAATTATTTTGCTTTACTTTTAAATATATCAGGAATCAGACTATTTCTTAACATCTCCTCTCCTGGTCCAAACTATCCATATTATTGCAATAGACTCCTAGGTATTAGGTTGGTGCAAAAGTAATTGCAGTTTTTGCCATTACTTTTGTACCAACCTTATATTTCCTACTTTTGCTCATGCTGTTCTCTCATCACTGCACCTGGATTAATGTTTTTAAAACTCAAGACAGATCACGTCATGTCTCTCCATCTTGTCTAGGGTACAAGCAATCACCCACAAAGCTCCTACATAATTTGTATCTTTCCACTAACGTTATCCACTTACTGTGGTTCAGCCACACTAGCCTTTTTTTCTTTCTTAAGCTGTCACCTCAGGGCCTTTGCACTTGATGTGATTTCTGCCTGGAACACCCTTCCCCATCATCTACTTCAGGTCTTTGCTCAAATACAGCTTTTTTCCATGAGGTTTTCCCTGACCACTCTATTTAAAATAAAACACCCCTCCCCTCCACACACATATACACGGTAATTTCTACTCTCATTACCTGATTTACTTTTTCTCCATGGCATTCGTCACCATCTGACATATTGTGTATTTTATTTACTTTGTTTTATCTATTTCTCTGCACTAGAATGTAACCTCACTAAAGAAGGGATTTTTGTTTTGTCCGCTGCTGATACCTTGGTGTCTAAAACAGTGTCTAGCACATAATATGTACTCTCTAAATATTTATTAAATGAATTAATTAATTCTTTCAACAATGCCTGTAGGTGGTTACTATTATTCTCACCTCAGATGAGAAAAAAACGCCACTACAACCACCACCACCAAAAAACAAAACAAAACAAAATAAACCCCACAAAACAAACACAAAACAGGTACAATGAGGTTAAATAACTTTTTCAAACTCTTTTTAAACATTAATATTTAAAAAATGCCCATCAAGGCTGGGTGCAGTGGCTCATGCCTGTAATCCCAGCACTTTGGGAGGCCGAGGTGGGTGGATCACGAGGTCAGGAGATCGAGACCATCCTGGCTAACACGGTGAAACTCCGTCTCTACTAAAAAAAAAAAATACAAAAAAATCAGCTGGGCGTGGTGGCGGGTGCCTGTAGTCCCAGCTACTCGGGAGGCTGAGGCAGGAGAATGGTGTGAACCCAGGAGGCGGAGCTTGCAGTGAGCCGAGGTTGCACCACTGCAGTCCAGCCTGGGCGACAGAGCAAGACTCAGTCTCAAAAAAAAAAAAAAAAAAAAAAAAAGGCCCATCAATAGGAGACAGTTTAAAGTTATAGTATATTATTTCACTTTTCTAGTGGGTAGAATTCTTGAAAGTCATAAGTCATCTCAAATGTGTAAAATGCAGAGGGATGTTAACTTTTAGCAGATCTTTCAGTTGAGTGAATGTCAATAGTGTTAATAGCACAAAGACCAGTATGTATACCTTTCTTAGTCTGCTGAAGCAATTTTTTTTTTCCTCCACAGCTGCTGGCTGGCAATTCCAGAACCCAATGGTGTTATAAAAAGTCCGCTGTTGTGGTCATTCATCGTACCTGTAACCATTATCCTCATCAGCAATGTTGTTATGTTTATTACAATCTCGATCAAAGTGCTGTGGAAGAATAACCAGAACCTGACAAGGTAAGATTCCCAATGAATGGGAAGCTGCCAGGCAAGGCTCATCCAGCACTTAACGCAGCACCATAACACATCCACAGTTTCAGAAGCTTTCAAACTGAGACAATGGCAGGGCTACGTGGTTTACAGGAGAGATTTTTCTCTTACACTTTGACTCAGAAGGTGGATCTTCTCGTCTTCTCACATCCGTACAGTCTGCTCTCAATATCCTGGGTTTCCACATCTGTGGATTCAACAAAGTGAGGATCAACTAAAAACTAAACCTAGACTTCAAGAAAAAAAATTTTCGTCCCTTATCCTAAATATTCAAGAAATCATATTTGGATAATTAAAGAAATGAGAAGGTTGTGGGAAAATGCTGATACCTGGATTTTCATTTTATTAATACAGTCCAGTACCTGTTGGCTATATTTTACATGTGTTGCTTGAATTACACAATAGCACTAAAATTTCTTATTTATTTTATTTTATTATTATTTTTTGAGACAGGGTCTTGCTCTGCCATCCAGGCTGGAGTGCAGTGGCACGATCACAGCTCAATGCAGCCTCGACTTCCTGGACTCAAGTTATCCTCTCCCCTCAGCCTCCAGAGTAGCTAGGACTACAGGCACACAATACCATGCCCAGCTAATCTTTTTCTGTTTTTTATAGCGATATAGTCTCTGTAAAAAAGAGGCTGGTCTTGACCTCCTGGGCTCAAGTGATCCTCCCCAGTTGGCCTCCCAAAGTGCTGAGATTACAGGCATGAGCCACTGTGCCCAGCCTTAAATTTTTTAAATTAGTGGCAAACATACAAAAATTTGGAGAGCTCACTTAAAAATTAAATTTTCGGCAGGGCGCAGTGGCTCATGCCTGTAATCCCAGAACTTTGGGAGGCGGGGGTGGGTGGATCACCTGAGCTTGGTAGTTTGAGACCAGCCTGACCAACATGGAGAAACCCCATCTTTACTAAAAATACAAAATTAGCCGGGTGTGGTGGCACATGCCTGTAATCCCAACTACTTGGGAGGCTGAGGCAGGAGAATCGCTTGAACCCAGGAGGTGGAGGTTGTGGTGAGCTGAGATTGCACCATTGCACTCCAGCCTGGGCAACAAGAGCGAAACTCCATCTCAAAAAAAAAAAAAAAGAATTGAATTTTCTCTTGAAAAAATTGGAATATCTGGCCACTCTAAGCTGACATTCCCTGCGGGGGTCATGTGCTTTCTGATTTACCAGTTCCCATCCGTACTGCTTCTCTCCTTTCTATAACCTTTCTGGCTCCAAAAAGCATTTTCATTGTCATCCCTGATATACAACAAGAGCATTCAGTTGGAGAGACAAAAAGCAGAAACTATTAAACACATATACTCTACCCTCCCTGACCCCATCTCCATAGCATAAATTGATTGGAATACAGTGCTAATGAGACTATGAGTTCAGATTTAATTCTATAAGATTTTGCTCATATAGTAAGTAGACTTAATAAAAGCAAGCATGTCTGTGAGCTTATAGCAAGCTTACAAATAGGTCCACTTAGTAATACCAGATGAGTAAAAGCCACCATCTTTAGTGGGACTATATCTTTTTTTCTTTTAATGTTAACATTTTATTTAAACCAGTACAAGCACCATGCTTAACAAAAGACTGTCCCAAATAAACATGCAATATGAACTAGCAGAGACTGAAACCACAGCTTAAGAAATTGTGCCAGTTGTTGGTTTTTTTAAATGATGACAGAGAACTGTTAAAATTCACAAGACTAAACCATTAATGTTTCAAGCCTCCTGAATGAGATTATATTGGACCATGGAAATCAGTGGGAACTGCCCTGGCATGTTAATGATCTCAAACAATATTCAAGTAATTATATTTACATGAATTATACTCCAAAAAGCAAGAAAATACAATTTCTATCACAAGATTACTGTATATGAGCACTGATTTGAAATGTCAAATGGCATAATAAAAACAAATTTCTCAAGAATATTCAGCTTGGGACCATTGGTTTTAAGTGGCTAGAAGATTATTACATTCTTTCAGAAATACAAAATAAGATTTGTCCAGAAATGTTTGAAATACATCCTCACAGAAGTTGTAATGGCTCAAACTCTATAGATTCCAGTATTATCAGTTTATTGAACAAATAAGGAAAGCAACCACAGTAAGAATACTTGAATTTATAGAATGCAAGTTACCCTCTACTTCCACCAAATATCAGCATTTAAACTTTTATGAAAATATCTATTCATCACTAGTCCACATATGGATTAATGACATTGCTCAGGTTTTAAAAGTAGTTCAAACATTTTTTTAAGTATACCTTCCTTAGTATCTATATGGGTTGGGGGGAAACAGCCAAATTTAATTTGGCAATAAACTCCCCTAACTGGAAATTTTTAGCTAAAGTGTCAGACGAGGATACAGTTTATGGCTACATTTGACTCCTGAAAATGGGAGATAAAAGGGGAGGGAAAAGTGCTGACACACATTTTGCCACACAGATTATTTAGTAATGACAGTAAAAAAATTTAGCAACACGCTCTTAACAGTATGTTTAACTGCATTAGGCATTTAGTAAACTTTTAGAACTAGACAATTTGAACATTTATTTTAGAAGTCAATTAAACAAAAGCAGTCAACCAACTTTTTTGCTAATATAATAGCATCAACACCAGAACAAAGTGATCACTATTAAAAACTCAGCCATTTTGGAATTTCAGCATAGTAACCTGAGAAGTTTTCTTCATATGTGTTTTTGTTGTCATGGAAACCACACTAAATAATACTGTGATTACCAGTTGATTTTATCTTGACATTAGATGCTATGCAGAACTTATGCAAGGCCAACAATTTCAAAACTAGTGCTGACTTAGAAGACCATGAAGGAGGGTCCCAGGAAAAAAGTTGCTGCCAAAAAGGAAAGAATGATTAAGGTTGAATGGGAATGGTTGTACCAGAAAGATACAGAATGTAAAAACTGGAATTATGAAAAAAACAAAAAACAAAAAACTGGAATTATGAAACCTGGAGTTATTATCGGGGGATGGCAGAAAAAAGACACTAAATAGGAAATATACTTGAAAAGAACAATGCAAAATTTAGTAAGATGAAAGGGAAATCTATACAAATGTTTGAGAACATTTTAGAGCATGGGATTTGTAAATCTCCCCATAGAACAGATAAAATAAAAATGTCCTACTGATCCTCTAGCCTCAATCTGTTGTGTTGCAAAAAACATGTTATTGACTAGGAGTCAGGCAAGCTCAAAAAAGCATGGTTTATCACAGCTCTTAGCTCCTGTTAAAGAGAGTAGGGGAACTAAGGGTTCTAATGTACGGCAGGTCAATATTATCTGACATTATGGAGGACCTCCAAATTTAAAAATAAAACTAAAACATGCAAGAAAAAATAAGGAACTTCATTTAAAAATACATTATTGCAGCACTAGTTTCTCTTATTGCTGCAAACCAGGTGAATCAAAACCTAAACCTCATTTCCTTCATTCAAAAACATTAAAAACACTCTCCACTCACTTGGATTACATTTGCATTTCTACAGAATTATATGCATGTTATTATCCAATATCAAAATACCTGTTTAAAGAATTCTTAAACTTCCTGGGTGGGTTTTCTCTCTCTCTGGAAATTGGAATAAAGATTCTTTTGCCTCCAAGAACCAAAACAAACACCTACTCTAGAACTTTCTCATCTCCAACTAACTTTCTACTGCTTGCTGACTTCTAAATTAGTGAAGCCAAGGTTGAGAACAGAAGATGTTCTATTCAATATCATGAAAATTCCATCTTTACTTCTCACAGAAACCTCAAAAATAAAATACAAAGAACATACGAATGGAAAACATGCCAAAATTTAAATTTTGCTAGTTTTGAGATGACTAAGATGTTCTTAATATAAGAATTCACTCACCAAATTTGGTTAGTCTTCAGAGTCTCTAGACCTATTATCAAATTAATGTTCAATGGTTACTTATATATTTGTTTTTATAAGTATGCCAAATAACAGAATCCTTGCTTTATGCCAAGAATACCATCATCTAACAAGACTGGTTTAGTTAACTATTCAAGCATCCAGTTCAGAATATCTTCTGACCATTAGGATATAAGACGTGATATTGATGTTTTAACGTTATTATCTATGGCCAAAGTTTTAAGTTAATTTTTTCCTATGGCACAAAACTAATCACAAGTATACCCAAAATTATAACTCTCGACTGCCATGTATTCACCAATTCAAGCAGATAGTCGGAATTTTTAAAATATGAAGTTGATTTTATTATAAATTTCAGATATACGCATTAGAAAATTATTTTATTTGGACTCTTTAAAAAAGTATTAATTTCACCAAATCTGGAATACTGAAGTGTAAAAGTCTTAGACTAACTTTAAAGCTAACAAATCAAAGGCACAGTATTAACACATTTAAAATAACTAGTGTTCACAGGACATTAAGCGGTGCTTTATAAATGAAGTGTTATTAACCTAGACGCAAAACTGTTTAGAAATGACGTAAAAGGAATGAAGCCCTTGATTATTACAACCCACCAATTTCTAAGACTAAGATGCTATTTTCCATAAGGAGAAAAGCTAACGGTCATAATTCTATCATAAAATCTAACTCCCCAACCTTAAAAATTAGTGATTGATGAACATAGTTTCTAGACTTGATTAAAAAGATACAGAAAACCAAACAAGATGCAGAACTGATCAATGTACTTGTAATGCAGGTTACACTACAGTAAATTATTCATGGCTCAATACTGGGTCACTCAAGTCTTTGACCCCACATCAATTTCAATGATTTGACAAGTGATAATAAGCTATTTTCATAAATAAACTGCTAATATCCAGTATTTGTCAAAAGGAGGCAACTGTTGTCTCTCACAATCTAATATATCCACATTCCAGTGGTGTCTGTAAATAGTAACAAATTCTGAACCATAAGTTATAGAAGTTAGTCACAAGAGTGCAAAAAGTCCATGGAGAAAAGTAATCCACCGAATAATTACCAATATAAGGAAACACTGTACAAAGTTTCATTACTATAAAGATGATTTCATCTTTGATCAAACTTTGCACAAATGAAGAATTTTTCTTTACTGCAGAAAACAAACTGTAAGTAACAATGCATTTTTAGACACAAATAAGTATTTATGTCTGGTTCCAGTATGGTAGGGCAATACATAAATACTTTAGAAACACAGAAGTTCACATTAGTGGAAAAATCCAAGTTTCTCACATAACCATTCTTCAGTCAGTTCTTCCGTATTTCTTATTTCAAATATCTTGGTTAGTTCAGCTGTCTGGACTAGCTTATTCTTACTGCCAGCATATATCATTTGTTGTTCAGGCTTACATCCAACAGGACTGGAGAAAATAAAGCACGGAGGATATGGAACTCTCCCATCCATTATGTTGATATTTATAACTATACACAATGAAACGAGGTTGTCGTTCAGGTAGTTCATCTTTAAGTTCATCTGGTGAAATACCCTCAAGCTCCTCATCCAGTACCACCAGGCGTTTATCCTTCAATCTTCATTACAATAGAAGCATTGTTTGTTTCTTTGTGAAAACGAAACTTTCTCAGCTTTTCCACTAAATCTTCAGCAACATCAAAACCACCAAAGACTCACTCATTTCCTTTCCGCCGTCAGTGGCCTGTTGCCTTCACTTGGGCACCTTTTTCTAGTGGGACTATATCTTACATATGTACTTTACAGATCAAGGTTAAGTATCATTCTTCCTATATGAACGGTAGTTCATATTAAGAAGAAATATGGTTAAAATATTATCACTGATAAACATTAAAAGTATGTTTACTGAACATAAGTGGTGAGAGTGGAAGGAAAAAATAGTATGTTTAATAGCAATGCAGAAAAACCTTGGTAAAGGCTTCTTTGCCTAATTGCAAATTAGGATATATTTCCTTCATACAAAAATTATCATGTTTGGCCACAGATACCAATCAAATTTGTATTGCTAAATGTTGATTGATAGACTATGGTTCATAAATTAGCCTAGTTATAATGACAAGCAGACTGTGATTTAATTGTTTAATAAGTAACTTTCATGTGTTCAGTAGCTACATAACAAATTGCCCCAAAACTTAATGGTGAAAAATGACAAATGTTTATTATTTGCCATGAGTTGAGTGTTGGCTGGGTAGTTCTGTCTTGACGGGCTTGGATGCTTATTAATGATCAAGGATGACTCACTTTTTTTTTTTTTTTGAGATGGAGTCTTGCTCTGTCACCCAGGCTGGAGTGCAGTGGCGTGATCTCGGCCACTGCAACCTCCGCCTTGAAGGGGTGGGTTGCCCCTCCACACCTGTGGGTGTTTCTCGTAAGGTGGAATGAGAGACTTGGAGAAGAACAAGACACAGAGACAAAGTATAGAGAAAGAAATAGGGGGACCCGGGGAAC
The DNA here is from genome assembly GCF_000001405.40 of Homo sapiens. Classification (NCBI taxonomy): domain Eukaryota; kingdom Metazoa; phylum Chordata; class Mammalia; order Primates; family Hominidae; genus Homo; species Homo sapiens. The sequence continues at coordinate 100,666,262 of NC_000003.12, forward strand.
CAGCGTTCAGCATATGGAGGATCCCGCCAGCCTCTGAGTTCCCTTAGTATTTATTGATCATTCGTGGGTGTTTCTCCGAGAGAGGGATGTGTTAGGGTCACAAGATAATAGTGGGGAGAGGGTCAGCAGACAAACATGTGAACAAAGGTCTTTGCATCATAGACAAGGTAAAGGATTAAGTGCTGTGCTTTTAGATATGCATACACATAAACATCTCAATGCTTTACGAAGCAGTATTGCTGCTCGCATGTCCCACCTCAGCCCTAAGGCGGTTTTTCCCTATCTCAGTAGATGGACCGTACAATCGGGTTTTATACGGAGACATTCCATTGCCCAGGGACGGGCAGGAGACAGATGCCTTCCTCTTGTCTCAACTGCAAGAGGCATGCCTTCCTCTTATACTAATCCTCCTCAGCACAGACCCTTTACGGGTGTCAGGCTGGGGGACGGTCAGGTCTTTCCCTTCCCACGAGGCCATATTTCAGACTATCACATGGGGAGAAACCTTGGACAATACCTGGCTTTCCTAGGCAGAGGTCCCTGAGTGTTTGTGTCCCTGGGTACTTGAGATTAGGGAGTGGTGATGACTCTTAAGGAGCACGCTGCCTTCAAGCATCTGTTTAACAAAGCACATCTTGCGCAACCCTTAATCCATTTAACCCTGAGTTTGACGCAGCACATGTTTCAGAGAGCACGGGGTTGGGGGTAAGGTCATAGATTAACAGAATCTCAAGGCAGAGGAATTTTTCTTAGTACAGAGCAAAATGGAGTCTCCTATGTCTACTTCTTTCTATACAGACACAGTAACAATCTGATCTCTCTTGCTTTTCCCCACACCGCCTCCTGGGTTCAAGCAATTCTCTGCCACAGCCTCCCGAGTAGCTAGGATTACAGGCGTCCACCACCACACCTGGTTAATTTTTTTTTTTATTATTATACTTTAAGTTCTGGGTTACATGTGCAGAATGGGAGGTTTGTTACATAGGTATACATGTGCCATGGTGGTTTGCTGCACCCATTAATCCGTCACCTACATTAGGTATTTCTCCTAATGTTATCCCTCCCCTAGCCCCCACCACTGACAGGCCCCAGTGTGTGATGTTCCCTCCCTGTGTCCATGTGCTCTCATCATTCAACTCCCACCTGTGAGTGAGAACATGCAGTATTTGTTTTTGTGATCTTGTAATAGCTTGCTCAGAATGATGGTTTCCAGCTTCATCCATGTCCATGCAAAGGACATGAACTTATCCTTTTTTATGGCTGCATAGTATTCCATGGTGTATATGTGCTGCATATTCTTAATCCAGTTTATCATTGATGGACATTTGGGTTGGTTCCAAGTGTTTGCTATTGTGAATAGTGCTGCAATAAACATACGTGTGCATATGTCTTTATCATAGAATGATTTATAATCCTTTGGGCATATGCCCAGTAATGGGATTGCTGGGTCAAATTGTATTTCTAGTTCTAGATCCTTGAGGAATCACCACACTATCTTTCACAATGGTTGAACTAATTTACACTCCCACCAACAGTGTAAAAGTGTTTCAGGTGCTACCAGGGTATGAAAAGAAAAAAAAAAAAGAGCTCCTGCAGCTAGTTCGGTGTCTGCCCAATTGGCCGCCCAGTTTTGTGCTTGAAACCCAGGGCGCTGGTGAGGCAGGCACCATAGGGAATCTCCTGGTTTGTGGGTTTCAAAGACCGTGGGACAAGCGCAGTATCTGTGTGGGAGTTTCTCAGGCTGGGACCCTCACAGCTTTCCTTGGGTAGGGGAGAAAATTCCCCAACCCCTTGTGCTTCCCAGGTGAGGTGACACCCCACCCTGCTTCAGCTCTCCCTCCATGGGCTGCACCCACTGTCCAATCAGTCCCAGTGAGATGAACCTGGTACCTACGTTGAAAATGCAGAAATCATCTGCCTTCTGCGTCAATCTTGCTGGGAGCTGCAGACCTGTGCTGTTCCTATTTGGCCATCTTGAATCCTTCATGACTCACTTTCATGTCTGGTGGTTGGTGTTTGGTTGGTTTTAGTAGCAACTGTTCAGTTGGGAAAGCTCATCTCTGCTCCACATAGTCTCTCATCTGCCATTAAACCAGCCCAGGCTTCTTAACATAGTGGTCTCAGGGTTCTAAAGAGGAGTGAGGGAAGGCAAATTAATAAACAGATGCTTTCAAGTCTCTGCTTGATAAATTTGCTAATGTCCCACTGGCCAAAGTAAGTCACATGGCCAAGCCCAGGATCCAGGGGCATAGACTTTCCACAAGAGGAAGAAGATCACTCTGCATCTAACTAACCTTTCTCTCCCTCATCAACTTAAGGCTCAGGAAGCTCCCAGGTGCCAAAAAAGGGGATTCCTCCATTGGCTGATCTGTAGTAATATTCACAAAATGAAAATTCCATTTCAATGAAGAAGTTGGTTCTTAAAATTTGCCTGCTGTAGTATTAAGGAGCTGTGTTTGCCTGAAGTTTTAAACAAGTATCAATGTATTCAAAATAAAGCTTGCTAAATCAGATTTTCTCCAGAGTGATGTAAGACTTAGCATCATTTTTCCACCTGGGGCATAATATTGTTAAGTGAACAATGTATATGGGCAGCTGAATATACATTCTAAATAGGAGAGTAATAATGACGTTGATAAGTAAAACCCTAATGAACCACATTATTTTTCTTGTTTTCTTTCACCTAGCACAAAAAAAGTTTCATCCATGAAGAAGATTGTTAGCACATTATCTGTTGCAGTTGTTTTTGGAATTACCTGGATTCTAGCATACCTGATGCTAGTTAATGATGATAGCATCAGGATCGTCTTCAGCTACATATTCTGCCTTTTCAACACTACACAGGTATGGTGCGGATTAGTCTGAAAGTAGCAGAACACGCAGTGGTGGAGATATCATCTTGATATCTTAGTTACCTTTAAGAGACTATTTTAAAAAAATCTAGGCCAGGCGCGGTGGCTCACGCCTGTAATGCCAGCACTTTGGGAGGCTGAGGTGGGCGGATCACGAGGTCAGGAGATTGAGACCATCCTGGATAACATGGGGAAACCCCATCTCTACTAAAAAAAATACAAAAAATTAGCCGGGTGTGGTGGCGGGCGCCTGTAGTCCCAGCTAGGGAGTAGTCTCCTGTAGTCTCCTCCTACTGTAATCTCCTCCTGTAGTCTCCTGCTGAGGCACGAGAATGGCTTGAACCCGGGAGGCGGAGCTTGCAGTGAGCTGAGATCGCGCCACCGCACTCCAGCCTGGGCGACAGAGTGAGACTCCATCTCAAAAAAAAAAAAAAAAAAAAAAAAAAAAATCTAGTGGGTACATAGTAGGTGTATATATTTATGGAGTACAAGAGATATTTTGATACTGGCATAAAATGTATAACAATCACTTCAGGGTAAATGGGGTACCCATATCCTCAAGCATTTACCCTTTCTGTTACAAACAATCAAATTATACTCTCAGTTATTTAAAAATATACAATTAAATTATTATTGACTGGCCGGGCGTGGTGGCTCACGGCCTGTAATTCCAGCACTTTGGGAGGCTGAGACAGGTGGATTGCCTGAGGTCAGGAGTTCAAGACCAGTCTAGCCAACATGGTGAAACCCCATCTCTACTAAAAATACAAAAAAATTAGCTGGGCATGGTGGCATGCACCTGTAATTGCAGCTACTTGGGAGGCTGAGGCAGGGGAATTGCTTGAACCAGGGAGGTGGAGGTTGCAGTGAGCTGAGATCACACCACTGCACTTCAGCCTGGGCGACAGAGGGAGACTCCATCTCAAAAAAACAAAAATTATTATTAACTATAATCACCCTGTTGTGCTGTCAAATACTAGATCTTATTCATTCTAACTATATTTTTGTACCAATACCCATTAACCATTCCCGCTTTCCCCTCCCGTCACTACCATTCCCAGCCTCTGGTAACAATCATTCTACTCTCTATCTCCAGGATTTCAATTTTTTAAACTCTTTAGGTCCCAAATAATTGAGAACATGCAAAGTTTGACTTTCTGTGCCTGGTTTATTTCACTTAACATAATGACCTCCAGTTCCATCCATGTTGTTACAAATGACAGGATCTCATTCTTTTTAATGGCTGAATAGTACTCCATTGTGTATATGTACTGCATTATCTTTATCCATTCGTCTGTTGATGGATACTTACTTTGCTTCTAAGTCTTGGCTATTATGAATAGTGCTGTGAAAAACACGGGAGTGCAGATATTTCTTTGATATACTGATTTCTTTTGGATATATATCTAGCAGTAGGATTGCTGGATCATATGGTAGTTCTATTTTTAGCTTTTTTTTATTATTAAACTTTAAGTTCTGGGGTACATGTGCAGAACATGCCAGTTTGTTACATAGCTATACACGTGCCATGGTGGTTTGCTGCACCCATGAACCCATCATCTACATTAGATATTTCTCCTAATGCTATCCCTTCCCTAGCCCCCCAGCCCCCGACAGGCCCCAGTGTGTGATGTTCCCCTCCCTGTGTCCACGTGTTCTCATTGTTCAACTGCCACTTACGAGTGAGAACATGTGGTGTTTGGTTTTCTGTCCTTGTGTTAGTTTGCTGAGAATGATGGTTTCCAGTTTCATCCATGTCCATGCAAAGGACATGAACTCATCCTTTTTATGGCTGCATAATATTACATGGTGTATATGTGCCTTATCCAGTCTATCATTGATGGGCATTTGGGTTGGTTCCAAGTCTTTGCTATTGTGAATAGTGCTGCAATAAACATACATGTGCATGTGTCTTTATAGCAGCATGATTTATAATCCTTTGGGTATATACCAAGTAATGGGATGTCTGCATCAAATGGTATTACTGGTTCTAGATCCTGAGGAATCGCCACACTGTCTTCCACAATGGTTGAACTAACTTACACTCCCACCAACAGTGTAAAAGTGTTCCTGTTTCTCCACATCCTCTCCAGCATCTGTTGTTACCTGACTTTCTAATGATCGCCATTCTAATTGGTGTGAGATGGTATCTCATTGTGGTTTTGATTTGCATTTCTCTAATGACCAGTGATGATGAGCTTTTTTTAAATATGTTTGTTGGGTTCATAAATGTCTTCCTTTGAGAAGTGTCTGTTCATATCCTTTGCCCACTTTTTGATAGCGCTGTTTGTTTTATTCTTGTAAATTTGTTTAAGTTCTTTGTAGATTCTGGATATTAGCCCTTTGTCAGATGGATAGATTACAAAAATTTTCTCCCATTCTGTAGGTTGCTGCCTGTTCACTCTGATGATAGTTTCTTTTGCTGCACAGAAGCTCTTTAGTTTAATTAGATCCCATTTGTCAATTTTGGCTTTTGTTGCCATTGCTTTTGGTGTTTTAGTCATGAAGTCTTTGCACATGCCTTTGTCCTGAATGGTATTGCCTAGGTTTTCTTCTAGGATTTTTATGGTTTTAGGTCTTACATTTAAGTCTTTAATCATCTTGAGTTAATTTTTTGTATAAGGTGTAAAGAAGGGGTCCAGTTTCAGTTTTCTGCATATGGCTAGCCAGTTTTCCCAGCACCATTTATTAAATAGGGAATCCTTTCTCCATTGCTTGTGTGTGTCAGATTTGTCAAAGGTCAGATGGTTGTAGATGTGTGGTGTTATTTCTGAGGCCTCTATTCTGTTCCATTGGTCTATATATCTGTTTTGGTACCAGTACCATGCTGTTTTGGTTACTGTAGCCTTGTAGCATAGTTTGAAGTCAGGTAGCGTGATGCCTCCAGCTTTGTTCTTTTTGCTTAGGATTGTCTTGGCTATGTGGGCTCTTTTTTGGTTCCATATAAAATTTAAAGTAGTTTTTTCTAATTCTGTGAAGAATGTCAATGGTAGTTTGGTGGGAATAGTATTGAATCTATAAATTACTTTGGGCAGTATGGCCATTTTCATGATATTAATTATTCCTATCCATGAGCATGGAATGTTTTTCCATTTATTTGTGTCCTCTCTTATTTCCTTGAGCAGTAGCTTGCAGTTCTCCTTGAAGAGGTCCTTCACATACCTTGTAAGTTGTATTTCTAGATATTTTATTCTCTTTGTACCAATTGTGAATGGGAGTTCACTCATGATTTGGCTCTCTGTTTGTCTGTTATTGGTGGATAGGAATGCTTGTTATTTTTACACAGTAATTTTGTATCCTGAGACATTACTGAAGTTGCTTATCAGCTTAAGGAGATTTTGGGCTGAGACGATGGGGTTTTCTAAACATACAATCATGTCGTCTGCAAACAGAGACAATTTGACTTCCTCTTTTCCTATTGGATACCCTTTATTTCTTTCTCTTGCCTGATTGCCCTGGTCAGAACTTTCAATATTATGTTGAATAGGAGTGGTGAGAGAGGGGCATCCTTGTCTTGTGCCAGTTTTCAAAGGGAATGCTTCCAGTTTTTGCCCATTCAGTATGATATTGGCTGTGGGTTTGTCATAAATAGCTCTTATTATTTTGAGATGTGTTTCATCAATACCTAGTTTATTGAGAAGTTTTAGCATGATGGGGTGTTGAATTTTGTCGAAGGCCTTTTCTATGTCTATTGAGATAATCATGTGGTTTTTGTCACTGGTTCTGTTTATGTGATGGATTACATTTGTTGATTTGTGTATGTTGAGCCAGCCTTGCATCCCAGGGATGAAGCCAAGTTGATCATGATGGATAAGCTTTTTGATGTGCTGCTGGATTCAGTTTGCCAGTATTTTATTGAGGATTTTCACATCGATGTTCATCAGGGATACTGGCCTGAAATTTTTTTTGTGTGTGTGTGTGTCTCTGCTAGGTTTTGGAATCAGGATGATGTTGGCCTCCTAAAATGAGTTACGGAGAATTCTCTCTCTTTCAATTGTTTGGAATAGTTTTAGAAGGAATGGTACCAGCTCCTCTTTTTACCTCTGGTAGAATTTGGCTGTGAATCCCTCTGGTCCTGGACTTTTACTTTTTTTGATTGGTAGGCTATTAATTACTGCCTCAATTTCAGAACTTGTTATTGGTCTATTCAGGGATTCGACTTCCTCCTGGTTTAGACTTGGGAGGGTGTATGTGTCCAGGAATTTATCCATTTCTTCTCAATTTTCTAGTTTATTTGCATAGAGGTTTTTATAGTACTCTCTGATGGTAGTTTGTATGTTTGTGGGATCAGTGGTGATATCCCCTTTATCATTTTTTTACCATGTCTGTTTGATTCTTCTCTCTTTTCTTCTTCTTTTTTTTTTTTTTGACAGAGTCTCGGTCTGTCATGCAGGCTGGAGTACAATGGTGTGATCTCAGCTCACTGCAACCTCTGCCTCCTGGGTTCAGGAGATTCTCCTGCCTCAGCCTCCCAAATAGCTGGGATTACAGGCGTGAACCACCATGCCTGGCTAATTTTTGTATTTTTAGTAGAGATGGGGTTTCACCATGTTCAGGCTGGTCCCAAACTCCTGACCTCATGGTCCACCCGCCTTGGCCTCCCAAAGTGTTGGGATTACAGGCGTGAGCCACCGTGCCTGGCCTCTTTTCTTCTTTATTATTCTGAGTAGTGGTCTATTTTGTTGATCTTTTCAAAAAACCAGCTCCTGGATTCATTGATTTTTAAAAGGGTTTTTCGTGTCTCTATCTCCTTCAGTTCTGGTCTGATCTTAGTTATTTCTTGTCTTCTGCTAGCTTTTGAATTTGTTTGCTCTTGCTTCTCTTAATTTTAATTTATAGTTTTTGTTCTTTTAATTTTGATGTTACAGTGTCAATCTTAGATCTTTCCTGCTTTCTCTTGTGGGCATTTAGTGCTATAAATTTCCCCTAAACACTGCTTTAAATGTGTCCCAAAGATTTGGGTACATTGTGTCTTTGTTCTCATTGGTTTCAAAGGACATCTTTATTTCTGCCTGTTTTTATGTCTGCCTGTTTTGTTTCTGTTTTTATGCCAGTACTATGCTGTTTTCATTACTATAGCTCTGTAGTGTAATTTGAAGTCAAGTAATGTGATTCCTCCAGTTTTGTTCTTTTTGCTAATGATAGCTTTGGCTATTCTAGGTCTTTTGTGGTTCCATATAAATTTTAGGAACATTTTTTTCTTTTTCTGTGAAGAATGCCATTGGTGTTTTGATAGAGATTGCATAGAATCTGTAGATTGCTTTGAGTAGTGTGGACAGTTTTAAAATATTGATTTTCCAATCCATGAACATGGAATCTCTTTCCATTTTTTGTGTCCTCTTCAATTGGTTGCATGCAGGTTTTATAGTTTTCGTTGTAGAGATCTTTCACTTTTTTGGTTAAGCTAATTCTAAGGTATTGCATTTTATTTGTAGCTTTTGTAAATAGGATTGCTTTCTTAATTCCTTTTTTTTTTTTTTTTGAGACAGAGTCTCGCTCTGTCACCCAGGCTGGAGTGCAGTGGTGTAACATCTGCTCACTGCAACCTCCACCTCCCAGGTTCAAGCAATTCTCCTGCCTCAGCCTCCTGAGTAGCTGGGACTACAGGCATGTGCCACCACCCCTAGCTAATTTTTTGTATTTTTAGTAGAGACGGGGTTTCACCATGTTAACCAGGATGGTATCGATCTCCTGACCTCGTGATCCACCCACCTTGGCCTCCCAAAGTGCTGGGATTATAGGCGTGAGCCACTGTGCCCAGCCCTTAATTTCTTTTTCAGGTTGTTTGATGTTGGCATATAGAAATGCTACTAACTTATGTATGTTAATTTTGTATCCTGCAACTTTACTGAATTTATCCATTCTAATCTTTTTTTTTTCTTGTGGAGTCTAGTTTTCTCCAAATGTAAGATCATATCATCTGCAAACGAGGATAATTTGATTTCTTCCTTTCCAATTTAGATTTTTTAAATTGCTTTCTCTTATCTAATTGCTCTGGCTAGGACTTCCAGTGCTATGTTGAATAACAGTGGTGAAAGTGGGCATCCTTTTTGTGTTCCAGATCTTAGAGGAAAGGCTTTCAGTTTTTTTCCCATTCAGCATGATACTAGCTGTGAGTCCGTCATATACAGCTTTTATTGTGTTGAAGTATGTTCCTTCTATCCCCAGTTTTTAAGAGTTTTTACCACGAAGTGATGTTGAATTTTATAAAATTTTTTTTAGCATCAATTGAAACAATCATGTGGGTTTTGTCCTTCATTGTGTTGATATGGTGTATCACATTGATTGATTTGCATATGTAGGACCATCCTTGCATTTCTGGGATAAATTCTACTTTGTCATGATGAATGACCTTTTTAGTGTGTTGCTGAATTTGGTTTTTTAGAATTTTGTTGAGGATTTTTGCATCAACGTTCATCAGATGCATTGGCCTGTAGTTTCTTTCTTTCTTTCTTTCTTTTTGATGTGCCTTTTTCTGGTTTTGGCACCAGGGTAATACTGGCCTCATGGAGTGAGTTTAGAAGTATTCCCTTTGCCTCTATTTTTTGGAGTAGTTTGAGTAGGATTGGTGTTAGTTCTTCTTTAAATGTTTGGTAAAATTCAGCAGTGAAACCACAGTTCCTGGGCTTTTCTTTGCTAGGAAACTTTTTATTACAGCTTCTGTCTCATTACTTGTTACTGGTCTGTTCAGGTTTTGTATTTCTTCATGATTCAATCTTGGTAGGTTGTTTGTGTGTAGAAATTTGTCCATTTCTTTTAGGTTTTCTAATTTATTGGCATATAGTTGCTCATAGTAGCCACTAATGATCCTTTGAATTTCTGTGGTATCAGTTGTTATGTCTCCTTTTTCATCTCTGATCTTATTTATTTGGGTCTTCTCTCTTTTTTTCTTAGTTAATCTGACTAAATGTTTGTCAATTTTTTTGATCTTTAAAAATAACCTTTTGTTTCATTGATCTTTTGTTTTCTTCATTTCAATTTCACTTATTTCTGCTCTGATCTTTACTATTTATTTTCTTTACTAATTTTGGTTTTGATTTGCTCTTGCTTTTCCAGTTCCTTAAGATGCATCATTAGGTTGTTTATTTGAAGCTTTTCTATTTTTTTTGATGTGGGCACTTATTGCTATAAACTTTCCTCTTAGTACTACTTTCACTGTATCCCATAAGTTTTGGTATGTTGTGTTTCCATTTTTACTTGTTTCAAGACATTTTTCAACTTCCCTTTTAATTTCTTTCTTGACTCACCGGTAATTGAGGAGCATATTGTTTAATTTCTATGTGTTTGTATAGTTTCCAAAATACCTCTTGTTATTGATTTCTAGTTTTATTGCGTTGTGGTCAGAGAAGATACTTGATATAATTTCATTTTTTTGGATTTTTAAAGATTTGTTTTATGTTTTAACATATGGTCTATATTTGAGAATGATCCACATGCTGAGGAGAAGAATGTGTATTCTGCAGCCATTGGATGAAATGTTCTATAATTATCTATTAGGCCCATTTAGTATATAGTGCAGAGTAATTCTGATATTTCTTTGTTGATTTTCTGTCTGGAAGATCTATCCAATGCTGAAAATAGGGTGTTGAAATCTCTAGCTATTGTCGTATTAGGGTATATATCTCTCATTAGCTCTAATAATATTTTATTTATATATGTGGGTGCTCCAGTATTGGGCATATATATATATTTACAATTGTTATATCCTCTTGCTGAATTGACCTTTTTATCATTGTATAGTGACCTTTTTCCTTTCTTTTTATAGTTTTTGTCTTGAAATCTATTTTTTCTAAGTAGAGCTACTTCTGCTCTTTTTCGGTTTCTGTGGAGTATCTTTCTCCATCCATTTATTTTCAGTCTGTGTGTCTTTATAGGTGGTTTGCTTCTTGTAGGCAACATATCATTGGGTCTTGTTTTTTCCTTCATTCAGCCACTCTATGTCTTTTGATTGCAGAGTTTAGTTCATTTGTGTTATTATTGTGTTATTATTGATACGTAATGACTTACTTCTGCCATTTTGTTACTTGTTTTCTGGTCTCCTCTTCTTTTCTGTCTTCCTTTTAGTGAAGATGATTTTCTCTGGTGACATGTTTTAACTCTTTGCTTTTTATTTTTTGTGTATCTATTGTATGTTTTTTGATTTGAGGTTACCACAAGGCTTGCAAATAATATTTTATAAACCATTATTTTAAGCTGATGACAACACTGATTGCATAAACTAACAAACAAAGAGAAAACTAATAAAAACTCTATAACTTTTTGTTTTTTCTATTTATATCTTATTATACTGTCTTGAAAAGTTGTTATAGTTATTTTGATAGGTTCATCTTTTCATCTTTCTGCTCAAGATGTAAGTAGTTTATACACCAGTATAATGTTAGAGTATTCTATTTTACTTACTAATACCAGTGAGTTTCGTACTTTAACATAATTTCTTATTGCTTATTTTCTTTCAGATCGAAGAACTCCTTTTAGCATTTCTTGTAGGTCAGGGCTGGTGTTGATGAAATCCCTCAGTTTTTGTTTGTCTGGGAAAATCTCTATTTCTCCTTCATGTTTGAAGGATATTTTCACCAGATATGCTATTTTAGGCTAGAAGTTTTTCCCTTCATCACTTTAAATATGTCATGTCACTCTTTTTTGGGCTATAAGGTTTCTACTGAGAAAGCTGCTGCCAGACAAATTGAAGCTCTGTTGTATATTATTTGTTTATTTTCTCTTGCTGCTTTTAGGATCCTTTCTTTATCCTTGACCTTTGGGAATTTTATTATTATATCTTGAAGTTGTATTATTGGGGTCTAATCTGCTTGGTGTTCTATAATCTTCTTGTACTTGAGCATTGATATCTTTCTCTAGGTTTGGGAAGTTCTCTGTTATTATTTCTTTGAATAAACTTTCTACACTGACCTCTCTCTACCTCATCTTTCAGGCTAATAGCTCTTAGATTTTTCCCTTAGGGGCTATTTTCTAGATCTTGTGGGCATGCATCATTAATTTTTATTCTTTTTTCTTCTGTCTCCTCTGACTGTGTATTTTCAAATAGCCTGTCTTCAAGCTCACTCATTCTTTCTTCTGCTTGATTAATTCTGTTAAGAGACTCTGATTCATTCTTAAGTATATGTCAGTTGCATTTTTCAGCTCCAGAATTTCTGCTTAATTCTTTTTAATTATTTCAATCTGTTTGTTAAATTTATTTGATAGGATTCTGAATTTTATCTCTGTGTTATCTTGAATTTTTGTTGTGCTTCCTCAAAATAGCTATTTTGAATTCTCTGTCTGAAAGGTGACATATCTCTGTCTCTCTGGGATTGGTCACTGGTGCCTTATTTATTTATTTATTTATTTTGGCGAGGCCATATTTTTCTGGATGTTCTTGATGCTTGGGTATGTTCATTAGTGTCTGGGCATTGAAGAGTTGGGTATTTACTGTAATCTTTACTGTCTAGGCTTGTTTGTACCTGTTCTTCAGAAGGCTTTCTAGATATCTGAAGGGACTTGAGTGTTATAATCTAAGTCTTTGGTCACTGCAGCCATATCTGCTTTAGGGGGCACCCCAAGTCCAGTAACCTTGTGGCTCTTTTAGACATACAGAGGAACTGTCTTGGCATCTTAGGTAAGATCTGGGAGAATTGCATGGATTATGAGGCAGAGACTGTTCTCTTCCATTATTTTCCTGCAAGCAAACAGAGTGCCTCTCTCTCTCTGTCTCTCTCTCTGTGCTGAGCTAGCCGAGGGAGGGGGTGACACAAGTACCCTTGTGGCCACCACCACTGGGACTGCGCTGGGTCAGAACTACAGCCAGAACAGCACTGGTTCTCTCCCAAGGCCTGTGGTGACCACTGTGTGGCTACCACCTATGCTACTCAAGGCTCAACAGCTCTACAATTAGCAGGTGGCAAATCTAGCCAGGCTTGTTTCCTTCCTTTCAGGGCAATGAGATCCCCCTGTCCCCAGGTCGGTCCAGAGGTGCCATCTGGGACCCAGGGCCTGTAGTTAGGAGCCTCAGGAAACTACTTGGTGCTCTATTCTACTGTGGCTGAGCTGGCACTCAAACCACAAGACAAAGTCCTTCCCACTCTCCCCATCCCCCAACCTTTCCTCAAGCACAGGAGTCTCTTTCCATGGCTACCACCACTTCAGGCCTGTGACAAACATTGCCTGGCTACCACTGATGTTCACTCAAAGCCCAAAGGCTCTTCAGTCAGTCTGTGGTTAATGCTGCCAGTCAAGGCAGTGTACTCTCCTCAGGCCCAAGGCAGGTCCAGTAATCCTGTCCAGGAGCCGAGGCCTGGAATCAGAGACCCCAAGAGCCTGCTTGGTGTTCTACCCCATTGAGGCCAAGCTAGTACCCAAGCTGATTTTGGTTCTTATCTTGTGTGAGTAGCTGTTAAATTTGTGTTCCCATGGGGGAATGATTGCTGGAGGGTTCTATTTGGTCATCTTGCTCCACCTCTCTCCTCCTTACAGACTATTTTTAATACCATTTCTGGGAAGTGAAAGAAAAGCTCTTTATGACTTACCTACTATGTACTTTCCTGAGCTGGATATCATAGAATATAGTAGCAATAGAGTTGGACCACTTTAGTCCCTCTTCTTTGAGTAGGAGAGATTTTTGTCAAGTAGCTGGATTGGGACACATCTTCTTTCCTTTTCTCCTATGTAAGGGGTTCATGGCAACTCCTCACCATGATTGATACAGACAGTGTTATAGTTATTGCTGAAGCTTAGACTTCTGTGGGATTGGCTGAAGGTTTTCTTTCAATTCTTTTAAATTTATTGAGTCTGGTTTTATGGCCCAACATTTGGTCTATTTTGGTGAATAAAACATTTACTCTGGAAGAAAATGTGTATTCTGTAGTTGTTAAAGTATTCTAAAAAAGGTTGTGTCAAAGTGATTGTTAAAGGTACACCTATCCTTACCAATATTTTTGCCTGATTCTCTCAATTGTCAAAAAAGGGGTATTAAATTCTCCACCTATGATTGAAAATTTGTATATTTCCTTAATTCTGTCAACTTTTGCATCACATATTTTGGGGTTCTACTATTAGATGCATATACATTTATTATTGTTATATCTTCTGGATGAACTGATTTTATCATTTAGATAAAAAGGTTTCTTTACCTCCAATAATACTTTTTGTCATAAAGTCTACTTTATCTGATATCCAGCTTTATGCACATTGATTGCATGATATATATGTTTTCATCCATTTGATCTCAATCTATTTGTGCCTTTATATTTTAAGTGTGTATCATGTAGACAGCAAATACAAGTCTTACGTTTTTATCCATTCTGGCAATCTCTTTTAATTGAGTGTTTAGTCCATTTAGATCTAATGTATTTTTTTATATGGGTTAATTTGTGTCTACCATTTTCCTATTTGTTTTCTGTGGCCATTCTATTTTTTATTCCTGTTTCTCCTTTTTTGCCTACTTTTGGATACATTTAATGTTATTAGGGTTCTAATTTTAATTTATACTTCAATTATTAAGCAATACTTCTTTGCGTTTTGGGGGTCAATTTAGGGATACATTAAATTTCATTAACTTTTCGTTGTCAACTTGGAGCTAATATTTTACTACTTTCCAGTAAAATCTTAGAATCTTATAACAATATAAGTCCTCTTGCCATCCTCCGTTCTCTCATAGTATACGTTTATGTATTACATCTGCATACATTACAAAACCTGCTATGCAATGTTCTTATTTTTGCTTTAGATATGTATTTTAAGGAAATTAAGAGAGAAGAATTTTTATATTCAGTCATATATCTATGATTTCTAGTATTCTTCATCCCTTTCTGAAAATCTGAACTTCATGAAGTGTTTTGTGGCACAATTTTACATTGGACTGAAGATGCTTTTATTCCTTGAGTCTTATCTCAAGGACATACTTAACCATAAACCTTTAAAAAATTAAATTCACACTTTGTTTTCAAAATCTGAAAAGAAGTTATATATTTTTCCTTTGGAAATAATTCTACAAAGGTAAAAATTTGGATTCTGGTCACCTCCTGATTTTATCATTATAAAAGTACTAATGAAGATAAACCAAAATGGTGGATAAAAATAAATTTGTTTGACTTTGGAGAGGTTTTTTTTTTAACCTTTTTAGTTATTTATTATGTGTGAGGAATATCAAGACTTTTAAATAAAACAAAGATGTGTTATTGAAAGACATCTTTTCTTTTCTTTTTTTTTTTTTTCTTTTTTTTGAGACAGGGTCTCACTCTGTCACCCAGGCTGGAGTGAAGTGGCATGATCTCAGCTCACTGCAACCTCCGCTTCCCGGGTTCAAGCAATTCTCCTGCTTCAGTGTCCTGAGTACCTGGGATTACAGGCATGTGCCACCATGTCAGGCTAATTTTTGTATTTTCAGTAGAGACAGGGTTTCACCATGTTGGCCAGGCTGGTCTTGAACTCCTGACCTCAAGTGATCCACCCATCTCAGACTCCCAAAGTGCTGGGATTACAGTTGTGAGCCACCACACCAGACATTGAAAGACATCTTGAAACCAGAATTTCTCTTTACACTCCTCACTCTATGCCTCCTCCCATAGTGAACATTGCTCTTTACTCTGATGAAAGAGCAATGAAATTACTAAATGGACTTTACTCTCTGTAGTATGGAAACATGTCTTCTCTAAGCTGGCAGAATTCATTAAACTTCAGTAGAATGAAAATACTTCTCCCTTAAAGCACTCGCACCCTACCAGGATCACCTGTATGAACAAACATCACCACTGAACTACCTGCACAGGGCAAGGAAAGGAGCCCCTTTTTGAAAGCTCACTCCTGAAACTCCAGACCATGAACCCTAAAAGCAAGGGAATAATTCAAGGAATCCACATGATTGTTAGAACTTTTTGAGAATTTTCAGTTTTGGTATTTATTGAGATTACTTCCTAATGATGCCAGCGGCAGCCCATCTGAAGTGGCCGCTGCCATGGCTCCGGCTGCAGTGGGGTACAGGCGCAGGCTGTGGGTCCTCAGATGCAGATGCTGAGGCAGGCAGTCCCCAGAGCCTGCCCCAGGGAGCGCCCCCGGAGTCCACCGCCCTGGGAACCCACCCCCGGGAGCTGCCCTGATGGGGCCGGACCCAGCCGCTCACCGGAGGGAGAGCAGTGCAGTCGGGCAAGGAAGAGCAAGCAGAGAGGGTCCCCAGGAGGAACTGGGTCTGGGGCGGTGCCACACTTGCACATGGAACGTGGGAGCCAGGCCCGAGATGTAGAGCTGGGGTCACGCTTCAGGGGACCGGGGTGGGAAGTGGGAGCAGTGCCCGCTTCGAGGACCCAGCCAGCAACGTGGCCACCGCGCCCAACCCGCCGACGGCGCCAAGTTCCTGCGCCTGGGGAACAGTCTCTGCTCCGAGTCACCTGAGGCTGCGTCCTCAGGATCTGCTCCACATCAAGGTGACCGCCGAGCCTGACGTTTCCAATGGCCAGGCCCAGGGCCCACGATCTGCTCCCGGAAGTGACCTCCAGTCAGGGCCATGAGCCAGGCAAGGGGGAGCCCCAGGCTGCCCCTGAGTGCTGGGGCCACAAGAAGAACTTGCAGTGACGTCACCCCTGCTCCGGAGGCTGGCCCGGGCCCAGCGAGGACCTGAAGCTCCCACTCCAGGCTGTGAGGAGGCACGGCCAGGGCTACACACTCCACTGAGCCAGCGGGAACCGGGGGCAAGCGGGAGCCCCACCTCTTCTCAGTTGGCCGGGTGGGAGCTCCCTGGGTGCAGTTGCAGTTGCCTTGTCGCAGCTGCTGACCGAGGCATCTTTGCACTCTCAGGGGTCCAGGAAGACCCCCCTGCCTGGGTGCCATGAATAGAGGCAGGAGGCAGACAGGCTTTTGGGTGGAAGGGGGAGGGTCCGTGGTGAAGCCCCACCTTAAAGCCAGGGAGGGCCTGATGAGCAGCTCTAGTGAAGAGCTACTGTCTCTCCTGAGAGCTGAGTGCTCATCGGAACACCCTGGCTAAGGAGAGGAGCTACCCACTGCGGCTGCAGGTGTCCTCTGAGCTGTTCTATCACTCAGTAAAGCTCCTTTTCGTCCTGCTCACCCTCCACTTGTCTGCATACCTCATTCTGGATGCAGGACAAGAACTAGGGACCCACCAGAACGGCGGGGCTAAAAGAGCTGTAACGCAAACAGGGCAGGGCTGAAACATGCCCTTTGTTCTCCACATTGTGGGCAACAAGGAGAGGAGAGAGTAGAGAAGAGCTGTGGCTCTTCGGGGAGCCCAGACCTAGGAACTCCCTGAGCCAGGGTTGTGACACTCTCTTTAGGGGTCTGAGGTTCCTGGTGTCACCAAGCTTCTGGGTGTCACCCGGTTCCCTGGTGTTAGCCATGGAAGCTGCTTATGGTAGGCCTGGTCCATCTGCAGCCTCTCAGGGAGCTGGCGCTTGTGCCAGTGCCTGGAGCTGCCTGCCCCACCGCAGCTGGCATGCCTGGCTGTGCCCTGTGGCCGGACCCCATGCTTGCTTACACACCCCTCACCGCTCCACACCTGGCTCGTCCTTGGCAGGTGTGGGATCCAGGTCGGTAGCTAAGCCAAGCACAGCCTGCCAGACCGAGTAGGAGGAATGAGCCCAGTGGGCTAGAGCTAAATGTTGGCAAAGGTGCCACTGGCCACATAGATTTCTGTCTGATGAAACAACACCCCAAGGATCCCATAACACTAACAATACTTTTTGAAGGTGCTTGTTATCTTTAGTTCTCAAATTATTTTTTTATAAAACCTCATTCACCTTTAACTTGTTCATCAAAGACTGAAAGAGGTGTGTAAAACTTCCTTTTATTCTATTTTTCTATTAATTTTTCTTCTGACTGTTATAGCAATTTGTCTTTATACAATTCAATGCTGCATTATCATGTTCCTGGAAATTTATGGATATGGTATTTAATATATCTGTGGAGCATTATACCTCTCAGCAATATAACAAGTCTCTCAGTCCCACTTCATCTTGAAATCTGATTTTCTGTCTAGCAGTGTACCAACTTCTAGTTTGTTTTTATTTGATTTTATCTAATTTATTTATGCTAATTCTTTTATTTTTAAGTTTTCTCATCACTTTGGTTTTAACTTATCTCTTTTTAGACCCTGCATATTTAGATTTGTTTTTGATAATTTTCTCATAGTTTTTCCATTTTATCTATTTATTTATTTATTTATTTATTGAGACAGGGTCTTTCTCTGTCACCCAGGCTGGAATGCAGTGACACAATCACAGCTCACTGCAGCCTCAATCTCCTGGACTCAATTGATCCCCCCACCTCAACCTCCCAAGTAACTGGGACTACAGGCACGTGGCACCATGCCTGACTAATTTTTTTCCAATTATTTTATACAGATAGGGTCACACTATGTTGTCCAGGCTGTTCTTGAACTCCTGGGCTCAAGTGGTCATCCTGCGTCAGCTTCCCAAAGTGTTGGGATTATAGGCCTGAGCCACTGTGCCTGGCCAGTTTTGCCATTTTATTAAAAATGTTAAACTTTTGGCTATTTAGTTAAATAGTAGCTATTAAAACTAATGTTTGTTTTATTGTGTTATCTTAGTTTTTTTTCCCTATACGTCTATCACTGCCTCCTTAATTTTATATATTGTGTTATATAAATTATGTTTTTTAGTATAACTTCCTCTATTTGGAATATTTTCATTCTATTTTAAATTCTACTAATTATAATCTTTATTAAATATTACTACAACTTATAAGATACAAATTTCAATTTCCAGAGTAAAACAATAGATATTGATTCCTCTCTTTTTAAGGTAATAATATTAACACAGTTTAACTGCTTCTTGCAGTTTTGTTGGTACAATTTAAAATTTATCATGTTGTGGTTAAGTTATACTGTCTACATTATTTTCTTTTAAGAAATATTTATAATACTAGATTATGTTTGATAATTATATTAACTGTATTTTCTTATGCTTAACTCTATATTTAAATGTTTTTAATGTTTTGCCAGTCGTTTTATATTGGAATGTCCTGTTATTTTGACTTCCTTACTTTAAGGAAACTCTCATCAATGGTAGTAATTTTTGAGTAAATATTTAGTGGATAGTTGGTAAACATTAATGAGGACTTTTCTAGCTGACAATTTTTCTTTAGATACTATGACACATAAACTACAAATTAGTTTGGCATTTAATTCTTGGCAATGACCTTTATTCATTGACATTCTATAGACGAACGGAAATTTTATGTTGTGAAAATAAAGCCTGAGAAGGAACTAAAATTCTTGTATTTTTCCCCATTCTTTTTTTTTAAATTTTATTATTATTATACTTTAAGTTTTAGGGTACATGTGCACAACGTGCAGGTTTGTTACATATGTATACATGTGCCATGTTGGTGTGCTGCACCCATTAAGTCGTCATTTAGCATTAGGTATATCTCCTAATGCTATCCCTTCCCCTCCCCGCACCCCACAACAGTCCCTGGTGTGTGATGTTCCCCTTTCTGTGTCCATGTGTTCTCATTGTTCAATTCCCACCTATGAGTGAGAACATGCAGTGTTTGGTTTTTTGTCCTTGCGATAGTTTGCTGAGAATGATGGTTTCCAGCTTCATCCATGTCCCTACAAAGGACATGAACTCATCATTTTTTACGGCTGCATAGTATTCCATGGTGTATATGTGCCACATTTTCTTCATCCAGTCTATCATTGTTGGACATTTGGGTTGGTTCCAAGTCTTTGCTATTGTGAATAGTGCCACAATAAACATACGTGTGCATGTGTTCTTATAGCAGCATGATTTATAATCCTTTGGGTATACACCCAGTAATGGGATGGCTGGGTCAAATGGTATTTCTAGTTCTAGATCCCTGAGGAATCGCCACACTGACTTCCACAATGGTTGAACTAGTTTACAGTCCCACCAACAGTGTAAAAGTGTTCCTATTTCTCCACATCCTCTCCAGCACCTGTTGTTTCCTGACTTTTTAATGATCGCCATTGTAACTGGTGTGAGATGGTATCTCATTGTGGTTTTGATTTGCATTTCTCTGATGGCCAGTGATGATGAGCATTTTTTCATGTGTTTTTTGGCTGCATAAATGTCTTCTTTTGAGAAGTGTCTGTTCATATCCTTTGCCCACTTTTTGATGGGGTTGTTTGTTTTTTTCTTGTAAATTTGTTTGAGTTCATTATAGATTCTGGATATTAGCCCTTTGTCAGATGAGTAGGTTCCAAAAATTTTCTCCCATTCTGTAGGTTGCCTGTTCACTCTGATGGTAGTTTCTTTTGCTGTGCAGAAGCTCTTTAGTTTAATTAAATCCCATTTGTCAATTTTGGCCTTTGTTGCCATTGCTTTTGGTGTTTTAGACATGAAGTCCTTGCCCATGCCTATGTCCTGAACGATATTGCCTAGGTTTTCTTCTACGGTTTTTATGGTTTTAGGTCTAACATTTAAGTATTTAATCCATCTTGAATTAATTTTTGTATAAGGTATAAGGAAGGGATCCAGTTTCAGCTTTCTACATATGGCTAGCCAGTTTTCCCAGCACTATTTATTAAATAGGGAATCCTTTCCCCATTACTTGTTTTTCTTAGGTTTGTCAAAGATCAGATAGTTGTAGATATGTGGCATTATTTCTGAAGGCTCTGTTCTGTTCCAATGGTCTATATCTCTGTTTTGGTACCAGTACCATGCTGTTTTGATTACTGTAGCCTTGTAGTATAGTTTGAAGTCAGGTAGCATGATGCCTCCAGCTTTGTTCTTTTGGCTTAGGATTGACTTGGCGATGCGGGCTCTTTTTTGGTTCCATATGAACGAACTTTAAAGTAGTTTTTTCCAATTCTGTGAAGAAAGTCATTGGTAGCTTGATGGGGTTGGCATTGAATCTATAAATTACCTTGGGCAGTATGGCCATTTTCATGATATTGATTCTTCCTACCCATGAGCATGGAATGTTCTTCCATTTGTTTGTATCCTCTTTTATTTCATTGAGCAGTGGTTTGTAGTTCTTCTTGAAGAGGTCCTTCACATCCCTTGTACATTAGATTCCTAGGTATTTTATTCTCTTAGAAGCAATTGTGAATGGGAGTTCACTCATGATTTGACTCTCTGTCTGTTAATGGTGTATAAGAATGCTTGTGATTTTTGCACATTGATTTTGTATCCTGAGACTTTGTTGAAGTTGCTTACCAGCTTAAGGAGATTTTGGGCTGAGATGATGGGGTTTTCTAGATATACAATCATGTCATCTGCAAACAGGGACAATTTGACTTCCTCTTTTCCTAATTGAATACCCTTTATTTCCTTCTCCTGCCTGATTGCCCTGGCCAGAACTTCCAACACTATGTTGAATAGGAGTGGTGACAGAGGGCATCCCTGTCTTGTGCCAGTTTTCAAAGGGAATGCTTCCAGTTTTTGCCCATTCAGTATGATATTGGCTGTGCGTTTGTCATAGATAGCTCTTATTATTTTGAGATACATCCCATCAATACCTAATTTATTGAGAGTTTTTAGCACGAAGGGTTGTTGAATTTTGTCAAAGGCCTTTTCTGCATCTATTGAGATAATCATGTGGTTTTTGTCTCTGGTTCTGTTTATATGCTGGATTATGTTTATTGATTTTCGTATGTTGAACCAGCTTTGCATCCAACGGATGAAGCCCACTTGATCATGGTGGATAAGCTTTCTGATGTGCTGCTGGATTCGGTTTGCCAGTATTTTATTGAGGATTTTTGCATCGATGTTCATCAGGGATATTGGTCTAAAATTCTCTTTTTTTGTTGTGTCTCTGCCAGGCTTTGGTATCAGGATGATGCTGGTCTCATAAAATGAGTTAGGGAGGATTCCCTCTTTTTCTATTGATTGGAATAGTTTCAGAAGGAATGGTACCAGCTCCTCCTTGTACCTCTGGTAGAATTCGGCTGTGAATCCATCTGGTACTGGACTTTTTTTGGTTGGTAAGCTATTAATTATTGCCTCTATTTCAGAGCCTGTTATTGGTCTATTCAGGGATTCAACTTCTTCCTGGTTTAGTCTTGGGAGAGTGTATGTGTCGAGGAATTTATCCATTTCTTCTAGATTTTCTAGTTTATTTGCATAGAGGTGTTTATAGTATTCTCTGATGCTAGTTTGTATTTCTGTGGGATCAGTGGTGATGTCCCCTTTTCATTTTTTATTGTGTCTATTTGATTCTTCTCTCTTTTCTTCTTTATTAGTCTTGCTAGTGGTCTATCAATTTTGTTGATCTTTTCAAAAAACCAGCTCCTGGATTCATTGATTTTTTGAAGGGTTTTTTGTGTCTCTGTTTCCTTCAGTTCTGCTCTGATCTTAGTTATTTCTTGCCTTCTGCTGGCTTTTGAATGTGTTTGCTCTTGCTTCTCTAGTTCTTTTAGTTGTGATGTTAGGGTGTCCATTTTAGATCTTTCCTGCTTTCTCTTGTGGGCATTTAGTGCTCTAAATTTCCCTCTACACACTGCTTTGAATGTGTCCCAGAGATTCTGGTGTGTTGTGTCTTTGTTCTTATTGGCTTCAAAGAACATCTTTATTTCTGCCTTCATTTCATTATGTACCCAGTATTCATTCAGGAACGGGTTGTTCAGTTTCCATGTAGTTGAGCGGTTTTGAGTGAGTTTCTTAATCCTGAGTTCTAGTTTGATTGCACTGTGGTCTGACAGACAGTTTGTTATAATTTCTGTTCTTTTACATTTGCTGAGGAGAGCTTTACTTCCAACTATGTGGTCAATTTTGGAATAGGTGTGGTGTGGTGCTGAAAAGAATGTATATTCTGTTGATTTGGGGTGGAGAGTTCTGTAGATGTCTATTAGGTCCACTTGGTGCAGAGCCGCGTTCAATTCCTGGATAGCCTTGTTAACTTTCTGTCTTGTTGATCCATCTAATGTTGACAGTGGGGTGTTAAAATCTCCCGTTATTATTGTGTGGGAGTCTAAGTCTCTTTGTAGGTCTCTAAGAACTTGCTTTGTGAATCTGGGTGCTCCTGTATTGGGTGCATATATATTTAGTATAGTTAGCTCTTCTTGTTGAATTGATCCCTTTACCATTATGTAATGGCCTTCTTTGTCTGTTTTGATCTTTGTTGGTTTAAAGTCTGTTTTATCAGAGACTAGGATTGCAACCCCTGCCTTTTTTTGTTTTCCATTTGCTTGGTAGATCTTCCTCCATCCCTTTATTTTGAGCCTATGTGTGTCTCTGCACGTGAGATGTGTTTCCTGAATACAGCACACTGATGGGTCTTGACTCTTTATCCAATTTGCCAGTCTGTGTCTTTTAATTGGAGCATTTAGCCCATTTACATTTAAGGTTAATATTGTTACGTGTGAATTTGATCCTGTCATTATGTTAGCCAGTTATTTTGCTCGTTAGTTGATGCAGTTTCTTCCTAGCCTCGATGGTCTTTACAATTTGGCATGTTTTTGCAGTGGCTGGTACCGGTTATTCCTTTCCATATTTAGTGCTTCCTTCAGGAGCTCTTTTAGGACAGGCCTGGTAGTGACAAAATCTCTCAGCATTTGCTTGTCTGTAAAGGATTTTATTTCTTCTTCATTTATGAAGCTTAGTTTGGCTGGATATGAAATTCTGGGTTGAAAATTCTTTTCTTTAAGAATGTTGAATATTGGCCCCCACTCTCTTCTGGCTTGCAGAGTTTCTGCCGAGAGATGTGCTGTTAGTCTGATGGGCTTCCCTTTATGGGTAACCCAACCTTTGTCTCTGGCTGCCCTTAACATTTTTTCCTTCATTTCGACTTTGGTGAATTTGACCATTATGTGTCTTGGAGTTGCTCTTCTCGAGGAGTATCTTTGTGGCGTTCTCTGTATTTCCTGAATCTGAATGTTGGCCTGCCTTGCTAGATTGGGGAAGTTCTCCTGGATAATATACTGCAGAGTGTTTTCCAACTTGGTTCCTTTCTCCCCGTCACTTTCAGGTACACCAATCAGACATAGATTTGGTGTTTTCTATAGTCCCATATTTCTTGGAGGCTTTGTTCGTTTCTTTTTATTCTTTTTTCTCTAAACTTCCCGTCTCGCTTCATTTCATTCATTTCATCTTCCATCGCTGATACCCTTTCTTCCAGTTGATCGCATCAGCTACTGAGGCTTGTGCATTCATCACGTAGTTCTCGTGCCGTGGTTTTCAGCTCCATCACGTCCTTTAAGGACTTCTCTGTATTGGTTATTCTAGTTAGCCATTTGTCTAATTTTTTTTCAAGGTTTTTAACTTCTTTGCCATGGGTTCGAACTTCCTCCTTTAGCTTGGAGTAGTTTGATCTTCTGAAGCCTTCTTCTCTCAACTCGTCAAAGTCATTCTCCATCCAGCTTTGTTCCATTGAGGAGCTGCATTCCTTTGGAGGAGGAGAGGCGCTCTGATCTTTAGAGTTTCAGGTTTTTCTGCTCGGTTTTTTCCCCATCTTTGTGGTTTTATCTACCTTTGGTCTTTGGTGATGGTGACATACAGGTGGGTTTTTGGTGTGGATGTCCTTTCTGTTTGATAGTTTTCCTTCTAACAGTCAGGACCCTCAGCTGCAGGTCTGTTGGAGTTTGCTGGAGGTCCACTCCAGACCCTGTTTGCCTGGGTATCAGCAGTGGTGGCTGCAGAACAGTGGATATTGGTGAACCGCAAATGCTGCTGCCTGATCGTTCCTCTGGAAGTTTTGTCTCAGAGGAGTACCCGGCCATGTGAGGTGTCAGTCCGCCCCTACTTGGGGGTGCCTCCCAGTTAGGCTACTCGGGGGTCAGGGACCCACTTGAGGAGGCAGTCTGCCCGTTCTCAGATCTCAAGCTGTGTGCTGGGAGAACCACTACTCTCTTCAAAGCTGTCAGACAGGGACATTTAAGTCTGCAGAGGTTACTGCTGCCTTTTGTTTGTGCCCTGTCCCCAGAGGTGGAGCCTACAGAGGCAGGCAGGCCTCCTTGAGCTGTGGTGGGCTCCACCTAGTTCGAGCTTCCCGGTGCCTTTGTTTACCTACTCAAGCCTCAGCAATGGCGGGCGCCCCTCCCTCAGCCTTGCTGCCGCCTTGCAGTTTGATCTCAGACTGCTGTGCTAGCAATGAGCAAGCCTCCATGGGCGTAGGACCCTCCGACCCAGGTGCGAGATATAATCTCCTGGTGTGCCGTTTGTTAAGCCCATTGGAAAAGTGCGGTATTAGGGTGGGAGTGACCCGATTTTCCAGGTGCCGTCTGTCACCCCTTTCTTTGACTAGGAAAGGGAATTCCCTGACCCCTTGTGCTTCCCGGGTGAGGCAATGCCTCGCCCTGCTTCAGCTCACACATGGTGCTCTGTACCCACTGTCTTGCACCCACTGTCTGGCACTCCCCAGTGAGATGAACCCGGTACCTCAGTTGGAAATGCAGAAATCACCCATCTTCTGCATCACTCAGGCTGGGAGCTGTAGACTGGAGCTGTTCCTATTCGGCCATCTTGGCTCCACCCTTCCCCATTCTTATGTCATCCCTTTTTAAACATAAATTATTTTGAAACAATTTTAGATCCATAAGATGTTGCAAATAGTATGGAGAATTCCCATGTACACTTTACTCAACTGTTCCCATGATCATATCTTATGTTACTTTAATACATTATCAAAATGACATTGATACAATCTACATAGTTTATTTATTGATGGGCTTTATTCTTTTGTGGTGATGACTTTCATTCTAGCCTTATTAACTATCAACTAAGTGAATAAATATGACTCATTATCAAATAAAAATATTGTTTTGTAAATGTTTTTGTCCTCTCTTCTTTTTACCCTATAAAATTAACTTTTTATGCATACTCTTCTCATCTCCTCAACTAGAACATCAGTACTCTGAGTGCAAGGAACTTGCTTGTGCATATCTTTCACAGTAGATAACATCTTTGTTCAATATCAGGATGAGCTATTCTGTATTTCATGAAGAAACTGCAATTTTGATGACTATCCCATTAAGTTGCTAAGAACGGTAACTACAGTGTGAAGCTGGTGTCATGTTGGCTGTTTCTGGCTATGGTAAAATGTCATTGAGGAGGAAAGTCTTTGATACAAAATGGAAATTGTTAGGAAGGGCATTTGATCAGACTATATAATGCAGTGTGGGGAGCTGCTTGGCTTTTTGAATTGCTACCACCATATTTAATGCTTCTAAGAACCTCATCCTTTATCCCAGGTAGCCCTCTCCAGTGCCTTTTAGGATTAATTCCCTTAGATAATGGATGGGTGCCTGCCACTAAATTTACAGGGATATAACTCAGTTCTTTATGATTGTCAGTATCAAATGGAAACTCCTAGAAGATCAATAAGTAGGGTAAGCCTCATCTGACATTGCCAATTGATCCATGGGCTTGTTGCCCAGAGTGAGCAGGAATTTAGGGAGGAATCTGAATGAAGGCACAGTCAAGGATTTTCTCTTCTCCATGCATAGGAGGGGGAAATTATAAAAGAGAGGTTCGTAACAAAGTGTTAATGGTAAAATGGTAAAAACTGTTAATGGTAAAATGATAAAAATTACAACATGGTAAAATTGAGTATCGCAATGTGGCAAGGACATGGAGCTAAAAGTCAGGAAACTTAGGCTGTTATTCAGCTTTACCATTGATTCCTATGATTATAGGAAAATCACATAACCTCTGTGGGTGAGGTATGCAAAATATAAAATGGAGTAGTGGGGCAATATGTGTGTTAAAATCAACACAGTGTTTTGTAAAATGGATCTGAATATTGCTTACATCAGAACTTACATAGTATGTTAAAATGCTGATTCCTGGGCCTCACCCCTTACCTACTCAACCAGAATCTACAGGCATAGGAGCTGAGACTCTTCATTTTAAACAAGGACCTCAGGTGATTTCTATGTACACTAAAGTGTAGGAATATCTAGATTTGTTTACACGTGAAACTTCTAGATTTAGAATACTATAATTCTAATAAACATTTACTAAATGCTACAGATATTACTTAGAAGGCACAATTTGAACTTTGTGTTACTGGTAGTCAGTCTGACCCACACATTTTTTCTTTTCAAATAACATTTTTGGGCTTTTAGGAAGCACAGAAATATTGGGAGTCCACCCAAACAGGTCCAACAGGATGGTGTTTTTATGAATTATCCATGGTCTAGGGTCTTTTCCTAATTATTGTACCAACAGAAATTTGATCAAATCTTAGTTTACTTTAGAATTTAAATTCTGGAAAAATCAGATGAAATAGTGTATGCCACAAAAAAGATGGTTTTCTAGAGACTGGATTTCTCATGTGCCCCAAATAAATTTCTCTCCCTTGAACAATCAGGATGGCCAATGACCACTCCTGTCCTTCTGAAACCTGTGTCTCCAAGCACACACTGTCATAGGGCCTTTCTTCTGATGTGTTAGATACCACCTGTTGAGTAATAATCAAGCTACTTTTTCTACTTTTGGCCAGAGAACAAGTCTGTCTCTTGCCAACACTTATTGATTTTTTAGTCAAACTATAAGGGTCTTTCCAGAGTACCAGAAGTCTCCAATAACAGTACTCACAGGATATGATTCCAAAAATAAACTCTTAAAAAGGTTGGGGCCCTATAGATGCTAATGTGGGAGACATCCAAGGATATTTATTTTTAAAAATACCTTTTCATTTTGAAATGATTTAATAAAAAATTTTGGAAAAATAGTATAGCTCCCACATATTCTTTGTCCAGCTTTCCCAAATGATAATATCTTATACAGCCATAGTATACTGTCAAAATCAAGAAACTGACATTGGCACAATATTATCAACTTAACTACAGATGCTATTTCATCTGTCATTTCCACAAAGGATATTAATAAAGAATTAACAGCAGCATCTTAAAAGCTATGATACACTTTGCAGTCACTTTCTGTTACAGTTACAGGCAACAGTATAGGCAGCACCGTATATTGGATAGAGGAGGGGTTTTGGAGCTAAAGATGTAAGAATTCAATTCCAGACTCCACTGAGTACTGGTTGGGTGATCGTGGACAAACTACTTAGTTTATCTGAACTTTAGTTTCCTTATCTGAAACATGCGGATGATAAAGCTTGTTGTATTGGGTTGATGTGAGGATTACATGAGAATGATCAAATGATGAGGATTAAGTGAAAAGCAAGGGTCTGATACTGATATGACTTCTATAAATGGCAGTTTTTACTGGAAACATATAGAAAATATTATTCAGTGTTTTGTGGCTCAATTTCTCATGTACATCTGGTCTTCATCTGTGAAGTACAGAAAAGCAGTGACTAGAAGGGCTTTACATTTTTTTGTCCTTAAGTGCACAAATTTCTAGCTATGTTACTATAACTCCAAGAAATATGGAAGCACAGAATGTTAGAACTGGGAGAAGAATTAGGTATTTCATAGTTAATCTTCTTCCTTCAGGAAGTTGAAGATTATCAAGATTATGAAATAAGCAAATTTACACAGCCAGCTAGTGGCAACCCAGGACCTGAACTCGGGTCTTCTATATCTGCTATTGTACTGTTACATGTAGGTCTTTGTATATGGGAAAACTTTGCCTCAACCCTCTTAGATTAAAAAGTGCATGGCAGCTGCACACTGGCAAATTCAAGTTGGGGAAGTGCCGTGCAGATGAGAAGGTTGGGTGGCAGAGTGAAATAAAATGTCTTCCTTGATACTGTATCTCAGCACTTACCCAACATTAAACTTTTGTTCTATCTGCAGGGATTGCAAATTTTTATCCTGTACACTGTTAGAACAAAAGTCTTCCAGAGTGAAGCTTCCAAAGTGTTGATGTTGCTATCGTCTATTGGGAGAAGGAAGTCATTGCCTTCAGTGACGCGGCCGAGGCTGCGTGTAAAGATGTATAATTTCCTCAGGTCATTGCCAACCTTACATGAACGCTTTAGGCTACTGGAAACCTCTCCGAGTACTGAGGAAATCACACTCTCTGAAAGTGACAATGCAAAGGAAAGCATCTAGACAGTAAAACTTACCTGTTGTGGTCTTTTTAATCACCTCGTTTGAGTTTTATCTGTTTCTCTCCTTTATTTCCCAGTCCTCTCAGAAAGTCTTCCTCAATGTATTTTGCTCAGGATTAAGAATTAGATAAAACCTGTTGTTTATTATTATTCGGCATAATGGACTTGGTAGTTTTTCTATTTTTCAATAGATTTGTACTTGAATAAGGTGAAGAATTTCACACAACATACAAGAGTACCATTGTTCCTTATATCGTTAAATCTTTGTGACACACTTTGACAAAAATGTAGAACCTATAACAAATTCTTTTACAAGTTACTATAAAGGACACAAAGAGAAAACTTTACCTTCCAGAACAAAATGACTCCTGATGAACAGTGTGTGGGGATTTGCTTGTATGTATTAAACTTTTGACCTCTGAATATTTTACAGTCGTATGTGCTTGTACTTTTATTTCCAATGAAGAATTTGGCACCAATTCAAACTTTGAAAAGCGATATTTTTTTCTGTTTAAAAAAAAGTGTGTTTTGTGACCAGGAGAATTGGCTCTGTAAGAAATGGGCAGCGAGACAGGTTAGTTTGTTACTAAATGGATATTTCCTTCCAGTTCTTAATATATTTGCTCTTTCACTGAAGTGGCACTGAGACCCCCAAAATGAGAAGTTAGTCATAATCATCATTTATGGCTTTTAAAAGATTTAACTGCTCATGGAAAGTCAAACACTTGAATTATGAATGGCTTCCTCATTAAAAAAAATGGCCTCTATTTGGGTGGTGAGCATTCCCACTGGACTTAGGATATATAGTCTTTAAATTGCTGTTTTCTGTTTTGCCATAAACAAGACAGCTGCTGTCAGTGCACGGAATTCCGAGATTAACAAATGTCATGTGGGCTTGGCACTCCCTAAAGAATGTGTGTTTTCTAGAGAAATAGTTGCAGAAGACTTTTGGGTTCCTGGGCAAGCCAACAAGAGCCTATATTTATAGGAGAACAGAAAAAAGTAAAGGGAAGAGAATAAAGAATAAAAGCAGACCTCAAAAGCCAGTGTTCTTGGTGGCATCATAGGGCTGCACCTAAATAGTAGCTGGGCACAGGGAAAATGATAAGATGTGGTTGACTCAAAATTTGTATTCAGATGAAAATTAAGCTTAAGTTAGGGCCACTTTAAATGTTAAAAAAAAAAAATCACCAAAGAGCCATATTTAGCCTGAGGGTAAGTGTATGTGTTTCCCTTTGTAATTACAGTTGTTTTCTTTGCACGTTTTTCAGCACTTTTGGGGCATAGTAACTAAAATTCCATAAAATGTTGCTGAAATATCTGTACTATAAATGTGCAAGCTCCACATGCAATTGTGGTGACTAATTCAGGTGAACATGGATATTCTTCTGTCTACCCTGAAATGAATCCTACCACTAGGAAATAATTCCTTTGATTTAAATCATTGTCTCATGCACCGGTCAGCAATTTTCAGTTTAATGATAGAAACCCAACTCAAATTAGGTTAAAGGTGAAGGTAATTTAATGGATCAGTTAATGTAAAGTCCAAGGACCGAGTTGGTAGGATTACTATGTGTTTTAGTTTGCCTGGGCAAGTCCCAATTTGTGCCTGTTTTTCTGAGTTAAGCATTACTAGCAGCCCCTTTTACCTTCAAGTGTCATGGTTTGAGTTATGAAATATATGATAATGCTAACTTTAGGTCTATTTAGAACAAGTGATATGGGTGGGGGCAGGGAAGTGCTGAGTAGAGAAGGGCAGGGTCCCTGGTGAGGGCTCCACCCTGGGGTCTGCTCCCATGGACCTAAGTGAGAACAGGCACTCCTGTTTTCATGCCCAAATGTTGCATTTTCCAAGGCCACTCTGGCCCACCACGACCCCCATCCTGTGTCCGTATAAACCCGAGACCTTAGCGACACACACATAAGGGGCTGAACATCGAGAAGAGCAGGGGAAAAGAGCGGTGGAGAATGGTGGGGTGGTGTGGCAGAGAAGGAGGGAAGAGGCTTCTGAATGTTGGCCAAGGACAGCCAGACTCCAGGGGAAGATCACCTTCCCACTCCATTCCCCTTTTCCAGCTCCCCATCCACCTCACCGAGAGCCACCTCCACCACTCAGTAAAACCTTGCACTCATCCTTCAAGCCCACGTGTGATTTGATTTTGCCGGTACACTGGGTAAGAACTCAGGATACAGAAAGCTATCACACTGGCCCTCTGCCCTGGCGATAAGGCAGAGGGCTTATTGAACTGATTAACACAAGCTGTCTGCAGATGGCAAAGCTGAAAGCGCACACTGTAACACACAACCACCTGGGCTCTGGGAGTGGCAGACACCCACCCATAGACGGTGCTGTGGGGTTGGGGCCCAAAGGCTTTCCCCACGACCTCTTCACCTGCCTGTCTGCATGTTCCGCCTAGGAGGCAGGGAGCCCAGCGAGCCACACCCCTGTCACATGCCCTGTGACGGGGATCAGGGAACTCTATCCTTTCACAGGGAGTGCTAAGAATGTGTCAGATATTCTTTTTCTCTCTGTTTCCTGGGTCTGTGTGCTTCTGTGTTTGATGTCATTCTAAAATTGGGTTTAGGTGGCTGGAAATTGGCTATTGGCATCCCTAATCTTATAGCCTAATGATCTAACAGGAAGAGACCTTTTTTCTCTTAGTATCCACAGTAAAATCTCATGGAATGACTCTAATTCTAGTTATCATTCCAGCAGGAAAACAGAAAGCACATTAAGTATTTAAAATAAAATTTTAAAGCAGACAGTTGGTTTTGTGGTGTTTAACAAGCTCAGAGACAAATTGGAGAATGAGGCAGGAAATGTAGAGATTAGCAAAATAAGAAAGCAGAAACCTCTTTTAAGCCAGAGAGATAAAGTAAGAAGAATTTCCATAGCCAGGCCTGCGGCTGAAACCAGGGCGGGCCAATGGTGGGAGCTGCAGCCAAAAAGAGGCAGCCTGCTCTACCCAGAAAGAAGAACCGAAGAAGAATCCTGGCTTTCCCTTTCCTCCTGTCCTGCAGCCTCCCATCAACATCTTCCATTGGCTGTAGCCTGCTGAGCCCGGGCCAAGTCCCCCTGTATTACACAATACAACAGGTGCAAGGAGAGGAGAGAACTGAAGGCAAACAGGCCCAGGACTGGCATATCTTGCTTGGGTAGTGTACCCACAGGCATTGTGTTCCGGGAATATTGCTCCAGCTTGGGTCACATACCCACTATGAAGTGGACAGATGGAAGATGACTTGGTTGATAGGATAGCATGGACTGGAGAAAGGACAATTATATCAGGGAAGGGATGTTGGCATCAAAACATTAAAGAACTTCTACTACACTCCCTGACAAAGTACAAGTACTCCCTGGGAAAGAACTACTTTAAAACTCGTCAGTCATCTCCCTTGTCTGAGCAGGGTTTGAATAGGGTCGGTAGGGAGATCAAGAAATTAGGGAGACCAAGAAATTATTTGGTGCCTTGGAAGTTGAGGAGCAAAAAGAGAAATTAGAAGAGCAGAAGGGTGACTTACTTTAAAAACAAGAGATTGCAGGAAAGGGAGACTCAAGGCACTGCAGAACTCATTTTTGTGATATTGTATATGGGCAGCTGTGCCTTTCTGTGTTTTCTGGTTTATTTTGTGTGATAACAGTGCCCAATAGCCTTTATTTTTTATTGTGGTGGCATGTGCAGTTTCTTTGGGGAGCAAACCGTCCTGACCTTTGGATTTCCTTTTCTGAGTCTTAATTGACAATTCAGAGTTCACTGTTAAATTGTCAGAGTTTGGATTGCTTTTTCTCTTATCTTTCCTATTTTAAAGTTTATCTTGCCTCTCTTTTTTTTTTCTTCCTGTCACCAACAAAGGGAGATCGTTCTCAAGCTCATTGCTATCAGCTTATCATTGCCTCATTCAGAAGAGCTTGGCATTTTTTGTAAGTGTTTGGGAAATCTGAGACAGAAGTGTCAACTGGATTTTACCAGTCTGTCAAACACCGGAGCTCTCTGGCTCTGTGGAAACCCCTTAATGTAACCTTTTAGTTCCTATGGCTCCTCAGATGAGGTCCAAGACTGTTCCACACTGGGGGTTGCGGGGAGGGGGGTTACTGAAAGAGGAAACTGCTGTAACAATTTCAGCTTTAAAAAATATTCACATACAACTCAATAGCAAAAAAAACCCAAAATCAAAACCATACAAAACAAAAAACCTGATTAAAAAATGAGCAAAGGACCTGAGTAGACATTTTCCCAAAAAACACATGCAAGTTGCCAACAGTTATATGAAATGATGTTCAACATCACTAACCATCAGGGAAATGCAAATGAAAGCCACAATGAGATATCACTTCATACTTGTTAGAATGGCTATGATCAATAATGTTAAAAGATAACAAGCGTTAGCTAGGATGTGGAGAAAAGGGAATCCTTTTACATTGTTGGTGGGAATTGAAATTGGTATACCCACTATAGAAAACAGTATGAATGCTCCTCAAAAAATTACAAAGAGAACAACCATATGACCCACAATCCCTTTGATGGGTATATATCCAAAGGAAATGAAGTCAGTACTTCAGGGAGATATTTCTGCTCCCACGTTTATTGTGGCATTATTCATGATAGCTAAGATATACAAACAACATAAGTGTCCATTGAAGGATGAATGGATAAAAAAATTATGATACAGGCACACACACACACACACACACACACACACACACACACACACACCATGGAGTACTATTCAGCCTTAAAAAAGGAGGTAATGCTATTTGTAATAACATGATTAACCTGAAGGATATTATGGTAAGTGAAATAACCCAGACACAGAAAGAAACGTACTGCATGATCTTACTTATATGTAGAATCTAAAAAGAAGTCAAGCTCACAGTAACAGAGAGTAGAATGGACTGGGACTGGGAAGTTGGGGGAAAGGGGAGATGTTGGTCAAATGGTACAACATTCAGTTATAGGATAAATAAGTTCTGGAGATATAATGTACAGCATGGTGACTATAGTTGATAACGGTGTATTACACATTTGAAATTTGCTGGGAGCAGAAAAAGCAATATTCACAAAGCGTATCTTTTACAAAAGCAAAATCCATAATTCCCTAACTTTCACTATTGTCTGTTTTTCCATAATCTCTATGCTGTTTGTCTGAAAACATAAGAATTTTACATAACTAATGACAATACATGATTTGATTTTCACTTATTACCTAGTTATGCAGTCTTCTTAATGATTACATAATATGATATAATTTACTAAGTTGTTTCCCTAGTATTGTCTATTTAGATCATTTTAATATTTAACATGTAGTGACACTGTGATGAATAAACTAGTACATGTATTTTTTCCTTTCTTTTTCATTATTTCCTTAAAATAAATTCTCTTGACTCAGATAAATGTGCCAAATTCTCTTGACCAGATAAATGTAAGACCCTAGTGTATATTGGTATATTGTTTAGAAAACATTGCAAGAATGTATAATGTCATCAACATTTGGAGGACCATAAACTTTTTTTAATACAGTTGTTTGTTGCAGTATTTTCTTATTTATAATTTTGGCCCATTTTCAATTGAGGTATTGTAATTTTTTCTCAGAAATTTGTGTTTCTTATCTATTATAGATCATAGCCTTTTAACTATTACACTTGGTGAAAATATTTCTTCCAGTTTATTGTTTTCTTCTCTTTTTAGAATAATGAAATGATTACTCTGGATTTGATTGGAAATGTCCAAAAGATTAATAGAGCGTTTAGGATTTTCTGAGTTTATATGCCCTTACCCAGGCAGAATAATTTTTCATGTTAGATTAAGAAATATGTTAAGAACTATGCAGAAACTTCTAAAATGTAGAACAGTGGCATAAATATGCTACGTGAGATCAAATGACTTATGTATGACACGTGACATCTCTAACCCTTCTTTACATCAGATAGCAGTTGAGTAGGGTTCCATGACAAAGTTATTTTTTCCTTTCAAATGTTTTCTGTCTCTCTGTGTCCACCCGCCTTTTCTTAAAAAGAAAACACTAAATCTTGGAGAAGTTTTATTAGCAATTATTAATTAGAAAAAATTTTAAAAACCACAAGGAGGTTCAAAGTAACGTTACATGTGTGTCATCTACATTACTTCATTTACTTATGTACCTGTTATAATGCGTACTTGAAAAAAAGATATAAAAGCTGCTGAAAAACTGATTAAGAAGTCAGGAGTAAGGGAAAATAAGAATAGAAACAAAAAGTATGAAGCCAGGGATGAGAGTGAGACCCAAGAATCATAATCTTGTAATTTTGCTAGGAATCAGCCACAAATTAGACTGTAAGCTTTTTAACACTCAACGTAAATATAGAAATATTACACAAATCCATCTCTTAACAATTAAACCAGAATTTCTTGGCGAAAATACAATTATTTTGACTGTACATGAAATTGGCATTAAGTTTCTTTGAAAATGTCCATTTGAATATATTACCAAATCAGAGGGCAAACTATGTTGAACGGAGACCAAGATGAGATTGTTATATCTCATTTGTAAATTCAGTATATTTGCATACATGCCTGCAAGTCTGCTAAGTGCATACACTGAAAAGTTATGTATAATCAGTGTTACTCTGAAGTTACACAATACTATGTACACATAAAGACACACTTAATGCACCACAGGAAACTTTAGTATCAAAAGTGGATCAGTGAGGAGTTTTTTGTTGTTGTTGTTTGTTTGTTTGTTTGAGATGGAGTCTCGCTCTGTCGCCCAGGCTGGAGGGCAGTGGCACCATCTTGGCTCACTGCAACCTCCGCCTCCTGGGTTCAAGCGATTCTTCTGGCTCAGCCTCTCCAGAAGTTGGGAGTACAGGCACGCGCCACCATGCCTGGATAATTTTTGTATTTTTAGTAGAGACGGGGTTTCACCATATTGTCCAGAATGGTTTCGAACTCCTGACCTCGTGATCCGCCCACCTTGGCCTCCCAAAGTGCTGGGATTACAGGCTTGAGCCACTGGGCTGGGCCTTTTTTTTTTTTTTTTTTTGTCTTTTGTCTTATATTTGTGTTCCTTAATTTTGACTGGTGAAATTAGTTTTCCTTTTGCTTGCTTGCTTTGGTAGAGGGTTTGCTTTTTTTCATTTTTAAATTAATTTTATTGATGTATGATTTATATACAATAAAATACACTCATTTTAAGTGCACAATTAGATGAGTTTTAACAAATTCATACACCTGTAAAACTACTGTGCCAGACAAGATTAAACATGTTTCCATGACTGCATAACATTCCTTCATGCTTCTTCCCCTATTCTAATCCCCAGGCAACCACTGATCTGCTTTCTATCATCAGATCCATCAGATACACACCATTCTGTCTCTTCCAGAATATCACACGAATCATACAGTATGTTCTCTTCTGAGTCTAGGTTCTCTCACTCAGGATGTTTTTGAGATTCATCTATATTGTTGTGTGTATCAGTGGTTAGTTTCTTTTTATTGCTAAGTAGTATTTAATTGTTTGGATATACCACAATTTGTTTATGCATTCACCAGTTCATGGGCATTTTGTTGTTTCCAAGTTTTGACTATTGTGAAATTAAAGCGCTATTAACATTGTTATACAAGTCTTTGTGTGGGTATGTTTATTCTCTCTCTCTGTTGAAATACCTGGCCATGTGCAGTGGTTCACGCCTGTAATTCCAGCAATTTAGGAGGGCAGGATTGCTTGAGCTCAGGAGTTTGAGACTAGCCTGGACAACATGGTGAAACCCCGTCTCTGAATCTAAAAAAAAAATTAAATAAGAAATATGTAGTGAAATTGCTGAGTCATAGAGTAAGTGTGTATTTACCTTTAAAAGAAACCACCAGTTTTCTAAAATGTTTGTACCATTTTATGCTCCCAACAGCAATATATGAAAGTTTTGAAGTCCAATTTGTGAAGTATTTCAGAAACTGAAAATAGGTTATTTATATTTTTTGTAGGCCACTGATCATGTTTCTAAAAAAATTCCATATATGTTAACCCTTTAACAAACAGAAGAAAAAGGAACGCAGAGTGGTATGCCTTAACGCTGCTATCTTTTACAAAGTATTTCTCATAGAACTATAGTTCAATTCTTATCTGTATTTTTCTTGCAACCTTGCAAGTTGGTGCTTTTGTACACGTGGAAGTGTGACCTTTATAATTTGCTGAACTTTAATATAAGCTGCTATGAAGCCACGATATAACAACTGAGACTTTATGGACCTTTGTGATAAAAAAAAGAAAATGGTATTTCTAGCCCTGTACTCAGTAGGCAACAGCAGGGTAAAGAAGAATTCCGGACTGGGAGTTGTCATCTCAGCTATAAGTTATGTGACTTGTGGCAAGACATTTACCCCATTTACCCAGGCATCAGAACCTGAGGCTCTGTCTCTATAAAGGAACTGGCAAGACTAGGTGAACTCTAAATTTCCTACTATCTCTAAAATTTTGTGAATCTAACTGCAGGCTGAAATTGTTCTTAAATTAACTTAAAATATTTTCTCATCTAAGAAACACATGAATATGTTTTCCTTAAAAGAAAAACAAAAAACCCAACAACAAAGAACAAATTAGAGTGTTCCAGATAGAGCTAAAGTCCCCTTTGACCATTACCACCAAATCCAAGCCCCTCTTGTCTTTTTCCTCTTCTCCCCAGAATTAACCACTGTAATGAGCTTTGTGTGTAAACTTTCAGATTTTAAAGAAATATGTGCATACATTATACACTCATAGCAACTCATAGTCTTGTGTACTTTCTTTTACATAAATGGTATAAGGAACTGTGTCAGTGGTCCCTAAGACCACTCCCACGTTTGATGAATCACTAGAAGCACTCATTAGATTCGGCAAAGACTCACATTCATAGCTATTATTTATTACGAAGGGATATAAAGCAAAACCAGCAAAGGAAAACGTTGCATGGGGAGAAGTGCAGAGGAAACCAGAGCAAACTTCCAGGAGTTCTCTTCCAGTGGAGTCACACGTGATGCACTTAATTTCTCCAGCAACAAACTGTGACAACATGTGAAATATTGTCTACCAGGAAATCTCATGAAAGATTCATTAATCAGGGTTTTTATTGGGGCCTGGTCACATAGGCACCCACTGCCTGGCATGTACCAAAATTCTAGACTTCAAGAAAGCAGGTATTCTGCATAAATCACATTGTACAAACAGTTTAGACACAGTTCACCATTCTTATCAAATATGGGATGAGAACACTCCTAAAATCCAATTTCTCAGACACCAGCCAACGGCCAATCTTGCAAGTGGGCCTTTCTGAGGACAGCAGATTCAGGCTGCTATGTTAACTATTTTCTTCACACTAACGTAACTTCCTAAAACTTGCTTTTTGCACTCATCAAAATGTTTTTGATATCTAACTGTATGCATGTGTACATTTCTTTTAATTGCTCTATAGTCTTTCATTTGAAAACAAAACAATGGGTGTGCTCTTATGTGCAAGCGTTTCTCTGGTACACTGTAAATGAAATTGTTGTGTCATAAGGCATTTTAGATGTTGATACAAACTAATGTCCCCACAACAAAGCATGAATGCCTATTTTGCCACATACTTTTTTTTTTTACAAAGTGTTATGTAACTATTTTATTTTTCTCAGATGAATATATGAAAAATGGTATCTCATTGTGGTTTTACTTTGCATCTTTTATTATAAGTCTCTCTTTATTGAAATGGCTTTTTGAGAATGCTGTTTAATTATGCATTTATATGGAGGGACTAAAAGCAGGATCCTTGGCATAAATGTTAGATTAGAGACATGAGTGTCTCCAAGTACCCAGAGTTTGATTTTGTCTCTGATATGCATGATTCCTAGACTCTGGCAACTAGGTTTCTTTTACTTTTCTTTTTCTTCTTTTTTTTTTTTTTTTTTTTTTTTGAGAGAGTCTCACTCTGTCACCCAGGCTGGAGTGCAATGGCGTGAGATCATGGCTCACTGAAGCCTTGACCTTCTTGGGCTCAAGGGATCCTCCTGCCTCAGCCTCCCAAGTAGCTGAGACTACACGTACATGCCACTATGCCTGGCTAATTTTTTTGATTTTTATTTTTAGTAGAGACAGGGTCTCACTATATTGCCCAGGCTGGTTTTAAACTCTGGGGTCAAGTGATCATCCTGCCTTGGGCTCCCAAAGTGCTGGGATTATAGGCATGAGGAGCCACCACACTGGGCTTCGGTTTCTTTCTTTCTTTTGGAGCTGGAGTCTCGCTCTGTCACCCAGGCTGGAGTGCAGTGGCACGAACTTGGCTCACTGCAACCTCCACCTCCCAGGTTCAAGCAATTCTCCTGTCTCAGTCTCCCCAGTATCTGGAATTACAGGCGAATGTCACCATGCCCGGCTAATTGGGCCTAGGTTTCTTAAATGAGCCTAACAAAGCTACTCTTGATCAAATGAAAAGTTATATCTTCTTGCACATCTTGTGGCATTTGTATGAGTCTACTAGGGCTACCATAACAAAACACCACAGACTGGGTGGCTTAAACATCAGAAATTTATTTTCTCATAGTTCTGGAGGCTGGAAATAAAAATTTGGTAAGTTTGGTTTCTTCTGAGGGCTCTCTCCTTGGCTTGCAGAAGGCTGCCTTCTTAATGTATCTTCACATGGCCTTGCCTCTGTGTGCACCCATCTCTGGTTTCTCTCTGTGTGTCCTAATCTCCTCTTCTTATAAGGACATCAGTCATACTGAATTAGGGGCTCACCCCAATGACCTCGTTTTAACTTAATCACCTCTTTAAAGAATCCATCTCCAAATACAGTCACCTTTTGAGGTGGTTCAATATATGAATTCTGGGGGAAGGATGCAATTCAGCTCACAATTGCATTTCTCTTTCAACTTGAAATCTGACAGGTAATTTAGCAGAGAGGTAACTTAGCACTGTCTCCAGGGGATGTAAATGAAGAAAAGTGAATGATTTCAAATTACTAAGAGACAAATCCTACATGGCTAGGGAGTTAGGAACTTACCCGTTGACAGCTGATCCTTTTGTTTTTTCTGGGAGCTTGCCCTGTAAAGTGGTGGGGAACTTAGTTTTCATTATTTTATTCAATAACTATGTATTGAATGTCTAGATCAGCCTCTAGTGATACAAAATCTAGGAAGAACTGCCTTTGAGAGTAGTTTCTCTAAAGAGAGATTGGACATAGAGCATCATGGTAAGGCAAAAGCATTTTAGGGATTTCACGGATGTGAAGCTGGTAGGACAGGTTGAAGTATTTTGCTTAGCTAGTGCTAAGAATCACTCACTCAAAGGTACAAAGTAAGAAATCGTTCCTTTCTCCTTCATTATCTCTGCATAGGGTGGCAGCTTCCTATGTTCACACAAGCAAATCTTTACATTTAGCCAGTGAAGGTGAGGCTGAGCTGACTAGCTGGCTCCTGTTTGGTCCTCATGATTCCCCTTCTGTTTGGAGTTCTCTTTTTTTAGCTAGCTGCTGCCACAACAGAGCTGATTCTTGGCAAGGGACATAACTTCTCGTTGGAAATTCTCATCCAAGGAGGAATGTACACGCTTTCCTTTGTTCTTCTGAGGACATATAAGATGACTCAAATTTTCAAAATGATTTATACTAAGTACTAAAGAAGAACATGATGAAACATAGATTTTATCTAACTTGCTAACAGGGCTCATAGTCTTTGTCTCATTTCTTGTCCAGTCTGAGAATCCCGTTTTCATTCTTAGGATTTTTTCCCCCCATTCCATGTGAGGAGTTTTAGCTACACAGACTTTCAGGGAGAAAGAGCAGGTGGTAGCTAAGTTGGTTGGTTGACTCCTTCTCTTAAAATCACAGTGTAAGTCTTAACCCTTCTTCAGATGAAACATGGAAAATAACCTGTGTAGTGCAGAATCTCATATCTTTCCTTGCTACAGTCTGGGTCAAAGATATTTCCTTGCACTCCTTCTCCTTCCTTCACATATCCTCAACTTTAATATACTACCATTAAGCAGTATTTTCTTTTCTTTTTTTTCTTAGCAGTTCCTTGGAAGAAATGAGTAGTATTTTCTAGTTCAAGACTATGCTCAGTGTTCATTTAAAACCAAATTCATCTAGATGCAGAAAAGAAGGCCAGTATGTATCTACAGACATAGTAGAAGAGACCCATCTTCTTGTAAGTGAGGTAACTGGTTCAATTCAGGTTATGGCTCTGTCACTAGATATCACCTGTATTTATTGGGAGCTTAAGTACATAGATGTGCATCAGCTTCGACTTGAGAAATCACCAGAACCCCACCTCTCAAGTTCCACAGAAGTAGCTGGGAATAGGCTTTACCATAAAGAAGACTTTACTGATGGCTTCGGGATGAAGCATGAGGGAAATTACAACATAAAGAGCCTCAAGTTGCTTTCGGAGTCCATGAGCTCCATGAGCTCCAGCTTTTCCACAAGGCCAGCTTATGGGTGCCTCTCTTCCTAGCGTACAGATGACCACAGTGTAACAGGGACCAGCTTATTTCTCCTCAGTAGCAGGACTCTTGAGTGCCCCCTCACTGGGGATCCTCAGCAGATACTCTTTTCACCTTATAATAGGCCAAGGTTCACCTCCTTATCTCCTGCCTCAGGATCTGACCTCTTTTTAGTTTAAATATACTACTATAACAGTAGTATAATTCACTTCCTTCAGGGAATATTTTACCTTTGCCATATGGTTGTGGTTTTACCCCATCCCAAACCATCTTAATGACATCATAATACTATTATCTGACAGCAGTGCATCTCCCCAAATCTGTATTATTCAGTTTTAAAAAATAAGCAATGAATAACATTCTTTGGAGAGCAATTAGGAACTGTTTTTCATTTCTTCTGCAGTACTCCACTCCCTTATCCCTGCAAACAATTGCTCAAAGGTCAATACAACTGTTGGAAAATACAAATCAGAAGTGAACAGTGTAAACTTACATTATTTCACTCTCAAACAGAAGTTTCAGAGACTTATAACTGAAAAAGATCACACTACTTATGGTTGTAAAAGAACGTAGCTTCTCACCCTGAAACACCAGAATTTACTCCAGGTCCTTTAGGAGTATCTGGTGTTAAAGCAAACTAAATATGGCCTGAGAAGGACTCCATACATCTATACTTGAATCCTTGTGGATGAACTGTAACCTAGCTTAACAGACAAGATTGAAAACCTAACTTAGAAGTATGCGTCTCTTACAATAAGCGAGTCTTGGCCAATTCCAGCCGCCACACTTCAATCACTCATAGACTGCTAAGTGTTCAAATAAGGCCAACGCCAACCTGTAACCAATCCAGCTGTTTCTGTACTTCACTGCCAATTTCTGTACCTCATTTCCCTTTTTTTGTCTATAAATCTTCCACCACGTGGCTCTGCTGGAGTCTCTTAATCTGCTGTGATTCTGGGGGCTGCCCAATTCGTGAAATCGTTCACTGCTCAATTAAACTCCTTTAAATTTAATTCAGCTTAAGTTTTTCTTTTATAACTGGTAAACAACTGGAGACCAGGTAGGGTCTAAATGCTTTATTTATCAGCTTAGTCTCCACCTTAGAAGTGACAAACATTCTCCGTTTGGCCAAACTTCGGGCTCCTGGGCCTTCTCCTAGGACCATCTGTGCATCTTCTTGTAAAACTCAGTTTCAGCAAAGAACCTTGTTAAGGCAGTGTAGTGAGAATCCCTCACCCTTGATGGGGTTCCTCATCCTCCACCACCCCCAGGTGATGTCTGCTATCCTGGCCTATCTTCGTCTAGAATCCTGTTGTGTTGGTTTAGCCAGAATCTCCCTTGCCCCTGATATTTCCTCTTAGTAATTTTCCATCCACTGACCGACTTCCACCCCTTGGCTATAAATTCCTACTTACTCATACTGTATTTCTATTTGAACAGGTAAGGGAGAAGGGAAGAGTACGTAGGACACACTCAAATGCCTTATCCTCTAAAAATCACTCAGGAATCTTTAGCCTTAATTTCCCAGCTTTTGTCCTTTACACAGTTACAGATTTTCCTTGCTCATAAACGCTGTAGGTCTTCCCTGCTTAATTGGAAACTCCTTGCTCACAAAATGATTCACCCCCATTCCTAGAACCGGGCTTGGCAAAGCATAGGCTCCCAATAATGAATGAATGGATTTATAGAAGAAAAGGTTTTTTCTTTTTCAGCTGTTACTACAATGGTCAACAATAACGACAAAAACCACTTAAAGTTGGACAGACGTCTACTGCAACCAACTCTCAAAAAGTTTAGAACAGCGCACTACGCCCCGCCCATTGGCGAGAAACGGAAATACCCGCTTTCGAGAAAACCGGAAGTGCGTGGTCACGCCCCGCGCATGCGTGCATCGGGGCAGCTCACGCTTCCTAAATCCCGTCATCCAGTGAGAAAGCAGGGACTCTTCGGCCTAGGCAGCCGGGACCCAGCCAGCCCTGCGCCTCGCGCCGTCGCGCATGCGTCCTGGGTATGTCCACGCGCAATAAGGAGGGGCGAAAGGACATTTTTTTTTTTCTTGCTCCCGCCTCTGTTCTTCCCCCACCTGCCACGTACAGAGCCCAAGTTCTCGCTAGGCTTGTTGGGTCAGCGCGATTGGCCGGGGCCCGCGCGAGCCTGCGAGCGAGGTGCGGCGGTCGCGAAGGGCAACCGAGGGGGCCGTGACCACCGCCTCCCCGCGACGCCCCAGTCCAGTGGCCTCGCGTCCGCCCATTCAGCGGAGACCTGCGGAGAGGCGGCGGCCGCGGCCTCCGCAAGCCGGTATGGCCACTGGAGACGGGGGTTGCGGGCGCTCTGTCCGAGGAGGCCGGGAGACTAGGAGGCGCTGGGAGGGCCTCGTTCGAACCGCGCGGCAGCTGGGGTCGGAGGCACTGTGGGAAGGGGCTGGAGGGAGGAGGGGGTGGGAGGGAGGAGGGGGTGGGAGGGAGGACGAGGCCGGGGGGGAGGGCGGGCGGGGCCTTGCATGGGGGGAGGGGAAGGGAGGTCGCGGAGGGGGAGGGGAGAGAGGCAACCCCTGGCTGCGGTGGCCAGGAGGCGCGCCTGGGGGGCTCCGGGAGGGGAGTGCGCCAGCTAATGCCTTGGTGCAGCCTGCCTCCAAGCGTTTGGATTGAGAGGAGAGGGGCTTTGGGAGGTTTGGGGCGGCCGGCGCCCAATACCCGAAGGAGCTCGGAAGGGTGTGGAGTGGCGCCTACGGGAATAAGTTGATTGGGGTCATAGAATCGGAGCCTAGTTCCTTGGCTAAGTCAGCGCTTAATCAAGCGCCGGCTGGAGGCCCAGCCTGGTTTATAGTGATGATTCTAGCTAACTTTAAGAGTTTGCTTTGCTGGACACTACAGTAAG
This sequence comes from Homo sapiens, assembly GCF_000001405.40. Classification (NCBI taxonomy): domain Eukaryota; kingdom Metazoa; phylum Chordata; class Mammalia; order Primates; family Hominidae; genus Homo; species Homo sapiens. Next base: position 100,710,301 of record NC_000003.12, read on the forward strand.
TATTTTGGATGCACTGTCTCATTTAATCATCACAAGGATTCCTCCAAATTCAGATATGGTTGTTTTCATTTCGAATGTGATGAAAGTGAGCCTTGGAGGACTTAAGATCACATAGCTAGTAGTGAGAATCTTTACCGTCTTGCTGCACTGCCTTTGAGGCAGGGTTTGAGGCCTCTTGGCATTCTTTAGAATAATTACAGGTTGACTTGGCTTAGTATTTCTTGAAGGAAACTGCTCCCCTCAGGAGGTGCTTAAGCCACAGCCTCTGAAATTGAGCAGGGTCTTACCCTTAGAGGTAGTAGAACCAGAAGTTTGTCCGCCGAACCTAGAACCTGGTTCAGGAGGCAGGCTTTTTATATGACCTTGGGCGTGTCAGATTATTCCCAGTGCTGAGAAAAGTGTACCTGGTAGAGGGTTATATTATACAAGTTAGAAGCCGAGTCATTTCTGGACTTCAGAGGGGGCGGGGCAAGGACAAGATGGGAGAAGAGCTTGTCGTAGGGCTCCTACTGGCAGTTCTAGGAACTAGTTAATACCAGTCTCTACTTTGGAAGAGAAAATGAGTACCAGAATTCTGTATGTGAAGTAATGTTGGGTTGGGATTTCCCCTTGAAGGGAAAGTTTTGTTGCACACTTACTTTTGAGATACTTTTGTGTTTACTCTGGGGAGATGACTGCAAGAGCAAACGACAGCTTTAGGAAAGAAGCACTGGTTCCTGGCCACAAGATGTTTACAGTCAATAGGAAACACAAAAAGTGAATTTGCAGGTAAACACGGCAGATAGAAAGTATACGTGACTCAATTTTTTTTTTTTTTTGAGACGGAGTCTGGCTCTGTCGCCCAGGCTGTAGTGCAGTGGCGTGATCCCCCAGCTCACTGCAACCTCCGCCTCCCGGGTTCAAGCGATTCTCCTGCCTCAGTCTCCTGAGTATCTGGGATTACAGGCGTGCGCCACGACAACTGGCTCATTTTTGTATTTTTAGTAGAGACAGGGTTTCACCCTGTTGATCGGTCTGGTCTTGGACTCCTGACCTCGTGATCTGCCCGCCTCGGCCTCCCAAAGTGCTGGGATTACAGGTGTGAGCCACCGTGCCCGGCCCTCAAATTTTAAATCCATTGAAATTGGGCAACAAACCCGTACCCCAGTCAGAAGGACATACCATCAATTATCTTCAAAGCTGGAATTTTTTTCTTAATTAGGAGTGTGTCTGATGGAAGTCACTTCTAGCTACATAAAGAAGGTACAGTGTGAGGGGTCGGATGTAAAAACTGATCTATATTACAGCTTTCTTCTCCCATAATTAAAAAATTTAAACAAAGTCTTTAAATTCTATATGTCAGGCACTTTTCTAGGTGCTGCTGGGAATAGATAGTACCAGCTCACTGAAGCTAAGCACTGGTTCCTTTTACATTATTGCTGGTTTACACTTCTTGTAGGAAGGAGAAGGTAACAAATACATTGATTTATTGAAAGGTCTTTATTACTCTTAGGCTGCCAGAGCAAGCAAGATGGAATATTTACCATCTTGGTGAAGTAATTATACTTTAGAGTTGGCACATAGTAGGTATTTAATAAGTAGTTCCTGAATACCGAAAGCATTGCAGAAGGCATTGCAGAAGGCGAAGAGTTGGTTGTGTGGAGATTTCTGTTAATCACTGTCTTCACGAGAAGTCCATTGTGAGAACTGGCAGATAAAAAGCTAACTGTATTCTTATTTTGCATTAAGATAAGCATGGCATCCCTAGAGTGGAATGCAGTTCACTCTGTTCTGCATTGACCTTAGAGTGTTATATTTAGTTTTAATGACCCATTTCATTGAAGATTTATTAATAAAATATCTGTTGAGAGCATGGTGAGGGGTCTAGAGATATTAATTTAAGGACTAGTTAGATGGAAGGACCTAGCGTATTTATATGAAGAATAGTAGGGCATTAATATATAATATTCATATAATAGGATTCATGAAAACTTTTTTGAAGTACTTGAAGGGTTGATATGTTGGGGGAGTAGGTGAGTGCTTTCACATACCCCGAAAGAATAAAGAATAATTGCAGAGAAGTGTGGTGTTAATGAAATAACAGATTTAAGAGGAGGAAGCAGAAAGCTGCTAGTAGTAAGGCGGGAAGTTGAAACTAGAATGTGGCCAGTAGTAGTTTGTAGGATACCTTGAAAAGTCTCAAGAGATCATTTTCTTGGGGCAGGAGGAGGAAGGAGTTATGCTTGGAAAATGTTCAGCGATTATAGATAACATTCAGGAACATCTTGGCCTTGAGAAGAAGAGATATTAATCCATTATTTTTCCCTTTATTTAATAGCTGTTGAATGACTGTTGTCTGCTAGGCACTGTTGTAGACTCTGGGAATATGGAAAACATAATCGTTTACTTCCTACCATCAAGTGGAAAAGACAATAAAATGTTATAAATTTTTAATGTCTGGTAGTGTTAAGTGCTTTGAAGAAAAATAAAGCAGGATAAGAAGATAATGCCAGGGGAGCCATTTTAAATTAGATGGTTAGGAAAGATCTCTCTCAGTTAACACTTGATAAGGAATCTGAATCATATGAGGGGTATCAGAAAGGGTCAAGACAAAGGGAAAACTTGAAGTATGGGAATAGCAGGGGTGAGTGAAGAAGAGAGGTAGGAAATGAAGTTAAATACTTGGCCAGGGACTGGAGGCCAGATGATTTTATAGGTCTTGCTTTTTGGGATGAGAATGCATTGGAAGGTTTTGAACAGAATGATACTAGGTTTTACTTAACAGTGTTAACTCTGGTGTTCTGAGACTAGATTAAAAGTGGGCAAAGGTAAAAAGCAGGCAGACTGGTTAGGAGTCTTTTCCAGTCATTTAGGCAAGTGATGATGGTGGCTTGAATCAAGTTGATAGCAGTGAAGGTGCTGAAGTGGTTGGACCCCAGAGTTATTTTAAAGGCAGTGGCAACCATATTTTCTTGGCAGTTTGGATGTAAGGTTTGAGAGAGAGAGATCAACCAAGATTTTTTTGTCTTATACAACTCGAAGGAAGATAAAGAAGCCTCTAGGAGAGGCAGGTTTTAGGTGGAAGATCAGGAATTTATTTTTAGATATATTAAGAAAAATCTAAATGGTCATGTCAGATGAACAGTTAAATATGAGAAAAAATAATAGTAGACGTAAAATAAAAGCTTATTTTATTATCCCTACAGTAAAATAATGTTGCCTCCAGACCATTTTAACATAAATATGGTAACATGGGGATAATGAATCTTTTGGAGGCTAGAGTTTCTTAGCATCTAATAGTAGCTTTGCTCTCAACTTTTACGGTATGTTTTGTTGTTTAATTATCAAAACCACTTTTATCAGTCTTTCTCTAGAGTTGTATATATAGAACATCCTGGAGTCCACCATGAACGGACAGTTGGATCTAAGTGGGAAGCTAATCATCAAAGCTCAACTTGGGGAGGATATTCGGCGAATTCCTATTCATAATGAAGATATTACTTATGATGAATTAGTGCTAATGATGCAACGAGTTTTCAGAGGAAAACTTCTGAGTAATGATGAAGTAACAATAAAGTATAAAGATGAAGGTAAGAGTGTTTTTAAAGCTATTTTTTAAAGTCTTTTTAAAAAAAAAAAAAAAAAGACAGAGCCTCTGTTGCCCAGGCTGGAGTACAGTGGTGTGATCATAGCTCAGTGTCACCTCAAACTCCTGGGCTCAAGCAATCCTGCCTCGGCCTCCCAAAGTGCTGGGATTACAGGCATGAACTGCCATGCCTGACCTTAAAGTCTTAAGTATTGTATGTGTTATTTTGCCCATTTTTATTGGACTCTTTCCCATCCTCTCTTCACGGTAGTTGAGACCTCACTTTCTTGTATTGAATGTGATGTTCCTATAGTTACTATAATTCTCTCATCAGTTAAAATTAGCTAAGTGGGGCCGGGCGCAGCAGCTCATGCCTGTAATCCCAGCACTTTGGGAGACCGAGGTAGGCGGATCATTTGAGGTCAGGAGTTCAAGATCAGCCTGGCCAACATGGCGAAACCCTGTCTCTACTAAAAATACCAAAAATTAGCTGGGCGTGGTGGTGTGCGCCTGTAATCCCAACTACTCGGGAGGATGAGGCAGAGAATTACTTGAACCCGGGAGGTGGAGCTTACATTGAGCCAAGATCGTGCCACTGCACTCCAGCCTGGGTGACACAGCAAGACTCCGTCTCAAAAAAAAAAAAATAGCTAATTGGTTTATTAGAAGGGAATTTTAAGTGTTAGAACATTTTCACATACATTTTTTTTACAAGCATTATTTTCTCCTTTTGTCCATATAATTCTGGTTTCTTTTAGCTTAAAAAAATTTTTTTTCTATTCTTATTTCCCGAAATGAAAGGTTTTAGTATGTATTGAATGAAAAAGGATTTTATGGTCAACTAAGTAAGGGAAAGCTGGTTTAAACAAAGACAAAAGTGTTTCTTTATTGTAGGAGTTTTCAGATTATGTAATATGCTTATATACATTTTCAGAAGTTAGTAGTATGCAGTGTTCCCAGACTCATTTGTTGACAAAATTATCTTTATGGAAATAGGTTTTGAATGAAAAATGTTTCGGCAAACACACTGAGTAGAATTATAGTAGTAGACTGTATTTCCTATTCTTCAACCTGCCTTCTTTGTTAATATCTCTGCTGAAATTTTCTCTTTAGGTGGTTACCAGTGTTTTTTACTGTGGAACTTACTTGCAGTGTATTTAATCTTGACCTCACTGTTTAGCACTGCTACCCACACCATCCTTGTTTTTAAATACTTTTACCTCTTAACATCTCTGACACTGCTTAACCTAGTTTTCTTATCACTAACAGTTTTTTCTCTGTCTGTGTTAGGGTTGGGCTTAAAGTAATGCCAGCAGATATAATAGAAATCTTAAAATCTGAGTGGTTTAATAGTTGAGAAATCTTTCAGGGATCCAGGTTGAAAGAAGCTGTTACCTTCAACACATGGCTTATAAGCTCACCATAGGCATTGACATTGGCAAGCAGATGAGTGAAGACAGAGTATGAAGAATCATATGGGAGATTTTACTCACTAGGCCTGATGGTGTTGTATGTCATTTCTGCCCTTATGACATTGGTCAGTACCCAGTTACATGGCTTTGCTAAGATGCAAATGGGTTGGGAAGTATAGTCCCTGGCTGAGCAGCCACTTAGCACAACTTATACTGTGGAGGAGAAGTGTAAATCACTGGTGATCAGTTAAATTGACCATCTAGCTAAAGGTATAATTCTCCTTTGTTTTTGTGATGTGTAGTCTAAGAATACCCAAAACAAATTTTTGAGAGTTGCCCATGTTAAGAAACAATAAAGGATAGTACTTTTTTCCTGTTTTCTTATGCTTATCATACATTGATTTGCACCTCTGTGACTTTGAAATGTGTGTCTTAATTTGATCAGTGAATTTTTTTTTTTTTTGAGACAGGGTCTCACTCTCATCCAGGCTACAGTGCAGTGGCATGATTATAGCTCATCATAACCTTTAACTCCTGTCCCCAGGCAATACTGCCAACCCGGCCTCCCAAAGGCATAAGCCACCATGCCCAGCCTACAATTCAGATTTTTAACTTTTTTTTTTTTTTAGCAAAGTCCCAAGAGTACTTTTTTTTTTAAATTTTGTTTTAATTGACAAATAATAATTGTACATATTTATGGGGTACATAGTAATGTTTCATTACATATAATGGGATTAGATCAGGGTAATTCGCATATCCATCACCTCAAATATTTATTTCTTTGGGTTAGAAACATTCAATATTCTCCTTCTAGCTATTTGAAATTATATAATATGTTATTGTTAACTGTAGTCATCCTATAGTGCTATAGAACACTGGAACTACTTCTATCTAGTTGTACTTTTGTGTCTTTTAATAAATCTCTCCCTATCCCTCTTTTCCCCTACCCTTTGCAGCCTCTACTGTCATCTGTTCTGCTTTTTACTTGTATAAGATCAACTTTTTTTAGCTTCCACATATGAGAGAGAGCATGTGGTATCTTTTTAACTTAATGTCTTCCAGTTCCATCCATGTTGCTGTGAATGACAGGACTTCATTCTTTTTTATGGCTGAATTGTATTCCATTGTGTATATATACCATATTTTCTTTATCAGTTAATCTGTTGTTAGACACTTAGGTTGATTCCATATCTTGACTATTGTGAATAGTGCTGCAGTAAAATGTGAGTGCAGATTTCTCTTCAATATACTGGTTTCCTTTCCTTTAGTTAAATATTCAGTAGTGGCATCGCTGAATTGTGTGTTAGTTCGATTTATAGTTTTTTGAGGAACCTTCATACTGTTCTCCCTAGTGGCTGTACTGTTGACATTCCTACCAATAATGTGTAAGAGTTCCCTTTTCTCTTCATTCTTGCCAGCATTTGTTATTTATCTTTTTGATAATAACCATCCTAACTGGGGTGAACCTTGTTGTGGTCTTCATTTTCCTGATATGTGTGCATTTCCCTGATGATTTGTGATTTTGAGCATTTTTTCATATATTTATTGACCATTTCTATGTCTTTTTTTGAGAAATGTCTGTTCAGATCATTTGCCGATTTTAAAATCGGATTGATTGTTTTTTAGCTGTTGAGATGTTTGAGTTCCTTCTATATTCTGAATATTCATCCTCTGCCAGATGAGTAGTTGTATTTCCTCCCATTCTGTAAGTTCTCTTTTCACTCTTGATTGTTTCCTTTGCTGTGCAGAAAAGTTTTCCAGTTTGAGATAATCATATTTATTTTTGCTTTTATTGACTGCACTTTTGAGGTCTTATTCATGAAATCTTTTCCCGACCTATTAAAGAGGTTATCCTTTTCCTAATGAGTGGTCTTGTCAAAAGTCAGTTGGCTATAGATAACATGGATTATGTTCTTTTGTTCTATGTGTTCTATTGATCTATGTGTTTGTTCTCTTGGTCAATGGGTCTGTTTTTATGTCAGTTCTGTTGGTCTGTGGGTCCGTTTTTGTGCCAGTCCATGCTTATTACAGCTTTGTAGTATATTTTGAGGTCAGTAAGTGTGACACCTTCAGCTTTGTTCTTTGCTCAGTATTGCTTTGACTGTCTGGGGTTGTATGTAGTTCTGTACAAATTTTATGGTTTGTTTTTAAATTTTTATGAATAATTTTATTGGTAGTTTGATAGGGATTGAATTGAATCTGTAAATTGCTTTGAGTAATTTTGTCATTTTAACAATATTTGTTCTTATATAAGCATGGGATGTCATTACATATGTATGCTCTTTGGTTTCTTTCATCAGTGTTTTTTTTTTTTTTTGTAGAGGTTTTTCATCTTCTTGGTTAAACTGCTTCCTAGATATTTAAAAAAATTTTTGTAGCTGTGGTTAATGGGATTGCATTTTTTATTTTTTATTGTATGTGTATAGAAACACTACTTATTTTTGTGTACTTATTTTGTTTCTGGCAGCTTTATTGAATTCATTTATTGGTTCTAAGGGTTTTGGTAGAGTTTTTAGGTTTTTGTTTATATAAGATTATGTCATCTGCAAACAGGGACAGTTTGCTTCCTTCCCAATTTGGATACCTTTTATTTTTTTCTCTTGCATAATTGCTCTGGCTAGTACTTGCTTAACTGTCTTTTTTTTATTTTTTATTTTTTTGTCTTGAGACAGGGTCTTGCTCTGTCTCCCAAGCTGGAGCGCAGTGGTGTGATCATGGCTCATTGAAGCCTTGAACTCCTGGGCTCAAGCAGTCCTTGCAACTCAGCCTCCCGTGTAGCTGGGACTGCAGGCATGTGCCACTGCACTCAGCTTCTTATTCTTAATGTTTATCAAAATGGGGGTCTCACTGTGTTGCCCAGGCTGGTCCTGAACTCCTGGGCTCAAGCGATCCTCCTGCCTTGGCCTGCCAAAGTACTGAGATTACAGGCATGAGCCAGTGTGCCTGGCCTTTAACTGCCTTTTTTCCCACTTGAAGATGCTTTGCCTTTATCTCAAACTGACCTCATTGACTGGCTTTCTCTTAACTACTGTTTAGGGCAAAGGTCAGCAAACATTTTCTTTAATAGATCAGAGAGAATAAATATTGTAGCTTTGTGGGTCACATAAGGCCTCTGTCTCATCTTTTTTTTACAATGTAAAAACCATTTTTCATTCACAGACCTATAACAACACAGGGATTTTGTCCGTTGGTCACAGTTCATGGACCCTTAGCTTGAGGTGTCCTCGTTGTAGTTTGTCTTCCACATTTAGTTACAACTTTGTATTTCATGGTTTTTTTTTTTTTTTTTTTTTTTTTTGAGACAAAGTCTTGCTTTGTCGTTTAGGCTGGAGTACAGTGGGGTGATCTTGGCTCACTGCAGCCTCCACATCCCAGGTTCAAGTGATTCTCCTGCCTCGGCCTCCCAAGTAGCTGGAATTATAGGCACACACCACCACACTCGGCTGATTTTTGTATTTTTAGTAGAGACGGAGTTTCTCCATGTTGGCCAGGCTGGTCTCGAACTCCTGACCTCAGGTGATCCGCCCACCTCAGCCTCCCAAACTGCTGGGATTACAGGTGTGAGCCACCGCACTTGGCCAAAAAGTTTTTGATTGTTTTGATTTGTGTCCGTTAGATTCTGTTAGTAGAGTGGAGGGATGGCTTAGGTAAAGTTCCTGCCATCAGAGATACTCTGTTTCTGTTGTAGGATTCAGAAAAGAAAAAAAGAACAGGAAGTTTTCTTCTTTTACATACATACTTTATTTTCTTTAAAAAATGTGTTTATGAAAATTGAACATTAAACAAGTATGTTATGGGAAGTGGGTCTGGCTATAAGGAGCTAAAAACAGTTATAAAATTCTCAGTTTTGTCATCTTTGCCCAAAATAAATCCAACTAATTAGTGTTAAAGTAGGTGCAGCAGAGCATCCCAGAAGTAGTCTTGTGGCCTCCCCAGGACAGAACTCCTCCCCACCCAACTGTTTGTGAAGACACCCTGCAGAGGTCCCTGATGAACTCCTTGTCTCTGGCTGCTTTTCTGTTCTTGCTTTCTTTAGAGAATGTATTTTTCCCTTAGCCCTTTGAAAGCTTTTGAGACACACAGTTGGTATGCCAATTATAGCATTCTTTATCCCTGAGATCTGGGGGATTTCACGGTCATAAATACACACTGTTTTGAATATATAAATATTTTTCTGGGGAGAGTTGATTGTTTTCATCTTAATATCAAAATGGTCAGTGACCTGAAAGAATTTACTGTCTATCCATTCATTAAAGCAGTTTTGCAACAGTAGTGTTTTACTCTACCTATGATTAAGATTTGAACTTTGGGAAACTTTTTTATTTCTTGGTAAAAGATGTAAATTTTTTGGAATGAAAAGATTTCAGTCTAAACCAACAATTTATGATATTGCTCTCTATGAATCTCTTACTAGTGACTAATAAATATTAAGGCACTTAATGGATTCACTTTAGCTGTATTTTTTCATGTGGATATGTGTAAATACCTTGCCATAAGAGTAATAAGCAAAATTGATTTAGTATATTTTTGAACAAATGCATTTTTGCTAGACCTTTAAAGTTTAAGGTTTCTATGGGAGAGTCCAACTATGTTCTACAATCTACATTTTGGATTTTTAATTTTTACTAGTTTACTGCTTATACAAATCTGAAAATTTAAAAAATTAAAAAACAACCTTTTTTTTTTTTAAATTCCAGATGGAGATCTTATAACAATTTTTGATAGTTCTGACCTTTCCTTTGCAATTCAGTGCAGTAGGATACTGAAACTGACATTATTTGGTGAGTAGTAAACTTTCTAATGAATTTACTATTTTATTCATTGTATTTTAAAGATGTTTGGCTTTTTTCCTTTTAAAGACTCAGGTAAGCAATAACTTATTCAAATATTATTACATTTATTTGTGTTCAGGTAGTTGTTTTAGATTACTTGAAGCTTATGGCTGTGTATGTTTTTAAGAAAATGATAGAAGTTTAATTCAGTAAGAACAGAGTGTTAAGTATGTTTTTTTTGAAATCAGGTATAACTTAGGTATCCCTGGTGCAGTATTATAGTTTTAATTTAGCTGTATTAGAATTTTTAAATTGTAATTATCTTCCTTCACATTACAGTATGTTGTTACTTATTATCAGGGCTTAACATGTAAGTCTGATACTTGAAACCAGTAGTCGCCAACCTTTTTGCACTGGAAACTGGTTTCGTGTAAGACAGTTCTTCTATGGAAGGGGGCAGGAGAAGGTTTGGGGATGAAACTCTTCCACTTTGCATGTGCAATTCACAATAGGGTTCACACTCCTATGTGAATCTAATGCCACTGCTGAACTGACAGGAGGCGGAGCCCACCACTTAACCTCCTGCTGTGCTGCCCAGCCCGGTTTGGTTCCTAACAGGCCACAGAGTAGCACTGGGTTGGGGACCCTTGCTTTAGACAGTATTTCCCGAGGGGTACTTAAAGATTAAAAATAGTTCTGATAAAAACCAATAGAAGACTAATTTTAATCTTTTAGATTTTTTCTTTTAGATCTTAATAGATATGCAAGGCAGAACTCTTAAGGGACAAGATAGAAAAGATTACAGAGTTAAATGGTAGTGTGATTATGTGAAAAATAAAATGTGTACACTTTTTCCGGCTGTTTTGTTGTTTTGTTTAGCATTAATTTTATTTTTTTTTAATTTTGTTGCATGAAACTTAGAGTTCAGTGTGAAATATGATCATGGTCTATTGATTTAATTTGTATCTATTTCATCTCCATCTAGGAAGGATGAATATGAATAATCAGAATTTAAATGTTAATAACAAAAACTGTTTAAAATTATTTAAAATAAAGGTATCTTTTTACAGTATTGAATGTAAAATACTTAACTATTGACTAGGCATAAAGCAGATTAGATAATCTGAAGACCCTTACTTTAAACAGGATCTGCTAGATAAACTTACAAATGTGTTTTCTGAATTCTGTAACTCAGCTTGCACAGGAAAGTAAGGGAAATATCCAGGGAACAAAAAAGTAGAGGGAACTAAAGGCCTGATGTACCAAAAGCTGAAACTTGGGGTGTTCTTGGTGGTGATAGTAGAGATTTTAGCCTGCATAATTTAAGGAATTGCCATCTGGTGTCTACATGGTGTAGGCCCTTGGTCCTAGTCCCTCAGTAGGCCATGCTTTCAAAAAGAATATTTTAGAAAAGTCTACCTTGATACAGGGAAAGTCAAGGAAGCTTAACTCTTATACCTTGGGCCGTCAGGGGCTTGGGAAGTCTCCCTTCAGGATTCATAATTGTGGTCCTTAGGTGAGTTGGGTTTAAATTTAAACTATCCATGTAGTTTGGTAACTCCCAAGCCCAGATGTTACCATTTTAGAAAAATCTCAGAAGAAAGGCCAAAATCTCTCTTGAGGGGTATATTCTCAATCCAGGTCACATAGGTTTCTCACAGACAAAACCGTAAGACACATGAAGCTGTCAGGTAAGCAAGAACCACTGGACACAACTAATAGCAGGATTAGATTTTCAACAACTTCAGTTAAGATATGTGATAGTCTACAAAATTAAAAGTTATTTAAGACATAGAAGAAGGAATAAGAATATAAAAGCAGCCGGCCGTGGTGGCTCACGCCTGTAATTCCAGCACTTTGGGAGGCCAAGGCGGGCGGATTGCCTGAGTGCAGGAGTTCGCGACCAGCCTGAGCAACACGGTAAAACCCTATCTCTACTGAAATGCAAAAAATTAGCCAGCTGTAGTGGTGTGTGCCTGTAGTCCCAGCTACTTGAGAGGCTGAGGCAGGAGAATTGCTTGAACCTGGGAGGTGGAGGTTGCAGTGAGTCGAGATCGCGCCACTGCACTCCAGCCTGGGTGACAGAGTGAGACTCCATCTCAGAAAAAACAAAACAAAACGAGAACATAAGAGCAAGATGCTATTGTATTATGGAAAAACAATAAACAGATTTTATAAAGAACTTAAAGTAACTTGGAAATGAGAAATATAATCATTGAAATTAAATACTAAGTGGATAGGTTAAACACATTAGTCATAGCTAAAAAGAGAATTAGTGAACTGAAAAGGAAATCCAAAGAAATTACAGAGTAAAGCACAAAAACACAGGCAAAAGAGAAGTTGAAAATGAGAACATCCAGAATATTTCTATTCAGAGTTTCAAGAAGGAGAGAATGGGAGAGTGGAAATACATTGAGGTAATGACTAAAGAAATTTTCAGAGTTATATAAAAGCTATAGACCCTCAGATTCAGAAGGCACGGGGAGCCTTGAGCAGGGATAAGTAAAAGTAAATCCCCACTGGACATATTGTCATGAAACTGGAAAATGTCTTAAGACAGAGAGATTACCTTAAAAGTAGCCAGAGAGAATAAGACTGATCACATATGAAACAATTAGACTGTTAGTAGACTTCTTCATAGTAATAATAGAGGCTAAAAGACAGTATTATCACAGTTGCAAACAGTAAAGAAAAATAACTAGAAAAGTAGCATCCTATACTCCACTAAATTTCACGAATGAGGAGAAGTAAAAATACTTTGAAAGACTGAGAATTTACCACTCATGGACCCTTGTTAAAATAATTTTTAACAGTGGTCTTCATCAAGAAGGAAATTTAGTCCAGAAGGTGGTGAAAGATGCAAGAAGCAATGTGAGCAGATAAACTGTTGCTTGGTCAGTAGGCTATGCTTTCAAAAACTATTTTAGAAAAGCTTTTCCATTGATACAGAAAAAGTCAAGGAAGCTTAACTCTTAAACCTTGGGCTGTCAGGGGATTGGGAAGCACCAATGAAATTTATGTGTACGTTTTAATGAGCATTGATTGTTACAAAATTAATAGTCTTAGGGAATAAAAACAATTTGGGACAAAAATACTGGGCAATAATATGTAAGAAAGGAAGGGATGATAGGAATAAAAATATTTTAAGGACTTATTTGGGAGGAACATTGTAATTACCTTTAGATTTTTTTAATTGCATACTACATATGCAGAAGTATGCATGGTGTACATGTAAGAGTTATAATTGAAAAATTAGACATTGTCAGGAAAGGAGAAAAAAAGAAAACAAGGGTACCTGTTCAGTTCAGTAGAAAGTGGTGGCGGAATAAAAGAGGTAGAAAGCTCAATAGATAGAACAGAATACTAATCACAGTACACAGAAATTGACTACATATATCGGTTAAAATAATCTCTTAATGGAATTTTAAAAAAAATCCAGTTCCATGCTACTTCCAAGAGACATAAAAGATTATTATGCAAAGCTTGAAAGTAAAGGGCTAGGAAAAGAGACTAGACAAATGCAAAGAAAGCTGGTTATTAACAGAATAGACTTATATAAAAACTTGAGTAGTAATAGTCACTTTATGATGATAAAAAGAATAATTCACTAGGACTATATAGCAATCTGAACACTTATGCATGTTAGCTTTAGATGTTTTCCCCTAAGAAAAATTGACAGAACAAAGAGAAATCAATAAATTTACAATTATGGGAGAGCCGATAAATCAAGCAGGCTCAAACAGCGTTGGTCTTGTACATCTAGCAGTTAGGGAGAAATACAGTTTTTTTTTTTTTCGAGTACTCATAGTGCATTATAGAAGTTGACTGTAAGTCAAGTCTTCCAGAAAATCCCAAAATGTAACAGATAATTAGATATCTTAAAGGTCATATTCTCTGGCTTCTTTAGAGACTATTGGACAGAATATGTAACCCAAATTTCCCTACTTTTGGAGACAAAATATGGTTTTAAATAAGTCAAAGAAGAAATAATAATGGGAATTATAAATAAGTAGATAATGACTTCTATGTAACCAAGTTTTTAGAGAATGCTAAAGCTGTACTTAGAGTAGTACTTACAGCCTTAAATACTTTATATTAGTAAACTGGATTGGAAATTTTTGAGCAAGGTATTCAAACAGTTACAAAAGGACAAACCTCAAATAACTTGGAAGGAAATAATAAGAGCAGACGTGAACTAGAAATTGGAATTGTTAGGATCAACAATTTTGAAAAGATGCAGTTGGCAAATCTTTATGAGGATTAGTTAAGGAGAAACAAGGCACAAATAAGCAATGTTAGAAATGAAGTTTATAGTAGAAACTTTAAAAATTTATATATACCATGAATTCCTTTATTTAAATTTGAAAACTCAGGTGACATGGACAGTATCCTAGGTAAATTTAATGTACTGTTTCAAGAAGTAGAAAAATTGGTTGCCCCAATTAACATTAAAGAAATTGGGCCAACTATTTTACCAAATATCTAAGGAACAGATGATTCTAAATTATACAAACTATTCAAGAGCATAGGCAAAGAGGGAATATACACTAATTCATTTTGTGGGGTTAATATAACATTAACATGAAAACCAGCCAAGGAAAATGCAAACCAGTGTCACGTATGAACATAGATAGAAAATATTAAGTAATATTTACAAATCAAACTCATCAGTGAATATTTAAACACACCAGTGTCAAAATTGCTCACCCAAGGAGTCTAAGATTGCTTTAAATTAGAAAATCACATACTATTTTCCATAAAACAGATTAAAGGAGAAAAACTAGATCATCTCTAGATAAAGAAAAGCCATTCATATCTCAATCATGTTGAAAAGTCGTAGCAAACTATGAATAAAAGGGAATTCTTTTTTGTGAGGCAGAGTCTCTCACTGTTGCCCAGGCTGGAGGGCAGTGGTGCGATCTCAGCTCACTGCAAGCTCCGCCTCCGGGGCTCACCCCATTCTCCCATCTCAGCTTCCCGAGTAGCTGGGACTACAGGCACCTGCCACCACGCCCGGCTAATTTGTTTTTGTATTTTTAGTAGAGACGGGGTTTCACCGTGTTAGCCAGGATGGTCTCGATCTCCTGACCTTGTGATCTGCCTGCCTCGGCCTCCCAAAGTGCAGGGATTACAGATATGAGCCACCACGCCTGGCCAAAAGGGAATTCTTTTACCTCATATGGGGGCATTTATTACGTAGAACAACTGCTGTATGCCTAATATAAAAGGATTATAAATGTAACTAAAATACCTATTATAATTATATACAACAAAAGATACTTGGGATAAATCTAACATGGCAAGATTGTTTTGGATGAAACATAAAATTTTTTAAAATCAAGTAGGGGAATGGGTTTTGAGGAAAGGTACTCTGGGAGATTTAATTATGTCTATGCTGTTTCATTTCTTAGTGGTTAGGAGCAAAGATGAAAAAAATACTAAGATTTGGCCAGGTGCGGTGGCTCACACCTGTAATCCCAGCACTTTGGGAGGCCGAAGTGGGCAGATCACGAGGTCAGGAGTTCGAGACCAGCCTGGCCAACATGGCGAAACTCCGTCTCTACCAAAAATACAAAAAAAAAAAAAAAAAAAAAAATTAGCTGGGTGTAGTGGTGCGTGCCTGTAATCCAGCCACTTGGGAGGCTGAGACATGAGAATTGCTGAACCTGGGAGGCAGAGGTTGCAGTGAGCCAAGATCAGGCCACTGCATTACAGTCTGGGTGACAGAGCAAGACTCTGTCTCAAAAAAAATATAAATACATATTAAGCTTTAACAAAGATGGGTGTTTAGTAAGTTTATCTTGTTGTGTGCTTGAAATGGTTCATTAAAGTCTTATGATTATATTCACACTAATGAAGATACATTATTATGTGTGCTAGGGTTCTCCAGAGGGATGGAACCAATAAGATACATGGGAGTTTTTTAGGGAGAATTGCAAGGTGATTACAAGGCGAAGTCCGGTGATAGGCCATCTGCAAGCTGGGGAAAGAGAGAAGCTGATGCTGATAGTGGCTCAGTGGCTCAGTCCAAGTCCAAAAGCCTGAAAACCAGGGAAGCTGATAGTGCAGCCTTTGTCTGTTGCCAAAGGCCTGAGAGTCCCCTGGGAAGCTGCTGGTACAAGCCCTGGAGTCCAAAGGCCAAAAAACCTGGAGTCTGATGTCCAAGGGCAGGAGGAGTGGAAGCAAGCATCTGGCATAGGAGGGAGAGCGAGCTAAAGACCCAGCAAGCAAACTTATCCTACCTTCTTCTGCCTGTTTTGTGATAGCTGCACTGGCAGCTGATTGGGTGGTGCCCACCAACACTGAAGATGGGTCTTCCTCTTCTGGTTCACTGACTCAAATGTCAGTGTCCTCTGGCAACACCCTCACAGACACACCCAGAAACAGTACTTTACCAGCCATCTAGGCATTCCTCACTCTAATCAAGCTGACACCTAATATTAACTTAATTAATTTAAACTTAGCTAATTTAAACTTTTAATTGAGTATAATTTGGAGCTTAGTGCTCTTAAACCCACTGAGTAGATAATAACAGATTATAGGCCATACTAGGAATGTAAATGCAAGGTTCTTAAAAGTTCTGGTAAGATGTATCAGTGTGCTCCAAAGACCACCAGGAACACACCTGTAGTTGAATGAAGTTGGGTTTACTGACTTACTGCAGCAAGGGAGAATGAATACCACGGAGAACAATAGGATGTCTTACAAGTATGTTAGAAAAGTATTTTTTTTTGGGCTTGGGTTTGTGTTACCTGATTTTGGATAAGGTTCAAGGAAGTAGAGCTTTGCTCTGCATTGGATGCTCTCAGGAAGTAGAGATGATTCTATGTTTGGGTATCTTATCAAATCTTATCTAGAAGGTGAGAGGAATGAATCTTACTAAATCTTATCTGGAAGGTGAGAGGAATGAATTGAGGCTAAAGCTGCAGTTGGTAAAGTAGTAGCAGTTACTCATATTAGCCAGGATAAAAGGTTGTTTGGTCATTTTTCTGGTGTGGTCAGTGTTCTTGTTTTTGTCTGGAGTTTTGACATGGTTATGGACTGTTGATCTATCACAGATTATAGTCTTGTGTGATGTTGGTGTTCTTTGAAATATTTATATTCAACGGGAGAACACCACAGCCTACCTGTGAGTGCCAGGCCAGCTTCCAGCAACACTAAGGCCTGTCTTACTGTACCAGACCAGTTTCTGGCTGCTAGGAGCTGTTTTTCTCATCAAATATTGGAGAAAAAACAGTAATACCAAGTGAAAACCAATAATTGATGTAGGTAGGAGATTGTATTGAACTTCATAGCTATGCAGGGAGTATGTGAATTACTGTGAGTTTTCTTCTAAAAGCTTATAATTGGTGGTTTGATTTTGAAACATGTTTAACAAAGAATCGCCCTGAACTTTTATTTTCACGTAGATGTCCTTTTCTAATTAGGTGCTTCAGGAGTTTGTATGTATGTATACTGGCAATGTGCAAAGCATTTTAGTTTAATTTTTGAACGCCTGTCTTGGGGTTTGCAATCAGAGCCTTGTGTCACTTTCTTTTTAAAAATAACCTGAGTGGTGACAGTGTTTGTTGCTGAATGAAGGATTTCATTTTTTTCAGTCAACTGAAAATCATTTGGACAAAATGAATAATAAGTGAAGTAATGTTGCTTTCATTAAAAAATCACAACTAGAGATTACCGAGTAATCTCTGGCATTTTGTGGCTTATATACTGTTTCTGGAAGTAACTGCTTTGAAGGACAGTCATGATGTAGATAAGTTCTGCATATATTTTTAAATTTATATTTATTTTTTAAAATTTTTTGAGACAAGGTCTCCCTCTGTCATCCAGGCTGGAGTGCAGTGGAGTGATCTCAGCCAACTGGACTTCCCCTCCCGGGATCAAGCAATCCTCCCACCCCAGCCTCCTGAGTAGCTGGGACTGCAGGCATGTGCTGCCACACTTGGCTAATTTTTTAAGGTTTTTGTAGAGATGAAGTCTCACTGTATTGCTCAGGTTTTTCTTGAACTCCTGGGCTCAAGCAGTTCTCCCTCCTTGGCTTCCCAAAGTGGTGGGATTACAGGTGTGAGCCACCATGCCTGGCCCTGCATATATTTTTTTAACGATTTCTTTTAAGATCAGCTATTTTAGTTAGCTGTTTTTTTTCAAGACAAAGTTATGCAAGAGGGATAACAGACCTATCAGTCATGTTATATCTTTAAACATGTATAGAGTAAGGTATTTTTGTATTATTTTAAGAATAGCGTGAAATAAAATGAGCTTTTTAAGTTATATAATTTTTATTAAATTTAATAATTTCTATTAAATTTAATAAATATTTAAGAACAGCATGAAATAAAGTGAGCTTTTGAAGTTATGATTTTTATTAAATTTAATCATTTCTATTAAAAAGTAGAGCTCGGATTTTCCTACCAAACCTTTTTACCAGTAAGGTCATAGGCTATAGGTATGGCATCAAGAAAGACTGATAATTCTGCTTTTTTTCCAAAATAAGTTATTAGCCATAGAGAATTCTTTTTTTTTAAAAAAAAAGTTACTCCATTACATTGATATCTTGTTTTTGTTTTTTTAAAGGAATTGTATTTATTTTTCCTTGTTGCATATTATTAGTATACTTATTCATGAACTTCTAATTTTAAGCAAATAAATGTTTTTATTTCAGTTAATGGCCAGCCAAGACCCCTTGAATCAAGTCAGGTGAAATATCTCCGTCGAGAACTGATAGAACTTCGAAATAAAGTGAATCGTTTATTGGATAGCTTGGAACCACCTGGAGAACCAGGACCTTCCACCAATATTCCTGAAAATGGTAAACCCTGAATCCATTGTATTCTGACTTATTGTTCTTACGTCTTTTTGGAGGTTTTAAAAAACTCTTTTTAAGTAGGAGAAGGATGGCATCCCCAATGTCACTCTTGTTTCTTCCTCTGCCTCTCTACTAGTATTTATGTCTGTGTTCCTAAACTTTGCTGTTCATCAGAATTACTAGGAGGTTTCATTATACCAATTTCTGGATCTCATCATAGACCTACTGGAGCGTAGCACCTGGAAATCCCATTTTTAAAGTGTTTTTTGGGTGATTCTTTCGCAACTAGTCTTAGACTTTTGGATTTGTTACACAGGTCAGTTTTCAAATCCTTTTGACACATGAACCCTTTTTAGTATAATAGATAAGTAATGAACCTTGGGAATTGAAAATCATTTCATGAATAATTACATAGTGTTGGAAGTATTTTCAACTAAAAATCACTTAGATTAGTAATGTTCATTAAAAATGGTATGTTGTAAATTTGAAACACAGTTTTTAATAATAATTAAAGAAAAACTAATTTTTTCCCCATTGTATAATGACATGTACTGTTTGTGTTAAGATAAAGCAAAATGTGTCAACATTTGGAACTGACATAATTTTGGGACCGAATGTATTTTAAAATGTGGACTGAACTTTAAGTATGTGTTAATGACTTGAAAGTACAGTTAAAAAACTGCTTTCTTCTTTTAAGATTCTTAGATGTTGCATTTAAAGAAAACTCTTATTATTATTTTTTTCTTTTTACAAATTCTTTGTTTGCTTATAATTTTCATAGTTTAAAACTGTCCATATTGTGAAATAGTAATTTAAAAAAAGTCTAGACTGGATGACTGCATATAAAGGGCTTAACATGAGATAATTTTTGTGGATAAATGGTATGTATTCTATTTTTGGCCACTAAATATTTTGGAAGTTTTTGTTTTCTATTTTTATTTTAGTTACAGTTTAAATAAAGATGTATTTTCCATCATTTCTCTCTTCCTGTCTTCTAATAGTCATATGGAATTATGTTAATGATAGATGTTTAATAAATATTTGGTGATTGATTATTCCTAGTTGCACTTCTATTTCAGAACATAATGGAGATTTGCTGAATACTATAATGAGATCCTCTTGGTCACTTTATGATGAAACCTTTTATATTTCAGGTCAAAGAAGGTTGCCTATTCTGAGCCCTACCTCTCCAAACAAAAATTTCCAATTTTAGATCAAGAATCAATGAAAAAGTTAGACAATTTTTCCAGAAGAATTCATAGATGCTGACACAACATTTGCATATAATTTCAGGGGATTTAACCATCTGCAGAATATTAAGAAGTGTAGATGAGAATTTAACCAGTATAGCCAATACTGTTCAGAAATTAGCTACAGTGGCCCACATTCTACTCTAAGGAATGGATTTATGAGTTTTTTGCTTTAGGTGAAACTTTTTCCTCACCTCTTTCTTGCTACTGTTTATACTTTATTCTTTGTGTCTATATTTTTTATACATACTGTTAGCTTTTTACCTATGTTAATGTAAAAGGTGTTAAAATTGGTTTCTTCTCTGCATTTTGGAAATCATGCCATATGTTGTTTTCTTGTATGGCCATTTTCTAGTTATTGTGTCCTGTCTGACATATCTGATGATAAGATGATATAAGAATAATACAATCTGCATTATATTTTTAGAGATAGTTCTTATTTTTTTAGAAAACAAAAACAACAAGAAAACCATACATCAGAAACTGAAATCTAGTCCACAAAATGAAATTGCCAATCAGCTATCAGTGCTATTTAGAACCTGTGGCTTACCCTCACCAAGAAATGTGGCCACCTGTGGTCTTCAGCTCTCTATTACAGCGGTTCTTGGATGCTTGTTTTCCTTTAAGAGGCAAATGATGTGTAAACTACCTTAGATAGAAGATTGACCTGTTGCAGTATCTCCAGCAGCTAATGGAGCAAGTAGTAGGACGTATAGTATGTTTCCTGATGGTTTTAGTTTGTGATAAGTGAAAAGAGGCATAGGTAGTGAGATGTGAGGGGAAACAACTTGTAAGACTGACGTGGTATGCTCTTGGGATTAGAGGAAGGAAGTTGGTAGGGAAGATAGATAACTGGTAGACATGTTTTAAAGGAATACTTCTAGTAGTAGTTTTCTTTTTCCAAACATTTAGAAAATATTAGGGTAGCCTGGAATGGTATGTTAGGAATGAATGAGCTGCCAGCCAGTGTGTGCTGTGGGTACTTATATTCGGTTTAGCACTTAACATTTTTTTCAGAAGATACATTTTGTATTGATTACAGGGGTGATCTAAGAACTGATGTTCATTTACTTGCTTGG
Source organism: Homo sapiens (assembly GCF_000001405.40). Lineage (NCBI taxonomy): Eukaryota > Metazoa > Chordata > Mammalia > Primates > Hominidae > Homo > Homo sapiens. The sequence continues at coordinate 100,731,185 of NC_000003.12, forward strand.
TAACAAAAGTGATAATCATTGTCCCTTAATTGAGTAAATGGTTAGCAACAGTCTTTTTGTTTACTTGTTCGTGTTTTTTGTTTGTTTCTTTTGATGTCTTTTGTATCTTGGACTTGGATTCCTATTTGTAAAATGTATGTTAAAATTCTTGAACTCTTTTTCTTTCACAAGACAGTAGTATAAATGCCTGTGGAATATCTTAGTATCCTGAGAAGAAAAGCATGATTTTAAATTTAACCTGCTCATAATATTTGACATTTTGTTTTTCTGTTGTTGTTTTAAACATTTTATTATAGAAAAGTTTAAGTATATAAGAAAGTAGACATTATAATGAATCCCAGAAACCCACATCCAGTTTCAACAGTTACCAACTTATAGTATCATATAATTACACTATACACATTTCCGCCCCTCCTGTTACCCAGAGTGGAGTACAATCTCAGCTCACTACAAACTTTGCCTCCTGGGTTCAAGTGATTCTCGTGACTCAGCCTCCTGAGTAGCTGGGATTACAGGCATGCATCACTGTGCCTAGCTAATTTTTGTATTTTTGGTAGAGATTGGGTTTTGCCAGGCTGGTCTCGAGCTCCTGACCTCAAGTGATCTACCCACCTCGGCCTCTCAAAGTGCTGGAATTACAGGCATGAGCTGTTGCACCCGGCTCCCCTCCTGTATTATTTTGATGCAGATCCCATATACATCATTTCATCTGTAAGCATTTTAATAAGTATTTTAATAAGTAATACATATTAAAATAGAAGGTAGCAAATTCAAAAATGTTTTTAATGTGCTATTTATGGAAGATTATGAATTAATTATGGTTGGCTTGATTTCCATGTAATTTAATAGTGGACCAGTAGACAGTAGAAATAAAATGTAAAATTTGAGATTATAACCTTAGTTCAGTTTCTTTTTATAAAATAAAGCCTTAGTTCCTATAATTATTATTTCCAGAGTGCCCAGTGGGTATCTGATACTAGGATATAGGTTATTGGGCTCCAAAAAAACCAAAAAAAGTAAAATGTTTCTCTTTATCAAGGAGCTTGTATTTTTTTCATCTAATGTTTCTTACAAAAGGAGGTAAATAATTTTTTTGGAAAGCTTTTGTTCATCTTCTGTTTCTTTTTGCCCTCTTCTCCCTGTTACTAGAAGGAAAAATATAAAAAAAATAAAGGAATTAAAATGATCTGTAATCCTATATTCCGACATGCTTAACATTCCAGACTATCATTATACACCTGCATTATTTCCCTTGTACTTTTAGGCCTTACTGAATATAGATAAAAAGGAAACAAGTTTTTGTTTATTCCTCTATTTTTACAGATACTGTGGATGGTAGGGAAGAAAAGTCTGCTTCTGATTCTTCTGGAAAACAGTCTACTCAGGTTATGGCAGCAAGTATGTCTGCTTTTGATCCTTTAAAAAACCAAGATGAAATCAATAAAAATGTTATGTCAGCGTTTGGCTTAACAGATGATCAGGTTTCAGGTAAGTTGGTTTCCAACTCCTTTACACCCTTCGTTTCCTTCATCTTTCCGTTCTTCCCTTTCCTTCTTTCTTTAATTGAAGAATAACTTGGATATGGTGAAGTGCACAAATCTTAAGGGTTCTGCTTAACAAATTTTTACATATGTGTACACTTATGTAAAAGACTAACTAGATTAAGATGTAGATGATTTCCAGCACTTCAGAAAGCTTTCTTATGTCCTCTCCCCAAGAGTAGCACCCTCCCCCTTAAAGAATAAGCACTGTTGGGTTCAAGTAAATTTTTGAAAGTAAAATTTAGAAAGTTTTTAAAAATCTGAACTATTTTATAATTTGATTAGTTGCAGTATTCGAATTATATTTGATTTGTCTTATCTCCTCATCTTAGAGAAATTGAAAATTAAATGTAGATTTTCTTGTTAAATTGCTTGAGTATACAGTGGGTTTTTATATAAATAAGTTTTTAACCTTAAAGCAGTACCTATATTGTTTTATTCTGTTTAACTTTTGGTTATAATTTCTTCATTATTTTTTCCTGCTTTTTCTCTTTTCGGATTCTAATAACACATACATTGGAGAGCTTGATACTGTCTCATGGGTCATTAAGGTTCATTTTTCTTCAGTCTTCTCTCTGTTCTTCAGGTTGGGTGATTTCTGTTGAACTCTTCAAGGTCGCTGTGATTTCTAATATGCTGTGGAACCTTTCTAGTGAATTGTTTAATTGTGCTTTCAGCTCTAGAATTTCCATTGGGTTTTTATAGTTTCTGTTTTTCTGTTGAGATTCTTTATTTTACATTCATTAAGTCTATATTTTCCTTTAATTGTTTGAATGTATTTATGTTTGATTCTTTAAAAATATTTAGCTGCTTTAAAATGTTTATCTGCAATATGTAACACTTGGACCCATTTGGAGTCAGTTTCTATTGACTGGGTTCCTCTCCCCCACACACACTCCCCCCAACTCCAGTAGGGTCACATTTTTCTGTTTCTTTGCCTGTCTGATAGTGTTTGGTTGAAAACTAGACATTCTGGTTAATATGTTGTAGTGACTTGGACTTATATTCTTTTGAGGATTTTCTGTTATTGTTGATCTAGCAGGGAGTTGATTTGTATGGACTTAACATAAATAACAAACAGAAAAGCGCTCTCTAAAAGAAAAAGGTATTTGGGAATAGAGCATTGCATTGAAAATATGCATGCCATAGTAAACTATGTGCATATTCAGTGAGGTAAAGGCAGACAAAGGTTTTTAAAGGAAAAAATGAGGAGAATATATAATTGTTTTGAAATAATTATTGTTGGCTACAAAGATCATTAGCAAGAGTGATGCCAGTCTGAGGTTGGACAGGCAGTTTCTGGGCAGATGTCCTCACAGTCACAGAAGTTTTTTTTTTTGCTTTTTTTTTTGCAAAGTTGTGATGGCCTTTGTGTAGGCTTGTGGTTTTTGAACTCTTTTGTGATAGTTTTTGCAAGAATCCTCTCTTCATGGCCTTATCAGAGTTTTTAATTTTTTTTTAACATTAATGACTTCATTTTGGTTTTGATAACTTTCACATACTCAAAACTGCTCCTTCTTTCTCCCTATGGTGTATAGCAGCTGATATGTATGCTCAGTCCTTTCAGCTTGCTCTAGGTGCTGCATTTTTCTCTGAGCCTTCTTGAGATATCCTCGTCTGCTCTCCCAGCCCTATAGTCAGCTGGGGATTTGGACAGAGTGTATATACCTAGATCGTGGGTCTTACCCTTTCAGTAGCACCTTCACTTCCGGGATTTTCCTCCTAAATCTTCAGCTGCTTGTCTAGCCATAAGGTTGTTAACACTGTGGTTTTCTGCCATTGGAGCTGCAGAGGTCAGCGCTTTTAATTCTTATCCATTCTAATTTTATTGGGGTAAACTCCTCTGGTTTCTGATTGACTTTCAGTTATTTCAAATAGTTTCTTTTGTTTTGTTCATGTTTTTAGTTGTTACCTGGGAGAGAGTTTATCTGATGGATTTACTTTGCCTTTATCAGTAGTTGGAAATGTGTACAGTCCATTTTGTATTTCTTAGAGACTTTCATGGAATTACTCACAAAAGAGAATTGTGTGAAAATTTGATGAGGTCAGACTTTTAAATTTTGATTTAAATGTAGTATATTCCAGACTAGAATAATATTAATATGATTCACATTATTTGAAGACCATTTTTCTCACAGCTTTGTATGTTGAATTATAGTAGGAAAAACTGTATGCATAGCTAGGATACTTTTGTAGTTCTTCAGGTGTGATGTGGTAAAAATGTGGCTTATTAGAATAATGAATGTGGCAGTGGGAAGGAGGGATAAAATATTACAAACATGGAATGAATATTAACTGTAATAAATTACATATAAGGGAGGAAAGAGGAGCCAAAGTAATAAATATATATATTTAGGCTAATAACAGTGTCTTTTGTGGGAAGAATGTGTGTATTTATCTACATAGATATAAATTTAAGTAAAATGGTGGTAGATAGAAACCATCATCCATTTTATTTTGGCAATCATCAGTCTCTCTTGCATTACCACTATTATATCCTAGTTTAGGTTCTTATTAATACTTGGACTGTCAGCTGTCAACTGTGCCTAATACTGTGGTAAGTTCTGGGGATACATCAGAGCAGAAGATAGAGGTTTGCCCTTAGAGAAATTAGTCTGCTGATAATAGCAAGTACTTATATGGAACTTTCTGAGTAGTAGTCACTTTTATAAGCTTTTGCTGTATAATTCCTTTTATAAGCCCATGCTATAAGCTCTTGTAAACTCATAATCCTCACAATAACCTTATCAAGTAGGAATTAGTATATCCTTTGTACAGATGAGGAAACTGAGGCACAGAAAGAGATTATGTAACATGTCCAGAGTTACACAGCTAGTGAGTGACAGCACTAGGATTTGAACCTGGGTAGTCTAGCTCCAAAACCTATGCTTTTAACCACTCTTCTGCATTGCCAAAGCAGAAAGAATTTAAAGGAATAAGACATATTTACATTGTCCTCAGAATATCTTTTTTGACTGTCACAGCATTGGAACTGTAATATATTCTCTCCATTCATTTCTGTGTTCATTATTTTGTAAGAATTATAGTGGCTCCATATGTAAGTTAGAGTGCTAGGCCTTGTTCGGCAGACAAAAAGAATCAACAGTCAGGAGCCCGGCCAAAAGAGTGCAGAGTCTTTAAGAGGGAAAGTGAGAGCTATTCAGAAATGCAAAGTAGAAGTCAGTATGAGTTAACAAAAGTAAACTAGATAGAAGTTCACTAGTAGAAAAAGTATTCATGAGTCAAGAAGGCTTACTAGAAGTGTGGAATTATAATTGGATTTTAAATAATGTTATATTTAAATATGTGAATGTTATATTTAAATATATGGGATCTAGTGGGAGAGAAATAGAGGTCAAAAAAATATTAGCTATGTTATGGGAGTAGGGAGAAGGTTAGTTTAGCTGAAAGGGAGGCATGTGAGAAGAGAAATTGTGAGAAATAATGTTTGGACCCTTAATGCCAAACTAGGAGGTTGAACTTAATTTATGGTCAGTGAAGACCCCTTGAAGAATGAAGTGACAATTTTGGTTCCTGTGCAGAATACATTGCTTGGAGTAGGGGGATATTGGCATTGCAGACATGAGTTTTGATTTTTGCAGGGAGAGGTTAAGACTCAGGAATATAGTACTCTACACTTTATAAGGAAGGAGTTCCAGTTGTAGCTTTGGATTAAGAGATTGGAGCAAAGGAAAAAATAAAGTACATACATTTAATGTAAAAAGGCGTATTTGTGGTTATATACTTATTCTATAGTACTTTTAGTATCTTTTAACCAAACTTATTCCTTGAGCTTGCTGGGGGAAGGCCTTGTGTTGGATACTAAACTGACTTTTTTTTGACTATCCAGGGCCACCCAGTGCTCCTGCAGAAGATCGTTCAGGAACACCCGACAGCATTGCTTCCTCCTCCTCAGCAGCTCACCCACCAGGCGTTCAGCCACAGCAGCCACCATATACAGGAGCTCAGACTCAAGCAGGTCAGATTGAAGGTAAAATAGAGTTTAGAACACATGTTTGGGAAAGTACATGTGTAGAAGTGTTTATTACAGCATTGTTGTAAACACTTCATGTATTTAGTCATGCCTTAAACACAGGAAAAATTTTGATTTACTGACATGATTTGATGTTAAAAAACCAAATAGAACAATATGTCAGGTATGTTTCCAATTATTGGAATGAAAAAAATACCTCAAAAAAGTGTTTCTATGAATATAGATACAGAGTGAAAGACCAGTCATTAGTCAGTGGTGACCCTTGGAGGGGAGGATAGTGAAGTTCAGACTGGTGATTTCACACTTTATTTTGTGTTATAGATGCTATTTTATCTCCCTCCTTTCTTCAACATCTGTGCATGATTTTTCTAATTTAAAAAAGATTTCTGAATAGAGGTAAAGGATAACTTTAGTTGTAGTGGGTTTTTTTTGTTAAGATTAGTAGCCTTTTATAATTTTGTAAATTTAGCAATATGTCTTTAATGGAAAAAAAGCAGTGTATTTTAAGTCAGACTTTTTCTTCTGAAATAATCTGTCCTTGGATATGCAGTTTAGTCTCTCTGGGTTTTGATATTCTTTCACTGTAAAATGTGAAAACTGGACTGAACCCAGTGGTTTCAAAAGAATGTCTTTAGTTCTGAATGAAATATAACCTGAAAGCTCCATATTTAAAATAGGGGATTGAAGGGCAACAGACTTCACACAGCAGGCACTAAGGTGCCTCATTGAAAACCTTGGAGTTCTGCAGAATGTGACTAAGTACTTAACTAATCTCTAGGGTGCCTTCCAGATAATGAAGTGTGATTTTTGTATTGTCTATGTGTGTTGGGACCTTTAAAGCCGCATTCCACTTCAAAACAAACACCAGGTGGTGCTCTAACTATTTGTTTAACGGGTCAGATAGTGGTATAATGTATTTCCAGCCCCAGAAGCAAGTGATTAAGGTTATCAATTACATTAAAACAAAAACAAAACATAGGCTAAAATGAACTGACCACTTTTGGAATAGAATCCTATCATCCTGTGGTGATACTTTCAGAGTTACCTGGCTAGGTGTGGTGCCTCACGCCTATAATCCCAGCACTTTGGGAGGCCGAGCCAGGAGGATCACTTGAGCCCAGGAGTTTGAGACTAGGCTGGGTGACATAGTGAGACCCTGTCCCTACAAAATAAAAAAAGATTTAAAAAAATTAGCCAGGTGCTATGGCATGTGCCTATAGTTCCAGCTACTTGGGAAGCTGAAGTGGGAGGATTGTTTGCATTGTTGAATTGAAGTGGGTGGTCTAGGCTGCAGTGAGCTGTATCACTCCACTGCACTCCAGCCTGGGCAACAGAACGAGACCCTGTCTCAAAAACAAACAAAGCCAAAAAAAAAAAAATCCACAGAGTTGTCTGTTGGATGAACACCAGTCATTATGGACTAGCAGGTGACATTTTGCTGATGAATCAGTGGTTTGCGAAGAATTTCTTATTGCTTAAGCCTTTTCTCAACCAACTTTAATTAACTCCTCCTCTGCACCAAAATGCTACTGCCAAAACTAGAACAAACTAGAACTAAAGCAGATGTCAGCTGAAATGGACAAAAGCAGAGTATAGGTATGATGAGAGTTTAATGCCTACATCAAGCGAACTAAAGATTTGTTTTTAAATAAATCCCATTTTAAGCAGTGTATACTGTGATACAATGACAGTTGGAAGGATCATTGTACCAAATAATGTTTGCTGTTTATGTATAAATAAATGGGAATTAAGGCGCTACTAGCAATATCTAAACATTCTATGAAGTGTTTAATTGAGCATTTTCAAATAAGTAAAATTTTAAAAATGCGAAAGGACATACAGTGAAAATTCTCTCTCCCACCTCTGTCCACAGCAACCAAATTCCTTTTTTCAGAGGTAGCAGATTAACACTGTTTATATGCATTTAATTTTTAGAGTAGTATTGTATGCCTTGCTGCAATTAACTGTTAGCTTACATTAAAACATACAGTATGAAAATTGTACAATTAATATGTGACATCATTTAAACTATTAATAACTGATCTAATTCTAGATCAGTGCTGTCCAAAAGAATTACGATAGAAGCCACATGTAGTTTTTCTATTTAGCAGCATTAGAAAAATGTTTAAGAAAAGGTAAAATTAATTTTATTTAGCCTAATGTATCCAACGTGTACTCACTATTAAAAAGTTAATTTTTTTGGTACTGTGTATTGGAAGTCTGGGATTTGACACTGATTTGGAACACTTCAAACAACAAACAACATATCACATTTCAAACAAGCCACATTTCAGGTGCTCAATAGCCACATGTAGCTAGTGATTATTTTAAGAGCACAGCTTTAGATAAATATAGTCGTTATTTATAGATTCCCAGCATGAATTATAGGCTACTTTTACTTTTTGTTGTATAATGAGTCTTTGACATTGTCAGTTATTTAGATCAACTACTGGTTATAATTTGAGCAGAATTACCAACATAAAATGTATTACTTATAATTTGTTAACATAGCAATCTCTTACAATGTGTTAATAGTCCATACTAAAATTAAGAATTCTGAGTTGTTACTTAACTCCCATAAAAGGGACTTTGGAACTGTGAATTTTATTCCAAATAAATGTAGTCTTAATATGTTTTTCAGTTAAAAGGATCAACAAGATATTGAGCATCATTAAAAAAAAACCAAAAGGGATAATGTTACTCTTTTTCATATAAAGCCAGTGCCTGTTACAGGAAGACTATGTGATGTTGCCAGAAATGTAACTGGTAAGGAGAAGAACGCTAAAAATCATCAGAGATCGGGAGATATTGCTGTTTGACAGCCTAAAAAAATGAAAAAGCATATAATTAAAATCTTTAAAATCATATGCCAATATAATGAAAAGCTGAGTAGCCTTTATTATGTAAATATTGAAACATACATAGAATAATCAACTCTTCATGTAGTCATGTGGCTTCAACACTTACCAATATTTTGGCATTCTTTTTTCATCATTTTTTCCCCACTGCACCCCTTTTAATTTGCTGGAGTAGTTTAAATCAAATTATGAACAGCTTATTATACTCAGGTATTTCAGTATATATGTCCAACTGATAATCTTCTTTTTAATATAACCACCATGCTGTTACTTAACAGTGATTCTTTTTATTTTTAATTGTGACAGGGTGTCACTCTGTTGCCCAGGTTGGAGTGTACTGGCTTGATTACAGCTCACCTGCAACCTCAACAGTGATTCTTAATGTCAACGTGTGCTAGTCTGTGTTTGAATTTCCCTAATTGTTTCAAGATTCGTTTGTTAAATTGACTTGTTCAAATGAGGGGCCTAACAAGGTTCACACTTTGCATTGTTAATGTGTCTTGAGTCGTTTTTTCTAATAGCCATTAGAAAAAACTTACATGTTTCTAAAATCCCTTACATGTTTCTAAAATCAAAACTATGTGTATTATTTATTACTGTGTAACTATTATCCCAAAACATAGATACTTAGACAACAAAAGTTAATTATCTCATACAGTTTTAGACAGATATCCCGGAATGGTTTAGCTGGGTGATTTTGGCTCAGCATCTCTCATGAGGTTGCAGTTAAAAATGGCTGCTGGGGTTATAGTCATCTGAAGCTTAACCAGAGCTGGAGGATTCAGTTCTTTACCATTTGGACTTCTCCATGGGGCTGCTTGGGTGACCTCATGACATGACAGCTTCACCAGAATGAGTAATCAGAAGAGAGTGAGGTAGAAGATAACCTTTTATAGCCTGTCCTCAGAAATGTCACTGTCATTTCTGCAATATTTTCTTGGTATACAGGTCAGCCCTATTCAGTATGTGAGGGACTAACAGGGAGCAGATACTCATGTGCTTGTTGCTTATTTGGTCATTTTTGTATTGTGGAGTTAAATCTTTCTAATTTCTAAGAATATAAACGATACCAACCCATTGTCATAAATGCTATACATGTGCAGAAGCCGTTGAGGGTCATGATAGAGGTTGGCTACTCTGTGTAATAAATAATTCCCAGAAGTCTTACCATTACTCTTTGCTTCATCCTGTTCTCTTTTCCCCTTAATTTTTTTTATTACTTTTTACTTTATTCTGTCATTGATTCTTTTTGAAAATATACATAAAACATAGCTTATATATAGTCATGCACTGTATAACATTTCAGTCAACAGTGGACTGCATATATGATGGTGGTCTCATAAGATTATAATGGAGGTGAAAAATTTCTATTGCCTAGTGATGTGTAGCCATCATAATGTAGCACAAGGCATTACTTACGTGTTTGTGGTGATTCTGGTGTAAACAGACTTACTGCCAGTCATATAAAAGTGTAGCTCACATAATTATGGGTAGTACCTAATACTTGATAATGATGATAGGTGACTCTCTTACTCATTTGTGAATTTACTATACTATATTTTTAAATCATTAGAGTGTACTCCTACTTATTTAAAAAAAAACAAAGCTGTAGAACCAGGCTCAGATAGGTCCTTCAGAAGGTATTCCGGAAGAAGGCATTGTTATCATAGGAGATGAGAGCTCCATGGATGTTCTTGACCCTGAAGACCTTCCAGTGGGACAGGATATGGAGGTGGAAAATAGTGATATCAATGATCCTGATGCTGTATAGGCCTAGGCTAATGTGTATGTTTGTGTCATAATTTTTTTCTAAATGTTTAAAAAAGTAAAAATTTAAAATTAAAAGAATAGAAAAATGCTTATAGAATAAGGATATAAAGAATAAATATTTTTGTATAGTAGCACAATGTACTTTAAGCTAAAGTATTAAAAAAGTTAAAAAATCAAGTTTATAAAGTAAAAACATTACAGTAAGCTAAGGTTAATTTATTGAAGAAATGGAATTTTAAAAAATAAATGTAGTATAGCCTAAGTGTATAGCGTTTGTAAACCTTTAGTAGTGCACAGTAATGTCCTTGGCCTTCACATTCACTCAACACAAGTACCTCACTTGGAGCAGCTTTTAATCCTACAAGCTCCAGTCATGGTAAGTGCCCTAGGCAGGCATACCATTTTTTATCTTTTTTGCCATATTTTCACTGTACCTTTTTTATGTTTTGATATGTTTAGATACACAAATAATTACCATGTGTTAGAATTGCCTAAGTATTCAGTACAGGAACATGCTCTACAGGTTTGTAGACTGCTATGTACCATATAGCCTAGCTATGTAGTAGGCTATATACATCTAGGTTTGTGTAAGTATACTATATGATTATACAGTGACACAATTTTCAGAACCTACTCTTGTCATTAAGCAATGCATGACCATATTTTTTATTACTCAAAACATTGCTTACTATAAACAATGTCTGCATTTTGCTCTCTTCATATATCCTATAGATCTCTCAAGTATGTGAAGAAGTTCATCCTTTTTCTTTTTTTAAACAATTAAACAGACTTCTTAATTAATTTTCAGAATACTGTGACAGTCCCATTTGGACTTGAATGAGGTGGGTTTAAAGTAAGTACCGTAAATCCTCACTTAACATTGTTGATAGGTTCTTGGAAATTGTAACTTTAAGTGAGATGACGTATGAGGAAATCAGTTCTACCATAGGCTAATTGATATGAGTAAGTTGAGTTCCTACAGCATATCTCTGATCACAAAAATACCCCCAGACTTCTAGATAAAGACTAAAAACAAATGTGAGTTATAGATACATTTAAGAAAGATTAATAAAAACAAATAAGATAATGATTTATGCAGTTATTCCAATTCAGGGTTGTGGGTGGCTGAAATCTATCCCATCAGCTCAGTAGCAAAGTGGGGACCAACCCTGACAGGTTGCTATTCCATTGCAGGGTGCATTGCAACCACACACACACCCATAGTCGTTCAGACTGAGATCATTTAGACATGCTAAGTAACCTAACATACACATCTTTGGGATGTGGGAGGAAATTGAAGTGCCCAGAGAAAACCCACACAGACTTGGGGAGAATGTGCAGACTCTACACAGAACAGTAACCCCAACTGGGAATAATTTTTTTTTCCTTCTCAGTGTTTTAACGAAACAATGTCGAACAAAAGATGTTATTTGAGGATCTGCTGTGTAAAAGGAATCTTGTGTAGAGATATAATAAACCTCTGAAATTTTTAACTCTAGGGATGTTTTTCAAAATCAATTTATAGCAGTTTATGAAAACATGCAAAAAAAAAAAGCTTTATGAAGAGTTGTACCCTATAAATTTTTATTGAGGGGAATAACTGTGGTTTTGACCAGGAGTTCCTTACTCATTGATGACCACAGTCTACTACTACGTGGAACCTTAATCTCAGCCTTTTTTGATGATGCCCAAGTTAATATTTATATTGTTTTGTTCATGGGATAATATATGCAAAATGACTTTATAAACTAAAGCTTTGGAGTTATGCCTGAGTTCCAGTGATGGTTCTTAGCTCTTCATGGTTCTGTTCTTAGCTATTGACTGCAGGTAAGTTGCTTAATTTTTCTGTATCTGAGATAAGGAATACTAATATGGTTGAATTTTTTTAAATGTGTTTATTGCCTGTTTGCTTATTTTTTTATTGTGGAGTTAAGCCTTCTAATTTTCAAGAATTAAGAGTTCATTGTTATGTGCTATACGTATTTATTCCCCTTGATTATATTTCTGTACCTACTTACCTTTTTATTTTAGATTCTGGTCACTTCTATTCCGAAAGTTAGTTATGAAGTACAATCCAGGATTAAGGTGGCATCTAAATTTGGTTAATTTCTGTGCTACCTTTTATGCTATTAGTCTAAATCATTAAGAAAGCATTTAAGAAACTTTTGTAAGCGTTTCTTTTTTTTTCTTGTCATATTTGGGAATAGGATAAATAGCTTAAAATAGTTGAGCTGATTTTTATTTGTATTCTTTTTTTATTATAAAGAAACATTTGCTAGGAAATAAGCTGGATATAAACATAGTTGTATCTCCTTTAGTGCTACCCAGCACTAAAAACTTAGACACGTATAGGGCTGAGCAGCTGGTATAATAGAGTGGGCTCCGTCTCATTTTCTAAGCCTGTGAGTCCTAGCTGCCTACTGCAGCTCGATTTGAGTGGGAGTTGATATAATGTCTTTTTTTTTTTCTCACTTCAGCAGTAAGTATCTGGTTTGCTCATAGTCTTTTGATTAATAGGTAGTTTGAATATTTTTCAAAGAATCAGCCAACATGTGATTATTTTAAAGATTTAAATACCAGATAGATATTAAAATGCAAGGTTATTGCTACTAGATATTACATCTAGCTAAATCAACCATTGTGAAATAATTGAGAAGTAGAGATAATAAAGACATAAACCAATAAATCTTTGCTTGAAAATCACAGGTATGGGAACAGATTGTGAGGACAGAAAAATAAAAAGTAAAAAGAAAAATCATAGGTAATAAGTGTCTAAAGGGTTTCTTCATAGGAACAGTGGTTGTTGACCCCAAATAGGACAAATAGGACTCCCATGTTCAAGAACACATCACCGTTGTTAAAAAGGTCTGCCATTATTAAATAGTGCAATGAAGAACCATTTAGACTTTATTAGAGTCCACGTTATTGGCAAAAGATGTTGGATATTCATAGAAAATCAAACTTGACAAATTCCAAAAGTGTCTTTCAGCTCTGGAACAAAAGATGTCATATAGTTCCTTGCTACCAAAGAGTTTGTTCATATGGTAATAGAGGCCCATACCTTTAGAGGGCAAATACAGTGCTTTAGGAAGGACTTAGATGATATAAATGGTATTTGTCCCTTTTCTCATTTTTATTTACTGATTTTCAACTCACTTGGCTTTTAATGAACATTAGCGTTACTTATCTGTTGGCAGCTGGGTTGGAAAACATTTGTTTTTCTAGACTTTATGAAATGGTAGCCACTGGTGTTGCACTTAATGTTTATTGCCAGTTAGTTCTCTGCAGTTAATCCACAGCAGAGGAATCACACTTCTAAAATGGTTCATTCTCTTCTTCATAGACATTTAAAGTTGAACAAATACTTTCTTGTATATTGTTACTCTGTTTGGATGGAGAGGGAATGTATATGTATCTTAAAAATATTTCTCTTTGCCACATTAAACATGCCTTTTTTCCTTGTGTGTGTGTGTGTGTGTTTTCAGGTCAGATGTACCAACAGTACCAGCAACAGGCCGGCTATGGTGCACAGCAGCCGCAGGCTCCACCTCAGCAGCCTCAACAGTATGGTATTCAGTATTCAGGTGAGCAGGTGTTGAAAGGGAGTTGGCTCATGGTTTTTTGTTTCTATACTCATTAAACTTTAAGTTCTTAATTCCTTGATTTGTAGTACATTGATATAATAGGTATTAAGTTTTTATTAGGGGAAACAACATTTGTTTTATTTATTTTTAAATATTTTACATTAATATTGTAAATCAACATTTCAGTTTTCTGGTGGGGAGATAAAACTTACAGTAGATGATTCTGCAGTAACTTGTAGTATAAAAAGTTTTTAATACAAAGCTGTCTTACTAACATTATCAGTTTATCTCTTAGGCGACTTAGTGCAAGTTTTCCCCCTTCCCTCCACCTCTCCATTTATATGTAACACGTAATTCCAGTGTACTCTTAGTACCTGTAGAAATATGAACAGTTTACTATACATGGAAAGGTGATGTTATTTAAATAAGAGCTCAATTAAGCTACTTAGATTTTAAAATCTCTTGCAAGTATGTAGGAATACCAGAAATAGGCCATAAAAATAAAATCGTATAAAATGTAATTCAGGCAACTAAGAACATTGTTTAGTTGTTTTAAATAAGCATCCTGAGTATTTTGTTTCTATTTTACCATCTGTCCACTGAAGATTATATGTATTTAAGTATGATAAATATTATTAATGTAACTTTGGCTATAATTCCAGTATTTTTTACAGTTATGTCAGAGAGTTTGTGTCCAACTCTTGTTTTACAGCCAAAGATTGAAGTATCAGAATTTCAACTGTAATTAGAAATAATTTATGCAGGTTGAATCTAGTCTAAATTCTATTTTATAGAGTTTTGTGGTATCAGCTAGAGCAGGAGTCAGTAAAGTATAGCCCACAGGCCAAATCTGGACTATTGCCTGTTTTTTTGAATAAAGTTTTATTGGAACACACTTCTACTTTTATATTCTCTACTGCTACTTGGGCACTAGAATGGCAGAGTTGAGTAGTTGCAACAGAAGACCATGTGGCCCACAAAGCCTAAACTATTTACTATCTGGCTCTTTACAGAAAAGTTTGCTGACTCCTGACCTAGACCATAACATTCTGTCATTAATTAAAATTTGAAATATTTTGACACAATTTTATTTAGATTGTATTTGCTGTAGAGTGACTTAACTTGTAGCTACTTGTTTTTAATTGTATAAAATACATAGAACTTAAGTTTGGATTATATCAGGAGGAAGGTTATTTTTAGGATGCAGTTCTTTTAAAAAAATCAGTGTTACAAACTATGTTATTTATAGAAAGAATAGCAGAGCTGAAGAGATTTAGTCATCATTTAATCTCGGGATTTCGGTCCTCACTATGCTTTAGAATCACCTGGGGGAGGCTATGTGTGGGGCCCCATTCCCAGAGATTTTGAATTTCATTTGATTGGGTGTGGGACTCAGGCGTTTGCATTTTATAAATGAGGCAACTAGTTTTGAAAGAGATTGTGACTTGTCAAAGCACATACAGCCATTCAGTGGAGGGAGCTGGATCAGTTCAGTATTTCCCTGTATCATTCTGCATTCTACAACCTAGACTGGAGTTGGCAGACTTACTCCATAAAAGGCTAGATGTCCTATGTATTAAAAAAAAAACTCACATAATTTCCATATTTCCATTTTTTTGCTATTTCTGATGTCCTTCACCTAAAGTTATTTATTATTTTGGAGGGACGGAAGGGAGACTATATATATACACACACACACATGATAGAAGCATTGCCACATTATGTTCAAGAGACTGGTGGGCTGCTAATGAAATCTTCAGCCTGTAGGGTTATTCCCTCCCCTAAGCAATAATTAAGGATCAGATTACTTCCAGGCCCAGTTAAAAAAAAACAATTCAGATTTCAGGTGCCAGGATGAAAAGGCACTTTTCTTTTTTCTCGCAGTGTTAAAATGAATAGGCATTTTCAGTATAAAGCTGAATCCATCTATTTCTTCAAAACCTTATAGTGAAAATTTAAGTTTTATGTAGAGGATAGGAGAACTTGTATGACATTCAGAATTTTTTATGAGTTGGTTTCAGGTCAGTATTTAGATGCTACCATGAGTTAATGCGTTAAAGATACTTGATTTACTTATTAAGAACTAAGCTTGCTCTTAATAAATTTAGTCAGGGTCTTCACTCTGAGTAAAATTTAGTCTTTTCAAATTATTATCTTTGTATTTCTGATCCTACTAGTCTATTAACTTGAATTTGATTGAGAGATATGGAAATAGTCAACTAAATACTCTGCTTGGAGACTAAGAGGTGGTGGTGGTAACATTGGACCATCTTTGACACTGTTGGTTTGCCAGTTTCCCTCTGACCTTTTCCAGTTTTGTTCATGGACTATGTCATAAAGGTTTCTTTCATGAGTAAATTTTGAACCCAGGTTCAAGGTGAGTTCAGAATATACTCAAATTCATTCAATCCTTTTTTTTTTTAATGCAGGGTTGTACATATTTTAATAATTTTCTTATGTATCTGGTATTTAATGCTGACAGGATTCCAGTCAATGGAGAGGTTTCATTGCAAGTAGCTGCAGGTGTGTTTCATGGTAGAGATAAAAGTTTTCAGTGAAGCAGACTTTCGTTGTAAAAAAAATTACATCCTAGTAAATAATGAATATAGATGTTGCTTTTTATGGGGCAATATGGTATGCTTTTTATGTGTTATGCTGTACTGCTAAGTAAAAATTTTGAGTTGTAAAGGCAAAAAACATCAGATACCAAATCTAAAAGGAATGATTTTAAAGATTGTGAAAATGGTACTTTTTATTTATTTGCAAAATTTAAAGCACCTGATTAGTACAATAAGATGTATTTATAGTATTATTTCATATAAAAATGTTCATTCTCCGCAATGTGTTTTTATTTGATACTGTTAAGTAGGTCTCCCCTGAAAACCTGGTTAATGACTATTTAGCTTTCCCATTTTTGGTCTTCCTAGAAAGTATAATTCTTTCATTTATCATTTGAGCATCTGTTCTAGGAATTATGCTATGTCAGGAATTTGCTCTCAGGGATTATGTCTTAGAGAGTTTAAAAAATTGTAGAGAATGCCTCTTTGATAACTACTTGGTCTTGAAATATTATGTGATGGAATCTACCACTCTGCTTGTTACATACATATTTATTAAATTTCTCACCATTTTTGGTCCACCTAACAGTAAGACTAATTCTTTGGAAAAGTAGTTTTACTAAAAGATAAGATACATGTTATTTATTTTGCCTTTTCAGCAAGCTATAGTCAGCAGACTGGACCTCAACAACCTCAGCAGTTCCAGGGATATGGCCAGCAACCAACTTCCCAGGCACCAGCTCCTGCCTTTTCTGGTCAGCCTCAACAACTGCCTGCTCAGCCGCCACAGCAGTACCAGGCGAGCAATTATCCTGCACAAACTTACACTGCCCAAACTTCTCAGCCTACTAATTATACTGTGGCTCCTGCCTCTCAACCTGGAATGGCTCCAAGCCAACCTGGGGCCTATCAACCAAGACCAGGTTTTACTTCACTTCCTGGAAGTACCATGACCCCTCCTCCAAGTGGGCCTAATCCTTATGCGCGTAACCGTCCTCCCTTTGGTCAGGGCTATACCCAACCTGGACCTGGTTATCGATAAGGAGGCTCCTCTACACCAATTAATGTAGCTGCTAGCTATTGGCCTCCCAAAAGACTCCAGTACTATTTTAATTTGTATTGAAGAAGTTCAGAAATTTAAAAGCAGAGCATTTTTTATGATATCATTGTTGGTGTTAATTGAAAGTATAATTTGCTGGAACACAAAGACCAAAATGAAAGTTTTTTCCTCCCTGCTTAAAAATGTAGCAGCTTCTTAGTTACTTTGGAACACTACTCTTACATGTATAAAGTGATTGACTTGACTTTCTAGCTTCCCTTGTCCGGAGGATATTAAAATGCTAGGGTGAGGTTTAGCCATCTTACTTGGCTTTTTACTATTAACATGATGTACTAAAGTAGAGCCCTTTGAGAATACAAGATATTATGTATAAAATGTAACACTGATGATAGGTTAATAAAGATGATTGAATCCATTAGTGGTCTTGAAATTTTAATTTAGTCACTAACATTATGTGAAAAAAGGAACAATTTTTCAGAAGTCCTTATTGGTGTTTGGTCTTAAAATGAAGTATAAACATTTTAACTAACTTACAGATTTCCATTCAGAGAAAACAGTGCCATTTGGTTTTTGCCCTTCCTTTGAAAAAAATGCATTTGGTAATCGTTGGTTTAAAATGAACTTTATTACTTCATAGGATGAAAGGTTAATTTAGGACATAAACAAACAGTAGATATAATGGGGGTTGGTAGAGCCTGAATAAAACTTAGTGATTTTCCTTCTCGATAAAAGGTATAGTTAACATACTGATGAACCATTCAGAAATAACAAACAAAAACTCAATCTTAAAAAAAAACTACATCTCTTTATTGCAGAATTTATACTTGTTTGAAAAATACAAAATGTAGCGTTGATAAGATTGAAGCATGTTGAAAGGTAAGTACAGGGAAAGGTCCTTTCAGAATGACTGCAACAGTGCAGCAAGGATTCCCATTCCCCGCCTAAAGGACAATACCTTTTTAATAGAAATAAATGAGTTAGTTAGTTAGATTTTTATTACAGATTGAATTAAACAGTTACAAAGACATTCTCTGATACATTCATTCATAGAGGTCTTAACGTATAAATACATAGTAAATATCCTATAAAATGGTAGGCAATCTCATCGTGCATTATCTTTTTGTGCTCAGACTTGACTTCACATTCAGTCTCTACATACAGCTTGATTAGAATCATAAAAACAATATGAAGACGATTGCATAAAGGGATAGTTTGACAAAGCATATTCAGATATTGTAACATTTATGGTGGGTAAAAATGTATCTTTTGAAACAATATATTAGACTCCATTTTTAGCTGAAATGAAATTTACTGATTCAATCTTTTTAAGAATTTGTGGATGTTTAAAGGAAATGTATATTAGCATGAATGTGTAACTATTAAACTCCTCCGCAAAGCTATTCAGCTGTTGCTAAAAAATTGAAGTTTAAATATAAAAAATTGAAGTTTAAATATAAATGTGAAAATTCGGACCTTTTTTCCCCAGATATACATGCTGAAGATAATTTGATCCAATAAGTTAAACTAAGTAGAGATTTATGGAATTAACTCATCAATAGGAAGAGTACACATCAATAAAAGTAAATTTTTTTTAAAAAGTATATACCTTTTTGATGTTAATTTTGTTATAAAAGTATCTCAAAACATCATTACAACAGTGTGATAAATAATATACAAATGATCTCTTAAAATACCATGAATAGGGAGCCAGCTTCCCCAAAAATGTTATTCTGTTAACATCAGTATCTTGCTTTCTTAAAATGACTTTGTAAAACCTGATAAATACTCTCAGCAATCTTTTCTAATAATAAACATCTAGTATTGCTATTAATTAGATTGTAGACTTTTATACATAGTAAACAAAATAGCTTTAAATGAATGCGGCATAGTATTTTCAATGATTTTTGTTTGCAATGATGAAACAGAAGGTAACTTTGTGCAGCATCTACCATTTTCCAGGAATTGTAGTCCCACATTCATACCACTGAACATAATTGATTTGGGTGTGACCACCTATTTCTCCAAATTGGACAGGTTCCTGGCGAACTGCTCTGAAATAACCTGAGAGAGAAAATAGTTTCATTTTAATAGCTGCTGTATTATATTTTTGCCCTCACAGCTCATAGATTGAAGGATGTCGTTGACTAGCTGAAGGCTAATCTTAGTGAAGCGAGGTAATTTAGAAAACTGAGAGCAAGAAGTTCTGGTGTTTTTTCCTGAGGTGTAGTCATGGTTGGCTAAAATGGGCACCTGAAAAATTGTTGACATTTGCCGTGTCAAGTTAGGAGGGGATGGTTGGTAGTGAGTTTCACTGCCCATTATGTGTTCAAAGAACTTAGTAGGTCATCTTTCAGTATTGTTGGTATTTTTAAGTGCCCGTGAACAAAATGTGTTACTGAAAAATCGAATCAAATAGTTTATTTAGAGAACCTCCAGGTGATTCTGGACTAATAGGAACAATTAATTTACCCCCTTCTGCACTGCTTAGACAAGGATTAATTTTCAGTCTTATTCAGTCCTCATTACACAGCTTGGTGCCAATGGGTCTTTAGCAATTTACAGAGGTTATTCATTTCCCACAGAATTATTCTAATTATATTTATACAGTTACTTGCAAGGTAAGTACTATTTTTTCCATTTATGATAGCAGTAGTTAAAAAATTTTTTTTCTTAAGGAAATAAAAATAACGCAAGTACACTCAGTATGACAAAACCCATAACATTAATAAATGAGTGATTTAAGTTTGGGAAACTGCTTTTTTATAGCTGTTTTTGCAAGTTTAGAGTTTCTTGAAGTAGAATGCATTTATATTATGTCTGTAATTTCCCTTGGCTCCAGGTTTCTAAGCTGAGAAACTTACATTGAAGTCTTCATTTTTTCCTAGATATGTGGAGCAGTAGTACTATAGAATTCTTTTTAAATTGCTTGCTTTCCTCAGCTTGATTTCTTTCTGAGTTAATCTGTAAAACTCTGTTCTTATGAGGAGGATCAGAAAACATACCTTCTTTGATTGGTAACTGGTCAGAAGTGAGTTGCTGCCCAGTGCGTCCATCTAAAAATGAATCCACAAACTGGCAGTGATCTTCTCCATGGCCCCTCTGATCACCTATGTTATAAAATTTTCCTGAAGAACCAGAAATTAAAAGGATAAAGTTTACTTTCTTACTTTGAAATGTGACAATTTTGAAATCATCATTACTGTTTTTGTACTTTCTCCCCTCATTCTCTATTACCCTAGTTCAAACCAACAATGTTTCTTGCCTACCTGTATTCTTCCTCCCCTCCCTTTCAGGGATTAGTGATCTTTTAAAAATGCATGTCAGTTAATGTTCGTTCTCTCCATAAATTTCCCCAGCAGTCTCCCATTATACTCAGAATAAAATCCAAAGTTCTTACCTGATTTCAAACTCCACATGATTTCACACCTGCCTGCCCCTCCACTTACTAAGTCTGGGCCATACTGGTGGAACTGGCCAGGTGTATTCTACCTTAGGCCTTTGACCTTCTCTTTCCTCTAGACCTTTGTGTGGTTAGTTCCTTCTCAATTTTCTCCTTAGCTAGTGCTAACTAACTTTTTAGAGAGGCCTTCACCTTTTTGAAAATGTTCTTTAAAGTACCTCTATGAAATGTTTACTTATTTATGTATTGTCTATCTCTTCTTACTAAGGAAGGGAAGGAGAGGTAAGCTTTAGGAAAATAGGAAATATCTTTTATGCTGCTTTGTGTTCAGCACTTAGAAGAGTTGAATGACTGAAAAAAATCTACTTTTTAATGTTAGGGCCAGGCCTATTCATTAAAAATTTTTACTCTGTAAATATAGAAAATTATAACCTATTGGGCACGGAGCAGGGGGTTGTAGCTCTTCTAGCATCTTGAAGATGTTATATTCATTCCATGGTTATTGTTAGATTTAGTCACTTTATTGTCAGTCGGTTTTTTTATCCCTGGATGGTTGTAACAAAATGGAGTTTGACCATGGTTAGTGAATGTACATTCCAGTTTGTCATGATGGCACTGTTTTATAATTGCATTTTTATTATTTACCTTCTAATAGCATGTCTTAAATCCTTGCTTTCTAGGAATGATAACTGTTTCCGTAACATTTTGCTCAGAGGAAAACTTGTGTTTACAGCACCCATTCGTGCCTGAAACTCTTAAGAAAAGGCCAAGTTGTACAATGCTGCAAAACATTCCCATAAGTTAAGGGCTGAAAACAGAGCTGGTAGCTCTGCTTACCTGTGAGGGAGTCGCTCAAGTAAATCTTGTATCTGAGAGAGTTGCACAGCTGCACTCCTACAAATTTTTTATACCATGTCCTTTTGACATATTGTTTGCCCTTACACTCTGAGTAAGAGTCTGAATTAAAGGGTCTTTCAGTCCAGATGGCATCTCTTCCTGCTACAAAAGGAAAATAGTTTGAGTTTAGTATCTGACTCTTGGGTCAGATACTTCAAGAAATCAGTTTACAAAATTTGTCAACTTGCTGATACCTTTTTTTCCCCCCATGCTAAATACTGGAGCCAAAAATATTAGAGGGATTTAAACAAGTAAACCCCAGAGTAAGTTTCTGTCAATAGATAAATCTGAGAGCAGCATGTTAAGGTGTTTAGGTGTTGAATAGCCTCTGCAGAGCTGGATGTAGACAGTGTCATTTAGGAGCAAATTTAGGTTTCTTTTTTGTAGCATGTTATAAAGTTTAGACAACTGCTTTAATATGACTTGTTATTAAAAGTGGAAATGAGGGTGTTAATATCTTTTTTTTTTTTTGAGACAGGATCTCACTCTGTTGCCCAAGCTGGATAATGGCTCACTGTAGCATTAACCTCCTGGGCTCAAGTGAACATCCCACCTCAGCCTCCCAAGTAGCTAGGACCACAGGTGTGCATCATCATGCCTAGCTAATTTTTTATTTTTAAATTTTTTGTAGAGAGGGAGTCTCATTACGTTGCCAGGCTGGTCTCCAGCTCCTGGGCTCAAGCAATCCTCCCACCTCAGCCTCTCAGAGTGCTGGGATTACACTGGCTGTTTTATTAAACAGTAATAAGCCTGGTGCATGAGTGAAAGCAAATTTCAAAATGTCCAACTTGTTCCCAGAACATCATGGGTCCTCAGTGTTGTACAATGTGTAGGTAAACATTCACAACTGTTTGGTGTTATAAGAAGACTAAGTGGAAAAACGCGAAATCATGATTCAGATTCTGCCATGCCTGTTCAGTTGAATAAATTTAGAAAAGCATGTAGTTGTGCCTCATTGAGACAGGTACTTACCAGAAACTGGCTCACTCACTCTTGGGTCCGCTGAGGAGAAATAAATAGAAAAGTCAGACCTTACTAGGTAAAACCCCAACATTCCAGTGGCATGGTGAAGATGATGGGGGCTTACACTTGTTAAGAAGTCTTATTTGCAAAATGGTACTCTTTTGCTAAGGATTGAATTTGAAAGTTTGCTTTGTTTTGGAAATTGTTCTTGATTGAATAATCTCCTGCCTGGTAGGTATTCAGCTGTATCTGTTACATGTAATTTGAGTACTTAGGAACATTTGTCGCTGTTCCAGCTTTCACTTGAATTTCAAAAGCTGCTGCTTTTAGTTTGATAGAAAAACTTCATGGTAAAAATCACCAAGATGCCATGAACTACAGTTGGTATAAAAATTATGCAAATATTAATGCTGTATGTGCAGATGTATCTCATTAAGGAATTGGAGATTGTAAGGTCTAATTGGGAAGTTTGACAGCTGTTATTAAACTATCATGGGTTCCCTTTGTGGATGTACTCACTGGTATTTTCATTCTAGACATGCAGGAGAGGATTCATTGACTAGCTTTTTGGAAGAGTATAGATTCATTATGCTTTTTAAATTAAACTGATGTGTCTTTAAGTGAGGAAAAATATGCATGGTGTTTCTCTAAACCTTCATCAGTTTGCTTTTTCCCACAAATGGGTTTTTAGAAATTCAAGAAACAGTACATGTAGTGGGTTTCAAACAAACTTCCTACGCAAAACATTGCTCCACTGTGGCCCTTTTACATCCTTTTTGGGAATTACTGTTGATGTAATTACCTGATTCAGTACTGAATGCCACTGTGTTGCTGACCGGGCCTTCACCAAGCGGGTTTTTGGGTTTCACCTGGAATTCATAACTGTTTAGGGGAAAATAAAAAAATACTTGTAATACATTCTTGAGGGCTAGGAGGCAACATTGCCCTATTATACGGACATCCACTATACTGACATCCCTTTGAAATTATGACAGTGAATGGTAACATATGTTCCAGAAGCAGGTTGAGGAAAGAAAAATGATTTCTTAGTTTTACTATCTGAACAGCTTGTCTAATGTTTGAGTAAGCATTAAGTTAATAAAAAAGATGGTTGTCTTTAAAAATCTCCCAATTAGTACAAATGACTTGGCAGGTTAATAAACATATAAGAAAGTGGTATATGGTAGACAAAGGCTAATTCCAGTAACAAGGAGCCTGTTTCTTTAAGATGTCTCAGCTACTTCCTGGGGCCAAGAAGTGGCAAGATTCCATTTTATTTTCTGTTATCCCAACCCTGAGTATAACCCTGGACTTAGGCCATCTTTCTCACTGTGGAGTTTGAACTACTTATGTCAGAATCACATCATAGGGTGGCAGTGGTGAAAGTGTCTTGTCCTACTCTAGGTATTGAAGCAATTTTTGAGGAGATTCAGGTAAGAATTTATAACTTCCCTAGGTGAGTCATGTGCCCACTGAAGTTTGAGAACTACTAGACTAAGCTATAGTTAGTCTGTTTAACTGTAGACTAAGCTATGGGAATAGATACACATAAATGTTTCTTTGCAAGGACTTCCTAGTTGTATCGCCTGGAACTTGGGTCTTCTGTGGATCACAGGATTCTATGATGTCTCCAGAAAAGAGGCATGGTAATGTTGCCTTACAAAGAGCAGGAACACAAACACAGGCATTTCTCTCCCTCCATACCCCAAATTCATATCGGCCAGTCCCTTAACCTTTTGTTAAACAAAACCCCCAAACAACCCTAGGTCCCTTGGAATTATAAGTTCCGTTGATTGTATCCTTAAGAATTATTCTTCAAATTATTGTGCAGTATTAGCAATTTTTATTCATAAAATATGTAAGCAAAGCAAATCTTTTAAAGAAATGTAAACAGTAAAGCAATTTGCCATTTGCCTGAAATTAAGATTTCCCTTCAGCAGCAAGTGGACTTGGCAGTGAAAGAACATTGAATTCAAAAGTCAACCTGAGTCAGCTAATAATATTTTGAGAGTTTCAGATTTGCTCAAGGCTTTTGGGAGATAAATTTCGTCTTTGAGAAGTTTATAATTAAATAAGAATGCAGAATGCACAAAAGATAGATATTTTATAAACAAGTGAAAAATGGATGACAGCTGTCAGTTTGGTACGGATGGTACTAAATGAGCAGGAAAAAAAATTTGAGTCAGTTTCTTGATCACTGAGGTATTGTGTTAACATTGCTAGTATCTAAGAACAGATTCTAGTGCTACAACAATGGCAACCATTTTCTGAATGCTTACTATGTATCAGATGCATTAGACATTCTACATATATAAAGCAATACAACACATGTAAACCCTGATGAGATAAATCTTATCCTAATTTTCAGCTGAGAGCAATGAGGCTCAAAACACTTGTACTGTTACTATTTTTGCTTTTCAAAACTTTAAAACTGGCCAGGTGCGGTGGCTCGTGCCTGTAATCCCAGCACTTCGGGAGGCCGAGGCAGGCAGATCACATGAGGTCCTGAGTTTGAGACCAGCCTGACCAACATGGAGAAACCCTGTCTCTACTAAAAATACAAAAATTAGCTGGGCATGGTGGCACATGCCTTTGTCATTGTCATTTGCAATGAGAGATTGTTGATACAAAAACACCTTTGTCACCTACAGAAATCACACACACATGGGGTATTTTCACATGAAATATTTTCCAGAGATTAAATTTTTGCTAAGAGGCCTGAAAACAAAACAAAACAAAAAAGCCCATAGAACTACAGTGAACTGAAAATGGAAAAAAAGAAATCATAGCCATCTGGACTTTGATTCAAATGGGCAGTGCATTCCACATTCGTTCCAGGCCATTGCCAAAAGCCCTGTGCTTTGGCCAAGTCTGATTGCTGGAATTGTCTCCATGTCTTTTTATTTCACAGTTACGTACACTTAAGCTCCATTTTCAGCATGCCACATATACAAGCTACTTTTTGGGTTTTTTTTTTTTTTTTTGGCCAATATTTTGTGATATTTGACAAGTTTCAAAGAAATTATTTTGCACTAAATTTAATTAACATGGGAACTGAAAGGCACATTTTTGTTTTGGCCTGATTAAACCCTATAT
The DNA here is from genome assembly GCF_000001405.40 of Homo sapiens. NCBI lineage: Eukaryota > Metazoa > Chordata > Mammalia > Primates > Hominidae > Homo > Homo sapiens. Next base: position 100,756,906 of record NC_000003.12, read on the forward strand.
AACAAAAATTATTTGTGTTGGTAAAATTTTTTCTGAAGAAGCACATTTTGTCACAGATGAATGACATCATAGGTCTAAGAGAAATGTCTCAATATTGATTGTACATAGAAAATAAAATTTAAAGTTTCAGGAAACAGTTATTTGAAGTAAGAAACTTCAAATAGAAGTTTTGGAAGATAAAGTTGAGGACATTTCACAAATACTAGAACAAAAAGTCAAAGAGATGAAAAAATGAGAGAAAAGAAAGTTGGAGAATTATTCCAGAGAATATGGTACCCAACTAGTAGGAATTGTAGAAGAAAGAAAGGAAAGGAGATAGAAAATTATCCTAGAAACTTTGTAATAAATTTCCCAGTACTGAAAGACAAGAGTTTCCAGATTGAAAAGACCTACTCTGCCCAGCAAAATGAATAAAAGAAAAAGGACTAAAACATGAGTTACAAAATTTCAGAGTACTGGGGTGATAAAGACAAGTCCTCAAAACTGAGAAGAAAATAGGTCCCGTTCAAGGGATCCAGAATCAGGATGACATTTGACTTTTTAACAGTAACACTGGAAGTTAGAAAATAGAACAATTCCTTCAAAAGTCTTCATTATATCCTAATATGTCCAGCTAAAGAATAGTATCAAAGTAAAACAACTTTTAAAACATGTGAGGACTCAAAAATATTGCCTTTTATAACTTTTCCTCAAGATTTATTTCTTTAGTGCTACAAAGTAATGGAGTAAACAAGGAAGAAGTCTTGTGATGCAGGAATTGGGATTCAAAACAGAGGCAAAGGATGTATAGGAATTCCAAAAGAGATGTTGCCATTAAAAACATACAACAAATAGAACAAAGAAATGACTGGAGTATTTGAGCATCTTGTGAAAAGGTCAGTCTAGACATAGGGATTTAATTGACAGAAGTAATGGACAAAATGGTAAAAAAAAAATTTGCATCTGGGGAACCAAATTTAGCAACAGGGAGGAGATGCTTTTGTGATAATTTAATTTTAAAACTGTACATATATTTCTGATGAAAATTAAAGAACTATAAGACCTACCACATCAAAATGAATATCTAAATGGAATGCAGTCCAGATGACAAATGCTGTCAAGCCTTTTGGCCCCATCTAGGACAAGCCAGGTAAATAAAGCCTCACAGAATGCCATGCCTGATTCTACCTGGGTAGGTGTAAATCCCCTCCAAAAACAAACAAACAAAAAAAAAACAATCTTCCCCGCGCATCCCCATCAGGAGGCAGCATGATCCAGGGGGCGTTAAAAACATGGGTTCTAGAACCAGAAAGATTCACAGCTCACTAATGTGTGACTTTAAGGTAACTTAACCTCTCTGAGCTTCAGTTTACTCTTACATAAAAATGAGGATAATGCTATTTGTGAGGATACTATTCGTTATAGTAATTATAACTTCACGGGGGCTATAAAAGCATCTGTGAGGATTAAATGAGAATGCATGTAAAAGCAAGGTGCTTGACACATAGTAATAAGTATTCACTAGTATCATATTTGTATCTCTAGATAATTTTTTTTAAAGAGTTTCTGTTATTGGGGAATTTGACAAACACTGCCATAGAACTCTCAAGGCAGAACTCTTCTATGGCCACACACTTGCTTTTTGCTTGTGAAGTTTATAAGAAGGGTATAGCCCACGGGTTATTGGAAAGATCGAAAATTTAACAGGTAAACCTTTCTGCCTGCCATCAACATAGATCCACAGGCTAAGAAAAAAATGTTATATTAATATTTCATTGAGTCTAGAAAGCACTAAAAAGCATTATCTCAGAAGAGTGGCATAATAGAGGGTATTGTTTGACACCAACAGTTTGAGAGCAGCTGTAAAAATCAGCATGAGAACAAAAAAACATAGATCAGTTCATTGAAAAGTGAAAAACTAGGATTTCAAAAAGTGTGACCTGTGGCTCATGAGCAAAACTGTTAAGAGACAAGAACCTCCAACCTGTAGGCTTCTAGCCTGAGACTGATTTCTTCTTTAGTGGAAGAGGTAATATCCTCAAGCATAACCTTCAGATCTGGATGGAGCAGATGCTTGCCATTCCCTACCCCGTTTTGATCCTTTCTATAATCTTTTCCTTCTATTTTTTGCCTACAATTTAGAACTGAAGTAAAGTTTTCATTATTTAATAAACTTTTTAGTTACATACTCCTTACTGATTTAAAAAGTTGGTTTTCATTCTAACAAAAGTCTTACAAATCTCAAGCAAACTGTTTTTTATATAGAAAGTCTACCCTATAGCTGTTGGTTTGAGTTGTTCAGCCGAGTTTTACCCCTAGTGTAGTCGTGAAATATTTGATCCCCATTCAGGTGAAGGTTCAGAGGGAGATAAATGGACAAGTAGAATAAGAAAAAAAGAGGAAGGACTGCTCAACATGGGAAAGGAGAATCTAATCAGTTTGGGTAAGCTTGACTGCAAGGACACTGAAGGATTATGGTAAGCATTTCTGGATACCTGCCACATGTAAAGTTATTATGCTGATCTGGGAACACAGATAAGGAGCAAGAGGGGAGAGCCAAGGGGGCACTCAGAAGACAAAATAAGGCTAAATCAGGGTATCAGTAGTCGTGGGGTCATAAACTAGCTGGCTCTTATGCCATAAGGGGCATTTTTTTGTGTTCCCCCACTTCTGTGGGGACACAAATTCCAGAGTTGGGCTGTACTCTAATTCTGTGGTACTGTTATCACTTTCTTCCACTCCCTTCCTAAATGCCAAGCAATAGCAAAGAAAAATAAAACTATGTGGTTATGTGAGAGGGAATAGTTGTTCTCTTTATAGACTAGTGGAGTTATGTACTTTTAGGTAGCTGTCCTTCTGCCCCATGAAAAGTTGTCAAACTGAGCAATCAAGTCAATTTCTTCTTCAACAAGGAAGGAATTGGTCTGCTGCTGCCCACACCTACCACAAACTAAATAAAATGCCTGACGCTTTGGTAGCTTATTTTACTCCTTTCTACAAAGCCCATAAGAAGAGATGTTGAGAAGTTAATACAGAATATGCAGAGACTAGAATTTCGCAGAAACACTATGAAAAGGGTATAATGGCTATTCCACATGCCTGCATCATTCAGCCAGATTGACAGTGTATAAGAAATTGCTGTGTCTATTCCAGCTAACCAGTGCCAACATTTTATTAAATCAACAAAACAACAGTCCCAAACCATCATTGCTGCCAGCTATAGGATACTTTGGTAAGTTTCAGTCTTAGAGGAAGATTTGTTCTTCAAAATCCTCCCAAGCCAGAGAGGTCAGTAAAAGTACTTGAGCAGATTAAGTGAATTTGATTTATCTCAATTACTAGACAGTACATTTTCCATAGGAAATTATTAGACCACATGTAAGTCTGGCACACACAATGAATTCTTTAATTTTTCAGTAAAGTAAGGAGAGAGGTGAGTTCATTGGAAGAGAAGAGTAGGATTAAAGGGCTTTTTCAGTGTGCAGTGATTGTGTGTGTTCATCCATTTGCCCAGCCAGTTCATTAGGAAGAACTCCGTCCATCAGTGGATTATCAAAATGTGTGCTAGAAACAATTCATCTGAAAACAAATTGCAGACTGCAGACAGAGATTTAAAGACAAAAAAAAATGTTTACTGGGACAATTCTGCTTGTTATGGGATTGAGCTAGGTTTTAGTTTTCAGTTTCAGTTCTCTGGCCGACTCCATGCATGGCTTTGAATATCACAGAATTATATCATTTTAGAGCTGGAGGAGACTTAAGAGAACGATAATCCACACTCACTGTCCCAATAAGCAGTGGTGTAAGACTTATTAAGGCATACTTTATCAGCTGCTCTATTCGCAGAACTAAAGCTAATCATAGTGGTCTTTGCAAAGTGGTTTGCTCTAGATAGGAGAGGCTCTTAATATTTTTCTTTTAGTTTAACAAGAGGCATACATTGCCTAAGGAGACACACAGAGGATTGGTGTTCTTGGGTAATTGTATGGCAGAGAGGGTTTTTTTTTTAAATTTTCATTTTAGGGGTACATGTGCAGGTTTGTTATGTAGGTAAACTCATGTCACAGGAGTTCGTTGTACAGATTATTTTGTCACTCAGATACAAAGCCTAGCACTCAATAGTTGATTTTTCTGCTCCTCTCCCTTCTCCCACCCTTCAGTGGACCCCAGTGTCTGCTGTTCCCCTCTTTATGTCCATGTGTTCTCCTCATTTGGCTCCCACTTATAAGAGAACATACAGTACTTGGTTTTCTGTTAGAAGAGGACCTCTAGGTTAGAAATAAATGGAAAGTAAATACTGGGGAGGGTAGATGAGTACTGATTGAGCTGGATACCAATATCTACAATTTCTTTTTATTTTAGGAGTAAGGGGTGAGAGAGGGATCCCCTAAAGAGATGAAATTTGCCTGTGTTAACATCTCTTTTGCATCATTTGACTAAAACAATCACATCTCCCCACAAATGACACCCCCTTCCCTGTGCACATATGTAACCACAGTGCACTGCAGCTGGTAGCCAGGCTGGGGAGGCCCCTTAAGGCCACCTTTGGAGCTGCACCCAGCTGCACCTTTGGAGCTGCACCCATGTGGCTCTCTATTGACAAGAATGTCTAATGCCAGGTGTGGAGCTAAACTCTACCATTAGCAAAACAGCTGCTGGATGGTCCTTTGGACAATTTTTTGAGCTTCTGGCAGGCTAGATAAAAACCTGCTTATGTCATGAAAACAAGCAGGAGAAGGTTGGTATACACTGTGAAAGGAAAGGTAGGGGAATACTCCACTGTCACTCTGTTTCAGGATTAGGGTGTGAGCATTCAGAATTTCTAACAAAAGCACTCTATAGATCTCTAATCCCTGCCTTGTTTCTCCTGGGTTAAGTGTTGTAACGTGAAGCTCTACTCCACCCATGTCTGTGGGTAAAGTTTAGCCAGTAATTATCATCTGAATTCAGATCTCATGTTTTTTAGTCAGGACAAGTGATGGAAAATGCTACTAAAATAAATGATTTACATATATCTCCTAGTGTTGGAACACTGCTGTAATAATTCTTTCAGAAGCTTTGATCCATCTTCCAGTTATTCAAACAGGGAATTCCAGAACCTCATGAGGGAATTTTAACAGCTATAATTCAAAGTTTATCTATTTCAAAAATTCAACTTTGCCATACACTTTGATTCCAAATTTCCTCCAAGCATTGAAATATGACTAGAGTTATTATTATTATTTTTTTACAGCTAACAAGAGCCATGTGGTGGCTGCATCCTGTACATACTTCCTCTTTATTTTATGGTGTCTTTTATTAGTGTTAATCTTGGATCATGGTTGGGTAGAAGAAACACAATGGAAAGAAACCTTGCCTTAACAACTTAAGGTAGTATGAAAAAAGCTTTTCATACTATTTGGACACTAGTGATTTTATTATTCTGGCTGTAGCCTTGCTATCAGTAGTAAGTTTGAGAACTACTTGTGTGTCACCTAAATCATGTATATGGATTTGATGAGAAAGAAAAATAGTGTTATTGTTTTTCCTTTCCTTGTTGGCTTACCCCTTCCATCCTATTCTTTATCAAATTCTAGTCTCAAGTATTCTATGAAGCGTTCTCTCCTAAATCACAGAACCTTGGTATCAATCCTACACTTACTTGGTATGCTTTTTTTATGATCTCCAATTATTTAACAGGTGTTACTTTTGTTTCCCCAGATACTTTTAGGCTTCAGAAATCTCTAATTGAAATAATTTACCTCATTTTACTTTTCCATAATTCATTATTTTTTCTAATGGAGATTTCAATATATTTTAATATTTCAGCCCAAACATTTTTGCTCATTGAATCTCTGACATACCTGGTAAAAGAGATGTGAAATTCATTCAGAGGCTCATCGGAGGCTAGGATCTATTGAACTCCTTGACCACCATAAAGTTTCACATACTGAGGACTAAACAGTGTTCATGAAAGCACCTTTACATCCATATGTATTATATTTTTCCCCAAATGCAAAAATGTTCTTTACTTCAGACTACTGATTTACAACTCCTAAGTCATGATCCATTAGTTAGGGACTACCAATATAATCCTGGCCAAATCATTTATATGAAAATTAATGATTTTGATATCCTGATGGATTTCACTGAACCATACCAAATTCTTAAAATAATGTTAAGTAAGCCACATATAATAGACACACTGAATGACCTCAAATTAGTGCCAGTGGTAAAATTCGGCATGGGATCCTGATTTAGAAGGCCCTAAACTTGATTTAACATTGCTTTTTCCCAAAGCTAAATCTAGACGGGGGCTGGGCGTGGTGGCTCACACCTGTAATCCCAGCACTTTGGGAAGCTGAGGCAGGTTAGTCACCTGAGGTCAGGAGTTCAAGACCAGCCTAGCCAACGTGGAGAAACCCCATCTCTACTAAAAATACAAAAAAAGTAGCCGGGTGTGGTGGTAGGTGCCCGTAATCCCAGCTACTTTGGAGGCTCAGGCAGGAGAATCGCTTGAACCCTGGAGGCAGAGGTTGCAGTGAGCCGAGATCACACCATTGTGCTCCAGCCTGGGTGACAAGAGCAAGACTCTGTCTCAAAAAAAAAAAAAAGAAAAAAGAAAAAATCTAGACAGGCACTCCTCTGGGCTTTGCTAGTCTTGAGGTAAGGATAGGTTTTAGGGGTCCTCCTCAGAAGGCCCACTGACAAAAGACAGGAGCAATAAACAGGACATATAATGAGGGTGGGATAAAGAGGGCCATACTGTCTTTCAGTGTGAAGCAATTTCTAGAAACAGCTAGAATAAGTCCTAAAACAATTACAACCAGAAGCTACATGTGAGCCCCATGACCTGTGATTACAGAATAAAATGCATCTTAGCCCTGGGGCACTTTTCTCTACCTACTTCACCAGGCAGGTCAGATACCCAAATGGCACTCTTGCCAAGACATGAACAAAAAGTTATTTTTTATTAGATTTATTCCAGCAACTGTTGCTCAATATAAACAGGCTCAAATACTAAAAGTGATTATTCCGACTAAAAGCCAGAATGAAAACACAAATGAAAAGTGGGAGCAAGTCATCCTCCCAATTACCACCCTTCAGAGTCTCCCCATCTCCTGATCTGGCTTATAAGACCCTCTCCACCCTGGCTTCCCACTGTTTCCTTTGCCTCCCATCCACTTACCGTTACTCATGCTGAGGTAAAAATAGCCTATTTTTCACTGCACACAACCATGCCATTTTGGCCCTCCGTGTACTGACATACACTATTCTAACACTCTCTTTGCCTATAATCACCTGACTAGCTCCTTCCCACTCATACTTCAAGCCTCAGACCAGGTGTCACCTTCTTCAGGAAGATTTTCCTAATTTCTGATGACGTTGCGTAGTGCCTCCCACCCTGGGATCCCATAGCACCTTGGGCATGCTTCATTCAGAGTTCTCACTACTTTGTGTAGAATCCTTGGTCATTAACTGCCTCTCCTCTAGCCTTGAGTTCAAGGGCAGCCACCATGTTTATTCGTGTGTGTAGCCATACTTAATAAATGTTTGCTGAATGGAAATGCAAATGCAAACCTTTTACAAACAAATTGGGTTTAAAATGATACTGAAATAACTGTATTCAACATTCAGATCATGAGCTAATAAGTGCACTGTGAGAAGATCTGAGGACAGTCCAATTCAGAAAAAAACCACAGTGAACATTTAGAAACTGGATGCCTTTCAATGACTGTCTTGTACTTTACAAGTCACTTTTTATAAAGTGGAATAAAAAGCAGAAAACGGAAAAGCCAACTTTCATAAGCACAAATTCACCTATTAAAAAGTCCAAATTAAGTGACCTTTTCTTTCACTCATTCCTTCAAATATATTATGGCAAAACAGACTTTCTCCCCCTCTCGATCTAAGGAAATGCTAAGGAAACAGAACAAAGAGCAAATGGGCTTTTACTGACATATGCTTATTTTGGCTAAAAGTCTTTTAAGAAAATTAGCAGTTGTAAAATATATCTTAGAGAACTTTAAAGAAAAACCCCATGCTTGTGAAAGAAGTATTGTTTTTGCAGTATCGGACTAGTTTATACACAGTGAACTGCCTGTAGTGAATTAGATGGTCCTCCCTTTTCTACAAAAAGATCAGAAGAGTCTCCCTACTGTCAGAGCCAAAATAGGCTCTTTTGAGCGTCACTATCAATAACTAATTCAATTCAATCAATTGATGACAATGTGAACATTATGAAAAAAAAAAAAAACTTGGAACTTCCTTACTACATTTCTAGAAATGTCTAAGACACTTATTTTTCTTTCAGTAATAAAATGAACTAATAAAATGTTGGATATTTTAGATTGAAAAAAGAATCACAAAACTGTACAGCAATATGAACAACCTGGTATCAATGTGTAATAAACAGGGATACTTAGAAAAGTTATCAAACAACGTTAAAGATATGTAACTCTTGTCAAAACCCTATTTCATTTTATCCATGATAAAAGGTCCCAAAGCAAAGAATTGCTGTGCCTGAGACTAGTCTGTAGTTATTTTAAGTATTAACGCTTAAAAACTTTCACCTACATTTTGTCACAAGACTTTCCTTTTCTTGCCCTCTCCTTTCCAGCGTTTTAATTTTTTGGTGCTTCCCATGTAGTTTACATTATGCACAGTCCAGTTGTCACTGGTCCACAGACTTTTATTTTTGTATTTAATATCAACATTTGGTATCAGATGTTTTTTTAAAGATGTAATACTGTTAATTAACAAGACCACCTTGTCAGCAATTTTAAACCCACCAGTAATTCAAGTATTTGCAAAACATGACTCCAGAGGTATCTAGTGCTATATATAGAAAACCCAAGAGTGAAATGGAAGCTAGAGCCACCCTCAAGACAGAGAAGATGATTATCATTTCTTTCCCTTGTTGTGGTTATAACTTTTGCACTCTCAGAATTTACCTGGAATAGCACTGGTGGCTTACCTCGTGTTTGGTTTCAGATTTTCTACTGTGGAAAATGTCTGATTTGTCATTTGAATGGACTTGTTCTTCCCACTGAATGACCCATTTTCTCTGGATATAACTTCATATTCTGTAAAGCGAAAGAAGCCAACAGATACTTGTTTTTATTTCTTGGCTGACTTAATTGCTCCTGAAGCTAATAGCATAAAAAAGCCACTTACATAAAGTAAGCAATTGAGATGGAAGTTCTAGAGACATATTGATCTTACACATTGGCAATTTCCATATGGGGATGGTCAGCAGATGAAGGCTCCAGAAGCATTTTGGGATTTGTTCATTGACTATTTCTGCATTTCCTTTACCAGAGGCAAAGGAAGACCTGGTAACTGGTGAAGACCCATGCCACGCCTGTGGTTGCTTTGGATACATAGCCTTTGATTTTGTTAGGTGAGTCAGATAGTCTGCCGCTGCTGCAAAGCCCCATTTGGGGAAAGCACTGTAGGAGGAGTGGTGCCTGAGTAGACATGTTCTCTGCTCTATGGGCTTTAGAATATAGTTGGGGAAAAGGCTACTGGATACCTGGTATTGCTGCAGAAAACTTCTTTCAGTTGAGCATCACAGCACCAAATAGCAGCTAATCAAATAATAAACTCTACTTTTCTATAGTTCATTATTTTGAACTATAGGAGTAGTTGGTTTTTGTACTCGCTGCCTACATAAGTTATGCTCCCATGATTATTTTCCTTGTATTGAAAAACAAATTAATGTCCTTAAAGTCTGCATAGAGATCTGCCTAAATTTCACTTAAGGGCACATTTCTATGAACTTGCAGGGCTCATCAAAAGGGAAAGAAATTTAGAATAAGGGAATGCCATTTACACATTTGTTCATTGGATTTCTCTGCTCTCATTTGGGACTTAGCTTAATGCATGTGATGAGATGATACAGAGGACTAAAAAAGAACCAAAAACCCAAACAATAAACCCCACTCAAAATCAGCTCCATTAATATGAAGAAATATGCAAGTACTGGACATCAGACAAGGTGAAAAGGCTGCCAAAGATCTGGCAAGTTATATTAGGGATTTCTGCTGTTAGCACTGAGCCCAGTGGTATGAGATGGACATTGGAAATAAAATAAAAAACTAGAATAACCCAGATAGACCCCAATTCACCAATTCATATTTGGGGGAGGATTTTTTTTTGTTGGGGAGGCTCACTGCAACCTCCGCCTCCCGGGGTCATGCTATCCTCCCACCTCAGCCTCCCGAGTAGCGCACCACCACACCCAGCTAATTTTTTGTAGAGACAGGGTTTTGCCATGTTGCCCAGGCTGGTATTGAACTTCTGAGCTCAAGCGATCCACCCACCTCAGCTTCTCAAAAGTGTTGGGATTACAGGCGTGAGCCACTGCGCCCAGCCTTAGGAAGATTTTTCATTGCATATTTAAAATACCCCAAGAGGAGGATGATTTTTTCTGAACAATTTTGTATGACCATTCTTCCAAAAATTAAAAATTAAACTGGAAGACAGTGGCCATGGTTTCTGGATACTATTGGTGCAGCTATTAAAGTACTGATGACTGTTATCTAGTGCTGTCACTGAGACTTCTTTTTGATCCAAAACTATCTCTCAGCTGGCTCTCCGAACGGACTGGAAAGGGAGAGGAAGGGAGAGAATTCTGAATTAAAATCTGTCCATTTTATATTTTTTCCTCAGCTGTGAAGGGATATTTGTTAGAAAAAGATGGAAGGACTTAAAATGCAAGTAAAATTGATTAAAAAAAAAAAAAAAGGAAACCAAACAGCTTAATGGAAAGAAACAAATTAAGCCACCTGCCTTGAACTTGGTCTCAGTCCTCCCATCCGTGGAAGGTTAATAATATCTCTTCATACTACTGCTTATGGGGATTAAATTGGGTACAGGTGGAAAGTGCCTTGATAGTATTTTTCATAGATTTTGTTCAACAGGTGGTACCTATTATTATGCTGCTTTTATTATTATTTATCATCCTTGAGTTGTGGTTTGAAAATATGACTAGAAAAATTTTAAGATTCCAATAGGAAAGGTTCACGTGCTGCTAAATCACCAAAAGAACAATTTATATGACACTCCAGTTGGTTATGCACCAAAGCAACCACCTTCAGAAAGCATCTTTGGCTTGGGACATTCCTCAACTGTATGACATTCTTCTTAATATTAAACCTGCCTTTTAGTAGTTGAAACTTCTATTGCATGTCTTCTCTGATTTCCATTTGGCTCAAGTTTTTTTTTTTTTTTTTTTTTGAGACGGAGTCTCACACTCTGTCGCCTAGGCTGGAGTGCAGTGACGCCATCTCGGCTCACTGCAAGCTCCGCCTCCTGGGTTCACTCCATTCTCCTGCCTCAGCCTCCGGAGTAGCTGGGGCTACAGGCGCCCGCCACCACACCCGGCTAATTTTTTGTATTTTTAGTAGAGACGGGGTTTCACCGTGTTAGCCAGGATGATCTTGATCTCCTGACCTCGTAATCCGCCCACCTCAGCCTCCCAGAGTGCTGGGATTACAGGCGTGAGCCACTGAGCCCGGCCTGGCTCAAGTTTTAAAAGCTGATTTAATAATTTTTTTTATGGAAGATCAGAATTCTCAAAATGGATCTAGAAGCTTTCTTCCTAATTAAAAAGACATTTAGAATTTCAGAATTGTAGCTTTTGAATATACATTTGTCTTGTGCTTTGTAAATATATATTTCCCATTTTTTAATCCTTTCAAGTGCTAATACCTTTTCGTAAATCCACCATTACAAAAATTGCTCCTACCGATAAACATTAACAATTTCTAGTTTATGCGGCATATTCAAATATCTTATTTTTCTCCTCAGGATAAATTGATAACAATGAGGATTATTATTATTATTACACCTAAGGAAACTAAGGCTCAAACAGTCTAATTTTATACACAAGTTGAGTATCTAAAATAAAGCTGGTCTGGGATTTAAATCTGTGTCAGCATGCTCTTGGACTATCAGATTATGATGCTGATAACTAACAACTTGAAGTTGCCCAAGGATCCAGGCTATGGCCAATTTTTTGGTGTACCTTTTTCTACTTCAGTATAGAAAGGACATGTAGAAGCAGCTGAAGCTGGATGTCTTCACTGGAGGTGAATATGTGTCCCCATCAACTCAAAGAAAGAAGCCAACTCAGGGGGAAGAATAGATATAACTCTATTATATCTCAGTTCCTTTTTGTAAAGTCAGTTCAAGAGATATAAGAATTAATCTCTATATTATCTGAGCTGCTGGTTTGTAAACAATCGCTTTTGAAATCAAGTGGTATTTAAGGGAACACTAAAACAAAATGGAATGAAAAACCAACAGGATTTTAGGGCAAATGGTCTAATGTTTAAATACGGACTAGGTGAACTATGGTTAAATACGAACTTAATTCTATTTAGGAAATTCTGCAGCTAAAGAGATGTGATCCTTGTCCACAAAAATTGTTATAAGTCCTCTGTATCATGTGACAGATCTCAAGCACCTCATTAACATTTAGTAACAGCATTACAAAAGCAGTTTGGTTAGATGGATAAAGTATACTCTATCCATGATTTTTTGAGATTAAACATATATACAATCAGAAAGGCCAATTCTTCAGCTTAATAAAGTTACATCGGATATTATGAATATATCCAAGTTGATGTGTATTCGATAATTAAATGTATTAGATTAACCAGTTCCAACTCAATGTTCCGTATCTTTAAGGCAAATGAAATTTTATAGATCATTTAGTTTCATGAGAACTAAGCCTCAGATGATCACAGGAACTCCTTACTAGCACAGTATATGAAGAGTTTTAGACATTTTAATGGATGTAGATAATCAGTACTGAGAGATTAATTGATTTTTAGATATTTGTAGTACCTATTAGCACAGTCCCAAGGAAAGAAGCAGGACTAGGAAAATCTCCAGGAACCATGGGTAGCAGTGGGTTCTTTCTCAAAACAAAGGCTAGCTTTGCATGAGAAAGGGAAACTCACAAAACGTGGTAAAGAAAGCTAGTTAAGATAAGCCGCTTACACTGGAAGTTGCCCAGATCCAATGGTTCTGTCTGAGGAGACATAGCTGCTGTTTTCCATGTGCAGTAGGAAATGTTTTTGGCAGATCCTGAGTCCCTGCATGCGCTACCTGGTCCTGTGCACTGCTCCTCTCCCTTCCTGATGGCCTCTTAGTTGACCCCTCTATTCCCTGCCTGCCTGCACCAGGTACATGGCAGGAACTTGGGTGGCAGGAATTCACTTACCATGCTATTTGCTATATCCTCTAGCTGATTTAGCTTGCTAGTCTTTTTTCATCCTCCTCTCGTTTGACTATCCTCTTCGTTATGGAGAATCAGACTGTTGTATAACAAATTCAGAGTGTCTTGGGGTTTCTTAGTTTTTACAATCATTTTTAGAGGAATTGGTGGGTGGTAACAGAATAAAAATTTCTTAAGATGAGAAGAAAATTGATCAGGAATAGAATTTTTGTTTTTATTTATCCTAAGACAGTTGAAGTAACCTTTAGTCTGCTAGAAAGTTCTAGGTCAATAAGAAATGGGGTTGGTGAAAGGAAAATTAGTTTTAAATTAATCAGCAATGTAATTTTCTGGATAATGAAAGACTAGCTTCTTCTTCATTGTGTGAAAAAGAGTTCTGAGAGGAGATGGAAAGAATGCAGCTTGAGGAGATTTACTAAATTAACAGGGAGACCATAACAAGGACAAAGATGATCTTTTCTCATCCTATGACATTGTTGACAATAATGTGCCTTAAAGGCAGCAAAACTGCTAGTTTTGTCTCCTCCCCAGGTATGCTTCACATGTCAACGTTGACCCAGGGTACCCCACTCCCAGGGTATCTTGTTATCAAAGCTTCCCACCATAACAGTCCTCATGCCATGATCTTACCAGTGACAGTGTCATTTAGTGGCTTTTCCCAGTCCAAGATGACAAATGAGGGGCACCCTTCCACGGTGACCACAGTGAGGTTGGTGGGTGGGTTCTGTGGTGGGCTGGTGGCATTCCCCTCTGTGGCCTCCTCTTTGGGGAACCGTTTGACAGAGTCAGTAATGGAGCAGGGACTGTTGTCAGGCTTTTGGATGTATCGCACATGAGGTCCTACGAGAGAGAGGACCCTTGACATTTAACATTTTTGAAACTCATGAAGAAGATAGAAGTGAGCTCATAAATATAATTTGAGGACATTTGGTCTCATATTATAAGCGGATGGTTGAAAGCCATGATGTGGATGGTTCAAACTAGGAAAATTCAAAATCTTGCCTCTGAGATACGTGATATAGGGTGGTGTTGATTTACTTACTGAATAAGTTTAGCTTATGCTAATATCCGAAAGTAATTTGATCCCCCTAAGCATAGTTTAAACTTCATACTTTATGGGGCACTGGGTCTTACCCTCAGTGGTAGGGAATAATTAGCTCTATACTAAACACAGTTCTGGTCCCACTCAATAAATTTTAAAAACTAGACTCAAAAGAATCAAGTAGCTTCAAGTATTTTACTGTATCCCAGAACAAAACTCAAGAATAATCTAGGAATAATTAAAAAAAAAATCCAGCACCTAAAAGGTAAAATTCATAGGAAAATATTACCTATAATAAGGAGAAAAAAATCAATCATTTGAAACCAATGTAGATCTCACATAGATGTTAGAATAATCAGATAAGAATTATACTTATTACTATAATCCACATATTCAAAAAGTTAGTAAAGACATGTATGATATTAAAAAAGACCCAAATCAAATTTCTAGAGATGAAAGCTATAAGACAGAAGATGCACTGGTTAGAATTAATACCTATAAGATAATACAGAATAAATGATTAGTGAACTCAAAGACATAGCAATAAAAACATCCAAAAAGAGGGAGAGAAGATAAACATTAAAAATAATGAACATCACTGAGCTGTGTGGACCATTTCTGGTGGTCTCATATACATGTAATTGGAGTACCTGAGGTAAAGAAGCGGGTGAGCAGAAAAAAATATTTTAAGAAATAATGGTCCCAAATCTTCCAAATATGATAAAACTTCTAAACCCATAGATCCAAAAAGCTCAAAGATACCTAGAAACAACAAAAATGTAGAAAACTATATGCCAGTCATAATCAAGTTTCTCAAAACAAGTGATAAAGAGAAAATCCTTAAAGGAGGCAGACCAAAAAAAGACATGTTGTATACAGAACAACAAAGATAAGGATTGTGGCAGATTTCTTACTAGAAAGAATGCAAGTGAGAGGCATTGAAACAGCATCTTCAATTATTGAAATAAAAGACATCATTTAGAATTTAATAAGTAGTGAAAATACCTTAAAAGCAAAACACTTTTTCTAGACATACAAAATCTGTAAGAATTTATTTGCCAGAAGGCCCACACTAAAAGAAATATTAAAGGAAGTCTTTCAGGTAGGAAGGAAACAATGCCGACAGAAATATGGAGCCACACAAAGTGATGAAAAGCGCAGTGACAGTAAACACATAGGTAACATACACAATGTTTTTCTTATTATTTATCTCTAAAAAATAGTTTACTGTTTAAACATAAATAAAAACACCTTACGGTAATGTATATAACATGTAAAAGTAAAATGTATGACAATAATAGTCCAAAGGCCAAGAGGGGAGTAAAGCTATGCTAGTGTGAGGTTCTTATATGTGAAGTTGTAGATTATCACTAGACGGCAGATTGTGATAAATTAAAGATACATACTATAAACCCCAAAGCAACCATGAAAATAATAAAACAAAATTACAGTTAATAAGACAACAAAAAAGATTAAATGAAATCGTAACATACTCAACCTAAAAGAAGATTGACAAAGAGGAAAAAAGGGAACAAAGAATAGATGGGAAAAATAGAAAGCAAATAGCAAGATGAAGATTTAAATGTACCAATATCAATAGCCATATTAAATGTAAGGTTCTACACACCCAAAATAAAATGCAGGCTGGGCGTGGTGGCTCATGCCTATAATCCCAGCACTTTGGGAGGCCGAGATGGGTGGATCACTGGCAGTCGGGAGTTTGAGATCAGCCTGGCCAACATGGTGAAACCACATCTCTACTAAAAATACAAAAACTATGGGGATGGTGACGGGCACCTGTAATCTCAGCTGCTTGGGGAGGCTGAGGCAGGAAAATCACTTGAACCCAGGAAGCGGAGGTTGCAGTGAGATGAGATCACACCACTGCACTTCAGCCTGGGCAACAGAGCGAGAGTCCATCTCAAAAAAAAAAAAAAAAAGAAAAGAAAAAGAAAAACTATTCTGAATAGCTCCATACCTATTAAAGAAAGTGAATTCTACTAAAAATTGATACACCGAGCTTCATTAAAATTAGAAGACACACACTGGGAAAAAATATTTTCAAAGTATGTATCTAAAAATGGTCTTGTATCCAGAAAATATAGATTCTCAAAATTCAACATTAAACAAGCAACTCCATTTTTTAAAATGGGCAAAAATATTGGAAATAGCAAAAAAGATATATAGATGGCAAATAAGCACATAAGATGTTCAATGTTATTAAGTGGTTGCAAATTAAAACCATAATCAGATACCATTACACACCTATTAAAATGGCTAAAATAAAAAAGACTGACCATAACAAATGTTGGTGAGGATTTGGAGGAACTAGAACTCTCATCTCTGCTGATAGAAAGGTAAAACAGTACAACTACTTTGGAAAACAGTCTTTTAAAATGTTATATAAACACTTATATGTCATGTAGCCACCCCTTCCTAGGTATTTGTCCAAAGGAATGAAAGCATATGGCTATACAAAGACATGTACATGAATGGTCATAATAGCTTTATCAGTAATGTAAAAGAAATACCAATGCCACGAATGCATTTACTAAAGAAACAAATTATTGAATATCCAAATAATAGCATGCTAGTCAGCAATAAAAAGGAATGGACTACTGATATACATGCAGCAACATAGAGAAATCTCCAAATATTTATGCTGATAAAAGAAGCCTGACAACAAAAAGAGTTCATACTGTATGTTTTCATTTATATAAAATTTCATAAAGTACATACTATAGTATGGCAGGCCTGTTGCCACGTAGGCACTGGGGGGTTGAGTGGGAGGAATAAGAGAAAGGGATTGCAAAGACACATGATGAAACTTTTGGAAGTTATATATGGGTTATTATCTTGATTGTGATGATGGTCTCATGGGTGTATACATATATTAAAATTCATCAAATGTTACATTTCAGAAAAAAAAGGGCTCTATGTCATATTGTATCTCTCCTACTGTGGTAGATTGTTGTTCAAAACTATTCTTTATGTCCACAGGAGAAGTATTCTTCCCCAATCCTTGATTTGATCTTGGCTGTGTGACATTTTTTGGCCAATGGACATTGGTAGATATGACACAAAAAGGAGCTTTAAATGTGGTTTTGCATTTGGACACCCCCTTTCTTGATTTTGCATTATTACGAAAATGGCTTCCCCTGGGTCACTGTTGGTTGTTCATCCTGGGAATCAGAGTAAACACATGTGGGGTGGACCTGAGTCCAACCCACAAGAGGCCTAGCTGTACCTGCTGCTAGAAGCAGAACCACTAAGCTAAACATATCCTAGATCAGCTGACACCCAGTTGACTTGCAGACACCCATGAAAAATAAAACCTTATTATTATAATAGGCTACTAAGATTTGTGGTTTTTTACACAGCAATAACTGGCTGATACACCTACCAAAAATGGCCTTTTCAAATGTGAGATTCACAGCCAGTCATACATACCTTTGAATCTTGGCTTCCCAAGAGGATCAGTTTCTCTTGTTGGGCTTGAGCTAAAGTCAGTTATATTTTCTGAGAATGGAAAATAATGAACAGTTTTGGCAAAAGATAAAAAAGCTTCACAATACAATGAAAAAGTTGTAGACTAAAGATATTCAATATTTCTTCTTGTAAACTGCTTGCAGTTTTGATTTTTTAAAATTATACATATTCATCCACAATATAAGGCCATTAGTTGTGTCCTGCTGCAAGGTGTTCTATAGTGTGAGTAATGAATTACAAATTATAACCAAGTGGTTAATATGCACTAATAACTTAAGATATGTGTAGTTGGTAATAATGTGATTTAGTAGTAGCATTAGGTAGTCTAGATCTTTTTATGAACCAAAGTTACGCAGTTTCTTCTATGTCTGCTAAGGGAAGGATAATACTCTATAAGGGAGTGTTGAAAATAAGTATTATTTTAAAATTAAAAACAACCATATTAATCATAAAATGGAGTAAAATAGAAGACCTCAAACTGAGACTCACCCATCCCCACCAACATTTAAAATCTTTTGCACCTCACAGCTAAGTATCCAGTGAGAACTGATGGCCATACGAACCCAGTTCTTCTCCAGAGGCAGGAACTGTTGGTTGCTTTATATCTGTCTCTATTCTCTCCAAGGGAGTTCCAGTAGGCCTGGGTGTTGACCTCAGGGGTGGTGTAGTTATTGGGCCTGATGAAATGATTCCTGTAAAGTAGAGCCAAAGTAGTCAGGCTTTATAGGAACACTGCCAAGTTTCCTATAAACATTTATTTATTCCATAAATGTTTTTAAGCACTGACCATGTGGCTTGGCACTATAGACCAGGCTTGGAGAGAAAACAAGACCTGATTCTTGGTGGAGATAGATGTATGAGCCAAGTATATCAGAGCATTATTATAGACATTGTGAAAAAGTACTAGATAACATCACAGAGGGGGCGCGTAAGAAGAGGGAGTGGTTATGTCTGTGAGGAAAGATGGAGGGTTGTCGGTTTGGAGTGGGCAGAGAAATGCCTTCACAGAGGATGTGCCAATAGAGGAGAAGTTATTGGTAGGTAGAGACAAGAGCAGTATTATAGACAGAGGTTATAACAAGAAACATGTCAGGGAAGCATGCAACAGCCTGGTGTGTTTAACTTGAAGGGGTACAATAAGAGCTGAGAGTGGAAGGGCAAGGAAGGGCAGATCATGAAAGAAGTTGAATACCATGGATTTGGATGTTATTTTTAGGGACTGAGTCACTTGTGTAGGCAAGAGAAAGGAAGGTGTACTACAGCAAAGGCAGTGGGACAGGATGTAAGGGGTGGACATGAGAGCTGTCAGGAGACTCAGTGGCAGGCATGGAAGATGGCTACAGAAGAAGGAAAAAGATTCCTAGGGTTAATGTCCATGATTCTGGCCTGGTGGCCAGTATAGTGCTACCCTGATTGCTATATTCAACAGTGACTCCTCCACTCTTAAAACACTTATAAGTCCCTAAAACTGGATCCATCCCAAGGTCCAGGCAAGTCTGGGTGTTTGGAGTCGAAAGGAGACTAGATTGAATTTTATGTTCCACCGGGGAGAAGGAGTCACTTTTGGGCAATAGAGAGTCAAGGGATACAAGCCTGACCCAAGGACTATGACCCAGCATGGAATCAGGGCTGAGTAGTCAGAAGGGCCTCTGACCTGGCCTCCAGGGATGCATGTTCCTGACCCTAGTGAGTATGAGCCACAATAAGAGGTCAAGCAAAACCCAAGAGAAGTTGCACTGCAGTCCACAAGGGCTTTCCAGAGTTGACAGAGACAACAGGAAATGCTGGCATAGCATAGCATTTTCATTCTGGTGAGGAGAGTGGGACTCAGAAGCCTGGGTGGATCTGGAGATTGAGGGCAAGTGGCACATGTCACATGGTGGCAGCCCCAGACTGTGTTCACAGACACATGTGAGAGAGCCTCAGAGGACTCCAGGACATTGGACTGGAATTCAAGATACACTTTCTGTGATGCTAATCAGGCCAAATCTGTACCAGTGCCCTCAATTATGGTTTGGCTCCTCAGTGCAGCCATTTCCCTTGAGTTAGAGGTGAATGGTGGAGGGTGAGGGTGGAGAGCAGGGACTAGGGTTCATCTCAGAAGTGGAATGTATTTACAGTTCTTCTTCAGGCTGGGTGGGCTGTACCAAAGCTATGTTTACTGACAGGAGAGAACAAGGGTTTATATGGCAGGCAAGAAGGCCATCAAACAGCTCCTTAAGGCACACAGCCTCACAGCATTGCTCTGGAGGGGGCCCCCAAGTGGCACACTCAGGCATCACCCTGTGGCTCATCCAGTCTGATCTGCAAGCTGCTGGAGCTCAAGTCACAGCTGCCCCAGGTTACAGTAAATGGGGAAACCCGGTCTCCTAGCAAGGCCATGTCACTGGGCCTTGACTCAGAAAGGCACCAGAGGTATGGATGGGAGGCTGCTTCCTCCTTCAGCCCATGGGAAAATGACCTAGAGTTCACTGTGCACATGGGACGTCCTACAAGCTCCATCACAACAGCCTCCTTTCATCCTGTGAGAACAGTGACATCCACTCCCTTTCATGGCGATCCTCATCAGTTTCATCTTTCACAGCTGTTTTAACACTCTTATCCCGATTCCACCTACAAAATATTTCGGAAGTAGTGTTCTGGAGAGAGGGAGGAAAGATGGGGAACATGCTGAAATTTGCTGGCATGTCCTGGGTGAAGAACCCTCAGTATGAGGTAAAGCTTCTGTCTGAACTAGGTCAATTTTACTGACTCAATTTCATTCCTTTATTCACTTTGTTATTACTCATCAAATATCCTCTAAGTGCTAAGCACTGGATTTGGTTCTGGGAATTCAGAGAAAAAAAACCAAGGACTTTGTCATCACAGAGCTCACAGTCTATTGGGGAAGAAAAGTATGCAAACAAACAGGTCTGACACAATTTTCTCTTTGCTCTAACAGAGGGGTATGTCAAGGACAAGAACAGAGAAGCAGTGCCAAGACTACCTTGAGGAGTCAGGGGAGGTTTTTAAAGAAAAGGATGAAGTCTGAGTATCCCAAGCCAAGCCTGGAAAGGGTCATTCTATAGGGAGGAGGAATGTGTGTGCCCAGGCATGGAGGTAAGAGGCAGCTTGCCTCCAAAACATACTCCTGTACTGTTGCACAGGCTAGGCCTTTCCGTCACCCTGAATATTTTAGTCCCAGATCTTCCCCTGAGCACCATAATACCAGGCCTGGCATGAAGGCTGTTGGATAGGAGAGCTTTCAGTGGGACATATAGAATTTTATTTCAGGAGACAGAATGATAAGTCAATGACAAGTCATCACATCTATTATTCCTGGGGCCTTGGCAATGTACAGCATCTTGTCCAAAATAATCCATTTGTTGAAGGGTCTGAGTCAGCTTCAATCTAGGCTCCAAGCACTCAGACATCTAAGAAGCAAACTTGCCTAGATGCAGAGGCATGGTTTCCTTCTTTCAGTCCAAGAATCAGGTTGTAAGTCCTGAAAGCCATCATTTACAGTGTCTAGTCTTCAGGGCCAACACAAACGTGTCACACACATCAATAGTGTGCCTGTTGCTAGCACGCCAAGAAGAGCTTATGTTGGCTAGTAAAACCGAAATCATGGCGGGAAAAGGAAGGTACATGACTAACGTACCTGCACTTCCTGGCTTTCCAGTGACATTATTTGGTGGTAAAGGTTTTCTTCGTGGGTGTGTAGGTCTGGGTGGCAAGGGTGGGCGGCGAGTCCCTGGGATTGTGGATAAGAGATTGTATTTTAGATAAAGCCATCATAAAGATTCATTATCGAAAAAAACAGGGTTTTTAAAAATAAAAAATAATGTTTGATAATTAGCAGTTGGATGACAGAGAATAGATTCTACAGAAAAGTGCACACAAATATATTCAGATATTCCTATAAATAAATGTTGGTAATGTCCCCAGGGACAACAACGCACTGTAGTATATAGAAAACATGTCCTCATTATAGATGAATATACAGTCGGGCCCTTCATATCTGTGGGTTCCCCATCAGTTAATTCAAACAACTGTGGATGGAAAATTTTTTTAAAAACCACAATAAAAATAACAATACAACAACAGCAAAACACAAAATGTAACAATTATTTATATTGCATTAGGTATTATAATGGAAGATTTAAGTATATGGGAAGATGTGCATGGGTTATATGCAAACACTATATGATTTTATATAAGGGATTTGAGCATCCTCAGATTTTAGTATCTGAGGAAAATCCTGGGACCAATCCCCCATAGATACCAAGAGATGACTGTACACAGGTATATCTACTTTTTGAAAGGCTATAAACACGCATAGAATTTAACATCTTTCATTTTCCATGTAGACTTAACAGAAGCACTTCTGAACTTCATTATCCCCAGCTGCCTTTTATTTTGAGCCTACAATTTCTTATACCATTTTAGTTTTAAATTGTTAAAGCATAAAATTTCTCCTTTTGTGGGTGTTTTGATCCATTCTCAGCTCTATTATGTAATTATAATTAAAACCCTTTAGAACTTCTCAAAGACTACATCGAGGTAACCCTGATAGCTGAAACAAGTCTGTATCTGTAGGGAGCAGGCTCACTGTGAACAGTTGTGGTAGTTGTGTACCACACAAAGACACTTGGCCCAGGAGGTGTAAGTGGGGGACAAAGCTTAGCACCTGCTCTGCTCATCCACTTATGAGCTCTCATGCAAGGCACCAGACAAGAGGAAGGGCTTTGTTTTTCTCATTGTCTGCCTAAAGGGTGGGGTAAACAGGCACCTTTTTATAATTTGCAGAAAGGTTGGTGAGGTCAAAGGTGCTTGGAGAAGTCTGCTTTAACCCACATTTTAAGTCTTGTGCTATAGTTAAACAATTTATATCTTTTTTTGGCATAACATATGTTGGTTTTAAAATCTTCAAGAAAAATTGTTAATCCAGGAAAATGCCTGGTATACTAGTAAGAGAAAGACTCTCTCTCTCTCTCTCTCTCTCTCTCTATGTGTTCAGGAGTGTACTGGTAGTTGACATTAATAAAAGTCTTTATTCAATCCAAAGGTATTCTGAGTCACCAGATTCATACTTTTGGCCTATTACATAGATCATACTCTTAAATCAGGAACATAAGTAATATCAGGCAAAAAAAAATTGTAATAAATTACACAAGAGCAGAACTTAAAACATGATAAAAACTAGAAACCACAGTGATTCTGCAGCATTTGTCCATTATGGTCCCTCAGAACATTATAGCAAGTAATGATTAAGTTAGTATCACATCAGAAGTTCCTATTAATACTTAATTTGTGCACAGAGCACTTTTAATTCCTCCAAAGATAATATTCCAAATGTTTTCCTAGCAATACCCATGCACTGTGTGTGTGGTTCTGATACTTCGGGGGCTGTGTGGATGTTGCTGTTTTTGCCACCAGGAATGATACTGCAGTTACCATCCAAGTTTCAGAGCTGAGCTGTCATAAAAGTCAGCATGTTATTACTTACCTGGCTTTTTAGTGGGGTGGGTAGAGTCCACTGATACATTTCTATCAGCACCTGATGGCCTGGGTGCTTGCTTGACCCCTATGAGCAGAGATAATGAAAGGGAATAAACATATAGCAAAAATGTTCCATGGAAACTTGGTAGAGTTGCCAGTAATAACGTACATTCTTTGCAGAGCAGGAGCATTGGTGTTTTTATGCCAAGACATTTTACGGGCTTCTACTATCTGGCTATAGAAAAAAATAAAAACCCTACATTCACTAGTTGTGATGTTTTCTCTGTAGAATTAGCATTTCATGGTAAATTGTGGTTTTGTCCAAATCTTTCATGAAACTCATCCTGCACTGCCTTACTGGGTGGTATTGCCTCACCAGGTGGGATTTCATTTATGGTAACTGGCCACCTTTTGCCAATATTCATCAGTACATTTTGTAATTCAAAAAAAATTTTTTTCTTCCAATCCCTCTATGCCCATTAAAAAAAACCCACACACATACACCTTAGAATTCCAATGTGTTTGGGTTTATACTTAATGAATTGACTTTAAAATTATTCCTGGAGTGGCATTGGCTATGAGGCTATTGAGACCACAAATGATCTTTTGGGATTTGTAAATTAGCCCTGGGCAGGCCTCTAACTCAAAATTACTGTTTGAAAGAAACTGATTTGAAAATTACTTTGTGTGATATTTTGTCTCCTAAGCCCCTCAATAATCTTGTGGTTATTACTAGCCATTTGCCTAAATACTCAGGCTTGGACTTTGGGTAGCAATCCCAAAGGGAACTAATTAGGTTTTTGTCGTATTTTAAAAATTATTCTTTGATATTATAAAATAATCTTCCTTGGTTTGGGTGACAGTCTTCATTATAAAAGAATAGAAACAGACATTTTTAGAATTTAAACAATAAAAATCACTTCAGAAATAATGACCTGTCCTAAAAAAGAATTCATACTACTTTGAGGACCTGACTGTAATTTACATATTAAGAATAGGAATGAAATATTTACATTAATATACTAGTTAGTACATTAACAATGACAACAACCCTGTTTTGAGGACTCACTGTGTTCCAGAAACTGTTTGGGGACATTATATACTTGATCTCATTTAATGTGTGGGCAGATATATTAAATATACAACAGAAGCTTTGCCTCCCAAAAATATGATGACATTTTCACATTAATTTATGACATTCAGGGGATGAACCTAATATTGCAATCCCACATCCTCTGCTGCTTGAGTAAGAGATAAAATACATAAAATCATGGAGAAAATTACATATGGAATCATGAATTAAACTTATTTGTGATAGGAAAAAAATGTTTCTGGGGGCAATGACTTTTGTGACTAATCTCATAGGCAGGCCACAGGCAAATGGTTCATTAGTCTTCCTCCTGTGTCTCACTGTCAGGGGTAGTGGGGAAGGGAAATGGCTCATTTGAGTGGTTACTCTGTGAACAGCATAGGGAATTGAAGAATACCTGCATGGGGGTCACTGGGGTAACTTGGCTTGCCGAGGTTTGGTTTACCACGATTTCTCCAGGGTAACACAAAGTTTTATATACCCTAGAAGGCTAGTAGGCTGTCTTGAGTAGACCCTTCTTTACAGCCCTTTTCCAAATCTTCCTGCCCTTGAAAAACAAAGTATCTTGATCCAATACTGTGCAAGTGCCTTACATATTCATGACTTGACTTAATCCTTACAACCGTCTGTGTGTGGAATATAATCCACATCCCACAGATGAGAAAATCCAAGGCAAGGGGAGATTAAGCAATTTGCCCAAGGTCTCACAGCTAGGAAGCAGTGGGATTCAGGCCTACATATGCCAGGATCCAAAGCCTATCTCTTCAGCACTAAGATGCAAAGAACAGAGTACTTACTGTCATCTGATCATTTTCTTCCTGCTATTCCTCATAGTAACTCTGAGTGAATACATTCCCAGAGCCCTCTACTCTGTCTCTTGGGTGGCTTGAGCTGCCACCACTGTGTGAGGGCTAAATGGCCATAGCTGGCAAGCATGTGTTATCCAGCCATGCCACGGGTGTGTGGGACTCAGAAGGTAGTCCAAGGCTGCCAGCAGTCACTGACCAGGCATATGCAAGTCCACCAAGTCACAGGGGCTGGTAGGTTAGAAATCTAGGAGCTCTGAAGAGAATCCAAATTTTGCAGAGTTACATTATACGTAAGACCAAAGATACAAATTCCCTTGCCCTCTTTTTTTTTTATCCAGGGAGAAACTGGAAGAAATGAGCCATTTTCTATGTAGGTGGAGACAGAGGCATCATATTCTTATGATCCTTAGACATAAGTTCCCAAATCAAATAGAGAAGCAGCTGCAAAACTGGACTTTCTCCAGCCTTTAGAAATGGATAGAAGCCAGTGGTGCCTGAAAGCATTGGGAAGGGCCATGCAAAAGGCAGCTGTGTGGCTCGGTGGAAAGATCTGGGGGCAGGAGACTGAGCTCTTATTCTGGACTTGCTCTCCTGCACCTAGCTGCTGTTGAGGCATTTCACCCGGGCCAGAACTGGAGAGACTAGTGAACATCTCTTGCCTTGAGTCAGAGGAGAGCAAATGAAGGTCAAAGGTAGCAGAGAGGGAATGGGAAGAGAAAGGAGAAAATCAGTAAGAGAAAGGAGAAAATCAGTAAGAGAAAGGAGAAAATCAGTAAGAGATACTGTAAAGAACAAATTCTCAGGAATTGGCACCCAATTAGACAGTCTGGCCCAAGCTGTGACCTGACTTCTTTTTCCCTCAGGCAGGATTAACCAACACATCTTCTAAAGGGCAGAGTCAGCTCTGTAAGCATCAAGACTTGAGCCTCAGAATGAGCCCCCAACTGCCATAAAAGAGTCCTACAAAAATCTCTGGATTTACATAGTTCACCCCTCAGCAATTTATCATCCAAAATGAAGTAACAATTTGGGTATTTTTAACCATGGTAACAAAAACTTTGCAAACAAACAGTAAACTGGAAATCGGTTCTTAAATGTACCAGTGACTTCATTCCCTGTGATCAAAAAGGGGTGATATTTATGGATGATTGGTTTCTGCACTCTTGTCCCAAATCTCAGCACCTGGTTAAAAAGCCACGGGCAGGGAGCCAGCAGGCTGGAAGATTTAGTTACAGCCCAGAAAAACACATTCCTCAGCCTGAGGGGACTGGATTATCGTGCAGCACACTCATGTGGGGGCAGTAAATTGTGGTTCCCTCATTAGGGTGTAGAGAAAGGAGTCTAGGGTTCAGGTATTTAACAATATCTGCCAAATCATATGTGCCAAGGTGGTTTCAGAATTACACTTTGCCTAGTACATAATGGGCTTTCAATAAATGTTGGTTGAATGAAAAAAATAGCTGCACAACTTCCCTCAGGGAGAAAGTCAGAGAGATTGTCTAGCACTGGGATTGGCAAACTTTTTCTATACTTGCTTTCACAGCACAATGGCAGAATTAAATATCTGTGAAAGAGACTGTTTTGCCCACAGAGTTGAAAACATTTATCCTTTACAGAAACAGTCTGCCAACCCCATGCTAGACAATAAATATTTTCACCTTTGTGGGCCATACTGTCTCTGCCACAACGATTCAACTCTGCCATAGTACTGTATAAGTACCTTTGTACACAGTACACATTGTACATAGCACAATGTGAAACGTAGATGTGTTTCCAATAAAACTTTATTTACAGAAACAGGCAGTGAGCCAGATTTGGCCTGTGGGGCTGTAGTTTGCACAATCCCTTGGCCTGGTGTGTGCATGGCTTGTAGCATCTCTGTAGGCAGGTCTCAAGGAGATTTTAATAGGTAGGACACATCAGCTAAGCTGGGACACGTCTCTGGAAACCATGGAAAAGCAGAATGCTAGAAAAATGACCCACTTTAGACCTCAACCTCTGCAGGCTACTTTCTAACCTTGGGGTACAGCAATGTCTATCTACACATACATGCATAAAATACACATACATCAGGGAAAATATCTAAAATGAGTGAAATAACATATAAAATACTGAGCTCAAGATATTCCTGGGGCTTACGGAATCACAAGATTTTTATAGAGACCTCAACAGTCAAAGGTCTGTAGTCCTTAGGCCTCAGAATCTGTTTTTCCTTTTTTAAGTCTTCCAAGGGCACAACCTTAGGTGGTCTAAGACTGTAAAGAACATGTCCTATAGGAACTACAAATTAAAACCACAATGAGATACCACCTTTCTCCTGCAAGAATGGCCATTATCAAAAGTCAAAAAACAATAGATGAGATGGCGTGGATGTAGGGAAAAGGGGCCACTTATACATCGCTGGTGGGAATGTAAATTAGTACAACCTCTACAGAAAAGAGTTTGGAGATTCCTTAAAGAACTAATAGTAGAACTACCATTCAACCCAGCAATACTACTACTGGGTATCTACTTAGAGGAAAATAAGTCATTATATGAAAAATATACATGCACATGTATGTTTATTGCAGCACAATTCACAATTGCAAAGATATGGAACCAACTTAAGTGACCATTGACTAATAAGTAGATAAAGAAAATGTCTGGTATATATACACCATGGAATACTACTCAGTGATAAAAAAGGAACATGATAACGTCTTTTGCAGCAATTTGGATGGATCTAGAGACCATTATTCTAAGTGAAGTAACTCAGGAGTGGAAAACCAAAAACTATATGTTCTTACTTAAAAGTGGGAGGTAAGCTGTAAGTACACAAAGGCATACAGAGTGATATACCGAACTTTAGAGACCCAGAAGGGGGAGGGTGAGAGGAAGCTAGGGATAAAAAACTACAACTTATTAGGTACAGTGTACACTACTCAGGTAATGAGTGCACTAAAATCTCAAATTCAACACTATATAATTCATCCATGTAACAAAAAACCATTCATGTTTATCCATGTAACAACAAAACCCAAAAACCATTGAAATAAAAATTTTAAAAAATAAAATTAAAAAGAATATGTCCTATAGATCACAAACACTTCCTTTATTAACTAATTTTTTAAAATGTGAAATATCTGAGTTGAAAACTTCAGCAAGAAAAACTATAGGA
This sequence comes from Homo sapiens, assembly GCF_000001405.40. NCBI lineage: Eukaryota > Metazoa > Chordata > Mammalia > Primates > Hominidae > Homo > Homo sapiens. The sequence continues at coordinate 100,785,181 of NC_000003.12, forward strand.
AAATGTGAGATGGATAATAAAGATAAATATTCTGAGTAAGATGTCAAAGCTGAACATGAAACCATTTAACACAAAAATGATGCATTAGAAGAGTCAACAGAGGCTGAAAGTGTGGATGAGACAGTAGAATTGTGTCAGAGAAGAAAAGAAACTTTTGTGAACAGCTGCATTTCTATAAAGAAGTCTGATCAAAACTATGCAGAATCAAAGGAAGGTGGACTAAGGTAAGTCTACAACCGGGAGAGGAGAGATTTTTAAACATTTTTTCCTCACCAATTTTTGAAAATAGTATTCTCTAGGCAAATATCTGAGAGCTGTTGTTTTCCATAATAATATGCTACATAGATGATCATGTTATCTATAATTTCTGAATTTTATGCCATTTACTTCTTTTCTTGCCTACTGCATTGGCTAAACATTCACTACTATATTCAATAGAAGTGGTGAAAATAGAAATCCCTGCTGTACTCTCCATCTTAGGAGAAAAGTGTTTAGTCTTTCACCATTAAGTACAGTGTTAGTTGCAGCTTTTTCTAGTCTATTGCCTTAACCACTCGGCCACAACTACTGCTGGTGTGAATTTTGGCAGTCGTAGCTTTTTCACAGATGCCCTTTATCAGATTGAGGAAAATTCCTTTTATTCTTAATTTCCTGAGAGCTTTCATTGGGGATGAATTTAAAATTTTGTCTAGGTTGTTTTGTGCATATAATTGGATAATCATATGATTTTTCTTCTTTATTCTGTTACATGGTGAATTACACTAATTTGTTTGAGTGTTGAGCCAACCTTGCATTCCTAGGATGAATTCCATTTGGTTGCTATAAATTACTGTGGCTGACATGGAGATGTACTGCCCAGATCTCCATTCAGTGCTCTCTGGTTGAAGCTTACTCTGAGGGAGATGATAGCTGGGTGCCGTCTGCTGACCTCACTCCCTGCAGGCAGGCAGCAAGTCCTTCCTTGACAGGGGATCCCAATCAACAAATAAAAGAATATAGACCAGGCACAAAAAATTTTGTTTGGGGATGGAGGTGGAGTAAAGAAAGAGGAAACAGTGAGCTCAGCTTTGTCTACCTGTGCCCACCAGCCCAATTTCTCCCAACAATTGACAAATTAAATTGAAAAGCCCTGCTATATTATTCTTCCAAAGCTAAGTTGGATACATTATTATAAAGTTGACTTTATGTATATAAGAAGGTAATAGATATCCATTTGTAATACAAGTGGGCTTTGGAAGAATATTTATATTGTTGATAAGCTAAAATATAATAATGGTTTGTTTCCCTGAGAGATAATTGCATGCTCCTAATAAGAATCAGTATTATAGTGAAGGTTAGTAGCTTTCAAGTGTGATCACAGCTACTTTACTTGTTCTTTCATTTGCTTGGTTGACATCTAAGTGCTTTTATTTTTACTTATGCAACTTCCAAGGAATTATTTGAATATTAAACAATTTGTACCTGCCTTCCTCCCAAAAGGATCTGAGAGAAGGTGGCTCCGTTTACAGCCAGATTGCTTATGTCAATCTGAAAAATTGTGCACCATCTAATCCCACAGTTGGGCAGAATAAAAAGAGTAGCTGAGCACAAATAGATATTGAGATGCTTTCTTGCTTTTCATAAGTCATGAATTTATAGTATTGGCCTCATTATTTGGTTTGAAGATAAGTGAATTCCTAGAAATTCAGAGACTGTAATAATCAAGTACAAAAAGCACATTCTTAAAGCTAAATAATTTGTAGACTAAATATCTCTAGGTATTATTCACATCTCTTTTTCATTAGAGAACCGTCATGGGTTCATCAGATATATATACATTAAATAAATTTTAATTTTTTTACCTAAGCAAACACAAGAGTTATACTACTAAAAATATTTAAAGGGAATGATACAATTCTATGTTAAGGCATCTAAATAACTACCATTTATCCATGAAGTTGGGTGTTTGAATATTTATTAGATCAGTGTCCTAGTTTTTCTAGCATAATACTTACTCCCAGAGATCTGATTAGATTAGAGCTATGTTATTTAAGATGAATGATTTGAAAACATTAGTGACTGTTACCAGGGTAACCAGATGCGAATTGCTCTGATTAAATATTTGTTGTTTAAATTTCATATTCCAGATTGCTAACAGATGCAGTTATTCAAAAAAAATTTTAATGGTACTTGGTAAATTATAAACTTAAAAACCAACTAATTACAGTTCAAAGACTAGTCTGTGTAGAAAAAGCATTTTGAAATTAGGGGAAATAGCTATTTTTAGTGTTTTCACTCAATTTATTCTTAATCAGGATCGTTTTCAGAAGCAAGATTATATATAGTAACTAGTAGACTAGGTTTAGAAAAGTGAAAAAGTCTTCACTATTTTTAGAGACATTTGAAGTTTTGATTTTGGAATGAGTTATAATTTTCAGTTACAGAGTTACTAAGAACTTTAAAAACTGGTAAAAAGGAAATTAAAATGTGAATTCAGCAATATCATGAAAATTAAATAACACTTATAGTTTTGACAGGATAAAAAGGAAATACATTTGTGATTATTACCTGTTCCCACTCCATTCCCACTGGGCATCCCACTGGGTTTGGGCCTAGTAGGTCTTGTAGTTGTCCTATTCAGAACTAAAATAAAGTGGGATATAAATAGTTCATTTTCTTATTGAAAGTTTGCAGCCGAGAAAAACAAAATTTCTCAGAGAATTGAAAGTCATTTAGGCAATAAAAAAGATGACTTACCAAAAATATTATTCAGAATATAGAAACCACAGTCTCGTATAAAAATAATAGACTTGAATTTGAAAATAGAGACCTGAATTTGTATTCTGAGGTGATCACTGGGCTTCAATACTTGACTTGAAAAAGTAACTGGCAAGGGAATTTATAATCCGAAGTGGGAAAGATCTTGTTTCATTTATAGGCATTAGATACATTCCAAAATGGAACTGAAGAAAGATCAGGACTACATATGTCTAATGAAAAACCAAAATCTGAAATGTATTTGTCAAGGCCTCCATTCATAAGTTGGAGTCTTTCCACATCCTTTTGTGGGAATCCCTAGGTACAGAGGTTTCATTATACTAGTCCTTTCACAAAGTCCATTGCCAAGCACAGAACTTGATGAAACCATTTTACTTTCTTTCCTGCTTGGGAGAAAGTCATAGCCTTACCAAAGCCTTGAGAGGTGATCTATTTTATAACCCATTTAGAAGATTCTTTAAGGAGGAGCACTAAGTGTACTGTGCTTATGTGAGAAGCTCTGGAGCCATACTGCTCATCTTTTGATCCACTTTCTAGTTCCTCTGTGTGCCTCAGCTTCCTCAACTGTACCTCACAGGGCACATGGCCAGTGCTCGGTCATTATTAGCCATGATTGTTACTACTTAGTTTTTAGAAATGTTTAATATAACCAGTCTCACATTAAGCTCTCAACACCTATCATGACACACAAAGTCAGAGAGAAATACACATGGTTATAGAAGATTTCTGTGCCCAATTATCTTTAGAAGTTGGAAAATTATAACAAAATATATGGACTCTACATAAACCAAATAATATAAAATTATTGTTATAAAGATGCATTCCCCGAGAACATTCATTCGTAGCAGGTTTCATCATTTGGAACTTTAAGAGTCCTTAGAATCACAAAGAAAAAGAAAATGAAACACCAGTGTGTGGTCCAACTTGTGCCTCAGCATAAGAGTGATTTACATGAACTAGATCAACCCCTGCAAGTTAACTTTTTTTCTGAACAAGCTCCAATGAGGGTAATCCTAGGACCTTTGGAGAATTTAGTAAATTTAACGTATTTCCCAATATATAACTATTTTTGCTGTTTATAACTTGTGATATTTTTATTCTCTGAAGGAATCAAGTAAAAATGTTCTCCCAGAACAAGAGCTTTCCTGTGCTGAAAAGAGACCCTCTTTTCTTCAGAGAGAAAGAATATCTGAAAGTAAGTATTAAATAATAACATGTCATAGCTAACTCTATGCAACCTCTTTGTCAGGAAAATTGTCCAACACTATTTTTAAATACTTTTAAATCAATAAAATTTCATAGTGATCTCTGCATCTGATTATCCTCAAAATCCTTAGTCAAGTCTTGTCACATTTATGGATTCATCAATACCTTTCCACTTATCCACACAGATCAGAGTCTCTGTACATCTCTTATTGCAATGTAAGGGTTCCCCTTTGGTGTATTTGGCTATTTCAGTCCATTTCATATCTTCCCCTGCCTGCTGATTATTTAAGTCATCAGAGAAACAACTTACCAGGTCTGATGTGTGGCTTGTCAGATGTTCTGGGCCTCACAGTAGTATAAAATCTGTGTGGCGCTGAAACAGAGGAACACTTTATATTTAATAACCAACAGACCAAAGCCTCCTGAATGGAGATTTAGCATCCTAGGGACCAACAACTCATACACTTTGCATGGACGTATAAAGAAGGTTCAGAAAATTCCCATTATGCATTATAGACTTCACGCTAAAGGAAAATAAAACAAAGAAAATATACATGACTGAAAATTAAAGATGCACATAGAATGAGGTAGTTCATTTGTAAGATGTGTTAAGGATTAGTCATCATTTTGTCCCTATTTTTCAAGAGCATTCATTTTACCAGATGTTTGCTTAGCATGATAAACCCATAAGCCATCCATCTGTCTGTTCATCTGTCCATCCATCCATCCATCTAATCTCTCAGTGAAGAGTCATTGTGAAATATTATTTTGCTAAAGAAGTCAAGCAATCTTAAAGGTAAAAAGAGATTGAATGTTTAGGTAGGTAAAGAAGAAAGAGTAGGAGTATATGGTCTCTATCAAATGGTCTTTGCTCATGAACCTGAAACAAGTAAGTATTCACTCAGTGTCATCCATAATGCTGTAGAAATGACAGAAAATGACATCTGGTGCCCTGCCTATCAAAAGAGGACAAGCAAGGAGCAAGAACTCAGATAATCCCTGGGCCAATTATCCAGGACCTGCACAGAAAGGCATCCTAATGAAGACTTGCTGAAGGAATGAATAAGTGGGTGACCATTGTATGCAGGCAAACTTGTGAGAACCTGCTGAGATATTAATGCATCCTAAGGTTTTAAGGTAAGCATTCATCCTGGAATTCATCTATTCCATGCTGCTTCTCCTGTCCCCACTTCCCTATCACATACTGCCTCCTGCCACCAGCTTTCTTGGTAATGTTTTTGGAAAAATTTTTTCTTGCAAACTTTGTAAGTAGATTACATCATTTTAATGATTTTATTCACATATTGAGTGGATATTTATATAGCCATAAATCAGCAATGCCTTGCCTACTAAGTTAAAAAAGTATGCCTGTGAAATTGGTTATAATGTAGCTCATTTATAAACTTCCAATGTAAAGACTGTGATGAGCAGAATTTTGCCATACTTCAAACCAACAACAGCGGACACACACTGAAATTCTCTATAGGTTTATTTTGGGCCTTCCCAAGTATAATAACCATAAAAATTAATTCTCACAGACCCTAAAGTGCCTGATGATTATTTGCAATTTTTTTCTTCCAAGTTTGAGATGGTGGGATTCCCTGTTAATTTAGCCTATTTCTTCTTTCCACATAAATCCCTTTGAATGTTAGGTTGCTTCTGCTTAAAAAAGATAAGAATCATAGTTCTTGTCTCATTCTAGAATATGTATAAATTTTAAGACTTTGGACAGGAAAGAGATTGAGAGTAGACCACAGAAATAATCAGCACTACATGATTTCAAAGCCATGGCATCTGAATTTTTGTTTTAGTTTTCTCCATAGTCTTCATTTAAGTCTAGAAAGAATTTTTTTATAAAAGAGCTTAAATATAATTTAAGTTTAGGTTGTAACTTACTCATATAGCTCATCACCAAACAATATATGGCCTTGAGGGTTTCAATTTTAAACATAGTACAAGAGCTAAGGATATAAGAAAAAAGTCAGCATGTACAAATATGTTAAGACAATTTATATAATGATATGAGATCATGGATATACTCCCAATAACAGGTGAAATTTATATTTAATACAATATTTTGAAGGAATTTGATTAAAATTCCATATATACTAGTAATGGTGACACAATATTCTCTTTAAAGTAGGAAAAGGCAAAACGAGGAAAGAACAGGCCTGTGATCTTTTATCCTCATTCTGAAATCCTTAAATCTCTAAAAAGCTGAAATCTTTCTCATTTGGCAACACAACCTGTGTGGAATGAAAGTCTTTATTTATCCTGCTTGTTGTAAATATTTATGTATTTTGTGGTAAAAACAGATTGATTATGAGAATCCAGCTATCTTCTCTTAAGCCAGAAATTAAAGAGATTTGCAAAAACATGAAATAATAAACATACAGAAATCAGGGTGGAATAGGGATGTATCACAACGGAACATCTGTTCATTGCTGAGGCTGGTAATAGAGATGTGAGAGGGCTGTCAATATGTTATACTTCAGACTTCTGTGTGTAATTATAAATTAACAGCAAATAAAAATTAAATGAAGTAATTGAATAAAAGTTTAAAACGTAACAAAAAGTTAAACCAAACAAACAATAAAAAAGATTTAGAAAATTTAGAGGAACTGCCCTTTACTATAGTCTTTCTTAGTCACGTTTACTTGTAATAAATATTGCCCCAGTGACACATGTACTTTAAAATGAGATTTCTTTCATTATCATTTCCTCTTATTATCAAACTTCTCCCACCAACTTTCCCCCTCAAATTAGAACTCATAATGGGCAACATACATTTATTTGTGTTCTAACTCCCTAAATGTTTGCTGGTTTTGGTCTTATTTTTGGCTTTCTACCATCTGATAGAGGCAGAGATGGGCAAAAGGGGTATTAGCAGTCCACAAGTGTTATAACCTAAGTAGGATAGTAGGATAGAAAAGTGTAAAGAGGAAAAGACTTCTGAGTGCATGAAGATGAGATAGAGCTTTGTGTAGGCGAGTTCACTTCCCCAAAAGCAGAAAATCACAGAGAAGAAATAAAAAGTAGGAAATCACTTCTCTGGATGTTTAAATATTGTCATAATTTTGAAAAATGATTTTTCTTTTTAATAGCTTTTTTCTTATTAATGTATTTCATCAAATGGGGGAAGATTGGAGAAAGTGAGAAAAGGAGAGAAGAGAAGGAGGAGGACCAGGAGGAAGTTAGAGAGGGAGCAGGAAGAGGAAGACAACAGTTATTATTTATCAGATATGGAAAACGAGGCAAATGAAGGTCAAATGTGTGGAAAAAATGGGATCTTCCACTCTTAGTTATAAGCATCAAGTAGTCAACAATACATTAAAAAAAGTAAGTGCCAGTGAAAGAACTGGTCTTGCCTACATTCAATTGATATTCATATGAGTATTCAGATTTGGCTGATTTCTTTCACCTATAAAATGACAAAAAAAGTCAAGTAATCCACTGTGTTGAGAAATGACATTCTGAAAGAAAATTTCTTTCCTGATTAAAAGCAAATAAGGAAAAGTTATTCTCCAGAGGTAGGGGAGAGGATTACCCTGAGTTGTCTTTGCTAGTTCAGTTGTTCGTGGAATCTTAGTTGTGAAAGGTTCTTGGGTGGATTGGTCTGTTTCTTCTAGAGAAAACACAGTAAGATTGCTTGTTTTAAATAATTAACATTATGAATATGACCAAAAAAACCCATACTCTTTTCTGTCCCATGCAATAATAAAAGGATAAGTTGCATTTAGAAATACACTCAGTAATCACAATAATTCAAAGTTAGTGGTACATTTTAATAACTCTCATTTATGATATCTGCTGTTTTACACTATTATTTTAATGATTGTTATAAGGATTTCCAAAAGCTTTTAGCTCAGGATCATTGTATCATTAATCTAGTTGTGGCTATTCTTGGATATGGCTCATGTATGAAAGTCTCCTAGTTGCCTCGATGTATTTATCTCCTTCATGTTTCTTTCCTGCCCATAAATCTCACATGTTATTTTGATGAGCTGGAAAGGAAGTATATCATATGAAAAGATGTATATTTACATCACATAAAACAAATATTCTATTTTTCTCATGTGAAAATCAGAGCGTATGTTTGACATACAAACACAATCCTCTTGACAAAATAAAAAAAATACATACAGCAATACTCCCATTCCCATGTTACCTTGAAATCATATATTATATAGACACAGCAAATTACACTGTTCACTTTGCCCATATTGGATCCAAGGAAATACTTGGTATAAATGATACACTGCTATCTTTTTGTTTTCTGTCCTGCTTTTGTATTCTCTTGATTCTGCTCAAGAAATACACTTGTGATAATTGACAGGCAATGGTTCTGATGTGAATAAACCAAGACACATTAGAAAAATAGGGAGTAGAAGTTAAATAATTAGCATATTCAGTAGTGGTTTTTGAAAAGTACTTTTAACTTTGCCATCATGGGCACTATTGATTTTGCAGAAATAAGCTAGATTAGATGAATATTTGATTAGAATATATTTGCTCAATTTTAATTTTTCTTCCAAAAGGATTTTATTTTAAAATGTGATCAGTAACTTTATTTCAGTAGATACCCACAAAGGATGGATTATTAGAAAAGGAATGAAGGGAGACAAATAGGGCCACTGACTTAAACAAAGCCATATGGGATGCAATGTAGACAGGAGAGAGGAGCCAACAAACACAAGCCAGAACTTTAGCTTTTTGGTTCATTTTCAACCAAGAGGCAGGCAAACTGGAGTTTCCCACACAGCACATTTGTGTTGAACTCCTTGAAAGCATGTTCAGCTCATCCCAGTGGACCTTTCCAACTTACCCATCCTTGTTTCTCCAGGCAACTACCTGCTTATCAGTTTAGTCTAACTGTCATTCCTTGCCCTGTGCCTCTTTCCCATCTGTCCGTAACTTCAAAGAACCATTTGCATCTTTGACTGGTCAACTTTCATTCCAACTTGAAGACCCAGTGTAAATGACCCTAATCTGAGAGGCCTTTCCTTATTTCTCCAGGTAGTTTGTTTGTTCAACATGTTGCTCTTTTCTCTATCACACTCATTGTAATTAGTATAACATTGATGTTAATCCTAGGCACCCTGTCGGCTGAGTGTGTAGATTCTAATCCTGGCTCTGACACCAGCTGTTTCACCTTGGCCAAACTTTTAAACCCTCTACGCCTCAATTTTCTAATCTGTAAAATGGAACAAGTAATAGAACTTACTTCACAGAGTTACATGGTTTACATTTTAAAAAGGCATGTAGTGTATTGGGTGGCACAGAGGCTGCAGTATTATAACCAAGTCCTGTCTTCATATTAGAGGGTGAGCCCTCTAGTGTAAGGACTCCTCTTTAAAAGTTTCTTGTTAGAACTGCATCACCTAACAGTGCACCCAGTAAAGGCTTAATAAATACTAGATAAGTAATTTTTCTTCCCAAATGCAGTTTAAAATACAGAAAAAGCAACAAAAAAGAACAGCATTGATTTAGGAACATTTTTCTTTTTAGAATACTTAAAATTCTTAAGTATTCTAAATCACACTTAATCACCAGAGCCAATTTAACACATCTTAGATGTGTTAAAACATTCTCATTTTATATTGAAAATCAGCATAAATATTAGGACAAATACACAGTTAATGTAAAAGTATTGAGTGAAATGGATTTTTAAATAACCTATTATTTAGAAAAAATCTGTGAACATAATGTATTATGGTTACTTTAAGGGAAATTCCTAAAAGGCAAGCTCTCTTTGAACAAATATTAAAACGAAATTTACCCAGAGTGGTCTGTAGTTCCTCTTGACTAGGACTTGGGGAAATCATGGGTATAAAAGGGATGCCTCGTGTCTCTAGAGGAGCTGCAAAAAGAAAAGGACCAAGGTTGTAAATTTTTAGATTCAAAGCCAGCACCAGACCAGATTGGTATTACATGAAATTCCTTCATTTGAAGTAGAAAAAGGAAAGAAGAAAGTTAAGTGTGCACACGACTTTCAGAAAAATGACTGCGGAATATTAGAAAAATGGTTCTCAACTGTTTTTCCACCAGGACACATACTACATGACATTCTGTTCTTGAACCAATCCATCAGAATGGCTGGTTGAGATGGGGTGTGGGTTAGACACAGTCCTGGACTATTGGCTGTAGCTCTGTCCCTCTCTCCCCCGTTCAAGAGAGCATGCATGATTACCAAATGAGTGAGAATATCATCATTGTTGGTATCATCTCCTTGAGTCTGCTTGAGTAGACTCAAGTAACAAATCACTGGGAATTTTCAGTATTTTGACCAATATTGATAATTACTTGCAGTATCTTTCAAACTTACCACATACTAGTATGTTACATTACAGCTGAGAACCACTAAACCAATGGAAATTGTTAAATGGGCACCATTAGTAAACATACTGGACTCATTTTGAAACATGGAGATAGATGAAGTAAATGAAGATGTATTCAGTAATGTCTTAAGGTGGTCTTCAAAGCAAACCCATTACAACACTGAAATAATTGCTTTTCTGTTTTGGAAAGAGTAATAATAATGAGAATGAAATGATGAATGGATTGAGAAGAAATGATGTTTCAACAGGATCATTTGAGAAAGGCCTGCAATCTTGATGGTAGCAAAGAAAACAGAGTTGGTCAATATGGGAAAACCATTACCTATTGTTGTCTTTGGTGGCTCAAATCTAAAGGTAACAGGCTGCAGAACTATGCCAAAAGCAAGCCAAAGGAACATATTTATGAGAATTACTACCTGGCAAAGTCAAAATAGTTTCCTTATTTTTTAGATGCATTGATTTAATAATTTAAATGTTCTCTAAGAATTGTAATAAATAAGAGAAAATTCTTCACATTAGATGCCAATCAGAGAACTTAGTTTAACTAAAACTTTGAAGTTCTCATTCACTGTCACTTTGGGGAAAATTTCGAGTAGGCACCCACTTTTTTTTACTTAAAAGTACATCCATAGTTGTAATGTAGCTACATTTACATTTTGAAAGGATATAAGCGTTGGCTTAGTTAACAATGATATTTATAATTTTAGCGTGATCTACTCAATGAACCTATATACTATTCCCTCACTTCACCAAGGAAAAATATTTCAACCAGATGATTCAATTTACCCACAAGAAATATGCATTTTATACCCATATTTTTTCTCTAAATTTCTTCCATATCACAACCATTAAAAATATATTTACTTCAAGAATTTTTTTTTTTGAAAAATATACTTCTTAGCCAGAAGGATGAAATAATTAATTTACCAGGTTCGCTCTGAGAGACCTCAGGGTATGGTTTATGAGGAAGGAGCACATCTTTTGGAGCTGAAAGAAAAAGATTATAAAACACTGCATACTCTAAATAACCCAACTGGAGTGAGCTTAACCCACAGATATAAAAATCCCAGAAAGCATGAATGAAGCAAAAGTATTTTTACAATGGTTAATGACCAAAGTTGAGAAGATGCCTGTTTTCTTCAAAATGGAAAAATGTTACCGTGCAGGGAAGGTTCTGGTGGCAGTGAAACAGAAACGAAGTCAGTCACAGTTCATTTTGAAGTCTTCCTTGAGGAAGAGGAGGAGATAGCTAACATAATTAAACAATGAGGTAGAGCTCCCTCAAGTGGCTTTCAAAATAGAAAGTCAGTTTTTGCACAAAGTGGTTAGCTGCTGTTTGATATTCATGCTTAAAGTCCACTAACAGCAACAAAAAATATGTATCTTAGATAAAGTACAAAAGTGGCTACAAATTGGGGGAAACAATAAGAAATGGAAAAATCTTGAATATGTAAGAAGATAACACAGTCTTATTCTAAATGGCACTTACCGTTGCTGGGGGGAGAAAATGAAGCAAAAGGAATCAGCTAGTCATTAGAAGATACCACATGTAAAGTTAATGATAGTGCTTGTTACTTAGTAAATGATAGCTGTTGCCATTTTTGTCTTCTTTAGTGATGTGGCTTCCAGTATATTAGGTGTCAAGCATGCTTGACATAAGCATATGAAAACAAGACAAAAATGTCAGCTGAACAATAGGCCTACTCGTATATGCAGTGCCTGAAATCCAGTATATTTTTTAATGTTTGTGTTCTATTTTAGCAAAATTAAACAGTAGATTGGAAACTTGGTACCGTATTTCTCAGTGGGGAAAATATTAGGGTGATTTGTCTATTTGTTAGTACCAGATTTCTGCAACAAAATCTCATTCCACAAATAGTGTAAAGTACTTCAACTCAGTTTCCCCACAAACCTACCCAGGCCTACTCTCTCAATGAAAGGTTTTCCTACCACACTAAACCTTTCATACACACCAGTGTCTTTTTGTCAGGCAATGTAATTTCCTTGCATCTTATATAATGCTGGAAAAAAAATTATGATTCAGGCTAGAACTCTGCCTCAGAAGAAAGATGAAGAAACTGTTTTTTTTTTTTTTTTTTATTATGAGGTGGCCAAGCACCACTTTACCATTAGTGGAGAAATAGGTTATATAAAATGAACAATCTCTTTTTATTGTTTTTGGGAATCATGTTTAACTTGCATGCCACATCTGTTCTTAGACTAGGCTGCTAAGTATTAGTGAAATTACAATTGTGAAAACTGGTACACTGAACAGAAACTTGACTCAGAACTTTTATGAGCTAAAAGGTAACATCCAAGGGAATTTGAAAATATGGATTGTTTTCTTAAAGAAAAAAGGAAACTTTAAAAAGATTAGTGGTTGATAAGGTAGAGAAAGCCCACCACAATAGTGAACATTTTGCTTTTGCATGTGGTTTTTTTTGGGATTCAAATAGTAACATATGAGAAATTTCCAGCTGTAAATGAAACAAAATGTTTATCTTGAGGCTGAAGAAGGCACTTTGATTTAGCTCTGTGAAGGCCATGAACATTCAAAGCAGCCTTTAGTTTATAAATACTCTAATTAGTTACAGTACTACACCAAACAAAAAGGAGCTGGGATTAAGGAAAGGAGAAGCTGAGAAGAGATGTGGTACTAATAAATCCACCATACTGTAAATACATTATTCACTGCTGCTCTAGTTTACTGAGGAATTTAGGCTGGGGTAATGTGGATTCCAGCTGCTAAAATTGGCACTTTTCTTTTTAACCGTGAAGTGATGATTTAATAAACTGTCATAGCAGACTTCCTAAGCAGGTGAAATCAGTGGAAAGGAAAGAAATAGAAATATTTACAGGAAAGTAATATGAATCATTCTCCTACTTGGTCAACTACAGCTCCAAGAAATTCAAGTTGTTTTTTCTTTTTTTCCTATGTGGCATTCCTCTGTATGTTAAATTGAACAAGAGCACGGTCCCTAAAACGTACATCTTTCATGCTGGGAGAAACTCATCAATGAAAATAATGATGACAATTTTCTGAGAAAGCAGTTTTGATTTCTTTATAATAATATTTACTATTATTATAATTTTAGATTTAATTATATTAACCAACTTATACCATTTATACTAACCAATCTGTCTTTTTGAATAAAGTGTGCCACTCCAAAGAAAAGCCAACACAAGTAGGAATGCACAATGTCTGTCATAGATAAACGTAAATGAATGTGCATGAATGTTTTGATAGAGTTAGAAAATAATTAATGTGTTTGCTTTTGATAAAATTAGAATATGAAGTCTGCAATAAGGTTTACCCTGGCAATAGGCTACAAAGAGACTGATTCTCTTAAAAAAGTAAGACATATAGACTACATACCATATTCTATTCCTTTAATCTATACTCTCTATTCCTTTATTCTAACCTTGTACCATTAGGTCCAGTCTGAGTCTGAGAGGAAGCCCCGTTGGAGGCTACCTGCTGGCTTTCCCTGTGCTCTTGGGCCACCCTCCCTTCTATCTCATTTGAGGCCTTTTACTTTCCATTATTTCTGTTATATTTTTCTCTATTTGTCCATGTTTTCATTTCTCCATGTTACTTCCCCTCTACCTACAAAACAGCTCGAATGCTCTAATATCTTTAAAAAAAATCATTTCCTTGACATGGCTTCTCCTTCAAACAATCCCTCTCTCTTGCTCTCATTCCTTTAATAAAAAAACTATATATCTGCCTTGGCTTCCTCACCTTTTAGATGTATTTTCTTCATCCACTGTGGTCCAGCCTCCACTCATTTCCTGCAACAGTGCCTTCATCATATTCTTAGGTCCAGAAACTCTGAAAGCTGAGTTTTCTCTTAATCTATTCAATAGCAAAACATAACTTGTACTGATCTAAGGGCTGTTTATAGGTTTTAGTTATTCTGCTTGGGAAGACTATTCATACTGCTCACTGAATACATATTAATGTTTCTAATCAATGGTATATGTACTCACGTAAGTTTCTAAAATCTGGAAACTGCTAATTCTGAAGCATGCAGCCCAAAGGTTTCAGAGAGTGGGATTCTGGGCATGCACAGTCAAGCTGGCAGCCTCTTCTGACCCCTCTCCATCTCATTGCCACTGCAATGCCATTGCCAACCTTCTCTTCTTAGGCCTTTTCCTGCCTCATCTCCCAACTCCTTTCCTGATTCTCTCTTATCTTTTTTGACAACATCTGGAAGCTCTTTTTCCTGTGCCTACTCCTTGAATATAACTATGCTGCCTAAATATTGGATTTCCGGTTTCTTATTTTCTCCATCTATATTTTCTCCTCTATGATATTATCCAACATTTAAGAACTATCTAGATGTAAACAAACAGCTCCTAAATCTCTGCCCCAAATCCTGACTTCTGTTTAGAAGTCCAGAAAACATCTTCAACCATCAGTTAGGGTCTTCCCACTCAAAGTCCTACTGGTCCTGCAAGGCTAGCATGTACACACCCATCTTTATTCCTCTCTCTATTCCCTGTTTCAGTTAACGGCATCATTATCTACTAGTTGGCCAGTCTAGCAATAGCATTGTCACCCTTCTCTCCATAACAGCATTCAGTCATTCTCTAGGTCTTTGTAGTTCCATATCCAAAAGCATTTTCAGCATTATTCCCTTAGTTTCCTTTCTACCACAATTAGTTCAATTTCTCAGACTTATCTTTCTAGATTGTTGCAAACCTACTAAGTGATTCCTGGCTATTAATCTTTTTTTTTTTTTGCCTGTTAATATTCCATTTAAAAAAATCACAGCCATCTTTCTAAAATACAGATGTAATTATATCACTCCCATGATTACAAAAAGAAACACACACAATTTTAATGTCTCCTAATTGTCTAAAGAAAAAAAATTTGAAGTGCTTAGCATAACCTAAAAGCCTTCAAACATATGAATCCAATTTACATTAAGTCTTCATCTCTCAATAATCTCATCATATGGCCAGGAATGTAGTCATTCTGAGTCATGCTGTTTCTCAGCTATATGGAGCACGGAGTCTCACTCTGTCACCCAGGCTGGAGTGCAGTGGTGTGATCTCGGCTCACTGCAAGCTCCGCCTCCCTGGTTCATGCCATTCTCCTGCCTCAGCCTCCCTACGTAGCTGGGACTACTACAGGTGTGTGCCACCATGCCCGGCTAATTTTTTGTATGTTTTAAGTAGAGACGGGGTTTCACCATGTTAGCCAGAATGGTCTTGTTCTCCTGACCTCGTGATCCTCCCGCCTCAGCCTCCCAAAGTATTGGGATTACAGGCGTGAGCCACCACGCCCAGCCTGGAGCACTTTTTATACCTCTGAATCTTTGCTTCCTTAAAAATCATCAATAGCTACTTGCCTATTAAAATCTATCTTAAAGCTCATTTTCTTGATAATACCTTCTCTAATTCATACATTTAGAATGTATTACTTTTCTGTTATTTCATTTTTTGTTTATATCACTAACCCATTAATTACTGAGATTTGCCTTGTTTTATAGTTATTGATATTATTCCTGTTTTCTCCACTGCACTGTGTTGGGTGGTAGAGATTATATCTAATTCTTTTAATCCTGATTTTATCCCTAAGCATGGAACCAGGCAGATAAGTGGCAATCAATATTTGCTGAATTGAACATGCATTAGTGCATTTTTTTTTTTAGAGCAAATCTGGAAAAGATGGGCAATTCCCATGAACCAGCATTGTACTTTGCTAAGAAACATTTTAAAGACTCAAATTGACCTCTCCCAAAAGTCTCTAATTCTTTTCCAGGGAAATGTAAAACATTATTTAAAAATCTAGGCCAGGCATGGTGGCTTACACCTGTAGTCCCAGCTACTTGGGAGGCTGAGGCAGGAGGATCACTTCAGCCCAGGGGATCGAGGCTGCAGTGAGCTATGATTGCATCATTACACTCCAGCCTGGGCAACAGAGTGATATCCTGTCAAAAAAAAAAAAAAAGAAAAGAAAAGAAAAGAAAAAAAGATCTAAAGAATTAATTTATTAATCACATCAATGGCATATATAAGCTTAAAGAGATTTTGAGGCAAAGAGGAAGGCACTGAGTCACTAAAACTTGAGGGAAAAGCATACTGATATTTAATATATCATCAGGCAAATAAGCAAATTGCTGAAAACTCCTGATTTGAATTCTCATATTTGAGAAGACATCCATCTTGCCTCTAGGAAAATTGTTTGAAAAAAAGAAACTATTTTAACAAAGAATAAAATTACATAGTACATCCTTAAGGGGAAAAATAAGAAGCTTTAGGAAAAAATGGCAAAATGTGGAGAAGATGATAATGAAACATTGTAGAATTGTAATGATAACAGTATGATCTTAAGGAGGCAGTTCTCTACCCTGCTCATCCCAACTCCTATTTTGACAAAAAGTATAAATGGAAATAATTGTTAACTATTGTTATCTTGGCTTGCTCAATTCTAAACGTATTGTCTTCTAAGACTATATCAGAAAAAATACATTTATTAGGTGAATGTCCAATCAGGTTTCTCCCTAATAAAAATCTGGCAATATTTTAAAGTATGTAATCCAAGCAAATGATTGCTTTATGAACTGTATCATTTTAAACAATAAGGCTCAATTTTTAAGAAATATTTAGAATTAAACACTTATTTTTAATTAGTTCACAAAAAACTCCCCTTAAAACCAGTTTAACTGAAAACATAAAACTAACTACAGAAATCCTGAAGAGTGTGACTACACATAAGAATTTTCCAAAGGGAAGAGACACGTAGAACATTCATGAGGATTTGGATAGCTTGCTGAAATCTAGATTTACTTCCTGGTTTGCTCCTGATGACTGAAACCTATCCCAATGCCTGGGGGTCAGAAGGTTGACCACAAAGCCAAGACAGCTCTTGGTGTAGAAAGGAACTCATAAGGAAGACAGAACTCTGTTAAGCCAGGAACCTCCTGTTTAGACTCCAAGTTAAATATTATCTGAATTCTAAATCATTCTTCCAAGGTAGATGTGGAGAAAAGCCACTTTCATTTTGGTGTGGACATGGAGTGTGGGCCCGATTTGTCAAGATTCCTCATTAAATGTAATAGATAATTCAACTGAGTGGCTGGAAGGTTTTTTCTAAAGGCCTCACCGGATGAAGCTGGTGTTATGCCTAGGAATCTATAGAATGGAAGTGCTGTACAATGAATCTGAGACTGACTTCCTCTTTGATACAGGTCAAGAAATTGAAGTTTGTTACTTCTGATCTCTCTCAGAATACATTTTGAGATAAATGTCACAATAAAACATAACTCTGTCCTGACCTCAGCACTACCTTTTACATTTTTAGACTTTTACAGAAGAGTTTATTTCTCCAGGATACTAATATACATTAAACTACACATGTCATTTACCCTCTGTTTTTTGAAGTATAACCCACAGGACCTGGTAAACAAAGTATTGGGTTCATTAGGGTGTGAATTTGAGCCTACATAAAATCTAGAACTGTTTGAACACATCAGAATCCAATGTGTTTGAACACTTCTGAGAAAACTGAAATGTGGTAAGAGTTGCCTTATGATTATTCCTGGGGGTGCCACACCCCTGGGGCAAGGGAGAACCCTGATCATATGGCAGGGCCAACACCAGATTTAGGGACAGAAACTTAACTCTGAACATGTGGAGCTGGAGAGGTGACAGAAGACCACTAAGAGAGACCCTAGTTCTCCAGGAGGCAGTTCTCTTACTCTGCTCGTTCAAACTCTGGATAAAAAGAATAAATAGGGATAGTTGTTAACTATTTGTGTTGTTACAGGGATCAAGATCACGGGTTAGAGTTTGTATGAAAAGCAAGGTGTTGGTAGAATTAAGGCAAGTTTTTTTTTTTTTTTTCTGCCAAAAGTGGTCCGCTCTTTATAACTTAGCTGTGGGAGAACTTTTGAAGAATGTGGTTCAAGAGAAGGACTAGCTAACAGAGAAGATTTTAAAATATATACCTTAAAAATAATTTTATGATAGTAAATTCCAAAGGTATATGAAAATAGAAAAATAGTAGAATGAATTCTTAGGTACTCACCACCTGGCTTCAATAATGGCCAACTCATGCCCAGTAGGGCAAATATTAAATATTAAAAGAGGAAAAAACTTAACTATTCAATATATTGATGTAATGAGATTATACTAATATTATTTTTTATACTGAAGAGGAAAAGTAAATAAAGTCACTCAAATCTACTGTTATCTATAACAAATTAATTTCCACAATTGAAAATAAGCTGATCTTTTGCAAGTGAGATGAGGTTTTTTTCTTACTTCCTGTTTATAATATTGGCTATTGTGTTTGGTGGTACAAATTTACATTCTAGACTTCAGGGCAAAGGAGATTCTCTCTAGCCTGCTACCACCACCACCAAAGTGACTATACCACAGCAGCAATAATAGCCTTTGCTTATACAATCTGGAAAACATTATAGGAAGTGAATTCAGGCTTGCTTCCAAAATGCTATCATTTTAAACTATAGCTTAGAAATTCTTTGGCTCTGGAAATGTTCTATATGATTTTAGGAGCAGTTAGGAATTTATAATAATTGTACCTTTAAAAGGAAAGAGAAAAAACTCACAGTATTTCCCAGATTCTCTAGTTAAAAATGAGCTTGGCTTTTTAGAGAAAGTTGTTCAGTTACCAGCGGCTTCCTAAGGCCACTTGAAGACTTCATGTAAATAGTGGTGGTAATACCCATGAAGATACTCCACAAACATGAGATTACCTTCCCCATATGTGAACAAAAGGCCTTCTCAGATGATTGGCAAAAAACAGATTTGTAGCTAAAGAAACCATTGTGTGTGTGTGAAAGAAATTTCTTAACCCAAGATATGTCTCCATCAATTTGTAAAATAGAATAGTGACAGGGAAAAAACTCAATGTGGACATAGTACAATTTATGTATCCAAGTAAATGGCTAAACATCATTGCCTCCATTTGTAAAAACACTAATTTATCATTTGTGGGGGAGAACAAAAGTCTTTATCTTTGTGTTTAGTGAAATATTTGAGCATAGCGTAGAATTGGCAGCATTTTTTGTAAGTCAGGGAATAAGAGAACTTTAGTTCTAGGAAAGACATTCTACCCTTGGCATAATTCTCTGCCTTTTGACTGTGATCACAGCTTTACTAGATGAACCAGTGGGCACTCTTATGAAACTTCTGAAATTATCATACCACATATGATACAACATGGGATTTAAACATAAGTGAAATATTGACCTCACTTCCACCAAGTCTCATGTTTCACTGAAGCAGAGTGGGACAGTAGAATGCATTTGGCTTAAACATGAAATAAAGCATTTACCAGGTGTGGTGTATGACACTTCTGGACTTGGTGACGTTTTTGGTTTTGCAGTAACACGCTGGGGCACCTTAGGAACTGAAAGAGAGAACTCATATTGTAAGTCATTTGGTTTCAGCATCTTCCAGTCATGCTTAAAACATAAGACATGTCAAGGTGTAGCCTGAACACTGATAAAACAAAGCATTAGAGAGAAGACAGAAGAAGGAGTTAGAAAGAAGACCTAACCTTAAGCTCTAGAAATAGGTTAGTTAGAATTCCAGATAATTATATAATAGTGAAATCCGAGAAACTGCAAAATTTCAAATTACAAAGCGTCAGAGTAAGATGACAACTTTTTAGAAATCTTTATTTCAGAGGAGATGACAATGGAATGAATGTAAGAGAGCTTTTCTTTACTGGATATGTTTGCTTGACTTCTCCTTAAACCCATTTTTATGTCTTTCCTTAAAGACAAAGTAGGTAAAGACGGTGAGGTCAGGGTGGAATCCTATGGAACATGGATATGCTTGAAGTCCTCTTGGGCAACAGCAGAGTGGTAAGTGGACAATGCAATGGAATGTGTTGGTTCACATCTTACCCGCCCTGCATTTCTCTGGCTCCAGAGAAACCTTCAAATGAATTTGCTGACAACTAAAATTAGATTTCCACAACTGTTCCTTGGGAATAATAAGGTACTAATATAATAGACACCAGGAAAATAAGTCTAACAATTATAGTGTATTCTATGATTTCAAAAATGCCTTTATAAAGTTTACACCCTTTGAGTCTCACCATAATGTTGGGAGGAAGGAATTACTAGCTCCTCTTTAAAGCTGAGGAAACAGAGATTCGGGTGTGTGACATAATCTGCTTGAGGTTATGGTTATTAAGTACCAGAGTCAGGACTTGAACCAAATGCTGAGGATCAAACATTATCAACAGGTCTAAACACTTGGGATCTCTATATCCCAGTTCTGCAGGTCAGATTTTAAGTTGCTTCTCATTTTTTAAGGTGAAACAATAAACCTGCCCTAACTCAAGATATGGTTATAAGAATCCAATGTGAAATGTCAAAATGATGTGAAAATTATACTATTATAAATTTTTTTTCCACTTCTCAAGGAGCTTCACAAATTTGGTTTTGAAGAATCTGAGTATATTCTGATTTTCACATTGTTTGCCCATGTGAAATCTAGGAGCACCCATAATTTTGAGTTATAAAAAATTCTAGGTATACAATTAATAATATTGCTATTACCTATACACACTGGGATCTAAGAAGTCAAACTTTATTGACTTATAAAATATTCCTTATGCTTTCTTTCAGATTTTAGATCCCATTTTGCCTTTGAATGCCAAACATAGATTTAAGCGTTGCCAATTTATAAACACACTTTCAGTAAAACTAACAATAAAAGTTACATGCCAAATTACAGAATCTTATTCTGTGAAAGGTGGTGGATGAACAAAATTTGTTGCGCTTTAAGTTGTAAATACTATTGTTAGATGATATTACAGCCCAACAACAATAGTTTGTATTGGTATCATGCATATAAACAGGACACTCTCCTGTCCAAATGACTTTTTGAAATTTGCAGGAACTAGTTAAGGATAAGGGAAGAAGTATTAGGATTCAACTATTTGTCTTTAAAATATTTTGTGATATATATGTGTACATATACACACCTCCTTGAAAGACTATAAAAATCCAGGATATTGCTGGAAACTATTACGTAAGAATCATATTCTTGTGGGATGAGGAGGTCCCAATTCTACCCACTTTTAAAAAGAATAAGTAGAATGCATTTTGTTTTTCATGACCAGTTTTCAAATTGTTCCCTTACATTAAGTAGCACTGACAAAGCCAGAAGTATCTGGTTTGCAGCTACTTTCCGCAAGAGATGCTGATGGACTGGAAGTTGCTTCAATCGGGACATCAGAAGGCTCTCTCATTACAGTCTGGCAGCCACTCCATGGTTTCAGAGTTAGAGAGTGGAACTCACTGAGGATGTGAATCTATCTATTCTGAAGAGCCTGTCTTGTCAAGAAAGGTTGGCTAAAAGTCTAAGTCAAAATGAAATAAATTTGAAACTTATAGTATAACAATGGAAAATTAGAGCAAGCTCCTGATTTACTATACCGCATTTTAGTAAGTACAAAGTACAGCTCAAAAAGATAAAACTGCAAATAAATTTTTCCTATTACTTCATATCTCCTTTACCTTAAACATTTTTTACTGACCATGATTCATGCCCAAGTCTCTTAATTTTTAGTATTTTTCATCTTTTATAGTTCAACATTCAAGTTTTCATGGTTTCTTCTCCCCATTTGTTTTCTACTTTTGTTCTATGCTTTATACTCAAATCCAAAGCTGAGAGCTTCTTCTCATATAATTTTGTCTGCTATTTTTAACGTTAGATTTTAGTTTCCTATTATAATAACAAATTTAATATACTTGGTTTATTTAATAACTTGGTATATTCTTAAAACTTTGATGTTTTTATTCCTATTCATTATTATTCACTAATCATTATTTTCTCAGACTTTTAGTATGTTAATGTTTCAAATGTATTATTATTATTTAAAATTTCATATTATTTGGGGGAATATTGCCTTGGTACCTTCATATATTTATTATCAGAATAAATTATTTTCATAGCTAAGTTTTAGTAATTAGAACATATTTAAAATTATGCTAAATAAGGCAGATTTAAAATCATAGAAAAAATTTAATGATAGGTAAAATTTCCCTCAATTGATATTAGAGACCACACCTAAAACTACAGGGGTTTTCTTTTCCCCTGTAGCAAAACAAGAATGACAGTACCTAATGACAGAGATTCTGAGGTATGAGTGAAATATTTGTGGTGGGAATCCAGAATCACTACCTGGATCAAACATAATGTGATGGTGCTAAACATTTTCCTTTCCCCAGACTAGATTAGTGGTCGCGAAGCTTCCTTTGCCGGTATCCTGGGTGGGTGAACCTCAGACATTTGTTGTAGTCAGGCCATGTATTGAGAAAAATTTCAAATTAGATGATTGGCAGAAGGAAGCACATTCAGGAATAGTGGAAGGGATAGGAGTGTAGTCTCAGGCCGGGGAAGGAAAACGAAGTAGGCAGGCTATTCTTTTTAAGCAATGCCATTCATGTCCATCTCATCTTCAATAACACAACATTAAGGGAAGCTTTGTGGAATAAGCTCTTCCAATGATGTACTTTTTTAGTAAGTCCAAAAAGAAATTTAAATATTTATTAGGTTACAGAGGAAGACTTGTTTTACAAGTGTTAAAGACTCAATCTGCTATCATAACTATTAATGAACAATTTGCTAGAATAACCCCACTAACCTCAAACTTTTCAAGCTAAAATGTAAAATATATATTTACCTGGTTGTGTTTGTGGGATTCTTGGGCGTGGTGATGTTTTTGGCTTAGGAGGAGCACGTGGTGTCTGCTTGGGAGCTAAAAGAAAGGATATAGGTTCGGAAATCTTGAGCCCTTCAAGAATGACAGTACCTAAGCCTCTAGAAGCTCAGGGATGTTTACTGAGTGATTGAAGACCTAAATACTCAACAATGAAGGCTTCTAAAGATCTGCAAAGTATAGGAAGGTAACTTTTTTATATAACAGAAAACAAAACAAAAAGTCACATTAAATGATATCTAAGATGTTCAGCTGGCAAAATGAAACTTGGGATTGCAGAAATATTGACATCAAATACCTTCTAAATAGTTTGAAAATAAATTCATAATTACAAGAATTCATCCTTATTATAAGTTCATATAATTTTATCAGAATATTTAGTTGTACTATTTTAAATGCAGACACATATGTTTTCTAAATAAAAAACAAAGTTAACATGTTATAGCCCAAATATATAATGTATTTTAATAGCAAGTGCTAATGGAAAAATTAATCTTACTAAACAAAACACAATTTTATTGGTTATATAGGGGAAGAGAGGGAAGAGAAATTGAACACCAAGGATATTTTCTATGGAGAGTTATTCCTTTGCTGAGCAAATCCGAAAGAAATTCTAGGACAATCAGTGTAAAAACCAATTTTTTCTTCACCAAAAAAAATTGAAAAATCTATCCTGCTGAAGGAAAGGAATTATCAGATGCAAGGTTGCAGCTTATGGAAACACCTCATTTGGTTGAACTAAAACGTGTTTGGGATAAAGAAAGGTAAGAAGAAACATGGTCAACGTCATGTAGTTTCAGACACCTTAAGAAAAACTTGCTGAAAATAAGAGTTATTTGACACCAGAAGTTTCTGAAGGAGTCTGCAGAATCTTCTTCCTGATACTAAATGAAAAAATACAAGGTATACAATGGTTTCAGTGGAATCTTCTTGCCTGTAGAGAGATGAATACTGATATATGTTGGAGATGACCTGGTTTAGAAGCCTGGAACCTGGGGATTTAGAGCTCCCTTTGCTAATCACTGGGTCTAAGGTCTCAGTTTCTTCATCAGAAGTTACACAATTTTAAAGAACCCTTCCAATCTTAAAATTCTGTCATTCCAGCATTTCTCACAGTTCGTGATTTTCTGATTCTCAACTACCCTACTTACTAAGGTTCTAACTGATATGCCACTTACTTTGCCAGAGGATAAGAAAGACCACCTGAAGGTTAGGCATGTCATAAAGCAATTCCATGAAAAATGATACACAATGAGATAAGAATCACTAATAGCAGTATTTGCAATGAGACATTCCAATGATATTAATTATTATAGTTATTAAGAACAAAATTTGGAAAAGTTAGGTATAACTGACTGATTTCATTATTTTAGTCAATGTGGATTTCTTTTAGTTAAAAAACTGTAGGGTTTATAGGCAACATCTAGTAGGATATTCAGCAGACAATGAGTAAACTTAAAATCCATATCTCCCTTGGAAACAGAGTCATATAAAAATAGTTTAATGCCAATCAAAACAGAAGTTTGGGCTTATTTATAACCTTCTATTACATTGAAACCTACAGCTATTAAGAGGACTTTTTAAAACAAGAAGCATATTTAGTTATTCATGTTGATTATTTTTCAATCATTTCAAACTCCACTACTATGTAAAGCTTTGTGATAAGCCAAAATAATTGTTTTGATTTTTTTTATTTGTATGCAGTGAAATGGCCAAAGCACTGCAGAAAGGAGTGGAAAGAAGAAAGATATCTGAATAACTACAAGGTGACTGGCCAGTACACCCCCTTTCATGTGGATTGCACAGTCAAACCTGTTTCTGGAGGTTTCTTTTAATGTCAAAAGCAAATCAGAAAGCTTAATATACTTTTTACATGATCATAGAACTTGTAAAACTAGTTGAGATGAATTAGAATTAAAATCAGAATATATATATTTTAAAATAGAACAGAATATAAATGTTCTTCCCAGAAGCATTCCTATTCCCTGAATTAAACACTTGCAGAGTAGCTGAGAGGTATTTTTCAACCATATCCTAAAGAACAACACTGCCATTTGAGTAATTACCAATGATAGCAGGACATCAGACAGGTAGGATTACCCATCAAAGTCTGTGGGCAGAATGATGAAGTCAGGGCCTCTGATATCTTGAGGTGACCATACTGACATTCTGCAAACACTCACCTCATATATGACATACAAAATAATGTATTTACCAGGTTCAGTCTGAGGCTCATCTGGGCTGGGTAGGGTTATAGATTGAGAAGGCAGAGGCGACGTTTCTATGGTAATTGAAGGAAAGTACGCGGGTTACTATAGCACTTGACAGACCTTGAGTACAGATAACAGACAGGATGGTAACAAATAGATTTTTTTAAAATAAAGAAAATTGCAAGTCTGCAGCAAAACAGCATTCCTACTCCTTCATAATGCATTTGGTTAAAAAAAAATGGTTGCAGATGCAGCTTACAAAGTACTTCTAAAGTTCTCATTTCACATTAGAACTCTACCTCCTCAACAATGCTACAAAGATATATTCAATAGGAATCATGAAGGGAAAAAGGAATTTTAAAAATATTATAGTATGAGTCATTTAAGCAGCACTGAATTTCACTTAAAGAATGGAGAAGAAAACCACAAATATAAATAACTGTGATGGGATAAGTGTTAATGGAAAGTATGTTGCTAGGTCAGAAAGTATAAATGGATCATCGCACCAAAAAAGCATTATCTGAAACATTCAACACAATGCCAAGCTGGCAGGATGTACAGTGTTAGGAAGAAAATATTTTAGATTCAACAGTTCTGCTGACTTATGAAGAGAAAAAAAGCAAAGTCTTGTTACACAACTGAATGGGAGGAAGGACATTTTTGGACAATGGTTATGGATAGGAGCACCTTGAAAGAAAAGTAACTGCCATGGCGAAGAGTGACGGTGTAACATGAATTCACAATGAGAGAGACCCAGAGGTTCTCAGGCGATGGTGGCAATGAAGACAGAGAGCACCCAGGGTTGGGCTACCGAGGTTATTACCTAGTGTGGTCTCAGGTGGTTCAGATACATATGTAATAGATTCCACAACTGTACCAAAACAAAGGAGAAAAATTTTAGAAACTGTAAGATATTAAGCTATAGCATTTTTTTGAATATCAAATTTTATTAATAATTTGCATCATAATTTTACAGACAGGACAATGGATTTAGACAGGAAAAAAGAATTGGGAGAAAAATCCTATTCTATAATACTAATCCTCCAATTAATATTTATGTTTTAATTGTCATTAACTGGGTTTCAAATGTTATTACGCCTCAACCTTTAGACTTCAGCAGAGAAAGACAAATTTATTTCTGTATTCAGAGAGAGTCAATTATCACTTTAAGAATTCAAGAATGTTGGAAGCTGTAGCTCCTTCAAATCTGTTTAATTGTGAATCAAGTACCACAGCTTGAACTTTCATATTCCGTGGATGTAACTGATGTTAATTTAAAATGTGTGGAATAAATGAATCAAAGCATTAAAACCTTTGCTACCTTCAGTCTTTGGCTCCTCTGGCCAGAGTGGTGCTTTGGCAGTGGGATATACATAGTCTGTTTTGGCTGGTGCTAGGGAAGAAACGGGAATGGCTGGTTAGTGGTGGCCAACCCAAAGCACACTGTAATAGAACCCTGCATTTAATTTAAAAATAGAATTGAGCTATCTTAAGCAGATATATTCTTGAGAATAATTAACATTTAGGTAGATTATGAAGATGACCACAATTTAGGAGGGCAGAAATGAAAGCAGGAAATGAAGGCAGTGTGCTATGTGGGAAACATGCACACCCCATACATAATGTGTGGCAGAGTCAACAGCACTTCTACCTGGAACAAAGCAGATAATTCCATTTTCATTTTTTTTTTCGTATAAGAATTCCAGTTAGAAACACACATAGAATGAGTACTTGGAGAGCAAAAGCACGGGATGAATCCTAAAAGTGATATGAAAATGAAAAGTAGGTTGTACATATTCATATTGAAAGAGCAATCAGAAAAGGTTAAAATTTTCGTTTCGAGTGAGAATAAGGAAATTATGAAACTTGCATAGCAATACAGCAGATGTGAACACAATGTGCTGTATACAATGACATTCAAGACCCACTGGATGAGCACAGACAAGCTGTGAGGAGCAAGTGGCTATGAAATGTCACAAAGCATGAGGACATCCAGAGATGACTTTGCAATGAGATGGAAAAGCACATATGCTTGACTTCCCATTGGGGAACATTTTTACCTATGGTCTCCTTTGGTGACTCAGTACTAAGTGTAACCGATTCCAGAACATCAGAAACTAGTAAAAAACAGAAAATGGTACAATTGATAAAGGATAGGTTGTAAGTATTTATAAAAGTGCTTTGCATCCAGTAAGTGTTCAATGTTAACTGTTATAGGGTAACAACATTATTAACACTAAGGGAAGCTCTCATAACTGAACTGAATTCACAACATGATAACTACTGTACGTTACCATTAACAACCTACTTTGTACATTCAACATGAGTACCAAAATGTCATTTATCTAATTAAAAGATACTCATAAGAGATGGAAAGAAATTACAGTCCTACGGAAGAAAAATATAGGATCCAGTGTTTTAAAATAAATGTCAGGAAGTAGCAACAACATTACTAATACTGACTTTTAAAATTTGCATCCATTTTTTTTTCCCCAGACAGGGTCTGGCTTTGTCAACCAGATGGAGTAGGGTGGCATGAACATGGCTCACTGCAGTCTTGACCTCCTGGGCTCAAGCGATCCTCCTACCTGAGCCTCCTAAGTAACTGGGACTACAGGCATGCACCACTATGCCCAGCTAATTTTTGTATCTTTTGTAGAGTTGGGGTTTTGCCATGTTGCCAAGGCTGGTCATAAAATTCTGAGCTCAAGCAACCCATCAGCCTTGGCCTACCAAAGTGTTGGGATTACAGGTGTGAGCCACTATGCCTGGCCTATTTACAAGCTTGAAGGGCAGTATGTTTTAAAGGGTTCACATTATTTTTGTGGAAATTTTATTATTTTTACTGAAGTGAGAAATTTCTCCTTCCTTGATGGTCACAATTGAACTAGTGTTCTTTTAGCACAAATTTAATTTACTATTAAAGAGAGCCACAAACTTGTAACTGTTGAAAAAATAAGGATAAATAATAAAATCAGTTCTTCTAAGTGGTTTGTCAACCACTTAATCAGATATGTGGTTATTTTCTAGAATGATACAAATGCATTGAAAAGTATTTTTATACATTCAAATAGTAATATTAATGTATTACTAATTTAACAATATGGAATCACAAAAAAGAGCATTGTGCAATATTTACAGTTATTAATGTATATTCCTTTTTCATTTTTTATCTTTGGAAATATAACTTAGAGAATTACAGTATGCCTCTTAAAGCACACAGTATACCCAGACAGATAAAACAATCTATTTACCAGGTTGACTTTCTGTCATTTCTAGGCTTGGTGATGTCACTGGTTTCAAAATAAGAGTTTGCAGTTCAGTCAGAGCTGAAAGAAGAGGGTCTCAATTGTAAGAGTAATTTTCAGTTATTTATTTCATAGGTTTTAGACAGAGGTAGCAGTGAAATAAAATACACAGACCCTGAAAATCATGAGGTTATGGAGAGCCATACAGAATGTGCCCTATTTAAAGCAGAGGTCAGCAAACTATAGCCCTTCCAAGTCTAGCCAGTGGGCCAATAATGATTCTCACATTTTTTTTAAGCGATGGGAAAAAATGAAAAGTGGT
Source organism: Homo sapiens (assembly GCF_000001405.40). Lineage (NCBI taxonomy): Eukaryota > Metazoa > Chordata > Mammalia > Primates > Hominidae > Homo > Homo sapiens. Next base: position 100,813,977 of record NC_000003.12, read on the forward strand.
ATTTCATGACACGTGAAAATGGCATGAAATTCAAATAAAGTTTTATTGGAACATAGCCATAGAATGAACTAAAATTGTTCAGGGCATATTCATGAATCAGCTTTGGTTGCCTTCAAGCTAAAACAGCAGAATTGAGTAGCTATAACAGAAACTGAACAGCCCACAAATTCTAAAATAGTTATTGCTTAACTTTTCACAGAAAAAAAAAAATTGCTGACTCCTGATTCAAAATGTCCTTCTGAAAAAGCAGGAGCCTATTTGGAAAATTAAGTTCTCATGGACTATTGTATCTGAATCTCAGTTCCTACAAGAGCTAAGAGCTGCCTATAGCTGATTTCATGACAGTAATATTAACAAAATGTTGAATATCATCTAGGAGTGTTTTGTTCTATATTTTAGTTTCACCATCCCCTTAGCCACCATTGACAAGTATTGATACTTGTTTTATTTGTGCTGTTCCCACCCTTCCACCCTCTAATCCAAATCCTATAATTATTTCAAAGTCCAACTACTCTCTGTCATCAGCCCACATCGTTCCTTGACTCCTGTAAATATTTTGTTTTTACTACTCAATTAAACAAGAACTCTCATAGGAGGAAATTGCTCTATATCTAGAAAACTGTATCTAAGAAAACCTTAGGGTTTCTTCATGATTACTTTGTACTTTAAGAGGTAAAATGTGTCCTTTCTTTTGGTTTCTACCTCTGTTCCTTATTCCACCCCACTCAACTGTTAATATGGTGTTGGGTACACAAAGAATGAGGAAATGATTGTCTTCTTAAGCAAAAGTAGCAGCACCATTGAGAAAGAGATGAATGAAATGGAATAAGAACTGTATAAGATCGATCCTTTGTTAGATACAGTCCTTATGTAGGGCACACGATGAATTTAGCCACTGGATAGATCTCCCTCAGCTATGAATCTAATAATGAGCCCTGTAATTGTCAAGCTGTTGACCACTGTAAGTGCCTTTTCTCTCAGAAGGCACAGAAATGATATTCAAGCTTATTGTCATACCTGTGATTCAAGTGCAATGGGCTAAGACTCCTTAAACCTTCTAAAACCTAAGCCATAGATTTTCGTTATTTCAACTGAGAGGGTTTAGGGAGTTTAAGGTCTGAGGGATGGAATAACCCCTATTCATCCTCCTTTATGTCTTTGAAACTAAAAGATGATGATCTTAGGTTGCTATAGTGTTTGTAGGTCTAGAAATCATTGAAAGCATTGTATGTAGACTTATGTTTTCTAAAACATGTTAGATTTTCTTGAGTTTATTTCCTAAATTAAAAAAAATTACTTTGTTTCTGATCATCACTAAGGGTTCCTTTAGAGACCAAAATCACATATGAAGTGATTAAAGGAATAAATATTGAACATGCATAGATATTCAGAGGGATTCCTACTTAGCGAAGATTAAGAGCCATTACTAAACAGTAGTGAAGAACAGTGGTCAAGCTTATCAATGATTGAGGAGCCTGGAACTTTCAGGGAAATCTATTTTAATGTAATAGGGACACCTTATTCCTTAAAATAGGAAGAAAATAATGAGACTAAGACACAGGTTTTATAGAAACTAAGTTACTCAAAGGGAGTTCATGGTACTTAATTGTTGCTTTATAGATCTAAATACCAAATGGAAGGGTATTTAGATCTATAAATACTAAATACCAATTTGGACCTCAGATTTAACACTGAATCATATGGTGCAAATTTAAAGAGAGTTTCATGCTGGACAGCTGTCCTTCACTGGGTCCAGGGACATCTGCGAAAAACAACAGGTAACACTTGAATTAAAACTGCTGACTATTTTAAAATGAAGTGTAGAATGGAATAACAGCGTCTTAGGAAGCAGAAGCAACTCTGGTCATGACAGTGCTCAAGTGCGTTTTTAAATGGCAATAAAAAGCATTTAATGCAAGTCACAAAAATCATTACCAAATGTTGTTCCTGGAGCATCAGTACTATGAACAACAGGTTCAAAGCCTGTAACAGAAACTAACCAAAAGCAACAACATGAATACAAGAAAGCTTAAAGACTTTTTAAAAAAAATCCTCAATTTTTATTTTAAAACATGAGTTTCAAATGATACACAATTTTTTAAAACTTTTGAATTGATAGGCAGCATATAGTTGCTTTTGGAAGATTTGGCCACACTAGCTAGAACAATTCATCAAAGAAGGTAGTTACAACCTTTGAACTCTGTTACATATCTTGATATTATCCACATGAGGTTTTCCTAGGTATTTGGTTTTCTAACTAGTATGGATATTTGGCTTTGGAAATTTGTTTAGGCAACAGATACGAAAATACAGAGAGAAATATATATGAAAGTAACTTGTTGCTTTTCTTGGAAGTTGAAAATAAATGCCTGTTTATGTAATCATAACAAATGGATCACATGTTTCAATGCAGATATAGCAATAAATACCCATGAGTATGCTAATCTCGCTGTAAACACATCTTTAAAGAGGGACCAAGAACGTCATCCAAACCAAGTCATTTAGGAGATCAGGCACACAAGTGGCTCCAAGCCATGTTCTCCTGGATAGCTCTGTACGAGAAGCAGTTGCTACCCATGTTAAATAATTTGATTCTTAGAAAACATGATGACTGTTACTTCCCGTCATAGGCATTTCTTTAGGACTTTATTGGGACAGCCTGCCAGGGTTCAGGTTCCTTGGCTACTTAAGCCAAGGATTCATACATTTACCCGATTTGTTCTGAGGTACTTCAGGACTTGATGTAGTTTTGGGTCTGGGACGGGGACGACGTGTCCGTTGTGTTTTAGGAGCTGAAGGAAGAAACTTTGGATTACTCTAGTGCAGGTGGCTTTGGAGACAAAACTTTAGGTTTTTAAAGGTATGTCATATTTCCTTGAGATTTAAGTCATATGTCTTTTAAGATTAAAATATTTTCTATTTTGTTAATTTTCTTAATCACTGAAGATTCTTGAGAGAGAAAACTTACATATAAAATCAAGTTGAAAAGTGAAGAGACTCATACATCTTTAACTTCAGAAACACTAGAGCCAAACTCTGGATGATAGAGTCTCAGGCTCACACTAAATCTTTTGAGTATGCCAAAGAATCCATGATACCATAAGAACTGTTAGAGTTTAGTCAGTTTAGATATGATATAGCCACCAGCAACTGTGTTTGAAATTTAGCTTCAGACATGAGTGACATGAATGCTGTTTAGACAAAAGTACATGACACAAATTCAAATAAGATTACATGGTAGACTCTGAACTAGGTCCATGCATAGCTTTTGAAAATAATAGGTAACTTCTAAGGATCACTAATACTCAAATATAAAGTTGAAGGACAATATAAAGTTGAAGGATAGCAGAAGATGACAAGATAGTCCTACAAAGCTGATGACAATGTGATTATGATAATGATGGAATGGATTTGAAAATAAGGAGGAAAAAGTTATTCAGGAACACAGAATATCATTACCTAACGTTGTTTCTGGAAACTTGGTTCTAAAAGTGTCAGGTTCAAGGACTGTAGTAACAACTAGACAAAAATAATAAAATAAAGCAAAAAGATTTAACTTGAATATTAATTTCACAGTTCAATTTTTAAGCTTCAGAACTTAAAAGTAAGGCTTGTTTTTTGCAGATTTGGCCAAACCATGGTCAGGTACCCATTAGTCTCATAAGACAGATTTGCAAGACAGCATTGCACTCAGCTTAATATCACTATGTGGTCAACAAAACATTCTCCTAGATGTTTGATTATCTGATTCTTGCTACACATTAGTGGAAGATTGTTGGACAAGCTTTTTACACATTTGCATAATATATGCTTTTCTAACTGTATTGAAAAAGGCGTTTATCAGTCTACTTGCACTTCTATAGAAGTTGGGATAAATATCTTGTTAACTACTGTCTAAGTAACTATGGATACAATAAAGAGTTCATATGTATGAAAGCATAAAGAACACCATGTAATTAATAAACTGTGCTTATCAAAATCTCAAAGTATTCCTTGATTCAGTAAAAGTTAAGAAACTGTTAAATCTTAATAGAGATGAATAAAGAGTCAGTCTATCCTATTATGGAAGCCTCTCATTAAAACTTTCAAGACTTACGTACATTTTACAATTTGACAATTTACTAAAAACATCATTCCTTGAAACAAAAAAATCAATGTTACACAGATCCTAATAAAATGAAAAATAATATGAGCAAAGAAACACTGTGCTTCCCTACAATTGATGAGGAATAAGCAGCATAAATAAGGGATAGAGATTCGTGCTTGAAATGCAGCTTAAAATGGTCAATGCTCTTTAAACGAATGCACATGATCGCATGACACATTGAACGGTTAAAAGCAGTTTGATGTCCTGATATTAGTTCATGCACAGTTCTCTCAAATTCAGCTGATAATGTGACACAGAGCCTAGCATAATTTCAAGATAAAGACTATAATGGAATGATGACAAAGAATGACAGGATGGTCTTATGATGAAGAAGAAACTGACTACAGTGGTATGACAATAAGCAGGAAAAGCACTATTTGAAGGACACACATTCTCATTACCCATGGTTTTTGGAGCTTCAGTTCTGAGAGTACCAGGTTCAAGATCTGTAGAAGGAACTAATTAAAAGCAATGAAATAAACTTGTGAAAAGCCAGTAAATTATATCTTTCCATTATAATACTGCTTCAATCAGTATATAGCAATTTTAAGAAATTTTCTGAAACTTGATACTTGTTATTTGAAGACTTGGCCATCTTATAGCCAGATAAACAATTTTTTTAAAAGGCACTTAGTCACAGCCTACACAATTTGGCACACATCTCAATAAAGCCCATGTAATATTCTCCTAGGTGTCTGAGTACTTAGTTCCAACTATTGTAGAAGACTGCCCTAGAAGCTTATTCAGACATTTTGCCAAATATATACTTATTTAACTGTCCTAGTAACTGTTGGCATGTTTGTGGAAGCTTTAACAGTGTGTCTAAATGAGCACGAATACAGTCAACAGCCTGTTTGAGAGAAGACATAGCAAAGAATAAAGCAAAGTGAATCATAGGCTGAGATTTCATTTGCAGTAAAGGCACTCAGCAAATCAGGATAAGGGACAAACATGCAGAGTAGCTCTCTACTCTCTAATCATAAAAGTGCAGGACCCTAGATGGGTGATGCTTCTTGGGTCAGATGCAAACTTCCGAGTCATATCTTCAAGGACTTTCTTCAACTGCTCTTATAAACCCTTCCAAATTCAGCTGTCATCACTACTTAGAAGCCGAATCCTGTGTGTTTCAGGAAGCATGTGCCCTCTGACTTGCCTCTACTCTTCCTGTCTGACTCTCTTCATCTTTAAGATTTTAAGACCCAACTTCTTTCCAATTATTTATTCTTATTCTTCATAACATTTTCTTTTTCTAAGCTTTTAGATGTGTATAGCACCCCTCAAAACAAGTTCAATTTACCCAGATACACTCCCTTGCTTCAATCTTTGAATGTTTCATACTGGGACAGGTTTTGATCTTGACTATACTACAGAGTAAGATGTGAAAAACAAGCTTCCTCCTCCTGTGATAGCCTCACAGTTGTTGATGTGGCTGTGGGAAGATAGAAGGCACTTAATTTTTTTTCTAGAAATAAAAATGCCTGGTTCTATTTAATGCATTTTTGTATTTATGAGGACAATTGAATGAAATAAAAAGTAGTAAATAAGAGGCCGGGCGTGGTGGCTTACACCTGTAATCCCAGCACTTTGGGAGGCTGAGGCAAGCAGATAACAAGGTCAGGAGTTTGAGACCAGTCTGACTAACATGGTGAAACCCGTCTCTACTGAAAATACAAAAATTAGCTGGGTGTGGTGGCACGCGCCTGCAATCCCAGCTACTCAGGAGGCTGAGGCAGGAGAATTGCTTGAACCGGGAGGTGGAGGTTGCAGTGAGCTGAGATCGTGCCACTGCACTCCAGCCGGGGCAACAGAGTAAGACTCCGTCTCAAAAAAAAAAAAAAAAAAAAAAGAAAGAATTAGTAAATAAGATACACAGTAAGAGACAGACCTATATGCAGAAAATGCAAGGAATTCACCTGCCACAAAGATCTATCCCAACTGTGTTCTCCTTTGCTAACTCAACAGGGGGAGCAGTAGCACATCTTTTGTGCCTTCATCCACATGGTACTCACACAGGCCATCACTCCCATCATTGGCATCAGTTATAAATTCCTGAGAGCAGCTAGGATGAGCTACTTTAACCAGAAACCCAAATTTACCCAGTTTGGTTTGAGGAACCTCAGGACTTGGTGTGGTTTTAGTTTTGGGACGTGGACGACGAGTTCGTTGTGATGTTTTAGGAGCTGAAGAAAGAAAACCTTTAGTTACTACAGAGTCCGTAGCTCCGAAGCTATGAGTAGCATGACATACGGTTTGAGATCTCTTAAAACTTACTAGATTTTCTCATATTTCAGGAAATTTGTCTTTTTAACTTTTTAATTAGAAACATTCACTATTACAATTGAAGAAAGTTGATTGGGAGGAAGTGTCACATTCTAAAATGAAATTGCTAAATTAAGAAGTGAAGAATAGTCAATAGGACTCACCAAATAAAAAGGTCAAGAGTCACTGCTAAAATATAGTGGTGGTGGTCAGTTATAAGTTCTTTGACAATTAGTAAAATAAGACCACATAATTAATGAAAATGTCAATCAGAGAATATCACATAGATAGCAAAAATAAATGAGTAAATAGAACTTTAGATTCATAAAGAAACTCTCTGGTATCACAATCATGTTAGAATCAAGAAAACTGCATTTTAAAGTCACCTTTAACAAAAAAATTGGTTAAAAAACACACTGGATGACAAAATAATTTCAGATGGTTACATAGCCAAAACATAGACTGAGTTAGGTTCATGCATGGCTCTTTTAAAAACAAAGGGTGATTTAAGAGTCAGAATTTTCAATACTTTTAGGATGAAGAATATGATGGAATGAAACAGAGAATGATGATGTAGTCTTGAAAAGCATAAGAATCTGCGGCTATGATGATGGAATGGGTTTGACGATGAGAAGGAAGAACACTTAATGAGGATTGCAACGTGCTATTACCTTGTGTTGTCACCCAAGTCTCAGTTCTGAGTGTAACAGGTTTGAGCTCCGCAGTAGGAACTGATCAAAAGCATTAAAATTAACCAAATGATTATTTTAAATGAATGTAAACTCAAAACTTTTCTTCAAAAATGAGTCTTACTAGTATAATACAGCTTATAGAATTATATAGCAACCTTTAAAAACTGTTAAAACTAAAAAAGTAGACAGTTGATTTCCTAAAATTTGACTATACCTAACTCAGGTACCTATTTCCTTATTCCTCATTCTCTGGTTATCTAATTAATAATACAAAATGGACTATGTAGGTATTGCTAAGAACTCATCTTTGGAAAGAGACGGAGGCCTTAGCATGATGAATTGAGTAGGATATTCCTCCATTCTGAGCAAAGAAAGAACATGCCTTCATGTGGAAAGAACAGCTTGCTGATGTCTACCAGATCAAATCTCAACTGCTCCATCAAGGACCTAGGCATCTCCGCCATGGGTATCCATGGTCCTAGTGAGATTCAGAAGGGATTTGCCTGTCATCTTGAAGTAAGACTTTTTTTTTTTTTTTTTTTTTTTGAGATGGAGTCTTGCTCTGTCACCAAGGCTGGAGTGCAGTGGCGCGATCTCGGCTCACTGCAACCTCCACCTCCTGGGGTTCAAGCAATTCTCTGCCCCAGCCTCCTGAGTAGCTGGGATTACAGGCACCCACCACCATGCCCAGCTAATTTTTGTATTTTTAGTAGAGACAGGGTTTCACCATCTTGGCCAGGCTGGTCTTGAACTCCTGACCTCATGATCCACCCGCCTCTGCCTCCCAAAGTGCTAGGATTACAGGTGTGAGCCACTGCGCCCAGCAAAGTAAGACATCTTTATATCAGTTGTCCAGTTAGACTGTCTCCTCTGGTTGGTCTCTACTTGTGTCTTTTCCTTTTGATTTTATTCTTCCCACCCTTCTACTCATCCCTGTGCCTTGGTGATTTCAAGGCTCTATTTCTCCTTAATCTATATTTCCCTGATCCAAATATTTACACACCAAGCACATCTTGTTGATAGCACTCCAAAACCAGTCTTGTATTTGCACAGATACTGCCCCATACCATCTTTTACTTTATTTACAAAGGAAAGGCTTCTGTTCTCAACTGTCTTACAGGTTTGAGGATCAAAATGCATCTCTGACATCTGATGTATACCCCAAATGTGCTAATATGATTGGGAGGATATCTAAGGCACTTAATGTTTGTTGACTTGAGCTGAATATGTCTAATTTTTCTAAAGAAGTTTTATTTTTAAGAGATAAATGGAAGTTAATAAAATGCACAGTGCCAGAAAAGACTGCACAAAGGAAGCATGAGGCATTCACAGTTGCTCCACAGATCTCCTAACAGTGTTTCTCTTACATCTTCACAGTGGGATCTGCTGCTAACCATGAGTTGTAGCTTCCCTCTCACAGGGGCCTATTGGTTACTCCCAACCACTGGGATTACTCTTGAGACCCTACTGGCTTAGGCTGCAGGGACTCTTTAAACCAGGAACACATAGTTTACCTGGTTTGGATTCAGGTGCTTCAGGACGTGGTGTGGTTTTTGTTCTGAGACGTGGACGACGTGTCCGTTGTGATGTTTTGGAAGCTGAAGGAAGAAGTTCTTGGGTTACAACATAACTGCATTATCTATGATTCTGGAAGCTGTGTGAGGTAAAAAAACATGACTCTACTGCTTGATAGATATTTGCCTTTTAGTTCGAGATTTTTGTCACATGCATTCCTCCTTATAGATCTTTTATCATAGAAAGCTCCTTAAGACAAAAATCACTTTTTAATTTGAGAAATAAAGATTAGAAATTTTAATGAAAATCTCATAGGGTAGCTTTACTGGGTACCAAAAAGGTTAAGTACTATTGCCAAATTTTAATGGATAATGAAGGACAGTTCCACTAAATCTGAGATTTACAACTTACTCTTTCAATTTTTGGCACATATTCTATAGAGCTCTTAAAATCTGAACATATTATGACCTTATTAGAGACAAAACAATAAATATCTATGCAAATAGAAAAAAGGGTAAAAATTCAGATGTACAATGGGTTCTCTGGCTTTATGAGAGTTAATAGCCTTATCTGTCCAGGAAGGAGTTAGAAACCCACTAATATGTTTGAAACATAGCTTTATCACAAACACTGTTTAAACAAAACACAGAATAACATGACAATTTCAAGCAGATTATATGGCATATAAACGTCCTCAAGTAGATTCATGCATGACTGCTTCTCTTAAAAACAACAGTTAAGAGTCTTATAATTTCAAGAAGAGTTGAATGGCCATCAAGAATGACACTGTTGTCTCAAGAAACAAATTGAAACTCTAGGTTTGACAATAAGCAAAAGAAGCTTGTCGAAAACACTGTATCAACGTTACCTAATGTTGTTGAGGCCTCAGGTCTAAGAGTGACAGGTTCTAGGACTGTAGCAGGAACTGACCAAAACAACATGTAAATCAAAGAGATTTTTAAACATATGAGAAGTTAGAACACTCACATGCAAACAAATTTTACTGGTATGTCAATTCTTCCAGAGAAACAAAAAAAAAATTAACTTCTTAACTGAAGGAAAGAATGTGTGTTTGTTCATTGATGATTTGGCCAAACTATAGGCATGGTGAGTCTCAGGCTTAGCTGTTGAACTATCTTGAGTATGTTAAAGAAGTCAACATGAAATTCTATTATGTTTTTAACTAATGAATTCTGATATGGAAAACTGCACTGGAAAACATTTTAATGCATTTATCTCACATATACTTAGAAATTGTCTTAAAAGATACAATTACTCTGTACTTCTGAATATTAGCGCTTATTACATATAAGTAAACATGGATACAAGAGACAGTTCATATGTTTGATACCGACATAAAAAAGTAATCATTGAAGTGGACTATGTTCATCTTGCCAAGAACTCATCTATACACAGAGTTTGAGACCTCTGTCCAAACCATGACACCTAAGAGAACAGGGTGGTCACTCAGCCTGTAATAATCGGTAGAGCATCTGTCTGCCCTCAGCCCAGAATAAGTGGAAATCAAAGACTTTTGATGTCTCTGTATCAAATCTAAGCTTCTGAATCAGGTCCTCAAAATCCTTCTTCATCTGGCTTGATGTACCCTTCCAAATGCACCATCATCAACAGTCGTATATGACCATCTAGAAGGAGTCCATCTAGACTGGACTGCCTTTCTAGCTGACCCAACACATGTGGTCCTTCTGCCCTAGTTCATTCTTCCCTCCATTCATCCAAATCCTCAGTGGGCCCAAGGTCCAAGTCCAGCCCACCTCGATCTTATCTTTTGAGATAAAACACAAAGATCATTGCTTTATATTTGTGTCAGGCAAACATATCTTCAACTCCACGCTTTCTGCAGTAAAATAACTCTCCTAAAGCTGACATATCACCCATGGTTGCCAGCATGGGAACGGGAATATGCAAGGCACTTACGATTATGTTTTCTTGAACTGAATATGTTGGCTCTGCTAAAGAAGTTCTACCTTTAAGATGTGAATGGAATTTGACAGTAAGAAATATACTAACTATGTGGTTTCAAAGAAAAGTCTCACATAGAAATAATAAGATATGCTGGCATCAGTTGGGTCTCACCCACACATTATTCTCCTTGAAAGCTGAGCAGAGGAGATGGTACTGATGATGCCTTATGCCCTCGTGCTTAGGGAGAATAAGACCTGTTGCTGCTCAGCATTGACACTGCTTCAGTCCCCACTGCGACAGGCTGCCAGGGATCACCCTTAAACCAAGGAATCACAGATTTACCAGGTTTGGTCTCAGGTGCCTGAGGGCTCGGTGTAGTTTTAGGTCTGGGACGTGGAGGGCGGGTTCTTTTTGATGTTTTGGTAGCTGAAGGAAGAAAAAGCCTTGTGTTACTCTAGGTCTTATGATTCTGGATACTGAGGAAAGGTTTTTCCAAAGCTTGTCAGATCTCCTATAGTTCCAGAAACTTTAGTTGTTTTTAGTTTTACTTTTTCATTCCTTTTATAACGATGCGTCATTTTATCATTGATGGTACTTTTCAGGCAAATTCATGTATACAGTCGAGTTGCTCACTCAAGGAGTGAAGATTAGCACTTGTATTGAGAAACTTATAGAACTTCCTTGCTGGGGGAAAAAAATGATTGGGGCAGAGTACTCAATGAGAAGGGATAGGAAGTTAGAGTCACATTAAGGAAGAGGCTTATAACTTAAGATTTCAGACTTCAGTAATTCCCTAGTTGTCAAACTAGTAATAAGACAACATTACTTAAAGCACTAATAAAGAAAGAAACATACTGGGCATTTTTTTTTTTTTAAATCTAGAAACTCAGATGTGCAAAGGAAAGTAAGAATAGCCGTTATTGCCAATCAGCTTAGATAAGAAATAGATCCCAATTTGTTTTAAACTCAATGTTAATATAGAACTCGGCAAATGAAGCACAGGATGACATGATAATTTCAAATGTGCCACATGGCAGGTAAATATTTTGAGTTAAGCTCATGCCTGGCTCTCATAAAAACAGCAGGAAACTTGTTTTTAGGAGGCTTCAGTATTCTTCAGATGATAGAAATAGTTGAATGGTCACAGGCAGTGATGTTTGCTATTTTGTAGAGGAAGACATGCCATGTTATAGGGATGAAGACTGAATGGACTGTACAACAAGCAGCAAAAGCACTTGGCAAACAGCCAGGTAATTGTAGGGTCGTTACCTAAGGTTGTTGCAGGGATCTCAGTTCTAAAAGTAACAGGCTCGAGGTCTGTAACAGGAACTGAAGTAATAAGATAAACAAAAGAGATGGTAAAAAATGTGTGGGAGCTATAGTATTCACATCAAAACGTATCTTGCTTGTGTAACACTGCCTCTAGGATAATTAAACATTTCTGGGAAGGGCATTAGGACTGAATTATATTTCCACCCCTCACCCCCAACATATCAAATTCATATGTCAAAGCCCTAATCCTCATAGTGAGACCTTTAAAGAGATAATTAAGGTTAAATGAGGTCATAAAGGTAGAACTCTACTTCAACAGGACTGATGGACTCATATGAAAGAGAGACATGAGCTGCACACACAGAGGAAAGGCCATGTGAGGATACAGTGAGAAGGTGGCCATCTGCAAGACAAGGAGAGAGGCCTCAAGAGAAACCACACTTGCAGACACATTGATCTTGGACTTCCAGCCTCCAGAGTTGTGAGAAATAGACTTCTGTTATTTAAGCCACCTAATTTATACTGCTTTGTAATGGCAGCTCTTTTTCAAATGGAAATTAATTTTTTTTGTCTAGACTTGGCTGAACTATATCAAGTACACCATCTCATGAGATGGTCATCATCTTTGGTCTCTGTTTAGCACTACATGAGGCAAACAATTCCTGTAGTTATGGTGTTTATCTGAATATAATATGGAAGACTTTAGGATGTTTTAAGGCATTTACTTAAATATGTTTCTAATAATTCTCAAGAAGCACGTGAAAAACTAATTTGCACTTTAGTGATGCTGAATAAAGAAAACATGTACTATATGTTTATCAAATTATGGTTGCAGAAAAAGTGATGAAATATCCAAATGGTCATCACACAAATAACTAAAAATGACTGATGATCTTGCTGGGAACTCCACTTTGGAAAGAACTTTTCACTTCTGTCCAAACAAAAGCACTCAAGAGGCTGGGTAAGGGGTGGCCACTCAGTCTGTGGCATCCAGTAAATTATTGTCTACACTTAGCAGAGGGAAAACATGATCTAGTGTGGAAGAAAGACTTTTGATGCTCATGAGAACAATGTCAGACTCAATGAATGAGACATTCAAGCCCTCCGTCCACTTTCCACGGTGTCATCCAAATGCAGAATTATCAACAAAAATGTTTTGGCTGACCCTAGAAGCAGGATCTCTGCCCTTTCTGGTCGCCTCTATTTATATCCAATTTTTTTATCTTTGTTCATTCTTACCTTCCTATTTGTGCAAATTGTGATGTGACTTCAAGACCCAAATTCTTTCCTGGCTCTGTTGAAACCCAAATTCATTTTTTACTTTAAGACCCTACAATAAGTCTAACACTTAACATTTATATTCCCAAGAAAAATCTTTAATTTGCAAAAACACCCTGGCTTATTCTCATTCTCTAGGCTTTTCGCGTGGGAAGTTTTTGTGTTCAACTAGCCTGCACACTGCGAAGTAAAACATGTCTTCTACTACAAAAAGGGAAGATCCTGCAGGTCTCTTCTAAACTGACTCCTTGTCAACCATGAGGGGGTAACAACCCTCTGGACGCCCTCACTAAGGGGTATGTGAGTCTATTATTTCTATCAGTGACAGGCTCCTAAGCTCCATAAACCAAAGACCCTACACTTATCTGGTATAGTCTCAAGAGTAGCCAGACAAGGAGTGGTATTAAGTTTGTGCTGTGCATGATATGTTCAATGGAAGGTTTTTGGAGGTAGAAAAAGATAACCTTTAGTTATTTTAAATCTTATGCTTCTGCACATCATAGACTTAAAAAAAATCTTTAGCTTTTCCAAAGCTTGGTAGATTTTCCTGAACTTCAGAAAATATATCTTTCTAATGCAAAAATTTTGCTCCTACTATACTTTATCTTCTTCTGTTATTTAAGATACTTCAATAACAAATTTGCAAAGATGCAAATTTGACAGATTAAATAAATTTATTAATTCAGATACTTAGGATTAATATGTTTATCACATTCTGTAGAGTGCCCCGCCTGGATTAAAAAGGTTATAAATCATCCAGATTATGATGGAGACTAGGGGGAATGCAATTTATACTAAGGATACAGTTTATTATTTAAATCTACTAGCCTTGATCACATTATCTGTTGATTAATTCACTAAAAATATTACTCATACATTAACAAAATAACAAAAATAACAGGCAGATTAAAAAGGTAGATGTTTGGGAATGGCTGCAAGTGGGATAAAAAAACAAACAAAAATATAAACCCCCAAAAAAGGAAAAAAATAAAAAGGGAGGTGTATAAGGGATATATTAAGAAACTTCTGTGTTACAGCCTGGTTAGCGTAGATCAGGTCAGAACCTCGCGAGAATATGTCAAATCTCCCTTAATAGAGAACTCTGGTTAAGCCAAAAACAAAATGATATGATAAACATTTTAAGTTACAGACCAGGAAAGATCCCAAACTAGATTCAGATGTAGCTCTCTTATGAGCAAGAGGCAACTTGTTTTATGCATGTTCAACCGTTACAAAACCAAAAATGTAATTGAATGGCAATATACAGTGGAATAAGCTTGACAGTGAGCAGAAAAAGCACTTGCTGAAGATCAAAAAGTGGCATTACCGAATGTTGTCCCTGGAGCCTCTTTTATAGGAGAAACTGGTTCAAAGATTGTAGCAGGAACTGGCCAAAAATAATAAAAATAAAACACCAACAAAACATTAAAAATTTATAAAAACTCAGAACATTCAAAAAGAATTTTACGAGGTCATGACATATCTGTCCAGAGCACGAAGCAAACACAATTAGCCTCCTGAGCTGGGAGAAAATGACACCTCTGTCCTTGGGTACCAATTCATCTCTTAGGAAGAATGGCCATTTACTTTGTAGTCAGATAATTCAGATAACGGTCCATGTGAAGTGTCCCAGGAGTTTTTCTCATTCTTTGGTGATCTGAACCTAACTAATAGAGCATAGTAGATGATACACATTTTGCTGAAAACTCATCTTTGGAACAAGACCATGAGCTTTGTCCAACGTGAGTACCAAAGAGGACAAGAAGAGGGCCAGCCCCTCAGTCTGTGGTATACAGCTGGGCAACACCCAGAGAAAGCCTGACTGCACAGGGATGCAGATGATTCCTACCTAAAATCCAAACTCCTCAGGCCAGCATTCAAGACCCCTTCTCACTTAGCTGCAGACACCTCAACGAAATGTTCTGATCAACACCTAGAAGCCTGACAGCCTCCAGTGGTCAGAGAAACTGCCTCCTCAGGCTGGTTTCCATACATTCCCTGCCTTTCTGAATTTCTCTATTACTCTTCCCCTGATTTTCCCCTGAGAATGATTTTTCTGTTTTTAAGTGGTTGTTAAAAAAAAAAAAAGAAGAAGAAGAAGAAGAAAATACTACAGGGACTATATGGCCCAGAAAACCTAGAAAATTTACTATCTGGCTCTGTCTAGAAAATGTTTGCCAACTCCTGCCTTAGATCCTTATTTGTGACTTACGTGACTCCTATAGTTAACAAGAAATAATCTCCCACTTGCATGAACATATGTTCCTTCTCTGGCTGTTTCACTTTATCATATATTCAACATTGAAAGGATGAAGAGAATTGAATGAGAAGTAAATTAAATAGATGCTGAGAGAGAAGCATAAGGAATTTGGCTACCACGTCATCTCCCCAGCCCTGTTCCTCATTGCCTAGTCTGATGTGGAATCAGCTGCTGACCATGCCCAGCTACTTCATTCTCTTTGGGTCCCACTGGGGTGGGCTGTTAGGATTCCTCAAGCATGACCTACAAATTTACCCAGTTCAGTCTGAAGCTCTTCGGGACTCAGTGTGGTTTTAGGTTTGGGATGTGGACGATGAGTTCGTTGAGGCACTTTGGGAGCTAAAGGAAGAAAACTTCAGGTTAATACAGCGTGTTTGGTTCCGGAAGCTGTGGATAAGATTATACTTGTTATAATTTCTTGACTTCCAAGAAATGTTTCTTTTGGGTTTGAAATATTTGCCCCTATTTCAATACAGTGTCTCTTTTTATCATGTAGCTTTTTCTGAAGAATAAAAATCACATAGAAATATGAGTTTATTGATGATATTTCAAGGAGCTTCTCACAGGGATTCCTGAATGAAGAACAAGTTCTAAAATCTTGCTGAGTTATGGCGGTGATGGGGGTAAGTATAGGGTGATTTTATATTTGTGATGGTACTTACAATTTAAATTTACCAACCTTGGGCATATTTTACTCTTTACTTGGGAAAATTTTACTCTTTACTGAAACAAGAACACACCCTTACCCCAAATGGCTATATACATATACATACATACATACATACATATATATATATATATATATATATATATATATATATATATATATATATATATATAAAATGCAGATAGTAAAAATGTAGAAATTAAGATCTGCAAGAGAACTATGTCACACCGTAATAGCTGTGCCGATTTACTCAGTCTAGATCAGGGACAAACACCTTCACCTCCACCCTCCAGTGATTATATTTGAAACTTAGTAACAAAGAATGTGGTTAAAATGTTATGTGGGGGCAAGATGTGGGTAATTCAAAGTCATTACATTGCAATATATAAACCGACCCTAAGTTCACGCTTGGCTCTTTTACCAACAAGAAATTGTTTTAATACTCTTATACATATTAAGAAGTAATGAATAATAGAGGATAACACAGAAGCCTTGTGAAGCGGGAGAAGCTGTGGTTATGATGGTGATGAATGGGTTTGAAATGAGCAGGAGAGGCAGATGTTGATGGACATAATGTGCCATTACCTGCTGTTGTCCCTGAAGCCTCAGTTCTAAGAACTGGTTCGAGGATTGTGGCAGGAACTGATCAAAAGTAATAAAAGAAACCAAAGAGATTTTGTGAATGCATGAAATGTTGGAACATTCATCTTACCACCAAAAATCGGATTTCTAAGGCTGCAAAATTAATTCTTAATATCATAACTCAAAAGAAAGTGGCTGTATTTTTTTCCTTTGAATATTTCTCCAAACTTTAATCAGGTACTCGTTTGACTCAGAAGACAGTCAGCAATAGCCTTTGGACTTCGCTGAGCATCTCACTGAGGTCAATAGTAAGATCTTCTTGTTGGTTAACCATGATTCGAATGAACACTAGAAAATCTGGCTAGTCATTTTCTTAGAAAAAGATATGGTAAAGACTAGAACTTCTGTGGAAGCCAAAAAACCAAAGAGCACTCATTATAAGCAGTAATCAATAATGATAGATAGAATAAACATTTACATTTGAAAGCAAACACAGTGTAGCAGAGAGCCCCTATGGTGATCCCCAGTGGTTTCTGCCTCTGGTGTTAACACCTTTGAGTCATCTCTTCCCCTTGAGTGTGTGCTGGATCTCTGACATCTTTTTAACCAATAAAATGAGGCAAAGGTGATGGGTGTCACTCTGTTGAATAGGTGCATGTGCTGGGGGTGTGTCTGCCATGCTAGCACAAGGGAGAGAGAGACAGGGAGGGAAAGAGAGAGGATGAGGAGGAGAGGATGGATTATATAAAGGTGTTAACTCCAGGAGCAGGGAATCACTGGGAGGTTGCCCTAGAGTTTGTGCACCACACATATTAACAGCCAAAAGGAAGCTGAGACTACACTCATTAAGAGACTAAGTCTTTAGTAAATACAGCTTTACTTAACATAAGTAGCTGAAGAACCAACTCTCAGTTTTTGGTATCATTGGGCTGGGTATCTTCAGTTCTAAGAACAGAAAAAGCATGATCCTGTGCAGAAGTAGGGATCATTGAAGCCCCCTAGATCAAATTTAAGCTCTTGAGTAGACATCCCAGCCCCCTTTAATTCATCACTGAACAGGAGGGTATCAACGAGTTATCCTCTGTCTGGTGAGCCAACTTCAACACATTCCCTGCTTATCAGCCTCTGTTCCCTCATCCCTCTACTCATCCAGTTTCTATGCTGGTTTCTAATTATCCTGGACATTTTCCTCCTCTAAATATTTGCCATGCTTCTAGGAGGTGGCATTTATGCAATGCAATAAATTATATTTGCATAAACATGCTGCCTCATATTCGTTTCTAACTGGTTATGCAGGAACAGCTTTTGTTTACAACTACAGTGTAAACTGATTGGGAAAGAAAACATTCTTCCCACTTCTGATGTATGGACTAATATGGCTTTGGGGAATTAGAAGGGACTTAATAAAAGTAGTTGATTTAAATGATTGTGCTGGCTCAATACTGAGCAGCTTTGTCTTTAAGACAGGAATGAAATAAAAGAGCAAGAAGAGTAAATAATCATCAGCAGAGAAGATCCCTATAAAGGAAGCAAGAGATGCTAAGCTATTCATGTTCTCCTCACTAACCAGTAGCTTTTACTCTTAAGAGATATATAGGGCACAACACAATAGATTATATGTACATAGAACTTACAGTCCCAACCGTGGTAGACTGCTTGGATTCTACAAAACAGAAACTACATATTTACCCAGTTTAGTTTGAGGTACTTCTGGATGGGGCGTGGTTTTAGGTTTGGGATGTGGACGACGGGTTCTTTTTGTTGTTGTTGTTGGAGCTGAAGGAAGAAAATTTAGGATTAATATGGTGCTGATGGCTCCATTCACTGTGAATAGGATGACATAGCTCTAAGTTTTAAAATACTTGTTAGAGTTTGAGTTGACAGAACTTTGTCATTTTCGTTTGAAATTTTCTCCTTCAGTATCTTAATAGGTTTTCTTTGATAACTGAAAGTTCTCCAGAGACAAATATTGTACATACAATTACATTTAAGAAACAAACATTAGAAACTATCATTATTTTCTTGAAAGTGTCCCTAACCCAAATCACTGCTTAACTCTGATGGTGTGAGAGAGGTTCTAACCAACCCTACACTATTCACTTATAATTTAAGATAACTAGGCTTGGGCAAATTTTCCACTTGGTAACTTACTAGACTAAGTATATAAAATTCACAGAAACATCAATAAAGCAAAAAAAATTACATACAATTTGAAAAACAGAAAGGTGCATAAAGAAACTTCATGATATCATTTGATACTACGTTGGTGCTCTAAATAAGGAATATATGGGGAATTGTAGTTGGATCTTGGCTCTAAGAGTATTGTTCAGAGACTCAGACATGACACAGTTTCAAGCTGGGCTATGGAGCAGATAGCTGTCTTGAATTAAGTCATTGCATATTTCTTTAAAAAGCAAGCTTTCCATATTTTGAGATGAATACTGTAATGAGATGACAACAAAAGATGGTACAATAGCCTATATAGCACCATAGCAAAATCTGACAATGAGTAAGAAAAAGGACTTGCTGAAGGACATAGAGAGTCATTACCTGAAGATGTCCCAGGAGTAATAGGTCCAAAGTCTGTAGCAAGAAATGATCAAAAGCAATTTTAAAAAGAAATAAATGTTAAACACACGAGAAAAGCCATCATTCTCTTGAAAAGTGAACTTTACCATTATAGCGTTGGTTCTATAGCCACAAAGCAAACATTTTGAAGTTCTCAAGTGAGGGTACATATTTATTTGCTTTTATGAAACAGATATAACCTTAGCATCTGTAACATGGTTAACTACCAGTTTTTCTTATTTTTATATTATCTGATGATATAGTAGAAAACACTGCTTAGAAAAATCTTAGGACATCTAATAATGTTATGTTTAAAAATTAGGAAAAACTAATGTGAAAGTGTAGTTACACTATAAACTGGAAAACAAAGCCCTAGTTCATGATAGATGCAATTACTGATATGTTTAAGCAGATACACTGATGAATGACTAAAACAGATAATGCTGTTCTTTGTTGAGAGTGCACTTTGGAAAAAGACCAAGACCTCTGTTCAAATAAAGGCATACAAAGAACCAGATATAGAGGGTCATTCAATCCATCAAACTTGTTAGTGCATCTCTTTGTTATCAGGAGAGAAAAGGCCTGACCTCTAGGTTAGGAGAGCGTGCTGGAGCCAATTGGCTCAAATCCAATCATCGAAGTCAGGCATTCGAAGTGCTCTTTGTAGACCCATCAAAAGCAGCATTACTGTCCAACTAAAAGAACTTTGCCTTTCTTACAATCAGGTTGCACTTGCAATTCCTATCCTTCCAATGTCACCCTCACACGACACCTTCCTGCCTCTGTTTATATGATTCCTACCCATCCACCAATAAATCTACAGGCTCTACAAATTTCAAGGTCCACAAGATGAGCTCTTGCTCCGTTGCCTGGGCTACAGTGCAAGGGTGCAATTGTAGCTCACTGCAGTCTCGACTTCCTGGGCTCAAGCGATCCTCCCACCTCATTCACCCAAGTAGTTAGGACTACAGGTGCACATCACCATATCTGGCTAGTTTTTCTTAAATTTTTTGTAGAAATGGAGTTCTCCCTAAAGGTTCACATTACACTTATCAGCCCACAGATGTTTTGCTTCTCTAAGAATTAACGATGTGCCTAACAGTTGGTAAAATTTAATAAATATTTGCTTTTCCTCACATTCCTGTATATCTATTATGAAGAGTCTCACACAGGTAAGTCATTTGTTTTTTTCTAAAATATTCCTCACAGATACAAACGTTCAAAATGTGTGACAGGTTGAACTAAATATGCTAACTAGACACCTAATCAGGTCAGTTTTTGCTGAGCTGAGGAATCAAAGAGAAAAATGTAATTGAATGTCAGAGAAGCAAGTAAAATTCCCAGGCACCAAGGAGGTCCTCACGCAATCAGAATGAGGAAGTCACAGGTATCGCCAGAGCACTGTGTTGGTAGCAGCTGCTTTCCATGACTTGGGCCTTCACCCCAAGGGTCAAGTGGGTTATAAAGTGGCATGTTAAACTGCCACCCCCATGCCACATCCAATGGGATGCCACAGGGACAAGGAACCACATATTATTTACCTAGTTTGGTCTGCAGTGTCTCTGGGCGTGGCGTGGTTTTATGTTTGGGACGTGGACGACGTGTTCTTGTTCGTTGCGATGTTTTTGGAGCTAAAGAAAGGAAACTGGTTATTGTAGTCATATGACTCCAGAAACCAAAGAAAGGATTACACATGGTTCTAGGTTTTCTAAAGTTTTCCTAAGTCTTGAGAAATTTGTCTCTTTGGTTTAGAATTTTCTTCTGATCATCTATATGCAAAAATATGTATTTTTGGTCTACTGACAGGTCTTTTGAGACAGATGGAATATATGTAATTTAAAAAAATAAACTGCAACTTTATTATTAGTTGCTGGTATAGGATTTTCAAAGAGGGCCCAGACCCAAGGGAAGTCAGACATAGGCACGTAGACATCACATCAGAGAGGGACCCAGGCCTGCCTGCTTTTGGGAGAGCGTACTAAGAAATTACTTGGCTCAGACACACATTCCATTACAAGTTATTAGTATAAACACATTTTGTTTTCTAAAATAGTTGGTAGACAATAAAAATTCTCTGTATATCTTAAAACAACAGAAAGTAAGATGCCCACAGAATTATAATTGATATTTATCAGGCAGACATTCCTAATTGTATTTGAAATTCAGTTTTAACATAGAACACTACTGGAGCAGAATCACAGGCTCTGTCAAGCATTAATAAAGCTGGATAATATGGGAAAAATGGGACACAGATGCTGTTCACTAGTGGCGTATGGGCTTATAACCAAGTAACTTGTTTTAAGCACTTTCAATACATTCAAAATGAAGAATATAGTTCAATGACAAGAGGATGATGAGAAAATCTTATGAAAGAAAAAACCCTTAGCCCAAATAGTGATGGAATAGACTAGACAATGAGCAGAAAAAACTCATACTTAAAGACATAAGAGGTCATTACCTAATGTTGTCACTGTAGCCTCAGTTCTCACAGTTACAGGCTCAATGTCTGTGGTGGGAACTAACCAAAAGCAATACAATAAACAATGGAGATTAAGAAATACAGAAAAACAAAGTTATTTTGAAAATGAATCTTCTTAACCCTTTAATGTTTTAAATACATTTCTGAACTCTGGGAAAATAGTATTTGTTTTCCCCTAAGTAGCCAAACTATCATATCCATTTATTTCACAAAATACCCATACCCTTTGCATCCCTATAAGGGCAATGAAAAATATTTTTCTGTATTTCATTATCTGATTCCAACAACATAAAAAACCTGGATCCAAGAAAATCTTAGTTGTCCAATATATAATTTTAAAGTACTCTAAAAATTTGTTATAAAAGCTTCTGTTGGTATTTAAAAAGTTTTCACCACCATTATTAATTTGTTTTGAGAGTGGTAGTTGTGAGGAGAATTAGAAAGATGTTTTCAGTCTATTTACTGGAGATTTGTGAGAGTTGTGCAAAAGTCTTGTACGTTTTATTTGTAATAAATGTGATATTGCTTCTTACTCTGCCTCCTTATTCATTTATTTCAAATTGCTAATTAGGAGATAATTATTCAAGTAGAAAACAGAGATAATTAAGAAGAAGGTCTAAAAGGTAATAATACAACTTTTTGTCTAGATATAAAGGATTTCTATAACATTCTGAAATTGATTATACATAGATATAAAATTAATCAAGAATTGTAACTCTCTGGTATTAGCATCTCCATTTATCTTTCACTAAACCCAGAAGGCTAAATGTAACATTCAAACATCTCATCCTCAAAAACTCTTTAGGCATTTATAGAGAGGCTGACTTTCTCTTATTGCTCAAGACATCATAGCACAAAGTTGGTTTAAGCCACCACTGAGAGCATCTTCAGAACTAAAGGCATATATAATAGAAGAGATGGAGGAAGTCAGGACAACAGGATGACAACAATATTTATAATTAATTGCCTTCAAACAAAACAGAGAATCCTTATTTTGTTGGGAATTTTGCATCGCAAGATGAATTTAGCAACAGAAAGATCAATTTGCATATGAATAATGTGGAACAGGAAGAAAGGACTTTTGTGAGAAAGAAACAGTTATGTACCATCATGAGCTCCTTATAAACACATTGAGGACAAACTCCAACCAGCTTTTTCATTGCTCCCCTCCCACATCCATAAATTGTACCCACAAAGAAGCAGAGGTTTCAAAAAATTTTCTGGTTTGAAAGATGGATATAGACAGAGTGACTGTGACTCAAGCAATCTGAATGTCTCTGAATGTGATCGAAGAAAGAATAACAATTATGTGTTACAAGCTGAGCAGCAGATGTAAGGATGCCTAATGATGTTAAAAAGGCCCCTGTTGAAAATAGTGAAAATTTTTAAAAATGAAAACAAAAATGGTGAATGACAATTGTGCATATTATAGCTAATGAAAAAAGAGATGAGAGGCGCAAGCTCAGAGAAACATTGGCCAAGAAGGAAGAAAGCATCATTACCTATGGTCATTGAGGGAGCTTCAGTTTCAAATGGAACAGGCTCAGAGACTGCATCATAAAAAATAAACAGATATAAGTAATAAAAGCAAGGAAGTCTAAACTTTTGGGTGCTCATTGGTGTTTAATTCAGAGGACACAGAGTCTAGTTTATTCTAAATTAATATAAATTGCCTTCTTGATAGGCTTATTTATTATGTGAGATGCTTCTTAGCAAATTAAAATTTTATACTAATTGGAATCTTGGGAGAAAATTTCAACTGCAAAACAGTTGGATTCTGAGAACTGTTATATAAATATCTTCTTATGTGGTAGAAAATTACTCAGTTAACAGTTACTGTTTAAAATGTTGGCCGGGCACGTTGGCTCATGCCTATAATCCCAGCACTTTGGGAGGCCAAGGCAGGTGGATCACCTGAGGTCAGGAGTTCAAAAGACCAGCCTGGCCAACATGGTGAAACCCCCGTCTCTACTAAAAATACAAAAATTAGCCTGGTGTGGTGGTGGGTGCCTGTAGTCCCAGCTACTAAGGAGGCGTAGGCAGGAGAATCACTTGAACCTGGGAGGCAGAAGTTTCAGTGAGCCGGTTGCACCACTGTACTCCAACCTGCGTGACAGAGCAAGACTCCATCTCTAAATAAATAAATAAATAGAATAAAATAAAATGTCAATAGAGTATTTTAGAGGAAGCTAATCCCTGACTAGCAAGTCTTCTTTTCAGTTGTGCCTATAAATGAAGAACAGTGTCAGCCTTCTGTGTGTACTAACAGTGGTTACTAAAATGACTTTCAAAAATGTTTCAGATACAGAAAACTCAGGCTTCTGTTCATTACAAATTCAGAAAATAGGCCTAAAAAAGCTTTAAGAAAATGAAATGCCAGTCAATCAGGTATAAAATTTACTAATTTCCTACATATTGACTTTTTCATTTAGCACTTAAAACATCAGTGTGGCTACTTGGAGAAGATAATGAACAAAATTATGGTATTTGGATTTCTATGATTTATATGATATGACAGATTGGAAACATTTTCAGCAATGTTTCCAAAGAAAATCCTGTTAAGCTAAAGCACTGGAAATTATGTTTACCGGATTTAGTTGGTGGCATGTCTGGTTCTGCTGTGGTTTGGGGTTTAGGAAGTAATTGTTTTGGTGGTTTTGAACCTGAAGAAAATTAGAGTGCCATAATTAGTGTTACGGCTGAGCTGTGAATGTGGAGATTAATGTTACTTACACATTGTTTTCCTATTTATAGATCAAGGCATTGAAAGTAATGATTACCAGGCTGAATTTGAGGTGCATCTGGTCTGTGTGTGGTTTTAGGTCTCTCAGATGGTTTTGAGGCTAAAGAAAAAGGTATTAAAATTACCACAATGGGTCATGGCTGTGACTGTCAAAATTAAGGACAATTATGCAGAACAAAGACACTATATAAATTCAACGAATCTATAAACATTTCTGGGGTGTGGGAAGGGTGAAAAGAGTGTCTATTTTAACTACACACTAGCATAATTAGTTTTTCCAGAAAGGAAAATTAATTACTAAATGCTCAAAATGTGTTTTTGAGCAAAAGTAATGAGGACAGTCATAAGACATTTTTCCTATATAAATAATTTCAAAATAGACAAAGTATATTAGTTCTATGTCTTTGATCAAAAGGTTTTCTTCAGTATACAAACAGTAAGGTAGAAATCTGATTGCTTAGGAGGCGATCTGGAAGTAATCCATAAACATTTGAAATTACACATGAGAAATAATGTTACATGGCTGCCGATGTCTGGGATTTCCCAAAGTAAAGCCATGATAGATTTTGAGCGCTAAGAAACTATAATGAAATGATTATAATCAAACAGTATTAGTACTAAAAACAATAAAACCAGTTTGGGACTTTTAATGCTGTCAAGTTCCAAAGACCATCACTAGTTTTACATTGGATTCTAGATCAAGAACGATCTTGGTTCCTCTCGCTATCCATACCTATTCAAAAACATTTTTCAAAGAAACAGAAGAGCCGAAGAAGCCATTATTTCATGCAACTTTTTAAAAAGAAGAAAGTCCTAGAAGTTGAATCAGTAAAGCAATGAAATGCTAACCATGGCACTGGAGTAAAATTTTGCCATTTGTTCAGTTCAGGATGAGCACAGAGGTCCCTGTCTGAGAAGGAGTTGATGGCTTTCTCAACCCCACGACACATATAGGGCAGACAGAAGGTCAGCAGAGAACCAGGAAGTTGTGTCCAAGACCACAGACCTTCCCTAAATGAGCACACTGGATTGTTTTAGAACTCTCCTATCTTTAGGATCTTCAGACCCAGACAGGAAAGGTGAGGAAAAGCGTGGGATGAAACTGTGATGAGGTGGTGGAACTGCAGTCATGCCTGTAATGGAGAGTGGGGAAAGCAAAAGCTACAACCCGTGAAAGCAGCCGTGGTGGAGGGAGTAGAATTACCAGTTGTGGGCACCAAGGGCTCCGGTTGTATCGTGGCAGGTTCCAGAGCTACAGAAGCAAATACCAAAAACATGAAATATTTCAAGAAGTGGCATCGTGAGGAGGGAGACATTATGCCTCAAGCTGGGACACTACCTAAATGATGCATTTTTTCTGAATGTGATTTTCCCTTTTACAGTTCCCATTTTCCTTTCTCCTTGTTGCTTTCCCACACCTCATCTGCCATGAATGTACATCATAAGATTTCAAGGTGCTTTACTTTAATAATTCACTTAATGGGCCAGCTTTCTGCTGTGTGTACCTAATAACTATGACTGAGAGTATAAACATATTATATAAAATATTACATATATAAAATGAATATAGAAACTGAGTACAGATGCTCAGTTATAAAAGTCAATTCCACTGGTTCCTAAAGCCCAGTTGCTCAAGTAGCTGATATCAAACCAGAAGCTGCCATATTCCACTTTCTATGTTAATTGGAACCTGAATATCACATTTACCGGGTTTGGACTTGGGCACTTCTGGACTAGGTGTGGTTTTAGGGCGGGGACGGGGGCGGGGGCGACGACCTGGTCTTTTGGTCTTTCGTGGTGCTGAAGAAAGAAAATTAGCAAGTTAATACAAGAAGGGTGGATTTACAAACTGATGATAAATATTACATCCATCTTAGAAGGACATTTAAACCCTTTGATTTACTGTGGACATGTTTCCATCTGTTTTGCAAACTTCTATCATTATTTATGTAGTTAAATGAGGTCTTGAATAATTTTTTTGTCACAGATTAATAAACTGTCCAAGAGATCTGTCTGTTCTTCCATTTTGAGATGGAAAATCTCAAAACTTTGTACAGCTTAGAGAAGATAGTCACTCAAAAATATTGAAGGCATATGTTCAACAGGAACATGAGAAAGGTTGCTTTTATAAAGCCATTTGGGATAAAAATTAAAATTTGGCCTAAGATTTAAACAGATAAATTTTTCACTTAGCATTTAAAATATCCACAAATCAACAATATATGCAGAAGGCTTTAAATTCACTAATTATGTCAGGACAGGCAACTTTTAAAAAATGAGATACAGTTTATAAACTATACCTATAGGAATTAACTTTTTTTTCTGAAGAACAGAGCACTCACACACACACACAAAGGGACATTAATGTATTAATTCATTAATGTGAGTCTGTCAACACAGATACCAGCAGACAGGAAAAGAAGAAACAAAGGTCACCCACTCAATACTCTATTACCTAATGTTGTTGAAGGTTTGGTTCCTGGTGTTTCAGGTCCTAAGACAATGTGAAAAAATCACCAAGAAAGAATCAAGATCAAAGGAAAAATGACATGTATTTAAAACATGGAATATGCTTAATTTTTAATTACTAGATTGAGCAAATATAAATGGTGAAGCTTTTATCCACATGCAAAGTTTCTTTTCTACTTCAATAGATTCCTGTGTTTTCGACAAAGCGAACAAAAAAATGTAGCCAGTCAGTTAAGTTTGGAAAGAGAAATGGAACAAAAAGGCATGATTCTCACTTGGAACATGTGACTGTAATAAAGTAACCAGCAGTTCATGTTATGAAGGAAAATATGGGTAATTGGCTAAGATGGCATTAGAACACTTTTTTTTTTTTTTTTTTTTTTTTTTTTTTTTTGCTCTTTTGAAGAAAAAGAAGCTATAAAGATTGGGGTTGGTTTTTCTATTTCTCTCTTTGAGTGGATTTCCTAGTCCGTGGCACTTTTCAAGAAAATCTGCAAAAGTTAGAGTTTTGAAAGTAAGAAAAACACCTCCAAAAGAGAAAACATAAATATATCCTATGAAAGTCAGGGTCCTCCCTGGCAATAAACAGGTTAGAACAAGCTCAGGGCATATTCCTCAAATGTAATTGAAGGAGAATAAAGAATCTATCAAATTAAAATTAGTATTGCTTTCATGGGTGTCTCAGAACCACTGCTAAGTCAAGCACAGGCTGAGAGTATATCTTCGGGCAAAAATGGCTGGAAAAAGATCTGAAGGAAAATTAAGAAATATTAGGCTGGGCACAGTGGTTCACACCTGTAATCCCAGCACTTTGAGAGGCCGAGGTGGGTGGATCACCTGAGATCAGGAGTTTGAGACCAGCCTGGCCAGCGTGGTGAAACCCTGTCTCTACTAAAAATATAAAATATTAGCCAGGGATGGTGGCTCAGGCCTGTAATCCCAGCCACTTGGGAGGCTGAGGCAGGAGAATTGCTTGAACCTGGGAGGCAGAAGTTGCAGTGAGCTGAGATCACGCCACTGCACTCCAGCCTGGGCAAAAAAACGAGAGTGAAACTTCATCTGGAGAAGAAAAAAAAAAAAAAACAAAACCCAAAGCTGAACAAAGTTGAACATGGAGAGTGTTAAAGATACTTTGTTTTCACTCATTAAAAAAAGCTTTATTACCTATTGTTGACTGTGATGGCAGTAGAGTCTGAGGTTCTGGGGCTGTAATAAAAGCAAGTAATATCAAAAGCAATGCTGAAGAGCACCATCTGAGATAGAAGTGACATGTTCTTGACTATAAACGGAGTTCTCTCCTGGGTGAATGATTAGGTTCTACTGGCTTCTGCCAGTGAAGTTCAACCTTCCACATCCTCTCTACAAACCACAAGAATTGAGAATTCTCATTTTTGTTGTTGATCTTTAGCTGTTACCGTCACTTCCCAATATTCTGGTTTGCCTCTGGTGCTGAGGAAATACTAACTTAGAGGGAGTTCTGGGTAGCCTCTCTGAGGTTGTTCAGAGTGTCCTGTCACCTGATATTTGTTTCTTGCAGGACAGCCAGGTTCATCCAAGGAAATGGAACAGGCAACAGACTCACCACCTGGTACTGTGTCTGTGCTGTTAGTTTGCAATCTCCAGCTTGGCTGGACCTGACGTTCTCTCACAAAAAAGATAAGAATTAAACTTATTGTTCAAAAGCGACCACAACTGTTCATATGATGCCTCCTGTATTCACTAGTATCTATCGCTGGTAAACAAATTGGTTCACATATGAAACTTAACCCATTTGGACTGGTAAACCAATGAGTCCAAAAGCAGTCTCAGATTTCATAAGATGCTAAATTAAATAACAGTATCTAAATATTCTGATAAACTTTCCAATGTTTATTCAAACTAGCAATAAGTAAATTAAACTTCATGTTGAATTTAGCTTGGTTACAATATTTGGGCTTAAAAAAAGATTACCCAATAGGTTTCTCATTATTCTATCAACAAAAAGTATTGTTTAAGGAGAAAATTAAAAAGGAATTGTTTATTTTTGAAATGGAAAGAAAAAGTTAAGATTCTTTGACTTTTCTTAAAGAAAGAAACTAATCAATGTGGCTTTCATAGACCATCTTAATAGAACTGAAGTCATTCTTCTACTTATACATTTCTAATATTAGACTTATCAGGAATGATCTCTGATATTACTTGACAAGGGAGTGTGGCAGGTTTTGAGAATACGTAGCGACTAAAAAAGAACTATAACAAGTTTCTATGTAGCAACTAACAACAACTACTTCAATGGAAAAATATAATAACGCAGGTACAGAATTTTTATTTCTTCTAAAAGCAATGCATAACAGCATAAGGTGCTATTTAAAGGCATTATCATCCATTAACATATCTGTGATCAAAAAATTTTTGTGTTGAGGCTAAAGAGTACAAATTAGGTGCAAAAGAAGCAGGTTAAAGTTGTTTTTAAAAGCCCCGAATTCTGATTTCTCAAGAACTTGTGCAGAAATAGATTGTAACAGATGAACGGCAAAAGCAGTAGTGATGTGTCAGACTGAAGTTCATATAACAAAGTAAAAATTCTGAGTGTGTGTGTGTGTGTGTGTGAGTGAGTCTGTATGACAGAAGAGAGAAGGGAGGAGGGAGAGTGTGTGTATGTGTGAGAGAAAGGAAGGGAGGGAAAGAAAGAGAGGGAGGGAGAGGATGTGTGTGTGTGTGTGTGTGTGTGAGAGAGAGAGAGAGAGAGAGAGAGGGAAGGGGAGAAGAAAGAGTGTCTGGGAGATGGAGAGAGAGAGGAGAGTATGCATGTGAGAGAGAGTGTGTGAGAAAGAGAAAGGGAATTGTATGTGTAAGGGAGTGCATGTATAGGTCTAAGTACCTCAGATGCTATAGGACAAGAAGAAAATAAACATCAATACATGAAATACAATAAATATCAAATAAGCATTCATACCTGAAGATAGCAAACAAAAAATTATTTTGAAACTTCAAGATTGTAATTCATGTTTTTGATTCTACAAAGTTGCCTTCCACAAGTGAAAAATAAAATTTGCTACTCATTGCATCTTTTAGACTTCACAAAAATTAAAGAACGTTGTTTTTGAAATTATAAGGAAAAATCTGCATTTTTGAGTTCCTGGCTGAGTTTGAGACCAAATAGGGATAGAACTCCATCAATTAAGCTTCAAAGTCAATTGCACATAAAAACAGTAAGGTCTATGTTTAGTAAAAATAAATATATCTTCTGACACGCCTTCTATTTGACAATCATAAGGTATTATAGGTAAAGGTATAAAATGTTCCATAACAAAGCTGAGTGGTCTGTAAATGACTAAGCCACTCATCTCAGCACAAAACAAAGACAAATTTGACTCACATGTGTGTAGGAATGAGAACAATTTACAATTCTATCCACGTTGGAAGACGGTCAAGTGAAACAAACACCTGTAATTGGGGGCACCCCCTTATTTTCAGTCCATTAGAAGCTTAAAGATTAAACCATGAAGGAAACAATTCCCACTGGACGAGGTAGACAAGTTAAGACATGGTAGGTGGCTGTGGTTTTTGAGAAATGCGCTGAATTGTACTTATAAAACAAGCCCAAATCAATGTGGATTTTTACTCGTTGACTTAACCACCAAGCAAAGCCAAAGGAAAAGGAGCCTGTAAAGGAAAGTGAAACAGAAAAATAGAAGAGTGTGCGGAGAGGGCTGGGAAAGGCCTCAAAAAGCTTTGGGTGGTGTATTTGCTCTTCCAAACCTTGGCTAGAAAGAGACATCTTTAGGAGAGCTATAAAGGTGGTCTGCCCTAAATAAAAATAAATAAAATTTAAGAAGCTAAAATCAAAGCAATGGTTTGCGGAGATCCAGTCATCATCCTGTGTTGCTATGGACCATTCAAGGTCCATTTGAGGGCACAGGCCTAGGTGTGGATTCTGAAGTCATTACATTGCTGTTAGAGGAAAAGGGGTGGATTTTCTTTGATGATTAGAAGGTTTAGAAATCAAAGGAATGTAAACACATTAGCCTCCAAGTAATTCTTCCCATGTTAAAAGGAAATGTCAAATTAAGAAGTCTTTTTGCTCAAACACCTTACAATGATAAAAATATAACCTTCCTCCCTCATTTGTATTAAAGAATTTCCTCTCAGAAATCTTGTCTTAGAAACCACTGAAATGAATAACGCAACCTATCATATATAAACTATAACCAATGTTTGGAGAAATTTGACTATTTCCAATTTTATGTTGTAATAACAGAAATAATTCATTTGAGAGAAACCTTATTTAAATTTGGTGACTCAAGCTTGGTAATAGTCCTCTGTTCAAAATACAGCATAGTTACTACTCTATCCCAAAGCTCTCTAAGCATGATTTTTAAATAAGTGTGTATTAAACCCTTCTCTCATACAGCTGTCAGAGTTATTTGATTTAAACCACTATTAAGGCTTTTGAGTTTTATTAGCTACGCTTCTTCCCCTGAAAACCCTGAGTGAGAGTTTTTCATTCCATTTCTCTGACTTGGAGACCTCATCCATGGTCACAGTGTCAACTATACTCCCTTTGCCTAATCCCTAATTTCCTTCCGTCTGCACCTACACCTGGAAATCTCACTGCTTCTTTACAGGGAGTAATGAGAATTTTTTCTTTAAGCAGTTACATTTTTCTTCCTTAGCCATTTCATTGCAAAAATAAATCATACCCACTTTAGCAGAAAATCTCTTGCTTTAATAATCCTACTGTGTAAACATGCCATTAATGGAAATGCAAGTTCAAAATCCATTAAACATTATTGTGAGAAATAATTTCTTCCCAGAGCTAAGGGTTTAAAATTTAGATAATGATGACACTGAGTGGTGACAAGGTTCCCTGTAGTCAATCTTATAAGTCAACATTTAAAACTGCCACATGGATTACAGATAGATAAAAAAAACTCCAAGATGTGGTCATTCAATATGTTACACAATCTTTATGTCTTTTTATGTCTTAAATTATTATATATATAGAATGATCCCTTCCTGCAAAAGCAGCCTTTTTTTTTTTTTTTAAAGGAAAACACCACTAAAAATTCCTAAGAGGTAAACAGAGGTCAGTGTTCAGAAATCAGCCCCAATTTAGAAGTCTTGGAGCATTGGGAAAATACAGGTCTTTCTGGTCTTCTAGCCTGAGAACTGAGAAACTCTAAAATAATGCAGAGTTCTTAGAAGATAGAAACACTTCTCCCCTTTCCAGCTGAAAGGCTATTGTTCATGAGATTAGAATTCCAGTCAACACTGGTATTGGAAACTATTTTGCAGTAGTAGACAAGGGAGTTCGCAATCATTCATATCATTACATTTCTGTGTTTTCTCTGTGATGATCATGAACATTGCTGAGAGCAATGCTGTGATATCACAGTGGCTATTTATGATTAGATCATTTCATTGCATGCTTACACTTTTCATGGAAAAATGTAACAAATGTCAAAATATAAATCAGAAATTCTTGCTCCAAATAATTGCAAAGAACTTGTTTTCAACCCCACTTTTGGAATATTCAAAAAAGTTTAGGGTAATTACCAGGTTTGGTGTGTGTCACTTCTGGGCTGAGAGGGATTTTAGGTTTCAGAGAAATAAATTGTGTTTTACCGGGAGCTGGAAAAATAAAGAAACAAAATAATAAACAAATCAATATTTAGGCATTTCAGTGTCTAAAAACACAGAAGGAAAACCTAGAAATAAACTATACATTAAATGGAATGAACTCATCGTCTTGGAAGATTTTGGAAATATTCCATTAAGAGAATATTTCATGATCCATTCACAGAGAAGTAGTTAATTTTATCTTGTTTAGAAAAAACATTTCAAGAGTATATTTAATCAACAAATATAGCATTACTACTAAATAGTCACAGTAACTACTCAAAGTAAAGATAGTTCTTATAATCTATGATTTTTAAAAATCAGTCTAATTATTTTGCACCCTTACTTCATATTTCTCAATCTCATCTAAGTCTGAGCACTAGGGGGAAAAAACACCATGTTTTACAATTAATATTCACTGACGTATGTGCAGGATGTACAGGTTTGTTATATAGGTAAACTTGTGCCATGGTGGTTTGCTGCACCTATCAACCCCTCACCTAGGTATTAAGACCAGCTATATTTTTATCAGCTTTATAAACTAAAAAGGAAAAATCTAAAATCATTCAACCAGTAGCTGATGTGCATATCTTTTGCAGATGCAACAATAAATTTAAACTTCCTGCATACAATTTTAGGGTGGCATTTTTCTTTTTCTCCTAATATTTCCAGAATCTGTCACTTTGGGCCTGTCTACCTAAACACATTTTAATAAGAAAAAAACTACTCTCAAAAAAATTCACCAATAGGTATAATGCTATGATCTGAAGCATAAAGTAATTCTACTAACATTAAAATTAAAAGTTGTTTTTCCAAATGAAGTTGGAAGTTGAACTTGAGAGTCTTACTAAAAAATAAAAAAAAGAGAACTATATACAAGATTCAACTTCAAATACAATGACTGGATAGATGACAAGGAAGCAGCAATGGTTCAAAAGCTGACACAGAATGACATCTGAAGGCTGAGTTCAGATCTACTAACTGTTGGGCCAGCTAGCCACAACCACAATAGCCATGGAGCTGGTGCACTCTCTGAGATGGGCCATGCTGTTCAAATGAACCGTTTTGAGTATCTTAACAGGTAACAGACATTACATAAAAGCTGGGGTACTGGATTTTCCATGGTGAAATGAAGCAACACATCTACTAAGGACATATCATTATTACCCGGTGTTGTCCATGTAGGTTCAGGGCTTTTAGAAATTTTAGGTGTAATTGTTCCGGCACTTGTGGTTCTTTCTGGTGATGGAAAGGAAAAAAATATTGAAATATCCTAGAGACAATAAAAAGACACCCTCTAAAGAGGAACTAAATGATCCATTTAAAATCCTGCCATATTTAGTAGTCAAAGTATACAATGAGTAAAAGTTTTGAGGAAGAATTGTTAAACTGTCATAACAGTATACATCATACAAAATTACATTTATCTTATAATGGAATAAGCAAAACCCAGTTGGTCAAGCATGATTCTGAGTATATTGTTTGACAATGAAGAATTGACCTCCAGGTTAATAAGCATCTGTACCACCCAAACTCTGTGCTATAATATATATGTTATTCCCTTCTCCTTTTCTTCCAAATCCTACATGTATTTTGGGGTCTGTATCTTCAACTCTTTCTTGGAGCATTTACAAAAATATTACAGTCTTGGAAATAAGTTATGTAAATGTACGTTGTGCTGTCATTTTTATGTTTTATCTTCTCAAGGTTATAATCTATTTGAAAACCAGAGTCATGTCCTCTCTAACTCAGCCATTGCCCTGGTGAAAAACTGAAAACAGAGTAGGTACCAAAAAAAATAGAAACATCACTCGAATGAACATTATAATAAACATGCACACCAAAAAACGAATTACATGTATCACTCTGTATTGCTATGAGTGGGACTTGTTTCTAGGTTTTTACCAAAATTCACATGCAAAAATATAATTTTCAGTAAACCCCTTTTGGACACTTGAGTTTTGTTATTCTGCATTATTAATTATTCATCTTTAGTTAATCTCAAATTTTGTAAAGAAACTAATCTATAAAACATATCCTTTTTTTTTTTTCCCTGAGATAGAGTCTTGCTCTGTTGCCCAGGCTTGAGTGCAGTGTGCTATTATAGCCCACTGCAGCCTCAAACTTCTGGGCTCAAGAAGCACACCATGCCTGGCTAATTTTTTAAACTTTTGCAGAGACGGGGTCTCACTAGCTTGCTCAGGCTGGTCTCAAATTCCTAGCCTCAAGTGATCCTCCTGCCTTGGCCTCCCAAAGTGCTGGAGTTGCAGGTGTGAGCCACTGCACCTGGCTATCCTTCTTACTATAAGAAAATGGACATTGTCTATCTGGAATTACATATCATGTAAATATAAAGAGACATTTACCAGGTTTGGTTCTTGGCGGTTTGGGCCGGGGGCGTCGTTTAGGTGTAGAAGGGATAGATGTAGTTTGCTGGGGAGCTGAAAGAAGATTTAATATAGCTTTGATAAATGATATTTTTCAGGGGTCAATCAGGTTGTGCCTGTAAATTTGCAAACTCCAAGTACAAGAACTGCTTTATATTTCCTTGTATCCTTAGAATGTCCAGTATACCTTGTTTTATACACAGGAGGTGCTCAATAAACAAGGGGTGACTGGGACAAAAGGTATAAAATTTCTACATGAGAATTGAAGATATACATTGTTCAATTAAATGTATCAGAAGTGAGCACCCTTGAGGCATTTCAGAACACAAGGTACAATTAAGAACTCAAAAGGATGACATTGAATAGCAGGAGAGAAGCACAAATAATGGAAATTTGGAACTACTTTTTTTTTTTTTTTTTTTGGAGACAGAGTCTCACTCTGTCACCCAGGCTGGAGTGCGTGGCGCAACCTTGGCTCACTGTAACCTTGGTTTCCCGAGTTCAAGCAATTCTTGCCTCAGCGTCCTGAGTAGCTGGGACTACAGGCATGTACCATGACGTCCGGCTAATTTTTGTATTTTGACTAGAGATGGGATTTCACCATTTTGGCCATGCTGGTCTTGAACTCCTGGCCTCATGTGATCTGCCTGCCTTGGCCTCCCAAAGTGCCGGGATTACAGGCGTGAGGCACCACACCCGGCCCAGAACTTTAATTCTGTAGCTCTTTATTATCCCCACCAAGAGTCAATGAACTTCGCTATTTCAATAATTTTCTGTTATAAAATGTAGGTTGTGTTACCTCTCTTTAACCATCTTTCTTCATCATGTCCAGGACTGCAAAGCCTACTTGGTGCTCTCTATACTTAGACTACTTTGGGTAAAATACTTTGATCAAATGGTACCTAACTGTGTTAAGTAGAAGGGAACATATTTTGAAATAATTATCTATAATTCTGCTGCTAGTTTCCAGCTGGCAAAGTTGAAAGAAGAGTTGGAAGGAAACAATTCCTCAAAATATATAGTCATCAGGATTGTGAAAATTCTTTAAGGATAATCATAAGGCTAAGTAGTCAGATTCTTGGAAGAATTTCATGGTAGAGACTGAAGGGAAATATTTAGCAAAAACAAACAAAAGAAAAACAAAATTCTGAAATGGCCAACATGACTTCTCACATTACCTGTTTCGTCAATGCATACATAACTACATAAATGTCATTAGTTACCAGGTGTCGTAGGCTGCATTTCTGGACTGGTAAAGATTTCCAGTTTTTGAGGAACAAATGGTGTTTCACTTGGAGCTGAAAGCACAAACACCCCAACCCATCAAATAATCCCAGTTAAAATGAGGTATTTGAAGAATTTTAACATGCTTTTAGATGGTATAAAGCACATGCCACGAGTACATGATTAAAGATGAAAAATGCATGTAGTCTTGAAAGCTAGTGAATAAAATTCTGATTTAAAGTAGGGAAAAGGCTAGAATGATGATTGTTCAGTAGATGACTTCAGGCAGACTTGATGCATGGAAGTAAAGTGACACAGGCCACAAACATGTGAAGTGAGATGGTGCAGGTGATGACGTCCATGCAGTTTTCAAAGCTTTCACAACTAAAAGGATAGGGAAAATATTATCTATTACAGCTCAAAAAAATAAAATAGAGCCCTAAATGGAACGTAAAAGATGACTGCATTTAAAATATATAGATGTATATATTGAGAAATAGGATAGATAAATGATTAGATGTGATGGAATGAAATGGTCATTTGGAAGAAAGGCATTCACATGATTTTTTTTTTTGATGGAAAATAAAGTATGATTTTTCTGTTAAAAACATTACCCAGTGTTGCCCTTGGCTGTTCAAGAGTTCTAGAAGTTTTAGGTGGGATAGAATCCAGAATACGATCACTTGTTGCTGTTGGAATAAATGTCAACATTTGTAAAAGCAGTAGAAGGCCCCAGGAATAAAATACAAATTCATGAGTAATAAAT
Organism: Homo sapiens; assembly: GCF_000001405.40. NCBI lineage: Eukaryota > Metazoa > Chordata > Mammalia > Primates > Hominidae > Homo > Homo sapiens. The sequence continues at coordinate 100,850,812 of NC_000003.12, forward strand.
TATGCCTCATATGAGGAAAAATATCAAGAATACTTGAGGGCTTGCTGGCCCACATTTTAAAACTAGTGATACATCAGGAGTTGAAGATGAGCTCACTTTAAAAAACATACATACTTTAAATATTAGAAACCATGATTAAACAGTGTTTTATACATTCAACTGGTTTTCAACACGTTTTTCTGGTTTCCTCCATTTTGTTTCATAATTGCTAACTGAACTCACCACTGACATTCTATTTCATTGTTTTATTTTCTGCTCTTTAAAATTATTCATCTTTATTTACCATGACACAAATAATATTATACATACAAAAAATATCAGACATATATCTATACCTGGCAGAAACCAGTCTTACTCCCTTTGAATCTCCTACAGTACCCAGTTTAGTAGGTGTTTGATAAACATTTGCTGAAAGGAGCTGTCGGACTGAGGTAACTCACTATAGATGGGTCAGTAATTGAATGCCAAAGATTAGACCCAATTGAACTGCTACAGCCGAATGAATTATGTGACTGTTCTACATCAAGGTTTCTCACGTTAGCACTATTGACAATTAGGGTCAAATAATCTGTGCTGTGGGAGGCTGCCTGTGTACTGCAGGGGTTTGGCAGCACCCCTCATCTCTACCCACTAGATGCTAGGAGTGCTTCCCCAAGTTGTGACAACCAAAACTGTCTCCACATTAGCAAATATCCTGGGGAAGGTATGGGAGTTGAAAATTACCCCCCATTTGAGAACTACTGCTCCAGACAAAACCCTCTAGAAACTCGAAGACCTTTTTATGATTCTGAACAATTCATTAAGCTATTACATTACTTTTCCTCAGTGGCAACCAAATCTATCTGCATCTCCCTTATGTGACAGAGCTTATTTACTGAGAGATGTAAAGAACTAATCACTCTATGGGAGGAGTGGGTAAAACACAACTCCCTGACACAGGTAGAAATTTCTCCCATGCAGAGCTCCAGAGGATACAATTTTCCACTCTGCAAAAACTAAAGGAAGAACCACCAAGTGTTGGAACACCTGGGATCCAAAGACAGAATTGAGAGGCCAGATATACCTGTGTAGGAATCTGATATCTCAGGCTCATCTGATGTTGTAGGGCTTGAGAAAACATCATAAGTTGCTTAAAAAAAAAAAAAAGGCAAAACAAGAGAGATGTTAATTTTGGTTAAATTTGATTAATTTAGAAAGATTACATGACATGTTGTAATGCTGGTTGAAGGACAGTTTTATGTAGGTACTGGTACATTTTGGCTCCAGGCTGCCAGCCTTGTCACTAACATCTAAGCACCGAAACTCGCCTTTGGTCCTTTTTTGCTCTGAACCGCAGGATTTTATATAGTGAGCCCTGATGCTGGCCTCCAGGGTGATGAGAACATAGTGCTATATATTTATAATCATGCAGTGCCAGCTGTAAATCAAAGAGCTGCAAAGAGTATAAACATAAATAAAGTCAGATGGCAGTTTGGGGAGAGATTTTCAAAGAAGGAAAACAGCAGTCCCATTGAGGCAATTTGCCCAAAGTCTATTGCTCAGTCTTTCTGCTTAGTAAAAGTTACTGTTACAATATCTTATGTATGGACAGCACTTCACAGTTTGCAGAGACTTACTCATACATCAACTTATTGAACCCTTTTAACATCCCTGAGAAATAGGTGAGGTAGGCAGTAGCCCCACTTTGTAGACAATAGGAGGTTATCTCCATTTTTTAGATAACCAAGTTGTGGTTTATAGCATGAACACATCTGCCAGTGGTCACACACTGAAATTGTCCCATCCAGTGTATTTTCCTTTCCTTCAGCAGGACCAGAAACAGCAGGGCTAAAACCAGGATTCTCTTTTGGCACCTTCCCCTCCTGACATGTTACCTAGAGGCAGCTTTCTGTGCTTCTCCATACAGCCATGAGCCTTTCTCGAGTTTGGGCAGGTTTAAAGATAAATTTTCTATTCTGTACAAAGGAAAGTAGTATGAGCTTAAATATAAAGATTGACTTATTTTAATATGGGGATAATTTTCATGTTCACATAAGAGTTGAACCTGCAAGCAAAAACAGCATCACAAAGTGTTCTCTTTCCTGTACAAACAGCTGTCACTGTGGTCACGAGGGATATAGAGAACACATGAATTATTACGAGGTAGATGTTGCTTTTCTTGTCCATTCAAAATGGCAGCACAGAAATCAAGAAGAAAGGAGCTCACAGGAAGACGTAGTCATTGGGGTTACTTGTAATTCAATGACAGTTTAATGCTTTTGAGCCAGTGCTGGTTGAAGCTGTAAGAAAGATAGTATCAGACCATGTGACATCCTCTGAAAGTAGACAGCATTTTATATTGTACTACATACTAAAGAGGCAGGAAATACATTGCAATGTGTGAAGGTGAATCTACTATTTCACAAAATCCTCAAAAATAGCAAGAATATTGTGAGTTAAAGATATGCACACATTCTGAGAATGCATCTATTATATTGTAATGTCAAGTTTCCTTTAGCCTTGCTGTCATTTTAAAAGGTCAGATAAGAATGACTAATTTTTTAAAAGATTAATCAAAAGTGCCCGCAATTTCTGATCTTAAGCTTATTTTCAGCCAATTTCAAGTCATGGATCTGGCATGGTCAGCTCTATCTCCTACAAAATAAGAAAAACTTTGCCAACTTGTATTTAATCCTCTCACACTAGGTAAGAAACTATGAGTTAATGGCTTTTTATTTCTATTGTTGCTTTTGAAAAATGTCATGACTGTCTTTGTTATCCTAACTCCTAAAGCTCCCTTCCATTTAGTGACATTGGACCAATTTTCCTATAGTCTGTATTTAGTTCCAAAAGATGATATTTATTCACTCTTTTTACCTATTTTTCATATTTACAATTTCTTTTCAATCAGGAGGCTCCAAGCCAGGCATCCATCTCCCCTCGTTATTCCCATAAGGCATTCGCTGGGGAAAGAAGCCTTTCTTCCATCATCCTTTGGCAACTGTGGCTCAAATCTGGAAGTTCCCAATTTTCAGGGATCCCTTAACTTCCAAACATTTTATCAAATATACTTAAGACAAAAATAAGACATTTGCCAGCATACTTTGTTTTTAATATTTCTATTTCTGTAGTTTCCATGAGTTGGAAATAAAAAGAGTGCTAAAAAGCCACATATGCCACTAAAAGTTTTATGTTGTTTGGTCAGCTTTAAGCAGCACACCACACCTCATTTCATTTATGAGTTAAACAAGATCTTTTGATTCAGAAGTAAAGAGATTGCCTGGGCGTGGTGGCTCATGTCTGTAATCCAAACACTTTGGGAGGCCGAGGCGGGTAAATCCCTTGAGGTTAGGAGTTCGAGACCAGCCTGGCCAGGAGAGTGAAGCCCTGTCTCTACTAAAAAAAAAAAAAAAAATACAAAAATTATCCAGGCCTGGGATGGCGGGCACCTGTGGTCCCAGCTACTCGGGAGGCACGAGAATCTCTTGAAACTGGGAGGCAGAGCCTGCAGTGAGCCGAGATCTCGCCACTGCACTCTAGCCTGCACGACAGCAACTCCATAACAACAACAACAACAACAAAAAGAGATGTCGGGGGAGAGGACAGTGTTGAAATAGAGTTCTTTGAAAAGCTCCCTAACAATCAACAGCTCTTGATTTCTTTATAAAACCCTTCTATATACATGCCTATACCTGAGAAAAATTCATGAAATTGTTAGGCCTGGTTTCTAAAAGCTACACTAGCTATAAAATTGATAAGTAGCCAAGAGTTAAGGGTGAACCCTTCTGTATGGTAGCCTGTAAATTATCATATATTATTACTTAGAGGCAAACTTCTATCACTATGCTTATTGTAGTGGGTGAAATGCTACAGCTATAAGACATTAAGCAGTATTACTGATTTTGCATTCACAGAACATACATGGGACCAAAAGTTGTAGGTTAAATCGAATGCAACAAATAAAATAGATAATTCAATTTACAGGTTATAAAAGTCAACATTAGATTATTTCAAAAAATAGTAATGACTTACAGTCATAACTAAGTTTTACTTTCAGATTTTCCAGAGGAAAAAATAATATGAAATAACTTGCATTACCATTTGCTCTACACCTTCTTAAAACTACTTTGTTAAATCATGTTTTTTTTTTTCTCCAGATGGAATCTTGCTCTGTCGCCCAGACTGGAGTGAAATGGCACGATCTCAGCTCACTGCAACCTCCGCCTCCCAGGTTCAAGTGATTCTCCTGCCTCAGCCTCCTGAGTAGCTGGGATTACAGACATGTGCCACCACACCTGGCTAATTTTTTGTATTTTTAGTAGAGACAGGGTTTCATCATGTTGGCCAGGCTGGCTTCAAACTCCTGACCTTGTGATCCGCCCACCTCGGCCTCCCAAAGTGCTGGGATTACAGGCACAAGCCACTGTGTCCAGCCCTAAATTATGTTTTGTTGATAGTACATTTTAGTTTTACTTTGAAAAACTGACTAGATGCAAAGCCCCCAATAAAAATGCCCTGATACTGCTGTGGAAACATGTGATGGCATACAGGCAAACCATTGCATATGATCAAGACTTTATCTTATTCAAATCCTTTGAATATTAGTAACTATGTGAAAACTTCCTTTTTAACATTAACTCTTAGACAAAAGACCTCATTAATGGAGAAATTGTGTCTATCATGCTCATTATGCTTATCACGACTTACTTAATCCAGAAACTGGTACATGGTGGATACTCAGCAGAATTAATCTGCAAGATGTCCATTACAATAAACAGTAACAGTGAGTTTGATGGTTGGGTAGCTTAAGCTCTTAGTAAGGATAACTTTCTGGCTTAGTTTGGAGAATAAATGAAAACATGTCTTTTAATTATGTTATGATGTGCACGTGTGTACACACAAATCTCTTCCTCTACTACACAAATACCTGGCATACACTTGTGTAGACATACCCTGTCATGGAAATGGAATTCTAAAAAAAATATATGAAGGAGCAATGAGAAAAATACAGCAAGTAGCTAGAGGAGAAAAACAATACCACACACAGAGTTCACAGTACCACTTAAATACATTGATAATGCTTTCTTCAGTGAGTGGAAAAACAAAATACCTTTCTAGTTGGCCTGGAAATTTGTGAAAATATTGCCTGCAAGAAAATATTCATTAAAATGTTCATGAAATAAAATTAAAGGCTGAAGATATAAATCTCTTCAAAGCCACAGTGAATCTACAAAACATCTGCTATACCTGAAATCTGTTTTCCTACTCTCAAAGCATCAACACCACAACCTACTCCTTCGTTTTCTCCTCTTTTGAACTCAATCCAGTTGGGTGGGCCAGATCTGTGCTAATCAACACCTTACAGGGCAGACAGATAATAAATGAGCATGTCCTTATATGTTTACTTCTTTTCAACCACTCTTAGCAAACCACCTGCTGCCAAAACTTTCTAACCAATCTACTACTCCTTGGGCATACTGATGACTGCAGCTTTCAAGCCTTGAAATGATATATAGGACTCAATACAGATGCAATTTACTCTACTTCTACAAAGTACTGTAAGAATTTAACACTGAAAATAATTAGTGATGACCTCCTAAAGGAAGCTCCCAAAGAAAAATCTAATGGAAAAACTGAAGCTGACCATGCTTGGTTCTCTCTGTCAAGGGAAGTCTCTACAAGATAACTGTATATGATTCAAGAGGAAATTATACCAGAATAAGTAGCAGCTTAGTAACAAGTAACAGTAAAGTTGGAGCAACATTTGGTTTTTCTGGACACTTGGGAGAAGAACAGGCAGGAGGATTTCCTAAGGATGAAAACAAACACTTCAAATTAATGGGTTTGCAAGCATTGTCTTTATTTGCTTTTGAAACTCTCCTGGTACTCAATGATGGTCTTTTAAGGTTACAATTAAGTAAATTAAGGAGGCTTAACACTTATGGCATTATCAAACTAGAAACAAAAAGCTCATTTCCACATAACCTCCCAACCCATATTAAGTCTTTAGAAGTCGTGCACACACCCATCTGTGGGATGATAAATACATGGCATTTATGCTGCTTCTCCTTCCCTGGTGCCCACAGAAAACACAGCAAGTTGATAGTGGCATTATTTTACTCATTGATCCAAGAAGGACCTCAGAGCCCAGTTTATAGAGTGATTCTTGCTGCCACCGTAACTGAAGAGAGAGACTATGTGATATGATTTACCATCCTTGCTGTAGGGGTAATAGGACATTAGGCTATTCCCAGGGGGCAGCACAACCTCTGAGTAATACTGCATGTCTTTTCCATTCTCAAACTTTTTTTTACAAGTGAAATGAAGACCCATAGATCATTTGGTATGATTGTATACATATAAAATGAGCTTAGAGTTTTTTCTTCTCTCCTCCTCATGTTTTATTAAGTAATTTAAAAGCATAATTGCTATTATTGATTATATGTAGCAATTCAGGAAGTTGGGATAAACAGTATGATGTGAAGGGGTGGCAGCCAATGCAAGATTTCATTGTATTAAGGAAATGAAAACAAGGCACCCCTTTATATATTGTGCATTATATTAAGTAATTTATACATTATTTCTAAGACGTAACCACCTGGTGAAAAATTTATACCTTATTTCCATTTTATAGATGGAACAAGTTATTTAACTGGTAGTTGAGCTGGCTATTAACCTAGCTCTATCCCACCTTAGATCTCACAGATTTGTGATCACATTCACAACGAGAATAAGCTTCAGGGACTGGCTGGCCTCTCACAGATCATGTGATGTTTCTTATACACCATATCTGGAAGGCACATGGCCCCAGTAATAACATTTAATTTCCTCAGTTGTAAAGGCTGTTCTCAAATTTTCAGAGCAAGCTATATGTCATTGCTTTACTTTTAACTTGGAGTGGTTTATTGAATAATATATTAGGAAAGAAATGAATGAGCCTAATTTTTCCCCCCTCTAACCCATTTGGAGTTAAGTTCCTCTTGTATCACTTTAAGATAAAAGACAATAATTCTGCCAGTTTCTAGGGACTTTGGAAGTCTCAATATGATGGTATATAATAGCCCCTTGAATCTCCTAGAAGAAAATTGCTATGCAAACACAAATTATTGTATTCCAGTAGAGAAATGATCCAACAAGCAGGTGCACATACGTGCACATGCACAATTCATCTGAATGGAAGACACTGAGAACTTTTCTAGCGCTTGCTCCTTAACAACACTGAGATTATAGTTAACTAGCTACTTTACAATAAAACATGAACCAATTTTATTGCATCATCAGAAAGACTGACTTTTTGTGAAATATTGTCACAAGCAGTTAAGTTCTAAAGTGTGGTCAACTTCCTCTAGATACAAAATTTATAGGTAATTTTATATTCTGATACATAATTATAGAGAAGGTTTTCATGATTACCTTTATATATTTTAAGGAAAGTTAGATTTGCCAAGGGAATCAAAATCAATCAATTTCATTTCAACATACTTTATAGAAGGTTTAATGCAAAATGCAATTCCAAATAATGAAATCACAAAATGCAGCACTAATGACAGATCAGGACAAATAGGCTGAATGCAGGAAGAATATATTTGATGACTACACATCTCAGATTTCCTGGGATATTCCAAATTTCAAATATTCTGTCCCCTGGTTGCCAAAAACTGTTGAAATGACCCAGGAATTTCAATATTCAGTGTGCAAGTTAGAATTTTCATAGAGTCTTTTATATCCAAGAATGGTACAGAAATCTTTTTGAGTACACATATTCTGATTTGCTGATACAGAATATGTTGAAAACAGATCCAGAAAATAGTAAAGCAAAATAAACTTTACAAAAAGTACGATAAATCTCATTTAATGGCTGATAAAGAGAAAAGCAGCCCCAGGCATCCAGGAGCTGGTCTAGTACCCACAGGTAGGCTGTGGTGTTTGTTCTCCTGTTGAACATCAACAATTCCAAAGGATGCCAATATCAGACAAGACCACTCTCTGATCATGATGGATCAAGACAAAAACAAGACCAGTCTCTAATTATGTGGCACACAGACAAAAACATGAACATCACCCAGAGCACAAACATTACCCTCCCCACCTTCTGGCTGATACGAGTAGATGTGGCTTCTCAACCAGTCACAGCTTTAGCTTCCCTCTGCTGGTCTTGCCTTCTAATTAATTATGAAGACATTCAATCACAGAATTACTCCCAATTTCTGACTGCATCCAATTCAGAGCAAAGTTTTACTGCCTTGGACCCTTCCCTCAATCATTTAACACAAGACAAACTCTTACAATAAGTCTTTTCTATCATCTTCTAAGAGATCCCCCAGTTTATCATGGTCTGTGTTCTCCATCATTGTAATAAGTAAATGAATGTAAATTTGTTCAACTACAAGTGTGTTCTGCTGGTCGTTGGCTGAAAGGAATTGATATAGTAAATATAGATGCATCATACCCCAACAGAGAAAACAGAATGTGCTCATTTGGCTGTAATAATGTCATTAATACCAGTTAAAAATATTAGGTTGGTGCAAATGTAATTGTGGCTTTTGCCATTAAAAGTAATGGCAAAAACTGCAATTACGTTTGCACCAACCTATATTATGTTTCTTTAAAAGATACTGCAACTAAAAATGGGATTCATGGTTTTGTGGACCACCATTTAAACACTATCTCTACCTGTCTCTTTTGTCAGTTCTCAAAATAGTTGCTTTAGGAAGCTGTGTGAGTAATTGGAAAATAAAATACCTATTATGTATGTTGAAACTAAATGGGAAATAGAACATTAGTACACATGTAAATTTGCACAAAATCAAAACAAAGGCTGAAATAAAAGGGCTACATAAATATACCACTCTTTAAATCACAGATACTACATTTGTTATTAAATTTTAATTTGAAATGTAACGTAAGTTAGGAAGATGCCACAGAGCACTTACACTAGAAATGGAAGCGTTGCACACTAGCAGAAACAAGAGATACTTAACTACCCACTTTGAAAAATCAAGCTTGTATTGATTTGAGGCCTATGGTGCTATAACCAACTACACCCGATGATTCTTACTGGTACCATGTAAAAACACTATAAACTACATCGATAAGGTAGCGCTTCTCAAACTTTAATGTTCAATACAAAAATTAGCCAGGCATGGTGGCAGGTGCCTGTAGTCTCAGCTACTCAGGAGGCTGAGGCAGGAGAATCGCTTGAACCCAGGAGGCAAAGGTTGCAGTGAGCCGAGATCGCACCCATCGCACTCCAGCCTGGGAGACAAGAGCAAACTCCATCTCAAAAAACAAAAACAAAAACAAAAACTTTAATGTTCATATCGCCTGGGCATCTTGTTGGAAAGCAGATCTTGTTTCAATAGATCTAGAGTGGAGCCCAAGTTCTGCCTTTTCAACAAGTTCCCGGGTGATGCCAAATGCTATTGGACTGAGGATCATGCTAAGTAGCAAAGACATAAAAATTAACTGTTATAAGGCAGGATGGGAAGCTTCTATGGCTAATGTTAATATGTGCAATCACATACTGTACTGTTATTACAGTTTTTGACAAGTCTCAATTCTTTGTCTAGAGAGGGTGGGGAGTTCTCAGTTGGAAGTTCTCTGGCGACCTAAGGTTGCCCTGGCAGTAGTGTAGCAGCTGAATAAAGAGTCAGTTTCCTTCTGCATTAGCCGCTGCTCATACTCCTTCAGGGCAAAACCAGAATATTCCTTTTTTGAATTAAAGGCAAAAGAAACCTTTCCTTTATTGGCATTTCCGATATCATCTATTTTCGTCTCATTGTAACTCTGTAACCTTTACATCCCAACATATTCTCCCCACTCCCCAATGCTTGGTTCAACTCGAGCCTTCATATATAATTCATATGCCAGGTATTAAAGTCTCGAAAATGGTTTCCTTGATGTTTTGGTTAGTTTGCTCTTGAATATTCATAGAAACCAAACACTGGATATTGCTTAAAGAAAACCCAAAAGAACCCCATGTTCCCCATGTTATAACCGAAAAGCTAAAAGATGAAAGGGATCTAAAAGTTTATCTAGTCCCTAAATCCCCAAAGGCACTTGGCTCAGGTGCTCCTGAGGGATGTGGGAGTCACAGCCAGGGCTGTCACGGTGCAGCAGATAAACCATCACATATGCCCCTAGACTAGTTGTTGCATCATAATTACAATGCAGCTGCACCTGGGTGATGGCTACTGAACCCAGAGGCTCACTCAGTATGAAATTCAACTCAGAACCCAGATTTTAGACCCAGGCGACTTGGATTGCTAAAGGGGTTTTTGCACCCACTTTAGTTAATTGCACTAGAATTTTAGAGTCAGTGACTAGGGAAACCAAGACTTAGATACAGTTTGAGGCTTCTCTGGATAAGCGAACAAGCATGGCCAACTTTCAAGTGTGTTCCCACTTAAGGAAACTAGGGGTGACTATAATAGACATATTCCCTTAATTTGATGTCATCTTCTATCTTTTGCAGATATCTGAGCCCATTACATATACTAGAGAAAGGATAATTTCACCAAGATCTGTGGGGGCTCATGCTCATCCTTTCTCAAACCCAGTCCTCTGCTGGACTCTGGAGAACACCACAAAATGCTGCTGCATTTAAGTTCATTACATGAAACATCCAACTTCATTATACACTATATGATATGTACCCCAAATAAAGTCAAAACAACTAGAAGATTTACAAAAATTAAAATACAAATAAGCAAAACACAAAAATCATGGAAGTAATCATAAAGGATGGTTTCTGAGGTCTTCTTATAATTCTCATATGCTGAATACGCACTTTAGTTGACTGCTAGGCAATCAAAAGATGTACAGAATTTAATTGAGAAAAATATTTTTTGTAAAAGAAACATATCTCAATCAATTTTAATGATGGAACACAAGAATTCTCCACAGGAAAAAAAAAAAAGCCAATTGCTACAGTTTGCAAAAGAGGAAACCAATACCTTCCAAAAGTAGAGGAAAGTAGCCATCACATGGTTACTAGGAGAGCGAGGCCTGGAACCAAGGTCTATTATCAACCGCAAGGACCTGTGGTCTCTCCTACATATCATGCTACACTTACAAATTTTAGAACTTACTATACTATCTTCACATAGTAAGCTCTTAAATGTTTATTTAATTATTTTGCCAAAAAGAAGCAAATATTCCCTGCAAGAGACTGTGAAACTCATACTGTTAAATCAGACCCATGCTGATGCTTCTTATTTTGGTACTGTTTTCCTGTCACTAAAGAGATCTCTATCAATGAGCCAATTCATAGTTCATGTTCTGGCCACATTTCTAAGATGTTATAGTATCCAGAAATTAGAACAGGTGTCTTTAAAACATTCAAAACCATTTTGCTTTTGTAATGGGGAAAATGAGGTTCATCTCAGTATCAACAAATGTATGATAGATTTTCCATTTATTACAAAGCATAATGATAATCAATTAAGGAACCTATAAAAACAATAAGTTACTCAATATTCCTTGTTATAATCGATTTTTTTAAGAAAAGGATTTAATTACCAGTTTGAGGCTGCAGAACTTTGGAATCTTCAGATATTTTAGCTGTAGGCACAATCCATGGCTTTTCACTTGAAGCTATATTGAAAAGAAATGGAATTTGCTGAAGATTTTTTTTTTTTTTAACAGGAGAACGAGACAGAAATAGGTTGCTGGTATGGTTAAGTGGCTACCAGAAGCCTGCAGTATACCAATACAATAAAAAGTCATTATATATCAGTAAGAAATCAGTATGTATCCATCCAGAGAACATTTGATTAGTGGTCAGAGAGAGACCAGAGTTTGGTGTCAGACTGTCAGCATTTTTAAGGACAAAAAGCTAAGTGGATTATGTGGAATTAAGACTGATGGGTTTTACCGAATTTGCAGAAAATCCAAATAGATTTATTAAAAAAAAATCAAATCAACCATTTGTTTGCCTAACTATCAGTTCATGAGGTTTCCAGAAATAAGATGCAGTAAATGTGTCCTGCAGAATTAAGCAATCACCACCCACAGCCTTAATATTAAATTTAAGGTACTCTTATTACCCAATGTGCCCCTAGGTTTCTCAAAAGGGAAGGGTGTTTTTGCCTCAGGAAATTCTGGAAGGCTTTTTGGAGCTGTAATGAAACACATAAAGAAAGTTACGACCTGAGGTGAAAGTAACAGGAAAGATTTTTAAAATTTTAAGCTTGCAAAAACAAAAGCAAACACAAAAAGGCAAATCATGTTAAGAGACCATTAGTAGTATTTCTTACATCTATGTTTCAATGTTGAATATAAGAAAGTTTCTTTTTCAGTTTTTTATAGTTAAGTGACTAAATTTAAGCTACTGTATTTGGACTCTTCTTTCCACCCTTATTAAACCAGTTTGCTGATTTCTTCAGCTATGTTTATGTGTGTTCTTAAATATATTTCATTTAAATTTAAACCAAGCAAACACATCTGAACTAGAAAATGTCCATCTGAAAGCTTTTAAAAATAGAGTTTTGGTAACTACGTGGCTTTATATGTAAGCTCCTCCCCCAACCTCTTTTTTTTTTTTGAGATGGAGTCTCGCTCTGTCACCCAGGTTGCAGTGCGTGGCACGATCTTGGCTCACTGCAACCTCCACCTCCTGGGTTCAAGCGATTCTCCTGTCTCAGCCTCCTGGGTAGCTGGGATTACAGGCGCATGCCACCATGCCAGTCTAATTTTTGTATTTTTAATAGAGACGGGGTTTCACCAGGTTGGCCAGGGTGGTCTTGAACTACTGACCTCAGGCAATCCACCTGCCTCAGCCTCCCAAAGTGTTGGGCTTACAGGCATGAGCCGCTGCACCCTGCCCTCATTTTTCTCATACTTCACTCAGAAGAATTCTAAGAATTATAAGAAGCAGTCTGCAGAAATATCATAAATATATCTTCTCTGTTAAGAGAGACAATAGAGTAAACACATTTACAAAAAATACAGAAATGATCAATTTGTTCAGTGACATATTGATTCTGAATTAAAAGAATCAAACATAATATTAAAATATGACCACTTAAAAGAAAAACAACCCAACCAAACAATTTGTCATAGGGAGAGCCTCTTTGGGATCCTAAACTTGAAGACTGTGTCACCTTTAAGGGATTGGGTATAAATTAGCGTAATTAATTCAAAAGACTTCTTTGAAGCATGCATACAATATCCAAGGTAATAATAAAGCTGCAGTATTTATTATTTTTTACCTAGAGTGCTCAGTGGCAATTCAAACTGAGGTATTAGAATAGTTTGCAATGTTTCCGGGGTCCTTTTGCTGAGAACTACAATAAAAAAGAGTGCAGTTAGCAACTCCTGGACTTGGGTTTTGATGTTGTGGCTTAACCATGATCATGCACAGCAAGCTTTGTAACAGACTCTTGCACACAGAGCAGCCAATACCTTTAATGGAAATAACCTTCCCTGGAAAAGTTACATAGCTGTTAAAATATGAAGGTGTACATTCAAAGGGCAGTGGTGTGGCTGAGAAGATCAACATCAAATTACAGAACAAAACACATGCTGCTCCTTTTCTTCAGGGGAAAGAGAACAACAAAGCAAGTTAGATTCTCTTGGGCTAAGAAACAACAAACATGGGTGCCATGAAATTCTTGTTTAAAAGCATGACACTTTTGGGGATTCTTCCCAAATTTAGTATGCACAAGACTTCCCAAAGCCACTCTAAGCAGAAAGCACAGAGTCAAGACTTCCAGGTTTCCTTCATTCTCCCCCAAGATTTGGGAGTTAAAAGGCTGGTATTCTGTCTGTATAACCCAGAGACTGGTTAAAAAGGGCATTTAGTTAGCAATTAGCATCCAGATTTGCCCAGAAGTTCAGTCACCAGGATCAGCCATGTGGTTAACTCTTCAGTGGAATCTGTCCAAGAAAGAGGAAGGTTAACCACTGCCAGGAAGGAAGGAAAAGGAGAAAGTGGGGAGGGAGAGAGAAGTTAAGGCACCAGGTTTCTTTTCTGTGAGTCCTGGGAGTTATTTCGTTGTTACTTTTGTTTTTTTAGAAAAAAAAAAAGTTCTTAGAATTACCCAGTGTTGTTTCTGAAACATCTAATGCACTAGACGTAGTGGGTTTAGTGCTTCTTGGAACTGTTTCAGGAGTCACTGAAAGGTAAAAAGCACAACTTTACAAATTAAGATAAAGTGAAGCAACCAAAGACCAGGAGACACATCCTGTTGCCTTTTAGAATTAGTGGCTGATATTTGTATAGCCCATTTCTTTTTGTGTTACTATGTAAAGAGCTCCTTGGCTTGTCTCAAGTGCCTGAGCTGACACTCCTCTCCAACTGGTCCTTTCTGGGTTTGCTTTCTATCCAAAAGAGCACTCTGACCTGACTTTCATTGAAACACTTATAAGCTTAATAATAATTTTAAATCTGCCTTTTTCTTTATCACCAGGGCTTAGCACAATACCTGGGATAGAGTAAACAAGCACATGATTATAGTTTATTACTTTTTAAATCATTTATTGAAGAATCTGAAGGATAATCAAGATAATAGTTTATTAAACGAATAAATGGGCAAATGAAAGGATGACTCTGGGCTAAAAGTCTTACTTAGAGCTACCACATTATAAGACTTCTCTCTTACACTGCAATGAATATGCAAAGCTTGAAAATGAATTGAAATTATGATCAGAATTTAAATGCTCAGCCACAGATTTGTCCCAAATGCTAGATTAAAGGTAATAAAAAGCTCAATTAAAAAGCTCACACTCCTTCCCCACCAGCCAGTCAACAGTTTTGGAGAAATAAGAACTAAGATCACTGGGATCTGAAATGAATTGAGAGCCAGAAAGCCCCGGAATGTTGCAGGGCAAGAACACAAAATAAACACAATAACCCTGAGTAATAAGTTGTGGTGTTTTCCTAAGTGTTTCTGAAGTGGAAAACTCTGAGGAGGGTTTGGCAGAGGACTAAAAACATGTAGACTCTCCCATCAGAAATGCTGCCAAGAGAAAAAAGTATAATTGGGGAAAGTGGGTAGAATCTTTGAGGGAGAAAGGGATTTGGAGTCCCTATAGAGCCATGCCTATGCTTTTCTGGATATTGATCACGTATACGGAAGTCAAAAACCATCTAGGAATTTCATCCAAATGGGTCACTCCAGTAGCTATACCTCTGCTCCAACTCCCATGAAGGTGGGGATGAAAGGTTCATCTCTTTTCTTTGGAAAAGGACCATATTCACCTTGCTCTCTCAGACATATTCCTACTTGAATGGATTTCTTGAAGTTATTTTACTGCCACAACAACTTTTATCTTCTCTGGACCAGTTACGAGTCCAGAAGTTTAGTAAAAGGTACATCATCAATATTTCAAGTTATAGGATTTTGTGGACTAAAAAATTCACTACAGATTGGAGTGACTCTGCTAAATATAGATTGTGGGAAATTCTTGCCAGATGTCTGTTTCATCAGGTCCTGGATAAGGTGGTACTACTCTGGCAAAAACTCTAGCTCAAAGATTAATGCCTCCCCCCTGGACTGGACTTGAGTAGTTCATTAATAGAAGAGATGCTGAATGTTTGTTAGTAATGGTGACAAACTATGGAGAAAATGCTTACTGCATTAATTCTTTGAAGGATTGTTACTGAACTATTCTATATTCTCTACACTAGGATTGCTAAAGTTCCAGAGACATTTGTTTCTAAATGATTCCAGGGTATTTTCATAGATATTAAGCTATGGATTTGTGAAGAATATATGGCATTTTGCTACACTGACCACTTGTAAAAGTGTAGAAATGAAAAATGGTCTAATGTCATCATATGAAAGAACAGCACCAAACTTGTGGTATGATGTTTTTAATATAAAAATATTTCAGTGTTGAACTAATAATTTTCATTTAGAGTAAAAAATACAGCTTCTGTATTACATATCAGTTATGTGATTCAATACTCCATTTTGCAGCTATTGTTTTCCCAAACGTTAGAGACCTAGAATCTCCTACTGTTTTGCATTTATGATCAAAATGTATTTCCTACTGGCTCTTTACTGAAAAAAAGACTGCAGATTAGTATTTGAAAAAAAGCATTTTTTCTTTTCTCAAGGTCAACAACATAGCGATCTCATTACCTGTTGTGGGTCGTGCTGAGATTTTTTCAACCTCTGGTGTTTTAGATTCGGCAGGTAATGCCAAGGTTTCATTCTTAGCTAAAAAGTCAGAGAACAAACAATTTATCTCACTTGCAGTGTCCAAAAATACCTCCCTCAATGCATAATCAAGTAGCAGACTAAAAATCTAATCTCACACTCCTTCCCCACCAGCCAGTCAACAACTTTATTGTGTATCTCTAGCAGGAACTAATATAAGTCTTCAAAATTCTTTCTTATTAACCCTACATAATTCTTTCTTATTAACCCTAGGTAATTCTTTAAGATCTAAATTGGCATTGAAATGAAGAAAAAAAATCACAACCCAATACTTGGATACATCTCAAAGTCATCTGATTGATAAATAGAATTTCTGGAAGGCATAGGTTGTATTGCAAATGCTTCCTGGAATTTTATATTCAAGTACTGCCAATTTTAAAAAATCAACCTATAGAAAATTTCCGGCCGGGCGTGGTGGCTCATGCTTGTAATCCCAGCACTTTGGGAGGCAGAGGCGGGTGGATCACGAGGTCAGGAGATTGAGACCATCCTGACTAACACGGTGAAACCCTGTCTCTACTAAATATACAAAAAATTAGCCGGGTGTGGTGGCGGGCCCCTGTAGTCCCAGCTACTCTGGAGGCTGAGGCAGGAGAATGGCGTGAACCCGGGAGGTGGAGCTTGCAGTGAGCCGAGATCACGCCATTGCACTCCAGCCTGGGTGACAGAGCGAGACCCCGTCTCAAAAAAAAAAAAAAAAAAAAAGAAAATTTCCGTTATTCTACATGGTAAAAAATGTAATAAGTTATGACATTGAGATTTTAGAAAACCACAAACACCACACATAGGAAACTAAGCTATTTGAAAATATTTGTGGCAAAAAATTTAACAGTAAATTTTATTTGAGCCTCATATTAATGTAGATCTTCTCTTTTAATCTCTGTGGGAATTCAGTACAAAGAATAATTTTTTCCATTTTTCCTCTTTATGCAACTATTTGAGAAACTTCATTTTAAAATGTAGATGTTCTTTTTCAAAGAAAGTAACATTTCTAAGCCAGTGTTCCCCAGCGATTATGGTATTCCCCATTTGAAAGGGTATAATTAGGATTAATTCTATTCAGTTATTTTCTGTGTTGAATCATAATATTACCTGCTCATAATATTTTGAAACAGTCTAGTGGCATGAAAGAATTCATGCCCCTTTGGGATACCCTGATCATGCCACCTTGAGCTGATCACATAATCGGACAGGATTTTTCAGAGTCCTAAGGCTATACAGAACTTAGATTTCCCAACTTTGGCACTATTGATATTTGAGGCTAGATTATTTTTTTGTATGGGTGGCTGGCCTGTATACTGTAGGATGTTGAAGAGTATTCTTGGCTTCTACCCATTGGATTCCAATAGTGCTCTCACACACTTTTGGAATATTTTGTGCTCCACAGATACTTTTCTAACAACCAAAATATCTCCAGGCAATTCTAGATATTCCCTAAGGGACAAAATTGCTCCCTGTTGAAAACTTTAATTTTCACACTCAAAATTCTTTGAACATGTATTTTATAATCTGTAGTTCACTTTATTTTTGTAAAGACCATCTTCTTTTCTGTTAATGTGGGTTCAAAAATATTTACTTAATTCTGATGAGCTTGAAGACAATTAGAAAGTCATCTTTCACGACGTTTATAGCAGCAAATCAGTTTTCAATCCCTACTTGATAAAGGCATACAACAGATTTCTAGATAGCTAATTTTCAGGAATTATTTAAAATGCCACCACTAAGTGTCATAAATGATAATTTGCAACAAATTGTGTGTTTCTGAAGTTGCAAAGCATGTTCACACAACAAAATATTTAATAGCATTGTTCAAATTAATTTAGCAGGGCATAAAAAGGAACTTTTTAAAAATCTAGCATAATTTTATGAAATTCTATTTTTAAAACGTCTAAATTTTATCAGTTTTTTTTCTGACATCTTTTGTGTGAACCATTCTGATTGTCAACACAGAAAAAAATTCAGATCATGAATTTTTCAAGCACTCTGTTCCTATTATTTTCAACATGCCCCACAGGAAGTTTTTTTAAATGTAAAATTATAAGGTTTCCTTTCACGATCTCTTCTCTTTCAGTGTTCTCTTCTCCTTCCAGGGCTCCTTCCTGATTAAGAATATCCCATGTTCTCAGTGAGTCCCTGGCTGACCTAGGACCTCTTATTATTTATTTGTTTAATCGTCCAGATCCTAGACTTTCACAGGCGATGCTCTCAATTTCTTTATTCAAAACATGTTCTTAGCTGGCAATCACATTAGCCTAAAATCAGGCTGTTAATGAAGAAAGGCAAACTACCCCTTCCTAAGAGACAGAGACATTTATATTCTTTCTATATTACTAACTCATTTTACAGGCATATTGTTTTTTCTTCTTCTTTTTGGTTTTTTTTTTTTTTTTTTTTTTTTTTGAGTCAGGGTCTCACTCTGTTGCCCAGGCTGGATACAGTGACATGATAATAGTTCACTGCAGCCTCAAACTTCAAACTCCTGGGCTCAAGTGAAACAATTCTCCTGCTTCTGCCTCCCTAGTAGTAGCTGGGACTATAAGCACGTGCCACAGCACCTAGCTTATTACTAATATTATTTTGCAAAAACGGGATCTCACTATGTTGCCAGGCTGGTCTTGAACTCCTAAGCTCAAGTGATCCTCCTGCCTCAGCCTCCCAAAGTACTTGGATTACAAGTGGGAGCCACTGCACCAGGCCATACTGTATATCTATAAATGATATTTCAGACATCAGAGAACTTAGTAGTTGGGGAGGGTATTTGAATGGGGAACTCTTGATATATCAACCCCTGAGCATTCACCCACACTATCTATGCACAACTGCAATCTTGGCAATAGGAAAGTAAAATGCAATCAGAACACAGCCTAAAACCCAGGAAATTCCTTTTCCTCTATTTCTTCTGTACATTTTTCCATCACAGTTGTTTCCTTTAATTTTTGGCAGGCCAAGTCTTGACTTTGGCAAACCCTTTGTATGTCCCTTGGGGATGTGTGTGTAATCCTAACTTTTTTGTTTATATCTCTCATTATTCACACCATGTGTTCTTAGAACAAGCTATTATACTTCTTGATGCCCCGTTATGAGCTCTGCTGGAATGAGGATGTTGTTTTTAGGATTTACTACCTCAAAAAATGTAGCTTTTTTGAGTTGCAGTGATAATTAACTTCAGCGCAGTTTATTTCTCCCTTCATGGCATAAAGGACTGTTTATGCCCACACTTTGCAAAAAACAGTGCTTCTGTGCAGCAAAGGAAGCAATAAACAAAATGAAAAGGCAGCCTATGCATTGAGAGAAAATATTTGCAAACCACATGTATCTGATAAAGGGTTAAGATCCAAAGTATATAAGGAACTTACACAAAATAGCGAAACAAAATAACACAACCACCCTCAACCCCAAATAACCTAATTAAAACATGGGCAAAGGACCTGAATAGACATTTCTCCAAAGAAGACATAAAAATGGCTAACAGGTATAAAAAAAAAAGTGCTCAACGTCACTGATCATCAGGGAAATGCAAAATTAAGACCACACTGAGATATCACCTCACTTCTGTTAGGATGGATATTAAGCAAAACGATAAAAAATAGGTGTTGGCAAGGGTGTGGAGAAAAGGAAATTCTTGTTTATTGTTGAGGTGGAAATGTAAATTGGTGCAGCTATTATAGAAAATGGTATGGAGTTTCCTCAAAAAATTAAAAATAGAACTACCTTATGACCCAGCAATCCCTCTTCTGGACATACGTCCAAAGGAAATGAAATCAGCACCTCATAGAGATACATACAGTCCCACATTCACTCCAGCATTGTTCACAACAACCAAGATATGGAAACGACTTAAATGTTCATTGATGAATGTATAAAGAAATTATGGTACACACACACTGGAGTATTATTCAGCCTTAAAAAAGGAGGTCCTGCCATTTGCAATAACATGGATAAATCTGGAGGATATTATGCTAAATGATATAAGCCAAGCACAGAAAGAAAAACACTGCATGATTTCACTCATATGTGGAATCTAAAAAAAGTCACATATATAGAGAATAAAACTTTATGAGGGATGGGATGGAGAGGGGGAAACAGGGAAATGTAGAACAGAGGGTAAAAAGTTGCAGATGCATAGGATGAATAAGACTAGAAATCTAAAGTAGAAAACAAGAACTATAATTATAATATTGTATATTGGAAAAGTGTTAAGATTTTTGGTACTCTTACCACATGCACACACAAAGGGTAACTATGCAAGAGAATGGATGTTAATTTGCTTGAATATAGTTAACTATTTCACTAGGTACACATATAAAAAAAACTTCATCTTGGATGCTTGAAGCATATACAATAAAAAATTTTAAAAAATTGTATATGTAGTTTTTAAAGAAACATGGTCTACTAAGTTGGTACATTTGTTGGGTAGGATTTTCCTTTGATTTATCAGACATTTTCAAACATACTGGCTATCAGTCTCTTCAGTGTGTGATATGGTTTGGCTGTGTCCCCACAAATCTCATCTTGAATTCCCACATGTTGCGGGAGGGGCCTGGTGGGAGGTGATTGAATCATCAGGGCAGGTCTTTCCCATGCTATTCTCGTGATAGTGAATAAGACTCATAAGATCTGATGGCTTTAAAAATGGGACTTTGCCTGCACAAGAGCTCTCTTTTTGCCTGCTGCCATCCATGTAAGATATGACTTGCTCCTCCTTGCCTTCCATCACGAATGTGAGGCTTCCCCAGCCATGTGGAACTATAAGTCCAATTAAACCTCTTTCTTTGTAAATTGTCCAGTCTCGGGTATATCTTTACCAGCAGTGTGAAAATGGACTAATACAGTGTGTAAGAAATTCTCCATGTGTTAAATTTTCTATGTGTTCTTTTATTATTAGCATCATACTTTAAGAGACCAGGTCTTGCTCTGTTGCCCAGGCTGTAGTACAGTGGTGCAGTCAGAGCTCACTGAAACCTCAAACTCATGGGTTTCAGTGAACCTCCTGCCTCAGCCTTCTGAGTAGTTAGGACTACAGGCATGTACCATCATGCCTGGCTATTTTTTTATTTTAATATTTTTTGTAAAGATGGGGTCTTGCTATATTGCCTACGCTAGTCTTGCATTGCTAGTCTCAAACGATTCCCTGGCTTCAGCCTCCCAAAGTGCTGGGGTTACAGGCATGAACCACCCCATCTTGCCCATGTATTCAATTTAAGATAGGCACTTCCCTCAAAAGCCAAGTTTAAAAACATACTTACTATTTTCATAGTTTTAATTATTTGCATTTTACTATTTGCATTTATTTTTTCTTTATTAAAATAACACTTAATTCTGGACTTTTAGTGAATCATATCAGAAGAACAAAAGTAAAAACGAATCACAAGACAAAAATCCACTTTAATTCCTTAAAGAAAGCAAAAATGCTAAATTGGTATTATGGTAGCATGTAGAATTTTTAAATTTTTTTTTAAAGATTAGGAAATATCACTCAAGACTAAGCACTGAGGACCAGACCATGACATCTTCCAGTTTAAAACTGACAGCCGTGGTCTGAGAAACAACTCTGCTCATTTTCAGTCCCCTTCACAAACACTGCTTTCTGCAGTTTTGATGGTAACATTAGGGACCAAATCAATGAGATTGGCCAGCTCCTTTTTTTCCTCCTTCCAAACAAGTTCTAGGCATGGGGCAAAGTATACAGTCTCTGGGCAGAGAACAGGTTAATGTAAGAGTCCAGAGCTTTAACTCTTCCAAACACAGATCCACTGAGGGATCTTAATTTGGGAGCATCCTGGCAGCATCACATTTACATGATGTAGGGTTGGATAACAGGGTTTTATAGTTAAAGGGAGGTGACCAAGTCTGATGCACAAATTAAGAAAATGAAGTCCAGAGTCACTTGACTATTTTCTGGGAAGTAACTAACTCTAGGACTACTAGATATGACTATTTTAAAGTAAAAATATAAGGATTGCACAAAACCACAAAGATATATTGGCAAATATTTTCACACCTTACTAAGATGTTGAACCATACGTTTTGGAAAATTTTCAAAAATTGTAAGTCTAATAGTCCCCAGTTAAGTGCTTTTCTACCAACTTAAGGCCTTCCTCTTCCTTCTTCCAGGAGTTTCTCAAAATCAGCACCTAACGAGAACTTAAGAGCTTGCCTTTTAAAATTCTTATAACTGGATTGCCCCAGATCAGTCAAGCAAAAAATGAAAAAAGTTAACTTAAACTTTCAGGTAACACTATTTATGCAAAGTTAAGTGTCTGGATATTTGAAAAACACATGAAGAGATAGCAATTTCTTTTCAGGTTTTTTTAAAAAATTAAGTAGCTTGACATTATGTGGACAAAACTTCTAAACATCTCTACATGGCCCTATTCCCTAAAGAAGAAAATTGGAAACAAGAAAAAGACATCAACATTTGGTACCTCATTAGATTTGATGTCTTTTTTCCCCCAGTAAGTCTCCAGGGCAGGGAGGGAAAGGGGGAAAAAGGAAAAGAGTTATTGGCTTGTGGGATCCGCACTGTACCAGCAGCTACTTGTCAGGAACATCAAGGGTTTGTTCCCAGTGGATGCATGCTCTTGATAACAGAGAGATCACAGCAAGCCCTGACCTGACCAGAGGGTCTGCCCACCTAGGACCCCAGCCTATTGTTATGTTTCACGGTGTTTTCTTGAAATAAAAAATATTTGGGTTATATCTTATTTATCATTTCTTCTGCCTCTCTCTCAGCCAAAAAAGAGGAAATATCAACTGAAGCAGACAGATAAGGCCCCCAGTAGGGGAGGAGAAAGTAAGGGCCTTGTCTGAGGTCCCAGAATGAGCAGGTGCCATGCCTGGGTAACTCACCATCATAGCCCCCAGCAACTTGCGGTTTTGACATAGGGTAATGCATAGTATTTGTTGAATGACTGTGGCCAAACAGGGGCTTGGGCCTCCGTTTCTTTATCCATACAATGTGCTGATTCAATCATATATTAAACATTAAAGTTCACAGCCAGTGCCTAGCTCAGGGAATACATTCTGTATTCTTAAGGTTTGTTCAATTTCTACAGCACCATTTCTTCCAAATTTATTAACAGCCCAAGGTATTCTCTAGAGACATTGGAGGGGTAGTTCTCAAAGTGTGGTTCCTAGACCAGCAGTGTCACTATCACCTGGAAACTTGTCAGAAATGCAAATTCTCAGGCCCCATACCGGACCTACTGAATCAGTAATTCGGGAGGTGGGTTGGTGGTGGGGGGTGGTGGGCAGCAGTCTTTGTGTTAAGCCCTCCAGGTGCTCCTGATGTTTGATCAAGCTTGAGATTCTCTGCTAAGATACAATTTGGAGCCTAATTTGATACTTAAATGCAGCAACCAACTCAGCCCAGTGACCTCCACATTTATTCCCTGGCCCTTTTTTAAGTGGATTTTCCGTTTTTTTCTTTTACTCTTATGTTTTATGTTTTTTAAACACTGAACACATAACCAGTTCTAGAAATAGGAAGCAATATCAATCTCAAGTAAATAATAATTCTAATGAACCTGACCTTCACATCAATTCTCATTGCAAATACCTAGTCGCCCCATAATAGTATAGTAAGTATAATTTAGAATTACTTTATTAGAAAGTTATACATATGTATTTTGAAGATTTTCATAAACATTCACTCTCATTTCATACATATAAATATACCTTATATAAATATGTACATATAAAATAACCATTTTCTTATAGAATGTTATTTATAATGAATACCTCCAACACTCCAACCTCTTTGCCTCTACTTTTTTACTTTGAGATCCTCAAACAGCTCATTAGCAAGATTCTTTGGATTTCCTAAGAATATCAGTGCTAGTACTCAGTTACTGCAAAGTTCAAATACAAAACTTTTCTGCTTACCTAATTGTGTCTTGAGTGCATCTGAAATCTCAAACATTAGGGATGCAGGAAGTTTTACAGTAGTTTCATTAAGACCTGGAATAATAAGGTGGACTGCAAGGAAATAGATGTAAATAAGATAAGGGGAAGAAAGTGCATCATGACATAAAATGAAGCTCAGCACATCAGATATTACAAACTATGAAGCATAGCACTTATTTTGCTTAGTAAATTTTAACCCAAACTTTAAAACATTGGAAAAAATATAACCATACATTCTAAATAGAATATTTTTCATATTTAACCAAACTTCTAAAATCCTCTGGCTTTTAATCCACAGACTCAAAAATTGTATAATGGCTGCTTAAGATGTGTGGTGAACAAAGATTATTATCAATAACAATGATTTTTAAAAAAGCAGTTCAGTCAACTCTGTGGGGCAGGTAGGACAGGTGCCATCATTCCCACTGCACATGTGCTAGAGCTATTTCTTTAACACACCATGATAAAGATAGCGTGGCTTGGCTCCTAGCCTGGAATGGACACGAGCCAGGATGCTAAACAGTGAAAGGAAGTGAACCACATCAATTAAACAGAACTACTCACACTGCAAAACTCCAGAAAAGCCCTATCCTCAAAAGATAGCCCGATTTGCTTAATCTCGGCATAGATTTCGAGATCCACTCACCTAGTATCACTCCTCCCAGTGGAGCTTTTTCTGGGGATTTAGCTGAATCCTTGTGAGTAACATTCTGAATCACTGTTGAAATACAAAAAGACAGTGTGAGGGGGTGGGAAATAGGAGGCAGTAAGAAGCTAATAATGTGAAGCCATCTGCACTGGAAAAGCCTTGATCTAACTTTATTAATTAATACAAAGCAACTCAGTGGCCTGGCTATATAGCCAACAGAAGGATTGGAAGGCATACCTTACCTTAACACCTATGCCCTTAACTAATGAAAGGCTATTATTCTATCATAAGGTGTTCCATTCTAATTACTGGAAAATTTTCTTCCTAACTCTATTCCCTGAAGCTTTCCTTTTCCCCAAATCAATCAGTACTAGCACAAAATGAGGTGATGACCCAGCAATAAAAATTTAGAAAATTTATTTTCTCAAAGAGCCTTTGAGTAATATCAACACTAACTGATTCTGTTTTGAGAATACACTTGGGATGTTGTGTTTTCTGAAAATGAAGAACTATTTTTTTAAGGGCCCTGTCTCTTCTACCAAGAAACTTTCTGGAAATAATAGATTTTAATAATTTGAAAAACCAGAAGCCAAAACAAAAACAGTCAGATACTGACGTGAAGTGACATTATAATTCTGGAAACCTGGATATCTTTACTTTCCTTAAAGTGACCACTAAATCAGTGGGTTTCTTCGGGTATGACAACTTAATCTTGGGCAAAGCTCCACATATTTAACTTGTTTTAAAAAATTTAATACTTGTGATGGTTGCTTTGTCCTTAGTTGTCTGACCAGTGTGACCAGCCCAAAGCTTGGTGTATTGGTAAAAGAGCCAAAATTATCCATTAACTTCCAGTTTACTAGACCATTATATTTTCTTTGAACTTTTTCTCAAAAAAAAAATCAATTAAAAAATCGAGAAAATATGTGCCGTGTTTGATTACCTTAGCTAAAAGTATGTTAAAGATTGCTCTAAACACATTTCCAGAGCAGACAAATTACCTTGCTTGATGATTGTTATTGGGATTAGTTTCCTTGGGACATATGCTGGCTGCAAAGAGAAGAAGAAAGTCAACTTTTGAGTCATTGTGAATAACTTTCTGTTCTTTAAAACGTTCGGAGAACTGGAAGTAGCCCTTTCTTGTCTTCAATGAAGTCTCCTGTGACACTGGTTTAATAGTTGCTGGTGGCGGGGCGTGGTGGCTCACACCTGTAATCCCAGCACTTTGGGAGGCTGAGGCGGGTGGATCACCTGAGGTCAGGAGTTCGAGACCAGCCTGGCCAACATGGTAAAACCCCATCTCTACTAAAAATACAAAAAAAAAAAAATTAGTTGGGCATGGTGGTGGGCGCCTGTAATCTCAGCTACTTGGGAGGCTAAGGAAGGAGAATTGCTGGAACCTGGGAGGCGGAGGTTGCAGTAAGCCGAGATCATGCCATTGCACTCCAGCATGGGTGACAACAGCGAGACTCCATCTCAAAAAAAGTTGCTGGTTAGATTGTTAGTACATCCATCTGCCTCTACTTTATTGGATTCACTTGGTTTCCCTCATAAATATCCCAAGGTTTGACAGAAGCAATTTCTTCAGAACTCCCATTAGTTCACTTTACTTAGAAACTGCAATGGAAAGAAACCAAATCTTCTGTACTGAATATTAGTTTATTTTCATTACATTTGAGATATGACACCGCCAAATTGTTTTTACAGTCCCTCTCAAAAAGATGCTAAGCTACCTATTATCTTTGAAAACCAATCAAGATCAATTGTTTGAGTGTATCCAATTGCTGCTGCTGCTGCTGTTACTACAGATACCACAACTACCATGAGCTCCCAACGCCAAGCACTTATTGCTCAAGAAAGCACAGCAAGGACTCTGATCCAGATATTTCTTATTCCACAGCCTGTACTTTCAACCATTCTGCACATGTTTATACACAAAGGACCTCAGAATCAGAAGGACATATCCCAGAGGACTCTGCTTCCTCTCCTCACCCAAATTACCTCAGAAGTCCCACAGGAGGTTCTGACGTCATAAAGTAGCCTGACCTAGGGATGGGTGCAGACTTTAAAGCAGAGTCATTGCCAGACATAATCATGAGGCCAAGGATAAGACAGACTTAGAGGGACACAGGGTAGGTGAGGAGAAGGGCAGAAAATTATACACAGGAGAATTAGAGTTGAGTTGAAAGGGCAAGACTGATGTCCACTTTCTGATACTTGGTTTAGCCTGTATACATGATACAGATATGGCATATACTAGACCTGTTGATCATCAAGGATGTGCTGAATATGAGCTGCTTACCAGATAGGTGTTTACATGATTACCAAATCCCTTACAAGGGCAAACACCTGGTAGTGAGCAAAACATACTTTGTGACATACTACCATTTTAATAAGTGATATCCCTCTGATAAAGAAGGGACAATATACCAGGCTTACTGTTAGCTATTTTCCTTATCATATTAAGGTTCTTATGTTTTAAAAAAATCACAACGAATAAAAGTTTACTATTATCAGATTATTTTTTTAAAGGGGTGCCTGCATGCGTTGACTCAATGATTTCCTCCTTAGCAATCCGGCCTAAGGAATTAATCAAAGACAGTGTTTATTATCATAACTTAAAATAAATTTATTATCCAAAAATAGAGGTTTTATTAAATGATAGTTCAAAAATTTGACTTGTATTTAATAAAATGGAAAAATGCAGAATATAAATAAGTACCAAGGATACAAATTTGCATCCACAGTATAACACAATTTTATAAATACATGTATAGAAAAGAGGCCAGAGGGAAATAAATCACTGTTTCCTTAAAACAGTATTTATTTCTTGTAAGCCAACATTCATTTTATTTTGTGCACCTTTCTATATTTGCCAAATTTCTGGTAAGGGCAAATTACATTTATAAGCAGAAAAAGTTATTTTAATCAACAATCTGTTTAGCTACCACACATGCTTCTGTATTGCAACTTAGCTCATACACTATTGATAACTAGAGGAATGACGCAGATATAATTTAGACATGCTCTTTCTTGGCAACAGGAGGAAAATAGTAGGAAGATAAGTATAACTTTCAGTGGGGGATAAAAAATACCAAACTCTCAGCTTTGCAGTTATATGGGCAGGAGGATCCCTTTTGGCTTTATTATAAAACTATTACATGTGAGCACTTGCACAGAGATCCTTCCCCAGGGGAGAAAAGTTAGGCCCACCCTTGGCACTCTGCACTCACTCACGAGCCCACCTTAAGAGAAGCCCCACCAGCTTCTCCACCTGTGCCTGCTCCAGCAAAAGCGTTGCTGGCATATAGCCTCTAACTCCTCTGAGAATTTTTATTTGTTCATGTTAAAACAACTTTTATTTTTTGCTATTTTTAAAATCATTTCTTTCTTCATAATTGTATCTATTTCTGGGGTACGATGTGATGTTTTCATCTAAGTGCACAATGCGGGATGATTAAACCAAGCTAATTACCATATCCACCTCCTCACTTACCTGTCATTTTTTTGTGGCAAGGCATTTGAAATTTATCTTCAGCAATTTTGAACTATACATTAATAGTAACTACGGTCACACTGCTGTGCGATAGCACTCTAAAGCTTACTCCTCCTGCCTAACTGAAACTTCCTACCCGTTGTCAATATCTCCTCACTGCCCCCTTGCCCCTCACCCCCTGGTAACCACCATTCTACTCTCTGCTTCTATGTGTTTGACACTTCTGAGACTTTTAAGTGCTTGGCATGGCAACCTTCAACTACATGGGAGCTGCCAGGCAAGAGAGCCACATTATTTTTCTAGGTACCAATAATCATTTTTGTTCAGGCTGTGGCTGCAGCTGCAGAGGCTTTTGAATGGCCTGTCCTCTATTTGCCCTACATCTCCTGTCACTTAGTGCACATTTTGTACTTAGCGCACGTTTTGTTGAATGCGAAGTCTTTCCAAGATACTTAACACATTAGAGCAGAAAAGCCTACATGTTGCTATGCTGCTGAATTGCATTATACCAGTTTAATTTTCCTTGTTGTAATGATTTGTTTCAAACAAACCATTTTTTGACAAGGACAAATGGAAAATATTCTGCTCTTCACATGAATGGAACAACGTTTCTGTTCTGAGTTCTGACTCCAGTACAGACCAGTGTCCAGTTACAGACCAGTGTCCAGTTAAAGTGACAAGAACATATGTACAATATGTGCTGCCAAAAATTAAAAAATCATTTAGCTGAAGAATGCAATTTTTTTTCTAGGCCTAGAAATGCTCTCCTGCTTAATCCACAATCCAAAGATGCATAAGGACTCTACTAATGAGCAAATAGCTGCGTCTCTACAGGTAGGTTTTTAAAGGGCATCAGGAAAGTCCTGTGGCTCAATATGTCTCTGCCAACACCTCTACAATTTCCATTCAGAAATTCACAATGTGAATCCTCTCCTATGTCTTATCAAATAAAAGGGCAGGGAAAAGTTTGTTAACCAGACTCACTGCAAAATGAAGTACTGTGATAATTTCCAAGATACAGTGTTTAACCAATTACAATCCAATCTTAATAGAACTGTTTTACGTACAATGTTTTAAAAAAACATTTCCTTGCTGACCTTTCCTTACTTTTTCTAGGCTTGTTATTACGAACAGCTATTAATGTACATCAGAGTCACAGATGTAGACAGTGTGGGGCCTGGAAATGGGAAGGAGGCAGTGACAGCCCCGCAGGCTCCCACACTGTTTTGGCTGGTGTGGCCTCAGCACGATACTGCTGTCCTCAGACACCACTCTGGCAGCGATTTTCCTTCTTAGTCATTCCCTTGCTGGCTCTCTTTTCCCTACAGCTTGCCGATTCCCCCATTCTTGCTGCAAACCTCTACCGCTTCTTCCTTCCGTAGTTCTTGTCTTTCAATGTTTACTAAATGGCAGGAAGTAAGCATATTTCTTTCTTGTCCTATAATAGATTTTTTTCTTCTTCATTTCCAGATATCCTGTCCATTACAAACCCAGGTTGGGCTATGCCTTGAGCAGAAGTCTGGTTAAGATCGTTTATTTTTACTGATTTTCTGGGACACTGTGGCGAAGCATGCAGTTGGTGACACTCAATAAGGAGAGACTACTAGAGTCTAAAGGGTGATGCCCCGGAGACAAATGCAGCATGCTTTCTTGCCATGGCTAGGAAAGCATATGCTTCTTTAGAAATACCCACAGTAGCAGCAGCAGACGCTGCTACCACCACACATGACAAGGAACTTGCGTCTCACCCTGCATTACACTAACTTCCTCCTGATAATATATTGAAAATTAGCTGTAATAAAGTTAGTGATAACTAAGGATGTTATTTTTTGTAGGTTTGTCCATTTGACATTTTTGTGGCATCAGAATATTAGTATTGTAGGTTTAACATTATTTTCAGGCCCCGAGATAAAGAGGAGCTGTCCATTTGGGTAGTGGTTAAAACAGTGGCTCAAAGTCAAATTTCAATGACTCAAGAGTCAAACCACATGAGAACTTGGGCATATTAGATTCTGGTTTTAATTCACTTCTAGGATGTTCTAATGAAAGTTACAAAACATACTGACTCAATCTAACATCTGGCTAAAAGTCAATCTAATGTCCTACTTTCAAAAGGCTTCAAATTTCTGGTCAACTTAACCTTTGATGATGTATTAATAGTTTGCCTACACAGAAATTTTTCAAGTGTCTGCTTGAGACAAGGATTGCTAAGAATGGAAGGATGCCTGATACATTCACTGTACACAGTCATAAAGTGTGGGTGGGGACCATAAAGGTAATCTCTCTTCACATCAATCATTTGATAATTGTTACATTTTAACAAGTGGTACCACTTCTCTTTTTGATGATAGTAACTGTGGATTTCTTAAAATATGGGTGGATCTCTGATGGAAAATAAAAAAGATAAAAATAGATGTCATATTTTTGGAGAACACTGATTCTAGGAAGATTTAGATTAAATAATTAAATTTGCTTTCAAAAATCTGTTAATAAGTGCTACATACTTCAAATATTGATTTTGTTTAGCTAGTTAAGTAATACATTTTTTCAAAATATAGAAAATGTATGAAAATATTAGCCATCATTCTTTATTTTTTAAAATAATAAAACCTAATAGTAAACATTAGGTTTTACCTTCAAAAAAAAGAGTGTCCTAGATTCTCTAAATGGAAAAAAAAAGCACAAGCATCATGATAAATGTATCTTTTTCTTCCTCAATCATATGGATCTCAAGTGATTTATTTTATATAGAAAGAATCACAGTTTTGTTTCTGCATATGCCCTTTCTCTGATTTTTCTAGAGGTATAGGTAGGAGCAATATTGAAAACATTTAACAATTGGTAGAACAAAGGTACTAGCCAACCAGAAGAGATTCCCTGCTATATGTTCTGGGCACAATTGCACTGGGGCTTGCCTGTCAGCAGAACACATATCTAGATATATGAATTACAATATATAGTGTAACCAGAAGGGTAGGATGGGCTGTATTTTGTATTCAAATTTTTGACCTAAAATTTATTTATCTGTAAAATGGACAGCCTACAGTTCAAGTTGTTTTTTTCCATTCCGAATACCTCTTATTGGAAGGTGTTCAAGAGTTTTTGCTGCTTCTAAGGTTTCAGGTGTAAGCATGTTCATATGAATAAAAAAAGTTTTCAATGTGTCTTTTTGCTTGAAATCCAAAAAGCAAAACATGTGAAATTAATTTCATATCTCTTGAAGTATTGCCTTCTAAGATAGGTCTCAGAGAAGAGATGGGTGAATAATTGGGTATACACTTCTTTGGACTAAAATATACCTCCAAAGTATCAAACCACTTCTCAGAATCAATTGTATGTGGTCACATAACATGGTCAAAGTTATCCCATGCAGTTCTGTTACTACTTCCCCATGTTCCACAGCTACCTGAGAGCAGAGATGTAAGTTCATATATATATAATATATATATATATATTTTTTTTGCTGTCCAGAAGGAAACAATAAACCTTCTCAAAGAAGGCTTAAAATATCTTTTTAATGAATTTGGTTTTTCCTTTGGAAATAACAAAGAGTTTTAAACTCATCAGAGCTGGCTGGAGTCAGGATACTCCACCTCACAGCTTGAAGTGATAAAATGCCTGGCTCTGTGTCATGCATGCAGGAAGTTGCTTCCTAGCCCTTCCTATCATGGCTGCTTATATTGAGGGGGAAAAAAATTAAATTCCCTGAGAGTAAAACGTCAATCATCTTTCCCAATCTTGCTGAGTAACTCATCCTAAATGAAATATCCTGCCAAGACAAATACAAATTACTGGGATATGATAGCTGAAAAGAGGGAATGAAAGAAATGATATCATGGAGTCACATGAAAGGTTAAGCATGACAGCCAAGAGGGTAGGAGACAATGTATGCTTCCTAGGCAACCATTCACAACAAAGAATGAGGATTTTTCTAGAAGAGGATGAAAGAGCAATTCTATCCCACTGTTTTGCCTGTGAGGTACAGCAGATCTACGTTTCCTATACAATGTTGACTGGATTTAAGAGACAAAGATGAAGGGAACTTAGGGAGAGGCACAATTCAATACATAAATACACAGTACTAAGCCAATTGGTTATTTGGGGGAAAAATACATAGCCTAATCAATATAGAACCTTACTATATACCATAGTTAAATAAAATTCACAGAATTATTATAAAATCAAACCACTTATAAAACTAAAAGAAAGGAAAGAAATATTTATCTGCTCTCTGGAGAGGGAGGGCCTTTCTAAAATATAATGCAATTGAGATATCACAATGGAAAAATCTAATAATTTGGTTAAGGAAATTTCATGAGTTGTCTATTTCAAAAATGTCTATGAGCAAACTTAAGCTATAACAAATGTGAGAAAAATATTTCTAGATAGTATCATCAACAGGTCAATGTTTCTTTAGTGTATACAGTCTTAGACTATATAGTTCTAAAAAGAACCCATGAAACGCCCAACAAACAAAGAACTGCAAGAGAATGTCATTAAATGGAAAATACAACTGGCTAATAAGTGAAGAAACTACTGCTTTATCAGCAATCAGAGAAATAAAAATTAAGATAACAATTATAAGCTATTACATTAGCCAACAATTTAGCGATGAAAATATATAAAGTTGACAATCAGGGTACTATAGCAACATAAACTGATACATTGCTGGCGAGTTTATAAATTAGTACCACTTTTCGGGAAAGAAATCTGACCATAGTATTAGGAAGGCTTAAAAATGTTAAAACTCTAAACTGTTAATTCCTCTTCTAAGTATCTATTTTAAGGAAATGATTAGCATTGTGAACAAAGCTTTATCACAAGTGTTCATAAACCTATCATAAGTGTTCACTATAACATCACCCACAATTTAAAAACAATTAGAAGTAACTTAAATGCCTACAAATTGGAAACTTATAATCATGCACTTAGATCATACAGTACACAGCAATTAAAATTATGTTTATGAAGAGCATTTGATGATAAGAAATATGTTCATAACATTTTGACCAAGTGAAAACAGCAAGATAGAAAATTGCAAATATAGTATGATTTTAATTTGTAATGAAAACATGTTTAGAAAACAAAAGATGTTCTAAAGTTTTACCAGACTATTAATGGTTTTATACTACCCTTATAAGTAGTTTTGTTATAGGTAACCTTGTTAATGCTTCTTTTCCCACTTAACATTCTAAATATTTAAGTATTAGACAATTAGAAAAGCAGCAAAACCTAAAAACAAAAAACCAACCAAACAGACAAGTTAAAAAAAAGAGAGCGAGAAAAAAAAACAGGCCTAGGAATTTACCTGCAATCTCTTTTTTGTATTTATATCTGAAATACATTGAAATATTTTCCTAGAAATTGTAACAACCTCATAATTACTATTTGATAATAATTTCACAATGAACACACTTTTCTGCCATTTCAAACCACATGAACAACATTTGCCTTAGGCAGATTAATTTTTAGTCAGTTCTACTTTATCTAAGACTATTTTCTGTTACCAAAACCAATCTTCCTTTTTTTGTTTTTAATCCCAGTGAAGTATATACTACTATTTTTTTTCCAGACTGGGCCACATGATCCATGGGGCTATTCTGTGGACTCCTTAATTAGACATAAAAAGATGTTCAGCCACACACCTCAAGCACACATCTCAGAGAGCAAAATTCCACCCACAATAGTCTTTGCACGTTCATTTGACTGTAGGATACTTCCAATATCTAGGGACCAAATTCCCTTCTTCTCACCGAACTGCCTCCTCTGTCTGCCCAGTAATATAATGTCCTTTGTTACTCTTAATGGCAAAAGCTGCAATTATTTTGGCACCAAACTAAATACTGGGTATGAGATTTGAAATGCGAACATGTCTGTGGTGGCTCTAACAGTGACTTACAGTCATCCCAGGTGGGGTGGTATATACTAGACATGATGCTTCCTGAGAATAGATTTTGAAAAGTGGAAGGAAAGAGAGCATGAGAAACCGAGTGGCTGAAGTGACAGAGAAAAGGATGTTTTTAGATTCATGGGGAAATGCCTGGTTCATAAAACGCAAACATTGTCTGAACTGAACAGAGACTGGGCATTTTACAAAATCAAACTGGTTGCTCCATTGTTGTGAAAAAGACTGGCTCTTTTAAGTAGGGTATGATAGAAAATAGAAAGGAAAGGTTTGAGCTGTAGCAATGTACAT
Source organism: Homo sapiens (assembly GCF_000001405.40). Classification (NCBI taxonomy): domain Eukaryota; kingdom Metazoa; phylum Chordata; class Mammalia; order Primates; family Hominidae; genus Homo; species Homo sapiens. The sequence continues at coordinate 100,885,203 of NC_000003.12, forward strand.
AAATCATGTATCAATTTGCTCTTGAAACATTATATTAAAAAGCAATAGACAGAAGATAATATGTATAACCTTGAAATACCCAGAATACTAAAATATTAGAATAAGCTACATTGAATCTTAGAATTTTAGAACTTCAAACAAATCAGAGATGATTTGAAATCATGCTTTTACTTAGTATTAAGAAAAAGAAACTAATTCCTAAAACTAAGTACTTTCTCCACTGTTTCATAGCTAGTCAGTTAATCTAATTTCAGTATCTTATAATAAGACTATTTCCTTAACAATGCAGATACAATTTTTTAAAAACATTCTTGAAAATAAACTGTTACATACCACTGTGTGGTCTTGGTCATAGGTACTTTGGATTTTCCCATTTACTTTTTTACCTGATGAAACAAGGGAAAAATAACATTATTTTTATTCTCCTTGCTCCTAAATCAACTCTAGCTAATCATTATGAAGACAACTACAACTCATCCTCTAACTTGGATGTATAATTTTAATCACTATCATTTTAAACACTGATGCCAATGAAGTTTTAATGACGGGATGACTGGAAGAAAGCTCAAGGTTCCCGAAAGTCTTTTTATGGGCATCTCTACTGGTCTAGCTTTCCATTCTGAACATTGGTACATGTTATTGTTTTTCTGGTTCTGTTGGTGTTCGCAGGTAGGGATTGATTTTAAACTGCTGTAATACAATAGACAACGACATCAATGGAGGCATCAAATATTTATTACTTATTTTAAAAATCACTTATAACTAAAGATTCTGAAATATCAATGCTCAATATATCTTCTTTGCTTCTATATTTTCATAAATACTAGACCTTAGGAATTAGCTTATTTCATATTATACAATGAATAACATAATTAAAAATTAGGTAACTAAGAAAAAAATTATAAAAGCTTACTGAAACAAACATTTCTAGGTACTTACTTCCAACAACAGTCTTGTGATTGAAAATCTTACTCCAAATTCCACCTTCCACATTGTCTTTCACTCCAAATTCATAAACTGTGTTGGGCTTTAGGTTTTCCACAATTGTTTCAGTGGCTGGACAGATTTGAAAAATCCACTTCTTTTCTTTATCCTTTTCTCGATAGCGAATTGTATAAAATCTGTTGAATAACCAGAATATAATGCTTTAAAATCACAGAGGGATTCAGAATGTTATTTCAAATTTCTTACTTCATCACAGATTTCAACCAACTTGGGATACTATTTAATATTGGCTTCTCTTCCGATTTTTAAAAAATTTGCAGAGAACATGAAAAAAATAAGCTCAACGTGTGCTTAGGTTTTTAATTTCTCATTGCAAGTTGGAGTCTTTGCAGCAGCACAGTTTTGGCCCAATGGAATTCCAGAATTCTCGTTCTATTATTTGCTGCTTTGCAAGATGAAAGTTGGAAAACACTAGAAAAAACGTAGATATTACACTATGTATAATATTCTATTATACATAGAGTAGAACATAGGTGCCATTTTATAATTATTATGGTAGTTTCATAGTTGTATGAGTTTAAGCTTTTTCATCCATGAAGGATATGTTAGAGGTAATATCATTCAATTTTGTAAAAAAAAGAACCTAAGACTAAGATGTATTCAGTACTGCATTTTAAGGTTGAGCTGTTTTTATTATTAAAAAGAAGACCAATAGCCAAGTTAAGAGTCAAATAAAAAAAGTTAATGCCAATTCAATATCACTGTTATGTATTTACTTAGGCCTTCATAATATTCATATATACATAAATATACACATATATATGTGTAAAATAATCCTTATCACTATTTTTTGAACCTAGGTTTTACATATATTACCTGGTTTAATTGTCATGAAAACATCTTAGCTGGTAGAAATTATTAATCTCATTTTACAAATGTGAAAATGGAGTTTCAGAACATTCACTTAACTTGCCCAATATCACCCAGCTACTGACTTTTACCAGTGGCGGTGGCAGAATCGAAATACAAAGACAGACTCCTCTGGCTCTACTTTAAACAGCCGCTGTAAGTGGGGCAGCAGATCAAGTACAGTATACTACTATATACAGTAATGAGAGTGAATGGGAGAACTACATGTATCAATGTGGATAGATTTTAGAAACAAAATATCAAATAAAAACAAATTACAGATTGGTGCATATAGTTTCCTATCATTTACATAAATATTCAGACGTATGAAATATGTTACCAAATATTATTCCTGGCACTGTAAAGGGATAACAAATACTGAAAGGATACAACATTTCTGATAGTGCTTTAACTCCCAGTGAGCAGGTGATGAGAAAAATAGGATTTGAGATGGGGTCAATAGGTAAACTTCATCTGCTTTTTATTTTTAATTAAACACTGAATTAATAGAATGAAATAGTAGCTGCCATGTTATGATGATGGAAACATACGCATTGGGTAAACTATTTTTGGGTCTTTTTTATATCTTAACATTTTCCTCAAAAGGTTAGTACCTTTCCTCCACTCCTTACATCAGCAAAATTAAATGGAGTAAGATTAAGGTTACTTGCTTTTATTTAAAGCTTTAAAAAATCAGGAATTTTGCTCATTCTGAAAACATTTATTGAGCATTCTCTAAGTGTCAAGCCTAAGCTCTTGGTGATGCAAAACAATCCCAGTATCTAGAGATGAGTATCAAAACTGGCTACGTAATTTGTGGGGCTCAATAAGAAATGAACACGTAGACTCTGTTCAAAAGTTATTAGGAATCTTAAGACAGTGACAGCAGAGCATTAAACCAAATTTGGGCTCTTCTAAGTTGGGGGTCTGGTGCACAGGTAGTATGCCCATGAAGTCAGCAGGGGGTTTGTAGTTTAATAAATAGAGAGAGAGATGAGATGCATTTGTATATTCAGCCTACTTTCTTACTAGGCACAAACCACTGAAAGGCTTGCCATCATTGATTAGCTTGCTCCTTTCTAGTGAAAGCTGTGCTCAGGGCTCCATTCCCCCATTCCAAAGTAGCAGAAAACAGAATGAGTGAAGGAGGCTGTTCCAGCCTAAACACTAACTGCTACTGGAAACAAATGTTATATTATTGAATTGTAATAGAATGTAATAGAAGTCCTTTGTGTCCTGTGAGTCAAAATATCAGTGATTTATGAAATGCATTTCTTGACAAATACGCTGCATGAAATTTTTATTGTTATTTTTTCCCCGTCCTGGCTCTTAGAGAAATGTTAAGAAGCTAAAATCAGACCAGATGGGCCAACAAAATTATGCATCTCTAGTAGATACATTTCTGAGGACTTAACTGCTTTCATGATGCAGGAGTCCTGTTGCTAACAGAACTACTGAAGGTCAGATTCAAGGCTTTGCAGTCAACTTGATCTCACATAACCTGCTTATAAATAAATGAGACAGAAATGTTTTGTTCTTTAAAAAGAACCCTAAACTTCACCATGGTTTAAAAATCCAGAGTGTAAATCTTTTCCATTTTGATCACAAAGCATTTGAAATACCCTCTTATCCCAAGTTTTTCAGGAAAATAAAGGCTTAGGCATTTTGCCCTTCTTCTCCTAGTTAGGTTTGTCCTTTTCAACACTGTCTCCGTTGATACTTGTATATTATAGGCAAATTCCAATTTTGTTTTATAGCACTATCATTTTTTTTCAAGCAGAGAGATTAGGCCACTTAACTATACTTAAAGTGGTGAAGTAAATTTTCATTGATTTTAAAACAAAATATAGGTCTTATGATAATAAACAGTTCTTTATAACCCAGTACACAGTAGGTGCTCCATAAATATTTGTGGAATGAATATGTGGTGCTCTAAGGGTCATTTAAAAATTAGACTATAATATCTCTAAGTAACCAATTATTCAATTCCAAAGACATATTGATTTAAGCCATTAGGTCTACAATTATATTTTGCAACACATCATTGCATAACGCACCACTCCTACAGAACCAAAGCAAACTGAAGCCAAACACAATAAATTTCTGCATTATACATTTGCACAGGGCTTATGATTTTTATTTACCTATTCCATTTAATCCATACAATAAACTCTGAGCAGAGAAAGAATTATCATACAAGGAAAAGAGAGCCCAAGAAGTGTCTAAGCCCTGATAATCAGTGACAGACCCAGGCAAATGCCAATTTCTGACTCCTAATCTAATGCCTTTTGTACTGCACTGGACTCTTTCAACTGTGGTGCTAGGCAAAAGACATGGAAAAAGATGGAAAAATGAACCAGAATGGAAGAAAAACAAAAGTAATCAGCATTTCACATTATTGAAGGCTTTTTAGTTTTTGTTTTAATGTGTATTTACCATAACATATAGTCACAGTCTTGTCAAACGTTAGTTGACCCTTTTTCTGTGAATGATTAAAATTGAGCACAAGTGCACACAGAGGCAACAAGTCTATTAAAAATACAGGTAGTAGTCTATGAATGTCATCAGACTAGACTTCTAGAAAGCCTGCCTTCAGCAATTTCAATTTTAAGAACAAGAGCATCTCATATCCTAATTAAGAGGTAAGAAACTGTTGAAGGTAGCATTTGGTTCAACTGGCATTATTCTGTGCTTGGGCCACCTGAATAGTCTCAATACTGCCAATAATTGTTGTTATAGCATTGAAAAATCCACAGCTCCTCAAAATGTAGCAGAAAGGCAGGTAGTAGCTTGACTCGGATTTTAGTCAGCTGCAAACTAGTAGCATGACCTTGGGAGGGGGGCATCTCTCCACCCTCTTAAGCATCAATTTCTCAGAGAGGGACTGGACTCCACTATCTTTTAGATCCTTTGTTTCTAAAAATTTATTCCAGCAACATATTGGATATTCTATTCTAACAAAATACCTGAGACAGAAGTAGAAACTCCATAAACTGAATTTATGATGTAACTGGTAGTGAATTACACTAAGTGAAGAAATTGAACACCAAACTAAGCTTAGTCCTTCTACGAACTACCCCAGCTTAATGTACATGGTTGACTGTCTTTTGGGTTTTCCATACTTCCTTCAGGAATGCTTTTATTTCTATGTGATTAACTACTTTTACATTTCCTAAAACATCTATTTCCCACATTTTTGACTCTTCATGTCAAAGAACACATCCTGACACTGTCTTTGTCAGTGTTGCTTCTTGCTTTACTGAGACTGTAACTACTGAGAAAAATTCTGCCCTCATTCCCTTCCTCTAAAGGGTCTCTCTTCCCCTTCATTCTCTCTTTGTCCCACTCTGATTTCAAGGGAAAAAGCATTCTCATCTTCTCAAAGATAAGCTTCTCAATAATTGTATTCCACTTCCTTATTCCACCAGATCTCCAACCTTTCCCTTGATTCCTTACGGACCTTCCCGAGTCTAAAAGTTGTTTAGATATCTTTCATTCTACCCCAACAAAATTAAAACTAGTACTTTTCTCTTAAACCTGCCACTATATTTTAACATGAAATTTCTTAATAATCTGTCTTCTCCCACTTTCTTACCACTCAAAATGTCTCTATTTCTTTGCAATCTGTTGGCTGACCTCTTTATTATAGTAAAACCTTATGACCAAATTACTTAATCCTCTGTGAATTTCATAACTAACTTAAAATCTACTCTTCATTTTCTTTTCCAAATCTGTTTCTCTTGTGATCCCCATTTCTGATGACTTCAGAGTCCTTTCTCCCCTCATGTCCAATCAGTTGTCAAATCCAAGTATATTTTCTTACATGAATTCTCTTCCACTTGCCTCTCCACTATTCCAAGGTAGCATGTGAGCCCCAGTTTAGGTCATTAATATCTTTGGACTCGTGATAATTTTCAAACTGGTCAACTTTTTTTTTTTTTTTGTAGACCACAAAATCCACTTTTATTTGGTAGTTTTACATCTATAGCCAAATAGAAAGCAATGGGTTGACACAGTAATCTAGAGATTACCTCTGGAAAAAAGTAACGTGAGTCTGTCTAACCACATTTTCCTAACTCAACAGTAGGATCATGATAAGGCAAATGCAAGTTATTTTTACCATGATTCTCAAATGTGAATTGAATTCTGACTCATCACAAACTGGTCAACTATTTCTAAGATCTCCTTTCTTCGTATAGTATCACCCACTGGTGGCTGGTTTAAGTACAACAAAAGAAATGTTTCTACTGATATTAGTGCTATCTGAAATGGAATGGCTTGCCTGAAGTTGGCAATTATAACATAAAGTAAATAATATCAAAGCAATGAGAAGGCTAGCAGGAGACAGTATAATTTTGAGTATTCACTGCATGCTAGACACTGCATTAACCATTTTACATGTGTCATCTTACTAAATTTTGACAACCCTATGATATTACTTACCCCCTTTTGCAGATAAGAAAACCAAGACTAAAAGCATTTAAGCAACCCATGCAAAGCAACTAAGATGATAATAGAGCAGAGTTTTGAACTCGGGTAAGTCAGTGTGACCAGAATTTGTATCTTCAACATCCATGCTATGATGCCATCCCTGGAGATGCTCACTGTGGACTCTGGATGGGAGATGTTGCAAAGAAGCTTCAAGAGCTGAATAGACTGGCTAGATGATTTTTAAATCCTCTTCTTGACATCCCACTTGCATATTCACTTATATGTTGAGAACTACTATTGTAAAATACAATGCTGGGTTCTGTGTGAGATGGAAGCAAGTGGTATTCTGCAGTTTCAAAAGTGAGCTTGCACTCTAATGAAGGAGGTAGACATGCATATGTGTATGACTGAAGAAGGCAGAATGGAAAGCACACAGCATAGAGCTGGGGCTGGGTGTGGCACTATCCAGCCTGAAGCTGAGAAATGGACACGCTGCATTTTAAATCCCATTCCATTGACGTCGTTTACTTCAGGACATACTACCCAGGCCCCTGGAAAGCAGCGTGGATTGGATTTACACCTCATTTCATGAGCATGACTCAGATATGCATTGAGGTATATTTCTTGAGAGATTCTATGACTTATTTTCCTAGACAGTGGGGAGCTGGTGGCAATTCCTCAGTAGGTAAATAAAGTTGAGTAGTAATGAAGGAAGCTAGAATTACCAGCGTGGAAGAATAAGTCACAGAGAAACTGGAGGGAGGCATCTCAAGGTATACTCCAGATGTGAGATAACAAGGAAAGGAATCACACACACACATAAAAACCAGAACAGATTAAAGTTACAGTTCTAAGAAAGAATTGATGAAACCAGACTCCTTATAGGATATGGGTACCAAAGAAAGCGAAAAAAGTTAAAACTGATTTTTCAAAAGTGAGAATAAAGTGATGGGAAAAGTATTCTTTTAATAGTATAGAAAGTATGAATTTAGTCTGAGTGTGAGGTGCCAATCACAGTTACCTGGTTATTGTGATGAAAATATTCCATGGACAACTGAAAACATATTCTTAGTAATTTGTAAATGGGCCCAGGTCAGAGATTCAACCCTGGAAGTCATTTACATACTTGCCACTTCTGTTCTCTGTAGAACAGCAACAAAAGCAATTTCTGAGAGCTTTTAAAAATGCAGATTCTCAGGCTCCTTCTCAGGCCTACTGAATCAGAATCTGCATTTTAGTAAGGTTCCCTACATGACTTGCATGCACAAAGTTTGAGAAGCACTGTTGTGCATAGAGGGGATTGTTAAAGACTAGACATAGATAAGAAGGGTACTGCAGGTAAGATAGAACATGATTCCACATTTAGGAGATATAATAAGGAGTGAGCAAAGGAGAAAAGGAAAGGTGTGATGGTTAATAGTGAGTGTCAACTTGATTGGATTGAAGGAAGCCAAGTATTGATCCTAGGTATGTCTGTGAGGGTGTTGCCAAAAGAGATGAACATTTGAGTCAGTGGACTTGGAAAGGCAGACCCACCCTCCATTTGGGTGGACACCATCTAATCAGCTGACAGCATAGCTAGGATAAAGCAGGCAAAAGAAGTTGGAAGGACTAGACTGTCTGAGTCTTCTAGCTTCCATCTTTCCCCTGTGCTGGATGCTTCCTCCCCTCAAACATCAGACTTCAAGTTTTCAGCTTTTGGATTCTTGGACTTAATGACAGTGGTTTGCCAGGGGCTCTTGGGTCTTCAGCCACAGACTGAAAGCTGCATTGTCAGCTTCCCTACTTTTGAGGTTTTGGGACGCGGACTGGCTTCCTTGTTCCTCAGCTTGCAGACGGCCTGTTATGAAACCTCAACTTGTGATTCTGTGAGTCAATACTCCTTAACAAACTCCCCTTCATGTATATACATCTCTCCTATTAATCCTGTCCCTCTAGGAAACCCTAATACAAATGGTTAAAGGGGCAAGAGGAAAATCTAAATAAAAATGTCAAAGAAAGAAAGAGTTTAAGAATAGGTTAAGAAGGATAAGGACTGAGAAAACTCTACTGGGTTTAGTAACTAATTGGTCATTAGTGACCACCAAGAGACATTTCAGTGGAACAGTGGAAAAGGGATGGCAACTAGTGAGAAGGGATGAGGACTGTGCAGATGGTGCAGAATTCAGAATGTGGGAGCCATAACTCTGAAAAGTTTGGAAATTAAAAGAGACTGAAAAGTAGCTTAGAATACATAACAGGATCAACAGAAGGCTTTGTTTTCAGGGAGAGAAACTTTGAGCATGCTTGCCAGCAGGAGGCAGGGCACCACTGCCTGTGAAAGGGCAAATGGAAGAGAGAGGGGATCACTGGAGAAGCAAAGGCTTAGACGACATGGGAAAGATGGGATCATGAGCACTGTCTGAAGTCAGAATTGTGTTTCTTGGAAAGAAGAGAAGAGAGGTAAAGATAAATTCAGGATGAGGAAAGAGTGAGTTGATAAAGGATAGTCTAGATTTCCTCAGTACTGTGGAAGGTAGAATAGATTGGGGGAAGAAAATAGCAGGGAATGTAGCCAGGATGCTGTTGCCAGAATCCAGGGTAAGGTGAGGCATGCTTGGATTGGGAACATTAGTGTGAAATGGACAAGGAGAAGACACAGATGCAGATATGGGTACATCTCAAAAGAAAAACGAATGTATCTTCGGGCCTTCATAAACGATAGTAGGTGAAAAATAGAAAATAAATGAAGTTTTAAATTAGAGCCAATGGGACAATGATACTACTTTAGAAAGCAATACAGAGACAAGTGAGGTGATATTTCAAGAGAAAAAGTCTGAGTTTAATCTTGTCATGTTGAGTTTGAGGTAATGGTAACACATAAAAGTGAGAATGTTGATATCTCACTGGTTATTTCATTCAGCATGTATTTACTTGGGGCCTCCTATGTTCCTGATGCTCTTCGGGGGACCAGGAAGTAACGGTGGGCAAGATACTCCCTGTCTTCACCGAGCTTAAAACTTACACGGCAAGACAGACAGGTAACAAGGCACTGGGGTCAATCAGGTGAGAATTCAGACACTGAAGATACTCGCTTCTTACAAACTTGGGGGCGGAAAAAAGGCAAGAGAGTCTGCTCTGGACTGGCCAAAAAGGAGAGCCCTCATTCTACGTTAAGAGTAAGTAAACACGGCCGGGCGCGGTGGCTCACGCCTGTAATCCCAGCACTTTGGGAGGCCAAGGAGGGCAGATCACGAGGTCAGGAGATCAAGAACATCCTGGCTAACACGGTGAAACCCCACCTGTACTAAAAATACAAAAAATTAGCTAGGCATGGTGGCCGGTGCCTGTAGTCCCAGCTACTCGGGAGGCTGAGGCAGGAGAATGGCGTGAACCCGGCAGGCGGAGCTTACAGTGAGCCGAGATCGCGCCTCTGCACTCCAGCCTGGGCGACAGAGCGGGATTCCGCTTCAAAAAAAAAAAAAAAAAAAAAAAAAAAAACAGAAAAAAAAAACACAAGATGAGAATGTTAGAAAATGCGAAAGTGATTTCTAAACTATTCATAAAGCTTTAATACGCTGGCAAAAGAGTGAGAACTAAAGCAATCTTGAAATCTTTAACAAGTTGGAAACATGAGAAAGAAAAAATAAGCTATTAATGGTGAAATAAATTTGGGTTAAAAACAGTTGACTCTTCATCAGGGCCAATTTGAAAGCTTTCTTTCAAATTGAGGCTCTATTGAAGACAAATGGGTACACTCTTCCATTCAAAGCCCATTAAGAATAAAAACTGTAAATGAAGCACATCTGCTCTCCGATGTGAACTTAGAAAGGAATCTTAAAGCATGGGAGACCCATAAAGACCCTATGCAAATAGGTACAGAAACATGCGCCACAAAGGATAAAGTGATATTTCATTGATACTTCCAAGCTAAAAACAAAACAAAAACAATGAGGGTTTTCTAACTGGAAACTTACTACCTAAGAGCTTTGATATACAAAGTCCATAGTCAAAATATAAAAACAAATTTCACTGTTATTTGCACAGGATAAATGAGGCTACACAAACCAATGTAAATCATTTTTTTAAAAAATCAGAGACTGTACAGAGGGAACCAAATATCAATGAATTAAAATGATACCAATTGGTGTTCCTGTAGCAAGCCAAGTGCATTCAGATTGCAATGGTTTTGTAAAAAGATACTCCTGAAGTAAAACTTTAGCTGTATTAATCTTCCAATTTTCAGAATATAACCATCATTTTTAGCTATTATTGCTTATGCTAACCTACTGGATTAGTCTAAATTATAAAAAAATTATGCATGAACATATGAGGGTAGATTTCTCCAAGTCTAGTCTGCTTCTAATTACACTAATTTGTAGTTCTGGCAGATTTATTTGGATGCTTCTAATATGTACAGTATTTCCAGGCTTTTAAATCGGGGCTATTATTTTTTTCCTCAAACATCACAAAGACTTTAAATGTCGGTTTATTAACTATGCTAATTAGGGAGAAAGGAAGCATGGGGAAATGAAATTTACTAGTACTCCAAATACTCCTTTTTAGTCATTACTGTTTAATTCTTCCCTTCAACTCATGTCCTAATGGTTCCCTACTTTGGTCAAGAATATCTTGCTTGTCATTATTGTATCTTTCAAAAGACTTTATTCAAAATGAAATTATCGATTTTGAATATTGTGATGTGATGTGCCTAATTCCATCTATTTGATAAGAGTAGAGCCAGGGTGCGTGTGCAAGGGGGTGAGGGTGAGGGTGAGATCCATGCATGGTCTGAATAGCTTGGGCCTTAGAGTCAACAGCCTGGGTTAGAATCCTAGCTCCATTAGGTCATCTGTCCTAACTTTCTCTATATTCATTATCTCCGGGTGCTGTCAAACCATGGCAACATCTATCAATTAGAATCGGTCATCAGATAGATTCTTTTACAGAAGTGTCAGTAGGACAAAGTGAAATTGGAGGAGAGGCTTGAGAGCGGGAGGAAGAAATTACTCCAAATTATGCTACACAAGTTTGCCAGGTTACTAAACCTATTGAAACAAGTAGTCCTACAGATTCATCAAGCAAGTTGAGTAACCCTTAAAATTGGGTTGCATTTTGCTGTAAGACTACAAAATTTCCTTTCTTCCTTCCTCTCTTCTCCCTTTCTCTCTCCATAACTTTATCAAGATAATTTTTAAAAAGAAAAAGAGCAATCCATAAGTGTTTATTTTCTCAGCATTAGTACCCCAGACCAATCCATTAGGAACCGGAATTATCACAAGGAGGCATGTTCTTTTGAGTCCATTTTCCAAACAAAATAAGTCATGGGATTAGTGGTGGGTGAAATAAAAAGTATTTCAGATTCTTTGAAGCATTTCAAAATTATTTTTCAAAAAATTGGGTTTTGGAAATATCTTCTACATGTTTTTCCAAGTATTCATCCCTTGAGAACCATGGGCATATGAAGGGAAATTTGATTTTTTTCTTGAGTCTAGATTTCCCAACGTCAGATGAAAGGTGATTTTGAGAACTTATAAACACTTTAAAAATTCCTTCATTTTAGTTTGATTTGGACAAATAAAAATAAATAAAACACTACAAAAAACATAAACATGGCCAAAAAGCACATTAAGAAGTATGCAATAGCCTTAGTGTAAGGGAAATACATATCAAAACTGTAATGAAAAACTACTACACTAGAATGGCTAAAATGAAAGATGCTGACAACACAAAATGCTGCTTTAGAATGTGGAGCAATCAGAGCTCTCCTACATTGCTTGTGGGAATGTAGATGGAAAAATTAGGCAAAAAATAATCAAATATACGTAATATACATCTTCCTATAACTCAGAAATTCCACTTATGTTTAAGAGAAATTAAAATGTCCACCAAAATTTTATGCGAAAATGTTTATACAGTCTGTATTCATATACATAAAAAAAAACAACATAATTCAGGTGCTCATTAGCAAGAGAATAAACTTTTGAATATTCACATAATAGACTATCACTCAGGAGTACAAAAAAGAATGAATTATTGATATCCGCAATGTCATGAATGAATCTCAATGCTCAGCGAAAGAAGACAGTCAGAAAACCCATACTATATGACTCCATTTATATGGAATTCTAGAGTAGGCAAAACTAATCTATGGTGATAGAAATCAAATCAATGGTTGTTTCTGGAGGAAAGTACTTTCTAGAGTGATAAAATTTTTCTGTTTCCTGATGGGTATTGGATACATGGTTATAGGCATTTGTCATAACTCAAACTGTACACTAATATTTATGCATTTTACTGTGTTTAAATTATACCTCAATAAATGTTTTTTATTCAAAAAGGAATAAGAAAACTTCTGAAATGTAAAAATCACTTTGAATGTATTTAAAATAGAAAACTTTAAAAATAAAATGCCTTGATTGAAGCTTGAAAATTTTGAATGCTTTTCTAGATGCAAGTTTCTGAGTTTTGAAGCTAATATAGTAAATATTTATAAGCAAACATCATTTTATAACCAACCTAGAAGTATGGTTCAGCATGTAGCACAGGGCCTAGTACATATCCATCCAATGCATCTAAATACATGCATCAAATGGTTGGATGGATAAATAGCAGTAGTTTAAAAATATACTTAGATTTTTCCCATTTGTTCTTCCAAAGAAAATGGTAGCTTCATTTCCAACTTGCTTTTCCTCTGCTTATATCTCTGCCTGTGTGTCTCTCCTCAGTTTTCTAAGCCAGTGATTCTCAAACTTCAGTGGGCATCAAAACCACCTGGAAGGCTTGTGAAAACACAAATGGCTGGGCCCCACCTTGAGAGTTTCTAACTCAGTGAGTCTGAGGGGGACCTGAGAATTTACCTTTTGACAAGTTCAAGACATGCTGATACTGCTTGCTTTGGGAACCACACTTTGAGAAGTATGATTTAAGAGCTTCAATTGTGAGATCAAAGATCCATCCTTTTCCAATCAACTTTCCAACTTTTAATTGTCTTTCCTAACTGCCTTTGGCCCCGCCTTCTGAGTTTCTAATTGCACTTATTACTGATACCACCCATTTGCTATTTGACTCATACTTCCTTGTATAATAGTTCATGATTTTTGAAAAAAATTACATGTATGTGTTTTCTATTCAGGTAGATAACCTTCTCAAGGGCAGGGCCCCTGACTTTGTTCCCCTCACACCTAGAACAGGCTGTACAGCTAAGAGGTGTTAAGTCAATGCTAACAGTCCTGATACTTACATATTCTTCTAAAGCATGTACAGATGCTATTAAAAGCAAATGCTAATATTACCTGTCATTGGGACAGTGACTTGGCAATGTCCAGTCATGGTGTGGGTTGATGAGGAAACCCCAGGACAGGAAGACCGAGCTCGGTGTCAGAGTGCCAACCACCAGCTGCAGAGGTTTGCGAGAACGAGTTTTACCTGTGGAGGTGGCATAGAGGTTAATAATTCAGGAGACATTTAGTAAGTTGCCATGATTCGGGTAAAATGCATTAAAGATGACTTGGCAAGATGATGCAAAATGTGAAAACATCAAGTTCCTTTCCTTTTCTATAGTCCACATTATTACTAATTTTTGCCCAGGAATTTAAATGTGAATCAAATACCTTTTTCAGATTTGTGTCTATGCATGTGTGCATATGCATATATGCATACACATGTATATGTATATTGTACATGTACACATATTAACAATATCCAGCTATACCTAGTTTTATTTTCTTGTGGGTCAGGGAAGGATATGGAGGTCTTAGCTGTGATGAGTGAAATAAACAAACACACATACACACACTTAATTTCTTTTACAGATAAAATGAAAGTATGTTTATTTTTTTCCCGGGACTGTGAATGAGTGTGAAATAACATCTAAGACAAGAAAATAAACCTTATTATCTAGATTGTAGGTTATAATCTTTTTTAACCTATTTAGAAGTGTAAAATCTCTTCATGTTATTGTAGTAAGTATATATTTTACAATGAGTATCTAAATGGAAAAGGCAAACACATTTTTTAACAATGATGGAAGAGTAGGGGTAACACAGGAAGCACAGTTGTTCTGATGGTGCCAACTGGATCTAAATAATGCCAAGAGTTATGCTAATAAATCACTGGAGATTGTGTTCAAGTACACAGAAGCAGGCACTTGCACTTTCAAAATTATCTGAAACTGCAGAAGTAGGGCAGCGAAAAACAGGAAGAACCTCAACCATGAAAACCAATGCTGACTCATTGAAAATAATTAGAGTAAATAAGATAAAAATCCGATAGAAAGCCTAATAAAACTACACAGAATATAAAACATACATACTCTGTATTGCTGTTGAATTCCCTCTTTTATTTCTTGAGACTATGAATGTTGTATTTGCTCTAGAAAGAACTTGTGCTGTCTAATGAAGTGGGAGCCAAATGGCAGAATGGCCTGCCACCTCTATTAAGGTAGGTAGGAGAGTGCCCCTTGCATGAGCCTATTGGTGGTCATCTGAATCAAATGCTCTTGAAAATTGTGTCAAGCTTGTTCCTTTTGTTAAATTTAAGTTCTGTAAGTTGTTATTCAAGCAAGAACCCTTCTTAGCACAGAATACACCTAACCTAGTGGTGGCAAATTGCCTCATTATAGGATAGTTGACTTTTAAAGATGTTTGAAATAAGTTTCAAAGATAGTTATCATTTACATGGTTGGAAACACGGGTTTATTCTTCTCTAACTTCTGCAGACCCAGCTGTAATTGTGCCTTATATGATGGTGATTTAAATTGTCATGTATGAGCTCCAATGAGGGCAGATTAGAATCTGCAGTGAAGGCAGGGAACACTTATAGTTTGAACAAGCCCTGGGATGATTGTGATCTTCCCTTTTCAATTCCTGAGTTGATTTTCACTAACGTGATGCAACGATCTCATTCACTTTGCAGATGAAAAATAAGGCACAGAGAAGTTTCAAGATTGTCCAAAGTCACATTAAGAGCAAAGTCAAAACTCAAGTCCTGGGTCTCCTCAATCACAATCTAGTTTTATTTTTATGATATCACTGTCTTGGCTCTCTATGTATAAAAATAATGCCATTTAGAGATGAAAGACATATTTTTCATGTAAGGAACCTAAGGCTTGTATGACCAAGGGAAACTAATGGTCTCCCAATTATTTGTATGACCAAATAACTATTTCACTAAGGTTGAATCTTAATATAAAAATAATTAAATAATTAAAATTTATGTGGCAGATACAAATATAGAATGAATGGAAGCTAATCCCTTAGTCATTACATTATTCCTAAATGCAGATAACAAAAACAAAATTATATCCGCTATCCAAAAAGAAAGGTGGGATGTTATATCCTGAGCAAGATGAAGCAATTTCCTGAGCTGGTCATAAAGTAAACAATAATTTCTAAGGCTAGTGTCATAGAATCCTCAAAATAAAATGAAGTTATAAAGTGCTAAGGCATGATCATTCTCTTGACATTCCTTACATAATTTTGTATATTTGTACTATGATCATATTTCTATCAAGAAACAGTTCAATGAGTATTCATCTGAAAACAGATTCCATGGAATCACACTGATGTTTCTTGAGTTTGTGGCTCAATATTTTTGAAGTACAGTCTTGAAATATTGAGAGTACATCTATTTTCAAGTGTGTGGAAAACTGTCTGGACAACTCTCACTAACAAGTTGTAAGGAGCGATTGGAATTTCCCTTTTGCTTTGGGATGATCTATGAGGCCAGGAAAAAGAATTAGTATTTTTCAAAATGCTTAACCATTCAATGCTGCTCTTAAAAGAAGTGGAAATCAGCAGAAAGAGGGGAGGGAATTGTGGCAACTAATTTCTGATTTAAGCTATTTAGTATAACTGAATAGCTGACTGTTCTTTCTCCCATTTTATTCCTCCAGAAAAATATAGCAAACAAACAAAAAGATCCTTTTATCGTGTGGTATCCAGTGTACCATAAAAGATGAACATGCTTTGGCAATAATTACTTGGAGATCATTCACATTAGAAAAATAAAAGCAGGCTGGGTGCAGTGGCTCACACCTGTAATCCCAGCACTTTGGGAGAGCGAGGTGGGGGTGGATCATGAGGTCAGGAGGTCGAGACTGTCCTGGCTAACACGGTGAAACCCCGTCTCTACTAAAAAATACAAAAAATTAGCCGGGCCTGGTGGTGGGCGCCTGTAGTCCCAGCTACTCGAGAGGCTGAGGCAGGAGAATGGCGTGAACCTGGGAGGCGGAGCTTGCAGTGAGCTGAGATTGCACCACTGCGCTCCAGTCTGGGCCACAGAGCAAGACTCCGTCTCAAAGAAAAAAAAAAAAAAGAAAAGCAAAATTTTGTGATCAACTCTATATAGAGTTAGGAAGATGCAACATCAGATAGAAAAAGCATATTCACAGCTTCTTCCTTATAGCAATGGTCAGCTATATTATTTGATCTGAGAAGAAGTTTTGGTAGTGAAATTAGACGACATAGAATTTTAATCTTTAGTTATGTAGAAAGTTTCTACTTACTTATTTATATATCCACTTTCCTGTTGCAAGTCTTCCTAGACCTGGAAACATGAGTGTTGCTATTATTTTTATTTTATGGAAGAAATCCTTCCTTTATTGAATTGAAGAGGTTAGAAGGGAGAGATAAGGAGTAAATAAAACCTACATGCTGATCTATTTAACACACATACATGAATTATCCTTTTAAAATGTAAACAGTCTCCTTAAGAAAAGGTGAGACATAAAATTTTGCCCTTAACATCTGAAAGGCACAATAGTGAGCATGAGTTCACACACTGTAAAATAGAAACAGGCTAATAGGAGCTAACCCCAAATGAGCACTGACTACAGGCCAGGCACTGTCCTTAACTCATTTAATCCTCAAGGACAACCCTATTATGCAGCAGAATCCAGGAGTAGAGAGGTTCAATAACTTATGTAATTCCCTGCAGTTTGCAAGTGGTGGCACCAGGAGAAAATCCCAAGCAGTCTCTACCACCAGGCTGTGTTACTTCTCCAAAAGGGTAAACTGTGGACCCAGGGCTGACACCTCCTCTACATTCTTAAAGCTTCTCAAGGCATTTGGTCTCCAGGGGTCCAAAAGAGATGAAAAGTCATGGTTCAAAGTTCATAAAAGAAAAAGAATTCAATGCAAAGGACTATACCTGAACATGACTTCTTTTGACTTGGAGGTGGAGCAGGTCGCACAACTATCAGATATTTCGGCTCTGCATCTGGAAGCAATAACATTATTTATCAGAAAAACCCTTTGAGAACCAGCATTGGAGGCAGCACACCCCTACCCTGATTCAGCATTCCCTGAGTCATCCTCCATAACCGCAGCTCCAGGGAGTGAGAGGACCCAATAATCCGAAAAGTTGACACTTCCTGAGAAGTTTATTAAGTCATTAAAATGAAAATTAAATCCAGATTTTCCAAACCAAATGGGCAAGGGTGAGGGAGAAGTCTTAAAATAATCATACTATACACAGATTTTAAACGCTGTCTTCATCAGTTCTTTTCTCTGCAAATATATATTTTAAAAAATCAGAGTATGTCCATTCTGTTACCCCATGCCTCAAGGAGAGCCAATCCCGATGCTCCAGGGAAGGAAAAATTCTACTTGCACAAGACACCGTGGGCCTCACCTGTATGAGCTAAAATCACTCCCTTTCATGGGAACAGGAATATTTATAACGCCCTTCCTAATTTGTATCCTGTTTATGTAATTTCTCAGCCTGTTTTCATAGCTAGTCATTTTTAATGAACAATTTCTAAACAGTCACAATTTATAAGTTGGTATAATTTTCATTTTAAATATATTTCAATGAAATGTACATAGGGAATCTCAGGATATTTAAGTTTTAAATAAAATTATATTAAATCAATCAGCATATGCTAACTCAATAAGGAGCTAATAATTTATCAAATAATTTTTTAAATATTGATGTCTGCAAGATGAATGGCTGGTTACACATATGTAAATAAACCAAATATATTTTGGGCATATGAAATAGCATTTTATAAGCAACTCTACTGGATTAATGGATTGATGAGTATTCTTTACAATGTTCCTCCAGAACTTTAAACTCTGAAACTCGTTCTATAAGAAATATCATTTGGATGCTGTAGTCAGCCAGAATTCACAGCTACTTACTCAGGCAGACTTCATATCTTTGTTTTGTTTTCATTCTGGGTTCAAATGTCTCCCCTCCATGAGTCTGGAGCAGAGGCCTTCTTGCCCAAGGCTTTGCAGAGCTGACCTCTTTTCAGATGGGGACAACCTGGCAACTCAACTTCTCTTAGTAACTTGTGCCTTTGTCTTTTTCTGGACATCTTACACAGCACTATTGGCTATAACCTGCTGCAGTAATTACCGCCGAATAAAGTAACTTAGGCAGCCTGATGAACTCACCTCAGAGCTTTGCCTCATCATTGTACAGTTGCCTCCTGCCCACCACACAGATAAAGGAGCATTCATTCTGTTCCAGTCTCGTGTGTTTGAAAGCACATCTTGCTTAGTGAGGCTCGTACAAGGAATGCTGGACCCAAATCAAATCAACAAGTTTCCTAGTAGGAATACAATAACCATTTCCTGATTTTCTTTGAGATATAGAGCAATAAACTACCATGTACTGAACGCTTTCTATGTGCTGGATACTATATTGAGAACCTTATATTCATAACTTCATTACTCCCTCATGGCAATCCTACCTGGCACTACTATTATCACCTCAATTTGTAGATGAGATAACTGGGGCAGGGTTGACTTCATGGGCATGTGGCATATACAGTCACATGGGGCCCCATGCTTAGAAAAGCCCTATGCTTGGTTTAAGGTCCTGCTGTCACCATCTTGAAATTCTTAACACTTTTATCTTTGAACTTGTGTTTTGCAAGGGAAGTCTGATGGGACAATAGAGCATGCATGTGAGTGGGGGAAACAGAAGCAATAAGCATGTCAGCATGTTCTTGCCTCCCCCACTCATTTATGGCATTGGAGGAATGCATTATCATATAATTCCAAAGGAACCATGATGTGTGGGAGTTCAGCAAGACTCAAAGGTAGAACAAGGTAAGTATGTCACATTTACCATTCAATAAAAGGGTAAGGAGGGGGACACACAGAGCTGTGAGAGACCGTACTTTCCATGTGAACCAGAACTTGCTTTAGATGCAGAAAAAAGGCAATGGCACTTTAAGAAATATGAATATCATCGCTGGCCATCAGAGAAATGCAAATCAAAACCACAATGAGATACCATCTCACACCAGTTACAATGGCAATCATTAAAAAGTCAGGAAACAACAGGTGCTGGAGAGGATGTGGAGAAATAGGAACACTTTTACACTGTTGGTGGGACTGTAAACTAGTTCAACCATTATGGAAGTCAGTCTGGTGATTCCTCAGGGATCTAGAACTAGAAATACCATTTGATCCAGCCATCCCATTACTGGGTATATACCCAAAGGATTATAAATCATGCTGCTATAAAGACACATGCACATGTATGTTTATTGCGGCACTATTCACAATAGCAAAGACTTGGCACCAACCCAAATGTCCAACAATGATAGACTGGATTAAGAAAATGTAGCACATATACACCATGGAATACTATGCAGCCATAAAAAATGATGAGTTCATGTCCTTTGTAGGGACATGGATGAAGCTGGAAACCATCATTCTCAGCAAACTATCGCAAGGACAAAAAACCAAACACCGCATGTTCTCACTCATAGGTGGGAATTGAACAATGAGAACACATGCACACAGGAAGGGGAACATCACACACCGGGGCCTGTTGTTGGGGTGGGGTATGGGGGAAGGATAGCATTCGGAGATATACCTAATGCTAAATGACGAGTTACTGGGTGCAGCACACCAACATTGCACATGTATACATATGTAACTAACCTGCATGTTGTGCACAGGTACCCTAAAACTTAAAGTATAATAATAAAAAAAAGAAATACGAATGACCAAGAAACCCTATCATATCCTTTCTTACTCATGTATTAGCCAACCACTTATGCTGAAAATGATAAAGGAAAAAAGGGAAAGATAAGGGCACTCTTAGTTCTTTTTTTTTTTCCAACTCTTCCTCATTCAGAAATGAGTTGAAAGAAGAGTGTTGGTAGAATGTGCACATATTAAGAAGTGAAATAAACAGCTGAATTAGTTTTGTGCAGCATTTCCACTATTCTGGTAGGAACAAAATGCATATGCATATATGTATAAACTGTAAAATACAAATTGTGCAATTTCAGTAATTTCACTTAGGAATTAAAGGCCCTTACGTTTGCATTTAAACCTGGGATTGAACAATATAAAGATATAAAGTAAACTTCATGCTAATAATTTTAAATTTTTTCTTTACTAAGACATCAAATAGTAAATAAAATAAATAAATAAAATCATGACAAAAGGAGAAACCACAAAAAGGAAAAAGCTTTATATTTTAGTATCTTCAACAACATTTTTTTTCCATGTTTTTGAACCAGGGGACCTGCATTTTCATTTTGTTCTTGGCCCTGCAAGTTATGTAACTATCTTAATCAAGTCTACAAAATACTCTTTTAATAAATCTCAGGAATTCACTTTTAGAAAACAAAACCCCTAGTTTTCCTAAATTGTTCTCACTCTAGCAGAGTCTCTTAGAGTTAACCTTTTAGATTCTTCCTTCATATGGATTAATTATGCCTAATGCCTAGAGGTTTTTAAAGAAAGACCCGAAACACTAGAAAAATAACATATACAGAAGCCAAAGATAGTACCATGATCCAAGACATATGGTTATATGAGCAATTTAAAAATACCTTTTGTTATGATCACAGTTATTTTGCATAAAGCATAGGCTGTTACAGCCAATTACAAATTGGAACAAATGTCATTACCTGGGTGCATGTGTTGGCTCTTACTGCTCATTAAATATTTCCAACATACACATATTTTGGGAGTATTTGTGCTCTATTGGGGACACAGGTGTGGAAAAATAAGACTCAAGAGTAGGATTTCTATTTCTGTTCTGTACAATAAATTCTTTGTGGATTTATAGTAGCCTGGAAATATATACATTGTAGACTGAAATTCTGCCAATATATGTTACTTCATTTAGAAAGATATATACCTAAAATGTCAATTTAGGAAAAGTTGCATAGAATGCAGTTACCTTAACAAAGTTTCCATTCCTAATAGTTAATTCTATACAATGTTGCAGACTAATTAAATCTAATTTGCTTAATATTTTGAATGCCCTATTGTGGAGGACAGGGACAGTTTACTGCTTAAGGAAATCTACTGTTGAAATATTTTGTTAATTACTGGATTTTTCAGTAATACTCTTATAATTGCAGTTTGATAAATCCCAATTTTCACATTTTGGGTCTGCTCCCATTAGAGGACGCCTGCATTGCAAGCCTCACTGCTTCAGAATATTGTCACAGGGAAGCTTAGTTCTGCATGCAAAGTTTCTGCTATTAAAGTGTCCACAAAAGAAGCATGAAATAAACCAAGATAATCCTAAAAGAAATTAGGTAAGGGGGCCTGAAAAAGGCCCTTGCTATGTTTAACAATTTTTTTGTTAAACTAATTTTCTGGACATAAGAGCACAGACTCTGGAAACAGATTAAATCCTATGCAACTACATGCTAGTACAAGTCAAAGTACTTAACCTCTGTGTACCTCAGTTTCCTGCAAAGTAGGAAAAATCATACCTAGTCTCAAAAGGTTCTTAAAGGTAATTAAAGTTGTAACAAAGGCCAGGCATGGTGGCTCAGCCTGTAATCCCAGCACTTTGGGAGGCCAAGGTAGGGAGATCACTTGAGCTCAGGAGTTTGAGACTAGCCTGGGCAACACAGTGAAACCCCATCTCTACAAAAAAGACAAAAATTATCCATGCATTGTGATGGGCACCTGTAGTCCCAGCTACTCAGGAGGCTGAGGTGGGAAGATTGCTTGAGCCCATGAGGCACAGGTTGCAGTGAGCTGAGATTGCACCACTGTACTTCAGCCTGGGTGACAGTGAGACCTTGTTTTGGGGGGGGAATAAAAGCTGTAACAATGTCAACACAAGAAGTATGAATTAAGTATTAGTAACAATGGTGATTTCTAGAAAGCAGAGTTTGTGTTCTACAAAGTCTAAGGACATATTACAAGAGAGGAAAATGTTCAAAAAATCTTTACAGCAAGCATCACAAGTTCCAAAATGCAAGCATTTCACAATAAACATTACAAACCAAACTCATTCATAAATATCGATGCAAAAAAACCCTAAAAATATACTGACAGGCAGAATCTGGATCTGACAGCACATAATACAATAATAAATTATTACCACATACAGTTTATCCCAGGAATGTAACATAAAGGGAAAGAAAAGGCCGGGAGTGGTAGCTCACGCCTGTAATCCCAGCACTTTGGGAGGCCTAGGCGGGCAGATCATGAGGTCAGGAGATCGAGACCATCCTGGCTAACACAGTGAAACCCCATCTCTACTAAAAAATACAAAAAATTAGCCGGGCGTGGTGGTGGGTGCCTGTTGTCCCAACTACTCGGGAGGCTGAGGCAGGAGAATGGTGTGAACCTGGGAGGCAGAAGTTGCAGTGAGCCGAGATCGTGCCACTGCACTGCAGCCTGGGTGACAGAGCAAAGACTCTGTCTAAAAAAAAAAAAAAGAAAAAAGAAAAAAAAGTAAGCCTATTTCCACAGGTGCTGAAAAGTCATTTGAAAGAAATGCTAACTCTGAATAAATAAGAATTCAGTGGAATACTTTCTTATAAAATATATCTTAAAACATCTAAATCAAATGTATGATCCTCCTTTACTAAACATGCCAGACCCTTGCTGGCACCAACAATGATACTGGGTAAAAAAACAACGGGACTGTTGATAACTGAGTTGAATTTCCCATTATTCCTATACACCAATAACAGACAAACAGCAAGCCAAATAATGAGTGAACTCCCATTCACAACTGCTACAAAGAGAATAAAATACCTAGGAATCCAACTTACAAGGGATGTGAAGGGCTTCTTCAAGAAGAACTACAAACCCCATAATCTCAGCCCAAAATCTCCTTAAGCTGATAAGCAACTTCAGCAAAGTCTCAGGATACAAAATCAATGTGCAAAAATCACAAGCGTTCTTATACACCAATAACAGACAAACAGAGAGCCAAATCATGAGTGAACTCCCATTCACAATTGCTACAAAGAGAATAAAATACCTAGGAATCAAACTTACAAGGGATGTGAAGGACCTCTTCAAGGAGAACTACAAACCACTGCTCAAGGAAATAGGAGAGGACACAAACAAATGGAAAAACATTCCATGCTCATGGATAGGAAGAATCAATATTGTGAAAATGGCCATACTGCTCAAAGTAATTTATAGGTTCAATGCCATCCTGATCAAACTACCATTGACTTTCTTCACGGAATTGGAAAAAACTACTTTCAATTTCATATGGAATCAAAAAAGAGCCTGCATAGCCAAGACAATCCTAAGCAAAAATAACAAAACTGGAGGCATCACACTACCTGACTTCAAACTATACCACAAGGCTACATTAACCAAAACAGCATGGTACTGGTACCAAAACAGATACATAGACCAATGAAACAGAACAGAGGCCTCAGAAATAACAGCACGCATCTACAACCATCTGATGTTTGACAAACCTGACAAAAACAAGCAAATGGAGAAAGGATTCACTACTTAACAAATGGTGTTGGGAAAACTGGCTAGCCATATGCAGAAAGCTGAAACTGCATCCCTTCCTTACACCTTATACAAAAATTAACTCAAGATGGATTAAAGACTGAAACGTAAGACCCAAAACCATAAAAACCCTAGAAGAAAACCGAGGCAATACCATTCAGGACATAGGCATGGGCAAAGACTTCATGACTAAAACACCAAAAGCAATGGCAAAAAAAAAAAGCCAAAATAGTCAAATGGGATCTGATTAAACTAAAGAGCTTCTTCTGCACAGCAAAAGAAACTACCATCAGAGTGAACAGGCACCTACAGAATGGGAGAAAGTTTTTGTGATCTATCCATCTGACAAAGGGTTAATATCCAGAATCTACAAAGAACTTAAACAAATTTACAAGAAAAAAAAAACAAACATCCCCATCAAAAAGTGGGCGAAGGACATGAACAGACACTTCTCAAAAGAAGACATTTATGCAGCCAACAAACATATGAAAAAATGCTTATCATCACTGGTCATTAGAGAAATGCAAATCAAAACCACAATCAGATACCATCTCATTCCAGGTAGAACGCCAATCATTAAAAAGTCAGGAAACAACAGATGCTGAGAGGATGTGGAGAAATAGGAACACTTTTACACTGTTGGTGGGAGTGTAAATTAGTTCAACCACTGTGGAAGACAGTGTGGCAATTCCTCAAGGATCTAGAACTAGAAATACCATTTGACCCAGCAATCCCTTTACTGGGTATATGCCCAAAAGAATTATAAATCATTCTACTATAAAGACACATGCACATGTATGTTTATTGCAGCACTGTTCACAATAGCAAAGACTTGGAAGCAACCCAAATGCCCATCAATGATAGAGTGGATAAAGAAAATGTGGCACATATACACTATGCAGCCATAAAAAAGGATGAGTTCATGTCCTTTGCGGGGACATGGATGAAGCTGGAAACCATCATTCTCAACAAACTAACACAGGAACAGAAAACCAAACGCCACATGTTCTCACTCATTAGTGGGAGGTGAACAATGAGAACACATGGACACAGGGAGGGGAACATCACACACTGAGGCCTGTTGGGAAGTCGGGGGCAGGAGGAGGGATGACATTAGGAAAAATACCTAATGTAGATGATGGGTTGATGAATGCAGCAAACCACCATGGCACTTGTATACCTATGTAACAAACCTGCATATTCTGCACATGTACCCCAGAACTGAAAGTATAATTTAAAAAAGGTAAAAAAAAAATTATCAGTTTAGGAGAATTTTAATGACTTCGATAAAAAGTAAATTTTCATACAAATTTCTTTCTACATTGTGAAAATAAATTCTATTTCTTTCCTATTCTTGCTTTTCCTTTTTTTTTAAAAAAAAAATAGAGATGGGTCTCACTATGCTGCCCAGGTTGGTCTCTAACTCCTGGCCTCAATAAATTCTCCTGCCTTGTCCTCCCTAAGTGCTGGAATTACAGGTGTGAGCCACTGTGCCCGGCCTCACTTTTCCAGTTATAAAGAATGTGTCAGTGTAAGGCTTTCCCTCAACAACTTAGTGAAATGTGAAAAAAGATTTTGAAATAAAAGCATCTGATGTTTGAAAACATACTTTACAAATTAAACATGCTAAGACTTATCTGTGGATTACTGCAAACAGGGGAATATAGTAAAAACAAATGAATTTATCTGTATTAGTGCAAGTAGCTCAACATAGTAAAAACAATAGAATAGAAATGTTTGGGCTTTACCCATCCGCCAAATGAAAAAAAAATCTCCTTTTAGGTTAAAAGGATCAAGATGTAGGAGACTGGATATTCACTAGATCCCTTCATTTTCTCAAACTCTTCATCTATTTCTGGGCTGCTCATTGTAGATGCTTTTTCTTGGTTACTACTATCAGTATCTGTTTTACATGGTTTGTCTTATGTCTCTAACTGCTGTGATTTCTTGAATTGTCATCTGTCATCTAAGTCTAAGGCTTTATGCTTAATCATTTGTGGTCTACTAGCTGGACTAGCTTCAGGAATGTCAGTGTGTTCTACCATTAAGGTCAGTTTGGCTACTACATCGAGGTGGAGGTTGTTGTTACAGCTTTTAGAAACATGTCTGTTTTTTAAAGACACAACACACGAATGAAGAAATTCAGAATCTGGATAAAAGGTCCATAATGCTTGACCAGGAAAAATGTTCCCCTGAGGGTCTTTTTAGATATTCTTCTCTCAGGCTGCCTGAATCTATGCTCATCTCCTTTTTTCCAATTTCTTGTTTTAATCTGTTTATATCCTTTACTAGTTTATTTATTGCTTGTTCATTGTTTTTCACTTTTTTTTGCATATACTCCTTAATTCCTCTTGTAATGAAGCATTACATATTTTATCTTATGTACCTCCTTTACTGATCCATCTTCTTCAAAAAATTTAGAGCTGTGTGTTTTTACTGCTTGGCTAAAACCAGTGGATGTAGAGGAACCTGATACAGTTTTATAACCTAGTTGTTCAGAAATATCCAGATTGGCAACCACTAAAGGTACCCTGTGAAAAAGTCCTCTTTGAGGTTTCAAGGCATGTTTCAGTCGATGAGTAGCGTAGCTTTCTGTTATTATACTTGGTGTTAATAGCAGAAAAATAAGTTCTTGGTTTGAAAAATGCTCCTGCAAGTTTTTGTGAAGCAGCCTCTCTCTAAACGTCATGATCTGATCTGAATGACGACAGAATTTGTACCAACCTATCACATTCTTTTTGACATTGGAGAATATTTTCTTCAGTGCTTGCTCATTTACTTCACTTGAGGAATTATAAAAGCTAAAAAAAGCATGGAATATATTTCTGAATGTCAATTGTATAAACAACTTCAACATCATCCATTTGGGAATCAGTAATGCTATTCTTGCCTTCATCTTTTACTTCCTTAAGAAGAACACCTTCCGTGTCCCAGACAGTGCTGGGGTTGTGTAAGGCAAGCTGGTCAACACAAAGCCCAAGAACACCTGCTCTTACCCTTCGTGCTGCCGTCGGCTCAGGCTTCAGGAGACCTAACTTCACAACTTCATTAATCTAAAACGCGTCTAAAACAGTTTATAGAAAAGGAAATCCTCTCTTTTGTAAAAAAAAAAAAAAAAAAAAAAAAAAAACAGACAACATAAAATGTATGCATCAATGAGTCAAAGGAAGCTCTTTCCATAAGTATAAAACAAAAACCTCAAGGGATACAAGAGCAGTACCATTAATTAGCAACTTGTTTCTTAGTTTTATATAAAATAGACTGATTTGCAGTAGAAAATGCTTTAGAATTTGATGAAATAAGGTAATTATTTTTATTAGAAGCCAGTGTGGCACATCATGAGACCCTAACAAGAATAAAATCACCCACAGAATTAAAAAAAAACTATATTCATGGAAATCTCCATAACAGAAATATTGTCGATTCTGATTTGCATCTGTAAGTGCTCACAAGCCACATTTAGCTATATTCAGACCTGAGCGGGTATAATCTAAATTTAAGCATCCTCTAGCTCTTGACATTTGGCCACAGCTCCTGTACCGCATTTCATCAACACTAAGCCTGAGTAACGTATACCTGAAAAACACCCTTGAGAAATATTGCTGTCTTTAAGCTCCAGCAGGGAGTTCCACTCACCCACTAGTTGGTTCTCAAAAAACGGACCTCCTAAGTGTGGCCATGGAACAGGTATATAAACAGCTCACCAGCGCCCTGGGCTCTGTGACTCTGTAGCTATCAGCTGCCTTTGCCTCTGCTGTAGATGGGTCCCCTGTGGCCTATTGGTAGATGAAGGGGAGAAGGGAGAGGGGAACCCCACTGAAGAAGTCAGTCTAGGCAGAGGCGGGCAGGCCTGTGGGGAGCTGGAATGTAAAAAGAGTAGAATGCTGTTGTCTCCTCACTTATTGAAAGGCTACTTACCAGTAGTTCTAAGTTTCAACAGGGGGACCAACTTTGCACTCCACCCACCCCACCCATTGTCCTATTCCGGTGACAAAGAACTGACTAATAAAACCAAATTTACACCACAACAGCAAACTGGTTTCAGCAATGGGGTATAAAATGATTCATAACTCAACTGTAGTCCACATCCACCCTGAAGACCATTGCTGAAAAAAGACAGGCTCCAATATTGTTGATGCCATCACTCCACAGGACAGAATCAATAACGACTACAGAAAACCTGCCCATCCATGATAATTAAGTGACCCTGAAGTAATTACATATGAAAAGGCCAGAACAGCAGCAACTGAAAGTCTGGACCAACTCAAGAACATCACTAACATTCTTTCAGGAAGGATGGCGTCACTTCTGGAAAAACACTGATGGTTATTTTTCTAGAAAATTGGGGAAATCCTGCTGTCTGCTTGGGCATGTGCTAAGTTGTAGCTTTGCAAAATTTCATGGTAGCTTGAAGCTCAAGTAGAATAGAGTAGCATAAGAATAGAGTAGCATAAGTAGCATAAGTAATGTCAACTTTACTATGTTAATACATACAATATAATTGACTAATATACAATGCTAATTTTTAATACATCACTCAGTAGATTACTAGCACATTGCCCTTAAACATAAAAAAGAATGTCTATAGAATTATGGAGCATCACAAAGTAATATAAGTCCTCCACCTTTTAGAGTATTCCTAAGCCCCTGAAGAAAGCTATAAGAGGCTGAGGATTACTCTGGACATGGGCCAGGCTTTCAGTTCATGCTGTTTATTCATGTACCTCTAAACATGGAAACATAGTAATTGCTCAATAAACATGTTCTGAAAGAATTAATGAATCTGCTCTTCTACCCCTTTAATGCCTGGGGCTAGAAGAAAGATGAATGAAGCCCGAGGCTTTGCAGGCAGAAAGGAAAAAAAATAATTAGAGGGTTGGGAAATAGCACAATCAGCACAAACAAGTATTTTTTGAAAAGTAATCAAACAATTAGTCTTTAATAAGTCCTATTTGTAGGACTGTTGTTTTTTTCCTCAGAAAAAGTATGTTTTCATGTGGAAAAAAAAAACTTTTCCTTCTTTGCCTGAAAAATAACTGGAGAGCAAATTTTAAAGCAAATCCTACACTATTCAGTAATTATTTCCTTTAAACATTACAAGATCTGTTGAATAATGAACCCACACCCAGTTTGACAGAACACTCTGTTATGCCCCATGGCTTGGAGAATTCTGGCTTATCTCAGTCTTTAAGATGCAGTCTGCGGAACAGGCCCCTGGCAGGCTGAGCTCATACTAAAGGTTAAACTACTCACAAAAGTGCAGCCAGCCGTACCACAGAACAACAATGCAAAAATGACTAGGAACAGCAGCCACTGCTGGGATTCCAGAATGTTCACAGGCCTGTTCTGAAGGGAGCTCACAGCTCATGTTGGTGCGGATGTCACAAGAGAAGTTGCTCAGAATTGTTTGGAATTGAATAACAGCAGTGAGAAGCAGCCCCTCATTGGCCCGCTATAGAGAGTGAGTGGAGCCTCTACATATGAAATGGGAGTGCAGCATTGATTGGAAGAGAGGATGTGGGGAAAGGGGTATGGGAGGAAGACAACGTTAAAGGGGGGAAAGAGGGCATCTCCTTCCAGTAATGTGTACTCCCAATGGCTCTGCCATAATTGATCACCATTTACAGGTTTCTAAGGTTGTCTGGAAGAAAAGACACACTTTTTCTAAACAGAGGGTCATTTTAAAGACAGTCCTTTGAGGAAGACATTATTGGAGTTTTTCTCAGTTTTACTCTCATTCTGTGAGAGTTGGGGAGGCAATGCTATTAAAAGCATGCATTTCACCCACGGCTGACTACATAATTTGCAGGGTCGGATGCAAAATCAAAAGGTAGGACCCTAAAAAGAGTGCCATTGAAGGCACAAAATTCAACTTTTACTTTCTTCCACCATCTCTGTCTTGACCCATCATAATGTTTATTTGCTATTTAATATTGCACTGTACAGGTGGGTGCAGACCCTCAGCCCACTCTCTTCCCCCTCCACTTACTATCTCCCTCCAGCAGCAGTTCCAGGATCAAGATCAAAGTGCTTTACTCTTATCCCCCAACCCACCCCCCAGGGTAGAAAAGTCAATCTCCCTTCCCTGCAGGTCTGCCATCCCAATTCATAGACCTCCAAGGGATTGCCATTTCTGCACTGGGACATACTGTGTACCTGATGCAGGTGAGAGGGAGACTTGCCCCAACCAAATGCCCTACTTAATGCACAGTGGCTCTGCCAGACACTGCGAGGACTGCTGCCGCCATGCCCGGCCAGATGTCATTATGGAGGTGTGCACACCCAAGTCCCTGCTGGAGGTGGAGGGCAGCTGAAGTCGCTGAATAGGGATGGGAAGTAGAAGGCAGCCAAGCAGCAGGGACACCAGGGCAGGAGGACATGACAGTTGAGAATCAAACTAGGGGAGGGGCTGGGAGGCCAAGCATAAGAACCCAGGCTCCAAGACTCTGCGCCTGCTCTGTTGTCTGATAGGACCTCACTTACAAAATAAAACGGAAAGATAAGTTAAGAATTCATGACACTGACAGCAGGGCATTAAACCCAGAATGCAAGGTCCTTTAAGTGCACTGGTCATCCGATCTTGAAGCCAGCCCTGACCCTTCCACTTCCAGTGCCTGCACACTGACCACAACGCTGGGGTTCCAGGTCATTTCATTTCCTGTGCTCCTGGCATAGAGTTGGGAGCATCTCCTTCAGCTACTGTCCCAAACTAACCCTGCTTCACTCGAATGCTCTGGCAGATTCTCTCCCTGATACCACAAATGTTTAAAAACTATTTATCTTACCCACTTGCCACATCCTTTCCTAGTTTAGCAGACCTGTTAGGCATTAAAATTGTTGGCTTTATTGCATGTAGTTTTTTCCTTGCCCGTGTTTTATATGTGCACCCCACAGAGAAGTTCAGAGTGTTGTCTGTTAACTGGTTTAAGCCTTGGCAAGGGCTTGATTTTGAAGCAGAGACTGTACACTCGCACACACACATTTTTCCAGTGAATTCACCACTTTGTTCATGTTATCGCTACAGGAAGTGTGTCTGGATATTTTTATTTATCAGGACTTTGTTCGGATATTTGTCTTTCAAATTATAAAGCCAGGTCACATTAGCTCTCAGATAGTATCCAAAGTCAAAGCCGTCAAATCAGCAAAGGTTTTTCTTCCTTTTCAAATGTTCTTGTCAGCTTTTCCATGTAGGAGTGGGGAGTCAGGAATAATTTACACAAGATGAGTTTTTAACATTGAGTTCAAAAGTACTGGAACACTTATAGGCCACGGAGAAAAGCACGTTGGCATGGTGTTCAGCTATACAGGCTGAGGAGTCAGCCTGCTACTTGTAGATTTCTTAACCTCTTGGGGACTCACTGTCTTCAGTGGGGCAAAGAGAATGCTAATAGTACCTGCTTCATGGGGTTGCTCTAAGGATTTAATAACCCATTTCCATAAAGCCCTTAGCCCAGCACATTGTAAGTGCTCAAAAATATTAAATCATCAGCTAACTGGTTGATAAGAAGTGCCACTCCAGCATTTGACCATCTATGTGCCCAGCCTGGAGAATGGAACACAGCAGTGGCAAACCTGTGGCAAACCCTCCAACCCTTGATTTTGTCTCCCTTTTCTTGATGCAAAGCATCTCCAGTGGCAGAGAAAAGGCTGGGCTATTACCTTGGGATCAGATTGTGAAACATCTGGGGACCATGCTAAGAATTCTAGGCTTTCTCCTGTATGTAGATTGCATATAGATTTTTCAACTAAACTAGGGTACTGTTGAAAGGGAGCACAATTAATTATATCAGAACAGCAGGTGTCAACCATGACTCTATGCCAGATAAAACAGGGTATATAGTTACTTTACTAATAGGGTAGAGTCAACCCTTTACCCCAGTTGAATAATTTTTTCTCCTGGATATTTTTACTATAGGCAACTAGGCAGGGAGCCTTCCCTAGCAAACTCTGGGTAGTCAGCTATTACAGCTGTGAATATATTGACCCTGATTGTGGAGCCCATCAGGGAAGGTGAGACTCAGCTCTGGTCCTCAGGAGCTTACTATTTTGCTGGTGAGACATGACACAGAAGAAACACACACACGACAAAAACAATTGGGGAACAATACAGAAGAGTATAACCTAATGCTGGCTTTCATGGCATAGCACTTGGTATGACCCACATGTGTCAGAGAGCACTGAATTTCCATGGAATGTAAAATATTTAAAGGAAAATAATATATGGATAATCAGGAAAGTTGATGTGACCATGTTCCTTGGTTTTGAAATGTAAAAAAAAAAAATTCTAAAGTTTAAATGCTATCTTATATATCTATTCCAGATAACCCTTTAATATCCTTTTACTGGCAGCTGTCTTTCCACTTAAGACCCCTTCTCCATAGCAAGACTTTTGCAATGAACCTGGGACCATATATCTTTTTGGCCCATGACAAAAAGGGCCATTAGCCATTCGGGGACACTCTTTTGGATATTATCGAGAATGACTTTTTAAAAGTTAGATTTTGATCTCAGTGCATTGTGGGTTACATTTGAAAAAACTGTGCTTTATAGTAAAATATTGTGAATTTTTGTATTGTACTTCCAAGAAAAGA
Organism: Homo sapiens; assembly: GCF_000001405.40. Lineage (NCBI taxonomy): Eukaryota > Metazoa > Chordata > Mammalia > Primates > Hominidae > Homo > Homo sapiens. Next base: position 100,917,766 of record NC_000003.12, read on the forward strand.
TAGACTTGGTGACAGTTTATCATTTGAAGTCAAGCAGACCATGAAAACATTGTAGTTGAATCCAGTAGAAAAAAACAGGACTTTGAAGGGATGTTTTCTTTACCAAAACATGATGAAATGGTCATCTCTTATCATACAATGGCTTTCTGGTATAAACTTATGGTGAATTGTTTAAGAGATGGTGTACATTTATTAAGAAATTGATACCTATTAGGCGAATTTCTTTAAAAATCCCCTTTGAAGCTGAAGTTCTGGTAAATTTTGCGCCTTGGAGGAAAAAAAAATCAAATGATTCTGGGATTCCTGTTTTTTTAAAATGATAACTTTGGACTCATCTTGAAGATTTAAAGCCAAATACTTCCCAAGTGGTAAATCTATTTCCAAAGAAATAACTAAGAATTAGATGACATTTTGAAAATAATTTTAAAAGAGAAAAATCTATCTTAAATCGTACCCACAGCTGTTTCAGACTTTTTGGGCCTTTCCTTTTCCTCTTTCCCACCTATTCATCCACCCGTCCACCCATCCACCCATCCACCCATCCACCCGTCCACCTGTCCACCCGTCCACCCATCCACCCGTCCACTCATCTATTCCTTTATTGTGTTTCTGAAATCAATGAAAACATTGAGGGTAAAAAGAAATCTAAGGTTCCTGGGGTCCTTAGCTGCTGGGAGTTTTCTCCTTGGGTGAAGTGTAGAGGCAGACAAGACACACAAAAATAAAAACAAATAGCAATTGATTAACCTTAAGAATGATAAAGCAAATGGTAAGCCTCCAGGATATTCATGGAGAGGGACTGAAATGTCTATCCTGGCCAGAAATGGCCTTGTGTACAGTAGATAAAGTAGGACTTGATGGATGGGCAGCACATAACAAGCAGAGATGGTGGTGGTGGAGGAAGGGGAGAACAAGTTTTGAGGATGAAATGAGTGCCTTACATACTTAAACCTTAATGAGGAGATAGCCATAATACATCTCCCCACCCACTTTTTAACCATTTTTTACAGGACATTATAGAAGCAACACCTTTGTCCTGTAGAACAGATAAAGTTCCCTAAGTTCTGAGAGGCAGTAGAACACAGTGGTTCAGAGCTCAGACTTCCTAGCTTCAAATCCTTTACCTGCCATACAGTAGGTGAGCAGTGTTAGGAAGTTTAAAACTCTTGGAGCTTCAACCTCCTTCTGGGTAAAAGAGAACTAACAGTACTACCTATCCCTGCATAACTGCCATCTTGCATCCGTATCGAGTCTGATATTCACCCCTGGCAGCTGTCTTGCTCCCTGCCTTTGAAGCCTCTTGCCGTCTCTCTAAGGACTCTGCCAGGAAGAGAGGGCTCAGCTGGCTTCAATGGCTGGTACTACATCATTTCCTTCTATTGGTTTATCCTGTTTCTTTTTTTCATAAGTTATTTTTTTCATCTTCTTTATATTCCCTATATAGTTCCTTCAGTTATTTTCAACCCCTATTTCTGTTTTTCTTCAATGAATGCATAATCACTTATGATAGTTATATTTCAGTGTAATAAACAGTATCAATCTCTATTATTTTATATTTCATCCCACTTTCATAAAAATAGAGCATTATTAAACACTTTTATGATAGAGAAGAAGAGAACAACTGAAATTCTAAGGGTTGCCATGGTAAAATAGGAAAAATTGTGCATTTCCTCTTGCCGTCTATACCAATATAAAGATTAAGGGTAAACCTTGTAAATGGTACTAATAATCTGTAGAAATATAAATTGCATTAAAATTTATAAGCATACAATTTATACTGACTCATATCTGATCAATCGTAAATCAACTTTGCTTTTAAATTTTTGAAAATGTTTCACTGTGAAATAAAGTGAGAAACTTCAAAGTAAGAAACTGATGGTTGAATTTTAGCCCAAATGCGCTGAGATAGAATTGCCATCATTTAAGTAAATTAAAGCGTCATGCACTTATTTTTATCTGTTTAGTAGGACAGGTCAAAATTCTCGCTATCTTCTTGCTAAAAATTGCTTTATTTGAATAAGCGATTGAAAAAGTGAGATCTAGAGATGACAGACTTTTCCAGGTATATATTTTTGAGGGAGTCACCATATTTTTCTTTGGAGGCCACAGCTAAGGAATTCTAAGAGGCACCTGATGACTCTCTTCACCAAAGGCACGAAACAGTCAGCTTTGACACAGGATACCCTTGATAATTAAGAGATAATAATGACTTTGGGAGAGAGCTGTGTGTATGCATCAGCTACTGTGCCATCATCTTAGATTTTGCTTATTTTGTTTTTTAATGTTGTTTTGAGAGTTGACCCTGACGAGAAACATACTTGGGTATGATAGATGGGCATGGCTGCCTTTCAGTGACTAACAGCTCTGCTAAAACAATCTATCCTCTACAATTTTACCAACACTATCTCCGCACCCACAAATATAAAACAAAAACCACAAAACTGCCACTTAGACCAGGCTTTTTCAACCTAGGCACTAACCTCTTAGAGCTGGCCAGAACTTTAGTGGAAAGTTAACCCAATAGTTATTAGCAATTGAGACAAAGCTCAGAAGTGTTAGGTAAATTTTCCAAGGCCACTCTGCTTGTTATAACAGCAACTGACAAAATTTATAAAACATGCCTACTCTGTGCTAGAGTCTATATTAGCTTCTTTTTTTTAAATTTTTTATTTTTTTAAGATGGAGTCTTGCTCTGACGCCCAGGCTGGAGTGCATTGGCGTGATCTTGGCTCACTGCAACCTCCCCCTCCCAGGTTCAAGCAATTCTCTGCCTCAGCTTCCTGAGTAGCTGGGATTACAGGCACCCGCCCCCATGCCCGGCTAATTTTTGCATTTTTAGTAATGACAGGGTTTTACTATCTTGGACAGGCTGGTCTTGAACTCCTGACCTCGTGATCCACCTGCCTCGGCATCTCAAAGTGCTGGGATTACAGGCATGAGCCACCACACCCAGCCTATATTAGCTTCTTTATATGATTCAGCCATAGTCTTTACAATGCTTCTGAAAGATTATTCTCTATTTTATAAATGAGAAAAATATAATTCAGATAATTTAAACTACTTACCCACAACTATTCCACAATAAGTCGTGTTGAATTTGAACCCAGGTCTGTCTGACTCAAAAGTAAACAGGTATTCTTTCCTCACATCATGCTGCCTCTCAAGTGAAGACTGATCTTTCCTAGAACACAGATTTTAGCATCCTTGTCCAGGACTTTTTTCAGCTTAGAGCATTTCCAGTGCATTGGCACTGCATCCTTTTCCTCACTAGAGCTGGCATCACTTGAAGGAGTTATAGGCAAGATAGTGACTGAGAGGCCTGTGCTGAGTGTGAGAAATGCACTCCCTTAGAGAAATGAGTGTGAGGGTTAGCAGCTGTGAGAACACGAGAATTAAAACATTTGCACCCCATTGGAGTCCTAACACCTGGTTGGAAGACAAACTCTTCAATCAGAATTTGTCATAGTGAACACATATTTTTAAACTTAAGCCTTTTCTGCAGTAAGGATACTAAAGCAATTCTTCAACGTGCACCACATAACTGTGGCTGTAGGTCTTCCTCTGCAGGTGACACTGATTAAAGTGTTTTCGGATGTCAACAGAACATCATTAAGTATGAGTCTTTAAAGGTCAACGCTGAGAAAGTTCTCAGCTAATGAGACATTAGCAAAATTACTAGCAGCTGACCATAAAAGAAAGAAGCAGAAACTTAAAATGTTAACCAGGAGTGAGAACATTCATGATGTGAGTAAAAAAAAAAAAGACATAGGAACTTAGAGGATCTATGAAATGTGAATCATGTTTTATCACGTCATCGCAGGGCTCTGGAGGCAATTAATATTTATTAATAGCCACTGGGGAAAATACTGTTTTTCCTACTGCCCCTCTAGTACAATCTTAAATTTTTACAGAAATTTCATATGAATATTAATTTCCAAAATGGCAAAAGGAAGGTTTTATTTACTTTTGCATGGAAAAGCAGTAAGTGACTTGAAAACATCTCTGTCAATACTTAATAAATAGAAAGATAATAGATAGGTATTAAATGTAAAAATGGTTATAAATGATTATTTAGTGGAAGTCCTGGTCCACAGGTCACTAAAGGTTAGCTTGAATATTTCTGAATAATCAACAGCTTCTCAATTCAATGGTAAAATGAAAAATGATGGTAAACATATCATTAAACAAATGACATGTGTCAGACAAGGCTGTACTTAATATTTGCTTCGCAACTGAGGGTAATTCACTGTGTTTGGGTATAGTTCCATGCAACTGAAAAACATACCACTACCTTATTACAAAAGAAAGTAAGAGCAGGAGCTGTAAGTGATGCTTTTTTTCCATGAAGAAATAAAAATTCTTTGCTCTTGTATAGCACTTTGTACTCAAGGGACTTTAATTCATCACTTTATAGTTACAAATACACTAAACCACCACAGCATATCTGTGAAAAATACATCCAGTAAACTGATATCAGAAAGGGGATTGAATAGAGATGCAAATTTTAAACATACAGCTTGTGGCAGAGAGGATAATGCCCCCAACAAAGCTTGCTTACATCCTAATCCCCAGAACCTGTGAAGATGTGAGGTTGCGTGACAAAGGAGAATTGAGGTTGAAGGTGGAATTACAATTGCTAATCAGCTGATTTTAAAATAGGGAAAGTATCCTGGATTATCCAGATGAGCTTACTACAATCACAAGGGCCCTTAAAAGTAGAAGAGGAAAGCAAGAAAGGGGGCCAGGGTGATGTGATGCGATGGTGATGGTGATGGTGATGGTGATGGTGATGGCGATGGCGATGGCGATGGTGATGGTGATGGTGATGTGACGTGACGTGATGTGATAAGGGCTTGACCCACTGTTGTTGACCTTGAGTGGAAGAGAAATGCAGTAGCCTCTAAAAGCTGGAAAAGACATAAAACCAGATTCTCCCCTCAGAGCCTCCAGAAAGGAATGCAGCCCTGCCCACACCTTGATTTTAGCTCAGTGAGACCCATGTTGGATTTCTGACCTACAACTGCAAGATAATAAATCTGTAATGTTTGAAGCCACCAAATTTGTAGTAATTTGTTTTAGCAGCTGCAGGAAATTAATGTATGGCTGCTTAATCAATTAGGAGCAATTAATGCAAATAAGTCACGGAAGACTATAAATAACCAATTTAAACAACCAAAAAATAACATTTAACTTGGAACAAAAGTTCATTTTTGAAGTAATAAAAGCAGAAGCACACAAATCTCTTGGCTTAAAGAAATACGGAAAAGGAAATATGTACGAGGAATGTTTTTTCATTTCCACTAGAATACTAGAAGAGAAAAGGAATTAATAAAAAGAACATATTGATCTACAATATGAGGTAAGAGTTTTAAAAATAATTGGAATAGCCTTCTTGGAGTTGTGGAATCTTTATCCCTAGGTTCTTTGAGATGCACAGTGACCTATTTTATCTGCCCTAAATGACTTCAATAGCTACTTTCCTGATGACAGGACTTAGATTAAACAATCTCTCACATCCTCTTCCAGCCTAAATATTCTACACAGAGTGAAGTCTATTCAATTCTGTGGCACAAATATTTAGTGCCTATCTACCTAATGTAAATTATTTTGATATGAATAACCAAAGAATAAGGCATAGCTTGACTTTAAGAAGTTTTCAGTATTATAGTTAACCAAAGTAAATAATCGAGCATATTTAAGCTAGACTGAAAGAATCATAAGGCATACATAAGTGATATATTGATAAAAACCCATTAAATATATAAAAATCAATGCATTCTTATTGGCCCTAAAACCCAACCAACAAACACTGTCACTAGTCATCTTTGGAAATAATCAGAGCATCAACTCATAACAATGAAAATTTACCCTGCCTTTCTTATTGAAAGTAACGGCAAAAACTGCAATAACTTTTGTACCAACCTAATAAAACCAATATATATGGAAAATTAAAAAGCAGATGAGAGAAATTTATTCTTTATCATTGGCTAAAATAGGGAGAAAGAATAATAGAATGAGAAAATTGCTGTTTATAACTCCTGAATAAAATAATAGATCTGGGCAATTATTATCAAAAGATGCTAAAACCATTAGGTGAAAATTTGATGGAGAATTTTATTGTGAGAGACCAGGCTGAGACCACCTAAACACATCAGTCTTAGGATCACTAAATGGGACAGGCAGCCATTATGCACCTCTTTTTGTGAGTCATTAGGAAATACATAGTACCACCTGTAAAGTACTACATTCCCCCTTCCCGCAAATTCAAATCTAATACAGCCTCTAGATCTAATTACATCTTCGTAGGAAATACAGGGGATAGGAGGAGCCAGCTCAGAAAATACAGAATGGAAGCAACCAGTTCCATATTCTATAATATAGAATACGGACATTCTCTGTGATAAATGACCCAATTTCTCTAGAAATCAATGACATTTAAAAAGAGAAGGTAGAGAGGATTGTTACAGAATAAAAGATACTTAAGAGGCATAATCCAATATATCATATAGACCTGTTTGGATCCTGATTCACACAAACCAACCCTGAAAAGACATTTTTAAGATCACTAGAGAAATTTAAATATGTTCTAGGTATAAAATGGTATTATAGAATTATTGTTATGTGATAAAAGCACAGTGTTATTAAAAATATTTTTTATCTGTTAGAGATGCATACTGAAACATTTTTAGATAAAGAAATGTGATACCTGGTTATGCTTTAAATACCCAGCAATGAATACAGTATGTATGAAAGAATACACAAAACAAGATTAGCAAAACAGTGATATATATTCAAGCTGCATGCTGAGATATGAAGGTTCATTTTAATACTCTTTCCTTGGTTGTCTGAAATTTCCTGTAATAAAAAACTTTAAAGAATGAACATAATATAAATAAATAAAAGTGTCCCTAGTCCATTTAATCAATTTTCATCATTGAAACAGTGAAAGGTTAAAATATTTGTGCAACAAATTCTCTTCAGTTTTCTGAACATATTTTTTATCAGTAATAATTTGACTTCTATTACTTTAAGATTGAACACTTTTCACCTTATATGGAAAAAGAGCTTACAATTGACCCAAATTTCAATTTATATAACAAAAAAACTATCATAATAAAATATTACTCCTAATGCTCAATGAAAAAAGGGGTAATATGTCATCTGTTTCTATTTGTGTGGGGGCAAACACACGGCTTCCGGTCACTTTTTATACTAAAAATTGAATAGAGTGGAGACTTCTTTATGGTTTTTGTGGTCAAGGTTAGTGTTATTACATTTGTCAGAAATGCTTACCTCTCAGTTTTTTGGTAACAAACTAGTAGGTTTGCTTTAAAGTGTTTGTCTTATGTAAAATCTAGTTTAGATGCTTAATTAACAATATTACTCTGTTGCCAGATTTTGAAGTCCAACAGAGACGTCTGTATGAGAAACAAGAGGCTACAGGACAAAATAGATTCATCTTCAACATTCCCTGCATATTATCAGAGCTGATATAAAGTAATTGAATTCATAGGATAACACCTCTGAAACTTATAGGAAAGCTCCTAAGCAATAATCCTAGCAGTGGAACAAAATATAAACCTCTTATTAGACTATCCAGAAAGCCTTTAAAAGTATTCACAACAATAGAGGATCCTTTAAATATTTATATATTTATTTATTTATTTGACAGAGTCTCACTCTGTTGTGCAGGCTGGAGTGCAGTGATGTTATCACGGCTCACTGCAGCCTCAGCCTCCCCATGCTCAAGAGATCCTCCCACTTTAGCCTCACAAGTAGCTGGGACTACAAGGCGTGAGCTACCGTGCCTGGTAAATTTTTGTATTTTTTGTAGAGAGGGGATTTCGTCATGTTGCCCAGGCTGTCTAGAACTCCTTGGCTCGAGTGATCTGCCCACCTCAGCCTCCCAAAGTGCTGTGATTACAGATGTGAGACACTGTGCCAGGCTTAAAAAAAAAATTATTCTTAAATGGTTTTATTTGCAAATAATTTTTCTGGAGAAGGCTCAAAAGTGACCCACATCCTCAATTTACATTTTAACATAATTTAAAACATTTTTAAAGCAATATAAAATTTTATAATACATAGAAAAACTTTAATCTTTTTTCTCTGAAATACTCTAAATTTTTAAAAATATAATACTTTTTTTTAAAATGTAGCTTTTCATGAAAATACACTCAAAATGCTGTAGTTGTACTATCAAAAGATAGTAAGGTACAGCACTAAGGAAAACTAGTCCACATAAAATATGTTACAGAGACTTAATCCCAGACATTTCAGCTGTTTTTGTCCTTATGAATTCTTGAGTTATATAGCCAGGGAGAATGAAGATAACTATTTCTGCATGTAATAATTTTTTTAATGTAAAGAATTATGCTATGAGTTACAACAATTATGAAGATGTCTTGTAATTCTACCATTTGATTAAGCTAAGGATGTAGAAAAAATAGTTCTTGACATCAAGATTTGTAGGTCATGTTACACCCCCCCACCTCTTACCTCCTTTCCTTCCCAGCCCGATACCCAAACACCTTACCAACTATAGCTTCTGTGAATTTCCCTTCAGCGGGAAGAGGGAAGTACTGGTTTGGTGATACATTGCTGCCATATCCCAGGAGAAGACCTTCAAGCTTTACATTTGGACTTGGACGCAAGAACTTCAAGAGGATGGAGTCACTTGTGGTATTGATGTGGACTTTGAGGTTTGGCCTTTTACCTAACAATGGGAATGAAAACATCGATGGCTGTTACTTCCCCTTTTTAGCATCCTACCCAACTTCCCAGCAAGTGTTGGTGGCTAGAGGCATTGTTCTTGAAAAACATGTTGTCTACTTTGCTACTCAGTATTACAGCACACACCCAAACGCCCAAAATGAAGCTAAATAACATAGAGCAGCCTAGAATAAAAAGTATATCTTACTGTTCAATACTTAGTAGTTTATTATTGGGCAGGTAGATGCAATTTGGTTTATTTTGGCTCTTCAAAGTTGGCCAGAACCTTTGCTTTATACACACTGTCTGGGTATGGTGAAAGGACCTGAATTTTTTTATTGGTAAAATTGAATTACTACAGCTCAAAAACGCCCAGCCTCCTTTATGAGGCTTTCCAGTGCCACATCCACAGGTCTTAGTCATTGACAGAGTTGGAAACAGAGGGAAGAAAAAAGATTTTTGTCTTAGGGATAACTGACATGGTAGAATAGGGAATGCTGGAAGGCAGAGAACGGTTGAGGAGGAAAATGATTAGTTCCATTGGGAGTACATCTGGGAGTACATCTGGAAATACATGGAGATGCCCAGTAGTGAGTGGGATTTCTAAGTGTGATACTCAGGATGGGGGTCGAGACCCATCTGGGTGTCATTAGCTTATAAGTGATAATTGGATGAACTTTCCCAGAGAGATGCCAAGAATGAGAAGAGAGACCTTAATCAAATTCTCAAGACATTTATTTTTAAACTACTAAGGCAACAGAGGCAAATAATCACACTAACTAAAGGTCTTGACCAAATGGTGAGGAAACACATTGTCTTTTGCCTTTGGAGCCAGAAGGAACCAGGTTCAAACCCCACTTCTGTGACTCTGGCATCCCACTGAAGATACTCGAGCCTTATCTTCCTGGTTTCTAAGTGATATATAACATTTACCTTCTTGCTGAGTTATTTACAAAGGTTAGTGTATTAGTCTGTTGTGGCACTGCTATAAAGAGATATCTGAAACTGCGTAATTTATAAAGAAAAGAGGTTTAATTGGCTCATGGTTCCTAAGGCTGTACAGGAAGCATGGCTGGGGAAATGCAGGGAACTTTCATGGCAGAAGGTGAAAGCAAAGCAGGCAAGTCTTACATGGCCAGAGTAGGAGGAAGAGAAAGAGGAAGGTGCCACATACCTTTAAACAACCAGATCTTGTGCAAACTCTATCACTAGGGGGAGGTTGCTAAACCATTAGAAACCACCCTTGTGATCCAATCACCTCCCACCAGGCCTTACCTCTAACATTGGGGATTACAATTCAACATGAGATTTGAATGGGGACATAGAGCCAAATCATATCAATCAGTTAATGTAAATGGCACAACCTTAAACCTGGCCCATAGTAATTGCTCAACAAGTGCTTACTAATACAGGTCCACAGTTCTTTAGCCATGATTCAGAAATCAAAAAACTTTGTAGTTTTTTTGTGTCTTTTTTTTTTTTTTTGTAAGTTTATCTCAGACTCATCTGGCAACACATCCCAGTCAGAACCATCCTGAGGCCATTCAATCTTTCTTTAATCCACTAGGGTGACTATTCATGTGTTTCATTGAAGAAATGTGTTCAGTTAGATGGTGTTGATCAAGACCCCATTGAGGAAGTTATGTAATATATAATCTTGGCATCCTAGTTCTTTTCTAACCCTCCTCTCCAAATTTCTGAATTCCAAAACATGTCTGGCCCCAGGGGTTTTAGATAAAGGATTCTGAACCTGGATTATGTTTTTTCTTTATTCCCCAGAGATTTAATATTTAAAAAATATTTTGACTATTGAAAAGACTGCATTTACTGACTTAATAATTCACATTCTATTTCTCATTAATCAAAGACTTAGATTGTACAAATACCAATCACCACTTTTGTGCAGCATGTGCTCCCCAACATCATCACAATGAATTTATTCTACGCCACCCAAAATCAGCCTGCACAGCCTCAATAGAACCACAGAAAATGTTCAATTAGGCCTTTGGAAAAAGAAAAATAACCCTTTCTTGGATACCAAGTTGTGGGGATTATTCATACCTCAGCAGCTAAGGCTATAGTTTCCATGTATGTGCATAGTAGTTTTTACTTTCCAAGAACTTGATGACATTTTTATAAACTTCTTGAATCTCAGACTGCTATTGTTATACTGTGGCAAAATAAAAAGCCAGGGATATGAGTGGCTTATCCAAAATCTGAAAAGGGACCTTACAAATCAGCTAGTATAATTCCTCCAAATGAGGAAATTGAGGCGCCCAGCACGTTAAAAGTGGGTCAAAACTAGATCTTGGGCTCTCTCTAGGCTGGACTGCACTGCTCTCTTTTCACTGAGAACTTTGTAACTATCCAAAAGAGTAAGGAGTGGCCACACCACAGATCATAATGCTCAAGTTGGGGTGCCAACTGCTAGTGTTTTGTGTGAACTTTGCCAGGTTTTGATAAGATGATTTATACTTCAGATAAAACACAGATTTTGTCAATTTTTTCCCTTTTTAATAATGTGCCTAGATTAACTCTAGTTACTTCACCCTGCTCAATAGAATGGAACCAATGTAAAATCGAACACATATTCTGCTACCTTAGAAGGCTATCAAGTCTCACAACGAATCTAAACTCAACCAGCTTATTTCCAACACTTAGTTGGGAGGGAGCATTTAACAAATCTTAGTACACGTAGGCTGCATTCATATTTGACAAAGAGCCAACAGTCACAGCATCATCATCACGTTAGACTTTTGCTCATGGACTCTGGCCTGATGAATCACATTATTTCTCCCATGGGAAAGTGGAAAAGATGGCTACATCAGATGAGAACAAGGAAGGCTGTTCCATTTTTCCAAACAAAGTGGAAGTAATCCACCTCCTGTGCACAGGACTTTTCATGACTCCAGTCTCTCTCCCTTTTGCTAACAATGTATATCCACAAATACATCAACATCATATAACTATTCAAATGAATTGGCATTTAGCTGTTCTACTTTTTCTAAAATTCCAGTTCATACTACTCTCTCGAGCTAAATTTAAAATGTTCTGAAAGAGAAAAATACATACAGACAAATCTCATCTCAACACAGCATCACAAACTTAATTTTAAGACCATTACCTGAGTTCTTTTTTTAGAGCCAGTAACTCAAATGTCTTCATTATCTTACCACACATTACTTCTTCTCTTATTACTTTTCAACATTTCTCATTTGTTTTTGACCCTTACAATCCTCTCACATTCTGCAATGCATATGAGGCTTTGGCCCTACACCTTTGCTCAGGTTGTCCACCCAGTATGGATTCCCTCTATCTTTGGTTTGCCTTCCCTACATGCCTTGACTTACTCAGTTATTACCAAATTGACTCTTTCAGTGTCAGCAAAAAGGTTAAGCAAGTTTTTTTTTCCTTCAATATAAATAAGTTCAAGTGTTCCTTTGAACGAATGTTTAGATGTGTATTAAATGACATTTTACACTCTTGGACAATTTCTCCAATAATTTGAGGTATGCCTATGTACATTCTACACTAATGTTTAATCTTTGATAATACATTTATTTTCAGTGTAATTCTGGTTTAGTAGTTTGGAATACTAGTCATAAAATGGCATCTTTCAACAGTTAGTATAAAGACCTCTGGTGAGTGCCTTAAGGTAGGGATCATAGAAAATAATACCACATGATACAAGCTTAACTAGTACAACATCTATAAGTAAAAATGGTATATATGTCACCAGAAGAGCCCAGGAATTCAGAAAAATAAGACTACTGGAAGAACGTTTTATTGCACCGTATATGAGGAACAAAGCATATGTCAACAGGAGTGAGAAAAAATAAAAACAGAAGGTAAACATTTTGGGAAAGTAACACTAGTAGGCCTTAGACAAAAAATTGCATATTTGCAAAGTAGAATCTTGGATCTACGATGGTGGTTTCTAATCCTTTGTTTGCAACACCTTAGTGCATCTGTTAATATTTCAAAGAGTGTTAAGAAATTCTTTTAAAAAAAGTCTTTCTCAGAAATGACAAAGGTGACACTACCACTGATCCCACAGAAATCCAAAAAACCCTCAGAGACTATTACAAATACCTCTATGCACACAAACTAGAAAACCTAGAAGAAATGGATAAATTACTGGAACCATACAACCTCCCAAGATTGAACCAGGAAGAAACTGAAATCCTGAATAGATTAATGAGTTATAAAATTGAATCAGTAACAAAAAGCCTACCAACCTGAAAAGGCCCTGAGCCAGAGAGATTCACAGCCAAATTCCACCTATAAAGATGAACTGGTACCAATCCTACTGAAATTATTCCCCAAAAAATTGAGGAGGAGGGACTCCTCCATAACTCATTCTATGAGGCCAGTATCATTCTAATACCAAAACCTGGCAGAAACACAATGAAAAAAGAAAACTTCAGGCCAATATCCCTGATGAACATAGATGCAGAAATCCTCAACAAAATACTAGCAAATCAATCCAGTTGCACATGAAAAAGCTAATTTGCCATGATCAAGTAGGCTTTATTTCTGAGTTGTAAGGTTGGCTTAACATATGCAAATTAATAAATGTGATTCATCACATAAACAGAACTAAAAACAAAAACTGCACGATCATCTCAATAAATGCACAAAAGACTTTTGATAAAATTCAACATCCTTCCATGTTAAAAATCCTCAACAAACTAGGCATCGAAGGACCATAGCTCAAAATAATAAGAGCCATCTATGACAAACCCACAGCCAGCCAACATCATGCTGAACATTCAAAAGCTGGAAGCATTTTCTCTGAGAACTGGCACAAGACAGGGATGCCCACTCTCACCATTCCTATTCAACATAGTACTGGAAGTCTTAGCTAGAGCAATCAGGAAAGAGAAAGCAAGAGAAAGAAATAAAAGACATACAAATAGGAAGAGAGGAAGTCAAACTGTTTCTCTGCAGATAATATAATTCTGTACCTAGAAAATCCTGTAGTCTCTGCCAAAAGGCTACTAGAAATGATAAACAACTTCAGCAAGTTTCAGGATACAAAATCAATGGACAAAAATTAGTAGCATTTCTATACATCAATAATGTCCAAACGAAGGGCCAAATCAAGAATACAATACCATTCACAATAGCCACACACACAAAAAAAAACTACTTAGGAATACAGCTAACCATGGAGGTAAAAGATCTCTACAACAAGAATTACGAAACACTGCTGAAAGAAATCAAAGATGATACAAAAAATGGAAAACATCTCATGCTCATGAATAGGAAGAATCAATATTGGTAAAATGGCCATACTGCCCACAGCAATGTACAGATTCAATGTTCTTTCTATCAACTACGAATGACATTTTTTTCACAGAACTAGAAAAAACTATTCTAAAATTCATATGGAACCACAAAACAGCCCAAGTAGCCAAAGCAATTCTAAACAAAAAGAACAAAGCTAGAGGCATCAAACTACCTGCCTTCAAACTATACTACAGGACCACAGTAACCAAAACGGCATGGTACTAGTACAAAAACAGACACATAGGCCAATGTAACAGGTTAGAAAGCCCAGAAATAAGGACACACACCTACAACAATCTGATTTTCAACAAAGCCGAAAAAAAACAAGCAATAGGGAAAGGACTCCCTATTCAGTAAATGGAGTGGGATAATGGTTAGCCATATGCAGAAGATTGAAGCTGGATCCCTTCCTTTCACCATATATAAAAATCAACTCAACATGGATTAAAGACAAATGTAAAACCTAAAACTATAAAAACCTCAGAGGAAAATCTAGGGCGTATCATTCTGGACATAGGCCTTCGCAAAGATTTCATGACAAAGTCTCCCAAACAAAAACAAAAATGGAGAAGTGGGACTTAATTAAACTAAGGAGCTTCTGCACAGCAAACAAAACTATCAACAGAGCAAACAGACAGCCTATAGAAAGGGAGAAAATATTTGCAAACTACTCATCTGACAAAGGTCTAATATCCAGAATCTATAAGAAACTTGAACAAATCAACAAGCAGAAAAACCAAATAACCCCATTTTAAAAAATAGGCAAATCATAGGAACAGACACTTCTCAAAAGAAGACATACGTGTGGCCAACAAGCACATGAAAAAGTTCCCAACATCACTAATCGTTACAGAAATGCACATCAAAACCACAACGAGACATCATCTCACACCATCAGAATGGCTATTATTAAAAAGTCAGAAGATAACAGATGCTGGCGAGGTTGTGGAGAAAAGGGAATGTTTACACACTGCTAGTGGGAATGTAAATTAGTTCAGCCATTGTGGAAGGCAGTTTGGAGATTTTTCAAAGAACTTAAAACAGAACTGTCATTCAACCCAGCAATCCCATTACTGGGTATATACCCAAAGGAATAAAAATCATTTTACCAAAAAGACACATAACCCTAACACATGGTACTCAGTGAGACAAGCTAAACTATCATGGACATCCAGTCACTTATGGGAGAGAAAGGAATCATCATTATAATCCATTTAGTAGGAGGAATTCTTTCATATCTAATCTTTCATAAGGTTATCTTACATTCTCCAGAATATTTCAGAATGTGGTTTAAATTGTTGATCTCAAGTTGGTCAACATAATAAAATTACTTCAAGAGAAAAGCTGCAAAATATTAAAGCACTCTTCTAAAAGTAGATAATACTTATTAGTGTAGCAACAATTATTATTTTATGTTTTCAATGTGGCAGACACTAACAAAGAAATTAAGATTATTCTAAATAGCACATATAGACTTAAAACAGATCAGGTACCGTATTAATTGCCATAAGATACTAAGTAAAAGAATAGCTATAATACTGATGTCAATAAAATAATAACATCATTTCAGGATTAAACACATAACCCTATTCTTATCCATAGTGTGTTCTTCTTTTATTGCACAATTTTCACTTACAGTGCCAACCTCTATACCTACTCAGCTACTTATTTCATTATACAAAATCAAATTTTCTAAGATATCAAAATAATAAAGTCAATTCCTGTCAGTTGAGATATGGCATATGAAGCACAGATTTTAAAAACTGATAAATTGGACTAGGTCAAATTTTTAAAGTTTTGAATTTTAAAAGAACTAACAAGAAAAAAAAAAGGCAAGCTACCCATTGGGAGACAATATTTGCAATATATATATATATCTATTGAAGGACTTGTATTTATGTAAAGAAAATAATTCTTTCTATTCAATAAAAAGAAAGAAAAAACATGAAAAAAATAACAAAAATTTAAATAGATTCCTCATTAAAGGAGACATAGGATAGCCAAGAAGCACATGAAAAAATGCCCAACATCTGGGTTTGGGAGATATTGTCTGTAACGGGTCAGATAGTAAATATTTTAGGTTTGTCAGGACAGATGTTCTGTACCACAACCATTCAACTCTGCCATCATAGCACATAAGCAGCTATAGACATCATATAAACAAATGGACATGGCTAAGTTCCAATAGAGTGATTTTCTTTGTTTTAATCCAATAATAATTTTTTAATTATACTCTAAGTTCTGGGGTACATGTGCAGAACGTGCATGTTTGTTACATAAGTATACACGTGCCATGGTGGTTTGCTGCACCTATCAAGCCATCATCTACATTAGGTATTTCTCCTAATGCTACCCCTCCCCTAACCCCCCACCCCCAAAAAGGCCCTGGTGTGTGATGTTCCCCTCCTTGTGTGCTTGTGTTCTCATTGTCCAACTCCCACTTATGATTGAGAAAATGCAGTGTCTGGTTTTCTGTTCTTGCATTAGTTCGTTGAGAATGATGGTTTCCAGCATCATCCATGTCCCTACAAAGGACATGAACTCATCCTTTTTTATGGCTGCATAGTATTCCATGGTATATATGTGCCACATTTTCCTTATCCAGTCTATCACTGATGGGCATTTGGGTTGGTTCCAAGTCTTTGCTATTGTGAACAGTGCCACAATAAACATATGTGTGTATGTGTCTTTATAGTAGAATGATTTATAATCCTTTGGGTATATACCCAGTAATGGGATTGCTGGGTCAAATGGTATTTCTAGTTCTAGATCCTTGAGGAATCACCACACTGTCTTCCACAATGGTTGGACTGATTTACACTCCCACCAACAGTGTAAAAGTGTTCCTATTTCTCCACATCCTCTCCAGCATCTGTTGTTTCCTGACTTTTTAATGATCACCATTCTAACTGGCATGAGATGGTATCTCATTGTGGTTTTGATTTGCATTTCTCTAATAACCAGTGATGATGAGCTTTTTTTTCATATGTTTGTTGGCTGCATAAATGTCTTCTTTTGAGAAGTGTCTGTTCATATCCTTCACCCACTTTTTGATGGGGTTGTTTTCTTGTAAATTTGTTTAAGTTCTTTGTAGATTCTGGATATTAACCCTTTGTCAGATGGGTAGATTGCAAAAATTTTCTCCCATTCTGTAGGTTGCCTGTTCACTCTGATGATAGTTTCTTTTGCTGTGCAGAAGCTCTTTAGTTTAATCAGATCCGATTTCTCTATTCTGGCTTTTGTTGCCATTGCTTTTGGTGTTTTAGTCATGAAGTCTTTGGCCATGCCAATTTCCTGAATCGTATTGCCTAGGTTTTCTTCTAGGGTTTTTATGATTTTAGATCTTATGTTTAAGTCTTTAATCCATCTTGAGTTAATTTTTGTATAAGGTGTAAGGAACGGATCCAGTTTCTGCTTTTGGCATATGGCTAGCCAGTTTTCCCAATACCATTTATTAAATTGGGAATCCTTTCCCTATTTCTTGTTTTTGTCAGGTTTGTCAAAGATCAGATGGTTGTAGATATGTGGTGTTATTTCTGAGGCCTCTGTTCTGTTCCACTGGTCTATATATCTGTTTTGGTACAAGTACCATGATGTTTTTGTTACTGTAGCATTTTAGTATAGTTTGAAGTCAGGTAGTGTGATGCCTCCAGCTTTGTTCTTTCTGCTTAAGATTGTCTTGGCTATGCAGGCTCTTTTTTTATTCCATATGAAATTGAAAGTAGTTTTTTCCAATTCTGTGAAGAAAGTCAATGGTAATTTGATCAGGATAGGATTAAATCTATAAATTACTTTGGGCAGTATGGCCATTTTCACGATATTGATTCTTCCTATCCATGAGCACGGAATGTTTTTCCATTTGTTTGTGTCCTCTCTTACTTCCTTGAGCAGTGGTTTGTAGTTCTCCTTCAAGAGGCCCTTTGCATCCCTTGTAAGTTGGATTCCTAGGTATTTTATTCTCTTTGTAGCAATTGTGAATGGGAGTTCACTCATGATTTGGCTCTCTGTTTGTCTGTTTTTTGTGTATAGGAAGGTTGTGATTTTTGCACATTGATTTTGTATCCTGAGACTTTGCTGAAGTTGCTTATCAGCTTAAGGAGATTTTGGGCTGAGATGATGGGGTTTTCTAAATATACAATCATGTCATCTGCAAACAGAGACAATTTGACTTCCACTTTTCGTACTTGAGTACCCTTTATTTCTTTCTCTTGCCTGATTGCCCTGGCCAGAACTTCCAACACTATGTTGAATAGGAGTGGGAGAGAGGGCATCCTTGTCTTGTGCCAGTTTTCAAAGGGAATGCTTCCAGTTTTTGCCCATTCAGTATGATATTGGCTGTGGGTTTGTCATAAATAGTTCTTATTATTTTGAGATATGTTCCATCAATGCCTAGTTTATTGAGAGTTTTTAGCATGAAGGGCTTTGAATTTTGTTGAAGGCCTTTTCTGCATCTGTTGAGATAATCATGTGGTTTTTGTCATTGGTTCTGTTTATTTGATGGATTACATTTATTAATTTGCGTATGTTGAACCAGCCTTGCATCCCAGGGATGAAGCCGACTTGATCGTGGTGGATAAGCTTTTTGATGTGCTGCTGGATTTGGTTTGCCAGTATTTTATTGAGGATTTTTGCATCAATGTTCATCAAGGATATTGGCCTGAAATTTTCTTTTTTTGTTGTGTCTCTGCCAGGTTTTGGTATCAGGATGATGCTGGCCTCATAAAATGAGTTAGGGAGAAATCCCTCTTTTTTTATTGTTTTGAAGAGTTTCAGAAGTAATGGTACCAGCTCCTCTTTGTACCTCTGGTAGAATTCGGCTGTGAATCTGTCTGGTCCTGGACTTTTTTTTTGGTTGTTAGGCTATTAATTGCTGCCTCAATTTCCGAACTTGTTATTGGTCTATTCAGGGATTCAGCTTCTTCCTGGTTTAGTCTTGGGAGGGTTATGTGTCCAGAAATTTACCCATTTCTTCTAGATTTACTAGTTTATTTGCATAGAGGTGTTTATAGTATTCTCTGATGGTAGTTTTTATTTCTGTGGGATTGGTGGTAATATCCCCTTTACCATTTTTTATTGCATCTATTTGATTCTTCTCTCTTTTCATCTTTATTAGTCTGGCTAGTGGTCTATCTATTTTGTTGATCTTTTCAAAGAACCAGCTCCTGGATTCACTGAGATTTTGAAGGGTTTTTCATGTCTCTGTCTCCTTCGTTTCTGCTCTGATTTTACTATTCCTTGTCTTCTGCTATCTTTTGAAATTGTTTGCCAATAGAGCAATATTTATAAAAATAGGCAGTGGGCTGGATTTGGCCTGCAGGTCATAGTTTGCCAACTTTTGGTTAATATCATGAGTCATTAGGGAAATGCAAATTAAAACCACAGTGAAATATTACACATAAGAATGGCTGAAATTAAAGACTGCTAATCCCAAGTGTTAGGAAAAATGTAGTACATCTGGAACCTTCATACATTTTGAGTGTAAATTTTAAATGGTCTAACCACTTGGGAAAATGCTTGCCAGTTAGCTAATAACCTATTAATTTCATTCCTAGGTATTTACTCAGGAGAAATGAAGACACAAGTCTGTGCAAAAACTTGTGTGCAAATATTTAAAGCAGTGCCAAACTAGAAACAAACCCAAATGTCCATCAACAGTTGAACAGATAAACATTTATAGCTCATCCCTATAATGAGATATAGCTCAGCAATAAAACAGAACAAATTACCTACATACACAACATAGTTGAATCTTTTGTCTGGCATGCCGTTACGCTACTGTAGAACGGGCTATGACTTTCCTCATCTCCATAACCACCCTATACAGACTCTCCGGATGGAAGGTCATTCAAGCATCTTACAGCACCTGCAGAATTAGTTTTAATAGGGTCTAATATTATTATTCACCACTCAACAAACATAAAGTTAGCAAGTCCTTTTCAGGAATTATTATGCTCTAAGAACGGACAATGCTAAGTTTCCAACGTAGTCTATGCTCTGCTTTGACAGCAGGTTACAAGTAGAAAACGTTCCAATGCCTTTATGGTCACATCAGTTTATGAAGGAGCTGTCAAGATGTCACGTCTCAAGTTTATGTATTAAGCAGGGCAGTCACTGTCAGAAGCTTCCAAAAATCATAGTATATGACATAGATTGTATTAAATTAAACTTTAACACTAAGATATACAAACTATAATCTTAAAAAAGAACAAGAGTAAGTCCTTTGTGGGAACATAGATGGAGCTGGAGGCCATTATCCTTGGTAAACGAACACAAGAACAGAAAACCAAATACTGCATGTTCTCACTTATAAGTGGGGGCTAAACGATGAGAACATATGGACACAAAGAGGGGAACAACACACACTGATGCCTACTTGAAGAAGGAGGATGGGAGGAGGGAGAGGATCAGAAAAAATAACCATTGGGTACTAGGCTTAGTAGCTGGGTGACAAATTAATCTGTACAACAAACTCCTGTGACATGAGTTTCCCTATATAACAAACCTGCACATGTACCCCTGAACCTAAAAGTTAAAAAAAAAAAAACAAGCAAACATAGGGATTGGCAATAATTTAACATTTTCTTTAATTCTTAGGGAGTCGAAAAGGGATCACATAGCATGGGCTTTCTGTTCAAATGACTCTCCCTGTCCTGCCACCAGGAATCCAAGGAAAGGTATTAAAAGGAAAAAACCATGGAGTTTCAGTAATTTCCCTGTGACAATGAAGAATCACTGTGAAGACAGTGGCCAGAGACAATTATACAAGTATCTTCAGTTGTTCCTGATCCTTATATAGAAATGTGTAGTCTTGTGTGTTAGTCCGTAAAATGACTTTTTTCTTATCAAAGACAAGCTGAAAGTCAGTGATGCTAGTGGAAATTTTCATAACAAAAAACCATGGCAGCTTCAGCTAAATACTTTAAGGAGAATGAAAATTAAATGATGTTATCAATTAAGTAATATTAGACAGTATTAAAAGTGTTTTCACCAGTGCTGAAACAGCAAGACGCTTACATGACCTTCCATCAGAAGGAGAGTCTGTGTAAGGTGGTTGTAGAGATGAACAAAGTCATGGCCCCTCCTGCAGTGGTATGATGGCATGAAAGAACAAAGTAGGTAAAAGGAATTAAATTGCTTTGGTGGTGGTGGACGTTGTTGGGGGGGCATGTGTGTGTGCATGCACATGTGCCTGTGCATGCATGTGTGTGTGCCAAATTGTAATTGGAATCACAGAATAATTGTTAGGCAAATCCTTTCTAAATTTAAAGTTCTTATATTCCAACTACCAATTCCATATATCTCATTTTATCCTGGCTCTCTGGACCTCCAGGCTGGAATCTTTTCTCAAAATCCCAGATTCTCCATCACTGTCTTCCCAACTCTTTGGGAATGGAGTTTTACTAGGTCCCAGTAGGGAATTTCTGAGTGCTTACAGAGAATTAGTGGGCAGTGAACATGTAGCTGCTCTAAAACATGTCTTCCAGAAAGAGGGATGTCGCTGACAGTTGTTCAGGTTATGCAGTGAAAAACTCATTCAAACATCTTTTTATCATCTTTATCTATTTTATCTTTATTTATCTTTATCTATTTTATCATTTATCGAGGAACCTGCCCCAATAGTCATGTAGGTTCTTTCCTATTTTCCTTAAGCGTCAGCCAGCTTGAAAAATAAAGGGAGAGAGTACAAAAGAGAGAAATTTTAAAGCTGGGCATCCGGGGAAGACATCACGTGTCGGTAGGTTCTGTGATGCCCCCACAAGCCACAAAGACCAGCAAGTTTTTATTAGGGATTTTCAAAAGGGGAGGGAGTGTGCGAATAGGTGTGGGTCACAGACATCAAGTACTTTACAAGGTAATAGAATATCACAAGGCAAATGGAGGCAGGGCAAGATCACAGAACCACAGGACCGGGGAGAAATTAAAATTGCTAATGAAGTTTTGGGCACCACTGTCATTGATAACATCTTATCAGGAGACAGGGTTTTGAGAGCAACCGGTCTGACCAAAATTTATTAGGTGCGAATTTCCTCTTCCTAATAAGCCTGGGAGCACTGTGGGAGACTGGGGTCTATTTCACCCCTAGAGTCTATAGACCATAGGAGATGACCACACCCAGGGGGGCCGTCTATAGGCCTATACCCCCAGGCGCATATTCTCTTTCCCAGGGATGTTCCTTGCTGAGAAAAAGAATTCAGCAATATTTCTCCCATTTGCTTTTGAAAGAAGAGAAATAGGGCTCTGTTCCGCCCGGCTCACCGGTGGTCAGAGTTTAAGGTTATCTCTCTTATTCCCTGAACAATTGCTGTTATCCTGTTCTTTTTTCAAGGTGCCCAGATTTCATATTTGTTCAAACACACATGCTCTACAATTTGTACAGTTAATGCAATTATCACATGGTCCTGAGGCGACATACATCTTCCTCAGCTGACAGGATTATGAGATAAAAATAAAGACAGGCATAGGAAATCACAAGGGTACTGATTGGGGAAGTGATAAGTGTCCACGAAATCTTCACAATTTATGTTTAGAGATTGCAGTAAAGACAGGCATAAGAAATTATAAAAGTATTAATTTGGGGAACAAATAAATGTCCATGAAATCTTCACAATCCACGTTCTTCTGCCATGACTTCAGCCGGTCCCTCCGTTTGGGATCCCTGACTTCCCGCAACAGTCATCTTTATTATGGCACCATTCAAACCATCTTTTATTTGTGACTATATACATTAGCCACATTCACAAAGGCCATGCAAAAATAGTTGCTACTTACACAAATGAAAGATTTGATAACGGTAACCAACCTACCATTCCGACCTTTCCTCATAGGCCTCAAGCCACCCCACCCATCCTGCCCTTTTCACTGCATGCCTTTCATTTTTATCTTCCCTGCCTCTTAATTCTGCTATTACTGGTAACTAGGGATACTAGCAGTAGGATGCCTGGTGCAGGCTAGATAGGAACTCAGCTACAAACACTTTGGACATGGTAATCCCTCATTTACAAAGGAAATTACTTCACTATATATATATATATATATATATATATATATATATATATATATATGATATGATGAGTCAGGAATTTAAATAAGAATATAGAGGAAAAGCAATTCTGGACTTTTGTAAATTAATAGCACACAGATTTAGAGGTGGACAGATGGCATCCCTATTTGTGTTCTATAAACACAAATCAGAAAATACAAGAAAAAATTCTGATTAAAATTATTAAATAAAGCAAGATTTGTATAAATCTAAAGAATAATTACATTTAAAATAATGTGCAGAATAAAAGCTATGGTAAAAGTCCCATAAGCCACATAGATAGCTGCCTCAGTGCCAAGGAATGGGGGCTTTTTAAAAAAATCAAAACTTTACTTATACATGAACATATGTTAGCAAGAAGCTCAAATGACAGCATTTCATGATCTCTGCTCCAGGGCAAGCAGAACAGCACGTTCCCTCTCCAAGATGCCTTGTTGTAAGTCTGCCAGCTGGAAGACATGCTCCCACACGCAACATGTGTTCTCAGAGTTCAGGAAATTAAAAGTCTCAGTTCACCTGGAGCACTCCCTTCATAAAGCCACACCCAAGCAATACCCATAGATCCATAATTCCTAGGAGTCAATTAGTGAGCTTTTTATTAGGACATTTTCATCACCAAATACCCAGAAGACGGTTACTTTCGAATTTAGAAAGAAATGTCACTTTACAAAAAGTCCAAGGGGGAAAATCTTCACTTCCTAATGGGGCACTTTATATCTGTTTGCCCAGCTGTTTGCACAAATGAGTTCCAATTCAGCTAAAACCACCAGTTTCCACCTTGGTCAGAATTCCCAGTGCTCTGATTCCTCAGGCCAATACTTCACCGTCTGGTGAATTTGGATGACTGAATGAGACAGACTGAACTGCCAATGTGGACATTTCAGCACCAATTGGCAAGGCTAATAGTTTTACCAAAGGAGCAGTAACTACATTACTGACTTTGTAACCCAACCAACAGCCAAGTAGGAAAACTGCTTTTCAAAGACTACTTTCTAAATCAACAGTCTCTCATTTTCAAGAAGACACCTCATTCTGAGACATACACAGGTGTCAATTGCACACATTCCCTCAATCTGATTATGCTAAAATTACTCTTTAAAGTTTGAAGTGCGCTGGGGTTTTTTTGGAAGGGGAAGGTGGGAGAGGCAACCTCACACAATCAATGATCATATATAGGTATTTGCTGTAAAGGAAGTGGGACAGTGACATGGTTAACTTCAACTGACCAAAAAAACTAAATAAAATTTATATTTACCTTGGGACAAATATATTTTTACTTATCTGCTTTTTATTTTATTCCTTTCATTAACTACTGGGTAGTAGGCATTAGTGACACAAATTTGAATATGATATGTCTGATGGCAAAGACTGGACATTCTAGTACATTGGGTAGATGAATAAGTCAGTTGTTTCAGTGCAGCATGATTAGCAGAATTAGTAAAATAACGCTACAATTGAGGGATTCTGAACCTGATATAAAAGGGGTGGAAGAAAGAATATATATAGAAAACGTCCCTTTAGTTTTGTTTAATTAGTCACAAAAGTAGTTTTTATCCCATGAGGATAGATATACCAAAAGCAGGTAGGGAAGAAAGGAGAAAAATACAAGGTGTCAAAATTTATTTTGTAATACTTTTTCTGTACCACTTTGGAAAAATGGTAGATTCTTAGTCATTATTGTTTTTTAATACATAGAAAAGTAACCCGATAGGCTAAGGAATTTAACAAGACTCATTTCCCTTCTTTTTGTTCTTTGCTTATTTTCATGAAAATTCATGGAGATGATTTGCTTACATTCTGTTGCCCTTTAAAGTAAGAAGTGGTAGTATTAAGTGCTCTTGATGGAAGATGGGCTAGGCTCAATTCCAGGGCTCTGAAAGTATGGTCTCCAGATTAGACAATCAACATCATCTGGGAACTTGTGAGACCCCATCCCAGACCTATTGAATTAGAAACTCTGGGGGCAGCAATCTGTATTTCGACAAGCTGTATGGATATTCTGGTGAATACTCAAGTTTGAGAGCCATTACTCTTTTAAAATTCAGTGCATCGACAATAAAATTAATGGGCCCAATGTCATTTGAAAGACATTTACAGATATTCAACACAGTATGGAGAAAAGAAACTTCACTGTTAAATTTCCTATCATGAGACTTTTACACATATTTTGGTCTGTGAACAAATTCTGTTAATTAGGGTTTCTGAGAACTATTTCTGGAGACACATAAGGTAAAATGTTATGTTTGGAATACTACTAACTTCTGAATGTCAGTTATGTGTCTTTAAATCTAACCAATATATTTAGAGATTTAAAATCAAAGATGAGTTATTTTCCAAATTTTATTATAAAAAATTTTAAACATACAAAAACTTGAATTGTGTAGAGCATATCCATAAGGCAGCAACCAAAAGTCAATGATTCCTGTCTTACTCATTTATCATGTACATTTCCGTCTCTCCATCCCTCTGTCCATCATTCATTCCATCTTAATTTTTAATTAATTTCCATGTCAACTGAATTTCAGTACTCTTCACCCCCAAACACTTCAGTATGCATGCCATTAACTAAAGTTTAATATTTATTTATATTTTTCTTTTGAGATAAAATTTAGGTACAATGAAATACATAAATCTTAACTATACATTACTGTTTTCCCCAAATGCCATACATCTGTGTAACCCAAACCTTTATCAAGATTTATAATATCATCATCAACCCAGAAAATTTCCTCATGCCCCTTCCCAGTTCATTCCCACCACATCCTCCCAGGGACTATTGTTCTTAATTTTACTATCATAGATTAGTTTGCCTGTTCTAGACTCTTCGATTAAATAAAATCACACAGTATGTAGTCTTTCATGTAAGGTCTCTTGCACTTAAAATGTCTTGATGATATATCAGTTTTGTTGCATGCATCAGTAGCTTTTTGTTGTTATTGTCACAGTAGTATTCAGATAGTTATTAAAGCCAACATTTTTACATCTTCCAGTTGTCTTCATAATCAGCCTCTTTTGATTGTACTATTTTTAAAATGTTTGATTATATGATGATAAAATTTTTTCCAAGAAAAAGTGAAATTATATATGTATATTTCTAATTTTCCAGATTATTTACTTATAATGCTATTTACCAGGGAAACAAAACTATCAACTCTTCTATTTATAATAGACAATTACTACACTTAACTAACTTCTTAGTAGTAAGCGCAGATAAAACCATATAATGACTTCATCTTCACTGAAAAGCTAAATACTGGACACTGATACTCAAGGTCTCTGACACCTTTCCCTCTCACTCCCAGCTGAGAGAATGCCAGGCATGAGCCTCTTTTGACAATTAAGTGTAATATTGACTTTCTTATGTCAAAGAATGATTTTCATGAAGATGAAAGTAGATAAGTTTAACTGTTTTTAATTTTTAAAAATCCTGTCCTTACAATTCTCAGAGTGATCAGGTATCAAAAAATAGAAAATATATCATTTAAATTAATATTACTCTGAGTAATTTTCCAAAAGGACTCATACTTCTTTTTCTTTTCTTCTCTTGATAACTCCAGTTTGGGCACTCATTAAATTCCATTGGCCAAATAGAGGTTAAGTTTAATCAGAGTGATTATTTACAGGACAAAGCAGAAAATGTTACTTCTACCAATATTAAAACATCCTGCATGTACAAGATTACATATTTCTATTGCAAAACACTGTTCCAGGGAGCAAATTGAAAATACTCTTGATAAAAAATGAAAATCTTGCCATCTTGCAAAAACATTGTCAAAAAATCACACAGCTTTCTTAAATAAATCTGATTTTTTAAAGTTTTGCAAATAAAAAACATGAGATGAAACTGGAACCAATGGTTTTATCTGCCATCTTTGCTTAGACATTTGGCATCTTCATGAATTGTTTGTAATTTATTTAGTTCATAAATACCCAGTACTGATGGTATATACTTGTTCATTTGGAGATTTCACAGCATCAAAAGTCTTCTAAAGACTGCAGGGAAATGGCTAAACTTATCCTGAGAATATGGCCAAGTGGCCTCATATACTAAGGCTGAGTGGCCATGAGATGTCAGGAGGCTCTAAGAAAGGCCATTTGCTCTCAACTCCACTGTGGGCATCTCATATTATTAATAACATGTTGTGGAAGAAGCAGGAGGGGTTCTGAGATCAACTTGGCTTTTAATTGTGTTTGACTTTAGGTCGGCTGTCTTCTCTAAGCCTCATTTTTCTCCTCTGTAAAATATTTTGAGGAATCTCAAATTCATTCTCAATCTAATACTCAAAAGTGTCTCTAACATCTCATCCAGAAAAAATACTATCTTCCTACTAAAGTGCAAGAAAATCCAAATAAATCAGAAAATAATTTTTTAAGGAAACACTAATAATTTCCAGATAATTTTTTCACAGGTCTCCCCAATTGTACTTCAAATATATAAAAAAAGGAACAAATATTTTCACGAGCATATGGAAGAAATATATGTGACTGTCACATATAATTTTTAACAGCTCTAGTGAGATATAATTCATATATCATAAAATTCTCCCATTTTAAGTATACAGCTCAATGATTTTATAGCTCAAACTCACAGAAGTTGCTAAATTTATGTAATTTACTAAATCTATCATAATCTATATTCAGAACATTTCCATTACTCTAAAACATTCCATTTTACCCATTAATAGTAAATCTCTCTGTTCCCACCCTTAGCTCTAGGCAACCACTGGTCTACTTTCTGCTTTTCTGGTAATTAAATATAAATGGACTTACATGACATGTTCTCTTCACACCTGGCTTCTTTCATTCAGCATCATTTTTATGAGACTCATCCATCCATGCTGTATCACTAGTTCAGTCCTTTTATTTGCTAAATAGAATTTTATGAATATATTACATTTTATTTATTCAATCCAAATATTCATCAAATATTTGGATTGTTTCCAGTTTTAGCTATGAATAGTGCTGCTATAAAATTTCATGTACAAGTCTTTGTGTGAACATATATTTTTAGTTTTGGGAGGTAAATATGTAGGTGTAAAATTGTTCAGTCATACGGTAAGTTAATGCATAATTTATTAAGAAACTCCCAAACTTTTCCAGTTTTATATGAATTGCTAAGATTGTGAATATTTCTCTTGCTTGAGGACCACTCCAAATTGTGATCATCCAGAAAATGAGCTGTCTTGTTTTATCAATGTCACTAAATATACGTTAGATAATAAAATTAATTATTTTAAGCCCTGGGATTTCTATCTTTAGTCATTAAGGAAGATGAGATTGGCCGAACATGGTGGCTCATGCCTGCAATCCCAGCACTTTGGGAGGACAAGGTGGGCAGATCACCTGAGGTCAGGCATTCGAGACCAGCCTGGGCAACATGGTGAAACCCTGTCTCTACTAAAAATGCAAAAATTAGTCAAGCATAGTGACATGCGCCTGTAATCACAGCTACTCAGGAAGCTGAGGCAGGAGAATTGCTTGAACCTGGGAGGCAGAGGCTGAGGTGAGCCAAATCATGCCACACATTCCAGCTTGGGTGACAGAGCAAGACTCTATCTCAAAAAAAAAAAAAAAAAAGATGAGATCACTTATTTTGTTATAATAATTATTGTGATTCCAAATTTATCCAGAAAACAAGAAATACACTTTTTGCAAAACAATACAATGACCATTGACATTGTTAGAAATGAGTTTGAAGGCTGGGTGTGGTGGCTCACACCTGTAATTCCAGCACTTTGGGAGGCCGAGGTGGGCAGATCACCAGAGATCGGGAGTTTGAGACCAGCCTGACCAACATGGAGAAACCCTATCTCTACTAAAAATACCAAATTAACTGGGCGTGGTGGTGCATGCCTGTAATCTCAGCTACTTGGGAGGCTAAGGCAGGAGAATCACTTGAACCCAGGAGGCAGAGGTTGCGGTGAGCCCAGATCGTGCCATTGCACTCCAGCCTGGGCAACAAGAGTGAAACTCCGTTTCAAAAAAAAAAAAAAAGAAAAGAAATGAGTTTGAATTTGAAGCAGAATAAATTACTGAGTTGTCTTTCAATCTCCAGTCATTCCAGTTTTAAGAATAGTTTAGGCTATACTAATTATGTGAATATTTGTTCACCATGAAATTAATCAGTTCTGAAGACATTAACTTTATTTGTACTTAAAATTAAAATGAAATTACGTGTACATTTTGCTTTGTAACCAAATGCTTCAGTTGGGTTTTTCTATGAAAATAAATAGCTATCTTTCCTGACTAGGGAATTATTACTATTTTGACAATATTTGTCATTTTTATGGTAATAATTAAAACATTTTGAGTCTAAAATGTTTTTCAATATTAATAAAATATTGAAATTTTGAACTATGCACATACCTGATATATCTCATTAATAACATCTCTGATGGTTTGCTATTAATGTCGTATTTGAGCTTTACTAGGTGAGAAAAAGAAAGTCAAAGTGGCTTGGCATCATTGCCTACTAGGCTGACATTATTAAAATTTCCTCATCTAGTGGGTGTGGCCCAAGCTTAAGACTAGGTGCTTAAAATAGAATTTTATAACATTTAGCCAATGTTCGCAAAATCTAACTGAATGAATCCGTTTGAAAAAAAATCTTCCTGACTTTAAATTGCAGAAATAAGAAGGAAGGCTGTCTCACAACTTTTTATCAGGCAAATTTTTTTTTCTTGTATTTTAAACCTAGGAGCTACAATGAATTTCCTCACTTCACTCAAAACTCTGAACTTGGAAGTGAAGAGATGTGATTGTCCTTTGAGTAGTCCAAATACTGCCTATGGGGAATTGTTCCTTAGACACTGCAAATATGAATATAGTAATTCCCACTGGTTATACTATTCCCCAGTGTGAAATAAATTAATTTAAATGGTAAGAAAGAGAGGCCAGGAGACAGAATAAGGGAATGGAGTAAGTTGAAGTTGAGATAGTAAACTGTTAGGTAGCAAAAACTATGAAGCTGAGAAAAAAAAAGATAAAGAGTGGCGGATAAGGCACTTTATTGGTAGCAGGAAATAGACCCAAGGGAACACTAGAGGGAAAATCAAAGATTGCGGGACTGAGGTGCCCAAACCTTCAATAGCTCCATAACTGCTGTGATCTGAAGAGGTAACACATTTAATGAATGGGTAGCAATGAGTCAGCCAACGTTTAAGTGTGCATATTGGGTGAAGAGGGAGGGCAGGAACAGCATTCTCAGACATAAGGAATAGCATGAGCAAAGGTGCTGAGGGAGGAAGTAGATGATGGATTTAAAGATCCTAAACAAAGACAGTCTGGTGGGATATAATGGGTTAAGGAGTATGCAGGGAAGCTATAGAGGACAGAGGGCCCTGGTAGAATACATTAAAATATGTGTTAGAAGCAAAGCTAAATTGTTTTTCCCTATGAAGCTACACACAAGCCAAACTTCTGAGAAATGAATAATACAAAATTCAAATCTTAGATGATTAAAAATAAGTCCACATGATAGAAAAGTTGCCTCACAAGTTCTTAGCAACAAGCAGCTCAAATGCTCAGAACAAGATTTGATTTCAGTAGAAAAAAATGCTATTTTAAAAATGAAAAGTGCCAAACATATTTTACAACTAGATTATAGTTTAAATGGAATTCGATCCATACAAGTCCTTACTGCAAACAGAATGTGTTACTAAAATCAGTTGTTATTAATTCTGTTTTTAGCCAAAAGCTTGATGAAAACAAAGCAATTGCAGTTTAATTGCCGCAATTGGCAGAGACAGCCTGAGAATTAAACTGCTTACAACTTACTATATGAATACTTCTGTCTTTCCCAAATCACTCATTTCACTTCCCTCCCAGGCTGGTGGCACATTTTCATCTCCCTTTCCTCTACCCCAATAATAGTCCCTGCATTCACTTTTTAACTTAAAAAATTATACAAATAATACTGGTTGAGTATCCTTTATCCTAAATGTTTGGGACCAGACATTTTTCAAATTTCAGAATTTTTTAGGATTTTGGAATATTTGCATTATACTGGTTGAGCATCACAAATCCAAACATTCAAAATCCAAAATGCTCTAATGAGCATTTCCTTTGAGCATTTGGGATACTCAACTTGTACACATTCATTTTAATAAGAAATTTAAGAGAGTTGGAAAAGAGAATATTTTTAAAAAATTATTCATTTAATATGCAGATAAATCTTCTGTAAACATTTTTATATGTTCTTCCAGATAGTTTTTCCTGGGAATAATATATTACAGTCTACAAAAATAAGGTTATACTCCAAGTGCTGTTCCATAACCTGCATTTTCTTCAATATAAATATAGCTTTATATCTTTATTTTTAATGACACTACTGTCTTTCAATTAATTCATTGGGAATTTTCTTTGATAGTAGGTAAACTGACCCTATATCATCTCAGTGAGTTGGCACAGTTTAACGATCATCTCAATAAATTCACAATTGAAGTTTTTATTTATTTATTTATTGTTGAGACAGACTCTCGCTCTGTCACAGGCTGGAGTGCAGTGGTGCGATCTTGGCTCACTGCAGCTTCTGCCTTACAGGCTCAAGCAATTCTCGTGCCTCAGTCTCCCAAGTAGCTAGGACTACAGGTGTACAACACCATGCATGGCTCTTTGTTGTTGTCGTTGTTATTTTTAGTAGAAATGGAGTTTCGCCACGTTGATCAGGCTGGTCTCGAACACTTGGCATCAAGGGATCTGCCCACCTTGGCCTCAAAAGTTGCTGGGATTACAGGCATGAGCCACCTTGCCTGGCCAACAATTGAATTTATTTTGGTGAAATTTGGTATTCGTTTTTGGGATAAGGTATTGATCTTATAAAGTTCGAGCTCAGTTTTTTAAAATCACATTTGAGATCTGTTACATTGAATCCATATGACAATTAGATAAGCTCATTGTATTGTTTGTGAGATCATTGCTAAAATTTGTGGCTATGGAAGCACTGATATTTCCATGATCTTGAGATTCCTCATCTGATCCTGTAAGGAGTGGCGTTTTGAAGAAGGAGGACTGTATAGTGGAACATAATGGGCCACACACAGGGTTTGGAGTTGGAAAACCTGTGTTCAAGTCCCAAATTAAACCCACAATTGCCCTTTTGTTCAACTGTTATATGGATAATTTATTTACTATCCAAATGTCACCTTTTCTCCTGTAAAGTAGTATTAATCATAGAACTCTCTCAGAATTGATGGGAAGATTAAGTAAAACAGATTGTGAAAAGCAGTTCCTGAACTGTGCAGCTCAGTAAGGGTTGTTTTTGATCTGACTTTATCCTTGGGTTCTTTTTCATTTCAGTGTACTTTGAATTTTTAACATTCCTTGTCTTCCAACCAAAAATTCATTCTATATAGATGCTGTTTATATCCAGACTATAAGCTATATAAGGATACTGTCCCTAGCACGGTGCCTGGCAGAGAAAGGATATTCAATTAATATGTTTTGAATGAATGAACAAACACATACAATAGTTTTTTAAAATGGAAAATATTATGCTTGATAGGAATTAATACTATAATAAACAAATGAGTCTCTTCAAAAAAACTGTACTGTACTGGAGGATGTAGACTTGTAAGTTATTACTCAATGCACTCAACAAATTCTACATAGAGGAGGGACCCGCATGCAGAGGTAATTCAGAGGAGCACTGACTAGTTAGAAGTGGGTGAGTCAGGAATGGTATCACAGAAGAAGTGGCATCTGATCTGGGTCTTGAATGTCAAGAAGGACTTGTCCAGAGAACAGGAAGAAGGAAATTTCAGACTGAGGAAAAGTAAAGATGAAGGTCGAGGTGTTAATATCTGTGATAATTCATTCTACATGATATTATATAAGGTGTAGACTATCAACATCTCTTGCTGGTCAAACACTCTTTTCATCTACTCTCTTTTAAAAATTAATATAAGATTACAAATATCTAATGGCATTTCATATCTTTTCCACAAGGAAATCTTTCTTCTGAGTGGAGAGTTATTTCTAAGGGCTCTAATCATCATATGCATGTACTTGATCTCTGTGGTGTCCATCCTCGTCCAGGCATCTCATACTAGTCATTCACAGTAATGGGACAACCTGTTTTATGGGG
This sequence comes from Homo sapiens, assembly GCF_000001405.40. Taxonomy (NCBI): domain Eukaryota; kingdom Metazoa; phylum Chordata; class Mammalia; order Primates; family Hominidae; genus Homo; species Homo sapiens. The sequence continues at coordinate 100,950,894 of NC_000003.12, forward strand.
CTGAGGCCACGTGCCCAGGGAACATTACATTAATCCCAGCACACTAAAGTCAACTGAGGATAGGATGCGCCCAAAACCTCTCAAAAGAACAATGTGGACTAATTCTTAACATTTATCTGCCACACTAACTGCTCACCGGAGAGTAACAAAATATCTATTATTTCCCACACCAGCATTAGAATAATTTCGATGATTTTAATGATTCTAAAAATGTCTGAGACAAGTCTAGTGCAGACTGGAGAATCCCATGTTTCAGACATTTGTCTGAAGTTCTCATTTCCCATAACTCCTCTCTAGCATTGCAGACCTCTGACCACCCTAATGCATCTGCCCTCACATGTGTATGCACGTGTGTGAGCACCCTTTGCCCCACCTCCCCCTACATCTTGATTTTACTCTGTGACACAGTGGTATCCTAATTCTCATTTTCCATGAAATTTCCATCTCTCTCCCTTACTTCTATTCCTCCTCTGGCCCTCATAACATGGCAATTCACAAAGTTTCTGTCTTTTGCTCCTTTAGAGAACTGCTTTACAATTAAGGCTACAATCATAACTTAGCTGCTAACTAGTAAGTAGCTTAGCTGATTCTGATATCTTAACCTCTATTTCTGGATACTTATTTGGTTCCAGTCCTACAAGCTTTGTGAACCACTGACACTTTTGTTGATGCGGTCAGGCTCCAACCATCATTATCTTTCTCAAAACCAGTTTACTTCTCTACCATCTATGATGTGTCACAGTCCTAGGCACCCAAGTCACACTTGAGGAGTCAGGTTTTATATACACCTTGCTCAAAACCCGCATAAAACATGGAGAAGTCCAAATGCAAGGATGCCTATGACTTTGCTTCATTACCATCCTGAGAACTTGGAGCAGTGGTTCTCTTCTGAAAGGCTAAACTTCTAATTAAAGAGTGAGTTTTCTTCTTTTCCTTCTCCTTGACCACTTTGGTGCAGGTCATCTTGAGCCCAAAATTTTATTATAATAGAAGACATTCTTAAGGACAAACCATATGTAGGTTATGGTTTCATTTAAATTACTTGCAATGAGTTGTAAATAAGTCAATGTTTTCCAGCAATTCCTATCTCACCTTCTTTCTTAGCCCCACCCAACAAGATCACTGTTTATTAACTCTAGTTCACCCCATTTGTACACAGTTGAATAAAATCCCAGCTCCTCCTGCTAATATTCTGATCTCTAAGGGGAAAAGGCATTTTTATCTCTTGTCTACAAATAATTCCTTAAATTTTGGCCAAAACTATCTCCCTTCCAGATCAACTCATCTCAAGAAACATTTTAAGTTCACAATACATACTGTACAACATAGTGACTATAGTTAATAACAATATAGTTAATAACAATTCAAGTATACTTGAAAATTGCTAAAAGTAGATTTTAAGATACAAAAAATGTCATGTGAAGCAATTAGCTTAGTGAATTAGCTTGATTTAGCCATTCTACAATGTATACATATTTCAAAACTTCATGTTGTATGCCATAAACATATATGATTTTTGTTAATTAAAAATAAATAATAAGAAAATGATGTTTGCCTTTCATATGTACTATATACTGCATCTTTTGTACTAGAGAAAAATTAAACACTCTAATTGTAATTTGGTATAAAAACACCATGGAATATGCTATTTGATCTATTAATATGTACACAAAACATTTAGATTTCATTTAAATTAAAAGAAGCAAATAGGTATTTTATAATTTAAGAAAATTGTGCAGGCTTCGGCAGCACATATACTAAAGTTGGATGTATACAGAGATGGTTAGCATGGCTCTTGCACAAGAATGACACACAAATTCGTGAAGTGTTCCATATTTTCATAAACAAAAAAATAGAATTGTAAATAAGACACATTAAAAAAAGAAAAGTATTTTTAGGAAGAAGCCCATCAGCAAAGCACTAAGACACTGAGGACATAAATGCAAAACCATCTCAACTTGGAATTGTTTGTTTCTCTTTTATGTATTCTAGATGAAGTTTCTATACCATCTTTCCTTTTATTTCTATAAAATTCCACCTAGCTCCCCTGAGCTGTTTACTTGCTCTATTTTATCCACTCTTTGACTCTCTCTTTGCATTTCTAGCTTCTAAAACTTCATCCTGCATCCTCTTGATGTCATCTTTGATTCTTTTCACTTTTCAAATATACTTCTTTCAAACCCATGTAGGATGGGCTCATTCATTTTTGGGTAAATGCATTTCTGGGCTTCAAACACTAGGCAATTTTGTCTCCTGTGCCTACATAATATCCAAAGGCTTGGCCTGAAAAGACCAGCCAGTCTTCCATTTTTATAATTACCAACCTCATTACCTTTCCAATCCACCCTTCCCACTATTTCCGGGTTAATCACTGTACAATACTACTTTGTTACATTATCTCTTTCGTCTGCCCCTGCTGGACAAAAACAGCACGTGACTCCTTAATGCTCACAGAATCAAGGTCAGAATAAGGCTATACTCATAAATGAAGAAAAAATAGACTATCACAAAATAATGTCATAGGCACAGGCTAAATAGCGTGTATGCAAAAATGAGTAAGATACTACATCACCCATCAGTAGTGAGGGATACTGATCTCCAGGAGTTAACTCTGACACACGATAAGAGCTATATGCAAAAAATTACATTTGCAAAAGAAAATAAGGATTTTTCTGAGGCATGTAAGAAGATACTGTTAGAAACACTTCTCGGAGAAAGAAATACTATTTTTTTTGACCTCAAAGAGATTACCAGACAGAGAGACGATTGTCATACAAAGCAATGCTTTACATTTCTTGAATTTTGAGGGAGTGGATATTATTCTCTAGGCAAAGGTTTATGGAGAAGGTGAGACTTCAGCTTAGCTTTGAAAATAAGAGTCAAATAAAAGGCAGGACTTGAAAGAATGTTCCAGGTAAAAAATAGTAGTAGCAAGAAGCTCATGTTGAACTGCAAACCCTGAACAAAATTAAAAAAAGCAAATAGACCAGTTTGATTAAAAAGAAAGGATCATGCTCATAGATACTTGGAAACTCGGAGTTGGGAGAAACTTAAAATTAATTGTAACTATTCTCCCTCCCTCTTGGGGCCAGACTGTAGATTAGCTCTTAGGATGAACTGTCTTTCTCACTCCCAAACACTAGTACGTGTAACAAAGGTCCAGATACAGTGACCTCTAGGCATTATATTTCTGGTGCGCATCAGAACATCTCCTCTCAAACACAGCATTTAGAAATATACATGAGATATTTACCTTTTAATTATTATTAATTTCTTTTAATTATTTAGAAATAATTCAATGGTCATATGAAAGACTTATTGCTATTTTCTAATGTGGCATAATAACCCAAAACTTGGAATCAGCAATACAAACAGGAAGCATTAACTTCAGACCAAAAAGATAACAACTCCAATTTTTTCTTTTGGTAAAATTATAAACAAGGACAAAGAAGGCTGGGAATCATGAAATCTTGGAATTACCCTTTGGATAGAATTTCACTGGCTCACTATCAGTCACGAAATCCCTTCTAATCAATTTAAGGCTTATTTTCACGTACATGCCCTTCCTTCAGTACATTTATTTTTAAAATAGCCGTTCTCTGGCAGCCTTTCCTCATTCCTTATCCATTTCCTCTATCCTTTGCTGTTATAATTTATTTAAATAAATAAAGTAGCAATAAACTGACTATGTTAAGAATGACAGGTACTTTACAATATAAGTCTCAGCCATGCCCTTCAAAAACAGGTGGAATGAGACCAACCTAGATCCAAATAGTTCCACAGACCTTTACATCACACATGGATGATCTTGGTAGATAATCTTAGTGTGAAAATCTTGTTTGAGTGCCAATGGATTAGTCCATCTGCATTATTACTAATGGGGTGGTGAACCCTTTTCCTCTACAATTCTGGGCCCCAACTAAGGCACCAGATAAACTGTCACATAAATCCACAAGACATAAAAGCATACATGGAAAATGCCTATTAGCAGCTCTCATAATTATCAAGAAATAGCATGTCACCACCAAGCCCAGGGCAAAAGTAAACGTGTTTATCATCCCTTTAATGTTTTAAATTTTGTCTTTTTTTTTTTTTTTTTTTTTTTTTACGAATCATAAAGCTCAACTGGCAAGAGATTGGGCAGGGAAAGTAAGACATGTCTCTTCTCATAAAGTCAGCAAAGGCATTCCATAACCACACGGAGCAGTCAGCACATGTGTCATCAGACAGAAGTGGAAGTTTTGATGTTGAGAATCCCAGCTGCATATTTCTAGCATGAAGGGCTTGCTGTCTGCTCAGTAAAAGAACAGACTGGATCCAAGAAAAGAACACGGTCCTGTCCCTGACAGAGATCCAAGTACAATACTCCATGCATGTCAGACGGGTGTCTCAATAGCATCATCAGAGCAGGGCAAGGCACAGGGCTGGGTGGACTTTTTAACAAGTGAAGATGAATACTTTCACAAATGACTGCTGATTCAGTTTCCCTTTACAACATGTTCATTGGGACTATTTTTTTGCCCTGTAAATGATATTGGATGATTTCCATGCATTTAGCAACTATTAAATATAGTGGCAGCCGTATTAGATGTTTGACTTATTTGTTTCTTTTCTTCATAAGATTTTAAATTAGACTATTCTCTGCCTGTATCCTCCATTGTTTGGATAATATTTTTATATCTCCCATTTCACAGATGTCTTCTAATTAGAATTCTACCATACAACAAGAAGTAATAGTATTAACAATACTTTACACGTGGAATCTTTTGCATCTATCTACAAATCTGCAAGGAAGGTTGGTATTTATTTCTCTTAAAATCATTATAAAAATCCAGTCACTCATTTATTTAACAAATATTTATTGAGCACCTAGAATATGCAAAGCTCTCTGCCATAAGCTGGAACAAAACAAACAGTGAATAAAACAAACAAAAAGCCATACTTTCATTGAGTTTACATTCTAGTGAGAAGAGATAAATAAATAAATAATAAGTAAAACATGTGGTATGTGAGGCCAGGCATGGGGGCTCACACTTGTAATCCCAGCATTTTGGGAGGCCAAGATGAGCAGATCACCTGAGGTCAGGAGTTCGAGACCAGCCTGCCCAACATAGTGAAACCCTGTCTCTACTAAAAATACAAAAATTAGCCTGGCACGGTGGCATGTACCTGTAATCCCAGCTACTTGGGAGGCTGAGGCAGGGAGAATTGCTTGAACCCGGGAAGTGGAGGTTGCAGTAAGCTGAGATCACACCACTGCACTCTAGCCTGGGCGACAGAGCAAGACTCAGACTCTGTCTCAAAAAAAAAAAAGAAAAACAACACACACACACACACACACACACACACACACACACACACACACACATATGGCATGTCAAATGATGGGGTAGATACCACTGCTGTTTCTTGATATCTGATTCCCCTATTATTCTGAGCACATGAAAATTATATGTCCCCATCTCTTGAAATTAGTCACAATCATGTAACTAATTCTCACCAGTAGGTTGTGCACAAAAGGGACATAAGCCACTTCCAGGTCAATTCGTTAAATTGTTGGTGCCAGACCCTCCAACTCTGTTCTTCCTGTCCTGCAAGGAAGCAATTGACCAGATGGAGCCTGGGTCTTGAGTGACTACAAAGAACAGAGGCCCTGGTAAACAAGTGATTGAGCAAAAAGTATATGTTTGTATGTTTTTAAGCCTTTGAGATTTGGGGGTTTGTTGTTGAGACACAATCAAGCCTAACCTAACGAGTACAGCTGGTGATAAATACTGAGGAGGAAAGTAAAGCAAGGAAACAGGAAGAGTCAAGGTGGGAAGGGGCACAATCTTTGATAGATAGAGGAGGAGGCTTCACTTTAGAATAAAGCCCTGAAGGAAGGGAAACAGATCATGATAATAATGGACCATTCAGATATTTGGAGGAAGAACATTCTAGGCTGAAGGAATACCCAGTGCAAAGACTCAGAGAAAGGAACATGCCTGGTTACTGTGGCTATAGGAAGATAAGCGAGGAGAAAACAGGAAGAGGTGAAGCTAGAGGTAACTGGGCTGGATGGATAGGGTCTTAGAGGACACTGACGGAGTTTGGCTTTTATTCTGTGATGGTAAGTTATTAGAGGTTTTTGAGCAGAGAAATGATTAAAATCTGATTTATATTTTTACAGAATTACTTTGGGTGCTATCTTGAGACTATTCTAAGAGCCAAAAACAGGGAAACTATTTAGGAAACTATAGCAATAATCCAAGTAAGAGATGGTGGTAGTTTCAATCAAGGTGGGAGATAATTTGAGTAAGAAAAATAGAGAAAGCATTTCTTGATAAAAGTTGAAAGCAGAGCTAAAAAATTTGTAGATGAATCAAAAGAGAAATTTATGAGGAGCTACGGATGTCTCCAGTTTTATTGACTCAAGTAATGGAAAGATAGAGTTGTCTTTAGTTGAGTTGGGAAAGACTACAGGACAGGAAAATATGGGGTAGAGGAATTTAGAAGCTAGATTTTGAACATGCTAAACCTGCATGTCTATTAGAAAGCCAAATAGAGATATTAAGTAGGGAGTTGGATAAATGGATCTGAAGTTGAAGGGAGTGGTCAGGGCTAGAGATATAAATTTGGAACTTGTTGGTATTTAGACGGTATTTAAAGTCATAAGACTAGATGAGATCACCAAGGGAGGGAGAGCAGATAGAAGAGATCCAGGAACTCAGTCCTGGGACACTCCAATTTAAGAGACTGGTAAAATGAGAATGAATCAGCAAAGGAGACTTAATAGCAGCCAGTGAGAAAGGAGGAAAACCAGGCAAATGAGGAAACTTGAGCCCAGAGATGTTAAGCTACTTGCTAAGGGAGAATCAAACCTTAAATTTGACCCTGGTTCCGCCTGCTCACAGCTCAGCTCCTGATGCAGGGAAATTGTGAGGTACTTAGTGTAACTGCTTATTATTATCTGTGGACTCTGTCATTAAAATAGTCCAAGTCAGTTGATTCACAGATTGATATGTGGTAAAGATAAAGCATCTGGTTTTAATCCTTGGAGATTCTTGATATTTAGAGCTGGAGGAAAATGGCAAAACAAGTGACACTGAGAAGAAGTAGCTCATGAGGTAAGAGAAAAGACAATGGAGTTTTGGAATCCATAAGGAAAAACATGTGTATCTTATTAAATAGAAAGTGGACACTATCAAATTCTGTTGACAGATTAACTAAAACAAGTGCAGAGTTGGAACTCATCCCTAATAGACTATATTCTGAATATAAGACAATGAGTTTCATTGTAAGTCTCACCTGCTGATGAAGATAAGAAATAAATTTATTATTTACAAAATTGTCCAAGTTGAGAAATATGTGGCTGGTGCTAAAAACAGTAAGTTGACTAAGAAATGAGAAGGAGAACAAAGAAGAGATAAAGTGAGTGTGGAGAGACAAAGCAACAGTTTGAACAAGTATTTCCTTTGCTGCCTTGCTTCATTAGAGCGAGTGTACTTTGAGGATATACTTAACCAGACGGATAAGCAACAGTATTTTATCCAGGACAATTTTACCATATGATAAATATCCTGTAATGTATACATTGGGAAAACTAATAAAAGGAATAAGGCATACCTGCAGTTTTAAAACAGGAGTATATTATGAAAGTGTCCTAAAACTTTTGTAAAACATTGAACTTCTGGTTTCCACTTAGGATGTAAACATTACTCCCACCTTTGCGACAAGCAAGAAAGAAAACAAACAACCACCAAATAATCTTCAAATTTGTAATGTTTCTAAAATTCATCAAAGAGCTAAAGTTGCAGGGAAACCTGAAATCAAAGATAAGCATATCCAAAAAGAGATGCCACTGGATGCTATAGAAGCTAGTAAGATAAATTTGGTTAAAATTTTTAATGAATTCCTAAAAGCCTGGAAATGTAGACTATCATTCGAATACAGAATCCCTGAGAACCAAGGACACAAAGGGAGTTTTTATCTACTTGTGGGCTCTTCACGAACCTCATGGTTACTTACAGAAAAGATCGGAAGCAGCAAGAGAGTTCTGAGAATGCCTCCCATGGACATTCTCAAAACCACCCAGATCCTTTTATCTTTCCTATGGAGCATAAACCTAACCCCACGGGGGAAGAACAACCATCTTGTTGCTCCAGGGCATAGGTGAAGATCCGCTGCAGCCAGAATAAGGGAACAGGAAAACATGCTCTATTCCTACAGGAGGGATGGGAATACCTTCTAGGCCAGACCATTAGAGACCTTCCACAGAGAGTGAGAAACCCCACTCGTAAGACCCAGAACATTGAGCCTCCTAAAGAATAAGGCTGGGCCGGGCGCGGTGGCTCACGCCTGTAATCCCAGCACTTTGGGAGGCCGAGGCGGGCGGATCACGAGGTCAGGAGATCGAGACCATCCTGGCTAACACGGTGAAACCCCGTCTCTACTAAAAATACAAAAAATTAGCCGGGCGTGGTAGCGGGCGCCTGTAGTCCCAGCTACTCGGGAGGCTGAGGCAGGAGAATGGCGTGAACCCGGGAGGCGGAGCTTGCAGTGAGCCGAGATCGCGCCACTGCACTCCAGCCTGGGCGACAGAGCGAGACTCCGTCTCAAAAAAAAAAAAAAAAAAAAAAAAAGAATAAGGCTGAATCAGAACAACAAAAAGATTCCTCAATGTCCCCTATCAATTGGCTAATAATCATTGAATAACAAGTAACAGTAGTCTACTGCCCAGGGGAGCATTTAAAGGTTGGAGAAAAACCTTCTTTTGGTTGTAGGCTCAAAGGGAAGATCCAAAGCTGAGGGTAGGATAGAACAGACATTAAAAAAAATACTCTCTGGTAAATCAGTCTTGACTTTATAAGATAATGCTAGAGAAATTTGAGGCCTGTGGTGCACTGGGGTAGCCATGGCAATAACATAATGCAAACTCAGCTCAACTAATGACCCAGTTGTCTCAAACTACCACACTAAAGGCCTAACAAAAGAAAATGCATGCAAATGTTCAGGCATAAAAACTACTTCCCTCAGTGTCTACTGTCCTACATAATGTCTACATATGACTACACAAAGTCAGTTTTTTTAAAAAAAATTTGCAAAGAACCAAAAGAAAAAAATTATAACACACTGTCAAGAGACAAATCAATCAACATAACCAGACTTTGATATGACACAGATGTTGGAACTATTACATGGGGAATTTAAAATAACTATGATAAACATGCTTAAGGCTCTCATGGAAAAGGTAGACAGTATGTATAATCAGACAATAATTTCAGAAGAGATAAAAAAGGATAAGAATCAAAGTGAAATATCAGAAATGAAAAAATAATAGAGAAGTAAAGAACAAAGAATGAAGACTTTTTTAAAGTAGGGCATTCAAGAGGGGTAGTATGAACCAGTGCAACATGCATGTAATTGGAAACTCGGAAGACAAAGAGAATTGAACAGAAGAAATGTTTGAAGAGAGAAATACTCAAATAATTTCTTAAAATAAATGAACACCAAATCACATATCCAAAAGACTCACAGAACATCAAACAAAATAAATACAAACAACAATAACAACAACAGCTAGACACATCATCTTTAAACTGCTGGAAAGACAAAAACTGGAAGATGACCGTGGCAAAAAGACATATTACATACAGAAGAATAAAGTATGTTAAACAGGAAGATTCTTATAGATTATCTGCGTAGGCTCAATCTAATCATGTCTCCTTAAAAGCAGAGAACTTTCTCTGGCTGCAAGCAGGAGATATGAAGCAGAAAGGACGTCAGAGAGATTCAAAGCGTGCAAAAGATTCAACCCATAAGTGCGGACTTTGAAGATGAAGGAAGGGAACCACATGACAAGAAATGTTGGTGGACTCTAGAAGCTGAAAATGACTTCCAGCCAATAGTCAGCAAGGAAAGAGGGTCCTCATTTAATGACCAGGTGAAACTTACTTCTGCAAAGAACCTGAATGAGCCTGGAAGTGGATTCTCACCCTCTGGCCCTCACAACACCCCACCCTCCAGATAAGAGCCCATGCCAGCTGACACTTTCATTTCAGTCTTGTAAGACTTGGAGCAGAGAAACTAGCAAAGCCCACCCAGACTTCTGACCTACAGAGCTGTAAGATAATAAATTTGTGTTGTTTTAAACTGCTAGGTTGGTGGTAATTTGTCATGGCTGCAATAGAAAACTAATAAAGTGTCTTTACATCAGACAACTCAAAGGCAGACTTTATAAATAGTAAGGCACAACAAAGGCAGCCCTAGTACCAACTAGGCTAAAGAAAGAAGTTGCTGGGGCCTGATTTCAGGCACTGAAATACTATCCCCAAATATACCTCACCCCAGCTGCTCACTATCACGCTTGAATTTCCAATTTTAAATCACAGTGTCAATTTTAGAGACACAAGCTACCTGTGTTAATAACAAACAGAAAATTAGCAAGAAATGCTCTCTCCCAGGGCTCAGGTAGAAATCACACACTTAGGAAGTGAAGGCTCACTGCAGAGTGGAGTGAGGTTGACCGCAATAAACCCTATTCAAAAGATTGAGAAATGAAATGATCCCCCATTTAGAAAGAAATGACAGCATGAGAGGGATGGTCAGACACAACAGTTGATGGGATACCAGTGAGAACATAATATGGGCAAAGGAGAAGAAAACTTATCCTAATTCATAATTAGAGCTACATCAAGTTATGAACCCAGATCCAGATATTATTACTGCTACTATGATGCAAAAAGTCACACTCTTGTTGGGCAAGATTCCATGTGTTATAAAAATTGAACTTTCTATTAAGACATTCCTATGTAAGTCGGCCATAAAATTACCTTCAATAAATCTGTTCCACTTCCAAAGGATCCCACTCTTTAACCACAGCCTCTTCTTGCTTGTTAAACTACTTTCACCACACTCTTAGACATCATTGAAAAATAGCCTTCATGGATGTTTTTTACTTCCTCCCAAACTAGCAGCCTCTTCCATGGTACATAATTAGATTCCATGGCCCATCACTGCAATAATATTCTTGCCAAACCTCCAAACGCTTAGCTTACTTTTTTCCTGTTACATCCTTCTGGAGATATCTCAACTGTGGATGAGCCCAACAATCTCCTTTCATGGCACCTGGCTCCAAGTGGCAAAATCTACTAGAGAACATCAAATAGTAGGGTAGATGGTATAAGTATAAATTCATGGTCACTAATCTCAAGTGGGTCCTCATTCCTCTTGCCAAATCATTCTCATCTTCTCCCATAACTTGTCAAGTTTTAGCCCTTTCTTCTGACTTCTGTCTCCTCACTTGGCAGACTCTCTCTTCAACAGAAAATTGAAGTCACTGGACAGAAACTCCCTCAAATCCCCACTTTTGAACCTATAAACCTGTCTACGTCAGCACCCATCCCTCTCCTTTCTTGTTCTGCATAACAGGAATTGTCTGTCCCTTTATCTAATTACTCTGTCTATACTCTACATCTTATTCATTCTCCTTTTTTCCTTAGGAAAATTGCACTATTCCATGAATTTCTTTCAACTTGGTCCTCATCTTTGACAATTTAAACACTCAAATCTCGCTTATCTTAAAAAACAACAGTAACAAAACATTGTCCTCATCTGACCTTACATTCTCTTTCAGCTCTTGCTCCCTCTTCTCTCCTTCTACTTCCTTCTCTCTTCAGTCCACTATGAAATAGCTTCTGTGTCAATTACACAAACAAAACACTCTCTGTAAGGTCAGCAGTGACTTCACTAGATTCACTAGATACTGTTCATTTTACTTAAAGATTAGCATTTGACACTTTTGATCACACCCTCCTTCTTCAAATATTCTCCCACTTCTCTGACTGGTCCTTTCTGTCTCTCCATAAGCTCAAACTCATCTACCTGGTCATTATATACTGGAGGACCTTGGGGCTCATTCTGAAACATTTTTTGGTGATTGCATTGATTTTCGTGACTTGAACTATCACTTACACACTGACAGCTCCTGAATTTGTAGCCCTAGTGCAGACCTCATCCCTGAGTTCTAGACTCTTATAGGAAACAGCCTACTCAGCACCGTTCACTAAGAAGTCTCAAAGGCACCTCAGACTCACTAAGTCTAACACTGAAGCCATAATTTTTGGCCCTACATCTGACTCTTTTCTAGTACAGGAAATAACCATCACTCATGTAGTGATGCTGAAAACTAACCAGTGGTAATACTTATTCTGGGTCAAGTACTGTACATATATGTTAACCCATTTAATCTTCATTATAGCTATGATGTGGCTACTAGTATCATCTCCACCTCCATTTCCAAGATGAGAAATGGAGGCATACAGTGGTTAAGCAATCGGCCCAAGATCACACCATTACTAAGTGGCAGGGTTGAGATTTGAACAAAGGCAAAGTTATGATTCACATTCTCAATGACTACATTTTTTCAATGCTCACTGTATGTGTAGGCTAGAAACCCAGGAGTCATTTTTGATGCTTTCTTCTTTCCTCCTCAAATATCTGATTGTCAAATCTGTATATTTTCACTTTCTTAATATCTTACAAATTTATTCCTTTTTTACTTATCACCACTAAATTACCACTAATAAGCATTAGTAGTCCAAGCCACCACCATCTCTTACTTCAGCTACTACGATAGACTCTACACTGGTAACCAGAGATGTCTTTTTATAATATAATTCAGAACATATAGCTCACGCTTAGGACATTTCAACAGTTTCCATTGTTCCCAGATGGCGACTAATAATTTCGATGTAGTTGACCCTCCAATGTATGTTAGCCCCTGTTTCTCTTTCTCTCCAGGTTCATCTCTAAGCCCTCTCTGCCTAGTTGCTGTGCTCCAGTCGCACTGGCCAGCTGTTATTTCCATCCACTTACCTGCTCCATCCACAGTAGGGTGTCTGCTCAGAGCTGGTCTCTCTCCTAGGGAGGCTCTGATTTCACTCCCATGAAGCCATTCACTAACCAGCCCTGAAAGTCCTCAGTTAGTTAACACTCACTCATCCTTCAGACTTGACTCAAGAGTTCCTTTCTTATAAAAGCCTCCTCTGACATCCCAGGCTAGAGATGGTTTCTCTGTTTTTAGCCCTCCTTTACAAAGAACATTCATCTTAGTTTACATTATTCATTTAGTATACTATTAATACAGGAGTTAAGAAGAAATCACTTAGGCAGATAGTAAGGGTATGGGAGTCCTCGGTAAGACTTTTCTTTTTGATGAGAAGCAGCCCCAAGTCGTTTTGTAGCAAAAAGGAGCCTGCAAGGTGGGATCTTGCAAGGGTGAATGCTAGCAGGAACTAGGGTCTAGACATGTTCAAGATGGCGGCTCCATCTTCCCTTTCTTTGTCAGCCACTTGTATGGTAAAGAGCAGACAAGATGGCACCAATCAACTGGAAAGTCCATTTGCATAATAAGATTAGGGGTTGGGGGACCAGCCTTCTTTGGGCACTATGTAAATGTCATACCTGATCAAACTAATATGTGAGCCCTCCATAAATCAGACACCACTTCCTCAAATTGGACTATAAATTCCGGGGCATCCGCCGCCAGCCGGTCCTTTCTGCTCAGAGACCTCTCTCTCTATGGAGAGCGCTGTTGTTCTTTTTCTTCTCTTCTGCCTATTAAACCTCTGCTCCTAAACTTGTGTGTGTCCCATGTCCTAAATTTTCCTGGCATGCAACAACGAACTCCAGGGTATAGACACCAGACAACGTAGCCACTTCACTATTATGTGTTTAACATCTTTTTGCCTCGCTAGAATGTAAGCTACCTGAAGGCACAATTGTCCATTTTTCTTCACTTCAGTATTTCTAATGCATGGGTCCTGGCCCACAAGAGGCACCCAACAGCCCAGAAATCTCAATTAACCAAATAGCATCCTAGCAAACTTCCACAAGTTGGTCCTAGGGGGTAAAATTCTATAGACAAAAATTTTGGCATCCTCCTATTTCTAATTTCTGCATATTTTCCCCAAATTCTGGCTTCTGCCCTCACTGGTTGTACCAGCCTCTCTTCTTTAAAGCTTTGATTGGTTAGCCATCACACTGGAAAATATCTGAAGAGCTAGTTCCTATTAAAGTGTAAAGACTCATAAAGAATGAAGAAGTTTCTTATGTCATGATAAATTTTTGTATTAATAAGGAAACCCAAACTGCATTATTTAAGTTCTAATAGTATAAGTGCAGTGATCAGAGATAACTTTGGAGTGGAGCCTTCTTATTGGTCGTTTGCTGCTCCCTTTCCATACCCAACTCTCCTTCCACACATAAGCCAACTCTTTTCAGTAAGAGTTCAAACCTTGGACATCTGATCTAGCAGAATCATGAATCTAAGGTAAATCCACATGAGGGGCCATGACCCTAACTCATCTCAAATGCCATCTTTTTCAAGTCCCATTTGCCTCAAGGACTAAGAAAATTTAGAAACCTTATGGATATAGTGACAAAATTCTGGGCCATTCAAACCATTAAACATTCCAGTTTATTTAAATATCAGGGTTCATAAAAGAAAATCAACTCTATAGTTTTAACAGATGCCCTCCAGAATGGCCAATTATTGCTAAACCAAAGTACATCCTATTAAATTTGTTACAGCAATGATGTGAAAACATGGAAAGCCTTTATTCTGAATAAAACAAAAAAAAAAAAACAGAGGAAGTATTCAATTAACCATCAGAAGGGGTTTTAGTAAGGAAAGGACTGAGTTTATACATCATTAATTTAAAATAAATTTATTGAGAAACTTCCGTGTACCAGGCATTAATCTGGGTGCTCTGAAGAATGGAATCATGGTGTGTTAATGGTGGCCTTGGGGATTGTAACAGATGTGTGTGTGTGTTAGTGTGTTAGTGTGTGGTGGTGTGTTGGTGGTGGCCTTGGGGATCGTAACAGATGAGGTCAGCAGAAGCCAGATTGTGACGTGATTTGCCAAAATGCCACAGCTGGGGATAAAACAAAATCCTTGTCCTCAGCCTGCTCAATTCATGTTTTAGATGATTTTTACAAAGGATAAAATGTCCATTATTTGGACATTTGATCCAATAATGATCTTTCCATTATTGTAGAAAGATGTGAAAAGCATGAATGCTTTAAGGGAGGACTTCAACCAAGGGCAAAGATGGGCCCCAAACAGTCCATGAATCAGGCCCAGTTCTGTGACTAGCTTAGGTTTCCTCCTACTTTGATCCTAGGAGACCTACATGAAAGCACGATCGACTTCATAAGCCTGAGAATGTCTCTGTTCTCTAACCTGAAGTGGTCACATTGGATTCATAACACTAATTGTTTCCATAGTGCACAGCTGTTATGTTGAAAATAGAAAACCATGACTTCATGTGTGGACTATGAATACAGGCAAGAGCTCTGTTATCAATAAACCCAGTTTCTCTAATTTGATCATCTAGCTAACAGGGTAAGACCTTCATCCATCACCTTAGCTTTTGCCAACTTTTCTCTGGTGAAGTGAAGGAAGTGAGGCAATGCTATCTCTGAATTTCATGACCCAAAAGGCAAACTATGGCCCATGGGCCAAATCCAGTCCACCACCTGTTTTTGTAAAAACAGCAGAGTTGAGTATGACACGTACCATATGGCCCACAAAGCCTAATGTATTTACTATCCAGTCTTTTACAGAAAAATTTTGCTGACCCCTGCTTGAAAGTAAAATAGTGAAACAGCAACAAAATGTAAGCAGATTCTCCATCGGCACAAGGGTGTATTGCAAATGAGAAGTTAAGGTGGTTTGTAAAATATAGTTTCTTACTTCATTAAATATATGAATTACAGCAAAGATTAAATTATAGGAATTTAAAACATGTAAAGATTCAAAATACCTCCCCTGATCCATCACACATGAAACAGATTAATGTGAGAATGTCCTTCTTCTTCTTCTAGACATAAAGTATTATTTGAGATGTCAGGATTGATGGCTGTGAATTCATGATTATGTCCCTAGGAGACTACATGCTACATCTCTGTACCACACCCCCATGATGAGCATAGAGTCCTACACCAAAGAACTTCACCACGTTATGTGTGCAATAAATTTTAAAGCGCTAGAATTTGTAAGGCTTTTTTTTTTTTCAAACTAAAGATGACTCAGATATGGGAGACTTATTGGCAGACCCAGGTCTGTTTTTGATTAGCAGTGTAATCATGGTTAATTGACTTAATGTTCCTAAATCTCAATTTTCTCATCTGTGAAGGGAAAGGCTTGAACTGTATACCCTCTGGGGTTTTGGTCTCTGAATTCTGACTAATAAAGGTAAATCTTGTTGGATTCCTATCAATTCCAAGTGACAGCTCAAGTTTTGCTACCTTAAAATTTTGTTAAATCAAATATTATTTGAGGGCTAGGTGCGGTGGCTCACACCTGTAATCGTAATAGTTTGGGAGGCTGAGGCGGGTGGATCACTTGAGTTCAGCAGTTCAAGACCAGCCAGGCCAACATGGTGAAATATTGTCTCTGTCAAAAATACAAAAATTAGCCAGGCTTGGGATGGTGGGCCCCTGTTATCCCAGCTACTCGGGAGGCTGAGGCAGAAGAATCACTTGAACCTGGAAGGAGGAGGTTGCAGTGAGCTGAGGTAGCGCCGCTGCACTCTAGCCTGGGTGACAGAGTGAGACTCCATCTCAAAAAAAAAAAAAAAAAGAAATATTATTAGAGATTGATGATGCTTCAGACATGTCGGGCCTCTCAACCTTTTGGAGCACCAATATTACAAAGAACAATTTAACTTGTGAATATGCAATAAAAATTATTCCAATTTTATGGTGATTTGCTCATGCCTCTTTGTAATATTCTGATTTCAATCAATTCAAAAACAATTCAATAAGGTAGAATAATTACAACTAACTTGACCTTTAAGTTTTACTATATTAGTCTAGGAATAGAAATGCCCCAATGAACATTTTATAAAAGGTACAATTTTAATCTGCAAATAGACAATAGTTTTCAGATCAGCCTCATCTTCATAAAAATATACATTCATTCCTGCTCACAAGGGGCACAGAAAAAGAAAAAAAATGAAAAAACAATGCATGCCTATGTGAAACAACTGTAGTTACTTAGGTCAGTAGCCACACTGCCTTTTTAAATTCACTGAAATGACTGAGATTAGGAGGGGGCCAACCATCAGATGGTTGAAACTGACATCAAAATGGGGCTATGTGATATTAGAGGACACAGGCAAGACTGCCATGGACGAGCCTGGGGAGTTCTAATAGAACAATCTGGCCATACCTGCCCCATATTCTGTATATGATTGAAGTTACTTTCAGCCTTTTATTCTATTACTATAATATACAGCTTTGAATCCCAAAATCCTGTTAAGAAAAACAAATCCTGAATGATCCATTTCAGAAATTTCAAATATGTATATATATTTTTCCTAAGGGGAATAAAATGCCAAGGAAGGAATTTCATGGATTAAAAATCTCTTTTAAAGCACTTGGAAAGAGAACAGGGATAATCCAATTTGTACACTTTTTTCACTTTATTATTCTCTTGCATAATAAGAAATGTATACAGCTATACAAGAAATACATAGTATTTTGCCACCTATGTTACCTAGTTTTATTTTAATTGTGATTTTGGTGTAATCAAATAGGAAAGTGAAAACTCAGATCTTAAAAACCATCTCACAAAATTAAAGGTAATCATTTAATCCATAGTGTGTGGTCAAGTTGAAATCTTGGTCTGTATCTTGGTCTGTATCTTTTAAACTGAAAAGTAACTTGAAGATTATTTGGGGCTCTCTTAAGTGACAGCTATTTACAACAAAATTTTATGTTGTTGATTTTTTAGTGTACTTTTTTTCATTTCTTTTTATTTATTGTACTTTAAGTTCTGGGATATGTGCGCAGAACGTGCGGGTTTGTTACATAGGTATACACGTGCTATGGTGGTTTGCTGCACCCATCAACCCGTCATCTGCATTAAGTATTTCTCCTAATGCTATCCCTCCCCTAGCCCCCCACCCACTGACAGGCCTCAGTGTGTGATGTTCCCCTTCCTGTGTCCATATGTTCTCATTGTTCAACTCATAATTTGCTGTCTTAAAAAAAAGTACAGATTATTCTTTGAATGGCAGTTTCTCCTGCAGGCCTGGGCCCTTTGGGATTTGCTGAGCTTTTTCAAACCTGTAGAAGGAGTAATCTGTTCACCAATAAGGTCAGTATTGCCTCATCTTACGCAGATCCAGTGTTTGATACAAAGGGCGGGGAAGCATAGACATGGTCTAAGTGATGCAAACCATGAAGCAAGAAAGTCACAGACTTGAATCAGAGCCAGGACTTCCACACATACAGCCTGCAGTAAGCCACAAGGCAATTCCCAAAGTGATCTTACATATGGAGTACAGCATCCCAAATTTTAGAGATAGAGGAGAGTTTAGAGATTATAGACCAAGCTCTTCATTTTAAAGCTGAGGCCAAGTGTGGTTAGATGACATATGTAGGGCTCTAGAGCTAGCCAGTGGCATTGCCAGAATTAGAACCCTGGACTCCTGCCTACCAATCCGGCCCCACATCAGGCATCCCCTGCTGCCTCATGCAAAAAAAGCAAGAGCCAAGTACTAAAGGGATGGGCTCGCCCAATAAATGTGGCCAGCAGCAGATCCTTGACTCTGGATTTTATTATAAACTTGAAAAAAATTCTCCATCAATCACAAATAATAAATGCTATATACAGAACAGCATCTTGTTCCAAAAGTGTGCATTTGAAAAGAAAGGAGAAAAAAACCCTACACTATCTTTAAATCTCGAGGCATAGCTCTAAACAGATGGAAAAGCCAATCTACGTCATCAAGAAAAAAAATCATGTTTTTTTGAAAAGGAAGAATGACTTTTGCTGGAATAGAGTCAGGGTGGAGTAGGAAGAGTCCACATCTAAGAGTGTTAACTCATTTTTTTGTAGACCATTTGCCAAGAGCCAGAGGAAATCCCCAATAATCTTAGCAGAGTAAAGCTTTTTTTTTTAAGGTTAGAGGAAAATGCATTATATACTTTTTTCCTGCTCATGTAAAGTTAGTCTTAATCAACAAGCTACACATATTCTACAAAGGAAATCATTATTAAATGGCCTTCATTTACAAATTTCATGTTACATAGGAGTTACAGCATTTCTTTCAATAGAATATTCCCATGGGGCTACTCTCATAGGTACAGGTCTAGCCTAACCTTGGTCATTCCTCTAACTTCTTGCTGCAGCCTAAAATCTACTATAGTCACAGGCCTAGATGGCCTGTTTGGGTCTCTGTTATATTGTTAAAAAAGAAAGGGCACTCTTATCCATACGCATTCTCCTAAAGATCTTGAACTATAATGAGCAATTAATAAGTATTTGTTGAATGAACGACTGGCTTTTGATTTGAAGCAGAAATTAGGCTTCGTACTCCATAACAATGCTCAGTGGTAAAATCAGAAGCATCAATTTGACTTTGAAATATATTGCTTTTGTTTCTGTGAAAAATGGAGCACCCCATTGGACACCTGGGGAAGTAGCTACAGTTCCTTCCAAAGGGAACACACTAAAAAATATGACAAAGTACATGATGCCCAACTCACAGGTATCCAGTTGCAGAATAATGTGACGTATAGAGACATATGGACCCAGACTGGGATTTGGGGTCTTACCCTTGCCCCTCTCAAATACATAAAACAATTCAAGCAATTTTTATTAATTTGCTTGCTTTTGATCGCTCTAGAGAGTCCCAGACTCTCACATGGATAGACCTCACTCCTCTACTTGTGGGCCCTCAGGCTTGAGGAGGAGGACGAAAGGCGGTCAAGTGGCAGCACGAGTTCCTGGCTTGTTATTTCCTCCTCGCAGGGTAGTTCCACCAGGAGAGCAGCTCTGCAGCTTGTGCTGAAAGTTTTCTTCTGTCTTTGCAGCACCTGTTCTCCCTCTCCTTACAAGTGAGGGCTTCTGGAAATTTTCAAGTGCCCAAGAAGCATGGGAGGGCCATGAACTGCCACCTGTTAGTAACTGTTACTTCATCTCAGTATCCAAATGAAATGATTGGGCAGTGGTCTTCACAGCGGCCCATGTCACATGCTCCATGCCAAGAGTTGTTTTCCTTAAATCCTAATCAAAACTGAGTTACTCCAAGATGTACATCAAACAAAGAGTTCTTAAAGCTGCTTTCTTGGTAATTATAACTGTTTCAAGGAATTTTGGTGGCTGCTGATACCATTTTCTGGATTAAACATACAGCCTCTAAATATACAGCATTCCTCAGCATGCCTCGCAAGTGTCAGGCAAACATTTGTATTTCAGTTAGGAATTTCTGCAGTGAAGACATTGCTTGGTACATTTTCCAGGACCCAGTTGACATTTAAACAGAAGAGGTGACCACTTATTTGACAAGACTTTTAAGAGACATAGAAAGGATCTCATGATTTAAGAAATTCTTCCATTATAATGCTACCTGGTGGTTGAAATCTTCCCATTAGAGAAGACAGGCCTGATTCTCTTGAATTAGGACTTTACATAAGCATCGGTAAATAAAAAGCAAGTGTTTCAAGAGAATAAGTATGGCAGATAATTTTCAAGAGTAGGCTAGCAGGAATGAGGCACTAACTAGGGATATTTTGACCAAGCATGGTGATGGGATAGTCTGGAGCTGACAGCATTATAAGGAGAAGGCAAGTTTGGAATGGGGCAAGATGAATCTTTAGATATTAGGGTCACCAGGTCCAGGATGGAGAACACAGGGTGGCCCCCAAAGACAAAACGTGCTTCCACTCTTCCACTTTTATGCTCACCACTTGTTCTAGAATTTTTCCCCTTAACTGTCAAAAATGCCTTACATGGGATTATATCCTACAATTGAAATCAAAGCAGCTGGTAAGCACAGAGCTTTATATGTGGTGGGTGTTTAATAGATGCTGATGGAAGTTGGATTTCATTCATCTGCTCATCAAGATGTGTTTTGCTCTTTGTCCCAGCAAAACCACAGCTTTTTAAAAGATCAGGATCAGGAACAAGGTCATTAAAAATATATTTTAAAATGGAAATTAAAACAGAAAGGAGGTGTGAGGATTCTTGCCAGTCCAATCAACATGCAGTTTCTCAGTGGAGGAATCACAGAAATGCGGGCTGAGAAGGGTGTGCCTTCCTAAAAAGGGGCAGGGAGAAGGGCAGCTGGGATGGAATGTCATCCTTCCCTTAAGCACTGGATTCTCACGAACACATATCTGCCACCTGGTAATTTCACCTCACTAGCTCCATGCATCAATGTATTTAGAATCTCTTTTTTATCATAAAGTTAGCATTGCCATTAAAACAACATCTGCATTATATTTTAGAAATAAAACTTACATCATATAAATTAAAGTGAGATAATTGTGTGAAAGTGCTTTTTAAATTAAAAAGCAAAATCAAATTTTTATGTGAAAAACCCCTCTGTACTGAAAGGGATCTGCAAATAAACTAGTGCTAGCAAATATTTATAAAGTACTTTTAAGATGTGAAAATTAATCTCTGGGCCAACAAGAGAAGTGATGGATGACCACTTAGTTTAAAAACGGTCCTACAGGCATCTGCAAATGTGCACTAAAACAACCAGGTTCCAACAAGCCCTTTCCCACTGTAAAGAAACAATGGAGTTATTATTTTTGCCACTTAAGGCTCTCATCAAGATGTTATCTTCATAAGTTAATGCACATTTTTAAAAGTAAATAAACATTTCCATTAGGTTCTCCAGTTTCTCTAATTTGCTTATGGTGTTTGAGGCACAGAGAGTGAAGTATTTAAGTACTGAGATTGATTCATTTTTTTTTCCTGAATGTTTTGGATTTCTTAGCCCCTGGCTGGGGAAAACACCCATGCTAAAACAGCAATAACAGCATCACCACATCCTTTCACATCAACATGCATGATTTATCCTACGGAACAGAAGTAGCAAATAACAGCCAAGCTTCATTATTTTGCAGATTCCACATTTGCAAATGTTTCTACTAATTAACATTGGTTTTTAATCCCAAAATTAATACACAAAGCATTTTCAGACTTATTTGTGGACATGTGAGGAATGGAGAAAAATCTGAGTCACCCAATGTGCATGTTCCTGGCTGAGGTTGAACAAGGTGATGCTCTGCCTTCTTGTTTCAGCTCTCAGACTGTAAACAAGTGTCCTTTTCACAGTTGACATAGCACCACACCTTTCCCATTTTTGTGCTTTTTGTTAGTGACTTCACTGTTTAAGCAGGCCCTAAGTGTGGTGCTGAAGGGCTGTCTGGAGTTTCTGAGCACAAGAAGGCTGTGATGTGCCTTATGGAGCAAAAATGTGAGTTAGATAAGCTTCATTCAGTAATGAGCTCTACTGCTGTTGGCCATGAATTCAATGTTAATGAATCAACAACGTGTATTAAGTAAGGCATCTTTAAACAGAAACACACATAAAACAAAGTTATGTACTGATCCATTGATGAAAATGTTGTGACCAGTGGCTCACAGGAATCCAACTCCATATTTCCCCATAGAAACAACGGTTTGGCTAATTTGGTGTTTCCAGCAACTTTATAAAACATTACTACTGCAAATAATGAGAATCGACTGTATTAAGCTCTGGGTTTTTTCAATGAGAAAAATAAGACCCATGGAAGTTAAATTTTTTCTCCCAAGGTCACCTGTCCAGTTAGAAGCAGAGTAAGGGCTAAAACAGAGGAGTTTTGTTTCCAATCCAGTGATCATTTTTCTGCTTCATTCCTTCTTTCACCAACACTTTCATTATGAATGAAGATAAGGGCAATAATTTCTGCATAACGTGAGATGCTCAGATTTAGCTAGCATTTTCTTCCCCAGAGCACTGTCTTTCAAAGTGTTTAAAGCAGGCTTAATTTGACTCTTGAAGCCTCAAATGGCAAAAACTATATGACAGTTCAATTTAAGTTATAGAATTTTAATGTTTGGCTTACGATGACTCATGAATACAAGATATAGTCAGAACAGGAGACAAGACTAAACTTTTTTGAAAGTTCCCTCTGTGCCAGGCAAATGTAGCCGATTTCCACATATTATCTCATCTGATAAGAAATTAGTATGAGTTTCAGCAAATTAATTTGCCTACTATTATACCTTTTAGACAAGATGCGGTTTCTAAGAAAATGGATCATACATTTTTTTAAAGAAATATGCCTAACAAGTATGCCTAACGAATAGAGATATGGACTCAAAACTTACCTGACTCTTTCCTATTAGCAGCTAAAAATAAAAACACAAAATAAAAAAATCAACAATATCAAGTTCTGGCAAGGATTTGGAGCAATTGAAATCTTCATACCTTGCTATTAAAAAAATGTTGTAGCCACTTAGGAAAAACAGTTTGATGTTTCTTATAAACAAACACTTAATATATGACAAAAAGCAATCTCACTCCTAGATATTTATCCAAGAGAAATAAAAATGTGTGTTCACACAAAGACCTATGTAAGCAAGTGCTTATAGCAGTTTTATTCATATTGGCCCCAAATTAGAAACAACCCTACTGTTGAATTGGTGAATGAGCAAGTGGCTGCATGGCCATATAATGAAATTCTACTCAACCAGTAAAAGGAGCTAACTATTAATACATGCAACAACATGGATATATTATGAAAGAACTGTGCTAAGTGGAAAAAAACGGACAAAAAAAGTTAATATACTTCTATTCATAGAATATTCTGAAAAAGGCAAAACTATAGGGAGAGAAATCAGATCAGTGGTTGCCAGAAACTGGGGGTAGGGGAAGGGATTGACTACAAGGCACAGTGGAACATTCTAGGGAGATGGAAATGCTTTACTTGATTAACATTGACAAATTATAAAAATTTACTGGATTGAACATAGCAATTAGATAGACAAAGGAACTAGAGAAGGGAACTTTTATGGTGTGTTTAAACCTAGAAAGATTTTTGAAAGGTATTTTGTTGCTTATTACCTAGATTAAGATATAACTACAGAAGAATATTTACTAATTATCTGAAAGTAATGTCAAAATAAGTCACGGTTAGCTTTAGAATGTGACATGGAATAACAGGTATCCCAAGACAGGAGCATTCTAGAAAGTGAAACCTGCCCAAGATGCTGTTTGAGATGTTCTCTCTGTAAGAGACAGCAAGCAAGTTGTTTATAGACAGTCTCGGCAAAAAAGCTTGATAAGAAGCTTAGTTATTTGATAAGAAGTTAGTTATTTTGATAAGAAGTTAATTTGATAAGAGGTTAGTTATTTTAATATATTAATCTGAAGATTATTTAATAATTCCATATGTTAGTAATAGTATAGGGATTTTTTTCAAGAGAATTTTTATTATTACTTTGTCTTAGAAAAAAGAGAAGGATATTGCAAAAATCAAAAATGTTTACACTTGGATGTAGATAAAAGCTTTTAATCATTAGAAGATGCTTCCTTGTATTGTCATACTGAAATTCAACTTTAGTAAACAAGATAACAAAATTGAACCTCAAAGCAATATACCTGCGCTTCTAGTAAGGGAGTCCTAGGAGCAAGTGAGTCACTTTAGAAGGGAGCCCCAGCTGTGATCTAGCTGCCTTGGGGGAGATGGGCTGCTAAGGATGAAGGAGCTCCCCATTTCCAAGGACAGGATGGGAAATGGATTATACAATAGTTGGTCTCTAGTCACAGTTGTGACATTTCTAGTGGCACCCTCCCTGTTGGGACGATGCTTTTAGACCTGACTCAATTTTTTTCAGTCCTTCACAAATAGCATTAGCTTCAAAAGCCTGAATGTTTTGCTTGTTTAATTAGGTGTGTGTACTGAGGGTGAATAAAGGAGGGGTAGAAAATAACATGTTTTCACCACCAAAACAATCCTTCCCTGGCAACTATGGGATGCTCTGAGAAGGTCAAGTCCAACTTGCCTTGAATCTGAGTGAAAGCAAGAGACCACAGGGGGCCTTGTGGTTCCCTGAATGATGATACATACTAGTAAATAAAAAAACCCCACCCTGAAATATAAAAAAACCCTCAGAATCCAGAGGGTATTTGGTCTGGGAAGAGGCACTAATCAGAAGACTCCTTGTCCCCTGTGACCTGTATTATCCAAGCAACCCAGATCCTGACTGGCCGAGGAACTGGCCAACTGGATAGAAACTTCTTACCCAATTTTTATGTTTTGTTATATGCTTTCTTAGTAAGGCCTTAGCAACTGGTGATAACGGTCTGTGATTTTTCCTCATAATCATTTTATAAACAATAGTATTTTTGAAGGGAGCAAATGTGTTCAGCTTAAAGCAATAATGGCATCCATTAATGAAGTAAACTATAGGTAAAATATAGAGTTAAAATGTCTTTAATGTTGTGAGAGAGCCCTCATTTATAAATATGCTGCCTGCTTCTTCAAAAATATATTCATATTTATCATGTATTCTGGTTTGGGGTTAGAAAAATTTTCTCACCCTTCACAGAGGGTGCATATAAAATATTCCCTACATAAAGCTTTTTCTTTTTTTGATAAAACACTTCTGGAAATGCCATAAAATTGTGCAGAATGGCAGAGAAGGCGCCCTGTTCAAAGCCTTCCCAATTCTCCTAAGAAAAATAAAACTATTTTTGGAAAGGAATAAAGCCCAGTTCAGCTGTATTCCTTCCTCAGTTTAGCATTTATTACATTGTAGTATCCTGTTTGGTTTGTGTATTCCTCTTGCTAGGATATAAATTCCACCAGGATGGTAACCATTTTTCTTCTTTCTTTATTTATTCTCTCATAATGTTAGATGCATAGAAAATGGTATTTTAATAAGAGATGAGAAATTTCATAATGCCTACCCTGGAGATACAATTACATGAGAATGCCATGGCATAAGTTTCAAGATGGGGTCTAAGCTAAGACCAAGGAGATGAAAGCTTGGCCTGATCCAAGTTTGTCCCAGGAGGCCCATTTGTTCCTCAGGGGAATTCGGGGATGTAGGTCAGCTACGGGGCAGATCTCAGATCTGGCTGTCTTTAAGCTATCTTGGGCACAGGTCGACTCTTCTAAATGATAGCAGGACCAATACAGATCCACACCCTTGGCCTAAGGCCAGTCCTGAGATGGGCTCTGGAATGAAAGACAAGGCCAACTATGAAGGCCTCTGGAGATGTGGTCCTTTAGCTGCTCTAAACTACCAAACATTTTTCTATGAATTTTTTTAAAGGGATAATTATTCATGTATTTTTCCAATCACTCTTTAATCAGCATTTATGCTCAGTTTTTTTGTGGTCCTGGAAAGGTAATTGATCCCAAAATTCTCTTCCCGTGTTTATTTCCAATTTTCTTTTGCCCATAGGCAAAACTACATTTCCAAAGCCATATGCCAACAGATAAGATTATTTACACTTCTCATTCTATTTTTATTCCATTTAAATAGTCCTTTAAAATTAAAAAGGCATCACATATGCTCCCTACATTAATAGTTATCTATTGCTATATAATAAATTAACCCAAAGCTTAGTGGCTTAATCAACAATAAGCATTCATCATCCATACAGTTTCTGTGGATCAGGTACTTGGGAGGAGCTGAACTGGGCAGTCCTGGCTCAGAATCTCTCATGAGGTTGCAGTTAAGATATTGGCCAGGATTACCATCACCTGAAGGCTTGACTGGGGCTGGAAGATGTGCTTCCCAGATGGCTCACTCCGATGGCTAGCAAATTTGTGCTGGATATAGGCACGAAATCTAAGCCCTTCACCTTGTGGACCTCTCCATAGATCTGCGTGAGTGTTTCATGACACATCAGCTGGTTTTCTCCAGATTGGGTGATCCAAGAAAATGAACAAGGTGTAAACTGCAATGTCCTTTATGATTTAGCCTCTGAAAGTTACATATTTTCACTTCACTTTTTCCATATTTAATGAGTACACAGCCCAGCCTTGATTCAGTGTGCAAGGGGACTATATAAGAGCATGAATAACAGCAGGTGAGAATAATTGAGGGCCACCTTGGATACTACCACACTTAAATTTTTTTATACCACATCAAAAGAAATTACATAAAATAAACTGTGTGTTCACATCTTAGTTACAAAGTATGAGATTTTTCATGGACCATCTCGAGGCCCTCTCTGCATGATCTATGCATATGGTAGTAATTCTTCCAGCCCTTCACTTGACCCATCCTAATTCTTGCTTGGTAAAAGGCATCTGTCTAGACAGCTCTTAAGTTTTATCAGCTCTTAGACTTCTTCAAGAAGCTCAATATCCAAAGACCAACACTCCTGAAAATGCACAGACCCACAAGTGTACTAGTCTACATGCAGCTTCAAGGGTTTTATGGCTCCCCTGAGCTTAAGAAAAGAAGCTCTAACCTGCAAGCTACACACACAATGTTTTCAGCTGGCTGCCAAGTGCAAGTGTCATAGCTAATGCTCAACAATAGGCTGATGTCCAATTCTAGCTGAAGGGCTGGCTAGCACTCTGTGTAAGACAAAATGACAGAAAACATTCACATGAAGTATCAAATTCATCTTTAGTGTCACAATTGTGTCTTTCTTCATTGACCTAGTAAAGTAAACTGTCCATACTTTATTGTGAGTTTTCTTGAATTTGGGTTACAGTTAACATATGCCTCTGGTTAATATTAGGCATTAACTTTAATACATATACACAAGTGGAATGACTCCCACTAATAGCTCATAATGTCACAAAAACCTTTCAACTGAAGTTTTAGACATTACTCACCACCAAACAAGGTTATGTCAAGCGAGTGCTGCCCAGGGCTCCAGCTAGCTATGGTAAAAAATAGTTTCTAATTATAAAAGGCAGCCAGCAAGTTCATCTCAAGAACTAGAGGGTATCACTCTATCAGCTAAATTTTTTTCTACAGACATTTATCATATATTCAACAACAGAAAGCACAAATTCTCCAAATTTCTAGAACTAAGTAAATTAGCTAAGTTTATATTATCCACTTTCTTCAAAGTAGTACCCGAGTGCTTTGTACTGATTCTGTAAAGAGATCAGCATTATTTCTCAATGCATGGTTAATCTCATCAGAATCATCAGTGATAGTTGTTTAACATGCAGATTACCAGAACAACTGAATCAGAATCTGATGTGAGTATAGTAAGGGTGGGAGGAGTGAAAGTGGGGGAGGTTAGGGGAGGCAGGATTCTGCATACTTAGCAGATTCACTAAGTCAGTGGTTTCCAAAATGTGATCCCAGGACCAGCATTGCTAGTATCATCTGGGAACTTGTGAGAAACGCAAATTATTCAAACCATCCCACCTCAGATCTACTGAGTCAGAAACTCTGGGGATGGAGCCCAGTGTTCTGAGTTTATCCAGCCCTCTAAGAGATGATGATGCTTGCTAAGCTAGAGGACCACTGCGCTCAGTGATTCTTTGCTTCTCCATATACTGAGAGTGAGAGTCATTATCTCTAGGTTTGTTAAATAGCCATGTTTCAATAAAACAAAGTCAAGTCATAAAATTTCTTTCATATCCATCTAATTATCTTCCACAACCAGGCCTTGTAGATGTAGGATGCAAGTTCATAAATGAAAAAGGGTAGGTGAGAGACTTTAGATTCAGAGCTGACAAACAGAGGTAAATGTTTCTTGCCATTTTTTTTAAAAGAAGATTACTCTCACAAAATAATAAAGTCCCTAGAAAGAGATATCCCTAAAAGGATCTTTACTCTGTTAATGCTTATCCTTTAATGCCTTTTAAATTATCTGATAATTCACAGGAAATTTATTTAGTGTTAACATCTGTGGTCCCTTTGTGGCCTATCAACCTCCAACCATGAAAAGGAATGTTTGAAATGGACTTTTCTGGGACACCACGGAAACCTTACAGATGACATCTGAGCCAGGGGTTATGATGACTTTGGAAAACACCACAGTAAATACTTGTTGTCTTAATTTTCCGGCATAAGTGAAAATAGATGTTTGCACTGAATGGCCAATAAAGAACAAGTATTATATAACGCAATTCAGCTCACAAATTTATGGGATTATAGGACTCAATGCACATTCCTTGTAAACATCTGAGAAAGGCACCTGAGAATATTTGAAAAGGCACTGATATGTTTTTGAAAATTTGTGAAATGGGATTTATTGCCAAGAACATGTGGAGAAGGAATTTTGACTAACCTGTACTATGAAGTATTGTTAATTCTCTAAGTAATCCAATGGTATTTCTTATTAGTCATTCTGGTAACTCAGTTGTAATATCAATATTTAAAATTTGAGTTGTTCACAAAATGGGATAATGTTCAAAATCACTTGTTTTGCTGAAAGACTGTCTATAAAGAATTTTGCAAGTAGGTTATTATACATTAGAGCAAAACCCTAAACCATACTACTGCCAATATGTTGATCATTCAAAAATTCATTGTGTGTCACACCAAATTTAGTCAGTTTGTAGGACTTTCATCTATTTCTTTTTTCTTTTTTTTGAGATGGAGTCTTGCTCTGTCACCCAGGCTGGAGTGTAGGGCATGATCTCTGCTCACTGCAAGGTCTGCCTCCCCGGTTCACGCCATTCTCCCGCCTCAGCCTCCCTTGGTTTTTATTTGTATCACAAGATGAACCAGCACAACAATCCAACATGGCATGCACAGTGCAAACACATACACACCTGGATTTGGAAAGCTCACTGAAATACACATTTTTTTCCAGTATTCACTATTAATATGGGTTATAAAAGTCTAAAAGCCAACAGAACATATAAAGTTACCATAGCAGAGATGATGAGGGTCTTCCAAGCACAAGAATTAGAACCTGAGAAGACACGCAAGTGGGAAAGAAGAGGGTTGTAAACAAAGAGTGAGAGGAAAATTTGGAAGTCATCTATTGAGTATAGCAAAGAAGACAGCCAGCCAGAGAAATGGAGATCAAAGAAAGAGGTTTATATGTTGAAATAGTATTAAATGCCTGCAACTGTGATCTAGTCACCAATTACAGGATCACCATTTCTTGGGCACACTTTACACAGAAACTCAGTTCCATGGAAATATTGGTTACAAGACAAATGAAGAGAAATATGACATTTGAACTCAAGATCCAACTCAAAGATCCACTGGAAAACAGCAGAATTCTCTGCAAGTTCTTCAAAATATCAAACTCCAACTACAATAGAACAAACATCCAGAATAAATTGAAAACCAGCTTTACAAAAGAACACTATAATGTCTGACTGCTATTGTGCATATGTTGTTGCCACCCTTCGAGGGACATAGTGATTTATGTTATAGCCAAAGCCATCTAGGAATGCTATGGTGTGAATATACAGTTATGGTTTGTCTAATCTGATATACACAGAGCTGATCAAATGAATATAAATGTGTGCTTTTCTAAGATTGGTCATGCCAAGATAAATGAACAGGAAGCAATGATATTCTTCAACCAAGTGGAATACTTTGCATGACATAGAAACAACACTTTTGCCTTAAAAAAAAAAATAAAGTGTGCATTGTCTTCCAAAGGATAATTCCTGCTGCATCCAAACAGATGAGGAGTCAGCTGTGAGGCAAGGACATGGGCCAAAGTGGTCAGCAGGAGTGGCTGGGGGTGGAAGCCAGGAGAATGCTCTGAAGACTCTCATCATGTTGAGAGAAGGGAGAAAGAGGAGGGGCAGGAGAAGGAGGATGAAAGTTTAGGAAAGAGAATGATTGGGAACAAAAAGAGGGAGTGCAGAAAAAGAGTCACACAATCAAACCAATCCAGTACCTGCAGACTGACCAGACAGACTGCAGCAGGCATCCAGGAGCAGGCTAAGTCACATGGAATTGCATCCCAAGGATAGGCGGAGAAAAAAATGACCAAAGACCACAACTTGTACTTTCAGATGTTTCACCGTAAAAGACAAATATGCTCTGAGCAGGATCTTCCAGACTCCTTCAGGGAGAGCTGGATGAGAGTACAGGAGTGGGATGCTCATGGCAAGAATTATGTTGAAAACACTCCCAGTGTCCTGGCTCCTCTCTGCCGATCCTGTTTCACTGTGTGGATGCCACACCACAGGCTCAGACACTCTAGACTTTGACACCCAGAAAGGGTGTCTTTCTGCTCAGCACCAGTGTCCAGGCTACTGGAGTATCTAGATCTTTCCATCACTGCCAAGGCAGATGTATTAGTCCATTTTCACACTACTATAAAGAAATACCCAAGATTGGGTAGTTTATAAAGGAAAGAGGTTTAATTGACTCACACTTCTGCATGGCTGGGGAGGCCTCAGGAAACTTAGAATTATGGCAGAAGGGGAAGCAGGCACAACTTACATGGCAGCAGGCAAGAGAGAGAATGTGTGAGAGTGCAGGAAAAACTACCATTTATAAAACCATCATCTCTCCTGAGAACTCACTATCACGAGAACAGCGTGGGAGAAACCACCCCCATGATCCAATCACCTCCCACCAAGTTCCACCCTCCACGTGTGGGGATTATGGGGATTACAATTCGAGACAAGATTTGGGTGGGAACACAGAGCCAAACTATATTGGCAGGTAAAGAGTTTTAAAAATGTACCTGGTCTTCACGTTTGTTTACTTTGGTTAAGAAAGTTACTATCAAAAAAATCCATTAATGCCACCCGAATATTACTTGTTAATGAAAGCTAAAGAGGACTGATACTTTTATTATTTCCTTTTGTTAGAGAAAAAAACCCTAATGTTCAGAAAGGTGAAGCATTAGGTTGGTGCAAAAGTAATTGTGGTTTTTAATGGCAAAAACCACAGTTACTTTTGCACCAACCTAATGACTTACTCGGGCTCACGTGGACTCCTGCACTTTACCCACTAACCCATGGTGCTAATTTTCAGTATTTATCTTTCCAGCTCATAACAAAACTACAAATTAGGTAAACCTGATATGGGAGAGCATGCCCAGAATCATTTTCCTTTTAATTCTTGTAAAAAGGAATAGTTAGGGAAGAATTCTGTGACAGCAGGATCATTAGGGGAGTTTGGAGAGGATGGGCCTGGAGAGGAATGGAGGGACTGTCTTCCAGGTCATCTGATACCTTACTCTAAACTAACTGGCCAGAGTGTCTTAACTTCATCTGGGAAAGTGAAAGGAGAAGGAAATTGTCCTGCATCTCCTGCCGACATAGCTGGAAAAGAACTGAATTCCAGAGCTCGCTGCCAGCATGACTTTGGCAGACACTCCAAGCCCCTCCTTGAACACCAGAATCCGCTGCTCTCAGAGAAGCAAGGCCTGTTAGGTCTCACATGCCCACACACACGTGCACAGTGGCCTCTCAGGAGGACCCTTGGAAAACCAGAATGTTTTCTTATCAGCTAACAGAATGGAAAAATAACAGAATTGTATTTAACGAGAAAGGATATCTGAAGCTCCACCTTGGCATCACCTTGTAAGCAAAGCGCCCCTGTTCAGAGTCTTAGCAAGGTTTCATTCACCACTACTCAGAGAAGAGAGAACTTCCATTACATTAGAGAAACAGTGGAATACATTTTAAATATGTTTCAGATTATAAGACATGCTACATGCTGAAAAATTATCCTTAACATAAAATACAAAAATCAGCTGGAATATATAAATGTGCACAATTAAAGAAATTATTTTCAGTATAATTTATATAACCCGTACTTTCTGAGTATGGAAATCCATTGCATATTTACTTAACTCCTATATTTTGCACTGAAATCATGAGGTGCTTTGTTTTTCTTAACAGATTACATTTGAATTCATTTTTCTTCTTCTTATGTATATCACTTAAAGCCAGTACATGGCAACACAGTGGGATAGCTTAGCTCCTGCAAATGTTGGTTGTTAAATGAGGATAAAGAATTAACACACCAACAGTTTCATATAAAAGTAAATGACTTTTGCGTGGCCAAGTATTTTTAAATAGAACTGATTTCAAACCCCTTAAATGCAGGAAATGTCTTATTCATCTTTGTAATCCTAATACGATGATTAAAAAATATTAATTAAATGACAAAATGAATAAATGTAAGTCCATTCTTAAAAATCACAGTCACAGCTCCTCAGATCTGGCTTCTGAGAGTAGCACTTATGTTCTAACACTAAAACCAAATGCTCATCTCAATTTTACACATTTACTTATTTTATATAGCTTCAGGAGGGAGTCTGAAAATTTTTTCAAACAATGTTTTAAAATCCTGGAGCAAAGCAGCATAAAAGTAAAAATCACTTTTAAATTTACAGAAATCAAAACTTAAATAGTAGAAAAACGTACTTGCAACCTTTAAATTTTACTCTGTACTCATCAAGAAAGATTTATTTATCAAGCACTTATACATACAAATTGTCAAAAAGCTCCAAATCAGTAGTTCTTAACCCTGGCCATATTAGAATCACCTGAGGAGTTAAAAAAAAAAAAATCCCACCCTAGACCAATTTAAAATAAATTTGTTGGGGAGGCAGAGCATTACTGATATTTTTGAAAACTTTACTATTCTCATGTGCATCCAGGATTAAATATATTGGGCTATAGCCTGTATTGGGATATACATTATAGTATTTATAGTCATAGGTAAACTTATTAAATGAAGAAAATATTGAATTGCTATGTCATAGGTGAGATGTGACTTAGGCCTCAATTTTCTCTAAAATTAATTTCTAGTGTGACCAGAAGATGCTTGAAGTGGGTGAATTTGCCCTGGTTTTCTAATGGTTGGGCTTTCAAAGTATGATCCTTGACTGGAGAATGATGACAAATCTTCTATGAAAATGCCACATCTTCTAGCTCCTTCTTTAGAATTCCACAGAAAGGAACATTAGCTGATTTCATAGCATGTGTACTGACAGGCCTTAAATGTTCATCAAAATCACTGTAAATATATGTCAAGGCTTTAGTAGGTGAGGGAAACCTACAACACACTATAACAATCTTGCTGTGGAAGGCTCTTGGTGGGAAACCCAAGCTAATATTATACGGAGTAGAATAAGTACTGATTTAGTCTTGCTGTCCACAGAACTTTGCCAAAGTAGTCTGAGAACCTTGAAGCCAGCCTTTCCTACCATGTGCCTCCTGCACTTTCGGGGCCTTCCCAACACAAGAGAAGACTGTACACTAGAGAAGAGACCCACAGGGTATCTAGTATTAAACAGTCTATGAGAGTCTGAGTGTCATGGTTAGAATATTTTCTGTGTACAACCTAAATTTTCTTTCCTGAGAGCATATGGAAAAATTGTTTTATTAACACTAAATAGGATCTGAGAGAAACTCCTCTGGTTTTTCTAGTTGCTTCCATCACATCCACTGATAAAAGTATATTTTCTTTCTCTACACACAAGTTTAATTAGACCTACAGTAACTTCCATTTACTCTAAAAGCAACTCCACTGAAGTTTCAGAAAAGCACTTTTTTTTTTTTTTTTTTTTTTTTTGGAGACAGAGTCTTGCTCTGTCGCCCAGGCTGGAGTGCAGTGCTGCGATCTCAGCTCACTGTCACCTCTGCCTCCCGGGTTCAAGCGATTCTCCTGCCTCAGCCTCCCGAGTAGCTGTGACTATGGGCACGTGCCACCATGCCCGGCTAATTTTTTGTATTTTTAGTAGAGACAGGGTTTCACCATGTTAGCCAGGATGGTCTCGATCCCCTGACCTCGTGATCCGCCCGCCTTGGCCTCCCAAAGTGCTGGGATTACAGGCATGAGCCACCATGCCTGGCCAGAAAAGCACATTTTTATCAGGACTGTATCATCAGGTTCATAGGTGTTCATTACCTACTATGTTAATTTTTTTCTTATGTTTTTGTCGTTTCCTTTAAGAGATGGTGTCAGGGATAAAAGCGTTTTTTCTATTTTGGAGGAATTTTGTGTGCCTCTGTACATGGTATCAACCACATTTGATGGACCACAGAGGAAACCAGCAAAGGAATCTAGGCATTGACTGGGATCCTGTATACAGAAAACAAGGTCCATATTGGGTGCTGAATATTTACTTGGTACTCTTAAGATATTTATCTCAATTCTCAGAGATTTCTTATAATTAACCTCAAGCACTGAGGGAGACAAATTAGCAGTTTGCCAATGTTGGCATCTGCCACAAAATGCTTAATTCTTTAGGAAGTTGACGGAGTTTTAATGCTTAAACCAGTATATTATCTGGAGTTAGATTTCCCATATTCATAGTTTCACTATATCACTTGCTACCAGCCATTGAGCTCTTTGTGGTGGATAGACTCTTACATAATCTGAGGTATACAATCAACTTGTATGGTAAACCTGTGAGTTGCTTCTAACCAGTAGAATATGGCAGAAGTGATGGGTTGTCACTTCTGTGATTCAGCTACATAAGGTTGTGACCTCCATCTTACCAGCAGACTCTCCTGGGCTTGTACATTTTGATGAAGCAAGTGGCCATAATAGAAAGGCCTATGAGGCAGAGACCTGCAGCAACCTCAGGCCAATAGCCAGTGAGAAAATGAGGCCCTTTGACCAATGATCCTCAAGGAATTGAATTCTGCTAACAACCATGTGAGCTTGGAAGTAAATCCTTCTTCATGCAAACCTTCAGATCAGACCTCACCTCTGGCCAGTACCTTCACTGTTGCCTTGTGAGACATCTTGAAGGAGAGGAGAGTCTGCCCAGCTAAACCAGGCTCAGACTCCTAACTCACAGCAACTGTGAAATAATAAATGTGTGTTGATAATTTTGTGGACATTTGTTATAAGAAAAAGATAACTAACATACTCTTTTTTTTTTGAAATGGAGTCTTGCTCTGTTGCACATGTTGGAGTGCAGTGGCACAATCTCAGCTCACTGCAACCTCCGCCTCCTGGGCTCAAGTAATTCTCATGCCTTAACCTTCTGAGTAGCTGGGATTACAGGTACCTGTCATTACACCTGGCTAATTTTTGTATTTTTAGTGGAGATGGGGTTTCACCGTGTTGACTAGGCTGGTCTTGAACTCTTGACCTCAAGTAATCTGCTCACCTCGGCCTTCCAAAGTGCTGGGATTACACTAATATACTCTTTAAACTTAATTTCTTATCTGTGAAATGGAGCTAATAATAATATATATTTCACATGTTTATAAACACTTAGCATTAAATATCATGCCTGATACACAGTAATATGGTTATCATCTTTTAAAATGTTATTTTAATTGAATATATGTATATCAATTATTGTTTTTCTATATTATGTTTAGCATGTTCCTTCTTTAGCTGATACTATTTATTTTTACTTTTTGGTGGTCATTTTAACAAATGTATTCTTATTTGACTAGTAATCTCTCTAGATAACTAGATAATCTAGATAATCACATTAGAGTATCCTATTTCTTAATTTTATGTTTATTCTGAGATCAATTTTATTAAATTCACCTATTTACTTTCAATATTGTCTTGTTTATACCTACTGTTATAAATTGCAATCAGGGAACAGCAAAAGGCAAATTTTTTCTGAGGGTGGTGATCCAGATAGAGTGATTGGTCCCATCTCCTGAATGGCATTCCCTTCATTAAACACCTCACTTATGTCTTTAAAAAGCCTTCTGTAAACTCACATTAGCCTATAACATTTTAACTGTCTTTGCTATAATATTATATTGATGAATTCTTCTATTTTCAGGTGTTCCCCTGTGTCCCCTCTCTTTCTTGAAGGGAGACAGGGGAAGATAGTAAAAATTCTTAACAGTATCTTATAGCCCAATATAGCAGTCTATAAAACTAAACTAGTGAATGTATAATTAACACAAGAAAACTTTATTTTTTTAAACCTCAGGTTCTAAATTTAGCATCAGGACAAATTATATTTGGTCAGTTTTTACCTTTGTAATATAAGGTTCTTTTATAGCAGGGGCTGTATCTCATTCAGTTTACCTAGTAGATGCTTAATAATCTGGGCTTGATGTGTTGACTATTGATTATTAAGGATTATTAACAGTCAATTAAAGATTATTGTGGAAAATTTTTATGCAGCAATAGATAGCTAACATACTCTTTAAGCTTAGTTCTTCATCTGTGAAATGGAGATAATAATATTTCACAGGTGTGAGGATAAAATGAGATAATTTACATAAACACAGCATTAAACACCATTGATATGTAACATGATGATTATTAGTATACTTTTAAGAATTATTAAGGACTACTGATAATCTTTAATAATTGATAGACAAACACATCAATAAAACTGTCAAGAAAATTTAGAACTGTAAAAGATGCTAAAATAATTTCTTGCTTGGTGGTTTTTAAGCTTCTTTTTAGCAGCAGAACCATTTTTTTCTAACGTACTGTTTAATACAGTCCCAGCAATACATAAATATATGTTACTCAAATAAAAGCAGAACCACACCAAGTAGGCTTTGCACTCCTCACCAGTATCCTGTGTTCCATAACTTAAGATGGACGAGATCCTCTGCAGCCTCCCATAAGCATCAACCACCTCTTGGAGAAGTGGACTGAGCTGTTGGAGTGACACATTCTTGTTTTGTCAAAGTGAGGTTGGAAGGGCTCCATGGAGAGCCAGCTGCCAGGTGAGCAGCTGGAAAGTTGACAGAGCAAGGTGTAAGAGCCTTCCTCTCCAAAGACAACATTTTATTTCCTCTTTGTAATCAATCATGAGGAGTCAGGCCAGATAGAGACAAGGAGAGCACAGTTACATCTTGTATGGTTTTTTTCAGTCTAGGCTTCCCTCTCAGTACTTTAACACTCACTGAGCTTTGGCCCCTGGGGTTGCCTGGGCTCTGGGCCAGCAGCTACCTTTGTTGAGAAAGCCCCTCACCTCTCAGCAATCCTTCTCCTTGTCTCAACTTGTGTTTGTACTCAAGACCTCTATTTGGGTTTCTTATTCTCTCATAATTCTTCATACCTCCCATCCAGATTGGATCCTTTTTTTCTCAAAATGCTTTGTGCTTCACCCACACTGAAGGATGACCCCTCTCTATTGTAATTATCCCTTTCCACACCAGTCCCTTATCTTCTCCACAAGCTGGTCAGCTCCCTGAAGACAAGTGCCAAGCTTTGTCTCCCCAGCCTCAGTGCTCTGTGTATACATCCAATATAATTTGTTACTTGAATGAATTAATGTATCTTTACATAGAGCAGGGAACTAATATTGCATCAAAATTAAAGGTATAGTCATTTGCCACTTTCTAGCTATATTACTTGGAGTAAATTACTTAAACACTCTGAGGCACAATTTTATGCTCTGTAAAATGGGAATAATAGGTTTACCTGCTTCATAGGTACTATAGTCTGAATGTGTTCCCTCCAAAATTCAGGTGTTGCCAGTGCGATAGTATTAGGAGCTGAGACCTTTAAGAGGTGATTAGGCCATGAGGACTCCTTCCCTGTGAATGGGATTGGGTGCCCTTATAAAAAGTCTTATGGAGGAAATTTATCCTTTTCTTGCCTTTCTGCCTTCCACCATGTGAGGATGCAGCAAGAAGGCCCTCACCAGATGCCAGCACTTTGATCATGGACTTCCCAGCTTCCAGAACCGTGAAAAATAAACTTCTGTTCTTTGCAAATTACCTAGTCTCAGGTATTTTGTCACAGAAGCACGAAACAGACAAAGACAATGGAGGAGCTTCAATAATTTAATTAGGTTTTCCACATTAAAATATGAAGCACTAAATTACCACATGCAGGATATACTCAAAGAATGTTACCTGTGATAATAATAATGGTAATAGTTATTAATAGCTATGGCAGTTACTGTTATGATTATCATCTGCTCTGTGTTTTGTTCCTAAAGTCAGAGATTTCTACTCTGTTAGGTAAGAACCCAAAGCAAAGAGCCAGCTGCCTCTTCCCTCTGCCATATCCCAAGAGTCACACCCAAGATCCTCATGCCCTCTGGCCATCAGATTACACTTGTATCTTGGAGGTTCCTCTGTGGTTTTTCTCACACTTGCTTAAAAATAATAGCCATTGCCTTTGGGCTAATTACAATCTTCTGTATACTGGAGTTTCCATGCAGAGGTGTGTCAAGGGCCTGCTCTCCCACTATAAGATTTTGTTGGCTCCTTTCATTACATATTGTTCTCACTGGTTTTTATTTTAGCCTGTTTGCCAGGAAAAGAAAAAAGGCCAATGGTGCCAAGAATAAAGATTCTGAGAGGTAGCTGGAGCACAGGGGCTTCCAAAGGTATAAAACAATGTGAAAATTCTTCTCTAGTATGGTCTAATTCACCTCCTGAGAAACAAGCTTAACAGGAGCTCACCTGAAGAGTCTATGACATCTTACAAATCCCTGTGGAAAAGCTGATCTTAGAGCAAAGGTGCAGCTTTCCACAGGGTAATGTTGGCCATATGGGCAGACAATGGTCAGGCTAGAATGCGGTAGAAGCCTCCCTTGTTGCCACGTAGAACAACACTGCAGTCCTTTACCCCATCTTTCTGCCAAGTTCACACCACCTCATCTCCTACCTTACAAGAGATTTGTCTTACATTTTGAATACAAGATCATGTGTTATTCGGTGTGCATGTTTTTCAACATTGATCCCCTTTTCTATGACCCAATAAGGATTTATTGAAAATCTGTTATGTGCCAGACTTGTGTCTCTTATCTCATTTAATCCTAAAATACTATGAGATAGTTATCATTAGTCCCATTTTACCAATGAGAAAACTGAGGCTAACAAAAATAAATAATTTGACAAAACTATAGTCATTTAGTGGTGGGGAGGAGAAAAGCTCCATTAATAGTCTCCAAGCTTTTAAAAACTAAGCAAAAATCTTCTAATAACTTACTTTTTATAACAAAGTATGTGACTAGGTATGCAAATAGGCACACCACATATAACAACTGACTTCTTATAAATAACTATATATGGTTATATATATATAATTTTGTATATATAATATATATATAAAATATGTACATAAAAATGTAGATATGTTCTTAGGAAGAAAAGTTAAAATTAAAATACTGTTAAAGAAATTTACAAGAAACTCTTTTATTCAAGGAATAGGTAGCATTCACATGTACACTACAGAATGTCATTCCTAAGGCTGGGGTCAGAGGAACCTGCCTATCTGGCAGGAGGCAGGTTAGAACATGGATTTTGAATGAGAAGCTAGGTATCAAGTCCTGGCTCCACCATTAACATGGGAAAGTTACTGAATCTGCCCTGCTTTGGGGTATCTTCATTTGTAAAATAAATGGTTATGTTAGGTCAGTGGTTTCCAAATATTGGCCTGTGATCAATTTTTCATTAGTCTGTGGGAAAATGAGAAAAATAACAATGGACTTATTTATGAAATTAAATTTATTTATTGTATAAATCTGTTAAAATTGTTTACTTTTATGAACACTAGACATTCTCCCCTGTTCCCTTTGAGCATCCTCACATAGCAAAATTCAAGTATGCTCTCTATAACAGGACCCTGATGTTAAAATATTTGTGTATTTTTGTTGGTCCATAAATCCAAAGGTCTGGGAATCACTAGACTAAGTGATCATGAATATCTTTTCTAGCTCCAGAATTCTAACCACTTCTTAAGTCACAAATAGTATTTAACCAACTCTAAAGTAGAAGGAAGAACAAAAGTAAAAACTTTTACTCTTTTTTCTTCTTTTTTAACTCAACATTTCCCCAAATGTGTCCTGTGACAGACAAACCCCTGTTAAGATATTATAGATCTTCTATGGAAAAGAGGATTCTTAGTCAAATGAGTGTGAGAAACAAAAAGTTGTACAGGTTTCTTTATTGAGAATGTGCAAACTGCTAACACTTATTGTGATTCCCCCCTTAAAGACTCCACAAGTTATTGACAGGAATCAGCTGCCCTTCCACCCTCACCCCAAACTCTACCCATTGTAGGACAAACAGTGCACCTATGCCTGGAGCACAGTTTGAAAAAGATGACTTCAGCTAAAAGGTCCTCAATAGCTTTCCAATAAAGAAAAAACATAATATTAAAAACAAGACTTGCCATTTCTTTTATCATTATTATAATTTGATGTTTTTTTCCAAATTACCAAAACTACAAATATTTTTTAAATAAACAACAAAAGTTTTGTGGCCATTTTCGACAACTATGTTTTTTTTTCTTTCCCATTATAAATAAAGAAAAATTGTGTCAAGAGATTTGTGTCTAGTGATTGCAACACGATAATTAAAGCACTGGGATTGTCCAGAAGTTTGCAGTAACAAAGTTGCACCTATATCATCCCTATGCAATGAATAAAAAGTAAAATAAAAGTCTTCTGTAGGTATTAAGACTGAGAAAACCCCCAGACTCTTCTCAAATGATATGTTACTGTTAAATATTCCATTAGTAGGTACAATTAACTCTGAATGCTTGTGGCTCATAATTGATTTATTTAAATCACAGTTTTATTGTGATCAAGGAGCAAAACTCTTGGTAGAAAAAGATCTAAGAGTGCTTGTTTTTTATTTTTCTTTAATTATTTGATCAGAGTTGAGAAAGTTTACTTAGTCTTTTTTATTGCTGTTCACATTATCGTGTGAAATATCAACTAGCCAACCGCTTCAGCCTTCACATGCTGGATTCAAGTTTCACTTTACCCACCGAGGAAAGAACAGTTTTCACTTGGGACAAGATGATCCTGGGGCAGACTACCCAGAGAGAGGACCTAGGGATGATCTTTTGGATATTCTGACACTAGCAACCTTTCTTTCTGACTTTAGGCACACCAGGTTCTTGACAAGCCTGCAGCTCTGCATTACTTCTGATGTTTTCCATCATGACTGTATGGTAAATTCCAGCCTGTTTTTCACAATCCTGCTGACTACAGCAGTCTGCAACCATAAAAAGCCTTCACAGACCTAGAGTTGGCTTAGAGAAGTGCCTCTGCAGAGAAACAAAAGTACATGCAACATTTATGTTCAGAGACAGGAGAGAGGCAACAGCCTCTTGTTTTGGTTTCTGATGGGCTCAAAGGGTTGTTTTTAGGGTCAAAATTTAGAAATTTTAATTTTCTTCTGATAACATTTGTAAACAAAATACCAACACTAAAATGAGAGCAATTTAGCCAAGAAAGGGGGGAGTGTCCTGTCCAACAGCTCAAGCCCTCTTCCAAACTCCACTGGAGGGACGTGTCTGCAAATCAGC
This sequence comes from Homo sapiens, assembly GCF_000001405.40. NCBI lineage: Eukaryota > Metazoa > Chordata > Mammalia > Primates > Hominidae > Homo > Homo sapiens. The sequence goes on from NC_000003.12 coordinate 100,992,811, forward strand.
ACATGACCGTACTTTGGTCTGACCTGCCTAGACTCCCTCAGCTTCCTGGTCAACAGGTATGTTTGAGGTTCACACCAAAGATTCAAGGTTTCAGAACCAGCTTCTTTTGAATCTTAAGCTAGTACTGATTCAGTCTCTGGGGAGGAGGATAAAAACACCAAACAACTCTTTCTAACAGACTATAATATCCATTTACACAATATGATTCAATACACAAGCACTATAGTTAGAAAGTATACAGTTCAAGCTCTGATGAACAGCTGCTCAATGTAATAAGTTTGTTTTCATTTTTGCAATAAAGAGCTGTAATTGAAAAGTAAATAACAGGAGGGGAAAGTAAAAGTTTAAGAGACCCCTTCACACATTTGAACTTTGAATCTCTGCAGAATAACTCTATTCCCCCCGTATGGTAAAGCAGATCATATTTAAAATCAACATTTAAAAACATCTATATCTTAATATTATTTTTAAAACATAAAACATCAGGCTACTTGCCTTTTGGCAATTTCTGTGCATTTCCCAGGGCTAGTGTAATACTTCCACAGAGAAGTAGACACCCCAAACTGGAGAGCATGTTGCATTTGCCACCTCGCATGGGGAATGATGCTGGTGGGTGCCTCGCAACCCTGGAGCTGCATTTAAGTGGACTGTCTCCCAGTGACAGAGGCGGGCGGCTGCACTTAGCTGTGCCGTGGGCTTACTCACAGGGGGTGGAGACAAGATGACATCACACCCTTTCCCACACACACCAAAAAAAAAAAAAAAAAAGCACAACAGCAAAAACATATCATCACATTTCTTTCTTTCTGCTAAGTTGTAACTGTGTCTCTTCCTTCTGTGATATAAAAATTCAAATTATGGCAGATCTGTATTTGTGAAAGAAGAAGTATTTAGGCAGTTTTGAAACATTTGATAAACTATTTTAAAGAATCCAGAAACAATGTACTAAAAGCTATCAAAATGTTAAAAATATAAAATAAAACCTTATTAAGAAGGAAACTTTTTAATTATCCAGTAAACCAACCCAATTCTTTTAAATGGGAGTAAACTCATAAAGATATATTTTGAGCCATTCTGTAGTTCCTGTATTATGAGAAACATTTAAGAGTAAGTCTTTGGCTACAAAGCTATACATTACGTTATAATATATATGTGTATACACATATATTCAACAGATGTAGATGTAGAGACGTAGAGAGAGCACTATTACTATGTGAGCCTCAACTGTGGACTGAGTTCTGTAATCGAGTCTTTACCTACTTTACTGTATTTTAATCTTCCCAGTGCCTCTGCAGGAGATATGGCATTATCCCCATTTTGCCATTAAGAAAAGCTGAGGAAAAAAGGTTAAGTGTCCTGACAATGCTAGTATATTCTACTGCTTAATAACGGATGCCACTTACTAATGAATTGTCCTTGAGCAAACTTCATCTCTATATTATCAATATTGATGACATTTAAATGCTTGCTCCGTGTTAGGCACTGATCGAATCAGTTTACACATGTTAAGACATTTATTCCTCAAAACGGTCTATGAGGCAGGCATTGTCATCATCCCCATTTTACAGATAGATAAACTGGGCACAGAGAGGTCAAGTGAAAGTCCAAGGTCACAGTGTTGGCATTTTAAGCAGCCCATTTAACTATAGTGCTTCCAGTCTTAATTACTACATTTTAGATTCTAAAATAAAGATGACAGTATCAATTTCTTACATTTGCTAGCAGTTTTTCGAAAGTAGTTGCCATAGAGCCTGACACACAGGAAACATTTACTAAATGGCAGTCACTGGAAACAATAATAATGAAAATGATAAGCCCCCAGTTAAGTAGAACTATAATTCTAACCTGGGCATATTTACCTCTGAAGTCCACATGTGTATCCTTTCCCCCTACATCACTTTGGTCAAAATATATAGACGCATGGGTGGAATGGCTGGGTTAATAAAGCACTTTAAACCTTGTTGGTATATTTATACTGACTCTTTGAAAATCGCTTACCTCATTGGGGTGCTGTAGCTGAACCAAAAACAGTAAGAGAAAAATTAAATAACACTGGTCAAATGAAATTCTAGTTAGAAAACTTATCAAAAAGAAAAAAGAAGAAAAAATGGAAGAGACAGCCCCGTCTTCCAAATAAAGTGTGAGAAGGCACCTTGTTAAAGTCATTTAGAGTTGGCTGGGTCTAAGCTCTCACCATAGGAATGCTCTGGCAGTGACTACAGGAGGCACTGGCTTATTTAACAGGTCTTTTTCATCTCTGATTTTTTACTTGAATAAGCAGTTCCCTCAATCGGGGTTAGGACATTTATCCAGCTGGCACTGCTGGTTCTGCTCCTATATGTCATTGCCATCACATTAAGCCAGTGAGACCACTGTGTTAGCAGGAAATGACAGGTTTTCTGAGGGGAACAAACCCAGCAGAAATATTGTAAAGAAGGCTGGTTCTTCAAAACATTTATGAGGGGCTGGTGCAAGAGTTAGGAATTGACCTCTGCTTGGCCAGCAGGAATTCAGGAATTGGCCTCTGCATGGCCAGCAGGCAAAGTCAAATCCACCTTAGCAATCATTATTTGCAGTTTTGCAACTGACTGTAGGCTAATTAAATGAAGCACAATCTCTAATTATTGTGTCAGAAATAAAAAATGGTTGCATTATCTTAGCTAGTAGGACACTTGAACATTCAGTGAGGATGTTGAAAGTATTAGGGCTCTCCTCAGACTAGGGAGGAGTAACACTACAGAAAGCAACTGTGCCTCTTTTGCTACTGTCTCTAGTGCCTAGAATATAAGAATACAATAAGTACATGATGAGTAAGTGTCAAATGAAACAGAATTCATCAATTCCTCCCAATAACCTAAGGGTTAGTTCTAGATTATGTCAGAGAACACTTGAGTATGACCTAGAATGTGCAGTTGTTGGGAGATAATTTTGCAAGGGTAACTAATGTTTCCGCACATCCTATGAGCAGAGGCACTAACTCCCTATGTTCCAGAATATCTTGTAAAGAATATTTGCACATAAAATATCCTTGGAAGATAGAAATTTGTGTTCTGTTCCATATAATAAAGGTAACATCTCCCTCTGGGGCAATGTGAATACATGATCACTTCCCATTATAAAATATTTAAGTTCTCTAAGCTTGTCATTCCTCTTCTGTAAAACAACCCATGGCATGTGTACATATCACCTGTACCTCTTTGTGTTGTCCTGTGAGAATTTGGGCTCCTAGAACTAGTGCAAATGCTGATATTCAGGCTACTGCTATTGCTGTAATAAACTGTCCTTTCCTTTGTCTTTGACCCAGGTGTTTTGTGTCTCCTGCCAGCCTCTATGAACTGCATGTTAGCTTGCAGATAGGATAAAAATCTCAGATCTTTCACAGTTCTTGAAAATAGTATTGGCCCGCGTTAAAATATTTTATTAAATCATGCTTTAGTATAGTGCATTTTGTGTAATACCTACACTGAAGTCTATTATAAGAATCAGCCATGAAACCCCCTATTGTACATAGTAAGAGTGTTGCTAGACATTGCTTACTACATCATATAGTACCTCCTAAAAAATAACAACCCTGGAGAAAACGTCTGACTGCTGTGTCAAATATGAAAAGTTGTGGCTATTTTTCCAGAGCAACTGTATTTATTTTTTGACATTGTAACCAGGTTTCTCTTTCTGTGTTGACTGGTAGAAAATTAGAGCCAAATACATCCCCCACCCATATTAAGTGTATAGGTCTTTGTGATGTGCATTCTTTGACATCATTCTTGGCTTTATTTTTCGTCCCCACCCTTATTTCTTGCTTATTTTACTTGGAGTCTTAATTTATGTGATTTTGTAAGTTGTTTTAATTTGTTTCTGGAGCAAGGTGAGGTAAAACAAACAAACCCCACACACAGAAGTTGTGTCAAAAAACATGTGTCACAAGCTATAAAGTGGGCATCTGGGAACCTGTTCTTTTTCCTTTTCTATGCAACCGTAGACTGATAGAATTTTGGTACAATGATTGTATGGCATTTTTTTAAGAATACTTTCTCCTTGGGGAAGTCAGTGAAATCCACGAGATTAGAAGACATCTAGACCACTGCTCAAATAAGTGTCATAGTTTTCAGTCATGTCATGTTTGATTTTTTTTTTTTTTTTTTTTGAGACAGAGTCTCGCTCTGTCGCCCAGGCTGGAGTGCAGTGGCGTGATCTCGGCTCACTGCAAGCTTTGCCTCGCAGGTTCACGCCATTCTCCTGCCTCAGCCTCCCGAGTAGCTGGGACTACAGGCACCCGCCACCACGCCTGGCCAATTCATGCTTGATTTTTTTAAGGGCTCAACGTTAATTTCATTATTTCAAATGAGACTTCTATTAAAACTCATACATCTTTCAAATCTTGGAAGTCAACTTTGTGCAGTCATTTAACCTATTTGTCCATATTTTTAGTCTCTGTAAAGTATTATGCTAGGAGATTTTTAAAAGGCTTGCATGTATGCAATTAATATTTGAAGCTATGCTGTGGTTTTTCTAAGGGATGCTAATAAAAATAATTTTAATATGACTTATTTGAAATGGGAAACCCAGTGTTCCATGTTTTCATCCCAAATCTTTTTTCTTTAATCACTTTCCTGAATTAGACCCATGATCCAATTGGACAAGTGTCCTGCTCCAGTGGAGGTACATTTGGCCAGAGCATGAAGTTCTCTTCCACAATTCTTTTTATAGCACAGAGATGTACTGCCCCTTAAACACCTAAGTGATATTTGCAGGTTATTCTTCAATTTGTCTAAGGCATCTTGACCTCTAAATTTTTGGCTTCATAACCTTGAGTTAATTAGCAACTTGTACTTATAAAACAGTGTGAAGGATCTATTCATCTAGAAACAAGCTTCTTTAAGACCTAAGTTGTATATCTCTAAGCTGTGAAATTTGCTTTCCTTGTTTTATCTACATTCTGCTTTCTTCATGGAGATGCTGAGTACCTAGCTGAACTTGTGCAGGTGAAGGGAATTTTTTTTAACTTAAGCTTCAAATAATGTAAGAATTGATGGAGTCAAGAGCTGAGTGAGAAACATAAGTTAGTAAACTAGAGAAGGAACTCTGAACAGGAGGATATGCCAGAGGAGGATCCTGAAAGTTAGAGTACTGCATCAGGGAGGCTGACAGCCTGGGGCATGCAAGTACGCAGCAGCATGTTGAACGAGTAGTTGTCTGGTGGTCCTGGGAACATACCTAGGACCGTGCAAATTCAACTAATGTGCACATCTTTGAGATGTGGGAGGAAACATGAGGACCCAGAGAAAACCCACGCAGACATGGAAAGAACGTCAAACTTTACATAGTGGCACCAGTTATGAAACAATTTTATTCCAGGAACTGCTGTACATAATTTGGTGAGTTTTAACACTTGTCTTGGCACATGTGTTTACCGGGGAAATCCTCACCGTAATCATGACAATAAACATATCCCTCACTTCCTAGAGAATTCTTGTGTCCCTTTTCAATCTCACCCTTTTCCCTCTCGGTGCCTACCACATGATGCCTCACAACCACTGATCTGCTTTCTAGTACAATGCACTTCACTGCATTTTCTAGAATTTTACATAAATGAAATCATGCAGTATGTACTCTATTACTGACCAGCTTCTTTCACTCATCATGGTTATAATTAGATTCACTTATGGACATTTGGGCTATTGCCAGTTTGGGCTCTTACAAATAAGGCTGCAATGAACATTTGTATATATGTCTTTGGATGGATGGATGGATTTTATTTGTCTTGGATAAATATCCAATATTCCAAGTAGAGTGGACTACCTAATCGGGTGTATGTTTAAATTTTTAAGAAACTACCAAACCCATTTCCAAAGTGGCTGTGCAATTCTATCTTCACACCTATAGTACATGGAGGTTCCAGTTCCTCCATGTCTTCAACATTTGCATGTCAGACATTTTAATTTTTGCCATTCTTACAGGTATGTAGTGCCAGATTTGGGGTTAATTTGCATTTTCCTAATGGCAAATGACGATAAACATGTTTTCAGGTCTTTTTTGCCATTCGCTTATTTATTTTTTTTTAGTAAGGTGTCTGTTCAAAAGTCTTTTTTCCACTTTTGAGGGAGGAGTTTGTTTGTTTCTTTATAATAGAGTTTTGTGAGCCCTTTACATACTCTGAACTTAGGTTTTTTTTAAATCAGATATATACTTTGCAAATATTTCCTCCCTATCATGGCTTGTTTTTTATTCCTTCAGCAGTCTCTTTTGAGGTGCACAGTTCTTAATTTAGATAATGTCTGATTTGTCCTACTTTTTTGTTATAGATTTTACTTTTGGTGTCATAGCTAAAAATCCTTTGCCAAATCCAAAGGCATGAAAATATTCTAAGTTTTATATTTAAATCTGTGAGCCATCCTGAGTTGATTTTTGCATACAGTGCATGGTATGAATCCGAATCCAAGTTCTTTTTTCTTTCTTTTTTTTTTTTTTTTTTTACATACAGACACCCAACTGGGCTAATATCATTTCCTGAAAACACTATCCTTTCCCCACTGAATTAATTTTGCACCCTCATCAAAAATCAATTGTGCATATACATGTGGGTTTTTTTCTGGAGTCTCTATTATGTCCCATTTCTCTATTTGTCTATCTAAATGCCAACAACCTCCTGTCTCGAAAACTGAAGCTTTATAATAAGTCTTAAAAGCAGATAATGCTTGCCCACCTATTCCCTCTCTCTCTCTCTCTTTTTTTTTTTAGACACAATCTCAGCTCTGTTACTGAGGCTGGAGTGCAGCAGTGTAATCATGGCTCACTGCAGCCTTGACCTCCTAGGTTCAAGTGATTCTCCCACCTCAGCCTCCTGAGTAGCTGGGACTATAGGCACACACCGCCAGCCATACCCAGCTATTTTTTTTTTTTTTTTTTTTTTTTTAGTAGCAATCGGGTCTCGCTATGTTGCCACAGCTGGACCAGAACTCCTGAGCTCAAGTGATCCTCCGGCCTTGGCCTCCCAAAGTGCCGGGATTATAGTCATGAACCACTGCACCTAGCTGACTTTTGTATATCCACATGAATTTTAGAATTAGCTCATCAATTTCTACCAAAAAGGCGGGAATAAATTTTGACAGGAATTCAGTTGAATCTATGGATCAATCTGGGGAGAACTGACATTTTAGCAATTGAGTGCTAAAACACAACTAGGTATTTCTCCCCCTCATCTGTGTCTTCTTTAATTTCTCTCAGCAATGTTTTATAGTTTTCCATGTTACAGGCCTTGTAAACATCCTGTCAGATTTCTCTCTTAGCATTACTTATATTTTAATGCTGTTGTAAAATGGTATTTTTTTATTTCAATGACCAATTTTTTTACTGGAGGAACATAGAAATACAATTGATTTTTGTATATTGGGCTTATATCTGCAACCTTGTTAACTTCATTTATTACCTCTAGTAGTTTTTCATGCATTCCATGCAGATTTTCTAAATAAATAATCATGTCATTTTAATAAATACTGTTTTACCTTTTTCTTTCCATTTGAATGCTTTTATTTTTCTTGTGTTATTGAACTGTCTATAATTTCCAATACAGTGTTGAAGTGTTGAGAGCAGACATTCTTGTCCTGTGCCCTTTAGAAATCATTCTGATTTTCATAATTAAGTTAATCTGATATTAGCTGTGAATCTTTTTGCAGATGGTTTTTATAATTCAGAAGGTTCCCTTCTATTTCTAGTTTACTGAGAATTTTTATCAGGAATGGATGTCAAATTTTTTCAAATATTTCTTTGGCAATATTGAGATGATCATATGGTTTTTCTTTTTTAGTTCATTAATATAATGAAATAGATGATTGATATTTGAGTGATAAACAAAAAGTACATACTTGGGATAAACCCTGCTTGGTCATAATTTATGATTCTTTTTATATATTGTATTCATGTTGCTAAAATTTTGTTTAGAATATGTGTGTCTATATTCACATGCAGTAGTGGTCTGTAGATTTTTGTGTGTGTGATGTCAATGTCAAGCTTTTAAAATTTTTTTAATTTTTGTGGGTACATAGTAGGTGTATCTATGGGATACATGAGATATTTTGACACAGGCATGCAATACATAATAATCACATAAGGGTAAATGCAGTATTTATCACCTCAAGCATTTATCCTTTGTGTTATAAACAATTCAATTATAGTTTTATTTTTACATGTATAATTAAATAATTATTGACTATAGTCACCCTGTTGTGCTATCAAATACTAGGTCTTATTCATTCTTTGTAACTATTTTTAGTACCCATAGCCATCCCCACTTCCCTCTCACCTATCACCAACAATCCTTCCCAGCCTCTGGTAACCATTTTTCTACTCTCTATCTTCATGAGATCAATTGTTTTAATTCTTAGCTCCCCAAAATAAGTGAGAACATGTTAAGTGTGTCTTTCTGTGCCTAGCTTATTTCAGTTAACATAATGACCTCCAATTACATCCACGTTGTTGTAAATGACAGAATCTCATTCTTTTCTATGGCTGAATAGTACTCCATTATGTATATATACCACATTTTCTTTATCCATTCATCTGTTCACGGACACTTAGGTTGCTTCCAAATCTCGGCTATTGTAAATAGTGCTGCAATAAACATGGGAGTGCAGATATCTCTTTGATATACTGATTTCCCTTCTTTTGGGTACACACCTAGTAGTGGGATTGCTGGATCATATGGTAGCTCTATGTTTAGTTTTTGAAGACCCTCCAGACTGTTCTCCATAGTGGTTGTACTAATTTACATTCCCACCAAAAGTGTATGAGGGTTCCATTTTTTCCACACCCTCACCAGCATTTTTTATTGCCTGTGTTTTGGATAAAAGCCATTTTAACTGGAGAGGGGTAATACCTCATTGTAATTTTGATTTGCATTTCTTTGATGATCAACAATGCTGAGCACCTTTTCATAAAATGTTAGCCATTTGTATGTCTTCTTTTGAGAAATGTCTATTCAGATCTCTTGCCCATTTTTCAATCTGATTATTATATTTTTTCCTATTGAGTTGTTTCAGCTCCTTATATATTCTGATTATTAATCTCTTGTCAGATGGATAGTTTGCAAATATTTTCTCTCATTCTGTAGGTTGCCTCTTCACTTGGCTGATTGTTTCCTTTATGTACGCAAGCTTTTTAACTTGATGTGAGCCAGTTTGTCCATTTTTGCTTTGGTTGCCTATGATTTGGTGGGCAGTTTCACGGTTTGAAGTCTTAGATTCAAGTATTTCATCCATTTTGATTTGATTTTGGCATATAGCAAGAGATAGGGGTCCAGTTTCAATCTTCTGCATATGGACATCCAGTTTTCCCAGCACCATTTATTGAACAGACGGTCCTATTCCCAATGTATATGTTTGGCACCTTTGCCGAAGAGTTCATTGTAGACATATGGATTTGTTTCCACATTCTCTATCCCTATCCACTTGTTCATGTGTCGGTTTTTATGCCAATACCATGCTATTTTGGTTACTATAACTGTTGTATAATTTGAAGTCAGGTAATGTGATTCCTCTAGTATTGTTCTATTTGCTCAGGATAGGTTTGGCTATTTTGAGTCTTTTATGTTTCCATATATATTTTAGGATTTTTTTTTCTATTTCTGTGAAGAATGTCGTTGGTATTTTGATACGTATTGCATTGAATCTGCAGATTGCTTTACATGAGATGGACATTTTAACAATATTGATTCTTCCAATCCATGAATATGAAATATCTTTCCATTTTTTTTTGGTGTCCTCTGCAATTTCTTTCATCAATGCCTTATAGTTTTCCTTGTAGAGATCTTCTTTAGTTTCTTTACATTCACTTCTTTAGTTAATTCCTAAATATTTAATCTTATTTTTAGTGACTGTAAATTGGATTATTTTCTGGATTTCTTTTACAGATTGTTTGCTGTTGGCATATAAACATGCTACTGATTTTCTTATGTTAATTTTTTATACTGCAAATTTATTGAATTTGTTTATTAGTTCTAATAGTTTATTAGTAGGGTCTTAAGATTTTTCCAAATATAAGATCATATCATCTACAAACAAAGACACTTTGACTTCTTCCATTCCAATTAGGATTCTCTTTATTTCTTTCTCTTGTTTGATGCTCTAGCCAGGACTTCCAGTACTGTGTTGAAGAACAGTGGTAAAGTGAACATCCTTGTGATTTTCCCAATCTTACAGGAAAGGCTTTCAGTTTTTTTCCATTCAGTGTGATAATAGCTGTAGGTGTGTCATATATGGCCCTTATTATGTTGCAGTATATTCTTTCTATACCAAGTTTATTGAGTTTTGTCATGAAGCTATGCTTAATTTAATCAAATGCTTTTTGGCATCAATTGAAATGATCTTTTTTTGTTCGTTTATTATTATACTTTAAGTTCTAGGGTACATGTGCACAACATGCAGGTTTGATACATAGGTATACACATGAAATGATGATTTGCTGCACCCATCAACTCATCATTTACATTAGGTATTTCTCCTAATACTATCCTTCCCCCAGCCCCCCACCCACCAACAGGCTCTGGTGTGTGATGTTCCCCACCCTGTGTCCAAGTGATCTCATTGTTCGATTCCTACCTATGAGTGAGAACATGTGGTGTTTGGTTTTCTGTCCTTGCCATAGTTTGATGAGAATGATGGTTTCCAGCTTCCTCCATGTCCCTGCAAAGGACATGAACTCATCATTTTTTATGGCTGCATAGTATTCCATGGTATAGATGTGCCACATTTTCTTAATCCAGTCTGTCACTGATGGACATTTGGGCTGGTTCCAAGTCTTTGCTATTGTGAATGGTGCCACAATAAACATACGTGTGCATGTGTCTTTATAGTAGCATGATTTATAATCCTTTGGGTATATACCCAGTAATGGAATTGCTGGGTCAAATGGTAATTCTAGTTCTAGATCCTTGAGGAATCACCACACTGTCTTCCACAATGGTTGAACTAATTTACACTGCCACTAACAGTGTAAAAGCATTCCTATTTCTCCATATCCTCTCCAGTATCTGTTGTTTCCTTACTTTTTAATGATTGCCATTGTAACTGGCGTGAGATGGTATCTCATTGTGGTTTTGATTTGCATTTCTCTGATGACCAGTGATGATGAGCATTTTTTCATGTGTCTGTTGGCTGTATAGAAGTCTTCTTTTGAGAACTGCCTGTTCATATCCTTTGCCCACTTTTTGATGGGGTTGTTTTTTTCTTGTAAATTTGTTTGAGTTCTTTGTAGATTCTGGATATTAGTCCTTTGTCAGATGGGTAGATTGCAAAAATTTTCTCCAATTCTGTAGGTGACCTGTTCACTCTGATGGTAGTTTCTTTTTTGCTGTGCAGAAGCTCTTTAGTTTAATTAGATCACATTTGTCTATTTGGATTTGTTGCCATTGCTTTTGGTGTTTTAGTCATGAAGTCCTTGCCAATGCCTATGTCCTGAATGGTCTTGCCTAGGTTTTCTTCTAGGGTTTTTTATGGTTTTAGATCTAACATTTAAGTCTTTAACCTATCTTGAATTAATTTTTGTATAAGGTGTAAGGAAGGGATCCAGTTTCAGCTTTCTACATATGGCTAGCCAGTTTTCCCAGCACCATTTATTAAACAGGGAATCCTTTCCCCGTTGCTTGCTTTTGTCAGGTTTGGCAAAGATCAGATGGTTGTAGATGTGTGGTGTTATTTCTGAGGCCTCTGTTCTGTTCCATTGGTCTATATATCTGTTTTGGTACCAGTACCATGCTATTTTGGTTACTGTAGCCTTGTAGTATAGTTTGAGGTCAGGTAGTGTGATGCCTCCAGCTTTGTTCTTTTTGCTTAGGATTGTCTTGGTAAAGCAGGCTCTTTTTTGTTTCCATATTAACTTTAAAGTAGTTTTTTCCTGTTCTGTGAAGAAAGTCATTGGTAGCTTGATGGGGGTGGCATTGAATCTATAAATTACTTTGGGCAGTATGGCCATTTTCATGATATTGATTCTTCCTATCCATGAGCATAGACTATTCTTCCATTTGTTTGTGTCCTATTTTATTTTGTTGAGCAGTGGTTTGTAGTTCTCCTTGAAGTGGTCCTTCACATCCCTTGTAAGTTGGATTCCTAAGTATTTTATTCTCTTTGTAGTAATTGTGAATGGGAGTTCACTCATGATTTGACTCTCTGTTTGTCTGTTAATGGTGTATAGGAATGCTTGCGATTTTTGCACATTGATTTTGTATCCTGAGACTGCTGAAGTTGCTTCTCAGCTTAAGGAGATTGTGGGCTGAGATGATGGGGTTTTCTAAATATACAATCATGCCATCTGCAAACAGGGACAATTTGACTTCCTTATTTCCTAATTAAATACCCTTTATTTCTTTCTCTTGCCTAATTGCCCTGGCCAGAACTTCCAACACTATGTTGAATAGGAGTGGTGAGAGGGGGCATCCTTGTCTTGTGCCTTTTTCAAAGGGAATGCTTCCAGTTTTTGTCCATTCAGTATGATATTGGCTGTGGGTTTGTCATAAATACCTTTTATTATTTTGAGATATGTTCCATCAGTACCTAATTTATTGAGAGTTTTTAGCATGAAGGGCTTTGAATTTTGTCAAAGGCTGTTTCTGCATCTATTGAGATAATCATGTGGTTTTTGTCTTTGGTTCTGTTTATGTTAAGGATTACATTTATTGATTTGCATATGTTGAACCAGCCTTGCATCCCAGGAATGAAGCCCACTTGATCGTAGTGGATAAGCTTTTTGATGTGCTGCGGGATTTGATTTGCTAGTATTTTACTGAGGATTTTCGCATTGATGTTCATCAGAGATATTGGTCTAAAATTCTCTTTTTTTGTTGTGTCTCTGCCAGGCTTTGGTATCAGGATGATGCTGGCCTCATAAAATGAGTTAGGGAGGATTCCCTCTTTTTCTATTGATTGGAATAGTTTCAGAAGGAATGGTACCAGCTCCTCTTTGTACCTCTGGTAGAACTTGGCTGTGAATCCGTCTGGTCCTGGACTTTTTTTGGTTGGTAGGCTATTAATTATTGCCTCAATTTCAGAGCCTGTTATTGGTCTATTCAGAGATTCAACTTCTTCCTGGTTTAGTCTTGGGAGGCTGGATGTGTCCAGGAATTTATCCATTTTTTCTAGATTTTCTAGTTTATTTGTGTAGAGGTGTTTATAGTATTCTCTGATGGTAGTTTGTATTTCTGTGGGATCAGTGGTGATATCCCCTTTATCATTTTTTATCGCATCTATTTCATTCTTCTCTCTTTTCTTATTAGTCTTGCTAGCCGTCTATCAACTGTGTGGATCTTTTAAAAAAACAAGCTCCTGGATTCATTGATTTTTTGAAGGGTTTTTTGTGTCTCTATCTCTTTCAGTTCTGCTCTGATCTTAGTTATTTCTTGCCTTCTGCTAGCTTTTGAATGTGTTTGCTCTTGCTTCTCTAGTTCTTTTAATTGTGATGTTAGGGTGTCAATTTTAGATCTTTCCTGCTTTCTCTTGTGGGCATTTAGTGCTATAAATTTCCCTCTACACATGCCTTAAATGTGTCCCAGAGATTCTGGTATGTTGTGTCTTTGTTCTCTTTGGTTTCAAAGAATATCTTTATGTCTGCCTTCATTTCGTTATTTACCCAGTAGTCATTCAGGAGCATGTTATTCAGTTTCCATGTAGTTATGCAGTTTTGAGTGAGTTTCTTAATCCTGAGTTCTAATTTGATTACACTGTGGTCTGAGAGATAGTTTGTTGTGATTTCTGTTCTTTTACATTTGCTGAGGAGTGCTTTACTACCAATTATGTGGTCAATTTTAGAATAAGTGTGATGCAGTGCTGATTAGAATGTATATTCTGTTGATTTGGGGTGGAGAGTTCTGTAGATGTCTATTAGGTCTGCTTGATGCAGAGCTGAGTTCAAGTCCTGGATATCCTTGTTAACCTTCTGTCTCATTGATCTGTCTAATATTGACAGCGGGGTGTTAAAGTCTCCCATTATTATTGTGTGGGAGTCTAAGTCTCTTTGTAGGTCTCTAAGGACTTGCCTTATGAATCTGCGTGCTCCTGTATCGGGTGCATATGTATTTAGGATAGTTAGCTCTTCTTGTTGCATTGATCCCTTTACCATTATGTAATGGCCTTCTTTGTCTCTTTTGATCCTTGTTGGTTTAAATTCTGTTTTATCAGAGACTAGGATTGCAACCCCTGTTTTTTTTTTTTTTTTTTTTTTTTTTTGCTTTCCATTTGCTTGGTAGATCTTTCTCCATTCCTTTATTTTGAGCCTATGTGTGTCTATGCACGTGTGATGGGTCTCCCAAATACAGCACACTGATGGGTCTTGACTCTATCCAATTTGCCAGTCTGTATCTTTTAATTGGAGTATTTAGCCCATTTACATTTAAGGTTAATATTGTTATATGTGAATTTGATTCTGTAATTATGATGCTCACTGGTTATTTTGCCCATTAATTGATGTAGTTTCTTCATAGCATTGATGGTCTTTACAATTTGGCATGTTTTTTGCAGTGGCTGGTACTGGTTGTTCCTTTCCACATTTAGTGCTTCCTTCAGGAGCTCTTGTAAGGCAGGCCTGGTGGTGACAAAATCTCTCAGCATTTTCTTGTCTGTAAATGATTTTATTTCTCCTTCACCTATGAAGCTTAGTTTGGCTGGATATGAAATTCTGGTTGAAAATTCTTTTCTTTAAGAATGTTGAACATTGGTCCCCACTACCTTCTGGCTTGTAGGGTTTCTGCCAAGACATTCACTGTTAGTCTGATGGGCTTCCCTTTGTGGGTAACCCGACCTTTCTCTCTGGCTGCCCTTAACACTTTTTCCTTCATTTCAACCTTGGTGAATCTGACAATTATGTGTCTAGGGGTTGCTCTTCTCAAGGAGTATCTTTGTGGTGTTCTCTGTATTTCCTGAATTTGAATGTTGGCCTGCCTTGCTAGGTTGGGGCAGTTCTCCTGGATAATATCCTGAAAAGTGTTTTCCAACTTGGTTTCATTCTCCCCATCACTTTCATGTACACCAATCAAACGTAGATTTGGTCTTTTCACATAGTCCCATATTTCTTGGAGGCTTCATTCATTTCTTTTTACTCTTGTTTTCTCTAACCTTGTTTTCTCGCTTTATTTCATTAATTTGATCTTCAATCAGTGATATCTTATTCCACTTGATCAAATCAACTATTGAAGCATATGCATGTGTCACGAAGTTCTTGTGCCATAGTTTTCAGCTCCATCAGGTCATTTAAGGTTATCTCTACACTCTTTATTCTAGTTAGTCATTCGTCTAATCTTTTTTCAAGGTTTTTTTCTAGAGGGGTAAAGGTATTAGGTAAATATGGCCATTTCAAATGGGAGAAATTAGCCAAAACAAAGAGGCTACAGGGCCCATACAAGTCCAAAATCCAGCAGGGCAGCCAAATCTTAAAGCTCCAAAATGTTCTCCTTTGACTCCATGTCTCACATCTGGGTCACACTGAAGCAAGAGGTGGGTTCCCATGGTCATGGGCAGCTCTACCTCTGTGGCTTTGCAGGGTATAACCTTCCCAGCTGCTTTTATGGGCTGGTGTTGAGGGTCTGCAGCTTTTCCAGGTGCACAGTGTCAGTTGTCAGTGTACCTACGATTCTGGGGTCTGGAGGACTGTGGCCCTCTTCTCACAGCTCCACTAGGCAGTGCCCCAGTAGGGACTCTGTGTGGCCTCTTCCTCACTGCCCTAGCAGAGGTTCTCCATGAGGGCCTGCCCCTGCAGCAAACTTCTTTCTGGACATCTGGGCACTTCCATACATCCTCTGAAATTTAGGTAGATGTTCCCAAACCTCAGTTCTTGATTTCTATGTACTCACAGGATCAACACCACATGGAAGCTGCCAAGACTTGGGGATTGCACCCTCTGAAGCCATTGCCCCAGCTCTACATTGGCCCCTTTCAGCCATGGCTGAAGTGGCTGGGATGCAGGGCACCAAGTCCCTAGGCTGCTCACAGCATGGGGACCCTGGGCCCAGTCACATTTTTTACTCCTAGGCCTCTGGGCCAGTGATAGGAGGGGCTGCCATGAAGACCTCTGACATGGCCCAGAGACATTTTCCCCATTGCCCTGGGTAATAACATTGGACTCGTCATTATTTATGCAAATTTCTACAGCTAACTTGAATTTCTCCTGAGAAAATTGGTTTTTCTTTTCTATTGCATGGTCAGGATGCAAATTTTCCAAACTTTTATGCTCTGCTTTCCTTATAAAAGTGAATTCTTTTAATAGCACCTAAGTCACCTCTTGAATGCTTTGCTGCTTAGAAATTTCTTCCACCAGATACCCTAAATCATCTCTCTCAAGTTCAAAGTTCCACAAATCTCTAGGGCAGGGGCAAAATGCCGCTAGTCTTTTTGCTAAAACATAACAAGAGCCACCTTTGCTCCAGTTCCAAACAATTTCCTCATTTTCATCTGAGACCACCTCAGCCTGGACTTTATTGTCCATATCACTATCAGCATTTTTGTCAAAGACATTCAACAAGTCTCTAGGAAGTTCCAAACTTTCCCACATTTTTCTGTCTTCTTCTGAGCCCTCCAAACTGTTCCAACCTCTACCTGTTACCCAGTTACAAAGTCACTTCCACGTTTTTGGACATTTTTTCAGCAATGCCCCACTTACTGGTACCAATTTACTGTATTAGTCCATTTTCACACTGCTGATAAAGACATACCAAGACTTGGCAAAAAGAGAGAGTGTTTGTGCAGGGAAATTCCCATTTTTAAAACCATCAGATCTTGCAAGACTTACTCACTATCACAAGAACAGCACAGGAAAGACTTACCCCCATGATTCAACTATCTCTCACCAGGTCCCTCCCACAACACGTGGGAATTCAAGATAGTATTTGGGTGGGGTACAAAGCCAAACCATATCACAGGTCAAATATGTTGACATAAAGTTTTCATTTTTTAAAATTATTCCTTTAATATCTACTGATTGCAGTGATGTCACCTCTCTCATTTCTGATACTGATTAGTGTCTCTTTTCTCCTGTATAATGTCCAACACTATATAAACACCATATATTCATTATCTCACTTAATCCTCAAAGAATCTAATGAGAGAGTCACTATATTTTTAACAGATAAAACACTGATGTTCAATAAACATAAGTAACTTCACTCAAAGTCAAACAGCTAAATCTGAATGTGATTTCAGGGTCCTGGCTCATAATGGTTTATTACATACAAGTTGACTTGTTGCTATATAAGTAACCAAAATGTAACTGAGCCTCCTTGTCTAGCCGTGCCCTCACCTAGTGTCTTCTATTGAATTCTCCCCTCCCTGCCCTCAATTCTAAGTGCAAAAGCATTGATGACATGGTCTGTATTGAAGGTTTCATACTGAGACAAGGGAGGAGCTAGTCACACAGCAACACATCTGAAATATCCACTTTTAAAAGAAGATCTAAACTCCATTTGCTCACAACAGCTTTCAAATATGTCTTTTCTCTCTTTCTTTCTAAAGCTTTTCCTCCTTGTTTTTCCCAGAAGAGCTGGTCATTCTCTCTTCAACATTTGCAAAACCCACTCCAAGAAAAAAAATTAGAAATGATTCATTATTCTTCTAGCATTCCCTTGGTAGTGCTCAATTTTTAAATTGTTTCCCAAAGCATACATTTCACATTCCCTGATCCTCATTAACAATCCTGTGAAAGTTTTCAGATGGAAATGGGGAAGACATGACTCAGACAATTTAAGAGACTTGCCCAAGGACACAGTTAGTCAACGGTGCAGCTCAAAACTTTAGTGTGTATCATCTCCTAAAAACTTAAAGCACAAAATTTCTTCCCTCATTCACTATCTTAGATGTGAAATTAAATTTTAGAGAATTCTTTTGGCTTACATATAAAATGCAAAGATTTCTTAGAAGGGTAACATTGTGAGCTAGCATATGACCAGTCATTATACCTTAAAGTTCATGAAGATATTCAGGACAGACTGGAGGATGGAGCAAGAGAGGGATGGGAAGATGATGAAATGGTATATAGGAAGTTGAAACCTGGATTATCCTCAGGACATGAGTGAAATCCAGGCCTGGGCTTATCCTGTAGTATATTAGAATCCATAGACGGCCTTACTTTCCTATGTTCTTCTCTTTTAGAATCCATCCATTCATTTAACGATTTATTCCTTATGACTTATTTTGAGTTTCTTATTCTTTCTCTACCCTCAACCCTGAGAACCACAAGAACTTATTGGGAAAAGAAATCACCTAAGCATCCCTGAATTATCTCTAATTCAAGAGCACCTGTAGATCAGGACTAACCTTCTGAGGTCCATCAGCTTGTTGTGGTCCTATTCTTCATGGTGAAATTACTTTCCCTGAGACCTCATTACCAAGCAGGATCTTATGCCTAGTAGAGGAAGGGATTAGAATCCTCCAGAGAATTTCTTCTCAAGTGTTGCCTCAGGCAAATGATGAGAAAGTCTTTTTCCCCATTTCTCCATGCTAAAGTGAAAGAAAACAGCCTTCCTTGAAATTATGTGATTCACCAGAAACATCTGACATTAATTCCAGGAAAAAGACTTGAAATATGAAAATGTGTAGGAAGCAACAGGGATGGTCTCACAGATAATCCATGGCATAAGATGTGGAAACTCCTTGTTAAATGTATCATCAGCTCTCACTTCCTGAACTGAAAACTGGTGGTCTTTGACTTATGAAATGTCTTGTTCTCAGCACCAGTGTGCAGAGAGGACATTAAATCAGGTCAAAGAATGCCAACCACATAATATGATGCTGATAGGGCTCTGAATTCTCTTCAGAAGACTGGCATTTTGCATTTCAAATGGCCTAGCCTGTCTTCCGAAACAGGATGCACTGTATCACCCAAGCCCCTTAAGCCAGTCTGATCACCAGCCTGACACTTGAAGCACCATAAGCTAGACTCTTATCATCTAGAGTCCTCCAGTCCTGCCACCCAGCTTGTCATTCCTAGGCAGATAAAAACCAGAATTCTCACTAGCAATTAATTGCGTAGACTTGTCTATTTCGTTAATTTGACCAACATCTATGGAGAGCCCAAAGCTTGCTAGACACTCTAAAGCATTGAGGCCCAAGAGAAGAGACCATTCCTTGCCCTAGATGAAGGCTTTTAGGACATGAAGAAGAGCAATCCAATGGTTACTAAATAGTGTGCTTAGTATCATGTATTGGGGGGAACCACCTCCAATATTTCAACATAGGTTCTTTCTATTTTCCCTAAGTGTCGGCCAGTCTGAGAAATAAAGAGAAAGAGTACAAAGAGAGGAATTTTACAGCTGGGCCGCTGGGGGTGACATCACATATCAGTAGGTCCGTGATGCCCACCTGAGCTGCAAAACCAGCAGGTTTTTATTAAGGGTTTCAAAAGGAGAGGGGGTGTATAAGCAGGGAGTAGGTCACAAAGATCACATGCTAAGGGCAAAAAGGAGAACAAAGATCACATGCTTCTGAGGCCAATAAAGATCACAAGGCAAAGGGCAAAATCAAAAACTCCTGATAAGGGTCTATGTTCAGCTGTGCACGTATTGTCTTGATAAACATCTTAAACAACAGAAAACAGGGTTCGAGAGCAGAGAACTGGTCTGACCTCAAATTTACCAGGGAATGGTTTTTTCCCCACCCTAATAAGCCTGAGGGTACTGCAGGAGACCAGGGCATGTTTCAGTCCTTATCTCAACCGCATACAACAGACACTCCAAGAGCGGCCATTTATAGACCGCTCCCCAGGAAAGCAATTCCTTTCCCAGGGTTTTAATTATTAATATTCCTTGCTAGGAAAAGAATTTAGCGATATCTTCCCTACTTGCACGTCCGTTTATAGGCTCTCTGCAAGAAGAAAAATATGGCTCTATTCTGCCCGACACCACAGGCAGTCAGACCTAATGGTTATCTTCCCTTCTTCCCTGAAAATCACTGTTATTCTGTTTTTTTTTTTTTCAAGGTGCACTAATTTCATATTGTTCAAACACACTTGTTTTACAATGAATTTGTACAGTTAACGCAATCATCACAGTGGACCTGAGGTGACATACATCCTCAGCTTATGAAGTTAACAGGATTAAGAGATTAAAGTAAGACAGGCATAAGAAATTATAAGAGTATTATTAGAGAAGTGATAAATGTCCATGAAATCTTCACAATTTATGTTCCTCTGCCATGGCTCCAGCCGGTCCCTCCGTTCGGGGTCCCTGACTTCCCGCAACAATTATGGATAGTGGTGAACACGAGAACATATGAAAACCTTAGAAGGTCTCTAGCCCTACCTAATCGAGTGGGGAGGAGGAGAGGGTATAAGAAAATCTTCCTGAAGATACCAGTTTTTGATAACTCTTTAAATGGCAAGGAGAGTTACATAATTAAAGGGAAAGGAAGGTCTTAGCCTCTAACAAAATAAGAATGATGTCAGTTTGATTAATCAATAAATGGAAAGTAAAATGAATTGATGTAAAATGAAAAACACAATGATGAAAGAATATAGTTTAACTCTATTTAGAAGTGAAAATTAAGTGTGATAATTTCCTATGGTTGCCATAAAAATTATCACAAACTCAATGGCTTAATACAATACAAATTTAATATCTTACAGTTCTGTAGTTCAGAAGTTTGACATGAATCTCACAGGAATAAAGTCAAGGTATTGGCTGGGCTGCATCCCTTCCTAGAGGCTCTAAAAGATAACCTGTTTCCTTACCTTTTTTCAGCTTCTAGAGCCCATATTCTGGCCTTGACCCCTTCCCTCCACCTCCAAAGTCAACAACATAGCATCTCTCTGAAACTGCTTCCATCTTCACATCTCTTTCTCTGACTTTTCTGTAGCTCTGTCTTCCATTTTTGAGAAACATTGTGATTACATTGGGCCCACCTGGATAACAAAGATTATCTCTCAATTTTATGGTCAGTTGATTTGCAAGCTAAATTCCAACAGCAGCCCTAATTCTTTTTTGCCATGTTACCTAACATTCAAGTTTGGGAAAATTAGGATGTGACAATTTTTGTAAATTTCCCTGAAGAAGCAAAGTGTCTCCAAAATCACAATGACAAGATGGTTCAGAGAACCTAAGGAGCATGTGAATGTTAAATAGAAATATTTGGCTGGGGCCAGGCGCGGTGGCTCATGCCTGTAATCCCAACACTTTGGGAGGCCAAGGCAGGCAGATTACAAGGTCAAGAGAGCGAGACCATCCTGACTAACACGGTGAAACCCCGTCTCTACTAAAAGTACAAAAAAAAAAAATTAGCCAGGTGTGGTGGCAGGCACCTGTAGTCCCAGCTACTCGGGAGGCTGAGGCAGGAGAATGGTGTGAACCTGGGAGGCAGAGATTGCAGTGAGCTGAGATCGTGCCACTGCACTCCAGCCTGGGTGACAAAGCGAGACTCCATCTCAAAAAAAAAAAAAAAAGAAATATTTGGCTGGGCACAGTGGCTCACGCCTGTAATCCTAGCACTTTGGGAGGCCAAGGTGGATGGATCATTTGAGGTCAGGAGTTAGAGACCAGCCTCGCCAAGATGGTGAAACCCCATCTCTACTAAAAATACAAAAATTAACTGGGCATAGTGGCAGTCACCTGTAGTCCCAGCTACTAAGGAGGCTGAGGCAGGAGAATAGCTTGAACCTGGGAGGTGGAGGTTGCAGTGAGCCGAGATTGTGCCTTTGCACCCCAGACTGGTGACAGAGCGAGACTCTTCTGTCTCAAAAAAAAAAAAAAAAAAAAAAGAAAGAAAAAGAAATATTTTAGTCAGGGGGTTAAAGAGGTTAAAAAGACACAGCAGTAAAGATAAATGTGGAGTTTTTGTTGGAGCATTTTCAAACGTGCTGCTTGTTGATTCTACCTGAGAAAATGTAGCACATGGGCATTATGAATGGATGGAATGTGTTAACACATCACTACTGGATTAGGCTTTTTACAATTTAAAAAAATGTGGGTACATGGTAGATGTATATATTTATGGGATTACATCAAGTTAAAAAGCTTCTGCACACCAAAGGATACATTCTTATCATTTTGAATGTATGATTTCTCCCATGTCCTTGTCACTGGATTTCACCTACACCAATGAAACCAACTCATCCATACTAAGAAATAGTTGTTAATGTTTCTCTACCAATAACTGCCAGAGCCTTTAAAATATTCATACCCTTTGGCTCAATAACTCACATTAAAAAATATATGCCAAGGTAAGGATTCAAAATTTAAAGATCATCTAAACATTTTTTAGGAAAAGTGAAAAAGTTTGTGACCGCATACAACAGCATAAAACATTTAAAAAGGAGGTTGATGATATAAATCGGAGCACAATCTAATAACTAAATATAACCCAGTCACTAAAAACCACATAAAATTGGCTACCTGAGAAATCCTAAAACGCTAACAGAAAAAGGACACAATTTATGAAACATTAAACACTGTATGAATATAGTTATATTTAAAATGTGTCTAAATTTTAAAGGCTGGAAGAATATAAACCAAAACCCATTGTCTCTGTGTGGTAGAACTATGGAGATCATATTTCTTCTCTCTATTTTTCCATAGAAATATTTATAAGCAAGTCCTTCTTGTGCAATGGAAAATTGTTCTAGAAATATTTTTCTTATTCGTAACCATCTCAGTATATAGCTGGTAGCAATAGGTGGATCCAGGAGGGTTTAGACATGAACCCAATAGGTAATCAGGTCCCCAACTCTTCTCACCCAAGTGAGTTATTCACAACATCTTAGGCAAGCCATATAACAACAGACAGTGGAAGCTCACACAACACAAGAGAAAAGAAAAGCACCAACAAGTAATTGTGTCCACATCAATCACACAGGCTGAGGCATAACTGATATGTTGTCCCAGGTTTAGGTGAGACAGACCTGCTTCAGACACTACACTGAGGGGCACTGTCTAAGTAGGCTGCATTCGGAACAGACAGGTTGATGGCGGCAATTCTAGGAAATCCCAGTATCCAGTCCATTGCAGACACTCAATAATTATCCACTGAATGGGAAGCTACCATCCTTTCCCCCTTTCTTATGTTGCAGCACCCACAATACGTCTGCAGGGAAATAGGACTAAGTGATCACCAACTTGTAGCTATCATGTAGAAAAGCAGCAGAGAGAGGGAGGAAACACTATCATCTGTATAGTCACTTATGGAGTGAGTGTGTGTGTGTGTGTGTGTGTGTGTAGCCCCCCACACTCTTGGACCTTGTTTCCAATTGTCTGACCTCTACCACCTCCAATCAATAAAAATGTCCTAAACCCCATAACCCTAGTCCGCTGTTTCCTTCCCCTGATCAAGCCCTTCTTTCTGTTCCACTTATTAGCTCTTATACTTACTTTTTTCCAGTTTATCTCTTCGCCGTCTCTGTTATCCAATTTTGCATATTTGCTTTGCATAATAGAAATGTATGTATTTAATAATAACTAATTCTAAGTAACTAGTTATTATTAGTATTTAATAATAACTAATTCTTAAGTAACTAATTCTGAATTTTAGAGGAATAAAGATAAGTTTTCCTTAGATTGTTTTTGTTCTCTCCCACTTCATGCATTGAAGGAAGGATGGGATATAAAAGTGTATTATGTTTACTGTGGAATCAGCCTGGTAATGACCACAAAAGGTATAATTAGGATCAGAGCAGAATACCTCACGGTGAAAAGCTCTGGCCTCCATCGCCTCAATCTACTGAAAAACACTGGCATTTAGTTTAAGGCCTTGTTTAAATGTGAATTTACTTGGAAAGGAGTTTTTAGCTATTTTTAGTCAGTGTGAGTGGATTACAAATACTTTCTTCATAATCATTTTCAGAGGAGGGAAACAAAGATAAAGATGACATCTTGGAAGCCTGCGGGAGGACAGAAAATGGCACAGGGAACAGGAGCAAGAGGCAGCAAAGGGACACATAATTGACTGCACCATTGTGCTTGTAACTGGTCTTAGACATACTCATGCCACAGACATTTGCCAATTCAAGATGTGCATTTAAACATGGCCTCTCACCTTGGCGCTCAGGAAATTACAATCCGGCTGAAAAAAAATGAGCATTCCAGAATATATAGCACATGAACTATATGTCTAGAGAAAATGTATTTTCCTTTTCTGTCCCCAAAGTGTGAAACCTGAGGCATCTTTAACTAAGAATGATTGTGGAGCACATGATTCTTTGCTTATAAAAAATCTTGGAAGAAACTAGTGCTATACTTTTGGCTCCGAGATGCCGATGAAGCAGGAAATGTTAAAATATTAAAATATTCTGGACTCTTACACAAAGGCTCTCAGTCTAAAATGGAATAAGAAACTCTTTTGGAAAAGATAGGGGATTAACAGGTGTGGGTTTTAAGTGTGTGCATTCTCCTTAGCTGACTCCTGAAAGTGTCCCCAAGGCTCTGTCTTTGGGAGATGGAAAGAGACGAAGCCTTAGGCAGGCTGATGCACAGATACAAAGATACTTATGTTTGTCAGGAGCAAAAAGGAAACCATGAGTCACACAGAAAAGAAAGATTAAATACATAAAAGAGTTTTTTGCTTTTCCTGGAATTCTTACTAGGAAAAAAAGCAACTTATTTTTTTCCTTACTGCAACAAATACCATTTTTCAGTATAGAGATGAACAGCATGTTTACATGTGCAAAATTAAGTGATTTTCCAATTTATACCCCTCCTCTTTCATTAAGGTCAAACAAAATGCCTTCTAGCAGATGAATTGCTACTCTTTAAAACAAAACAAAAATCTAGCGAATGGAAGTGTATAAACCTGAATTTTATAATGTTTCTGTGCCTTTAGAGGCAAGAGTACACTTCTATCAAGTTATAGCCATTCTATACAACTAAAAAAACATGGCAGCTTAAAAGAGAAAGCTCTTACCTTGGTTTTCCTTAAATTTACCAAATTTATTGAATTTTATTCAAAGCATTATTACGCTATCAGCAAAATATGTGACAGATGGTGGGGAAAAGAAATTTTTAAGAAGTCTCACAATTCTTATCTGTCTTCTAGTTTACAGTACTTATTGTTTTTAGTGAAAGATAACAGCAGTGTGCTTTAGTGCTTAAGCAAATGTGCACTGAACACCAAAATGTGCGATGCATACCTAAAGGAGGCTATTTCTGTTGCTTCATCGGATTATCAAAATATGGGCAATGAGGTTGGTGGGCATGATGTGAAGAGCCTGCCATAAAGAATTGAACTACAGTATCCTTTATCCAAAATGATTGGGACCAGAGGTGTTTCAGATTTTTTGAGTTTTGCAATATTTGTGTTATACCAATTGAGCATCCCAAATTCAAAAATCCTAAATTCAAAATGCTCCAATAAGGATTTCTTTTCAGCATCTTGCTGGCACTCAAAATGTTGCAGATTTTGGAGCATTTTTAACTCCAGATTTGGGGATTTGGGATGTTCAATCTGTATTACTCATGAAAGTAAGGCCAGTGTTAAATCCTCAAGCTCATCTCCTACTTTGCTAAAGTGGGAACCATGTATTCCAGAATCCTTCAGTTTTGAGTTTCCCCCACTTAGGGTTTTCATGGATTTAAGTGATCAAGAAAATAATGTTTCTGTTGGTGGCTGATGGCTAGAGTGACCACCTCTCCTGTATAAACACCTTAAGTACCACTGTGTCCAGATTTGGACTCTGGCCAACAACAGATAAATTTACCTAGACTACCTATCACAGAAGTACAGTTGGAATCAATAAGGAGTTGATTAAGGAAGTAGAGTTTGAATCAATTGTCAGTCTGAAGGAGGGGAAAAAGATGCTTACTAAAAAGCATCATTAGATAATTTGCCACAAGGAAAAGTTCTATTTGACACAATGACTAGGTGAGTGATTTTCACATTCCTCCCTCAGTACTGACAAGAAATATATCACACACAAATTATATCAATTGTACTTGTTATTTTAATGTCTGAATTCCTTCCCCCATTTTCCCCTTGTGGACAGAAACACTCTCATCTCATCTTTGTATCCCCACTGCCTACCATGGTCCCTAGAGAGCAGAAGAGACCTTTGATAAATATTACTGGATATCATAATCATGAGAATTACTGAAATTAAGGGTAAAATGTAACAAAGGAAGATTGACAATGAGAATTTTCACACATTCCCAAGACTGTCCAGGGAAGAGAACACTTGTTCAATGCAACTATTCCAGGTCTTTGAAAGGAACTCTCAAATACCTAATATATTGTAGAAGTAAAAAAGGAAGAAAGAAAAGAGCTGTATAATAATTACAGCCTGGAAAATGTCATGAACTTTCTTGGGAGCCAAGTCACAGTCAGAGTTGTCTAAGCAGAGGTGACATAACCAGTTGTGCATGATATTGCAAATGTGTTACATGAACATTGGACCTTTAGTTTCTTCCCGATTCGAAAGTCAATAGTTGGCCTATTCATTTGGCTATGTACAATTACTTTTTGATCATATGCCATAATGACAGTTAGCATCCTTGCCCACCTCTATATTCACTGTTAAGCAGGGTCCTTGGTAGTTTTGTTTTCTAAGGTGATTTTCCCAGCAAGAAGGAAACAAGGGCTCTAAGATAAGTGAGTTTGATTTTAAGGTCAGGTACATCTTCTATAATTTGTGAATTGACTATATGGCACTAATCAATCTTTTGTAGATTTGGTCAGCATTACATAAATTTTACAAGGATTTAATAATAACCAGCAACCAGAACAGCATTGTTCAAGATGTGCTAGTCAAAATGTTGGTAGCTGGGTCCTCTTATTGATACCCTTGCCTCTAGTCCTGTTCTATCTAATGCATTTTTTTCTCTGATACAAGAGTGACCATCCTAAACATAAACCTAAAACTACCACCACACTCCACTCCATAAGACCCTTTAATGTCATCTAATTGCCTTCAAAAGAAAGTCTAAATGGCCCTAAGTTGTCTCTCCCTTAACTACCTCTTCATCTCAACCCCAGATACTCCCTCCCCTTGCCCTGTGTTCAGACATTGACAAATTCACAGTCCCCAATTGTGACATGTGCTCTGTCTTCCCTATCTCTGGAAATCAGCAATTCTCCACAGGAAGCAATTTTGCCCCCCAAGGGACATTTGGTAATGTCTAGAGGCATTTTTTGGTGATCACAATTCAGAAGATGCTACTAGCATCTAGTGGTAAAGGCCAAGATGCTGCTAAACATCTACAATGCATAGGATTGTACACCTGTCACATCAAAGAATTAACCAGCCCAAATATCAATAGTGCTGTGGTTGAAAAGTTCTGTTTTAAATAAATGAATGATAGCAAACTATGTGCAGCAACTCTTAAGGGAAATCCCTTTAAACAGCTCCTCTAAGACAGAGTTGGCAAACTGTGACCTAGGGGCTAAATCGGGCTCACTGCCTGTTTTTGTAAATAAAATGGTGCTGGAACATGGCTATGCCCATTTGCTTATGTACTGCCATTTTATCTATGGCTGCTTTTGCAGCAGAGATAAGCAGTTGCAAAAGAGACTGTCTATCCCACAAACCCTAAAATATTTTCTATCTGGCTGTTTACGGAAAAAAGTTACCAACCCTGCTGTAAAATACCCCTACTATTGCCCTGATCCTAAGATTTCAGAAAATGTATACAGTTATGACTTGTACATGAGAATGAAAATAATTTTTCCCAACTGCCACACTATTTCTGTCTTGGAACAGTAAACATAGACATAGAATAACTTAAAAGTTGTTTTCTGGGTGTCCACATAGTCTTCTGGGAGAAGCATTTCCTGGAAACAAATACTGAGCTTTGCTGGCAAGATATCATTAAAGAGAGTTCAGGGCTTGGCAGGAGCAGATGTGGGGAGGGGTAGGTTGGGGTGGGGTAAGAAAAACTTGGCAATCAGATCTTACTCTTTCCTCTCTAGAAGTCTCTCCACTCAACATGTTCTGAACACAGCCTGGCATACCCTTTGAAGCAAGTAGACTCTGTCATGTCTCAGTTTCACGCACTTGCTAAAATTTGCATCAAGAGATGGTAAGAGACAGTGAGGCAAATGGCTGTAAGGAGGAAAATAGCTAATGTCTCAAGAACTTGATTTGTTGTTGAATCATTCCTCTAACATTAGTAGATTGCTAATAAAATGAGAGGCATACAGAGGTTGCAATATATACGTGACCCTGGAAATATCAGCTGGGGTTTCCCCACATGGTTATTGTTGGCAAATGCAGACATATTTCAGATGCACGAAATATCAACTCAGTATATAAGTTCTTTTTTACATAATAACCCTCAATTTATTGTGTTTATGGTGAAGGAAATGAGTTCTTTATTACCATGTGTATGCACCCCTATGCACATACATACCACACTGTGCTTCTTACCTACTGAGATATTTATAGTTTGGGTGGCATTCTAGGACCTACAGGAGAGGGAGAGGAATTTCTGTGACTGCCCACATAGGACATATTTTCCCTGCGGATAGAACAGAGGAGAGTACTGCTTCTATAATTGGGACATCTACCTATCAGGCAAATCAAAATAGGGATCTTCCCAGATACCTGAAAAAAATCATGTGTGCAAACAGCTAGAGAACTAAGGATCGTAAAATAAAACAGAGGTTGTCCTGAGAGCAAATGCCAATATCAGAAATGTGATCTGCAAGGATACTGCAAAGACTGCAAAACCACCAAACAATGCCTTTGTGCAATTTATTTATTTATTTATTTATTTTTTGAGACAGAGTCCTGCTCTGTCGCCCTGGCTGGAGAGCAGTGGCATGATCTCGGCTCGCTGAAACCTTCGCCTCCCAGGTTCAAGCAATTCTTCTGCCTCAGCCTCCCAAGTAGCTGGGACTACAGGTGTGAACCACCACACCCGGCTAATTTTTGCATTTTTAGTAGAGAGGGGGTTTTACCATATTGGCCAGGCTGGTCTCGAACTCCTGACCTTGTGATCCACCCACCTTGGCCTCCCAAAGTGCTGGGATTACAGCAAATTATTTTTAAAAAGTGTTTTCTTTGACAGGAGTAGCTCTCAAAACAGGACATGAAGACTTGGACCAGCAACAAGGCTGGGAAATCAAACCTGAGTCCTGCAGTAGGCCAGGGATCCCAAAGGGAGCTTTTCCTAGGAAAAAAAAATACAACTTAAATAAAACCATATCAAATAATAATAGAAAGCCTAAATATAGAAATTCAATCAGTAGTTTAAAATATTCTCCAGGAAAAAAAATCTCAAAGACGAATTTTTTTAAAGGCTAACATATGTAATTATTTAATTATATATGTTTAAAATCCTGTACAATAAAATACCAGTAACCAAGTCAAAAAAGATCTGTATAAAAAATTACAAAATATGTGAAGTCTTTAATAGTCAAATTAATGTGCAGAATCTATAGAGAACACCTAAAATCAATTGAGTGAAAAAAGAAAGTTATGAACAAGAAATTTATATGAGATAAAATATAAATGGCCAATTTTGTATAAAAAGATGTATATTTACCTTCTCTAATAGAAAAAACGTAAATTAATATTAAATATTATTTTGGGTCTATCTATACTAGTTTTCTTTTTTAAAAAATTTCAATAGCTTTAGGGGCACATGTGATTTTTGGTTATATGGATGAATTGTATGGTGGTGAAGTCTAGGATTTTAGTGTACCCATCACCCAAATAGTGTACATTGTACCCAAGAGATAGTTTTACATCCCTCACCCCCTCCATTCTCCCCCTTTCTGGGTCTCCAATGTCCATTTTACCACTCTGTATGCCTTTATATACCCATAGCTTAGGTACTATTTACAAGTGAGAACATGCAGTATTTGGGTTTTGATTCCTGAGTTAATTCACTTAGAATAATGGCTTCCAGTTCCATCCAAATGGCTACAAAAGACATTGTTTCATTCTTTTTCATGGCTAAGTAGTATTCCATGGTGTGTATGTGTATATATACCACATTTTCTTTATCCACTCATTGATTGTTAGACACTTAGTTTGATTCCATATCTTTGCAATTGTGAGTTGTGTCGTGGTAAACATATGCATGCAGGTGTCTTTTTGATATAATGACTTATTTTCCTTTGGGTAGATACCCAGTAGGATTGCTGGATGAAATAGTAGATAGACTTTTAGTTCTTTGAGAAATGTCCATACTGCTTTCCTACTAATTTACATTCTCACTAGCAGTGTATAAGCATTCCCTTTTCATCACATCCCACAAAAACATCTATTGTTTTTTGACTTTTTAATAATGGCCATTCTGGCTGGGTTAAAGTGGTTATCTCATTGTGGTTTTAATTTGCATTTCCCTGATTATTAGTGACACTGAGCATTTTTTCATATGTTTGTTGGCCATTTGTATATCTTCTTTTGAGAAATGTCTACTCATGTCCTTTGTCCACTTTTTAATAGGATTATTTCTTGTTTTCTTGCTGATTTGAGTTCCGTGTAGATTTTGGATATTAGTCCTTTGTTGGATACATAGTTTGCAAATATTTCCTACTTATTCTTTGAGTTTTCTATTTCCTTTGATGATTATTTCTTTTGTTGCACAAAGCTTTTTAGTTTAATTAGGTCCCATTTGTTTATTTTTGGCTTTGTTGCATTTGCTTTTGAGGTCTTAGTCATAAATTACTTGCCTCCCTCTTGTCCAGAAGAGATTTTCCTAGGTTTTCTTCTAGAGTTTTTATGTTGTCAAGTTTTAGATTTAAGTCCATCTTTAGTTAATTTTTGTATATGGTGAGAGATAGGGATCCAGTTTCATTCTTCTTCATGTGGCTATCCATTTTTCCTGGCACCATTTATTGAACAGCATGTCTTTTCCCTAGTTTATGTTTTTGTATGTTTTGTCAAAGATTAGCTTGATGTAAGTATTTGGCTTTATTTCTGGGTTGCCTATTCTGTTCATGTATTCTATGTATCTACTTTTATACCAGTACCATGCTGTTTTTATTACTATAGTCTTGTAGTATAATTTGAAGTCATGTGATGCCTTAGATTTATTCATTTTGCTTAGAATTGTTTTGGCTATTCAAGCTCTTTTTTAGTTCCATATTAAATTTAGAATTAATTTTTCTAATTCTGTGAAAAATGTTAGTATTTTGATAAAAATTGCATTGAATCTGTAGATTGCTTTGGTCAGTATGGTTATCATGATATCAATTCTTTCAGTCAGTGAGCATAGGTTGTATTTCCATTTGTTTGTGTCATCTGTAATTTCTTTCAGCAATGTTTTATAGTTCTCCTTGTAGAGATCTTTCAACTCCTTGGTTGAGCATATTACTATGGTTTTATTGTTTGTTTGTTTGTGTGTGTGTGTGTGTGTGTGTGTGTGTGCGTAGCTACTGTAAAAGGGATTGAGGTCTTGATTTGATTCTCGGCTTGGTCATTGTTGGTGTATCACAGATCCACTGATTTGTGTACATTGTTTTTGAAACCTGAAACTTTATTGGATTTATTTATCAGATCTAGAAATCACTTGAAGGAGTCTTTAGGGTTTTCCAGGTATAAGATTATATTATCACCAAAGTGATACTTTGACTTCCTCTTTTCCAGCTTGGATGCCGTTTATTTCTTTCTTTTGTCCGATGCTCTGGCTAGAACTTCCAGTACTATGTTGAGTAAAAGTGGTGAAAGTGGACATTTTTGTTTTGTTCCAGTTTTACAGGGGAATGTTTTCAACTTTTCCCTATTCAATATGATCTTTGCTGTGGGTTTGTCATACATGACTTTTATTATTTTGAGGAATGTTTCTTCTATGCCTACTTTGTTCAGGGTTTTATCATACGGGGATGCTGGATTTTATTGAATGCTCTTTCTGTGTCTCTTGAGGTGATCCTATGCCTTTTGTTTTAAATTCTGTTTACAAGATGAATCACATTTATTGACTTGCATTCAACCATCTATGCATCCCTGGGATGCAACCTACTTGATCATGGTAAAATTTTTTTGGTTGAGCATTTGGATTCAGTTTGCTAGTATCCTGTCAAAGATTTTTCATCTATATTCATCGGGGGTATTGGTTTGTAGTTTTCTTTTTGTGTTATGTTATTTCCTGGCTTTGGTATCAGGGTGATACTGGTTTTGTAGAATGAGTAAAGGAGGATTACCTCCTTCTTTACCTCCTTCTTTTGGAATAATTACTGTAAACTTGGTACAAATTCTTTGTCTGGTAGAATTTGGCTGTGAATTTAGCTGGCCCTGGCTTTTTTGTTGTTGTTGTTGTTGGCAGTTTTTAAATTACTGATTTAGTCTCACTGCCTGTCATTATTCTGTTCAGGATTTCTATTTCTTCCTGAATCAAGCTAGGAGGTTGTATGTTTCTAGGATTTAGCCATTTCCTCTAGGTTTTCTAGCATGTGTGCAAAAAGGTGTTCATAGTAGTCTCAAATAATCTTGTATATTTCTGTGGCATGAGTTGTAATGTTTCCATTTTTATTTTTAATTGAGTTTATTTAAATTTCTCTTTTTTTCTCTTTAGCATTGTGGGTTTTTTTATTTTTATTTTTATTATACTTTAAGTTTTAGGGTACATGTGCACAATGTGCAGGTTTGTTACATATGTATACGTGTGCCATGTTTAATCTAGCTTGTGGTCTATCAACTTTATCTTTTCAAAGAATGAGCTCCTTGCTTCATTGGTATTTTGTATTATTATTATTATTATTATTATTATTATTATTATTGATAGGGTCTTGCTCTGTTGCCCAGGCTGAACTGCAGTGGCTTAATCATAGTTTTCTGCAGCCTTAACCTCCTGGGCTTAAGCCATTCTCCCACCTCAGCCTCCCAAGTAGCTGGGACTATAGATACACACCATCATGCCAGGCTAATTTTTGTATTTTTTTGTAGAGATGAGGTTTCACCATGTTGCTCAGGCTGGTTTTGAACTCCTGAGCTCAAGCAATCCTCTGGCTGTCAGTGAAATGCACTGAGGACTTCTCAGGGAGAAGGGAGGGAGCCACCACAGCTCTCCTTTTAGGCCAGCAGGAAAGCAATCTGCCTCCCAGTTACACCCCTTACCCAGTCTTCCAGCTATTCAGATCAGACAGGCACCTCTTTTCATCTGCATGGATTCTGATGTTCCATGTACAGAGGGATTGTGACTCTACCTCTCATGCAAGCCTGAACTTGGAGGGCATGTCTATGGGGATGCAGTCACCCTGAAGTGTTCCACAAATGCTGCCTACAGAGGCACCCACACCAAGCTCCTATGGGAGAGGCTGCAGCTGTGTCCAAAGTGGTTGACAAGAGAGAAAAGAAGTCACCTTCTCTAAGACCCTTCACAAGCACCAGGGGTTCCTGACTGTTGAGGTAGAGCTGCAGACTTTCCTCATTTAGCCTAGCACTGCACCTGTGCCTTTGCTGAAAGAAACTTCTCACAAGTCGAAATTTCAGGGACTCAATGCCTGCATTCTGGTTTCTTTTGTCCCATGGGGTGGTCCTTTAATGTGGTGCACCTCCTCTTCTTCTAGGAATAGCAGTCTCTGAGAACCAGACTACTGTGAATCCTGCTGCTCCTCTGGGTCTAGGCACCCAGTGGGTCTACTATACTTCAAGCTGGTGCCGAGGAATGTCTGCAAGGGATCCAGTGATGTGACCTGTCCTCTTGTTTCCCAGCAGCAGGTACCAGCACCAGCTCTGATGGAAATGGGAGGAGAGTAATGTAGACTGAGATTTCCTTCGTTATAAATAGCCTTAGTGTGTTGGCTTTCTCAAATGCCAGCTGTGGTGGTAATGTACTGGGTACATGGACAGACCCAAGATTTCCTAGTTCCTATGTCTCAGGGTGATACAGGCAATGGTAATAGCTGAAGTTATGCAAAAGTTTTCTCCTTTCTGAGTGCTGTTTTTGTGCCTGCAGGTGTTGTAATGGGCTGTGCTGATTGGCCTCCAGCCAGGAGGTGGCACTCGCAAAAGGGCACAATCTGTGGTGGTAGCAGTGGAATTTGTGCTTGCCTTATATTACCCAGGGGAAGGTGCTCTGGTATCTCAGGCAATGGACAGAGCCATGGAGCTTCAAAATGTCCCTATCCATTGTGTTAAGATACCAGGGCAGGTGGAGGGGCAAAGCCAGGTGGGGGCTGGGTCATGCAAGCCTGCATTCTGGTTCCCCACATGTAGGTTCAAGCAGCAGCCTCAATGGGGATCAGAGGGCAGTTCCCTGGCCTCTGGGGTAATGTTTCAGGGAGAAGCACAATTGCCTCTGCTGCACAAGAGAATCCACACAGGGAGCAACCAGTAGTAAGCACCCCATTCAGCTCCCATAAACTTGGTAAGGCAGGTCTCACACCCACACTGTTCTGCTAGCAGCAGCCAGCTGCATTCTAGGCAGCCTGCCCTCAGAACTCAAAACTGCCCCAGGCCATAAGCCTTCCTGAGACAAAAAAACCTAGCCTTCAGGTCACAACCTTCCTGGTGGTCCACTCATGAAGCAGGGTATCCACCTCTTGTGCTCATGGTTATAGCACACTTCTTGTGGTTCTAGCCAACAGGGTTTGTCCCCACTCGAGATTATATTGCAGACTTTCGTTGGGAGCTTCTTTCTACCTGTGACCACCACCTGAGTTAACTGACAGACTTCCATGAGGTCCCGTGTGAGGTAGGATCAGGGATGGCTTTCCTTCATGCCTGCTGGAGCCTGGGAGTGCATGCAAAGCATGCCCCAATGCCACTCCTTCTCATATACTCCCCACTGCTCACTAAATTTGCTCCAGCACTGGGTAGGATTAAGCGCTTCCTGTGTGGCCTGGATTGCCCAGCTCCCCTGTAGGAGAGCGTGTCATAGCAGCGGTCTCTTCTCCTTTCATGGTGTGCAAACTCACTGTTTTCCATCTGGTTCACAGTATAGGCTGCTGCCTTCCACTTCTTTCAAAGGGTTGGCGGTTTCTTTCAGTTTTTCTGTTAAGTTCTTGTGTTGCTTATTGGAAAAAAGTTCACAGTGTGACTCTCTATACACTATTTTGTCTTTCCAAGTAGGAGAGGTATGCTAACATTGCCTCCAACATGCCATCTTGGAAAAAGAATTAAAGATGAATTATATGAAATATCCAAAGAACCTATCATCCCAAACTCTTCTAGAGAAGAGAAAGGAGGAACATTTCCCAGTGCCTTCTATGAGACAGACATAACATTGATGCCCAAACCAGAGAAAAAGAGTTGAAAAAAGAAAACCATAGGCAAATTTCACTCTAAAACACAGATACAAAAATCCTAAAAATAATATTAGCAAGCCAAACCCAGCAGTTAAAAACCATATGTAACATTATAATGGAATTGAGTTTATCCCAGGAATTCAAGGGGGGTTTAATAGTCTATAAATATCTTTTATAATATTAACAAATTAATACAGAAAAACCATATGATCTCAACTTCACAGAAAAAAAATACTTGAAAATATTCAATACCAATTCAAAATGTGAGATTTTGTTTGTTTTTAAGCATTTCTTACAATGGAACAGAGCCCTGAGGCAGACAGACTGAAACAAAATTTGAAATGTTACAACGTTAGGGGAAGGAAGGAGCTATCCAATAAATGGCGCTGAGAAAACGGATTCTCTCTATGAAAAATAAAATGACACTGGACCTCTTACCTCATACTGTATTAGTCTGTTCTCATGCTGCTAATAATGACATACCTGAGACTGGGTAATTTATAAAGGAAAGAGGTTTAATGAACTCACAGTTCCACATGGCTGGGGAGGCCTCACAACCATGGCAGAAGGCAAAGAAAGAAAAAAGGCATGTCTTACATGGCAGCAGGCAAGAGGACTTGTGCAGGGAACTCCCCTTTATAAAACCATCAGATCTCAAGAGACTTGTTCATTATCACGAGAACAGCATGGGAAAAAAATCCACCCCCATGTTTCAGTTACCTCCTACTGCTTCAGTTCCCTCCCATGACACCTAGGGATTATTACAATTCAGTGTGAGATTTGGGTAAGGACACAGAGCCAAACCGCAGCATATACCATACATAAATGTCAATCCCAGATGGATTAAGGACAAAATGGCAAAACTTTAAGACTTTTGAAAGAAAACATGGAAGACTATCTTTATAACCTCAGTATAGAAGAGGTTCTATGTAATAATAATGCTGAATATTATCATACAATGTAACCTAGAAATTCCACATCCCCCCACAAAGGCATACATAAGAATGTTCATGGTAGTTAAACTCATAATTTATTTATTATTTTAACTTTTATTTTAAGTTCAAGGGTACATGTGCAGGTTTGTTATATAGGTAAAGTTGTATCATGGGTTTGTTGTACAGACTATTTCATCACCCAGGTAACTAATAGGTATTAGTAATGAATAGGTAACTAAAATAATTAATGGATATTAGTAACTAATAAGTAACTAAAATAACTAATGGGTACTAGTTACTTTTCCTGATCCTCTCCCTCTTCCCACCCTCCACACTCCAGTAGGCCCCAGTTTCTGTTGTTCCCCAGTATGTGTCCATGTGTTCTCATCATTTAACTCCCACTTATAAGTGAGAACATGTGGTATTTGATTTTCTGTTCCTGCATTAGTTTGCTAAGCATAATGGCCTCCAGTTCCATCCATGTCCCTGCAAAGGACATGAGATCTCATTATTTTTTATGGCTGCATAGTATTCCATGGTGTATATGTACCACATTTTCTTTATCCAGTCTATCACTGATGGCCATTTAGGTTGAGTCCATGTCTTTGCTATTGTAAATAGTGCTGCAATGAGCATACACATGCAATGTCTTTATAATATAACTATTTATATGCCTTTGGGCATGTACCCGGTAATGGGATTGCTGGGTCAAATTGTATTTCTGTTTTTAGTCTTTGAGGAATCACCACACTGTCTTCCACAATGGTTGAACTAATTTACACTTCCACCAGCAGCATATCAGCATTTTTTGCTCCACAACCTCACCAGCATCTGTTATTTTTTGACTTTTTAATAATAGCCATTCTGACTGATGTGAGATGGTATCTCATTGTGGTTTTGATTTGCATTTCTCTAATTGTCAATAATATTAAGCTTTCTTCATATGATTGTTGGTCACATGTATGCCTTCTTTTAAAAAGTGCCTGTTCATGTCCTTTGCCCACTTTTTAATGGGATTGTTTGTTTTTTGTTTTCTTATAAATTTGTTTAAGTTCCTTATAGATGCTGGATATTAGATCTTTGTTGAATGCATAGTTTGCAAAATGTTTTTCCCATTCTGTAGGTTGTCTGTTTATTCTGTCTATATTTATTTTGCTGTGCAGAAGCTCTTTAGTTCAATTAGATCCCATTTGTCAATTTTTGCTTCTGTTGCAATTGCTTTTGGCATCTTCATCATAAAATATGTGCCTGTGCCTATGTCCTGAATGATATTGCCTATGTTGTCTTCCAGGGTTTGTACAGTTTGGGGTTTTCTTGTGTTTTTTTTTTTTTTTTTTTTAATTTTTATTTTACTTTAAGTTCTGCAATACAAGTTCAGAATGTGTAGGTTTGTTACGTAGGTATATGTGTGCCATGGTGGTTTGCTGTACCTATCAACCCATCATCTAGGTTTTAAGCCCTACACGCATTAGCTATTTGTCCTAATGCTCTCCCTCCCCTCGCCCCCACCCCCCAACTGGCCCTGGTGTGTGTTGTTCCCCTCCCTGTGTCCATGTGTTCTCATTGTTCAACTCCCACTTATGAATGAGAACATGTGGTGTTTTGTTTTCTGTTCCCGTGTTAGTTTGCTGAGGATGATGGCTTCCAGCTCCATCCATGTCCCTGCAAAGGACATGATCTCATTCCTTTTCATAGCTGCATAGTATTCCATGGTGTATATGTACCACATTTTCTTTATGCAGTCTATCATTGATGGGCATTTGTGTTGGTCCCATGTATTTGCTATTGTAAATAGTGCTGCAATAAACACATGTGTGCATGTATCTTTATAGTAGAACGATTTATATTCCTCTAGGTATATACCCAGTAATGGGATTGCTGGGTCAAATGGTATTTCTGGTTCTAGATCCCTGAGGAATTGCCACACTGTCTTCCACAATGGTTGAACTGATTTACATTCCCAC
The DNA here is from genome assembly GCF_000001405.40 of Homo sapiens. Lineage (NCBI taxonomy): Eukaryota > Metazoa > Chordata > Mammalia > Primates > Hominidae > Homo > Homo sapiens. The sequence goes on from NC_000003.12 coordinate 101,030,785, forward strand.
TAACAGTGTAAAAGTGTTCCTATTTCTCCACAGCCTTGCCAGCATCTGTTTCTTGACTTTTTAATAATCACCATTCTGACCGGCATGAGATGGTATCTCATTGTGGTTTTGATTTACATTTATCTAATGATATTGAGCTTTTTTTCATATGTTTTTTGGCCACATAAATATCAACAACCATCTGGTCTTTGACCAACCTGGTGAAAACAAGCAATGGGGAAAGGATTCCTTATTTAATAAATGGTACTGGGAAAACTGGCTAGCCATATGCAGAAAACTGAAACTGGACCCCTTCCTTACACCTTGTACAAAATTTAACTCAAGATGGATTAAAGACTTAACTGTAGTTAAGACCTTGGTTGTTGTCAAAGTCTGGGAAGGGAAGGGAAGGGAAGGGAGGGGGATGAAGAGAGATTGAATAATGGACACAAATACATTTAGATAGAGGAAATAAGACCTAGTGTTCATTAAATCTGTAGGGTGACTACAGTTAACAACAATCTATTGTATATTTCAAAATAGCTAGAAGAAAATAATGTGAATGTCCCCAGCATAAAGAAAAGATAACTATTTAAGGTGGTAGATATCCCAATTACTCTGATTTTATCATTACACCTTATATGAAATATGAATGTATGAAAATATCACATGTACTTGCAAAATATGTACATCTATTATATATGCATAAATAATTCAAAAATAACTTTTAAAAAAGAAGAATGGGATTCATAAACATAAACTTCAAGATATTGATTACCACTTATTGCAGATGAGGGGGTGAACAGAGACAAAACACACATGCATATGCAACAGTATTGCTAATATCCTAGTTTTAAATTTGACAGCAGATTCATGAATGTTCATAATTCCTTTGCTTCAGAATTTATATGAGGGGTCTTCAAAATGAGGAAAATGCATATTATGAAAAAGGTATGCATGGATTTCAAATTTTTTTACACCAAAGCAAACTCATATTAACTTGTTATAACATGTCTGAACAGGATCTAGTTTGAGGCAATAAGAAGGATAAGTCAAGAATTTGAAAAGAGAAACATGAATTCTGCTTGTTCTTGAAGCAAGAACAAATATCAAATTTATAGTGAAATGTGGTGAAAGGATAGTAAAATCACTGAACCTTTATGAAAAGTTTATGAGGACAATGCACCAAAGGAATCAGCAGCTTACAAATAGGCAATTCATTTTTAAAAGGGACAAGATAATGTTAAAGATGAAGCTTACACTAGAAGACCATCCACATCCATTTTTAAGGACAAAAGTTAATCTTGTTTGTGCCCTAATTGAAGAGGATTGACAATTAACATCAGAAACTATAGTTAATAATGTAAACATATCCATTGGTTCAGCTTACACAATTCCAACTAAAAAATTTAAGTTGAGCCAACTTTACACTTGATGGGTACCAAAAGCTCATCTGTGCACCCAGATGAGCTACAGACAAGAGCAGAGCTTTCCACAGAAATTTTGAGTAAGATCAAGATCCTGAATCGTTTCTTTGAAGTATTGTAATAGGAGATGAAACATGGCTTTACTAGTATGATCCTGAAGACAATACACAATCAAAGCAATGGCTACCAAGATGTGGACATGGTCCAGTCAAAGCAAAAGTAGACTGGTCAAGAACAAAGTCATGGCAAAATCATTTTGGGATGATCAAGGCATACTGCTTGTTGACTTTCTGAAGGACAAGAAGAATTGTAATAGGAGATGAAACATTTCTTTTATTATGAGAGCATTTTGAGAAAGTTAGCTAAAGCTTTAGCAGAAAAATTCCCAGAAAAGTTTTACCAAAGAGTACTTCTCTACCATGCCAATGCTCCTGCTCATTCTTCTCATCCAATAAGGACAATTTTTTGAAAGTTTTGATGGGAAATTATTAGGCATCCACTTTATAGTTCTGATTTGGTTCCTTCTGACTTCTTTTTGTTTCCTAATCTTAAAAAATCTTTAAAAGGCACCCATTTTTCTTCCATTAATAATGTAAAAAAAGACTGCATTGTCTTGGTTTAATTCCCAGGAACTTAAACTCTTTAGGGATGGATTAAGTGGCTAGTATGATTGTTTACAATATTGTCTTGACCTTGATGGAGCTTATGTGAGAAATAAAGTTTATATTTTTTATTTTTACCTTTTCACTTTCCACAAACTTTTTCAATATCTCCTCCTGTATATGTTAAATATTTTTCTATGTAAAAATGTTATATAATAAACATCTTAATGCAAAAATTATTGAGGTAGAGAAAGCTCAGAAAAAGAAGTCAGGAAACCTAAGCCTAACAGAAAAAACCTGTGTTGACTCAAGGTTAATCAATTAAAGATGAGATTCATTCCTCCAATAATAGCAAGCAGCCTTACCTAAAGTAATTAGCAAATACTTGCTCTGAAGACTGAGGGCTGATGAGGTTAGATTGCTTCCTTGGACATTTATAAAAATCACTAATGTGACAGAAATAAATTGAGACCTTGTTATAAAACTGAATGAAAATGAGAAAAAGATAAGCTATGAAGAGCTAACGTTTTAAAAAATCTCTCACAGTCAAAATAGGAGTTAATGTGAATTTAGAGTGCTACCTTGAGCCAATATGCCTGCCCTGACAGAAATGCAGATTCAATTCCTTGTAAGGAGGGTCTCCAGGTTGGGGAAAGGTGTGTCACCAAGTCACCTCAGCACGAGTATCTTAAATCTCTTCTTCACTCAGATTCCCTGTTCATCAATAATTATTCTGATTGTAATTTGATTTTCCTTTTCCAAGTCATTTTTCCTACCCTGTTTCCTCAAGTGAGTAACAGAACTCTGAGACGTTTGATCTTTTCATTTATAAATGTGTATCTGTGTGTGTGTGTGTGTGTGCGTGTGTGTGTGTGTGTTTAAATCATACACACAGTAGCAAAAGTCAATTCTGTGTGAGTCTGGCAGCATGAGGCAGCTGTCTCTAGACACCAATGCTTCCAGCCCAGCACACTATACAAAGACCATTGCTGAAACGCATTCTACGTAATGACAAAACGATCTGTAGACAATCCCTGGCAATGCCTTTCAAAACTTCCCTGCAACTGAGTACACATAAAGAAGTAAATCTGGACATAAATATATGTATTTGATCAAAAGGAAAAGATCCCAAGCAACTGCCATCTGCACATGCATCTCTCTCTCATTGATATTGAGGATGCTTTAGAATTAATATGTAGTCTAGGGAATCTCTCCTCTCTGCTTTCCCATGGAAATAGATACTTCCCGTGAAAACAGAGCCACTCCCTCTTTGGGGGAGAGGGAGTGGCTTCAGCTGTTAGCTTCTCTCTAAATCTCATCAAGTTCTACACCTTGCCATTGCTGCCTTTCTCACAACAATCATTCTGCTTGCACAGGATCAATTTCACCTTAGGACAGAATCACCAAATCTGAGTAATTATTGAACATTGTGGTCACTAATAGTTGACCCTAGAACACAGAGAGTTTTAAAAGTACACCAGAGGAAGCTATTTTATAATGCAACAGAAGTGCCGCTCACTTAACTTGGATAATTGAGGAGATAACTTTCATAATGCCCTAAAGATTGATATCCATGTTTTGTTTCACCCCCCAATTAAATGTATGTAACTATTTGTAAAGGGAGGAGAGAAAGTGAGAACAAAAGCAAGATCAAATGGGCAAACAGACGTCAAAGAAAATATGTACTTCCGCCAAAATTTGGGATTATAGTATCCCTCATCTAGGTGGCAGGTTTTGTTGCTACTGAGAGAATATGGTAAAGCTCTCCTTTTCCACTGAAGGTTCCCAAAGGCCTAGTATGATGAGCTGGGAGCCTGGCCTTAGCTGGTAGCACCTGCTACATACTCAGAATTTTCTAGTCTTTTTTTTTTTTTTTTTTTTTGCATCTGACAAAGGTCCAATATCTATCATCTATAAAGAATTAAATCAACAAACAAAAAACAACCCCATTAAAAAGTGGGAAAGGGACATGAACAGATAGTTTTCAAAAGAAGACATACAAGGGACCAACAAGCAAAGAAAAAATGCTCAGCATCACTAATCATTAGAGAACTGTACACCGAAACCACAGTGAGACACCATCTCACACCAGTCAGCATGGCTATGTTAAAAAGTCAAAAAATAACAGATGCTGGCGAGGTTGCAGAGAAAAGGGAATGTTTATACACTGCTGGTGGGAATGCAAATTAGTTTGGCCATTGTGAAAAGCAGTTTGGTGATTTCTCAAAAAACTCAAAGCAAAATTAACATTCAACCCAGCAATCTCATTATTGAGTATATGCCCAAAGAAATAAAAATCATTCTACCAAAAGGACACATGTACATGTATGTGCATCACAACACTATTAACAATAGCAAAGACACGGAATCAATCTAAATGCTCATCAATGGTGGACTGGAAAAAAAATGTGTTGCATATGCACCATGGAATACTACACAGCCATAAAAAATAATGATATCGGCCAGGCGTGGTGGCTCATGCCTGTAATCCCAGAACTTTGGGAGGCTGAGGCAGGTGGATCACCTGAGGTCGGGAGTCCGAGACCAGCCTGACCAACATGGAGAAACCCCGTCTCTACTAAAAATACAAAATTAGCCGGGTGTGGTGGCACATGCCTGTAATCCCAGCTACTCAGGAGGCTTAGACAGGAGAATCTCTTGAACCTGGGAGGTGGAGGTTGCAGTGAGCTGAGATCATGCCATTGCACTCCAGCCTAGGCAACAAGAGCGAAACTCCATCTCAAAAAAAAAAAGAAAAGATATCAAGTCCTTTGAAGCAACATGGATGAAGCTGGAGGCCAGTATCCTAAGCGAATTAACGCAGGAACAGAGCCCTCACTTATAAGTAGGAGCTGAACACTGAGTACACATAGACACAAAAAAAGGAACAACAGACACTGGGACCTACTTGATAGTGGAGAGAGAAAGGAGGGTGAGGATCAAAAATCTACCTATCAGGTACTATGCTTATTACCTGGGTGGCAAAATAATCTGTCCACCAAACCCCTGTGACATGCAATTTACCTATATAACAAACCTGCACATGTACCCCTGAACATAAAATAAAAGTTAAAAATCTAAGTGATTTTTTTTCTATTTGGCCTATAACACGTCCATCAGAAAACAGAATTACACTGATTTTTCCCTCTACATGTGTGTAACAAAATCTTTTAGGAATGTAAAAATCCAATGTCTCCCCCCCACCAATATTTTAGGATAAAATAGAAGCATTGAGAAAATGTGTCATACTTAACTGTAGTTTTGTGAATTTCAGAGCAGAAAGTAGGAGCTAAGTCAATTAGCACAACAGACAAATGTGAAGAAGAGAAAGAATAAAGTATAGCTAGATATAACACAGAAGAAAATCACTGAAATTTAATGTCAGTTATTTTATGCAACTCATTGTGCTCTTCCCACAGATACTGTCAGATCAAGGAGAAAAATAACAGAGTCACATCACTTCCTAAAAAAATAGTCCAATGTCTTGAATAATCAGAGATTCAGCATTCAGCTTCTAAGGAAGGATTGACTCTTCCTGATTCCTTGGGGATTAGTCTTAGTAACCACAGACAGAAGAACTCATAGCAATGAGCCAGGAAGAAATTTTTAAAATATTTTATTCTAGAACACACAAAAAGTGCAGCAGTGATCTCATGCTCATGGAATTCACTGGTCTTGCCACATTCCACACCATCCCGAAGCTGCTGGCTTGATAGGATGGTGGAATGGCCTTTTGAACACTCAGTTATAATACCAGTTAGATGGCAATACCTTGCAAGGCTTGTACAAGGCCCTCTGTATATGCTCTGAATCAGCATCCAATATATGGTGCTCTTTCTCTCAGAGCCAGAAGTCACAGGTCCAGGTAGCAAGGGGTGGAGATGGGAGAGGCACCATTTCCTATTTACACATAGTAACTCACAAACAAAATGTATGCTTCCTGTTCATTAGACTTTATGCTCTGTTGGCTTAGACGTCTTAGTCCCAGAGGTAAGAATACTTCCACCAGGAGATACAACAATACTTCCATTAAACTAGAAGTTAAGACTGCCACTTTGGGCTCCTCATGCCTCTGAGTCAACAGCCAAGAAGGGAGTTATGATGTTGGCTGGGGTGATTGATCCTGACTACCAAGGGTAAATAGGACTACTACTCCGCAATAGAAGGAAGAGAAGTCTGAAATACAGAAGATCCCTTAGGGCATCTTTTAGTATTACCATGCCCTGTGATTAACGTCAAGGAGAAACTACAACTACCCAATCCAGGCAGGATTACAAATGACCCAGACTGGTCAGGAATTAAGTTTTCGGTCACCCCACAGGTAAAGAGCCACAATGAGCTGAGGTCCTTGCTGAAGGCAAAGAAAATGCAGAATGGGTAGTAGCAGAAGGTAGTTATAAATACCAGTTACAACTACATGACCAGTTACAGAAATGAGAATTGTAATTTCATGAGTGTTTCCTCCTCATCTTGTTATGAATATATTTGGGTGTACATAGATATATATTAAGCAAACATATTTCCTTTATTTCTAATCTTATTTCCTTATCACATAACATGATATGTATTAACTTTATATCAGTATTTAACTATTGTTATTTTTACATCATAGTATTAAAGTGTAACTTGTAGGATATATGTGTATATATATGTAATTTTATATATACATACATATACATATGTAATTTTACATCATAGTATTCAAGCATAACTTGTAGGATATATGTGTGTGTGTGTGTGTGTGTGTGTGTGTGTGTGTATGTAACTTGTACATAGTATTCAAGTGTAACCTGTAGGATATCAGAAGAGAAAATGTCACTGAAAGACTTTACCTTCTCTTCTGAGGAAAGGATTAGTATTCCTTGTGTACGCAGGATCCTCGTATCCTGGTAGGTGGCATTACGGCCTGGTTTTTGTCTTTATTTGAAGGTTAGGAATGGTTTAAGGAGATTCATATGGGTGCCAAGCTTACAAGGAGTTAATTGTGATGGTTGATTTTATGTGTCAACTTGACTGAGCTAAGGAATACCCAGATTGCTGGCAAAACATTATTTCCCGGTGTGTCTGTGAGGGTGTTTCTGGAAGAGATTAGCATTTGAATAGGCAAACTGAGTAAAGAAGATTGCACTCACTAAGGTGGGTGGAGGTAATCCAATATGTAAATGGAACGTAAATATGGAAGAAGGGTGAATTTGCTTTTTTTCTTTGTTGGAACTGAGACATCCAAGTTCCTCTGCCTTTGGACATATATAATCCTGGTTCTCAGGCCTTCAGACTCAGACTGGGACTTACACCACCAGCTCCCTTTTTTCTCAGGCCTTTCGACTTGGAAGGAATTATACTACCAGCTTTCCTGGTTCTGCGCCTTGCATATGACAGACTGTGGGTCTTCTCAACCTCTATAATCACATAGGCCAATTCCTATAATAAATTTCCCCATATATATCTATATTATTGTGGGGATTCTTGGCCCCCATAATCACATAAGGCAATTCCTATAATAAATTTCGTCTTCCATATATCTATCTGTCTATCTATCTATCTGTCTATCTATCTATCATCTGTCTATCCTATTGGTTTTATTTCTCTGAGGAACCCTGACTAATATCCCAGGGTAAGAAATCTACAGAGATGTGAGAAATTTTTCCCTATTAAAAAAAAAAGCATCAGCTACTAAACAGCTGGTACAGAATTGAATGGATCCCTAAATCTTAGTAAGGTCTAAGTTCAATGAACTTGCAAAGAGAGAGAGAGAGTGAAACTAAAAGCATGACTACAGTTTGTGTGAGCAATAACTATTTTTGACATGTGGTGTGATGATGCTGTAGTAATCAGAGAAAATCTTGTTCACAAGCTTCCACCTGGATTTTTAAAACATTTCAATGGAAACAACCAAGTGTCAGTCTTTCAGCAGCTGACTGCTTGCATCACCTTTCTTTCTCCAGCAGTCTACTCTGGATCTTTCACTACCCCTTAGCAGCTCCTCCGGCATTGTGAAAAACATGGATGAAATTCAAATCAAGCCATTTTGCCTTCAACTGCCAGTTTGATAAGGCAAGAAAACGGACATATTGCAAACTTATTTTTATGGTAGTTATCCATAGAAGAATTGTAATTATCCCCACATTCATGGTAGTAACATCTGCTCATTACACCACTGTCCTTTTCCAACCATTATAGTTGCAATTCATCACTTCCTGAATGTGAAAGTAATAATCTCTCCCCAGAGGAAACCAAGGATTATTATTGCCATTCTTGGTTTGTTTAGACCAAGAAACGCAGCCAAACTCCAGTTTTTGCCTAAGGGTAAATCTTATGGGATTCATGAATATGAATTAAAAGTAGTGTGTGGTGAAGACTACAACAATCTCTAGTCTCCTGAGAGTAAAAGATGATTTGTTCCAAGTCAGTGACTACTTGTGACTTTCATATTCCCTTTAGCATTGCACAGCAAAAACAGCACTGGCTTGGGAGTTAGAGACCCAGGTTCTAACCCTGTCTCTGCTACTCCTCATGCCTCTTGCAGAAGTCATGTAATCTCTCCAGACCTTGTCTCTTTCTAAATTTTAATTTATACTCTAGCGAAGGTCTCTCCTAGCTGTGACCTTCTTTGAGTCCTTCCCTCTAGCAGCTCTATGCTTTCACTAACCAAATCTTGGAAAAGTGCCAGATTCAACTTTGGAGGCTTAAAGGTGATTGCAACCTTTGCCAAGTTGGGAATCACCTACAGCTGTTACTCTAGCCTTGAGCCTCTAGGGAGACAGTCAGTCAGAAAAGTTCCTTAATAACTAGGGCTAGCGCTTGGCTAAGCAGTCAGATAGGTGGAATTTGTGTTTTACACTCCTCCCAATTTCTATATCAGAGTACCCTTCATGCTAGGCAATTTTCTTATATCCTACAGAACCAGCCTTTAGCAGTCAACTAAACCATAGGATGTAGGTGGCCGATAAGCCTAAGGTAGGATTTCTTCTTAAAACTATGTTGGAACAGAAGATTCTTAGAGACTGAAAAAGACCCCACAGTGTTCCCAGCATGTGCCTCTCTTTTAGTCTTCCCTTCCACCCTTCCAGTTGCTGAGGCCCAATTCTTAAGTGCTATCCTGGGTTCCTCTTTCTATCATACCCTTCTTGTAGTCCACCAATAAATCCGCTCAGCTCCATTATTGAAGTAGATCCAAAATCCAACTATTCTTCATCATACCCATTATTATTATTCTAATCAAAGCCTTTGCATTTGAGGGGTAGTATATACAGAAATAAAGGATAAGCAAAGAGAAGCAGACTTGGTTTAATGCAGAAGTCAGTAGACATTAGAAAGAATTCATTTTCTGAGAAAGAATACCATATATATATATATATATATATATATATATATATATATATATATATATATATATATATAATTTTTTTTTAACAACTTAGCAGCCAGTACTGAGGGGATCATGCTTCTCATCTAGCTTTGGCAACAGCCTCCTAATCAGTCTTTCTGTTTCTGCCCATACCCCTGGGAAATCTATTTTCGTCCCAGCAGGCTGTTCTGCAATGGCTGCCAGAGTAAGCCAGTTAACAGGCAAATAAGATTATGGTTGAAACTCCCCCATAGCTTCCCATCTCTCTTGGATTCAAAGCCAAAATCTCATCCATTGTATACTTATCCCTGTGTACTGGCCCCCCTGACATCTCTGACCTCACCTCCTCCACTCACCTTACTCCCCCTGCTCCCCTGCACCAGCTCCCTCCTCATTCCTCAGATACACCAGGCATGCAGCTTAGGACCTTCATGCTTGCTGTCCTTGCTGCCTTGTCTGCTTGGAAACTCAGCCCTCGGGGACCTGCAAGGCTTGCTTCCTTGCGACATTCAGTCCACTATCTCTTCCAGAGACTTTTGCAAACCACATTATATAAGAGTGCACCACACACACACACACACACACACTTGCACACAAACACACGTTCTCTATCCCCTTATTGTTTTTTGTTGTTTCACTTTTCACACCTGATGTCATATATATTTGCTTATTAAAGGTTGAATGTCCCTTATCTGAAAATCCAAAATGCTGCAAAATATAAAACTTTTCAAGTACCAGTATGATGCTCAAATAAAATACTCATTGGAGCATTTCAGGTTTTGGATTTTCAGATTAAGGATGCTGAATCAGTAAGTATGATGCAAATGTCCCCAAATCACAAAAATCTGAAACCTGAAACACTTCTGGTCCCATGCATTTGAGATAAGCGATAATCAACCTACATCTCTTATTCTGTCCTCCTTCCCTCCATCAGAGCAGAGCTGCCTCTTGTTTGTTGTTGGACTTTTGCTGCTGGGACAGTGCCTGATATGCCCTAAACACTCAGATACTTATGACAATGAATAGACTGAGGGATGGATGAACCATTCTCTAATCCAAGGAAATACACGTTGGTCCTTCTTCCAGCTTCTCCTTAGAACACATCTACTGACATATTCTAGAAAGGTCATAAGCAAATGGCATCCAGCCCTGGTAGGACAGGCTTTGCTTCAATCCCTCCTTACAATGAGGTAGTATATTGCTACCAATTACCTACATATGATATTTCCTCTTTTTTTCTTGCTCTACTATTGGTTTTGTCTAGATGCATCAAGGTATACTTAATTGACATGTACCATGGTCATACAATCTTACATTCAATCTAAATCTATCAAAATAATTTCTAAGAAAACACTGTAAGAAGAGGAGGTTTTAGAGTGTCAAAACTCTAATTTCAATTGTCTGGGGCCCTGAGCTCCAATTCAAAACAACTGACTAGTTTACATTTACTGATAGAAAAGTGAAAAGAACTAGAATTCATTAAGCCTCCATCAGCAACAAGCATTGTGCTCAAAGCTTGTTAAATGCTATCTCGGCAAATCTATGGTATCTCTGTAAATCATCGCACGATTTCAATCATATAAATGAAGAAAATGATGCTTGGGGTGGCTTTAAAAACTTAGCCAAAATTATAGAATTGAGAATCTGACACCTATCTGAATCCAAAATTCATTCTCCTTCTATACCAAAGACATAACATTCACACCATTCAAGGGAAAAATCAGTCCTTTTTCCTTCTCATGCACAAGCCCATGACTAATATTTGGCTAAGGATTTTCTTGAGGGGTCAGAAGAGTTCTAAAGAGGTATTCTCAAGCATGAAATCCACAGCCTCTGAAACTGAACTTATCTAGCATGCACAGGGATTTGATCGCTTTTCATGGGAAATTACTTCTAGCTTAGGAAAACTCAAGCACAGAATGAAGATGTATCTACATATTAATGTCCACATAAGTTTAAAAACCATTGAAAACAATTATCCCAGACTCATTTTCTGAAATGCTAATAAGAACTGGTTTCCAAATATTAAGTAGTACCTGGTAGCTTCTGGGAGTAAAAACTGAACCTTCCTCCTTCTCTGTAGCCATTTCAGAAGCCCAGCCTTTTATTCAGGTGCTACTTGAGGTGCACTGGGCAGGTGCTGGGGACACAGCAGGGAACAGCAAGCACTGTGCTACTCCTTTCATACTCATGGTCTGATGTAGCAAGCAGACAATTAGGTGAATCTTTAATTACTTTTTTGTTAAATGCTATCAACAAGTGCAGAGTTGTGCTATTACAGAACCTATAATCCCTGCCAAAGTGGTCATGATAGCCTTTCTTGAGAAAGTAATGTTTGAGCTGAGAGCTAATGCATGAAGAAACATGTCTTAGGTGGAGGGATTGGGAAGTGGTGGCTGAGAGTCAGTTTTTTCAGGCAGAGAGAGCAGCTTGTAGTAAAGCCCTGAAGTGGGAAGGAGACAGATACATTTGAAGAGCTAAAGGGAGGCCATGTGGCGGGAAGCTGAATTTGAGAAGAGTGAGAAGAGGAGAAGACTGCAATGAGATGAAGCTTCCCAGATGGAAAGAGCTTGAGAGGGATTCTGCGATGGGCTCCAAGAGCTATAAGAAGTAAGGAAATATTTTAGGCAAGGGTACCTCATTCAGATTTGCATTTTGAAGGGTTCACCCTAGACGTAGTATGGACAGTGGCTTCATGCAATGGAAGCTAATTAAACATAGATGGAGGAGGTGGAGCTGATAAATACAGAGAAGACAGCGAGAATGCAAAGGCCAGAAAAAAATAAGAGTAGCAATGAATTTGTATAAAAGTCAATGCATTTGGGATATGTCTACAGGATAGAATCAACAGAACCTAGTGATACATTGGATATAAAAGATAAGGGAGAGGGGGTGTCAAAAATGACTCCTAGATTTCCAGCAGGTTGGCTGGATAGTCACACTGTACCCTGGGGAGGAAAACACAGCAGGAGTACACTTGATGATGGGGCATGGAAAGCATGAATTCATATTATACTTTGACTCTGAGTTGCCCATGATACATCCAGTGGGATGTTGAGTGAGCAGTTGGGTATTTAAGATCACTCAGAGGAGCTATCATCTGGACTTGGGACTTAAATGTGGAAATAGATGCAATCACTTGGGAAAGGAACATAAAGTATTAAGAGGTTGGAGTTATGACAAACTAAAATACTTAAAGGTCAGGTAGAAAAGGAATGAATTAACAAAGAGACATGGTGGAATTTCATCACATGCTGCCTTGGTATTATAGCTCCCCTTGAAAATGCCAGTGAACTTGTTTACCTGAACCCATTAAAGTAAGGCATACCCAGGAAATCAGAATAAACAGTGTTTTCAACACTTTTTCTAATAGCAGAGAGAGCCAAGACAGGTCTTTGTGAATCAGCCAAACCACAAATTGTTTATGTACCCAGCCATAATTACTTAAGGCATTGAGTTTGCCCTGATCCTTATCCCTTCCAAAAACACATTTTTACTTTTTACTATTTCCATTCCAATTTTGAGAATTTATTCCTATTCTTTTTCTGTGCTACTTCTGTTCTACTAGAAGTGTGGTTAATTGGTATCATTTGTTTGGCAAAGTAATTAAGTCTCTATTGTACAGTCATCTGTTGTTATCCAAGGGGGATTAGTTCCAGGACCCCACACAGATACCAAGATCTGCAAATGCACAAGTCCTTTATATAAAATGGTTTAATATTTGCGTATAAACTACACACATTCCCCCGATACTTTAAGTAATCTCTAGATTACTTATAATACCAAACACAGTGCTTACACATCACTTCATTTGTGTGGATTTGACATAGTATTCAGTGTGTGGGAAGTTCAAGCTTTGCTTTTTGGAACTTTGTGAACTTTCTTTCCCCAGTATTTCAATCCATAGTTAGTTGAATCCATAGATGCAGAACCCACAGATATGGAGGGAAGATTCCAGTTTATTTTATATAAAACATTATTCTTTCTTCTTCCTTTCCTAGAAGGAACTCTTATTCTGAATTTAGTGCTTATACCCCTGCATTTCTTAATACATTTGCCAAGTATTTTCAAACCTATAAAGTTTTGCATGATTTTAATTTTATAAATGGCATCAAATTGTATTATTCTGCAACTTGTTTTTCTTGCTGAACACTATGTGTTTTATGTATACCCATGTTGATAGTGGCAACTCTAGTTGATTCATTTTAACTGCTGTATAGTATTCCAGGGGATGACTTTGCCACCATTTCTTCTCTTTTCTTGTTGAACATTCAGGTTGTTTCATTCTTTTTGCTATTACACACAGCTATAATTATTTTTATACATTTCTTCTATGTACATTTGCTATGGTTTCTTTGAAGTATGAACCAGAATTGTCAATTTACTGGCCAAAGAGTATACACATATTTGACTTTACTAGTTATTATCAAGCTACCCTCCAAAGAGTCACCAGCAATGTTTGAATTCCCACAGAATAGATGTACTGGGATGAGATGAGCACAGGATGCCAAGGGCACCACAGAGGATATCAATCAGACTGAGGAGGGAGAAGGACCATAGAAGGAGAATACATCTGAGCCAGGATTTGAAAAATGAGTGGGAACACACCAGAGAGAAAAGCATCCACGGTTTTAAACAAAGGCAAAAGAGAACATGGCAAGTTCAAAGAATGGAGGGTATTTTGAAATGCTAAGAAACAGATGTAAGGGGAGAGCGGGAAAAAATTCTACAATACTCAAAGAAATGGAAAGACTAGCTGTAGATTATAAAAGGCCTTGGCTGGGCGCGGTGGCTCATGCCTGTAATCTCAGCACTTTGGGAGGCCAAGGCGGATGGATCACCTGAAGTCAGGAGTTCAAGACTAGCCTGGCCAACATGGTGAAACCCTGCCTCTACTAAAAATAAAAAAAATAGCCGGGTGTGATGTCACGTGCCTGTAATCCCAGCTACTTGGGAGGCTGAGGCAGGAGAATCACTTGAACCCAGGAGGCAGAGGTTGCAGTGAGCTGAGATTGTACCATTGCACTCCAGCCTGGGCAACAGGAGTGAATCTCCATCTCAAAAATAAAATAAAAAATAAAAAAAAAGGCCTTGTGCCATGTGCAGGAGTTTGGACTTGATCCTTCAGGTGATGGGAAGTGCTCAAAGAATATTTATTTTGCAGGAAAGTGGTAGTATTAGGATTTTTCCCTCAGTAAGATTCCCCCTGGGTCTTACATGGATAGTGATTAGGAGTAGGCAAGAACAAAAGCAAGACTGTCAATTAGATTTTTGCAGGTTGATGATCTAGGCTGGAAAGAATGGCCCTTTATCCTAATAGTGGGGATAGTGAGGGGGAAATGAAGGACGTTAAAAAAATGTTCAACAGAATGAGGGATAAATCAAAGGTGAACCTCGTGGTGCCAAGCAAATAAGGAATTAAGGAGGAAGAGATTTGGGGAGTGTAATTTGAGGATGGGGAGAAAAGATGACAATTTCAGTTTTTTGTTTACTGAGTTTAAGGCTCACATGGAACAGCCAAGCAGAGAATGAGGGCTTGGAATTCAGGTGAGAGATCTGGGCTTGAATACACATTTAAGAATTATCAACTTACAGATAGAAAGTAAAGTCATGGCAATGGATTGGAGTGTTTAGAAAGAGTGTGTGGAGGATTGTAAGATCAGAAAGTATGGGCAGAACCTTAGGAAGCACCAAAACAGAAAATAAATAAGGTGATAGAGCCTTAAAAAGAGACAGAGAGACGGGCTGGAAAAATATGGAAAAAGTCCAGGAGGATGTGGTGCTACCCAAGGATCCAGAAGTTTTAAATGAAAAAGACTCTCCAGTGACAAACGGTCCAGAGATCACTAACAAAATATCACCCAAAAGCATTCGTTGGACTTAGACACAATGTGATCACTGGTGATCTTGGAAAGGGCAAGTACTTCTGAAGTCACCAGCGTATGAACTATCTCCAATTCAACAAGATATGGATATTTATAGAGTATTTGTACCACCACCACACACACAAAATGGTTGTTTCCTTTAACTAAAGTAAGTCAATTTATCTTCTTAGGCTCCAATTTGTTCAGCTGAATGAGGAGTAGGTCACATTAAGTGAGAAACAGGGCACTCCCAGAGCTCAGAAGTGATCATGTTATCTCCCCAGATATATTTTTATTTTGTTCATTTAATTTTCATTTCTAGGATTTCTGTTTGTTTTTTATGGTATCTGTCTCTCTCAGATTGTGAATTGATTTCTTGATTTATTCGCATTGTTCATCTGTGTTCTCTTGTATCTCACTGAGTTTCTTTAATATTATTATTTTGATTTTTTCAGTTGTTTCATATATTTTCTTTCTGGTGGAATCTGTTGCTAGGGAATTATTGTATTCCTTTGGAGATGTCATGTTTTCTTGCCTTTTCATGATTCTCTTTTGTACTTCTGTTGCTATCTGTGCATCTGGTGTAACAGTTGCTTTTTCTAATTTTATGGATTGACTTTATAAGAAAACACTTTTTCCTATAGATGTATCTATAGTGTTGGTTGAGTGAGGTGCTTTGGCTTTGATTCTGGGTGAGTGTAGTAGTGTAGTCTCCATATAATTTCTTTGTAATCAGCACAGTGGTGTATATGAGTTCCTCATTGGCTTAGGTTGTTAGTGAAGGCTGTGGCGAGGCTTTGCTGGGAAAAGGACACCAAGTGGGCCAGTCCTTGGATACCAGCGGTAATAGTGCTGGGCCAGGCATGCCAGTCCTTGGGCCCCCGGGTGGCATACATGGGCACTGGTGATAATGAAAGCCAATCTTTGGCCTCCAAGTGGTTTGCTCAGGTACCAGCAGTGGCAATAATTGGCTAGGCAGGTGGGCAGGTCTCCAGGTTTCTGAGTGGCATGCATAATGTCAGTGTTGGCTGTAGCCATGGCATGCCAGCCCTCAGGCCCCTGTGTGGCACGTATGGGTGTTGGAGGTGGTCGTAGCAAGCTGGATGGGCCTTTCCCCAAGCCAAAGGGAGATTTTTAAGAACAAGAATCATTTGTACTCATCCATTCAATATTTATGTCATCTTTACCAAAATTTTTTGATTGTGCATTATTTTTCTTAATCAAAGTTCAAGCTATTCTCTTAATTTTTTATCTCACGACAAAATAATTATTAAACAATTTTTTGAGCTGAGCAAATCTAGCCCCTTTTTTCTTTATAGTGTTTTGGCAAGATCTAAAATTAAAAATTCTTTCGGTAGTCTTTCCAATATTTTAAAAATATTTTTGTTGATTTTTAAATATTTAAACAACTAAATTGAGTTTAAGTAAGCAGATCATTACTGGGTATAGCCGCTATACTATATATTCCTTAGGATGTACCACAAAAAGGCATTTATCTCAATGACACCATCCCCACAAGGGAAATGAAATAAAATGCTTGCTGCCAATATGAACATGTAAAGGTCAGGTTTCCTTTACTATGATAAAGGTCAAACAAGTGGGCCCAATTGAGTTAGGCATTAAAGAGTATATGTGGGTCAAATTTGAACTCCCTCAAAGTTTGTGCTTAATTGAATTCAGATACCTGAAACTGCTTTTGAAAAAAAAACACAATTGTTGTCTTTCAAGAAAGACACCTTTAAGATAGGACATGAGACTTCTTGAATATGTCAGTGCTCTTTCAAAAGAGCCCTAAAATTCTAAGTAAAATTTGTTGAGTTAAGCAAGGTTGGACCAACTCTACTGGTATCCTCTATTGGGAGGAAATTTATTTTTTTAGTGTTGACAGTGCAAGCCAACTTCAGACCTCATGTATATGTTTGTGGCTCTCCTTGTAATAAAGTGAAAATAAAGGAAGGAGCTATGCATAACTGATCAGAGAAGAAGAGATGGCACATTTGAGAATAAAAGAGACATAAATTTACTGAATTTTTACTGTGTATCAAACATGGTTCAATGGCTTCACATGAAGTCTCTTTTAACTCCTAAAACAACTCTATTTAAATATCACTATTACACAATGAAACTAGCTCAGAGAAGTAACTTGCCCAAGATTGCATAACCTGTAAGAGGTGAAACCAGGGCTGTAATCCAGGTCTACCTGGTTCAGAGCCCAACTTATTCTCCTGTTCTGGGAGCAAGGGGGCAAGGCGACCACCTGACTGTTGGACACCTGACTGTTGCATACCCATGTTCATAGCAGCATATTCACAAGAGCGAAAAGAAGGAAGCAACTCAAGAATCCATTGATGGATGAACGGATAACAAAATGGGGTATATACATACAGTGGAATATTATTTAGCCTTTAAAAGGGAGAAAATCCTGACACTTGCTACAATATGAATGAAGCTTGAGGACATTTTGCAAGGTGAAATAAGTCAGTCACAAAAACACAAATACTGTATGAGTCCACTTATGAGATACCTAGAGTAGCCAAAATCATAAAAAGGAAGTAAAATGGTCCTTACCAGGGGCTAGGGGGAGGGGTAAATGGGGAGCTGTTTAATGAATATAAAGTTTCAGGGTCTGGCATGGTGGTGGCTCACGCCTATAATCCCGGCACTTCGGGAAGCTGAGGCAGGTGGATCGCCGAGATCAGGAGTTCAAGAAGAGCAGCCTGGGCAACATGGCGAAACTCCATCTCTACTAAATATGCAAAAATTAGCCGGGCGTGGTGTGGGCACCTGTAACCCCAGCTACTCAGGAGGGTGAGGCAAGAGAAGTGCTAGGACCCAGGAGGTGGAGGTTGCAGTGAGCCAAGATTGCACCATTGCACTCCAGCCTGGGCGACACAGCGAGACTCTGTCTCAAGAAAAAAAAAAAAAAAAAAAGAATATAGAGTTTCAGTTTTACAAGATGAAAAGACTTCTGGAGATTGGTTGCACAAGAATGTGAATATACTTAAACTACTGAATTGTACATTTAAAAATCATTAAGATAGTAATTTTATATTATGTATATTTTACAACAATTAAAAAAAAACCCTGTATGAGTTGAGTTGTTTCCTTCACCTTTACCAATTACTTCACTTTCTTTTCTACTCAGTGTTATCCGCCAAGGTGGGAGGATCACCTGAGGTCAAAAGTTCGAGACCAGCCTGGCCAATATGGTGAAACCCCGTCTCTACTAAAAATACAAAAATTAGCCGGGCATGGTGGCACCTGCCTGTAATCCCAGCTACTCAGTAGGCTGAGGTAGGAGAATTGCTTGAACCTGGAAGGTGGCGGAGATTGCAGTGAGCCAAGATTGTGCCACTGCACTCCAGCCTGGGAGTTCTTTTGCAAGGCAGGAATTGAGATCAATGAAATGAAGCTTCCACACAGACATACAATCTGTTCAAAGGAAAAAAAAAATCCTAAAAACAAGAATATCCCTCCACTACACTAAACAGCCATTTATTTAAAGGACACAAATTCTTTAATAGAATTTACATAGTCCATTGGAGATGGGTTACTACATGATTTGTTTGTAGCTGATTTTTTAGCCAGGCATCTCAGGTTGAGAGAGAGGTCACTATATTTAATAAACTCCAAAGCACTCAATGTGTATCAGGAACAATTCTAAGCACTTTACAGATGTAAGCTCAATTAGTCCTCACAACTCTATGAAGTGGTATGATTATTATCTTCATTTAATAAGTGAGTGAGTTAGGGCATTGAGAGGTTAAGTAACTTGCCCAAGGTCAAACAACTAATAAATGGCAGAATCAAGATATTAGCAAAAGCAGTCTGGCTCCAGAGTTTATGCTATGTAACTGGTCACTTGGATTTTTTTGTGGGTCTTCAAATACTATACACAAATATATTAAAAAGTAGGGATACAAGAAATTTTTTTGAAGTTTAAATTTCATTGTTTTCTTTCAAACTTGCTGGTGTTGCTAAGTAACTTTATATGTAGGCTCATATGGAGATAAGATTAAAGTCTAAATGTGAGGCTCAAGCCAGCTATCTCTGCTGCCCTCCCCACCACCCTCCTGCCAATAGATTCTGCTTCTATCTACCCCAGGTCTACCCTAAGTTCTACTTCAAACCTAAGCTCCTTATTGCCCTTTGACTCCTGACTGGGCTTCCCTGGAAAGTTTTCATACCATTTTCCTGACCTAATTTCTCCACTCGGAACACAGCTGTTGAATTCAGTTTCCACCAATTGCCCTGATCCATCTGCGGGTCTCTCCATTCACAGAGTCTCAGTTGTCTGCTCATCGCCCTTTGTTTTGAAGCTCACCCACATCATGCCTCACTTTCAGAGCCTCTTGTCTCCTGTTTTGTTCTCCGAGGTTTTTGTCAGAGCCCAACTTATTCTCCTATTCTGGGAGCAAGGCACGTGTTTCCTGACCAACTGTCTTTTTTCTGGCCAATCTTCCATTTCTCTGGTACCAACACCTTAAGGTTCTCAACCCACACGGCATCGTGGCAAGGGGCATTTTCCTTCACACTCTGCTGTCAATGTCTTTATCTCTTGGCCTGAAACTCACCCAGCTGCTTCAAAAAGATAGGCCAGCTCTGTAATTTTCTTTATGATTTTGAATTTTAAAAATCTATCTGGGGCGGGGCACGGTGGCTCATGCCTGTAATCCCAGCACTTTGGGAGGCCAAGGTGGGCGGATCACCTGAGGTCAAGAGTTTGAGACCAGCCTTGCCAATATGGCGAAACCCCGTCTCTACTAAAAATACAAAATTTAGCCGGGCATGGTGGCATGTGCCTGTAATCCCAGCTACTCAGGAGGCTGAGGCAGGAGAATTGCTTGAACCTGGAGGCGGCGGAGATCGCAGTGAGCCGAGATCATGCCACTGCACTCCAGCCTGGGCAACAGAGTGAGACTCTGTCCAAAAAAAAAAAAAAAAAAAATCTATCTGGGGCAGAAGGTAAGAGGGTGTATGATCAAGAAAACAACTGATCATAGTGACCATTTTGTCAGCTGTGCCCACAAATTACTAACAGCTCAGACAATGCAAGTCACATTTGATCCCGTAGGATTTAAAGCAGGGGTGGGTGAACTTTTCTGTAAAAGGCCACTTAGTAAGTATTTTAGGCTTTGTGGGCTATACAGTCTCTGCGCCAGCTACTAAACTCTGCCTTTGCTGGGTGAAAGCAGCCATAGATGGAAAAAAAAATGAGTGTGGCTTTTTCCAATAAAATTTTATTTACAGAAACAGACACTGGGCTAAACTTAGCCCAGAGACCATAATTTGCCAGCCCCTAAGTCAAAGCATTAAAACACTTTGTGGTGTTTTTCAGCTTTAACATGGATTTCCATGAAATCAGAGCCCCTCTTAATTGTTTCTTAGACCATACTTCATTAACTCTTCACTTCAGTAAAAATAAAATTAAAGTAAAATAAGAAACAGGATCCCTCACATAATTTGGCATATCCTCTTAAGCATAAGAACACATCTAAGACATGACAACCATTCGCTTCCAAAAACTGATAAACATCTGCTAGCACATAGAGTGCTTCAATCAGGTACTTTTTCACTTCCACAAAGCACACCCTTTTACAAAGTGTTCACAAAGGATCTCCAGACCATGTCTTGCCAAATATAGTTTTGAGATACCAACACAAACGTTGTACAGTCATGTCAATAACTGAGTATGCAAGAAGCACATAGTGCTGAGGCCTCAAGGAACAGTGGTTTGCCAATACCTGCCCCGGTGAAAATTTTCACAATTTGGGGCATTCTTGGCTATTCTACATTGTCCCCACAAGGCTCTGAGGTGCTCATTCATCAACTCATTTTTTTCATTTGTTTAACAAATGTTTTGGAGGACTGTCTTTGGGCCAGCTATGTTGCTAGGCACTTGGAATCCAATGGCAAGGCAAAGACAGAAAGACAAAATAACTAGCTAACTAACTAACTAACTAAATAAATAAATAAATAAATAAAACCAAAAAAGCAGAAAGGCCGACAGAAAGAAGAGACAGAAAAGAAAAGGACCGGTTTCTGACTTTAAAGAGTTGATAGTCTAGTGTATGGTGGCCAACAGAGCTTCCTATAATAGTGGAAATGTTCTTTATTCTCTGCTGCCCAATATGATAGCCACTAGTCACATGTGGTTCTTGAATACTTGAAATGTGTCTGGTGTGACTAGGCAACAGAACTTCTATTCTATTTAATTTTAATTAATTTAAAGTTAAATCGCTACATATAGCAAGTAGCTACTATATTAGACAGTATAGGTCTAGAGGGAGAAATACTTGAATCAAATAAGTGTAACATTATACCTGTGTTATGTGCTAAGAAGGATATTAAGTACCAAGTGCTCTGAGAACTAATAGGAAGATTTGACCAATTAAGTAAGTTCAGGAAACACTTCCCTAAGGAAGTGGCAAAGGAGAAGAAATCAGAAAGAAGAGTAAGGTTCAATTAGATGGAGTGAGGTGTCACATAAGGCAATCCAGGCATTAACTAAGGGAAAATAATATTATGTAATATTAGTGTGGCTGAAGCAGAGGGCATTAGGGGAGTAAGAGCCAGATCTTACATGGCATCACAGGTCATGTAAGGGATTTTGTTATTTAGCCTAAGGACAGGGTTTAAAGCAAATAGGAATGGAAAGTTTGGGTGTGTTTGAGGTTACTGCACTTGCATTTTGTAGTGCTCTCCTTGGTTGCAGTGTATGGAACACACTGAAGAATGGCCACCAGAGAAAGCAGAGGGAGACCAGTAAATTATCTGTTGCAGTGGTCCAAATGGCCAGTGATTGTATATGGCTTGAATTCAGACAGATGTATGGGATATGTAGAAAACAAAATTGACAAACCCTGGAAGAAAACTGGATGTGAGAAATAAGGAAAGAAAATCCAGCTTCGAGGATAACAGTCCAGCTTGCACATCCTCATGGATAGAGGTGTTGTTAACTGATCAGAAAATACATGGGGAAGAGCAGGTTTGGGGGTAATTATGTTAGTTGTGTCTTCAACATGTTGAGTTTGAGGTTCTCAGAGACATCCAAATGGTCTGTTGAATTGGCAGAAGTGTAAAAGAGAAGTATGGGTTGAATAGACATTGGAGAAATTTCTAGAATAGAAATTTGTTGAAAATTCATTAGTGAATATTATATTAGTACTTCTTTCCCTATGATAATATAAGGTATTCTTGGGAGCTGCTATAAATATTTGTTAATGCACTCAAGGTAGTATGTACAAATAGAATACATCTAAGGCAATGCAGTAATTACAACAGTAGTTTAAATGGGAGGAGATCAGAAACTATTCAGAGATGGAAAATACTGTTGAGGTTAATTTGTAAAATTTTCATAAGACTAAAATTTCTTAAAGAGATGGGAAACAAAGCATGATAAATTCACATACAGCGATGCTCAATGCAATTAGAGAGGAACAGGAGAGATGGAAAGGATTCAATTCAAGATGAGGCCTCAGAGAACTCAACTGAGTTGTTCTCTAGAAGAGAACAATGTAGCTCACATATAACAGAAAGCAACAAATGTATAGGGAATTGGGACAAGAGTAAGTGACATAGATCATTAACAGTGGTAGATGCTAATTTTAAAATTAATTTGTTTGGTTTCTGCTTATGAATGATGTTTATAGATGCCACAATACAATTGAAAATACAAATTGGAAAGTCACTCATGTTTTTCATTCTATTCCCATACACTATTTTCATCCTAGAAGCATGTAACTTCAAACTGGTGAAAAAAAATCCTCATTAGTTTTAAATAATCTTTATCAGCTAGCCATATGCATGACTTGTTTATTTTTCTTCCCATCACTCCATTAACTGGGGATAAAATTCTTCCATTTAAAAGTCCTCCTACATCACTTCTAGGTCTTTTGGCTAAGATCAGGTGTAAATGTCCTCCCACTGAACTATAGATTAATGGAACAATAAAATATAGAACATGGGTATGATTACTCCAGTCAACAATTTTATAACTTGCCCTGAAAATTACAAAACTAAAAACACAAATCTCCATTTGTCCCCCAAATAGTAAGCAACTATGTTGTCTGTAGTTGAAATTCTTGGAAATGTGTTCAGACATAAAAGGACCTGAGTCTAAATCAAATCAGAATTTAAACAAACAAACATTCAAGTACTTCAAACCAAGACATTGTACTTGTTCCTGCTACTTCCACTCATCCAGTCCAATTCCCTTCCCTTCCTACCTGGAGGCAGCCACTAAGAGGAATTTGGCATGTCCCTTCTGGTCCGAGCTTTTATACTTTTGCTATATTTATGAATATAAAAACAACGTATAGAATTGCTTTAGGCTTAATTTATGTAATTGCTATTCTATAATATGAATCATTTTGAAGCATGCTTTTCTTCTTCCACCTTTGATTTGAAGATTTCTCCATACTGATGTGTATTGCTTTGGTCTGTTTTAACTGCTGTTATTTTCCAACATAGGAATAAACCACATCTTATCAATTTCACCATTAACATCATATTATTTCCAGGTTTCACTATTTCAAACATATAGCGATGAACATATTTTACATATCTTCCTGTGTCTATGTGCAAGAGGTTCTAGATCTACATCAGCTTAGATCTAGATCAAGCAGGTCTTAAACTATAACTTTATTAGACATTAGCAAATGTCTCAACAAGTGATGAGAACCCTTGATACTCTTAGCAATGGTGGTAAGATCTTTTTTATACACATACTTGAAAATACTTTCCAACTTTTTGATGTTTGTCAATCAGATGGGAGTGAAATGGTATCTCATTTTAATTTTTTCCCTGGTTACTAAGTAAACATCCTTTTATTGTTTATTGTTTATTTTGTTTGCCTCTTCTTTGAACTGCTGGCTTATATCTTTTATCTAATTTTCTAGTCATCTGTCATTTTCTCCAGAGTTATTTATATACTACGTATGTCTGCACATAAGGTGGCCTCAAATGTAAGGCTTTCTTCCAGTATTCTGAATGGGGAGATACAAAATGTTTTGCATAACTTGAATATAAAAATAAATAAATAAAATAATCAAATGTCTGTGATTACACTTGATATTACTGTTATTTTCAGATGCATTTTTAAAATCATGTATTACATAATAAATTATTTTATGACTATTGCTTTCGCCTTCACTCATATTTCCTTAAATACTTTATTCAAACTTTTAATGGGCATATCCGACATCACGGTGTCATCATTGAGCCACTTTTTGCATCATTTACATTTTTTTTTTAGAGCGGACCACCTTCATTTCTGTTCAGACAAATGTTGAATCTGGGCTTGATACAGTCACAAACATTGTTCCAAGCTGCCAAGTACCATTTGCAATTCATGAGCATCACAATAGGATCATGTAGTATATTGCTTTTTGTGCGTTATCTTTCATTTGCCCCATGAGATCCACTTTCCTTCCCTCTTCCCCCTGCTTTCTGCCGCGGAAAGCTGACCTCTAGGGACCTTTTCACCAGATCCTTTAGGTCTAGCTTCCTTCTAGGGTCAGTCAGTGGGAGGCCCTAGTAGGAGATGAGGGGAGGTAGGAGAGTGAAGTTGGGATATTTATTTCTCTCATTCCCACTCTCAGAGGTCACCTCCAACTGGTTGCATCACTATGCAGAAGGTCATTGCATCTCACGACTCTCTCTCTCCTAATTTAAGTGTGCCATCAATTTGCCATTGGGGAATGATTGGGTTCAAGAGATTCTCCTGCCTCAGCCTCCCAAGTAGCTGGACTACAGGCATGTGCCAACACACCTGGCTAATATTTTGTATGTTTAGTAGAGACGGGGTTTCACCGTGTTAGCCAGGATGGTCTTGTTCTCCTGACCTCATGATCTGCCTGCCTCAGCCCCCTGAAGTGCTGGGATTATAGGTGTGAGCCACCGCATCCAACCATCACATTTTCTTTATCCAGTCATTGATGGGCATTTGGGCTGCTTTCATGTTTTTGCAGTTGCAAATTGTGCTGCCATAAACGTGCGTGTGCAAGTATCTTTTTGTTTAATGACTTGCAAGTATCTTTTTTGTATAATGACTTGTTTTGCTCAGGGCGGATACCTAGTAGTGGGATTGCTGAATCAAACTGTAGATCTACTTTTAGTTCTTCAAGAAATCTCCACATCATTTTCCGTAGTAGTTGTACTAGTTTATATTCCCACCGACAGTGTAAAAGTGTTCCCTTTTCATCACATCCCCACCAACATCTATTTTTTTTAATTTTTTTTATTACGGTCATTCTTGCAGGAGTTAGGTGCTATCGCATTGTGGTTTTGATTTTCATTTCCCAGATCATTAATGATATTGAGCATTTTCTCATATGCTTGTTGGCCATTTGTATATCTTCTTTTGAGAATTGTCTATTCATGTCCTTAGCCCACTTTTTGGTGGGATTTTATTTTATTTTATTTTTTACTGATTTGTTTGAGTTTCTTATAGATCCTGGATATTAGTCCTTTGTTGGATGTACAGATTGTAAAGATTTTCTCCCACTCTGTGGGTTTTCTGTTTACTCTGCTGATTGTTTCTTCTGCTGTGCAGAAGCTTTTTAGTTTAATTAAGTTCCATCTATTTACCTTTGTTTTTGTTGTATTTGCTTTTTGGTTCTTGGTCATAAATGCTTTGCCTAAGCCAATGTCTAGAGGGTTTTTCTGATGTTATCTTCTAGAATTTTTATGTTTCAGGTCTTAGATTTAAGTCTTTGATCCATCTTGAGTTGATTTTTATATAAGGTGAGAGATGAGGATCCCATTATATTCTTCTACATGTGGCTAGCTAATTATCCCAGCACCATTTGTTGAATAGGATGTGCTTTCCCCACTTTGTTTACTTTGTTGAAGATCAATTGGCTATAAGTATTTTGCTTTATTTCTGGGTTCTCCATTCTGTTCCATTGGTCTATGTGCCTATTTTTATATCAGCACCATGCTGTTCTGGTGACTATGGCCTTATAGTATAGTTTGAAGTTAAGTAATGTGATGCCTCCAGATTTGTCCTTTTCGCTTAGTCTTGCTTTGGCTATGTGGGCTCTTTTTTGGTTCCATATGAATCTTTGGATTGTTTTTTCTAGTTCTGTGAAGAATGATGGTGGTATTTTGATGGGAATTGCATTGAATTTGTAGATTGCTTTTGGCAGTATGGCCATTTTCACAATATTGATTCTACCCATCCATAAGCATAGGATGTGTTTCCATTTGCTTGTATTGTCTATGATTTCTTTAAGCAGTGTTTTGTAGTTTTCCTTGTAGAGGTCTTTCACTTCCTTGGTTAGGTATATACCTAAGTTATTTTATTTTATTCGCAGCTATTGTACAAGGGGGTGAATTCTTGATTTGGTTCTCAGCTTGGTTGCTGTTTGTGTGTAGCAGAGCTACTGATTTCTGTACATTAATTTTGTATCTTGAAACTTTGAATTCATTTACCAGTTCTAGGAGCTTTTGGATGAGTCTTTGGGTTTTTTAAGTATATGATTATATCATTGGCAAACAGGAACAGTTTGACTTCCTTTTTACCAATTTGGATGGCCTTTATTTCTTTCTCTTGTCTTATTGCTCTAGCTAGGACCTCTAATACTATATTGAATAGAAGTGGTAAAAGTAGGGATCCTTGTCTTGTTCCAGTTCTCAAGGGGAATTCTTTCAACATTTCCCCATTCAGTATTAGGTTGGCTGTGGGTTTGTCATAGATGGCTTTTATTACATCAAGGTATGTTCCTTCTCTGCCAATTTTGCTGAGAGTTTTAATCACAAAACCATGCTGAATTTTGTCAAATGCTTTTTCTGCATCTATTGAGTTGATCATGTGATTTTTGTTTTTAATTGTTTATGTGGTGTATCACATTTATTGACTTGCATATGTTAAACCATCCCTGTGTCTCTGGTATGAAACCCACTTGATCATGGTGGATTATCTTTTTGATATGCTGTTGGATTTGGTTAGTTAGTAGTTTGTTGAGGATATTTGCATCTATGTTCATCAGGGATATTCATCTGTAGTGTTCTTTTTTTGTTATGTCCTTTCCTGGTTTTGGTATTAGGGTGATACTGGCTTCATAGAATGATTTAGGGAGAATTCCCTCTCTCTCTGTCTTGTGGAATAGTGTCAATAGGATTGGTACCAGTTCTTCTTTGAATGTCTGATAGAATTCAGCCATGAATCCATCTGGTCCTGGACTTTTTTTTGTGGGAAATTTTTTTGTTAGCATTTCAATCTCGCTGTTTGTTATTGGTCTGTTCAGAGTTTCTATTTCTTCCTAGTTAAATGTAGGAGGGTTGTATGTTTCCAGGCATTTATCCATCTCCTCTAGGTTTTCTAGTTTATGTGTGTAAAGGTGTTCATAGTAGACTTGAATAATCTTTTGTATTTCTTTGGTATCAGTTGTAGTATCTCCTGTTTTGTTTTTAATTGAGCTTATTTGGGTCTTCTCTCTTCTTTTCTTGGTTTATCTCACTAATGGTCTATCAATTTTATTTACCTTTTCAAAGAACCGGCTTTTTGTTTCATTTACCTTTTGTATTGCTTTTGTTTCAATTTCATTTAACTCTGCTCTGGTCTTTGTTATTTCTTTTCTTCTGCTGGGTTTGAGTTTGGTTTGTTCTTTTTTTACTAGCTCCTTGATGTGTGACCTTAGATTGTCTATTTGTGCTCTTTCAGACTTTTTAATGTAGGCCTTTAAAGGCTATGAACTTTCCTCTTAGCACCACTTTTGCTGTATCCCAGAGGTTTTGATAGGTTGTGTTGCTATTTTCATTCAGTTCAAAGAATTTTTTAATTTCCATCTTGATTTCATTGTTGACCTAATGCTCATTCAGGAGCAGATTATTTAATTTCCATGTATTTGCATGGTTTTGAGCGTTCCTTTTGGAGTTGATTTCCAATTTTACTCCACTGTGGTCTGAGAGAGTACTTGATATAATTTTGATTTTTTTTTTATTTTTTGAGACTTGTTTTGTGGCCCATATGGTCTATCTTGGAGAATGTTCCATGTGCTGATGAATAGAATGTATATTCTGCAGTTGTTGGGTAGAATATTCTGTAAATATCTGTTAAATCCATTTGTTCTAGGGTATAGTTTAAGTCCATTGTTTCTTTGTTGACTTTGTCTTGATGACCTGTCTAGTCCTGCCAGTAGAGTATTAAAGTCCCCCATTATTATTGTGTTACCATCTATCTCATTTCTTAGGCCTAGTAGTAATTGTTTTATAAATTTGGGAGCTCCAGTGCATATATTAGGTGCATATATTTTCAGAATTGTGATATTTTCCTGTTGGACTAGTCCTTTTATCATTATATAATATCCCTCTTTGTCTTTTTTAACTGCTATTGCTTTAAAGTTTGTTTCGTCTGGTATAAGAATAGCTACTCCTTCTCACTTTTGATAACCATTTGCATGGAATACAATTTCCACTCCTTTACTTTAAGTTTATGTGAGTCCTTATGTGTTAGGTGAGTCTCTTGAAGACAGCAGACACTTGGTTGCTGATTTCTTATCCATTCTGCCATTCTGTGTCTTTTCAGTGGTGCATTTAGGCCATTTACATTTAATGTTAGTATTGAGATGTGAGGTACTATTCTGTTCTTCGTGCTATTGTTTCCTGAATATCTTTTGTGTGTGTGTGTTTGTTTTATAGGTCCTGTGTGATTTAGGTTTTAAGGAGTTTCTATTTTGGTGTATTTTGAAGATTCCTTTGAAAATTTAGAACTCCTTTTAGCAGTTCTTGTAGTATTGGCTTTGTAGTAGTGAATTTTCTCAGCATTTGTTTGTCTGAAAAAGACTGTATCTTTCCTTCATTTATGAAGCTTGGTTTTGCTGGATACAAAATTCTTGGCTGATAATTGTTTTGCTTAAGGAAGCTAAAGATGGGACCATAATCCCTTCTAGTTTGCAGGGTTTCTGCAGAGAAATCTGCTGGTAATTTGATAGGTTTTCCTTTATAGGTTACCTGATGCTTTTTCTCACTGCTCTTGAGATTCTTTCCTTTGTCTTGACTTTAGATAACCTGATGACTATATGCCTATGTGATGATCTTTTCATGATTAATTTCCCAGGTGCTCTTTCAGCTTCTTGTATCTGGATGTCTAGATCACTAGCAAGGCCAGGAAAGTTTCTTTGATTATTCCCTGAGACATGTTTTCCAGAGTTTTACATTTCTATTTTTTCTCGGAAACAATTTTTCTTAGGTTTGGTTGTTCAATACAAGGCCAAACTTCTTAGAGGCTTTGTTCATTTTGTTTTGATTCTTTTTTCTTTGTCTTTGTTGGACTGGGTTAATTTGAAAGCCTTATCTTTGAGCTCTGAGGTTCCCTCTCTACTTGTTTGATTTTATTGCTGAGATTTTCCAGTGTATTTTGCCTTTCTATAAGTGTGTTCTTCATTTCCAGAAGTTGTAATTGTTTTTTATTTATGGTACCTATTTCTCTGAAGATTTTTCTGTCCATATTATGTGACATTTAAAAAATTTCTTTAAGTTGGTATTCACCTTTCTCTGGTGCTTCCTTAGTAACTTAGTAAACAACCTCCTAAATATTTTTTCTGGCAATTCAGGGATTTCTTCTTGTTTTGGATCCATTGCTGGTGAGCTAGTGTGACCTTTTGGGGGTGTTAAAGAACCTTGTTTTGTCATATTAACAGAGTTGCTTTTCTGGTTTCTTCTCATTTAGGTAGACTATGTGTCAGAGGGAAGATTTGGGACTCAAGGGCTGCTGTTCAGATTCTTTTGGTCCATGGGGTGCTCCCTTGATGTGGTTCTCTCCCCCTTCCCTTAGGGATGGGGCTTCCTGAGAGCCAAACTCTAGTGATTGTTATTTCTCTTCTGGATCTAGCCACCCAGTGGAGCTACCTGGCTCTGGGCTGGTACTGGGGAGTGTCTACAAAGAGTCCTGTGATGTGATCCATGTTCAGGTCTGTCAGCCATGGATATCAGCACCTGCCCCAGGGGAGGTAGCAGGGGAGTGAAGTGGACTCTGTGATGGTCCTTGGTTGTATTTTTGTTTAGTGCACTGGTTTTGTGTTGGTTGGCCTCCAGGCAGGAGGTGGCACTTTTAAGAGTGCATCTGCTGTGGTAGTACAGGGAGGCTACAAGCTTGCCCTCGGTCACCCGGATAAGTATTTGGGTTTCTCAGGTGGTGAGTGGGGCCATAGGGCTCTCAAAAGATTATGTCCTTTGTCTTTGTCTACCAGGGTAGGTAGAGAAAGACCATCAGTTTGGGGCAGGATTAAGCATATATGAACTCAGACTCTTCTTAAGCGGAGCTTCCTATGGCTGCTGTTGGGGATGGGGCTGTGGTTTCCAGGCCAATGGAGTTACATTCCCAGGAGGATTATGGCTGCCTCTGCTGTGTCATTCAGGTCACCAGGAGAGTGGGGGAAAGCCAGCAATTACAGGCCTTACCCAGCTCCCATACAGCCCAAAAGGCCAGTTTCAGCCTGACCATGTACCCCACATCATCTCTGAGTTTATTTCCAGGCAACAGGTGAGCAGGGCTGAGAACTTGCTCCAGACTACAAGCCTTCACACTGAGAAAGCAAGCAGTGCTTTCAGGTTTCACTCCTCCCTTCATGCCACAGTTTCTGTGCTCATATCTGCACTCCTGATTCACCCCCTTTCCTGGGTTCTGTCCTGGAAACGTTGCATTCAGTTGAATTTGAATTTGTTACAAAGTTCACCTGGAAGTTTCCTTCTCTCTGTGGTCTTTCCTCAATTCCACTGGCAGCCCTCCCCAAGGACACTTGAGAGACAAAGTCAGAAATGGCTTCCTTGGAGACTGAGAGTGCCCACAGGGCTCTTCCCTCTGCTTCCTCTATCCCTATATTTCACTTGGCTCTTTAAATTTGTCTCAGCTCCAGGTAAGGTCAAATCTTTATCCCATGATCTGGACCTTCAAGTTCTCCAGTGAGGATGTATTTTTGGGGGTAGATGATCTCACTTTTACATTTTTGCACTTTGGGTACCCACAGTTTTTTGGCTGTCTCACAGAGCCTGCAGCAGCAATCTACTTCCTTCAAAGGGTCTATGGATTGTCTTTGCTTTTATAGTATATTCCTGCAGTAGTTCTTAGAGGAAAACGTTACTATGTTGAGTCTCCACACACTGCTCTGTCCATCCAAGTGGGAGCTGCAAGTTAGTCCTGCCTCCTGTCTGCCATTTTTTTCAAGACCATCTTTTGCTCCATTTTTAATCAGGTATTTTGTTTTTGCTATTGGATTGTTTGAGTTCCTTATATATTTTAGATAATGGCATACCTATTGAACATATGGTTTGAAAATATTTGCCACCATTCTTTTAAAACTGTTTTAAATTACTTATTTTTATTTAATTATTTATTTACTTACTTTTTTTTTTTTTTTTTAGAGACAGGGTCTCACTCTGTTGTTTAAGCTGGAGTGCAGTGGCTGAAGCTCCTGGGCTCAAGCGATCCTCCTGCCTCAGCCTCCCCAGTAGCTAGAACTACAGACACGTGCCATCACCCTCAGCTAATTAAAAAAAATTTTTTTGAGATGGGGTCTCATTATATTGCCCAGCTGGTTTCAAACTTGTCCTCAAGCAATTATCCCACCTTGGCCCCCCAAAGCGCTGGGATTACAGGCATGAGCTACTGCACTCAGCTTATTTGCTGCCATTCTGTAGGTTGCCTTTCCATTTTCTTGATTGTTTCCATTGCTGTGCAAAAACTTTTTAAAAATTCACCTTTTTGTGTAATTCTTTTTTTCAGAGATGTTGATACCTGAGTTAATGAATGATTCTCCCCTTCCCATTAGTCTGCTAATGGCTATTACTAGATTAGATCCAAACATTTCACTAGAGCCATGAAACCTCCCTCAACACATTGGGTGATCTATCCACTGATTTTTTTTTTCTTTTTCTTTAGAAACATCCCACCAGGGTCCTTTTGTTCCTTTACTCCAAAACTAGACTGTTTGCTCTTTAGGTAGAGCTGTCACTCTGAAGTTCTCCTTTGTTATCATCCTGTGAATTGCTAACTGCAGAGTAAATTCTCCTTCTAGCTCTCATGTCAAGCCCCAGTCTTCTAGACCATTTAGATTAGGTGCACCCTTCAGCCATTTAGCTTAGCTTTGTTCATCTCTCTCATTTTAGGGTGTTTTTCTTCAATTTTGTTAACTGAGAATTTCCTTCCAATGTTTAAACTTTTTATTTAAGACTTACTTTTGTTTTAATTTTTACCAAATATTCTATGGTTAGGAGCTGGGGGGAAGCACTTTTCCTTATCACCTCAGTTTGTCAGATGTCAACCATCTCTAAAAGATGGCATTTAGAAAGATATCATTGATTCATTTATTGATTCACTCAGCAAATTATGTGAGTGCTAGGTGTGTTAATATTTTTTGTTCCCAGAAATGCAAAGATTTTTTCTCTTGGTTCAAAATAACCAGTAGGCACATATATAAACATACTAAAAATAAATTATGTCACATTTCCTTGAGATTTAAAATAGAAAGAAAAAAAACAAAGAAGAACAAAATTATTTCAGTAGTAAAACTCTGATCCTGATCCTTCCTATAAACTGTTTTTGGAAAGAACACTCTAATTCCCTTGGAATTGTTCACATTTCCCATAATTTGATGCAACAGCTTTTCTCTTCAGGGTGATTCTCTCCAGCTGTAATGAATGCAGACTCTAAATTTGACTGCTTAGTGGAAATTGCAGTAAACAGATTGTATTTCATTGTATTATTTTTAATCTGATTACATTAAAAAAAATATTATTACTACTTTTTATATATCTATATCCTAAAAATTCCACACTTTAAAAGTGTTCAAAGATTCCACATTTAATCGGAGTCCAAAGTATTTTAGGAATATTATTTCCTTTTAATCTTGGTAATTTTTTTAACTGTGTATAATAAATTAAAATTTTTTATTAACTGCCTTGAATGAAAATACATTAAAAAGGTTAAACACAGTTGTAAAACTATCTTCTTAGGACTTATATAAATCTACAGTAGGATCTCAAGTTATACTGGATAGCAACAAAGTAGAAATTTAAATCAAAGAGTAAAACCAGGCTTGGTACCCCAGTCCTTCACAATCTCCAGACATCAACAACCATATTTCATTAACATATCTATAAGAATTTGGTCAGTTTATTGTATCACTTATTAATACCAAAAGTCATGGAGGGTCCACCCCAACATCAACTCTGTTGTCATATAGAAAAGGTAATAGACTAGCTAATAATGTAAAATCTATTCTGTGTTGCAGTGTGTCTCTGTTAAATGAAAAGATGACATATTGAAGCTAGATTGATTAAGATACCTTCAACTGAGTTCTCCCCACTTATTATAGTCTGGAGCAGCCTCTGCTATTTAAATGATTGAAGAAAATTGATATCAGTGACTATATTAAATGTCCAAAAGTTTGTGTGGAAAAATTCTGATCACGTTAAGCTCCATGGGGTAGACTTATTTGTCATAATATATGGCATGCTCTAGGCTTATAATAGAAGCATAAAAGTTAAGAATAATGAAGTCAAGGGGGATAAAAGCAACTAGCAATTGAGGCTTTAACAAAATTTGAAATCTAAAATCCTGTTTCAAAATTTAGGGCTATTAATGTATTAACTCTACTTATTTCATCCAACTTTAATATCAGCTTCTTATAATTTTTCTCACATTTAGTGTACATTTAAGAAATTTGTTCTGAAGAACAGATGGAAGTAATCACAGCTAAAACTCCCACCCCTTCTTCTCTTCTGCTGGCCCAATTTTTTCCAAGGGCACATCTGGGCCTGGGATGGGTCCTTTTTATAGTTTTCTCAAGAGCATGTGATTAAAACATTTCATGTGTTTAATTAAAGGCTTTTGTGTGCACTATGTGCAGTGAGGACCTCATGTCTTTCCAAGATCACATATCTGAACTGTGACACTGTGAACCATTAATATCTCAATCTGAAATCAAGTTCACTAAATCTGAATGAATGGGTGGTTAGAGAAAAGGAGGAAGAGGAGGAAATGAATTGCTATAAATTAAGAATGTATTATAGAACATGAGCATTGGCAAATCTATTCATGTCTATATACAAGCCTCTCCCCCTAGATCAGTCTTCTTTTGGAATTGAATGAGCCTGAGAAAACATCTAGTCCAAACTCCTCACCTGACAGATGAAACCAAAACCCTAAAAGATGATGTGATACACCCTGGATTATACAGCTTGACATCACCTGACCCAGGACTAGAACACAAGGCTCCTAATTTGCTTCTAGGGTTCTTCTCATTGTAGCCTTAAAACACAAGACTGAAATTTTAAAGCCTAACTCTAAGAAAAGCACATAAAACAGGGAACTAAAATAGCACTAAAATAGGGCTCTGATATGGAAGTCCTCACATCCTGAATGACTGGGATGGATCATTTGTATTGCAAAAATTAGCCTTAGGAATCTCCTGTAAGACTTTTCCTGTTTTTCATTGCTATACCCTAGTTTCCACTTGGCCCTATCACCCACACCTCATCAAACTGGAAATATTATAAAACCTTGATTAATGCATGAAATGCATGGATTTCTCAAAGGAATCTGATCCCTGAGATGGGATGAAAGTTACTAATATTTAAATCCAATAAAATAAGAGTAAGAATAAAAGTAATAATAACAGCTAATATTTAGGAACATTTTCTTTGTACCAAGAGTATACTGATTGTATTACGTTTCATAGTTTGTTCTTACAATAGCTATGTGAGCAGAGTGCTACTATCATACCAACTTTACCATCAAAAAAGATTTAAATGATCTTTCCATTATTGGGTAGCTTGAAAGTGGGGTAACCAGTATTGAAGCCCAGGACTGCCTGATATAAAAAATCTGCTCTTCCCTCATCCCACACTTGGCAGTCATTCCTCTACAATACAAGAACAACTTTTAAGACATTCTCCTTCCAAAACTCTCATTGAATATAACCCTTCATAATCCAAGGTAGCTGGGGCTTATAAAAACACACATTCGGAGGCATGTTCTTCTGATGCGAAGCCTTTAAAAAAGAGAGGTGAAATAACAGAATAGGCAAGGAAATCAGTGCCTTTGGTTTTGTTACTGTTCAAGTACTACCCTTGTCAGAGAACTGCAGTTGTTCTCAAATGATTCAGGGAAAAAAACACCCTTCTGAGTCAGTAAGTTCGGCTGAAAGACAAGAGAAAATCAAGCAGAGTCATTCTAAACCAATGATTC
Organism: Homo sapiens; assembly: GCF_000001405.40. Classification (NCBI taxonomy): domain Eukaryota; kingdom Metazoa; phylum Chordata; class Mammalia; order Primates; family Hominidae; genus Homo; species Homo sapiens. The sequence continues at coordinate 101,066,196 of NC_000003.12, forward strand.
ATTGACCTTGGAAATCTGGCTAGTAGATGTCTAATAAAAACAAACCCTTTCAGTTTAAGAGATGAGATATTTACTCCATACCTAATGAAAAGTACAGAGAACTTAGAGAAATTAAATATTTTTTCCTAACACAAAACCTGGACAGATTTCTTCTTTTTCAAGGACAAGTAAAACAATATTAAGTAACATAAAGAAAGGAAGTACTGCCTTAGGGATACAGGGTATGCACAAAAAACGATTAACCATAAGAAACTGAAGATATTTTTAGAAATTATCTACTTTGCATTTTTCATAAATTAAAACAGCGTTTTCTGAAACATAAGAAATGAGTTTAAGATAAACTAGAATAAAGGGTAAGATTAAAATTAAAAAGGAATTGATCAGTACAAGGAAAGAATGCATTAAGTTAAGGGAGAAGTTTTGTTCTCTCGTCATTACCAATTTTCTTGCCACAAACAATTACAAAAGCTAAATAAAAGATAAAGAAAAATGTTTGAATGCAACAGTGAAGGGATCAAAGAGCAACCGAGGCTATCAGAAGTTGAAGGGCAATTATCCCATAAAGAAGAGAGACAGACTAATATGAACACATTTTTATAACTGTCTTTCCTCAGAGGTGTTGGTGATGTAGACCACCATTTCTAAGCAGAAAGTGGTAAGCTGGCACTGACAGCAGCCTCCCCAGGCTGGGCAGACACAGACCAAAGAAGCCAGAATGTAACAGGGAAAAGGGAATGCAGAAAGGATAGCTCAAAATACTACAGCAATTTGCCCTTCAGCCATTTGCCAACTGCTAAGTTTTACTCATACAGATTGAGACTTGAAAAAACAAGGAAAAAGCCCCAGCTCAGATGCCAGAGAGTGAAGCCAAGATTTCAGCAGTTTTTCAGTCCATCAGAGAGACAGAAGTCTGAATTCACAACCCAGTATGGTGGGGGGACCTTAGTAAAAAACTCCAGGCTCTCAGTTGAGACATAAAAGAGAAAATATATACGTACTTGAAAGCATCAGGTCATGCCAGAGTTTCTCCAATATGCATAAATTGCCTATATATATATTATATATATGTCCATTCTATATATATATAACATGTCCATTCTACTTTTTTTTGTATTTCACTGCTTTCTCTCTTTTTCTCTTTGTCTCTATAAATTTCTGCTTTTAATCTAGTTGTAATTTTATAATTTAATGCTTAATTTATTCATTCTTGTTCTTCAAGGTCAATACTTTTACTAATAGCAGCTTTATAAAGCTATAACTCATAAGTTTTGGCATATATATATGATATATATATTTCTATGTAGTTAAAATATCAATGGTTAATATCAAATATACATATAAGATTAAGCAAAATAAAATTCAGATTCCTTTATGCCAAAACTTATGACTTATAGCTTTATAAAGCTGCTATTAGTAAAAGTATTGACCTTGAAGAACAAGAATGAATAAATTAAGCATTAAATTATAAAATTACAACTAGATTAAAAGCAGAAATTTATAGAGACAAAGAGAAAAAGAGAGAAAGCAGTGAAATACAAAAAAAAGTAGAATGGACATGTAATTGATAAACAACTAAATAATTAGTTCTTCTGAAAAATCCTATAAAAAGTTGTCTAGAATATAAACAACAGGATTTTTAAATTTAAGTACTGGTTCTAAAGTTCATTTGGGAAAAAAAGCCACTTATAAAAATAAAAAAAAGTTGAACAACGGAGTAAAAAAGGATACTGACCCAGCCAAATATGATAAATCATAAATGTATTTCTCATATACTATAATCTCTATGTTCTGTTCAGTGTCTTTGTTCTTAGGTGGCATAATAATACTACATCATATTATGAGGTTTTGCCATGTTGCCCAGGCTGGTCTGGAACTCCTGGCCTCAAGTGATTCACCTGCCTTGGCCTCTCAAAATGCTGAGATTATAAGCTTGAGCCACCATATCCAGCCAGCTCGTTTTCTTAAGAGGAAGTTTAGTTGATAGAGAATTAGGGATTTCATCTGAAAAGAAGTAAAGGTAATTTATACATATTGGGGAAATTTTGGCATGACCTGATGCTTTCAGGTATTTATAACCCAGATCTCTTTATAAGTATTTCTTTATTCATTCCACTCTATTTGAGGGCCTATCATATGCCCAACACTTTATACAGCCTTGGGAATACACAGTTGAGAATAGCACAGGGATACTCCCTGCATTCAGAGAGCATACAGTTTGAGGGTAGGACAGACATTAAATAAAGGACACAATCTGTAGGTGAATTTAAGGAAAGAACCAAGATGGGATTAAACACTATTCTGCTTCTTACTGACTGGTGACTATATTTCATCATGATATTAACAGCATTATAAAACACCTAGGAAAAGTCAACAAATTATAATACATTTCAGTCTGTCAAGCAGTTTTGTTTAAGGCAGCTTTAAAAAATCCTGACGTCTAGGACACAACCAAGACCAGATAAGGCAGACTTTGGGGTGGGACCCAGGCATCAATATTATTAAAGCTTTCCAGGTGATTCCAATGTGCAGCCAAGGTTGAGAATCACCGATTTCAGGGGAAGTTTACACGTTTTTAATTTCTTTTGTATAAACATATAAACTTATTTTCCATTTTATCTAATATCCAAAGGCCTTCTAATTCATATGCCCACTTAGTCACAGAAAATATTTATGCCTCATCACCAAGTGTAAAATTTCTGGGTGGGGACATAACCTGAGCTAAGTAGCTGGAATATAAAACTGGCTATTTCTAATAGTAATCTCAAAAAAAAGGAGGCAAGTTGTTTATTTAATACTTATTTTGGCTATTACTTTATGCTTAAAAGTCCAATATAATTACATGTGATGCTAAACAAGAGTCATGTGTATCTGAGTATTGCATCATTGAGGGTAACTGCCACACCTCCCTATAGTTACAGGCTAATGTTCCTACCTAAAGCAAAATATTAAACTGATCCTCTACAATTCTTCTTATGTTGCAGGGTTTATCTAACATGCTTATGGACAGGGACAAGCATTAGGATTGAAAGAACCACTCCAAACACTATAAACAGAATATTAAAAATCTTATTGTTACCAAATAGGCAAAAGAAAAATAACATAAGCAAAGACTAGAGGTTTTCCAAAGTTTTCCTCAGTTATTTTATTCTTTGATTATAAGGCCATCTCAGGCTGTAATGTTTGGAATTTGGCCTGTTGGCCTCCAAAACCAAGGGCAAGCCATCTGGCTCCAAGCACAATGAGCTCCAATTATGGCACCATTGAATTTTTTTCTCTTTCTTTTTCCTTTGTGGATAAGACTAAGTTTTGCCATTTTGTTCTCAAGTTTCTAAGTTTTATTTTTGCTTTAGGACTCTCCCCACAGCAGCAATTCTTGCAATTACACGTTTATGTTCTGAACTCACAAGTAAATCCTATAAAAATACTCCCTTATCCCATGTTAATTACTCAAAAATCAAACCAAAGGAGCAAGTCCGTAGTAGCAAAGGGTTTTCTGCAAAGCAGAAGATACATGAAGGAATTCCTTACGGCTCCATCCTACTTTATAATCAGGGTGTGATTTTACAGCATTTAGAAAGAAATAAACAAAGGATACATCATTCTTTAAAACTTTATTTTGTCTCCTTATTTCCAAGAGTCAAATAACTACAGAACCATGAAAATTGACTCAACAAATCCTACAGCAACTCCTCTTTGTCAGGTCCCATGTTAGAACCAGAGTTTACAACACAGTATGAGAGAAGCGAGAACCTGCCATCATGGACTGTAAAGCCATAAAGTAAATAACAGAAATATAAATGACTTCATGTGTAAAGAGAAGTCATTAAGCAACCTTATTGCTCCAAATTCCATTGCTTTTTACCCTGCTCCCCAGCTCCTAAATTATCACACAAGATCATGTTCTCCCTCTCTCCCTCCTCCTCCCCTTCTGCTCTGTAGTTTAAAGCTCAACTTAACTTCTAATTCTTTAAACTCCATCCTGTTATCTTCTTTAGGGGCTGAATGGGCTGAATGGGAGAAGGGTGTGTGATTTCCTTGTGTATTGGTGAGGTGCAAAGAATGGAAACAAACTCTATCTTATTTAAGCAGGAAAAAAATGACATGAAAGGATATTGGAATTTCACATTCCTTGGGAAGTTAAACAAGCAGGAACAAAGGAAAGCTCTGCAGCCATGGCCACAGCCAGAGATGCAGCACAGAGCCTCCAGGTGAGGACACGCTGCCCCTACCCTGACACGTGCACCCAGCACCGGACCCACCACCAGAGGGCACTCCTGCTGCTGCCCTCCAGGAACTCCTCCCTATTTATGCCTCCGCAGCTTCTTTAACTCCAGATTTAAAAATTCCAGGCACTACATTAGATAGACCTAATTCCATGGGAGCTACAAAAGCAATTTCTGAGAATTTTCTGTTTCTACGGTGGTAAGGAATCTTCTGTGTCTATAGGGGGTGGACTCTGCTTCCCACCAAGACTTTTATGGCAGGGAATTTCCAAAATAGAGAAAAGGAGGTAAAATGCTGGAGACTTTTGCTTTTGCTTTTGTTTTTTTAATGACAAGCAGTCCCTCTTCCACAAATTTCTCAGGTAATTGTTCAGAAAATGTCTTGTGGACATATTCTCCTTTCCTGATTCCCATCTAAGGGAATTGGATTTTTATGGTCATCCCTAAGTAAATAGCCTGTCTAATTTCACAGAGAAGTCTAAACTTCCTGTTATCCAAATGCTACTCCCTGGGAGTCCTCTACCTTACCCAAGGCTGAAAGGACAGAATATTTTTTCTGGGTGATTTTCCCCACACAACCCTATCCACTACAAAATGGCCTCCACTTCACACTCAACTTCCTGCATTATTTTAAAATCTAGCTCAGGGCAAAAGTACACTGGGTTTCATTACTGTGTGAGATACCATCATCTTCCTCTTTCCTTCCTTTGTTGGCCCAAGAGCCGTGTCTAGTGTACTTTGAATTTTCCTTCTTTCATCAGGCCTCTGACCATTTTCCCTTCCATGAGTACAATTTCTAAGTAGTCATGATGTTACGTGCAGATAGATTCATCAAATAAGGAGAAGCCACCTAACACAAAGTCTAAGACTTTATAAAGTAAGCAGCAATGACCTTGGTTAATTCTAGAAAATAGTTGATGTCTGAGTTCCTCCGAGGTCTCCCAAGCCACCTGCTTTCCTCCCACATCTGATACTCCTCACCCCCAACCCCTTTTGCTTAATATCCTCCAGAAATAATCTGGAACTCAATAATACTAATAGGTGAATGATTGACACTAAAAGAAATCCATCTTTGAGAACTCCTCAAGTGCTTTAGGGCTTTTCTGAAAAATACTTTCCCTCCAACAGTGAAGATTCAAAACTAACCAAAGATCTCTGCATTTCCTTTTTCTATGTGTCCACAAATTATTTCTAATAAAAGGTCCAAGATAAGAATCAAACACCAATGACAGATATTTTGGATAAAATCTGTAATTCGATTATTGGTTGCTGAAATTTTGATTGACTTTTTCCCTCAGTCATGATTTTATTACAAACTTTCCCCAAAGAGTTACCAGCCCCTACAATTAAGAGTTACATACCAAGTTTACTTTAACAAAAAATCCTGAAACAAAAGTCACTGCGATTTCTGGCTAATTTTATCACTTAGGTGTATAATGCCCAATAACCTGATCCCCTCACTCAATACAATAGCCTAATTGACAGTACAAGCTCAGCCGGGCACGGTAACTCATGCGTGTAATCCCGGCACTTTGGGAGGCCAGAGTAGGAGGATTGCTTGATCTAAGGAGTTTGAGAACAGCCTGAGTAAAATAGTGAGACACTCAACTCTACAAAAAAACTAATAATAATTAGCTGGGTGTGGTGGTGCACACTTGTAGCCCCAGCTACTTGGGAGGCTGAGACAGGAGGATTGCTTGAGCCCAGGTGATTGTAGCTGCAGTGAGCTATGATCATATATCACCACACTCTAACCTGGGCAACAGAGCAAGACTTGGCCTCAAAAAATAAAATAAAAATGAAAAAGTACAAGTTCATATTCATGTTAGGACTTATTCTGATAACAAAATGCACTATCCTATCAAGAGGAACCCCACTGGTCTCATTAACATTATTTAGACAAAAATCTAAAGCCATTTATAAGCCTCGTCTACTAAACTATCAAAGTGAGGCCACTATGTTAGAAAAACACAGCTGAATTATTTATCTAACATTTCCTGGTATTTTACTTAATGAGTAAACTGTATGTTGATCTAATAAGAACAGGGAGTGGAATGGGGCGTATCATTTCTTGACTCAGACATTTTTTACAGCTAGCAGGAAACTAGATGTCATTTACTCCGGAGGTCTCAACCTGGCAGCCTGTTCTGCAATTGTGTTTTCTTTGTTTGGCAGTGTTTTGATTTAATCCGTTGCTTATATTAAACAGTATACTTCATATAAAAATGTCCAGTCTTTCACTTCTTTTTAAAAATTAGAATATCTGGCCCCATTTCTCATATTTATATAAGGTAAGCATCTTCTTATATGTAAAAGTCATCAGCTAATCCACTTTACTCATTTAAATTATCTGCATGAGTTTTAATTTTGAGGAGTACTGACAGAATCTCCACCATTACTCCTCCATCCTGCATTCTAAACAAATAAGCATCCTAAACAAGGTGTTAAAAAATCAGCCAACCAACCACTATGAAAAGGAATCATTGTTCTTGTTTTAATTAGGACTCAACACCAATTTGATAAAAAAAAAAAAAGTTCTACTCAGTATTGCTTCTCAATGTCACTAGGACATAACTACTTTCATTTTAAAGCTCAGGACAATCATCTCCTTTAATTTAATATTGTGAGGTTAGAGAAAAAGAACAGGGCAGGGTAGGAGAGAGAACTAATGATAAAATTGGATATAACTCTTAGATTTTTATTTGAAAGGCAAAAAAATAATCTTTACAGTGGCATGTGCTTATTTTCATGGTGTATCAAACAAAAGCAATAATTAGTTTTCTGAAAAGAACAACACAGGTTGCTGGAAATTAACTCTGTGTGTTTACCCTAATTAAGTTGGTGGTTAAAATTGCATATGTTAGTTGCTTTATTATTAGAAAGCTCAAATTAAAGAGAATGTAATTAAGTTGTTTGGCATTTTAAATAGGAAATGTATTAATTTTTCCACTTAGACTGATAAAGTAATTTTAAATTCTTAATAACCTGGTCTGATATGTCCAATTCAAATGACCAAGGGATTGCCAGAAAGCAGCCTGTTAGAGAGCAAAATAATCTAAGGAAAATAATCCCTTAGAATGTTTACCTAATAGCAAGTAACTTGTATGAAAGTTTACAAAACCTTAAATAACCCTCTTTTTAGACATTTCTAAATTCTTCTCCCAAATTATTATTTGTTTTAGCTTCCCAGATATATACATATATACATATTTAAGCGTACCAATCTAAAAATAAAGAATTAAGGAGCAATATTTCCCTCTCAAAATAAAAAAGTCTGTAATAAATTTGGGTTGTTAGGCTTAAACTGAACATTGCATCATAAACCTCTATGAGAGCAGACCCTGGTACATAATTTGTTGTACTTAATAACCAAAAAATATATGCACATGTGAATAAATGAATCCCCATGAAGAAAGTAAAAGCACATTAAGATGTCATTGATGGATCTTACTGTAGCTGTGATGTAATGTCTATATTATGCCTTATAACTACATTGTCAAGAGGTCTTAAAACTATTAATCATGAAAGACAAAATTATCAATTATTGATATGTTAATAACAGCATCAACTTTTGTTTTGCATTCCTGGTTAATTATGAGCATTATTATTATTACTGTAGCAGTTCTTTGTATCTACTATGGATCTTGTAATGTGCTATTATGAAAAGCAGAATAATGTCCAACCCCCAAGATGTCCACATTCTAATGTGAAACCTGTGAATATATCACCCTACATGGGAAAAGGGACTTTGCAATATGCCTAAGTGAAGGATTTTTAGATGGTAGGACTACCTGGATTATCCGGGTATCTTAGTCCATTTGTGCTGCTATATACCTGACACTAGGTAATTTATAAGAACAGAAGTTTATGCCTTACAGTTCTGCAGGCTCAGAAGTTCAGTATCAGTTCACTGTCTGGTGAGGGCTGCTCTCTGCTTCCAAGATGACACTTTGCTGCTGTGTCCAGAGGGGATAAATGCTGTGTCTTCATGTAGTGGAAGGGATGGAAGGGCCAAAAGAGTCTGGCTGGTTCCATCCACCCCTTTTATAAGAAACGAATATCATCTGTGAGGGCAGAACCTTCGTGTCTTAATCCTAACGGCCCCCATCTCTTACTATGATTGCACTGGAGAGTAAGTTTCAACATGCATTTATGAGGAGGCAAACATTCAAACCATAGCACTGGGTGAGCCCAATATAATCACAAATGTTCTTATAAGTAAAAGGCAGAGGGTCAGAATCAGAAAAGACAATGTGACAACAGAAGCAGAGTTCAGAGTCATATGGCCCCGAGCCAAGGAATGCAGGCAACCTCAAGAAACTGGAAAGGGCGAGGAAATGAATTCTCCCCTAGAGCCTCCAGAAGGAACACAGCCCTGAAGACCTGTTTTGGACTCTGATTTCCAGAAATAAAAAATAATACATTTGTGTTGTTTCAAGCTAACCAATTTTGTGATAATTTGTTATAGCAGCAATAGGAAACTAATACAGTTATGTACTGAGATATATTTAAAAATTGATTGGACATGAAAAATGTTAAGAGATAAATGGGGCATACCTAGCAAAGCTAAAATGAAGATGCTAATCAAAGACATGAACAGACCCAATATAAGCAACATGCTATGGGGAAATATCCAAGGTCTTCTGGAAAATCCATGAGCAACTGGGAAGAAAGGTCTTCTTGCTTCCTGCCAGCTCATCCTCATCTTATTCAAGGAAAGTAAAACAATTTGTTGTTTATGAAAGATCCACAGTTTTCTTTTTGTCTTTTCATTTTTCTCTTACATAAATCCTTTTTTTAAAATAGGTTAAATCGATCTACTATTGGTTCCCTTATAAATAGAGTGCTAATAATAATTATATGTTATTGAGTTATATTTCAGAAGTCTTTGATAAGTTCCAAGCAGATTTAAAATAAAAACTACCTTTTGAAATGTTGTGAAGAAAAGCCTATAAAAGGCTAGGTTAAAATGACATTCATCTGAGAAAAATTAGAATAAGCAACAAGCAAAAAACGTCAATGTGTCGCTGTCTCAGTTTTTGGTTCAAAGCTGAAACCAATCTTGGTAAAATGGAACAGAAAAGCAATCATATTAATGATATAAAATGCTAACCATTGAATAGATTAATTGGATATTTGATAAGCACTAAATATACATACACAATAGTTAAAAGGTTCCTCAAAGAATTATTAATGAATTATGTTCTGTCAACGAAATGTATAATTCTTTATTCTCTAAGGGCATTCAGTTTATGGATCTAACAATTTTTGAAGATCAACCTAAGGATATTTGAGTTGTCATGGAAATTCATAATAGCATCATCACGTAAGCCAACCTCTTCAATGTTGGTATCTTAATTCTACTCCAGTTTTTATAGAAGTATATGACTTAAAACTATAAAAATGAATGAAATCATGTCTTTTGCAGCCACATGGATGAAACTAGAAGCCATTAAGTGAAATAACTCAGAAACAGAAAGTCAAATACCACATGTTCTCACTTATAAGTGGAAGCTCAAAAATATGTATGCATGGACATAGAGAGTTGGACGGGTGGGAGGGTGGGAGCCGAGTGAGGGATGAGAAATTACTTAATGGATACAATGTACACTACTCAGATGATGGCTATATTAAAAGCCCAGACTACACAATATATCTATGTAACAAAATTGTACTTGTACTGTCTAAATCTATAAAAATTTTAAAAAGAAAAAGAAAAAACCCCCACAATTTTTTCATATCCAGTTTTTGTCCCAGCAAATTCAGTTTTCCTTCTTTTCTACTTTCCAACAGAAAATGAGGAAAAGACTAAGTTGCCCAAATCACACAACTAGTTAATAGCAAAAGCAAGTCTTCTGACTTTAATCTAGAACTCTTTATGTATTATCACCATAGCCCAAAACTGTGTAAGATAGAACACTGTGAAAAATACCACACATTATCAAACTATATCCCCAGTAAGAATTCAGGTCCTTGGGGGTCCAGGTTAAAGAGCTTCTCAGATCAGTCCTGTCCAGCTAGTCTGTATTTACCACCATGACTGACTCACTATATATTGGAGAAGGAGGTGAGACATATCTCTATTTCCATAAATAAGAAATATGGATTTTCCTTGTAAAGTTATACATATGTAAAATATAGACATTTGTCAATACCCTTTTTGGTTTCATACATGTATAAAAGTAATCCATTGCTGAAATCAGTACAGATGAGGATCTGATCTCTATGTAAGAAAGCCAAGGGACAATTTTTTTGTTTTGTTTTGTTTTGTTTTTATTATGATTATACTTTTAAGTTTTAGGATACATGTGCACAACGTGCAGGTTTGTTACATATGTATACATGTGCCATGTTGGTGTGCTGCACCCAGTAACTCGTCATTTAGCATTAGGTATATCTCCCAATGCTATCCCTCCCCCCTCCCCCCACCCCACAACAGTCCCCTGTGTGTGATGTTCCCCTTCCTGTGTCCATGTGTTCTCATTGTTCAATTCCCACCTATGAGTGAGAACATGCGGTGTTTGGTTTTTTGTCTTTGTGATAGTTTGCTGAGAATGATGGTTTCCAGCTTCATCCATGTTCCTACAAAGGACATGAACTCATCATTTTTTATGGCTGCATAGTATTCCATGGTGTATAGGTGCGACATTTTCTTAATCCAGCCTATCATTGTTGGACATTTGGGTTGGTTCCAAGTCTTTGCTATTGTGAATAGTGCCGCAATAAACATACGTGTGCATGTGTCTTTATAGCAGCATGATTTATAATCCTTTGGGTATATACCCAGTAATGGGATGGCTGGGTCGAATGGTATTTCTAGTTCTAGATCCCTGAGGAATCGCCACACTGACTTCCACAATGGTTGAACTAGTTTACAGTCCCACCAACAGTGTAAAAGTGTTCCTATTTCTCCACATCCTCTCCAAGGGACAATTTTTAAATGAAAATCACCCACAATTCAAACCAGCAGTCTTTGCAGTTGGTGTATTTACAGGGCCACTCTCCTCACTTCCTACAAAAAAAAAAAAAAAAAGTTCAAGAACTTATTTCCAGATTGCTTATTTTAAGTTAGCTGAATTTGAACAAAGGTTAATCAGTCTCAATTGTATAAAACTGGGCTGCGGATTTTGTTTTCCCTTCAATGAAAATGCCTCATGGCTGTTGATGTAAGAATACAGAAATGTCACCAGGCTTTTCCCTTTGCTTCTGAGAAGAAACAAGACACTTGAGAAAATTTTTGGCTAATTAACTTATAGAACATTATTTAAGCCTAAGATTGTAAATATGAAGAATCCTTCCAATATGCCATTGTTTTTCTCAAATTATTTTATAGCCATGGAATGCCATGTAAAAAGCTGCTAAGTTAGAACACTGTGAAATGCTGCCAAGAAGAGGTATAACAGCTTCATGAACTCAAGCTCTGTGTTGTGACTCATGGGAAGCAGATAAGGTCATTCAGAGTCAATAGTGTGAACCCGCTTGGAGGTTAATAGTCTACAGGTTAAGTAGAGGGTTCATGAGAGGTTTTACTTTAACGTTTAATATCAACCCAGTACATTGTCTTCAATTCAGTTATTGCATACCTATATCACCCTGAAACTTAGAACACTCTGCTACGCTATTGGAATGTTTTCCTATTTCTATAATGTAAATATAGACTCTAGATTTGAATTAACTTGGTGCTTCAACTTCCTAGTTTAATTCTACTAATTTGAGATTTTTTTTTTTTTTTGAGACGGAGTCTGGTGATCTCTGCTCACTGCAAGCTCCGCCCCGCGGGTTCACGCCATTCTCCTGCCTCAGCCTCCAGAGTAGCTGGGACTACAGGCGCCCGCCACCACGCTCGGCCAACTTTTTTTGTATTTTTTTACTAGAGATGGGGTTTCACCATGTTAGCCAGGATGGTCTCGATCTCCTGACCTCGTGATCTGCCCGCCTTGGCCTCCCAAAGTGCTGGGATTACGGGCGTGAGCCACGGCGTCCGGCCTAATTTGAGATTCTATAGTGCAGTCCACACACACATTTTTTTATATCTCACAAGAACAAACATAACAAACCTTTGAGATATGAATGTATAGATTTTGATTAGCTGTGATGTTTAATATATTGCAATTAATTAAGAAGAAATTTAACATTTTTTCTTATGGTCACAAAGGGCTATATAAGAAGGACCATGTGTCTACATGTGTATTAGCATACTCTCAGAACGTGCACAGACGCTTCAAGATAGCCATGTCTCTCTTCTCACAGGAAACATTCTCCACTCTAACATTTTGGCCACTTCTCTGTGTCTGGGCAAGGCACTGTGCTAAGCAGTAAAGATGGAATAAGGAAGATAGGAAGTCTATTCTTCTGGCACCCATTTAGGCTAGACAGTGAAATCAACAGCATGATATAATGTAATAGAATATGTAGTATACAAAGGAATTGATCCCAGAAGGAAGGTGTGAAAAGGGGTAAAGGAGACACCAGTGGTAGTTGGGTGGGGGTTGTTTACAAACTTTTGTATGAGGCTGTAGATTCAAGATGTGTAACATCCCTTACAAGACTATCTATTTAAAGAACATAGGCCAAAGTAACAAAGAGTGTAACCATAGTTGGGGGAAGGCACAAGGGAAGAGACAGATGCTGTCATTCCAGCCTATACAAATACACACCATATTTTCTCATTTTTCTAAAAAAAAAACTTAAGTCATAGAAACATAATTGTGTCTTCAGAATCTACTTATATTGTGAATCAGTAGCCACATTCTTTCTATTGCAATGGCATGAAAAATAAGTTATTGGGAAAATAAGGTATAAATAAGTTATAAAAATAAGTTATACTACCATTTGTCCAAGAAATATGGGTCTCTTCTACCCCAACCCCACCAACCACTTGAGACACACTACACATGTGCCTTAACTGTACTCATGGCCAGGCTAAGAATTTAAGTCCCTGGACTTTGCTAGCATAACAGCCAAGCAACTTTTGGATCAAGGGAAGAAAGGGACACAGGATGGTAAGAACTTCTTTCCAAGGATGTCAACCAAGGAGCTGAGGTTAGAAACGACATGAGCTTCAGGCAGCACTTCCTGTCTCCTAAATAGTACTTAATCTAGTGGGGAATTAATGTGTTTTAGGATACCTTGTTCTTTGAGAATAATGGATACTAGCACTAAAGCTCCCTTTCTCACTCATTCTTCCAATGGAAAATTAATCTTTTATATTTAAAGATTCTTTAATATGTCATGACAATGATCAAGTTTTATTTTTAAGTATTTTTCTAGAAGTTATTTTTAAGTGATACTTACTATCTCATTATTGAAGTTCTTTTCCACAATTTATTCATAACCTTGTGCTGATCAAATGCTATGTGGTAGAAATGTGCTGGCTTGGAGGGCAGATAGCAAAGCATAGAAATTGAGAAAGAGATTGGTGTAGGAATTTTTAGAGGTTCAGTAATGCAAAGGATCAATCAAGGTAGGATACATTTTATGGGGGAAAATGGTGCTGTATTTAGTTGAGGATATGAAGCATGAACTTGAATAAGAAACTACTGAGGCAAAGTCCAGTAGTGAGAAGAGAAATATCCAGGGAATTAACTAGTAGTTAGGGAACAGAAGTGAGGCCATGTTATTTTCCTGTGTGTTTAACGTTCATTCTGTAAGGTTACAGTAAGGGCTGAGTAAGATACACCGCATTTCATATGCACGCACATAGAGCCTGGCACAAAGCAGATGCTCCATAAATATTAGTTGAACCTGAGTCTGATGAGCAGCAAGCAGTAGAAAAGACATAGTGGGAAGATGAGAGTACAGTTGTTATTTAAGTACTAGCTGCATTGCAGAGTTCCAGATAAATGGAAAAATCTAAGGGGTAACTAGAATAAATTAACTTTGTTTTTATGGCACACACACACTAAAAACCTTTTTGTATGTATTCTCATTTTAAAACACTCTGGTTTTCCGAGGTATTTATGTCTGAATTTCCCTGTTAATAATATTGAACAAATAGAGCAAAACTTTTTTAAAAACAAAAGGCAAATTGAACAAAACATTTTAAAAGTAAAAGCCCATATAATGTAGCAACATAATCCCATAACCAACATATGAAAATCAGTCTTACCAGTGCTAAAATCTGAATCAAGAGAACTTTAGACAAAATTGTCTCTATCATTAATTAGCTGTGTTACCTTAAATATACTACTTAAGCAAGACCCCAGGTTTAGCATATATAGAGCTAGTGCATGGTATTTCTAGTTATACTTCGAGATTACTTTTAAAAAATGGTTCAATATAATAGGTTTACAAATGTTTATTTGTTCCATCATGGTTTATATTTACAGGAAGCAACTTGGTTCAAAAGAAATAGTGCAAAATTCTGAAATGGAATAGACTTTAGCCTTCTTAGCCCCAGAATAAGCAGTCTCCTTGAGTCTAATCACTTTTGCATATGAACTTGCATATTAGTCAGTACCTATTTTACAAGGTTGTCATAAAATTTAAAATGAGTGTACTTAAAAATACATCACACCAGGAACTCATTCATTGCTGGCAGGAATATAAACTGGTACAGCCACTTTGGAAGACAGTTTGGCACTTTCTTTACAAAACTCAACCAACTCTTACCATACAATCCAGCAATCACACTCCTTGGTATTTACCCAAATAAACTGAAAACGTATGCCCACACAAAAACGTGCATATCAATGTTTATAGCAACTTCATTCACAATTTCCAAAATTTGCAAGCAACCAAGATGTCTTTCAGTAGGTAAGTGGATAAACAAACCATGGTATATCTAAACAATGCAATATTATTCAGCACTAGAAAGAAATAGCTATCATGCCACTAAAAAAAAATAGAGCAACCTTAAATGCCTATTACTAAGTAAAAGAAATCAAATTGAAAAGGCTGCATACTATATGACTTCAACTCCATGACATTCTGAAAAAGACAAATCTATGGAGACAGTAAAAAGATCAGTGGTTGCCAGAAGTCGTGGGGAGGAAGACAGGAATAGGCGGAGCACAGTAAGGCAACATAACATTCTGTATGATACTACAATGGCAGATATATGTCATTATACATTTGTCAAAGCCTGTAGTATATACAACACCAAGAATAAACCCTAATATAAACTATGGATTTTGGATGATAATGATGTGTCCATGTAGGTTCATCCACTGTCACAAATGTGCCACTCTGGTGCAAGATGTTGATAGTGGAGAGGCTGTGTGGGGGTGGGGGTAGGGGGGGAATCTCTGTACTCTGTACCTTCTGCTCAATTTTGCTGTGAAGCTAAAACGTCTTTAAAGAATAAAGTCTATTTTTTTAAAAAAATCACACAAAGGAGTCTTTAAGCATTCTAGCTCAAGCTCTTTTCAGAGGTGAACATAAAAACTTACAAAAATTGCGTCCAACAAAATAATTATGTTGATTGCAAAAGGATATGTTTCTATCCGCTTTGATTCACTTATAATGAGTGAGAGATGGAGAGGAAAAGAAAAACTGGATTCGTACAACTAAGAACTAAAATATTTTTATTTTAACATTAACCAAGTCTTTGTAATTATCAGACAAGTCATCTAATAAAAAAAAATTACATGGCATTTAGAGTAGGAAGAGACAGAATAAGCAGCTTTATCCTTGATTAAGCTCTTTATTTTGTCAAATAACCACAAACATCCTTTAAATAACCATGACAAGATCCACCCCACTCTAGCAGCTGCTCTTGGAACTGTGCAGCTGTGCTATAATCTGGGTTATTGGAAATTCTCAAAACTGTCATCTTATAGCCTATGAAAAGTAAACCAAGGAGTTGGAGAAATTCCACTGATTTCCAGCATAAGCAAAAAGTACCTTGTATTTGCACATGGTGAATCATGTACATGTTTCTTTTTCAGAAAAAAAAATCTCTCCAGTATTGTTTTGAAATTTTAAAAGGTCTCAGCTATGAGTCTGCAGAACTTTCTGGTGTCATTAAGGAAGCAGGTTACAGGCCAGCATATCTTCAAATAGCTACACAGGTGTTAGAACTGCATGGTCTTATAAAGAAGACAAGTGTGATTATGGAATCCTGCACACCGCATAGTCATATCTTTCAAGTCCCAGACCTTAGCCAAGAGCAGGTACAACCACTCTGTGGCCATTAGCATGTAACCAGATTACCCTCCAATCAGACAAGTCACTCCAGCACAAGTCAGAAAATATGAAGGAGCAGAAATACAAATGTTCAAAACTCAGCCTCAAAAGGAGATGTGAAAAATTGCTAAACACTTACATTTTAAAAAACAGATGTCTTGTCTCTAATCGTTTGAAGCCAATCAAGTCTCTACGTGCATCTACTCAAGTAAAGAACAATGAGGCACCTACGACATTTTTGGATAGCCGTCATATGAGTCCTCTCTAATTTCTTCCTTTCCCTCCTCAAGAACCAAAATAGGTATATATTATCTTTTTTAAAAAACAAAAAGCAATCACTAGGACCTGTTTTATGAAAGCTTGTCCAAGAAAATTGAGTAACTTTCTCAGTATCATTGTTTATTTCCCAGCTAGGACTAAAGAGGTAATGGGACTAGTTGAAGGTACAGTAGGTTCCCTCTTGTAGGATAGATATACTCAGGACCAGTGGATGGCTGTTTAAAGTAAAAGTTGGTCAATATGGACTATTATAAATTGGTTAGTACTTTAAACATTTTAACGAAAACATATAAATATACATCCATTCACCAATCTTCAGATATAGGGCAAATTATCACAATATCGCATTCAAATTTCCAATTAGTTTCAGAGCAGGAACGAACACAAAGTCCCTCATCAAGCATGTCAAGTGTGCTTTCTAGACTGGTACGATCCCTCCTTCTAATCTCAATTGTCTCATTTACATCTACTTAGACAGCAAGCCCAGTGCCCTGTCCTTACCAACACTCCCCAAGCCTTCACCTTAGTTTTCATAGAAATAACTCTCATTCAGACATTTCATTGACTTATATAGTGTCTAATTATATTATATAATTATAATAAGCATATATTAGATTTACAATAAAAAATAGCTGCAGTAAACAGATTTTTGAAATAAATAATTTAACTAGTGGTAGCAGAAGCACATGGATGTGCTAGAAAGTAGCCTACAGTTGTGGGAACTACAGGTTTAGTGGCTGTATTAGAAACAGGCTTTAAGAGGGAAAGGAAAACTCCAGCAAATCCAGAAAGTTGATAATTGAAGATCAGCTAGGAGTGTTTCTATCAAACTAGTTGCGGCACTGGATTGTGCCCATGAGAGAAATAGGCCTAATGAATTCCTTTCCCAAACATAGTTGCAAAACACATCACCTGGGTATTTCCAAAATCATCCCATTTCAGTGTGTGTGTGTGTGTGTGTGTGGTGGAAGTGCTCAGAGATGTTTTTAAGCCTTTTAAATTTTTTATAATTTAAAAAAATGTATGTGAATATATTTTATGTCATCTAGAAAGCCACCTCAAAACTGAATGCCGCCTCCCCGAGTGTTACTATTATATCACAGAATTTAACTTTGTACGTGTTGGTAAGCATGACTGTTATTAGGTCAGTACCATGTAATACCAAACTAATTGTTCTGCACTGTATTTGTATGAATTTATGTTTGTCAGTAATAATGACAATTTGCCTTTGTCAACATAATCTGTAGTTGAAAGGCCTGTCTTTCATTTAAAAAAAACATACTTCAGTTTAAGATATTAACACTGAACCCAATTTGATATAACAGCAACATGGTATAGTGGAGAAATGTACTAATTGCTACAAATAAATAAGAAATAGTATAATTGTATACTTCATGCATAAATGTACTCACACCAAATGAAGGAGAAATCACAGTAGTTTATAAGAGTTTAATAGTTCAAATTTTCTACTTAGAGATGAAGAGAATAAAGAAATCTGAGCTTCAGTCATGTAATTTTAAAATGGGATGCCCAAATCACATCCAGTATTTAGAATGACAGTTTGAGAGCAGAATCAGTGTTTAAAGTATTACTATTTTTCAACACCTGCAAAAATAAAAAACTTCAGATATTTATCCTCTATCATAATTATATTAGATACTACTTTAATTTAGAATTCAACAACAATACAATGACAATCTTATCCTGAATAGACATGGAACCTTTGAAGTTAAAGTGATAGCTCATTGAGAAGGCATTCTAGGATTGTTTATTGGCAGAGTTTCAGTTAAGGATGAAGTCTAATTATGGCAAGCTAGCAAACAAAGCCTCAAAATTGTTAATGATATGCACAGCATACTTATATAAGCAGGCATTCTCTACGTTTGCAGAATTGAAGTTCAAATACAGGACCAAATCAAATATGTTATATATAGCAAAATATAATTTAATTTCAACAAAATGTGCATATTAAATTAGTTCATTTGAATTGTATTGGATTTGAAAATATTATTTGATTATTTGTAAATTTGCTTTTCTTTCATAGTTGTTTAACAGCTACATCAGATGTGGTAGTGCATGCCTGTAGTCCCTATGTGGGAGGCTGAGGCAGGAGGATTTGCTCAAGGTCAGGAGTTTGAGGATGCAGTGAGCTATAACCACTCCACTGAACTCCAGCATGGGCGACAGAGCCAGACCCTGTCTCTAATAACAAAAAGAAAAAGGTTACTTTTAAAATATTTAAACTGTTACTAATTAAAGTAAGAAGTAAGAAGGAAAATGATTAAGAAGAGAGGCTGGGCACAGTGGCTCATGCCTAGAATCCCAGCACACTTTGGGAGGCCAAGGCAGGAGGATTGCTTGAGGGCAGGAGTTCGAGGCCAGCCTGGGCTACATAGCAGGAACCCCTCCCGCAATGATATGGTTTGGCTATGTCCCGACCCAAATCTCAACTTGAATCATATCTCCCAGAATTCCCACGTGTTGTAGGAGGGACCCAGGGGGTTGTAATTGAATCATGGGGGCAGGTCTTTCCTATGCTATTCTCGTGATAGTGAATAAGTCTCACGAGATCTGATGGGTTTATCAGGGGCTTCTGCTTTTGCTTCTTCCTCATTTTTCTCTTGCCACTGCCATGTAAGAAGTGCCTTTTGCCTCCGCCATGATTCTGAGACCCCCTCAGCCATATGGAACTGTAAGTCCAATTAAACCTCTTTTCCTTTCCAGTTTCAGGTATGTCTTTATCAGCAGCGTGAAAACGGAGTAATACACCCATCTTTGCACACACACACAAAATTAGCTGTGGGGTGGCACATGCCTGTAGTCACAGCTACTTGGGAGGCTGGGGCAGGAGGATCTCTTGAGCCCAGTAGTTCGAGGCTGCCATGTGTTATCAACACTACACTGCACTTTAGCCTGGATGACAGTGAGACCTCCATCTCAAAAATATTAAAAATTTAACAAATTTTAAAAGAGCTACAGATGCAAGAAGTTGATAAATACACATGAATATAAAATACCTAAGTAATAGAAAAATAAAATAGTTTTGCAGCTCCCATGTCTTTGGGTGGCTCCACCAGTCTCTGAGCAGGTTTTTATTGGCACCACACAGTGTTCCAGTCTCACTTGTGCCCAGGACTCTAATCAGGCACTTCTCCAAAGAAAGAATTGGGAAAGTAAGATCTGTTCACTAAGTATGTCGTTGCTGCTGTGGTGCCACTGCTTACATGCTCTTCCAAGAGACAGAACTGATAAATGTATTTTTAATAGATCATAAATTCATATTGATCAGTTCATACTGATATCTCCAATTCAAGTTCATTAACACAAGATTCTCCCTCACTTTCCTCATTCCATCTTCATTTTTCCTTTTTCCTGTAGTGAGGACCCTCATTCCTAAAGTCAGTATTTGTACACATATACTCTATCATACCATACATACAAAACAGTTTCAGAATTAACTGAATTAACAGTTAGTTCAATACTACAACTAACCTCAATACATAAAAGTAAAGTTCAAGATTTCTGTCCTGCCTGTACCTGCACCCGTACCTTCCTAGACAATTCAGGCCCAAAGCCATTCAAGGAGGTGGAGGCATCTGTATGTGATAGGGGGAGCCAGAGTGGCCCAGTGTGGGGAGTGGAAGCTCACCCAGGGTTCCTGAAACCCCTTCAGGTAATCTACAAGGTTAAACTATTTTCAGAATAACACTAAGGTAACTTGCCTTTTGCACTTACATCATCTCATGAGTATACTTTGGAGTTTACCAAAAACTTCAGGACATCATAACTGCGTGAGGCTGGGTTTTCTCCCACCAAAGTAGTATAATGGGATACTTGAATATAATCTAGCTGCCTTCCAATAAGCTAGACATCTGAGGTTTATAGAAACATAAAACAATGCCACACTTCTCACTAAATTATTTGTTTTGGGAAATAATTACTTTCCATAAAGATATTTCATTTATGTTAACATGTAATGGGTTTATGAGTTATAACATGAGTTAACATGTATGGGTTTATAACTTTTGATGAGTTAGTTTTTATTTTTAAAATTTTAATAAATATTTTTAAAATTTACAAGTTTTTTCTTGTTTAAATATGATTATAATGATTATTTTACACATTTAATGGGTATAAGTGCCATTTTGTTACATAGATATATTGCATATCAGTGAACTCTGGGCTTTCAGCGTAACCATCACCCAAATAGTATACATTGTATCAATTAAGTAATTTCTCATCTTCTAGACATCTCCAATGTCTACGATTCCACTATGTCCCTGTGCACACATTGGATAACTATATGCAGGAGAATGAAACTGGACCCTCATCTCTCACCATATACAAAAATTAACTCAACATGGATGAAAGACTTAAAGGTAAAACCTGAAACTATACAAATACCACAAGAAAATCTAGGAAAAAACTCTTCTGGACATTGGCCTGGGCAAATAATTCATGACTAAAACCTCAAAGGCAAATGCAACAAAAACAAAATAGGCAAAAGAAATTTAATCAAACTAAAAAGCTTCTGCACAACAAAAGAAGTAAACAACAGAATGGACAGCCAACCAGCAGAATGAGAGTTTTATTTTCTAATATGGTAAATATTAATAGAGCTAACCTACATAAACTAAATAAAATTAGTAATCAACTCACATAAATTAAAGGTATTTGGAGTCCTCCATAATTTTTTTTTTTTTTTTTTTTTGAGATGGAGTCTCCCTTTGCCGCCCAGACTAGAGGGCAGTGGTGCAATCTCTGCTCACTGCAACCTCCACCTCCCAGGGCCAAGTGATTCTCCTGCCTCAGCCTCCCGAGTAGCTGAGATTACAGGGGCCCACGACCACACCTGGCTAGTTTTTGTATTTTTAGTAGAGACAGGGTTTCACCATGTTAGCCAGGCTGGTCTCGAACTCCGGACCTCAAGTGATCCACCCGCCTCGGCCTCCCAAAGTGCTGGGATTACAGGCTTGAGCCAATGAGCCTGGCCAGGAGTCCTCCATAATTTTTAAGAGCGTAAACAGTCTTGGAAGCTGGGGAAGTGAATTGAGAACTACTTCTTTAATGCAATGGCAAAGAAATAAGGGTGAGGGAGAACTGTAACAGATAAGAGACTTACATAATAACCAAACGTAATGAACGTGTGTCTTTTGGATCCTAATTTTAAGAAATCAACTATACAAAGACATTTTTGAGATATCAGGAAAATGTAATTATGTACCAAGTACTATTAGATGACATTAAGGGATTTTAATCTTGCTAGATATGATAAAGGCACAGTGATTATGGGAGAAAACACCTGTCCTTATCTGTTGTATATGCCTTCTGAAATAGTTACAGGTGAAATGAAATGATAAAATTTTCTTTAAAACACTTCAGAAGAAGACAAGTAGATGAAACAAAGTTGGCAACTACTGACAATGTAAAATTTGAGTGCTGGATATATGAATTAATGATAATATCTCTACATCAGTGTATCATTGAAATTTTCCAAAACAAACTTTACAAAGAGAAACAACAAAAACTTAAATGATGCTCAGTTTAAGATTTCCAAGGGAACATATTTTATAGAGGTTCAAATTTAATTTTCAATTGATAAATGTCAATTTCTACTTTCTCCTCAAAGCCATGTTTAATTAAAAGGACATCAATAGGCTGAGCACAGCTAGAAAATAATGAGAATTTCAACAGATGGTCATGTATTCTTTCCTCTACTTGACTTCAAAAATTTCCCCAGATTACTCTACAAATACCTATGACTGTATGGAAAATCCCAGGAAATTCTGAAGTTACAAAATAAATTTAGTACTGGAATAGGGAGTGTGTAAACTAATTAGGGAGATCCTTGTAATGAAAATAATTTATAGCAAACTTGAAGTAAGCCCTTTTATTCTTAACCAAGTAAGATCAGTAACATGTTTTCTTGACAAAAAATGGAAGCTTGCTCATATATTAGAGTCTCCTGATAACAGGTGAATTAATTTTATGAAGTAACCTATCTTATCTTCTGGAAAGCAGGACTCTGTGAGGGAGGGAGGAAGGGAGGGAGGGAGAGAGGGAGAAAGAGAGAGAGAATGAAAGAATAGGGTTCCTGCCCTGTATTCTAGTTAGAGATCTAAGAGACAAGAAGACTTGACTCTACAAAGTGCCTAAATGTGTGAGACAGGATAAAAGTTTCACCATGTGCCTGAGCAATCTGAGAAATCTTCCTGAAAAACTGGAATTCAACTTTGAAGTATGGGTTCAATTCAAAAGAGCAGAAATGAAGACCATTCCAGGTGAGGCACTGTTGGGAAAAGGGCTTGTGGGGTGCCTACATAAACTGGCCATAAAAATATGGGACAATAAGTTAGAAAAAGCCACAAAAGGCCTCTGATGAGGAAAGCCTCCTAATTGCCATCATGTTCCCATCCTCAGAGTGAAACCTGCTTTCTTATCTGTAAACACTGTGTTCAAAAAAAAAAAAAAAACCACTCCTTTAAAACATTAAAATGTGAACAAACGTGCAGACTCCTAGTTAAGCCCGTTCCCACTAAGTTAAAGATATACTGTTTAAGCACAAAAAAAACTCATTTAAACCACTATTGCTACAAATTATGCCTATAACAGATTGCCTCCTTTTCACTGTTTCACCCTAAACATCTGCTTCTTAAATCTAAGTAATTATACTCAATGAATAGTATAAAAACCAAAGCTCTAGGCCTTTTACACTTCCATATTTTACACT
The DNA here is from genome assembly GCF_000001405.40 of Homo sapiens. Lineage (NCBI taxonomy): Eukaryota > Metazoa > Chordata > Mammalia > Primates > Hominidae > Homo > Homo sapiens. Next base: position 101,089,554 of record NC_000003.12, read on the forward strand.
GGCCCCCTGGCTCCCCACCTTTACTCTTAACCTGTCTCTTCTCAATCCTTTGTTTCCACCAAACTTTAAATACCCTACGGGTGGTATTAAGGCTGGTCCCCAACAAGGCACATAGCAAGAATAAAATCAGAATAAAAGTAGAAAATTCAAGGTATGTTTAAGAAAAATGAGTGGGTCAGCCTTGCTAAAGCAGAGAGATTGGTGAAGGAATAATAAGGAATAAGTGGGAAAAGGGTCAAGTCCAATTGTGGAAAACCTTGAATGCTAACATGAGTACCGAGAAAACCATTCTGAGCACAGGAGAGGCAGCAGCACTGCAGGAGATTTATTTGACAGTGCACACAAATTTATTCAGATATGACAAGAAGATATTACAGGCAGGATCTAATGGAGTATGGTAAAAAAAAAAATGTGGCTGGCATAGTGGAAGCCAGACTAGAAAGGAAGAAACACAAACAAGACACACAGAGCGGAAAACAATTAAAATGACTTGATAAGCCTCCTGAAAATTCTTAGATTTAAGACCTTTAATAAAAATCTTAAATGTAGTGAGCTGATGCATGCATTTGCCTCCATTTTCTCCTAGATACATGGAAGCAAAGGTATGAAGTATAAAAAGAATGAACCCATAATAATAAAAAAGTGGGAGAAAATTAAGTTTCGTCAATGAATAAGGTATTTCAAAAAACTTGCTAACCATATGATGAGCTGGCAGATAAAACAGGTGGAGAGAGGCCCCATAGCTGTCACTGAGTTGTGGAGGACATGGCCATCAATGTGTCCAATAAAACTAAAGAGAGACTCTGAGCTGAGGTCAACAGATAAAGTGGAGGGCATGAGTGTGCAATGGGGCTAAAAACTGAGAGATCCATATAAGTCTTCATATGAGACATCTGCACCAGTCAGCGCTCTCCACCCACAACTCACAGCATAGGCATTTACCACCCAGCCAAAATAATGGATGCTTCTTTTCCAGATAAATTGAAATAAATATTTGCTGAAAGCCAAGGATATTTTCATAGACATTTATATTTCTTTCTAGTACAATTTAGGGGTTGGGGTCTATTCTGTCCTATAGCAGTCTTTTCACCTCCTCTTGTAATGTAAAGCAAGCCAGTCGATGGAAACTACTCATCCACATAAACTCTTTGTTAAGAATTTCCATTCAGAGAAGACATTTAACTGAAAAATAAAGCTATGTATAAAATAATGAATATATGAGCAATAAATAGGATAATTGGCATGTGCCAATTATCCTATTCTTTAATCATGAATGTAAATAAGCAAACAAGGACCACCAGATAGGCAAAGAGAGTCAAAATTATTGAAGTAAAAGACAATCCCTCTGCCACAAGAAGCAAAAGCAAAACCAAAAAATAACAAAAGTCCTTGGTAGAAACAAATAGTCCAAGATATAGAAGAGAACTTTTAAAAGATAAAAGAAAAATTTGAAGTTTACTTAGAAGTTGAATCTACAACACTGGAACACAAGGCAACAAAAAAAAGAAAAGAAAATTAAAGAGAGCTTTTAATAATTTTTTTAAATGCCAAAATAAAATAAAAATTTAGTAGAATGACTAGAAAATAAAGTTTTAGTAACATCTCAGAATAAGAAGACAGAGACGTGGATTACATTAAAAATAAAAGACATGGGGAACCAATCCAGGGGATTCAATTAACAGGAACTTCAGAAAAGGTAAAAAAAAAAAAAATGGTAAAAAAATTATCAAAGGGGATAATTTCAGAGATTAAGGACAAATCTTCAGAGTTAAAGGGTCTGCTAAGTGTGCATTAAAAATACGTCTTGAAAATATAAAAATTATACTTAGATGCACCATTGTAAGATTTTTAGATGAAGAATAAAGAGAAAATCCTAAATAAAAACAAAATAAAAATCAAACAGGCATGAGACTTCTCATCAGCAACGGTGCATACTAAAACACCATGGTAAATTAAGAATATTAATGGCCCAAAATAATGATCTCTGTGTATCCACCCTTGCCTTGTAACTGTTTTCTCTTATCTGACTCTGAGTTCAGCCGTGTGACTTGCTTAGGCCAATGGGATGGTTAGAAAAGGTGCTTATGTACTTCCACTCTTTCTCTTATATCCCTGCCACTATCGTGGGAACATACCCAGGCTAGCCTACTGGGAGAATAAGAGAATTACATGAGAGACAGCTGAGTCATTTCAGGTGATCTCATCCTACACCCTCCTATAACTAGCCAATTCCCAAACATATAATAATCTCATAAATGATCAGCAGAGTTGTATAGCTACTCAGTTGACCAAAGACTCACGAGTAGTCCAACTGAAACCAAAGGAACCATCCAGGCAACTCAGACTTGGGAGCAATGGTTGGGTTTTTTGAAGCTACCACATTTAAGGTACTTTGTTGTACATCATTTTGTGGAAATAGGTAACAGATAGAAATACAAAGGATCAGTGCTGTCAAAATTTTGAGGGAGTTTTAAATCTAAAACTCAATACCCAGACCAACTATCAATTAAGAGTGAGGCAAGAACAAGATATTTTACAAATGTAAGAACATGTATCCATTCTCTTCTCACGTACCATTTTTTTTTTCAAAAAAATTACTTGAGAATGTTTTCCAGAAAAATAAGGGACAAAGCAACATAGAATGAGGCACTGCATCTAGAAAACAGTGAATCCAATCCAGAGTGTTCCAGGATAAAATCTGTGCAATAGGCCCAAGGAGAATGTCAAATGATTAAGGGGCACAGGCTCTGAGAAGGAGATGTCCGGGGGAAAAAAAAGACGCACTAAAAGAGTAATATGACTGAGAGATTAGAAAATAGTGAAAATGTGTTACAAAAATAGGATAGGAGGGCCATCAGTGAAAATGGCAAGTGAGGACATCTAAAATGACTATTCTCCCTAAAAGCAGTAAGAGTACTGGTAAAACTTCTTAGAATCAACTTTTTCAGAACTCTGGAAATTAATAAAAGGCTTGCTGCAATGTAGGAAACATGTATTCAAGAAAAGCAGTTAGATCTCAGTAATAGTAAGTTTTATGGCCTCTTAATTTGCCCCATTTCTATCTCCCACTCTTTAGCTCTGTAATAGCTTTGAAAACTACCCACAATCACAGTACAAAACAGCAGCCTGGAAGCCACTGGATGGGGCTATGCATTCCCAGAGGATTGTCACTATTTGGCCCATCTGGGATTCCCTGGAAGACACTTCTCACAAAGATGCCTTTGTTTAACCTGACTTGGAGCTTATCCAATGTAACAATTGGATATCCACATGCAAATAAATAAAGCTGGACATCTATCTCATATAATATTCAAAAATTCACTTAAAATGAATTAAAGACCTAAAAGTAATAGTTAAAACTATAAAACTCTTAAGCAAGAATGTAAATATAATTTCTGTGACCTTGCATTAGACAATAGTTTCATCGATATTATACCAAAAATGCAAGCAACAAAAGAAAAAGTAGAAAAATTGGACTTCATCAACATCTAAAATTTTGTGCTTCAAAAGACATTATGAAGATGGTGAAGAGACAATCCATGGATCAGCAAATAAATCATATCTGATAAAGTTATAGTATCTGGAATATATAAAGAACTCTTAACAACTAATCAATAAGAAGACAACCCATTTTTTAAAAATGGGCAAAAAATCTGAATAGACATTTCTCCGAAGATATACAAATAGCCAACAAGCACATGAAAAGATGTTCACTGTCATTAATCATTGGAGAAATACAAATTAAAACCACAAGGGCACACATGAACATAGACTGTGGAATAATAGACATTAGGAAGGTGGGAGGGAGGTGAGGGATGAGAGATTACTTAATAGTTACAATGTGCACTATTCAGTTGATGGTTACACAAAAAGCTCATACTTCAACACTACACAATATATCTATGTAACAAAACTGCACTTGTACCTCTTAAATGTATACAAATTTTTAAAAATAAATAAGAAAACAATGAGATACCAATTCACACCACTAAGATGACTATAAATTAAAAAAGAGATAATAACAAGTTTTGGCAAGGATATGGAGAATGGAACCCTCATTGCTCTTGGGAATGTAAAATGATGCAGCTGCTTTAGCAAATAGTCTGACAGTTTCTCAAAAGGTTAAGCATCAAATTATTGTATGATCCAGCAATTCCACTTTTAGGTATATACACAAAGGAAATGAAAAGGTATGTTCACACCAAAACTTGTGCATGAATATTCATAGTGGCAAAATTGTTAATAGCCATCAATAGAAATAATCTAAATTTCTATCAACTGATAATAAACAAAACGTGGTATATCTACATAATTGAATATTATTTAGTCACAAAAAGAAATGAGGGCGGGCGCAGTGTCTCATGCCTGTAATCCCAGCACTTTGGGAGGCCGAGGCAGGTGGACCACCTGAGGTCAGAAGCTAGAGACCAGCCTGGCTAATATGGCGAAACCCCTTCTCTACTAAAAATGCAAAAATTAGCCGGGTGCAGTGGTGGGTGCCTGTAATCCCAGCTACTTGAGAGGCTGAGGCATGAGAATCGCTTGAACCCAGGAGGTGGAGGTTGCAGTGAGTCAAGATCACACCAGGACACTTGAGACTGGGTGACAGAGCAAGACACCGTCTCAAAAAAAAAGAAATACTGATTTGTGCTACAATATGGATGAACATGCTACAGCATAGATGAGAACATTATGCTAAGTCAAAGAATTTAGATGCAAAAGGGGATATAGTTTATGATTCCATTTATATTAAGTGTCAAAAAATAGTCAAATCCAAAGTAGACTGATAGTTGCCAGGGACTGGGTCCGGGGAGGAATGGGACATGACTGCTAAAGGGGTTTCTTTTTTAGATGATGAAAATATTCTGGAATTAGTGGTAATGGTTGCACAACTTTGTGAAAATACTAAAAGCCACTGAACTGGTCACTTTAAAGGTTTAAATTGTGTGATATGTAAATTATATCTCAATATTTTTTGGAGACAGGGTCTCACTCTTTTGCTCAGGCTGGAGTGCAGTGGTGCCATCACAGCTCACTGCAGCCTCAACCTCCTGGGCTCAGGCAGTCCTCTCATCTCAGCCTTCCAAGTAGCTGAGACTACAGGCGCATGCCACCACACCTGGCTAATTATTATTATTATTATTTTTGTAGCGATGAGGTCTCACTATTTTGCCCAGATTGGTCTTGAACTCAATCAGTCCTCCTTCCTTGGCCTCCCAAAGTGTTGGGGTTACAGGCATGAACAACCGCACCTGGCCCATAGCTCAATTTTAAAAAGTAATAATGAAGGATAAGAATCACAAAGTTTCCTCCCCACAAAATGTCACATTCTAAATATTGACTGAAGTGGAAAGTGATGTTAGGCAATTGGTACAATATAAGAAAAGAGACCTGGAAAGAGAGAACAAGTTCCTTCAGCACCTGGGGATATCAACATTGAATTTTGGGGGAAAGAAATTAATAGGAACCCACATGATACATACAATAATGTTATAGTAATGTAGGCAATTTTTTTTGGTTTTCAACCTTTAGAGATGATCAAATGCAGCAAACTTGTAAAGTGGTTGCAGACAGAAGGTAACTGTGGCCTATGATAAGGGTACAGGAGAGAGCAGAGGCACTGATGTTCTTATTTTACAAAGAGAGATCAAGAAATAATATCAGGAGCTGAAGAACAAGAAATAGATGCTCACAGAGATTAAAGTAACAAAAGAAAAAATAAAATAATTAAAATCACAAATACAATATCAAAACTTCAGAAGAAGACGAGAGTAAAGAATCTAAAGGCTCATCTTTTACATTGGGGCATAAATAGAGATGGTCTGAAGTTGATAATTCAATAATTAAATAAAGGTATAAGCACATTGCCTACAGTTTTTGAAGTAACCACTAGGACAATAAAAACTGTTTAAACATATTTCCTGTGAGAGTGGAAGAACAGATGGGCAAGGGGGAAGCAGAAAACTGTTGCTTTTTAGAAGCTCTTCTCTACTCATTTGATGCCATGTACCTGTATTTGTTTATTTGAAAGTAGTTCATTAGGAGTTTTACGACTTATTTGATGGATGACAAATGATAAAGAAATGAAGGCTGACCTTATCTGACCCCAAGTAATTCGAAAAGTGATCTCAAAGAAACAGAAAAATTGAAAAGAGGAGAAACCAGCAACTTATTTGGGGGAAGAAGATAAAGACACTGAAAGATGCAATCAGAAGAATATAACAGGCATGAAAATAAGTGTCCAGAAAAATTCTAGAGTAAAATAGAAACTCTTACATTTACATGACTGTAAGAGTTGGACTGACACCAACAAAAGTTGAAGAGGAAAACAAAAAAGGAAGAAAGAATTTTAGAGGAATTCCAGACAGTGAAGCTTAGAGCACCCCTGGTGAAGGCATAGAAGGAAGAAAGAGAAAGAAACAGTGTAGTGTATATGGTCAAGGAATGAGAAAGTTGACCGAAATATGTCCAAAATTATAAACACTGACTCTATCAATTATAATTAAAGAGGTAGAAAATACAAAGAGTGGAAAGCAGCATTGAATGCCCTACACTCCAGGGTAGCTAAATTCCCTGTGGCATTCGCAGACAATCCTTAAAATAGACTCATGGAAGTTGAAAGTTGATCCACAATTTTCCTATTTAAAACTGGCTCTCTCATAACACAATTGAAAAAAATTACTGCTTGTTATACTTTTAACTGTGTAATGCATGTAAAAAAAAAGTTCTGCCAACTCTAGTCTAAATCCTTCTCATCTATCGTGACCTGTTCCAAAAACATATCATTCGGGGGAAAAAAATACACGCAATCACAGAAAGCTTGAAGTCATTATTTCCTCAAACTCAGTGATGTAACCTTTGAGGATTATATCAGACAACATTACTAGATGAAGACAATGTAGAAACATTTATGTTTTGCTTATTTTTATAAGAAACTTCATGCAGCATTCACCTTGGGTCTCCAGGAAAAAGGCATATGCAATCATGAGTGTCATGGAGCTGATAATAAAAGAGTGCTTATTATGAGAAAGATCTAAAGTTACAATCTAAAGTTTGAAGGAAATGTGCATTTGCAAATGAAACCAATGGGCCTTCTGCATAAATTACAAATATGCATCATTGCTTCTCACTGACAATACCAAAACCTCTATGGCTGCCTCATCAATCTAAGCTACACCAGTTTAAAACTCTGCCATGCACATCCCGTTCTGCTGTTGTCTCCTCTTTTCTCTCTATGACAGCCACATGTATTTAGAGATTCCTCCAGCGGTCACCATTTTCTTATTTCCAACTCGCTCCCCAACCCTCCCAATTTGCTTCTGTTTCATCACTTCATTCAGGTGGTTCTGGCTAATGTGAGTGAGGACCGTGGTGTTTCTAAAATGGTTGTATATTTTTCAATGCTCTTCCTATCTCTTGTCATAGGCTGCATTCAATACCTTGAACCAGTCCCTTGTTTTTGAAACACTGTCCCCCCTGTTTTTCAAGATATAGCACTCTTAATGTCTCACTTGTAAGAACATTCTCATTTCAATTATCCATCTGTAAGCCCAACACTATAAATCCCTATACGCACCCAAATGTACAAGTATCTTTTTGTTGTTGTTGTTGTTGTTTTTGTAACATCTTTTATTTGTATACAATTATAAATTATAAACTTGTTTTATTAGGATTTTTCTTTTTTAAAAAAATTTATTTTTAGTCAGCTTACTCCCTTTTATTTACCAGCAGTTTGCTCTGACAGAATAAATTACAAACTATTGTTTTGCTTAATCCTTTTAACCATCATGTCAGGCACACAGGTTGGAGGATATTATCTCCCATTTCATGGACAGAGTGGAAACACTGTACCCATATTTAGTGTAAGACAGAGCTCGGATATAAGCCTTGGGCTTCCATAGTCACAACTGCTTTTTTCCATAACTTTGTAATACATCATTTTAAAGTAATCTGATTTCACAAGTTTTACAGTATAAGAGTAACATCTATAGCATCTCTTCTTGGCAGGTTACCTCTGGAGAGAACCAATCTAATTATCTCATACACTGGCACTTTTTTTTTTTTTTGAGACAGAGTTTTGCTTTTGTTGCCCAGGCTGGAGTGCAATGGAGTGATCTCAGCTCACTGCAACCTCCGCCTCCCTGGGTTCAAGCAATTCTCTTGCCTCAGCCTCCCAAGTAGCTGGGATTACAGGCAGGCACCACCACGCCTGGCTAATTTTGTATTTTTAGTAGGGACAGAATTTCTCCATGTTGGTCAGGCTGGTCTCGAACTCCTGACCTCAGGTGATCCGCCTGCCTCAGCCTCCTGAAGTATTGGGATTACAGGTGTGAGCCACCGTGCCCAGCCTAAACTGGCAAGTTTTAAGGCAGCTACATCTCTAACTTGATTTACCAGCTATGCTTGAGGGTCCAAGTAGCCAAAATTGCAGCCAAACTGATCTGAAAGGACCAGGGAATAGAATGGTCAAGCATGTTTCCAAGTTTAACCTAGGCCTGGCACATCCTTGCCAATTGCTCAGATGGCAAGTGAGGGGCAATTAAGTGAAGAGAATAGCAGGAAGACCCACTTGGGGTGGACACTGATGAAAAACACAAGCAGTATCAGACCCACTGTTTTCAGGATTAAAATCCCCAGATGCCCAATTATTGGTCTACTATGTCACTACCAGTAGGACAAAAGGCAATACTTCTGAAGACTAGAATACGCAAGGAAAAAATTAAGGTGCCTGCCTGTCTGGGGCCTCTTTTAACACTTATCCTTAGATGACTGAGGCATCTCAAAATTGGTCTCATGATATCTTCCTCTGAATCTGATTTTCTTCATGTTTCCTATTTCTATGAATAGACCTACAATCTATCAAGGTATGCAAGCAAAAAAAACACTTGAAATTGTATTTGATTCCTCTTCCATCATCAATTTCATCATTGAAGTTTTGCTATCTAAATGTCTCTTGAATCCATACAGCACTTGGTCCCCACCATTACCCATTGGTCAGTCTGCCATAATCTCTTTTTTTTTTTTTGTTTGAAACGGAGTCTCACTCTGTCACAGGCTGGAGTGCAATGGTGTGGTCTCGGCTCACTGCAACCTCCACCTCCTGGGTTCAAGCGATTCTCCTGCCTCAGCCTCCCGAATAGAGGGGACTACTGGCGCCTGCCACCACACCTGGCTAATTTTTATATTTTTTAGTAGAGATGGGGTTTCACCATGTTGGCCAGGCTGGTTTCGATCTCCTGACCTCAGGTGATCCACCCGCCTCAGTCTCCCAAATTGCTGGGATTACAGGCATGAGCCACCATGCCGGCAAAGTCAGGCTGCCATGATCTCTTACCTGAACTACTGCACTAGCTTCCTAACAGATCTTTCTACATTCACCTTGGACTCTTCAATCTAGTCTCCCCATTGCAGCTAGAGTTGTCTTTTACAAAGCATATATTTCTTCTTGCACACAAGCCTAGTTCTTTTGAGCCCTTGCTTAAACTCCTTTAGTGTCTTCCCATTGTTCTTAGACTACAGATCAAAATTCTTAACATGGTCTAACACGCCCTGCACAGTCTGGTCCCTGTCTACTTCTCAGGCTCATTTCACAGAACCCTCCTCTCATTCTCTGAACTCTGACACACTGACATTCTAGTTCTTCAAATGGGCAAGCTCCCCACCACCAGAGTGCCTTTGCACATGCTTTCTCCTCCTCAGCCCAGCCCTGTTCACCTAGTTGCCCACTTGATTCTTCAGCTTTTGTTCAGCCACTATCCTTAGAAGGAAGTCTTTCCTGGTTTCCTAGGCTAAATTAGGTTTCTTTGTTATCTGCCTCTATAGACTGTTTCTTTCTCTCAGAAGACTTATCCCAGTTGGTTCACATTCTATCACAGTCAATGATGTGGTTATTTTATGAATGCCCTTCTTGCACGTTAGTCTGAAGCTTCATGAGTGAGTAGCCACGTCTTTTATTTTGCTTGCTGTCCTATCTCCAGCTCCTAGAAAACTTCCTAGCATATAGGGTAATCAATACATATTTGATGAATGAATGCATGCATGAATAAAGGGCAAATTTGGTTTAAAAATAGTATATGGCTTATAGACCATCCCTCATGCCAATTCAGACCTGATTTTCTCCAATTTTTAGCTTAAAGTGTGTTTATTCTTATTCTTATACATGTACAACCATAAAGATTGCTCAAAGTACTGAAATGCTATAGCACCTATGAAGATATCAATTTCAGAGCCACAGGGAATAGTAATAAGATGAATACAGAATTTTTCATACCGAATAAGTATTTTAGATAATGCCAAATAGACTTTATAGCTAGATTCTATAGCTAGACTAAATGTCTGTTCAGATAACACTCAATAACATCTGAATCAACTGATCTTTATTCTGGCTCTGCCTCATAGAATTCAGGAAAGTTCTTGTGTCAGGCCTTTTTAGCCTGGGGGTAGAGGAGGGGAAGGGAATGGAGAAAGCTACAAATAAAGACGAGTCTGTTGAGACTTGACTATACGTTAGTCTAGCAATCAAATGTTGTATAATTCCAAAAGAGATGACCTATCTGTGGCCCAGATGCAGAGCCAGCAACATAATCTATGGGGTGCTGTTCACATGCACCCTAGAACTTAAAGTATAATAAAAATATATATATATAAAATAAAAAATAAATAAATAAAATTTGCCAGAAAACGAAAAAAAAAAAAGAAAAAGAAAATCCAAGTCCCTTCATTCAAAAAGCAGAAGACTGCCTTCTGCAGTCTCTTGATTGATCTTTCATGGTGGTTTTATTTTTATCGTTATTATCTTGCTATTTAATGTTACATTCCCTTGGACACAAAACACTCATGCAGTGAGTGCAGACAACAAGTACCTTGGTCCCTGCTCCTGTGACTTCTGATACACAAGTATCCAAAACTGACCTTCCCCATGCCTGGTCCCATAGAGGGTATGGAGGGCCACAGCAATCAATGAATGGGGCAGAGGAGCAGGTGGCTGAGAACCCAATCTGAGGAGTCAGGGAGGGAGCAGGAGGCAGGACTACTTGCAGCCAAGGCTCTAGGTTCCCAGTGCATGTTCTATTGTCCCATCAGACATTAGTTATAAAGCGCAAATTCAATAATCCAGTGTTAAGAATTTCAAAATGATGCCAGCAGAGCATTAAACCCTAAGTGCAGGGTCCCTTTCTGAGTGTGGACCCTATGCAACTGCACATGTCACACACTTGTGAAGCTGACCTTGTGCAGATAAAATGGTTTCTAGTGAACCACAGTGAAGAAGGTATAACTTATTCTTACACATTCAGACATCTCTATCTGAAACTATGTACTCACAGGTGTATCCTGTCATGGAAAAGGTAGATTTGTGCGCTCTGGAAACTGTTGATTTCTACTAAGTAGTCAAACTGTACTAAGTTCATTCTGTATCACTCAGATAAGTGCAACTTGTGTAATATTTCCAAGTGTTGTCAGTGCCTGGTGTTTTCTCAAATCCAGTAGACAAGACCCACTTATTTAATTATTAATCTAGAGCATATGCTCTCTTAGGACATGAATAATCATCTTCCTATCTCTACTATAATCAACAGTACCTTGTATCGGTTGATGCTCAATAAATGATTCTTGAGTTGGAATAATAAACTCCATACTCCTCTTCTAATTATGCTATTCCTAAAATAAAAGTCAATTTAAAAATGCATGGTGGAATCTTTAAAGTATCAGCCTATTTGGTGTATGTATGTATGTGTACACACACACACACACACACACACACACACACACACATACAGAGTCTTAATTCCACACATTTCTTCTCAAGAGTTCAAGGTGGCTATCAGGACCAAGCCTACAAATAAAGAGATTGAAATTTCCACAAAGTTATCACTTTAACCAAAAGGAAGTCCTAGTTAAAATGCAAAAACAAAAACAATATTTACAAAGAATATTTTAAAACTTGGAGAAGAGCTTATGGTATAATTAAATAAAAAACCAAGAGGAAATAATATTGCCAGTCTTCAGAATAAGAACATGTACTTATATACACGAAGTAAAAAGATTGGAAGGAAACATTATCCGACATTATTAGTATTTATCTCTTGGTGTATAAGATTATGAGAGATTATAGTTTTTAAATTTATTTTGTGTATATATTAAAATTTTCTTCTATACTGGGCATATGCTGCTTTTATATTCATAAGTTTTTTTTGAAAAGCAAACATTTGAAAAGAATAACTTTTAGTCGTTTAAAGTGGCAGTTAAAATTATTTTTTATTAATAAAGTCTTTTGGCATCAATATTATGGCATCCCAATATATATTTTTTAAGTGATGAACAGCTTCCTTAGGCCATTTAAATCTTCATCACTAGGCAGAGAATATTTCATTGCTTAAAGGAGCTTTTGAAATGCCACTCAGAAAGTCAGTGAGTTAAATCCAAACCCCATCCGGTTGTTGTGAAAGAGGCATATAAATGGCTTTTCATCTCACTTCTCTGATTCATATTTTATTCAAGATATTGGTGTGTTAGTTAAGTAATTCTCGATTATGCTGCAGTAACAAATAAACCTTGAAGTGTCAGTGGCTTAACTACAAGGGTTTATTTTTCACTCAGGTCAACCCAATCCAAACCAGGTGGCCAAGTAATGACTCAGGATCCAGGCTCCCCAATTTTGCAACTCCATCATCTTATACTTCTTCACTTCCAGTTACACAGATAGAAGAGAGAAAGATATAGTAGAGGCACATACACAAATGTGTATGTGTGTATACGTGTGTGTATGTATATAGTGATGGCGTGTGTGTGTGTATACATATATATATATTTAGCCAGACCTAGTCATTGGCCCCACCCTAACTTCAGTACTGCAGTGGTGACTGAAAAATGTAGAGAAGTGCAAAAGAATATTTGGTTTTTACTGCTACTGACTGTCACAAGATTTTAAAATTTCAAATAACATTAAAGAAGGACATGGGAATTATCATAATGGGGCAAAAGTTAAACTAGGATATAAGATACTATATTAGCAGAAACTATTTTTTCTTCAAAAGATTGACGAAAACATCTGAGAGGATATGACAAGACAGATCATTGATATTAAGAGGTGTTGAAGGTGAGATTAAATAGAGCTGAAAGCATGAAACAATACCCTGAGATGTCAGACAACTCTGCTCACCACACTCAGATTTCCTGAGGTTCTGTATTGAGACAGGCAAGCAGGGCTTTTAAAATGTCCCAGCAGAATTAGAAAGCTGCCACAACTTATTCATTTCTCCAAGTGTGATATATGTTGCTTACAATAAACTTCAAAGAGGTATGTGCTGATGGTTTCTAACTGCCATATAAACACCACTTCATATAAACATCAGCCTGGAACTCCACCAACTCGTACAGACCTGATGGATATTCACCAGGGCAAACTAGCAAAGGACTATTTTTAAGCCTCCACAACTGAGGATAACTTTGTTAATTTTTCTACTTATTTAGTAGAGTGCCCATTTAATGTTTGTCCTTCAGGCAGGAATGTATGCTCTTCACGGTTTTACATGTCAGTTTAGATTTCTCAAGAAAAAGGTCTATAAATTTAGGGGAAAGAATGTTTACCAGTCATGTACACTATGCCTACGATTATACTCTTGAATTCATTGGTCCCTTAAGTAAACGTTGGTGATTGATTTACAAATATAGTAACTGAAATCAATGGAAGATACATTTGAAATATAATTCTAATCACATATGTACATGAGATAATTTTACAAACGTGACCTCATGCCTGTCACATGGATTAAGTTCATTAATGCCAAAATGTGAGATAAATTATTTCTATACCACATTTTCCTATAAATGGCCAAGAAAGGTTTAAGGTAAACTAATGCTTAGGCAAGCTATATTTGTCAGAAATTTCTAAAGGATAATTCTTGCTCCTTCAATTTAACAATAAGAAAGGAGAAGAAAAGAAAGAAAAGGAGAAAGGAGAAGAAAGGAAAGGAAAGGAGAAAATCTATTTGAATTATTTAGAGAACATCCTGTACTCTCTTTAGATCATATGTATTCAGTTTTGTTTCACTGGTGTTCTTTATTGTTTTGTTTCTTTATTATTTCTGATTTTGTAATAAATGGAGGGTAAAATACAAAATTTCTACTGGTTGCTAAATAGACAGCTGTGAGATCTATAGTTTTATACATTAAGGGATGGAATCTCTGAGTAAACAATTTTGATTGGCTCTTACTATCTTGCAAGCTCCTTCTTCATTAAACTAAATAAATCATCAGTTTAATTCATTGGGAAATCTCCAGAAGAGGTTCACAAGTATAAAAAGCTTTTGGGGCCGGGCGCGGTGGCTCACTCCTGTTATCTAAGCACCTTGGGAGGCTGAGGCGGGTGGGTCATTTGAGGCCAGGAGTGTGAGACCAGCCTGGCCAAAATGGTGAAACCCCATCTCTACTAAAAATACTAAAATTAGCTGGGCATGGTGATGCACGCCTAATAATCCCAGCTACTTGGGAGGCTGAGGCAGGAGAATTGCTTGAACCTAGTAGGCGAAGGTTGCAGTAAGCTGAGATTGCGCCACTGCAGTCCAGCCTGGGTGACAGAGTGAGACTTTGTCTCAAAAAATAAAATAAAATAAAAATAAAAAGCTTTTGACCCAAGTACAGTCAAAGAAGTAAGCCACCTGAACATATCCTTCAGTAACTTTATCTTAGTTCAGAGTGAATCTTAAATTATCAAACAAATGAAAGGGTTGATTCATCATTTCAATTTCCTTATCTTGGATGCATTACTGAAACAACAATTAAATTTAACTTTCAGTCATGAGGAATTAAACAGGCATGACTTGGTAAGAGCCTGCTCCATTTTCCCCTAGAATAAGTCAATATGGTTTATAACTGAAAACAATCTCAAGGGAATTTTGACTCTGTCATTTTCCCAAAACAAATGGCTCTGCTGCTATTGCTTCCAGAACAGCATAACATGCCACTCAGAGTCTTTATGCTGCTGAGCCACTCATATGCGTGTGTCAGAATTAATCTGACATCCTAAAAGCAGAGGGGGGCTTGGGCCAGTTGCATTGATGTGGGCTATATTTTAAGCATCTGTTTACTAGTCTGTCTCCTACATTAAACTGTGAGCAACATCAGAGGGTCTCTCATAATCATCATTGCATTTTTTTCAGCACAAATCTCAACACTGAAAAATGTTCAATTCATTTTTTAAAAATGTGTTCATAGAATACCAAATTTTAGTGAAACCAATATAGTCAGTAGTGGTGGAATAGATACTAAGTGTGTAATTAAGTTATGTATAGACTCTCTTCTTTCCAAATGCCAGTAACCCAATAAAAGGACCTTCCTTTTGTATTCTCGGCCATAACTAATGTTGAAATTAGAAAAAAAAAAAAAGGAGAGATTATCTCAAATAAACGACTGCCATGAATTCTTGTTACATGAAGAAAGCTAAATGGAGATATTACTTCTTTTCTAAGGTTTATGAAAATGTATTTAAATTATTTTCCTTAAAAAGAAGTAGAACTGCTAATATATTATATACTCCAAGAATGCATTCAAAACAAAAATTCCCATTCACATTTTCAATCTCAACCTAAATTTATATTTTTGCAAGTCCATCCTCTTCCTCTATTCTCTCTTATTCTCTTTCCTGTCACTAATTTTCCTAGATAGAAGAGGATTTCTGTTTTGAAGTTCAGTGAGTGAGGGTATTTAAAAAAAGAAATGAAAGGAAGAAAAAAACCTGACACAACACAGGTGAGTTTTTAAATTTTTTTGCACAGCAATGGAAATAATCAAAAAATGAAAAGGCAGCCTACAGAATGGGAGCAAATATTTACAAAGCACATATTCAATAGGGTGCTAGTATTCAAAATACATAAGGAAAGCAAACAACTCTAAAGCAAAAAAGCAAATAACCTGATTTTAATATAGGAAAAGGATCTGTATAGACATTTTTCCAAACAAGACATACAAATGGACAACAGGTTAGTGAAAAAGGTGCCCAACATCACTAATCATCAGGAAAATGCAAATCAAAACTGAAATGAGCTATCTCACACCTGTTAGGATGGCTATTACCAAAATGTTAAGTGATAACAAATGTTGGCAAGAGTGTGAAGAAAAGGAAACCCTGATATACTGTTGGTGGGATTGTAAATTAGTACAGCTATTATGGAAAACAGTATTGAGTTTCTCAAACACTAAAAATAGAACTACTATGTGATGAAGTAATCTCACTTCTGAGTATATATCTAATCAAAATTTCAAAGACGTATGTGCACTCCCATGTTAATTGCAGCATTACTCACAATAGCTAAGATATAGGAGCAACCTAGGTGTCTATCACTGAATAAATGAATAAAGCAAATGTGATGTATATATATATAATGGAATATTATTCAGTCTTAAAAAAGAATGAAATCCTGTTATTTGTAACCACATGGATGAACCTAGAGGACACTATGTTAAGTGAAATATGCCAGATATAGAAAGACAAATACTGTATGATCTCACTTACATGTGTAATTGAAAAAAGTTAAACTCATAGTAGAAGCAGAGAGTAGAATGGTGCTTGCCAGGGTCTGGAGGGGGAAGGCAGAATGGGGAGATGTTTGCCAAAGGGTGCAAAGTTTTTGTTAGGATAAATAAATTATAGAGATCTAATGAACAGCATGTTGACTATAGTTAATAATACTGTATTTTATACTTGAGATTCACTGAGTAAATCTTGAATGTTCTCATCACACCACCAAAAAAAAGATAACTATGTGAGGCAATGAATATATTAATTAGCTTGATTGTGGTAATCATTTTACAATGTACATGTATATCAAAACAACACGCTTTACATCTTAAATATATTCAATTTATATTTGTCAATCATACCTCACTAAAGCTAGGGGAAGATAATACACCTTTAAACAATTTTTATAAAAGGAAAATAATTGTCCGTAAGATATTTGACTGAAAATAGGGAAACTATTAAGAAGCTGTTGAACTAATCTAAGAATGGAGTAAGGCTAGTCTAGACTTGACTCTGGACCAGTGGTTATTAAACTCCATCACCCATAAGAATCACCTGGATAACTTACTAAAACACAGATAAAAAAGATTTTAATCCTGAAGGTCTGCGATAAGACCAAGCACTTGCATTTCTAACAGGCTCCTAAGTGGTACCCATGCTGTTAATCTACAGACCATCTCTGAGTAGCACTGCTCTAGACTACTGAGGTAAAAGCAACAAAACCAGAAACCATTTTTACTAAGAATCAGAATGACCTAACAAACCTAGGTATAAGGAAAAAGATACTAAAATTTCTAGCATGATGTTTGTGGTGTTGACCTGCATGGAAATTGGAGGAAAAAAAAAATAAACAAGTTAAGAGAGTAAGAGAGGTTTGTTTTTATAAATGCTGGATTTGAGATGACATCCGGATATTGATGTGTATATGACTTGCAGACAGCAGGAAATGAATGGCTGTCATG
Organism: Homo sapiens; assembly: GCF_000001405.40. NCBI lineage: Eukaryota > Metazoa > Chordata > Mammalia > Primates > Hominidae > Homo > Homo sapiens. Next base: position 101,107,032 of record NC_000003.12, read on the forward strand.
GACATATAGTTAGACTTCAGATTTCAAGGTAAAGATTTACAAGTTTCATGAACACAGTAGTCAAACTCGAGAGGGGACTCTGAGTTATGAGAAGAAATCAAAAAGCCACTCACAGAACCTCAAAGAACTGTCATGTCATGGGGTGGGAGAATGAAAGATATCAAAAGAAAGAGAAGGACTGGTTACAATTATTATGATAGGAGAGAAGCTAATAGGTAAGTGAGTGTTGAGTGTTACAGTTAAAGAAGAGAACATTTCATTTATTATTAATAAGTTGTCTGTGCTGAATACTTTAAAGAGATTAAGGAGAATGAAAACCAAAGAAAGATCCAGGATCAGTAGCTTACTGTATTCACTAATAAACTCTCTGACAACCTCAGTAGTCACTGACAAACTTTGGAGAGCATCGTACCAGTAGCATTGAGCAGAAGCCAAACTGGAAATAGTTAAGAACAAAATGGGAAAAGAAAAAGTGAGGCAGTTCATGTGAATAAAATAGGAGAATCACATTAAACTTAAATTTTGTTTACAGAACTAAGGCTCAAGAACATCTATGATATTTACACCTTCCATTTTCATTTTCTTTTTATATTTCCAAAGAGTCCTGCATAGGTTACAAGAGGCTGAAAAATGGTTCCCCCCAAAATGTCCATAGTCCAGTCCCTGGAACCTCTCAATATTACCTTTACAAATGTGATTAAGTATCTTGAAATGGGGAGTGAATTCTGAATTATGCAGATATGTCCTAAATGCAATCATAGGTATTTTTATGAGGGAGGCAGAGGGGATTTCACATACCCAGAATGAAAAATAAATGTGAACTGAAGTGAGATGCTATGCTGCTTCCTTTGAAGATGAAGGAAGGGGCCACACACCAAGGAATGCTGCTCTAGAAGCTGTAAAAGACAAGAAAACAGATTCCCTTCTAGGTCCTCCAGAGGGAGCATGACCCTGCCAATCTTGGCAGTTTCAAGTGAAACAATTTCAGAAGTCTCAGCCTCAAGAACGACAGGAGAATAAATTTGTGTTGCTTTCAGCTACCAGGGTTCTGGTAACTTGTCATAGTGCCACAAGAAACTAACACATAGGTCAATATTCAATTGTAACTTCGCAATAAATTAAATTTAGTGTATTGAGTCATCTACTGTTAGACAAAATAACACTCTAAGTGATTATGAGATACTTCTCAATTGAGGATCACAATATATTGTTACTTTCCTCATATCCAACTCGGTAAGAAATATTTCTGCTGTGTTATAAGGCTTTGTGGGGCATCCATATTTAAAGAATATGAAAAATGGTGGAGCCAAGATGGCCGAGTAGGAACAGCTCCAGTCTATAGCTCCCAGCACGAGCGATGCAGAAGATGGGTGATTTCCGCATTTCCAACTGAGGTACCAGGTTCATCTCACTGGGGAGTGCTGGACAATTGGTGCAGGACAGTGGGTGCAGCCCACCGTGCGTGAGCTGAGGCAGGGCGAGGCATCGCCTCACCCGGGAAGTGCAAGGGGTCAGGGAATTCCCTTTCCTAGTCAAAGAAAAGGGTGACAGACGGCACCTGGAAAATCGGGTCACTCCCACCCTAATACTGCACTTTTCCAATGGGCTTAACAAACGGCACACCAGGAGATTATATCCCGCACATGGCTTGGAGGGTCCTACACCCACAGAGCCTCACTCATTGCTAGCACAGCAGTCTGAGATCAAGCTGCAAGGTGGCAGCGAGGCTGGGGGAGGGGCACCTGCCATTGCCCAGGCTTGAGGAGGTAAATAAAGCAGCAGGAAGCTCGAACTGTGTGGAGCCCACCACAGCTCAAGGAGGCCTGCCTGCCTCTGTAGGTTCCATCTCTGGGGGCAGGGCACAGACAAACAAAAGACAGCAATAACTTCTGCAGACTTAAATGTCCCTGTCTTACAGCTTTGAAGAAGGTAGTGGTTCTCCCAGCATGCAGCTTGAGATCTGAGAATGGACAGACTGCCTCCTCAAGTGGGTCCCTGACCCCCGAGTAGCCTAACTGGGAGGCACCCCCCAGTAGGGGCAGGCTGACACCTCACACGGCTGGGTACTCCTCTGAGACAAAACTTCCAGAGGAAGGATCGGGCAGCAGCATTTGCGGTTCACCAATATCCACTGTTCTGCAGCCACCACTGCTGATACCCAGGCAAACAGGGTCTGGAGTTGACCTCCAGTAAACTCCAACAGACCTGCAGCTCAGGGTCCTGACTCTTAGAAGGAAAACTAACAAACAGAAAGGACATCCACACCAAAAACCCATCTGTACGTCACCATCATCAAAGACCAAAGGTAGATAAAACCACGAAGATGGGAAAAAAACAGAGCAGAAAAACTGGAAACTCTAAAAATCAGAGTGCCTCTCCTCCTCCAAAGGAACACAGCTCCTCACCAGCAATGGAACAAAGCTGGATGGAGAATGACTTTGACGAGTTGAGGAAAGAAGGCTTCAGAAGATCAAACTACTCCGAGCTAAAGGAGGAAGTTCAAACCAGTGGCAAAGAAGTTAAAAACTTTGAAAAAAAAATTAGACGAATGGATAACTAGAATAACTAATGCAGAGAAGTCCTTAAAGGACCTGATGGAGCTGAAAACCATGCCATGAGAACTACGTGACAAATGCACAAGCCTCAGTAACCGATGCGATCAACTGGAAGAAAGGGTATCAGTGATGGAAAATGAAATGAATGAAATGAATGAAATGAAGCGTGAAGAGAAGTTTAGAGAAAAAAGAATAAAAAGAAATGAACAAAGCCTCCAAGAAATATGGGACTATGTGAAAAGACCAAATCTAGGTCTGATTGGTGTACGTGAAAGTGACAGGGAGAATGGAACCAAGTTGGAAAACACTCTGCAGGATATTATCCAGCAGAACTTCCCCAATCTAGAAAGGCAGGCCAACATTCAAACTCAGGAAATACAGAGAACACCACAAAGATACTCCTCGAGAAGAGCAACTCCAAGACACAAAATTGTCAGATTCACCAAAGTTGAAATGAAGGAAAAAATGTTAAGGGCAGCCAAAGAGAAAGGTTGGGTTACCCACAAAGGGAAGCCCATCAGACTAACAGCTGATCTCTCGGCAGAAACTCTACTAGCCAGAAGAGAGTGGGGGCCAATATTCAACATTCTTAAAGAAAAGAATTTTCAATCCAGAATTTCATATCCAGTCAAACTAAGCTTCATAAGTGAAGGAGAAATAAAATCCTTTACAGACAAGCAAATGTTGAGAGATTTTGTCACCACCAGGCCTGCCCTAAAAGAGCTCCTGAAGGAAGCACTGAACATGGAAAGGAACAACCGGTACCAGCCACTGCAAAAACATGCCGAATTGTAAAGACCATCAAGACTAGGAAGAAACTGCATCAACTAATGAGCAAAATAACCAGCTAACATCATAATGACAGGATCAAATTCACACATAACAATAATAACCTTAAATGTAAATGGGCTAAATTCTCCAATTAAAAGACACAGACTGGCAAATTGGATAAAGAGCCAAGACCCATCAGTGTGCTGTATTCAGGAAACACATCTCACGTGCAGAGACACATATAGGCTCAAAATAAAGGGATGGAGGAAGATCTACAAAACAAATGGAAAACAACAAAAGGCAGGGGTTGCAATCCTAGTGTTGGATAAAACAGACTTTAAACCAACAAAGATCAAAAGAGACAAAGAAGGCTATTACAAAATGGTAAAGGGATCAATTCAACAAGAAGAACTAACTATCCTAAATATATATGCACCCAATACAGGAGAACCCAGATTCATAAAGCAAGTCCTTAGTGACCTACAAAGAGACTTAGACTCCCACACAATAATAATGGCAGACTTTAACACCCCACTGTCAACATTAGACAGATCAATGAGACAGAAAGTTAACAAGGATATCCAGGAATTGAACTCAGCTCTGCACAAAGTGGACCTAATAGACATCTACAGAACTCTCCACCCCAAATCAACAGAATATACATTCTTTTCAGCACCACACCACACCTATTCCAAAACTGACCACATAGTTGGAAGTAAGGCACTCGTCAGCAAATGTAAAAGAACAGAAATTATAACAAACTGTCTCTCAGACCACAGCGCAATCAAACTAGAACTCAGGATTAAGAAACTCACTCCAAACCGCTCAACTACATGGAAACTGAACAACCTGCTCCTGAATGACTACTGGGTACATAACGAAATGAAGGCAGAAATAAAGATGTTCTTTGAAACCAACCAGAACAAAGACACAACATACCAGAATCTCTGGGACACATTCAAAGCAGTGTGAAGAGGGAAATTTATAGCACTAAATGTCCACAAGAGAAAGCAGGAAAGATCTAAAATTGACACCCTAACAACACAACTAAAAGAACTAGAGAAGCAAGAGCAAACACATTCAAAAGCTAGCAGAAGGCGAGAAATAACAGATCAGGGCAGAACTGAAGGAAATAGAGCTCAAAAAACCCTTCAAAAAATCAGTGAATCCAGGAGCTGGTTTTTTGAAAAGATCAACAAAACTGATAGACCACTAGCAAGACTAATAAAGAAGAAAAGAGAGAAGAATCAGACACAATAAAAAATGATAAAGGGGATATCACCACCGATCCCACAGAAATACAAACTACCATCAGAGAATACTATAAACACCTCTACAGAAATAAACTAGAAAATCTAGAAGAAATGGATAAATTTCTTGACACATACACCCTCCCAAGACTAAACTAGGAAGAAGTTGAATCAGTGAATAGACCAATAACAGGCTCTGAAATTGAGGCAATAATTAATAGCTTACCAACCAAAAAAACTCCAGGACCAGATGGATTCACAGCCGAATTCTACCAGAGGTACAAGGAGGAGCTGGTACCATTCCTTCTGAAACTATTCCAATCAATAGAAAAAGAGGGAATCCTCCCTAACTCATTTTATGAGGCCAGCATCATCCTGATATCAAATCCTGGCAGAGACACAACAAAAAAAGAGAATTTTAGACCAATATCCTTGATGAACATTGATGCAATAATCCTCAATAAAATACTGGCAAACCGAATCCAGCAATACATCAAACAGCTTATCCACCATGATCAAGTGGGCTTCATCCCTGGGATGCAAGGCTGGTTCAACACACGAAAATCAATAAACGTAATCCAGCATATAAACAGAACCAAAGAAAAAAACCACATGATTATCTCCATAGATGCAGAAAAGGCCTTTGACAAAATTCAACAACCCTTCATGCTAAAAACTCTCAATAAATTAGGTATTGATGGGACGTATCTCAAAATAATAAGAGCTATCTATGACAAACCCATAGCCAATATCATACTGAATGGACAAAAACTGGAAGCATTCCCTCTGAAAACTGGCACAAGACAGTGATGCCCTCTCTCACCACTCCTATTCAACATAGTGTTGGAAGTTCTGGCCAGGGCAATCAGGCAGGAGAAGGAAATAAAGGGCATTCAATTAGGAAAAGAGGAAGTCAAATTGTCCCTGTTTGCACATGACATGATTGTATATCTAGAAAACCCCATTGTCTCAGCCCAAAATCTCCTTAAGCTGATAAGAAACTTCAGCAGTCTCAGGATACAAAATCAATGTGCAAAAATCACAAGCATTCTTATACACCAATAACAGACAAACAGAGAGCCAAATCATGAGTGAACTCCCATTCACAATTGCTTCAAAGAGAATAAAATACCTAGGAATCCAACTTACAAGGGATGTGAAGGACCTCTTCAAGGAGAACTACAAACCACTGCTCAAGGAAATAAAAGAGGATACAAACAAATGGAAGAATATTCCATGCTCATGGGTAGGAAGAATCAATGTCATGAAAATGGCCATACTGCTCAAGGTAATTTATAGATTCAATGCCATCCCCATCAAGCTACCAATGACTTTCTTCACAGAATTGGAAAAAACTACTTTAAAGTTCATATGGAACCAAAAAAGAGCCCGCATCGCCAAGTCAATCCTAAGCCAAAAGAACAAAGCTGGAGGCATCACGCTACCTGACTTCAAACTATACTACAAGGCTACAATAACCAAAACAGCATGGTACTGGGACCAAAACAGAGATATAGACCAATGGAACAGAACAGAGCACTCAGAAATAATGCTGCCTATCTACAACTATCTGATCTTTGACAAACCTGACAAAAAGAAGAAATGGGGAAAGGATTCCCTATTTAATAAATGGTGCTAGGAAAACTGGCTAGCCATATGTAGAAAGCTGAAACTGGATCCCTTCCTTACACCTTATACAAAAATCAATTCAAGATGGATTAAAGACTTACATGTTAGACCTAAAACCATAAAAACCCTAGAAGAAAACCTAGGCAATACCATTCAGGACATAGGCATGGGCAAGGACTTCATGTCTAAAACACCAAAAGCAATGGTAACAAAAGCCAAAATTGACAAATGGGATCAAATTAAACTAAAGAGCTTCTGCACAGCAAAAGAAACCACCATCAGAGTGAACAGGCAACCTGCACAATGGGAGAAAATTTTTGCAATCTACTCATCTGACAAAGGGCTAATATCCAGAATCTACAATGAACTCAAACAAATTTACAAGAAAAAAACAACCCCATCAAAAAGTGAGTGAAGGATATGAACAGACACTTCTCAAAAGAAGACATTTTTACAGCCAAAAAACACATGAGAAAATGTTCATCATCACTGGCCATCAGAGAAATGCAAATCAAAACCACAATGAGATACCATCTCACACCAGTTAGAATGGCAATCATTAAAAAGTCAGGAAACAACAGGTGCTGGAGAGGATGTGGAGAAATTGGAACACTTTTACACTGTTGGTGGGACTGTAAACTAGTTCAACCATTGTGGAAGTTGGTGTGGTGATTCCTCAGGGAGCTAGACCTAGAAATACCATTTGACCCAGCCATCCCATTACTGGGTATATACCCAAAGGATTATAAATCATGCTGCTATAAAGACACATGCACATGTATGTTTATTGTGGCACTATTCACAATAGCAAAGACTTGGAACCAACCCAAATGTCCAACAATGATAGACTGGATTAAGAAAATGTGGCACATATACACCATGGAATACTATCCAGCCATAAAAAATGATGAGTTCATGTCCTTTGTAGGGACATGGATGAAGCTGGAAACCATCATTCTCAGCAAACTATCGCAAGGACAAAAAACCAAACACCGCATGTTCTCACTCACAGGTGGGAATTGAACAATGAGAACACATGGACACAGGAAGTGGAACATCACACACCGGGGACTGTTTTGGGGTGGGGGAAGGGGGAAGGGATAGCATTAGGAGATATACCTAATGCTAAATGACGAGTTAATGGGTGCAGCACACCAACATTGCACATGTATACATATGTAACAAACCTGCATGTTGCGCACATGTACCCTAAAACTTAAAGTATAATAATAATAAAAAATATATATAAATAAATGATTTATAAGATATAAAAAAAGTATATGAAAAATTAGGTAGAAGGTAGAAGGTACAGATTTTATCACCTAAAGTTTACCTTTTTAAAATATAGTTTGGCCAAGTAGCCAAAGTGGGTTGTCCAGCTAACAACTAAGTGACAAATGTGCCAGAAAATATAGTCATCGGCATTTTATAAGACAGATACAAAGATTAAAATCCCAATGTTTTAGTAATTATAAAAGTCCAATAACAAATCCTAACAGGAAAAAAATGGAATAGCATGGAAATTCCAGAAAAATCAATATTATGTGGGAAGTGACAGCCTTGTCAACAAAGATAATTTGTATTCAATTGTATTACTTTTTAAAAAATTATTTATATCAAGTCAACAATGAAAAAAACTCAATTTAAAAATGGGCAACAGAATTGAATAGATATTTCTCGAAAGGTATACTAATGGCTAATAAGCGCATGAACAGATGCTCAATCTACTAATCATTAGACAAATGCAAATCAAACCACAATGAAGTAATACCACTTCACGCCCTTTAGGATAGCTAAGGTCAAAACAAAAAATCTGCCAAATGGAAAGTAAGTGTTTGTGAAAATGTGGAGAAATTGGAACTCTCATGTATTGTTGGTGAGGATGTAAAATGGTGTAGCAACTATAGAAAACAGTTTGATGGTTACCCAAAAAATTAAACATAGAATTAATATATAATCTAGCAATTCCCTTCAGGATACAGAAATACATCATTTTATTGCATTTTGCAGATATTGAATTTTTTACAAATTGAAAGTTTGTGGCAGCCGTGTATTGAGCAGGTCTGTTGGTGCCATTTTCCAACAGCATGTGTTCACTTTGTGTCTTTGTGTCATATTTTGGTAATTCCCACAATATTTCAAAGTTTTTGTATTATTATTACATCTTTTATGGTAACCTACAACCATCTTTGATGTTACCACTGTAATTGACTTGAGGCCCCACAAAGTGCACCCATATAAGATGGCAAATTTAATCAATAAATGGTGTGTGTGTGTTTGTGTGTGTGTGTCCTGATAATTCCACTGATGGCCATTCCCCCATGTCTCTCCTACTCTCTGGCCTTCCAGTTCCCTGAGATGCAAAACTATTGAAATTAGGCCAATTAGTAACCCTACAATGGTCTCTATGTGTTCAAGTGAAAGGAAGAGTCACATGTCTCTCATTTGAAATAAAAAACTAGAAATGATTAAGCTTAGTGAGGAAGGCATGTCAAAAGCCACAACAGGCCAAAAGCTAGGCCTCTTGTGCTAAAGAGTTGGCCAACTTGCGAATGCAAAGGAAAAGTTCTTGAAGGAAATTAAAAGTGCTACTCCATCCCGTTGTGCACATGTACCCTAAAACTTAAAATATAAAAAAAAAAATAAGTACTCTTAAAGCTAGCACTGTTTTGATCCCCATCACTGAAGTTTGCAACATTTACCTTATTTGTTCAATATAGTGCATTTTAACAGAACATGTTAGAAAAGACAGATTACTGCCACAGATGAAAACTGGATGGTTTTCTTTTGTTTGTTGAAAACCTTATTACTTTGACAGCTTGAGATTCTGGAGACATCACCTTTCTATGTACTTATTATTATTATTTTAAACAATCAACAGTTGTTAAAATAAACAGTTAAAATAAAAGTTATTATTTTAAACAATCAAAATGCTTTAATCAGAACTTGTATGAAGAGTAGATTTGATGGACAATGTAAGAGGAAGCTTTGGAGCCTGATGAGAGGGACTCAAGGGGACTTTTTTGAGTCTTTGAGATGATGTCTCTGCCCATGCCCAGCCTGAAGAAGGGAATTCTAAGAATCACCATTAATTAATATGCATTCCTACCCTACTTACATATGGCTCTGTCAATACCAGTGGTTGAGTCTGATTGTTTTAACCAACTGTTTTGAGCTTGTCTTAGAGCTCACCCCAATTAAAACTTGTACTCTTCAAGAGCATTGACATAGATCTTGGCCTTCTATTTCCATTTTGTCTCTGTTGTTTTATTACAAAGTAACAATTTCTACATACTGTGGCTTCTACAGGTAGGCTTTATTTGTATCTGTGTACACACACACACACACACACAGTATTTTTATAAATAATACCAATTTATAATCATCTGGAGATTAATTTGATAATACTTTATGGTTGAAATTCTCTTACCTATTACCCAGCAATTCTGCTCCTAAGGGAATCATGCATGTATACAAGAAAACTTAAAAGGATATTTAATGCAACATTGTTTGTAATGGCAAAAAATGGTAAACAACGTAATTGTTCATCAGCAGGTAAATAAATGTACTATAGATTATATATGCAATACAAATAGGATTCTGTGCAACAGTTAATATGAATAAATTGGATTTGAAAAATAAATATGATAAATCTCAAAAATATAGTATTGAGTATTAAAAAAACAGAAAAAAATAAAAGTGCTACTCCAGAGAACACATATATGATTAAAAAAAATAAAACGATCTTACTGATGATACAGAGAAAGATTTTGTGGTCTAGATAGAAGATAAAACCAGCCACAACATTTCCTTAAGCCAAAGCTGAATCCAGACCAAGGCCCTAACTATTCAATTCTATGAAGGCAGAGAGGTGAGGAAGCTGCAACAGAAAAGATGGAACATAGCAGAGGTTGGTTCATGAGGTTTGAGGAAAGAAGCTTTCTCCATAACATAAAAGTGCAAGGTGAAGCAGCAAGTGCTGATATAGAAGTTGTTTTTTATATTTGAGCAAAGAAAGTGCTTTCTTGAGATAGAATCTACTCCTGATGAAGATGCTACGAACATTGTTGAAATGACAACAAAGGATTTAAAATATTACATACATTTAGGGGGTAAAGCAGCAATTTTGAGAGGATTGACTCCAATTTTGAAAGAAGCTCTACTGTGGGTAAAATGCTATCAAAAGGATGGTGAAAACGTTCTGTTGATGGATGATGGTAATAGTTGCACAACAATATTAATGTATTCAATGCCACTAAACTATACACTTAAGTTGTAATGGTAAGTTTCATGCTATGTTTTACCACAATAAAAAATCGACTTGTGGTAATGTTAGATTTTGATCTGAACTGCTAAACATCCCTAACGTTGTCCTGTCAAGGGGAACCTCAGCCACCATGAAGCATATGACAAGAAGCCTCCACAAATATGAGCACTTCCCCATTTTACTGGCAAACAAGTGATGGGTCTTACTTGACCAGAATTCTCCCTTCTTCCACATAGTCTTACAGCTGTTTTAGGGGCAATGTCGAGACCTCATCTACAAGGATACCAGGGCACAGCCAAGGTTCCCTAGTGCCTGTTAACATGATGTTTCTCTTCCTGGTCAGGCCATATATTCCTTCTCTGGAAATTGGTAGGAAGGTACAGTATCTGTGAAGGTTATTCTGTATAATACTTTAGGATGCCTTAATTACTAGTTATAAATATGTTCTCTTGTATATTATGACTTGTTTGTCAGTCTGTACTTGCTCATGCCTTATTGCATGTCGTGTAAAGAAATTTTCATCTATCATCTACTTACTTCCTGTAAGGGGCACTCCTATTTGTTCATTCATTAATATGCTCTGCAGATTCCTTCCATTTTCATGCTCACTCTGTGACTGAGGGCCTAAGTAAGCCACATGGTGCATCAGCTTGGAGACAGATAAGAGGCAACCAGAATCCAGCTGTCAGCACTGTTGTTATTTACCCCAGTGACTATGCCTGTATTTCTCATGCTAGAGTTCTTCCTAGTGAGCGTCATTTTGCCTATCTCCAACAGTGAAAGCACTTGGCAAGTGCCTAACTGTCTTCTCTAAGTCTGAGTAAAATGGAGACAATTATTCTTCCTGGGGTTTTGACAATTAAATGAGAGAAAACATGGCATACAGTTAAACGATAAAGACATTCAATAAATGTTCTATGAGTATATATATGAGTTATGTATCAGACACTTTTTGTGTGCAAATTTTAATCCCTTAGTAACCCTATATGAAACATTTATCCTAGTTTTACTGATAAAGAATCTGAGGCTTGGAGAGGTTAAATGAAATATCCCAAGTTACACAGACTAATTTTACTTCAAGTCTGTGGAATTCCATGTTCCCAGTATCACATCATCCTTTACCAAAGAGCTAATGAACTGAGAAAGATAACACTGTTGGAAATATCTGAGATGTATTAAGACCAACAGTCTTTTAATACTATTCAAATAGGATAGCAAATTGATTTGCCTTCTACCAAGGTTATCTCAGTAATACCTAGCAAGAGATTTGGAGTTTTGTGCATTCTCTTGACCTAAAATTCCATGAACTGATTCCAGTTAATAGAAACTAACTTTCAATTAATAGAAACTACTTCATAAGGAAGTAATGAAAGGACTTAGGCACAAAAATCTTCACTACAGTTGTCAGTAATTGTGAAAAATTACAAAGCACCTAAACATACTTAAGTAGGAAATCAGTTAAATTACAAAATCTAATAGAATGTTATGCCATTATAAGTCTTATAGATGTATTTTTGACACACACATAAATAAAAACAGCATGTACAGAGTAGGCTGTGCACATACAGAAAATCATCTAGAAACATATATTCTGAAAGGTGAACAACTATCTCTAGGTCACATGAGATTATGGGTCATCATTCTCTCTTATCTGTATTTCTGATTTTTCTAAAATAAATATATACTACTTATCTACTAAAAGCATGATTTAAGATGTTTTTACTAAAAGGATGAATAATAAGATATTGATTAAAGAAAAAATTTGGGAAATTATCATTATAAAGAAATAACTGACACATCAGAAATATTTAAGGGATGTTTCTATGATTAATAAAACTCTAAAGAGAAATTATGAAAGGAAATTAACAAGGAAATACCACATTCTTCTGATTAGAGAGAAAGTACAGGGCTCCAAATGGGATAAATGTCAAGGAGCTTCCCTGATTTCTATTTGACCTCACATATAATGCAAGAGTACATCATAACAAAGCCCTGAGCAGCAGAGTAGTATAATATAAATGAGCATTTCCAAATATATCCTATGGATAATACAAGTCCCCCCAGATGAATATTAGTAATATCAGTCTATGGTCAAATAAGCTTGTGAAGTGCTTGGTTTTAAAAAAGCTAAACCAATTTCTTTACTGCAGGATTTCTCAAACCCTTTGATATGCTTCATGCACTATGAGTCACCAAAAACAGATATAAGATGCATGCAACGTTCACTAAATAAATGGAATTACATCATTACTGTGGCTTCTCTTTCCGAAATAATATTCCAGAAGACACTTCGAAAACCTGGATTTAAGGAACACATGGAGGGAGCCTACATAACTGAGCAGAATACTCACCAAAGGCAAGTGAAATTGAATATATGAAGTTTACATAGAGGGATTTTGAAAAATATCAGACAAAAACTAATAGGAGAAATGAGGAGGCTGGGGCTGGTAAATATAAAGAGAAGACAGATTCAGGGTAGGCTAAAACTGTCAGATTTTGATAAATAAGATTACACTGAGTCAATTCAGACCTTCAAACCTGAGCCCCTAAGTATCACTGACTGACTACTTTCTTCTCTCTGGGCTATCCTTACTTAAATATCTAATACAAACTAATATTCTTCTGTATGACAAGATATTATAATAGGAACCCTCTCCCTGTTTTGGCTGAGACCTCAGAGAGATAGGTACCTACTATTGCCACATTCTCAAGCAGCATGCTACGCTGTGCAGGGCTTCTAAAAAAGCAGCAAAGAGCCAAGTTTGTAACACTTTCCAGCCTTTTAGAAAAGATAAGGAAGCTGTATTAGACTGTTCTTGCATTGCTACTACCTGAGACTGAGTAATTTATAAAAAATTTTTAAAAAAAGGCTTAATCGGCTCACAGTTCTGCAGGAAATACAGGCTTCTACCTCTGAGGAAGCCTCAGGAAACTTACAATCATGGTGGAAGGCAAAGGGGAAGCCATCTTCACATGGCAGACAGGAGAGAGAGAGAACCGGGAGGTGCTACACACTTTTAAACAACTAGATCTTGTAAGAGCTCTATCACGAGACAGCATTAGGTGCTAAACCACTAGAAACCACCCCCATGATCCAAATTCCCTCCAACCAGGACTCACCTCTAATACTGGGGACCACAATTCAACATGAGATTTGAGTGGGGACATAGCTAAGCCATATCAGAAGCCAAATGGTGAGAAAACTCCTTTAGAGAGAATTGTTGGTGGGTTATGAGCCTTGGGAAACAGGTCCTTCTACTTTCCTCAAACCTTGTGAGGGAGTCTTTAGAAAGACCACTTGAAGGGCTTAATATGTATCCTTGGGTTTGCAGATACACAGTATAATTTCCCAATAAGTTTCAGACACCAGGCTGAAAGTAAGACACGTTGTGTGGAGCCCCTACTTTGAAGACAGAGCAAGCATGATAGCCATATTTGGGACAGCATATATCTTGGCCAGCTCAGGCTGCTATAATAAAATAGCATAACCCAAGTGGCTTAAACAACAGACATTTATTTCTCACCGTTCTGTAGCTGAGAGATCCAAGATCAAGGTACTGACTGGTCAGGTTCTGGTGGGGGCCCTTTTCCTCTTTTGTAAGCAACTGTCTTCTCACAGTGTCCTCACATGGCAGAGAGAGGAAGGAGAATCAAGTTCTCTGGTGTCTCTTTTTATAAGGACACTAATCCCAACATGGGGGTCCCACTCTCATGACCTCATCTAAACCTAATCACTTCTCAAAGGCCATGCCTCCTAATACCATTACCTTGTAGGTAAGGATTTCAACATGAATTTAGTGGGGACACATTCAGTCCATAACAGTCTGTAATTCCAGAGTTGCTTGGGACAAGGGATGTGTTAATGCTTCTCCTGGACTAGGGATGGTCAAGGGTCAGAATCTGCCTGCCTGGGGGACTAGGAGGTGTGGGAAACCCAGTGCATAAAAGCTAAAGTTGTACTGCCAGAAGTTTGAAGACTGAAGAAGGAGTTTTAAGCACCAGCTAAAGAAAATAGTTATTGAACTACAGATAGGGGGCTGCTGTAGTTTGGTGGGGAAGAGGTCCCTGAAGATCAACAAAGCATCCCATGAAGCTCAGCTTTAAATATACACTAAGGGTAGAAGAAGCCAAATCTTTATAAATTGGGGTCAGCCATGCAAAACCTTTCCTGGTTATTACCCATTTCTCCTTTCCCTATGGTTCAAACCTGGGATATGGTTCAGAAGCCCAGGATAGAAAGTGAGAAGGGAAGAGGAGCTGGCATGGAAAAGAGAGGGAGAAAAAGAAACCTAACCTGAACCCACTCCTCTGACAGAAGATAGAAACTGAAGTAGAAGAGAAGTTTTAACTTAGTTTTGACTATTTCATGATTCTCAATGTTTTATTCACTTAAACTAGACTCTTTGAATAGGGGAAGAAGACTTAATATCTGAGCATTTAGATTTTAACCAAAGGCAAAGAAAAAACTTTTTCGTAGAAAAATTTTGAATGAGAGATGGTGATGAATAAAATGATTTCCAAGTATGCCGTAAATGTTTTGCTCCTTCAACACAAAAGTTAAACTTATAATCCTTGAGGAGTAACTAGAAATTCATTTTTATTCCTCACTATTTTTAAAGACCAACTGCCTCTGTTTCCTTACTACCCACTTAGTCCTTGCATCCTTGAAACTCTTTATCTATAGAAATTGCCAATACAAGTTACTGTTGAGTTCCATCAAATAAGTTTTTTTAAGAAAGAATCCCATTATAATGTAAACTATTTTAGAAAAATCAAATCCAGCCTCATGCTAGAGAACAATACATCATGTCATAGTTGGTTTTATCCCCAAAACACAAGAAGAGTTTCCTATTAGGGCATTATTAAAATAATTCATCACATCAGTCAAAGGAGGAAAAATGATGTGATTATTATAAAATTCATAAAATAATTACTGATTTTAACAAATCTTAGAAAATGAATAAGACTCATGGCTTCTTGTGATAAGGATCCTCTTAGATTGAACATTTGACAGAATTGTGCATGTGAACCTGGCCAGATGTTTTGCTGCTTGACTATGCCACCCACCTATGATGAGGGATTTGTGTCTAGGTTACACAACCATAGATGCTGTGATAAAAAGCTGGCAACACAATACCCTAATTGCTTCCAAGAAAACTAAGTAAACACAGTGTCATCTCATGGTATAGTTGGAGAAGGGCAATGATTCTCTAACCTAGCTGCACATTAAAATCACCTGGCCGACTTTTAAAACATACTGACACAGGAAGTACAGGACTCACCTCAGAGATTCAGATTCAATTCACCTAAAGTAAGGCCAAGGCCTTTTTGTTTTTAAGTTTCCCAGGTATATAGTACAACCGACCCTTGAACAGGGCAGGGATTAGGGGCACTGACTCATACAGTTGAAAATCCACATAGGACTTTTGACTCTCCACATAAACTTAACTAATAGTCTACTGTTAACTGGAAGCCTTACCAATAACATAACTCAGTTAGCACATATTTGGTATGTTATATGTATTATATACTGTATTCTTGCAATAAAGTAATCTGGAGAAAAGAAAATGATATGAAGACAATCACAAGGAAGAGAAAATATATTTACTGTTAAGCATAAGTGGATCATCACAAAGATCTTCATCCTTGTCATCATCACACCGAGTAGGGAAGGAGGAAGAAGAGGGGTTGGTCTTGCTGTTTCAGGGATGGCAGAAGTGGAAGAAAAACCTCATATAAGTGGACCCAGGCAGTTCAAACCTGTGTTGTTCAAAGGTCAACTGTATTTCATCATAAAACAAAGGGGATGTGATTTATTCCTTGGCAGCTGCAAATCTGTGGCGTGGGAAGGCTTTTGAAAACTAATGGTAATTTTCCCTCTCATCAAAGATATACAATCTTCTAAATTGAACAGTCCTACTCAATAATTCAGAAAGTAAAGAAACACCTTTCTTCAGGACATATCTGGTTTCTGGTTATGTACTTACTTCAAAAGCTATGTTTTTAGTCCCTCTGAACTTTATTTTTTATTTTATTTTATTTTTGAGACAGAGTTTCACTCTTGTCCCCCAGGCTGGAGTGCAATGGCATGACCTCAGCTCAGTACAACCTTCGCCTCCCGGGTTCAAGCGATTCTCCTGCCTCAGCCTCCCGAGTATTTGGGATTACAGGCACACACCACCGTACCTAGCTAATTTTTGTAACTTTAGTAGAGATGGGGTTTCACCATGTTGGCCAGGCTGGTCTCAAACTCCTGACCTCAAGTTATCTGCCCGCCTTGACCTCCCAAAATGCTAGGATTACAGGCATGAGCCCACCATGCCCAGTCCCTCTGCACTTTAAAATCCTCTTACACTTCAACATCTTCACCTTCCCATGACTTCATAGCTAACCTTTATAATTTTAAAACTATTACTCTCTTCAACAAAAGAAGGCAAAGGCAATGACTAATTAGTTAGAGAAACTTCAAATTTGTATTTTTGAAGGCAGGAGTAGAGGACTTACAAGATTAGACAAGGCACATGGCATACATTCATGTTGGCATAACAAGAGCTCTTGAATTGTTTTTCCAAGTCAATGTGTTTGCCAGGTAAAAGAAAAAAGGGAAAAAAAACTGCCAGGGAGGCAGGAATATTTCAGCATGAACTCCTAGCTGTTTCATACATAAGCACAAAAACATCTTCACACTGAGTACATAAACTCTACTAAAGCACTCTCTCTGAAGAGAAAAACATCCTTCAACCTTGATGCTATTTCTCTAATGACTTAGGAATGTGATCTCTAATCACCACTGAAAGCCGCACAGCAAATGCCCTGGGCTGGGTTTACATCCTACAGTGTTTTGTTCGATTTCTTAATTTTTGCAAAATTCTTTGAACTTTTACTATGTTTATTCTACTTAAACTAGATGGTTTGAACTAGTTCCTCACAAGCCAGGAATGTCCCTTTGTATCTTTATCCCATAGCAACTGGTACCAATTAGCACTCAATAATAACTCAACAACAGTTGCTTAAAATCTTCTTCTTCTTCACCCTAAAGCAAGATCTCACATGAATACAAACCTAAATAAACAGTCCTTGGGTAAAGAGCATCTCCTCAAACTCTATTTGTTGGAAGACTCTGTCCTGTTAAGATACGCAGTTATAGGAGAAAATGGAGGGGCAACCACAAGTGGTAGACAAGGTGGCTTATTCATTTTGGGAGCATAAGAAGAAAGCTCCCTTGCTTTCTCCATTCTCCAGCAATCTCCATTGCCATAAGTGGCTTCAAATGGCACCAGAAACAGCCAACACCACCAAGGGAGGAGACCAAATCCCAGAAGGAGAATAGGCTGAGTGACTGTGGCTGTCATATTGATTTGTGGCTAGATGAGCCTCCTTTGGAGGAAACCCAGAAATATTAGGAGAAAAGATCCCTTTGAAAGGTATGGAAAGTCTTACACAGGGAACTGGAGGCAAAAACAGGAACTCTGACTTGCTACTGTCACTGTGACCCTGTTGTTACCCTCAGGCAGGTGAAATATGGTCATGTTGAGTTGTAACCAAAAGGGAATGCCAGAGATGTACCAGCGTGCTTTCTCCTGATGCTCTTAAGCCCAAAGTCTGCCATTTCTACCCCTCCCAGCTTCCCCAAATTCCTTCTCCAACTGCACAAACCATACATGGGGAAGCATGAGGTTTGCAGAGCCAAGACTCAAACCTTAGTTTGTGTGATGTATTCAAACCCATATACTTGCTTGCTGCCATACATGCTGACATAGGTCAAATGTGCATGAAACTGAAACATAAATTAGACTGCACCTTTTGTGGGATTTACTACTATTAAAAATAAAGTATCCAAAAATGGAAATTCAACAAAAGGAAGGCTGTATATTCTTTTAATGTCATACTGAAACGTCATCTGACGGGTCCACCCAAGAATTATTTAATCTTGTGGGAGATGTACCTTTCTTTGAGTTGCTATATAATGTCGATTCTGTGAGGATATGTAAAAACTTGTAGATTTTTGTCTGGTAGAGATGTAAACAGATTTCTGTTCAGTAGAAAAAACCCCAAAAGTACAATGTTACTGCCCTTTAGAACTTTGGCCAGTTATGCCTCTAACTTAGCCAACTCATTGTAACATGCCATTCCCAACAAACTATATAATGCAAAAGCCCTTTGAATTCATTTATCATCTGCTGTCTCCATCATTGAGTTAAATAAATTTTTTTACAAGATTTCACTAAGTATTTATATGTGTCATGTTAACATTGTTGAAAATTATACTTTGACACTAAAATATACTGCAAAGATTTGAAATAGGAAGTTATTTTATTAAGTAGGGGGCAAGACCAAGGTAAGGTAAGGTTTCATGGATGAAAAGTCACTGATTGGGACCTGGAGGGTTGGAAAAGATTTCACCAGTAGCTGTGGGAAGAAAAGTCATTGCTGGCACAACTTCAAACACATGTTTACATGGAAAGTTGACAAAGAGGTTCTAGCCTGGATAATTTAAAAACACTTACTTTAGATCCATTTCATGTAACCTTCTAAATAAAATGTCATCAAATGGGATTCACCCCTACATGAAAATAATACATTATGATTAAATAGAACTTATTCCACGAGGCAAGGAAGTTTCAACATTTGAAAATCTATCAACATACTAAACTACATCAAGAAATTACAGGAGAAATACCATGTGATATCAATAAATGCAGAAAAAAAGACTCAAAATTAAACCACCATTTCTAATAGAGATACTAAATAGATGAAAACTACTTAAATATAATAAAAATTATCAAGAATCAACAGCAGATACCATTATAAATAATTTTTAAACAAAGCCATTGTCATTAATGTCAAGAACTAGAGAGATGATTGCTACCATCATTATTGATTTACCATTGATAGCAAATGCCACACAAGTTTTAGAAAAAATAAGTATCACGTAAAAGTCATTGGAGAAAAACAAGGTTAATCACTTTACCGACAGGAATATATTAAAAAAAAGAAGAAGAGAGAATTAATATAAATGTGTGAAGTGAATAGGTACAGGATGATTTTTTAATCAATAAATTGTCCTTGTTTAGCAATAACTGAGAAATGGAAACAGGAAAGAATTTCTGTTTTTAATGACAACAATAACAAGAAAAGTGCCTAGGAGTTCATTTAATGAGAATTCGATATGAAGAAAGATCTATATGAAGAAAAGTTGAAATCCTATTGAAATACAAAAAATAGGATAGGAAGAAATTGAAAGATGCATACTATGTTCTTGGTTAGGAATATTATAAAAGTACAGATTCTTCCAAAATTAATACATAAATCTAATGTAATTTCAATTAAAAAACCTAACAGAGATGGTTATATTGTATTAAAGTTTTTATAGAATCTTAATTCCCTTGGATCCTATCTTGTGTTTTAATATTTTCATAGCCTTTATTATCTTCTAGAGGTATATAGGGGTATGTGTGTGTGTGTGTGTGTGTGTGTGTGTGTGTGCGCGTGCATGCATATCACATTTCCGCCAAGGGGAAAGTATGCTGTGGTCTCAAGTTTTCAGTCATCTTCCTACCTCTTCTGTGTGGTAGAAGACCCCAGTGCAACAGAAAACTCTCTTCTGCACTAAAGGAGGCTGAGGAGGGATATTTGCTCTGGTTTGATGATGGAGGGAGGTGGGAGACAGACAGGGAGGGATGAAGAGGGAAAACAATAGTTTCAACTCTATGCTGGAGCTCTCTTATTTTTACTGAAATATCTAAAGGCAGTTTTACTCCTTAACATGATGACTCCCTGTCTTCTACACGATAAATGTACATTCACATTAATATAACTTAAATCTCATTTCTTACAAACAAGTAACCTTAGCCTAAAATAGCATGTGCCTGTCTTGGGAGCTTCCTTACATTGTACACAGTTTTCCTCCCTCAACTGATGATGAAGAACACCTTGTTCAAATGTCCTCTTTCTAATTCCTACTTCTCTCCTCTTGGTCCACAACTGGTTTGCAGTGTGACAGAGGTGTGGCAGCACCTCAGTTCAGGTACCCTCAATAAAATCAACTAAGGAGAAAAATGAACCTTTATAGGTCAAGTTGCCTCCAAAGATGCTTAGAAAGACTAAAGCACTGGGAAGTCTGACACTGACTTCTTGCCCCACTCCAGGTCATTTTGCCCATAATTCTTAGAGACTCCTTTTGCTTCTCAATGACAACATGCGTTTTTCTTGCTTAGTAAAAATGTTATGTAAGCACTGTTTTCTCTCATCAACACATTATTCAGAAAAGGACAGAAAATATTAATGTCTCATTCAAAGATTTCACTATATTGAAACTGCAATTTAAAGTTTTACAGAGGATAACAATTAATTTATTACAAGTCTGTCATTGCAACTTCTTAAAACCACAAATAGTATACTCTCTAGGCACCATTTTCTCTAAATTGTAGGGTTGGGGAGGGAGGCTTGCTGTTTTTTACATAAAAGAACTCTAATAGCTACAAGGACCCCTGTTGAAAATTAGCTTTTGTAAAATCAGCCATCTGTACAGACAGAAAGTACACAGACAGCTTAATTTGCCTAATCGACAACTTTAAACCTTCATTCCCAAACCCATAACACATTCCAACTCATTAAAAGTGGTATTGCCTATGTTTGTTATCTGTGAATAGTGCCAGCTGATGCTACAAAAGATAGCAATCTGAGCAAAGCATCCTTTTTGGGAATAAAACAACAGCTGCTGTCCAGGCAACAGTATTATTTATTATGTTCAATTACTAAAGCAAAAGAAAATATAAAGTGTCTGAAATGGGCCAGCTAATAAACACCCACTATTTACTGCTTAATCACCACCAGGAAATATTTTACATCATAAACAGCTGATAAAGAGAACATTTTTATTATTCTCACTAAACACAGAGGTGTTTCTCAGTCAAGACACTCAATTCATACTTTAAATCCCACTCCTCCTTCAACAAGAATCATTCATGAGCACCTCCTATGTGCCAGGCACTAATCCTTTCTGAGATATCCATATGTTCAACATTTAGTGAGTTCTAAATTTTTCATATTCCAAAACATATGATCGTTTTACATGAAATCTAATTTCTTATGATGTTAATCAGTAGATATATTCTTTAAATTAATGGTCACATTTTAAATCTAATCCCATTAGGTGAATTCATTTTAAGCAAATGTGAATTAGCTCCTACACCATGGACAACACAGATTTCCCTCTGGAATAACTGTCTCCTGAAGTCTTTCATTAAAACTAACCTCAAATAAAGCTCAAGGCAAGAAGAAACCCCCCAAATCGTTTTGCCACTCCAGAACCCACTTTGAAGCCCCAACAAGCGAAATGGAGTTTGAATAGTTAATTATATTCTATTAAACATGCCAATAGCTTTATCAAAATATATGTGTTTGCCAGGTTAGGAAGGCAGGTCGCTTACCTGTTTCCTGATTTCGACTTGCTCTGACAGCAAGGTTATTGGAAAGGTCAGGACACAGCGATGACTCAGTGCTGGGAGTACGTGGGTTTGGAATGGTTTCCTGCCTCTACATGAAGCATCACAGAAAGCCACCAAAATTGTTCGACTTCGGGAAATGGCGGGGGTAAGATGAACCCAGCTGGCAATACAGTAAAACTCACTTTATCCCACAACAGCACAGTCAAGCCAGCCTCCACTTCTGAGCTGTTTCACTAATTTCCTGAAAATCTTCTGAGACCTTATTTCATCTGTTAGAAGACAAACCTGATTTAAGTAAAGTTCAAAATCCTTTGGAGGCACAGGTGTTCAAACTAGAAAACATAAGAATCACCTGGAGTGTCTCATCCCAGTCCTTCTGAATCAATATCTTTGTGGGGTTGCGGGTGGGGAGTGCACTTGTTTATAAGTATTTCGGAAAGAGTTAATACTGTTGTAAAAACACTGATCTAAAATGCAAACCTACTCCCTAATGAACAGGTATAAGAAATGACTGCTTCATTCTTTTCACTAAAAGAAATCAGATAGGTGTTTAAAGTCCCTTGGAAGAAAAAGCTACCAAAAGAAAAAGAGTTGAGGTCTGTCTCTGGCTGACAGCTAGATCACTTTTAACTTTAACCCAGACCAACTAATACCAGCATTTCTTCAAATATGATGCCATCGACTCTACTTAGTTAAATCCTAGAAAGAAGAAGAGCGAGAGAAAATGTCACAACCCTAAAACTGATTTCCACCATTTTGAGCTTTTGGTACAGAAAAAGCTTGGACTAAGAGCATGATTCGGAAGAGAAGAGTAAAGGAGTTAGTGTTCCTCATAATCAGAGAACTGAAGTCCTTAAAATCAGACTCAGAGCTCCAGAATGGGTGAGACAAAAGCAGAATGTGTCAGATGCCAGCTGTGTCCTTCATATCTCAGACCTCAGCTTGGTGCTCCCCTTTGATTGGGAGAAAGTCCCATACACCAGCAGGCCACACCAACACACTCCTCTCATAAACCAAGGGGATATGAGGTCATCCTGTAGCCTACCTTCATCTTACCCACCTCCATCTTCCCCTTAGTTTTTGCAAAGGTGTGGTGTAAGCCAATGCCATTTTGCTGGAGCATGATTAACTGGAAATATATTGAAGTAAACATAAGCATTAACTTCACTTTAAGTTAATTGGTGGTTAATTTTATGTGTCAACTTTAGTGGGACCTGGAGTACCAAGAATAAACCTTATTTCCGGGTATGTCTGTGAGGGTGTTTCCAGGTGAGATTAGTATTTTAGTGAACTCAGTAAAGGAGATTCCCCTCCCCAGTGTGAGTGGGAATCATCCAATCCATTGAGAGCCTAAGTAGAACAAACAGGCAGAGGAAGGGGGAATTTGCTCTCTTGCCTGAATGCTTGAGCTGGGGCATCAGTCTTCTGCTCTTGATGGAGATTTACACTATTAGTGTTCTGGTTCTCAGAACTATTCCACCAGCTTTCTTGGGTCCCCAGCTTATAGACAGAAAATTGTAGGACTTCTCAGCCTCTATATTTGCTGAGCCAATTCCTTAAAACTTTTTAAATATACATACATACATACATATACATCTATATGTACATACATCTATATAGGTACATACACATATACTATTGGTTCTATTTCCCTGGAGAACCCTAACACACAAATCTAATCTGAACTCCAGACTAAATATCTAACAAGCATCTTAGAGAAGATAAGATCAATAGGCCAATATTTGGTCCTTTCAGTGGTTTGTCTAGGAATTCCCTTGGAGACACATCATTGCTGACCCTCTTTTGTCCCCTCAGCACAGGTTGGTAGAGCTGACATAAGTCTCTGACCAAGTCTTAAACCAAGCTTGTGGCAGGCAAGTATAAAATAAATCTGAGACTTCTGAGATCTAGCTAAGACTTCTTATGAAGAGATCAGAAACTCAAAATATTGACTACAGCTGGGACTAAACTAAAGTCAAAATACCCATGAAAAGGCTAAGCCTTGGCTTGAGCTCATCTGACCACAAATGGACAATGACAAGTCTGTCACCTCAACATGCTGGCCTCCTGGTCAATTAGAGTCAACATGCTGGCCTCCGGCAGAGTGGGAGACATCCAGAAAGGACAGCAGGAGGTATGGTAAGTGGAAGAGTCAGTAAACATCCTTGGATGCAGGTGACCCACAGGAGTCAATGTAAGCAAATAGCACCTAGGCAAAACTGCCCCGTAACTGCCAGAAATTATGGCGATACTTTTGGATCCCCACATTTGAAGAACAAAGGGTGTAAGTGGAAAATCCCTACTGAAAGCTAACTTATGTATTTATCTAACTTATTTATATATACTTACGTATGTATCTTATAAACGAGGCCTACCACTCACACAAGATCAACAAATGAGTCTACATATGGCAAGCAGCCTTGTCAGTTTCAGAGTGTAATTAGTATGAAGGCTAATTAATTTGGTTTTATCATATTTATATTGATTAGTATAAATCAGTAATGACTGCCTGTCCCATATTTCAGATATTCCCAGGAGTGATAAAAGAGAAATTAAATCGCCAAAAGTGGAGTTATACATTAGATCTAAACATCACTATGGCTCCTGCTTCCTTCCCACTCACTCTAAACCTCAGTGCCTGATGGCCTAGACTCTTTATAACTTGACGCTACCTTAAATGCCCGGTTATTTCCTAGCCTCAGCCTCTGTGCCAGGCATGAAAGCCTCTCTCTTTTGTGCAAGTCACCACACACGGTGCCTCCTCTCCTTTACTCATGCCATTCCTTTAACTTATCATTCTTGTCCCTCTGCCTCTCCTGGTGCACTTGCATGAGTTAAGTCTGTTTGGATTGCAAGCAACAGAAACCCAACCCAAATGTCTTAAGTAAAAATAAGAATGCATTGGCTTACATAACTAAAATGTAAAGAGTAACACTGGTTTCAGGCACAGCTGGATTCAGCAGCTCAAATGATGTCACCAGGTTCAGTTCCTCTGCATCTCAGCTCTTCCCTACACTGAGTTGACTCCATTTTCAGTCATGCTGCCCCTTGTGGAGGAAAATGACTGCAGTTGAAAAGAGAGGACCCTTCATGACAACTCAAAAAGTTCTTGATTGAGTCTTATTAGCTCCGATTGACCTGAATTGGGTCATGTGTTCATCCCTGAACCAACGGTGGCCAGAGGAAGGAATACATTGGTGACTTACCATTTGGTCATATGATACCCATGGAGACAAGAGTGGAGTCAAGGTCATCTGAAACACATGGGCTGAAAGTGGCAAAGTGGCAGTTAGTTCTCCAGAGCAAAATCAGAATATTGTTATCGTAAGAAGGGAGAGTGAGAGTTGGGGGCAATACAACAGAGACCCTCTCTACACCTATACATCTTTTGGGGCCTGGCCATGTTTCTTCTCTTCAGAAGAGTTCCAATTCAATTTTTTTATACTTACTGTGAATATTAAACTATTAGCTCATGTTTTAGAACTTTATTCACTAACTGACCTATGTGTGCCTATTTTATTTCTCCAACTACACTGAAAGCTCCTTCTGGGCAAAGACCATGGCATTTCTCTTTTTGTATTCTCTCACTGGCATTCGATAAATAATTAACTTTGTACCAGGCACCGTATCCTGAGAATTTCATAGGTGTGGTTTCGGCTTCTTAAAATCCCACAATCCAAAACCAGTCACAGTGAAGAAATATAGGTATCAAATGAAAAAGGCATTAGCCTGAAACAAGAAAACATTGATTTTTAAGGTGTTATTACTTACTACTACCTGTACCTACTTCCCCAAGAAGGTTTTCGTTTCATGTGTCTTGGAATAACATGACATAAAACTACCAAGATGATGGTACAAGATCAATGCTGTGTCCAAGGGAGAGATTACAGTCATGAGTTCTTAGTTTCTGTTTTGCTTGGGCCAGTAAAGCCCCTTCCTCATCCCTCTTTTCCACATATCACTAGAGACAGAAGCTAAAAACCATGGCTTCAGGCTGCTAAAATCCTAAAACAAAACAAAACAGAACAACCAAAACAAAATAAGTTGTGTTGGACAAGCTTGGTATAGATGTAGAAAGTGGCCCCAAATTCCCTGCAAGGAAAGGGACTTTGCCATATGACTATGGCAAAATTAGTTAGACATACGGTAAGCAGTGTTAGCCCTGCTGTAAACCTTGAATACAAATTCTACATTATACTATGATTGCATGGATAGTGATATAGTTTGACTGTGTCCCCGTAAAATCTCAATTTGAATTGTATCTCCCAGAATTTCCACGTGTTGTGGGAGGGATCTAAGGGGAATAATTGAATCACGGGGGCCGATCTTTCCCGTGCTATTCTTGTGATAGTGAATAAGTCTCACGAGATCTGATGGGTTTATCGGGGTTTCTGCTTTTGCTTCTTCCTCATTTTTCTCTTGCCACCGCCATGTAAGAAGTGCCTTTTGCCTCCTGCCATGATTCTAAGGCCTCCTCAGCCATGTGGAACTGTAAGTCCAATTAAACCTCTTTTGTTCCCAGTTTCAGGTATGTTTTTATCAGCAGCATGAAAATGAACTAATAAAGATAGTTTTAACAGCACTACTTCTTCTCACAGCCACCACCAACAAACACACAATAACAACCACAAAAATCCAGAGGATTCTCTTTCTCTCTTTGTGAGCTCTATGCTGCCTCACTTCCATCTTTAAAAAGAAGCAGAGGATCTGACTCCAGGCCAGTGTGATCCAGGGAGTCAGGTTGACAGGTTAATACATTCAAACTCTCTGCCCCTCTCCTTAGAGATTCTAACCTTGTTCTATGTCCCCATTGGGAATTGATTTGCCTACATGTCAGGGATTAGACTGTATTGGGAACCTCATGGTTGAAAGTGAAACTGAGCCCTGGCTTCCTGTGAAAGCATTCAAGAAACCAGTTTCTTGAAACTAGTACGATTCTAGCCCCAGCATATTTTCAGTTTCTGGTATTTCCATTAGGTAGAAAAAAAATAGAATCTTGAAGCCAGGTCTCTCTGTTTTCCCCTCTTTTAACAACTAAACTGCTTTATACTAGCTTTTCCAATTGTACATTTTATGAAGCAACAGGAACAAACTGTTAAATTGGTGGGAGGTCACAAAAAAAGTCCCAGGGACCCAATAGCCTGAGTTGTTCAGGTAGAGGATGCAGGTCCCACATCCTAATGCACCTTCTTAATCTCCTTGGAATCTTTAAAATGCTATTTAAATGTACTATGCTGCTTTCTAAGTGTTAACCATGACAGATATAGGCTCAAATTGCAGGCTGAGAAATGAAAGATTTGGAGATTTTAAAATAATAATATTGTCTCATATGTATTCTTTTTAAATAATTCAGCAAATACGTACTGAGTTCCTGCTGCATGATAGGCATCGTGCTAACAGCTGAGTACAACAAAGAACCAGTCTGACCGATGAGTTTCCCAATTAGTAAAGATTTTCTCCAGAGAGCTTTATAAACAGGGTGTGCTCTTCCACTCTCACTGTGAGCTTGAGTTGGGTAAGCTCACTAATCCAGGGATGCTAGCGCTATGATTCTGAAGTGCTCACCCACCCGCATAACCACATCCATCCACTCAAGACGCCCCTAAGGCTACGTACGGATCAGTCCCACTGACCAAGTTTCCTTTCTGAGTTTCCACAGGTGACATCTTCAGTTTCAAATCAAACAAGGTCATCTGGTAGCACATTTCTTAGGGGGGATTAATTTGTCAGACTGCAATTTCCTTGAGGACTTGCCTCACTGTTCAGATAATATCTGGTAAGCATGTCACTGTCTTCAGAGGAAGAGTGCAATATAAACACCAAACTTCTGGTGTGGTTGTTTCCTCGTTGTCTATATTCTCACTCTTTGAGTTCCCTTTATTAGAGTTTTTTTGCTTGCAGGATCCTGCATTCTTCCTGTTGGTATTTAATCTGTACGCAGAACTGGGCAGGGAGAGAAGGGTAAAAGTAGTGGCACATTTTGCCATGAGACAGGAGCCCAAATGCTCTGAGCTTCAGGATTTCTTCCAGTTCTATGATTTGAACAAGAGCAGACTGAATACAGGAAATTACATATAGCTAAAGCATTCTTTCTTCACGTCTGTTATGCCCTTGGTGGGCCCAATAGGATGCCAGTGGGGTTCCGGAGTCCAAGCCAATGGTACACAAAGTGACAATGCCTAAGGTGAGTTTAAATTCTACCCAGAGAAATGGATCAAAACCAGGAAAGTGTCACAAAAAGACAAATACAGTATGATTCCACTCATATGAGGTACTTAGAGTAGCAAATTCATAAAGACAGAAAGTAGAATGGTTGTCAGGGCCTGTGGGGAGGCAGCAATATTTAATGGGTACACAGTTTCAGTTTTGCAAGATGCAAAGAGTCCTGGAAATTGGTCTCACAACAGTGCGAATGTACTTAACACTGTTGAGCTGTACACTTAAAAATGATTCACATGAAAAATTTTATGTATATTTTACTACAATTTTAAGAAACAGAAAGGCCAAGTATTCTGGTAGATTAAAACTGCTTTAGTGATGTATGTTTATTGCAGCACTATTTATAACAGCAAAGACAAGGAGTCGACCCAGGTGTCCATCAACAATGGACTGGATAAAGAAAATTTGCTACAGATACACCATGGAATACTATGCAGCCATAAAGAAGTATGTTCTATTGGGTACACCTGGGCACAAAGGTGGGCACAATAAACACTGGGAATTTTATTTATTTTATTTTAAGTTCTGGAATACATCTGCAGGACATGCAGGTTTGTTACATAAGAGGGAACTTTAAAAGCAGAGAGGGAAAGAGTGGGGCAAGGGCTGAAAAACTATCCACCAGGTACTATGTTCACTACACGGGTGGCAGGATCATTAGAAGCCCAAACCTTAGCAGCACACAATATACCCATGTAACAAATCTGCACATGTACCCCCTGAACCTAAAATTTAAAAAAATTAATGCTTTAGTGAGGAAAAAAATGGAAAGCAAAGCCCCAAAACAGTCAGGAGCAGGGTACTCACGGGATGGGAGCAAGGGCTGCAGAGAAGAGACAGTGCCCAGGACTGTTTTTCAAAATCAAGGTTTTATGTTCAAAATTTGCTGTTATTGGGAGCTGACCATGCAATACTAGCTGGTTGTCCTGGTTTGGAGTCACCAGTCACAGTGGGCATATTAGACATTATTGAACACCTCCAGTCTGCATTAGAGAGGAGGCATGTACCTCAGAGACACGTGGTTTCAAATTTTAGGTCCAACTTCAGAACAGAGCAAAACTTTTCAAATTATGTTTAACATGTTATTCCTTTGGACCTCACCAAATTGATCAGGAGCTTCAGAAAGTAAAGCATTTCTTCTTTGGTTAATGGCCTCCAGGAAGCAGAAAGAGAAGGAAAGGATTAAAATGACATGGCAAAAAAAAAAGAGTCAAAGAAAAATATTGAGTGTTACATTGTTCCATAACATTTTTACTATTTATTTAGAAATTCTTTGTGATGTTTGCAATTTTGCTTCTCAAAAATAATCTGGTCACTCCAAATTTAGACCAATAAAGATTTTCAGGCTGGAAACCACTATACCACCCTCTTCAGAGTGCCATAAATGTGTCTCCTGGACTTCAAGCTCAACCTTTGCAAAACTGAAGATAGACCAAACATACTTTTCCTCCTGAGTTCTCTTTCCCAGTAATGACACCAGCATCCTCGCAGCCACCCTTGAACTTGAAATATTGGAGTCAAAGAACTTCTCCTCAACCCACACCAATTTGGTTGCCTAAGCCCTTCAACTGTGCCTTAAGGATACTTGCCACATCCATCTCCTCCTCTCCACTGCCTCTGCCTCTGATCTAATTCAGTTCTTAACATCAATCTTTTGCTTGGTATGCTGCTAGAGCTTCCTAAAGGGTCCCAGCTTTCACTCTCCTGGTTTCCACTCCAACTTTTTAATAGCCATGGGGGTTGCAAGCTTATACTCCCTCCTTAAATACCTTCAGTGGTTTTGTTTGGATGATCAAAGTCCAAAGTACTTAGTCTCAATTTTATGTTCCCACAAAAACTTTTTCAAAACTTCTCTCTTAGCCCCATCTTCTGCTATATCCTTTTAGGTACCTATGCTTTGCCATATCCAACTACTCACCATTCCCCAAACATGCTAGGAAATTGTACACATCTGTGCTTTGATTATATAAGCTCTTCCCTCAACCAGGATGTTTTTATCTTCCCCATCTTTTTCACTCATTGAAATTCTACCCATCTTTTATAGTGTATCACAAACACTATCTCCTCCATGAAACTTCTAAGATTTCTCATTGGAATGAATCATTTCTTGTTCACACTCAACTGCTATTAAATGCCTAATATGATATTTTGGGTACCAAGTCACAGGTCCTGTTTCAGAAAGCTAACAGTGAGCCATAAAGAAAACATACTATAGTTTTTCTGTTATTCTTGCCTATATTTGTTGTTTACATTTTTATCTTGCCAGTAAGATGTTAAATTTCTTTATGTTAGAAGACACATCTCATTAACTTCCTTTAAACCACTATTGATGTAGTAACAGTGTTTTGAATTTAATAGGTACTCAATAAAAATAAATGAATGGAATAATTCATCTTTACATCCTAATTTACTATGTCATTACGTTCTAGCCTTTTAAAGCAACAAAAGATATGATTTCACCTTTGTGTTTCATTCTTACCAAGGAATTCAAAGTTACTCATTTTGACACTTTTTAAGGCCAGTGGCTAGACACAACTTAATATATAATAAGTAGTAGCTTTTCTCTTTCCCAGCAACATCTAGTCAGAAGTGAGGGGGAAAAAATCTAATTCACATTAGCTACAAAATTGTAAAATATTTGAGAATAAATTTACCAAGAAGGATACAGCACCAATATAAAAACATAACTACAACATTTTATTGAAGGGCATAAAACTAGTTCTGAATAAATAGAAAGATATACCATGTCTCTGGAAAGTAATAATTAAAATATTAAAAATATAACTTTTCAAAATTAATACATAAATTTAAATCTACTCCACTTGGCAAAAAAAAAAAAAAATTCAGTGGATTTGCCAAGTTGTATAAAATCAAGCTATATATGCATCTCAAAAATGTTACATACATTCCTAAAAGTAATACTTATTTTTTAAACACCAGTGCCACTAGCCTTATGTACCAGAATATTATATGCAATCATATGGTATGGACATTTTCTAGGCATTTCCAAGAATGTTTTTAAAAAATTACATTCCTCCATAATGCTCTCTAGAGAGGCTGAATGTGCAGAAATTAGCAGCAAAATCTGCAGTTAATAATATATTCCAAATTCTTTTTTTTTTTTAAGATAGGTAACTATAGCTTTGAAGGACAACGCTGGAAAGAATTCCACAAGATCCATCAAAGAATCCTCTGCCATTTGTGAGCATTTGCCTTAACCAATGTTTAAAAGATGGTAGGAGGAAAGATGCAGGAGTGTCTTTGGTGGGTATCACAGATTATTATTCAGAACTATTCACACTCGCTATCTCAGACTTGGCCATGTGAATTGTTTTTGCCAAGAGAACATTAGCCGGTGTGACATGGTCAAAAGCTTGCAAATTACTTGCATAACTAGCCTTGCTCCCTTTCACTTCTGCCATTTCTATGAGAAGAGCATCCATGAGTGAGCCTAAGGGTCCAGGAAAAAGAAAGACACTTGGGAAACAACTGCTCCAGCAAGACCACCCCAACTGGGCACAACCTGAAAAAAAACCCATAGACATGTGAGCTAAATAAATGCTTACTGCAGTATGCTTCTTAGATTTGGGGCCTGTTTGCAATGCAACAATATAATACAGTAAGCTCCCTCCCCCGTGTCACTGTAATCTGGCAAACAACATCTTCATCCTCACTTTCAGGCTTAGTCCCACACCTAATATCTTGTGCTAGATATCTCATATTTGTTCCTTCAAATCCATGCCCCATCTTTCTCCAGCCTGCTTTCTTCTCAGGGACACTGACCTGGATGAACTGTGTTGACAGACTCCCTTTTCTCAGGTTTCCGGTAGGGCTCAGCCAATGGGAAGCCAGAAAAAAAAAGAGAGAGAGGGAGAGAGATTGCTAAGAGGGTGGAGAATGAGGTCTGGCATTTATTCCCTTGACTTCCTGCCTGTGATATCACCTTAGACTTGCTGTGTCTCTTGACCAAGCATCATTTCTCTCAAGGTGACTCCTCTGATTCCTTCTGCATTCTGGTAACAGCTCCCTCTCTTGTCTATCTGGGCCTAGAGTGGTAACGGTTCTACTGCCACTGATCCCAGGTTACTGCACCAATTCCTGGGGTCCCCTATTCCCCAGAACATTCACTTTTGCAGATGGTCCCCTTGCAAATAGATCTTTCTGGAAATGTCCTGATTTGTGTGTGTCACCTCTTTCCTGTTGGGATCCTGACTGATACATGTCCCCTCTGGATCTCTCACACCTTCTGCCTAGCATCACTTTTCTGATGACAGCTTACCTATTTTATTCTTCCTCTCATTTAGACTTTGACCTTATCAATCCACCCTGTCTGACTTAACGTCTCTTAGGTTGGACATGGTCAAAGAGTCAGTCATTGAGTATTTAATTGAGTATTTACTAAGTGTTACTAGGCAATAGAGATACAGCAGACTCTGCCTTCAAGGACTTCATCATATAGTCAGAGAAATAGACAAATCAAATTAAAATACAATGTGGCAAGAACAATAATAGGGATATGCACAAAATGCTATAGAAGCCATAGAAAAAAGGTTATGTAACACAGGACATCCATAAAAAGTAGGAGCTATGTCAGTAATGATGACAGAGATAAGGTAATAATGTGTGGGAACTGTAGAGACAATTAACAGTCAGGGAAATGCAGGGCTGTGTATTTCTAGGTGTGTACATTTGACCAGATACAATTATTTGTTTTACACATTGGAATTCCATAAATTATTTCTTTTTTATTGATACGTAATATTTGTACATATTTATGGGATACATGTGCTATCTTGACACGTGCATGCGATACCTAATGATCAAATCAGGGCATTTAGGATATTCATCACCTTAAACACTGATGTCTTTGTGTTGGGAACATTTCAAATCTTCTAGTTATTTTGAAATGTACAATGTATTATTGTTAACTGTAGTCACCCTACTGTTCCATTAAACACTAAAACTTATTCTTTCTATCTGACTGTATTTGTACCCATTAACCAACCTCTCTTCATTCTCCATCTCCCTACATATCCTTCCCAGCCTCCAGTAACTATCATTTTACTCTGCCTCCGTGAGATCAGCATTTGGTTTCCACACTTGTCTTTCTGTGTCTGGCTTATTTCAGTTAACATAAAGTTCTCCAGTTCCCTTCGTGTTTTTGTAAATGTCAGGATTTTATTCTTTTTTATGGCTGAAATAGTATTCCATTGGGTGTATGTATATTTATGTGTATATGTGTGTATGTATCACATTTTCTTTATCCAATCATCCACTTACGGACATGTAAGCTAATTCCATAACTTGGCTATTGTGATAGTTTTATAATAACATGAGGGTGCAGATATCCCTTAGACATATCAATTTCCTTTCCTTTCCTTTGAATATTTATTCAGTGGTACTGCTGGGTCATATTATAGTTCTATTTTTAGCTTTTTGAGAAACCTCATACTGTTTTCCATATGACTATATTAATTTACATTCCCACCAACAGTGTATAAGAGTTCTCTTTTCTCTGCATCCTTGCCAGCATGTATTTTTTGTCTTTTTGATAATAGCCATTCCTACTGGAGTAAGATAATATCTCATTGTGGTTTTAATTTCTATTTTCCTGATTATTAGGATTTTGAACATTTTTACATATACCTGTTGGCCATTTGTACATATTCTTTTTAGAAATGTCTATACAGATATTTTGCATATTTTTTAATGGGATTTTTTTTTTTGCTGTTGAGTTCCTTGTATATTCTAGATATTAGTCCCTTCTCAAGTACATAGTTTGCAATGTTTCTGCCACTTAACAGGTTGTCTTTTCTCTCTGTTGATTGTTTCCTTTGCTATGCAGAAACTTTTTAGTTTAATATAATCCAATTTGTTTGTTGACTTTTAGTTTTTGTGGCCTGTGCTTTAGAGGTCTCAGCCATAAAATCTTTGCCTAGGCCAATGTCCTGGAGCATTTTCTCTCTGTTTCCTTCTAGTAGTTTTATAGTTTTGGATCTTACATTTAAGTTTTTAATCCAAATAAATCATTTCTTTTGAACAAAAATTCAAAGACTTTGAAGCCTGAAAGCCTATAAATCAAACAATAATTGAAAAGAATTTGGAAAACTGGAACCGCTAAAATCTATGAACAAGAGGTAATAAAATCAGAAGAACTACACAATGGAACAGGAAATGATGAATATTTGTGTTGCTTGGAAATAATAGCATTAACTAAACTAGCTGTGAAACTGAAGAGTAGCTTTCAGCAACCACATACACTAGAAGGTAGAGGCAAAGGCAAAAGAAGCTCTGTTTTTTTTTTTAAATCAAGAATATATGTGGCTTGGTAAAATATCTGCTCCAATTACACTGGACAAGATTTACTACAAAAATGTTTTCTTTGCCTAACTAAGTTTTAAAGACTGGATTGTGCATAGAAGCATAATTAACACATATTTTTTAAAACAACTATTCAAAAAATCAATAAGTGGTTACTGCTCCTGTAATTTTGAAATGACCAGGGAGACAGTATATAGAAGCAGTGGATGGTTTGAGGAAAGGGTTCAAACATGTCTCTGGCCTAGGGAGAAGCAGTCCTCAGCAGAGAGGCAGAGAGTTTGTAGGAATTAACAGGACTCAGTAACTGCCAACTGTCATTATCTGAGCACCTATTCTTTTGTGCTTTCTGCTATGGAATTATGCTTATTCATATTTAGAGTTGACATTTATTAAGTCTTCTTACGGCCCAGGAATTATGCTATAAATTTTATTAATACAAGTAATATAAAACTGATCACTAGTAAACAAAATTATTAATTTTAAAAGATAATTATTGAAAACCTGTTATGTGCCAGGTATTGTGCCAAGCATTTTATATACTTATTTCCCATTTGTAATTAACTATCTGGGTTTTATATTCATCCACTCAATAAGTGTTTTACTCTTTCTTCCATATACATTTATATTATGTGAACTGTTTAAAAGAACACTATGAGTTTTGTAAATGAACAAAAAATACATAGACCCATACTAGTAGGAGACATTGAAGTCCCTGTGCTAACCTGGAGATAGAACCATGAGCAAAATGGGCAAGAGGACTGTCCTCATGAAGCTCTAATAAGGAAGACAGACAATTACAAGTAAGCAAGTAAATACCTAACATATTGGATGGTGATAAGTCAGGAAGTGAAGATAAATGAAGGAGAGTAAGGAAGGCAGATAAAGATAAGGAAGTGGGTGGGGGACGCTGGCTGGAGGGAGTCTTTTACACAAGGTAATAATGTGTGGGAACTGCAGGACTTATAGGAACTTATAGAACTTATAGGAAAGGTCTATATTTATGAAAAAGAGACATTTTAGCAGAGACCCGAAACAGGTAAGGACAGAATTTTTCCAAGCAAAACAGAGATAGATGTCATCATTAGACCTATTTTACAAGTGAGGAATCAGGACTGATAGAGACGGGCACAGACAGCAATGTTCATCAGATATTCCATTTGTTCCTCTACATTTCCCTGTCCCCTTTCAGTTACAAAGCATAATGACAAATTAACTGGAAATGGTTACAGTACAATATGTTAAGTTTGAGTAATGTGTTTTATTTTCAGAATCCTATGCCTTTTATTACAAAATTAACAATGTTTTGTAAACCACTCAAGCAATATAAAAGCATGCTAAGAGAAAGTAAAATTCTTCCTTAATCCAACTTTCCAAAGGTTACCATAATTAATAGCATGTGTCCTTCCAAATACTTTGTTATAACAGTATATTATTATATAAAAATAAGTATGTCCATTTCATAATATTTCTTAAAATTAGCTGAATATCAGTGGAGTGGCAGTTGAAGCGAGATGGACATTCTGGGGTAGGAGGTGTAGCAGTGCGGGTTTTGATACTGAGCGTCAGCACCTGTGATCCCTCTAATAGAGATTCAGAGTTTATAGAACTTGGCACTGGTGATGGTGGAACAATCTTCTCACTGAGCCTCTTTCTGGGACATAATTTTTGGGCACTGTTCTTTGCTGCTTAGCCTCCAAGCCTGGTTCTCCTCCAATCCTCCTTGCAATTCTGGACAATGCCCAATTTCGTTTGTAAATTGAAATGTTAAATTGCAAGTAGAGACTGAAAAGCACCAGAATCCAATTCTCAAAATATTCCTAAATGAGGAGCCAAACCAAATTGCAGAAATTTCCAAGCAGGTGGCTGAGAACCAACATGCTGTTTACACTTTAAAGAAATTGTTTTTCTGCTTGAATTAACCAGAGTTCATTTCTACTCATTGCAACTAAGCTACCTGACAGACACAATGACCTTAATTAACCCCTGGCCAGAGTTGATTGGTCAAAAGTTGGAAACCTCAACCCACCTTGACTCTCTTATTATCCAGTTCTGCATTATGACATTTAGTGGCCTAAAATGGTAATTTGTTATCTCCCAATGTTCAGAGGATGGCTGGACTCAACTAGGAAGTGTCACTTGGGATCCTTCATGTACTTGCAGTCAGATATCAGTTGGGCCTGCAGTCATCTGAAGGCCCAGCTAAGCTGGATGTTTAAGATGATTCACTTATATGCCTGGCAACTGTTGCTCACTGCCCAGTGGGTTTTCGGTTCAGGCTATTAACAAGTGCACGCTACATGGCATCTCCGTGTGGTTTGAGCTTCTTGCAACATAGTGAGAAGTTCCGATAGAGAGCATCTAATAACTAGAATTCCAAGAACCCCAGGTGGGAAGCTGCAAGGCTTCAAAATTCACACAACATCACACCCCATTCAAGATAGAGTCACAGAAACAGCTTAGATTTGGGAAAGGGACCTGTAGTATAAGGGCATGTGGCCGGCAGAAAAATAGTCCTCCAAAGATGTCCATGTTCTAAGCCACAGAATGTTACCTTATATGGCACAAGGGGCTTTGCAGATGTGATTAAGTGTATAAACCTTGAGATGGGGCGATTTTCCCTGTGCCCAATTTAATCATGTGTGTACTTAAAAGTGGAGAAATCTTTCTCAGCGCCAGAGAAACAGAGAGAAGGCAACATGAAGACTCGGCCTGTCATTGCTAGCTTGAAGATGGAGGAAGGGATCTCCAAACCAAGAATGCAGGCAGCCTTGAGAAACTAGCAAATGCAAGTAAATAGATTCTCCCCTAGAGCTTCCAGAAAGGAATGCAGCCCTGCTGGTATATTGATGTCGGCCAAGTGCTACCTGGGCTGGACTTAGGACCTACAGAATAGTAAGATAATTCATGTTAACCCACAAAAACTATAGCAATTTGTGATAGCAGTGATAGGAAACTAATTTACTAGAAGGCATGGCTCATTGGAATATTATCTTTGAACACCAGGTACCACACCTGACCTATAAGAGCCCTTTCTTAGAAGTTCAAAATTACAGGTAAAAAATCAACCTCTTAGGTGAAAAAGATTTAAATCCACAAAAATGTTGGTGGCAGTCTGTTTTCTACCCTGTGCTCTGTAATTGAAATACTGTATAACACTTACAACTTTTGAAATGAATTAATGATAGCAATGCTAATTGAAAATGAAAACTCTCAGACACTTAACCTGTTATTTGATCTCCATTGTACAAAAGAGGCTTTATCAATTTACTGGAACAATCAGCCTATGTCTTCCAACAATTAGACCATTTAAATCTAGAGATAGTCATTTGCTTTAATAAGTAAGTTCCTTAGGTAAGAAAGAAATATATACATATGCTTTGGTAGATATAAAATAAGTGTTCAAATGTAACTAACTTTAAGCAGGAACTAGACAGTGTGAACTGGGATATCTGGATAGGGGAGTCTAAGAGACTAAGAAGTTAGGCATCTGAGTTACCCACCTGACCCAAAGGCAACCAGGCTATAGCAACACACAGATAACAAGTTGAGGAAAGAAGAAATATTCCGGAGTTTTTTACACAAGTTTTTCTATAAGTCTGGTTATAGGATAGTAAGATAAAAATCAGCTGAATTCTCAATATTTAGTTTTTTTTAGTGGTTCTGTTATTCAAACAAACAAAAATTGAAATATAAATTTAAAGAGTGTGGGATTGTCCTGTCTCCAATCACTACTTTACTCTTCTCCTTCCTACTCAACAGCACTTAACTTCCCCAGAAAATGCATAATGAGATGCTCAAGATTATGTTAGTGGAAAACTGCTTTTTTAACTTATTTGGAATAAACAATGTTTACCATGAAGATTTTAAAAACTAAGCCAGAGTCTTCCTTTGATACTAACAAAATATTGGTGAACAAAGGAAAAGCTGTGTTTTAAATGAAACTGGATCCCTTCCTTACACCTTATACAAAAATTAATTCAAGATGGATTAAAGACTTACATGTTAGACCTAAAACCATAAAAACCCTAGAAGAAAACCTAGGCAATACCATTCAGGACATAGGCATGGGCAAGGACTTCATGTCTAAAACACCAAAAGCAATGGCAACAAAAGCCAAAATTGACAAATGGGATCTCATTAAACTAAAGAGCTTCTGCACAGCAAAAGAAACCACCATCAGAGTGAACAGGCAACCTACAGAATGGGAGAAAATTTTTGCAATCTACTCATCTGACAAAGGGCTAATATCCAGAATCTACAATGAACTCAAACAAATTTACAAGAAAAAAACAAACAACCCCATCAAAAAGTGGGCAAAGGATATGAACAGACACTTCTCAAAAGAAGACATTTATGCAGCCAAAAAACACATGAAAAAATGCTCATCATCACTGGCCATCAGAGAAATGCAAATCAAAACCACAATGAGATACCATCTCACACCAGTTAGAATGGCGATCATTAAAAAGTCAGGAAACAACAGGTGCTGGAGAGGATGTGGAGAAATAGGAACACTTTTACACTGTTGGTGGGATTGTAAACTAGTTCAACCATTGTGGAAGTCGGTGTGGCGATTCCTCAGGGATCTAGAACTAGAAATACCATTTGATCCAGCCATCCCATTACTGGGTATATACCCAAAGGATTATAAATCATGCTGCTATAAAGACACATGCACATGTATGTTTATTGCGGCACTATTCACAATAGCAAAGACTTGGAACCAACCCAAATGTCCAACAATGATAGACTGGATTAAGAAAATGTGGCACATATACACCATGGAATACTATGCAGCCATAAAAAATGATGAGTTCATGTCCTTTGTAGGGGCATGGATGAAGCTGGAAACCATCATTCTCAGCAAACTATCACAAGGACAAAAAAACAAACACCGCATGTTCTCACTCATAGGTGGGAATTGAACAATGAGAACACATGGACACAGGAAGGGGAACATCACACACCAGGGACTGTTGTGGGGTTGAGGGAGGGGGAGGGATAGCATTGGGAGATATACCTAATGCTAAATGACAAATTAATGGGTGCAGCACACCAACATGGCACATGCATACATATGTAACAAACCTGCACATCGTGCACATGTACCCTAAAACTTAAAGTATAATAATAATAATAAAAATGTGCGCATCTCTATCCTTCTCATTTAGACAGGGGACAGATACTTAAAAGCCAGGAAAATGTCAGAAAGTTACTTTATTAAAATAAGCTCAAGTTAGTTTTATAGGCAAGATTAAATTAGTGAAGCTCCTGAGTGATCCAAGAAGATAAAGGAGTTCAAACTTCATAAACTCACTTGTAGTACTGTTTATTATAGTTATTACACAGCTGAACTTGTTAACTTGTTTTAGTTTCAAAAGAAAAACAAATACATCCCAAGAATCCCTTTATTGATTTTATGCTCTTCTAGCTTTATTTTTCTAATAAATGTTTTAAAGATTTCTTTTCTACTTTAGTCCTTTAAGAAATATTATATAGAGAGATGAAAAAATATGTCATCAGAGCTTTTGAAAAAATAATCCCTTTTCTATGACCAACCACTGCCCCAAAAAAGGGTGTTGGTTCCTGTTTCTTTCTATTTCAGTTAATTGCATAAGATAATCTCGCTCATCAGAACTGAAAGTCTCAGAGGCAAGAAACATTGACTCCTCTCCTTTCTTTCCCCTCCCACTCCCAGGAACAGTCAATCACTCACATTCAGTCCACCCCTCCAAGCCTTCTTTTCCATTCCCATTGTACTCCAGATTTCAGGTCCTTGTTACCTCTCGCCTGAACTATCACAAAAGCCTCCCAGCTAGTCTCTGCCTCTGGTCTTTACCTTCTACAATCCATGCCTTCACACAAAGTTAGATTCCTAAAATCCAACCTTGAGGGCAGAGTCTTAAATTCCTAATACCCATACTCGATCACTTCCTACAATGGCATCTGTTGTCCACAGAATAAACCACAAATTCTTCATAATAATACAAGCCCCCATAATTTGGGCTCAGTGTCTCCTATCTCATCCCTCATATTACTCTCCCACTCCCCATTCTCCCTCTCACCTATAGCCTCATCCCTAACAATACCTGAACATACACTGCAATTTTTTACCTTTAATTCTCTACATAGAATACCTTTCTTCTTTACCTCAGTGTTTTCAAATTCTGTCTTCTCTGTGAAGCTTTGACACTCACCCAAGTTGAAAAAATGTCTCCCACATCTATGTACTGAGCTACTTCATTTGTATGTTGGCTACATCCTCCATCACAGGCTGACCTGTGGTATATATGTTTGTGCACCTAAGAACAGGAATTGTACCTCACTCTCCATAACATAGAGCATTGCTTATATTAAACTTTGGTCAGTAAACTTTGGTGGAATTGAACTCAAAAGGGCCAAGCTAGAGAAAATAATGGAGTTGGGACAAGGGAAGGGATAGTCTACTAAAATGAAAGGTTATTGCAATTTGACAATTTCTAAGTTTATTTATGCCACAAAGAGTTTACCCAATAGCTACTGATTAGACCAAAGAAAAACTAATCTCAAACGAAAAGATTAGTGACCAAATCAATTCTATTCTTTCACAATTTTTATTTCAAAATATTCATTCTATTATCCTGGGACTTTTCCAAGCAAAAACTGAAGGACTGGCTGAAACTGAGTCATGGCAGCCACATGCGTTATCTTTAGCACACACTCCATGGTAATATGACCAGAATCTTCCACACACATGCTATTAGCCACAGAGAACCTACCAGTGACCCAGTTGCAGTGGCAGGGGTGTGGTTTGAAGGAGCTGGGGCCACTGTATAATGATATTGACAGTTTCTTAACATCTCCAAAAATATCATACAGGAAATTGATTCTATTTATTAATACCCCTCTGCCAACACCCACCGTGAACCACCCCAATATGCTAAAAGACAACACCCACACCAGCCAGAAATAAGAAATATCGTGGGTTCTGCCCATGAGTGAGCTATGTCACTATGACATAGTGATGAAGAGAACAGGTTTTGGATTTAGATCCTGACCATACCTCTTACTAGCTTGGGAAAATTATGTAAATGATCTGTGTCTCAGTTTCCTCACCTTTTAAATGAATATAATAATAGTCCCTACCTTTGTTTCCCTCACTATTGTAAATAACTTATGTATATTACCTAATTTACATATGTAAAATAGGATTATTACTAGCAAGAGTAAGCACTCAATAAATATTAGTTTTCATTATTATTATTTTATTTACTGGGGAAACGTAAAAGAGAATATAACTAAAATCAACAATATAAAGGAGAAAATGGCATAATTCGTATTTTTATTGGTAACATCTGCACACAGAATTATGAAGAACCCAAAAAATAAAATAAAATCGAGATCTGTACTCATCAGATTCATCTGGCAAAAGTTCCAAATGTCTTTATTTATGAAAGTTAATGTATGTCTTTTCAACTCACCCACAAGGAGAGCTCTTAAAATTTAATTGATTATTTTTACGCTTTTCTCCATCAGACTCTAGGTGGGTTAATATTAGCACCAGATGTTGGCCTGGCACATTCTCCTCCTTCCACCAACAGTCTTTTAGGGAAAAGTGAAGAGGTTAGAGGAGGAAGATAGGGGTTCACACTCAGTGGTAAATAGGGACAAATGATGAACAGCCAGAACCAGGCAAAAACCCCAAACTGTCACTTAACCATCACTTTCTGAATAATTATGCATTGATTTTAGTAAACAATAAAATGAAGATGTATTTGAAATTATATGTTTCCAGCAGCACATCATAAGAAGTGGTGATTTAAATTTGGTGCAGTTGAATTTCTACTGCTCTTGAGGCTGTATCTCTATGCCCAAATGGTAAAATAATCAACAGATTCCATAAAATAGTATTATAAGAAGTCATTTGATTTCTAGCAAAAAAAAAAAAATCTTGGCTTTCACAGTGGTATTTGGAAGGCTGTTTTAGAATAAATTTTATTAGTCTGAAAAAGACAGTAAATGAGCATCCCAGCTGTTATTCCATGAAATAGAGAAATGAGATTGTCTTTCTTGGGGTTTTTCCCTGCTTCATTATGTATATTTAACTACTTGTTAGTTAAATAACTAACGAGTTATTTAACAAGTAGTTAAATAACTACTAATTTAGTCATTCTCAAATTTTAACTTTTAAAGTACATTAACTTTAAAGAGTCAGACTAGAGGAGAAGGTGGCAGTGTTTCTAAAGGGACAAGATATACTAATACGTTTTATTGATTGTCTTTGCATGTTTGACTTCCAGAACTATTTTTCCATTTCTGGAATTCATAATAAAAATGTGTATATCTTCTTAGAAAGCCATTTTTAAAATTATTTATTTTTTTAAATTGACACATAATTGTACATATTTATGGAGTGCAGGGTGGTTTGGATACATGCATACATTGTGCAATAATCAAATGAGAGTAACATATCCACTACCATATATTTATCATTTCTTTGTAGAAATGATAAATGAAAACATTCCAAATCTCCTCTTCTAGCTATTTTGAAATATACAATATTGTTAGCTATAGTCCCCCTATTCTGCAACAAACACCAGAACTTATTCCTCCTGTTTAACTATAACCTCGTACCTGTTGAGTACTCTCTCTCCATCTCCCTCCACCCACCCACGAAAATGCCCATTGATGTTCTACGTGTCTCATAGTCACGTAATGGTCTCTGCAGTGAAATGAACAATAAAGTAAACTTGTTTGGGACCATGAAATAATTCCGTGTCTTGGTATTATCCATGTGCCAAAAATTAGAGATAACTAAACACTTATCAGAAAAAAAAAACACACTTGAAAACCGATAGCCCCATTTTTTATGCATTTTCAGAGCTATATAACCTCTATCTCAGAAAGCCATAGGAATATGAAGAGTCAAGGAATTTATGTTTATAATTTCACTATTACTCAAGTGGATATGAGTTACATTTCCTCCTTGTAAGTATAAGATGTCATAAGTATGGAGGTGTGTATCAGGATATAGATTTTTCTCCATGCCTCCTCTGCTGGAAAAGGCAGTTTCTTGTCCATGCAGTCTTTTGATCTCCACTTGGCTGCATAAGAATGGGCTTTGGGCCTGGAACACCTTCTTATCCAGATATGAAGAGTCCTCACAGCTCAAGCTGGGCTATATCTGTCCTCTGCAGGGAGGAGACAGGGTCCTTTGTTCTGCAGCACTAGAGGAGTGCATGTGGCCAACGGCCCTGTGTTGGCTGCCAGGAGGGACCTGTGGGACATGGGGGACCAATGCCCACTACTGAAGCTGATCTTGCTCTCTTTATATGAGTAAAGTATGGTTCCATTTAGTACTTGGCTGTATTGCGTTTTTGTGTTTTTCCTGGTGACTCTGACACCAAGGTGCAGTGGGCAAAAGTGTTAGACTTCTACTTCTGGTGACAGACAACACATGCCACTTGCCTATAAAATCCTCATAGTTGGGACTTTCTCTTACTCTCTATGCTGTGTTTCGCTGTGTTAGAAGGAGCTTGATTCCAGCGTCTTTGAACATGATCCACAAGAAGTTGTTTAAAAACGGTGAGAAGTGAAAGCCCGTTAGTTTCCTTACTTTCTAATGCCTAATGATATGAAGCTGAGCAATTTATTTATGCTTCGCTGGGTACTTTAATTTTTTTCAGGAGGAAGATATTAAGAAAGATTGTGAGAGCTAATACAAGCTTGATAGTCTACTTGGGAATGTTTATGAACCATCCCTCTATAAATACAAACATTATATCATAAAAGACATTATTGCTGTGTTGCATAAAATAATAAAATGTCTTGAAATCAGTAAAATTTATTATCTGTAAATATTTTCCTAAAAGTAAGGTGCTCAGCCACAACTGTAATGGTGGCCATATGATTGTGTTATTGCGAATTTTGTCAGTGAACACTTCAAAACATTCTGATCAGAATTTCATCACAAATGACCTCATATCCTCTCCTCTATTTCTAGGAATGGGACACATGTGTGTGGATGTGTTAGGGGCCACGATACAGTACTGTCAGCACATGAGACAGTCTGTGAGTTCATAATTTTACTAAAATGTGATTAACCTTTAGAAAAATATGGGGAAGAGAACATAGTATTCAGTTTTACCACTGACCTTCTTGTTAAACAGCAAAACACCTCTACATTAGAACTTTAAGTTCCCTCATGAGCTCATAAACTCCTTCTAAGATGTGGCAATTGTTCTGTGAAGCATATTATGAAACTTTCCAGGGCAAAGTAGCAAAGATATTT
Organism: Homo sapiens; assembly: GCF_000001405.40. NCBI lineage: Eukaryota > Metazoa > Chordata > Mammalia > Primates > Hominidae > Homo > Homo sapiens. The sequence goes on from NC_000003.12 coordinate 101,151,764, forward strand.
CAATAAGTCAACATCCTTAGACATTTCTAGTTGGAAAAATAATTGAAAAAGTCAAGTCCCGCATTGCCAGACTTTACACATGGACTTAAACCTTTCTGCCAATGTCAGAGCTATTTACTGAAGCTGTGGAATGAAACAATGAAACATATTCCATATCAGAGATGCAACGAATCATCTATGTGTACCTAATGATAAAAATTCTAAATATGATGAAATGCAAATTCCAATCCAAAATATAAAAGAGGTATATTTTAAACTACCTTGTCTGATGTATGTTTTAATGTATGATCATTTCATGCAGCAATTCTCAATAAAACATGGTATTGAGTAGTAATAGATTAGAAAAATAATAAAATACATATTTTCTATCCCCAATGAATTTGCTAAGATTTTTAAAAGTTTTACTCAAATTGTGTTTGTACCAAATTCCAAAACACTTCTAGAATAAGTGCCATGTGTTGGTGGGGAAAAAAATCTTTCAGGGAAAAAAAGTCTTCCAGCTTGTAATAAATCTTTTGTGAATCAATAAATGAAGGAATAAAACCTAAAAATGAAACCTAAAAATATCTGAAACTTAAAAATAAAAAAATAGAATTTTTATATTTGTTCAACTAGTTTAAAAAGCAGATGTTATAATAACTTATTAATATGTCTCATAACTTTCCTTAGTCTCCCTCCAGAAGCTGTGGAAGAGCTCAAACCAGGGAAGGCAGGGCACATGCAGAAGCAAGAGGCAGTGGAGAACCACATCCAGAAAGCCACAGTGTGGAGTCTGAGAAAGTTTCCAAAACCAAGGACGGGAAACAGATACTGTGTTCCAATCTAGACTAATTCTAGATCTCTGGAATTGCTAGAGAGTTCAGTGATGAGCAGTCCTGATTCACTGTACCTGGAGGATTTTGGTTGGCAACCCAAATGAAGGGATAATGATGAGTTAGAAATTTTTGTAGTAACCCCCAATGTATTACTGTTTCCACTATTCAAACAGTAGCACATCATTCTAGAAGGGACCTTAGAATTCCTACATGTAGTTCAACTGTTAATTTAACAAGTAAATGCACTAAAACTCAGAGAGTCTGGTCAAAAGAAAGCTAAGACTAGAGCCCTGTCTCAGGACCCTGTTCACTGCTCTTTCCATAATGACAACTGTGATTTCATGTCCATTTACACAGCAAGAAATGAAGAGTGGCTTCCACACATTACCAGTTATACATTGATATGGTTTGGCTGTGTCCCCACCCAAATCTCATCCTGAATTGTAGCTCCCATAATTCCCACATGTCATGGGAGGGACCCAGTGGCGGGTAATTGAATCATGGGGGTGGATCTTTCCTGTGCTCTTCTCATGATAGTGAATAAGTCTCACAAGATCTGATAGTTTTATAAACAGGAGTTCCCCTACACAAGCTCTCTTTGCCTGTCGCCATGTAAGATGTGACTTTGTTCCTCCTTCACTTTCCACTATGATTGTGAGGCCTCCCTAGCCATGTGGAACTGTGAGTCCATTAAACCTCTTTCCATTATAAATTACCCAGTCTCAGATATGTCTTTATTAGCAGTGTGAGAATAGACTAATACGTACATCTCTTCTTGTCTGTCCACAACCTGTTCAGGTTCTCTGATGCCCATAAGTCTTTCTTTGTACTGTAGAGTCAACATTTCCAAATGACCAAAGGTATTGTCATCCACATCTCCTTTTACCATTGCCTCCACTGTAATGAGTCTTTTCCTTATAAAGGGAGGCACAGCAGCACAGTAAGCTGAATGGAGAACTCTAACTGCGTTAAATACCACCAAGCACTGGCCAGGCCACCAGCCAGCCACATACCATCCCTTCCAGCACCTGCGATTTTCTGTCTACCCTCTGATCACATTCATAGCAGTCCTTCACCTCACCCAGTCATGGTTCTATTGCAGAAACAAATAAGCTACCCTTTTTAAAGAAGCTCCTATAAGAGCTTTGAGAACATATAAATGTTACTTGGTAGTATGACCACTTTATATAATTTACCACCAAAGCATACTCAACCCTGAAAAGTGTTTCATGACATTAGCAAAATGTACACCTAAAATGAATGAATCTTAAGATAAAGTTCTTTTTAGGCATGTTTAAAAATTCTTACTCTAACATGCCCCAGGCCACTAATGCCAAGTTCAATATAATACTTAGAAGTTTTTCCAGATGAATCCATGCTTAAAGTCATTACAGATAATTTGAAAATTAAATGGAAATGCAATTTAATCTCATTATTTGTGTTTCTCTCCCTCCCCATTCCTCTCTGACTCCTCTCTGGCACCTCTTCCTCTTGCTTCTGTGGACCGGATAACCTCAAGATTATAAAACTATTTAGTGGTTATAAACACTCAATAAAAGCAGCTTTTTTAATGAAGAATTTTACCCTTAACCAGATAGCTACAGTTGGGTTAATAGCAAATTAAGTTGAGTTGCAAATAATTATATATATGTTAGGCACATTAAAAATTTTTTTTACAACCACTTTGGGTATTGTTTAAAAAAATTATTTATTACATAAATTTTCAAAAGGATAGGTAACCAAAAAAAATTACAAAAAATCACTCATAATCCCGGGATTTAGATATACATCTCGATACTTTGAAGACCTTCCTCTGCTGTTTTCATGTAGATATCATACATATTGTTTAAAAGCATACTTTTAAAATTTTAACATATCATATATGTTTTTCTGTCATTAAATATTTGTATTAGTCGGGGTTCTCCAGAGAGACAGAGCTCTTGAATTGTAGCTCCCATAATTCTGACATGTCATGGGAGGGACCCAGTGGGAGGTAATTGAATCATGGGGGCGGACCTTTCCTGTGCTCTTCTCCTGATAGTGAATAAGTCTCATGAGATCTGATGATTTTCTAAAGGGGAGTTCCCCTACACAAGCTCTCTTTGCCTGACACCATGTAAGATGTATAGATATAGACAGATGTAGTAAGATGTATAGATATAGACAGATGATATGAATACACACACACACACAAGAAGAGATTAGGGAAATTGGCTCATATGATTATGGAGGCTGGGAAGTCTCATGACAGGCCATCTGCCAGCTGGAGACCCTGAGATGCTTGTAGCATGGCTCAGTCCAAGTCCCAAAGCCTCAGACTAGAAAAGCCAAATGTCTGAGAACCCAGGGGGCTGTTAGTGTAAGTACCGCAGTTCCAAGGTCAGAGAGGCCAGAGTTCTGATGTCCTTATTGGCAGGGGCTCCAGGAGACAGAAAGGGGGAATTCAGCTTTCCTCTGCCTTGTTGGTCTATCTGATCCCCCAGTAAATTGAATGGTGCCTGTCCACATTAAGGAAGGATCTTTCCCACTCACTCCACCAACTCACATGCCCATCTCCTCTGGAAACAGCATCACAGGCACACCCAGAAGTAATGCTTTATCAGTTCTTCAGATATTCCTTAATCCAATCAGGTTGACACCTAAAGTAAATCCTCAAACATTCTTCCATAGCCTTTTTGATACTTACATGATACCTCATTACATAGATAATATTATTTTAAATCTAACATGTTTTATTATAAGAAACAACACCGCATTGAATATCCTTATATCTTTGTCACTGTATCTTTCCACATACTTTTCATTATTTCCTTAGGAAAAAATAGTGGAAGAATGATGGTTCTGCAAACTCTGAATGCTTCTCATATGTATTGCCAAGTTACAATCCAGAAAGGTGTACCAATTTATAATCTACCCCAAACTTCATAAATGATCCATAGCTCTGAAAACCCACTTTAAGTTTACAAATGATAAAGAAAAAATTATGGAAACATTTAGAAGGCCCTTATAAGTACTATTTCAATTAAAATATACCGAATATAATTTATGAACCTAAACTTTTTTATAAGATCATAAGATTTATTTTTATAAAACTGGCTACTTATGTAAGGTCCCAGACAGACAGACCTAAGAGCTTTAGTAGGTTTTCTATGTTTAAAAAATAAATAAGTTAAGCAAAGCACATATTGCATTCAGCTTTTCAAATTGAACATGTTTAGAGATTGCTATAGCTCACAGTATATCCCAGAATCAACATGAATGTTATTTTGCATGCATGTGTGTGTGTGTGTGTGTTTGTGTGTGTGTTTATGTAGCAGGGAGTTAGACTGTCATATTCATTCCCCTTTGATTATATCCCTTGCCAGTTGGCTAAGCTTAAGAAATTCTGAACACAAGTGTTGCCAGAATTCTACCCCCACAACCTGGCTGACAGCTTTATCAACAACCCTGGAGGGAGAACAGTCTCCAGCCTGTTCTCCCATCTCTGTAGTGCCAACTGCAGCCTGAATGTTTGGGCTTCAGTGGTAAACAGAAGCAGATAAGCCCCAATGAGCTAAAGTGAGCAGATATTTGTTTTACTAGCAACAAAAACAAATAAGTAACTACATAAAAAGCAAGCCATGACATTCAGAATGTGCATGCCCTTTTAATGCACTGAAGATTTAAGCAATCAGCAATTTAAACTTAGCAATGAAACTTAATGAATATTGTATTCAAAATATCAATAATCACATTGGAAAATAAAATCACCTTCATTAAACAAATACCACCTTTCAACTGTCTAGAAGGTAAATCATAACACAAAGAATAAGACAATTAACAGAGCAATGGCTCAGTAACATACATCAAATCCCTCTTCACTGCATGGATAATCAAAGCCAATTTGGACATAACACTAGAGAAAGGCCCTGCAAAGAATATTGATGCAAATTTATCATTATTCTTTAACTGTTCTTGTTCAATGAAGTCATACTAGTAGTTCCAAATTGCCCCACAAGTTTCTCTGTTAATCACCCATCAATTACCCAAAAACATTGGCTGGAGGTGACAAGAAGGGAATTATATCAGCTAAGTCCTCCAAGGAGGTAGCTTAGCAGTGCAGTCTTGGCAGTTTCACTCCAGGGACAGGTCTGTTCCAGAGTCGAGGCTGGTCCAGAAAGATGGAACTAGCTGCTCAGAGGGGCAAGCTAGAAAGTAGTAAAATATTATTTACCTTTTGGTTATTTAATAATGAGACACTTAAAAATAGATACCCATCAGGGTAGCAATGGTTTTTTAATGGAAAATAAAAAGTGTTGGCAAGGAGGTGGAGAAATTGTAATTCTTGCGTATTGCTAGTGAGAATGTAAAATGACACAGCCACTGAAACATTAAGGTGGCTCCTCAGAAAGTTAAACATAGAATTACCACATGATTCAGCAATTCTACTTCTGAATATATTCACCCAACTATTGAAAACAAGGACTCAGATATTTTTATACACCAAAGTTCACAGCAACATTATTCACAGTAGCCAAAAACCTGGAAACAACCCAAATGTCTATCAACAGATGAATGGATAAACAAAATGTGGTATGTATACACAATGGAATATTAATGAGCCTTTAAATGAAATGGCATCATAATACATGTAACAACATGAATGAACCTTGAAAACAGTATGCTAAGTGAAATAAGCCAAACATAAAAGGACAAATAAATTGTATGATTCCACTATGTGAGGTACCTAGGATAGGCAAATTCATGAAGACAGAAAGTAGATTGGTGGTTACCTGTGGCTAGGGGGAAGGGAGATGGGGAGTTACTGTTTAATGAGTACAGTGTTTCTGTCTGGGATAGTGAAAACCTTTAATAGATGGATAGTGGTAATGAGTGCACAGGAATGCAAGTAAGCTTGATGCCACTGATTTGTCCACTTTAAATGGCTAAATGGTAAATTTTATGTCATGTATATTTCACCACAATAAAACAATAGAAAAAAATAATCCATTGAACACTTAAAGAACCTGATTGAAATTTCTGTCTTTTATTCTTCTCTATAAATTGTATGTGGACAATTTTTTACCAACAACAAAAAAGCTAAAAATAGAAATGAGTAGATCTTAGACAAACACATGTACTTGGAACCATTTTGTTTGTTTTATTTGCTCTATTTTATTATTGCCTGATCTGACACAAAGGATCAGACTCACACAAATCAAGATTATAGCCAGTGTCAAGCTTTCATCATGATGTAAAAGAGTCAGGTAATCCAGTAAAAGATTCAGGTTCCAGAAAAGCAGAGAGAAATTGGGGACTTTGAGAGCAGTTCCCCAGCTCCTTTCGGTTCATGACAGACATGAACTCTCTGGCCCAGAGTGAAAGACGGGGTCCACAATGGAGGTTTTGTGGTGTTATCTCCTACCATAAGGGAGCATTTTATGAAACATCTCTGTGTTATACCCCAGCTTTCATGTCATTTTTCAAGGATATCCTGCTAGGAGCATTCTACAGAAAAGACCCTTCTGCTAACATATTTCATTAGTGTATTTACCTGGAGTCCAGAATCACATTGACTAGGCACCTGCCTTCTTTCCCCCATTCCACTTGGAGCATCCCCCAGATAGTTGGGGGGAACTGAGTCAGAGTTCAACTGCATTATTTTTCTCCTTGTTATAGACTAACAGTTTATGTCCTCCCAAAATTCATATATTGAAGCCCTACCCCCAATATGATGAATTTGGAGGTGAAGACTTGGGAATTAATTAGGTTTAAATGTAGTCATGAGGGTGAGGCTCCCATGATGAGACTGGTGTCCTTATACAAATAGGGAGAGAGACCACAGTGAGCTCTGTCTCCACCATGTGAGGATACAGCAAGAAGGCAGCAACCTGAAAGCTAGTAAGAGGTTTTCACCAGGCACTGAATCTGCTGGCACCTTGATATTGGAATTCCTAGCCTCCAGAACTGTGAGAAATAAACTTCTCTGGTTTAAGTCACTCAGTCCACAGCATTTCGTTATAGCAGCCCAAGCTGACTGCTCAATGACTAATCACTTGGATTAAATAAGTAAACAAAATATGTATGTATGTACTTGTCTTTAGAAATAATCATTTAATATAGAAACCTGGGATATTTCCATGAGAGCTTTCTACTCCCCAAAGTTCAATGTCTAGACCTCCATACCAGGAACTCTCCTCAAACAAATGCATCAAAATCACCTGGTAAAGATAAGGAGGAAAAGGCAAAGCTTCCTTTGGATGGGTCCCCAAGTCCTTGTACAGCTCAACAAGGTGTCAGATTTAAGGAGCTATAATCAATGAAAACCTAATGTAGAAGGAAAATTGCTTTCACAAATTAGACTTCAGGCCAAAAGGAAATTAAGGGATGGATGCATCATTGCCTCAGAAGGGCTCTCCGAGGTCCACCCAGCTTATTCCATCTTTTATATTCTCTGTTGATGACCTTCCACAGCAAAGTTCTCATTCTCCACCTCTTTTTTTTTTTTCTTTTCTTTTCTTTTTTTTTTTTTGGACTACAGGATTTAGACAGTTCTTTGTATCCCAGGTCAACCTTGCCTTTGACAAAAATGTAAATTGCTCTTTGCTCCCAAATCCTTGATTTGGCCTCAGTCAATTCCACCCCAGGCCCAGCTCTCAGGACCTGAGGCTGAATCAGGACAGGTTCCCCACAGATCCAGGAGGAAAATCTGTGAGGAGAAACCCCAAAATGCTAGGATTAGTGGCAGCAGCAGGAGCCACCCCAACCTGATCACCACACAGAAGACTTGGTCGTTTCACCATCACTCACCCAGAGGACAGGATTTCTCTCTGCCCTGTACCTCCTACCCAAGTGACTCTTTTGTTAACCTTGGCAAAAGAGCAGTAACAGGGAGAGGCATAGGCCCTACTATCTTTAAACTCTCCTCAAAGTACCCCGATGGGGGTGGTGAGTCTGAACTCCACTGTCACTAGCTAGAATTATTAGCTTAATAGTGGTGCCAGGAAGTCACAGGAATGGAACCAAAGCTGGTGCCTCAGTTGTGAGCATATAGTGTCTCTAATTAATCCCACCTGGCTTCATATGATTATCTAAGCAGAAATGCTTCTGGCATTATTCGAACCATAGAATTCTGCTGGTAGCTACAGAACGTTTTCTTCAAAGCATGCAGCAATGCAAGCAGACAGAATAATTTGCTTCTTATAGATGTGCACACTGGACAAGAGACATCTTCTGAGTGAAATACTACCAGAAACATAACCAATAAGCATTTAAAAAACCCTTGTAAATGGTACCAAATGCAATTTTAAAAACTTTAGAAATTATGGCGGTTTAAATGTGAATGGCATTTTACAGCTTATAAAGAATTTCCACCCATCTTTCCACTTGAAAAGAAAATAGGAAGTTACTGTCATGCAACTCCAATATAAAAACAGCATAAGAAAACATAAGCCTGGTTATATAGGCTTCACAGAAATTCATAATGCTAGATAATTAATTCATGGGAAGAAAATGATTTGCTTTAAGCCACAGACTGTTTTCAAAAGCTTCTATGTTATGATGACAGCCGTTCTTCATAATCTTTATATTTCAGGCTCTGAAGAAAGCAAAATAAGATTTTCACCTCATTTATATGCATCAGAGAAGTGCAAGGAAACATTCCAATGAAACTCACTGTGGCAAAGAATCTATTTAATTGCAGCAATGTATTTGATGTGGGCTCTAGACACAAGGCAAACCCCCAAAGCTGGAAATGATAACTGATGTTTTCGCCAAAGTTTGCCAGTGGCTGGTGACCATCACTTGCCTAATCCTGAGTGGCTGTCTCTTAGTGGTGGTTTCGTGTGTGTGTGTGTGTGTGTGTGTGTGTGTGTGTGTGTGTGTGTATCCTGCCAGATTCTCTGGGTGGTCTGTGGAATATCTAGAATTTATGGTTGGCCTTTCCCATGGACAGTTAGGCAAACACTCCAAATGCTATTTCTGGCTGCTTGACTGAGGCGTGGTACCTGGTTTAGTCTCTCCAAAATCAAATCAAACGCCAAGGATGCCATTAGAACCTGGTTACTATTAGCATAACTCCTTCATGAGTAAGGGAAGAAATTGCCAACACATACAACATATCCTTTAGACCCACAACAAAAAAGGAATCATCTTTTGCCACTCCAAAAAAACAAGAGGAAAGGAGAAATGTAGATTCTATCCTTGTAAGCCCACAGATATCTTCTCTTTACTGCTGAGATTGTCATACCCTGTTCATTCTAATATATGTTAAACACTTTGCACTATAGTTCTCTAAATTTTGAATATCAATAAGAATTTCAAGGCAAAAAAAATCTACCATTGAAAAGGAAATCTTTCCCCATTGTAAAATGATGATTCAAATTTGATGCTAAGACATCATCTCTTCAAGTTAAAAAATGTAATGCACTTAGAAGAGTAATACATAAAGTATTTGACGTTATTTACACTTAGTACAAATGAAAGTTCTGAAAATTGATTTAATTTGGGAAGAAGAAAGACTCAAAATACTAACTCTCCCCAATAAATAATAGGAGAATAAATAAGAAGATAAACAATTAGCTTAGATCAAGTTTCAACATCAATTTTTTATTCACCTCTGTGAAGAGGATGATGTGCAGTCTCAACTTGTTTGGTGGTGTGGTTCATCTGGTTTCAGGGATTTCTACTGTTTTTTTTTGTTTTTTTTTTTTTTTTTAGATGTAGTTTCACTCTTGTCACCCAGGCTAGAGTGCAATGGCACAATCTCGGCTTACTGCAACCTTCACCTCCCAGGTACAAGCAATTCTCTTGCCTCAGCTTCCCGAGTAGCTGGGATTACAGGCATGCACCACCACACCCGGCTAATTTTTGTATTTTGAGTAGAGATGGGGTTTCACCATGTTGACCAGACTAGTCTCCAACTCCTGACCTCAAGTGATCCGCCCACCTCAGCCTCCCAAAGTGCTGTGATTACAGGCATGAGCCACCGTGTCCAGCCAGATTTCTACTGTTCTTAATTGCATCTTTTAAACAATGGATTCATTCGTTCATTAGTTCAACATTTATTGAAGATCCAGATCCATCTACTATGTGCCAGGTACTGTTATAGATTCTAGGGATACAACAGCAAACAAAATAAGAAAAGTCTCTGGTTTTATGGAGCTTTTGGTGCACTATAGTCTTAATATGATTAAATCAAATACTAGAGATATACTGATATTCAAATGTATGAAGCCATCACCCTGCATGCACTTATAACTCAATGCAAACACCTAGTACACAACTGTGAATCTCACTTTGATCACCAACTCTCCTGTCCTAGGAATTGAGGCAAGATGACAACATCTCCAGTGACAACATCAAAGAGTCGAGTCAACACCTGTGTGTGTTTTGGGCAAGCTTATTCTGTTTTGGACTGCATTGTCATATCATCAATCTCCATTCCCCTCCTCTGGAGAGATATTCTTCTTCACAGAGGAGCTACAACAGGCCAATAGCAGGGTCCCCCCGCCAACCACTTCTGATCTGCACAGTGTCCTCAAAGCCTTCCTCTCCTATCCCTTTTCATCATATGACTTTGTCTTGCATGTTCTTAAACATCCCTAGCAACGCAGAACTACCTTCTTGAGTCCACAATCTGATTGCTGAGTGAAAAACAATCCCTGCCTTTTTTGTCAGTGGTACTATTAACTCCTCAGGCCACCTCCCTTTCATTGAGAGATAGAAACTAGTTTCTGCAACATTATAAAATTATTCCTCTAGCCTAAATATATCTTCCTCAACTCATCTCCTAAAAAGCTTTCTAAAACAAATACTACCCTGGAGATTCTGATTCAACAGGTTTCAGGCAGGAGTCATATAGCCTTTTTTTTTTTTTTAAACCACAGGTCACTCAGATGTTCATCTAAGTTTGAGAGCGTTGCCCAGAGAGTTAATCAGTTAAAATATACCTAACATAACTTACATAGTGACCTCAACTTCCCCTCACATGCACCTCCTGCTTACTTCCTCAGTTTCCCTCCAGATATGTCATCTCCTTCCCATATTTCAACCTAAACATTTGTACTTGTGACCACACCTGGTTGCATCATTCAGTATCTCTCCATCACCATCTCTTTTATATTCCTAGGTGATCTTAGACTAGGCACTGCTTCCATCTGGCTCTTTTCATACTTTATTTCTAATCTATCGGGATTAGATTCTTGCCAACATTGTCTAGACTAGACTTGATTTTTAGGCCATTTAAAATAAGCACTGAGGCAAAAAAATAATCTAGAAATCAAAGTATTATTCTACTGCCCCTATAACTTCCATTCAAAACAACCTGGCCTGGGTCTGACTGGGGCATGGGCACAAATGGACCATCTTGACTTCCTGGGAAAAGGCAGCGAAAGAGGAAGAAGTTGTAAGAGAGGGTACCCAGCTATGGAGTGTTAGAAAGTCCCCATCTCCTGCCATGAATCTCAAATCAGTACTGACCAGATAAAGCAGTGGGGTGGCAAGAGGGAAGAAAGGGTGATAGCAGCAGGAAGGAAGATGGTGGGACAGCTACCAGTGCGTATGGTGGATTGTGGCACTGAGTATACAAAACTGGGACATGTTGCAAATACAGAACAATAGTTTATTATCCCTTGATGTATTGCTTTCAAGAATTCAGCAAAAGTGGGCAATTAGGCTCAAAAGAGGGTGATAAAGAAAGCCAATGTCATAGACTTCTTCATTGGGGATGATGTAACAGGAAAAGCCACATATACCATGAAGTGGTGAACCCACCATGGTTTAGTTGAAGACTGTTGACAGAAAGGTTTGGAGCAAGTAATCTTTAAATACTTAAAGCAGAACATGTGGGTCATTACTTTCTTTTCACCAAACGTCCACTGAATGCTCCAGAAAACAGAATATGCTACCGAAATAGTGTTTGAGTTCTTCAATATTCCAGGCTCATACATAGCCATACAGGCTGTTCTTGCATTAGCAGCATCCTGAGCATCAAAACAAATAAGAAAACAGGCATTGACTGGTATGGGAAGAGATAGTAAAGATGGTGGCACTCCTGTCCCACCTCCAACTGAAGGATATGGGGTTGGCAACTGCCATCCCACCTCCAGCTGAAGGATATGGGGTTGGCAACTGCCATAAGCACATTCCAATCATAGGGCAAGCATCACATATTTCATTCAGCAACTGTTCAGAGGCTGAGAAGTAGAAATTCCTTCAGAGCAATCCCTAGAAACAGCTACTGCAGTAAAGGAGTGCTACAGTTATGTCTGCCCAGATTTAGTAAAAGAATTTAACAAGTATGACACAGATGGGCCAAGTGGATTAAACAGTATAATGGAATCAGGGCAATCTCAAAGAAAGAATTTTCCATTGACATTAGTTATGAGAGATCTTTGTGACTTGAAATCTTTTTTCACCCAGAATTTGCTAATTATGACTTCACACAACTACCTAAGAGGTAGCAGATGAAGCAAGTCAGAATGATCAGAATAATATTCTGGCTGGGCATGGTGGCTCACGCCTGTAATCCTGGCACTTTGGGAGGTCAAGTTGTGTGGATCATTTGAGGCCAGGAGTTTGAGAACAGCCTGGCCAACATGGTGAAACCCCGCCTCTACTAAAAATACAAAAATTAGATGGGCATGGTGATGCACACCTGTAATTCCAGCTACTCGGGTGACTGAGGCACGAGAATTTCTTGAACCAGGGAGGTGGAGGTTACAGTGAGCCGAGATGGCGTCACTGCACTCCAGCCTGGGTGACAGAGCGAGACTGTTTAAAAAAAAAAACAAAGAATTATCAGAGCTGAGCTGATATCAGAGTTTTCTCTGCAAGAATATTAACCTCACTGAACTGGATATGCAGGAACTTTGAGTATTGTTTTTATATTTTGAAGGAAAAAAAGTGACCAAGATAAATTTTTTTAAGTAGCCTCACACACACACAACGTGAATGTATTTAATGTCACTGAAGTATATGCTTAAAATAGTTAAAATAATCACCTTTATGCAATGTATTTGCTTTTTAACAATTTAAAAGATAAATAAATGCATTCTTAAGTAGCCCTATGACACTTAGCATTACTCATTCATGAGACAAGGAATCCCAGTAATTATGAATTTCTACCATCCTCCCCACAAAAACAATTTGGTTTTTGTTACAAGTGCTTTTAGAACTAAGAAGTTAATATCTTAGATAAAGTCTACTCATATTCTTTTTCTTGTTAAAAAAAAAAAAAAAAGGCAAGACTGTTGGACCAGTTATACTTCATGTGCTAAAAAAGCAGTATTCACAACATTTCGGTATTGCCACACTATTTAGCCTCCTCATATTGAGATTTTCTCCTAGTTCACATGTCTAAGCAGGTATCTCAGACCCAGTGTGTGAGGGGCAGTCGGAGAGGCTGGTGCTGTGTGTGCAAACAATTGTCTGCTTCTGAGGGAGAAGATGTTGACCTCTCTTATTAAGGCTCCTGTGGCAGGAATGACTGACAATGCCAGGGCTCAAATCTCTATTAGCTGATTTGGGGTGGTTTTGATGGACTTGTTTCCTCTTTGCTCTTTAACAGTAAACAGCAAGTTGGCAACATTTATGGGCAATTTTTTTTTTTTTTTTTTGAGACGGAGTCTCGCTGTCTCCCAGGCTGGAGTGCAGTGGCGCGATCTCGGCTCACTGCAGGCTCTGCCCCCCGGGGTTCACGCCATTCTCCTGCCTCAGTCTCCTGGCAAATATTTTTATAATAATTCAGAAAGGATCATTAGTATCGTTCCATTGTTGCAATAATGTGAAATGTATTTGAGAAAGATGTATGCAGATTTTGGTAGGACTTTCATGAAAACATTAGTTCCCAAAAGTAATTTGTTATTTCTATTTTTTCCCAAGAAAGAGGCTGAAACATTGAATAGCTTTAAATGTCTAGCCCTAGACATATCTTATGCAATCTGTGTACTCTCCATTCTCCAGTTGCTTTTGAAAAGAACTGAAGTGCTCCTGGGCGATGCTCTTTAGTGACAGAGTTTTGATTATCTCATTGGGTCTCACCTTCTTACCTGTTCTTCTGACTCCATCAAGCAAACCATAGTGTATATGGTCAACAGTCTATGCCCAGAAATTCTAAGAACAATAGGAAGACCTACAATGACTATGAGTCTTTCATCCACTTTAAAGCAAACCTTCATCACTGTCATTGATTTTTTCATGTGTTTTGTTTGTAATACTGAAAAGAATAAGGAGGCCAGTAGCTGTTTCCATCAAGAAGCAAGCACTGGCTAAGTATATGCTGTGCACCCAGCATTGTGCTACAGGGATATAAGCTTAAAACATGGTCACTATTCTCAAGAAGATTGCAACACAGTTGAAAGGGCAGGATATGCACACAGAAACTTTTAGGGGAAGAAGTGGGCATCAGGAAAAATAACGTGTGTTGTCTCCTGACTTAGTGCATTGTGTGGTCTCACACCTATGTCTCAGCCAAGTTTGTTTGCTCCTGATGTTGGCCACGTTAACTCCAGGTTCTCCTTGATTCTAACTCTTAGCTAATTAAAGAGAAATATTTTGTCCCTGTTGCTTTCAAAGCATCATGCTCCCCTACTGGATGCTCCCAAAACCTGAGCGGTCATGTACTCCATCTCCACCTACATTATGCTAGGATGCAAAAAAGGATGATTTTTGCTAGTACAGAAATAGTTCTGTACAGATTTCACCTTGGCTGTGGCTAAAGGCCATAGGAGGAACCCAGGAGGTTTAAGTTAGAGGCAAATCTAAGCAAGACACCCCATGATATATGCAAATCACCACCTACTACTAACTTACAGTTCTTAGTAATCATGGTATTTCCCCTGCCAGGTGAGAATGACCTGTAGTCCTTAGTCCATGTTCACACACCTTGACTCTTCTGGCCTTCAGACTGATTTCTCCTCAATCCTCAATGCAAATTACCCCACATGAGCTCATTTCGTTATCCTTCCCCAAAAAATGTCCATTGTTTAATGATAGCTGAGAAGTTTATATTGGAACCCCCACTATGACATAAAAATTCAGGAACTGACACAAGCAGACCTCTCCATCCATTCAACCTTACCCACTTTTACTATCTATAGTGGGTTGACAGTGTCCTGCCAAAAGATATGTTCAAGTCCTAATGCCTGGCACCTGTGAATGTGATCTTATTTGTAAATAGGGTCTTTACAGATGTCATTAAATCAAGTATCTCTTGGGGAGACCATCCTGGATTCAGGATGGGCCTTAAATTCAATGACCAGTGTCCTTAAAAGAGAAACGAAAAAAGGAATAAAGACACAGAGACCCAAGGGAGAAGGCCATGTAAAGACAGGGGCAGAGATGGGAGGGATGCATCTACAAGCCAAGGAACACCAAAGAGTGCCACCTGAAAATGGAAAGGCGCAGAGCACAGTTTCTCCCTCAGAGTCTCCAGAAGGAACCAGCCCTGCCAACACCTTCATTCCAGGACTTCTAGCCTCTGGAACTGTGAGAGAATACATTTATAGTAATTGGTTACAGCAGCCTTAGGAAACAAATACACTAGCTAACAGTCACTTCATTGTCCCTGAAATATAACATCCTCTTTCCCACACCCATACCTTTGCTTACCAATTCCCCTACTCAGAATGCGATATCCTTCACCTTTTCTCTCATGCCTCTTAACCTTCAGGCTTCTCTCAAATCCTACTTATTCCAAGCAATTTTCCCCAATTGATCCTAACCACTTATATTCCTGTTTACCTTGATATATATAATACACTGTTTTCCCTTACTACGTAAGGTTCTGTGTTTCCTTAAAGACATGGAAAGTTCCATGAGTACAGATTCTGATGCTGTGCCTATATAACATTAAACTGGTAAGTGCTTGGTGAAGATATATTTAATTATTGTACATCATTTGGTAACCCAAGAAAATGGGCTTCACAGGCTGGTAAATAACAGCTGCAGCACCACTGACAGTAACAATTAAATCTCAGGGATCTTAAGCTTACTCACTCCACAGAGAATCCTCTGGGATACATCTACTATAGCTCAATTACAATGGGATGAAGAAGGTCCCATGTCATTCCCCTGAAGTGCTGCTTAAGGCTGAAACTCCACCGCAAAAGCTGTTACTGTCACCCTGTCATTGTTTTTGTAAAATTAAAGGGGACCCACAGGAGGTTCTCACAGCAAGACCGTATAAATAGTGTTACAGTAATTAGTGATACTGAAGATCATTGATGTATTTTGGTCACAGAGGTCTGAGGCTGCTGAGGCCAGATTGAAATTTAAAAAAAATTAATAGTAAAATAAAATGAATGAAAATGACTCAATAGAAATGTTCAAATATTTCTTTGTGATCCAAGCACGAATAAAACATTTTCTCAGAGTGAAATGGCCTTAAGTAGACATTTTCAAATTATCTTTCCTTTTATTCTTTCTTTCATTCCAGCCAGCAGCTTTAGAAAAACACTCTTATTTTCATACCTTCTTGGCTACACATTTTCAGGACTCTCAAGTAGAAAATAATTACCCAACTGTCTGTGAAAGGTAGATGACCTGAGATCTTCAAGGCCAAAGCTGATCTAGAGTGAAGTTATCAACCAGCTGTCAGAGACGCCATTAGGACATAATACGCAGTGGACACTTCTCCTTCTGGCCTCTCTGATTAATAGAATATGAGTTGTGAGGTGACAAACTGGGTGGGATTGGGAGGATACTGTAGAAGACACCTTATTGAGACTTCCAAATCATCATGGAAGTTTCCCTCTCTGAGTTGGTCTCAGGCCTGGGCATTGCCTGCCTCCCGTGGTGGAGTGGAATCCATGTGGTCAATAGAATTGTTTAAGCTTTCCCAAGCCAACAAGTCCTGCCTCTCCTAACATCTCAGGATCCCAAGGAGAATGGACACTAGGTCCTGG
Organism: Homo sapiens; assembly: GCF_000001405.40. NCBI lineage: Eukaryota > Metazoa > Chordata > Mammalia > Primates > Hominidae > Homo > Homo sapiens. The sequence goes on from NC_000003.12 coordinate 101,168,463, forward strand.
TGAGGATAACTAATGATACCCTTTCACTCTTTCACTTATCACCAAGCCTAGCTAGGCAGATATTTCATACCCGGGCTCCACGTGTCCTACAGACACGTGGACTCTGCACTCCATTAGCCCACTCCCACTGGCCACCCACCACATGCCATACCTCTGGAGCTATAGAGCTGCCACAGTGACCTCACCTGTTTCCCAGGACAGCAGTTCTTCTTCAAAGTGCAGATTTTCCTTCTCCTCTTTATACTTGGTCAGGATGAGTTCCTAGAGAAAAATTAAACCTCAAGAGACATATTCCTTCCCTGTCTTTCCCTTCTTCTCCCTCATTTTCTCTCTCTCTCTCTCTCTCATACACACACACACACACACACACACAAACATACACATACACACGCATGCATCTGGAGAGCCAAACTTGGCTCATTATTTCCTTTTCTGTAATGTACATGTATTCAGTAGGTTATGAAGTATCAAAAAACTTAAAAAGCTTTCCTAACATACTGGGGAGGAAAACAAAACCAAGTATTGGTCTGTTTGGTGGAGATGTTTGTGATATTCAAGGCCCTATTGCTGACCCTGTGGGTTGGCACAGCACTCACACATACAGAGCAGGCGGGATAGTGACTGGCATAAGTGCCGCCTGCCACCACCTTTCTGGGTCTTCTAGGCTTCGTGGCAAGCCATCTCTCAGAGACCTACAGTCTTCTTCTGAAATCTGGTCTGTATTATCAACACTCTGGGTCTGCAAATAGTTCTGTACATTCCAGAAAAAATAGTTCTCAATCTGGGCTAGACATTAGACTCACCTGGAAAAATGTATTAAATAGCTGATGCCTGGGCCTCGCCCTAAAGATTCTGGTTTAATTAGCCAGGAGTTGTTCTCCTGGATCAGGGGATTAAAAGTTTCCCAGGTGGCTATAACGTATGGCGTAGATTAAGTGGACTTGGGAATGGGGGTGGTAGGAAGTGGGTCAGAGTTCAAATGGCACAGCCTTGATGTAAATTCATATTTGCAAGTAGATTTGAGAGGAAAATTAGACACTAATTCCTCTCACAATCAGTATCGTAACCCTGCTTCTGCTCCCTATTACAACTATTTCCCTTTCAACTGCAGCTTAAAACAAATATTAAAAATTTTGTCATAAACAGTATTGTTAGCTAAGCAAAGATTTCACACCAAGGCTCCACATGTCCCACAGAAAGGACTCTGCAATTTATGAGCCCACTCCCACTGGCCACCCACCCCACCACCTGCCATAACCACTGGAGCTAGAAAACTGCTACAGTGACCTCACCCATTCACCAAAACAGCAGTGTTTCCGTCTACTGTCCATTCTCCTTCCATTTACTGTCTCTGTAGGAAGATGTAAATGTTGGCATTGCATTAGAGAGTGAGGAGAACAAACGTTACCATCCTAAGTGAACTCAGAATGTGTTCATCACATCACCTTACCCTGCATTCACTTATTTTCCTCCAAACCCAAAGCAGGAAAAAGAGGTCTACCTTTCCTGTCTTGTGCAGTCATAGGCTATTTTAATTAGAAGAAAGTATAGATAATTAACTGGAAGGCCTTATTCTATTATAAAAAAAGAAGCTAATTATTTCTCCAAAAAATACTAGTAAATAACACCCTTACGTGACATATTGTCATAACCCTGTTCAAACGAGGACAAGGCCAGTTTATCAGATTTTCCTCTGACTCATAAAATTCTCCACTCCTCCAGAGCCTACAATTCAATTACAGAGAGAAACTATAAACTACCCTACCCTGTAGAGTGCAGGAGAAAAAATTAGCCATCATCTTTATTTATGAGTATTCTAAACAAAGAAGCTGGCAAATGTGGATACAGTCGATGTCTCCCAGGCCACACCAACCAGGGGGTAAAAATAGGGTCACCATGTGTTTTATGCAGGATTTTCTGGCTTTGTTCTCCAGCTACTCTGCCAAAACTTTAGTCCCCTCTTAGAAAACTCTCAAAGAATTCTGGGAGAGAGGTACTAGAACTGATGCTTGTGTTTGCCATGGGTTTCTGTGCTTTTCATCTGTCCTGCTCAAGCTCCCAGAGGAGATAGTGCCTGTCTCAGAGGAATCCAAAGTTGTGAGCTACACCAGCACCACCTGCTAAAGATGATAGCACAGCTGCCCATGTTAAGAGTGCCACGGCCACACTCCAAAGGCACAGTCTTCACTCCTGGATCAGCTGCTGTTACAGAGCTGATAATGGCTTCAGCGATCCGGAGAGGCTCTCGAAGAATGGCTGTTCCTCACCTGACTCTTTCTTGGAGTCCCCTTGCCCCGAGACTTAGGCAACTCCATGGAGTATGGGCCAGAGAACAATATGGTTGAAAGGCATCTGCTCTATTTAAAAGCATTTCTCTCCTCTGGATGTGGTCCATTCTTCCAGAATCAAGCATGTTTGCCTTCATTTTCACTTATGAAATTTTTTTACTGGAGACTCTTCAAGTTCACCAACTCCTCTGGCCCCACTCCTAGTCTTCTGGATGTATTCATTCATTCAAGGACTATGCTAGACACTGAGTGAGGATACAACAATGACCTAGAAAGACCGTCTCCTCCTCATAGACCAAGGTCGATGAGCAAGTTCCCAAGTGGGTAGTTCAGTATGCTGTGTGCATGCAGAGGACAAACGCTTCCTCCTGATACTAGTGTAGTCGAGGAAAGGATCTCACAAGAAAGAAATGACCTTGGAACTTAAACTTGATGAAGAATCAAAAGTTAAAGAAACGAGAGAGAGAGTGGGAGTTAAGGGAGGAGAGATAATTCCAGACATAAATAACATGCACAAAGCCCCAGAGGTCAGGTAGAGCATATCAAATGCCACAGATAACCTCAGAATCCTCACTTTCATCAGACATTTTAACTTTCTGCACCAACAACTTGTAACCACAAAGGGGGAAGAAATGACTGATTGAGCTTGATGTCCTCAGTTTGTCTTTGAGAAGATGTTAATTCAGTGGGGACAGGCCCTGAAGGCAAAATCAGATGAAAATAGAATTGCCAGATAAAATACAGAATGCCCAGTTAAAATTGAATTTTAGATAAATAGTGATAATTGTATAGTATAAATATGTCTCAGATATGGCATGGGATATACTTATGCTAAAAAGTATTTGCTTTTTATCTGGAATTCTAATTTAACTGGGCATATTGTATTTTTATTTGCTAAATCTGGCAGCCCAAGATCATGAATATGACCACAAACTTGGTCACTTCTCACTGGAAAATCAATTGGAAAAAGAAGAGATAAGATTACAAGAGCAGACATCAATGGTAAAAACATAAAAATGCAACTCAAAAAAAAAGGGCTGCAACAGGCCAGCCAACTTTCTTGTCTGAATTCTAAATAACTAAAACCCATGGAGAATGCTCTACAATAGAAAGTAGTGGGTTCATTGCCAGAGGCACTTCATAAGAGCAGGATTACAGAGGAAGGACTCCTAAGACTGAGTCCCCAAGTCACTAGTAACCATCTGCTTGGTTAATGAACCTGATACCAACAGAAAAAACTCCCTGAAGTCATCAAACAACAGGGACAGCTACTCCTGAACTTGTGGTCACATAAAACCAAGGTGTTGACTACATCAGGTTCTTAAGAATTTTGTAGGGTGGAAGGATGTCTAAATGTATGCGTGTTTGTCTTCTGCATCTCATTGTAATACAGCCCCGGGCCCTGTCACATGGGCCAGTCTCAATATGTGGGCCTCAGAAGAAAGTGGATGAGAATCAGCACATCCACTAGAAAGCGGAAAATTCATGGCAGCAAGAAACAAACCAACAAAACAGATCAGCAGTGGGGAGGGGAAAGATTTGCTCCTTTCTTAGTCTTGATCTGAAGAACAGTAGTATTTGATAAGAAAATTAAATGGAAAGGAGGGTAGTCATAAATAAAAACATCATAGATAAAGTTATGAGACTTTGGTGCGTTTAATGTCTCCATATGGCAGCCTTTAGGTATATGTGTGTGTCTGTCTGGTGTGTGTGTGTGTATGTGTGCTTGTGTGTGTCTGTGTGTGTGTGAGAGAGAGAGAGACAGAGAGAAAGAACGAGAAAGAGAGAATGCTTAAGAGATAACTATGATGGACACAAGAAAAAGATAAAAAAAATATTTTTATTCTGTTTCAAACTTCCATAAAATTGGTGAGCTTAAGTGGAAATGAACTAAGACTGAGGACAGATGAGAACAAAACCAATAACTTTCACATGACTGTAGTGAACACCAGATGTTGAAAGAAAGTTTTACCAAACCAAACATCTGCTTTCTACTCTAAGAGACAAGAGTGATATAAAAAAATACCAGAGAAAAAGGGACACAAAACCAAGAAGAATTTGAGAAGACAAAGTGAAAACACTCAGCTCCAGATTTCAAATCAGGAGGCACTGTCAGGAACCATTGTTCATTCATTCCTCACACCCAAGTCCTCTGTCTCAGATTCCTGTGTTTCCACAAGGACCCATTTGTCTCAGTTCTTTACATTCAATTCCAATCTGAAATTATGGTTTCAAACCATTCAAAACTGAAGTGCCTAGAAATTCCCTGTGAGTTCATTCAGGCTGCTGTAATAAGACACCTTAGACTGGGCAACTTATAGACAACAGAAATTTATTGCTCACAGTTCTGGAGGCTGGGAAATCCAAGATCAAGGTGCCAGCAGATTCAGTGTCTGGTGAGAGCTTGTTCCTTATAGATAGTACCTTCTTCTCTGTCCTCCCATAGCTGGAGATGCAAACAAGTTCCCTCACCTCTTTTATAAGGGCACTAATCCCATTAGTGAAGGGTGGAGCCCTCATGAACTAATCACCTCCCAAAGGCCCCACCTGTTAATACTATTGCATTGGGGATTAGGTATCAATACATGAAATTTGGGGGAACATAAACATTCAGGCTACAGCACCCCCTTCCATTCCTTATCCCCTTAAATCCACCCTCCCTGCAATAAACCTAAGTGTACTCATTCCTGATTACAAGATGGAGACTGGCCTTTCTTTCCAGAAGGAAGCAGAGCAGCATTGGGCCATGCAAGTCAATCTTCCCACCCAGTTCTTTACATCATGCTAACAGAAAAAAATAGGTTTTGCTCATGAGGCTCATATGGAGTCTATATATATTTTGTAGACTTTAATATATATTACTTTTTTACAATTAAAAAGTAGGAGTTTTCTGAAGACATTAAAAATGTAATGCAGAAATAAGAAAGTTAAGCTTTGCCTGTATAAAATAATATACAATAGAGGTGAGCTATATTAAAAATTATCTCAGATGGATGCTACAATGGAATAGCTTAATAATCCAAAGCTGCTGTGCTTTCAGATCAAATAATCTGTTGCAAAGTGAACATGACCTTTAAAACAGGTGGTTATTTTCTATGCATTTTTAAAGAAATAGTTTTATCTTCCGCCACAAGATAAGGACCCCCCTCTCTCACGACTCCTATTCAACACACTACTGGAAGTTCTGGCCAGGGCAATCAGGAAAGAGAAAGAAATAAAGGGTATTCAAATAGGAAGAGAGGAAGTCAAATTGTCTCTGTTTGCAGATGACATAATTGTGTATTTAGAAAACCCCATTGTCTCAGCCCAAAATCTCCTTAAGCTGATAAGCAACTTCAGCAAAGTTGCAGGATACAAAATCAATGTGCAAAATACACAAGCATTCCTATACACCTATAATAGACAAACAGAGGGCCAAATCATGAGTGAACTCCCATTCATAATTGCTACAAAGAGAATAAAATACCTAGGAATACAACTTACAAGGGATGTGAAGGACTTCTTCAAGGAGAACTACAAACCACTGTTCAACAAAATAAAAGAGGACACAAACAAATGGAAAAAACCTTCCATGCTCATGGATAGGAAGAATCAATATCATGAAAATGGCCATACTGCCAAAGTAATTTATAGATTCAATGCTATCCCCATCAAGCTACCATTGACTTTCTTCACAGAATTTGAAAAAACTACTTTAAATTTCATATGGAACCAAAAAAGAGCCCATATAGCCAAGAGAATCCTAAGCAAAAAGAACAATGCTGGAGGCATCACGTTACCTGACTTCAAACTAAACCACAAGACTACAGTAACCAAAACAGCACGGTTCTGGTAGCAAAACACATATATAGACGAATGGAACAGAACAGAGGTCTCAGAAATAACACCACACATCTACAACCAGTTGATCTTTGACAAACCTGACAAAAACAAGAAATGGGGAAACGATTCCCTATTTAATAAATGGTGCTGGGAAAACTGGCTAGCCATATGCAGAAAACTGAAACTGGGCCCCTTCCTTACACCTTATACAAAAATTAACTCAAGATGGATTAAAGACTTAAATGTAAGACCTAAAACCAGAAAAACTCTAGAAGAAAACCTAGGCAATACCATACAGGACATAGGTATGGGCAAAGACTTCATGACTAAAACATCAAAAGCAATGGCAATAAAAGCCAAAATGACAAATGGGATCTAATTAAACTAAAGAGCTTCTGCACAGCAAAAGAAACTATCATCGGAGTGAACAGGCAACCTACAGAATGGGACAAAATTTTTGCAATCTATCCATCTGACAAAGGGCTAATATCCAGAATCTACAAAGAACTCAAACAAATTTACAAGAAAAAAACAAACAACCCCATCAAAAAGTGGGTGAAGGACATGACCAGACATTTCTCAAAAGAAGACATTTACGTAGCCAACAAATATATGAAAAAAAGCCTATCATCACTGGTCAGTAGAGAAATGCAAATCAAAACCACGATGAGATACCATCTCACTCCAGTTAGAATGGCAATCATTAAAAAGTCAGCAAACAACAGATGCTGGAGAGGATATGGAGATATAGGAACACTTTTACACCATTGGTGGGAGTGTAAATTAGTTCAACCATTGTGGAAGATAGTGTGGTGATTCTTCAAGGATCTAGAACCAGAAATACCATTTGACCCAGCAATACCATTACTGAGTATATATTCAAACGATTATAAATCATTCTACTATAAAGACACATGTACATGTATGTTTATTGCAGCATTGTTCACAATAGCAAAGACTTGGAACCAACCCAAATGCCTATCAATGATAGACTGGATAAAGAAAATGTAGCACATATACACCATGGAATACTATGCAGCCATAAAAAAGGATGAGTTCATGTCCTACGCAGGGACATAGATAAAGCTGGAAACCATCATTCTCAGCAAACTAACACAGGAACAGAAAACCAAACACCACATGTTCTCACTCATAAGTGGCAGTTGAACAATGAAAACACATGGACGCACGGAGGGGAACATCACACACCTGGGCCTGTCAGGGGTGGGGGGCCAGGGGAGGGATAGCATTAGGAGAAATACCTAATGTAGATGACAGGTTGATGGGTGCAGCAAACCACCATGGCACGTGTATACCTATGTAACAAACCTGCACATTCTGCACATGTATCCAAGAACTTGAAAGTATTTAAAAAAAGAAAGAATAAAGAAATAGTTTTATCTTAAAAACAGTGTCAAAAATTTGGGAAGCCAAAAGCACAAGGAAAATTTACATCACCCATAATCCTACCACTGAGAAGTAACCACTGTTAATTAAGAAGTTGGTATTTAGCCTCCTAGTCTTTGTTCTACATTAACATGCTGTTATTACAAAAATGAGATCATCCTGTGTTTATTGTTTGGTAACAACTTTACCAATAAACAATATATAGGCAACATTGTCACATCATTAAACATTCTTCCAAAACACATAGGTAATTTATAAGCACTGCAAAATATTTCATTGTTCCTCTTAAGTGGAAACACACTAAATTTAAGGACAGGTGAGAATAATAAATTGGTTTCATTTTATGAATGTACCTTAATTTATTTAACCAAATTCTCCCACCACTACTTTTCTCTCTCTCCCCCCAGCCCTGCTATAAGCAAGAATAAATGTAACATCCTTGTAATAAATTTTTTGCGTGTCTATTTGCAAGTTATTATCTTGAGATAAATTCCTAGATGTGCAATTACTGAGTCAAAGAGAATTCACTATGCTTTTTAAACCAAATTATTTTTTATTTTCTCCTGAAATTTTCTAGAATCAAGCAAGAGCTCCAACACTGTCAGTGATGTAAGCAATTTACAGGTATGTCTCTTGTAGTTTACAATACCTAATTTCATTCTACCATGTAGCTGATGTCAAGCACATGTGTGTTTAATTTTTTTAAAAACAGAGTCATTGCAACTCTCTTATGTTGACAGCTCCAGTCATTTACAGTTTATAAAAATTATATCACAAATTTAAACTAAGTCATGGAAGCAATTTACATAATAAGACGAAGAGGGAGCTAATTTCTGTTCAGAGCAGTGTAGAGAGCTCCTCATTCTTAAATCGAAGTCAATGAACTGCAGATACACACAGCAACATGGATGAACCTCACAGGCGCTATGTTGATTGGAAGAAGCCAGACACTAATATGCACATATTTATGATTCCATTTACGTAAAGTTCAAGAATAAACAGAACTAATGAGAGTGACAGAAGTCAAAACATCGGTTACCTCTTGGGGTCAGGGAAGATGATGTTGAATGGGAAGCAGCCCAAAGGAGTCTTCTGGGGTCCTGGAGATAATTTATCTGTGGATCTAAATGACAGTTACATAGTATAGTAAAAACTATTAAAATGTACACATAATAATTGAACAATACACTTAAAATGTGGATATTTTCACTTCATGTATGTTACTATTTATGTTATACCTCTATTTTTGCAAAACCAAAAGCAACCTAAGGTATGAATGTTATGTGTATTAGTTTCCTAGGGCTGCCATAACCAAGTACCACAAAGTGGGTGTAAACATAAATTTATCCAGAGAATAGAAGTCCAGAATTAAGGTGTCAGCAGGGCCGTGCTGCCTCCTGAAACCTGTAGGGGAATTCTTCCTGGCCTCACTATACCTTCAGGTGGTCTGCCAACAGCCTTTGGCAATCTTGGCTTGTAGGTGTATCATCCCAACCCGCCATCTTCACATGGCCATATTCCTTTTTTTTTTTTTTTTCTTGAGTTATAAGTCTTTTTAACTTTATTTTAAGTTCAGGGGTATATGTGCAGGTTTGTTACACAGGTAAACTTGTGTCATGGGGGTTTGTTGTAGAGATTATTTCATCACCTAGGTATTGAGCCTAGTACCCATTAGTTATTTTTCTTGATCTTCTCCCTCCTTCTCTCCTCTTTCCTCCAGTAGGCCCCAGTGTGTGTTGTTCCCCTCTATGTGTCACATGGCCATATTCTTAAAAGGACACTAGTCATACTGGATTAGGGGCCTACCCTATTCCACTCTGACCTCATCTAATTACATCTGCAATAACCCCTATTTCCAAATGAGGTCACATCCTGAGTACTAGGGGTTAGGCTTTCAACATCCATTTTGGGGTGATACAATTCAATCCATACTAGTTTGCAATCTTGTTTTTAAATTTTCTCTTAAAAGTGTGAGTTCTGCAAAATGAACCAAAAGCAAGAAAATAGTGTCTGGAAGGGTTTATATTACAGTCAGCAGTGCAGGGGCCCTGTTTGCAAGGAGATTCAGTAGGATTGCAGATTTGTTCTTAGTTTCCAGAACATGTATCAAGAGGAGGGAAAGACACTTGGGAAAAATTACACAAGGAGAATTAGAAGCTAGCAAGAGATTGCTCGCTTAAGTAGCGATGCAGTGTAGTACTTCTGAGATATTAAGATATATTATGCTCATTGTTCTCCCAGTATCCAGTGACTTGGCTGCATTGGGGGAAGCTTTTGGCAGGGCAGAAAACAGAAATAGAGAATGAGCCTTCCTGGATTTTGTGTTCCAGAGTCGGGAGATTAAGTGTGGATACACAATGTCTTGGACAAAAATTTGAAGGGAGAATCCTACCTTTGTCCATTAGATATGAGAAGGATTCTTTCAGCCTTGGGATGGAAGCAAAAAGCAAGGGAGACTGATTTCTGATTCCCAGCAGAGCCTCTTGGGGGGTTCAACTGCCAGAGAAAGAATAACTGTAGCAGAAGGGACTGTGGCAGCCTTATAGATGTTTCTGTGTCCCCAGTGTGACACTGCATCAGCAGATAGAGCTGCAGGGCTCACGAGCCACGTGGACAGCCAAGAGTCACCTACAGAGACCTACCAAAAATCCTAGGACTACACAGGCCCCTTACAACATATAGGCCAAAAATGAAAAAGTGATTCATTAAATTGATAACTAAATCTCAAACAGTTTGTCCCCATTTATAAGGCATTTCAAATAAATAAATGCACAAATAAGAAACATAAATCCCTTGTCAGATAAGATATTCCAATTTTTGGTTCAGACATTATGGTCACATATAAAAAATCTGGCAAAAGGGAAAAATTGTTCTAAGGCACCAAGAGGGATGGAAACTAAAATCAAATTAGAGCTGGAATCTAGAACCAGAGATTTAGCTTATATCAACTTCTCGGTGCAGATCTAAAGAAGAAGAAACAGAAAGTATTAAATATTTGGTGTGCTGTCCAGGATACGAGAGCATGAAAGGAACACAGACCAACAATGTCTGGTCAAGTCTTGCCCATGACAATCAATACCGAGGAAGAAAGCAATAGATGGGATGCAAAGACAGATGCTGTGAAAGGAATTCCAGTGAGTAGCAGGGCATGCCTGTTGCTTCTCTTAAACCCATCTTCCAACATTACCTTAGCTGTGAGTGGTTCCCAGCTTTATAACAGACTACTAATGAAACCACTTTTACTTCTAGAAGAACATCGATGGAGAGCAGGCATATTTATACATAGTTACAGCAACTGGTGCTGTCTTTAGCAGACAGGGCTGGCCTGTGTTCATTTGGTTTGTTCCTTGTTAAGTAGTTCTACCTGCCCATTTTAGCACCATTGAATATTTCAGCCTCGCATCTGACTTTTTTGATCACCATGACTTCTGAACCAAAATTTGGGAAGTCTGACCTGATAAAAAATATTTTTTTCTGACTTGTGAGTATATTTATATAATATTCATCATCTCATAATTGAAGATGAATTATGTCATATTTAGTTAGAAATTTACTTATTCAATTGAAAAGTATAAAATGAGATAAAATTGGGTCTAGGCTAGAAAATCCAGGACATGTGGTCATCATACATGGAAAATTGGGATTTGTAGAAGAGGCACCAGCAGTCATCTGGAACCTGTCCCTTGCTTGTGGCAGCACAAGAATTTGCTTCAGGAAAATGGATCATCCTGTGAATACAGGGTCCAGCTCAGCATCATGTGCCAAGGAAGACCTAACTGTCATCAGATGATGAAATCAGAAGGATTCCACAGGCTGGAGCAAGACATTTACTGGGATCCAGTTTCCTTCCACTGCATTCCTACAGTTCCGGGTTGGCTGCCAGCAGTTGCCTGCATGCCCCTTTCTGTCCTAAGCACACTGTGCTGTCCCACGGATGTCTGAGATTTCTTTCCAACAGACCTAACCATGAGACAGCCTTTCCTGCATGTTTGCTGATTCTGTTAGTTACGTCCTGTACCATGCATCTCAAATTAAATCATCAGCAGATAAACATTTGGGCCAGAGCAAGATAGTGAATGCTTCCATTTCTAAATAGTAGGATATCAACAACAGAATATAAACTTTATTTCCATTCATTGATGACTCTCCACCATGTACCTATGCATTTAATTGTTAAAATAAAAAGTATATAAGCTGATTTCTTGATTGAGCATAAAAAGTATGACCCTCATAACTTTTAGTTGATGATAAATTATGAAAAAAATTGAAATTTATTTCAATCATTTTTCATTCTCCTACACAGGAGATCTGATAACATCTAATAAAACATGCTCTTTTATGGATGAAACACGTGAGTCAGGAGCTTCTGGATAGCTGGTCACATGAGGTTCTAGAGGGTAGCGTGCCCAGGGAGGGCATGCAAGCTCCTTTCCCGTTCCCCCATACCTCACCCTACACATCTCTTCACCTGTATCCTTTGCAATATCCTTTATAATAAACCAATCAATGTAAGTGTTTCACTGAGTTATTGTTGTTGTGGCTTCTTTTACTTCCATAGTTCAGCGGGCAGGAGTGTTGCAGCTCTTTTACTCTAGCCACCCATAGTTCAGTGAGCAGGAGCCTTACAGCTCTTTCACTCCCACAGTTTGGTGGGTTCCAAGTTCTTGTCTCACCAGGCTGGCTGTTCCCTCAGGAATAAACTCCTGAGTGTCTGGACTATATATAACCGTCTTCAATTTTTTCAACAGTGAGCTGTGGTTCCTGCATCAACTCAAACATGCTCTTGCTCTTCCACTCTGCAGCATTTAAAACCACAGATACTGTCCCTAAATTACTTGCTCTCATTAATCCAGTAGGCTACAAATCCCTCTTTGGGTTTGACTAACTTTCTGGAGTAGCTCACAATGATAGCAACAGGAGACAGACAAATCCAAACCCCTCAAGCTGTACCCAACTTGAAGCCAGTCAGTCACTTGCAACTGGTGTGGGGTGGTGTTGGGGCAGCCTTGAGGACTGAGCCCTCAACCTGGGGATCCTACACTAACTCCAGGTAGTGTCAGAATTGAATGACAGGATATCAGCCAGGGTTCACTGCTTGGTGTGTTGGAGAAAACCCACACACATTTGGTCACAGAAGTCTTCTTCTGTGTTGATGATTATTGTGGTGGTGTGAAAGCAGAATAAAAAAGGGGTTTGAGAAGAGAGTTTTTCCCTGAAACAATTGGTGTCAGTGAAGCTCAATTTGCTAGAACAACCCTCACTCATAGAAACATGTGGTTTGGGAAGAGAAAGAATGAAAGGGTGGGGAATGAGGAATCTTTGATTCCTGGGCGGCCACATGGTCATCCATGATATGAAGCTGCCCCTGTGTTGAGATCAGTTACCAAAGGTAAAAGTTACCAGTGGAATTTAGAGATGGATCCAACTCCCCAGGAGCTGGTTCACTGGATCCATAAGGAAATGCAAACTAATATGAAAAAAGCAAAACATTCAATCCCTTGGTTATCGTTATCTGTAATAGCTAAAATGAAATTTAAAAAGAACTCTGGGTCTGACCTTAATATTAGACCAAGCTTAGATTTCAGACAGCCTGAGCTCAGGCCACCAGCCTCAAAGCCACCCCCTAAGGGCAAAATTGTGCGGGGACAATAGAAAATATCTCCAAGACCTGTGGCTACCAAGAAGGTAGTCAACGTGGCGGAAAGGCAAAGCCAAGTAACTATTGAAACCAGAGGGTATAGTGTGAAGGAAGTGTTCCATTTTGTAGATCGGTATCATCAGTTTCCCGAGGAACCTTTACTATGTTGGATTATGAGAGTAACTAATTGAGGGACAGTATCTTTGGTTTTAAATGCTGCAGAGCAGAATGGAAGAGCATGTTTGAGCTGATGCAGGACCCACAGCTCACTACTGAACCACTGAAAACAGTTGTATAGGGTCCAGATACACAGGAGGTTATTCCTGAGGGAACAGCCAGCCTGGATGACTGGATAAAAGCCACTATACAGTCTGTTTACCCTGAGAAAGGGGAACTGTCCAACTCCCCCTTTAAATGCCAAGTGGAGCACTCTAGATGAGGCAGCTGATATGCTTTCTATACAAGCCATGCAGGACTAACTGCATAATGAAAGAGATATTCACACACTGGATATGCCCATTACCCAGGTCATAGTAAATGCTGTAGTTAAGAGGGCCCCTTCTATAAAGACACCCAAAAAGATTCCTGCAGAATCAAACAAGAGTTCCAAAAGCCTGATCAAATTTGTTGTCTCAGCTTCCTCTCACGGGTCTTACAGATGCTAATAAAAATACTAGGTTAATTAATAACAGAATGGTGAACAGGAGAGGGGAGAGTCAAAACACTCAGGACAGAAATTTTTAAACAGTTATTAAAAAATAAGATGAGGCCAGACATGGTGGCTCACGGCTGTAATGCCAGCACTTTGAGCTTCGGGAGGCTGAGGCAGGAGGATTGCTTGAGCCCAGGAGTTTGAGGCCAGCCTCTGCAACATAGTAAGACATTTCCTTACCAAAAAAAAAAAGTTTTAATTAAATTAATTTTAAAAAATAGCTGTGCATGCTGGCATGTGCCTGTAGTGCCAGCTACTTGCGAGACTGAAAGGGGAGGATCACTTGGGCCCAAGAGGTTGAGGCTGCAGTGAGCCATGATTGCACCACTACACTCCAGGCTGATCAATAGAGTGAGACACTGTCCAAAAAAAGAAAAAAAGGCTGGGCACAGTGGCACACACCTGTAATCCCAGCACATTGGGAGGTCTAGGAGGAGGATCACTTGAGCTCAGGAGTTTGAGACCAGCCTGGGTAACATAGTGAGACTTTGTCTCTACAAAAAAACCAAAAATTAGCCAGGTGTGGTGGCACATGCCTGCAGTCCCAGCTCCCCAGGAAGCCAAGGCAGGGAAAGAATGACTGGAGCTTGGGAGATAGAGGCTGTGGTGAGTCATGATTGCGCCACTGCACTCCAGCCTGGATAACAGAGAAAGACCCTGTCTCAAAAAAATAAAAAATAAAAATAAATGAGATGAAAAAATACACTGTTGATGGGATGAAACTAAGAGGAAAGAGAGTCATGGGACTTGTCCTAACAGGATAAAAATCTTCAGATGGTTATTTTAAAATGGAATTAATAAAATAAAAATTGATGGGGTTAAAACAAAAGTCTTAATATAAGATTAGTGAAAATTGAGTGGACCAAAGGGAGCCTCTGCTGGTCCCTCAGTATTAACGGACCCCAAACCATTTGCCACATTTCTCGCAGTTGGAGGTATTTTAAAAGCCCAAAGGTAAAGATTACTCAAAAAAAAACCCACCTGGAATTGCCTGGGGCGATGAGTAGACTGGTTAATCAAGGTATTGACAGAGAGGCCAGAGTCCCTTAGTCAGACCCCTGGCTGGAGACCCAAAGCCTCTTTTTTACGCAAGAGAGGGTAAAATGGTGTGGTGGTGAAGAAGAGAAGTTCCTGGAACTAGACCATGAAAACGTAAAAGTTGATAGAATTATACAAGTTGGTGTATTTGAACACACTTTATGTGAAATGGTTGCATCTCTCTTACCTGATTATATCATGGGAATGAACACTGTATCTGACTGGAAAATGTTTTCCCTACCTAGTACCATAAAACAGAAAGCACGTAAGTCTGCCCTTCAAGCAATATAAATTGGACACGCTAAATGGGAACCAATAAGATTTCCCAAGCCCACACAGTGCAGAGCAGAAACTAGAGTGCTATTAGGGACAAATTCTCCATTTCATAGCCCTTTATGGAGTATTTTCTAGAGTATATAGCAAAGGCCTATGAGTGCCTCCCAGCAGCAACCACTGAGACTTTGGACTAGAGAATTTCCACTTGAGGAACATTTACTACCTTGCTAATGGGGTGGTAATTGAATCTATCCCATGGCTGAAGGACATAAAATGATTTTGATACCTGAAATATCAATGCTATGTCATTGATACTGAGATGTCAGAGAAATTCTCTAAGCGGAATAGCAGTGCCCAGAAGTATTCCACAATACAATGAAAATGGTTTAAACATGATTTTGCTGTTCACTGGATGGATAAGGAAATGCAAGTAAGAAAAAAGTAAAGTATTCAAACCCTTGGTTATTGAATGCAATAACCAAGAGGAGAAATGCAAAGAGATACTCACAGCAGGGAGCCTCTTTACCCCTAGGCTGACTCTGGAACTGTGTAAGGTGCTGCTGGAATCTATCAACACTTGGACAGTGCCCTATGAACATCTCTCAACTGACCAACAAGGAGCTGCCTGGTTTACAGACAGCAGTTCCAAGTGAATGCACAACATCCTGTTTGGAAGACTGCTACTTTGATCAAAGAATGTAAAAATGAGATCCTGTCATTTGCAATACCATAGATGGAACTGGAGGTCATTATGTTAAGTGAAATAAGCCAGGCACAGAAAGACAAACATCACATGTTTTCACTTATTTGTGGGATCTAAAAATCAAAACAATTAAACCCATGGAGATAGAGAGTAGAAGAATGGCTACCAGAGACTGGGAAGGGCAGTGGAGGGGTTGTGAAAGAAGAGGATAGTTTTGGGTTGGAAAAAATAGTTAGAATGAATTAATAAGGCCTAGTACTTGATAACATAACAGGGCCTAGTACTTGATAGCATAATAAGGCCTAGTACTTGAAAGCATAACAATAATTAGATTGCTTGTAATACAAAGGATAAACGCTTGAAGGGATGAATACCCTATTTCCCATGGTGTGATCATTATTCATTGAATGCCTGTATGAAAACATCTCATGTACCCCATAAATATATATGCCTATGAACCCACAAAATTATAATTTACAAGTTATTAAAAAATTGGCCAGGCATGATGGCTCACGCCTGTAATCCCAGCATTTTGGGAGCCAAGGCAGAAGGATCACTTGAGCCTGGGAGTTTGAGATCAGCCTAGGCAACATAGCAAGACCTCATCTCCACAAAAAGATTTTAAAAAATTAAAAAGAAAATTTTTGGCTGGGCACGGTGGTTCATGCCTGTAATCCCAGCACTTTGGGAGGTCGAGGCAGGTGGATCACAAGGTCAGGAGTTCGAGACCAGCCTGGCCAACATAGTGAAACCCCATCTCTACTAAAAATACAAAAATTAGCCAGGTGTGGTGGCCCATATCTGTAGACCCAGCTACTTGGGAGACTGAGGCAAGAGAATCACTTGAATCCGGGAGGCAGAAGTTGCAGTGAGCTGAGACAGTACCACTGCACTCCAGCCTGGGTGACAGAGCAAGACTCCATCTCAAAAAGAAAGAAAGGAAAGAAGGAAGGAAGGAAGGAAGGAAGGAAGGAAGGAAGGAAGGAAGGAAGGAAGGAAGGAAGGAAGGAAGGAAAGAAGGAAGGAAGGAGGGAAGGAAGGAAATTTTTTAATCATAAAAAATTTTTTTAAAAAAAGAAGGTAAAAACAGATCAGCTCAGTGGACGGAATTGCATGCTGTTTTTCTAACAGTAATGAAAAAATGGAACAGTGGTGAAAGTCCCTGTGTTTAGGTTTTTACTGACTCACAGGCAGTGACAAATGACGTGACTATACAATCAGGCAGAAGGAAACCCGGATGATTAAAGGGATGCCCAAATGAGGCATGGCTCTATGGAAATTTGTGGGTGCATTAAAGTAGAACAAGTCAATGCCCATCAGAAGAACTCCCTTCCAGGTTACGAAGGTGACTGGAATCAACAAACAGATATTCCCATGTGCTCCCATGGGCCACCTTGGTCCATGAAATTAGTGGATTTGGGGTTACTGCAGCAGTGTGGAGATGAGCTGCATTAAAACATTGGCCGGCCATAGTGGCTCACGCCTGTAATCTCAGCACTTTGGGATGCCAAGGCAGAAGGACCACTTGAGCTCAGGAGTTTGAGACAAACCTGGGCAACAGGGTGAAACCCTGCTTCTACTAAAAAATACAAAAATTAGCCAGCTGTGGTGGTGCGTGCCTGTAGTACCAACTACTTGAGAGGTTGAGGTGGGAGGATCACCTGAGCCCGGGAGGTCGAGGCTGCAGTGAGCTAAAGTCCTGCCATTACACTTCAGCCTGGGCAATTAGAGTAACATCGTGTCTCAAAAAATATATATATATATATATATATAATATATAATATATATATATAATATATATAAATTCCTTTTGCACTCTCTCAGGCCTGCCAGTAAGAACTGTTCTGTTTCTCTGCAAGAGAGACAGAGACTGCCAATGGCTATGAGGCATATTCACTGGTAGGAAGGCCCTCAACACAGCTGGCACATGAGACTGATGCTGGTTTTCTCTGGGGGCTACAAATGGATCTTGACAGGATTAGACACTGACTTGGGAGTAGGCTTTGCTTACCCAGTAGAAGAAGAAAATGCTTAGAGTGCCATAAAAAAACCACAACAGAAGATAATGCATAGATTTGGGTGGCTAACCATCATTTCTTCAGATCAAGGAACACACTGTACAGCCCATAGTGTCCAACAATGGGCAGAGAGATATATCCTTAGAGTAATCATTTGATGGAGAAGTAGAACAGGCAATTAAGACATTGGTTGTCTAAAAAAGAAAGAGCTAAAAGCAGGAAGGGCTGGCCTACCTGCCTTCACAAGTGTGTGCTCACACTCAGCATGAGTGGGACTAGAGTGTCCCTGCTAGATGTTTTCAGTTTTTCTGGTTGACCTGGGGAAGAGGGGGTGAGAGATACTGGTATGATATGACTATGCAAGTCTTGCCAAGGGAGGAGTACACTGGTATACGGACTATATTTTTTCTTTTTTTCCCCATATCACCTCGTAAGAAATTTTTTTTCTCTCTCCTACCTGATGCAGTGGTCCTAGGACCAAGGGCTGCAACTACAAGTGCTGGAAGCAGGGATGATTCCTAAGCAAGAAATCTTCACTGTGTTTTTAAAGTGTGTCAGAATTCCTAAGGGGCCTGATGGGGGTGGATTGTGCCTTCACCCCACCTGGCAAAATTGGGGTTAAGAATAAATGCAGCTATATTGCCTGGTGGTAAAAATGGCACATTAGTTTGGAACCTATGTAATCCTTCTCGATATGAATGCGGGTGAACTAAGGGAGAGGCACTCGCTAGACTAGTATTGCCGCAGGCAATCTACATCAGCACAGTGGCCAAACCTAATGTCCTTTCCAAAAGTGTCAGAGTTTGGGTCAAAATAAATAATAAATGGGGAACAGGAGGAATAATAGCTGAGGGTAAAGAAATGAATAAACAGTGATAAATGGAGGGAAATCCAATATTACATTAACAACTCTAAAGAGTCTCGGAACAAGAGATGACATTGCCTCGTAGCTCGGTTATTCCAGCTGCCTGAAAGGGAGAAGCTATGTATTTGCCAATACCACTCTTGCTTTTGGAACCTGACAAGGATAAAAGGAAGCCTGAAAATCTAAGTGGCCTCAGCCTGGGAGACATTCATACAATATGATGGACTGGACCACTTATTAATGATTGTGTATCTTTGTTTTGCTATAAGGGATTCATGGTTGGAAAACAGGGAGTGGCCTGTGGTGTCATAATATATATTGGTATTCGCCCATGGTTCCTGGCCTTGTTACAGTTTTTTGTTATAATGTTGGGTGTGTTAGGCCTCAGGGGCAGACCTCCGGCCTTCTCCTGCCCTCTTTTCACTTGCCTCAAGGCAGGACTCTACTCTTTCCATTCTTTCTGATTGTGAGGTTTTGTTTGTCTGTTTCTCTTTTTTTTTTTTTTTTTTTTTTTGTCATCCAGGCTGGGGTGTAATGGCACTGTCTCAGCTCACTGCAACCTCTCCCTCCCAGGTTCAAGCGATTCTCCTGCCTCAGTCTCCCGAGTAGCTGGGATTACAGGTGCCCGCTACCATGCCCGACTAATTTTTGTATTCTTTGTGGAGACAGGGTTTTGCCATCTTGGCCAGGGTGATCTCAAACTCCTGACCTCAGGTGATCCGCCCACCTTAGCCTCCCAAAGTGCTGGAATTACAGGCATGAGCCACCACGCCCAGCCCTGACTGTGAGTCTTAAGATCCTCCCCAGAGAGGAGAGAAGGAGAATTCTTCTAGGAATTCTCTAGGGAGAAGAAATGCTGATGTCATGAAGCATCCATAAAAACCCAGGAGAACTGGATTCTAAGAGCTTCCAGATAGATAAACATACAGAAGTTCTTGGAGGGTGCCATGCCCAGGGAAGGCATGGGAGCTCCTCGCCCCTTCTCTCATACCTCACTCTACACATCTCTTCATCTGTATCCTTTATAATAAACCATTAAACATAAGTGTCGAGAAAAAAGAAAAGAACTTGAGTCACAAAGAGCTTAAGGCAATGCTTCTCAAACTTGAATGTGCATCAGAACCACTTAGGATTCCACAGAAATACAAAAGATCCTCAGAGACTGGTATGAACACCTCTATGAGCACAAACTAGAAAACCTTGAGGAAATGAAAAATTCCTGGAAACACACAACCTCCCAAGACTGAACCAGGAAGATATTGAAACCCTGACCAGACCAATAACAAGTTACAAAATTAAATCAGTAATAAAAAAGTTGCCAACCCAAAAAGCCCTGGTCAAGGCAGATTCGTAGCTGAATTCTACAAGTTGTACAAAGAAGAGCTGGTACCAGTCTTACTGAAATTATTCCAAAAAATTGAGGAGGTAGCCCTCCCTAACTCATTCTATGAGATCATTATCATCTTGATACCAAAATTATTAATCATGTGGAATCTCATCACTTGACTTAAATTTTAATATTCAGTGAGAAAATGCACACAAAGCACTTGTGCTGCTTATTGAAATACTATGTTGTCTTCAAGAAAAGCACTTGTGTGATTGAGTTGTGAGTTGAAGTAGTTGCTTTGTTTCATGGAACACTATATTCATTTTCTATTGCGACTGTAACAAACTGCCACCAAGTTGGTGGCTTAAAACAAAACAAATGTATTATCTTACACTTCTGGAGGTAAGAAATCCAACATGGGTCTCACTGGGCTAAAATCAAGGTGTCAGCAGGACTGTGTTCCTTCTAGAGATTCGGGGGGGAATCAATTTTCCTGCATTTTTCATCTTCTAAAGGCCACCTACATTCCTTGGTGCATGGCCCCTTCCTTTATCTTCAACTTCCTTTATCTTCAAAGCCAGACTCATAGCGTCTTTAAATCTCCTACTGTTCTCTTTGACTCATAAGGACCCTGTTGACTGCAGTGGGCTAAACCAGGTGATTCAAGATAATCTTCCTATCTTAAGATTGTTAACCAAATTACATCTTCAATGCCCCTTTTGCCATGTAAGTGAACATATTAACAGGTTCTAGATTAAAACAGTCATTACTCTGCTTACCACGATCACCACTTTCACATGAAAGAATGAATAACAGACAAACTGGTTATTCAGTTCCGGGTATTTGGCATTTTCTCAAAATAAACAAAGTAAACCTGTAACTTTTAGGAAAACCACCTTTTTTTTTTTTTTTTTTTTTTTTTTTGATACAGGGTCTCACTCTGTCACCCAAGCTGGAGTGCAGTGGTCTGATCTCAGCTCACTACAATCTCCACCACCTGGGTTCAAATGATCCTCCTTCCTCAGCCTCCCAAGTAGCTGGGACTACAGGCATGTGCCATCATGCCTGGCTAATTTTTTTTTTTCAGAGATGGGGTTTCTTCATGTAGCCCAGGCTTATCTTGAACTCTTAGACTCAACAGATCTGCTTGCCTTAGCCTCCCAAAGTGCTGGGATTACAGGCATGAGACTCCACACCTGGCCAGTAAAACCACTTACAGTATTTGTTACCAAAGATAAAACTCAAATTTTCAAACTAAAATTAGAATATTAGAAAACTTGTGTCCACCACAGTGAGCTTGACAGCCTCCCAATGCTTAGACTTCTAATGAGATTAGTAGTGTGATTTCTTTTAGACATTAAATAATGAAATGTGTCCACATTTGGAGGATCTGAGTAGCTAAGTAAACCAATATTTTTCAAATGACCACTGCATGATGTTACAAAATCATGCATGGGTAAGAGATTACTCAGCATGGAAGACGGACCAATGGGTTAAAATGTAATAGAGTATGCAAAGTTCATGATATGGTTTTAGACTCCACATCGCAATCAACCTTAAAGAAACTACCACTTGTTAAATTTTGATGTAGTATTTCAAAAGACTACTCACAATTATCTGAAAAGGCTATAAAAATACAATTCCTTTTCCAACTGTCTATCTGTATCAGGCCAGATTTAGTCTGGATACCTTAATTTTTAAAATCATAACAAATTGAATGCAGAATAAAGTAAGAATCCAGCTATCATTTTGTAAGTCAAACATTAAAGATATTTGCAAAAATGAAAAACAATGCCACTCTTCTCTCTCACTTTCTTTGAGGAAATCTAGTTATTTTTTATTTAAGAAATTAATTATGTTAACACATAATGTGTTTATTATTATTTTAAAGGAGTAAATAAAGTTTTTGTAATTTCTCAGTTTTAATTTCTAATATGGTAAATATTGATAGCTATAACTCACATAAACAAAAGCTCTTCAAAGCCTTCAATAATTTTTAAGACTGTGAAGCCGACCTGAGACCAAGTACCACTAGTCTACCCTTTGGCCACCAGAGCAGGGAACAGAACTAAAGAGGTAACAAGGATGAGCTCAGCCACAGTAACCCTAATAATGGTGTCAAGTGACCCTGAAAAATGCAATCTGAATAATCTTTTCAATGCCCTCTTCCCAGGGAGAGGAGGTCCCAGCACTAAGGCAGCTGAGATGAGGTTTGGAGGAGGTAAAGAGGTACAGTCAGGACCCTTCAAACCCTGGGAGAGCCCATCACATGTCCCATGAGAGCACCAGCACTTTTGACACTTACCACACAGACGGCATCAGTTAGCTGTTCAGGGTTAGCTAAAAAAGCAAGGACAACCAATAAAGTGCAACATTTGTCTCTTTTCCTCTCTCTTATCAAGGCTCAAACCAAATGAGAAGCTAGAGACTTAGAAGAAGAGGGAGAATTCCAGAGGAAGATCACATACTCCCACAGTGAGGGGGGCACAAGACTGAAAGAGAAAACCAAGACCTACCCCTCCCACATCAAGTCCCTCTAGCTACAAATCTGGTTGGTAATGAAAACGACTGAAACTTTAAAATTGGAACTTTAAATTCAATAGATCCTCACTAACCAAAGGATCTGGAAAGCTACTGAATCCATCCATGATATCATAAGGAATCTGCTTTAAGTGGGTGGAAAATTAAGGAACAGTCCCCAAGATCACCCTCATTTCTGGCACCAATTGTAAGTTCAAGGGTTCCCAAGACCACCCTCAGATTTGGTAACTTGCTAGGACTCACAGAACCCACTGAAATCTGTCATACACATGATTATGGTTTATTACAGTGACATGATACAGATTAAAATCAGCCAAGAGAAGAGAGGCATGGGACAGAGTCCAGGAAAGTTCCACTCATGCAGCTTCCAGCTGTCCTCTCCCAGTGCAGTCGCAGACAGCATTAACTTGCCCAGCAACAAAATGGGACGATGCACACTGAGTACTGCCAACCATGGAAGCTCACCCCAGCCTCCGTGTCCAGAGTCTTTATTGAGGCTCTAATGTATACAAGATAACTGCTCACATAACCAGTAACACATGACCAAAAGCCCCCACCTTAATCACACTGTTAGACTATCCAGTG
The DNA here is from genome assembly GCF_000001405.40 of Homo sapiens. Taxonomy (NCBI): domain Eukaryota; kingdom Metazoa; phylum Chordata; class Mammalia; order Primates; family Hominidae; genus Homo; species Homo sapiens. Next base: position 101,191,683 of record NC_000003.12, read on the forward strand.
TGGACCAAGGCCCCCAGGTAAACAAAGACATTTTTAGCAGCAGGACATTTCAGGGACTCAGAGAATTCCTCCCAGGAATCAGTGCAAAGACCAGATCTCTCTTTAGGTTAGTTTTATTACATTATTATTATCATTATTATTACTATTGAGACTGAATCTTGCTCCGTCACGCAGGCTGAAGTGGCAGTGACAGCTCATAACTCGCTGTAACCTCAAACTCCTGAACTCAAGCAATCCTCAGCCTTAGCCTCCAGAAAGTCAAATTCTTTGCTACATAGTGGAGAAGGGAGATCCAACTTAATGAAGCTAGTGGTAATGACTGGCAAAAAGTAAAACAACTTCATGTTTGTGCTTCGTCCACTGACCACAACACATAGTCTTTACCCTTCTTCCTTGTAACCTAACTTCCCTCCCTTGAGCCTCGGTCGGCACTGGCCTGAGTGCCTGTGCATTAGTATAGCCTGTGCATTGGTATAACCTACACATATGCCTCCCATCTGAGAATGGAAAACACCAACTAGTCTAGGCAGAATCAGGCAGGAGTTTATGCAAAACCCCTTATGATAAAATTCCAACATGACACCCACTCATTTTGATTAACAAACTCTTCTTAAAATATATCAGGAAAGTTAGGATTTTGGTATATGTTATTCAAGCTTCTGTCATTAGTTTTATCTTACTGTTTTTCATCCTGAAAGCTGGATTAAAACAGTTGTTTGTAGGAAATAGAAACTAAAATATCATGAATCACAGAAGGTTTCTCCAAGCAGGCGAGTCTTTGAAGCCACTTCTGTTGCTGGCTTTTCTTACATATATATAATAGTGTCCAAAGCTCCTGGAATCTCTCAAGAGCTACCCAGAAAAAAAATCTTCTCAAGTGATAATCATTTAGTAGTGTCTGCCTGGATCAACAAATTTAGGAAGATTCTGAAGCCTTACCTGCGCTCTGCTTGAAAACGTGTGGTAATGCATTAGTAGGGTCAGTCTTGGCCACTGGAGAGGATGATAGCATTAGTACCTTCTAGTTCTCATTCTGATCTAATATTTAACCTCGGGCCCTGACACTGCTCTTGGGGAAGCTGGGTCACTTGCAAATCCTTCAGTTAAAATCCGTGGTTCTTCATCCTTGCCCACTCACTGGCCAATCCAGCCTTCCCATCTGTTTCTCTCCTGGTGATGTTTCACTCCTAGTGATCCAAAGACTATACACCATCCATCAAGCACCACTGGCTCTGAGGTCAAGCGTAACAATTGCTCCATCACAGTTGTGCTTTGGGCCAGTTCCTCAGCATGTTCTGAATACCCTGACCCAGAAAGGAGAGGGCAGAAGTAGGACTTAATTTCTCCAGAGCAGTGCTGTGCAAGCATCTCCACCCCTAGTGACCCAGGAGCATCCATTTTTACCTTCAAGGTTCTGAGCATATTGCTACCAGCAGCATCATTTGTGTGTTTACTATGTGCTAAACATAGTAAACATTAAGTACCTTTAATGCTCACATCAACTCTATAAGTTACATATTAACATCAGCTCCACTTTATAGAAAAAGAAACTGAGGGATAAAAGGATTTAAAAATTTGTCCAAAGCCAAGTGAAGTTTTTGTGGTTCACCTGAGTCCAGAGATTGTACTTTAAATATTACATTATATTGCTCACATCTTGCAAAAAAAAAAGTCATGCACAGTAGTGTTCTGTGTTTAAAAATAATTCAGATTTCATATTCTATTCTATAATAAATCTGGGTGTGTTTTAATATAAAAATTATATTACATCTCATACACTGCGGTAAAGTTGATACTCCCACAAAAGAAGACATGTTTATCCTGAGGCTTGATGTTCCCCTTGGGGCACAAGTACACTGAGAGAGAAACAGCACCAAGGCATTGGATTTTGTTCTACCTAATGATAAAATCTGTAAACTCAGAAAGCTTATGTTATCCTCCATACATCCTTGCTACATGTGAGACTATGAACAACGGGCTGGGAGCTCAAAGAGAAAGAATGGCTAGAATACTCTAGGCAAAAAGAAAAAGAGGAATATTTTAGTTTGAATAATAAATATGCAAGTTGAAAACATTTGAAAATTACCCCACTTCTTACTTTTATAGAGAAAACAGAGGACATAATCATCATTCACCATAAGGAGCTCATTAAATATGGTCCTATATAAATGATCGTGAAGGTAGTTACTTTTTGAAAAGCTACAGGCTCCACTTTTTCCACAGCCCAAGACCCCAGGGCCTTTGTCCTGTCATCTTTCCTAACATCAGTGACACGTTTTACGTCTAAGTACTTAGAGGTAAAAGTTTTACTTTGTCTCAAATCCTCATAGGCATCAACTTGTAGGCTTAATTGCAACAATGCATTGCGTTACATATAATAACAAGCATGAAATAACATATAGCATATGTCAGCAATATATTCTATACTGAGGCCAAATTCCATAAAAGTCAGTTCTCTGGGGATAGGACTGCACTGTATCTGCCACATGATGTAACACGAATACCTCCAGTTGTGTGTCATCTCCTGAGGAATGTGATATTAATCTTCACTATTTGATGAGTACCCTTCTGAAATGTGTATAATTTTTTTAACTTTTATTTTAGGTTCATGGGTGCATGGGCAGGTTTCTTCCATAGGTAAATTTGTGTCAAGTGGGGTTGTTGTACAGATTATTTCATTACCCAGGTATTAAGCCTAGTACCCATTAGTGATTTTTCCTGATCCTCTCACTCCTTCCACCCTCCACCCTCCGAAAGGGCCCATGGTGTTTTGTTCTGCTCTGTGTGTCCATGTGTTCTCATTATTTAGCTCCTATTTATAAGTGAGAACATGTAGTATAAAACCACATTTTCTTTATCCAGTTATCACAGATGGGCATTGAGGTTGATTCCATGTATTTGCTATGATGAATGGTACTGCAATGAACATACTTGTGTATGTGTCTTCATAATAGAATAATTTATATTCCTTTGGGTATATATCCAGTAATGAGATTGCTGGGTCGAATGGTATTTCTGTCTTCAGGTCTTTGAGGAATTGCCATACTGTCTTCCGCAATGGTTGGACTAATTTATACTCTCACCAACAGTGTATAAGCATTGCTTTTTCTCAACAATCTCACCAGCATCTGTTATCTTTTGACTTTTTAATAATAGCCATCTGACCGGTGTGAGATGGTATCTCATTGAGGTTTTGATTTGCATTTCTTTAATGATCAGTGATGTTGAGCTTTTTTTACATGATTATTTGCCGCATGTATATCTTCTTTTGAAAAGTGTCTTTTCATGTCCTTTGCCTACTTTTTATGGTGCTTTTTTTTTCTTGTAAATTTGTCTAAGTTCCTTATAGATGCTTTGTCAGATGCTGTATCAGTCTATTCTCACACCTATAAGGAACTACCCGAGACTGGGTAATTTATAAAGAAAAGAGGTTTAATTGACTCACAGTTCTGCAGGCTGTACAGGAAGCATGGCTGGGGAGGCCTCAGGAAACTTACAATCGTGGCAGAAAAGCGAAGAGGAAGGCAACACATCTTGCACGGTCAGAGCAGAAGAAAGAGAGTGAAGCGGGAGATAGTACATCAAACAACCAGATCTCATGAGAACTCTATCACGAGACGGCACTAAGGAGATGCTGCTAAACCATCAGAAACCACTCCCATGAGCCAATCCCCTCCCACCAGGCCCCACATCCAACACTGGGGATTGCAATTCCACATAAACTATAAAAACGCCAAGAGTAATTTAAAACTATAAAAAAGCAAGAGTAATTTTAAAAATCCTCATAGAACTTTCAATCTGGAAAGGATCTTGGATACTACCAAGTTCAAACTACACCCTGAGTCCCCAGCCCCCATTTACAGATGAGGCCACCTAGGGCTCAAAACATTAAAGAACTTGCCCAAGGACACATTACTACCAACCCGCAGGACCAGGACTGGTACTATAGTTGTTAAAGTCCTCCCAGTCCGAGACTCTTTCTGCTTTCCTATATATTCCATAATTTAAATACTGATACAGCATCGAGCAGGGGTTAGCAAACTTTTCCTGTGAAGGACAAGACAATACATAATTTAGGCTTTTCAAGCCATATGGTTGCATATGGTCTCAACTACTTAATTCTGCCATTGTAGCATAAGAGCAGCCATAGGCAAAACATAAGCAAATCGGTGTGGTTGTGTTGAAATAAAACTTAATTTGTAAAAACAGGTGGCAAACTAGATTTGGCCTGTGGGCAGCAGTTTGATGATGCCTGGTCTAGAGAAAAAGAACTGTACTTTCTCAGACTTTTGATTCACTTCCTTCCTGTATTACTCAGGCTATGGCATGAGTGAGTGTGGAAGAACAAGGTACATTTTGACCCATCCCCAAAGCTCCTAGAAAAGTTAGAAAACCCTTCCCAACCCATGTCGTAAATCATTAAAATCACATATACGCACATCCCAGAGAGAGAAAGGGTGAAAGGGTAGGGATACAGGCTAACGGGTGAACATTCTGGTAGTTAATCAGCTGCCTCTTCTACTTACTAGCTATTTACTTAATGAGATCAAATCAAGTGGCCAAGCTTCCTTGTTTATTGGTATCTAGGGGACTCATTAACTACCTATAAATCTCTGCTGCTCTCTGGTGGTAGAAGACATTCGAGAGAAGTTGAATACTGTAGAATTCAGCAACTGAGTTCCCAAAATGTTTTGGACACTAAAGAACTAAATGAGTGAGATAGAGTATTTTCAAACTTACTAAACAAAATCATAATTGAATCCTTGAAATATTTCTATGAATGATTTTCCTTCATCATAAATCCTCGTTTTTTTTTTCTATCAGGCCCAAACATCAGTTTTTCTGACAACTGAAGTTTCCATTATTTTTCTTTCTCTAAAGCAGGAGCATCATAACTAATAAACACTGCTCAGAAGAAGCTTTAATTCTTCCAGAACTTTCAGATAACGCACAAAAAGGTGTAGCAGAGAGTCAAAGGAGATTAAGCATCCATGTGGCAGCTGACAGCAAAGGGAATTTTAATGCAAATGACAATTTCAACTCGTGCATGTAGCTGAACATCAGCAGATTTTACTTCTCCTCAGTGCTGGTTTTTTTTTCTAGTGCCTTAATCACACCAGAGAAGCTGAGAACCCCATCTTCAGTTTTCTTGTCACTGAAAACTGCGCTTCAGGGATGGGTTGACATTCTACACCAGGAGACTAGTCAGACCACTATTTTCATATCAGTCAGTGTATGGCTCCTGGTGGCTCAAGCCAAACTTGGGTGGAGAGGTTCCAAAAACCGGAGGTAAGGAAGAGTAGGAACAAATGAGCTTGAATCTTTTATGGGCCCAGGGGCTGTGCCTATCTTACCCGCTGTGGTTAATACATTCCAGCTCCTGGAACAGAGACTAATACATTGCAGGGACTAATATGCTTTTACTAAGTGAGTGAGGAAATAATTGAATGAAACACTAGTGTTTATGAGAGTGGTTTATAGGCTATATAGCACCCTATAAGTAATCATTGCATTCATACTAGAAGTAGCAAAGGAGTGAATTACAAATCAAGAGATAATGGCAGGAAATAGCACATCTAATACGGAAAGAAGTTCTTTCCAAACCCACAATTTCATGTCTCCTTTCTCAGTATCACAGCATCACAAAACTTAGGGATTAGAAAGGATTTTAACACTTTCGTTGTCCAAACTTCCACTGACGCTCTTTATTCAGAGTTCCACAATATTACCACCAAATGGTAGTCACCCACCCTCTGCTCAGACACTTCCGGAGACAGGAACTCAATGTCTGCAAAGACACTTTGTATTTTGGATGGGGAAGGGAAGTTGAAGCAGTAGGGAAGTGTTGGAAAAGGAGATTCCAGAGTTGTGCTGTTCAATAGGTCGTCACTATCCACCTGTGACTATTGAGCACTTGATATGTGGCTAGTCCAAACCGAGGTGTGTTGTGATTTTTGAAACCTTAATACAAAAAAAGATGTAGAATATCATTAATTCCTTATAATGATTACATTGTGAAATCATAATAGCTTGTATCCACTAAGACAAATATTTTATTAAAATTAATTTCACTTTTTTCCGTTTACCTTTTTAATGTGGTACTAGAACATTTAAAAGTATGTATATGGCTCACATTATATTTCTACTGGGTGGCATGGGTCGAGAGAACACATTTTGTCTTTCTTTCAATTCAGCAAAACAAATAAAATGTCTTTAGGAGACACTAATATGGAAACTCTGGTCTGCTTTGAGTATGAAAATCAAAATCCCTACTCAATAATTTGAATCCTGTCCCCTCTGTTATGGTGCTTGTGTCTGTGTCTGTTCTTGGCTGTGAAATGGAAAAAATATTTTCTTCTTTTCCTTATCTCTACAGAGAGTCATAGACTCATCATGAGCCTCTCATAATGACAGTCTCTTATTGTCCTGGAAACAGTGTACAAGGAGAGCTGCCTCAGCTCAGTGAAAGGAATGGTTTTTTTTTTTTTTTTAATTATACTTTAAGTTTTAGGGTACATGTGCACAATGTGCAGGTTAGTTACATATGTATACATGTGCCATGCTGGTGTGCTGCACCCACTAACTCGTCATTTAGCATTAGGAGATATACCTAATCTCCCCCCTCCCCCCACCCCTCCCCCCTCCCCCCACCCCACAACAGTCCCCAGAGTGTGATGTTCCCCTTCCTGTGTCCATGTGTTCTCATTGTTCAATTCCCATCTATGAGTGAGAACATGTGGTGTTTGGTTTTTTGTCCTTGCGATAGTTTACTGAGAATGATGATTTCCAATTTCATCCATGTCCCTACAAAGGACATGAACTCATCATTTTTTATGGCTGCGTAGTATTCCATGGTGTATATGTGCCACATTTTCTTAATCCAGTCTATCATTGTTGGACATTTGGGTTGGTTCCAAGTCTTTGCTATTGTGAATAGTGCCACAATAAACATACGTGTGCATGTGTCTTTATAGCAGCATGATTTATAGTCCTTTGGGTATATACCCAGTAATGGGATGGCTGGGTCAAATGATATTTCTAGTTCTAGATCCCTGAGGAATCGCCACACTGACTTCCACAATGGTTGAACTAGTTTACAGTCCCACCAACAGTGTAAAAGTGTTCCTATTTCTCCACATCCTCTCCAGCACCTGTTGTTTCCTGACTTTTAAATGATTGCCATTCTAACTGGTGTGAGATGGTGTCTCATTGCGGTTTTGATTTGCATTTCTCTGATGGCCAGTGATGATGAGCATTTTTTCATGTGTCTTTTGGCTGCATAAATGTCTTTTGAGAAGTGTCTGTTCATATCCTTTGCCCACTTTTTGATGGGGTTGTTTTTTTCTTGTAAATTTGTTTGAGTTCATTGTAGATTCTGGATATTAGCCCTTTGTCAGATGAGTAGGTTGCGAAAATTTTCTCCCATTTTGTAGGTTGCCTGTTCACTCTGATGGTAGTTTCTTTTGCTGTGCAGAAGCTCTTTAGTTTAATTAGATCCCATTTGTCAATTTTGGCTTTTGTTGCCATTGCTTTTGGTGTTTTAGACATGAAGTTCTTGCCCATGCCTATGTCCTGAATGGTATTGCTAGGTTTTCTTCTAGGGTTTTTATGGTTTTAGGTCTAACGTTTAAGTCTTTAATCCATCTTGAATTAATTTGTGTATAAGGTGTAAGGAAGGGATCCAGTTTCAGCTTTCTACATATGGCTAGCCAGTTTTCCCAGCACCATTGATTAAATAGGGAATCCTTTCCCCATTGCTTGTTTTTCTCAGGTTTGTCAAAGATCAGATAGTTGTAGATATGCGGCGTTATTTCTGAGGGCTCTGTTCTGTTCCATTGATCTATATCTCTGTTTTGGTACCAGTACCATGCTGTTTTGGTTACTGTAGCCTTATAGTATAGTTTCAAGTCAGGTAGCATGATGCCTGCAGCTTTGCTCTTTTGGCTTAGGATTGACTTGGTGATGCAGGCTCTTTTTTGTTTCCATATGAACTTTAAAGTAGTTTTTTCCAGTTCTGTGAAGAAAGTCATTGGTAGCTTGATGGGGATGGCATTGAATCTATAAATTACCTTGGGCAGTATGGCCATTTTCATGATATTGATTCTTCCTACCCATGAGCATGGAATGTTCTTCCATTTGTTTGTGTCCTCTTTTATTTCATTGAGCAGCAGTTTGTAGTTCTCCTTGAAGAGGTCCTTCACATCCAAAAGGAATGATTTTCTAACAGAGCTCTCCAGAGTGAGAATGATCAGCTTGATTCAACCCTACCCCAGTAAGTGAACTCTACATTTTATAATATCTGAAGTATCATCACAGCTAAAAATAGGAAAGGAAGAAAATGTTCTCAGAAACTCCCTGATAACAAAACAATAAATCTTAACCAATCATTATAAAAGTGTACTATTATTTTACCATTTGCCATAGCTTACACATATAAATCACAAGGAATAATTATTGAGTTGAAAGTGCCTATGATATTTAAGACAAGTGTAATCCTTAAGTAATACAGTGATAATTCTATTCTTAAAAATCCATTTGAGTATCATTTGACGTTGTACCTGCACTTTAAAAGTTTGAGTCTTTTTAACTGGTTTGTTGAACAGGCTTGAGACAGTAGGTAAAACATAAAATAATTTCACTTTACTTATTTTACTCCATGTCATGAATGTATGAATGTGTGCATGCCCTGTATCTCCCATTAGCTTTAGAGAGAAAGCACCCCCCCTTACACATATCCCCCACCACACACACGAACACAAACACACACACACACACAGGCTAATGGCTCAACTCTAAGGATTTTCCCTCCTCCAGTATTCAGACTAAAGAGATTTGGGTTGGGGTGAGAAGAGTCTGTATTGATTTGGGCAGAGTCAGATTTGTCCCCCCTTCACAAGCCCTAGAGGGTTATCTTCTCCAAAGCTGTGTTTTCACAAGCCCTAGAGGGTTATCATCTGCTTCAAAGCACAACAGAATTTGGCAACTGAAGTGTCCAAACTGTCAACTATGAAAAACGGTTTTAGGCAATACTTGAATTGCCATGTGACCTTAACACAGCAAATAACATAGGAAATGTAAAAAATGCATTTTCTGACATTTACAGCTATTAAACTTTAAGTTTAGTAACAAAGTGATTACAAGTGATTGCGACCGTCTTTAGAGGCTTTTAAGATCAGAAAAAAAGTCTTATCTATTTGAGCAGAATATTCCTTTTGACAGCAATAAAACTAAAGAAATTATCTAAGCTCCTTCTGGCTAAAATTTATGTTGCTAAGTTATTTCATGCAGACTTTCAAAGAGTGAGAATCTTCTTATCTTTAAGAATCTTTTCTTAAGGGTATTTCTTTCTATATTAGGGTGCAGAATTTGATTGGACTGCTGAGATAAGCGCTGTTCTATCAGTTTTAGGGCCAGGCACTCCAGGATACCTAGTTTGATTTCCTAAAGAAAGAGCAAACAATTCATTCTTTTATATGAGTGGGGAAACACAGCAGTGAGGTTTCTCTGCCAGGCACATGACCAAGTTCTCTGACCACCTGTAATCACAGTAGAAGTAGAGACTTCTCCTCATACTGTTCTACCAGAATTTGGCCCAACATAATTGAATAATTTTTAAAAGTTTGATACAATGTAGCTCTTTGGTTCTCACACTTAGCAAGCATCAGAATTACATGGAAAACATATTAAAATACACAGTGTTTGACCCCATCCCCCTAGCTTCTGATGCAGCAGGTCTGGGGGACATCTGAGATGTGCACTTCGGGAATGGACCCAGACAATGCTGATGCTACTGGTCCAGGGACACAATTGGAGAACGACAGATCTACATACAGATAATTATAACGAAGAAGTGCAGAGAGAAACCTGAGCAAGAGCTGTTCTTTGAGAATTCTGATTGAGGACTCCTTTCCAAATACAGATTTAAACAACTTATTGAGGTCATTCTGCAAACTATTAAACCTGAGCATAAAAATATGGCCCAGAAAGATGGGTTTTCCATGCCTGATTAAATGAATAACTTGCTAATGTGGAGCATAACATTTGACTTAAAATATAGCCATTATGCAGGGTGATCATTTCCAGCAGGGAAAGCCCTAGAAAAACAAACCGTATTCCTCAAACTTCAATCAGTGTAAAAAACAATTCTCAATTCTTTTGTGGTTTATAAGCATAATGGTTGGGTTTTTATATGCATGTGTGAAATGTACTTCCCTCAAACCTTGTTACAATGTCAGCACATTACCCACCTGACATGAAAATAATAAAGTAAAATAATTATCCTTTCATCATTCAGTGGCTCTTTTTGTTTCCGTAATATATATTTTATGCTTAAGTATACTTAGCTTCAAGTATCTTCATTTTTTCTTTTTAATAACTTAATCAGTACCAATGCTTCAAGTAACTTTACAAGAATAATTTTGCAATACTATCAAATACCTAGGATTTATATTTAAAATCTGGTTCACCTTGAAAATCTAATGATCTTCTAAATTATGTAAGTTTTTGCAGTGGTAGTTAGGATAGGACTTGTAACTTTTATAAGACTGGATATTCAAGTTTTTAAATCTTAACTATCACTAAAATATTTACACAGGTCCCAAATGAATATTAATATGACTAATATCACCAAAGGAATCTCTAATTAAGGCTTAAGCAATCTTTCTAAAATGGTATTAGGAACATGCCTTTCAGAATAAGGTGAATTGAGCATGTTCCCAAAAATCCTGCAAATAATGTATAAATTTAGTTAAGGGCAAAAAAATTAGCGGGGAAAATAGACCTATGAGCTTTCTTGACAGCAAATTGAAAGTCAAGAATGTGATGTGGCTGCCACTAAAAATGAATACTTTCCAGGTAAAGAGATGCGACATCCATTTTATTCAGTGGTAGACAGACCACTTCTGAAATGCTGTATTGATTCTGTAGACATCTAAGAGACTCATCAACAAACGGGAGGCTTCAGAGATGGCTAGGATGGTAAAGGGTCTGAAAAACATGTCTTTTGGGGAACATTTGAAAGAACTTAGAGTGAATGACTAGGGAAGAGTTGGATGTCACAGGTAAGGGTGACACAGACACACGAATGATCTCTGGAAATATTTGAAGAGCTGTCAAAAAAGAGAGAAATTTAACTTCCTCTTTTTCTCAGCAAATGGCAGAATAGAAACACATGAGTGTATCAGGAAGGTTAAGAGCACAGCTTTGAAGTCAGACTGTGGAATTAAGACTTGGTTCCAGCCATTGTTGGATATGTAAACTTGGCAAACTAGTTGTTCATTAGGAAAAAAGCAATATTAGAAGTACCCATCCTTAGGTAAGGACTAAATGAGATGATAGATGTGGCAGACTCAGAACAATGCCTGACAAATGTTCAGATAACCGTTTGCATCAGTTAATTTAATAGAGACGCCTGAAAATGCATTGAGCCACTTCTAGAAGGAAATTTAGCAAAGACTAAATGACCATCAGCCAGGGATGCTGTGGTAAGTATCCCTGCATTGGGTAGAAGAACTAGGTAACCTGTAAAAACCCTCTCAACTCAAAAATTCTTCACTGTTGTTAACTAGTGCTTCACTCTCCCTCCCCTGTGCTCACAGCACTTTGTTCAACCAGTATTACAGAATTTATCACACTTTCTCATCAGTAGTTATGAACATGTCTGTCTCCCACCTAGTTGGTGAGCTCCTCAAGGTCAGACTATGCTTCATCCATCTTTGTCCCCTGTGCATCTTGCCCAGTGCCTGGCATACAGCAAGATTCAATAAACACTTGTTGAAGAAAGAAGATGCTCAGGGCTCAGGGCTAATGTGGACTCCTGGCTGCTTCTCTATCTGTGTGACAATTCCTCCAGGAAAGGGCCCAGCTAATATTCAATCCAGGAAGCTTTCGAATTCTTGTGGTTATGCTAGAAATATGACTTGGCGGGCATGACTTTTCTAGGTGAATAAGCATTCTAACTGCACAGCGTTAAGTACATTGTGAATTTATGACATTTGGACCGATTCCTGATCCCCAACATGTGAAGTCTCCTCCTGGCCGCAGGCTGTGGCTCTTTCAGTTGATGCACATACTCTCTGCTGTCCTGTTCTCCAGCTGATGAAGTGGTTCAGTCCACACTCATGGAGATCCTTATGGACATCTTCCTTTTTCTGTACTAGAAGTTCCTAAAAGTGGTAAGAGGCTTAAAATTGCACTCCAGCTATAATATTCAAAATTAAAAAGACACCTGGTCATCTATCAGGAAACTATGCTTGCATGATTACTAACTCTGATTCTTGTAGTGTCTAACTTCTTCTCTGGATAAAACTGAGGCATCTTTCAGATCCCAGATTTATTGATCTTTAATGCTTGCTCAAGTACTTACCAAAATATTATTGTTCCTTCAGCCACTCAATAAATACTTGATGAGTAACTAAGAAGTATCCTAATGCCATGACAGCTTCCAAACTTGCCTAAATTATAACCATGGAGGAGCTTATGTACTCAGAGAAAGTGGTTTAACTGTCATTCAGTGGAGGAAAAATGTTTTAATACTTTATACATTGAATTAAACCTGTTCTTAAAGAACCAAAACTCGCCAAACTACCTAAAAACTCAGGATGGGAGATGAACAGAAGTAGCAAATGAACTGCCTGCCCTGGTAACCCACAGCGTTTTGCCATGTGATTCTAAACAAACTGACAGTGGGTCTGTTCCAACACCATGTGCTCCCCTGTTCTGGAATGTAGTGAAGGGAAAATCTGAAAGGAAAGCCAATCTTGGCAAAACCTCTTTTGTTCTCTCACATATTCCAAAGATGTGAGGCTCAGGGAGCACTCAAGTCCCCAGACCTGGGCATGACTAAACCTGACTTTTACAAACTTCACAACAATTTCCCTTCTGTTTCCAACAGTGTGTGCAGCACTGAGAACACAGAACCTACCCAAACTGCAAAAACAAGAAAGTACATGTTTTCCATCAGGACCAGCTTCTTCAGTAATAATTGGTTATTTCTTTCTGATATTCTTAAAGCCCGTTCTCTTTCTATTAGCATGTATGAGGTTTTTGGTAGGAAAAAAAATATTTCCCTATGCAGCATTCATCCATACAACTTTTTAATTCTTTCTGTCATTTGTTTTCATTTTTTATGTGATTTACATCCTAACTAGTATATTGTCTACCCCCACAGGAGTTCATATATCTATATACAGTCCATTACCTTTGACCAGTGAGGATCAAAAGGACTTTTATATACTTTCCTGATAATTAGCAAAAGAATGGGTGAGGAAATGTAAGATATAATGGTAACCACCCTAGTACCTAGCGATTCTTGTTACTATTTATTACTTATTATTGTGATGTATGCAGTGAATTGTTTGTAGATTTAACAGTTTTTACCCCTGTTCCTCAGTGCAGTGAATTTAGGTTTGGATTGCTCACAGTAATTTTTGCAAAACTGAGACTTTCTTAGAAAATATTGTTAAGGGGTTATCTTGTATCCAGAGTTCATCAGTCATGGCCACTTGGCTAAACAATCTTGACATTTGTAATGACCTGAGAAAAAGCCCGAACAAACTTTACACCTCACAGAAATTAAAGGGGAAGGACCTAACATAAATGTTACCCAAAAAGCCTGGTAAAGTGCTTTTCTCAGCAGGGTGATCAGAACAGAGGAACTGCAGGATATCTGAAGATCAATTAAGAAACACCATCCCTGTTCCAACTGAGCAAAGTCATAACAGTGTTCTGCTTACATATGCAAGGAAAGGAATCTGAAAGGAAAGGCGACTCTCTGAAAGACGACTTTCAGAGAGGTATGCTCTTTACAGTCACCGAAATGATGTCAAGAATTTTCACAGCCAGCCGTTCACCTGACAGATAGTGACCTTGAATGTGGAGAAGCAGACTGGGCC